>NC_000008.11:50927265-53427265 GCF_000001405.40 Homo sapiens | reverse complement strand
AATTAGAACTCTCCTGGGAAACCTGCTTGAGCAATGCCCTGGACCCCAATCAAGGCCTCAGTCCTTAGGTCCCTCTCTTTCTCTGGCTGCTCACCTGCTGGTTGAATACATTGTCCTGTGATCTTTCTGACGGCCTGCCTTGGTATCCCTCTTTTTTTTTTTTCTTTCTTTTTTTTTTTTTTTTTTGAGACAGAGTCTTGCTCTGTTGCCCAGGCTGGAGTGCAGTGGTGTGATCTCTGCACACTGCAAGCTCTGCTTCCTGGGTCCATGTCATTCTCCTGCCTCAGCCTCCCAAGTGGCTGGGACTACAGGTGCCCGCCACCATACCCGGCTAATTTTTTTCTGTATTTTTAGTAGAGACGGGGTTTCACCATGTTAGCCAGGATGGTCTTGATCTCTTGATTTTGTGATCCACCTGCCTCGGCCTCCCAAAGTGCTGGGATTACAGGTGTGAGCCACCACGCCCGGCCGGTATCCCTCTTTTCTTATAGACCTGTAGGTAATAAACTGCTTCTGTTATTTTCTGTTTTTATGTATGTATGTGTGTGTTGCCTTCTCTATGTTTCACCTGACAGACCTATCTGGACCTAACTTTTATCCTGGCCAAGGCTCTTATAGAAAGTGGTTATCTTCAAAGAAATAAATTGGACACAGGTCAGACAAGAGTATAAGGGCATCTGCCAATATAAACAAATTTCCTGTGAGAAATTTGTTCAACACCTGGTCAGGTACCTGGTCACAGGTTGCACAGTTAAGTGCTAGGCTGTCCTCCAGGATAAGTATTCCATGAAAGGCATGATGTAAACATCCATGACCAAATCCCTTGGAGCCCTGTCAGGGCAAGGCTAGAGTATATAGTCACTCTCCTGAAAGGACCGCTGAACCAAATTAGAGAAAGATTAAAAAAAAAACCCCATCATTGTATGCATGTGTGAGTGTTTCAACACTCTCTTACTTTCTGATGTTATAGGCTCATCTCATATGTTTTCTGCCCCAGTCCTAAAATCTGCCCTTTCCCCATAAATCTCAATATAATCGCATTGGAAAATGGTATTAGAAACCAGGATCTGGGTGCTAGGTATGCTTGTTGTTACTGAGGAGTCATTACTTCTAGGCCCTGTCAGCTGACAAAGCAAGGAAATATATGTGTTTATACTAATCCATATATATATATATATATATATATATATATATATATATATATATGCACACACACCCATCTACAAGTATTTTTATATTTAACCACCTGTGTCTGTATTAAGCTAAACATGAGCTCATACTGATAACTCACCTCTAATTCATTACCACCTGGATAATTCTGGCATCCTCCCATGCTTATCTGTAAACACTCACTCCAACAGCGAGAAACCGTTTCCACCATGCATCATTCATTTACTTAATTGTTCAATTCTATTATACATCTATAGTAGTAGCAGATTTCTTAACACATACTTCCATTGGAAACAACTTTATCAACTAGAGTACAGAGCTAATGACTGTTTATTTTGCCTTTAAGTTTATAATTCATTTCTAAGTCATGGATAATTTTTTAATGTGAAAATATCTTTCTGCTATGTGGGGAATAGATTTAAGAAGGGTAGAGAAAACTAATGGGGAAGCTAAGTCCAGCTGAAAAGTAATGGTGGTTTGGTCTAGGATAAATAAAAGCAAACATTTAAGTTCTTATTAGTAAGTTCTATGTAAAAGTTAGTTATTTTTGTACCATGAGCCCTTCTAACCACTTATAATCCTTAACTCACTGAAGCTTACAAACACCTGTGAACTCTACTATCACTGTCCCCATTTCATAGATGAGGAAACTGAGGCACAGAGAGGTCCAGGAAGGGTTAGAATTAGAATTCAGACTCTAGCAATCAGGTTGTAGGTCCTGAGCTTTTAAACAGTTTCAATATTTCCTCTCAGTTAAATCTCCCAACTCTTGACTGTATGAGGGGCAATAATTCTCTCATTTTTTGCAAAGTACTAGCATACACTGTTATGCACTGTAGGATATTCCTAAGTAGGTAAGTAAACATCCCTGATTGAGAAAAGATTAACGCACCAAACCAAAACCAACACACCAAACCCAACTCTGCTTAAAGTGGTGGAAAGATCAACTCTGCTTGGTGGTGGAAAGATCAGTGCTTTACTGAACAGGCTGCCATGCCGCTGGGCCTTCCATCATTTATGGACCACAGAGGAGAAAGATCTAATTCAGCAGCTATGAGCTGTGATGGTGCCTGCTGCCCTGAGGTAGCTATAAACTACCTCAGAGCACAGGTTAAGTGCATCCAAACCAAGAAGAAAATAATCATATGCATTTTAAATCTTAGTTTTTTTTTTAAATAAGGAAGTCATTGATAAACGATGAAATATAGCTGTCTCATTAAAACAATATTCAAAGGATATGAAAAATAGTCTTTTGTAGGAAGCCTGTGGCTATTTATATTTCTGAATCAGTTTTTCCATTTATCTTAGGAAATCAAAACAATGATTCTGCATACTGAATTTTACCATCAGGATTCAAATTTGTTTTCAGATACTGGTGTGGTACATTTGTGGGCATATTTTGCCATCACCACAATCAGACAAAGACTATCTATTCCCAGGGTCTCCTGGTACCCTGAATCACCATCTGAGGCACAATAAACTCCTTATGGTAACTTATTGGCTTCAAGCAGAAGCTGGAATGCCACATCCCACCAGATTCAGAGCAGGGATGTGCCAAATTTAACCAAAAGCAAATGAGCAAGGAACTCTCAGCAGCTCTGCTTTAGGCAAAGTTATAATCTGATTTTGGTCCTGGGAAACAAAGCTAGTGGCATATGTTTTTGGTAAAATCATCTTTTGTGGTAGATATTGGGCTCCCTACTGTCATACTAGACCCACAAGCTTGTGAGCTGGGAGGGTACCACCTCAGAGAAACTGAAGAAAAGACCTGCAGACATGAGCTTTATTAGGGAACTTACATAGAGGGAATGCAGGAGCAGCAGGCTGGACAGGAAAACTGTTCCAATTTGTAAAAGCATGCAGGTTATACAGTACCCTTCCCACAGCAACCTCCACTTAGCAACCCCCACCTAGCCCAAAACAAATGGGCTCAGTTCCTTGTATGGCCTGTGTTCCAATGAACAGGCCAGGCTCCAGGTTGTTTCTCATAGGTATGGTATAAACATCTGAGTTGGCCATTCTTGGGGTCTATAGCTGGGAACACTGAGCAAACATTCACTAAGGAACACAGGTTCATTCTCAGGGTATGCTTGGGTTATTGCTGCCCGGCAAGACCCTGGGTTCAGAGGCATCTCAGTGTGAAAGCTCCAAAGCATCATCTGCCTTTTTTGATGTTTTGTATCCTCATGGCCTAGGACAGTCCTGTTTCAAGGTGGTCATGCAATAAATTGCAGACATCCAGTAATTTGAATGACTGGCTGGCAGAATAGAATAGACAAGCATTTCCATCCTAATCACCTCTCCCACTGCACAGCCCACAGGAGAGAAGGAGAGAAGCTAATCATTGTCATATAGAGCCTCATGGGAAGTTAACCACCATAAAATCTTAGGTTTCCAGAGATGAGAAAGGCCTCAGTTTCTTCTGTACTGTTTGATGAAACACTACAGCATATGAAAGCTCACTTATCCCAAATTACTCACTGTATGCTGAGGCCATAGGAATTTGAATGACTGTCTCCAAGTTACTTGTCAGTTGGAGGAAGTCCAACTTTCTCCCAGGCAGAGAACCCAAGGCCACAATAGGCTAGAGCTAGAATTCAACACCCTGGTTTCTCAGGTTAGAGGCCACAGAATATGCCTTTCAATAGGGTAGAAATTATGGCTTGTTCCCTGCCCTTCAGTATTTAGAATTAAGTCCTAACTTGGTGCTCTTTCTTCACTGTGAAAGTGAATTCAATACACACCTTTTCTGTTTTTACAATGCTCAGCTGGCTAACTGGGGAAAACTACACATGCTTCCTCAATCTAAAATCACTTGTAAATGCACAATTGCCTTTTGCATGGCCGCAGGACTTCACTGGGAAACATGGTGAACCTAGGTTATTTTCTTATGCTCTGTACTTGACCCTCTTTGCTTCTCAACATAAGGAAACTAATTTGCACTTGGTGAGCTAAGATTTGTGTCATTTGCTGTGGATAATCCTTTCCTGGATTTTTAATAGGTTATTTTATTTTATTTCTTTTTTTTTCAACTTCTGGGAGCACAGATTAATAAGTTATTTTTAAGTGTTCTAATTATTTAGAGTAGTTGTGGGAAGGCTGCACTATTTTTGTAAAAAAAAAGTGTTTTCTTAAGGCTTGGAAGCAGCAGTTTATAAATGGTAAAAGCAACACAAAGTAAAAAAAAAAAAAAAAAAAAAAAAAAAAAAAAAAAAAAAAAAAAAAAGCCAAACCACTGCTTTTCTGTCTTTACCTTGTAGACATCTGCAATGGCAGTTCACATGGCTCAGATAGCTCACTTCTGCAGAGAGCTGAATTTAAGTGGGACAGGGTAGCAAGAATAATTACTTTGACAATCATTTTGCCACCTGATGACTGTGCTGCCTGTCCTGAGCTGAGGTGTGTTGTGACTGGTTTTTATCAATTTCATTTATCATATGGGGGTGGGGAAACAGTGGTCTCTCTTCCTGTCATTGTTCTTAATTGGGATTCCCTGTAACAAAAGGTTAACAAGAGCAAAACAGAAGTTTATAAACATTTGTACCTCTTATATACATGGGAGAAAATGCAGAGCAATGAGTAAATTGCCTGAGTTGATCTCAAAGAAAGAGTGTAAACTTCTGGGCTTAACCACCCACTGGACTTTTCTGAAACAAAGAAAGGATGCAGTGAAAGACCCAGTTAAGAGATGACTGTGGAAAAAGCACCTTAAACAAAGGAGGTCTGTTATACAGATTTATATCAGTGCCTTATCCATTGTCCAAGCTCACTAATGATTTGGAGTCATTCTTCTGTTCCTAGTGCAGAGAGGGAGACACCCTTACAAATGGAGATTTGCTGGATAGAAATGTGGCCAAAGAGTTCAATAAAAGGGTAAGATCATGAATATTCAGCTATAGAACTCCTTCTCCGTGCTGTCAACCATTCCTCCTCAGATCCTCTTTCTTTTGGGGGTTTATTGAGCTGCTTTTCCCAAAACAGAAGCACTAGGGCTTCCTGAAGACTCTGCCTTCCCCTCTCTATCAACCCTCCCATTATAAATATGTAAGTGCCCAATGGGTTCACCTTGCCCACTGCCTAGACATAGCCGATTTATCAAGAAAGGGGAATTGCGATAGAGAAAGAGTAATTCACACAGAGCCGGCTGTGCAGGAGACTGAAGTTTTATTATTACTCAAATCAGTGTCTCCGAGCATTTGGGGATCAGAGTTTTTAAGGACAACTTGGTGGGCAGGGGGAAGCCAGTGAGGCAGGAGTGCTGATTGGTCAGATAGGAGATGAAATCATGGGAAGTTGAACCTGTTCTTTTGCACTGAGTCAGTTCCTGGGTGGTGGCCACAAGATCAGATGGGCCAGTTTATTGATCTGAGTGGAGCCAGCTGATCCATCAAGTGCAGGGTCTGCAAAATATCTCAAGCACTGATCTTAGGAGCAATTTAGGGAGGGTTGGAATCTTGTAGCCTCCAGCTATATGACTCCTAAACCATAATTTCTAATCTTGTGGCAAATTTCTTAGTCCTACAAAGGTGGTCTAGTCCCCAGGCAAGAAGTTTTGTTTTGGAAAAGGGCTGTTATTGTTTTAGGTTTAAACTATAAGTTCCTCCCAAAGTTAGTCCAGCCTACACCCAGGAATGAACAAGGATAGCTTGGAGGTTAGAAGCAAGATGGAGTCAGTTAGGTTAGATCTCTTTCATTGTCTCAGTCATAATTTTGCAAAGGCAGTTTCAAATACGTCCTCAGTCCAGACCTCTCAATGGGGCATGGGATCCTGTTCATAATCTTGCACCACCTGTCTTGTCTTGCCTTATCTGTGTGTATTTATTATGGTTTTAGTTGCAAGTAACAGAAAATCCCATCCTAAGAAGGTTACCAGAGCAGCCTTGATGAAATAACTGGGAAGGTTCTTATTCTTACTGTTTTTATTCAGTTCCTTTATTTATAGGCACAGCTGCTTAAAGACTGTTACCGGAAAGGAATCCTGATCCAGACGCCAAGAGAGGGTTCTTGGACTCATGCAAGAAAGACTTCAGGTGAGTCCATAGAGTAAAGTGAAGGCAAGTTTATTAAGAAATTAAAGGAATAAAAGAATGCCTACTCCATAGGCAGAGCAGTGGTATGGGCTGCTTGATTAAGTATAATAGTTATTTCTTGATTATATTCTTATAGTTATTCCTTGATTATATGCTAAACAAAGGGTGGATTATTCATGAGTTTTCTGGGAAAGGGGTGGGCAATTTCTGGAACGGTTTTTCCCCTTTTTAGACCATATAGGGTAACTTCCTGCTGTTTCCATGACATTTGTAAACTGTCATGGCACTGATGGGAGTGTCTTTTAGCATGCTAATGCATTATGATTACCATATAATAAACGGTGAAGAAGGCCAGAGGTCACTTTTGTCACCATCTTGGTTTTGGCTGGCTTCTTTACCACATCCTGTTTGTTGACAAAAAGAGTCAAACTATAGAATATTTGAAGAGGTTTATTCTGAGCCAAATATGAGTGACCATGGCCCATAACACAGCCCTCAGGAGGTCCTGAGAACATGTGCCCAAGGTGGTCAGGGTGCAGTTTGGCTTTATACATTTTAGGGAGAAATGAGACTTCAATCAAATACATTTAAGCAATACATTGCTTTGGTCCAGAAAGGTGGGACAACTCAAAGCAGGGGCTTCTAGCTTACAGATAGATTTAAAATTTTTCTGGTTGACAATTGGCTGAGTTTATCTAAAGACCTAGGATCAACAGAAAGGAATGTTTGGGTTAAAATAAAGGATTGTGAAGACCAAAGTTCTTATTTGCAGAGGAAGCCTTCAGGTAGAAGGCTTCAGAGAGAATAGGTTGTAAAATGTTTCTTATCAGACTTAAAGTCTGTGTTGATGTTAATGCCAGGGATGTATAATGAGGCATGTCCTACCCTCACTTCCCAGGATAGCCTGAATCAGTCTTTCAGGTTGAATTTCAAGAGTGCCCTGGCTGAAGAGGAAGTCCATTTGGATGGTTTGGGTGCCTTAGAATTTTATTTTTGGTCTAGACGTTTTATCAGCAAGGTCTTTATAAAATGTATCTTGTGCCAACCTCCTATCTCATCCTGTGACTTAGAGTGCCTAACTTCCTAGGAATGCAGCCCAGTGGGTCTCAGTCTTATTTTACCCAGCCCCTATTCAAGATGGGGTCACTCTGGTTCAAATGCCTCTAACAAAACCAGATGGCCTGGGATGGCACCAGAGCTTCTTAACCCCTGACCAGATACTGGAGGGAGATATGACCCCCAAACCAGCACAGACTGGAACAGATGACCCCTTGTTACCTTTAGATCATTAACATATCATTATAATGCTAAATTTCCCACCCTTATGTAAAAGGAAAATAAATCTCAGGACCCCAAAATCACTAAGCCAAAGGGAAGACTCAAGTTGGGAACTGCATCAGGCAAACCTTCCTCCCATTCTTTTCTACATACCTCTCTCACAATTTGCCCACAAGGAAATTCCTTGTGGACAAAGGACAGATAGAACTCAAAGTCATCCCTTTGCTCATGTAAGACAAGTGCATATCTGATTGCTTCTTTTGCCTTATTGTTTTCACTAAGCCAGACTAAAGCATAAGTGACTATTCCTATGAAGTGTGTATTCAGTGAAAGGCTAATCAAAAACTCAAAAGAATATAACCATTTGTTTCTTATCTACCTATGACCTGGAAGCCCCCTCCGTGCTTTGAGTTGTCCCACTTTTCTAGACCAAACCAATGTACATCTTACATGTATTGATTGATGTCTCATGTCTCCTTAAAACGCATAAAACCAAGCTGTGCCTCAATTGCCTTGGGCACATGTCATCAGGACCTCCTAAGGATATGTCACAGGCACGTCCTTAACCTTGACAAAGTAAACTTTCTAAATTGACTGAGACTTGTCTCAGATACTCTTGGTTTACACTTATAGGAAAATCACCACCATTTTCTGAACATATGTCACATGAAGAGGAGAGTTTATTGTCTACGCCTGTGTCTAGGGTTCCTCCTTGCACATGTTTGCATACTTTCCCACCCCATGGCTAACTCCTTAAAATTCCCCAGTGTATTAGTCTGTTCTTATGCTGCTAATAAAGACATACCGGAGACTGGGCAATTTATAAAGGAGAGAGGTTTAATTGACTCACAGTTCCACATGGCTGGGGAGGCCTCACAATTTTGGCAGAAGGGCCAAGTGCAGTGACTCACACCTGTAATCCCAGAACTTTGGGAGGCTGAGACAGGCAGATCACCGAAGTCAGGAGTTTGAGATTAGCCTGGCCAACATGGCGAAACCCCATCTCTACTAAAAATTAGCCAGGCGTGGTGGTGCACACCTGTAATCCCAGCTCCTCAGGAGACTGAGAGAGGAGAATGGCTTGAACCTGGGAGGCAGAGGTTGCAGTGAGCCAAGATTGCATTACTGTACTCCCACCTGGGTGACAGAGTGAGACTCTGTCTCAAAAAAAAAAAAAAAAAAGAAAAAAAGAAAATCATCCTGAAGGCAAAGACGAAGCTAAGGCATGTCTTACTTGGTGGCAGGAAAGAGAGCAAGTGCAGCAGAACTCCTCTTTATAAAACCATCGGATCTCATGAAACTTATTCACTATCACAAGAACAACATAGGAAAGACCCACCCCCATAATTTAATTACCTCCCACTGGATCCCTCCCACAACATGTGGGAATTATGGGAGCTACAATTCAAGATGAGATTTGGGTGGGGACACAGCCAAACCATGTCACCCAGCTTCCCATGTCTCAGGGAGAAGATGCTCCTTCTACATTCCTGGCCAGGAATAAAATCTGTTTGTCTTTTTTTCTGATTGGGTGTTCCTTCTTTGCGACCAATACAAAGTAGGAAACAAACTCAGTTTACTGGCAACAAGGGGGCTCAAACAACAGGCAGATTGATTATCTACAAATTGAACAGGCCCCGGATGTAGTGAATGCAGGCAAGGTTGGTTCAGTGGCTGTGTAATGTCACAAGGACTGAGGTTGTGGGGGCCAAGAGAGAACTTTCCCCTTGGCCCTTTAAAGGTTGGCTGGAAAATCGCTGACATGAGGCAGATTGGTTAATAGGAAAAAAAGGTGTACAAGTGTATTTAACGTGTATACACAGGAGCCTTCGAAACGAAGACTCAACTTCCCAATAAGGTAGAGAAGCTTATGTGCCAACTTGAGGTTTCAGAAAGAAAGGGGCCTTGGATTCTGATAAAACAGGTTATGGGAACATGGAGAAGAGGAAGTCTATTGATGGGAATAAATGATTATTCAGGAGAATGATTGAATGGGGAACAGAAATTAAGTTGTAAATAGTTCTCTTTGGAAATTAAGTGATCCTTGGAGATAGTCATCATCTTGAAAAAGGGTCCATTCAGGTGGTTACATTTTGGTCTTACAGGGAGGGGAAGAAAACTGTTCTCCTTGATAGGTCTGGATCTTAGGCAGATAATGGAACTTCAGTTTCTTTGGAAGAAACGGTGGAAGGTCAGAGAGACCTTGAGTCTTGTTCTTCAGTTCAGCATGTCGTATTTTGGGGTACTGGTTTCTGAAAACCAACAGGTTCTTTCCATCTTTCTGTCCTTCCATCCTCCATGTCCCAGCTCTGTCCTCAACCTGTTCCCTTTTTAGGGCTGCTGATAGAGGTGTAGTGTGGTGGTTGTTAAAAGGAAAACTGTAGAGAAATTTAACAAAGTTTAATGGAGCAAAGAATGATTCATGAATTGGGCAGCCCCCTGAAACAGAATAGGCTTAGGGCAACTCCAGGGTTGCCATATGGTCCAATACTATTTATGGACAAAAAAAGTAAAGTGGCGTATGGAAGATGGAAGTGAGGTAAACAGAAACAATCAGATTGGTTACAGCTCAGAGTTGGTCTTATTTGAACGTGGTTTGAACAGTTGGCTGCCTGTGATCAGCCAAATCTCAGCTGCTGTGATTGGTTGAGACTTGGCGACTTGTTGTAAGAGTAGGTTGTGGTGTGTTTACACATCCAGTTAGGTGACAGTTCACTATGTATTAAGAAACCTTTAGTCCCGACTGAAAATATCTAAAGAAGAAGCTGTAGACTAAATTCAATTTAACAAGACTAAATCATGGACTGGAGTTCAAATCTCAGCTCTCTTGCTTAGAAGTCATGCCTCAGTCTCCTCATATGCAAAGTAGAGGAAAATGGAGGAATTTATCCCACTTGGTTGTGCTAAAAGATAAACTGGTTTTATTAAAATAGTAAAGAGTTTATTCGAACAGAGAGCAGTTCATGAATCAGGCGGCTCCAGATTGCCAGCAGTCCACAGCTCCAACAAAGGATCCTGAGGGGAGGATTTTTATAAGGTGCACGGAGAGGCAAGACAAAGAAAACATCTGGCTGGTTTAAGTGCGGCAGTAGCCTAATTTGATTCATTTCAGTGCACAGTTCCTAGTTAGAGTTTACTTGGCAGTTTCTGATTAAACTTAAGTTTTGTTCTACTTCAACACTGAATTGGGTTTTGGTTTACTTATACAGGAACCCAGGGTGCTGGAGTTGCCTCAATGTAATGCCCTCCCAATTAATTAGCTGTTGCGATCATACAAGGAATAAATGCTGTCTGCCTTATTTATCATTTTCTTGGCTGAATCTGACTATGCTAATTCCAGACTTCAGACCCACAATATACAGTGAAGGAAGAAGAACCATTCTTTCCAGTGTCTTTGTCTTTCTGTTAGCCTAGAGGGCGCATGTAGATTAATTAGGAAACATATCCCCTTCCTTGAACCCCCACGCTGGATGCTTTCTCACCTGAGGGTGACTTGTGTGCATTAGACAACAATGCCCATTTGCTTTGTGTAAAGACAAAAGTGTTCTTTCTGGGTACCTGCCTCTCCACACTCCTCATGGGCTGGTGAGCAGAAATCATATGGGTCCACCCTAAATTTCCTGGGCTGTGTGCTGTTGCTTCAAACCCTATCTCAAATGCCACTTAATTTGCTTACACTGTATCTTTAAAATGGAAACTTTCATCTTCCATCATATCTTATAATTATTTGTTTGTATTTAATTCCCCACATCTGACAGTGATCTCCACAGTGTCTTTTGCAAATGTTCTTAAATGTTTGTTCATACTACTTAATCTCTACGGAATGGTACTGGATCACTTTAACTTTAGGAGGTGGTGCCTTCTTAGACCTGATAAATCAAGTTTAGCTTAAAGCTGCCTCCTTACATATTTTAAGTTTGGTCTAAAGGTTTCTCCATACATTGTAAACTCTAACCTGACTGGATGTGTAAATAGACTGTAACCTACTCTTGTGCCACTCACTGAGCTTTGGTCAATCACAGGTGCACAACTGTTCAAGTCATGTTCAAATAAGACAAACTGAGCTGTAACCAATGGGCTGTTTTTGTACCTCATTTTAGTTTTCTGTAAGTCACTTTCCTTCTATCCATAAATCTTCCACCATGTGGCTGTGCTGGAGTCTCTCTGAGCCTACTCTGGCTTGGAAGACTGCCTGATTTGCTAATCATTCTTTGCTCAAATTAAACTCTGTTAAATTTAGTTAGTCCAGGGTTTTTTTTTTGTTTGTTTTTTTAAAATCAAATCTTCAGTGACTCTTTATGGTGGTCAATTATGGCCAGGATGGATAGGAGACTACCATGCAGAAAAGTATGAGAGAGACTTGAAAACCATGCAGTGATCTTTAAAACCCTCTGAATATGTATTTTCAAATGCTGCTTTCATAAGTCATTAACCATAATTTATTGAATGTGTACTATGTGTATGGCATTGTACTAGATCCTTTATAAACCATATAGAATTTTTATAGTAACCTTGAAAAGTATGTGTTATTATATCCACTGTACATATTGGGGGGACTGGAGGCTTAGAAAGTGGAAGTCGAGGCTTGCACACACTTATTATGAAAGGCCAGCTGGCATGATAGTGGTTCACCCTGAACAGCAGATGGAACTGATAACAGGCCCATTAAATTATGGGCCAAATAGTTTGCAACCTTAAGAAATCCCTGTGAAATGTTCATAGAATATTAACTTCTTATCTTATCAAAGAAAATTTTAACCCATTGAAATATAAGATTTGTGTTAGGGTCTGAATGGCCAACCATTTTTTTTTTTCTGTATGTGTTTGAGAATAATGTGTTTTGCAATTTTTACATGCAGTATTTTATATAAGCTTATGGTACAGCTTGTTTATTGTATAATTTAAAACTTCCTTGTCCTTACTAACTTTTGTCTGTTTATTCTATTGCTAAAAGTGGTATAGTAAATACACTACAATAATGCATTTGTCAATTTATCTTTAGTTATGTCACTTTCTGCTTCATATATTTTGAGACCATGTTATTAGGTACATAAAATATAATAATTATATTTTTTTCTGGCAAACTGAAGCTTATTATAAATGACCCTCTTTGTTGCGAGTAATGCCTTTTGCATTTACAACTGATGGAGACAGGACGCAGCCAAAAGTCCCTGGTGAAACCCCGCCTTCAAGCCTAAAACAGCCTGAAGGATGAAAAACCAGACTTCTGGTGCCTGATGAAGCCTGCCCTTTCCTGACTGATTCTAAATAATGCCTACCTGCCAACTGGGAAGGCAGGGTGGAGCCTTCGGAAATTCATGACCTTCGCAGGGGAGAGGAGCTTGGCCTCTCCTATTCCTGTGTGGTGACCTGGGATTCAAACTGTGAGGCGGAAAACCTGCTAGCAGGAGTCTCGCTTTGCTGAGAGTTATTTTTCTTTTCCTTTTTATCCAATAAATTCCGTCTTCTCACGCTTCTATGTGTCTGTGACCCTACTCTTTCCTGGTCGTGTGACAAGAGCCTGGTTTTAGCTGACCTAAGAAGAAAGTTCTGCAACATTTTTGGTGTCCAGACGTGAGTCTTGAGGAAGGGTGAGTACATGCAAATCAAAAAATCTTTTTTTTTTCCTTTCGCTTCTAAGCCTTTTTGTCCTTGTACCTCTTCTGGGGGTAGAGGAAACTGCGCACCACCCCACCCCAAGGGCTGCAGGTGTGTGCGGCATGGACCAGTGAATGGCGGCTCCCCCGGTCCCTTCCCGGCCAGGGCTGGAGTGTATGGCTCGAGGCTGCGCACCAGCAGGCTGGCCAGCACTCCCTCCACTTGTCCATGGAGGCTTCCCCTCCCCTGGCCAAGGGGACCCACTCTGTCCGACAGCAATTAAGTTTCTTTCCCTGGTGGAGGAACCATTTGCATAAGAATAAGAGGTTCTTCCCCAGGCATCTTTTTCTTTTCTTTTTTTCTGAGAGGAGTCTCACTCTGTCGCCCAGGCTGGAGTGCAGTGGCGCGACCTAGACTCACTGCAACCTCCACCTCCCGGGTTCAAGCGATTCTCCTGCCTCAGCCTCCCAAGTAGCTGGGATTGCGCCACCATGCCCTGCTAATTTTTGTATTTTTAGTAGAGACGAGGTTTCACCAGGTTGGCCAGGCTGATCTCGAACTCCTGACCTCAGGTGATCTGCCCGCCTCAGCCTCCCAAAGTGCTGTTACTACAGGCGTGACCCACCGCGACCGGCTGGCATCATTTTTTTTTTCCTCCACCCTGTCAGCAGTTAACACAGCCCTGCATTTAAGCTGTCTTTTCCTTTTCTCCGCCGGGTCAGGAGTTAACTTTTAAGTGAGGCTATTTTGCTTTTTAGAAGATGTTTTACTAGGCCAGGACCCCAACTGTCACTGTCTATATTCTCTGTAAAGTTTTAATGATGAAAAAGGATTTGTTAGGTTGGCCTTAAATTGCAGCCAATCCAGTGTGCTTTGCCTGGCATTCTGCATGGTCAGCAGCAAACTTTGCTGCGGGCCTCCATCTTGTTTTACCTCCTTGGGAACCTGACCTGTAACCAGGTGACAATGCTTCGTTTAGCCTCCCCCATTTTACCATGGCAGCCAGATTCAGTCCTGGCTTAGGGAATGAGTCCTTTCTGGTTTGGTGTCTGTGCGACCCTTGCTATTTGTTGATTCTCTTCCCCTCCCAAACTGCCTTGGATTTTCCTTTCTCTGAGTCTTTAGTAAAGTTTGAAAGTCAGAAATATTGTCTGCTTGGTCTGGTTAAAGTCAGGTAATAGGGGATTTAAAAAGATTTTCTTAAAAAGCACCCAGCTTAATTAAAAGTGGATATCCAAGTCACAGGTATATTTAAAAGGCCTTTATGTTTTTCTTTTCTAGGACCTCATTTTGTTGGGAAAAGGTGTGTTTTTTTTTTTTTTTTTGGTCGGCTGAAGTATTTTTCTCCATTTTGCCTTGCCACTTTTAATGGACACATGAGAAGGGAGAGACCTCTGTTTTTCTCCTGGAACCCCAGGAATTAAAGGCAGATAGACCCCTCTCAAAATTTGTTTTTGCTTCCCAGTTATGCCTCTTATGCCTTAAAAGCCGCACATTTTCCTAGCCTAACTCAAAAGTCTTCCCTCCGGAGGCCAATAATCCAATTAGGAGATTGGCAAACGAAAAAATCTTATGGCTGCTGGATTTTCTTCTGCTTGTCTGTGTAGTTATATATGTGTTGTGTGTGCGAGATGTCCATAAAAAATAGCTCTAATTAATTGGCCCAAAGGAAGACAAGTGCTAGGATCAAATATTTTTTAAAGGGAAGATAAAAGCTGTGGTACCGTTTAGATCACGACTTTAATCTGAGAAATAAAAACAGCCTTAAAAATTATTGGTAAAATGCAGATGTCATCAAAATGTAAATAGGTAAACTAAATTATGCAGGTCAGATACTAGATTTGCTAAGTGTATTGAGGTTATAAACTGCCTTTTTGGTCTTTAAGAGCTTTTCACCTTGCAATGGCATGATCTCGGCTCACTGCAACCTCCACCTCCCCAGTTTAAGGGATTCTCCTGCCTCAGCCTCCTGAGTAGCTGGGATTACAGGCACCCACCACCATGCCTGGCTAATTTTTGTATTTTTAGTAGAGGCGGGGTTTCACCACGTTGGCCAGGCTGGTCTTGAATTCCGGACCTCAGGTGACCCACCCGCTTAGGCCTCCCAAAGTACTGGGATTATGGACTTCAGATGTTATCTGAGAGAATGCACAAGACAGACGCAGAGGACGCTGAGCAGTGGTTGAGTAGGTGACCCTAGAGATGAATTCCAATGCTAAGCTTAATTAACCAGTCAGCACATTGGGGATTCTAAAGCCTCTATCTCAAATTCTTTTCACATTTGTCACAGTCCTTTTGAGCCAAGAAGTTCACCCTATAGGAGAGAGAGAGAAAAAAAAAGAAAAAAAAAGGAAGGAATAAAAAAGAAGCAGAAAGTTCACCCTATAAATACTGGAAGAGGGTAGAGTTTTCTTTTTTTTTAATTAATTTTTATTGAGGTAAAATATACATATATAATTTACCATCTTTACCATTTTTAAGTGTACACTACAGTAGTAATAAATTAGTTTACATTCTTTTTTTCCTTCATTCCTCCTCCCCTTCTCCATCCTGGCCTCTGGGTAACCACGAATCTATCTTCATTAGATCCACTTTTTTAGCTCTCCATATGCACGAGAACATGCAGTATTTGTCTGTGTTTGGCTTATTTCACTTAACATAATGTCTTCCAGTTCCATTCATGTTGCTGCAAATGACAGAACTTCATTTCTTTTCATGACTGAATAATATTCCACTGTGTATATCTACTACATTTTCTTTATCCATTCACCTGTTGATGGGGACTTAGGCTGAGCCCATATTTTGGCTATTGTGAATACTGCTGTAATAAACATGGGAGTGTAGATCCTTCTTTGATTTCTTTTCTTTGGCTATATACTCAGAGTGGAGTTGCTGGATCATATGGTAATTCTATTTTTAGTTTTTGAGGAACAGCCAGACTGTTTCTAATTTACATTCCCACCAACAGTGTATGAGGGATCCCCTTTCTCCACATCCTCACCAACATCTGTTGTTACCTGCCTTTTTGATATAAGCCATTGTAATGGGGTGAGATGGTAGTTCATTTTTTTTTTTTTTTAGACAGAGTCTCGCTCTGCTGCCTAGGCTGGAGTACAGTGGCACAATCTTGGCTCACTGCAACCTCTATTTCCCAGTTTCAAGCAATTCTTGTGTCTCTGCCTCCCGAGTAGCTGAGATTACAGGTGCGTGTCACCATGCCTGGCTAATTTTTTGTATTTTCAGTAGAGATGGGGTTTTGCCATGTCAGCAAGGCTGGTCTCAAACTCCTGGCCTCAAGTGATCTGCCCATCTCCAGCTCCCAAAGTGCTGGGATTACAGGTGTGAGCCACCATGCCTGGCCTGTAGTTTTGATTTGTGTTTCTTTGATGATTAATGATGTCGAACTTTTTTTATATATCTGTTGGCAATTTTTTTTTTTTTTAGACAGGGTCTTACTCTGTCACTCATGCTGGAGTGCAGTGGTATGATCATAGCTCACTGCAGCCTCAACCTCCTGGGCTCAGGTGATGCTCCTACCTCAGCCTCCTGAGTAGCTGGGACTATAGGCATGTGCCACCATGCTGGGATAATTTTTATTTTTTGAATTTTTGTAGGGACGGGGTTTCTCCGTGTTGCCCAGGCTGGTCTTGAACTCATGGGCTCAAGTGATCCACCCATATTGGCCTTCCAAAGTGCTGAGACTATAGGCATGAGCCACTGTGCCCGACCTGTATGTCTCCTTTTGAGAAATGTCTGTTCAGATCTTTTGCCCATTTTGATTTCAATTATTATTATTATTTTGCTGTTGAGTTGTTTGAACTCCTTATATGTTCTAGTTATTAATCCCTTGTTCAGTAAATAGTTAGCAAATATTTTCTCTCATTATGTATGTGGTCTCTTTACTTTGCTGATTGTTTCCTTGGCTGTGCACAAGCTTTTTAGCTTGATGTAATCACAATTGTCTATTTTTGCTTTGGTTGCCTGTGCTTCTGAGGTTTGACCCCCAAAATCTATGCACAGATCAATGTCCTGGAGCATTCCCTCAAGTTTTTTTTTTCTAGTAATTTCATAGTTTCAGGTCTTAGATTCAAGTCTTTACATTGAGTTGATTTTTGTGTATGGTGAGAGATAGAGGTTTCATTCCTCTACATATAGTTATCCAGTTTCCTTAGCACCATTTATTGAAAAGACTATCCTTTTCACATTGTATGTTCTTGGTGCCTTTGTTGAAAATGAGCTGGTTGTGCTGGGTGCGGTGGCTCACACTTGTAATCCCAGCACTTTGGGAGGCCTAGGTGGGTGGATCACTTGAGGTCAGGAGTTTGAGACCAGCCTGGTCAACATGGTGAAACCCTGTCTCTACTAAAAATGCAAAATTAGCCAGGTGTGCTGGTGTGCACCTGTAGTCCCAGCTACTTGGGAGGCTGAGGTGGCAAAATTGCTTGAACCCAGGAAGCAGAGGTTGCAGTGAGCTGAGATTGTTCCACTGCACTCCAGCCTGCATGACATAGCAAGACTCTGTCTCAAAAAAAAAAAAAAAAAAGAAAAGAAAAGAAAAAAAGAAAATGAGGTGGTTGTAAATGTGTAGATTTATATCTGGGTTCTCCATTCTGTCTTATTGGTATATGTTTTCATGCCAGTACCACACTGTTTTGGTTACTATAGTTTTGTAGTAAATTCTGAAGTCATGTAGTATTATGTCTCTAGCTTTGTTCTTTTTACTCAGGATTTCTTTGGGTATTCAAGGTCTTTTGTGGTTCCATATAAATTTTAAGATTGCTTTTCTTATGTCTATGAGGAAAGTCATTGATATTTTGAATCCCTTCTCTCATTTTCCCTCCCTCCTTCCTGCCCCTCTCCTTCCTTTCTTCCCTTCTTCCCTTCCTTTCCTCAACTGCTCAAAAGTATATCTAGTGAGCACTGCACTTTCAATTTCACTAAGAAAAGCAGCCAAATAGAGCTAGCTAAGGTGGGCAGCAGTGGGTGGTATCTGAGTTTTGGTGGCTGAATCCATGGGTCCCCTATCTTCCTCTACTCCTGCGTTCCTGTCCTTCACCCTTTATTGCTCCACATCTCCATGATTGGTGAAAAATGTCCTTTCCACACAGTTTTCAACAGGCAAATGTGATGGCATCTAATGCAGCTTAATTCCTCTTATGTCCTTGCTTTTCATTTTCTCCTTTCGCTCTTCTTCCTCACTTTCTCTCCTCCAGGATCCTTTTGGCTTGTCTCGAAGTTCCTTCTGATTCCTTTGGGCTGTCAGCTCCGGGGGCCGTGTGAGGGGCAGGGGGAAGATGTGTTTGGGTCCATGCCTGCTAGCTGGCACGAGGAGCACGTTGTGGGGCACACGTATGCATGGAGCCATTGGGAAAAGCTCTCACATCTAACTGTGTTTCCCTAGACAAGTACAGACAATCACCAGGAACTAAGGAACAAGAAGCATCCAACCCTGCATCTGTGGGTTTCCTGAGGTGACTCTCAATTGTCATAGGTGAGCTTGCTCCCCTCCTGCTCTCCACCCTTACACTGCCAAGAGCAAGAGCGTAGAAAGACATAAGGGATGCGGTGGAGCCAAAAAGCTAAAAGTTTTTTTCTGTCTGATTTGTTCAGGGGTGAAGAGTGAGTGAGGAAACCCTTGGAGCACTTGTTTGCTTCACAGACATCCTGACCTCCTTTCAACTGTAAAGACTTAGTCAGAGGACGGCGGCTCCCTCAGCCTCATTCTGCAGTTCCAATGACACTTTTTACAAAGGCTCTGTACTTGTCTGATTCTTAAATATTCCAGTTTTTGAACTTTGCTGCAGTAGTTGTATTCGAAATGGGTTAATTGTCTCATTTTCTTTTTAATGCCTACTCTTTCAAGGCTCAAATCTTGAATAGGTCAAAAAGAGCAAGAGGAAAATGTCAGAGAATGGAGAAAGGCAAATACAGAGAAGCAGTGTGAACATCCACCCGGCGAGGTGACCTGATGGTGCTGCTCCATGTCAGAGACAGTAGTGTCTGGGAAGAGGGAGCCCTTTCCACAGGGTGGAGCAAAAGGCCTGGAGCTGACACCTGGCTCCTGGGCCCACTCGCCCACCACCTCGAGCAACTCCCTTCCTTAACGTCTGCCCGAGTGTTAAGGGCTGAGCACATGACCTCACAGGAGGATGTGAGGGGCAGCGGTAACATGTGTCTAGCACTTTGTCCCTTATAAGTCACTCACAAATACTTATATCCTTATTATCTTCATCCTTTTCTCTTGAGTTTTTCTCTAATTCTTTAAGAAGGAAACACGTAGCCAGGAAGTGGAGAGCCTCTCACATACTTGGGGAGTTTTCATATTTCCCCCATCAGTTCCTTTTCTGGCCTGAGCTCATGCTCCCTAAGATCAGGGCTTGGGCTTTGTTTTAGTCTGTGTTGTTATAAAAGAATATCCAACAGTGTGTAATTTATAAAGAAAAGAGGTTGACTTGGCTCATGGTTCTGCAGGCTGTACAGGAACAAGCTTGGCTCCAGCATCTGCTTGGCTTCTAGGGAGGCCTCAGGAAGCCTTTACTCATGGGGGAAGGCAAAGGGGAGCAGGCATTATGTGAGAGGAAGGAAGAGAGAGGCAGGGGAGGTGCCAGGCCCTTTTAAACAATCAGCGCCCATGGGAAATAACAGAGCCAGAACTCACTCATTAACTTCAGAATGGCACCAAGCCAGTCATAAGGATCCACCTCCATGACCCAGACACCTGCCACCAGGCCACGCCCAGTATCAGGGATCACATTTTAACGTGAGACTCGGAGGGGACAAACATCCAAATCACATCTGGCCCCATAACCTTTGGAGACCTCAGCTCTGGCGCTAGGGTGGTAGGTCCCCTAAGGGTTCGTGCTCTCTGAAGGAATTGGGTTACATTACCTGGGAGAGCTTTCTGGAGGAAGTGAGCTTTGCTTCTCACAGGTTTCTATAAGGAGAAGGATGGGCTGTTGGAAAGGGAGTGAGTGTGTGTCCAAGTGAGGGAAAGTGAGGTTCAGCATCTTGGTGCTCTTGGCTCAGCTTCCCTTTCTATGCCATGCACAGTGCCTCCAGGATGCCAGGGGGTGCCATCCCTGACCTGTTCTGGGGTGGGTGTGCAAGATGCGAAATGGCTAATTTCAGTTCACTGGTAACTCTAACATTTGGATAATAATTGGCCATAGCATTAGCTTTGGTTATACATCTCCAAATGTGTTATTACATTATATATATATATATATATATATATATATATATATATATATGCACACACACACGTATACATATATACACACATCTACACTGTATTGATATGTTGATATATTGATGTTATGAATTATTTTAAAGAGTATTCTATTGATGTAGAGGATAATATGAAATTCAATATTTTCTGGCACTCTTTTTAAATGATACTTAGGCCATCTGATGAAAACAGAGCTCAGTAAAGATTTCTTATTGATAAATCAACATTACAAATGAAGACTAGTTTCATTGCCATGATCAGTAAATTAAGGGTCATAAATTAACTGTTGAGTTATTTTCTTTGCACTATTAAGCCTTCCACTCAATCTTTCTACAGTCTTTCTTATTTAGCAAACGGTGTTACTTGATAGAAACCTCTGCTGTGATTTTGTTTTTTGAAATTTAATAAGAAAGCTATATAATACAATTCTCGGGGGAAAACAAGCAAGGTAGGTTTTTCACGGTAACCTCCAAGCAGAGAAATGGTTTCAGTGCGCAGTCCAGTGAATTTCCTCCATAGAGTGTGCTGGAAGAAGTCACCTGGAAGTGATCACCAGAGTGATATTCAGTTTGACTCTCATTGGTTTGTATATAATTGATTATATATAAAAACAAATGCCAGGGTGAGGGTGGGACTAGAGTCCCCCTTTCAGGCTCCTCCCCTTGCATTTCCATCTGGTCTTGCAGCAAGTTAACCACGGTCCTATCTTCAGGTTCAATTACTCCCTTTAAAAAATAGGTTTTAACACCTATGTATCTCTCAACATTATATTGTTTTATTTTGAAAAATTGAATAATAACCACACACCTAGCTTTGGAAGCAAGAGGCTTCATGGCCAGGATCAGATAAATGATCCTCTTAGAGTGGGTGGGACCTCAGCATCCCAGAGCGTGTGGAAGAGTGCCTGCCAGGAAGCCACCAGACAAGGTCCTAAGTACATGCATGGAAACACTGGGCACGATGCTGACTGTGGCATGGGCCAAAAAGTGACATGGGGCAGAACTTCAGTGGGAGGAGGGGTGCTCTGTACGTTCAGCTTCTAAGCCCACTGTGGCCTTCCTCTTAGGGTTTCACAGAGCCAAGCAGAAAAGGAGCACAGGTGACCTTGGCAGGAAGGCATGCATGGGAGAGCAGGTCTGCACTCTGGGACACCAGCCTCAACAGGTCTGTCTCTTGATCACGCTGGCGACAAGCTGTCATCGTGAGATTTCCTCCCCTCCTGGGGATTGCCTTGGCCTCTGTCTCTGTTGAATTGAATCCCGTTTCCTCCATTCTAGTGGGGTTTTTTTTTGTTTTGTTTTGTTTTTTTTAACAAGGACTCTTGCTCTGTCACCAGGCTGGTGTGCAGTGGCGCGATTTCGGCTCACTGCAACCTCCGCCTCCTGGGTTCAAGCGATTCTCCTGCTGCAGCCTCCCTAGTAGCTGGGATTAGAGGTGTGTCCCACCATGCCCAGCTAATTTTTGTATTTTTAGTAGAGATGAGGTTTCACCATGTTGGCCAGGATAGTCTTGAACTGCTGACCTCAGGTGGTCCACCCGCCTCGGTCTTCCAAGTGCTGGGATTACAGGCGTGAGCCACTGGCATCCGGCATTGCAGGTCTTTTTCTCTCTTAGTTTTTTCTCTCACTTTGGTGATGAGCATTCTCCTGGAGATATTTAAGAAGTTCCAAAAGAGATACATTTTTTTTGAGGTTTTGCAGGTTTGAAAATGTTTCTATGCAACCCCCCATGCTTCACTGATAGTTTGGATATGGATTTCTAGGTTAGAAATCACTTCCCTTCAGTGTTTTGATAGGTTGCTCATTTATCTTCTTCCTTCAGGCTGTTGAGACATTCAAAGCTATTTTAACTCTTCATGCTTTCTATATAAATTGTTCCCCCGACCCCTGCTTTAAGACTGTAGAATTTTCTCCTTGGCCCCAATATTATGAAATTTCCAGAAAATGTTTTTTGTTGTGTGTTTGCTTTACACATTTTGTTGGACATTTGGTGGGTCCTTTCAGTTGTGGGAAACTTTCTTGAGTTATTTCATCTATAATTTCTTCTAATGCACTATCTATGCTCTCTCTTTCCAGACCTCCTATTTGAATATTGGACCTCCTGATCTAGTTCTTTAGTTTTCTCACTTTATGTTTTCTTCAATATTCCATCTCTTTGTTCTACTTTCTGGAGAGAACTTCAACTTTACCCTTTAACTTTCTTAAACTTTCTTTTGTGTTTTCATTTTGAGCTTTTACTTCTCAAGTGTTTTTCAAATGCTGTCTATTATTCTCTGTATGTTTCTCTTCATAGTATCCTGTTTTTCTCATGCATGTGATATCTTATTTTATACCTCTGATGACATTAACTTTTGGCTGATGCATTTTTTTTTTGCTTAATGTCAATTTTATACAATTGCTTTTCTCTGCTTGTCTTCTTTTCTGCTCTCTATGTTATCAATTTTTCTCATGAACCTGGTAGTTTTTGTTTTGCTGCTCATGATTAAGAGGAATCTGAAAATCTCACCAGAAATGTTTGTGTACAGCAGTGACTTATTGATTTTGAGTTTATTATAAGGTAATCTGAGTGGGCGATTCACTGATTCACTAGGTCTTTTCTGTTAAAAGTCTGTGGAAAAGACTCTATGCATCTTGTGTTCTTAAAAGTTAAAGGTCTGGCTTCTAGCATCCTAGGAGATAGGATGCAGGAATAAAAAGACTGGACATTTAAAATTTAGCTTTTAACACCCCTATAATCATTTAATCTCCTTTTTGTCTCTATAGGACACAACTCCTTTTATTTGCAAGGCATCAGATATTCCTTGTTTAACTTTTACTGTAGAATAAAGCTTTAAACTTTTGGGGTGGGGTTAGATCAGTCACCCAAAGAGCACTGAGTAGGAAAGATATCCCGGGGGCTAAAAGCCTGTCAAGGAACTTTCACCCCATCTCTATATTTTCCTCCCTTCCCTCTATCCTTCGTTCCAGAGGTAACTGGTGCCACCGCTTTCTCATCTTTTAAGGATTCTGACATTTAAATTGGTTTGGATCTCAGCTTTCTCTTCTGGAGGCACTGGATTTAGTTCTCTTGAGCTGCTAATTACTACTTGTCCATCTGTTGCTGCTGTCTCTTATCTTCTCTTCATCATCCAGCACATGTGTCTTTGTGTGTGAATGCAGTTTTAAAGAAGTTTCAGCAGGGAGCAAAATTGTATGCACGTGTTTAATTAACTTATCTTAACACGGAAACTGGCCTGCAGTCTTTACCATATCATTCATTTTATTTATGTTCTATACAGAGCCACAGAATTCAGAGTAGGAAAAAATTAAACATTTTATATACTCTAATGCCCTCATTCTGTAGATGAGCATATTGTCTCCAAGAAGAAAAACAGCATGTCTAAAATGATATGCTTGGTTTGTGTTAGGATCCAGATTTAAGAAGTCAAGCCCCAATCTCTAAATACTACCCAATGTCCAAAGTTGCTAATATGTCTTAATTTAGTAATTTAGCAGGTCAATTTGAGTTGTAGAGACCAAAATTTTGTCCTATGGGAAATTATGATATTTGCCAGACCACAAAAATTGAGCAAAGTATAGAAGTGCTCCAAAATCAAACAAATAGTGGATGTAATCCAGAAACAAATAATTAGTTTGGATAATGAAAGTATAGGTATATTTTACATTTAAACCAATGAACAAAGAATCAGTGAGCAGGAAAAAGAAATCCTGTGTTTTAAACATGTCAGCAAAAACATGGTATGTGCATGGAATATTCCCATCTGCTCCTTTTGAGTTCTGGATTTCAGACTCTCTTCTCAGCCCTCCAGGGCCTAAGAGTCCCTGTGCTCTCCAAGGCTTCCTCCATTTCTAAGGTGCTGGGAGTTCCTCTATCTGCTCTCTGCTGTCTCCACCCACCTGCCTTTCATTCTATCAACAAAACAAGACAACACAAAACAAAAGCACCTTAATTGTGATGAGTTTTGCCCCATAACAGCCTTTCTCCATGACTGACTAATTAAAAAAAAAAACTTTTGGTATGATCCTGAGTGCCTGCATGGAACTTGGTGATGAGCATGAGGCGAACAGGATTCCAGTCCTTACCTGTCATGAGTCATGCGACTTGGCCTAGATACTTCCAGGCCTCTCACTTTCCTGATTTGCAAAGTGATCTTTCAAGCTCTAGTGTTTTAGAACCATGAAATTTCCAAATGATTTTAAATAACTATTAGTTATTTAGAACTCATAACCAAAGGAATGCATCTCTAAGTTGGAATTTCAGACTCCACTGTGGAAGGTTATATGTGTTTGGGTTTGGAGCCATGAGAGAGGAACTACTGGACCACGTCATCTAGGTGGCTGTCCATCCTCCAAGGATAGAGAGCATCTAAAAATTTGAGGTTCAAGAGAAAATGGGTGATTTTGTGGCTATAAAAAATCATGAATGAGTAAAAAAGAAGGAAACCCTGCCATTTGAGACAACAGGGATGGGCCTTGTGAGCATCATGCTAAGTGAAATCAGTGAATCAGAGAAAGACAAGTGCTGCCTGACCCTACTCACAGATGGAACGTAAAAAACAAACTCATGGAAACAGACAGTAGAACAGAGATTGCAGGGCTGGGGAGCAGGAAAACGGGAGATGCTGGCCAAAGGGCACAAACCTTCAGTTACAAGGTGAATAGCTCTGGAGAGCTGATGTACAGCCTGGTGACTATTGTTAACAATAGTGTATTGTGTACTTGAAATTTGCTAAGAAAATAGATCTTAAATGTTCTTACCAAAAACGGAACAGAACAGCCTAACAGTGTGAGGTGTGGACATGTTAACTAACGTGATTGTGGTAATCACAATGTGTACCTCTATCAAATTATCACATTTTATACCTTAAATATATATAATTTTATATGTCAATTATATATCAAAGCTGAAAAGAAAGAAAAAATGAGACACAATTTTAATCTTTATATACTGGGGACAGATGTTTATTTTATAGACATACACCTGATTATTTAAAATTAAGTCTTCACTCATGTTTCTTTTGAATTAATAATCTAAAAATGTAAATGGAAAATAAATTATGGTTGAATTGTATCTTCCAAAGGGAAAATGACATTTAAACTGTCATAACCCTGATAAGCAAATATTTAACTTTCCAACCAATGGATGATAAATCAGCTATTTATTTAACAGACTTTTATAGTCATGGCTTGGGATTTTATAGCCATTTGGTTTTGAATTAGGCTGACTGTACATTGTACTAAGAAAGAATCACATAATTAAAAAAATAAAATTTATGGGGTTGATAGGTCTCACATCTGAGTTATAATTATTATCCTTCTGCTTAGTTGTCTTGTTTTCATGTGGAGAGGGTGACTGGGAGTTTTATTTAGGCTTTGCTTTTTTCTACTTTTAGAATACGAGTTTTGAATTTTTGAATTGCTGTTAAAACTTTCATCATGAACACTGAAGTGAGTGAAAAGAGACTTTTGCAGTCATTTTTTTGGTAAGCCTATTACCTGATCTGCTCTGAGTAATTAGCTTCCTTGCTCACCGAGCCATCTTCTATTTCTGCTTCTCACAGTCTCAAGTCCTCTCTCCCGAGGACATGTGCCTCCTGAGCTGCAAAGCATGGTATGGGTGTTGTCCAGGGTGGGGGTTTTCAAAAATGGGGAGACCCCCAACCAGAAATATTCAGATTTCGGCTTTCAGCAGGATGACAGGAAGGACTGGGATGCACTTTGTAGATACTTGTTAAACTTCAACGAAGAATTTGAAGATTTGTATAAATCATGGGTTTTAGGTCAATAGCATCTAGTTAGCACTGAGGTAGGTACCTGGCAAAGGCCTTATTCCTCCATGTCTGATTCACACTGTTGGACATATTCTCTTTTCTTTTCTTTCATTTTGAGATAGGGCCTTACTCCATTGCCCGGGCTGGAGTGCTGTGGCAGACACAGCTCACTGTAGCCTCAACCTCCTGGGCTCAAGTGATCCTCCCATCTCAGCCTTCTGAGTAGCTGGGACCACGGGCATGCACTACCATGCCTGGCTAATTTTTGTATTTTTTTTTTTAGAGATGGGGTCTTACTGTGTTGCCCAGGTTGGTCTCAAACTCCAGGACTCAAGCAATCCTCCTGCCTCAGTCTCCCAAACTGCTTGGACTACAGGTGTGAGCCACCACAACCAGCCTCATTGGATATATTCTTTTGTAGCTAATTTTTGTGTTTTTAGTAGAGGTGGGATTTTGTCATCTTGGCCAGACTGGTCTGGAACTCCTGACCTCAGGTGATCTGCCCACTTCAGCCTCTCAAAGTGCAGCGGTTACAGGCGTGAGTCACCGCTCCCGGCCAATTTAATTTCAAGAAGACAAAATACAAAATGGAAAAATAAATTTGAAACAAGCACTTACATAATGAAATAATTATTTATTTGGGGAGTTATAATGGAAACTATTTTGATATGCGCCCGGGTTTTGTTGCATGGTTCACACACAAAAATTCTTTATATTTTTTCAGTCTTTGATGATTTCTAATAAAATGAGAAGAGTTTGTTATTGAACATCACTTTGCTTTTCTTCTTTAATTGGCTGCAGAAATGCCAGTTCCCAAGGAGAAAGCATTTGCCAGTTTCTCTTCAGTGTTTTAATTTTCCAGTTATAAGCCATAGCTGCCAGATATTTTTCTCCTGTGAATATCAATAATGTATGTTTAACTAGATTTACATTTTGTTTCTTTTTTATTATTGACATTTTTCATAATTAGATGATTGTGGATTTAACAATAGGAAAAAAAAGGCAAACTGTCTTTAGTGTTAACGTCAATCCCTGCCTCAGAACAGGAGTGCTTCAGAGTAGGGGCATTATTCCACTCAGCACATGAGCATCCGCTCAGCATCATATATGCACCAAAGAAGATGCACTGCATGAGGCAATCCCCTTAGCGCATATCCTTTCAGATAGATGAGACAAATACACATAACTGCAAATGAGAAAGATACAAAGTGTTAAGGAAACGTGGCAGAAAGCTTTCTGCAGGTCCACAGTTGGATTACATTTTCCATGGGGGGCTATTTCCCAGAATGTGTGCCACTTCCATGACTGCTATACAAACCCTCCATGAATGTCCTTTGCTGTCCTTTTCTGCCAGCTGGCTGCAGATGACAGTGACACCCTGGGAGTTGAGAAATGCTTGTAAGATGGAAGGAGGCTGTGTCCCTGAATGATCACCTGGAAGAGAGCCACCTTAGCCAATGAAACTCCTGCTATGAATGTTTGCTGAGCAAGAAATATACTTACTGCTTTATATGCCTTTGAAGCTATAGGTTCATATTGTTACCACAATTTAAAGTGCTATAATAAAAAGAGTTCAGGAAGCAGGCACATGGAAGCAATAAGAGCAACAAACATTTACACAGGTATTGTTTAAGTGCTTTTGTTTAACAATCACTATAGCTATTAGTAGCCTCATTGTAATAATGAGTAAAGCTTAGAGATTAAAAAGTATTTCTTATAACACAGTTATTTGAGAAGACTGCCCAGCTGAAAACTTGGCCTATCTAATTATAAAGAAGAGCCAGTGCATGTTCCTAAAATACTAGGGTGATATGATTAGAATAAGCTGGCTTATCACCACAGATCCACTTAAGGGCAAGTTACAAATAAGTCGATGTTTACAAAATCTTGAGAGTCCACTGAGGCATATTACCATATGTTTGCCAGGAAACTCTTTTTAATTGTATAGGTAATATTCACATTATAGAAACATTTTTTAATAAATAGAAAAAATCTTTTTCATCAACCCACAATCTTAATATAATCCTTGTTTGTATTTTGATGTACTTCTTTCTATACTATTTTTCTTTTTCTTTTCTTTTTTTTTTTTTTTTTTTTTTTGAGGTTGAGTCTCACTCTATTGTCCAGGTTGGAATGCAGTGGCCTGATCTCGGCTCACTGCAACCTCCATCTCCCGCGTTCGGTGGATTCTCATGCCTCAGCCTCTGGAGTAGCTGGGATTACAGGTGCCTGCCACCACACCCAGCTAATTTTTGTATTTTTAGTAGAGATGGGGTTTCACCATGTTGGCCATGCTGGTCTCGAACACCTGACCTCAAATGATCTGCCTGCCTCGGCCTCCCAAAGTGCTGGGATTACAGGCATGAGCCACCGTGCCTGGCCCATACTATTTTCTATACATGTTTTTAACTAGGCTATAATCTTATTGTATGTACAATTCTGAATTTTGCTCTTTTCACCTGAGTATATCACAATCATTTTCCATGTTATTAAAAAGTTTTCAAATGTTTTCAGTATAAAAAATCATATGTGCCAATTAAATAAAATTGGATGAGGAAAAAAGTAGGGAAATTTTCTCTCTTGCATCCATCACTCAAGAAGCAACGAGAATGTTCTGCTATTTCACTCAATATTTTGTCATAACAATCTTCTAATGCTTTACATAATTTTAAAAAGCTAACTTTTATTAGTAATTGTAAACCAAATACAAATTCTATGCACGTAGCTGAAGAACACAGAAAAGCACAAAGGCAAAATAAAATATAATCTTACTACTTTAAGATAAACATTTACAGTATTCTATTAACATATATGTATATGTGCATACATTTTAAAAGATAGTGTATCATATATATTGTTTTGTAGCATTTTTTAAAAAAAATTCAGTATTCTATCTGTAATGGTTAATTTCATGTGTAACTTGGCTAGGCTATAGTGCCCAGTTGTTTGGTCAAACACTAAATGTTGCTGTGAAGGTATCTTTTAGAAGTAATACTTAGAATCAGTTGACATTAGGTAAAAGAGGTTACCTTTGATGATGTGGGTGTACCTTGTCCGATTAGTTGAAAGCCTAAAGAACAAATGCTGAGGTTTCCTGCCTGAGTTTCCAGCCTACCATCTGGTATTACAAATTTTAAACTTAAGATTGCAACATCAATCTTTGCCTGAGTTTCTAGCCTCCTGGCCTGTTCTACAAATTTTGAACTTGCCAACTCTTACAATCCCATGAGCCAATTCCTTAAAATAAATCTCTCTGTATTTATATATGCTTTGGAGAGCCACAGAATGATGTTACAATATCGTTAACATTTTCTACCTCAGTATTCTTTTACAAGATTTTAATGGCTTCCTAATGATTAATTAAATGGTAATCATATTAATAAGATCATAGTATTCAATTGAATGATGTTCCATAGTTTACATATCCATTCCTCTACTGTTAACACCTCTAACAATTTTTTTATTGTGGTAGAATACATATTAACAAAAAATTTGCCATTAAGTGTACAATTCAGAGGCATTATTTACATTCATTATATGGTGTAGCATAATCATAATCTATTTCCAGAACTTTTGCATCACCCTAAACAGAAACTGTAACCACCAGATCATATACCATAGTTGTTTTAAGTTGTTAAGTTTTGTAATATTCATTATTCCAAATAGCCATAGATAACTGATACCAAAGTTAGTACCATGAGTAGGGTGCTACTGAAGAAAATGTAAAGCAAGTGTCATTGTTTTTAGGACTGGACAGTGAGTGATGCTAGAAAAGTGATGAGGTGGCAATTAGGACTGTTGGTGTGAGAAAATAACTTTTTTTTTTTTTTTTTTTTTTTTTGAGACAGAGTCTTACTCTGTCACCCAGGCTGGAGTGCAGTGGCACAATCTTGGCTCACTGCAAGCTCTGCCTCCCAGGTTCATGTCATTCTCCTGCCTCAGCCTCCCGATAGCTGAGACTACAGGCATCCGCCACCACACCCAGCTAATTTTTTGTATTTTTAGTAGAGATGGGGTTTTACCATGTTAGCCAGGATGGTCTCGATCTCCTAAACTCATGATGTGCCTGCTTCAGCCTCCCAAAGTGCTGGGATTACAGGCGTGAGCCACCACGCATGGCTGAGAAAATAACTTTTTGAGGCTGGAAAAGGGTGACCTGTGTTATGTAGTAGGGGAATAACTGGCAAATATGTCACCTGCAGTAACTGGAAGATAGGAAATGCCATGTTCCTAATGAATTCCTGTGTCTGGCTAAGGAGATCTCTAGACAAAATGTTGAAAAGGCCAGTTGGGCAGTTCTGTGTAGGTATGACAATATGCACAATACTATAAAGAAGCTATAGAGAGAACTGTTTGATTTGTAAACAAAATTTTGAGAAAATAAAGAAGAGATAGTACTTGCTGGGTTGAAAATAAAACTGTTTCTCATTTACCACATTTTCAGTCTCTCCAACTGACAAAAGGTTCTTAAAAGTAAGAAATAGCCTCAGGGTAAAGAAACATAAAATCAAAGTTGTGGCTAGGGGACTTCTGATACCTCAGAAAGATTTAATGTCATGCCAGACCCTCTTAGAAGACAAAAGGGCTTCTAAAACTCTTAAGAGTGTCTTCCCAAAGCAATCCAACAGACCAAAATTTGAAAGAAGTCTGTCTCAAAAATAAGTATGTTTATGAAATTTGGGGCATAGAGTGAATCCCACAAAGTTGTAAGAGAGTCATATGAATGAAAGCATGGCCCAATTGGACTAAAAAGGCAAAAACATTTGAAAAGAAGCTTCCAGAACCCCAAATTTTTATGTAACGAGAGTAGTCTAAGAAAGCTACTTAGCTACAGACATGGTCCATTTCCTGTTGAAAGATGTCTCAGAAGGTGGAGCTAAGCATAGAGAACAACGGATTAGAGAATGACTTCCATGGAGCAGAATGAAGCTCAAATCTGTGTTCCTACAGAATGGGAGACCCCAACGACAGCTGATGACTGGGTTTGGAATTACTGTAGAGCAGTGTGGTTGCTATGTAACTCCTTATTCTGTGCCTTTGGAATGGGAGTGTCTGTTGGGAATTTCCTGCCCTGTGTCTTCTGTTTAACTTGTGTTTGTGAGAGGCAGATAACTTGGCTATTCAGTTCTCAGGTCCCTGGACCATGAAGGGCCACATCCAAGGAGCTACCCCAGGAGGCCTCTCATTTGCATTTGTCCCCGCTAATGCAGGACAGAGATCATGGAAGTTGGGCCCGACTGGATGAGATTTGGGGGTCTTTGGAAGTGGAGAATGTGTTTGCCCTGGGGAAGAGGTGAGTATGTTCACAGGACAGTTGTGAGTTATTGTGGTCAGAGGGAAACCTGGGTCAGATGGGTTACAAAGATGGGTGCAAAACCTCTCTGTTCTTCATGCATGCCTCTCCAAAATATGACTTTGCCATTTCTTTCATGAAGAGGTGATGTCTAGGAGACCTCTTCACTCAGGGCAAGCTCTATGACCTGCTTTGACTCCAGAATGTGGTAGAAGTGGCATCACATAAATTGCAGAGCCTAGGCTTCAAGAGACCTTGCAACTTGCCTCTCACTGACTTGAAGTGCTCCCATCAGAGCATCTTGTAAGGAGCAGGTGGAGCATGTGGACAAGCCATCCCCACCAGCCCCTGAGACATGTGAGAGAGGCCAGAACAGGCCATCCGGACCCCACTGTGCTGGTGGATGAGACAGCAGAAGGAATATCAACCTACCAACAGAATCCTGAGAAATGCTCACTCTTACTTCAAGCTGCTGCATTTTGATGTTATGAAACCATAAATAACTTATGAAGTCATCTTTGCTGACTTAAAGTTTTCCATAACTTTATTATAACATATCAAAATTATGAAAAATGTGAAAAGTAGAAAACTGATGAATTTTGCTTCTTCATATGGTCTTTAAGAATCTCAAAGGCACTGAAGTTTTTTATCTTTTCTGTCTTAGAATAAAAAACCTTGAATGAAAATCTGCTTCTTGGAAAAGCAGCAAGGTTTATGCAGAGGCAATCTGGTATTTGTGTGCACTGGCAGCTGATCATACCCAGCATGCACGCACTCTCAGGGCAGAGTCTGATGCCCCACATAATGGGGCATGGTAAGGACTCCCATGTCCTTGAGATAAAATGATAAGGAAAATACACACTGCTATTAGAATAACAGGCCCAGCTTCTGCACATTTTAATTCCCAAAGTTTTCATGAAAGACAATGATTTTTTGGTACCATGTTTAACTCTACAAGAATCAGTAGTGAAAACTAAAAATGATACTTTGTGAAAGTTCATTAATTTTGTTTTCAGCCAGTGGTGGCCTTGGTCAGATAGAATCAAATCTATGATACTTTTTATCAGAAATGCTTATACTGTGTACAAACCCAAAGTGATGGCTTTCAAAGATTGAATTTGATTATTTTCTGTATGGTGCAGATGAAAAATTACTACACAGGAGAAGGTGGGTTGGAGGTGCTCACGAGTAACCAGGAAACAGTCTGAAGTTTTTCTGATACTTCTCCTTGGTCCAACCAAATGTGAGATATAAACACAAACTTGGGATTCCGTTCTTATGTTTTGGTTGTTTCAGTCTTTACAGATGTATCGAAAGGCTGTCCAAAAATGTCTGACTTCTGTAGTGTGCCTTCGTAGCACTAGAGGGTTCTGCAGCTGTGAAACTGAAGGCATTGGCAAGAAGCCCTCCATCTTCAAACCACTTTCTGCTAAGGTGTGGCTCTATAAAACCACTATGAGCTGGGCTTCACTGAGACTGAGTTGTTTCAGTAGGATCTTCCGGAAAAACATGTTCCCTCCTTTACCTGGGTTGTCATTCTGAGAACAATCACACCTCCAATTTTGGCTTACTAAGCAATAGCGTTTTAATGATTTTAAGCCAGGATTTGCTCCTCCTTTCCTCAGTATGAGAGCTTAACCACTGGAGGAACCAAGAATTCATGCTGGTTGGGTTCTGATTCCACTTTAACTTACTGTATAGCCTCATCCCTTGTTTTTCTGGAGATTCTCTTTTTCTGCTTCACTGATTTATATTTACATTAAAATCAAATGAGGCCATGTTTCTGAAATCACATTGTCCCTACATGGTCATTACAATGAGTCTGTAATGTGACTGAAAGACAGCCATGGATACAGGTAGAGGATATCAGGCAATTGAATGCTCATCAAGCATTCAATTCAGGGCAAATGGCATAAGGTATGCAGTTGGCCTCTTCTGATATCTGTGTCTTAATCCTTTCTTTAGCCTCTGTTTTCTGGACCAAGGCTAAGATATTTTCTGGGCACAGTGGCTCATGCCTATAATCCCAGCACTCTGGGAGGCCAAGGTGGGAGGATTTCTTCAGCCCAGGAGTTCGAGACCAGCCTGGGGAACATAGGAGACCTCATTCCTACAAATAATAAAAAAAATTAGCCAGCTCTGGTGGCGTGTGCTTATTGGTCTCAGCTACTTGGGAGGCTGAGGTGGGAGGACTGCTTGAGCCCAGAAGATCGCAGCTGCATTGAGCCATGATTGTGCCACTGAACCCTAGCCTGAGCAACAGAGCAAGGCCTTATCTCAAAAAAAAAAAAAAATTCTGAGCCTTCTAATTTTTTTTTTCTTTAATTAACTTTCTGTAAGCCCAGCAAGTAAATAAAACACTTATTTTATGAAGCATCTAGTTGCTTTTAGGGGAAGGGACATCCTCCGCATAGTATCTAGGCCAGCTCACTTTCTTCTCCTTACTGTTGATTTACTCTCTGCCATTGAATCTTCTGTGCCAATGTTGGATTAATGTTTCCGGGCCCTACTTTCATCATGCTCCTCTGTATTATCACCTGTTTTGGTTTACAGCAATGATTTTTAAGGTAAGGCATGGTGTGTCCATCATAGTCACATGGGAACTTTTTCAAGCCATATTAAAAATGTCCCCCATTCATCATTCTGCCCCTGGAACAGTGTGTGCAGTTGGGACCTTCAAGTAAATCTACTTTGTTGAAACCCACTGATCAGCATGGTGTATTTCATAACTCTTTGACTTACATTCAAGAAATTCCTTAACCTGAACTCCATTTTACTCTTTTTTTCATTCATTCAAATTAAGAATATTGCCTGAACATGAATTATCTGCTAGACGTTTTTCTAGGTGCAGGAGGAGTAAGGATGAACATAACTAGCCATAACTATAGCTATCAATTGTGGAGTGTCTGTTATGTGCCAGGCACTTTTAAGTGACCTACTCGATTTACTTGCATGACAAACTGTGAGGAAAAGCCCAATATTATCCCCTATTAACAGATGAGGAAACTGAAGCACAAACAGCATGAATAGTTTGTTCCAGATTGCATCATAAGAGGCACAGCCAGCTTTCCTACCAAAGCAGCCCTGGCCCAGAGTCCGTACTCCCTCCTCCCCTGCCTCTGCCTGGTGGATAAGGTCACCCTGGCCTTGTGGAACTTATGCTCTAGTGGGGACAAATAGTTATAGAGAATGACCGATGTTACTAAGAAAATAAAAGCTGGTAAGAAAACAGAAGCACTGAGGAGGTGACTGAAGTGAGCATTTATAATTTTATGTTATATCCATTGTAAAATATAAGTTTAGCTTTCTCATACCAGAAGCAGGGCTCAGTCCACCCTTGACTCAGTTTCCAATACTGTTCCCCATCAGAATGGCTCTTGCTGGTGGCCAGAAGTAAAACTTAGAAATATCTCTCTCAGAGACACCTAAGCAGGCTGGGCTCCCCGGTTTCCTGTTGCTTCCTTTAAAGAAGCTCTTCAGACATCTGCACAAGAACTCAAAGTGACCACCTCTCAGCCCAGCATGACCTACTGGAACTAATGCCTGCTTGCTTTCAACCTACCAATTAAAGCTCCCCAGGAAACCTGTTTAGATAACACCCTGGACCCAAGAAAGGTGCTGGGCCATGGGTTTCTTCTCTCTCTCCCTATCTGTGCTCCCTGACCCCCTGTGTGTGTGTGGTCTCTAGGCTTGCCTTCTATCCCTGAGGGTCTGTAAATACTAAAAACACTTAAACTTTCATATTGTAGTTGTGTCTTTGAAGCCAGGTCCCCATCCCGTACCTTGAGGGCAAGGCCTCCTGGAAGGGACCCATGTAGGTGGATCCCCTGCTGTCCAGGCCTCTTAGCTGCTGGGGTAGTGACCAGTTAAGTGGATAGAGTTTCATTCAAAACAATAATCATTCAACTGTATCTCACATCAAACCTCTGCTCTAGTTTATGTATCTACTTTATGTTCTTAGAAGACTGTGCAAACACATTGTCTTTTTTGAGTACCTGTCTTGTCCTAGGTACTCTGCTTGGTACGGGGAGAGACGAATCTTCTGTCTTCAGGGGCTTCCACTCCAGCAGGGAGAACATGACTAATAGTGACTGCCTGCTGCTGTAGGTAATAAGTGGCTCCCACTAGGCCCTCCATTTGGTGGCCCCCTGTCCCTCTCACTGGTGGAAGCCTACCTGTCCTCTAAGGACCAGCTCACTAATGTCCTAGATCCTCACGGACCAGATTGCTTTTCTCAGAACTGAAGAGCACTTACTAATGGCACCTCTTGTCATATGCCATCCCAGGATTTGAATTTTTTTTTTTTTTCTGTCTTGTGGCCCAAATAAATCCTGAACTCCTCGAGGGCTGGGAGTGTATCTAGCAGTTTCCTTATACTGGACTAATCAGATGCTGACTAGGTAGCAGTGAGAAAAATCTAGAAATTCCCTTTTAGCCACATCGACTTACACGAGGGGATGTGTGTAAGGTACTATAGCTCTTTAAACAAGAGGTGGTCTCGTTTGAAGGGTGGATTGATGTGGGTGTTCAAATGATGTCACAAGTGGCTGGTTTCTCTGTCTCCATTTCTTTTTTTTTTGGCTCCATTTCCAAATTTCCCAGATAGCACAGCAAGTTGGCCCCAGCAGCTCTAGACACTCCATCTTCTCAGGGCATAGCCAACACAATAAAATATTTCAAGTTCCTGAAAGATAGCTGAAATAAGCCCTAGAAGTTTCTGGATTGGGAGCAGAGCCAAACCTGCCAGCTCACATAGATGAGGGCAGGGAATAGGGTGTCTCACGATCACAGTGTCCTGCCTTCTGATTTGCCTGGGACTGTCCTGTTTTGGCACCAAAAATATCTGCATCCTAGGAAACCCTCAGGTCCTGGGCAAATTCAGACAGTGACTTGCCCTATCAGAAGCAAAGCAAGGTGCCATTACCTGAGGTGGGCAAATTCAGACAGTGACTTGCCCTATCAGAAGCAAAGCAAGGTTGCCATTACCTGAGGTGGGCAAATGGAGGCTGGGTGGCCAGTGAGTGACCAATAACCCCAGCATTGGAGAGAGTGGAGCAGCCCTTCAAGAAGTTCCAACCTCTGCCCAGGACTGGTTTTACCAACTTCACTAGGCTTAGAATCGTAGGAAGTCTATTTGGGACTTGCGAGTCTCACGTATTCCTGCCTAAATGTTTATGGATACCTGTTTAGAGCTGAAATCTTTTCAGCTCCCATAATATGAGGGAATTAGGTCTCAAAGAAGATCATGTATTTTGATCAGACCTTATAGCTGAGCAGTGGAAAGAAAAAAAATCAGTGTGAGATCTCCCAGGGTTCCGCAGGAGTGGCTTCCTTAGTCCAACTGGCAGCCTATCCTGGAATATTGCCTGGGAGAGAGGTTAGTTGCTTTTCCTGGTGCTAGGAACTGAATGGTTTTACATATTGATCAATGAAAATACTTATTTGGCCTACAATAGGTGCAAAAATACTGCTAATTACTAACAGTATCTCTTCTTTGCTGCGTGCCAGACACTCCACTGGGCATTATGCAGTTAATATGTACCATGAATTTCCCGTGGTTAGCAATGATGTCAGGCATAGAAAAGACATGAAATTATGATGTCAAATGAATAAACTGGAAAAAGGAATTTCTTGAATTTTCTCCAGCTGTCCTAAGAATGTATCTATACTTTGATCCTGGCCTACCTTTTCAACATCTAAACTTTATTCCCCCAAGCTTCTAGATATTCAAAGTTAAGTATTAAATAAAATCAGTAAATATATACAAGCTTGTTTGGCCATTCTGAATAAGGTTATATTTCCACCACACAATCTCCAAATTCTCTAGCAGAAGGGATCAGTATGTTATAGATACCCCCTTTCCTTCCCTCCCTGGCAAGCCACCACATCTGTTATGGGTACTCAATGCAGTGGCTGCACCTGGGCCTCACTCATTAAGCAGTTGTTGATTGAGTGACTGAATTGAATGCCTGATGAGCTCGCAAGTAAGATTCAGACTGTGCCTGCAAACTAATAGGATCCCTCCGCTTTTTATTCACTACTGCTGAGGTAGATCTCAGGCCAGCCTGAAGTTTAGGTCTACTGAGAAATAATAAGCCTCAAAAATCGAGCTTTGCTTCACCCAGTCTCCCAGTAAACACTAAGAAATGTTCACATTATTTACACATCCTAGACTGCCTGTCTTATGGACCAAATGTTTGTGTTCTCCCCGCAATTTATACATTGGAATCCTAACCCTCAATGTAATAGCATTAGGTGCTGGGGTCTTTGGGAGGTGATTGGCTAATGGACCTGGAGCCCTCATGATGGGATGAGTCCCCTTATCAGAAGAGACCTGAGAAGGCTTGCTTCCTCTCCCTGTGCTCTTCATGATGTGAAGACACAAGAAGACAGCCATCTGTGGGCCAGGAAGAGGTCCTCACTGGAACCCAACCATGCTGGCACCCCAATCTTGAATTTCTAGCTTCAAGAACTTGGGAAATAAATGTAAGCCAGCCAGCTTATGGATTTGTTACAGCAGCCTAAGCTAAGTCAGAGTCTCTAGAACAGCTGGTCTGGGGCAGCGGTGAAGGGAGGTGGGTGGGCATATGACCCTGCCCTGCACATGAATGGCAAAGGCAACTGGAGAGCCTCTCCCTTTTGGTGAGATCCCCAGTCCACAAGGGCATGTTCATCCATAGCTTTACTTCCCGAAGCAAATTCTGGTTCCTGGGGCCTGTGCCTCCATAGATGGCATGATCTGCAGCCTCCTGTGGTAATTTACCCTCTTCCTAAATTTCTGAGTCTTCACATTTAAGCAATCCTAGTTAGATATCCTCTACCTGTATCCATGGCTGTCTTTCAGTCACATTACAGACTCATTGTGATGACCATGTAGGGACAATGTGATTTCAGAAACATGGCCTCATTTGATTTTAATGTAAATATAAATCAGTGAAGCAGAAAAAGAGAATCTCCAGAAAAACAAGGGATGAGGCTGTACAGCAAGTTAAAGTGGAATCAGAACCCAACTGTAGTCCATTATTTGTTTCAATCCTGCTCTTTTCTACCATATCACCCAGTTTCCAAATCGTTCAGCAAATTGCCATGGTCAATGGGATTAACCTTTCCCTTTTATTCTCAGGAAATCTCCCTTGTCCATTTTGCAAGACTGTGTGATTCTTTCTACTGTTACAAGGAATAAAAGCCTTCCTAAAAAGGTCTTTGGTGCCTTTATTATTTTACGGATCATTTCTGAGGGAATTATTGAACTTCATTATGTAACCACCCCTTGGGTTCACCTTGCCCACTGCCTAGACAGAGCCAATTTATCCAGACAGGAGAATTGCAATGGAGAAAGAGTAATTCATGCAGAACTGGCTGTGTGGGAGACTGGAGTTTTATTATTACTCAAATCAGTCTCCCCAAGCATTCAGGGATCAGAGTTTTTGAACATAATTTGGTGGGTAGGGGCTTGGAAAGTGGGGAGTAATGATTTGTCAGTTTGGGTATGTAATCATAGGTGGTCGAAGTGAGTTTCTCTTGCTGTCTTCCATTCCTGGGTGGGATGGCAGAACTAGTTGAGCCAGATTACTGGTCTGGGCGGTGTCAGCTGATCTAACAAGTGCAGGGTCTGCAAAATATCTCAAGCGCTGATCTTAGGTTTTACAATAGTGATGTTATACCCAGGAGCAATTTGGGGCGGTTCAGACTCTTGGAGCCATATGCTGCATGACCCTGAATCTGTAATTTCTAATCTTGTAGCTAATTTGTTAGTCCTGCAGAGGCAGACTGGCCCCCAGGCAAGAAGGGGGTCTTTTCAGGAAAGGGCTGCTATCAATTTTGTTTCAGAGTCAAACCATGAACTGAATTCCTTCCCAAAGTTAGTTCAGCCTATGCCCAGGAATGAACAAGGACAGCTTAAAGGTTAGAAGCAAGATGGAGTCAGTTAGGTCTGATTTCTTTCACTGTCATGATTTCTTCAGTTATAATTTTGCAAAGGTGGTTTCACTTAGTCTCAGAGATGGTTGGGGCTGCTTCAGCATGGGATGCATGAAAGGTGCTCAGCTGTGGGTTGGAGCAGGGGCCTCCACTGTTCTGCTCTTAGCTCCTGGTTTAGGGAGGAGCCCACTGACAGTTGCTGGATGGATGGCTGCTTTGCTTCTGGACTTCACAGCTGGTTTTGTGCACAGAGTTTGTGTTTAGGGGTTAACTTCCTCTTGTCCTCACATTTCCCTGAAGAAAGTAGAAATTTTGCTCCTCTCCTGGGTGTGAGTATCATGGTGCAGATGGGGGCAGTTTTAGAGTAAACATTTTTAGTTTTGCGCCCTAATGACCTTACCCTCAGGCATAGATGATCCGACTGCTTTCATTGCAAAGAAGCTGCTAATTGGCTAGCTCAATTTTTGCGCTTGTTGCCTTCAAAGTATATGAAAAAGGCAACGTGCACCAGCCTCTTTCCCTGGCTTCCTCCTTAATGTGTGTGCATCTGGAGGCCGCAAGACTCCTGCTTCTAGCAGGCTCCTTGTGATACACAGAGTTCTCGTGCCCTACCTCAGGCCTCCTCAGGGCCCAGGGCTGCATTTTCCAGCAGCTCCCTGCCCTTCAGCAACCAGGCACCTCTGGTTCAGAGCCCCAGGAGTAGGCTTGGAATTCAAAGAGGAAGAGATTGGAAGCCCTGTTTTAGCTTCAGGCCTGTGTTCTATCTTTCAAACAAGCTTTATTGGGAAACTCTGTAATTTAGTAGTTCTCCCGCCATTACTATTATTTCCTATTTGGCTTCTGTGTCTAGTCCACACTCCTTAGAGCACGGAAGGGAGCAGGTGTGAGGGATTGGCCATCCAACCCTATCCAAGTTTGGATTTCTGTTAACTCATTCTCTTGGTTTTGAACCCCCAGCCTGGTAGCCTTTGGTTGCAGGCAATCTCTCCTCGTAAAACATGAGAGTGTTTTTTTTTGTTTTTGTTTGTTTTTGTTTTTCCTGATAAGGGAAGACTGCCACTTTCTCAAGCTCTCTGCTTCACCAAGTTCTGACAGCCTTCCCATTCAAGTGTAACTTATTCATATCACTCAAATATTTGCTCAGTTGTGCTGCCAGCATGCAGGATATCAGAGACCTGGTAAGACAGTTGGCTGCATGGTGCTGTCTCCTGCTATAGAAATAGTTATGGACAGTCATTCTCCCCTGGCCAGGGAGCTGTGAGTATTTCTGGTGACTTCATGACTTCCTATGGTGGCAAAGCCATATGGTATTTCATTTGAAGTGTCAAGACTTCCTCAGTGCTGCCCAGGGGAATGTCAGGCAACTGACAAGAAAATAGGTAACACATTACCAACATCAATAGTAAAAAAAGAAGATACAATTAAACTTTACTAATAACTTTATGCCAGTTACTTTATTGACTAAAGTGGATAAACTCCTTAAAAAACGCAGATTAGCAAAACTGACTATGAAGTAACAGAAAATTTAAAAAGCCCGAATTTATGAGAGAAATTGTATTTGTAATGAGAACTCTATCCACAAAGAAAATTTGGGGCTCAGATGGCTTCAGGCTGTATTCTGTGAAGGAACAAATAATACTAATATTACACACAATCTTTCAGAAAATGAAGGAGAAATGAAACCTTCAAAATGTATTTTATGAGGCTAGTATACCCTTAATGCCCCAAATTGACAAAGGTATAAGAAATGAAAATTACATAACAATGTCCCTATATTAGCAAATAAAAATTAGCATTATCCATATGATATTAGCAAATCAAATACAGCAAGAGATAAAAAGGGTGATATATCCTGACAAGACGGATTTATCACAGGAATGTAAGATTGATTTAATGTATGACAATCAATCAATGTAATTCACCACGTACTTTCCATATGATAATTTCAATAGATGTCCAAAAAATATTTGAAAAAACCCAACACCTTACAAACAAATTAGGAATATTTAGGAATAAATATAAATAAAATGTGAGATCTCTATTTTTGAAATTGGAAAACATTGCTGAGATATATTAAAAATTTAAACAAATAGAGATATACTACCATATTTATGATTGAAAGTTTCTGTATTATTAGTATATCCCTGCTTCCTAAATTGATTTATAGATTCAACTCAGTCTCTATAAAATCATAGCAGACATTTATGAAGAAATTGGTAAGCTCATGCTGAAGTGTTTTATGGAAATGCAAAGGATCTTGAACAGCCAAAATAATTCTAAAAAAGAACAAAGTTGGAGGACTCCTACTGCATGATTTCAAGATTTACTTTGAAGCTACAGTAGTCAAGAGTGTGAGATATTTGTGTAGGGAGAGACACATAGGTCAGGGGTGGAGAATAGAAAGTTGTAGATTAGATCTACAACATGTAGTTAATTGATATTCAAAAGATATGAACACACACTTTACAAAAAAATGAATGTCCAATAAATACATAGGAACATGCTCAACACAATCTTCAAGAAATTGTAAATCAGTACAATAATGAGATAAAATTCCACATCAGCTAGAATAGCTAAAATCAAAAAGATTGACAGTACTAATTGTGGGTACTCTCAATTGTGGGTATTCTTGGACATTGTAAAAAGGTCCAAACACTTTAGGGAATTGTTTTGACATTTTCTTATCAAATTAAACATAATCTAAACCACGATCCAGAAATTCCACTAACATAAGTATTTACTCAAGAGTAATACACATTGATGTGTACAAAAAGACTTGTTTGAAAAATTTTTATAGCAGCCTTATTCACTATAGCCCCAAACTGGAAACAACCGAAATAGCTATCAATAGGATAATGGATAAACAAATTGAGGTCTATTCATACAATGGAGCAATACTCATCAATAAAGGCTGAGAAGTCTTGACACAGACAAATCTCAAAAACATGATATTGAGCAAAAGGAGCCAGAAAAAAGTGTGCTCTATGTGAACCTATTTATACAACTTCATAGAACAGGCAACATTAATCTACAGTGGCAAAAATCAGAGCAGTGGTTGTGATAGATGCAGGAGGCAGATAAAGGCCTAGGCAGATAGGGAAGAGCCCCCGGAGAAACTTCAACCTTCCCCACAAATATTTACACCAGATGTTTTGTGCAGATAAGGGAAGCTGCACAGGGAGCTTTCCTGGGCATGCCCACAGCAGACTGGAGACCCACATGCACTGGAGGAATGGTGTGGAACCACCAGGAATTCATGCCTTATGCAGGGGAGGAGCCTGGCCTCTTCAACTCATGTGCAATGGCTCTGGTATTAAATCTGGGAGGTGGAAACCTGCTTACAGGACCCCCTTTCTTTGCTGAGATCTTTCTTTTCGCTGAATACATTCCAGCCCTCCTCACCCTTCAATGCGTCTACATGCCTAATTCTTTCTGGTTGTGAGACAAGAACCCAGACTAGCTAAGGAGCAAAAAAATAAAAATAAAAAAAAAATCGTGCATCATTTGCACTTGGTGAGGTGGAATGAGGGATTGGCTAGAAATGACATGGAGAACACTTGTGGGGCCTAAATGCTCTATGCTTATTTCGGGTAGGGTTATATGGGTGTCTATAATTGTTAAAACATATTGAACTGAACACTTACCATCTTGGCATTTACTGTATGTAAATTTTATCTCAATTTTTAAAAAGTTTAATAAAATTTTATTTTAAATTGACAAGCAAAAATTGTACATATTTGTGGGGTACAATGTGATATTTTGCTATATGTTTACAATGTGGAATGATTAAATAATGCTAATTAACATAAATTGCCTCTCATACTTTTCATTTTTTGTGGTGAGAACATTTAAAATCTACTCTCTTAGCAATTTTGAAGTATCTAATACATCATTATTTGTTATAGTCATCGTTCTGTGCAATAGATCACTAAGGCTTATTCCTCCTAACTGAAACTTTGTACCCTTTGACCCACATCTCCCCTTTTCCCATCCATTCCTCTTCCCCAGCCTCTGAAAACCACCATTCTCCTCTCTACTTCTATGAGTTCAACTTTCTTAGATTCCACATATACGTGAGATTATGCAGTATTTGTCTTTCCATGCTTGGCTTATTTCACTTAACATAATGTTCTCTGAGTTCATCAATGTTACAAATGACAGAATTTCCTTCCTTTTAAAGGCTGAATAGTACAAATAGTATTCCATTGTGTACATATATATTTTCATTATCCATTCATCTAAAAATGGACAGCTAGGTTGCTTCTGTATCTTGGCTATTGCGAATAATGCTGCAGTATGTTGGAGTGCAAACACGTCTTTGACATACTGATTTCAATTCCTTTGAATGTATACCCAGGAGTGGTATTGTTGGATTATATGGTAATTATATATATATATATATATATATATATATATATATATATATATATATATATATATTTTTTTTTTTTTTTTTTTTTTTTTTTTTTTGTGAGGAACCTCCATACTGTTTTTCCTGATGGCTGCATCAATTTACATTCCCACCAACAATGCACAAGGATTCCCTTTTCTCCACACCCTTGCCAATACTTGTTATGTTTTGTCTTTTGGATAACAATGATTCATTCTAACATATATAGTTTTGAGTTGCATTTTCCTGTAGTTAGGGATAAACATTTTTTCATATATCTGTTGGTCCATTACATGTCTTCTTTTGAGAAGTATCTATTTGGGTCCTTTGCCCATTTTTTGATTGAGTTATTTGTTTTCTTGCTATTGAGTTTGAGTTCCTCATATATTTTGGATATTAGTCCCTTATCAGATATATGGTTTCCAAACACTTTCTCCCTATCCATGGGTTGTCTCTTCAGTCTATTAATCATTTCCTTTGCTGTGTGGAAGCTTTTACAATCCTGTTTGTGTATTTTTGCTTCTGTTGCCTGTTCTTTTGCCACCTCAATTTGAATAAAGAAAAATATCTATGGAATAATAAAAGCTCTACACAAAGAAAATTATACTAATAAATAATTATACTAAAGAATAAAGAAAAAATGGGAGAATTTTATAGTTATTCTAATAATTTCAAAAAACATCACTAACAGAATAAATCAAAATAAACTAGGAAGAGGGAATTAATAAAGATAAAAGCAGAAATTACTTGACTGGAAAGTAAAAAAAGCAGGTTTTTGGAAAAAAATGCAAATACATGAGCCACTCATAAGTCTGACTGGATAAAAAAGGTAAGAACAAAAATTTTAAGTGTCAAGAATGAGGAAGGAAAAATGGTAAAAGACCAAAAACATTGTAAGCATTTTAGATTCCGCATATAAGTGAGATTATGCAGTAATGAATTCAACTCTATTACATCAAATTATGTACTAAAATTAGATTATTATAAAGCAAATACAATTTTTTCAGAACTGAACCAAAAAATCCAAAACATAGACGAGTTACCAAATAAGTGATCAGAAAGAGGACTAATATTCTATTATTTTAAAAAAGCACTAGGATTAGATAGGCTTAAATGTGAAATTGGTCTAACCATAAAGAACTCTAATATTTGTAAATAATTCAAGATTATAGAAAAAAATGAAAATCATCTAGCCTAATTTTAGTATCAAAACCTGGCAAAGACATTGAAAAGCAGTAATAATAAACCTATTTATAGATGAATATAAATACTAAAAATTGAAAATAAAAGATGTGGAAGCAGAATCCCCAAATTACCAACTGTATAATATTCTAAATCCAAGTATGGTTTATTCTAGGAAGATACATATATGTGTGTGTATATACATCATACACACACATATATATATAATCCTAGAATATATATATCTTATATATTAAGATATATACCTTAATTTATCTTAAATTAATATCTTAATAAAATATTAAATTAACTTAATAATATCTTGAGTTAAGATACACACACACACACACACAATACACATATACATGAGGTGGGAGTCTTGCTATTTTGCCCAGGCTGGAAGACTTGAACTCTTGGGCTCAAGGAATCATCCTGCCTCAGCCTCCTGAGTAGCCGACATAACAGGTGAGCCAACACTCTCACTATCAATATATTCTTCTACATAAAGATTAATGGTTGAAAACTTTATGAATATATCAAGACACTGTTCATTAAAAATATTAACAGCCATTTCTATGAAAAGGACAAAATAAAAACTAATCATGGGTAATTACATAAACATATTAAAGAATATTTTCCAACAAAACTAACAGTCAATATTCTAGATTTCAAAGCAAAAATTCTTTTTAAGCCAGAAAATAAGGAAGGATAACAGATAATCACCATTAATATTTAACATTGCCTGGCAATTCCAGCAAATAAAATGAGAAACGTGACTGAAATAATTAGAAAAATCATTGGAACATTAGAAACATAACTATTTCCATTTTTGCTGAGATTATATTTGTATATGTGGAAAACCTGAGAAATTTAGAACTATTAAAACTAATAGTTCTAATTTTGAATGTGGTGGCTCATGCCTGTAATCCTAGCATTTTGGTCTCTTTTTTTTTTTTTTTTTTTTTGAGACAGAGTTTCACTCTTGTCGCCCAGGCTGGAGTGCAATGGTATGATTTTGGGTCACTGCAACCTCCGCTTCCTGGTTCAAGTGATTCTCCTGCATCACCCTCCCGAGTAGCTGGGATTACAGGCACCTGCTACCACTCCCAGCTAATTTTTGTATTTTTAGTAGACATGGGGTTTCACTATGTTGGCCAGGCTGGTCTCGAACTCCTGACCTCAGGTGATCCACCCGCCTCAGCCTCCCAAAGTGCTGGGATTACAGGAGCGAGCCACTGCATCCGGCCTTTTTTGACATGGAGTCTCACTCCACCACCCAGGCTGGAGTGCAGTGGCCTGATCTAGGCTCACTGCAACCTCCGCTTCCTGGGCTCAAGTGGTTCTGATGCCTCAGTTTCCAGAGTACCTGGGATTATAAGCGTGAGCCAACGGGCCCAGCCAATCCCAGCACTTTAGGAGGCCCAGGTGGGCAGATTACTTAGGTCAGGAGCTCGAGACCAGCCTGGCCAACCAACATAGGCAAATCTGTCTCTACTGAAAATACAAAAATTAGCCAGGTGTGGTTGTGTGTGCTTGTAATCCCAGCTACTCCCAAGGCTGAGGCAAGAGAATTGCTTGAACCCAGGGTGTGGTAGACAGAGGGTGCCCTGGGCTGAGATCGCACCTCTGCACTCCAGTCTGGGTGACAGGGGGAGGCTGTGTTTAAAAAAATAAAAATAAAATAATAAATAAAATTTAGTAAAACAAATAGATATTTAATACTTACATAAAACCAGTAGTTTTCACTTCAATAATGATTAAGATTTGGAAACAAACATGTAAGATGAAATGTTTTATTCCAAAAATGAAAAGAAATCTCTACAAATGGAGACAAATTTGACAAGAAAGCCACTGTGCCTGCTAACTTAGGAGGAACAGGAAAGAGCTGAGCCCACAGAAACACGCAGCATGCTCTAGAGTTGGGAAAGCTGAGGTAACTTAAATGTCAGTTCTCCAAAAACTTATCTGTGAATTTAAATTACAATTAGCTTTCTAATGGAAAAACTCTTCTTAATGGAGTTGGAGAAAATTATCTTAAAATTCATAAGGAAGGACACATATTTAAAGAATAAGAAAGCAGAAAAAAAAGAAGACTAAGGAATTTTGATTTTAAGATATTTTGATTTTACCAAATATTACAACACTATAAAGGCCGCATGGAAAATAGCACAGTGGAATAGAACAGAGGGCCAGAAAGTTCCCTCCTAGGCAAATCTAACAACCAAGTCTAATTTAATTGTGAAAATTCAACAGTATGCAAGAAGAGAAAACATAACATTTGGTATTTTTTAATAAGTGGTGCTGGTACAGCACTCTGCCCATTGGTAAGATAATAAAATTGAACCCCTATCTTACTCTACATAGAAAAATTAATTCCAGATGTATTAAATACTTAAGTGAAAAGAAATACTTCCAGATGTATTAAATATTTAAGTGAAAATAAATGATATAAATCTTATAAGGAAATGTAACTAGAAAGAAACAGTGTCCATCAATAGGAGAAGTTCTGTGTAAAACAGAATATCTGGAATTCGTGAGGTTTTACATGGTCTTGGAAAATAAAAAATTAAAACTATCATCTGACTTAAATATGAGAGAAGAGAGACAGACCCTCTCATATTGTTTTATATTGTTTTATACTCAGAAAAGGAAAGAGAAGCGAAACTAAAGGCAGGTAGCCCGGTGGCTAGGAACTAGACCCAAAACCAAGGAACCATACCCAAAACCAGGCCTGGACCTGCCTGACCTAAGCCTGGTAGTTAAAGATCAACCCCTGACCTAACCGGATATGTTATCTATAGATTCTAGACATTGTGTGGAAAAGCACTGTGAAAATCCCTGTCCTGTTCTGTTTCTTTCTGATTACTGGCGCATGCAGCCCCCAGTCACATACCCCCTGCTTTCTCAATTGGTCATGATCCTCTCACGCGGACCCCCTTAGAGTTTTGAACCCTTAAAAGGGGCAGGAATTGCTCACTTGGGGAGCTTGGCTCTTGAGACAGGAGTCTTGACGATGCTCCCAGCCGAATAAACCTCTTCCTTCGTTAACTCGGTGTCTGAGGAGTTTTGTCTGTGGCTCATCCTGCTACATTTCTTGGTTCCCTGACTGGGAAGTGAGGTGATTGGTGGATAGTTGAGGCAGCTCCTTAGGCAGCTTAAGCCTGCCTTATGGAACATCCCTGCAAGGGACTCCGACCAGCCCGAGTGACACGGATCCTGAGAGCACTCCTGGGTAGGCATTTGACACAGTGGGATGCCTCACCAGAGCAGTGTGTGGCAGGCCCCCATGGAGGATCAACGTGGTGGCTGAACACTGGGAAGGAAATGGTACTTGGAGTCCAGACATCTGAAACTTGGTAGACTAGTCTTTGGAACTTGCCTATTCCATTTGAGTGGAAGTGTGGCCTGATCACCCATGGCATGCCTTTATCGGCACTTTGGTTTTGGTTTTGGTTTTAACTTGGTTTGAATTGCTTGACAGGACCGGTCTTGGGAACTTGTCCACTCCACTTGAGTGGAAGTGTGGCCTGATCACCCACGGTGTGCCTTTACCAGCACTTCGTTTTTGTTTTGACTTCACTTGGATTTTGATACTTTGGTTTCTGTTTTGACCTGGCTTGGATTTCTGGATACTCTGATTTTGGTTTTGATTTTGGTTTGGTGTAAACTGCAAAAGTGTGTGTGTGCCCTTTTTACCTGTTCTTTGTTTTGTGGTGTGCGTGCGGTGTGAGTGTGGTGTTTTGTCTCAAAGAAGCATGGGTCAGGAACAAGAAAACCCACCCTACTAGGAGCTATGTTGAAAAATTTCAAAAAAAGATTTAAAGGAGACTATGGAGTACTATGACACCAGGAAAACTTAGAACTTTATGTAAAATAGACTGGCCAGCATTAGAAGTAGGTTGGCCATCAGAAGGAAGCCTGGACAGGTCCCTTGTTTCAAAGGTATGGCACAAGGTAACCTGTAAAGTCAGGGCACCCAGACCAGTTCCCGTACATAGACGCTTGTTACAGCTGGTTTTAGATCTCTCCACAGTGGTTGAGAGAACTGCAGCATAATCAAGAAGAGAGAGAGCGAGGCAGAGAGGAGAAAGAGAGTGGCAGGGAAAGAGAGGAAGAGACAGAGGAAAAAGGAAAGTCAAAGAGAGAGAGACAAAGTCAAAGAGAGATATACACAAGTAGTTAAGAAAAAAAAAAAGTGTACCCTATTCCTTTAAAAGCCAAGGTAAATTTAAAACCTATAATTGATAATTGAAAGTATTCTCCATAACCCTATAACACTCCAATACCACTTTGTTGTCAGTGTAAACAAGGATGTATCCCAAAAGCACTGAGGCCTTCCTATCAAAAATCCGTAAACCAGTAACCCGTGGATGGCCCAAATGCATTCAGTCTGTAGCGGCAACTGCTTTGCTAACAGAAAAAAGGTAAAAAAATAACTTTTAGAGGAAATCTCATTGTCAGCACACCTCACTAGTTCAGTTCAGAACTATCCTAAATCAAAAAAGCAAAAAAGTAGCTTACTAACTCAAAAATCTTAAAGTATGGGGCTATTGTGTTAAAAAAAAAGGCCATCTATACCAATTCTAAGTTAATTTGGACAAAACAGGTCTTATTAATAGCAAAGAATAATTAAAATCCCAAACTTACAAGGTTTTCAACAAAAGTAAAGTTTCCTAAAAGTTAACAGTATAACATGTATTCTACTAACTTCTATTCTTGTGGCCTTAGACAGTCTAGTCCACAGACATAAAAGAAGTTTTCTTTGGAAAAGAATGGTTATCATCTTCAAAAGAAAAAAAATGGAAAAAAAAAGGAGGGGGCGGAATTTATGTAAAAAGAGTATTATATGGTAAATTCTCGTCCTGAAATAAATTGACTGGTTGTTTAAAAAAAGAAATATTTGTAATAAGTCAGAAAGTTGAAGCATGTCGAAGAATTGCCTGTGAAAGTCGTGAAAGAGAAAAATATTATAAAAAATAATTTATGCAAGAAATGTTGTATAATTTAAAAGTAACTAGGACTCCTGAATGTAAAACTATTGAAAAAGAAAACAGTTTATGTGCAAGTTATATAAAGAAAGTAAAATATACCTTTGGCAAAAGGATTATAAGGAGGCATAAGAATAAATTTTTACCTACATTAAAAGGTTTAAAATGTATATATTTTGTTTTAAAGGTTTAATCAATTTTTAAAATGTTAATTGGAAAGAAAGTTCTATGTGTAAACATTGGCTAAAGTTAAAGAGATATCATCCAGTTTTTCCATAAACTGGACATTAAAATAAAAGCATAACAGGTTTTTCTTAAAGCACCAACCTGCTCTTTAGCAAAAATTATAAAACGTTAAAAAGAGTCTATAAAATCTTACCTTATAGTCAAATATTAAAAATTGGATAAATATGTCTATAAAGTTTTATTAAAATTAAGTTTAACATTAATAACTCACTAATATAAAGGTAAAATTTAGCTTATCTACTATAAAATCATACAAAAGCATTGTTAAATGTAAAATGGTATTTGGCTTTCTTTGGTTTAAAAACTAATAAAAATAGGTGCTGAAGGAAATTTCTCAGTAAAAAGGCACTAAGGACTATAAAGTACACTGTCAAGGTCCCTACATTTTAAAACAAAAGGTCAATTTCTTAAAAATTATATACTTGGTTTGTCTTCCATTTTCCCTTCTCTCAAAAACTAAAAGTCTTTTAGCACATGTACCACCCCTAGAATTTCTGGTAAACCAGCACAAGCCTGAAGATCACATTCTCATCAAAGGGTGGAAAGAAGGATAACTCAAGCCAGCCTGGGAAGGACCCTACCTTGTGCTGCCAACCACCAAGACTGCTGCTCATACAGCAAAAAAGGATGGACTCATCACACCCGGGTCAAGAAAGTGCCACCCCCTCCAGGTTGTGGGCCATAGTCCCAGGAGAAAACCCTATCAAACTAAAGCTAAGAAAAATTTAACTCTTTTCATCTATTCTATTACTCTTTCTTCTTTCCTTATTCTATTGCTGACCATCTAGTTGTTAACATAACTAAGTCAATTTCACCTCAAACTATTGCATTTAATGCTTGCCTTTTTATACCCTGTACAGCTCTCTACTTCAGAAAAATACTTCTGTCCCTCCTGACTCTCCTTAGACTGGGCATTAATAAACTACGATGATTTAATCCAGGGAGATTTCAAAAAAGACCACGGTGCCAACTAGGAATCTTGCCCCCAATGTAGAGCTTTCATGCCATAGTTGGTCCAACATTCTGTGGACCACTAAAGAGCAAGGATGGACTGCCCCAACCAGTTTTTGTAATTTCCTAAAATCATACATTCATTTTACTAGAGGATCATAGAAGTTAAAGACTTAAAACAAACTTTAGCAGTTAAGACAGGATACCAAGATGCAAATGCCTGGTTAAAATGGATCAAATATTCCATCTGCATGTTAAACAAAAGCAATTGTTATGCTTGTGCACATGGCAGGCCAGAGGCCCAGATTATCCCACTTCCACTAAGGTGGTCCTCCAGTCAACCAGTCATAGGCTGCATGGTAGCTCTATTCCAGGATTCTGCAGCCTGGAGTAATAAGTCATGCCAAGCTCTCTCTGCTATATCCCGAAGTCTGGCACCCTGCGGGTCAGCCCCTGAGGGCCATTCAGCTTCCATCTCCCAACACTAAGTTCACTTCGTGTCTCTCATGACAGGGAGAAAACTTAGCATTCCTTGGAGACCTGAAGGGATGTGATGAGTTTAAGAAATTTCAAGAGCTTATCAATCAGTCAGCTCTTGTTCATCCCCGAGCAGATGTGTGGTGGTATTGTGGTGGACGTTTACTGGGCACTCTGCTGAATAACTAGAGTGGCACTTGTGCTTTAGCCCATTTGGCTATCCCTTTCACCCTGGCATTTCATCAACCAGAGGGAGAAAAAATAACACACTGTAAAGCAAGAGAAGCCCCTTATGGGTCTTTTGACTCTCACATATTCTTAGATGCAATTGGAGTCCTGCAGAGAATACTAGATCAATTTAAAACTTGAAATCAAACAGCTACAGGATTTAAGTCAATATTTTAGTGGGTGACAGTTAATAAAAATGTGGATTAGATAAACTACATCTATTACAGCCAACAGCAACAAGCTTCTTATGAGTTTAAAAAAAACAACAAAAACTCATGTTGACTCCAGCCCTGGGGCTACCTGACCTGACAAAACCCTTTACACCATATGTGTCAAAAAGAGAAAAAATGGCAGTTGGAGTTTTTTTTTTTTTTTTAAATTATACTGTAAGTTTTATGGTACATGTGCACAACGTGCAGGTTAGTTACCTATGTATACATGTGCCATGTTGGTGTGCTGCACCCATTAACTCGTCATTTAACATTAGGTATATCTCCTAATGCTATCCCTCCCCCCTCCCCCCACCCCACAACAGGCTCCAGTGTGTGATGTTCCCCTTCCTGTGTCCATGTGTTCCCATTGTTCAATTCCCACCTATGAGTGAGAACATGGGGTGTTTGGTTTTTTGTCCTTGTGATAGTTTGCTGAGAATGATGGTTTCCAGCTTCATCCATGTCCCTACAAAGGACATGAACTCATCCTTTTTTATGGCTGCATAGTATTCCATGGTGTATATGTGCCACATTTTCTTAATCCAGTCTATCATTGTTGGACATTTGGGTTGGTTCCAAGTCTTTGCTATTGTGAATAGTGCCACAATAAACATATGTGTGCATATGTCTTTATAGCAGCATGATTTATAGTCCTTTGGGTATATACCCAGTAATGGGATGGCTGGGTCAAATGGTATTTCTAGTTCTAGATCCTTGAGGAATGGCCACACTGTCTTCCACAATGGTTGAACTAGTTTACAGTCCCACCAACAGTGTAAAAGTGTTCCTATTTCTCCACATCCTCTCCAGCACCTGTTGTTCTCTGACTTTTTAATGATCGCCATTCTAACTGGTGTGAGAGTTATCTCATTGTGGTTTTGATTTGCATTTCTCTGATGGCCAGTGATGATGAGCATTTTTTCATGTGTCTTTTGGCTGCATAAATGTCTTCTTTTGAGAAGTGTCTGTTCATATCCTTTGCCCAATTTTTGATGGGGCTGTTTGTTTTTTTCTTGTAAATTTGTTTGAGTTTATTGTAGATTCTGGATATTAGCCCTTTGTCAGATGAGTATATTGCAAAAATTTTCTCCCATTTTGTAGGTTGCCTGTTCACTCTGATGGTAGTTTCTTTTGCTGTGCAGAAGCACTTTAGTTCAATTAGATCCCATTTGTCAATTTTGGCTTTTGTTGCCATTGCTTTTGGTGTTTTAGCATGAAGTACTTGCCCATGCCTATGTCCTGAATGGTATTGCCTAGGTTTTCTTCTAGGGTTTTTATGGTTTTAGGTCTAACATTTAAGTCTTTAATCCATCTCAAGTTAATTTTTGTATAAGGTGTAAGGTAGGGATCCAGTTTCAGCTTTCTACACATGGCTAGTCAGTTTTCCCAGCACCATTTATTAAATAGGGAATCCTTTCCCCATTGCTTGTTTTTATCATGTTTGTCAAAGATCAGATAGTTGTAGATATGTGGCATTATTTCTGAGGGCTCTATTCTGTTCCATTGGTCTATATCTCTGTTTTGGTACCAGTACCATGCTGTTTTGGTTACTGTAGCCTTGTAGTATAGTTTGAAGTCAGGTAGTGTGATGCTTCCAGCTTTGTTCTTTTGGCTTAGGATTGACTTGGCAATGCAGGCTCTTTTTTTAGTTCCATATGAACTTTAAAGTAGTTTTTTCCAATTCTGTGAAGAAAGTCATTGGTAGCTTGATGGGGATGGCATTGAATCTATAAATTACCTTGGGCAGTATGGCCATTTTCATGATATTGATTCTTCCAACCCATGACCATGGAATGTTCTTCCATTTGTTTGTATCCTCTTTTATTTCATTGAGCAGTGGTTTGTAGTTCTCCTTGAAGAGGTCCTTCCCATCCCTTGTAAGTTGGATTCCTAGGTATTTTATTCCCTTTGAAGCAATTATGAATGGGAGTTCACTCATGATTTGGCTCTCTGTTTATCTGTTATTGGTGTATAAGAATGCTTGGGATTTTTGCATATTGATTTTGTATCCTGAGACTTTGCTGAAGTTGCCTATCAGCTTAAGGAGATTTTGGGCTGAGACGATGGGTTTTCTGGATAGACAATCATGTCATCTGCAAACAGGGACAATTTGACTTCCTCTTTTCCTAATCGAATACCCTTTATTTCCTTCTTCTGCCTAATTGCCCTGGCCAGAACTTCCAACACTGTGTTGAATAGGAGTAGTGAGAGAGGGTATCCCTTTCTTGTGCCAGTTTTCAAAGGGAATGCTTCCAGTTTTTTGCCCATTCAGTATGATATTGGCTGTGGGTTTGTCATAGATAGCTCTAATTATTTTGAGATATGTCCCATCAGTACCTAATTTATTGAGTGTTTTTAGCATGAAGTGTTGTTGAATTTTGTCAAAGGCCTTTTCTGCATCTATTGAGATAATCATGTGGTTTTTGTCTTTGGTTCTGTTTGTATGCTGGATTATGTTTATTGATTTGTCTATGTTGAACCAGCCTTGCATCCCAGGGATGAAGCCCACTTGATCATGGTGGATGAGCTTTTTGATGTGCTGCTGGATTCGGTTTGCCAGTATTTTATTGAGGATTTTTGCACTGATGTTCATCAGGGATATTGGTCTAAAATTCTCTTTTTTTGTTGTGTCTCTGCCAGGTTTTGGTATCAGGATGATGCTGGCCTCATAAAATGAGTTAGGGAGGATTCCCTCTTTTTCTATTGATTGGAATAGTTTCAGAAGGAATGGTACCAGCTCTTCCTCATACCTCTGGTAGAATTTGGCTATGAATCCATCTGGTCCTGGACTTTTTTTGGCTGATAAGCTATTAATTATTGTCTCAATTTCAAAGCCTGTTATTAGTCTATTCAGAGATTCGACTTCTTCCTGGTTCAGTCTTGGGAGGGTGTATGTGTCGAGGAATTTATCCATTTCTTCTAGATTTTCTAGTTTATTTGCATAGAGGTGTTTGTAGTATTCTCTGATGGTAGTTTGTATTTCTGTGTAATTGGTGGTGATATCCCCTTTATCATTTTTTATTGCATCTATTTGATTCTTCTCTCTTTTCTTCTTTATTAGTCTTGCTAGAGGTCTATCAATTTTGTTGATCTTTTCAAAAAACCAGCTCCTGGATTCATTGATTCTTTGAAGGGTTTTTTGTGTCTCTATTTCCTTCAGTTCTGCTCTGATTTTAGTTATTTCTTGCCTTCTGCTAGCTTTTGAATGTGTTTGCTCTTGCTTCTCTAGTTCTTGTAATTGTGATGTTAGGGTGTCAACTTTAGATCTTTCCTGCTTTCTCTTGTGGGCATTTAGTACTATAAATTTCCCTCTACACCCTGCTTTGAATGTGTCCCAGAGATTCTGGTATGTTGTGTCTTTGTTCTCATTGGTTTCAAAGAACATCTTTATTTCTGCCTTCATTTCATTATGTACCCAGTAGTCATTCAGGAGCAGGTTGTTCGGTTTCCATGTAGTTGAGTGGTTTTGAGTGAGTTTCTTAATCCTGAGTTCTAGTTTGATTGCACTGTGGTCTGAGAGACAGTTTGTTATAATTTCTGTTCTTTTACATTTTCTGAGGAGTGCTTTACTTCCAACTATGTGGTCAGTTTTGTAATAAGTGCGGTGTGGTGCTGAGAAGGAAGTATATTCTTTTGATTTGGGGTGGAGAGTTCTGCAGATGTCTATTAGGTCTGCTTGGTGCAGAGCTGAGTTCAATTCCTGGATATCCTTTTTAACTTTCTGCCTCGTCTATCTGTCTAATGTTGACAGTGGGGTGTTAAAGTCTCCCATTATTATTGTGTGGGAGTCTAAGTCTCTTTGTAGGGCTCTAAGGACTTGCTTTATGAATCTGGGTGCTCCTGTATTGGGTGCATATATATTTAGGATAGTTAGCTCTTCTTGTTGAATTGATCCCTTTACCATTAAGTAATGGCCTTCTTTGTCTCTTTTGATCTTTGTTCGTTTAAAGTCTGTTTTATCAGAGACTAGGATTGCAACCCCTGCCTTTTTTCATTTTCCATTTGGTTGGTAGATCTTCCTCCATCCCTTTATTTTGAGCCTATATGTGTCTCTGCATGTGAGATGGGTCTCCTGAATACAGCACACTGATGGGTCTTGACTCTTTATCCAATTTGCCAGTCTGCATCTTTTAATTGGAGCATTTAGTCCATCTACATTTTAAGTTAATATTGTTATGTGTGAATTTGATCCTGTCATTATGATGTTAGCTGGTTATTTTGCTTGTTAGTTGATGCAGTTTCTTCCTAGCCTCGAGAGTCTTTACAATTTGGCATGGTTTTGCAGTGTCTGGTACCGATTGTTCCTTTCCATGTTTAGTCCTTCCTTCAGGAGCTCTTTTAGGGCAGGCCTGGTGGTGACAAAATCTCTCAGCATTTGCTTGTCTGTAAAGTATTTTATTTCTTCTTCACTTATGAAGCTTAGTTTGGCAGGATATGAAATTCTGGGTTGAAAATTCTTTTCTTGAAGAATGTTGAATATCGGCCCCCACTGTCTTCTGGCTTGTAGAGTTTCTGCCAAGAGATCTGCTTTTAGTCTGATGGGCTTCCCTTTGTGGGTAACCCGACCTTTCTCTCTGGCTACCCTTAACATTTTTTCCTTCATTTCAGCTTTGGTGAATCTGACAATTATGTGTCTTGGAGTTGCTCTTCTCGAGGAGTATCTTTGTGGCATTCTCTGTATTTCCTGAATTTGAATGTTGGCCTGCCTTGCTAGATTGGGGAAGTTCTCCTCAATAATATTCTGCAGAGTGTTTTCCAACTTGGTTCCATTCTCCCCATCACTTTCACGTACACCAATTAGATGTAGATTTGGTCTTTTCACATACTCCCATATTTCTTGGAGGCTTTGTTCATTTCTTTTATTCTTTTTTCTCTAAACTTCTCTTCTCGCTTTATTTCATTCATTTGATCTTCCATCACTGATACCCTTTCTTCCAGTTGATTGAATCGGCTATTGAGGCTTGTGCCTTCGTCATGTAGTTCTCATGCTTTGGTTTTCAGCTCCATCAGGTCCTTTAAGGACTTCTCTGCATTGGTCATTCTAGTTATCCATTTGTCTAATTTTTTTTCAGGGTTTTTAACTTGTTTGCCATGGGTTCAAACTTTCTCCTTTAGCTCGGAGTAGTTTGATCATCTGAAGCCTTCTTCTCTCAACTCATCAAAGTCATTCTCCATCCAGCTTTGTTCCATTGCTGGTGAGGAGCTGCGTTCCTTTGGAGGAGGAGAGGCGCTCTGACTTTTAGAGTTTCCGGTTCTTCTGCTCTGTTTTTTTCCCCATCTTTGTGGTTTTATCTACCTTTGGTCTTTGATGATGGTGACATACAGATGGGGTTTTGGTGTGGATGTCCTTTCTGTTTTTCCTTCTAACAGTCAGGACCCTCAGCTGCAGGTCTGTTGGAGTTTGCTGGAGGTCCGCTCCATACCTTGTTCGCCTGGGTATCAGCAGCGGAGGCTGCAGAACAGTGGATATTGGTGAGCAGCAAATGTTGCTGCCTGATCGTTCCTCTGGAAGTTTTGTCTCAGAGGAGTACCCGGCCGTGTGAGGTGTCAGTCTGCCCCTACTGGGGAGTGCCTCCCAGTTAGGCTACTCGGGGTTCAGGGCCCCACTTGAGGAGGCAGCCTGTCCATTCTCAGATCTCCAGCTGCATGCTGGGAGAACCACTACTCTCTTCAAAGCTGTCAGACAGGGACATTTAAGTCTGAAGAGGATTCTGCTGCCTTTTGTTTGGCTATGCCCTGCCCCGAGAGGTGGAGTCTACAGAGGCAGGCAGGCCTCCTTGAGCTGCGGTGGGCTCCCCCCTGTTCAAGCTTCCCGGCCACTTTACCTACTCAAGCCTTGGCAATGGCAGGCTCCCCTCCCCCAGCCTCGCTGCCGCCTTGCAGTTTGATTTCAGACTGCTGTGCTAGCAATGAGCGAGGCTCTGTGGGCATAGGACCCTCTGAGCCATGTGCAGGGTATAATCTCCTGGTGTGCTGTTTGCTAAGACCGTTGGAAAAGTGCAGTATTAGGTTGGGAGTGACCCGATTTTCCAGGTGCTGTTTGTCACCCCTTTCTTTGAGTAGGAAAGAGAATTCCCTGATCCTTGCACTTCCTGGGTGAGGCAATGCCTCACCCTGCTTCAGTTTATGCTCGGTGCACTGCACCCACTGTCCTGCACCCACTTTCCGACACTCCCCAGTGAGATTAACCCATTACCTCATTTGGAAATGCAGAAATCACCCGTCTTCTGCATCACTCATGCTGGGAGCTGTAGACTGGAGCTGTTCGTATTCAGCCATCTTGGCTCCACCCCCCGGCAGTTGGAGTTCTAACCCAGACTGTAGGGCCCCATGGTGACTTTAATAAATACCAAAGGACATCATTAGCTAACGAATACTAGACTAACCAGATACCAAAGCTTGCTCTGTGAAAATACCCACTTAACCATTAAAGTTTACAACACCCTAAACCCCACCACTTTGCTCCTGGTATCAAAGAGCCCAGCTGAACATAACTGTGTGGAGGTATTGGATTCAGTTTATTCTAGTAGGCCCAACCTCCAAGACCATCCTTAAACATCAGTAGACTGGGAGCTATACGTGGATGGGAGCAGCTTTGCCAACCCCTGCAAAGTGACTCAGAAGAAGACGACAAGCCCTGCTCCAGTCACACCCGGAAGCTGACTTGTTCATGCAGAGCCAAAGCATGAAGAAACTCATCACGAGACTAATTTTCCTTAAAATTTGGACTTGTACAGTAAGGACTTCAACTGACCTTCCTCAGACTGAGGGCAGTTCCCAGTGTATACATCAAGTCACTGAGGTAGGACAAAAAGTCACTATGGTCCCATTATTTTACGGTTATTGTAAGTGTACTGGAACTCTAAAAAGAACTTGTTTGTATAATGTTACTCTATACAAGGTATGTAGCCAAGGAAATGACCAACCTAATATGTGTTATGACCCATCTGAGCCTCCCATGACCACAGTTATTAAAATAAGATTAAAAACTGAAGACTGGTGGGGACTCATAAATGATATGAGTAAAGTGTTAGCCAAAACAGAAAACAAAAGAGGTGCCCAAATGAGTCACCTTGAAATTTGATGCCTATGCTGTCATTAATAATAAGTTAGAAATAGGATGTGGTTCTCTTAATTAAAAAACAGGCTATATGGCAAAAAATAAGTACATTTATCATAAATTAAGACTGTGTAAAAATAAATGAAGATACTGGTCTTGTGTCATTTAGGCTACTTGGATAAAAAAAAAAATGAAAAAATCCTGTCCACATTCAGCAAGGGAAAAGTGGCCCTTCCTGTACCAGTGGTCAGTGTAAACCCTTAGAACTAGTAATACCAACCCCCTTAATCCTTGCTAAAAAAAAAGAGGAATGGGTAACCCTAAAAATTGATGGAGCTAGACTGGATCTTCAAGTAAATATCATGGTTTCAAACCTTCTATGATGAACTGAATGTGCCAGTACCAGAAATTCCAGGAAAAACAAGAAATTTGTTTTTGCAATTAGCCGAGCATATAGCCCAGTCTCTCAATGTCACTTCATGTTATGTATCAGCACAAGTGTACCATATGAATCATTATCAATCTATTGCACAGGAAGACGTAAGTAGTGAAAATAAGAATGAGAACTCCCACTAATAAAAAGTGAGAGTCTCAAAGGGGGGAAATGAGAGAAGAGAGACAGACCCGCCCTTATTGTTTTATATTGTTTTATACTCAGAAAAGGAAAGAGAAGTGAAACTAAAGGCAGGTAGCCTGGTGCCTAGGAACCAGACCTGAAACCAAGGAACCAGACCCGAAACCAGGCCTGGGCCTGCCTGACCTAAGCCTGGTAGTTAAAGATCGACCCCTGACCTAACTGGTTATGTTATCTATAGATTCCAGGCATTGTATGGAAAAGCACTGTGAAAATCCCTGTCCTGATCTGTTTTGTTCTGATTACCAGTGCATGCAGCCCCCAGTCACATACCCCTGCTTGTTCAATCAATCACAATCCTCTCATGTGGACCCCCTCAGAGTTGTGAGCCCTTAAAAGGGGCAGGAATTGCTCACTTGGGGAGCTTGGCTCTTGAGACAGAAGTCTTGCCAATGCTCCTGGCCGAATAAACCTCTTCCTTCTTTAACTCAGTGTCTCAGGAGTTTCATCTGCAGCTCATCTGCTACAGATATATGGAAAACATGATTGATGTAGTTAAGTTAGAAATGCAACATGGAGAAAAGTATGAAAAATATGACCTCATTTTTGTGCAACAAAGGCAGAATACAACTTTTATGTGTCTGAATATGTGTGTCTCAATATAATCATATAAGCAAAGAGAATATTTTGGAAAGATATATTCTGAGTTAGTAATAGGAGTTTCACTGGAGAATGATGGAGATGAAATGGAGAAGGGAAGAAATGGGAGAAAAGAAAAAAGAGAACTTAACTAATCGAAATGATAGATCCTACAAATGCATTCATGTAGATGATTCTTCTGCCACTCTTCCCGCCTCACTTATCCCAGCTATGGGGCCACTGCTGTTTTGCAACACACCAAAGGTGCTCCTGCCTCAGGGCTTTGCACTGGCTATTCCTACTGCCTGAAGCCCACTTCCTCTAGAATTCTGTGCATATCTCACCCTCACTTGTTCCAGGTTTCTGCTCCCATGCTATCTCAGGGAGGCCTTCCTTGGATACTGCATGAATTAGCAACCCACCTTCCCCAAGTACTCCCCATTCTCCTCTCCCTGCCTTGACTTTCTCCATGGAACACATTACCATCTGATGTGTGGTAGATTTAGGTATTTGTTTACTCAATTTCTCCTTTCACCAGAGTGTCAGCTTCAAGGGATAGGGACTTTGTTGTATTCTTTTTTGTAACTCTGGGAGCTAAAATAGTATCTGCCATGTAATAAATATTTGTTGGATTAATGAATAAACATGTGTATGTGAGTGCATATATACATATATGCATATATGTGTACAACAGAAAATATAACTGCCCACATATAAATGAGAATTCTCCTTCTATGCTGAACTTCAAAAATCAGTCACTGGTTCTCTTAAGAAAGAAGCCTGTTTCCTGAAATGAACTAAACTGCATTTTCACAATTAAATTAGACTCGATTGTTAGATTTGCCTAGGAGGGAACTAAGAGTTGCATCTCTTTCTGTTGTGACTCACCCTATGAATCAGCCGGTCATCTTATCCATTTCAGCTTTAGTTTTGCCTGTAAGTAATCAACATTGTTGAACAATTGAACGTTTTTGTGGCAAAATCTATCTGTGAAAGTGCTTTGTGTTATTAGGGAGCATTTCCTCTAGATTTCTAGTCGTTCTGGCCAATAAATGCCACTACTCCGATTTTTAAAATTCCAGGCACACGGTTTGGTGTCTGCCACGTTCACTCAACCAGCCAAGCACTAAAAGCCAAATGTTTGTTATTTAGCAGACACCTTTTTCTGACACCCATGCCAGTTTTTATAGGGTGATTGGCTGAGAGGCTGTTCACACAGTTAGATGGGATAGGATCAGGTTAATTTTGCTTTGGTTCTGGCTTTCAACCAGCTTTGTACCACTCTGTGGATGGTTCTGTGCACACATGGGTGCTTTAAAGCATGCTTCTAGGTGCTTTTGACCTAGATTTGTTGGTTTCTGTTATTTGTATAATAGTTTGAAAATGAATAGTCATAATGGAGTTTGTAGCCTAGTTTGAAAATGAATAGTCATAATGGAGTTTGTAGCCTTTTAAAACCTAGACATTTCGGACTGTGACACAAAACAGGAAATGAAACCCAGTTAATTAATCATTTAGTTAATCAGATTTTTTAAATGTGCATTTAGAGCTTGCTGTTATGAGTAGAACTTCTGTATTGGAAATATAGAGTGGAATGTAAAGGAGAAATGTGAAAAATCAATCATGAAAGCACGGTCCTCCTCAGGGAGGTGAGGGGACACTTCCCACAGCAGGATCGCTCACCCTGTGTTTGAGACACGAGGCTCTGCCCCTGGGCTGGTGCTGATGACCAAGGGACAAAGGCTTCTGGGTGACGTTGGGACCCCTCTTCATCCTCAGATTAAGAGGAGTTACTCCTGAAGAGGCACTTTTAGAAATAAAGAACTGCATTTTATCATTTTAAGATCTGAGCATTCAAAAATAGTAAATTGTGGTTTTAAAATGACAAACTTTAATTTCAACGCATCCCTTTCTGTTTTATTGTCAAGACTTCATGCTGATCCTTTAGAAGAGAGAATGCCAGTTTTCAGTATGCCAGTGGGTATCAGTTCAACTTCAAGATCTTTGTTAGTCCTGTGACATCAAAAAGGTTATGTTTCATCAAAACTTTAGGAAGGGAAGGAAGTGGCGGCCAGATCAACAGCACTTATTACTGCTTTTAATAATTGCTGCCAACAGCATTTATTCTGAAGTCCAAGTACTAATTTGTTGTGTCTGTCAGATAATAATTCTTTCAGTATATTAATCTGCAGTTTCAAAATATAAATCTAGTTCTAAAATTTCCTAGAAACTCTGGGGGATATTTCAGATGCTCTCGTTCAATCAGTAACATGCTAGGTCATTGGTAGCTAAAATGTCATCTGCCTCCATGTCCCAGTCTAGCTCTTGCCATTATTTTCAAGTACAAAATTGCATCCTGTGTTTGACCATGAAATTGAAATGCCCTCTTTTTGAAGGCCAAACATGGTAATTGAAAGGAATGATTGCAGATGTTATCAGGGCCCTTTTCTAAAGGAAAGATGATTAAACTGAAGAACTTTTACAATAAAATACAAAGGAAGATGTAAAGTAAGATAGATCTAGGGCGCATAGAGTGGTCCTCTTCTGCTGTCTCTGCTGAGCAGCATTGCTCAATGAAGACTTGGCATTCTTAGCTGAGGTTAAGGAACTTGACCTTAGGGCAAAGTAGTTTTTAGCTTTTCAGTGGTTACAAGCTTCAGTGGTCACAGCTGACCCACGTCATTTGTCTGGAAAACTCATGCCCCTTAATTATAAGCGGGTTTAGTCAAATGCATATATTAGCATAAATTCTTCATTATCTCTGGAAGCACAACTCAAAGCACCAGGTGACAGTAGTATTGTGTGTGCACAGAAGACAAAGCTCACACTCAAAAATATGAACGCACACCCACACGCAGCCACCCATACACAGGTTAATGCCCATATCACAGAACAACAATTAACAAACCATTTATGGTTCTATTTCCTTTCCTATTGCTAATGTTATTCACTTTTCTAGAAAACATTGAGAACACAGTGATACACATCATTACATAATGGTATCGGCTTACATGGAGTATCTGATGTAAAATACCTTCAATACTGACATATATCTCAATGCATGTGGACATTCAAGTGCAAATTTTAACATATATACAGTACTAACAACTGTATCCAAGCAAGCTGTCTTTTTATAAACTGTTTGCAATGGAGCTTTTCCCCCACAATTAATCCTTAATCTTTTTTCCATGCTGTAGGCATTAACTCACTCCATGATTATTAAGGGGTTAGGAGGAAGGAACAACGATTTCCATACAGATGATAACAGAAGAGTTAGGCTATGTCTTTGGCCATGAAAAAGTGACCTACACAATGGCCTTACCATCTTTCTGGGTCACTGCCAGGGTGCCCGCGTGTCCAGCATATCTTTCTTCTCCTGAAGCACAGCTGCACCGGGAATGTCACATCCACATCAATGGTGAGAATGGCCTCTGTTAGAGTCCAGTCCTTTGGGAAAACTTCCATTCATTTAGTAGGCACACTTCAGAGATTTAAGAGTCTAAAAGTCTCACAGCTCCTGGTTACTGCCATCAAAGAATGTATTCTGCATAACAAATACAGATTTTTTTTTTTTTTTAGAGGGAGTCTCGCACTGTCACCTAGGCTGGAGTGCAGTGGCAGAATCTTGGCTCACTGCAACCTCCACCTCCCGGGTTCAAGGGATTCTCCTGCTCAGCCCCTGAGTAGCTGGGATTACAGGCAATCGCCACCACGCCCGGCTAATTTTTTGTATTTGTAGTAGAGACGGGGGTTTCACTATGTTGGCCAGGCTGGTCTTGAACTCCTGACCTTGTGATCTGCCCACCTCAGCCTCCCAAAGTGCTGGGATTACAGGCATGAGCCACCGCACCCAGCCAACAAACACCAATTGTTTTAATGCATGAGGTGCAAAATGATAAGCACCTAAAGGGAGGTATAGACAAAGAGTGATGGGAATTCAGAAAGGGCAAAGTTGCATTAGCAAATCAGACTTTATAATGTTGTAGTACTTTATACTTTTCAAAGCATGTTCAGATATATTACCAAATTTTTCCTCAAACCAGTGTGTTGGTAGGCTAAGGCAAGCACAGCTTGTTATAGTTGAGAACTGTGCGAGCAGGGCTCACATTCAGGTGATAAGCTCACCTCCCACTGCTAGTTAGAGACAGAGCTAGAACTATTTCTAATTCACTGATATTTCTAACATACTGATGTCAAGAGAAGAGTGGAAAGAACACTTACCTTTGAATTTTCCTTTTTCTAACCAAATGTTTAAAACAACTTAGCTCCAGATAATATATATTAGAAAACAGAGCATGTTGTATTAAAAAGAAACATGGCTTGAGAGTCAGAACATCTAAGAGATTTGCCACACTGATTTACTTCATGACATTAGGTCAGGCATCTAATTTTTTTGCACGTCATTTTTTAACCTGGTAAATGAACATAATCATGTTTTCTTCCTTTCAGTGACAGAGATTGCATGAGGCTAAATGAGTAACAGCATTATCTCTTTATGACATTGATCTAAAAGAGGAGGAACATAATTTGCATTTAGCCTAGAGGCTGATTAAGCCACCTCCTACCTTTATTGTTTGCAGTTAATGGTGGAGAGAACTGATTTGATCTGTGCTTCATTAGGATCTTGTCCTCTGGGATTCTCCCCTGTGTCACAGTGCGAGGTTCATCAGAAGGAAGAGAGTCAGGGCCTGTGTTACAGAAGGTGCCCTCTGATTCTTTTCTGCAGAGATAGAGCAAAGAACAATTATGTTATGGCCATACTCTAAATTTAAGCCAGTTTTATTTCCTGACTTATATTTGGACAATCTTTATTCATGTAAAATGCTTCTTTTAAATTTTATATGTAAAACTAAGAGAGTTAAAATATAATGACCTGGTGATACAATGGTCCTTATAATATTTAAAGAAGTCCAATCATGTCTCAGCAAAACTGTCATCTGCTCTTTGTTCAGGGGCTCCCTACACTGACTGTCCTTTCCCCCTTTGATGTCTTGGATACAGCTTCACTCACTAAGTGGTGCCACCTGGTCCAACTGAACTTTGAAATGGCATGTGGAGTTACCTCTTCTCTGTGGACTGTTTCTTGAAATACCAGTCAATTAAGCCACCTTAATCTAGCTTGCTTAGCAACACTGGCCATTGAACAGACAACTAGCACAGAGAGCTATAGGCAATCAATCAATTTAAGGAGATTCTGTGAAAAACAAATACAGTACTCTCTGCTTGGCCCACCTTTGCTTATTGTTACCAAATCCACAGCTGGGCTACATTTGCAGGATTGGTTTGATCCTTTGAACAATGAATGGAGGCTTTGGTTTCAAAATCTTCTCCAAGAAGTAAATAAAACCTCCTAAGATATTTTACTTCTTAATAGAGAAACTATTTAGTTCTGCTAAAGAAAAATGTTTAATCATTCTTCCCCAGTCATGGCTGTTGAGCACAAAACCATGTAAAATGCATATAAAAACATAAAAAAACCTTATAATCATGCGTGTCGAGTAATTAGTTTATTTAAACTTGTTTTGTTTTTAAATTTTTTTGTAAACCTTCCTATCTAGTTACAGTATTATAGTTCTTATTGTATTTATGTAATTGTAGCAAAACTCAATGTGTCTTCTGGGGATATTTAATAATATCCTTACTGAAGATATATAAATATTTCATAACTCTTTTTGACAGGACTTTGAGCACAGTTATTACCTTTTATTTCCGTAAATGCTGTCTCAAATCCCCAACTGCAGAATCCTAATTGCACCATGGTTACTTTCTACAATCAATGAGTCCTTTCAGAATTGAATCTCATTTCCTGAACACTTATAATGCTTCAGTCGCTGTAATAAATGCTTTTTTTTTTTTTTTTTTTGAGAGGAAATCTTTCTCTGTCACCCAGGCTGGAGTGCAGTGGCACAATCTCAGCCCACTGCAACCTCTGCCTCCCAGGTTCAAGTGATTCTCCTGCCTTAGCCTCCCGAGTAGCTGGGATTACAGGCGCACACCACCATGCCCGGCTAATTTTTGTGTTTTTAGTAGAGATGGGGTTTTGCCATGTTAGTCAGGCTGGTCTCGAACTCCTGACCTCAAGTGATCTGCCTACCTTGGCCTCCCAAAGTGCTGGGATTACAGGCGTGAGCCACAGTGCCTGGCCATAAATGCTTTATATGCACTTAACCCTCGTAAAAACTCTGTGATATTGATAATATGATCTCATTTTGATAGGTGGAGAAACAAAGGTGCCAAGAATTTATGTAATTTGTCCATAATGATATGCAGTGTAGGCAGCAGAATTTAGATAAATTATAGGCCACTTACAGTAAAAATAATAATAAAGTCAAAAAACCCAAATTTAAAATGAGAAAAAACTTGAATATACATTTTTCTAAAGACGTCATCCACATGGACAATAAGCACATGAAAAGATGCACATCATTAGTCACTAGGGAAATGCAAATCAAAACCATAATGAGACACTACATCACACCCAGTTGGATGGATGGAACCAAACAGCTACTAAGATGACTATAAACACCAAGTGTCAGCGAGGATGTAGAGAAATTGAGACCTCACGTATTGCTTGTGGAAATGTAAAATGGTAGCGTCAGTGTGGAAAAGAGTTTCACAGTTCTCCAAAAAGTTAAATTCAGAATTACCACATGACCCAGCAATCCCATTTCTAGATATATGCCCAAGACAGTAAAACACCTACATCCACATACAAACTTGTACATGGCTGCTTATTCATAATAGCATTATTCATAATAACCCCCAAGTGGAAACAATCCAAATATTCATCATCTGATGAATGGATAAACAAAATATGGTATATCCAAACAGGAAATATTATTCGGCAATAAAAAGAAATACGAATACACGCTAGAACATGGGAGAACCTTGAAAACATGATGCTATGTGAAATAAGTTAGTGACAAAGGACCACATATTGCACAATTCCATCTATTGAAATGTCCAGAATAGGGAAATGGTAATCATAGAGACAGATAGTAGGTTAGCTGCTGCCAGGATATGGAGGGGTTTGAGAGGAAATGGGAAGCAACTTTTTGGGATGATGAATATGTTCTAAAATTTGATTGTGAGTGATGGTTATACAATTCTGTGAATATACTAAAAGCCATTGAATTGTATACCTTAAAGGGATGAATGTGATGGTATGTGAACCATATCTCAATAAAAAGAATATTAAAAACAATATTTAAATAAATATTTAGGAGTCCTTAAACCATATTGTGGGAAACATTTGAGGCATTTGGATTACCTTTAGTTTAGGATAGAAAAGCTGAAGTATTTTCAGTTATTTGAAGCAGTGTTTTTACTTCGTTTCACTCCATGAATTTGGTGGTATTGCAGCTTTTCCTTTTGAAGCGTTTGTAAGACAATATACAGCTATGCACCACATAATGACATTCTGGCCAATGATGGACCACATATATGACCCATGGTCTCATACAATTGCAATGGAGTTGAAAACTTTCTATGGCCTAGTGACATTGTAGCCATCGTAACATTGTAGTGCAAAGCATTACTCACGAGTTAGTGGTGATGCTGGTGTAAGTAAAAAGCATTACTCATCGGTTAGTGGTGACGCTGGTATAAGTAGACCTCCTGCATTGCCAGTCATCTAAGTCCAGCACATAGAATTATGGACAGTACAGAATACTTGATAATAAGAAAGAACTATGTTACTGGCTTATGTATTTGCCATACTGTACTTCTTCTTATTATTTTAGAGTGTATTCCTTCTACTTACATATTTTAAACTGTAAAACAGTCTCAAGCAGGTCCTTCAGGAGGGATTCTAGAAGAAGGCATCATTATCACAGGAGATAACAGTTCCATGCCTGTTATTGCCTTGAAGACCTTCCAGTAGGACAAGATGTGAAGATGGAAGATAGTGATATTATGATCCCAACCCTGTGCAGGTCTAGGCTAAATGTGTGTGTCTGTGTCTTAATTTTTTAACAAAAAAGTTTAGAAAGTAAAAAATAAATAAGAAATTTAAAAATAGAAAAATGTTTATAGAATAAGGATATAAAGAAAGTATTTTTGTACACCTGTACAATGTGTTTGTGTTTTAAGCTAAGTGTTATTATAAAGGATTAAAAAAGTTTGAAAACTTAAAACGACATGAAATAATAAAGTTATAGTAAGCTAATGTTAGCTTATTAGCCTTAATAATATTTAAAAACATTTTAAAATAAATTTAGTGTAGTCTAAGTGTGCAGTTTTATAAAGTCCATAGTAGTGCACAGTAATGTCCGAGGCCTTCACATTCATTCACCACTCACTCACTGACTCACCCAGAACAACTTCCATCCTGCAAGCTCCATTCATGGCAAGAGCCCTATATAGCTGTACCATTTTTTATCTTTTAGACTGTATTTTTACTTTACTTTTTCTCTGTTTAGATATGTCCAGATACACAAATACTTACCACTGTGTTACAATTGCCTACAGTATTCAGTACAATAACAAGCTGCACAGCTTTGTAGCCTAGAAGCAATAAGCCATACCATATAGCCTAGGGGGGTAGTAGGCTATCCCATCAAGGTTTGTGTAAGAATACTGTGATGTTCGCACAACAATGACATCACCTAAAGACACATTTCTCAGAACATACTCCTACCATTAAGCAACTCACGACTGTAACAGCTATTTGACAGAGGTCGAATTGCAAATGGAGGAGGTTGCGTTCTTAGAAGTTTAGAGTCTCTGGCCATCCTGGGCTCCTGACTATTGTGCTGAGTGTGGAAGCCTTGTCTGGAGCTACCCAGATAAGGTCCTTGGCCCCAGTGCTTTTAAATGGAAGAGAGAAAGTCTGGATGCCTGAAAAAAGTGGTTTTGAATCCAGGCTCCACCTGTACAAAAATCTATGATTTTAGGCATGTTGTGGGACGTCTCTGGGCCACCATAGCTTCATTTGTTAAAAAAAAAATGAGAATAATAATATCTATTTAAAAGTTTACCAGGGGGTTTTTATGAGACAATAGTTGTGAAAATGACAGATACAGTATCTGATACTTATTAAATCTGACAACTACTTTCTTCCTCTATTCTACCTCTTCCTTCTTCATCCAGCAGGTTTTTTACCCTCAAATGAATATTTTGAAAATTTCAAAGCAAGAAAAAGTTAAAATATCAGCACTGAACATCTGTTTACACTTCACTTAGACTTATGAGTTATTGACATTTGCCATATTAATTTTATATCTTTCAGTATGTGTACACATACACACTTTTTTCTGAAACTATTGGAAATAAATTGCAGACTTCATGATACCTCATTCCAAATGCTTTAGCCTGTGTCTTATAAGAACAAGGACATTCTCATAACACCAATTTCACATCCAGACACTTTATCATTGATTCAATAATATAATTTAATATGCCACCCTTATTAAGGTTTTCCAAATTGCCAGGCATGGTGGCTCATGCCTGCAATGAACCAGTACTTTGGGAGGTTGAGGCAGAAGGATCACTTGAGCCCAGAAGTTCAAGAACAGCCTGGACAAAATAGTGAGACCTCATCTCTACAAAAAATTAAAAAGTAAGCTGAGTGTGGTGGCATATGCCTGCAGTCCCAGCTACTTGGGAGGCTGAGGTGGGAGAATGGCTTGAGCCCTGGAGGCAGAGGCTGCAGTGAGCTGTGTTCGTGCCACTGCACTCCAGCCTGGATGACAGAGCCAGACCTTGTCCCTCTCACCGCCCCACAAAATTCTCCAAATTGTTTCAAGACATCCTTTAGTAGTGTTTTTGTTTTTATTCTTATTTAATAAGAGAATCCAAATAAAGTAAATGCATTCCATTTTATCATATCTCTTAGGTCTCTTTAATTTCAGAATTGTCTACCAGCTTTTTTATGCATTGGTTATTTCTGACATTGATGTCTTTTAGAGGTTCAGGTTACTTGTGCTGTGGAATGTGCCACATTCTGGACATCTTTGCTTGTTTTCTCAAGATTAGATTCAGTTAAAATATTCTTGGAAGAATGTGACAGAGGGCTATTTACATCTCATTGCATCACAGCAGGAGGTCCACAGAGCCAGTTCATTCTGCTATTGGTGATGCTAAATTTTGTCCCTTGAATAAGGTGGGGTTCCCAGATCTCTTCATTGTAAAGATATCTCATTAATTTGTAATTAAGAGAACATCCCTAGAGTGTGACTCTGAGGCATGGGAATGCATTATTAACCAAAGATCTTTCCCCAGATGGTACTAACATTTATTGATCATCTTTGCCTGAATTAATTTCTTCACTTTGGAGTTATAAAATACTGATTTGTTAATTCTATCCTTCTTTCTCCTCATTTCTTTTTAGTTAGCATTCTTCTGGAACCCCCCTCACTCCACTACCTCATCATGATCATGATCAATATATGAATTCTCTCTCTCTTTTTAAATTAAAATTTTATTTGGGAATGATTTTAGATTTACAGAATAATTGCAAAGATATAGAGAGTTCTATAAGTTTAGTTCATAGTAATGTACCAGTGTCAGTTTCTTAGTTTTGACAAATGTACTATGGATTCTTTTTAAAAATTCAATATGCAATGATCCGCTACCATGGCTTTTCTTTTTGATGGTCAAATAGTGCCAAATTAGGCCAACAGGGGTCTATGTAACTCAGTTCCTGTGACTTTTTAATGCCACTGTTAGTCTCTGGACATTTCTTAGCCTTCTATTGCAATGAGATGTCCCAGAATCATTGTGTCCTTTCTCTCCCCAGGCCTGGAATTAGCCATTTTTTAACAAACTTATGTAGTTAAACTTATACATCTTCTGTTTTTAATATTATATCCGAATTTTGGGTCAAAGTTGAAAATGTTTCCTCCATACTCAGCTTATAATGAAATTTACCCATTTTTTTTCTAATATATATATGGCTTCATTTTTATTATGACTTCTGATCCATTTGAAATTTATTCTGGTGTGAAGTGTGGACCCAATGTTATCTTTTGCCAAAAGGCAATCTAGGTGCACATACCACTTATGAAAAATTACGCTTTTTCCACTGTTGATTTGAGATTCTACTTTTAATCATATGTTAAATTCCCTTATAGCTATTTCCACATTTTCTTTTCTAATCTATTGGCCTATTTGTTTATTTCATATGCCAGCACCACACTTTTAATTGTGAGGGATATTTATTATCAGCTCTTCATTGTTCATCTTTTATGAGGGTTTCCTAGCTATTCTTGCATGTTTATTTGCTACAAATTTGGAAATGAAGTTACCGAGCTTCAGAATACTGTTTTGTTGATATTTCTACTGAGATTATATTATTTACTTCAGACAATTTGGCATAATTATGAAGCTGATACATCCAATCTAAGAACAGGAATGTTCTTGCATTTGATCAAGTCTACTTTTATCTTTCAAGAGTGTTTTAAATATTTCATCCTATTAATTTTGCAAATTTCTTGTTAAGTTTATTCTTAAATATTCTACCTTGTTATTGCTATTATGAATGGGAGTTTCCTTATCTATTATATATTTTTAAAGGTTTCTTTGTATGTATGAAAGCAAATATTTTAAATAATTTGTATGTTTATATTTTATATTGACTTTATATTTATCTATCTTGGTTCTTTTAATATTTGTAGTATTTTTATCATTGTACTCTTGAAATTTTCAGATATAGTTTCCTAACATCTGAAAATTAAGATAACTTTTTAAAACCATTTTTTATACCTTTAATTCTTTCTTCGTCTCTAATTACATTGGCAATGCCTCTAGTATAATAATAAATAATAGAGAATATAGTGGTGTCCTTGTCATATTCCTAAGAAACTGGTGTTTGGTCTTAGGTATATAAATATATATATATATATAAAAATGTATAAGAAAAATGTATTTATATATATTACTTACACATTTATATGCATTATAAATATATATTTATAATTATAAAAGTAAATAAAATGAATTTATATGCATTATTTTATTTATAATGTATATTTTATATTTATATATGAATGTATATAAAATATATAAATGTATATTTATATATGTAAATGTATATAAGTAAACTTTATCATATTACATTTATAATATGTAAATACATACTTATATATTACATATATGTACATATTGCATATTTATATATAAAATGTATGTACATATTACATATTTATATATAAAAGTACATAAAATGTCTCTATATACATTTTGTATATAAATATGTAATATGTACATATATGTAATATATAAATACATTTTATATACATTATGTATAAATATGTGTATATATGTAAATATATTGTATTTACATATATTACACATAATGTATATAAATACATTATATATGATGTTGACTGAATATTCATTCCTATTTTAGTGATTTTAAAAGACACAAATGTTCAATTCTGCTGAAGGTCTTTTCTAGATCTATAGGGAGTACCATATATTATTTTTTCTATATTTATTCATATGGTAAATAATATTAATAGTTTTTCTAATATCAAATTATCCTTGCAATTCTAAAATAAATCCCAACTGAAGCATGTGGTGGGGTGAATAATGGCCTCCAAAGATGTCCACACCCTCATTCCCTGAAATTGAGAATGTGTGACCTTACATGGCAAAAGGGACTTTGCAGGTGTGATGAAGTTAAGGATCTTGAGATGGGGAGATTATCTTGGACTGTCCAGTTAAGCCCAATGTAATCGCAGGATCTTTATAAGACAGAGCCTGGAAGATCAGAATCAGAGAGAAAAGATATAAAAATGGAAATAAAAATGGAATTAGAGATCAGATGAGAGAAGACGCAGCATTGCTGGCTTTGAGGCTGGGAAAGCAAGGGCACAGATTTCTGCCTGGAACTCACAGAAGAAACTCAGCCCTGACAAGAGGTTCTTTTTTGTTTGTCTGTTTGTTTTTTGAGACAGGGTTTTGCTCCGTTGCCCAGGCCGGAGCGCAGTGGCACGATCTCAGCTCACTGCAACCTCCATCTTCCAGGTTCAAGTGATTTTCCTGCTTCAGCCTCCTGAGTAGCTGGGATTACAGGTGCCCACCACCAGCTAATTTTTGTATTTTTTGTAGGGACGGGGTTTCACCATGTTGGCCAGGCTGCCTGCCAAAAGATTGATTTAGCTCAGTGAGACTCACTTCAGACTCTGACATCCAGAAGTGTAAGATAATCAATTTGTATTGTTTTAGGCCACTAAGTTGTGACAATTCGTTAGAGAAGCATTGGGAAACTAATACAGGTCATAATGTGTATTTTCAAAATATGCTTTGATTGTTACTACAATTTGATTACTTTTCTATTCTTTAGTGAGATAAATTTGTAGTCTCTTTTGTGCTATGTAACAACTTATATGCCAAAGTTATATTTACTTCTAGAAAAATAACTTGGAAATCTTCCCTTGTTTTTATGTTCTACAACAATTTAAGTCGCAATGGGATTGTCTGGTCTTTGAAGATTTGGCTGTGAAGCCATCTGGGCCTTATGCTTTTTTGCATTCCTATAGATTTTTAACCTTTCAGCTGGGCCCTATCAGTTACCACTTCTGTGACTCATTCCTGCCTGTCACCATGAAAAAAATGGTTCTCCTAGTTCAGGGTGTGGCAGGCCATTTCTCTCTGACAATCACACAGACAAGCCTGCATAGCACTCCAGTTACACAGACAAAGCACTGCCTTAACATTGAGCAAGTAGTTAAACCTAGGGAAATCAGTGCCCAGGCATCAAAGCTAGAAATGAAACATATGGTCAGTAGGAGCCTTGCATGGGCTTCTCCCTAACCTGGAACAAGCCAAAATAATAGAGACAGCCTTACATTCCTAGGGCCAGGACCTGCCTCAGGTCAACAAAATCTGAGATGAGTCAAGGTAACAGAGGCAGCTGTTTGAATAGATTCATTGGAGAGCCTAAGGCAGCTCTCCAGATCAAGCTATAAAGGTAAGATAGAAATAATCACTCCAGTAACACAATAGACAGGTCTTGAAGGTACTGGGGCCCCCACAGCTTAATAGGACCCAGCAAGCATTTTTTTGCTTGCTGACCTTGTACTTGAAACAAAATTAGTTACCAACAGACTTAGGCGAATGCTATACTGCACATAGGCACATAACCCCAACCTATATAAGCACTAAGAAAATTGTGACACTTTAAATTGGTCTGGTGGAATTTTCTCTGACCTTCTCCCTGTATCCAGTTACAGCAGTACATTCCCTTGTTTCATAGTTTGTCTGCATCTCGTTATTGGGCCTCGAGAAAACGCAGCCAGACCCGGCTTGGTTCCGGGAACGAAAATTTTGGCGACTCAGCCAGGAGGCCGCCAGGACGATGCTGCCTTCGGTGGCCAGCAGATTGCAAGGAGGTGGTCAATAGGAGACTCCCAGCAGCTGCCGGGTGAGATTGTCCCAGGGAATCTCCTGAGGGCCGGCCCATGGGCAAAACTGCATGTGCTTTTCCTCACTAGGAAAGAACGGAAGTTTGGCAGGAGTGGACTAGCTCAAAGGGTGAGTGAAAACCGAACCGTATGCCTGGAGCCTATTATTTCCTTATTTGGGCTATTAAGCCATTTGTTCCATACCATCAGGAAGATAATAGGGCTGGTTTGTACACCCGTTTGGTATTTGGTTTTCAGGCCTATTTCACCCACGTGCACCTCCTTTTGTGTCTATCTGAAACTATCTTTGTGTCTGTGTCTATCTAAACAATCTCTGGATCTGTACCTATAGTCTTGTTGAATTTAAGATGGGGAACGCTGCCTCCATTCCGTCAGAGAGCCCTCTGGGAAGACTTCTGTCAGATTAGAAACGGTACGGGTACCCCTCCACAACTCCTGCTGAGAGGCCTCTGGGAAAGAAAAAGATTTTTATAGGAGCTCCATGGTTAAGAGTCAACTTAATTAAAAGTTAACATCCAAGATGTGTATATATATGTGTGCATATGTGTGTGTTTGTATTTAAAAGACCTGCATATTTTTGTTTATCTCTCTCCTAGGACCTTGTCTTTTTGAGAAAAGGATTTATTTTTTTCTCAGTTGACTGAATTCTGTTTTCTTCATTAGTAGTTATTGCAACAGAAGCTACTCTGGTATCTGTAAGAAAAATGTAGTTTAGACACTTAGAAATGTCTTTGCTTGAAAAAAAAATTTTTAAGTGCACTGTAAAAGCATCACATGATCTAGCCTCATAATATTCCTTCCTTTTGAAAACCCAGGATTCAGTGTGGGCTCTGCCCAGAGCTCAGAGAGCCAATTAAAAGATAGATAGTCGATATCTAAATAAAGTTAGTAATCTCCGTCTAGCACCACCAGACTTTTCTGTCTGTGCCTTGAGATGTAAATCTTGCCAATTCAGTTTTCACCTAAGAGTTGTTTCCTTCAATATGCAGATTTAGGGCTATTTAGCTGACCACTGCCAGGGTAATGTACCAGGTTATTCAGAGTTTGCAAGTCTAAGATAGGAAAAAAGGAGGACTTATGAATCTATAAAATGTACTTCTGTTTGGATGTCTGTCTATATATTTATATGCTGTATACACAGTATTTCACTACTGAAAAAAATAAAAAGAGCTCTAATTAATTGGCTTAAAGAAAAATAAAAGTGCTTAAATCAAATGCTTTAAGGGAAAAATGGAAACACTGGTCAAATGCTTTTTCAAGTTTATCTGACTTAAGTAAAATCTTTAATAAGCTAGCTAGCTTTAAATTATTGGTAAAGTAATATTAGAAATATCTTAAGAATTTCCAGCATACATTTTGTTTGCATTTATTGATCAAGCAAGTTCATTCTTATCCCAACCAAATATTATAAGGTGTCAAAATTTGGCATAGGGGCTACAAAACTATAAACTCAGCCCAAAACAGAATGATCTTTGCTTGTATAATTTTTGATAAATAAAACATTAATATTGGTTTAATGAAGGCAGCCACATCTTGAATTATTTAGTAACATACTGTAACTTCTAATCTTGTGGCCTTAAGCAGTCTAGTCCATGAGCATGAAGGAAGTTTGTTCTGGGAAAGGACTGTTGTCATTTTATGTAAGAAAGAATCTTGTATGGTAAATTCTTGTCCTAAAGTAAAATAACTGGTTGTTTAAAATGGAGGGATGTTTAAAACAAGTCAGAAAGTGAAAGCATGTTGTAGCTCATCTGTGTTAAGTCATGAAATAATTTATGAGAGGGAATTTATGCAAGAAATGTTGAACAATTTAAAAGTTATTAGGCCTCCTAAATGCTTTTTAAAATGCCACTATGACTCTTAGCTGTACAACTTGCCTTCTTTACAGCTAAGTAAGGCCTGAGACACATTAAGCTAAATGCTGGGAAGAGTCAGACCTTCCCTGCACTTCTGTCTAGGTCTTAGGCTCCACACCTAGTACATAATTAAAATCCCAAACTTCACCAAGGTTTTCACCAAAAGTAAAGGTTGCTAAGAGGTAACAGAGTAACATGTATTTAAGACTATTGAAGAAACAGTCTACATGCAAGGTGTGTAAAGAAAGTAGAATATACTTTTGATAAAAAGATTATAAGGAGGCATGAGAATGTGGGTTTTTTGCTTAGATTAAAAGGTTAAAGGATTGTTTTAAGTTAAATAAAACAAAGCTAAAGGTTTAACAAGTTGTGGAAAGTTTATAAGATAATTAATTGTAAAAATTCTGTGTGTAAACATATTGGCTACAGTTAGGGGTATCATCCAGTTTTTCTGTAAATTGAGCATTAAAAAAAAAAACAGCACAACAGGTTTCTCTTAGAGCACTAACCTGCTCTTTAACAAAAATTACAAAGGGTTATAAAAGGCCTATAAAAACCTTACCTTATAGTCAGACATTAAAGTTGGGTAAATGTCTATAAAGTTTTATTAAAAATTAAGTTTAACATTAACAGTACACTAATGTAAAGGTAAAATTTGTCATATTTGTTACAAAAATCATACAGAAAACATTGCCAAGTATAAAATGGGGTTTGGCTTTCTTTGGGCCATATTTGCATAAATATGTTCTAGTATGTGTTTCAAAATTATGGAAAACTCCTATAATTCTGATATATCTTATTATAGGTTATCCATAATAATTATAATGGTTATGTTAAATTATTGTGTGCCACAGAGGTAACAGATTTCTTGTCAATTTTGTCTTTAACTATGGCTACCCTAAAACTTTTTGTCATCCATAAACAGTTGTTGTCTTGTTTTGGCCTCTTTAGAAAGTGGTTTTACAATCAGCTATAAAGCTCTAACAGGTGTTCTTGAATGCAGGTTTCTAATAACTTTGGAGATTGTAACATCAGAATAGAGAAAAAAAGTTTGGCACTCTTGGAGAGATAAGATGTATTAAGTGCAACAGGAATTAACTGCATGAACTAAGCTAATAAGAAACTGAAGTGATCTTTTTAACTTTTCGCTTAAAATGTTGCTGATACTTTGTTTTGCTTTTCAGAGTCAAAGAAACTTGTTTTAAGCTATTAACAACTTTTAACAAGTGCAGCATACTCCTATGAACAAAATTTGGGGCATATTTGTTTCTCTCCACCTGATTTCTCCAGAATTTGGAAACTATTTGTGAGTATTCCTAACTTATGGCAATATAGTTATTTGCATAAGTGAAATGAGAATCTGTTTTCTTTTGTAACAAGACGCAATTGGAAAACCTGGTTATTCTACCAAGACTTTAACTGGAATGTTATGCTCTCCTTTAAGGAATCAAACTTGACTTATGAAGCCAATAAAGCCCTTGGAAAACTGGCCTCATATTTTGTGTACACAGTCCCTGTACAGGGTTTCTAATCTGTGGTAAGTAAAGAATGTCACTTTCTGACAGGCCAGGAACCCCAAGTTATCTTGGAACCTCAAGAGAAGAATTCACCTAACTCATAGGTATTTGATAGTACAAATCCATGCCTGGACTCGGCTCTAAAAAGGTCTTATCTCAGATTCCTTCTATGGAACAAAGTTACATCAAAGTCAATTTAAAAGGCCTATGTGAAAAGTAATTATTCTTGCTGCACTGTATACAAATAATTAGACCAAGTATAATAATGCAAACCAGTTCTACCATAATTTGTCTTTTAATAAAAACGGGAAATTGACGAGAGAAAAATCATGTTTCAAAACTATAGTACACCTGTTGTTAAATTACAATCTTGCCTGATGTTTTTCTATTTTTATTATTTTCCACAGTTTAAATTAAATTCTACTTTTTCTGGCTGCAAGTCTCCAAAATAATGTTTTTAATTCTTTCCTTTTTCTTTTCCTTTTTTCCATTTTTCATAATTAGAAATCACTGAAATCTAAGCTGTGCTTTCTTAAAGTCCTGTGAACTAAAGACTAGACAACTTAAACTTCAGAAGAAAACAGCAGCAACCTATTTACACGTGTTACTGTTGCATACTATTATGTTTCAGCAGGCACTGTCTCTAAGCCCCTGAAACAGAGAGTGCTACCGGGAACAAACCAACCTATTCCACTCCAGTGCTGCACTTGGTGCCCCATAACGATGACCCTTTCTCAGCAGGATGTAGCCAGAAAGATTATAATACCCCGTCTCTTTACAATTCTCATGATAAATAAGTATACAAGCATGACAGAAATCATGCACAAATTGACACTGGGGATTGTGGCAGGCCATTTCTCCCAGACAATCACATGGATAGGCCTGCATGACAGTCACACAGACAGGCCTGCCTAGCACTCCAGTTACACAGACAAATTCCCACACCACTGCCTTAACATTGACTAAATAGTTAAACCTAGGGAAATCAGTGCCCAGACATCAAAGCTAGAAATAAAACATATGGTGAGTAGGAGCCTTGCATGGGCTTCTCCTTAACCTGGAGCAAACTAAAATAACAGAGACAGCCTTACATTCCTAGTGCCAATGTTGTAGGACTTTTCCTTAGTTCAGCTAAAGACAAGGGCCTTGTCTATCCCATGGCTATGAAAATTTAGGCTCGTGGACAGTTCAAAGGATGAGTAAAGCAGGGTTTTATTGGGTGAAAAGGAAGAAAAGGGGCAAACAGGGACTCTTACAAGGCCAGAGTCCCTGCCAGAGCATTTCCCACCTGGCCATTCAAATCTCAGTTTCCACAATGGAAGAGCAGGGGCCAGGCTCCTCCCTGCTGCAAACATCGTGAACTTCCCAATGCTCCACCCTAGTGGGCAGGCTGGTTGGAGTTTCTCCAGGGACCCCCTCCCACCTTGATGTCATTCCCCCCTCTAAAGAAGTACATCTAACTGCTATTAGATTAACGATAAGGATGAAGACCGATCTTAAATACTTCCGACTGACAGGGGAATGCTGTTTGGGGGAATCGGCAGTCAGCGCTCCCTCAGAGACCTATCTAAGGGTTCCTGGCAGAAGGGGCCATTGTCAGAGGCTCCAGTTGAATGACCGCTTGGAGTCTGATGGCCTGAAGGAGAGAAAAGACAAACCAGGTTATTAGAAAACATGTATGAAAATGAAACAAAGTTGGGGGAAGGACAGCTAAAAAACTTCCAAGGCATTTTACCAGTTTTCACAGTGAGAGGGAGGCCAAAAGCCCAACTGGTTGCACTTTACCCTTTTGCTGGCATGTCAGGTTTCTGGGTTCCTTTCCCCTGAGCCCAATCCAAAACCAACCAATTTAAGGTTTGGGAAATTAACTCCAGTTTGGAGGATGCATCTGAGGGAAGTGTCTCACAGTATGGAGATGCAATTACCTATTTGTGCAGAGAGAACTAAGGAGGAGAAAGGAAAAAGGAATGCATTTTTAAAATGAGTCCCAGGGTTTCAGGATGCATTCAAAAGGGGGTACAGACTGAAGATGAATGGCTACCCATCTAGAAAGAGGGGATCAGGCATCACTGGTTCCCTTATCTTCTTAGAAGATAACCAGGGTACGTGAGGGAGAGAGGGAAGAGCATTGTCTTTCCCTCTTCTGTCCTTGCATCCACAAGGTCCGGCGACCTTGGCAGGTGCCACCATGAGTACCAAAGCGGCTTTCACCCATGAAGCAGGGGTGCCTAGAGAATAGGAATTATTTGCTTTCACCTGTGCCTCTTTTCCACCTACTGTCAGTAGCCTTGGCATTCCCTAAACCTCATTTATGCCTTGGATATTAATGTGGCCTTTATCCATGAAACAGGAAGCTTGGGTTTGGCTTAATTGGCAGGAATCAGTCATGCTCACCTGTGCTGTGCCTTTTAACTTCCATTATTACCTGCCTCTGGATCCCTCAGATCCAGTTTTCTTTCCTAGGGCTTTGACCCAAAGCTTGGAATTTGTCTTTGATATGGGGGGTTGCATGGACTCCTTATTATAAGCCAAATGCTAAGGTGAAACTGTGGAATTGAGTCCTCCTCCAACAAGCAAGAGGAAAGGATGTCTTGATAACAGGTAGCTATAGCTATGTTTGCTAGGATTTGGGTGCATGGTGCTTGACTTTGGTTAGCTCCGTTGGTTTTACTTTTCCCAAAATGAAACCTCCAAGTGATGGACATCCTATTTATTCCCATCACCTGGTAGGATTTGCAGGATAATTGCTCAGAACCAAGATATTGATCCAGATTTTTGCATTACCCATCCCTCTTGTTCTTTCTGAGCTGCAGCCGGAGATTGCTGGTAGGGTTACAGGAACAAGCAGAGTTAGTCTAAAATGTAAGCAAAAACTTTGCACTTAGTAGGTTTAGAATTTAATGGCAAATGTATAAGTTTTGGGATATAATTTCTCTCTTGCGAGTCCTCATTTTTGTTAAGAAACAAATGATCTTAGAACTGAGTTGTTTAAATAGAATTTAGTCTTATACTTGGCCTGATTATTTGCATAAAGTGCAGCAAGAATAATTATTTCTACATAGGTCATTTGGATTGGCTTTGATGGAAGTGTGTTCCACAAGGAATCACAGATAAGCCCTTTTAAAGCCAAGCCCAACCACTGGTTTGTATCCTCAAATACCTGTGAGTCAGGTGATCCTCTCCTCTTAAGGTCCCAAGACAAACTTGGAGCTCCTAGGCCTGTTAGAAAGTGACATTCTTTACTGACCACAGGTCAGTAACCCTGTAAGGCACTGTGTAGGTGAGGGTATGAGGCCAGTATCCCCACTGGGCTTTTATTGGCTCTGCAAGTCGAGATTGACTCCTTAAAGAGAAGCATACCCTTCCAGTCAAAGCCTTGGTAAAATTACCAGCTTTTTCAATTGTGTCCTGTTGCAAGAGAAAAATGGATTCTTTTTGCACTGCTGCAAACAGCTATATTGCCATAATTTAAGAATACTCACAGATAGGTTCTAAATTTTAGAGGAACCAGGCAGAGAGAAAAAAACATGTTCTAAATCTTGATCACAGGAGTGTATACCTTACTTAATATTAAAGACTGTAAGTAGTTCAAAATTAGTTTCCCTGAGTCTGAAAAACCAAACATGGATCAGCAATATTCCAAGCAAAATGTCAAAAAGGTTGCTTCAGCTTTCTGAGCTCAGTCCATTTAGTTAACTCTTGTTTTGTTTGATATTCATGAACATTTCAGCTCTTTATGAGTCCTGTACATTTTCCTTTATTCCAATGTTACAATCTCTAAAGTTATTAGAAAATTGACTATCTCAAATATAATCAGAAATTGTATTTGAGAGCACCTGTCAGGGTCCTATAGCTCATTATAAACCATCTTTTGAAAAGAATTAAACAAGACAATTGTCTGTGAATAGCAAAATGTCCAGGGTAGTTACTGTTAGAAACACAATTGATAAATAAGTTTGATTATCTTCATGGTTTACAATAACATAACAACCTTAATTATGATTGATAACATATATTTAGACATTAGAATTTTAGAAATTCCATGTTATGGAACATATATTTGTATTATTCACAAAAATATAACCTAAAAAAGATTGAACATCATTTTGGCAATCCCATGTACCTAAACATGTCAAATGATCCTGTTTACCTCTCTTTTCGGGACACTTCAGAGGCCGTCTGAAGTATTCAAAAAGCCAGGCACCAGGGGAGACAATTTTGAAACTGAAATTTGACGTTGGGAAGGCTGTCAAATATGTTCAAGGTTTAAAACACTTGATATTAAGAAACAGATTTCCAAATTACCATAAACTAATTATTTTGCCAAGATGATGACTCAGAAATTTTAAAGAAGCAAAAAACCTTTTATAACCCTTTAGAAATTTTGCCAAAGAGCAGATTAGTGCCTTAGGAAAACCTTGTTATGCTTTTATTGCAATGCTTAATTTATAGAAAACCCATAATATACCCTTTTTTGAATTTAGTCAGTATCTTCACACACAGAACCTCTTCTGCAAAATTGATTTCCACAATTCTTCCACCACTTCTTTGAACCTTCAGCTGCTTTCTAATTTAACTCAAAACAATCCCTTAACCCTAGGCAAAAGTTTACATTTCCATGCCTTCTTACAACATTTTACTAAAAAACACATTTTACTGTTCTTACACACCTTGCATATAAATCTAATTCCAGTAGTTTCAATTAACTCTTAGCATTTATTAACTTTAAGGTAAAACTTGGTAAGTTATTTTAATTGTGTGTTAATTACAGCCAAGGTTTGGCTTTTTAGTTAAGGGTGTGGTTAGTTCCATATGTCCCCAGGCCTTACCAGTTGTGAAACCAGGAAACCAGAAAGTCAAATAGTTTCAGCCTTCTCCCTGTGTCTGGTTACAGCAATAAATTCCTTTCTTTCCTAGTTTGTCTGTGTCTCGTGATTGGGCCTCTAGTAAATGCAGCTAGACCCAGCTTGATTCCGGGGGCGGGGGTAGGGGGAAAGGGACTCTATAGAAAACACAAAGATAGGTTTTTGCTGATTCACTACCAAGAATGATCTGAGCCTGGTAGCCATCTTCCAGTACTTGTTTATTTTTTTTTTCTATTGTTCTCTGGTTCTTTAACTGAATTCCTTCTCTGGACCATAAATCCCCAATAACTGGAGTTCCCAGTCCTTGCTCCCATTTTCCAAGAATGATTTGTTTTTTTCCAATCTAACAATTGACTTAATGCCCCTATGTTTATGCCATCCTATGACATTTATCTCTAAGTGTTTGAATTGGCTTGTTCTTCATTAATCTTTGCTCTATCGTAGACTCCCTGACCTTTGGACAAGTGTCTTAGATCCTAGATTCAGATGTCATTGACTTATTACTTGAGATTTTGATTTTAGACATAAATGTGGAATTTGTACTCACATTCCTATGTGTGTACCTTAGGATAACCCATATTAGCTTCATATCCAGTTTTTTTTTTTGTTTTTTTTTTTATTATTATTATACATTAAGTTTTAGGGTACATGTGCACAATGTGCAGGTTAGTTACATATGTATACATGTGCCATGCTGGTGTGCTGCACCCATTAACTCATCATTTAGCATTAGGTATATCTCCTAATGCTATCCCTCCCCCCTCCCCCCACCCCACAACAGTCCCCAGAGTGTGATGTTCCCCTTCCTGTATCCAAGTGTTCTCATTGTTCAATTCCCACCTATGAGTGAGAACATGCAGTGTTTGGTTTTTTGTCCTTGCGATAGTTTACTGAGAATGATGATTTCCAATTTCATCCATGTCCCTACAAAGGACATGAACTCATCCTTTTTTATGGCTGCATAGTATTCCATGGTGTATATGTGCCACATTTTCTTAATCCAGTCTATCATTGTTGGACATTTGGGTTGGTTCCAAGTCTTTGCTATTGTGAATAGTGCCGCAATAAACATATGTGTGCATATGTCTTTATAGCAGCATGATTTATAGTCCTTTGGGTATATACCCAGTAATGGGATGGCTAGGTCAAATGGTATTTCTAGTTCTAGATCCCTGAGGAATCGCCACACTGACTTCCACAATGGTTGAACTAGTTTACAGTCCCAAAAACAGTGTAAAAGTGTTCCTATTTCTCCACATCTGCTCTAGCACCTGTTGTTTCCTGACTTTTTAATGATTGCCATTCTAACTGGTGTGAGATGGTATCTCATTGTGGCTTTGATCTGCATTTCTCTGATGGCCAGTGATGATGAGCATTTTTTCATGTGTTTTTTTGGCTGCATAAATGTCTTCTTTTGAGAAGTGTCTGTTCATGTCCTTTGCCCACTTTTTGATGGGGTTGTTTGTTTTTTTCTTGTAAATTTGTTTGAGAACATTGTAGATTCTGGATATTAGCCCTTTGTCAGATGAGTAGGTTGTGAAAATTTTCTCCCATTTTGTAGGTTGCCTGTTCACTCTGATGGTAGTTTCTTTTGCTGTGCAGAAGCTCTTTAGTTTAATTAGATCCCATTTGTCAATTTTGGCTTTTGTTGCCATTGCTTTTGGTGTTTTAGACATGAAGTCCTTGCCCATGCCTATGTCCTGAATGGTAATGCCTAGGTTTTCTTCTAGGGTTTTTATGGTTTTAGGTCTAACATTTAAGTCTTTAATCCATCTTGAATTAATTTTTGTATAAGGTGTAAGGAAGGGATCCAGTTTCAGCTTTCTACATATGGCTAGTCAGTTTTCCCAGCACCATTTATTAAGTAGGGAATCCTTTCCCCATTGCTTGTTTTTCTCAGGTTTGTCAAAGATCAGATAGTTGTAGATATGCGGCGTTATTTCTGAGGGCTGTGTTCTGTTCCATTGATCTATATCTCTGTTTTGGTACCAGTACCACACTGTTTTGGTTACTGTAACCTTGTAGTATAGTTTGAAGTCAGGTAGCGTGATGCCTCCAGCTTTGTTCTTTTGGCTTAGGATTGGCTTGGCGATGTGGGCTCTTTTCTGATTCCATATGAACTTGAAAGTAGTTTTTTCCAATTCTGTGAAGAAAGTCATTGGTAGCTTGATGGGGATGGCATTGAATCTATAAATTACCTTGGGCAGTATGGCCATTTTCACGATATTGATTCTTCCTACCCATGAGCATGGAATGTTCTTCCATTTGTTTGTATCCTCTTTTATTTCATTGAGCAGTGGTTTGTAGTTCTCCTTGAAGAGGTCCTTCACATCCCTTGTAAGTTGGATTCCTAGGTATTTTGTTCACTTTGAAGCAATTGTGAATGGGAGTTCACTCATGATTTGGCTCTCTGTTTGTCTGTTATTGGTGTATAAGAATGCTTGTGATGTTTGCACTTTGATTTTGTATCCTGAGACTTTGCTGAAGTTGCCTATCAGCTTAAGGAGACTTTGGGCTGAGATGATGGGGTTTTCTAGACAGACAATCATGTCATTTGCAAACAGGGACAATTTGACTTCCTCTTTTCCTAATTGAATACCGTTTATTTCCTTCTCCTGCCTGATTGCCCTGGCCAGAACTTCCAACACTATGTTGAATAGGAGTGGTGAGAGAGGGCATCCCTGTCTTGTGCCAGTTTTCAAAGGGAATGCTTCCAGTTTTTGCCCATTCAGTATGATATTGGCTGTGGGTTTGTCATAGATAGCTCTAATTATTTTGAGATACATCCCATTAATACCTAATTTATTGAGAGTTTTTAGCATGAAGGGCTGTTGAATTTTATCGAAGGCCTTTTCTGCATCTATTGAGATAATCATGTGGTTTTTGTCTTTGGTTCTGTTTATATGCTGGATTACATTTATTGACTTGCGTATATTGAACCAGCCTTGCATCCCAGGGATGAAGCCCACTTGATCATGGTGGATAAGCTTTTTGATGTGCTGCTGGATTCGGTTTGCCAGTATTTTATTGAGGATTTTTGCATCAATGTTCATCAAGGATATTGGTCTAAAATTCTCTTTTTTGGTTGTGCCTGTGCCCGGCTTTGGTATCAGGATGATGCTGACCTCATAAAATGAGTTAGGGAGGATTCCCTCTTTTTCTATTGATTGGAATAGTTTCAGAAGGAATGGTACCAGCTCTTCCTCATACCTCTGGTAGAATTCGGCTGTGAATCCATCTGGTCCTGGACTCTTTTGGTTGGTAAGCTAATGATTATTGCCACAATTTCAGAGCCTGTTACTGGTCTATTCAGAGATTCAACTTCTTCCTGGTTTAGTCTTGGGACGGTGTGTGTGTCGAGGAATTTATCCATTTCTTCTAGATTTCTAGTTTATTTGCGTAGAGGTGTTTGTAGTATTCTCTGATGGTAGTTTGCATTTCTCTGGGATCAGTGGTGATATCCCCTTTATCATTTTTTATTGTGTCTATTTGATTCTTCTCTCTTTTCTTCTTTATTAGTCTTGCTAGCGGTCTATCAATTTTGTTGATCCTTTCAAAAAACCAGCTCCTGGATTCATTAATTTTTCAAAGGGTTTTTTGGTCTCTATTTCCTTCAGTTCTGCTCTGATTTTAGTTATTTCTTGCCTTCTGCTAGCTTTTGAATGTGTTTGCTCTTGCTTTTCTAGTTCTTTTAATTGTGATGTTAGGGTGTCAATTTTGGATATTTCCTGCTTTCTCTTGTGGGCATTTAGTACTATAAATTTCCCTCTACACACTGCTTTGAATGTGTCCCAAAGATTCTGGTATGTTGTGTCTTTGTTCTCATTGGTTTCAAAGGACATCTTTATTTCTGCCTTCATTTCGTTATGTGCCCAGTAGTCATTCAGGAGCAGGTTGTTCAGTTTCCATGTAGTTGAGCGGTTTTGAGTGAGTTTCTTAATCCTGAGTTCTAGTTTGATTGCACTGTGGTCTGAGAGACAGTTTGTTATAATTTCTGTTCTTTTACATTTGCTGAGGAGAGCTTTACTTCCAACTGTATGGTCAATTTTGCAATAGGTGTGGTGTGGTGCTGAAAAAAATGTATATTCTGTTGATTTGGGGTGGAGAGTTCTGTAGATGTCTATTAGGTCTGCTTGGTGCAGAGCTGAGTTCAATTCCTGGGTATCCTTTTTAACTTTCTGTCTCGTTGATCTTTATAATGTTGACAGTGAGGTGTTAAAGTCTCCCATTATTATTGTGTGGGAGTCTAAGTCTCTTTGTAGGTCACTCAGGACTTGCTTTATGAATCTGGGTGCTCCTGTATTGGGTGCATATATATTTAGGATAGTTAACTCTTCTTGTTAAATTGATCCCTTGACCATTATGTAATGGCCTTCTTTGTCTCTTTTGATCTTTGTTGGTTTAAAGTCTGTTTTACCCGAGACTAGGATTGCAACCCCTGCCTTTTTTGGTTTTCCATTTGCTTGGTAGATCTTCCTCCATCCTTTTATTTTGAGCCTATGTGTGTCTCTCCATGTGAGATGGGTTTCCTGAATACAGCACACTGATGGGTCCTGACTCTTTATCCAATTTGACAGTCTGTATCTTTTAATTGGAGCATTTAGTCCATTTACATTTTAAGTTAATATTGTTATGTGTGAATTTGATCCTGTCTTTATGATGTTAGCTGGTTATTTTGCTCATTAGTTGATGCAGTTTCTTCCGAGTCTCAATGGTCTTTACATTTTGGCATGATATTGCAGTGGCTGGTACTGGTTGTTCCTTTCCATGTTTAGCACTTCCTTCAGGAGCTCTTTTAGGGCAGGCCTGGTGGTGACAAAATCTCTCAGCATTTGCTTGTCTGTAAAGTATTTTATTTCTCCTTCACTTATGAAGCTTAGTTTGGCTGGATATGAAATTCTGGGTTGAAAATTCTTTTCTTTAAGAATGTTGAATATTGGCCCCCACTCTCTTCTGGCTTGTAGAGTTTCTGCTGAGAGATCCGCTGTTATTCTGATGGACTTCCCTTTGTGGGTAACCTGACCTTTCTCTCTGGCTGCCCTTAACATTTTTTCCTTCATTTCAACTTTGGTGAGTCTGACAATTATGTGTCTTTGAGTTGCTCTTCTCGAGGAGTATCTTTGTGGCATTCTCTGTATTTCCTGAATCTGAATGTTGGCCTGCCTTGCTACATTGGGAAAGTTTTCCTGGATAATATCCTGCGGAGTGTTTTCCAACTTGGCTCCATTCTCCCTGTCACTTTCAGGTACACCAATCAGATGTAGATTTGGTCTTTTCACATAGTCCCATATTTCTTGGAGGCTTTGTTCGTTTCTTTTTATTCTTTTTTCTCTAAACTTCCCTTCTCGCTTCATTTCATTCATTTCATCTTCCGTCACTGATACCCTTTCTTCCAGTTGATCGCATTGGCTCCTGAGGCTTCTGCATTCTTCACGTAGTTTTCAAGCCTTGGCTTTCAGCTCCATCAGCTCCTTTAAGCACTTCTCTGTATTGGTTATTCTAGTTATACATTCGTCTAAATTTTTTTCAAAGTTTTTAACTTCTTTGCCTTTGGTTTGAATTTCCTCCTGTAGCTTGGAGTAGTTTGATCATCTGAAGCCTTCTTCTCTCAACTCGTCAAAGTCATTCTCCATCCAGCTTTGTTCCATTTCTGGTGAGGAACTGTGTTCTTTTGGAGGAGGAGAGGCGCTCTGCTTTTTCGAGTTTCCATTTTTTCTGCTCTGTTTTTTCCCCATCTTTGTGGTTTTATCTACTTTTGGTCTTTGATGATGGTGATGTACAGATGGGTTTTTGGTGTGGATGTCCTTTCTGTTTGTTAGTTTTCCTTCTAACAGACAGGACCCTCAGCTGCAGGTCTGTTGGAATTTGCTAGAGGTCCACTCCAGAGCCTGTTTGCCTGGGTATCAGCAGCGGTGACTGCAGAACAGCGGATTTTCGTGAACCGCGAATGCTGCTGTCTGATAGTTCCTCTCGAAGTTTTGTCTCAGAGGAGTACCCGGCCGTGTGAGGTGTCAGTCTGCCCCTACTGGGGGGTGCCTCCCAGTTAGGCTGCTCAGGGGTCAGGGGTCAGGGACCCACTTGAGGAGGCAGTCTGCCCGTTCTCAGATCTCCATCTGCGTGCTGGGAGAACCACTGCTCTCTTCAAAGCTGTCAGACAGGGACATTTAAGTCTGCAGAGGTTACTGCTGTCTTTTTGTTTGTCTGTGCCCTGCTCCCAGAGGTGGAGCCTACAGAGGCAGGCAGACCTCCTTGAGCTGTGGTGGGCTCCACCCAGTTTGCGCTTCCCGGCTGCTTTGTTTACCTAAGCAAGCCTGGGCTATGGCGGGTGCCCCTCCCCCAGCCTCGCTGCCACCTTGCAGTTTGATCTCAGACTGCTGTGCTAGCAATCAGCGAGACTCTGTGGGCGTAGGACCCTCTGAACCATGTACGGGATATAATCTCCTGGTGTGCTGTTTTTTAAGCCCATTGGAAAAGCGTAGTATTAAGATGGGAGTGACCCGATTTTCCAGGTGCTGTCTGTCACCCCTTTCTTTGACTAGGAAAGGGAACTCCCTGACCCCTTGCGCTTCCTGAGTGAGGCATTGCCTCGCCCTGCTTCAGCTCACACACGGTGCACTGCACCCACTGTCCTGCGCCCATTGTCTGGCACTTCCTAGTGAGATGAACCCGGTACCTCAGATGGAAATGCAGAAATCACCCACCTTCTGCGTCGCTCATGCTGGGAGCTGTAGACCGGAGTTGTTCCTATTCAGCCATCTCGACTGCCCTCCCCCATATCCAGTTTTAACCTGTGATAAACACTGCAGATTTGCCTCATCTCAGGTTTCTAAAGACTTACACATCCTAATGCCACTGAAGTGCTAATCTTGATCAACCCTGTGTAATTCAATGGCTGTATATTTTGAACACTGTAATTAATTTTGCAAATTTTATTTTTGTTTGATTACTTTCTCCCATGAATTTAATCTGCAGGTAACATGCTATTTTTAAAAGTTGAAATAACTACTAACAACCTATCTTATTTTGGAGTCTTATGTCTCTTTGAGTAATAGATTTCTATACTTTTGTCCATTAATTTCATTCTCTTGCATAACTGTTTAGAATATTATTAGGCTGTTTTATTTTTATGTTGAATCAGTTTAATTATCACCTCTTCATAAATAATGGGAAGTTATTAACATCTATATCTGTGAATTTGTTGTGGTTGACCATATTTTATACTCAGATTCAAATAGTTCTCTTAATAAGTACTAAATCTCCTGGTGCAAATAATGTTTTTCAGAAAATGTGGTTAATTAAATGTCTTCTAACTTACAGCTTGTGGATTTGAAAACACAGCAGCATTTTTTTTCCTAAAATGTTCCATCAAAGTTATAGAATAATTGATTCACTCTTTATTAAATACTTACTGAGTACCAACTGTGCTTTCAGGTGCTATTCTGTGTGCTTAGAAAATATCAGTAAACAAGCCAAAGATCCTTTCCCTCATGGAGCTAATATTGCAGTAGCAGAGAAAGGCAATCAACAGCAAATACAAAGTAGATTACATGTGTTATGTTAGAAAGTGATAAGAATTATGGAACAACAACAACAAAAAAAAACATAGAGGAAATAGAAAATTGGGAATGCTATGGGTAGGGGGAGACCAGACTGCAATTCAAAAAATAGTGATCAATGTAGACCTCATTGAGAAGATAAAATACAAACAAATACTTGAAGGAGATAAGGGGGTTGAATATTTGGATATCTGGGAAAATTGTTCTCAGATGGAGTTAAGAACAAATGCAAATTCCCTAAGGTAGAATTTGTCTGACTTGCTCTAAGAGGGGCGTGGAGACAGTGTGGATTGAAGTTGAGTGATTCACAGGACAGTATGAGATGAAGTTAGAGATCACGGGAAGATGGCAGATAGGAAACAGGGCTATTATGCAGCTCCCACATGGATAGGCAGAACAGCATGTGGAAACTCACACTGTGATATTTACTACAAGAACTGCCACAGGATTGTACCAGAAAACTGAAAGAATTCACAGATCCTTTGAAAGAAGTGGCATGGCACTGCAAATTCCATGAAACAGGCAAAAAACTGAATTCCCAAAGTGTGAGAGGGGACACACATCTGAACACATGTCTCTACTGGGGAATCTGAAAATCCAGATCACATGAGAAGGGTTTAACTTTACCTAGAGATGAAATGGATTTAGGGAGTCGGGCAAAATATAAAAGTAGAAGTACCAGTGGGAAGGGCCTTGATGCACTCCCAGTCTCCAGTTTGAGCTCAGGGAAGCCATCCCTGACTATATCTCATGGGTCCCTCAGGGAAGGCAGCCAGCAGAATTTGGGAGGGATCACAGGGTGAAGGAGACTCCCAAGTGTAATTGTTAGTGGTTTTGACTGGGCATAAATTGTCTTGAGTGGAGTCCAGGGGATCAGTGGGAGTTGCTGTGGATATGAGCAAGTGCAGGAGCACAGGAGCTGCAACGAACAGAGTAGGCAGATGGGGGGTGGGGGGTGAGGTCTGAAAGCCATGCTTGCTTTCTCAGCAGCATGGCTTATGGTCTGAAGCAAGGTGGCCAAGATCCCCTCTGTAATAGAATCCCATTGGCCTGAGAACCATCCCCCCATCACCTATAGTAGCTACAGCAAGCTCTGTCCAAGGAGAGCCTGAGCTCAAACCTGCCTAACCCTGCCCCAACCTGATGGTATTTTCCTACCTGCCCTGGTAGCCAAACACAAAACATAGAAACTCTTGGTAGCTTTATGGCCCCACCCATCTTCTGAGAAACAAAAATACCCTGGCCATGTTAGGGCAAGCTTATATCCCCCTTCTGCTATCACAGCTGGTGCTCTCTCAAAAGTGCCACCTCCTGGCTGGAGGCCAACCAATGTAGGTCATTACAACAACTCATGACAGAACAACCCTGATCCCAGGGAAGAGAAGACAACAGCTAATTCCACTGCCTGCAACATCCTGGCTAACCAGAGGTCCTCAGTGTGTCCACATGACAACTTCATTGCTAGCATAACCAGCATTTAAGAAAGCCAGCACACTAAACATATCTACAACTAAGGACTCTCACAGAGTTTACTTTACTTCCCTGCCACCTCTACCAGAGCAGGTACTGGTGTGCACAGCTGGGAGGCCTAAAGATGAATTACATAACAGGACTCTTTGCAGATATCCTGCAGCACCAGCCCAGAGCCTAGTAGACCCATTGGGTGGCTAGATCCAGAAGAGCAATAACAATAACTGTAGTCTGTAGGAGATCGGTCAGGGTGGTGGGAAAAGTTATAGCAATTATAGGGAAAGACACAAACCTTCTTGGAAAGGCAGGAAATTTTGCCAAAGCTTGGAAAGAAAATTTGGCTGAAGGTAGCCAAATTCTCTTATCTGGAGCCTGAGAGCAAAGGGTAGATAACAAGGGAATGTAAAGGGACTTATCTAGATAAATTTGTTTACTCCTGTCTCCAGAAACCAACCTTTGATAATTCGTGCACAGGACTGCTCTCTACTCGGGGGATTGACAATGTTTATTACCCACAAATTGTGTTTGCTCCAAGCCTTTGTCATTAAATCTGTACTAAATAAATACGAGGATCTCCAGCTTATGGGTGCTGCTGCAGCTGCACTGCACTCTTGTCGGCGGTGCTAAGCCATGGGGTCCCTTAGCCGTGCTGTCAGGCAAAACACCTGTGTCAGCGAACTTCTTCCATCTGTCACTCAGCCAGTCTGCAGGACAGACTCGGCAGCAGTCAAGCTCTCAAGAAACCCCATCATTAGGTGAAGGGAGAGAGCAGCACATCAAGGGATCACCCCATGGGACAAGAGACTCCGAACAGCAGGCCTCGAGTTCCAGATCTTTCTACTGAAACAGTCTACCAAATGAGAAGGAAACAAAAAAGTAATTCTGGTAATATGGAAAAACATGGTTTTACAACATCCCAAAAAAACTACACCAGCTACCCAGCAATGAATCCAAACCAAGAAGAAATCTCTTAATTGCCAGATAAAGAATTCAAAAGGTTGATTATTAAGCTTCTCAAGGAGATACCAGAGAAAGATGAAAACCAACTTACATTTAAAAAATACAGGATATGGATGAAAAATGCTGCAGAGAAATAGATATTATAAAGAAAAAACAATTAAAACTTTTGGAAATGAAAGACACAGAGAAATACAAATTGCAGTAGAAAGTTTCTGCAACAGACTAGCACAAGTAGAAGCAAGAACTTCAGAGCTCAAAGACAAGGCTTTTGAATTAAACCAATCAGACAAAGACAAAGAAAAAAGAATAAAAAAAATGAACAAAGCCTCCAGAAAATTTGGGATTATGTTAAACAGCCAAGCCTAAAAATAATTGGTGTTCTTGAGGAAGAAGAGAAATCTAAAAGTTTGGAAAACTTATTTAAAGTAATAATTGAGGAAAACTTTCCTGACCTTATTAGATGTCTAGACATCCAAATACAAGAAGCTCAAAGAACACTCGGGAAATTCATCGCAGAAAGATTATCACCTAGGCACATAGTCATCAGGTTATCTAAAGTCAAGATGAAGGACAGAATCTAAAGAGCTATGAGACAAAAGCATCAGATAATCTATAAAGGAAGACCTATCAGATTAACAGTAGACTTCTCAGCAGAAACCTTACAAGCCAGAAGAGATTGGGGTCCCATCATTAGCCTCTCAAAAGAATATAATTGTCAGCTAAGAATTTTGTATCCAGCAAAACTAAGCTTCATTAATGAAGGAGAGATAAAGTCTTTTTCAGACAAAGAAATGCTAAGATAATTCATCAGTACTGAGACAGTACTACAAGAAATGCTTAAAGGAGTTCTAAATCTTGAAAGAAAATCTCAAAATACACCAAAAGAGAACCTTTTTAAAGCATAAATTTCACAGGGCCTATAAAACAATAACACAATGGAAAAAAAACCCACAAGGTATTAAGGCAACAACTAACATGATGAATAAAACACTATCTCACCTCTCAATACTAACATTGAATGCAAATGGCTGGAATGCTCCACTTAAATGATACAGAATGGCAGAATGGATAAAAATCCACCAACCAAGTATCTGCTGTTTTCAAGAGACTCACCTAACACATAAGGACTCACATAAACTTAAGGTAAAGGGGTGGAAAAAGATATTCCATGCAAATGGAAACCAAAAGTGAGCAGGAATAGCTATTCTTATATTAGACAAAACAGAGTTTAAAGTAACAACAGTTAAAAAACAACAAAAAGGGACATTAGGTAATGATGAAAGGAATAGTCCAACAGGAAAATATTACAGTCCTAAATATATATGCACCTAACACTTGGTAATGGATTTATAGATATAATACTAAATTCATGAGCAGAAAAAAACTAATTGGATCTCATAAAAATAAAAGCTTTATGCATTGAAGGACATTATCAAGAAAATGAAAAAAGCAACTTACACGATGGTAGAAAGTATTGCAAATCATATATCTGATAAGGGTTTAATATCCAGGATATATTTAAAACCTCCTTAAACACAAAAACAAAAAGACAAATGACTCAATTTAGAAATAGGCAAAGACTTGAGTAGACCTTTTCTGGAGAAGAAATATCAATGATCAATAAGGACATGAAAAAGTTGTTAGGGAAATTAAAATCAAAACTACAGTGAGATGCCACATCACACCTACAAGGATGACTATAACAGCAACAATTATTATAATTATAATAAGCCCACATGTGTTGGTGAGGATGCAGAGAAGTTGGAAATCTTGTACATTTCTGATGGGAATGTAACATGGTGCAATCTCTGTAGAGAAAATTTGGCAAGTCCTCAAAAAGCTAAATATAGAATTACTATATGACCCAGCAATTCCACTACTAGGTATTAACCCAAAAGAATTGAAAATGGGGACTGAAAGAGATATCTGTGTACTAATGTTCCCTGCAGTGTTATTCACAATGGCCAACAGGTGGAAACAATACAAGTGTCCATCAACAGATAAATGCACCAACACAATGTGGTTTATACATACAGTGGAATATTGTTTAGCCATAAAAGGAATGACATTCTGACACATGCTACAGTATGGACGAACCTTGAAAACATTATGCTGAGTGAAATAAGCCAGTCACAAAAGGACAAATATTCTACGACCCCATTTACATGAAATTTCTAGAATAGGCTTGAAAAGAATATATATGTTTTGCTATTACTGGGTGGAGAGTTTAAAGACTTAAATGTGAGAGCTAAAAACTATATAAATCTTAGAAGAAAACATAAATGTAAATCATTGTAGTCTTGGATAAAACAATGGTTTCTAACAAATCACAGTAAAATCACAAGCAACCATAGGAAAAAATAGATAAATTGGACTTCATCAAAATTAATAGCTTCTGTGCTGCAAAGAGTAATATCAAGAAAGTGGAGGTTGGGCATGGTGGCTCACACCTATAATCCCAGCACTTTGGGATTACAGGCTGAGGCGGGCGGATCACCTGAGGCCAGGAGTTCAAGATCAGCCTGGCCAACATGGTGAAATCCCATCTCTGCTAAAAATACAAAAATAAGCCAGACATGGTGGCACATGACTATAATCCCAGCTACTCAGGAGGCTGAGGCAGGAGAATTGCTTGAACCTGGGAGGCGGGGTTGCAGTGAGCTGAGATTGCACCACTGCACTCCAGCCTGGGTGACAGAGCAAGACTCCATCTCAAAAAAAAAAAAAAAAAGAAAGAAAGTGGAAAGTAAGCCTATAGAATGGGACAAACTGTTTGCAAATAATGTATCTAATAGTCTAATTACATATCTAATAAGAGTCTAATTATATATCTAATAAGAGTCTAATTATGTATCTAATAAGAGTCTATATATCTAATGAGTCTAATTATATATCTAATAAGAGTATCCAGAATATATAAAGAAATATTGTAACACAATAATAAAGACAAAAAAATTTTAAATGGGCAAATGATTTGAATAAATATTTCTCCAAAGGAGATATACAAATATCTGATAAGCAAATAAAAAGATGTCCAACATGATTAGTAACTAAAGAAATGAAAATCAAAACCTCAATGTAATACAACTTCACACCCACTAGAAGATTTAATTTTAAAAATCAGTCGCTAAGATTTGAAGAAATTGGAGACTTCATCCACTGCTGGTGGGAGAGTAAAATGGTGCACCGCTTTGGAAAAAGGTTTGGCTGTTCCTTAAAATATTAAACATAGAATTAATATAAGACCTAGCAAATCCACTCATAGTTATATACCTAAATGAAATGAAAACAAATGATCACACATAAATGTGTATAAAAATGTCCATAAGCAGCCTTATTCCTAAAGGCAGAAATAATCTGAATGGCCATCAACTGATGAATGAAAAATAAAATGTGTCATATCCATATCAGGGAATATTATTTGACAATAAAAATAAGAATGAAATATTGATATGTGATACAACATGGATAGACTTTGAAAACATTTTGCTACATTAAATAAACCAATCACAAAAGGCCCCATGTTAAGTGATTATATTTATATTAAGTATTTGACATAGGCAAATCTACAGAGACAGAAAGTAAATTAGTGTTTTCCTGGGACTCGGAGGCAGGAAAGATTGGGAGTGAAGGCTAATAGGTATGGGGTTTCTTTCGCAGGGTGATGGAAATGTCTTAAAATTAGGCAGTGGTGGTGGTTGCATACTGTGTGAATGTATGAAAAACTACAGAATTGCACACTTTAAATAGACAATTTTATGCTATGTCAATTATAAAGCTTTTAAGAAATAATCCTGGCTAGGCGCAGTGGCTCACGCCTGTAATCCCAGCACTTTGGGAAGCTGAGGTGGGCAGATCACCTGAGGCCAAGAGTTCAAGACCATCCTGGCCAACATGGTGAAACCCCATCTCTACTGAAAATACAAAAATTAGCTGGGCATGGTGGTGCGTGCCTGTAATCCTAGCTACACAGGGAGGCTGAGGCAGGAGAATCACTTGAACCAGGGAGTTGGAGGTTGTAGTGAGCTGAGATTGCATCACTGCACTCCAGCCTGGGACAGAGAGAGACTCTGTCTCCAAAAAAAAAAAATAAGAAGAAGAAGAAGAAGAAATAATCTTAGGGTGGAAAGGGGGATCTGTGTTCGTTTGTGAGAATTCTGAGCAAGACATGAGACTAGATGATTTGCTTAGCCCAGCGGATATTATGTTACAAATGGTTAATCTGCTGTTTACAACTCTATTCTTTCATTCTCTGGGGCAAGTGGATTGCAGTAAACAAGCATCAGCCACAGGTGCCTTCTATTGAGCACTTGTTAAGTGCCAAACACTCTCCCGGACACATACTAAGTCCTCACAATGATTCTAAAAAGACAGGCATTAGTAATTCATTCATGTAACCAATATTTATGGAGCACTCTTTATGCATGGGAGCTTTCTGAGGAACTGAGGATATAGCTCTAAATAAAACAGGCTGGTTCCGGGCCCTACTGGTTCCATTTTTGAGAAGTTCTTTAGGGTCACACAGCTGGAGTAGATTAGAAATTGAATCCCAGTATTTGTTCTTCCCCTCACACAACCTCTGGAGACTGGCAATGGAGAGTTAATATAGTTGATTGATTCTGGCTTAAAGAAGAAATGTGGGCAAAGGAAAAGAGAGTAAAAACAGGATGGAAAGAGGAGGAGATTGATAAAGTTCATTAGTGTATATTAAACATGATTTTGTTTATTATTTAATTTGGTATTCTACAATGTACAATGTAGGTAGCATACTTCAGGCTAATAATGTTAATTTGAGGTTTGTATTATCTGATGTGACTAAACTGACATACAGTGGCTAATTGTCCAATCTCCATTTTAATACTCTATAGACAGTTTCCTTAGCTCTAAGCCTCCCCGGGTCTCTCAGTTGGGTTGTTTCTATGTAAATTCTAATGTATTTAGTAATTTCCTGGGAAAATATAGACCAATTTTTATTTTACATGAGAAAAACATAAACTGAGCTTGGTGCTTTTAATCAATGGGTTTTCTTATTATGTAGATGTTGGCAGGGCACAGCTATGTTTTTGTTGAATTATTCTTCTTTTTCCTCTTGTTCTTATTCTAATGATGGATGATGTTTGGGGAAGTTAACTCTATGCTGTGTACACATTGCCTGTGCTGTAACTTCTAATATACGGCTGGAAAACTTAACATGAAACCAAGCATGCCGACCAAATTTAGTGTCTAATGATGCCATAAATGTACATATATATGTATCCTTAGCACTGCAAAACAATACTAAAATGGCAGAACTTGGGAGAAAAGAGAGTGCAATTTTGTTTGTTGTTAACATCCAGTGATTTTTCTTTACCTTCATTTTCTGATCCACAATGGTGGGATCATGTTGATTATGAAATGATGTTAGAATCACTGGTGCTGTAGCTTCTCTTCCTTGATGAGAAATAGAATACACTCTCCAGAGTATGGAATAAATGATATTTTCATTGTTAATTAGTATCACAGCATATTTGAAATCAGTTAGAGAGCCTATGTTTTCCCTGTACTGTATACTCCAATAAGCTGAAAAGAAAAAAAGTGAGGGTTGGGGGCCAATATTTATTGGTAGTCAACTGTGGCTGGGGTATTTTACATACATTTTTCTCACTGGATCTTCCAAACTTTCCAGGAAGTTTATTATTCCCTTTCCATAGGCCAGTAAGCACAGCTCAGAGAGTTGTCCAAAGTCACACAGCCAGCCAAGATTTGGGCACAGCCCATCTGACTCCAAAGCCCATAGTGCCCCACCACAGTGTGTGTCTACCCCATTGTGTTGGCTACTCTCTCCCTTCCTTTTCCTGTGAATAAGCCCATTTGGCGTTGACTGTGCCACTTTCTTGCTATTTTGCAAAAATATGTGCCATAATTTGTGAAAATAGCAGGTTACAGAAAAATGAAAGTGAATAATTAGGAGAGACTCGAGAACAGAACGGCATTTAAGACTAGAACTTTTCTTGTGCTATGTGAAACTATTTGCTAAGATCGTTTTCCTAAAATACTTATCTTCCTCCCCAGGCCCACTGTGGGGAGTAACTGCAGGGAAGAGGGGGCACACTCGTGCAGATGTGGGCGAGAGCACTCCCTGCACTGCAGGAAGGAGGGGCAGAGAGGGCTGTGGATGACAACCAAAGCGGCAGCTCCAGGGAACCAGAGTGGAGCGTGCCTCTGGGGGCTTGGGCCAAGCGCGTGCCATACGTGGAAGGAGGCTGAGCGGCCCAAGGTGTGGGAGCTGGGGACTGTCAAGGAACCAGTTTGTCTGGCCTCTGGCCCTGACCTTTCCTCCACCTTCATGTGCAGATTGTTGGTGGCCAAGCATTTATCACTCAGGCAAAATATCCGAAGGCCCCTCTTTAGAAAATTGAAAGGCTTCAGGGAAAGGAGAAGAAAAAGAAAAAAAAAAAACACCCTGAAACGGATCCTGCTGGACAAGTCCTGCTTGCGTGAAGGGAGCTCACAAATTACACTTCATAGGGCCTCCCCGTTAAACATACATAGACAACCAAGGGTTACTCAGATATTTGAAGCAAATCTCCCATGCAAAATCTTTCAGAGCATTTATCTAGTGCTTGCTTTCTGGCAAAGTCCTTCTCATATTCACTTAGTTAACTTTTGCAACAATCGCAGAACATAAGTTCTGTTATCTTCATATTTTAACACGAAGAAACTCGTATTTAAATGATTTATAAATGACTTGAAAGTATAATAAAAATACAAAAAGATATGACAGCTAGAAAAGTAATCTAGGTTTTGTAGCTATCTAATAAGAATTCTAGAATTCGTATTAAAAACAGTAAAAATATCCAATACAATGAATTAAGAAACACACATACCAAGACTCACCATTTTATAATGTCATAACACCCAGAATAAAAAGAAGCGATGCAAAATTCTAGACACACACACACCAACTGGTATCATCAACAACAACAGCACACATTAAGGAATGAAGGTAAAAACAACATCAGCTTTTAAACAGCACTATTGGAGGTGAGCAGACACTGAAGCAAAGTTCCAAGGCGATTTTTTTAACAGTTTTAAGATTGCTGATTTATTTTACACATTTAAATATTCATCAATTTTAATAATTACTTTTATAATACATAATTATATTTGCAACATATATTACATATAACATACACAAATAATAATACATTATTCAATACAATATAAATGAAAACACAGCCAAGTAATAACATATAAAGATATCTGCTGAGACCAGCTCGGTCATGGAGACCCTAACCCAGCAGCGCTAGAGGAATTTAAGACACACACACAGAAATATAGAGTGTGGAGTGGGAATCAGGGGGCTGACAGCCTTCAGAGCAGACAGCCACGAACAGAGTTTTACCCACAGATTTATTGACACCAAGCCAGTGATAAGCATTGTTTCTATAGATTATAGATTAACTAAAACAGGGAAATAAAGGGATGGGCTCTGGCTAGTTATCTGCAGCAGGAACATGTCCTGAAGGCACATATCGCTCATGCTATTGTCTGTGGCTTAGGAATGCCTTAAGCGGTTTTCTGCCCTGGGTGGGCCAGGTGTTCCTTGCCCTCATTCCGATAAACCAACAACCTTCAGCGTGGGTGTCATGGCCATCACAAACATGTCACACTGCTGCAGAGATTTTGTTTATGACCAGTTTTGGGGCCTGTTTATGGCCAGATTTGGGGGCCTGTTCCCAACAGATATCAAGAGGCACATATGGAAGAAGAAAAATCAGTGTCCTACACTTCTCATAGGCCATTAAAAATCAAGTCCAAACTACTGCAACAAATGATCAGTTTTCATTTTTCAGACTGTGAAAATATTGGTAATATCTGAAGTTGTCAAGAGTATGGAGAAAGGTACCCTCTTATATGCTATTGGTAGGACAACATAAATGGTTTAGGCCATTTTGTGGAAAACTGATCAATCTATCTGAATTTAGTTATAGTTACTTTTCTTACTAAACTGCATTTCTTTCATCACTAATTTCCATAAACCTGGTCTCTCCAGATGCCACCCATGGGAAGGGGGAATGCCAAGGACCCTTGTCTGGCTTAAGAAAGCAGATTTACAACTAATGATGCATTCAGTCAACATAGATGTCAATTTATGTATTATTACCATGGCAACTAATTAGTAGGAATGGTAGACTTCTAGAGTTTAAAGGTTATTTTTACAGAACATAATAATTTCTAAAGTCTGGATGTCTTCCAATACTCCCTTTTCATAAATGCCTTTTTATTCTGAGAACAGTTGTATTCTGAAGAATGTATCTGCTTTTCAGCAGCTCCATGAAATAGAAAAATTTTTCTACTTCTTGTCTTGCTAATGTTTCTTTGACCATATAGCAGAAAGTGCTAGACTAAGTACTGGAAAAGCATTATTTAGGGAAAAAAATAGACTTGGGAAGTCCAAACCTTCAATACATAAAATAAAGGGCAGAAAGAAATGTAAAGAAACAGAAAATGGGCCACGTATACTCTCTTACTGTAATAGTCACATAAGTACAGATGTGGGGAGTTATAGATACACTGTAGACATGGGCATACACATAGGTAAATATACACAATAGTTCATGGTAACATTTGAATTTAGATAAACCTGGGAAATTATTTGGGATCTAGAGTTCTTTCTTGGTTAATTCTAGCTAAATTATCTATTATGCTTAAGAATAGGTTACGATGCTTTCAGAAATGCAAGGATTCACAAAGAATATACTGAGGTAGTGTATGGTAGTGTGTAGATACAGAAACCATGAAACTAACACTGGAAAGAAGCAGAATCAGAAACATTAAAAGATAGGGATTTACTATATGGAGGAAAAAAACACCAGCTAAAAGCGTTAAGTGATTAGCTTTGAAGTGAAAATGGCTCACATGTTTGTCACTTGTAACCATGTGTATATATTCCTTTGGCAATTTTTTTGGAAATATTATTAGCAAAATCCTCCTCTCCAAATTCAGAAGGCCACAATAGGTTTTGCTAAGTTGGTTACCAAAGTTAGAATCCACGAAGATTTTATAGATTTGCTTCTATAAGGATTTTAACAGAATCACAAATATGAAACACTTTTAAATGCCAGGAAGAATGACCTGAAGCCTATATGTGACTGACAAAAAAGCTGTATCTTTACCATCTAAAGACTGCTTCTAAATCAGTCTAATGAAACTAAACTTCCAATAGAAAAGTGAGCTGAGGACAAAAGAAAAAGCAAAGGTCAACCATAGGAGAATGTAAGTGGTCCAACTATTCAATATTCTGGAAAAGAGAAAAATGGCTATTACACTGGCAAAAGTTAGAACAAGTGAGCTGGGAATATGAGAAAATCGTCACTCTCCCACACTCCTAGTGGAGATGTGAATTGTGCAAACTATTCAGGTTACAGTTCTGATCAAACTCTTTCCCCACAACCTTTGATGCATCAATTCCAGTTCTAAAGCTTTATTATAAAGAAATAATTGGACAAGTTTATGAAGGTATATGGACAAATGTGTTCACTGCAGCTTCTTTTTAAAAAAATTTTTTTGTAGAGATGGGTCTTGCTATATTGCCAAAGCTGGTCTCAAACTCCTGGGCTCAAGAGATCCTCCTGCCTTGGCGTCCCAAAGCTCTGGGATTACAGGCATGAATTACCACACCTGGCCTAGCTTCTCTCTAATATAGAAAAATGTAAAATAATTATCTGAAAATATATGATTTGTTAAATGAACCATGCTATACTCACGACATTCAATACGTGACTATTAAAATAGCAAGGCAGGTATCTCTTCATTAACATGGAAAGGACAGTCACTATATGTTAAGTGAAAGTATAATTAGGGGCATCTCCATCCACGGAGGCTTGTTTGCCTACAACATCTTCTCAGGGTCTCTTGGGCCCCACAGGGCTGAGTTACCATCATCTCTTGCACGGATTGCCACAGTACACTCAGAATCACTCTCCCCACTCTTGTCTCTCTAAGTTTTGTATCTTAGAAATCACCACTCTGAGGTCAGAGTCATTTTAAAAAATGTGTATTTTTTAAATATCACTCTCTCACTTAGACGTTTCAGTTTTTAGGCTGAAGTCTGAAATTTTCCACGTGGCCATCAGGGTGTTAGCACAATTCTCTAGCTTCATTGTTCACCCTTCTTACCTTTGCTCTTTTTGTTCCAGCCAATCACGTTTCCTTTCGTAGCATTAAATACTTCCTGAAAGAATTAAATTCCTATTAAATATTTCTTATAGCACTTACTGTATTTGTAACTAATTATTTTACAATTATTTGTTTAATGCTTCTCTGTCCATGAAAAGAGAGGACATGTCTGTGTTACTTCCTGCTGTACACAGACTGCTGACACAATGCCAGGCTGCAGAGGGCTGCTCCATCAGTATTTGCTGGAGGAATGCATGGATGGATTGATGAATGAATGAATGAATGAATGTACTTGGCCAAATGAATGCATAATTGCTCTATGCATCTATATCCTTTATATTTGTGTGTATGCATATACTTACATTTGCATGGGGAAAATTCTGGATGAATCTATTTCAAAATATTAGTTATATCTATAACGTTAGCCATTTTTTCCTATTTATTTAATTTCAAATTTTCTTTGAATTTTTTTGGGGGATAGTATCTTAATATGGTCCTCGGCAATAACATTTTCAACATTATCTGGTAAAATTCCTCAAGAAAAATAATCAACAAAATTATACAGCCAAAGTAAAACATGGGGAAATACTACCAAATAGATAAGTGTAAAAGAGACATTAATTTGCTGGGCATATGATTAGGGCAAATGAGTTAACCACACTAAACCTCAGTTACTTTTACTGTAAAATGGGTGTAACAATATCAGCTTTGAAGAATTGTTATGCAGAACTGAGATAATGTACATTCCATGCCTCACTCATAGCAGCTGCCTAGTAAGTTTAACTAATTTTATGGAAACAATCTACATAAGGAATCTCAGAGAAACCCAAAGTGATTGTAATACCTTAAAATGCTTTTATTGAAGGAAGAATGAAAATATTCATAAAATTTAATAATGTTATCTTAAAATATTAGACTCTTGATTTAAAATAAGGAGTTTAGGAAACAACATATTAGATTTAAACTACCTGTAAATCATAAAAAATTCTTTAGAAATAGCAACAATTCTTACCTTTGCATTCTCCTGCAGAGAAAAAAAACTCAAGCCCCCAATTTTTAGCATTAGGCTTCCTAGTTAGACCATAATTTTTGATCGTGGCATTCTTAAAGCTCCTTGCTTGATTTAACACATATCTTTGTAAAAGGAAAATGGGAGAGGCAAGTTCTATTTGTGTTAAATATTAACAGAACTTTGTAATTTCTGTTAATGGTACACGTTCATTAGGGGAGATTGTTTAAAATCTTTATACATTCAAGAGCTGTTCTATGTTTTAAACTGATGAACAGACACAGTAATTTCCTCTTAAATGCTATCACTGCTTGAATATTTCAGCTAGTGTATTCCTAGGGGGGCTTTATAGTTCTTTGATTTAACTCACCTTTCGTTTCTAGAGGCCTTTTTTTTAAAATGATAAATCTGATTTATTGCTAAAGTAGAACACTTAAGGGAGACACACACACACACACACACCAGTTGAACATAAGATTGAACTTAGTTGATCTCCCCTAAAATATTTTTAAAGTAAATAAGAAAAGCTACTGAAGGAAAAGAATAAATAAATTTCTAAATGAAAATATAAATAAATGCTTTTTGACTTTGCCTTTGAAATAGCAGTGGAGAATATAATGCAGGGTATAGAGTTTATAATGCCTGTGCATTTGAGAAGAGATGTAGAGTGGGCAGAGTTTTACTGAAAGTCAGATTATTATGCCACCCTGTTTGCCTGGGTCCTCTCTGGGTTTACATTTACTTGAATTCTTCAGTTTTCAAAGAGGTGTTATGATCAATAGTTGCAGCAACAAACTGGAACAGATTTAGTGAATCCACCTGGTGGAGTTAGCTGTGCCATGTAGAGCCCTCACCTTATCACGGTACTGGGAAAGAGACCAGTGACCACTCTGAGCTCCTGCCCCTTGCAAACCCAATGTGGCTAACCCCTCCCTTTCAAAGACAGCATTCCGGGTGCTCACTGGGCAAAAGGAGTGTGCTCCACTGCCAGTGGCTAGGGACACCTCTCTCCCCAGTTTTTCCTGTCTTTCTCAGTGGTGTTAGGAAAAATATTCTAGAGCTTCCCGACTGCTGGGTGCACTCAGACCATCTGGGATGCCGCTCAGAAGCAGTTGCTGGCTCAGTAGGTCAGGGGTGTATCTGAGATTCTGCATTTCCACTAAGCTTCCAGTGACATCTTTGCACTAGTCCCTCAGACCACAATTTGAGCAATAGGGAACTATGCAGTGTTGCCTCTCTGCTGACTACCTGATGTACCGAATCTGTCGTGCCGAATCTGGGCTTTGGCCAGAGACCGATGTATCAAGGTCACTAGGGCACCATTAGATGGGGTCAGTGGAAACTGTGGGAAGTGATAGAGTAAGTGAAGGAGAAATGTGGTAGAAACAGAGGCTGAGTGTTGCGGAATAGTCTGAGTGTGAATCTTAGCAAGTAAATCTACCTTTTACTTATAATATTGTTTGGCAATGATTTAAAAAATATTTTCAGTAAACCATTTTGATGGTAATAAACTAAAAGATGAAAATTCATGTTTCAGGGAAAATTTGATAATGAATATGGGAGCAAATGACAATGTGTAACATTAAAATAGTGTGACTGCTTTGCCTTCTTCCATGGTGGCTGACGTGTTGTCCTTGACCACCTAAAAACCAGAAGATCGTATCACAGACCAGACTTCTGCCTCATAGGCTAGAGGTTCATTTATGAAGGAGGCTAGCGTGCAGCTGCAGAAGATGTGTTTGCATAGACCCCTGTAAAGCAAGACTCGTCATTTAGATCAAGTGAACGTCCTAAGTTAATGTCATATATTATCAATTTCAAGCATTTTATTTGTGAAAGTAGAAGTGTAAAACAAAAACTGTTAATGTGTTGGCTCCATTAACAGAAGAACTTTGCAAGAATTAAGTAAAGCTAGTTTTGTCTCAATGCTATAAGATGCTTTATAAAGAAAACCAGTTATTTCCGGTAAAATTTGATTTATTTCATCTAACTCATGAAGTCAAAGTAGAGCACGTGGAAGTTCATTCCGTTGGAGGTTAAAAATACGACTTTTCCGAGGCGGGCGGATCACCTGAGGTCGGGGGTTCGGGACCGGCCTGACCAACATGGAGAAACCCCATCTCTACTAAAAATACAAAATTAGCTGGGCATGGTGGTGCACACTTGTAATCCCAGCTACTCAGGGTGCTGAGGCAGGAGAATCACTTGAACCCAGGAGGCGGAGGTTGTGGTGAGCCGAGATCTCGCCATTGCATTCCAGCATGGGCAACAAGAGCGAAACTCCATCTCAAAAAAAAAATTGACTTTTTTGAGGTGAGGGCTGTTATAAATTCAGTTTTAAAATTTGACACTGAAGATAAAGTCATATTTTTGTCATGATAAAGTAAAGATAAATTTTAGCGAAACACAAAATTGTGGTAAATGCAACATTCTTATCAGATTAAGAAATCAGTGGAGCAGAAAATATACTTGGCCTTCATAATGGTGAACACATAATGTATAATTGTGCTCATACAAGATGGGATATTCCGCCTTTTACAAAGGACATTGTAGTTATCTATGTTTATAAATATTTTGTTTGAGCAGTAAGTAATCACACTACAAAGCTTTAATGACACAGCTATTGTGAATATAGTAAAATGTTTCAGCTTGATGGCATGGGCTTTTCTTCTTTGAGGCCCTTCATCAGTCACAGTGTAGGTGTTTGAACCATAGAAAAACTACTTAAAAATTTTATAAGTGTGTGTCTTACAGTGGGTCTTATGATAAAAGTGGACTTTTTGTGAATTGGTCCTCTATATTATGGTTATATTTAAAAATGGTTGAAAAATTTTTAAACATTTTATTTTTAATTGACAAATAATAATTGTATATATTTGTGGGTCATAAATTGTATACATTTATATTTATTTATCATACACAATGTGTTGTTTTGATATTTGTTTACACCATGGAATAATTATATCAAGCTAATTAACGAGATTTTTTTTGCCTCATATGCTTAACAATTTTTTTGTGATGAAAACATATAAAATCTACTTTTTAAAAGCAATTTTGAAATATACAGTGTGTCATTATTTATTATAGTCACCATTCTGTGCAATAGATTACTGGAGCTTAGTCGTCTTGTCTAACTGAAACTTTGTAGCCTTTTATCCACATCTCCTCTTTCCCTATCCATTTATCTGATGATGGACACCTAAGTTGTTTCCATGTCTTGGCTATTGTAAATAACATTGCAGAGTATGTGAGTGCTGACACTTTACTTCAACACATTGATTTCATTCCTTCAGATATACTGGGGTTGATGGATCATATGGTAATTCTACCTTTAGTTTTCTGAAGAACCTTCATACTGTTTTCCATAGTGGATGTATTAATGTACATTCCCACCAACAGTGCACAGGTGTTTCCTTTCTCTATACTCTTGCCAATACTTGTTATCTTTTGGGTGAAAATTTTTTATCAATATATTCAACTCATAGAGTACCAAAAAGTTTGAAGCTTTTCAAATCGTAATCATTAAAAACAAAATTTGCCAACAAGACCAGATTGAAAATGGTCTGTAAAAGAGCAAGGGAAGAATAAAAATAAATTAAATGGGTGCTTAAATATGTACAAAATTAATTTGAAGTTCTATAATTTGTGCTTAGTATTTTAACTTGGGGCAAGAAGGGTCTCAACTCCCATCACCCTGTCTGGAGTGCAGTGGTGCTGTCTTGACTCACTGTAGCCTCAGGTGATCCTCCCACTTCAGCCACCCGAGTAGCTGGGACTACAGTTGTGTGCCACCACATTGGGCTAATTTTTCATATTTTTTTTTTTAGTAGAGACAGGGTTATGCCATGTTGCCCAGTCTGATCTTGAACTCCTAGGCTCAAGTGATCCACTCACCTTGACCTCCCAAAGTGCTGGGATTACAGACGTGAGCCACTGCACCTGGCCAAGAAAGGACTTTTGATTTAGCTCCTATTTCTAATTGGATAAACTTATACACTCTATCAGGATGAAATGAAATTGAGATGGCCTACAATTACTGTCAGCCTATTCAAAAGAGTCATAGAGAAAAGTATTGAAGACATTTTGTTGTACAAATATTTTTGTCAAGGGAAAATACTCTGAATGGAGGCAAAAGACAGTATCTGTGAAGATAATTGGGCTGAAATATTCTCTACATTTCACTAAGAAAGAAAGTTAAGAAAAATTTTTAGCATAATTTGCTCTTAGCCTACCAAGTATCTTATTAAAAAGTAAACTGAGATATAATAAAATACTAAAGGGTTTATTTGAGCAAACAGTGATTCATGATTGGGCAGCTCCAAACCAGAGTAGTTTGAGAACTCCATGGAGGGAACACAAGGGGGAGACTTTCATAGGATGAACAAGGAAGTAAAACAAGGAAAAATATTTGATTGCTTACAGCTGTGCAATTGCCTTAGCTGGTTTATCCCATTAAAAAGTCACTAGTTATGATCCGGTTCTGATGACTGAAGGAACACCAGGGTTCTTGGTCTCGCACCGGTTTGGATAAAACGACATGGACATACATGGAGTGGTTTTAAGGAGTGAAAAGTTTAATAGGCAAGAAAGAAGGAAGGAAGAAGAAAACAGCTCCACCCTTACAGAGACAGAGGGAGGGGGGATTCCAACAAAGAGAAAATTGAGTGCTGCGGAAGAGTGGCTGTTTATATGAGAGGGCTGGAGGAGGTGGTGTCTGGTTTGTATAGGGCTCAGGGGATTGGTTTGACCAGGCCATTCACATACCCCGCCAAAAAACTGGCCCTCCCACCCTAGCTTTTAGTATGCAAATGCAGGGCGCCTTGATGTTCCACACACTGAGGATATGTGGGGGCGGCCATGTTGCCAGGCACATGTAGAGGCAAGGGCAAGAAAAAGACAGCGGGAAGCGCCATGTTTGGGTGGACCCAGTTTCTAATGGTCAGCATTTGCATATCAAAGCTTGCCGCCTGGCTCTAAGAGCTGGGGCTTTCCTGCTAGACAAGAAACATTTCTGGAGCTGCTTTAAAAGAAATAAAAACTTCCCAAGGACCCCTTTTCCTCTCTATCTGCCTAAAATAATTTCTTAATAACTCTTATAACAGTTATATGTTTGTTGGTTGCTTCTGTTTGGCTGAGCTTACGTTCTGTTTTTCTTTAATATAGGCATTTACAAGGAATAGTTTAAGTTTCACTTATATTTGCAAATCAAGCAAGGTTGAGGTCACGAGGAGGCCCGGCTGGCTTTGTATGCTCAGGGATTCTTCAGGTCGTGTTTCCATTTTCATTTACTTTAACAATCTTATTCCTTTATAAAGAGTATTTTCTCATTTAAAAATGCTATGGTCTGGATAAAGATAAATGCACACACACATATATACACATACACACGAGATTTTAATAACTTATGTGCTTCCCTGCATGCTCAGAAGTGGCCTGGTGTAGGTGATAAATTGTGTTGCACCCTCTGCATTTATCCCTTAGAGCTGGAGGAAGGGTGAGGTGGGCACTGTGACTCTGTCTTTCCTTCCCTATGCAATGCGTCTTTGTCGATTTTTATGCTAAAACCAGGTACTGTGGTCTCTCACCAGTTTCTCTTGCTCTTGTGATGGTTCTTTCGTGAGTAGAGAATTATTCAAATTGGTGTTTCTCTCAGAAGAAACAGAGGGTCCTATTTCTGCATCTTGCTCCGCCCCTTCCTGCATTTATCTTTTATATAAGTATAGGAAGAGAAAGGTCTTTTTGGTCTTCGGATCAAATTCAGATTATTTCTTTCATTTTAATCCTTACAGTGAATCGGGATCTTGGCTGGGAGTGTCTTTCTGTTCCTCGGGGCTGGTTTAGCTCTAGCTTGTCTCGCCCTGCAGCTTTACCTCATGCCCTTTTTTCTCTTTCCTAAGAGAGGTAGTGATTTTCTGCTATCCCCTGCTCCTCCAAGGGGTGAAAGCCTACTCCAGTTTAAACTCCTCGGGGTGAGCCCCGCCCCTCCAGGGGAAAGCCATCTCCAGGTTCTAGAATGAGGCTGTGACTCATGCTGACCAGGGATGAGAGGCAGCCTTAGCCAACACTCCCGAGAAATGGTTTCCCTTCTCAAGAGGAAGCCAGCACAGGCGAGCCTCTCCTGAGCACCTGGACGAGGACAGATGAAGCACGCAACTGCTGCCAGCGTCCGGAGGGTATTTGGGGCGCCTGCCTCGGTAGAATCTGAGGCTCTGCATGGCACAGCAGAGAGGCAGAAAGAGGCCAAGTCTTTGATGGTATCTTTGCACTTCTGACTTCTGTTCTTATTTTGTGAGACAATGAATGCTCTTATTATTTAAGTGGTTTTCCTGAATTGGGTAGTTTGTCACCTTCAGATAAAGGTGTCCCCAGTGACATATTTCTCCCGCAGCAGCAGCAGCAAACTCTCCTCATCCCTCCCACAGTCCTCATGCTGGGCTTCTCAGTTGTCCTGTAGCCCACATGCTCTCTTATATATGTGTGTACGGATCCTTTGTGATCCTACTGTGATTGTAACATTACTGAAAGCAGAGAAACTACATGTTTCTTTTTGAAAAAACATGAATAATGCTGTTATTTTACTTTAATAACGCATGTAATGGCTCAATTTATTAAATATTGATTAAATGCCTGCAATGTCCCAGGTATTGTGCAAGGCATTCAGGAAACAGAGATGATTAAAATAGATAGGGTTTCTGCCTTCCTAAAGATTCATCTAGGACTTTACCGCCTGGTCTTCATGTGGTCATACAGCAACTTCGCTTGGTTGAATTGTATTTGTCGTAATAGAAAAAACAGAACATTATAGCAGAGAAACTGTCAGGCTTTCTATATTTCAGACATAAGGTGAAGCTAAATCTTGAAAACACTTCATGAACATTTCATTTTCTTAAGTTACCTTTGCAACAATTAACTGTGTATTTCAAAGTATTTGTGTCTAAATTATTTGAGTAGACGTCTGAATTCCATGTCAGGTATTGTGCAAGAATATTACCATAATAGTCAGACTTTCCCTCCTTAATTGGTCCTTCTTTCCTATATCACTTGGCTTTTTAAAGATCTTACTTAAGCATACAAATTAGACGCTATGATTTTTCCTCTTGCTTGTCCCCAGGATTTATTTATTAATTGAGTTTTTAAACCTACTAATATCTCTTAAATTCTTTACCTCTTCTCCAACACACTTCCCACTCCATATTAGCTATGTGACTTTGGACAAGTTGTCTTACTGCCCAGTAGTCTGGTTTCATATTGAAAATAGGGATACTGGAGGCAGAGGTTGCAGTGAGCCAAGATTGCACCACTGCACTTCAGCCTGGGCGACAGAGTGAGAACCTGTCTCAATAAATAAATAAATAAACAATAAAAATAAAATGGGGATAAAAATAGCACTCCCCTGAAACAGTAACTGAGGATAGACTGCAGTCACATTTGAAAAGTGTGGAGCATTCTGCCAGGTGCGAAGCTCTGAATACATGTTCTCTACATTCCTCACCTTACTCTAGTGCTCATCGTCTCTCAGTGGGGATTATTTTGAAAGCTTTTGAACTGATCTTTCTGCATCTATTTTCTCCTTCCTTAAGTCCATACTCTTCTTTGTGGTTTACATTATTATCTCTCCAACATAAATATGATCATACTTCTCCCTATTGCTTATGGCATCCTAAAATCTTTAGGATGGTTCAGATAAGCAAATGCTACTTAGAAGCTACCTGAGCCATTCACTGAGCTGGTCATTAAGAGCACAAAGTGGCTATGTCCTACTTCTTGCTTTGAAGCAGCATAGGAACAGTGGGAAAGATGGACCCATAAACAAATCACTCCATGCCCAATGGCAATGGTATATGTAAGCTATGGAAGTTGTGTTCAAGACTGGATGATTAACTGCATTAAGGGTTAGGGAGGGGAGTGAACATACATATGGGGAAGGTCACACCTTAGCAGAGTCTTGATGGAAAAATATAGCTTAGACTCATTTTTGTAGGCTCTGAGAAGCTACTGATGGCCTTGAAGCAAGGGAGTGTCACGTTCAGACTTTTCTTTTGGAGACCGTTCTTGCCTTCTGATTTTTCCCAGCGAACTTCCCTTTTGATGGCCTCTTTGGTTTGAGTGGGCTCCATGTAACCTAAACACAAAACCCAAGCCAAACAAACAACTTTTGGAATTTTCCAACAGTTTTCAGAAAGGACATTCAGAAGAAAAACCTTTATATGGAGGGCACTGGACATCTAGGCAAAGTTAGCATTTATTAAGCTCTGTAGTTCAACGGAGATACCGATGTGTTGCTAACAGGTGCTACTACGCTTTTTGGATGAGGAGAGGAGGAAACCGAGGCATAGAAGCTGCACTACCAGTTAGTGAAGGAGTTAGGAGTCCAACCCTGGCCTGCCTGGCTGCAGAGCCTGTGCTCATATCATCCCGGTCACTGCCTCTGGTCACTCAGCCCTGCCCGTCTTCCCCACACCAGTGAAATTCTACTTCCCACCTTCGCTCATTCCCAGAGCCTGCCATAGTGCATTGTCTCCCAGGAATTCTTTCTCTTGAGTTTTCTTCAATGAAGTTCTTCTTATGTTTTAATATGTAGCCTCAAAGTCAACTCCTATGAGAGGCCTCTCTGCCCCAGCCTCTCTCATCCCAACACCGTCCCAATATGGTTAAGGAATTACTCCCGGAGGTTTCATGGAGCCTTATATATGCCTTCCTGATGATGCACTGTCTTCATTTGCTAATCGTTTATTTTCCCTTTACATTTTGATCTTCTGCAAGCGGGCAGCTTAGCATCTGGTGCGTAGTAGATGAATGCATGAGAATGATAATTTTGTGAATAAATAATGAATAATGTGAATCAATAATCGTGGTTAATATTGAAAATATTAGCATTGAATAATTCTGTTCAGGTGCAAGATGGAGTGTTTCTTTAGATACTCAGTGGACTCTCAAATTTTGAGAAGAAAGGAATTACAGAAATGGACGAAGTGATGGTTTGAAGGCATCCATTTTATTCCATGCTTCCTATTTTCCAAGACATTATTCTACTGCCATGAATGAACTAACATGATTGTTATGAACTGAGTGTTCACGTTGCCCGCAAATTCATATGTTGAACCCCTAACCCCCAGTTTAATGGTGTTAGGAAGTGAAGCCTTTGGGAGGTGATTAGGTTGTGAGGGTGGAGCCTCATGATGAGATGAGTGCCCTTATGGAAGAAACCACAGAGAACTCCCTGGCCCTCTTTCTACCATGTGAGGACACAATGAGAAGTCTGTCTGCATTCTGGGAAAGGCCCTCAGCAGAACCCAGCCATGCTGGTGCCTTGATCTTGGACTTCCAGCCTCCAGAACTGTGAAAAATAAATACTTGGTGTTTAAGCCACCTGGTCTGTGGAAATTTATTTTAGCTGCCTGCAATGACTAAGACAACAATCTATTTTTGATTTGATGTGAATCAGAGATGCCACTCTGCTCCTCTGATTTACTTTAAAAAGCACACAGGAGACAGAATTTAGCTGCAACCCTCCTGCAGCTCGGCTGACTGTCCACCTCCCAAAGCCTGCCCCTCTTGTCCTCTGTGTTGCACTGTGGCTGTCATTCCTGCTCCTCTCCTGCAGTGAGCTGCTGTGTGACATCTGTGTCCCAGCCCTCTTCCTCCTTCCCTGTTTTATCATCTCTGTGGCACCTTGAATTGTTTAATATGCTTTTGTTAAAGGGAGCAGTGAGGGGTGCTGGTCTTTTCCCAGACTGTGCCCTCATTTAAATCCTATGTTCTTTTAGGCCAGGACAGCAGCTGTGAGGCACAGAAGCATTTACTAAATGTTCTAACTATGTGAAAAAGCTTTATTCTTGTATAGCTGTGTGTGTGCAGGCAGCACGAGCTGAATATGCTTCTGTTGTATATCCTTAAGTTGCTCTTCTTTCCTGCTAATGAGCCATAGAATATTCTCTTAGACCTGGTCATCAAGACAGTGGTGGAAATGCCTTCTGTTCTTTTGCTTAATAAAATAAGTAGCATTGCTAATACAAAATGAATTTGGTTTTCAATTTGTTTTAAGTTGTCATTTTAGCATCCTGTCATCATTCTTGCCAAATGCCTTTCAGGGTCCAGTCCTTGTCTGTTCTCTTGCCCTATAATAAAGAACCGAGATCTCATCACCAGGGAAAACTAGCCAGTGAGGCAAGACAGAGCCAGACATTTGCAAAGATGAACAGATTCCAAGAGCATGTAGTGCTTGCACATGGTAGCAATTGGTAAATGTATTAAAAACAAAACAGACTTGAAAACCAAAGAGCAGGCTTGAAGGAATGAATTTAGAGAAACCTAGAAAGATCTGAGGTTTCTCTGGGATAGATGAGAGGATACATTGACTTCCTAATAAATTCAAAACTCATGTTTGTCTAGCTACATTCCTCTAGTGACAACGTGAGGTTCAGCTCAGTACCACGGGACTGTTACCCAGCAGAGCACAGGGTGGACAGTATGTGACAGGAAGTACATGGGAAAATGGAAGAGGAAGGAGGGATGGAAACAGACTCATAATCCCACATGTGCTTTGCACATTAAACCATGTTAAATGTCTTACTTGTATGTGGAAGCATGTACAAAATACCTTGTGCTCTTAACGTATTTCATATTGTAATATGAACTGTAAATGCGTAGTATAAGCTGTTGGAATTAGCTGGCACATGAATAGTACCATCTGTGCATGTCAAGTAAGAAACTACAATACTATTGAAAAAATACTTTCCCCATCTTAGAAAATAGCAGAGGGATGGGTTTTTAGTGTATCAGTTTTGCTTAATTGGGAGATTAAGTAGAAATCTAATAATTCCCCAGTGGAGGCACTGCTCGCACAAACAGGTCCTACAATGAAGGAGGACACTAGCTATGCCATGGGCACCATGCCATAGTAGTGAGGGAAACAATTTCTTAAGGTGTTCTAAATAATACATTTTTGGTATTTTGAGGAAAGGTCTTAGTTGTCTTCAATTCTACCCAAACTATGGTGTGGTTACTTTGAAGCGTCAAAGCTTTGCACCTGGATAATTGACATAACAGGGGCTCTTAAAGCATGTATAACACAGACACTTCACAGAAACTTGGATAAAATACTTATTTTCTTGTACATGATAAAATGGACAAAGACTTATTTTAAAGCATGTTTGCCCACTAGTGAACATGTGTACATGGGAGAGCTTATGAGTAGATGAAGGGCAGGTGTCCAAGCTGGGAGAGGTCAAAGTAGGTGAGATCTACTAAGGAGAGGTACATGGAACATAGGCAGGATTTTTTTTTTTTGATGGAGAAAAAATTTAATCAATCTCTTGCCTACATTTTCCAGAAAATGTTATAAAGAGGGTCATTTTGCTTGAGTTATATAGATAATCTATTTTCAATTGAGATCAGACCTCAAGAGCTCAAATCAGCTACTGGATATATGCCAGAAAGAGAATTTAAAGGCAGTTTTTAAAAATAAAAGGGTTGTTCAACTACAAAGCATTAGCAGTATTCTGTTTCCAAGAACCACTCAGCGGCCATCTAATATGGAGTTGTACCCAAGTGGTAAACAAACCAGATAGGAGCAGCTCTTGAATAGTCCAGCAAAGGATCCTGGCCAAGCTTCAAGATGCCTGTTGGCAAATGGACAAAGAGGATTGCAGCTGCACTGAGCAGCACTAGCCTCTCCTGGAGCACACCCACGTTCACAGTGCTATGTCTCTGAACATGGTGCTTTGAGCTTCCTCTTTTTGCCCAGCAAACTTCTTTCAAGGTCCAACTCAAATACCACTTAGTCCATGAATCCTTTCTTGATGGTCCCCATAGATTCCGTTGCCCTCTTTTTGTGCATCGATAGCCCTTTTTTCACACCCTGCTTTAAAACATCTTATAAATTTGAACCTTTGATTCTCTCATTGCTCTTAGCGCTGATTCAAGAATAGAGATGATGACTTATTCATATTTTATATCCTCAGGCTTTAGCCTAGTGGCGGCAATGAGGAACTGCTCAGGAGTCAGTCAGTAACTAGGATGGTATGTATTTTTGACATCCAGTTGGCTTTGACAACAGGATGAGACTGTAACAACTTTGACCTGGATGCTTGGAGTCAATGCAGCATGAATGGGAATGAGGGAATAAGGGTTTGCCTTGAGAGCATTGAGAATTTTACTGCTCTGTTTGTTATTTAAATTACCTGCTTCTATTTATTTTACTCAAAAGATGTTATATTCTTTATGATAAATCATTTAGAAAAAAATGTCTAAGTAAAACCTGCAGAGTATGCCGTTTTGGAGAATATAGTGTGTCTTTCTCAAAAATATTAAAAATTACACTTTTCTTTTTCTTTGATCACACACTTCTATGTAAAAATGGACTAGCACGCTGTTTGAAGCATGCTGTTCCTGGAACTACTGTTTATATATCATGCACTACCATTTATATATTGTGCACTACTGTTTATATATCATGCACTTTCCCTGTAGTTAGAGTCTAGAAATGAGGGAAAACTGCCAGAGTTTCCCTGGCATTTGCATTTCAATAGCATATTATTTTGGCTTTTCCAACACAAAAACTGTTTGTATGACCTTCATAGTGTGATTACCTGAAGAGGCAGGGAAAAGAGATGTGCTATTATTCACTTAACTTGGTCAATATGCCGAGTCAAGAGGGTAGTTTGGGCCCACAGTGCCGTTTTGGCCTGTAATTAAGACACAGTGAACTGAGTATTTAAAATATTAAGCAGTCTTGTTAGACAATTTAGTTCTAAAAAGGTCACATTGGGAATTGAATCTATGAGAAAGATTACTTACATTAAAAATGAAGTCTATTCTTCATACATAGTCACAGGTTTATGAAGAAAGGAACATGTGAAAACCAAAGCAAATCACAACATGCTGACTTCCTGTCATTATTATGTTCTACACTTCCCTGTCAATCTGCATTCTAGCCAAAGCTGTTATTTCCATTTCTTTGAAGTTCACTTGGAATTTAAACAATTAAACTCACATTCCTTTGAGAAGACTCACCTTCTTACTGTTCTAAGATTGTTCATGCCCTCATCTGTACACACACACATTCACACACACGTGCACTCACACACAGGTGTTGCACTTTGGCTAACTGACATGGGATTGGGGTAACATTTTGAAGTTTTATTTCCAGGTAATTTCTTCTAAAACATTTTAGAGAAGCTCATATACTCATGGTTATCTTTGATTCTGGTACTATGTCTTATAAAAATTAAATCTGATGGTTCGTTATAAATTATAATAAATATAAATCTGATGGTTCATCTATAAATTATAGAAAACAGAGTCTTTTTAGTTGTGGCCAAAAATGTGAGTGAGACTGAGGGTTGGGGAGTGGAAGGGCAGGTGCCATCTGTGATGCCCACTGGGCCTCTCTTTTCCAAATCCGAGCAGCACAGATACACCAGTGGGTTTTATTTGGTCATACTTGAAGTATTTTAATTAGAAACACACTTGCTACTTCTGGTTCTGGTTGTTTGGTACCAGGTGGACATATTATTTAGCTATTTGAAGCATGCTGTTCCTGGAACTACTGTTTATATAACATTAATATCATATGTTGATTGAAGTTTTTCACTGCCTCATTTCCATCACTAAATTCATCTCTAGATGTAGAACCAGTAAACCATGGAGCATCATCTGTGCAAGTGGCATGAGGACATTTGGCACAATTCCAGAGGATCTGGATGTACTAAGGATTTAGGTGCCTCAGCTCTAGACATGTGGTCTTCATTTTCCTGAGACACTTTCAAGCTTTACTAAACATTCTTTTTAGGAGCCATAAAAGTCGATTTGATGAGGAGTTGAATCAGTGAGGTGAAAAATCATGAGCAATAGCTAGGTTGCACTGAGTTCTTTAGAATGGGTATGGATATGGAGAAAGGTGTATTGAGGCTCTTTGAAAGTAGTCATCAAAATGGAGGCTCCCTCTTGGTTTCATGCCAACTGTCTCTATTGGCTACCACTTATGTAAATGATCAGTTCCATAAGAGAAAACGACTTAGAAACTTTGTTCAATTTGGGCAAAAATGGGAGACAATAAAAAATGAAACTGTGATAAAAAGAGCACACTGGAAACCAGGGCAGGGAATATCAAGTTGTCAAAGTGTTATTCAAAACCAAATAAACATGAAAAAGTCAAGTAGTAGGAAAAGTTTAGAAAAAAAAAATTCCAGTGTTTAGTACAATAAGAGAGAGAGAGAATACTTAGACATATTTTCATGCAGAACTAGATAAATCATTACTCTGGTTTGTTTGGAGTAAAATGTCAACTTGTCTAATTTATGTTCATTTCAGGTTAATTCATCTTCTGTGCTTCTTTTCTGAGGATGCTTTCTGTAAAGATGTATTCATATGAAACGACTTTTAAAATATTTATAGATTTCTATACAATTTTGAAAGTCCATTTTCATTAAATAATCTTTATTTCTGTTGTTTGAGGTTATGGCATTATAACTTTAACAACTCCTGTGTTATGATAGATTGTGTTTAGCAAAGAACTTAGAGGCAACTTTACTAATTTAAATTTTTTAAAAAATCATTGATATAAGAAATAATTTTGTTGTTTCCTTCTAAATATCATGGCATGATTTTCAAAGACATTTTTCTCTATGGGGAAAGAAATATTAAGCCTGACATGTTCTTTTTGGCATCTTGCATACCCAGGGGCTTTCTAGGCAAGAGGACCCAGCCATAGGTTACTATGTGAGCATTGCCTTGGGATCACACAGGTAGAAATTCCAGCTAGGTGTAGAGCTTAGCAATGAAGGTCAAGTCTCTAAAAAATTCAGTGTTTATCTCAAGGTCCTGCAAAAATGCTGCCTTCTCAATGAAGCATTCTCGATGCCTTGGGCCTTCTGAACATCTTGGCTAATTTACATCAGCTTGCCTTTGTCATCTTCTACCAATGCTAAACTTGGCCTGTGTGGGACTTCGATTGAAGAATCCCATGATGTTAGGATAAAATTTAGCCTCGCATAGAGCCTGAGCTATGGGAGGAACTCAAGAAATATACAGCAAGAACAAAGACATTTGGCTGGGTGCGGTGACTCACGCCTGTAATGCCAGCACTTTGGGAGGCTGAGGTGGGTGGATCACGAGGTCAGAGATCGAGGCCATCCTGGCTAACACAGTGAAACCCCGTCTCTACTAAACATACAAAAAATTAGCCAGGCATGGTGGCGGGTGCCTGTAGTCCCAGCTACTCGGGAGGCTGAGGCAGGAGAATGGCATGAACCCGTGAGGTGGAGCTTGCAGTGAGCCAGATCGCACCACTGCATTCCAGCCTGGGCGACAGAGCAAGACTCTGTCTCAAAAAAAAAAAAAAAAAAAAAGGAAAAAGACATTTAAGGTTTTCCAATTACACTGGCACCATAGACAGTAAAGCTGAGAATAAGAAATTAATATATTGATCCCGTGCATGGTAGCTCACACCTGTAATCCCAGAACTTTGGGAGGCCGAGGCGGGTGGATCACCTGAGGTCAGGAGTTCCAGACCAGCCTGGCCAACATAGTGAAACCTCGTCTCTACTAAAAATACAAAAAACTAGCTGAGCGTGGTGGTGTGCGCCTGTAATCCCAGCTACTTGGGGGCTGAGGCAGGAGAATCGCTTGAACCCAGGAGGTGGAGGTTGCAGTGAGCCGAGATTGCACCACTGCACTCCAGTCTGGACAACAGAGCAAGACTGTCTCAAAAAAAAAAAAAAAGAAAAGAAAAAGAAAAAAGAACAAAAAAGAAATTAATATCTTGAGAAAACCTCGTCTCGTGAGTCTGACAGTTGACGAGAGACAGGGAATTGTTCATCTTCCGCAGGAGAACTTTACAAAGTCTCTCTCCCATAGGGGAAGTTTTGCTGTCGGCCATGTCTAAATACCTAGAAAGACTTATGGGGAAAGTTTCATCAGGATCTATTATTGGTATCTACAGTGGTTATCATGAAAGCCACTTTAATAAAACATAATTCCCTTTGACACACTTATTAAAACATGAAATCAGTTCAAAGTTTGACTTTGCAGTAAGCTATTCAGCAGAGGTTTGCATTTTTTCCACGGGAGCCCAGTGTAATCCTGAAGGTGAGAAAAGAAAAAGTGTCTATGGAATGGCAGCTGTTGCAGGGATCATCACAGCAGTTTAAGGCTAGGCTCACACAGCAAAGCATTTTGGTTATATTTACCATTTCAAATCCACAGTCTACACAAAGAGCCACATCATGACATGAAATTAGAGGCGGTCTCTAACCACATTGAGATCGCGTTGCTTAAAGAATTTATGATGCTTAAGGATGCTGAGCTGGTGTGCTTTGACAATGGGTAGGCAGAACATGAAGCTGTCATAGGAGCTTTGAGTGGCCAAATGAGACCTTGGAAGTCCCCTACCTCTCCCTTGTTTTGGCTTTTCCAATGCTTGAGATTGAGTTGTTACTACTGGTGTGATTTATGGTAGAAGAGAAGACATAAGAGACTGGGCACAGCCAAGCTTTCTTCACCAGCCTTTATTATTTTCTTCTTACTTTGATTGACCTTTCAAAAAAAATTTTTTTTTTTTTTTGACAGAGCCTTGCTCTGTTGCCCAGGCTGGAGTGCAGTGGCATGATCTCAGCTCACTGCAGCCTCCACCTCCCGGGTTCAAGCCATCCTTCCACCTCAACCCCCCGAGTAGCTGGGACTACAGGCATGCACCACCACACCCTGCTAATTTTTGTATTTTTTGTGAAGATGACGTTTCACCATGTTGCCCAAGCTGATCTCGAACTCCTGGGCTCAAGTAATCTGCCTGCCTCCACCTCCCAAAGTGCTGGGATTACAGGCATGAGCCATCATGCCCGGCTGACTAATTTTTTTATCTCATTAAAATTTCTCAAATTTTGATGGAATCCAGGCACAAATTTTCTAGGCTGTCAGCTTTTAGCCTGATACCCACCAACATATTTTGACTGTTTTGTAGTTTTTATTAAGAATTCTAGAATTTCATTTTAATTAATGTATAGCTAGAGTTGAAAATCCCTAAAATTAACTTGACAATAAAAAATCTTAATTGACACATAAATATATCAAAGTAATTTTATATAATTATTTAAATATATAAAAGTAATTTTAGATAATTAAAATTTATTCTCTTTCTATATGCAGGTGTGTGTGTAAGAGACCAAGAAAGAGTGAAAGACAGAGGGAGGAGTACTCTAATATGTATTTCCTATGAATAACGACATTCTCTTACCTCCCCACAGAATAAATACCATAATCAGGAGATTAAAATTCCTACAGTACTATTGTCTAATTTACAGACTTTATTCAAAATTTTGCCAATTGTTCCACATGAGTTTCATTACAAAAGAAAAGGAAGAGGCTTACACATTGAATGTAGGAGTTTTGTGTCTTTAATCTCTTATGATCTGGAAAAATTCTTCAGGAATTATTTGTCTTTTACAACCTTAGCATTTAGACATCTAGATATAAGATGGTTCTAAGAATCAAAACTGTACACAAAAGCACATTCAGAGAAGCATAAGTCTCTTCCCTTCCCTTCAAACCCATTTTCACCTCTTCATTTTTTATACCTCATTTTCCACCACCACCTATAGGTAACATATTTCATTTATTTATGTTTTATTCTTTCTGTTTCTATTAATAGAAATGAACAGATTCATACTCTTTCTTATACAAAAAGCAGCAAAACAGCTGAGTGTGGTGGCATGCGCCTGTATTCCCAGCTACTCAAGAGGCTGAAGTGGGAGGATTGCTTGAGCCCAAGAATTCAAGGCTGCAGGGAGCTTTGATTGTACCACTGCACTCCAGCCTGGTCAACAGAGCAAGATCCTGTCTCTGAAAAAGAAAGCACGATATACATGCCCTTTTGTACCTGGCTTTCAGCTTTCCTCTCTCTAGTTCAGAAAGATCTTCCCCATCTTTTTATACACTGCACAGTAGACTATGTGTGGATGTATCATAGTTTATTCAACTGCTCTCCTAGGTGTGGGCATTAGATTATTTTCAATATTTTGTAATTACCAACATAGCCGCAAGTAACAATCTTATTCATATGTATTTTCTTATTGTTGGGGATGTAACTTTAGGGTGAGTTCTTTAAGTCAAAAAGTAAGTACTTACGTAGTTTCACTAGATATTGCCAGATTCTTCTCTAAAAGAATTGTGTCTATCTGTTCTCACCAGTAAGCTATGAGAGTCCTGTTTTCCCATCTCCCCAACTGAATGTGTTGTCATACTTTTTAATTTTTGCCAGATTCTCTGGTGAGAAATGATGTCTCAGGGTAGTTTTAATTTGCATTTTGCTAATAAGGTGTAAGTTTGAGCACCTTTTCATATTTTTAGGGTCTAAATTATAAATATTTTAATGAATAAATTGTCATATATTTTGCCCGTTTCTGATGAGGTTTTTCACCTTTTCCCCCCTGCAGTTTGAATTTATTATGTATTAGGGATGTTATCCTTGTATTTATGATAAATGTTATAATTATTTTCTCCTGATTTCTAAGTTATCTTTGACTTTTATGATTTTTTTTTTGTAACTTAAAAGATCTTAAATTTTTTTTTTTTAGGTAATCAAGTTTATCTTTTATTACAGTTAGATTTTGAGGCATGGTTAGAAAATCTTTCCCTAATCAGGATTACAAAATCTTTACTGTTACTTCTAGTACTTGCGTAGCTTCTTTTTTTTTTTTTTTTTTGAGATGGAGTTTTGCTCTTGTTGCCCAGGGTGGAGTGAAGTGGTGCGATCTTTGCTCACTGCAACCTCCGCCTCCTGGGTTCAAGTGATTCTCCTGCCTCAACCTCTCAAGTAGCTGGGATAACAGGTGCCCACCACCCCACCCAGCTAATTTTTTGTATTTTTAGTACAGATGGGGTTTCATCATGTTGGCCAAGCTGGTCTTGAACTCCTGACCTCAGGTGATCCACCCACCTCGTCCTCCCAAAGTGCTGGGATTACAGGCATAAGCCACCGTGCCCTGCTGGCTTCATTTTTCATGCTTTCATCTTTGACCTATCTGGAGATAGTTCTTGTGTGTGACGTAAGTCATGGATATAGTTTGTGCATGATGTAAGTTATAGATACAGTTTGTGCATGATATAAGTTGTGGATATAGTTTTACCTTTTCCCTAATGACTACCCAGTTTTCTCAGTACCTTTTATTAAAAAGTACATCTTTGCAACAGTGATTTGAAATGTCACCTTTATTTATAGTATTCCATATGTATGTGGTTCTGTTTCTGGACTTTTAATTCTAATTTACTGTCTATTACACAATAAACCAATAGCACACTACTTAATTATAGATGCTTTGAATTATGTTTTAATTTCTCAAAGAGCTAGCCTTCTCTCATAGTTTTTTTCTTTTCAATGTTTTTCTGGTTATTCTTGCATTTTTGATTGTATATGAATTTTAGTATCAGCATGTCTACCTTGGTAAAGAAGCTTTTTGGTATTTTTTGAGGATTGTATCAAATTTACAAATTAATTTAGGGAGAAATGATACTTTATGATGTTGGGTCATTTTATGTAAGAATAAGAAATGCATTTTTATTTGTTCACAACTACTTGTTGGTCTTTCAGAAAATTTTTAATTTTTCCGTTGTATAGGTTTTGTATATTTAATTTAAGTTTATTCCTAAGTATTTTTATCTTTTTAATTGTGTTTGTAAAAGCACTTTTCTGCTACTTGTTATTAGCTTAATATATGAAGGTCATTAACGTTAATTTCTGATTTTCTGGTTTTGTTTGTTTGTTTGTTTGTTTTAAGAGATGGAGTCTCACTCTGTTGCCCAGGCTGGGGCAGTTGCGTGATCATAGCTAACTGCTGCCTTGAATTCCTGGGGTGAAGAGATCCTCCTGCCTCAGCCTCTGAAGTAGCTGGGACTACCAGCGTGCACCATCACACTCAGCTAAAGGCCATTAATTTCTGTATGTTATAAAGTTTATATTCTTCCACTTCCTGAATTCTCTTATTGTTTGAGTTGGTTTATGATTCTCCAGACTTTTCCAGATAGACCCTCATATCTTCTACAAGTTGTAGTTTGCCAATTCTGGTGCTTTTCCTTGCTGTCTCTTGTTTAATTTAATGCAATGACCAGCACGTTCAGTAGAATGCTGAATTTAGTATGAACGTTCTTGCCTCTTTCCTGATCTAAGTGTAAATAACTTTAACATTTCCTGTTCTCTTGAATATTTTCATCTGTGTTAGTATCAAATTTTGTTAAAGTCTTTTTCAGCACCTATGGAAATAATCGTAATTTTTCTCTTTAGGTCTTCTAGTAAGCTGTATTATGTTAATGGATGTCCTAACATTGCTCTACCTTGCATTTTGGGGTAGATACCAATTGGTTATTGTTATTTTCCCAAGAAGTTGTATTCTGTTTGCCAATACTTTTTTTAATATTTTTGTATTGATATTTATAAATTATATTTGTCTGAATTTTTGTTGTTATGTATGTGATGTCTTAATCTGTTTAATTCTTAATGTTCTACTTGATTCATGAAAACACTGAAAATTTCTCCTTCATTGTCAATGCTCTGGAACAGTTTATAGAGCACTGGGACAATACGGTTTTGAAGGTTGGTAGAATTCCCCTGTGGAACACCCTGGGGTCAGTGCTTCTTTTACAGTATAGTTCCTTGAAACCCTTCTCTTTGTCTTTCAGTAAATTGATTTATCTACCTCTACTTGGTTTAATTTTGCTAAACTTTGTTTCTCAGTGAAATTATTTCATCTATGTTTCTGAAATTATTTTGTAATTTTGTAATTTCTCATTTTTGTATATGTGTGCTTCCTCCCTTTTTCTAAATTAAGATAACTAGTGTTTATTTATTAAAAAGAAAATACTATACTTATTTTGACTTACTAATTAGGTATATTATTTTTTCTTTTCTAACCCATTAATTTCTGCGTTTATCTTTATTATTTTTCTTATGCTTTCTTTCTGTTTCTGTTTCATTGTTGTTGTCTCTTGAGAATTTTTCTCAAGTTTTTCTTCATTTTTTCAATTTTTAAAATTGGAATGTTTATTATAAATTCTCTGATCACTGCTTTTCATGTATCAGAGATTCTGATGTACATGTTTTCATTAAATTTGTTTTAGGAATTCTTTTATTTGAGTCTTTATTTCCCCTTTTCTCTAAGAATTAAACTTTCTGTGTAGGAGGGCCTGTGACTTTGTTAATGATTTTGAATTTTATGGCATTGTGATCAAAGAGCATGCTTGTAATATTTCTACTTTACCAAACTTACTAATGTTTTATCTGTAACCAAATATACAATCAAGTTTTAGAAGAATTTTCTCTATGCACTTGGGAATATGATGTCTTGGCTATCATCAAGATGTGAAGTTCCACATCTATTTATGAGTTGCCATGTAGATTATGCCATTATGTCTTCTACACATCACAACAGGACGATTAGAGAAGCAAGAACAAATCAACCCCAAATTTAGCAGAAGACAAGAAATAACGGGAGTCAGAGCTGAACTGGAGGAAAATCAAGATGAAAAAAATTCAAAAGATCAACAAATCCAGGAGTTGGTTTTTTTAAAAAATTAATAAGATAGGTAATCAGCTAGACTAATACAAAATAAAAGACAGAAAATCCAAATAAACAATTAGAAATGATGAGGGTTACCACTGACCCCACAGAAATAAAAAATAACCATTGGAAACTACTACAAACACCTCTATGCAAACTAGAAAACCTAGAAGAGATGAGTAAATTCCTGGACACATACATGCTCCCAAGACTGACTGAATCAGGAAGAAATTAATTCCATGAACAGACCAATAACAACCTCTGAAATGAATCACTAATAAATAGCCTACAAATCAAAAAAAAGCCCTGAACCAGATGGATTCATAGCCAAATTCTACCAGATGTACAAAGAAGAGCTGGTACCATTCCTACTGAAATTATTCCAAAAAATTGAGGAGGAGGGATTCCGCCCCAACTCATTCTATGAGGTCAGCATGATCCTGATACCAAAACCTGGGAGAGATACGAAAAAAAAAAAAAAAAAAGAAACTTCAGGCCAATATCCTTGATGAACATTAATGCAAAAATCTTCAACAAAATTCTTGCAAACAGAATCTAGCAGCATATCAAAAAGCTAATCCACCACAATTAAGTAGGCATCATTCCTGGGATGTAAGGTTTGTTAAACATACGCAAATCAATAATGTGATTCATCATATAAACAGAACTAAAGACAAAAAACACATGATTATCTGGATAGATGCATAAAAGACTTTTGATAAAATTCAACATCCCTTCATGTTAAAGACTCTCACTAAACTAGATACTGAAGGCACATACTATGACGAGCAATAAGAGCCATCTATAACAAACTCACAGCCAACATCTTACTGAATGGGCAAAAGCTGGAAGCATTCCCCACAAAAACCAGCACCAGCACAAGACAAAGATGCCCTCTCTCACTACCCCTATTCAACATAGTATTGGAAATTCTAACCAGGGAAATCATGCATGAGAAAGAAAGAAAGGGAATCCAAATAGGAAGAGAGGAAGTCAAACTATCCCTATCTGCAGATAACATGATTCTATATCAAGAAAAACCCCATAGTCTTGGCCCAAAAGCTCCTTCAGCTGATAAACAACTTTAGCAAAGTTGCAGGATACAAAATCAATGTGCAAAAGTAACTAACATTTCTGTACTCCAACAAAGCCAAGCCAACAGCCAAATCAGGAGGGCAATCCCATTTATGATAGCCACAAAAAGAATAAAATACCTAGGAATACAGATAACCAGGGGTGTGAAAGATCTCTACGATGAGAATTACATATAACTGCTGAAAGAAATCAGAGATGACACAAACAAATGGAAAAACATTCCATGCTCATGGATAAGATAATCAATATTATTAAAATGGTCATACTGCCCAAAGCAATTTCCAGATTCAATGCTATTCCTATCAAACTACCAATGACATTCTTCACAGAACTAGAAAAACACTATTTTAAAATTAATATGGAACCAAAAAAGAGCCTGAATAGCCAAGGCAATCCTAAGCAAAAAGAATAAAACTGGAAGCATCATGTTACCTGACTCTAAACCATACTCCAGGGCTACAGTAACCAAGACAGCATAGTACTGATACAAAAACAGGCACGTAGACCAATGGAATAGAATAGAGAGCCCAGAAATAAGACTGCACACCTATGACCATCTGATCTTTGACAAAGCTGACAAAAACAAGCAATGGGGAAAAGACTTCCTATTCAATAAATGGTGCCTGGTTAACTAGCTAGCCACATGCAGAAGATTGAAGCTGGACTCCTTCCTTACACCATATAAAAAAATCAACTCAAGGTGGATTAAAGACTTAAATGTAAAACCCAAAATATAGGAACCTTGGAAGACATCCTAGGCAATACCATTCTGGACATAAGAACGAGCAAAGATTTCATGACAAAGACACCAAAAACAATAATAACAAAAGCAAAAATTGACAAATGGGATCTAATTAAACTAAAGAGCTGCTGCACACCAAAAGAAACTATCATCAGAATAAACAGACAACCTAAAGAGTGGGAGAAAACATTTGCAAACTATGCAGCTGACAAAGGTCTAATATCCAGTATCTATAAAGTACTTAAACAAGAGAAAAGCAAACAACAAATAAATGAATATTTATAATATTCATAATATAATTATATCCATAATATAATTATATTCATATTTTATGAATATTTTGTTCATAAAATATTATGAACAAAGATGTTGCATTAAAAAGTGAGCAAAGGACATGAAGATACTTTTCAAAACAAGACATACATGCAGCCATCAATTATATGAAAAAAAGCTCAATATCACTGATCATTAGAGAAATGGAAATCAAAACCACGATGACATACCGTCTCACACCAGTCAGAATGGCTATTACTAAAAAGTCAAAAAATAGATGCTGGTGAGGTTGCAGAGAAAAGGGAACAGTTATAGATTGTGGGTGAGAGTGTAAATTAGTTCAGCCATTGTGGAAAGCAGTATGGTGATTCCTCAAAGAGCTAAAAACAGAACTACCACTCCACCCAGCAATCCCATTACTGGGTATATACCCAGAAGAGTATAAATCATTTTATCATAAAGACACATGCATGCGAATATTCATTGCAGCACCATTCACAATAGCAAATACATGGAATCAACCTAAATGCCCACCGATAACAGACTGGATAAAGAAAATATGATACATATACACCATGGAATATTATGCAGCCATAAAGAAGAATGAAATCATGTCTTTTTCAGGAACATGGAAGGAGCTGGAGGCTATTATCCTTAGCAAAGTAATGCAGCAACAGAAAACCAAATACCACATGCTGTCATTTATAAGTGAAAGCTAAATGAGAACTCGACACAAAGAAGGGAACAACAGACACTGGGGCCCACTTGAGGGTCGAGGGGCAGGAGGGAGAGGAACAGAAAAAATACCTAATGGGTACTAGGCTTAACACCAGGGTGATGAAATAATCTGTACAACAAACGCTGTGATGGGAGTTTACCTACATAACACACCTTCACATGTGCCCCTGAACCTAAAATAAAAGTTCAAAACAAAACAAAACTTTTCTGTAGCCACAACAGTTGAAGAAGAGCTTGGCTGAATATAAGATCATTGGTTTGCATTGTCTTGCCTTACTTTTTCAGAAAGATGGATCCAGTGTTGTCTTGGTTGAATGTTAGCTTTGAATGTTTGATCATATTGCTGAGATATGTCTCAGGGTTGATTATTACAAGTCAGTTTTTCTTGCTATATAGCCAAGCAAGCTTGATATATTCTGCTTGTACTGCATAATATTTGAAAAAGTTATTTAAGCTTAACCAAATTTAGTGTACTACAAAAGGATGTAGTCATAATATTCCTTTTCTTTTTTTTGGAGCTGACGTCTTGCTCTGTGGCCCAGGCTGGAGTGCAGTGGTGTGAATCTCGGTTCACGGCAACCTCTGCCGCCGGGTTTCAAGCAATTCTCCTGCCTCAGCCTCCCGAGTAGCTGGGATTACAGGTGTGTGCCACCACACCTGGCTATTTTTTTTGTATTTTTAGTAGAGACAGGGTTTTGTCATGTTGCCCAGGCTGGTCTTGAACTCCTGACCTCAGGTGATCTGCCTGCCTCAGCCTCCCAAAATGCTGGGATTACAGATGTGAGCCACTGCGCCCAGCCATCATCACAATATTTCAAAAAGATCATGTGAAACTTTGTCCAGTGTTTTGGAACAGAAGAGATAGCCAATAGGGTTTTTTTGTTTTTGTTTTAGTTTTTGTTTTTTTAATGCCATGCTTTCTTTGGTGTAATGAAGCCTAACTTGTGTGTAGATAGATCTGGGGCAGGAGTTGGGGGCGACTTTTAAGGAAAAGATGAGGGTGGCAGAGCGTGTCTTCTGTCACGCACAGGAGACAAGAGCAAAAATGGAGTGCATTTATTGCCGTTTAAAATAAAATGCAAAGATACTTTTAGAAAAAAAGTTTCCAAATCTACCGTGAACTGTGAAACTGCAATCCAGTTATTCACCTTCCTATCAATCTCCAAAGATGTTGCTTTACTCGATAATTTAGACATCAGTGATGCTTGCATTCCAGGAATTTCCTTGGTGGGTGAACAAACAAATTCTAGAGGAAAAGGAGATTTGGAGGTTGTAGAGAAGTTTGAAGGGGTAGCTCTCTGAGAGGCAGAGAGGGGAAAATATCCTATACAAGGAAAAGAAGGCTAACTACAAGGTGTATGCAAGGAAGAGCTCATGTGAAGGATTTAATTTTTCTTTGTTTTTCCCTTGAACTCTGTGATCAGTCCTATTAAGCATCCAGTTTAAAATTTTAATTCTACATTGCAATTTTTTATAGCTATTTCTGAAACTCTAGTAAAATCTACTTACTTATAAAAACAATGGGATTGTAGGGCATTCAGAACACATATATAAGGGAAGGTAAGGCCTCTTGCCAGAGGCCACAGGGGCAGGAGCAGACAGGAAGGACAAGATTCTTACCGCTGTCCAAGCCACTCTGTATGGGACCAGATGCTCAAGGCAGAGGTGAACAGAGGGCAGAGAAGCATCTACCCCCATACACCTCTGGGTAGCCATGAGGCAGTCTTCCCTTATCCCCACAAAAATGAAGGTATGCCTAGAAGGGGGATACATGGAGGCAGGATAAGCAGGTGGGAGATGATGATAGATAAAGATACTGTGATAGAACAAGAAATATATATATTTGGTCTTTATTCCCAATTCCTGGCACAGAGTTCCTAAAACTCGTGGAATTTTCTGAGTGGTAGGGGTGAGAAGAACACCTTCTGTTATTCAGAACAAGCCCTTTTTAATTCTTCCTAAGTTTGTGCTAATGAGATGACTCTTGGTAGGCCCTAGGCAGCTTCAGGATGGGGCCAGCTGCCAGAGGAATCAACCATGTGGCCCCAGTCCTGACCTCCTGAGGAACTGAAGATTGAGTTCCATCGCCAGTGGCCAATGATCTTATCATTCATGCCTTTGTAATGGAGCCTCCATAAGAACCATAAGCAACAGAGATTGGAGAGTTTCCAGTTTGGTGAACACATTGAAGTGCTGGTAAGGGAGGAGACCAACCCTCATATTGTCTTATGCCCAATTTCTGCCTCCAAAGAAAGAAGTAAAAACTAAAAGGCAGGAATGAAATCCACAGGCAGACAGCCTGGTGCGGCGCCCGAGGCCTGGTTAAAGATCGACCCCTGACCTAACTGGTTGTTATCTACAGATTCCAGACATTGTATGGAAAAGCATTGTGAAAATCCCTGTTCTGTTCTGTTCCATTCTGATTACTGGTGCATGCAGCCCCTAGTCACGTACCCCCTGCTTGCTCAATTGATCACGACCCTCTCACTCTTGTAAGCCCTTAAAAGGGACAGGAATTGCTCACTCGAGAAGCTCGTTTTTTGGAGACGTGAGTCTTGCGGAAGCTCCCGGCTGAATAAAGCCTTTGCTTCTTTAACTTGGTGTCTGAGGGATTTTGTCTGCAGCTTGTCCTGTTACACTGGGAGGGTGGCCAGAGAGGGCATGGAAGCTCTGGGCCCCTCCCCCATGCTTTGAACTACACATGCCTTCCATCTGGCTGTTCCTCAGTAGCATTATTTCTTTTTTTTTTTTTTTTTTGAGACGGAGTCTTACTCTGTCACCCAGGTTGGAGTGCAGTGGCATGGTCTTGGCTCACTGCATCCTCTGCTGCCTCCTGGATTAAAATGGTTCTCCTGCCTCAGCCTCCCAAGTAGCTGAGATTACAGGCATGTGCCACCACATCCAGCTAATTTTTGTATTTTTAGTAGAGACAGGGTTTCACCATGTTGGCCAGGCTGGTCTTGGACTCGTGACCTCAGGTGATCCTCTCTCCTCAGCCTCCAAAAGTGCTGGAATTACAGGCTTGAGCTACCATGCCCAGTCAGTAGTGTCCTTTCTAATAAGCCAGTGGTAGAAAGTAAACTGTTTTCTTGAGTTCTGTGAGCCATTCTAGCAAATTACCAATCCTGAGAAAGGGATGGTGGAAACCCCTAATTTATGGGCATCTGGAAGTTTGGGAGGCCCAGGACTTGCAGTTGGTGTTTAAAGTGGCAGTCTTGTGGGTCTGAGCCCTTAATTAGTGGAATCTGATGCCACATTATGCTAATGAAGTGACTCCAGATGGTGTCAAAATTAAATTAATTTTAGGACACTCAGTTGATATCCACGAGAATTGGAGAATTGCTTGCTGTGGAAAAAACCCACACATTGAGTGTTAGAAGTGTTGTTGAGTAGAAAAACAGTTTTCTTTTAATATGTATATATGGATACATGTAGATACATATGTATGTGTAGATATGTATAGATAGATGTATATATGTATGTTCTGATATGTAAATATGTATGGATAGATAGAGATACATATGTATAGATATGTATGGATAGATATAGGTATGCTTACATATCTATGCATAGATAGCTAGATAGAGATTGATATAGCTAGATGCCTTACGCACATCTAGATTACAACAGCAGCAATGATGCCATCTTCCTTCCTTCCTTCCTTTACCACTGAGGTAGTGATACAACATATATTCAAACGTGTGTGGATAGCTGTGGATATATATGTGTTCATATGTATGGAAAGATATCGATACATACATATGGATATATATGGGTAGAGATAGACATGTATGTGTAGATGTGTATAGATAGCTAGATGGAGTCAGAGATTGATACAGCACATCTGAATTACAACAGCAGCAGTGACACGACCTTTCCATCCTTACCCCTGGTCTCCCATTCCCTGGCACATCCCCTGGAGAAGTCAGCAGGAGGAGAGGGGAAATAGTTATAGAACAAATCTGTTACAGGCTGAATTTTCTGGAAGCAGATGCTGAGGTGGAGTTTGGGGTGCAAAAAATATTTATTGGGATTGACACTTGTGAAAGCAAGAGGGAGGGAGCAGGTTCAGGCAGACAGTGAGGCAGGTCTTACGAAGCCTCAGCCACCCCAGCAGGGGCTCTGCAGGAAGAACTGCCCACCAGCATCGTCTGGGTTGGGGTCAACTGGCCAGGCCTTTATGCCCCCACCGCAGGCACTGGATACTGGTGCTCAGACAAGGCGTGGGCTTGGGTGGGGGCTCTCTGCAGCTGAGGCTGCCCTGAAGGGGCTGACAGCTGGATCTATCTGCTATCCACTCCTTGCAGCTGGGAGGCACATCCTTCCTTGAAGGGGGGATCTGAACTGTCACCCTTGTCCCCTCTACAAGTCTGTGAGCAAAGAAACCTGACAAAATTGAAGCTCTGAATTAGATGTTGGATATGGTTGGCCTGAACATATTCTTGCCTGAAAGTGAGGAGTCATTACTCAGATAGACTGTTTCAATGCAAATGAGCTAAAATTCGAGGTATGGTCAAGGGGTAGGAGAAGGGAGTCTCAATAGAACATATTTTAAGGCAATGCCAGGAGAAAAATAAACCTGCTTCCTGTTTGGACTCTTCAGAAGTTTGGCCCATGTGATAAACTTAATTAATAGCCTCCGTATAGAGAACTCTGTATTTATGCTTTTTTCCATAACTTTCAGTTCTTTGCATTAAAGATGCAGGGTGTATTTCTTCAACCCTCAGCCACATGACTTGCCTTGAGCAACAGTATGAGGCAGAGGTGATGGTGAAGTTATTCCAACCTAGACCTTAAGAGACCTTCAAAGTTTTTGCTTCTTCTGGCTCATCTGCCATCACCATGAGCATGACACACCTGTATTTGCCCAATGGTCTGAGGAGAAGCATGGAGCTGAGCTGCCTAGGCTGTATTGTCCTAGCCATTCTCAACTAAGAGTAGAATCCCTAGCCAGCCTGCAGATGTGTAAGCCCAAATGGTTTCCACCAACCTCTAGCCAATTCACAGACTCATGATGCCTTATAATAAACAATTATTGATTGTATTGAGCCACTTAGTTTCAGGGTGGTTTGTTATATAGAAACAGATAATTAGATATAGCTCATTAAAGTTGATATATTTATGTTTATATATATATCACACCAGGTTGGTGCTTGGAAAGGGGGGGTGCCATTTGCTCAATTTTTTTCTGTTGAGTATTTCATTCATTTATTATTGATTTGTTAAATTTTTTGTATATTGAGGTTTGGTTTTGCATTTTGTAACAATAGTAAACAATCTCAAAGGATACAGGATTAATACATACAAGCCATTGGCTAATTATTCTTAAGTTGACTAATTTGTTATTCCCATAAGGTATTTACACAGTTTTTACTTATTTTCATGATCTCGCTCACCTGCATGAATTTCTGAAATAGTCACAGAAATTTCAGTATTGGAAGAGAACTGGGAGATCATGTATCTCCATGATTATTAATATTTTCTTAGTCTCTTTGACAATTTAATAAAAGATCTGAACTCCCTTCCCAAAAAGAAAACAGAGAGAGTATTTTGCCCACAATTTCAAGGGCTTCATGGGGCTCATGAAGCTCATTGTGTAGTATATACCCTAGACCCAGGTAATGTGATGCAATGACCAGCAAGTCAGAGGTATTTTGGCCTGTTTTCTCTCTTTTCTTTTCTCTTCTTTTCCTTTTTTCTTTCTTTCTTTCTCTTTCTTTCTTTCTCTTTCTTTCTTTCTTTCTTTCTTTCTCTTTCCTTCTTTCTTTTTTTTAACAGATGAAACCAACATTAGTTGAAAGTAAGGAGATTAAACTTAGACTGTCTGAACAAGTAAAAAACTAATAGTAGATAATGAATTTGAACCAAATAGATCATTGAGTTTTGAATCATTTGTGTTAAGCTCTTCTTTTTGTCTGAATTAAATGTAATTTCCTTAAATCTGTACTGCACTTTGGTAGAGTAGGTTGAATGATACTTTAAGTGTTATTTTACTCTGTCAACAAAGAGCAAGTTCATAAAATCAAGTGATTCTTCACTCTCTTCAGGACACTTTCAAATTTTTCTTGCTCATAATTTTCTGGGCAGCAACTTTATGAACACAGAGCACTGCAAACATTAATGTAGGCGAGAGTTTATGCATAAAAGCACCCAAAGTATCATTTGTGGTCAGAAGAGCAAGTTGAGGGAGAACTTGGCACTGTCTAGACATGTTTTAGCTGATTTTGCTTTTCTTTTTCTTTTTTTTTTTTTTTTTGAGACGGAGTTTCGCTCTGTCGCCCAGGCTGGAGTGCAGTGGCGCGATCTCGGCTCACTGCAAGCTCCGCCTCCCGGGTTCACGCCATTCTCCTGCCTCAGCCTCCCGTGTAGCTGGGACTACAGGCGCGCGCCACCACGCCCGGCTAATTTTTGTATTTTTAGTAGAGACGGGGTTTCACCGTGTTAGCCAGGATGGTCTCAATCTCCTGACCTCGTGATCCGCCCGTCTCGGCCTCCCAAAGTGCTGGGATTACAGGCGTGAGCCACCGCGCCCGGCCGATTTTGCTTTTCTAGTCAAACCTGACATAAGAAAATATCAAGGATTTGTTACTTTAAGAAAATATTTTACTTTATGGTCTTTGATAATATTGCCTTGAATGATTTTTATGTCTTCTTTTCTATTTTTGATGTATTGTGGTAAGGGGAAGCATCTATAAAAATAAATTTTCTTCTTAGAGGAGAAAAGACTATCTTTTCTATCTCCTCTAAGATCTTTTCTATCTTAGAGGAGAAAAGATAATCATTTCCCTGGGCCCCAGGGATATTTCTAAGCACTGGACTCTCCTGGGAATGGATAGCACTGTGTGCATACTTAGCTCTTCCACAGACCCAGCTCTTACTACTCGTGAAATACTAGGCTAAGCGCTAAAGATAGAAGAAAGAACAAGACCTAGATACACTTTCAGAGAATCATGTTCTACTTCAGAGACCGTAATATTGGCAACCTGTGGTCCAATTTGGGCAAAGATGAACAATATATTAACTGATGCAGAGCTGAATTGGTTACCCATTAATTTTACATTAGGCTAATATATCTTTCTCAACTTAAAAAAGTTAGAATATACAGTACATCAGGCCCACATTACACATGGCAGCTGGCAGCTGGCAGCTGGGCAGTGTTGCTGCTTTAGAAGATGCAGTCCTCACCTGCCTCCACCTGGTCTGGACAATCACGTCGTTTGCCAGGACCTAGTAAGCACTTGAATTTGAGACATGTGGCCAAGTTGAAGGAGAAGTAGGTCCAGTTGGTGATTACATGGTGTGGAGAAAGGCGGTAACAGATGTATTTACATGAGACCATGAGGACATGATGGGGGTGGGTGTGCATGTGTGTGTGTGTGTGTGTGTGTGTGTATATGTGTATGGTGTATTGGAGGAGTATTTTTGGAAATTCTTTATTAACACCTTATATTAAGTTGCATTTGTTTATGAGATTGACTTTCTGGCCCTCTAACAGTGCCCTAAGAACAAAGCCTCATAGAAAGCTGAGAATGAGGTGAAACATGAATTTAACACTTGCCACTTTGTATTGTCAACCCACAATTCCATTCATTGTCTACTGAGTCCCTACCATGCACCATCCACACATTTGCACACTAGACTGGTGAGATTATCTCAGAGATTGGCTTCAGAGATCCTGCTGCTTTCCTCTTTGCACAGGTATCTGTGGCCTTGCTCAGTGAAAATTACTGTCTAGGTGCTAATGATGATTTTAGCTGTTTTTACTACCTCAGAGGTCATGAATTTTTAATGAGGGACCCTTCAAGTCTGATATACCTATGAAACTGCCCCTGTAAACTTTATAAAATTAATCATGGAATAAGGGAGGGAAAAAACAAACATAAGCCAAGTGTACAGCACATCAGCATTCATCATGAGGTCAGCTGCTCTCTGACCCCTTCCTCATAGTTGTTTGGTACCTATTGCCCCAGAATCACACAGACCCTGTTATAAGGTTCTAGTTCCCCTTAACTGCTCTATAGATAACAACTTTAACATTATGAAATGTTAAGTTTTCCCTTTGAGATATTCTTTCAGGTCCTGTGTAGTCATGGAACTACTTGCATCGCTGGTAAAGGATTCCACAAAGAGCTGACACCAAAGAGGGCAGTTTCCATATCCTGATTATTTTATCCCCCACTTACATTAACCAATCAATTACTCTAATTTTCCAGCCCCTCACCCTTCATGATCTCCTTAAAAACCCAACCCAGAACTCCTGGGAAGATGGATATAAGGCTCCCATTTTCTCAGCTGCCCTGTGATCATTAAACTCTTTCTCTGCTGCAAACCCTGCTGTCCCTGTGTATTGGTCTGCTACTGTGCAGTGGGCATATGAATCTGCTGGTCCTGTAACACCTACACAAATGAAAAGAATAGAGTCCTAATGGAGCTCTTTATTAAGATGAGTCCATATTTGGAAACATGTGTCCATCAAGTTATGTCATATAGACTGGACCTTCATGTTACTTTTGAGATAATCCTTGACTGAGTGTTTGGAAAGCAAGATAGATGAACTGGGGAAGAAAGAAAGGAAGGGGATGGAATAAATAGGGACTGCTTCAGAGCTCTAGGATGCTCCTGGCTGCCCTGGGCTAGAGGGACAGCAAGAGACATTGATCAATGAGAGAGGAGCACATGGGAAGATGTAATATACATTTACCTTGGAACATCACCTGGGTGTGGCCTTGACCTGTTTTATTTGCATTTAACAAGAGCGATCACCTCTATACAATAGAGAAACAAAGTGACAAACAAGGTGTTTGCCTGTCAACAAGTTCCATGTATTTTTGTATCCTCAAAAAATTCAAGCAGTTAACAACGGGGCTTTAAATCTCAGAAGTTTTATTTATATTTATTTATTTATTTATTTATTTATTTATCTTTTTCAACTTTTATTTTAGATTTAGTGGGTGCACATGTAGGTTTGTTACATGAGTATATTGTGTGATCCTGAGGTTTCAGGTATGAATGATCCCATCACCCAGGTACTAAGCAGAGTGCCCAACAGTTAGTTTTTCAACCCTTTTCCCCTTCCCTCCCTACCCCCCACTCTAGTAGTCTCCAGTGTCTATTGTTGCCACCTTTGTGTCCATGAGTACCCAATGCTTGGCTCCCACTTATAAGTGAGAACATGTGACATTTGGTTTTCTCTTCCTGTGTCAATTTACGTTGATTCCATATTTTTGCTCTGGTGAATAGTGCTGAAATAAACATATGGGTGCATGCGTCTTTTTGGTGGAATGAGTTGTTTTCTTTTGGGTATATACCCAGTAATGGGGTTGCTGGGTCAAATGATCATTCTGTTTTCAATTCTTTGAGAAATCTCCAAACTGCTTTCCACAGTAGCTGAATTAATTTACATTCCCAGCAGCAGTGTATAAGCATTTCCTTTTCTCCACAGCCTCACCAGCATGTTATTTTTTGACTTTTTAGTAATAGCCATTCTGACTGGTGTGAGATGGTAGCTCATTGTGGTGTTGATTTGCATTTCTCTGATGATTAGTGATGAGCAGCACTTTTTCATGTTTGTTGGCTGTTTGTATGTCTTCTTTTGAGAAATGTTTATGTCTCTTGCCCATTTTTGAATGGGGTTTTTTTTTTTGTTCAATTGTTTAGGTTCTTCATAAATTAGGATATTAGACATTACTTGGACACATAGTTTCTCCTGCTCTATAGGTTATCTGTTTAATCTGATTCTCTTGATAGTTTCTTTTGCTGTGCAAAAGCTCTTTAGTTTAATTAGGTCCCGCTTGCCAATTTTTGTTTTTTTTAGAAGCATTATTTAAATGATATAATCTTTGTAATTACAAAATGTGGTATTGATGCTCTACATGAAATATAAAAGACTGCAAAAATATAAAAGCCAAAGCATTTACTTATTTTCCTTTAACACCAACCAGATTAATGTAGGCAAAATAAAATTAGTATTAGAAGTTGTGAATTATACAGTTTAAATGTATTGCCATTCAAGAGAAATGCATTGTCTTGGGAGTCTGAGTGCTCTAGATTGATTGTCCATAAATAATTACATTATTGCTTGATCTTCAATTTCATTATGCCTTGTTAGAAAAGGCAGTGTAACCACAAATAGTTACATATATAGTTCTGTTTTTATTTTCTTTGTGATTTATTTCTTCTCTGCAATTGCCATCATTAAAAGAAAAAAAATTATAGTTAAGGAAAGAACATTACTTAATTTCCTGCATAGGCAGGTGGTATTAAATGCCAAAAATAAATGGCCCTGCAGGAATCAGCCTTAGACTTGAATTTAAATCCATATCCATTTATTAGTAATTTTGAAAATGTTATATATTACCTGTTAATTTTAAATTATGACGAATACTTAATTGGCAACTGGAACTACAGAGTTGAGAGCAGCTAAAATGCAAAAGTGCCAAGAAATTTGAGGAATATGCAGAAGGAGAAAGGTGAATATTAGTTATAGATCTTCACTGCCTAGGAAAGATTAAAGAAAAAAAGATAAATTTGCAACTTTATTGTCTGTAATGTCCTAAAATAAGGATACATAAATTATGGTTTTTCAGTGAGATAGGAAAAAAACTACATACTGTACTGACATGCATGTATTTTCTATGGCTCTTTACCTACTCATATCAAATAAGAACAGTCTGATTTTCTTTTTTCTTTCTTTCTTTCTTTTTTTTTTTTTTTGAGATGGAGTTTTGCTCTTGTTGCCCAGGCTTGGATGCAATGGCACGATCTCGGCTCTCCGCAACCTCCGCCTTCCGGGTTCAAGTGATTCCCTTGCCTCAGCCTCCTGAGTAGCTGGGATTACAGGCATGCGCCACCACACCCGGCCAATTTTGTGTATTTTTAATAGAGATGGGTTTTCTCCATGTTGGTCAGGCTGGTCTCGAACTCCCGACCTCAGGTGATCTGCTCACCTTGGCCTCCCAAAGTGCTGGGATTACAGGCAGGAGCCACAGCACAAAAAGTCTGATTTTTAAAATGAGAGAATATAAGATTTAGAAATGAAAAATACAGTCAATGAAATTATCAAGTTAATAGACGATTCAGAGAGCAGATTAGATACAGCTTAGAGGGAACTGGTAAGCTAGAAAAGAAGTTTGAAAGTACTTAGATATGGCACTAAGAGATGACAAAATGGTAAATATGTCAGAGAAGTTAAGAGAGATAGCAAATAGGAAAGAGTGGTCTAAAACACACTCATCAACATTCCAGAAGCAAAAGAATAGGGAAAGTGGAGAAGAGGGAATATTTAAGAAAAGCATGGCTGAGAAGTTAAAAGAAAAACTGATAGATTTTTAAAAGAAACCTAAATAACTGTAGTTAAACAGCTGAAAGAAAAAAGACAAAGATCTTAAAAGCAGATGAAAAGACAGACTGCCTACAATGGAATAACAATTAAACCAGCGCTGACTTCATTAAAAGACAATGTTACCCAGAAACAACTGTAATAATATCTGCAGAGGGCTCAGGGAAAATAACTGTCACTTTCAAATTATTTGGTCTGCCTAACTTTCATTACAAAATAAGGACAAAATAGAGACATTTTCAAACAAACAAAAATTGAAGGCATTCACAACCACCAGGCCCTCACTGAAAGAACTCTTGAAGGAGTATGAGAAAGAAAGATATTGGCTTAGGGTGCAAAAAGCAATAAATGAGTGAAAGAAAGAAGGAACAATGCGAAGTTTGAGGGTTAAAATGCAAGTAAAAGGCTCACAACAATATTATACTAATTTACCATGAAGTGGTTGGACTGATGTGCTCTAGGATTCCTGTTTTATTCGGGAGAGAGTGGAGTGGTGGATTTACTTTAGCTTCAGACATGTTTGTATGCTCGACTTCTTCAGTTACCCTCTCAGGCCTGTCCCGCTCTGCGCAGGAAGGCTGGCCCTTGTGCCTGTTCCGTGGGTTTGCCCTGGGAGGCACTGGAGGTGAGAGGGGAGTGAGGGAGAGGGATGTACTCCCCGGCTCCCTCTGCTGGGTCATCCCAGGTGGCTGCGTTGCTCTCCAAAGGCAGCTTCTGTAAGACACCCTCTTTTTTTTTTTTTTTTTTTTTTTTTTTTGAGACAGAGTCTTGCTCTGTCGCCCAGGCTGGAGTGCAGTGGCGTGATCTGGGCTCACTGCAATCTCCGCCTCCCGGGCTCAAGCTATTCTCCTGCCTCAGCCTCCCGAGTAGCTGGAACTACAGGTGCCCGCCACCATGCCAGGCTAATTTTTTGTATTTTTAGTAGAGACGGGGTTTCACCGTGTTAGCCAGGATGGTCTCAATCTCCTGACCTCGTTATCCGCCCGCCTCGGCCTCCCAAAGTGCTGGGATTACAGGGGTGAGCCACCGTGCCCGACCCAAGACATCCTCTTTTAAAGCTCTCACAGCTATCTCTACCCTTTGTGGGTTTGGAAACCACTCTCCTTTCCTTGCCCTTTCAAACCCAGGTGTGACAATGATCGATTACTGTTCCTCATAAAACCCAGCTAAACCCTGACTGTGCCTCAGAGAATACCCCCTTTATTAAAATGTTCTCATATAAGCGATTAATTTCCTACCAGCATCCTGACTTTTACAGCATGTTAATATTCTAAGGATAACCACCAAGTAAACAACAAAACCGGGAATAATTTCTGAAAGAGTAGAGGTTGGGGGATGAAATGTTAAAAACCAAGTCAGTCTAAAAGAAGAAAGAGAGAAAAAAAGAGAATATAGGAAAAGCTGAAAATATAGAAAACAATAAAATGATAGATAAATTCAAATAGGTCAATAGTCACAAAAATAGAAATGAACTTACCACAACAACAAGAAGACACAGAATGTCATATTGGATATAAAAATAAAATTTAACTCTTAACCTGTTCTTGCAAGGCCTACACCTAAAATACAAGTTCACAAAAATGTTTAAAGTAAAAGGATGAAAAAGAGAAGCTGGTGTTGCTTCATTAATAAAAGACAGACTAGGCTTTTAGTCAAAGTATCAATGGGGATAAGGAGTTACTGAAGAGTAATTAGTAAAGGTCAAATACACAGGAAACTAAAATAATCCTAAAATTATTCAAAATTTGAGAATAACTCAAAACACATAAAGGGACAATGAACAGAACCACAAGGAGAAACAGAAACAACTGACATGCTCCTTTCGGTAACTGATATATAAAACAGGCAAAAAAATTTAATAATGATGTGTATGATGTGAACAATACAATTAGTGAGCTTAATATCGTTGGTACTAGTAGACTCCAATGGCCACACATTACAAATACACATTATTTTCTAGCACACATGAACTATTTATAAAAATTGACTATCTACTAGGTCATAAAAATGTTTCAGGAAACTTCAAATATTTGATAGTGTAGAGACCACATTCTGAGATCAAAATTGAATTAGGTTAGAAGTCAATAATGAAAGCATAACTAGATTGCTAGCCATAGAGAAAGTAGATGGAACTCATACTTACCACCCTATCATAAAAAAAACTGTAACGTCTGGAAAAATACATTTAGAAAAACAGTTTGCAGGCATTGGAAAACAATCAAGTCTGGCTTGCAATGCGGAAAACACAGAGACACACAAGGTTAGCCCCATATTCACCCAGACTTGCATCTTGTAGACGTATTTCTGGGTCATTGCTCAGGGAAAAATGATCCCAGGGAGGAGGCAGTGGTCTTGCTGGTAGAAGAGGCAGAGATGAGTTCGAGGTACTAAGGTGACTGAGATTTGGGAGGCAAAGTCACAAAGAGGGCACACCACAGAGAGGGGAGCTCAGCATGTGAGTGGGAATGTCTCAGGGCCTGGGTGACTCCACTGTGTGCGTATACCGAAAAGCAGCTGCTGGGGCTGAGAGCCAGGTGGAGATCCTGGAGAGCAGGCATTTCTCTTTTTTATTCTACTTTTAATGAATTCAAATAGATCAATAGTCACAAAAATAGAAATGAACTTACCACAACAACAAGAAGACAGGATGTCATATTGGATATAACTCTTAACCTATTCTTATAGTTGTACATATTTTGGGGGTACTTGTGATATTTTGATACAAGTATAGAATGTGTAATAATCAATGTCCATAACTGGGATATTCATCACCTCAAATATTTATCATTTCTTTGTGTTGGGAGCATTCCAAATGTTCTCTTCTGTCTATATTGAAATATACAATAAATCATTGTCAACTATAGTTGTCCTATCGTGCCACTGAACACTAGATCTTATTCCTTTTATCTCATTGTATTTTTGTGCTTATCAACCAACCTCTCTTCATCCCTCCACCTCATAGCCTCTGGTAACAATCAGTCTATTACTATGTCCATAAGATCAATGCTTTTCAGGTCCCACATATGAGTGGGAACATGCGGTGTTTGTCTTTCTGTGCCTGCATTATTTCACTTAACATAAAGTCCTCCAGGTCCATCACATTGCTGCCAATGACAAGCTTTTTGGTTTTTTTTTTGTGGTTGAATGACATTTCTTTGTGTGTGTATATATATACCTACCCTATTTTCTTTAACCGTTTATTTGCTGGTGGACACTTGGGTTGATTCCCTATTTTGGCTGTTGTGAATAGTGCTGCAACGAACATGGGAGTACAGATATGTCTTTGATATACTGATGTTCTGTCCTTTGGAAATATACCCAGCAGTAGGATTACTGGGTCATAGGGTAGTTCTAATTTTGTTTTTTTGAGGAAGCTCCATAATGTTTTCCACAGTGGCTGCACTAATTTACATTTACACCAGCAGTGTATGAGGGTTCCTCTTTCTCCACATCCTTGCCAGAATGTGTTGTTTTCTCTGTTTTTTTTTTTTATAATAGCCATTTTAACTGGGTTTCATTGTGTTTTTAATTTGAACTTCCCTGATGATTTGTGATATTGAGCATTTTTTCATATACTTGTTGGCCATTTGAATGTCTCTTTTTGAGAAATATCTATTCATATCTTTTGCCTATTTTTAAAAAATCAGATTATTTGATTTTTGCTATTGAGTTGTTTGAGTTTCTCATGTACTCTGGTTATGAATCTCTTATCATATAAATAGTTTACAAATATTTTCTTCCATTCTGTAGGTTGCCTCTTTACTTTGTTGATGGTTTTCTTTGCTGTGCAGAAGCTTTTTAGCTTGGTGTCATTACATTTTTCAATTTTTGCTTTGATCGCCTGTGCTTTTGAGATCTTACTCAAGAAATCTTTGCCCAGACAAATGTCCTGAAGTGTTTCCCCAATGTTTTCTCCTAGTAGATTCTTAGTTTCAGGTCTTATGTTTAAACCTTTTATCCATTTTGAGTTGATTTTTGTATATGGTGAGAGATAGAGGTCTAATTTCATTCTTGTGCATGTTAATGTCCAGTTTTCTGTTTTTTCCCAATATATGATCTTGGTGCCTTTGTTGAAAATGAGTTGGCTGTAAATGTGTGGGTTTATTTCTGGGCTCTCTATTCTGTTCCATTGGTGTAGGTATCTGTTTTTATGCCAGTACCATGCTGCTTTAGCTACTCTAGCTGTGTAGTATATTTTGGAGACAGTAGAGTTCCAGCTTAGCATGGCCAGACCTTTGGGGGAGATATTTATCCCAGGCCTTCACTTGAGACCCCAGAAAGACCACTCTCAGGTGAAAAGATCACACAGTAGGAGTTAAAGGTATAACTAAGGAATAAACACAAAACCACATTCGGGCTGCCTTAGCCTGACAGGATATAGGTGATCTGTCAGTAATTTACCTGCCTGTTAGAACAAAGTTGAACCCTCTTTAAAGGAGGAAAATGTATTTCATAGCTTCCACGATGTGTCATCCATAATATCCAGCATTCAATTACTAGAAATATAAATATGCAGGAAACTGTGACCAGTAGTCAAAGGATAAATCTGTCAGTCGAAGGATACCAAAGATGACCCAGATTTTGGACATAAAAGACAAGACTTTAGTATGACTGACATTAATATGTCAAAGAAAACAGAGCAAAATCTGGACAAAAATGGATTTAGAAAAGGAGTATCTCAACAAAGAATTAAAATCTATTAAAAGAATCCAATGAGCATTCTATAATTGAAAAATTAATGTCTGAAATAAGAACTCACTGAATGGATGTAACAGCGCACTGGACACAGTAGAAAACAGCGTAAGTAAATAGGAAGACAGGTATACTAAATATATCCAAAAAGAAGAAAAAGAGACAATAGAATGGGCAAAAACAGGACAGAATGTGCAAGAGGTGTGGGATGTAGTCAAAAAGTGCAATGTCTGTGTCACTGGAGTAACAGCTGTGTCACTGGAATACTGTCTGTGTCACCGGAGTAACATCTGTGGAGTAATGTCTGTGTCGCTGGAGTAATGTCTGTGTTGCTGGAGTAACATCTATGTCACTGGAGTAACATCTGTGTCATTGGAGTAATGTCTGTGTCACTGGAGTAACATCTGTGTCACTGGAATACTGTCTGTGTCACTGGAGTAACATCTGTGGAGTAATGTCTGTGTCGCTGGAGTAATGTCTGTGTTGCTGGAGTAACATCTATGTCACTGGAGTAACATCTGTGTCATTGGAGTAACGTCTGTGTCACTGGAATACTGTCTGTGTCACTGGAGTAACATCTGTGTCATCCAGAAGGAGAAGGAGGAAAACGAGGGTAGAGCAAATTTGAAGAAATAATGGCTGAAAATTTTCCAAATCGAATGAAAGTGCCGAGAAAGACAAGAAGTCCTGAAAATGACAGGAAGAAGAATCTAAGTGGCAAGTTGTTAGTGTATTTTCCATGTGACAAATGCCCAAAGTCCCTTCAATTAGTGCTCTTCAAAGTACCCATAGAAAGAAATTCAGATATAGAAACATCTATTCCAAAAGGTGTCCCATGCATCCCTCAAACAAGAGGTTTTTATGTTGTTTTTTAAATAAGCCAATCATGCTTCTTCCAAGGGAACATGAGGTCCATCTACGCCCTCTCTTTTGGTGATCTTACCTAATCCTATGGCTTTATGTTACCATTGAAATGTTAGTGCTGCCTAAATTTATTTATGTATCTAGCTTTATTTCCACTGATTAGTATAATTCTATTAATGAAATGGCATGAAATTCTTTCACTTGGCTGTTGAGGAATAATTCATACATTAACATATCCAAAGCAGCCTCTCAGTGACATTTCAATAACGAAGAGTTAGAAGATCCTATCCTCCCCATTTCAGTAAATGGAACCCCCATTTTATTAGGGCATTCTTGCGTTGCTATAAAGAAATACCTGAAACTGGGTAGTTTATAAAGGAAAGAGGTTTCATTGGCTTACTGTTCTGCAGGCTGTACAAGTATGGCACTGGTATGGCATCTGCTCAGCTTCTGGTGAGGCCTCAGGAACCTTAAAATCATGGCAGAAGGGGAAACAGGTGTATCACATGGTGAGAACAGGAGTAAGAGAGAGGTGAGGGGGGAAGTGCCAACACTCAAATGACCAGATCGCTAGAGAACTCACTCACTATAGTGAAAACAGCACCAAGCCATAAGGGATCCCCCTGTGACCGAAACACCTCCCACCAAGCCCCACCTCCAACACTGGGGATTACATCTCAACAGGAGATTTAGAAGAGACAAACATTCAAACTATATCACTTATCTTGTCAGTTATTTAAAACAAAAATTTAGGAATTACCTTTGATCTCTTCTTTTCTCTTATTCCCCCACATTCACTCCATAAACGTTCTTTGTTAACTTCTAAATAATATTCAAATTCATCTATTTCTCTCTGTTTCCCTCAGGACTCCATAGTCCATACCACTATCATCTTTCCTGGGCAATTAAAAGGTCTTAATTTGCCTGTCTGCATTCACTTTTGTCCCTCTGCCCCCACAATATTATACAAATAGAGCAGTATGAATAATATTTTTGGAATAAAAAATTATATCATGCCACTCCTTGATTTAAATTTTCTATGGGCCTCTCATTACCCTTAGGACAGGGTACCTTAATGAGGCCTCCAAGGCCCTACGCCATCTAGCCCTCCAGCCTCATCTCCCACCCTTCTCTCCTCCCTCACAGCGGTGCTCCAGAGGCACTGCGGCTCTGTTACTTGGAATGCTCAGGCTGCCAAGTTCCCCCGCAGCTCAGTCCGGCTTGCCTGGCCAACCTCAGTTCACATGTGAAGACCTCAAAGGAGTCTTTGCCCAATCACACACTTTGTTTTGTCTTACAGTTCTGTGTTTATTTATTTATGTGTTTTCTTGTTTCTTGCCTGTCTTCCTCATTAGTAGGGAAGCTTTGTAAAGCAGGAGATGGTGTTTTTCCTCCTAAAGCCTGAAATTTTGCCTGAATGCAGAATGTGCTCAGTTATCTGAGAAACAAATGAACAGACATAGAGAAATACCAAACTCCACATAAATCTTTTCAAGTGTACTTTAGCAGCTAACACTTACTGGTTTGCTTTCAGCTATAATCTGCATCCTCCACTTGCACTGTATTGCCAGGAATACATGCATGCAGTTCCACATTTCACCTCTTTGTGGTTTCCCAGGAGCTCAACCAACAGTAGTCCTGGAAAAGCTTGGTGTGAGAGAGGTGAAGAGGCCAGAGTTTTCCTTCCCCACCCTTTACTTTGAGCAGCATCTCCAGCAGTATCTACACCTCACTGTGGCTCCAGGTCCTTTGGCCAGTCCTTCCCTCTCTGGTCTGAGCTCACACTGGTGCCTCCCTCCCACACTGCTCCATCACTCCGGTGGTTTTATCTCTTGCCACATGTTCCAAGATTCTGCCTGGACCCTACGAACTCCATTTCCCGCACAACCCTCCAGTCCCAGAGCTGGTACAATTTCCTGCTATTCTCTGGTTCTATTTTGGTCTCTTGTTTGTGTCTTCAGCTCTTCCATTGGCTACATAACCAACTCCCTGGATTAAATATCCTTTGTTTAAGATATGTAGAGTGGTTACTGATTTCCTGATGGGACTCCAACTGATACACACACATATTTCCAAAATTTTGTCATTGCTCAAAACATTTTGGGACTCCTCTTTTATAAATGTCATCATAATATGCTTATGAACCATTTTGTCTTAGCCTATGTGTGCTACTATAACAAAATATCTCAGACTGGGTAATTTGTAAACAATAAAAACTTATTTCTCATGGATCTGGAGGCTTGAAATCCAAGATCAAGGCACCAGCAGGTTTGGTGTCTGGTAAAAGTCCCATCTCTCTGCTTCTAAGATGGTGCCTTATTGCTGTGTCTTCAGGTGGGGGAAGGCAGAAGGGCTAGAGAAAAAGGCCTAAGTTAGTTACCTCCAGCCCTTTCATAAGGCAGTAATCCATTCATCAAGGTGGAACCCACATGGCTTAATTACTTCCCAAAAGGCCCCACCTCCTAATACCACCACAAATAAATTTTGGAGGGGACACATTTAAACCATAGCACATCCAAAACACAATCTGAGTCCCTAAAAAGGACATGAACTCATCCTTTTTTATGGCTGAATAGTATTCCATGGTGTATATGTGCCACATTTTCTTAATCTAGTCTATCATTGATGGACATTTGGATTGGTTCCAAGTCTTTGCTATTGTGAATAGTGCTGCAATAAACATATGTGTGCGTGTGTCTTTATAGCAGCATGATTTATAATCCTTTGGGTATATACCCAGTAATGGGATGGCTGGGTCAAATGGTATTTCTAGTTCTAGATCCTTCAGGAATCGCCACATTGTCTTCCACAATGGTTGAACTAGTTTACAGTCCCACCAACAGTGTAAAGTGTTCCTGTTTCTCCACATCCTCTCCAGCACCTGTTGTTTCCTGACTTTTTAATGATCACCGTTCTAACTGGTGTGAGATTTGCATTTCTCTGATGACTAGTGATGATGAGCATTTTTTCATGTGTCTGTTGGCTGCTTGTCTTCTTTTTGGAAACCATCATTCTGAGCAAATTGTCGCAAGGACAGAAAACCAAACACTGCATGTTCTCACTCATAGGTGGAAATTGAACAATGAGAACACTTGGACACAGGATGGGGAATATCACTAACCAGGGCCTGTTGTGGGATGGGGGGAGGGTGGAGGGATAGCATTAGGAGATATACCTAATGTAAATGACGAGTTAATGGTGCAGCACACCAACATGGCACATGTATACATATGAAACAAACCTGCATGTTGTGCATGTGTACCCTAGAACTTAAAGTATAATAATAATAAAAAAACATTAAAAAGGAAAAAAATCCACTATCTCCATAATGCCATAAAATACTCCCCAAATATATGAAATTAAAAAATACATATCCCTATATTAAGTAATTTGTTTAAAAGGATATGCTTAACTTGGTGAAAAAAGTCACATTATCCTTATTTTTATTATTTTCTGTGAATCTTATACCAATACCGTAGACCATAAGCCTCACTTAGTTGGATGATATTTCAGTGTTATATGAAAAGAAGGATAAAGGTTGGTGCATTCATTATCTCTCATGTAATCTACATAAGGCTTCTACAGCCCCCTTGCCCATCTCCTTCTGTCACCGTCCCTCTCCTGCTATTTGGCTCTGTTGCCCTGGGAGTAGCCCCAGTTGAGGACACAGATGTTCCTTCCCCACTTCTCTGCAGGCCTGCTGAAGCTGTGAGAAAGCTCAGACTTCCATCCCTACATTGTTGAGAACTGGCAATGTTACAAAGAAGAAACCCCTCAAGACTATCCGACCAAACATTTCGTCTCTGAGAAATGTTCACTCACCCCAGGGTGTGGAACTGAAGGTAAGTCAGTCTATCCAATTGATCAAGAGATATTTCCTGGGGGCCTCCTATAGGCCTGTTACAGTGTTAGGCACTGCAGATGTAGAGATACAAGACATGGTTCTCCTTCCTCCAAGAAACTCAAAGGATAGAGAGGTGTGTCTGGCCAGGGCCAACCATTCTGTAGGTCTGATGAGCACAACTCAAAATTGCCTCCTCTGGTTGTAGGTAGAGCCTGGAGTGCCCAGTTAATGTTTCAAAGACAAGTTCATGAACCACCCATGAAGCTCATGCCTAGTGATGTCCTGTGCCCACCCAAGACTCCTAATTGGGGCACCCCTGTGAGGACCTGGCAAGCCAGTGGGGTGGTGAAGCCTCTTAACTGATGGCTATGTACAACCATATCTGTTACATAGCCTCGTTACTGGTTTGAAGGTAAACAACAATAAAAGAAACTTAAATCCTAAAAAAAAAAAAAAAAAACCACAATCTGATTAATTTGACTCACTATGCAAGCCTAAAAGTGACTTTGGGACATTTCCAAATACTAAAACATAGCATTTCTTCATATACAGAAATTTGTGGATGGAATTCTAAAAGGAATGTTTTAATTTTTTTTGAGAAATGGCAATATTTTTGGTATAAGCATAATCCAAATATGTCGAGGCTTGCTGTCCTTCCTTCCTTCCTTCTTTCTTTTTTTCTTTCTTTCTTGCATTCTTTCTTTCTCTTTTTTCTTTTTCTTTCTTTCCTCCTTCCTTTCTTCCTTTCCCTTCTTTTGTTCTTTTCTTTTCTTTTCTTTCTTAATGTCCCTACTTTAAAGTTACAGCAACTCACTTTTGTCCTCATAGATCCAAAAAATTTAATCTGTAACTAGATATTGGCATATGCATGATAAAAATGTTGATTTGTCAGCAATTCTAGACAAAGGAATGAAGAAAGATGGGAGAGTTCAATATCATCCTATGATCTGTATATCACTACATTTCTTACTGCATATTGGATATCGATTTCCATGACTTCTATGACGTTCCATATTGAAATGACTTCTTCTTTTGCTTTATTCTGAGAGCTGTTATATGGAATGAATTCTGTATAAGACATTCTATCTTCTCCCCAAACAAATACAGACTTGGGCAGTTTTCCATTTTTAAGAGAGAAACTAAAATTATTTCAAAACTAAGTTTTTATTAACATCCCTGCCAGATAAAAAAAGGCCAGGATCATATGCAAATACGGCTGAAAGGAATGTTGGTCATTTGAATTTTAAAGTAGGCGTTGAATGTGTTTCATAGGAGTATTGGTGCCAGTGTCTCCAGACAAGCCTTCTGCAGGAAGCCCTGTGCTTTACCACGAGAGTTTTCTCCAGGGTCAGAGACAGTGGAAGTCGCACTGAAACACTGGAAAACATTACATGCAAGAAAATTCTTAGAATTGAATTCTGGTGTGAGTAATGAAATATTTCCCTTTGCAAAAAAATCAATTTAGTCATCAGATCAAAATCTGAACCAGTCTTGTTTATAATGGCTATAAAAATGTAAATCAAGCAATTGCTGACTTGGTTTCTTACCTGTCCACCCATTGTATGTCATGAACAAACTGAAATGCAGTCTCTCGCTTTAGAGCTAAACAGTGCTATTTTTATGGAGGAAGTCCCTGAATTTTGATGTGAAATATTTTTCTCTAAATTCTGCCATCTGGGAAAGCTTTATAAAATCTTGTTTTCTAACACACCTATCAATAAAATATAATGCTTAAATCAGACAATAAAATATGATTATTTATATTTATATGTTCTGTCAATCTATATGATGTAGCAGGAGTTCTGTGTCCATCAGAATCTCTTTTCCAGTCCTTTCTACTTCTGGATCGCACATGAGGCTGGTCCCAATCCACACCACTGAGAAAATCCTGGGGGAGATAAAGAAGACAGAGAAAGATTTAATCCCAGGATTAACTTGTATTTTAAATATGTTAAATTCATGATACCATGTAGCTAAATGACATCTCTAAAGTATGTCATCCTGCTTGATTCTGGCATGAATATGAGGGTGGATTGGGATGGTGAGAAGGTAAGAGAATTATATATAATTTCTTATTAGACCTGAAGGATTACATCTGTTCTCCTTTCCTTCATCCCATGACAAATTTATTAGTTCTCTTCTTGATGTGACATAGTCATTTAAATTACACATCATCATGATTCCAAAAGCAGAAAGCTCTGAAAATCAATTTTTTTCCTCAGAAAATTTCAGTAAATTTATAGGGAGGCAAAATCTGGTCTGAAGTAACGTGAGTCTTTATCCCAGTTTGGTGCAATATTAATGACTGATTACAAGAGTAGTCAATACATTGATTACCATTAATATTGGATTACAAGAGTGCCACCTCAGAGCTCCCTGAAGAAATTATGTAAAACATGGTGTATGCACTGTATTAGTTTTCTGAAATTTGAAAAATGTTAGGTTCAAAAGCATGAGGGCCCAAGGATTTGTATATGGGACTGTGGACCTATCATAAAATTTGGCCTTGTTGTGATAGATGGCTTATATTAGAAAATTGAATATGGATGTAAAGAGAACAATATTCTGAAACTTCTTTTTCTTTTACAGTAAAAGCAGAGATGTAAAGTACATTTTAATGGGTACCTAATATAATTATTTTCTCCACCTGATCTGCAATTGAAAGAAATAATTGGGCAAATTTAGACTGACACAAAAAATAGTTATATTTAAATGTACTTTTGATGCTTATGTTGACCTGAATTTCTGTTATCTTGACACATTTAAAAAAGGTTTCTTAAAGACAAAGATTCTTTAACTGCTGCTTGATTCCTGGGCCTAAATATTTGCCATTAGCAGGGCCCAGTGTTTAGAATCGTCCAATTATTTCTCTTACTTAATACAGGTAATTATTTCTTAAAAGCTATTGTCAGAGAATACAACTCTTACAGTTTGATTGCAATATCAAAATTAAAAAGTGTCAATCATATGGCTGGATTCCTACAAACTTCATGAAGTGGAGTTGTGTTTATGATCCACAGTCTGGTCTTCAGCTTCAAGAGTCCAGAAACATAATCTCAGGGACCCAGTCTCAGCGACATACTTATAATCATCAGGCTCACAAGGCACTGCTCAATAAGAAAATTAAATGTACTCTTGTATAATAAGATACTCAATTGTAACATGAGTGGTAATTTTCTTTCTTAGAGTGATCAGTGCCTTTTTTTCCTGTAGAAAAGGATAAAGGGGAAGTGAAATACAAATAAAAGGTTGCTGAGTGCATATAAAATCAGCACAAAGGGTGTGGCTGCTCCTGCTATGGCAGTCTGATGCACTCATAGCTGCCATAGGGACATAATTCCAAATCCACAGGGTACTGAATTAGCTGGTATTTGTCTGCTAACACTTGGGGTGTTCTGCCTCCCTTTGTTCCTTGTTTTTTTTGCTATCCCATACAGACAACTTCCATTCTTTTGAGACTTTCTTCCTCTAACTATTGGGATAACTGCACTGTTAGCCCACCATATTACCTGCAGAATTGTAATAAGAAAATACGGCCTTTATCTTCTTCCTGGGGAGATACTGGAGATATTCTGTCTCCTTTCATTATGGTAATTTTCTTTTTTGACACGTTTATAGAGCTATAATTTACATAACATAAAACTCAACTACCTAATGTGAAAAATACAATGTTTTGAGTATATTATTGAGTTGTGCAATTATCACCACAGTCTAATTTTAAAACATTTTTATCACCCCAGAAGGAAATCCTGTATCATTGATAGTCATTCATTATCTCCCACTCCCAGACCTAGGCAACCATGAATGTCCTCACTGCCTCTGTAGATTTGCCTGTTCTGGGCATTTCATGTGCATGGAATCATGTGATATGTGGTCTTTTGCAATGGGCTTCTTTCCCTTACCATGATGTTCTCAAGGTTCATCCATGCGGTACCATGTCTTCATTAGTACTACATTCTTTTCTCTTTTTTTTGGCTGAATAATATTTCACTGTGTGGACATACAACATGTTATTCATCTGCTTAGTAGTTGGTGGACATTTTGGTTGCTTCCACTCTTGGGTATTATGTATAATACTGCTAAGAATACTAGTGTATAGGTTTTTGTGTAGATACAGGTTTTCATTTCTTTTGGATATAACAAGGACAGGAATTTCTGGATCATATGGCAACTCTACATTTACTATTTTGAGAACTCCAAAACTGTTGCTCCAAGTGGACCAGCAATGTATGAGGGTTATGCTTTCTCTACATCTTTTCCAACACTTTTATGGTCTATATTTTTTATTGTAGCCATAGTAGTGGGTGTCGAGTATGATCTCATTGTGGTTCTGACATGCATTTCCCTAGTGACTAATGATGTTGAGCACGTTTTCGTGTGTTTATTGGTCACTTGTATATCTTTTACAGAGGTCTGCCTATTTAGATCCTATGCCCATTTAAAAACTGAGTTACTTTTAAAATGATTATGAGTTGTAATTGTTCTTTGTATATTCTGGATTTATCTTTTATCAGATATATAAATTACAGATAGTTTCTCCATTTTGATGACTTTTCTTTTCAGTTTATTGATGGCATCATTTGGCTAAAGTTTGTCAATTTTTCTTTTCAAAGAGCCAACTTTTGGTTTTGTAGATTTTCTCTAGTGTTTTTAGAATTCCTATTCCATTTATATCAGCTCTAACCTTTATTGTTTCCATCCTTCTACTAGTTTGGAGTTTTGTTTGCTCTACTTTTTCTAGTTTCTATGATGAAAGTTTAAACATTTATGGCTATCACATAGTTTAATTCTGTTTTTGTTTGAGAACATACATTAAATTGTCAGGTACAGTGAGTTCCTCTGCAAAGGTGAAACTTCTTAGTTCTTTGTTTTCAGATTCAACTTCGTTGTACCTTCTCGCCCCCAGTTACCTGCTCTGTAAACAACTATTCCTGCTAGTCCTTACCTGTAACCCACCTTCTCCATTCTTTCTTGTTTCTCAGCTTAATTTGTAACTAGCCATGCCCTGACATGCCCAGACATGCCTTGTACTTGTTCTGTAGAAAACCCTTCCCACCTTAGTAATGAACAGTCTCTCCATCCCCTCCTCTCTTAGCAAATTGTGCATTTACCCCAGTTGGAAAAGTTTAGGTCTTAGCCAATCGGGATAGTTTAGATTGTGTGGTCTGACTCCAGCCAATGGGGAAAGGACACAGAAACAGAAGCTGCGTTAGAGATAAAAACCCTTCTTTCCTTTGTTTGGGGTGCTTGTGTGATCATGACTGATGCAGGCAGCACCCTTCTGCAGAAGTAAATTTTGCCTTGCTGAGAAATTCTCTGTTTGAGTGCTTGTTCTCTTCGTGACTTCAAGCTCTTATTTCCAACAATTTGAGGCTTGTCCAGGATCTCATTCTCCTCAGAGAAAGGGTCAGTTGGTCCCCTCTTGTGAGGAGATGCATCCTGCTGCTTCATTGCAGCGGCCTCAGAAGTGAGGGATCAAGACCCACCCAGTGTGATGAATAAACCTGGGCTCTCAGCAACCTGAAAAGAAAGGCCTACAGATACTGTGGTTGACCAGGTAACTCTGTGCACAGACCAAAGTAAGAAAAGTCATGGGGGCAGTGAAGTATTCCTTGGTGGTCGGGACATCTTGAAGATAGAAAGTACATGAGTGAGACACACAATTGAGTGCGAAGCAAATGTGATCCTTATCTGTGGTTCCATAGTCATCTCATATGGCTTATGGCAGATTCCTGTTGTGAGGTTTATACTGACATGCCCAAGCTAAGAGGGACTTAAATTCCCCCCAGGGAAGTGGCCAGAGATGGACAATGTGAAAGAAAAGGAGCGAAAGAAACCTGTAGTAGGGGGGTTGAGCCTCCAGGGAAAGGGTGCAAGAAATCTCTGGTAAGAGAGGTTGAGCCCCACAGACTCAGGGAAACACCGAGAAAACATGAAGGACCTTAGGGAACTGATAATTAAAGGGATTTGGGAATCAGTACCTCAAACCCAAAATATTTCCTGAGCATTTAATATAAAGCAGGGAAAAGGCGAAGGGTCCATGGAGTTTGTTTGTTTGTTTGTTTGTTTGTTTATTTGTTTATTTTATTTATTTTTTGAGACAGAGTCTCCCTCTGTCACCTGGCAGGAGTGCAGTGGCACAATCTTGGCTCACTGCAACCTCCACCTCCCAGGTTCAAGAAATTCTCCTGCCTCAGCCTCCCGAGTAGCTGGGATTACAGGTGCATGCCACCACACCCAGCTAATTTTTGTATATTTAGTAGAGAAGGGGTTTCACCATGTGGGCTGTGTTTGGCCAGACTGGTCTTGATCTCTTGACCTTGTGATCTGCCTGCCTTGGCCTCCCAAAGTGCTGGGATTACAGATGTGAGCCACTGTGCCTGGCCAAGTTTTTAAACAAACTCATGGAAAAGATGAAAAAAATATGCAGGCTTAGACATAGAGGATCCCCTTAGGCAGGGGATGTTAAACCTCCATTTTGTTACTAGGTAGCCAGATATCATGAAGAAATTAAAAAAAGAAAATTGAGAACCAGAAAGACTGGCCTATAGAGAAACTTTAGAGGGAGGCCCAAAAAGTGTATGTAAGAAGGGATGAAGAAAAGCAAAGCAAAAGGCAAAAATCTTACTGTCTGCTCTAAAACAAAGTATCCAAGGCATCAAACCCTGTAAAGAACTAAGGCTCTACTCGCTAGGCCATATAAAGGGTATGAAAAAGCAAAGCAAGGGAACTTAAAAATAGGGAGAGTAAAAGGGCAAACAAATGTTTCAAATGTGGAAGAATAGGTCACTTCAAGAGAGAATGTCCTGAATGGGAAAAAGAAAAAGAAGTCATCCACTTATGGCCTTTGAGGAGGAATAGGGAGCTCAGGGGCTCTGTTTCTTTTATCTCAAGTCCCACCAAGAGCCCTTGATAAATTTAGAGGTAGGACCCACTTCTTTACCTTTTTAATCCACTCACGAGCAGCTTACTCCTCTGTTTGTTATACTCCATCTGGTGTACTTTGTTCAAAACTATCCTTAATCAGAAGCCAGGAAGGTGGCTTACTGACTCAAGGATTTTAAAGTATGAGGCTATCTTATTAGAAAAGGATGATTTAAGCTTAACCACTAACAATTCACTTAACCCTGCTGCCTTCTTAACAGGGAATCCAAACCCAGAGACCCATGAGCACAAATGTTTAGATCTAATCAGTTATCAAACCAAAGTTAGACTAGACCTAAGTGAAACGCCTTTCCAAACAGGGCGTCACCTTTCTATAGACGGCTCTTCCCGGTTTATTGAAGGAAAAAGGCATAATGGGTACTCCATAGTTGACAGGAACACCCTCACAGAAATAGAATCAGGAAAATTACCAAATGACTGGTCCACACAAATGTGTGAGCTATTTGCCCTAAATCAAGCCTTAAAATTTCTACAAAATCTGGAAGGAACAATTTATACTAACTCCAACTATGCCTTTGAAGTAGTCCATACCTTTGGAAAAATATGGACTGAATGAGGCCTTATTAACAGTAAAGGTCAAAACCTAGTCCAAATAGAGTTATTAATACAAGTGCTACATAATCTCCAGCTGCCAGAAGAAAGAGCTATTGTTCATGTCCCACCATGAGGACACCAAAAAAACCCCTCTTTTGAAAGTCAAGGAAATAATCTAGCTGACCAAATAGCCAATCAAGCTGCCTCTTCCCAAGCTGCATCCATTTTCCATCTAACCCTTCATCTTCCCCCTCCAACAACAACCCCCATCTTCTCTTATGCAGACCAAGAAAAACTAACAAAATTAGGAGCTAAGGAAAACCTAGAGGGAAAGTCGGTACTACCAGACAGAAGGGAAATGTGGTCTAAACCTCTTATGAGAGAAATACTATCACAACTTCATCAGGGAACTCATTGGGACCCTCAAGTGATGTGTGATGCAGTTCTTAGGGTTTATGGATGTATAGGAATCTACACTCTTGCTAGGCAAGTCACAGATAGTTGTATAGTATGCAGAAAAACCAATAAATAAAACTTAAAGACTATTCAGGGAAAGAAACCCAGGGTTGAGGCCATTCCAAAGTGTCCAAGTTGACTACACAGAACTATCCCCAGTAGGCCACCTTAAATATTTACTAGTCATAGTAGATCATCTCACCCTCTGGGTAGAGGCTATCCCTTTTTCAAATGCAACAGCTAACAATGTGGCCAAAGCCCTGTTAGAACATATCCTACCAAGGTTTGGTTTAACAGAGAATATTGATTCAGACAATGGGACCCACTTCACTGCCCTCATCATTAAGAAGTTAACTCAACCATTAGGAATAAAATGGGAATATCATACACCATGGCATCCGCCATCATCAGGGAAAGTAGACAAAATGAATCAAACCCTCTATACCCATTTAAACCAAACTGATTTTAGAAACCCAGCTACCTTGGACAAAATGCATTTCTATTGCCTTTTTAAGAGTCCAGACTGACCCTTGAAAAGACATAGGCCTATCCCCTTATGAAATGCATTATGGGTTGCCTTACCTAAACTCTACTACTGGCCTTCCTACTTTTGAAACAAAAGACCAACTTCTCAAGAATTATATATTAGGGTTGCCTTCCACCCTCTCCTCCCTGAGGATTCAAGGTCTCCTGACACAGACTCCACCCCTCAAATTCCCGGTTTACCACCACCAGCCTGGAGATAACGTCCTTATCAGAAGTTGGAAATAGGGAAAGCTCAAACCTACATGGGAAGGACCTTACTTAGTGCTTCTAACAACTGAAACAGCAGTCCAGACCAGTGAAAAGGGTTGGACTCATCACACCTGGGTCAAAAGAGCACCATCTACTTCAGGACCCACCCCAACCACAGTAACGTTGAAAAGAACAGTTTAATTTGTCTCTTCCTCCTTTTCCTCTTCTCCCCAGCTACCTCACATCTTATTATTAATATAACTAAGTCTAGTTCCCCTCAAACCATTACCTTGTCTTGTTATGCCCTGTGGAGATCTCCAAAGCCAAAGGAAGCTAGCCTCTTTAGAAAAGTACCTTTGCCCTTCCAGGATAAATAGAACTGCCTATAAGAGTGACTCTTGCACCAAACAAGCACAAGGCAGTTATTGGAAGTTCTGTTTTGGCTGGGGAGATGTGGTCTGTACCACCAAGTATCAAGGCTGGACCTCTCCAGGAGGAGGTTGTGCTAACCTAAAGCCTTACTTCCACTTTACCAAAGAGACAACTCCCTCTAATTGTAAACTCCAACAATGTAACCATGTGCAAATCTCTATTACTTTCCCCACCTCTACTGACACTAACCCCATTATAGGTTGCTTCTATGGCCTAGGAGCTGATGTTCCTGGAATAGACCCTATAGGATCCTTTGAGATGTGCTTCATTGCTCCTCCACCCCCTTCCGTTCCTCCTCCTTCTGAACCTTCTTCCAATCAAACAGCTGTTCTTTCAATACCCACTGATAAAACTATAGTAGACATTGTAGAAGTTAAAGATTTAAAGCAAACTTTAGCGATTGAAACAGGATACCATGATGCAAATGCCTGGCTGGAACGGATTGAATATTCTGTTCACAGGTTAAATGAAAGTGACAGTTATGCTTGTGTGGCAGGGAGGCCAGAGGCCCAGATAGTCCCCTTCCCACTTGGGCGGTCTTCTGACTGACTAGGCATGAGCTGCATGGTGAGTCTCTTTCAAAACCCCACAGCCTGGGGCCACGAGGCATGTAAGAATCTCTCACTGCTATTCCCTGAAGTTAAAGGCTCTGTGGGTCAGCCCCAAGGGCCCTCTGGTCTCCAGCTTTTGATGTTAATTGTACCTCATGTCTCTCACGACAGGGGGAAAGATTAACGTCCCTCAGAGACCCAAAAGAATGCAGTGAAACCAAGCCTTTCCGAGAGCTTACTAGTCAAGTTGCCCTTGTTTATTCCCTAGGGGATGCGTGGTGGTATTGTGGTGGACCACTGTTGGGTACTCTGTCAAAGTAAATGGAGAAGCACTTGCGCTCTAGTCCAATTGGCCATCCCTTTTACCCTGGCATTTCATCAACAAAACAGGAAGGAAAATCACAAAAAAAGAGGTGCCCCTCCTGGGTCTTTTGACCTTCATGGTTATGTAGATGCCATTGGAGTTCCACGAGGGGTGCCAAATGAATTTAAAGCCCAAAATCAAATAGCCGCAGGATTTGAATCTGCATTGTGCTGGTGACCAACTATAAACAAGAATGTAGATTGGATAAATTATATTTACTGTAATCAACAGTGATTTTTCAATTACACAAGAGATGCCATTAAAGGAATAACTGAACAATTAGGCCCTACCAGCCAAATGGCCTGGAAGAATAGGATAGCCCTTAACATCTTGACATGATATTAGCTGAAAAAGGTGGAGTATGTATCATGATTGGGACCCAATGCTGTACTTGCATCCCTAATAACACTGCACCCGATGGAACCATAACAAAGGCGCTACAAGGTCTTACTACCTTAGCCACCAAGAATTACTTAGCTGAGAATTCTGGAATAAATGACCCCTTCACTAGTTTAATGGAAAAAGGGTTTGGCAAATGGAAGGGACTCATGATCTCAATCCTCACCTCCCTTGCAATTGTAATAGGTGTACTCATTCTTGTAGGATGCTACATTATACCCTGTGCCTGTGGATTGGTGCCAAAACTTACTGAAACAGCTCTCACTAAAACCTTCTCCATTCTCCCCTGCCTTATTCAGATAAACTGTTACTTTTAGAAAATCAAGAAGAACAACAAAGCCAAAATATGTTAAATAAATTTGAAGAAGAAGAATTATAAAAATCAAAGGGAGGAAATTGTCAGGTACGGTGAGTTCCTCTTCAAAGGTGAAACCTCCTTGTTCTTTGTTTTCGGTATCAACTTCCTTGTATGTTCTCACCCCCAGTTACTGCTCTGTAAACCACTATTCCCACTAGTCCTGACCTGTAACCCACATTCTCCATTTTTTCTTGTTTCTCAGATTAATTTGTAACTAGCCGTGCCCTGACATGCTCAGACATACTTTGTACTTGTTCTGTAGACAACCCTTCCCACCTTAGTAACAAACAGTCTCTCCCTCTCCTCCTCTTTTCACAAACTGTGCATTTACCCCATTTGGAAAGGTTCAGGTATTAGCCAATCAGGATAGTTTAGATTGTGTGGTCCGACTCCAGCCAATGGAGAAAGGACACAGAAACAGAAGCTGTGTTAGCAATAAAAATCCTTCTTTGTTTGTTTGGGGTGCTCTTGTGATCATGACTGATGCAGGCAGCACCCTTCTGCAGAAGTAAGCTTTGCCTTGCTGAGAAATTCTCTGTTTGAGTGCTTGTTCTCTTGGCAACTCTGAGCTCTTATTTCCAATGTATTAGTCAAGTATGGTTGGAGCCATATGTGGCTTGGATACTACTTTTGCCCTATGTTTAACTCAGGACTTCGAGCTCAGAGATTCCCTCTCTGATCATTCTCAGAGGTTAGTGTTGGGCAGGCACATAATCTTCCTGACTGTCAGACATGACTGTAGCTTTGGTTGGGCTCTCTTTGTTTTTTTTTCCACTAATTTCCCCATTTACCTTTTGTTCTTCTCTGTGGTATCACCCCCAACTGGCAGCCTCCACTAATTGCTACTGATTGCTTTATTAATTTTTACATTGTCCTGGGACATAAATTGTTCTGTTGTCTGATCCAAATACAGCCAGGCCCCATGGCAGGGTAGGGTATTGCTCACCTTTGGGGCTTGGTCTGACCCTCCTCGAGGAAGAATTTCTGTACTGTGGAGCAGAAGGTAGGCTGCAGTGGGGATGAGGATTCACTCTTCACCAGCTAATCCATCTAGATCCTCCTTATGGGCTAGAGCTGCATGGGTGTGGGGAGTGGGGAAGGGGAAAGGTTAGGAGTTAGTGCTGCCACTGGTGCTGCCATTGCCCAGTAAGAATTTCCTGCAGGCAACCTTTGAGGAACTTGGGATCTGCCAATGTTCACAGGCTGCTGAAGCTACCCCAAATAGTTCTTCCACCCCAGAAAGCTGGGGAAGGGACTACCACTTGGTTGCTGAGAAAACCAGAGCAGCTCTCAGCAACATAGAGCTGTGCAGGAAAAGCAAATTTCATTCTTCCTTATCTTCTCTGCTCAGGTATTCCCTATGGAGTGGGAGTTGACAGTGGGGGAATAGGAGCCTTGCTCAGCTTCTCCCATCCTCCTGGTACAGGATTTCCACAAGATGAAGTTGTACAAAATAGAATCTGTTGATGTTTCCTGGCTGCTGAATCAGTAGGACTAGGTCTTCTATCCAGGGAGCTGGGGGAGACAGGAGATGCCACTCAGCTGCTGAGCCTGCTGGAAGAGCTCTTGTACAAGGTGGAGCTGTGTCGTGTGTGTGTGTGTGTGTTTGTGAGATACAATTTTGTTTTTCTTTTATATCTATTCTTTTTCTCTAATTTTTGTTTTGTATACATTTTCTTTTAGTTTTTCTTTTTGATTATTCATCAGTGACTTTTACTTTCCTGTAGTACCTACTTGCAGGAAGTTCTCATGGTGTAGGGTGACATCAGGATCATATTTCATGCTTCAAAGCTCTGAGAGTCTCTGCCACACAGGCAGAATTTTACAATTTGAAATGACAAAAATTGGTCTAACATGATCGATATTGAGAAATATTCAGGTATACTTACTGGACTTTAAAAGATAATTTTAAAATCTATGAAAAGTTGAGAAAATGATCAAGTTTTATAAGAGGAAATGCAGTTAAGCTGAATTCACTTCTCCATGGCAACATATAAAGCCAGATGACAGTGAGGCAATGCCTACAAGATCTTTAAGGAAAGAAAGTGTGAGCAAATAATTTTTTATCTAGCCAAATTAGATAGGTTTTAAAATAGGTTTTAATACATAAAAGCTCAGAAAATACTGTTTCCTGAGCCATTTAAAAAAATAACACAGGAAAAACTTCAATAAAACATAAATTGGCTAAGGAAGCCAGAGCAAAGGTAATAGCAGTGAACATTGATAATATTTATCTGTAAAACTAAGATTAAAGAAATATGGAAAATTAATGTGACAGAATATAATGGAAATGTATATGCCTTGAAAATGTGGAAATGATACGTATACTAGTATATGTATATGAAAGAGAAGGTAGCAAAAAAAGTGTGAAGTGGCATAGTTTTGCTAATTGCCTAATTTGTAATGTCTGGGAATCAAAAGTATCACATGAAGTTGCAAAATCAAGTATTTAAATCATAAACATGTTTCACAGTTCAAAGGTGAACACTAAGAAATATATTGACTAAAACTTGGCAGTGGAAGGAGAAAAGAAATATGCTAATTTTTATCTTACTTATAGAGAGAATTGTATTAACTTACTATGGTTGCTCTAACAAACTACCTCCAACTACCACAAACTTAGCGACTTAAAACCACATAAATTAGGCCAGGCGCGGTGGCTCATGACTGTAATCCCAGCCCCTTGGGAGGCCAAGGCAGGCAGATCACGAGGTCGGGAGTTCAAGACCAGCCTGACCAACATGGTGAAACCACATCTTTACTAAAAAATACAAAAGTTAGCTGGGCATGGTGGCATGTGCCTGTAATCCCAGCTACTCAGGAGGCTGAGGCAGAAAAATCACTTGAATCCAAGAGGCGGAGGTTGCAGTGAGCTGAGATCACGCCATTGCACTCCAGCATGAGTGACAGAGTGAGACTCTGTCAAAAAAAAAAAAAAAGAAAGAAAAAGAAAAAGAAAAGAAAAGAAAAGAAATAGAAACTATACAAATTTATTATCTTATAGTTCTGCAGGTCAGATGTCCAAAATCAATTTCACAAGGCTAAGGTCAAGATGTTGGCTGGGCTGCTTCCTTCTGGGGATTCTGAGGGAAGAATTCATTTCCTTGCCTTTTTTAGTTTCTAGTAGCCACTTGAGTTCCTTGGCTGGTGGAATACAAGTGGTCACTAGAAACTGAAAAAGGCAAGATGGACCCTTCCTCCATCTCCAGAGTGTATCACTCCAATCTCTGCTGTGTCATCAGATCACCTTCTACTCGAATCTGACTCTTGCCTGCCTTTTACAAGGGCCTGTGAGATTACATTGGGTCCCCTGGGTAACCCAGGTTAATCTCACCATCTCATGATCCTTACATTACTGATAGCTACAAAGTCCCCTTTTCCATATACAGTAACATTCACAGGTTCTGGATGTTAGGACATGCACATATTTGGGGGGCACTTATTCAGTTTACCAGAGAAATTAATGTGTATTTTCTTCAGAAGCAGACGATTAAGGTGATTTTATGTAATCGTGATTATGAGGATAACCACTTCACCTTTATAAGCATTGTTATGGACTAAAATGTGTCTCCACAAATCTATGTGTTGAATCCCTAACCCTCAATGTGACTGAATTAAATGAAGTCATAAGGATGGGGCTTTAATTTTATAGGACTGGTGTTTTTACTGGTGTTTTTACAAGAAGAAGAAGAACCACCAGAGCCCTCTGTCTCTTTTTTTACATCCATGGAGATAAGGCCATGTGAGGACACATCGTGAAGGTGGCCATCAAAGAACAAAGGAGAGAGGCCTCACCAGAACCCTCCTATGCTGGCACTTTGATCTTGGACTTCCAGCCTCCAGAACTGTGAGAAAATAAATTTTTGCTGGTGAAGCCGCCCAGTCTGTGGTACTTTGTTATGCCAATCCTAGCAGACCAATATAAACAGAACCCATTCTAAATATCAGAGGAACTAAATACAAAAACAAGAAAAAATAGTACCCTATATTATTAGAAGCTGCAAAACAAAACCAAAACTTTGCAAAACCCAGAAAACTTAATGCAAAATAATAGGAGAGAATTAAGTCAAAATATGTCTGTGAAATTAATGAATACAAATGGGCTTAATTTACCTACAAATACAAAAATATTTTCAAATTGAATTAAAAAGCAAATCTCAACTCCGTGCTATATATAAGGAACACTCCCTAAATAAAGAGATTCAGAAAAGTTGCAGATAAAAATGATAAAACATTACACTAGAAAAAGGCAAAGAAAAAGAAAGCAGAGGTAGTGATGTTGTCCTAACACAAAGGATTGAGGATTGAGTTGTTAAATCAGAGTTCCACGAACCAGACAATCTACTATATATCAAACCTTATTAGTAATTTCCAAGTGACACAGCTATAGCAGCCAGGTGTCCAGGACATTCACATGTTCACCAGGTCCCTTTTGCTTGCACTGGACATACTCTCTGGCCAACTCATAAGATGATATTTCTAAATGAGTCTGTGGTTACCTTGCTCATGCATGGCAGAGAGCATTTAGGTTATGAAATGCCTTTATTTTATCTCAGATTTATATAATTTACATAACTTATGTGATATTTTCCAGGAGACATGGCTTGTATGTCCAAAGATTCTCAAGTTATTTACCGCAAACAATCCTAGAACAGGAACATCCTGCTAAAAGCATTCAATAGATAAGGACTCTTTTCTTATCTATTTCAATTATTCAACGTATTTTCTAGAGCATCTTTTAAGGTATGTTTACAAGGTGATTAGACTGAGCTAACTGCCTCCTTTATTTCCAAGGAGTTTCTCCCAAATCCTATAACTGAAGAGAAATGGATTGCAGGATAGTTGCTTAACTCCATCCTTCCCAGATGTTAATACCAGACAAGATGAGATGTGGGACAGAATGAACTAAATTAGCATTAATAAGTGAAATGTGCAGTGAAAGCATAACAATTGTAAATAGCAATGCATCAAAAAGTATGGCAATAACATTCATAAAACAGAAATTACAGAAGACACAAGAAACACAAGTGTGGTAAGGGAATTTAGATCACCTCTTTCTTATATGATACATCAAGTTGACAGTAAATAAATAAGGATATAAAAGACTAAAATACCATGGTTAATAAGTACATGTAATTGACATTTACTAAACTCTGTATCCTTAAATTGGAAAAAATATCTTCTTTTTCAAAAGCTCATGGAACATTCACATTTCCCATCTATTGAACCACGTAAGTAAATTTCAATATACTCCAAAACAGGAGAAAAGAAAAAAACTCAGACAATTTGATCATAGTCACATAAGAATAGAAATAAATTTTAACAATTAGAAAACAGAAAAGTTTCTCCTTTTGAACATTTACATTTACAAAACTCTTAAACAACTCTTGGATCAAAGAGGAAATAGAAACCAAAATTAGAGAATTTCCTCAAAGCGAGATAATGAAAACATTGTGTTTAAAGACCTTTGAAATAAAATAAAGTGAGAATTCAGAGGAAAATTCAAGCCTTACATACTTTTAACTATTGGGAAAAGGAAGAAATAAATTATCCTCCAAATGGAAAAGATGGAAGAACAGGAATAGATTAAGCTGAACAAAAACAGAAGAAAGGAATTAGTAAAGGTAAAAGCAGAAATTATGAAGCTTTTAAAAAGAAATACAATAGACTAAATTCAAATCTGGTTCTAAAAAAATAATGAGAAATGATAGAATAGATAAAACACTGTGTTTGAAAAGGGGAAAAATTTCAAATATAAAAATTAAGTAATCATAAGGAAGGAAGAAACTATAGGATGATATAATTTGCCAAAATTAACACCAGAAAAGATTTTCCAATTTTTTTTTCTGATTTTTTTTTCCAATTGCATTCTGGTAAAAAGAAGAGCAGATTCTTACTGAACCTATGCAAAAATCTATATGGTCATTAAAAAGTAGAGAGATTCAATAAGAGAAGTGAATGGTGTGGAGAATGAGAATCAGATGTCAATTAAAAATGTTTAATTTCCTTGTATAAAGTTGGAGTCTACTAAATTGCTACAGGTTAAGAATAGCTCAAAGATATCTAATGGGTGGTATGCAGCTAAATGTTTAACCACTGGCTCTTTAGAAAAAAAGAAAACAAGACCCTGACTGATAGCATATGCTAACTTCTGTGGTTTCAATACTTGCCTATCATGGCTGAGTCAGCAACCGATGTGATGTTACCGAACGCAGCACACCATTATACAGTACCCGCCACGTCCATATAATAGACATCTCCAGAGCACAGACTAAAGCACAGTAAAATAGTGAGGAAGTGATTCATTTATTTGTTTAATACCTTTATTTATAACGTAATTTATTAAGACAACATAATAATATGATTTTATAGTATAATTTTATAATATGATATATAATTAACATTTGTATAATTTAATTTTTAGTAGAGTCTGTTTTTAACGACCAGAACAAAAGATTCCCAAATGCTAAAGCACACTACTTACTTTAACTATGCTTTGATTAAATCACCCCCCTCTGAGAATTACAGGTATACCTGCACTCCTGCCCGGTGATGTATACACACAATTGCAGCATTGCTTGTGATAGAAGGAGATGAAAACAATCCAAACTTCTATTTGTGAAGGATTGGTTATATAAACTCTGGTATAGCCTCAAAGTGGAATACTCTGAAAAAGTTAAAATTTTTTTTTTAAAATTGAGAAAACTGTGTCTCAGTATAGAAATACCTCCAGAATGTACAACTACATTAAAAAAAAACATGGTGGGGAACAATTAATATTTTTATGTAAAAAAGTAGAGTATGTAATTTGATTTCATTTGCGTAAAGAAACACAAAAACACATGTAAAAGAAACTGAGAAAGTAGTTTGCTTATATGAGATAGGAGTAGGATGGGAGGAAAAGGATAGAATAGGAGAGAACAAAGCTTCCAAATATCTTTGTAAATAGTTTTGACTTTTGGTTCATGTGAACATATTAGCAAAACAATTAACAATCTTTTTTTTTTTTTTTTTTTTTTGAGACAGAGTCTCACTCTATTACTCAGGCTGGAGTGCAGTGGCATGATCTCGGCTCACTGCAATCTCTGCCCCCTGGATTCAAGTGATTCTCCTGCCTCACCCTTCCAGGTTGCTGGAATTACAGGGGCATGCGCTCATGAATGAATAATTTTTTGTATTTTTAGTAGAGACAAGGTTTCGCCATGTTGGACAGGCTGGTCTCGAACTCCTGACCTCAAGTGATCCTCCCGCCTCGGCCTCCCAAAGTGCTGGGATTACAGGCGTGAGCCATCACACCTGGCCAACAATCTTTTTAAACTAATAAGGAAATCTTGCTTGTTTTGACCTATACATAATGTTTTTTATTGTTCACCATCTAAGCTTGATAAATTATCCTATATAACAAAATGTTACTTTCACGTTTCATGTAATCCTGTTCATATCAATTATTTTTCCCCAAATAAACATATTTTCGGTATTCACTTATTCGATATTTTTCTTTTCATTGACTGTGGAATTGATGAGTCTTTTTTTCTACTTGCTTTAGTTGTCCAAATACAGTCTTTTTATGGAGAAGTTCAACATACTAGTATTGATGCAATTTTTCAAAATTGTTTCCGTTGTGACCATTTGTTTCTGGTTTAAAATTACATTAGGTAGCTCTTGCACAATGAAGACAATGAAGCCACAGTTCATGCTTCAGTGTTAAAGAGAACACTTGACAGTCTTCTCACATTTTAATTTTACTGTTATGACTCATCTCTGCTTTCATTCAAACTAAAATTTTTGTGCAACCTGGGAAGGTGAAAAAAATCACTGGGTTGAAATTCAAGAGGAAGATTCTATTCCTAGTCCTCCATTTATTAAGTGATCATGGTTATAGGGCTTAACCTCTTGGAACATGTTTTCTTAATTATAAAATAGGGATAGTCAGTTTTTTTCTGAGTAAAGTACAAGGAAGATATGACCAAATATAAGGCATTTTTTATATGAAGTACCTTGATGAAAGCAAAGACTCAAACAAATTTATGATATTATTATTACCATGACCACAGAGGTGGCTTAATATGCTGCCTAGATTTTGAAATATAAAAAATTTCTATATCTTCTAAATAAAGCTGGATTCAAATTTTGCTGTGTCATTGAAAGTATTTATGCCAGTTCTATCTCTGTTTATTTTTAATCTCTTTACCAAGAGTAATATTTTATAGCACCTACTCCCTCTGCTGTTTGAACGTCCTTGTTTTCACATTGTGTTAAACTGTGAGTGGGGGGCAGGAATAAATCACATAGAATTCACCTCTGTATCACCTGAAACATGCTTGCAATTATCTCGTTCTTTCTTAGGGTAGATTATTCAAACATTCTCTATTCTGTTTTTCTTTTCTTGTAGTTTGTAGAACCATGCTTTGATCTTCTTTCTAAATATGATTTTTTGAGTGCAGTCTAAAGCTTTTAATTTGAATGGCACATGCTGTGAAATGCTAGAAACTGAAGATCTTTTTCTTATAAGACAAAGGAGTCAGTAGAGATGATATTATTAGATGTCATGAGCTACTGAGCCTTCTCCACTGAGAGGATTTTTGTTTCTAGACTCTGAGTGCTAACTGAATAATTGTTAACTTTATTGCAAAATAAGTAAAATTTTGAGCAATCACTGCCTTCAGATACAAAGCTTGTTCCAAGTATAATTGCCTTTGGAGTCATGAACTCCTAAGTTTTGTTAAACTCAGTGAATTTATTGATCTTAATAAATGTGCACAATGCTATGTGGGATCCAAAGAAATCCACCAACCAGTTTTCTCTAGACTTGGGTTCTACCATTTTGGCCATAATTATACTTCAAGATGTATGTAAGAAAAAAGAAAAAAAAATGCTGTCGAAGTTGGTAAATTAAATATAACCACTGTCTCAAGGTAATGCTAGCTTTCCAACACATGCTTATATTCTATCAGCACTTTTACTGGTCCCGAGCCCATCCATTCTCCTTTGCTTCTTTAATGTGAAATGTAACATATAATTTGTCCTTTTTTTTTTTTTGAGACTGGGTCTCACTATGTCCCCAAGTCTGGAGAGTAGTGACACTGTAACCTGGAACTCCTGGGCTCAAGCTGGAACTACAGGTGGGCACCATTCCTGGCTAATTTTTATTTTTATTTAATAATTTTTGATTTTTTAAAAAATATTTTTGTTGTACAGGGCTGGCCTCAAAAGATCCTCCCTCGTTGGTCTCTCAAAGCACTGGGATCATGGCAAGAGCCACTGCGCCCAGCCTGCCATCATTTTTAATTCATCCAATTAATTTATGCTTTGTAGATGCCAGAAATTGTATTGGAGATATGAGTAAAAGTATCAGTATGAATATTTATTAACTAAAAATGCTTTTCTCTCTTTGCATACAGGACAGTGGGTTTGGTAAGGTTGAGGGTGATCAGACTACTTGCATGACCAGACCAAATTTTGGGGGACTGAGCACTGTAGGTTTGGTAATAAAGACCCACCATCCCAGGGTGAAGTTTGTCTTCCCTCTGCAGAAGCTGACAGCATGGCTGCCTTGTCAGAGCGCTTTCATGCCAAGGAGCCAGGTGAGTGGGGAGGAAGAGTTTAAAGTCTGCTGGTTGCTCAGGCTACACTCTGGAGATTCTGCACAGCCTCTCCCGGCCCATTCAAGAGCAAGGCAAAATCCAGCCATTCAGGGACTGAGGAGTCCCTCACTCCCAGGGAAGCCAGTTATTCTCCAAACTAGCAGTCAACCAGTCCCTCTCTGGTAAGTGCTTTTGTGCATCTGCCCTAAATGTCCTTGCTTGCTGGATTGTGCATCAGTAATTATAGTAATTCCTGAAGATGAAAAGCTCCTGGCCATCTTGCTCTCCCTGCAGACTCATGTCTTTATCCATAACCTGAAACTGTAAGACAGTCATCTGAACTATGAGCAACACTTTCATGTAAAGAGTGTGTTCAAGCCCTTTAAAATGGTTTTTTGATTCAGTTCTCAGAAGTTGAAGAATGGAAAGTGCCTACAGCTACAGTCCAAACCAGAATTTTCAAGTACAGTGAAGGCGGGAATGATGGAAGTAGAGAGGCATCCACTTGTCCTCCAGACCCACTTGAGGGGGATCATATCGGAGCGGGAGAGTCAGTTCAGCCAATGTTTGTGAAAATAATCCTTGGAGGGGTCTGATCTTCCCACCATGCTTCTTCTAAGGTAGATGAGGAGCATCCCCACACTGGGGAAGAGAATATAATTCCCAGAAACAGTCTTAGTAAACACTAATGTGAGGTAATGATAGGGGCTTGGGTAGGGGTAGAGGATCCTCCTGGACTTGACAGAAAACAAACCAAACAGAGAGAGAAAAAGAAAAGATCCCTTGGAACTTGAATATGTCTTTGCAAAAGGATTATTTATTTATTTTTTTAAAAATTGCCTTAAGGATTATAAATCATGCTGCTATAAAGACACATGCACACGTATGTTTATTGTGGCACTATTCACAATAGCAAAGACTTGGAACCAACCCAAATGTCCAACAATGATAGACTGGATTAAGAAAATGTGGCACATATACACCATGGAATACTATGCAGCCATAAAAAATGATGAGTTCATGTCCTTTGTGGGACATGGATGAAGCTGGAAACCATCATTCTCAGCAAACTATCGCAAGGACAAAAAACCAAACACTGCATGTTCTCACTCATAGGTGGGAATTGAACAATGAGAACACATGGACACAGGAAGGGGAACATCACACTCCGGGGCCTGTTGTGGGGTGGGGGGATGGGGGAGGGATAGCATTAGGAGATATACCTAATGCTAAATGATGAGTTAATGGGTGCAGCACACCGACATGGCACAGATATACATATGTAACTAACCTGCACGTTGTGCACATGTACCCTAAAACTTAAAGTATAATAATAATAAAATTTTAGAAAAGTAATATATCATTTTGTAAAACTTCAAATAATACAGGCATTACAGAGAATAAAGAGTGAATTTTCCTTTAAAAAATTGCCTTAATTTAATTTGTCTGCAAAAGGATTTAGAAAAAGTGATTTCGGAAATTCTTTTACAGAGAACCTTATGAAAAACTCAACTTCCTACAAACTGGGCAGATAGAGGCTGATCAGCTGAGACACAAAGTGGCTTTGCCATGTGTGACCCATGGCCTGGCAGCACTGGAGCAGCTGTCCACTGCAGCAGGAGCCTTCTCTCCCTACAGTCACCAATAAGGATGACCTTTGGTCAAAATCCAGGCTAGTGATGACCTATAGTGTGTGGAGTTGGCTGTGTTTTAACCTCAGTGGAAACATACTGAATTTCAATGAGTAAAGGGGAGAGTAACATCACACAAGCCAAGAGCCTGAGACCTTGTCTACCAGAGGGAGGGCACCTCCATTACAGAGAGCAAAATTCTCCCATGGCCAGCGGCAAGGGGTGCTTTTTGTGTTCCCACAGTTGTGATATAAAGTGGGGAGTGGCCCTGGGCAGTGAAAGAGAGGCAGGTATGTTTCGCACTAGCCATGTGGCATACCCCTACCCTCTGCCCCAGGTTAGGAGTACCTTCAGCAGAGACTCTAAGGCCCAGTGGGTCTTTGCCCTTTCACTGTTTTATTGTCTGTTCATTTCTGTTCTATTGCACAAATATAAAACATAATTTTAATTATAGATATTACTGGTGTCTCCAGTGACATTCTCTTTGCCAAATAACTTATTTAAGTTCTTGGACATGTGGACACTGTTGATCACCTCTCCATCCTGAAATTCTTTCTTCTCTTGGTTTCTCTGCTTATGTTCCTCCTTTTTCATTGATGCCTGTTCTTCATCAGTGTTCTTTGATAGATCCCTATTAAAGCGCATGCTTTCTCCAGCATTTTCTCATCAGCTTGATTTTCTTGCGATGTTCACTTTCCATGCCCTTATTCACCTGCATGGCTCGGCCTGTGTCTCTCCAACACAATCTGCCCAGCATTAGACAGCCCTGGACCACGCACACAAATGAATGCCTCACTGATGCCTCAAACACAGCCTTCCAAACCCAAGCTCATTATGTTCTTTCTACAGCTTGCTGTGATTCCTCCTGTATTTCTTATTTCAGTTAATGGCACCGTCATTCACTTGGTCACCCAAGCATAATCCTAAAGTAATTCTAAACTCTTTCTCCTCCCTAACTTCCATATTCATCCAGACCATTTCTTGTCAATTTAATTTCCTACACAGTTCTCAAAACTATCCTATCCTCCCCAATCTGCTTAGCAATTGTGTTGTTTTAGGGTTGATTCATCTCTAACCTAGATGGTTAGGAGAGCTTTACTACTGTTCTCTGTCCAAAGGTGTCCTCCTTGTGTCAGTCAGGGCCACTTCCACCACACGGTCAGCTCACGATCCCAGCACAGCCGGGCCGACCTGCTCTTCCCTGAGTCTGCACCCTGGCTGTCCTGATGCACCACTTTCCTCCCCCCACACCTTCTGTAACACTGCAAGCCCCACACCACCACGTGTCAGGCTCTCACACCTTTGCACATGTGCCTCCCTGCCTTTCCTTCTTGATAAAATTCTTGCTTAAATTCCGATCCCTACCTTAGTGTCATCTTTCTTCTACTACCAGAGATAATCTCAACTTCTTTTGAAATAATTCTGCCCATACGTCTGATGTGCCATTCATTGCTTTGTGTTGCCAAAATTTCTCTCACTCCCCAACTTAGAGTCTGACATGTGACTGGCATTGACTTTTCAAACCTGTGGATTTAATGCAGTCAAGAATTTCAGTATAAGCAGTTCCAAGTTTAAGTCTATGGCCGTGAAAAAGTCCTGGTTGCATGTTGTCTATGTCACATGCAGATGCGCGGCACCTTTAGCTGGAACAGCACATGATTCCAATTGAATTTGGAGCTCCTCACACCTCCTCATTCCCTCCAGTATGTTCACCAAACTAAAGACAAGTGATACTTCAAAGACCCCAATCTGGGCATGCCACTCTCCTGCCTGAGAGCCTTCACTGGCTCTTTATTACTCTTAGGCTGAAATCCAAAATCTTTGACATTCTTGACAAGGCTCAGCATGGTCTGCACCTTAACTGCTCTTGATCACCAGGCTCAAGCACCTCAGCCTCGTCAGGGTGCCACAGAAATGCCCCACTCTTGACCATCTACATTCTTCACATATGCTGTGGAATGCTCTTTCTTCCCCCTCTCCTGGATAACTGCCATAACTGCAATCCTTAAATATCAGCTTCAATGCCATTTCAAGAAGGGCTTCCCTGATGTTCTCTGACTGAGCAGGGTTCCCAGACACCAGGTCTTCTTCAGGGGATCTGCACACTTGTGTAGACTACACTGCACCTAAGTGTGCAGTATCTCACAGTATGCTTCACACCGAAGACAAGACTGATTTGGGTATTTATTATAACAACTTGCTGACAGATCTAAGTAAAGTGCCTTATGAAAGGGATGCTATTTTTAAATTTCATGCAAATTTGCTGCACTGGCTATCACTGTTTATTAAACACCTTTCCACATAACATTTGCCAGAGTTGGATGAATTTGTTATTAATTATTTATTAATTATTCCTAACATTAAAAAAATTTAGATCCCATGTGTCACACTAGCTTCACATCCTCTTTGAGAAGAGATTGTCTCTGTGTTGGTATTGTTGTATCCCCAGAGGGTGCCTTTTCTTCAGCCACTTGGGGATACTCTGCAATATCTGCTGAGTGAAGTGAGCTGAAGCCAGCTGCATCCCGGCTCAGCAAGACTCCATTGGCTGCACTGGGGTCTTAAGCTAATGAAGTTGCTCCCTCCAGCTCTGCACTCATTGCTGCACAACAATATCTGTTGTTGGAGCCACAAGAAAGGGAGTTAATTGCAATTTACTGGTGGGTTATCTAGTCTATCTAACAAAAATGTCAAAGCCACCCACTACCCAGGATGCTCCTTAGCATTGTAGCATTATCCAATAAAAATCTCCACATTTTCATCTTTAAAAGTGCTTTCCATGTACTTAGTTATAAGCATAGTGTTTGCATTGAGTAGAATGGCCAAGTATAACCACATGTGCTTTATATCAGTGTGTAACAGTATATAGCATTTTAGCAGTTTACTTTTCCTTTCTATTTTATGAGCTTTTATCTGATATTATGATAAAATTGCATACTCCTAAGAGCATGACTCCACAGAAGCAGCCATACTTCCTGGATTTAGAGACTCGAGTGGGTTCCCCTGGCAACCTGAGCCACCTGAGGGCTTCTCAATGCTCTGTTCATTTTGTCTTCCCTTTATTTTGGCCATTAATTTGGTAAACAAGAAAGGTAAGAGTGCTCAAATGAAATAAAACTACTGAGGCCCTTATGAGGTCTCAGCAGGTCTGATGTGTTACTGAAGGAGATGTGATCCTTCAATGACAGTTTGCAATCAGACTTAAAAGAACTCTAAGACTTGATAATAATTTTCAAAATTATTTGAAAGGGTTGAAGGGATATGGTTGAACAAAGGGAAGATTTCCTTATGCTCTTCATATTACACTGCTCAAAAGAGTTGTTCATCTCCAGGCGGCAAGACGCTGGTGGTCAAATCCCACTTTGGGGTCATGGCGTCTTGAAAGAGACAGGAACCCCCTTCTGCCCTCCGCTGATGGAGGGAAGGGCTGTATCAGTCATTAGTGTGTCCAGGTGTGGCATGGACATTAGCTGTGGGATGCAGTGGGGACCTGTGTTTGTCAGCCTGAGGCAGTGAATCCACTGGGGAAATTGAGGTGCCTAAACCCCCAGTCTCCCCCAGGCCTGTCTCCAGTACCCTGTGGAGAAGGGGAACTTCCCCACTCCCTTTCAGAACCTTCACCTCAGGGGCTGAGCCCTTGCTCCCTTTGTGTCTTGCCGGTCCCTTTGCCTGAGAAGAGAATGTCTCTCACTCAGCAGGATCTGACAGCTACCCTTGGACTAGCAGAGTTTTGCAAAGAAATGATGGTGACAGTTTATTTACGGACGCTCAGATTCGCGGCCGTATAATGGAGGCAGCCCTACTGTGAGGGAGAAGTGAGGAGAACGTGATGGCTGCAGGGATTAATGTAAAACAGAGACACTGTCACCTCCCTGGAGCACCACTGAGGCCCGGGTAAGGAGAGTGTTTTGCCCTTCTCAGATACTATCAGCAATTCAGGTAATACCCGTAAGGTGCAGTTTGTCTGCAGCCTGTCATCCCAGTTAGAGCAGACGGAATGGAAGAGAACGCAAGGAAATATTCTATTTATGTGTCTTTTAAGTCATTATTTTATGAACTGGTCTTATTCTAACTGGATCATTTTGTTACTTTCTTTGGATGGGCCATTCTAATAAGCGTAGTTCCTGACTGCGAACTATGCAGATAAGAAGTTCTAGACACAATATGAAAATCCAGGTGCATACTTGCACTAAATAGGCATGCTCCTCCTTTTTACTAAATCTAAATGGCTCAGTCTCAGGTCTTGGGGAAGGCTGCATGGCCGGGGACCAGGCGGTGTGCCGCTCGGGCAGTTAGTGGGCCGGGCGAGCCTGCGGGGCTGGAGGGGACGCGGGGCTGGGAGGCTGGGGAGCTGGGGGCTGACTCCGGGCGGGCGGGGCGGGGCAGGGACCTGCCGGCCTGGGGCGGGCGCACCAGACGAGCTCTCCGCCCGCAGGCCCCCAGCGCCCAGCCGCGTCCCGGCTGCGTCCCGCCGGTCCCGCCCCGCCCCGCCCCGCAGAGCCGCCGCCAGTAGTGGGAGACGTGCGCTGAGAGGCGGGGGCTGCGCTCGGCGGAACAGCAGCCCTCGGGCGGAGAGCGGGGCCGGGGTCCGAGAGCAGGTGATGCCAAGAGCTGAGCGGGACTCGTGAGCGCGCGGTTCAGCACCTACCAGGGCGTCCCGTAAAAAACCTCGCCTTCGCCTGTCTCTGGGAACCATAGGTAAGCTTTGGGCTTTCGAGGTGCAGTTCTAGGTAGAGCTCCGTGCTGGGAGGTGGGAAGGGGGCTTGACCCTGGGGACTCAGGCAGTCTGGGGACAGTTCCACCAGGGGCCGGTGCCTAGAATTGGTGAGGGAGGCACCTCAGGGGCTGGGGGAGAAGGAGCGAGCGCTCTTCGCCCCTCTCTGGCACCCAGCGGCGCGCCTGCTGGCCGGAAAGGCAGCGAGAAGTCCGTTCTCCCTGTCCTGCCCCCGGCGACTTGCGGCCCGGGTGGGAGTCCGCAGGCTCCGGGTCCCCAGCGCCGCTGGCCAGGGCGCGGGCAAAGTTTGCCTCTCCGCGTCCAGCCGGTTCTTTCGCTCCCGCAGCGCCGCAGGTGCCGCCTGTCCTCGCCTTCCTGCTGCAATCGCCCCACCATGGACTCCCCGATCCAGATCTTCCGCGGGGAGCCGGGCCCTACCTGCGCCCCGAGCGCCTGCCTGCCCCCCAACAGCAGCGCCTGGTTTCCCGGCTGGGCCGAGCCCGACAGCAACGGCAGCGCCGGCTCGGAGGACGCGCAGCTGGAGCCCGCGCACATCTCCCCGGCCATCCCGGTCATCATCACGGCGGTCTACTCCGTAGTGTTCGTCGTGGGCTTGGTGGGCAACTCGCTGGTCATGTTCGTGATCATCCGGTGAGCGCGGGGACAGCGCAGCGCTGGGGGCTGGGCGGGGCAGGGAGTGAGGGTCAGGCCCCGCCACTGGAGCAGCAGTGGGGGCAGCCAGCCAGGTGGTGGGGACTCTGTTCCGTGAAGGATCCTGGAAATGCTACAGGGTGGCTTCCTAGAAGAGGTGAAGGATTTTCTGGGAGTTTTTGGTGGAGTGCTGAGAGGTTCACACAGGCGAATCCGAGCGGCCAGGGGCGTCTGGAAGATTTCAGAGTAACCCCCCGACCCCACCCTAGGGCCCAGTGTTTCTGCTGAAAACTCTATGCGCAGGGCAAGGTGCCAGGGTGCTGACAACAGGGTCAGGGGTTCCTGGTAAAGGAACTAATCCATTTGCCTGCGCCAGTTTGGAGCACTTTGTTATGCCCTTTGCAAATATTTCTTAAGATAAATTTCAAGCCCACCCAATGCACTGAAGATAATTCCGAATTTCCTGGGACTCCTCAGACTGGTGTTTTGGCTTATGAAACAAAACCTGATATATGCTCTAGCGTTGTTGATATGCATATATGAGCCTTTTTAGTATCAAATGGCATCCCATTTGTTAGGAATATCAGTAAATAATATTTATCCTCTAAAACATGGCCTGTGGAGATTTTCAAAAACTACTTCGCTGTTTTTTTCACCATGAGAAATTGAAGGTTTTATTTGTGTGTGTGTGTGTGTGTGTGTGTGTGTGTGGAAATTTCTTCAAGTCAACTTCCAATAATAAGTATCCCAATATCCACATATATGCTAATTTTTTGGTAAGCAAAGTGATTCTGACTTTAAGAAAGAAAAACAAGAAAAGGAAAACCTAACTTTGTTCTGCACTTTTCTTAAGATAGATGTGTTTCCTTTTCTGGGAGCACTAGAGCTTTGTCAACACACCTGTGAGAGGGAGTAGGAAGCTTGTGTTCCTTTGAGAAGTCTCTATGAAATAAGGGCGGGATGCAAGTCACCCTGGCTAGGGACTCTGAAACGATGAATAGCTGATTTTTTTTAAGCTTGATTTTAGTTTTGAAACAGGCCATTTATTTATTATGAACTTTAACAACCATATCATGAATGGTAGCATAAATGTTTCTCTTGGAAAATTATCATAATAAAATACTGCTTTATTTTTATTTTTACTTTTTTGCTTGAGAATGTCAGGTCTTTTATTCCTATGTATGCTCTGACATTAAAAACCATCATTTAAGTCGCCAAACACATATTATAAAGCTCATTTCATCAACAACTAGTGTTTATAGCTTGGTGCCCTTGGTTTTCATAATTGCCTATTGCATTTCGCAGGAATTCTATCCATGATGAGTAAAGGTTATAGAAGGAAGGAATATTTTAAAATTAAATTGTTTGTCCAAGTCATTAGTAATCTCAGGGCTGGCCTCCACTAAAGAGACAATTAGACAAAAGAAAAGACAACTGTATTCTAAATTTTAATTAAAAATTTTAGGAGATCTTTGGTACAGAAGCTATTTATTTGGTGGTGGGGTAATAGAAACATTGTTAAGCAAAAGAAAGCTCTAGGAAAAAAAATAGCTCTGTTTCTACCCATATCATATTTAGGTGCTCAAGTAAAACAGATACATATTGTTATTTGAATGAGCCCCTGAAGTCTGCAGTTTGAAAAGAGCTTTGTAGTTGCTCTACAACCTTTTGCAGACTAGGATTAAAAAGAATGAAGAATCCTAAAATAACATTTAGATGTTATGTGCAAATATAACTCCATGGGGAACATTTGACATGTAAGAAGGAAAAAAAAATCCTGTAGATTAGCTAGGATTTTTAATGGATAGATTTCCCAAATATATCCAACACTAAAGTGTGTTATAAGGGGATAAGTTCAGCTAAAAATATAAAAGAAGTTGGATAGTTCACATACATCATTCTCCATTCTCCCACCTCCCAATACTTAAAGGTTACGTTTGATGATGAATGAAAAGCGAAGAGTTCTACTGCCATCCTGGAGTACCAACCTACTGAAATCTATCTAGTTCACTTATGGCTAGAGCACATACATTTTAAGGTCTTCACAAGTAAAAGGTTAATGTCTAGTGAACCTAGTTCACTCAAGTCTATAGCTAAGAAGGAAAAGGAGTATTTAGTATTATTTCATAATGATAGATGGTTCAAGGATTGAAAAATAAAACCTTTGAAGAAGAATTGATGTACTTGGGTTTATTTATCTTAGGAAATGAAGAGACTGAAGATCAGAGAGAGGGTGGCATGAAGTGGGTTGCGTTGTGATCATCAGGCCTGAGTGCAGAACCAGGGTGTGGAGGCCCCATAGCCCTTGTTACTGAAGAGACTGAGTAGCTGTGCTTGAAAGATGAAGGATACTATTTTATATGTTTTACATGGGAAAGGCTCCTAGCATAGTTCAACCTTATAGAAAATCATTGTAGAAATGGAACTTAGATGCTCAGAGTGTGGGCAGGTGCAGATCTAGACTGTTCAGCTCAGACCTGGGGAGAAAGAGCTCTGGAGAAAGATATGCCTACTTTTAGGCCTGCCTTACAAATAGCTTTTCCCACCTTGGGCCCCTGGAATGCTGCCTCGTATCTTCTGATTTAAAGTTTCAAGAGTTCTCATCATTTAGTGTGTACCAACTGACATAATCCCTTGATAATTAGGGCACATTAACTTTCACTGTGGAGACCTTCAAATGTCAGTGCTCCAGCCCCCTCACTCATCAGGCTTTGGGGTTTGTGGTTGTTGGGTGTGAATGTGGGTGTGACCCTCAGGATTCTTTTTTTTTTTTTTTTTTTTTTTTTTTTTGAGACAGAATCTGGCTCTATTGCCCAGGCTGGAGTGCAGCGGCATGATCTCAGCTCATTGCAACCTCTGCCTCCCAGGCTCAAGCAATTCTCTCACCTCAGCCTCCCAAGTAGCAAGGATTATGGGGATGCACCACCATGCTAATTTTTGTATTTTTGGTAGAGATGGAGTTGCACCATGTTGTGCAGGCTGGTCTCAAACTCCTGATCTCAAGTGATCTGCCGGCCTTGGCCTCCCAAAGTGCTCGGATTACAGGTGTGAGCCACTACACTTGGCTGACCATCATGATTCTAATCCTGTGGTTCCTGACTTCCTCCTGTGCAGGATTCCCCCGTGCAGTCTTCATTTTTCATTAATTAATGAACACCATGACACTCACGCCCCTTTGCCCTGCCAGAGGCAGCCCTACCTCTGACATCACAAACATCCATTCTGCCACTCTTACCACAACTTCATACGCGTTCGACTTTCTCCTCCCTTAAAGAAGATAACTAACATTTAATGAACACTTAATATGTGTCAAGCAGGTAAAGCTACCTTCTTCATGTGAATTATTTAATCTTCACAACTATAGGTATATCATTACCATACCCACTTAACAGATGAGGAAACTAAAGCGCAGAAAGATGAAATAAACTAAGGTTACACCTGGGTAACTCACGGGGCCAGAATGATGCCAGTGGCCTGACCATTGATCCTATGCTCTTATCCATTCTGCTCCTCATTTCCCACCATACCACTCCTGCAAACATTTGGATTCTTTCTTTCCAGGAGGTTCTACATTTTCTCCCAGATTGTCTCTTTTTCTCTTCCCCATCCTAGACTGCATGAGCTATCACTTAAAGCTCTGTCTTGACAACACACCCAAGTGTCCTGCCTTCTTGTACTTCTGCCAGTGTCTTCCACCAAAGCCTTAACCCTTGATCAAGCCAGTAACCTACCTTCCTTATTCCTATACCCAGCTAGTTGGATGCTGTTGGATAAAATCAATTTTATTTTTGTCAAGACAGTCACCACCTTCAAGTATATCTGACCCTAATTCTCCCTAGAAGTTTTTCTGTGTCCCTCTTCTGTTTTCCAGAAAGAGCCAATTCCTTGTTTCATTTCCCATTTTAAAAAATGAATTCAAATCTACCCTTATTCCCAAACCCTCCACCTGATCATATTCTCTTCATGGTCATATTCTTTACTCTCTTTATCATATTCTCTTCATGAGTGTTTTTACCCAGTACTTCACCAAGACACTGGAGTGCAGCCCTCAGGAACACTGCTTCTCTACATACACACTTTGGCAGCCATCCTCCCTGCATTCTGTTTTGTCTCACAGGAAGATTCTCCTTCCTTCTATCCAAGGCTAATTCCTTCTCCTTGGTTTTGAAGCTCATTGCTCCTGGGGTCTTTACCATATAAGCTATCTCCTTTCTACTGTGTCTGCAATCTCTCCCTCTTCACCTGCTCTTCAGCACATGAACATAACCAAGCATCTGTCATCTTACAAACAATCAACAACCCACTATCCACCAACCCTCCATTTTCCTCATTTCCTTAGCTAATGTCCTTCATCCTCCTGCCTGTCATGGGTAGGCAAGCTTCTTGGAGGAGTAATCCCTACTCTTTGTTTCCTTTTCTTCCACGCAGTCCTCTGCCCTGAGCATTTGAGCTCCCCCTGATGCTCCTTCACCAAAGCCCTGGTGTGTGTTTCAGATGCTCGTTTTAGGCCACTTTCACTTGGCTTGTGTGGAGGGTCTGGCATGCTTGGGTGACCTTAGGTCCTCACTTTCTCGAATAGCACCCTCTCCTTGGCTTCCCCCACATCCTCTGGCATTCTCCTTGCTCCCCTGCACAGATTGCCCTTCCTCTGAGGTTTCCTAAATGCTCATATTCTCCAGAGCCTTCTCAGCTCTCTTCTGTCCTCACTTTGCATATTCTCTGTATTAGTCAAGGATCAGCCAAAGAAGCAGGACCAGTAGAGGATGTCCATGTTAAGAAATTTCTCACAAAAAAATGGCATAGGTGACTGTGGGACTGGCTAAGATAGGAAGTCAGGAGAGACAAGCTGCTGCTCTCCAGGCAGAATTTCTTCTTCCTCAGGGATCTTTGGCTCTGCTTTTAAGGTTCCCACTGATTGGATCAGGCCCCATTTTCAGATTACATAGGATGGTCTCCCTTGCTTAAAGTCAACTGATTATGGACTCAAATCACTCCTACAAAACACCTTTGCAGCAGTACCGAGATGAGTGTTTGAAAACCTGGGGACTGTAGCCTGGCCAAGGTGACTCATCACACTCCCTTTCAATGGTTTCATCCATTTGTGTGGCCATAACTGTCAGGTACATTCTGACAAATCCTAAATCTAATTATCTCTCTCTCTCCCAGTTATCCATTCCTTTCTGCAGACTCAGCTGGACTCCTTCCTTCTAAATGGCTCAGTGTGATGATCTCCCTGACACCTCAGGTTTCTAGAGCCTCCCTTAGTTTGCTGAGGCTGCCATAACAAAGCACCGCAGACTGGGTGGGTTAAGCAACCCCTGTTGTTGATTGTCTCACAGTTCTGGAGGCCAGAAGCCTGAGATCAAGGTGTCTGCAGGGCTTCCCCTGAGGCCCGAGGCCTCTCTCCTCGGCCTGTAGATGCTGCCTTCTCCCTGTAACTTCACATAGCCTTTCCCCTACACATCTGTGTCTTAATCTCTTCTTCTTATGAGGACACCAGTCATATCAGATTGGGGCCCACCCATATGGCCTCATTTACCTTAATTATCTCTTTAAAGCTCCTGTCTCCAAATGCAGTCAGCCCTCATTCCATATCTGTGAATTCTGCATCCATGGATTCAACCAACCATGGCTGAAAAATGTTGTTTTTTTAAATTGCACCTGCACTGAAGATGTACAGACTTTCTTTCTTGTCATTATTCCATAAACAATAGAGTATAACAACTATTTACATAACCTTTACATTGTAGTAGGTATTATAAGTAATCTTGAGATGACTTAGAGTATAAGGGAGGATCTGCATAAGTTATATGCAAAAACTATCTCATTTTATATCAGGGACTGGAGCATCCATGGATTTTGGATCTGACGGGGGCATCCTGGAACCACTCCCCCAGGGATACCAAGGCAGGACCGTACAGTCACATTCTGAAGTACTGGGGTTTAGGACTCCAACATAGGAATTTTGAGAGGACACGGTTCAGCTCAGAACACTGCCCATCCTCTTTCTGTTCTCCTTAAGAGGACACTCTGTCAAGCTTCAGTTTTCACAACAATTATGTATATGTTCTCTTTTCATTTATTTCTGTAAATTAATTATAAGGATAAACAAGGAAATTTTGTCAAGAAAAAATAGGAGGAATCAGAAAATTCTTTGATCCTTGGTCTTAGTTTAGCCTATTCCTTTTCTCATTAGTTGTAATTAATTTGTTGCTATCACAATACAGACCTGTAGGGTTCAATCTCTCACGAACCTTCCTCTGGGAGACTTTTGCTTCCCTACAGTTCAGCCTCAGCAGTATTGAAACCTCCCCAAAGGGGGAACTTTGTAAGGGGTGTAGAAGAAAACAAAACTGCAAAAGTACTATGGAAATGGTTACATTTCCTGAACTCAAATTTCTGCACCAAAGGGAGCCAACTCACCCAAGCTTGCTAGGCGTAGAGCTTGGTCCTTCTAAAAATACTCCTCTTCTTGCTTATAAATAGCAGGATACAGTGTTTCTTCCCCAGTCCACTGAACAGAAGTTCCAGGCTTCCTCTGCTGGGATATCTTAGGTTATGTGCCATTTACTGACTCATTCAAGTCACCCCTGGGCCAGTCTGGGCCTCATGGTTGTACTTGTCTCAGCCTCACCAGAACTATGTGGCTGTCTTGGAACTAGAGAAATGTGGGACGGAATGGGGTGACAGAGGGTCTGGCACAATGCCTGCCTCTTCTCTCCCAAGTTTCTTCTTCTCCATCATTGAAGTATGTGTTGTAATCACTGTAGTTGTGTGTACATACATGTTCCACATTCTCCTAAGTGTCAACATAGCCTACCTTAGATAATATCACCAAATCACACATACAGAGGCATTAAAAAAAAGCAAAGGTACAATATGGTACCTGTATAATTCACCAATGGCTGCTCCCTACAGGACACCAGTCTTATTTTAGGCTTTGGTTAATATAGTATGTTCTAATTTTTCTTGAAACTGTCTTTAATTTCTTGATCCTGTCTTTAAACATTTTCTTTAATACAAATGTAGCAAAAATAACTTCAGAAATTATTTTCAAGAGACTATCTTTCATTTCTCAAAGTAATTTGTATACATTTGACAACCTTTTGAAAGAGAGAATTGCAACTGCTTATGTGGATTAGCCAAATTATTTTCTCCCCTGAGGGATGTGTGATCACAGATGGAGGCCAAAGTCTCGTGGAACTGTTTCTCAGGGATCAGAGACTATACAACTGCAGAGAGAGAGAGAAAGAGAGCAAGTGAGAATGCGAGAAACCAATTGGGTGATCAGGTATAGAGGTCCTAAACTTTAATAGACTCCAGGAAAAACTGTAGCCTTCAAAATCATTTCTTGATTGTGTTGACTTTACGTGTTTTCTGATGCCTGTCTCAGAGTTAGTTTCAGAAGGAATTTGCTTCTCACTGGTACAGAATATCTCCTCTCCATGACTCATTCAGCTGCATCTCATCAGCAGCAATATTTTCATGTGGCTGTGCAGTTGGCACCTCCCTTCATTCCTGATTAACTTGGATGCACTTAATTGTCATGGCCCCAGGAGTCTCTGTGCTCAGCTAAAAATCTCAAATTGTATGGCTGCAGGACAGTTGCCTTTTGAAGGTTTAGCTTATGTGGTTTCAGTGGTGCAAGTAATACATACTTAGAATCATATTAACAAGAGATAGTTTCAGAATAACATTGATTTATTCCTCAACAGAAAGATCAGCAGCAGTCCCTTTTTTTCCCTTTCTTTGGAGGGGGTGCTGGTTTATGTCTTGGATAAGGAAGGCTTATATATGAAGAATAGATTTTAGGAGTGGGGATAATACTATAAATGGCTTAACACTTGCCTTCTCCATTGGCCAAACAGGTTGGAATTTCAATGGAAGACGACAAAACCATGTGATGAATTGAGAGATCCCAAAGGGACTGGTGTGAAGCCGGGCAGGGAAGCCTTGGATTAAGAATGGCTGGAGTGGCCGGGCGCGGTGGCTCAGGCCCGTAATCCCAGCACTTTGGGAGGCCGAGGCAGGTGGATCACGAGGTCAGGAGATGGAGACCATCCTGGCTAACACAGTGAAACCCCGTCTCTACTAAAAATACAAAAAATTAGCCGGGCGTAGTGGCGGGCGCCTGTAGTCCCAGCTACTCGGGAGGCTGAGGCAGGAGAATGGCGTGAACCCGGGAGGCGGAGCTTGCAGTGAGCCGAGATCGCGCCACTGCACTCCAGCCTGGGCGACAGAGCCAGACACCGTCTAAAAAAATAAATAAAAAAAGAATGGCTGGAGTTAGTTACATGCAGTCAGAGATCAGCTATGACAGGACTGATTTTCAGAGCTCCTGTTGAGCTCACTCAAATTCACAACACACCTATGAAATGAAGATTGTTAGAGCTCGTTTTCAGATGAGGAAATCAACTACAGAGGTTTAATGAACTGCCCAAGGGCAGGCAGTTGTTAAATGATCAATCCAGTATCACAGCCCAGTTTGCTTAGCCCTGAATCTTCTCAGCGCCCTCTGCCTGGCTGGGTTGCTTCCTGTCCAGTGGAGAACTGGCTTCATGGGTAGAGGGCAGCGCAAGAGGGCCATCATCCTCCTCTCCATGTGCCCACGCTCTGTGGCTTGCTTTGACTTAGGTCAGCTTTCTGTATAAAAATAGGAAAACTAATTTTAAGTATCCATATACCGCTAGGCATCCGGGTAGTTGTGCCCTAGGAAAGTGCACGCCAGTCATTAGCGAGGTGCCATTTTCTTATAGGTGCTGTTGGGCGTGAGAAGCGCTCACCCTGCACATAACCCTGAATGCACTAGAACGTTCCTTCTAGGGGTCCAGAGGCGCATGATTCCACAGCCGGGACAACTGAGAGGAGGAGCTTAGCAGCTCCCAGGGGCACTGGCTGTTCCCGCGGAATCATCGCTCCCCGTTACCCTTCCTTCCTTGCTTGCTGCCACTCTGCATGGGTAGCCTGCACCTGCGCGGGGCTGTGCGTCTGGAGTCCTGATCGCACGTGGGTGCCTGCTGTTCTCTTGACGCCTTTGCGCTTTGCACCAGGAGAGTGATTCTGGAGAGCTGCAAGGGCCTGGCTCCTATGTGAGTATGACTCCTTCAGAATACTACAGACTGAGGGATATCAAAGGATATCAGATCCTTTGAGAAGCAGTGAATTTAATTTCCTTATCTTTCCTTTCCATTTTCCTTTCCTTCCATTTTTCCTTTCTTTCTCTTTCCCTTTCCTTTTCTTTTTTCTTTCCTTTCCTTTTACCTTTCTTTTTAAGCAGACAAACAAACATGGAGTCTCTCTCTGTGGCCCAGGCTGGGGTGCAGTGGGGCGGTCAAGCCATCCTCCTGCCTCTGCCTCCCTCCTTTCTTTTCTAGAATTAATAAACTACTGCCCCTTTAGAAAAAAAACCCTACAATTTCAATAGTAAATAACCCAGAAGAGCATATAGCAGTTAATTTCATTGAGGTGAACTGAAACTGACTGAAAAATTTAGTGAAACACTCATTATGTTTTTAAGTAAGTTCCACTGAAAAGTCACGTCAGCACGGTCATCATTCTTCATTTTATTTTTATTTTTTAAACAGACTTTTAAAAAAGCAGTTTTAACTTCACAGAAAAATGGAAGGGAAGTTACAGTTCCCATATACCCCATGCCCCCACACATGCACAGTCTCCATTCTCACATTCCCCCAGAGTGGGACATTTGTGGGACTGATGAGCCTGCATTTACACATCATAACCCAGAGGCCATACCTTACATCAGAGTTCATTATTCCCCCCACCCACAAGCTTTGGTGAGGCATAATTGACAAATAAAAATTACATATATTAAACATGCACAACATGGTGATTTGATATACATTAATTTGTGATTACCACAGATTACACAGCCATTACCACACACAGTTACCATTTTGTGCATGTATGGTGTGTATTGGAGGGGTGAGTACAGTTAAGATCTACTCAATCAGCAAATTTCAAGATAAGCAATACAGTATTGTTGATGCTAGCCCCCTGCTGTAAATTGGATCCCCTGAGTTTATTCATCTTATACTGAAGCTTTGTATCCTTTGACCAGCCCTCTCCATTTCCCCCACCATTTCTGATCATTTTGCACATAAAATCTAGAATGCCATGCATCTGGAAGACACGCCCAGGAAAATGCTTGTTGGCAATACAGAGAAAAGAGCTCCCAAACTCATCTCTGACCATGCTCATCTTCCATCATTTGTGAAGAAGGACTGCATTTTCCCTGCTGCTGCAGAGCTCTCCTCTTACTGAGTTTGGTGTCTTGGGCCTCTTTGGACTCCAAGGGCAGCTCTAGTGTTGTAAGAGAGCCACCAGCTTCCTGTGGGTCCATGGCATTTGATCACACTTGTGTTTTCACCAAACAGCATTTGTTCAGGTGCATTCTATGGACCTTTAGGTTTTTGCTGTATTAAAGGAATCTATTTAGAAAATCACCAGGGCTTTTGTTTTGTTTTGTTTCCTTTTTCTTTTTTATTATATTGGAGCTGAAGTTTGAATTCCCATTGTCTCACTAGTTTGTAGTTTCAGGCAAGTCACCTACTCCCTTTTAACTCAGTTTCCCCACCCCCAAAAATGGGCCTATGGAAAAATTCCACAATGTACATGACATTGTTTTGTCCATTGAGGGGTAGTATTTAATGTATTATTACAGTATTTCTGCCTGGACCTTGCCCTGTTTCTCATGCTAAATGTTTTCTACCCTCATGATGCATACTTGACCGTCCTCATCAGAATGCTTTTCAACATTGAACTGCAGGAAGTGGCAGTATTTATTTCTCTGATAAAATACCTGGTTTTTAAAGAAAGCTTGGAATAAGACAAGCCTGAGTTCCTTTACTTATTACATGTAGATTCCAAGAACTGAAAAACACTGAGAGTATTTCTAAGACGTTTTCTCAAACTTTTTCTCTTCAGAAGAAAGTAGGGGCAGTGATATCTTATGGGATTGTGATATGGCTTATTAGGGCTGTGGCAGGTAATGAATAATAACAGTAACAACAGCAGGAGCAGTCATGTGACAATGAAGGCTGGCATTCACTAAGAAATTATCAAGTACCAGTCTGGTGCTAAGTAATTTTATGCATGTCTCATTTAATCATCATGACAACTTTATCAGATAATATGGAATTCCCCAGACAGTGTCTGTCACATAATGTCATCAATAAATGTTAAAGTGATTTTTTTCCTTCTGGTGTTCAGGGCCCTCTGTGGCCTGACACTACTGTTCCCATCCCAGGCAGCCACCTGTGACTCCTCAGCAGGAACCCTGAACCAGGAAATCCATTTCCTCATTGACTCTGAATAAGACACTAGCCAGAAAGCTTCTCTCTCTGTCCAGATCTTTCTCAAATCTCAAGATCCTGCTAAATTTTCTCTTCAGAATATGTGCTGATTTCCTCACTACACAGCAATCTTTCTCTTCCATGTATTCCTATAGTTCACATTATAATCTGCTCTCAGTTTAAAAGATCCTCAGAGCCAGGGTCTGTATATTGAGTTTTTCAGTCATCCTCAAAGTCTAGTATATTGCTACTTATGGGGTAGGGAAATGAAAGAGTAAAGACAGAGGAGGGGCCATGCACATAACTGGAGAGGGAAGAGAGGGTGCATGCGTCACCATAGGGGACAAGTGCAAGAGAAGACCCAGAATAACTGAAATCAGTGCAACTGAAAGTGTGTTGATTTGAAAGGTATATGGTAATCAGTCATCAAGATTAAAGGTTTATTATACTATTGTCATGAAGGTGAAAAGGAGTTCCTGATTAAAGAAGCATCATTGAAATTTAAAAAACAGAAAACAAACCTAGGCAATGCACCTCAACAGCAAAGCATGCTAATAATCCAATAATTACCTCCTCTACCTCCTGCATATTGTCTGAGTACAGCCATGCATGGAAAGGACAGGAAGTCCTGAGAGTGCTGTGTTGCAGGGTCAGCTCCCCCTTCTCAAGTGCCACCTTTCTAGCATGGTGAGTGTCACGTCCTCCCAGAAACCCTGCCTGGTGACACTGGTTCCTGACATCTCAGCAGATAACTTTGTTCCCCTCACCATCACACAAGCACCAGTGTCTGCCAATTTTGAAGCCAACCCTCGTTTCTCTGTAAAGAGAAGTACGCTAGGATGGTCTTGAGTTAAAGTGTCACTGGGGAGCATTTCTAAGTCTCTGGAACACCCTCCGCCCTGTTGCCTGGCCACCATAGCCTTCCCGGTGCTCACAACTCAAGTTCCCCAGGTAAGCCCTCTTTCCCGGCCTGCCCCTTGCTTCCCATTCCATGCACCGTACTGTTTTTTCAGGTCTGTTATGTTGTCAGTTTAGCGAGGACAGCCCACGGACTTTGCTCTTTTCATACCATATGCTCCTGCGGTGTGTATGCTCAAAAGTGCAGCCACGAGCTGCCAGCCCACTTCCAGCTCCTCCACACAAGCCAGAACTTCCCACCCAGATGGTGCCATTTTGCTTAAAATGCTTGTGAATTTTTGTAAAGCAGTGTGGGTGAAATGGAAAATAATTTCATATCATAGCATAATGAGAAAGCTTGCTTGTTTTTTCAGTGGTGGACATACAGTGAATGAAAAGACTGGCTAATTCTGTTGCGGTTAGATACAAACAATACCCTGGGGCTCAACCAGCCTGCCTCTGAGCGTCACAGCCTTGCTTTATATTCACGTTCACAGAGTAGTCCAGTGTAGTACGCAGAAGAACTATCTACAAATATTCATTGAATTCAGAGTTTATTCATTACTTTTAATTATACTCATGAGTTCTCCCCTTCTAGTGTTGTAGGTTTATAAGCATGTGTCTTCCAGAAACCTGGAAGGGGGCCCTGCCTTGCCACCCCATCCAGATCCTCCCACTGAGGTCCTGCCTCTGCTGACACCAAACAAATCACTTAACTTACCTGAGCCTAAATTTCTTCAGCTATATGAGGGAAAAGACATAAGTCTTTCAGGTAAACTAGAAGGGCAGTAGTTTCGAGAATCAAGTAAGATACGGGGAAGTCAAAATACTGGACTTTGCAAATTACAAAGTGCTGGGGAGATGTAAGAATGGACGAATTGGGATCAAACCCCTGGGTTTAAATTTCTGCTATGCCTATAGTTATATCACTTTGAGAATTTTAAAGAAAATCCTGTGATTCTTAGTCACTTCATCTATAGAATAAGGATACCAGTACCTACCACATGAAGTGACTGTGAGGATGAATTGAGACAAAGCTTGGGGAATGCATGGCAGAGGTCCTGACGCAGGCACTTCGGAAATGTGGTCAGTGTGATTATTGCCTGTACTCATCTCTCTGAGATCTGCAGATGGAGTTTGAATTCTTTACATGTTCAAGTCTTACACAGTTTCATACATCTATTGGCTATAAATATTTTGAAAAACTAAAATCAAGCTATCACTCTACATTGTATGACTACTTAAAGATGCACATTACATTTTACAGTAATTTATGGATCATTGCATTCATGTTCTTTGTGTCAGGTCCTGGGGCTCCTTTTTATTCTCACCTTTTATATTTAAGCTGAACTGGGTAAATATGACCATGGATGTTACCTAGAAACTACATTCTTTTCTGCTTCCTGTGGTAACTGGTGGCTTCCACTCACGTAAGAAGGGAGGTGGGAGTTGGGGAACATGACATAGATTAGACATGCTGTCTGGGTCAGGTGCATTCATTAATTACCCCTGGAACTCTATGAGATAAATATTATAGTTTCCATTTTATAGTTGGGGAAACTGAAGCTCAGGGTGGTTAAGGACCCTCTAAAATATACTCGTTAGTTTGAAAAATAAGGACTAGAACCCAGGTCTGCCTAAGTTTATAGCAAAAAGAATGCCACTCTGACTTCATAAAGAAAGAGGGGAATATCAGAGTCATAAAATACAAGAGCAGGAGTCAGATTCCTGCTGGAATCCTTGCTAGTATCTGGGGTTTTGGGGTGGGAGGAGTTGAAAGAGTAGAAGTTAGGTTTGTAAGATGCATTTTTTTCAAACATAAAACCATATTTTTAAGAAAATATCTGAACAGATAGCATTTCAGTCTTTCTCATTAGAAACATGTGGCTCCTTCTCAGTAACTGTCCTTGCTTGGCTATCTCTGCTTTTCTAAAGCCTGTGCTATGAGAACTTGGCCATCCATGTTTAGTCACTATCTAAAACTTATAGGTCATTTAATAATGTCTGAATAAAAAGTATAAAGGCAAAACACATTTTTAAATAAACTCCTCGCTTTCCAGATTAAATCACTCTTTAGTAAGCAGAACATCCAAATGGAAACTAACAGATACCAACTCTAGTACCCGTCTTCACAATGCCTTCCCAGCTGACCCCAAACACAGCCACTTCCTAATGAGTAGAGATGGGAGGTGGGGAGGGAAGGCAGTGGACACTGAGGCTGGAGTGTGAACCTGTGCATCAGGCCATCTACTGCCCTTGTCTCACGTACTGTGAGTTAGGTTTTATGATTCTTATTTAGCAGGAACTGAAAATCAGATAAGTCATTCTCTGAGTTCAGACTCAGGATTGTCTGAGTTCACATGAGACCACACTGCCTCCAAGAGGAGCAAGAGCTGTTCTGTTCTATCATGAAATGTTCAGAGTTGTTTCTCATGTGGAAATTCATGTATCAAATGGGGCACGCTTGAATTGTGACAAGATCTTCAAATCTGAGGCTGTAGAAAGTAATCAACGTATGGATTTTCCCAACATATTTCAGCTCTTGGCCTTTGAAAATCTGATGGTATGGTTTGGAACATTTATTTAATACTCTATGGATATTTGAGGAAGCATTCTCTAAGCAAAACAACCCTCTTAACTCAGTCTTAGTTGAAAATTAAGTTGTCCTAAACATCATGTTATAATGTAAAGAATAACTCAGGCATAAAAGCAATCTTTCTTACCTACCTTGAAAATTACTCTTCTCTCAATTGGAAGATGAGACATATTACGTGCTTAGAAAATATCTCAAGGAGTAAAGAAAGACAGAATTATTTCTTTTCTGCTGTACCATACTATGCTTAGTGCTATGATGTGTAAGAGCAGAATTCAATCTGCTTTATTTATATAATATATTTAAAATGACAAATTAATGGTGCACTGGAGAACAAAAATCAGCAAACCTAATTGTGTTTCAGCCATTGCAACTGAGCATATATCAAAATTGAAAACCATTTTGTATTTTCAAAATACATCATAATTATAATGATTGATTTCTCAAAATAACCCTGAGGAAAAAAATGTTTTAAACAAGTCAAAGAGAATGAATATAGTGTTTGAAAAATGCTTAAAGCCAAGCGACTCTGGGCAGGATTAAGATGAATTGTCAGCCACAAAATAAAGATCTGTATTATATGCAATGCTAGATCTATATGTCTATTCATCTATCTCTGCTATTTTCTGTATCTTCTATATTGAAATTTTTTAAACAAAGCACTAGAATAAACAATAAAGTTGGAGATCTTTGTCCATTTTTCCTATCAATGTCTAGAACAGTCCATTTACATGTTAGACCCTCAATGAATATAAGAATAATTGAATGAAGAAGCAAAATCAGTAATCCAAAGGCTATCACAAACACATTCACCTTATGGGTTTGACTTGAAAATGGAGGGAAATGCTATTGTTTCTTTTCTTTTAGATACACAAAGATGAAGACAGCAACCAACATTTACATATTTAACCTGGCTTTGGCAGATGCTTTAGTTACTACAACCATGCCCTTTCAGAGTACGGTCTACTTGATGAATTCCTGGCCTTTTGGGGATGTGCTGTGCAAGATAGTAATTTCCATTGATTACTACAACATGTTCACCAGCATCTTCACCTTGACCATGATGAGCGTGGACCGCTACATTGCCGTGTGCCACCCCGTGAAGGCTTTGGACTTCCGCACACCCTTGAAGGCAAAGATCATCAATATCTGCATCTGGCTGCTGTCGTCATCTGTTGGCATCTCTGCAATAGTCCTTGGAGGCACCAAAGTCAGGGAAGGTAAGAGCAGTCATTTCATTCTGTTCATAAAAATGTAGCTTCAAATTACATAGACTTTTAATTTGAGCGTGAGTAGGCCACATATTTAGTGGAAATCGATGCCAAAAGACGACGGAAATGTAGTGCCTAAATCCATGGAAGATGAGAAGTAGAACAATTTTGTGTCCCTTTCCACCTCTAAACACAGAATGCAATAATGACATTGCCAGAAGAGAGATGCCCGACCTGTCTCCCATTCTGGCAATGTTTAGTAGAAAGTGGAGGGGTGAGGATGAGGTAAGAAACCACAGGCATGTGGAATTTTAAAGTACAACCTGGCAAGTCCAGGACACACCTTCTCACTCCTTTTTTTCTCTTTAACAAGGGATATAAATTATTGGTGACATATGCTGGTTCTTTCCTCTTTTATTCCTAAAGGATAACCTCCAAATCACTATTTTAACAGCTTTGGCTGTAGGCCATTCAAAATCAAGTTAACGGATGGTAGTTACAGATGAGCAGAACCACTTGATTTTGGACATATCAGGTTTTACCCCATGCAAACCAGCCAACTGATTTTTTTTTTTTTTTTTTTTTGAGAGAGAGTCTTGCTCTGTTGCCAGGCTAGAGTGCAGTGGCGCGATATCGGCTCACTGCAACCTCTGCCTCCCGGGTTCAACCTCAGCCTCTCGAGTAGCTGGGACTACTGGCACACACCACCATGCCCAGCTAATTTTTGTATTTTTAGTAGAGACAGGGTTTCACCGTGTTGGCCAGGGTGGTCTCAATCTCTTGACCTCGTGATCTGCCCGCCTCGGCCTCCCAAAGTGCTGGGATTACAGGCGTGAGCCACTGCGCCCGGCCCCCTGTTGATGTTTTTCCTGTATTTCTAGGACAGTAGTTCTCACTCTGGGCTGCACATTGGAATCACCTGGGTACTTTAGAAAACACTGCTGCCTGCATCCCACCCCTTAAGGGTCTGGTGTAATTGACCTGGGGTACAGCCTGGGTGTCAAGATTTTTGAGCTCTCTCCAGGTGACTCTGACCTGCAGCCAAGGTGAGAGGTACTGTTCTAGGAGTTTTGCTTTACTAGCAAAATATAAAGCTATAGAAAGCATCTTTGTTCCTCATAGAAATTAATGATGGGGAGGTGAGCAGAATAGTCACTCTGGGCCTACTCATGCTGTTTAATGCTCCAGCAGGTATATAAATGCTCCAGTTTACTAGGGGGTTCATAATACCTGTGAGAGCAGATAACTGAGTGTATATAGTGAGGATTTTCCAGGTCATAGTGAAAGGGCAAGGCACTAAAATCATAGCTTGTCTTGCATGATACATGGTTTGTTTGTTTTTAGACTTAATCTAGTTAGGTTTCAGTTTACAGTTTTAGGTTCACAGCAAAACTGACCAGAAAGCACAGAGAGGCACTTCCATTTACCTCCATTTACCCCACACAGGCACATCCTCCCCTACAGAGTGGTCCATTTATTACAGCTGCTGAACCCACACTGACACGTCGTTATCACTCAGAGCCTGGAGTTTACAGGAGGGCTCACTCTCCGGGTTATGTGTCCTGTGGATTTGAACAAATGTATAATGACTTTATTCATTGTTTTTTAATGAAGCTGATCTTTTCCCTCTGAAACTACAAAATGAATTTCTAGCATAGCCATAGCAGGTGTCAAGCTATACTACTAGGTAAATTTTAAGAAATGCCCAACTTTATCATATTTGCATTTCAAAATATGATTAATCACACATAGGATTTTGTTTCTTCATGCCTACAGCAAATAGAAATAAAGTGCAAGAAACTTTTCTGAGGCAAAGCTTTCACTTTGTGAACGTAAAATGTTGACTCTAATATTTTCCATACTGTAGTATATGTGTGTGTATTATGTGAGGATTCATAGTCTGCTCTTACTTTTTTATAGTAGCTAAGAATTATTATAATCGCTATAAGCAGAAACAATTATTCTTAACAAAATGAATACACACAAGAAAAGCTTTAGTTTAGCTATTAGAACTAACTCTATAATTATGACAACCATGAGATGCTGGAACAGGAGCCAGCAGAAGCCACAGCCCTCTGATATTAATATATAAAGAAACCAAAATCTGCTTGTTAAACTGAGGCAGTTGTATGGATACTTCAACCTGAAAATGCCCCCTTCTTCCTGAAACAGAACATTTAATAAAAATGGCATGCTTGGACAGGAATTTCTTTTTTAAAAAATGCTTAGTTTTTATGAATTCATAATAGATGTACATATTTAGGGGGTACCAGTGCTATTTTGATACAAGCATACAATGTGTAATGATCAAATTAGGGTAATTGGGATATTCATCACCTCAAGTATTTCTCATTTGTTTGTGTTAGGAACATTCCAATTTCACTCTTTTAGTTATTTTGAAATATATAATAAATTATTGTTAACTGTAGTCACCTTCTTGTGCTACTGAACATGATCCTTTTTCTTCTAAGCGTATTTCGTATGCATTAACCAACCCCTGTATATCCCCCTCCCCACAACCCTTCCCAGCCTCTGGTCACCTCTAGAGGTTCTACTCTCTATCTCTGTAAGTTCAGGTTTTTTTTTTTAACCTCCCAAATATGATGCTTGAGGACATGTGATATTTGTCTTTCTGTGCCTGGCTTGATCCCCTTAGCATAATGTGAAGTGCACTGGGATTCTTGATGATTGCCTCAGCACTCTCTTTACGCTACAAATTCAGCTTCATTGACATTTCTGGAGGATATTTCCAACTCTGTAGTGGGACGTTTGTTTCCCAAAGTCTTGTAAAGTAGCTGTTGTTAATTATTTCACCCAGTCATCTAATACTTACCATCTCCCACCACATGCAAGGCAGTTTGTTTGGGAGGAAGCTGAGCCTCGGAGTTAAAGGTCTATCCGAATTAAACAGCAGCCCTGTGCGGCTTCTGCTTAGCTTAGCTTAGCCGGTGACTTTTCCATAATAACTACTGTAATTAGGACACACTTTCGAGGGTTTGTTATTCATGTGGTATGTATTTGTTTGTTCATTTATTTAACAATTTATTCTGTTTATGCACCACATGTTCCAGGTACTACCCTAGGTGCCAGGGATTCAGTGTTGATTAAGGCAGGCTGGGTTTCTCCACTAAGGCAGTTCACATTCTGGATGGAGAGAAAAATGTTAGGAAGGTAACACACAATTACAGATCAGACAGGCTTCTGTCTGGGAAATTGGGTGAATATAACATGTAGACAAAGTGTAAGTTACCGAGGAGAGGACAATTTAAGAGACAGACCTCCATCTAAACGTCTCTGAAGTGACATATAAGCTGAGGTCAGCCACAGGAAACAACTAATGCTGAAAATAAAAGCTAAGCAGAAAAAAACAAACCAAACCATGGTCCCTACCTCCAAGGAAACTCTTCTACCAGATTCAACAAACAAGTCAAAACCCAGAATAGAATATTTATATTGAACTCAGATTTTTTTTTCATGTGTCACCCATCAAAAGTTGCTTAATGGATATCTTATATTCTATTATAATAGTAATGATTTAAAAATCATTTACCATAAACACTAAAGCAAAAGTTAATAGTCTTCATAGTAATATTACTTTGGACAATGACTTTTTTAAAAAATCAAAAATGACAAATTTCTCTGGAAGTGTTCATTTACTACTCCAAGGTTTCATCTGGTATTTCATTGATACATGAAGGTCTCTAAGATAGTCTTTATTAATTGTCAAAAATGTTTATATCCTTTTTATTTTAAAGTATATGTAATTAAAATTCTAGTAAGATTGGATATTCTATTAAGATTGCATTAAAATGTTTTAGAAAACATTAATAGAGCTGTTTTGCTATTTAAAAAAATATTCATGTGCTATTTTTGAAGCAGATTTTTCCAGTGTCAGAAAAAAATATTTTCATTACTGTAATCACGCTCATGGTGTTGCTCATGACTACCTTGTCTGTGAGGAAGGACCAGGGCAAAGAGAGCTCTGCTGTGTGCTCGCTGACTTCTCAGGGGCAGGGGTTGGAAATGTGGGCTAGCTGGTGTTTGGGGAAAGGTGAGCCCATGGGACACCCACAAAAATAGTTTAGAAGGTGTCCATCCTGAGTCCCTGGTCTTCCTAATATTAAGGCTACTCCAAAGAGAATACTACCCAGCAAAGAGAAGCAGAGCAAATATAGCAATTTTCTAAGTAATCACATACAAATATTTGTTTTATCTGAGCTACATAATAATGTTGGTAAAAATGAAAATAAATGTGCCTGATTTACTCAGAATTCCCTTGATGATGTTGATGATTCTCCCCCACCTCCTCCAAAGGTTTTACTTGTGTTTCAGTAATGCCCTTAATCACAATGAGTGTCATTGGTTCCATTAAATGACAATACTTGAGTCATATTTAAACAAATTCCATATCAATTTTTGTTGACCCACATAATGATTTCCTGTAAACCAGTTAATGTTTTTCAAACAAGTTGGCTTTTGTTAAATTCAGTGGCTAGATTTGAAATATTTAGTCATTTATTACAAATAGACATTAGCTTTTTTATTGCCAGAGCCTTAGGTCTGGGAGAAGTGTTAATGAATGGAAATAGAAATAAGTACTCATGGTATACATTAACTCTTTACCTCTTCTGCAAGCCATCAGTGTCAAACCAACTTCTGCAACTAGATGAGCAAGATTGTCAGCTAATCTTAATTCTACAGTATTGTGTATGTTACCAGTAAACAGTGACTATCATCATTGTTCCATGCACAAAGATTAGGATGGCTAACAAAATACAGTATTCATTAGTAATTTGGTGATCTACTTCAGGTAATGTCATCTTACCATAATTGGACCATTGCAATAAAAGGTATTAAAATTCATATTTAAAACACTTTGCAGCCACGGTAATAACAATAACAGGTTTCTGTGTTGTGGTTTTTATTGCCCTCCTCCAGACGTCGATGTCATTGAGTGCTCCTTGCAGTTCCCAGATGATGACTACTCCTGGTGGGACCTCTTCATGAAGATCTGCGTCTTCATCTTTGCCTTCGTGATCCCTGTCCTCATCATCATCGTCTGCTACACCCTGATGATCCTGCGTCTCAAGAGCGTCCGGCTCCTTTCTGGCTCCCGAGAGAAAGATCGCAACCTGCGTAGGATCACCAGACTGGTCCTGGTGGTGGTGGCAGTCTTCGTCGTCTGCTGGACTCCCATTCACATATTCATCCTGGTGGAGGCTCTGGGGAGCACCTCCCACAGCACAGCTGCTCTCTCCAGCTATTACTTCTGCATCGCCTTAGGCTATACCAACAGTAGCCTGAATCCCATTCTCTACGCCTTTCTTGATGAAAACTTCAAGCGGTGTTTCCGGGACTTCTGCTTTCCACTGAAGATGAGGATGGAGCGGCAGAGCACTAGCAGAGTCCGAAATACAGTTCAGGATCCTGCTTACCTGAGGGACATCGATGGGATGAATAAACCAGTATGACTAGTCGTGGAGATGTCTTCGTACAGTTCTTCGGGAAGAGAGGAGTTCAATGATCTAGGTTTAACTCAGATCACTACTGCAGTCTGACATGAAAAGATAGAATTTAAAATAAACTTTTAGAGATCTCATGGTCTGAAGTCATCAGATGCAGACCACGTTCGTGATCAGTGGAAACATCAAGGACAAAAGGTCCACGCAACACATGCACCTCTTCTCTAGGGCACAGAAGCGAGGCAGAGCCTCAGTTCCTCTGATGAACAAGGGAACAGGTCTTTTCCTTCTGGTTTGCTAGGTAAGGTTCAGCACCCATCTGCTGTGGCCTTCCTATGAAACGTAGTTTCAAAAGCTCGGTTTAAGAAAAAAGGAAAAGAAAAAACATTGCTTTCAGAGCTCAATGGGCATCCAATCCAGATGTTTCACAATGACAGCAACAACCTCCAACGGAATGGGAACTATTTCCAGGGTTCATGCCCAGCTCACTGTATGCTGTGTGGACATGCATTTCATGTGGCTGTGTGGTAAGAATTACAGCTTACATATGGCTTGGACCCACATCTGAGGAATCTGATGTTCACTTATACCAGAACATTATCTTGCTATTTATGAAATTATTTAAACGTTCAAAAGATTGTTTTTAACATGGTTTAATTTCCCAAAAACTACAGTTTTTTTTCTTAGCATGCTATTCAGGTAAACAGTCTTATAATAAAGCATGTCCCATTGTCAAGAAACATAAAGTGGTGTGAATACCACTGAAAATATATATATAGTATCTTCTGTAAATAATAGTACCTGTGTGAATAAGGAATAGGCTTGCCTCCCAGCCAGGCAATTTCCTGAGGGCACACTAATGATATCCCCTGAGTTGCTAAGTTGATGCTGAGACATTTTGCTGGGAATTAGTCATGGCATGATCTCTTTCAGACTCCCTGAATACCATTTAGTCCCGTAACAGTGCTCACAACTCATGTGCTAATGAATCACAAAGGCTTTAACTAGCTCCCAGGTTGTAGCCTTCGCAGGATCTAGTTTATTTGCCACATCTCTTTATGAACATATAGCGATTCGCAGATCTCTCTATTCACGGAGAGGAAGGTGTTTTGCTTCTGTAGATCTCAAGGTACTATTTTGTGGCTCTCAGCAGGAAGTAGAATTGTTCCTAAATGTGTGCTGAATGAGGACATGATGTCCCTCCTGGTGCCAGGACACATCCTGCATGGCATTCTGTGAAGGGCATACCTGCTGAGGATAATGCCAGGAGCAGCACATTTAGGGTAATTTTGCTAAAACTTCCAGATGACATATAAATTCCCTCTTTTTCCCCCTGAAACTTACCATTTCAGAGGTAATGGCTTTTTCTGTAATTTGCCTGAGAAGAAAAAAGGGATAATTTAGAAATAACACTCCAAGCCTATATATTACTAGGGCTGCATCCTCTGGAATTTAATAGAAAAATTGAATATATAGCCCTATGTAACTACAGACATCATTACAACTGTTAAGTTCTGTTCACCATGCAAGTTCTCGGTGGTGTATGTACTCTCACCTTTTGGAAACAAAACCTTGCATTGAAGGTTTTACACATGGCTTCAGAATGTTACTCTGACCATGTTTGCCTCTACTCCAGATTATCATGGCACCTAACACAGATGACATATGGCAGAATGGAAGTGATTTCTCCTAATGAAAATGAAGTGCTCTTTTGAGTATTTCTTGTTTTATTGAGATTCCTATCTGCCCTTGTATTTTTATAACTGAATGTAAATAGGAATTGCTTAAATACTGGTTTACACTAATCCCATAGTTAAAAATCTTGGCTATGGTACAGGAAGGATATCTATATAGAGGATAGTTCCAGAAACAAGCCCTGGTGAAATAGGAAATATAAAAACTTCTTTATGGAACAGGAAAACCCAAGAGACTTTCTCGTCAGATTCCTTTCCAGTGCAAAGTATAACAGAGATAGGATTATGAGATGAAATCACAGTAGTGTGTTTCCTTTAATTTTTTCTGTCTTCTTTTTTTTTTTTTTTTTTTTTGAGACGGAGTCTCGCTCTGTTGCCCAGGCTGGAGTGCGGTAGCACAGTCTTGGCTCACTGCAACCTCCACCTCCTGGGTTCAAGCGATTCTCCTGCCTCTGCCTCCTAAGTAGCTGGGATTACAGGCGTGCACCGCCAAGCCCGGCTAATTTTTGTATTTTTAGTAGAGACGGGGTTTCACCATGTTATGCAGGCTGGTCTCAAACTCCTGACCTCAGAATATTCACCTGCCTCGGCCTCCCAAAGTGCTGGGATTACAGATGTGAATGGCCACGCCTGGCCTGTTTCCTTTAAGTTAGCACTTCACGTGCTCTTACAGCGTTAATTGCCATTATTGGTTTGCCTGATTTTCCTGCATCTCCTCATATGTAAGTCTGCAGCCCAAGGAGAGAATAGTAGCTGTATGTGCCCACAAGGGGTGTCCAAGCTTCTTGATTCTTGTTAATATCGACTCCCCAACATTGAAAAAGGAGTGAAGAAGGGAATATCATTTTAGGGTACTGCTTTAAAGGAATGATAAAGTAAACAACGTAGCAGGGAAAATACCACTTGCACAAATGTATTTCTTTGTCAAAGTGTGTACACGCTTTCTGTTTGTCCTGATGTCCTGCTGTGAAGCAGGGACCACATTGCCATTTATTCATTGTTCCAGGCAATGCATTTGTCCAAACCCCTCTGGCTCTCTGATATCTCTCATTTCTTGATGTTCCTATTCTCTGACCTCAACAAGGAGGACACTGTCTGTTGTGTCTCTTTGAGACTAGAACTCCATGTGTTTAACCTTCAGATCCATTCTCTACATGAACCCTATTCTTTCCACCCTGGTAAGAAGGTCTGGAAGACAGGTCCTAACGAGGGGTCAGAGAAGGCACAGAGAAATGAACCAGCCATGCAGGGGCAGCACTGAGGAGGAAACCCCCCACTCTAACTGGGAGGAGAGTGGAAACACTCTTAGTATCTCAGAGTAGTTACCAATCTAAGAGCATCCTTCGAGTTTAAGTCAAAACTCTAGGCTTAATACCAAAAATAATACATCATTTGGAAAAATAGCTTGGAGAAAAAAAATCAATAAAGAGTCACATAAAATCTTAAGAAAATGGTTCTATTCTGTGATATATTACTAAGAAATACAGTTCTTAAACGTGTATAACTATTGTCAGACAATTTATAGGTGTTTCATCTAGTCCTGGGATGAAATACGATGACTCATGCAAATTCAGGGAGCACACTGGCTGACTTTAAATTGGAACATTGTAAAGTGAAAGCTGTGAAAGGTTGTGTGTCCTATCAATGAGATTTATTTTCTAACCAAGAGCTGTTCGGATGATTCAGTATAAATACGAAAATCACATCCAAAAACGGTATAACCCAGCTTCCTTAAGGCAATTTTCTTCTCTGAAACAAGAATATACTCATATGTTCTTTACTATAATGTATATGATTTTTATCTTGTACTTTAAAAGATGATAATTATGCATTGTATATACGATTGTGTGCCTTGCAATAAAATCAAAACTGTACCTGCTGAAAATCACAACAGTCAATTATTGTGGTAAATTATTTATTCTATAATTACTTCAGTGATGCTGCACTTCAGCAAGAACAATGGAAACTGTTTCTCAAAACTATAAGGGTTACTCTAACTTTCCATCCATGACAATGTTGTGGGTGATTAGTGGATAAAAACAAAATATGTGGGGATCTAAACTGTGATCTTTAGTTCCCAGACCTGTGAATTGTGGGGATCTAAACTGTGGTCTTTAATTCCCAGACCTGTGAATTGCTTAGGATAATTCACCTGTTTTCACAATAATGCTGCCAGGATTGATTCAATGTTACCTATTGCTCTCACAATGAAAATCCACTTTTTTCACTACAAAAACATGCAAAATTCAAAATCAAACTGTTCCATCAATAAAAGCATAAAGAAATAGCAACTCCACCTGGAAACACAAGCAGCCTTCTGCCCTGCTCCCAGTACAATACAACACATCCCTGCCAAGAATGATCTGTTTCTAAACCGCATAGTATTTTACACACAAAGAACAACTTAAAACCCAGTATCTTGATGAAAGAAAGATTTGTGGAAGCAGAAGCAAAACTTAGGCATGGGAAGTAAAAAGGGACTCATTTTGCTAATTGGGAAGAACACACTACTGAGTCCTAGTCTCTTTTCAAAACAAAGCAAATTTCTTATTCATGTTTATCTTTGATTGGTAAGTCAATTTCATAAGGGATTGGAGTGCAAGTGTGGTAGGGGCCTCCGCTTCCATTTTCAGTGGAATCTTTGGTTGGTTAGTGAAATGAGGACAAAAATAAGTTAGAAAAATTCTAAGGAAATAAGAGAGCAAATAGTTTTTCATTTGAATTGAGATCCTTTCTTTGTGCTGGTTGTTGCGTATTTGGGTATATGAATTCTGAATATGGAATATAATTAGAAACTTATTTTCTAAAGAAAATTTTAATATATCTGGGGAGATAACTCAATATGTAGCAAGTTTTAGGCATTATAATATCTTCTTTATGATTAATTGGGAGCACTATACATTCCTCACATTCCTGCTGATGGTCCCCATGTTTGTGAAAACTAATGATAACATAAAACAAATGAACAAAGAGACAGGACAGTTACTTTTTTTTCAATAACGTGTTTGAGAGAATATTCAGTCATATATTTCTGTCAGGAACTGTGCTACATTCTGAATAAACAGTGGTAAACAAAACAGGCACGCCCCGTCCCCAACTTTTCTTAGTGCTTTACTAGTGGATTTATTAGTGTCTTAAGTGGCCAAATACATTTTTGATCTTACAGTCTACAAAAAACAAGCAATTAAGCAAGTAACTACAATATATTGCAATGGCAGCACAAATTTTAGTACAACATAGCTTATTCTAAAAGGTCTATTGTAACCAAAAAGGAGTTTAGTTGTTTGCTGAATGCAGAGTCCAGTTAGGGAGTGTGAGGTCTGATACAAAAAAAAAAAAATGTGAATTTATTCAGAAGCTAGCTTGGGGAAGGGCACAAAGCATCCTGCATTTAAATGTGCTGCTTCACTTTGGGAGCAGAAAGCGGGCACTTTTATAAGGTAGGGGAGCAAATGAGCTAGGGAAGTTGTCCCCCTCCTACTGGGCAGTTATGTACTGGGCAGTTGAGTTGGTACCTTCCTGGTCAGAAATAAGTTGTAAAAGTGGCCAAGTGGGCATGCTTTTGACATGCTCTCCTGAGGTGACTCCCTAGATGTGAGGGTTCCCTGGGGCATGCTTTGGTCTGCAAATCCACTGTCAAGGAGAGATCTTGGAGCACATAGATGAACTTACCCTGTAGGGAATGTCTGGCGAGGGGAGGTGAAAGGTTGCATTTGCATTTCTAAAGGACTAAGTAGGAAGAAGGGAGTAGGGGTAATGGGGAAAGAAGAAAAGAAGAGAAAATAATAAAAAAAATTCAACCAACTTAGAAAAATGGAGGTACTTGGTTACACTATCCATCTACCTAGATATATTTTTAAAATTGTTTTATCTGTGTATTTATCTTATACTTGAAATTACTAGAAAAGTTAAAATAAAAATTATTCAAATATTTGGAGACAGTTAAAGTGGCAACTGCTTTCAATAATATATGACTTATTTGAATTTGAGTTGGTCGAGGAAGCCAATATATTGGAAGCCAAATAATTTGGCAGCAATATAGCCTCGGAATGACACTAGCAGAGGAGACATTGTTATGAGCTATGCTATAAAAGTGCATATAAGACACAGACTGAACTACAGGATCTAGTGTAGCTGTTTTTAATATTTTTTAATGGAACTAGGGAGGAAAGAGTTAAAATAGCTGGTCTGCAACCAGTTCATTTGTTTTGTGAGGAAGCCCCCTCACCACCGGGCAACTAAGTGGAGAAAGCAAAGAAAACAGTGACTGTCTATTCTCCTTGCCAACTAGACCTGTGATAAATAGTGATTTTTGCTATGTGGAAAAAACCTACAGAATATCTTTAGCAGGATGTCCCTGGCTAGAGGATTACTTATAATAAACCTATAATCTAAGGGTTTATGATTTTGGGTTATACAATGGACGTGTTTCATAACTTAGATGTTCTCCTTGTTGTTTGAGTTGAACTGCAACTTCATTAGAAACTCCAGCTATTATTTAGGGGAAGAGACCATGTCTGATGCAGGAAGGAAGGACTAGGAACCACCCTTTTAGTCCCAGATTTCTCTCACTTCACCCAAACTGGAGATATTCTGTATTTTTGAAATTATCAATAAAACTTGATATTTGTATGTCGTAACACATCTCACCCAGAAATTCAGGTTAAAAATATGTTGTTCAAGCTTGAGAGTTATTTACTAGGGAAATGTATCAGCAAGTTTTTGTTTAAAAAGAACAATGCTGCTACTGATAACATCAATAATTATAAATCCTTATATTTATTGTTATACCAAGTGTTTCATGTGTCCTGAATTACTACTCTCAACAGACCTATGAGTTAGTTGTATAAAACTTGTGTCTGTCAAGTAAATTTGCCAAAGCCACATTGTTAGTAAGTGGAAGAGGTGGGAAAAATGTGATTTTTACATGCAAAATGATGGGAATTCTGAGGGTCAGTGTTCATGGAGGTTAGTGAATTGCAACTAATGAGATTGGGAGAATAAAAACTAGGATAGACTTGGGAATTAGACAGCTTAGTTTCAAGTCTCAGCTCCATTTGGGATTAGTGTGGTTTTGTGCAAAATGCTATCTTTTCTACACTATAGTCTCCTCAGTAAAATAGTGACCAAATATTCACATAAAGTTATTGTGCTCATATAACTATAGTAAGTACTCACTAAGTGTTAGTTGATAAAATTATTATTATTTTCAATTGGCCTCACTACATAAACATTGGATTGAATGATTTCTATGGTTTCTTCCAGTTCTAAAATAACATGACTCTGGATTCCCATGGGCTGCTTCTCATAGTCACCTGACACATAACGAACTCATGAGATCTAGTGGGTAGTTGGGACATGACTCATTCCTACTGCCATCTCCTTCCCATCAGTAGCTGCAAAATAAAACTTGGATATCACTATGTGCTAGGAAGAAGGCCTGAGTATCTAGCAAGAGGAAACACAGGTCTTTCGTCTTTCTGCATAATGAAAGTTTTGTTTCCTTCTCCAAATATAAAAGTGATTCATTCTTGACAAATGGATTGCCTTATCACCATTGGTTCATGCCTTCTGGAAGTGAGGGTTTGTCCTAGGAAGGGGAAAGGACTGGGTTGGTTACTTTCTCACCTAAGAGGGAGCACAGCGTTGCTGATTCACAAGTCATGGGGCTTCCCCTGCAGTGAAGCTCAGGGAGCTGATGTCTCAGATGAGGGATATGGGCAGATTCAGTGTTCAAATGATGACGCCAGGGCTCTATTTCTCTCTGTATTTCTCTGGCACCTTCATTTTCAGGCCATGTATCTTTAAGTGTGGCACTGGCAGGTCCAGGCTCACATAGTCCATGCAGCTCATAAAAACTGAGGAACAGAGAGACCCTCTTTTTTCCAGAACCCATATATTCTAGGATGAGATTCTAACTGTCCTATCCCTGAACCAATCCCATTGCTGGGGGATGTGTGCTTTAGTGGGTCTGGGCTCAGTGATGTGTTCCCAGAGCCCCTTGGGTGCATGTGCATGTGTGTACTAGCAGGGAGGCATCAAGAAGGGTTAGTTTTCCTTGATCCTTATAGAATGGGTTTCCACTGGAAAGATGGATCCTACTACCAGAGAAGAGAAAGCAATGCTGGAAAGAGGAATACAATGGTTATCTACCACAGTTTCATCTAGTTACACTTTGACCCTTTCCTCAATGGCTCTACAAGAAGGAAGGGGATGAATCTGGGAGAATGGAAAAATGGGGAGGACAGCTTTTAAAGGAACGCATGTGGAGAGCATATTTGCTGGTGGAGGTGGAGAGTGACCTAAGGTGTGGGGTGAGTGGACAATAAGAACAGAAGTGTCACTGGCACAGTCTGCCCCGGGCTGGAGGGACACGGAGTTCTGACACCTTGCACTACTTCTTCCCTTCCACTCTGGGAAATAGGCTCCAAATTCACATATCACCAAGAAGAAAACCCACACTGAGAACATTTTCATTCCCTAGTATCAATTCTAAGTAGCAACTAATATCTAAGTTTATGCATTTTGTATTAATAGAAAAGAATAGAAGATACTTAAAATTAGTAAAATTTAACACAGAAGCCTTAGAGTAAGGGATACCTTTGAAGAGTTCTAATACTGACATTATTTTTTAAATAGTACAAGGTGACATCTGTTAGAAATCAATGAGTATTTTCAGTTGTTAGAAATAAAAACTCTAAAAATGCGACTGCTAACACAAAACACAAGATACAACAATTGCTTCCCTCTGCTGACTAAATTAATGCTTTTCCTGGACCTTCTGTAAAGATGGGCTCTTTAACTCATGGACTTTGTCATATGGTGGCTCTCTGGACCTAATTTATCCTATGACTGTCCCCTCTAAATGACACACCGTTTTGAGATATGTAGATCTAGGTATATTGTTGGCATAGAGAAGTGATTATGATGCAGGGACAATAAGAGGAAAAGACACAAAATAATGTGTCTTTAGCTTACTTACAAAGAAGGGGATTCTGCCATCCGCCTTGCAACCCCACACAACACTGTGACCTATGCCAGCTGCAGCATACTTCAATTGAAGTGAAAATTAAGAGTATTTATCATTCTCTGGGACAAACTGAGGAGTGCACCACCAAATACTGATTAGGTTTGTCTTTTATGATGACTTTTACTGGCAAAGTACAAAATATTTTCCCATAGCTTGTTGACATTTTGGAACTCTGCTTTGATGACCACACTGTGATACGATGACCCTCTGCGGTGTCTTCTTTCATTCTATGAGCTTCCCCACAACTTCATTTTCAAATTTAAAAACAGATCTCGGCTTTTCTTTAAGTCACATTTTGAAATTGTTCTTCCATATCAGCATTTACTTCTAAGGGCTACTTTTAAAGAACGAGGGTCTTTGTAGTTAGATCAACATTCAGGCAAAAATTATTTGCTTTAAGGGAGGTTTCTTTGGATTCTGTCATTTAAATATTTGTTCAAACATAAGTAAGGATGTTAACACTATCCCATATCCCACCCCTTTCCAAAAAAACCCCACAAATATTTTGACAGGGAGTAAAAACTTTGTGAGCCAACACTGTCTTTGCTACTGACTTGTTTTGGTGAAGTGTTCAGGTATGGTTAGGCTTCTGTGTTTTGTGATTCAGCTGCTGGTTGCACTGAGTTTTCCTGGCCATATCTACTCAAGCAGGCTTTGCTAGTGTCTTTCTCACCATTTTCATAAAACAGATCCTAATGACTGGCAATCGATGGGTAAAGTATCAGCTACTGTACATTACACTGTCTATATCATAGGAATACTGAAGGAGTAAAGATTCAGTTGTGAAGAACAAATATACAGTCAACTTTCATTGTCTTCTAGGGAGAGTCTCATGATATGAGAAATTTAATTGTCAAATAGTCTCAGATCATTGATTCTTTTCCTACTTGCTTGTGCTATTGGGAAATCACATGGCTCACAAAGTAATGAAAGTATATTTTTAAGATCTGACTCATTGCAGGAGACTGGATGTCCCCAAATGGTACAGTGTCTTTTATTCTAAATGATCTTCATACAATAAGACCTTTGCATGCCTCTTATCTGGTGCTTGGTCTATTCCTCCCTTGAACACGGACAGACCAATGTTAATGTCACAATCCACAGAGTATGTGACTTCTGAGATGAAATCAAAATACACCCTGCATTTCTGCCTTTCCCTTTTGGGATTCTTACCCTTGGAACCAGCTGTCATCTTGTGACAAATCCCAGGCAAGCCCTTGCTGAGATGCCACATGTAACTGCCCCACTGAGGCCCCAGCCAACAGAGGACATCAACTGCCAGGTAGGTGAGTTGAAGGCATTGCCCTAGATTTCAACTGCTGGCCGTACAGTCACTCTCAGCTTTTGTCTTTGCAGCTGGGAATCCAGACAATGTGGTTCAGAGCAATCCATTCTTGCTGTCTCCAAATTCCTTACCTACAGAATTTGTGAGTGCAGCTGAGTTTGTTTTGTGCCACCATGTTCCGCAGCAGTTTGTTATGTAGCAATAGAAACTGGAATGCACAGCGCTAGAAGGCTACAGAATTTCACCCCATTCTTCCACTGAAAACCTCCCCACTCACCTCTCCACAGTGCATATGGGAAATCTACTGCTCTGCATGATAAAAAGAATCATCCCAAGTAGATTCAGCCTTTCTTCAAAACCTCGTTAGCTCACCAATTCACATCCTCTTTAAGGAATAGTAATACATAAATGCTAAGGCTTTTAAGAGACTCATGTAAACCCCATTCCTCTGACTACTGCTGGGCCACAGAAAGCCAGACAATGAATACAACTAAAAAGACAGCCTAGTGGTGGCAGAGAATAATACAATGAAATTATTAACAGTGGAATTGAGCAATAAATTGAAACATTTTATAAGGACACAGAAAACAATTTCTCTTAGATATGAATAATTTCCCTATCGTAATAAAGTGTTTGTGGTAAAAAGTAAATTTGTCATTGCATATTATCTCAGATTCCTAAATATTACTGTGTCAAATTTATGCAAATATTATCACTGACAACATTATAAGAAAGTTAAAGAATCATGGTTTTGGGAGGCAGAGAAATTTATATTCGAAATCACCTCCATCGACTGGTTTTATGACTATGAATGTATTATTTAACAGTTCTCAGACCTAGTTTCTTTGTGCACTAGAAACAAAGATAAAAATGCTTATCTTCTTAATCTGTTAACATATTCGACTGTTTGAGATTTTGAGTTAGGAATCAGAAGTATAAATAGATATGTACTTTTTTGATACTGGGTTAAAATATATTTCCCAAGGCAAATTATATAAAGTTAATAAGCTGAAGAAAACATCAAAGAGTCCATAATTATTTCTTCTCAGAGTAGTAGCAATTTATTTGATCTGAATTAATGGTAGTTGGGGTTTTGGTTTCTATGACTAGATAGAGAAACAAGTTCATTAAAGCTTTACAGAACAGGAAGGCTAGCGGGGTTTAAAGTTGGCCTTATACAACTCAAAATATTTGGAGCATAATTTAGTCCATCTTTCCTTTAAGTCTGATAATAGATTTTCAGACAACAATATAAGGTAAAGTGAAGGGTGGGGAGGAGGGAATCTTTTACTGCCTTCACTCTCCATAAAAGAGAGGCTATAACTGACTTAAATGCTTAGAATCATTTATTATCTAACAAACATAAATCTCACACACCACACACACCCCCCCCACACACGCGCACACTCAAACCGTAGCTTCTGTGTGAAGCATAAAGGCTGCAAAGTCTTCCACACCATTTGGCAAAGAGCATAAGAGGATGGTGTCCCCAGCAGAGGCTGTGAGTCAGCCCAAATGCAGGCGGCCCCATGACTGTGGGGCACACAGAGCTGGAGGTGGGAGAAGGGCCTAGGGGTCACTGCCCCCTCACTCCAAGCTTCAGCAGGCAGGGGCAGTGGATGAGGCTGCAGGCCCCAGTGTTGGTGGACACGTCCTGGCTCACGGCCTCTGGGAGCGCTGGGGAACCAAGAGCAGACAGACCCTTACAGCAGCCATTCCTTCACTGCAACCAAGTGTGCAGCGGAAACCCAGTGAGGAGGGACACAGTGTGATGGGATATGTGGAAAAGAAATGCTAAACCTCAGCAGGTGATTTGGGAATGATTAAAGTGACTTGAACTTACATCACTTGGAAAGCAGTTTTATTATGCATATAAACACATAGTTCTGTCTAGAAAATAAAAATATAGTCTTAATTTTTTGCTTTGGACATTAATACTTTACATTAACTTCATTAAATGTTTTTCAATAACACCCCTGTTTGTTATATATGTATACATACACATTCATATACAAAGACACGTGTGCACGCACACACACACGACAACGTTTATAAAACAAGAACACTAATACTGTCATGTGTTGGTGGCATTGTCCAATTGGTAGATAATTGTAAAGCTTAATTTTAATAGTGGGACATTTAATAAGGTATCTTACAGTTATTTATCTATACCAACTAAATGTTTGGTTTATGGAATCCTTTTATGGGATTGAGATCACTGTTGCTGCTTAATGGCTTTTATTGAAAAACCCAAGGTCTCCTGTTGGACATTGATCAATTGTAGGAATCTTAGCTTTATTGATTACTCCCTCAGGAAGTACTTTCTTTACCCTTAGTGTACCTGTGGTACCTTTCTGTTCCATTCACACAACATTTGTATTAAATTATTTTTTTCTAGAAACTTTTGGGAACACGTTCCAATCTCCTTCCCACTAGCTACCTCCATACAATCACAAGCCCTCTAAGTGCAGCTTTGGAGTCTTACACAAAATTTTTATTCCTCAGGGCCCAGCACAGTGCCTTGTATATTTCAGAGTCAGTTAAATATTCAGAATAGAGGTGTAAATGTTGTAGATTTCTATATAAGATCTAAAGAATCCTTAACAATATGAGTGATCTTTTCTTCAAAGAATAATGAGCAGTGGATCAGGAACCTGGAACTTAGGCTCTGCTTTTAGCTAGCTGCGTATCTTAGTCTTTAATTTCCACAGCTCTTAATTTTCCTCTGTAAAACAAGCAGGCGTAAACAACAGTCATAAATATTGTATTCTATGAGCAAGCCTAATTTTTACCTGTGCCTTCTTCCTCTCAGATTTACTGTGGCCATATTGGGGACAGATGCATATCACGAGGATTTCTTTCCTGGAGGCATTAGTCCGTGATAACAGGTATTTTTGTCACTCCAAAGCTTAGTTGAAAACGGTGTTTCAGGAAATGGTGTTACAGCTCTGATTGGAAGAGCTGGAGGCTGTCCTGCTGGGCACCCCTGAGTGCTTTCCTGAAATGAAAAAAAAAAAAAGTTTCCTGACTCACTTTTTATAAAGCTCGTATATGACACTCCTGGTAAATCAAGTCTGTACTGAATTTGTGATGACTGTTAGTTTGAAAATTGATAGTGAGAAACTAAAGTACATATATTAGGCTGAATTCTATTCCCCTCTCTGCCCACCAAAAACTCATGTGCCGTATAGCACTAACCCCCAGCACCTCAGAATGTGGCCTTATTTGGAAATAGAGTCTTTACAGAAATAATTAAGTTAAAATGAATCCATTAGTGTGAGTTCTAATTCAATATGACCAGTGTCCTTATAAAAAGAGGGCATTAGGACACACACACACACACACACACACACAGAGGAAAGAGCATATGAAGACGATTATCTACAAGCCAAGGAGGGAGGCCTCAGAAGAAACCAATCCCGCTGACACCTTGACCTGAGATTTCTAGCCTGCAGAATTGTAAGAATATAGATTTTTGTTGTTTAAGCCACCCACACTGCGGTACTTTGCTATGGCAGCCTGAGCAAATGAATATAGTCCATAATGAATCTCAAAATCTGTAACATTATTTAATTCAAATTTAAACAACATTGTGAAAACTAAGATTTTTAAAAATTTCAAAATTTTATCGAGTTTCTTTCCAAAAATGTTTCAATTTTAAGAATCAGATTGTGATATACATAATCAAGATGGCCGACTAAATGGCGCCAAGAGGAACATCTGCCAGTGAGGGACCAGGTCATCAGAAAGACTGGTCCCTTCCTAGCAGATCTTCAGAGGGAAGCATTGAGAGTTGACAGAGGGAAGACACAGAAGCTGGGCTGAAGGCAGAGGAAGCTGGGAACCCCACACAGGGCTATTGTGCACTGGAACTCATTCCTGGCCTCCAGTGGCTCCTGGGGAAGGGGTGAGTTGAACAGGCAAGGAACAACCTGCTGTCACCAAAGTCCTCTGGAACCCTGGCAGGAGGAGACCCCTTGACCAACACAGACACTTGAGTTGGCAGGAAGAGCTGCTTAGAGAAATGGTAGGGGCAGAACTCCAGCCTCAGTGGCCCAGAGGGTTTGGTGTGAGAGTGTCTGCAGTGGAGCACTGCCAGGAATGCTCATCCCCTTAGGCTTGACTTGCTCCCATAGGAGACTTTAACACCAGGGGAAATGTTGGACCTGAGCTCAGCAGAGCGTCTTGTCCATGAGATGGAGCCAGTCTGATCTTAGTATCCCTCAGTCTCCTGGGCTCTTCCATGGCCCCAGCCTGACCACGCCTGTTTGCAGTGCAGCTTTGGGTTCTGGTGAGGGGGCTGTGTACCTCCTAGGGGCCATATCATAGCTCCTGCCCTGGTGGATGGCAGCTGACCAGCGGAGAGCTCCAGCAGAGCAGCCCCCATGGGCATATACCAACACACTCATGTTCTCATTCCCACTGCAGCCTTCCCTGTGCTGCTTTGCCTGCATGCATTTGCCCATGGACATCCCCTACATTGCTTTGCTGGTGTGTGTGTAAGCGAGTGGACCTTGCCTATCTTTCCTTGTCAGCATACATGTGCACATGCACCCTGCCATGCTACTGCTGGAAGCATGAGTGCACCCTACCTCCCTACCCTCACTGCACCTGTCAGAGCATTGTCAGGCATGGAGCCTACCAGTCCCACCCCCACCAGCATCCTGCCCTTGTGCCAACACTGCTGTTGGCATAAAACTAGGCACAGAGAACACTGGACACACTCCCACACTGAGCAGCAACTGCCATATACAGGAATTCACACAGAGGACATACACAGTCCTGTGCACAGCAGCATCCCACCGCCATGCTAATAACCACCTCCAGTGTGAATGCACACACACATGCTGGTAGGGTCCCCCTCACCCCATCCCACCATGTCATGCTGCCATCACTGCTGCTCCAAACTCAGAGTCTGGCACCCTGGCACCTGCTGGCACCCCACCATAGCTGATGAGTTTGTACCCCACCATAATGCCACTGCTGCTGAGGCTGGCATGTGCAAACAAGGATGGATCCCACTGCCACTACCTCATGAAGCAATTTGGATGACATCACCCATCATAGTGTTGTGACCAGTAGTCTGGGACAACCGTGGAGCCTCTAGCACAGCAGGTTCCTAACCTCCAAGGGCCATAGAACAAAGCCAGGACCAGATACCAGTCCCCCAGAATTAGAGAATGTAGTCCAGGAGGCCTGAGCTGAGCCTTGGCCCCCTAAAATCTTCCAGAAATGAAGCCAGTTGACCAAAACCACCTTATACCACAATCAATCCCTCAAGGTCATAAAATAGGATAAAAGAAAAAAAAATCATTCAAAGAACAGCAACTTTAATGACTGAAGGAACACAAGTCCACAAAGACAAAAATGGACCAGCACAAGAACTCTGACAACTCAAAAAGCCAGAGTGCCTTCTTTCCTCCAAGTGACCACACTAATTCTCCAGCAAGGGTTCATAACTGGGCTGAAATGGTGGAAATAGAATTCAAAATATGGATAGGAATGAAGATAATCAAGATTCCAGAGAATGTTGAAACCCAATCCAAGGAAGCTAAGAATCACAAGAAAATGATACATGAGCTGGCAGAGAAAATGACCAGTACAGAAGAGAACAACATAACTGACCTGATAGAGCTGAAAAACACCCTACAAGAATTTCATAATACAACTGCCTGTATTAACAGCAGAATAGACCAAGCTGAGGAATGAATCTCAGAGCTTGAAGACTGGCTTTCTGAAATAAGACAGTCAGACAAGAATAAAGAAAAGAATGAAAAGGAACGAACAAAAACTCAAAGAAACACGGGATTATGTAAAGAGACTAAATCTGCAATATTTTGGCATCCCTGAAAGAGGAGAATGGAAGCAACTTGGAAAAAATATTTCAGGATATCATCTATGGGAACTTCCCTAACCTAGCTAGAGAGGCCAACATTCAAATTCAGGAAACACAGAGAACTCCTGCAAGATGCTTCACAAAAAGATGATCCCCAAGATGTATAATCATTAGATTCTCTAAGGTTGAAATGAAAGAAAAAATGTTAAACATAGGTAGGGAGAAAGGACAAATCACCTACAAAGGGAAGCCCATCAGATTAACAGTGGATCCCTCAGCAGAAACACTACAAGCCAAAAGAGATGGGGAGGCGGGGGTGCTATATTCAACATTCTTAAAGAAAAGACGTTCCAATAAAGAATTTCATATCCAGCCAAACTAAGCTTCATAAGTGAAGGAGAAATAAGATCCTTTTCAGACAAGTACATACTGAGGAAATTCATTACCACCAGACCTGCCTTATGAGAGCTGCTGAAAGAAGTACTAAATATGGAAAAGACAGTTACTAGACACTACAAAAAGACACTTAAGTACACAGATCAGTCACACTATAAAGCAGTCATATAAACAAGTCTGCATAATAAACAGCTAACAGAACAATGGGAAGATAAAATTCACACATATCAATACTAACCTTGAATGTAAATGGACCAAATGCCCCAGTTAAAAGGCACAGAGTGGCAAGCTGGATAAAGAAGCAAGATCCAATTCTATGCTGTCTTCAAGAGACCCATCTCACATGCAGTGACACCAATAGGCTCAAAATAAAGGGCTGTAGAAAAATCTATCAAGCAAATGGAAAACAGAAATAAAGCAGGGGTTGCAATTCCAATTTCAGACAAAACAGACTTTAAACCAACAAAGATCAAAAAAGACAAAGAAGAGCATTACATATGGTAAAGGGTTCAATTCAACAAGAAGATCTAACTATCCTAAATATATATGCACCCAACACAGGAGCACCCAGGTTCATAAAGCAATTTCTTAGAGACCTTCAAAGATATTTAGACTCCCACACAATAATAGTGGGAAACTTCAACACCCCACTGATAGTATTAGACAGATCATTGAGGCAGAAAATTAACAAAGACATTCAGGACCTGTACTCAACACTGGACCAAATGGACCTAATAGACCTCTACAGAACTCTCCATCCCAAAACAACAGCATATACATTCATCTCATTGCCACATGGCACATACCCTAAAATCAACCACATAATTGGACATACAACAATCCTTAGCAAATACAAAAAACTGAAATCATACCAACCACTCTCTTGGACCACAGTGCAATTAAAATAGAAGTTAAAACTAAGAAAATTGCTCAAAACTGTACAGTTACATGGAAATGAAAAACCTGCTTCTGAATGACATTTGGGTAAACAATGAAATTAAACAAATTTACAAGGAAAAAAACATTAAAAATTGGGCAAAGGACATGAGCAGATACTTTTCAAAAGAAAACATACATGCAGCCAACAAGCATATGAAAAAAAAGCCTAACATAACTGATCATTAGAGAAATGCAAATCAAAACCATGATGAGATACTATTTCACACCAGTCAGAATGGCTATTATTAAAAAGTCAAAAAGTAACAGATGCTGGTGAGGTTGTGGGGGAAAGGAAATACTTATACATTGTTGGTGGGAGTGTAACTTAGTTCAACCATTGTGGAAGGCATTGTGGCTATTCCTCAAAGAGCTAAAACCAGAGCTATCTTTCAACCCAGCAATCCTATTACTGGCTATATACCCAAAGGAATATAAATCATTCTATCACAAAGATACATGCACACATATGATCTTTGCATCACTATTCACAACAGCAAAGACAAAGAATCGACATAAATGCCCATTAATGGTAGACTGGATAAAGAAAATGTGGTACATATACACCATGTGCATATGGAATACTATGCATCCATAATAAAGGGCAAGATCATGTCCTTTGCAGCAACATGAATGGAACTGGAGGCCATTATCCTTAGCAAACTAATGCAGGAACAGAAAACTAAATACCACATGTTCTCACTTACAAGTGAGAGCTAAATGATGAGAACACATGGACACGAAGAAGGGAACAACAGACACTGGGGCCTACTTGCAGGTGGAGAGTGGGAGGAAGGAGAGGATCAGAAATAAGTAACTATTGAGTACTAGCTTAATACCTGGATGGTGAAATAATCTGTACAACAAACCCTCATGACACAAGTTTACCTATATAACAAACCTGCACATGTACCTCTGAAGTTAAAATAAAAGTTTGTGTTTTTTTCTTTTTAAAAGAGTCAGATTGCATTTTGCTCAACAGTTCATAAACAACTGGGCTAATGTCACCTGACTATATAACATTGAAATTGCTGGAATGAACACATCTCACTGATTGCCAGAGATAGGCCAGTGAATACTCCCTGAAACCCTAAAAAAGAGAATTACTTCTTAATGACTGTTAGCCTGAAAGACAATGATAGGTTTCAAGATGTCTAAGGTGGCAGTCACAGAGATCAGCACCTATTTCCCTATGTGAATTTATTGTTAATCCCAAATGAGCTGGTTGAGATAAAGTATTAATTCACTGAAAAGAATACTCTGGGGAAAAATAGTGCTAGTATATCATCATTTTCATGTTCCCTCCCATTCATGTTTTGCATTTTATCATTATTAACCATTGATATAGAATGGATATAAATCCTATATTTTGGTAGGATCATAAAACATTGGTACTGGGGGTAATTTTAAAAATTAACCCTCTTTTCCCTTACAAAACTAAACAGTTGGATTACCATGCAATGTGGCAATTGAACTCCCAGGTATTTACCCAACTGTATTTAAAACTTAGGTTCATCTAAAAACCCACACATGAATGTTGATAGCATATTTATTCATAATAGCAGATTTATTCATACTTGATAAAAACTAGATCAACCAAGATATCTTTTAATAGGTGAATGGATAAACTGCAGCATATCCATATAAAGGAATACTAGTCAGTGATTTTTAAAAAGAGCTACCAAACCACGAAATGACATGGATGATACCAAAATGCATATTTCCAAGTCTCACTTTCAGAAGCCACTCTTAAAAGACTGCATCCTGTATGATTTAAATTTTATGACATTCTGGAAAAGGCAAAACTAGAGTGAAACTAAAGAGATCAATGGTAATGAGAGGTTCAAGGAGAGAGAGAGAAGATTATAGGTGACGCACAAGGGATTTTTTAGGGCAGCGAAATAATTTATTTGTTACTGTAATGATGGATACATGCTATTATGACACATGTATATTGGAATTGAGCAATTAGGTTAATGGATGGCAGATGTACGGGCCAGGTTTCCTAGTTGCACAGGAATTTGCAGACAAGCAAGGGGAACTAGAATCATCCATGTAGTAATAGATTAGAATTGGAGACATCAGTATGACCTCATGTTTGTCTTAATATAGATCCAGATAATTACATATAGAAAAATTTATAGATGTGTATGTGTATGACCTATCATATACACATGTATTTCCTTGCTCTGTCAACTGAGAGAATCTAAGTAAAATGACACCCAGTAGCAATGAGCACACTTAGTGCTCAGATCATAGTTTCTAATGCCACTCTCCAATATAAGACATGAGCAACAATTCTAAGACTGAGGCAGGCAATATACAAGATTAGCCTGGAATGTCTTCCAGTGCCAGAAATTGAGGATATACTCAAAATAAATAAATAATCTTCTAATTCTGGGGATATGTCAGAGGATACAGGAACCAATTGAAAGATATCCCGTGGCTAAAGCTGGAACAATTTGAACAACAGAATAAAGTAGTATTGAATTATAACCCAAAGTGTAATAGAAATATTGATGAGTCCACACTGGCCTACAAATAACTAAACAAATAAATAAATGGGAAAAGAGACAAATTCCAAATATTTTATGCAGATGTTCCTCCCTCAAGGAGGTATTGCATGATTCCCTACCTCTTAAGTATTGGCTGTGCAGAATGGCTGCCTTCTAAAGAATATAGCATGGAAACAGGGGAAAAGAGTAACTTTGTGGTGGAGAAACCTGGCAAACGATTCTTCAGCCAGGTGGTCAAGGTCACCATCAAGGGTGACAAGTCATGTTGACAGTATGTACCCTTGATATGATGTGATAAAATGGCATTTTGCCTTGGGCTTCCTCCCAGCACAACCATAACTCAAGTTTACAACATAATAAAAACGTCAGACAAATCCCCAGAGAATGATATTCTACAAAATGCCCAAATAGTACTCCTCAAAACAATCAGGATTATCAAAAATAAGGGAAGTCTGAAAACCTGTCACAGGTAAGAGGGGCCTAAGGAGACAGACATGATGACTAAATGTAACACGGCACTCTGGATGGGACATGAAACAAAAAAAATTAGGTAAAAACTAAGAAAATGGAAAAATATATGGACTTTAGTGAATACTTATGTATCAGTATTGGTTCACTAATTGTAACATGTATGCTTACTAATGTAAGATGCCCATAATAGTGAAACTGGGCAGAAGATATACTGGAAATCTCTGTACCATTTTCTTAATTTTACTGCAAGTCTAAATTTGTTCTAAAAAATAAAGTCTATTAAAAAATCCCTCTAGTGCTATTACATATTCAGTTCTGTTTTCTTCCCATTATTTTTTCTCATTGCCATTTCATTTGGGAAGTTTCTATTAACATATCTTCAAGCTCACTGATTTCCTTAATTGTGTTAAGTCTACTAATGAGACCATCAAAGATGTTCTTTCATTTCGATTTCTAAAGTTTAAGTTTTATGTTTTCTTAGAGTTTCCATCTCTCTGTTTACATTTCCCATTTGCTTTTGCATGTTGCCTACTTTTGCTATGAGAGCCATTAGCATATTAATCCATTATTTTAAATGCCTAGTCTGATAATTCTAAAATTGCTGCCACATCCCAGTCTGATTCTGATGCTTGATTTGCCTCTTTAGTCTGTGTTTTTTCTTTTTAGTATGCCCTGAGTTTTTGTTTTTGTTTTTTTGAGCCAGACATGGTGTACTGTGTAAAGGAAACCGAGGTAAATATTCCTTTAGTGTGCAATTTTATATTTATCTAGGAAGGAGTTAGGCTGTGTTTACTGTTTGCTGTTGCTATAGGTATCCGAGGCTAAAATTTCTTCTAGTGCCCTTGTTTTCAACTCCCCTGTTGTCTTTGGTTTCCCTACAGATGTCTTCTAAAATAATCTGAGCCTTGCAGTTCTTTTTATCTGTAATCCTCTCTTATTATAAAAGTGTTCTATTGATACAGTGGTAAGGTATGGGGGAAAGCTAAATGTTTTGTAGTTCTATAACTGAGTCTCAGTCTTTTAATGGGCCTATGTTCCTGGGATGTAATCTTCACAAATGCTTCCTCATGCTTTTTTCACCGTCTTAGGTGGGATAGGAGGGGAACGGGGGCTGAGATTTTGTGTTTCCCTTCCCCCTCATTGGTTAGGCTCTGGTAAAACCCATCTTAGTTGATCTAAGTTTTCCTTAAGGAAATAACATAGTTTTCCTTTAGGATTTACCACTATTAATGAGACTGAAATGCTCCAAGTGTATTTCAAAATGATTACTTTCCTTCCCCTTGCTCAAATCAGGCAGGGTTTTCTCTCTGATCTTCACCTTGAGAATCTGGTAGTCTCTTGGAGTTGCAACTCATCATGTATCCCCATCACCACCACAGCTGGGCCCTGAGGGGTTTTTTCTCTACTGAAGTAGTCCATTCTCAGCCTCTAGGAATTAGTCCATCACCCTTTAAGTGTTTCTACTAGCTGGGGCTTTTGCTCAGTACACTCTGGTTCTCCATATCTTTCTCTTTCCAGCTTTTGAGTCAGTAATTGGTCTTGTCACCTCAATTTTCTGATGGATTTAAGAAGAGTCATTGATTTTCAGTTTTTTTAGCTTTCTTCTTCAGAGAACAGAGGTGATAACATGTAAGCTCTTTTGTGTCAGACCAGAAACCAGAAGTCTCCAGAAGCAAAATGAAGATGTGCTCCTTTGCTCACTTGGTGCCCACTGAATGCAGGGACCTGCACTCACTTGGAGACAGAGAGGGGCTCTTAGCTCTCCTGAGGCAGTTTAGCTGAAGACCATGTGAAATTTGGATGTAAGCTTGAAGCAATGAAATGTTGATACCATCCAACTTTGATGTTTCACTCTCTTGCTCTATGCTTTGAGTAAATGAGTCGATACAGGGTTCAAAGAAACTAAACAAGCCAAATAGTCAACTTTCATGGAGAAACACAATAAGTAAATGGGTGATCTTCCTTATAAGTGTGACCAACTTTTTTTCTAGAATTAACATACTGTGGGAGACTAGGAACTATCACATTCAATAAGTCAGAATATTCATGACAGATCACACAGTAAAGATAATTGTGTTTTCTGAATAATGAAGGCATCTATCAGCCTCACAAAGTGCTGGTTCAGATGCCTATGAAGTTGGAATTTTCTGTGTCACAGGAGGAAAACTTGGTGCTGTCTCTATCAACAGTGTCATTTCAAATTGATTCTAAGTCTTGGCTAAAAGTCAAGAGCACTCTGTCCATACAGTGAAAGAAAGCAGATAAAAAAGGTGTTCTTCTAATGGACAAATAATTTTCTTATCACTGTTATCAGAAAGCCATGGAAGCTGCTCGTGCCAAGGGAATACATAGATTATTTACCAGAGATAGATAGCTATCTTGCTTCATGGTTTTACATCAGTTGGGATAAAAGATCTGGACAACGTATTAACACTTGTCTTGGATTCACTCCAGTCTTCTATGTTGCAAGCATTTGAAAACAGAAGGCGAAGCAAATGTCTCCCAGGCAATGATAATCTCTATATTGAACTTTTCCTTCTGGAACATTTGGGACTGTCCTAGACAATAACAGCTATTATTGACTAAGTGCTTTTGTGAGCTGACTATTGTTCTACACACTTTTCAGGTTTTAACTTGTTTACCTCTCTAAATAATCCTGAGGTAGGCATTGCCATTGTTTCCATTTCATAAAAGATGAAATAGAGACTTCAGAAGGCTAGACAACCAGTGCAAGCTCATTGATGTGACAAGTAGCATGCCAATATCACTCTCTGCAGCCTGGTTCTAAACTTTTTTTGCAAAGAAATGCTTCTATATTTTGACACTTTCATCAATGAGGATGATCTCAGATCTAGAGTCTCACAGGTGCCATCTTGGAAGACAGCAAGGATCATGCTGGAAGAAGGGGCCCTGGGCTTGCTCTCTATCTGTTATTTACCATAGAAAGTCTTCTGCTCCTTAAAGCATAATAGTGGAGAATGACAGATGGCTGGCAGTGCCTAGCTGGCGTCTGTAGCTGTGACCTCAGAGGAAACACTTGTTCCTTTTTCTCTTTCAGAGGAAAGTTGAACAAAATGAGGAAAGACTCATTTTGCATTTCCCATTGATCCGATTTCAAATACTTAGGAATAAATCCTTAAAACACTACCTCTTTAACAGATAGTGTTTCCTGTATTAGTTTCCCAGGGCTGCTATAATGAAGCACTGCAAACTGGGTGGCTTAGAAGGACAGAAATGTTTGTCTCCCAGTTTTGGAGACTGGAAGTCTGAAATCAAGGTGTCAGTGGGGCCAGGCTCCCTCTGAAGGTTCTCGGGAAGAGTTCCTCCTTGAATCTTCCCAGGTTCTGGAGGCTGCTCATAATCCTTGGTGTTTCACAAACGATGGACACATGGCTCCAATTGCTGCCTGTTTATCACATAGCCTTCTCCCATGTGTCTTTGTTTCTGTTTTCTTTTCTTATAAGGACTGGAGTTAGGGCCCACCCTATTCCAGTGTGACTTCATCTTAACTAGATTACATCTGCAAAGATACTATTTCTAAATAAGTTTACATTCTGAGGTTCTGAGTGGACATGAATTTTAGGGAGGCACATTATATGGAAGCTGAGTAGTTAACTGAATTTGAAACTCCTCAGAAATTATGTGATAGAACAGAGCCAAAAGTCTGGGGTCCACTCTTTTTCTTGTTACTGAGCAGCCCTGAGGGCCACACATGAGCATACGTTGTGGTCTCTGGGGACTTAGCTGACAAACATTTGAAAACCAAACCCTGACATCTGTTACACGTGGAAGAAGCTGAGGGTAGTATGACAAAATGCCATTGGTTCATTTGGGCTAGGGTCGCAAGAGTTTTTCTAAAGGTTCAGTTTAAAGAGTAAGTTTGGTGAATTTCTATTCCGACATTAATCACCTAGAGAAAGTTGAAGATTTTATTTTAAAATCTAAGATATTTCAGATCATTTCAATGCTCAGAGATTGTTAACAATTAATATTCAGAAACGCTATTGTGTTGCCAAAAGCTGACTGATTTGTAACCTGTAGCTCTACATTAAAAAATACAGAATCCTCATGGGTTTATTTTCACATTCAGTTACCTGGTAAAGCATAACAAACATGAAAACAGAAGGTCTGTGGCTGAATTTCATTTGATTTTGCATTTGATTTGCGAGCCTACTTGATATTGCTGTGCCCCTTGTTATTGTCTTTAAATGTGAATTTGGCAGCGTTGATAATTTCCTAAATGTAACTCAAAGCTGCATGGCATCTGGCAATTAGGAGCGTGATGGTTCACACAAGTTCCAAAGACACCATGGTAATAGTTCTATATATAAAATTTCCACTTCCTGCATCTGCATGTTGGAGGACCAGATGCTGTATTTGAGGCATGTATTTTGCAGGATGTGGTGAACCCATCAGAGCTCAGTTCAGTGAAACAGCAGAGGTCCTCTTCTGACCTCTCTTTTTTACATTGTGGGTCCTGTAAGCACCAGCTTCATTACCAGGAGTTCGGTAAATCAATACACATGGTTTATTTCAAAGATACTACTAATGAGACAGAGCGAGGTGAAGGTTAAGGAAGAGAGCTCAGTCTCCCTTATTTGGATGTGAATTCTTGGGGCCAGCAGAAACACCAGCTGGAAACATACCAGGGAGCTTTATGCAATGGCTGGGGCACCCCCTCTTTTTCATCATTTAGGCTAGCAATGGGGGATAGAATGTCTGCAAGGGTTGGCGATGCTGATATTCATGTCCTCTTCTTCCTTCCCTCCTGCCTCCCTCTGCTTTCGCCAGACATTATGTACCCGGAAGCTTGCCAGCTGGCAGAAATGGTGGCTAACCAGCATGCTCGACCATTAGCAAGAAAAGTCTGCTCCCAAGAATATAAATGTGTATTTTGAAGGATTACCCACTGTCACAGGGTTATATGACCTTCTTAAAAGAGAAACAAACAATGATCTTGTATCTCTGCCTGCAAGGAAGAAAGAGGCAAGATAGTGTAAGGCTCAGGAGCCTGGACTTTGCAGCCAGACTGCCTGGGTTTGGATGGCAAGGCTGCTGCTGAGCTGCCACCTGACTCCTGGATTGTGTCCTCATATGTTAAATAAGGTACTAATAGGACCTGGCATGTAGAGTTGTGCACGGGCTACTATAATAAATAAAACACACACTTCTGTGATTTAACTAGAAGTGTATTTCTACTTCACAAGTAGTCCAAAACTGATACTTCTGATTGTCAAGCATCATCCCTTCAGTGATTAAGAGACTCACTGTGTATGGCTCCACTATCTTCAACAAAAGGTATCCAAGGTCATGTTTCCATCCAATTTCAGATGAGAAAGGTTTTTATGGGCCAGGCCTGATAATGGTGCACATCCCTTCCACTCCCATTCCATTGGTCAGACTCAGTCGCCTGACCACATTTAAGCATATGACTATTTAGGAAATAGCTGTGTAATCAGGAAGAAGAGGAGTCGGTTTGGTGGACAGCTAGTCTCTCACCATCACAAGATTTATGCAAAATCAGTGAGTTATTATGGATAAAGTATTCACTTTGAACATTACATGCACACTTCTAATGTTTTTCCTAACATTCTGTCATGTAAACTTTCAAATATACAAAACTGTTGAAAAAAATTTTATAGTAAACTCTGCACCATCTACCACCTAGATCCTACATTTACACTTTATTCTGTTTGCTTTATCACATTCCTATCTACCTATCCATCCATCTTGCTCTCTATCCATCAGTACACCTCATTTATTCAAAGTAAGTTGCTTGTTGCTTTGTTACATTTTCCCACTAAATACTTCAATGTATGTGTCATCAGGTGTTCAAGATTTGTTTAAACTTGTTTCTTTTGAGGTAATATTACAAAAAATCCAATACACAAATCTTAAGTGTAGTATTTAATGAGTTTTGATAAATGTATGCACCAGTATGACTGATATGGTTTGGCTGTGTCCCCACCCAAATCTCATCTTGAATTGTAGCTCCCATAATTCCCATATGTGGCCGGAGGGACCTGGTGGGAGATAATTGAATCATGGAGGCAGTTTCCCCCATACTGTTCTCATGGTAGTGAATAAGTCTCATGAGATCTGATGGTTTTATAAGGGGAACCCCCTTGTGCTTGGTTCTCATGCTCTCTTGCTGCTGCCATGTAAGACATGCCTTTCACCTTCTGTCATGATTGTGAGGCCTCCCTAGCCACGTGGAACTGTGAGTCCATTAGATGTCTTTTTCTTTATAAATTACCTACCCAGTGTCAGGTATGTCTTTATCAGCGTGTGAAAACAGACTAATAGAATGATCAAACACCTATTAATAAATAGATTATGACTATTACATTAGAAATTTCCCTCTTGCCTTCCCAACAACCAACACTCACTGACCTTCTCCCCAACTTTGTCCTCACTGAACACAATGATTGTTCTGATTATCTCCACCATAAATTAGTTGTGTCTGCTCTAGAATGTAATATAAATACTATAATACAGTATTAAATACTAAAGTACCTTTATTTTGTGTGAGATTTCTTTTATTAAGCATGGTGTTTTGGGGATTTAATCTTGTTGCATGCATCAATAATTCAGTCCTTTTAATTAATGAGTGGCATTCCATTATATGAGTGTATCAGAGGGTCCACACCACCACTTTCCTATTGTTGGACACAAGAGCTATTATGAATAAAGTGTCATAAACACTCTTGCACAAGTCCTTTTGTGGGCATATGTCTTTACTTGTTTTGAGTGACTACCTAGGAGTAAAACTGCTGGGTTACAGGAAAGATGCATAGTTAGTTTTATGAGAAATTGCATATAAATGACCTTTAGAAAAATAAAGGAAGAGGTGATAAGCAAAGTATGTTTATAAGACTAGTGATTCTTTTCACTAGCTGGGTATCAGAATCCTCTGCAGGGCATAAAAGTAATAGATACCGAGCGCTGTCCAAAACCAACACTAAGGGTTAAAGTGGGAAGTCCTTGTATTTCAAAAGTGCCACAGAAAACTCTGCAGTATAGTTGGTGTTAATAACCATGGCTCCGGGTCTTAATGAACTTATTAACAAGAGGAAATTTTACTTGCCTGCATATCCTCAGAGATGAGCATTGTGCTGAATTAACAGAATTGGGAGAAAAGTACTTCAACTGAAATATTTAACACTGTAGTTTGAATATTAAATATGCTTATTTTACCCTAAGGAATACATCCAAGATTAGGTATAGAAATCTAAACCTCAAGTAATTTCAGTTAAGAGTCTTGTGTTACACATGTACTTCACATTATATTTTCAGGGTTAACAAGCAACACTTACCAACTAAGGTCACATTCATCATTATTTTCTCTCTGGCTGCCCTTAACATTTCTTCCATTTCAACCTTAGTGAATCTGACAATTATGTGTCTTGGGGTTGCTCTTCCCGAGGAGTATCTTTGTGGTGTTCTCTGTATTTCCTGAATTTGAATGTTGTCCTGTCTTGGTAGGTTGTGGAAGTTCTCTTGGATAATATCCTGAAGAGTGATTTCCAGCTTGGTTCCATTCTCCCTGTCACTTTCAGGTACACCAATCAAATGTAGGTTTCGTCTTTTCATGTAGTCCCATATTTCCTGGAGGCTTTGTTTGTTCCTTTTTATTCTTTTTTCTCTAATCTTGTCTTCACACTTTATTTCATTAAGTTGATCTTCAATCTCTGATATCCTTTCTTCTATTTGATCAATTTGGCTCTTGATACTCATGTATGTGTCACGAAGTTCTTGTGCTGTGTTTTTCAGTTCCATCAGGTTATTTATGTTCTTCTTTAAACTGGTTATTCTAGTTAGCAATTCCTCTAACCTTTTTTCAAGGTTCTTAGCTCCTTGTATTGGGTTAGAGCATGCTCCTTTAGCTCGGAGGAGTTTGTCATTACCCACTTTCTGAAGCCTACTTCTGCTAACAGACAGACTGCCTCCTCAAGTGGGTCCCTGACCCCTGTGCCTCCTGACTGGGAGTCACCTCCCAGCAGGGGTTGACAGACACCTCATACAGGAGAGGTCTGGCTGGCATCTGGCAGGTGCCCCGCTGGGATGAAGCTTCCCAAAGAAGGAACAGACAGCAATCTTTGCTGTTCTGCAGCCTCTGCTGGTGATACCCATGCAAACAGGGTCTGGAGTGGCCCTCCAGCAAACTCCAGCAGACCTGCAGCAGAGGGGCCTAATTGTTAGAAGGAAAACTAACAAACAGAAAGGGATTGCATCAACATCAACAAAAAGGATGTCCACACAAGAACCCCATCGAAAGGTCACCAGCATCAAAGACCAAAGGTAGATAAATTCACGAAGACGAGGAAAAACCAGCGCAAAACGGTGGAAAATTCCAAAAACCAGAACGCCTCTTCTCCAAAGGTTCACAACTCCTTGCCAGCAAGGGAACAAAACTGGATGGAGAATGAGTTTGACCGAATTAAGACTTTTTGTTGTCTTTGTTTTATAGTGAATTAAGAAGCCTGTCTAGAGCCCATTATTGCCTTCTGGAAGGTAACTACGCTTCAAGTTGGTGTGACCTAAAGGCAGAAGTGAGTTCAGCAACTCTAATCACAGAATATTGAGCTATGTCTGGCAATGTCTGGTTAGATCTGTATGTCAGATATTTTTGGCAAATGTTGAATCAAAATCCAGACAGATTTTCTGAGCTAGATTTCAAAGGGTTGTTGTTAACTCCAAGGTTTTCATTCTTGAAAACTAAACATTTTCTTAATAACATCATCATCCATGAAAAAGCAATCCTATTTTTCTGAGAAAATCTTTCTTGGGAGAAATCTTCTGTTCCTTGTTAAAAGCCCAAGCCCACTAAATGATCTGAATGATTATCTGATGAGAAATTTTTCCAAACTATTTTCTTTTAATGAACTTTAGTTTTGCCCAGAGCAATTTCATAGCAAAATAGATCACTGTAATAAAGAAATTGTTGGTTTTGTCAATGCAAACACACCACAATAGTTCGGGCTTCTGCTCTTCAGTTAAACTGTGTTTCCTCTTTTTATTGTATATGTTTAAGATGTACAACATAATGTTTTGATATACTTATCTTGATAGACACATGGCGAAGCGATTTCTACAGTTAAGCAAATTAACACACTCATCATCTCATATACTGTAGATACCTTTCTCTTTCTTTGCGGTAAGAGTACCTAATAGCTACTCTCTTGGCAAGTTACCAGTGTACAAAAATATTAACCAGGAGGTGAACATTAGATCTCCAGATTTATTCATCCTATATAACTGCAACTTTGTGCCTTGTGATGTATCTCTTCTCCTTTCATCTTAAACTCCAGGGATGTGAAGTCTTAAGCACATTTTATGTATAGAAACAACTGCTTCCTGGACTCTTCAGTGGTGAAGAGCATAATATTTTGCAAGGCACAAGGTTGATAGAATATGCGGATATGAGAGTATCATCTTGTGACTATTCCCTAGGAAATCACAAGTAATTAGCCAAAATGCCAAGACATTTAAATGTATATTCCTATTCTCCCAAAAGCACTTCCTTGGTTTCCCTGGCACTCCATGGTACTAGCTCTCATAGTTTGGAGGATTTGGTGGATTCATTTCATAAGAACCAGAAGGTTTCACAGAGAATCACTGAGGAAAACAGATATCCCTTATAGGATTCTTTGGTCGATTTTATTCCATTGTGCCCATGAATTTAGGGTGATCTATTCTCCCACTGGAACATAGTCCAGCACACTATACCTGTGGTTACTGAATCACCTTTCTTTGCCCTGCTAGTCCTTGAAGGTATTACATAAGTTCCTTTTACCTTAAAAATTCTGAAGAACTGTGTTCACTGGCCGCCTCCTTTTTAAAGCACTCTCCCTGTAATTCCACACAGCCTGCCCCAATGCGCTGGTTGTGCACAGCATTTTGCAGTAGGGAAGGACCTAAGAGATTCCCTATGAACCCACTTTTCACAATCTCAGCGCTTGTTTGTGAAAAGTGAGTTCACATGGAATCTCTCAGGTGTGCACACATTGTTGATACCTGTGACCAGAACCTGGGGGTTGCGCATCTCCTTGGGGATCCTTCCCGGGACAGCGGACCTCCCTCAGTTTCCAGTGCAGACCAGGGTGCCCCATCTCCCACCTCTGGGGTCCCCTTTCTTTTGCTCTCCCCTGATGTCTTCCCTCCCATGTCCGCGCACTCCTCCGGCTTCCTCCTCTTTTTCTCACATGCACACACACACACACACACACACACACACACACACACACACACACACACAAACACACACTACCTCCTGGGCTCCTCTCTGCTCTGTTGGTGAGGTAGGATGTGGGACTGAGACACTGGACCAAACTGAGGACTAGCTAAAACAGTTCTGGGGAGGAAGCACCTCCCCAAGATTGTCCACCAGTGTGCTATGTCAGTTTACCATCACCATGGCAACACCCAGAAATTACCGCTCCTTTCCATGGCAACAACCTAACAACCCGGAAGTTACTGCCTTTATCCTAGAAATCTCTGCTTAAACTACTCCTGGAAATTTCTGCATAAACTACTCCTTAATTTTCATAGAATTAAAGTTGGTATAAATATGACTGCAAAAGCTCCTCTGAGCTGCTACTCTGGGCACACTACCTATGAAGTAGCCCTGCTGGGCAAGGAGCAGTATGTCTGCTGCTGTTGTACACTGGCGCATCAATAAGTGTTGCTATTTAACACCACTGGCTGGCCCTCGAATTCTTTCCTGGGTGATGCAAGAATCGTTCCTGGGAAAGCCCCAATTTGGGGGCTTGCCTGTCCTGAATCACTTCCATGCCAGAGTGGCCCAGAACCTGGGGTCCTGGGGTGGGCTTCTCTGTGTGAACCCCGTTGACCTTCTGGACTTCAGCTTTCCCCTGGGACCTCACTGTGCCTTTCCATTTAGTTGGTGAGGCCCTCTGACTTGCTACCCCATGCATACTCTAGTTCCTGGGAGCTGTGTGAGAGCCACAGAATTTGGAACCCAAAGACCCTTATCTGGGACCCCCTTACCTGGAACCCTGTTGACCTGCTTGGTTCTGGTTATTTCCATTTCCTGCCCCCTGAACACATGCATACCTAAGTATTTCCAGGTAGTGCCCAGCTGCTGTTAGAACTCAATACTGTTCCCTGCCTGACATACCTGCTCTTATTCTTTATGGAGTCTTAAATATTGTATTAGTATATTCTCATGCTGCTAATAAAGACACACTCAAGACTGGGTAATTTATAAAGGAAAGAGGTTTAATGGACTCACAGTTCCACATGGCTGGGGAGGCCTCACAATCATGGCAGAAGGCAAAGGAGAAGTAAAGGCACATCTTACATGGTGGCAGGCATGAGAGTTTGTGCAGGGGAACTCCCATTTATAAAACCATCAGATCTCATGAGACTTATTCATTACCACGAGAACAGTATGGGGAAAACTGCCCCCCATGATTCAATTATCTCCACTTGACCCCACCCTTGACACATGGGGATAATTACAATTTAAGGTGAGATTTGGGTGGGGACACAGCCAACCCATATCAGATATAAACCTGGATGGAGCTTTTCGTATATTTCAATTTGTGCTTACAACAATTTTCTTGCGAATGCTTTCACTCTCCATCTGGGCTTTGCCAATTCAGATACCACCCTGACCAGTGGCTAAGACTGGTCAATTATGACATCAACTTCCTTTCTAGTCTTACTCTAATTAAAATCCATGTTATCTATGCCCTCTTTTTCAGCCAAACCAACTAACTTTGACTCCCTGAGAAGCCAGGCCTGCCCCAACCTCAAAACTGCTTTCCTTCCCCTCTCCTTTCTATTTGTCTAAGCCCCACCCACCCAGCTTTCTGGCTCAGTTACATGGGAGTCTCCCCTCATCTCCATAGCCCTCTGCTGTCTTCTGCAGTTATAGCAGTGCATTGCTTTCACCAGTTGAATGCAAACATCCCGCCTCAAAGGATGCACACTAGACCAGTGATTTTCAAGCCTGACCATGCATGAGAAACATTGAAAATACAGATAACAGGCCCATGCTCAAGTCCTACTGACTTCACAAACGCCGATCAAGACTTCTTTGCATCCTCAAAGCTTATGCATCATAAACAATAATTATTCATGGTGGCCCTAGTTTCTTGTTTTTAATTTGCCAGTGAACTCATAAATTGCTTTGATTAGGTAAACCAGCTAACCCAATGCCTGACATGTAATAGTATTCTATAAATGCTAATTATTTCCCCTACTTTTTACTTCTGTTGCCACAAGTTTTATAGCTTTCATTTGTTTACATAAATATTTTAATAGATTTATATCTTCTGTATTACTTTCTATCCTGTATATTTTTGGCTTTTTCAGTCAAAGGTTTTCTGGCTCACTCTTGACCTTCAATTATCCCTTTTAGACTCTTCGACATTTTGATATTAAATTCATTACTTAGTCTGCCTATTTCTCAAACTTCTATGCAATTATATTTCCTGCCACCTACATTTTTTCTACTTTTAGCCTTGATCTTTCCTTCTTTATTTTTTGCTTTAATTTTCTTCTAGCAAGTAACGAAGTAGACCTTGAAATCTCATGGCCAATGACTTCTGTTTTTATAATATTTTTACTTATTTAAGTTACCTTTGTTGAATATTATTGGAAGACCTTGGAATGCCCTACAATTTAAGTTTTCTGTCTGCCTGTAGAGGAGGGAAAGAAAGAAGAGGATTTCAAACTAAAAGAGGTATTAGATATTATCAGTCTACCTGCTTCATTTTACACACAAAGCACCTGAGATACACAAGTAAAGTGAATTATCAAAGGTTATATTGCTACTTAATGACAGATTCACTTTTTTAGGGGGCAAGGGCCAGTTCATTTTTAATTGTGACATTTTAAAATTGTACGATGGTTTTCACATCTGCCGTCCTTCCATATTTAGTCTCTTAAAATGACAGAAGTATATCGACCAATCATGGATTTAATGGGTTTAACATATTTACCTCTTCATTTCCTATTCACAGAACCTTATATTCCTTTGAAATACCAGAAAGACCCAGGAGTGGCCAACAGTAAATCTCTTCCCTCCAGAGTTGAAAAGGTCAGGCTGTCTGAACACTCTGTGTTGGGATGCCACCTGTCCTGAGCTGGTACCTCTCCATAGTTGGAGGACTTCAAATGTACCAGTGGAAAAAGCATTTGCCCCTTAAAGGAGGAGAAAGAAAATCACTCCACAAAACCCAGCAGATCTGGCTATGAGGTCTTCCCTCCTTTCCTTTCTCTTCAGGTTCACTTTTGCTTTTGTTTTGTCTTTTTTTTGCAGTGGAGCAAGACAGACCGAAACTTAACTTGAGTCAGAAGGAACAAGACAGTGACAGCTGTCATTACTGTCCCACATCCAATGTATGTACTTCACAGAAAGATAGCACAAACTGCAAGGGTGATGCAATTCACACCTCCAAGGAGGTAGAAGGCCCAACAGCACAGGGAGAAAGACAAAGTGGAAAGACAAAGTATCCAGATCAGCCCAGGCTCAGGGACTGGCAAGGGCTAGAAAGGAGCTGCAGAAAAACCTGTGGTCCTTTCAGACCATGGGAGTGTTTACAATCCACATAGTGTCAGGGAGATTCTGTCTTCCATGCACCAGAAAATAAACTTCCAGTTCTTCAGAGAGAAGGGATGTGACAGCCTTGGCAGAGTGGGTCCTGCATTCCTTGTGTATTTGCAGGTGGTGGGGAGTAGGTGGAGTGTCCAGCTGGTACAATCCCACCCAGCCCCTTTGGATGGCAGGTGACCCAGTGGTCTGCAGCAGCCCTCGGTGAGGCAGGAGGTGGAGGTGGTAAAGGGAACTTCTCTGCAGAGGTTGAGCTGTGCAGGGCAGACAGCATGGAGACTGTTGTGTAAAAGGGTCTGTGGCTTAAGACCACCAAGGAGAAGAGGTGCAAACTGTGCACTTTGCCAGCATCTTTGCTTATTGGTGCTGATAATGAACTAAGGAGAGAGGAGAGAGAAGAGGCAGCAGCTACTGATGATGCTTGAGGACGGTGTAGCTGTGAGAAAAGCTAAGGGTGAACCAAATCCAAAGTAGTGAGGCTGATTCCTTTCCAATGCTTGACAACTGCTGGCGCATTCCACTTTCTTTATTGCACCAGGGTTACTAGAAGCAGTTTAATGAGTAGAGAAGAGACACACGCAGGAGACTGACCAGCTGACCAATGATGTGGACGCGTGGGCTCGAGACTGGCCCACACCTTGTGGAGGGGGGTCAAGAGCCACAGCTAAAGGTGGGAGAGGCTGGGCACGGTCATTTTGCCAACACTCAGGAGTGGATGAGGCTTCCCTGCCGACGCCCCAAATGGCAGGTCAGCTATGTCTTGAAATCAGACGGCCTGGACAGTTTTGCTAAGTGTAATCAGAGGGCACAGTCAGAGAATATGGAAAATAGGTGTGGGGAGAACTCCAGCTGCCACCAAACATGTCTCTGTAAAGAAGGATCTCCAGTAATTTGTGCTCTTACTGACTGAGGCACAGGAGAAAACACTCAATGAAACAAGGGACTTAACTGGAATACTGGAAAATTCCACCAACAATATGGGGCTCACTCTCTTGCGGGAGCTCTGTGCTCTGGGCTGTGCACTGCGCCCGGACGCTACTCTTCCTTCTTCAGCCCTGCTCCCTCTCCGTTGCCAGATCTGAGCGTGTAGCTTTCAGATGACACACAAGCCCCAGATGGAGTCTTTGATTCCGCAGGCAGAGGAGCAAGGGTGTGACCCTGTCAGTCATGTCTTCACCGCCCAGACTATCAAGTACACAGAAGAGAGAAAAGTGCCTCAAATCTATCATCCTGAAGGGCCTGTCAGCTGTAGCTGGACCCTGGCTGCAGCCCTAGGCTCCACCTCACCCACACAGACCCACTGGCCTTCACCACAGCTGCACCCCCAGGGCTGGATTCCCTGTTCCCGTAGAGTGCCCTGAGCTCAGCCACTGGACCGCCTCCTTTTTCTATCTACCATTGTCCTCCCAGTAATCACCTAGAGCACCATACAGTACTTTATTAGTACCGTATAGACCGATAGTCCCAATTATATCTCAGCTCAGATCTCTCTACCGAACTCCAGAGAATATATATCTAACTGCCTACTCAATATCTCCTTAGACTAGTTCATAGATACCTCATAATTAACATATCCTAAACGCACTTTCTTTAGAAACCTTTTTTCTTCCACAAACTCCTATTTCAATTAAGGATACCTCTATCCTCCCAGTTTCTCAGCACAGAAATGTAGATGACATACTTGTCTCTTCTTCTCTCACACACTACATCTAATCCATGGACATATGCTGATTCTAACTTTCAATTATCCCTAACATTCACCTCCTACTCCTGCTAGAATGACTGAGACCAGCCATCTCGCTGGTGTGAAGAGAGGAGACAGAGGTGGGAGTTCACGGAGGTGAATGTGCCTGAAATAATCAGGCCAAATAACCAGACAAGAAGGAGCAACACAGAAAAAGAGGTCCGGAAATGTGCAAAGGTGTCCCCTTGAGCCTTCAGTGGAGTATTAATCTATGCATGTGAGGAGTAAAACTGCAAGTCCACTCAAAGAACAACTAACTCCTGGTGGCAATATGAAAAACAATCCCAAAGTTCACATGGAATGGGGAGGCATTTGAATTCTGTCCAGCCAGAGTAAAAAGAGCTTGCTGAAAACCTGGGAAGATCAGTGGAACTACTAGAAGGGTCATATCTTAGTACTAGGGCTAAATTAGCTGTAGACATAAGGATATTCTAAAACTACACTAACACAGTTTAAAAATAATCTTCCAAAAGTAACAATATAATGCAGAGGAAACTTAATTGCCTCTCCAAAAGAAAACTACATTTTAAAAGTAAAACAACAAAATCTAAACATTTAATAATGGGATGTATGCAATGTTTCCCACTCAATCAAAAAATACTTCACATGCAAATAATAAGCAAATTATAATCCACAAGCAGTAGGAAAATGAGTAAGGAATGACGGAAACAATAGAGGTGTCAAGGAATAACTTCAGAACAGCAACTACAAATCCTATAAATTTGCTCCAAGATTTGCAGTAAAACATCACCATATTAAGGATATTTGAAAATGAAACATCTAAAGACGAAAAACTAAATGTATAAAGTAAAATATTTACTGGATAAGATTAACAGATTTGACATTGTGGAAGAAAAAAATCAGTGAATTTGAGAACATAGCAATAGAAACTTTCCAACATTATGCACAGAAGAAAAAAGACTAGAAAGGAATGAAAAAGTCTCAGTGACCTTTGGGCAAGTATTGGGCAGCCTCAAATACATGTAATTAAAGTCTCAGAAGAAGAGGTGAGAGGGAGGAAGGGAGACAGAAAAAGGTCCTGAAGAAATAATTGTTGAAAACTTTTCAAACATGAGGAAAACTGTAAATTCACAGATGCAAGAAAACTCAAACTGAGTAAGTGTAAAGAAAAACATACTGTTAATCCCACATTCATTTCTAATAATATTTTTCTTAAAAAATCTGAGGGTGTAATAAAGACATTTGAGGCAAATAAAAGCCAAGGAATGTTTTACAACAGCCGAGAAAGTTCTTCAGAAAGAAAAAAAAATGATACCAAATGGAGATTAAGATCTGTGCAAAGGAATGAAGAACACTGGAAATGGTGTGTATGTGGGTAAATAGAAAATATTGTCCTATATGTATTTTCGTCTCTTTAAAAGAAGATCGAATGTTTTGCAAATTATACCTCAATAATTTAAAATTTTAAAGACAGTTTACTATTTGAAAAAGTATTAATGTGTTGTGGGATTTAAAACATTTAGAAATAAAATACATGGAAATACAGGTAAGAGAATGGGAGGAAAGAAATGTAAATCTCCTCTTAGGATGTTCTTAATTTATATGTGAATGATTCTGACATTAGTTGAAAGTAGACTGTGATAAATTAAAGACACATGTTGTAAATCCCAGAACAGCCACTAAAAAAATACAGTGAAGATATAAAACTAATAGGTCAATCATGGAGATAAAATTGAATATTAGATAATACTAAATTAGTCCATAAAAGGATAAAAAAGGAAAAATAACAAAGAGCACAAGGAAAAAATAGAAAACAAGTAAAAGATGGTTTATGTAGCCCAACAGTATTCATAATTACATTAACTGTAAATGTAGGAGAGGATTTGATTATGAAGGGACAGCATGAGAGAAATGTGTGCATGAGGGGGAGATGGAACCATTCTGTACTTTAATTGTGGCAGTGGTTACATGACCCTATGCATCTATCAAAATTCATAGAAATGTGCATCAAAAAGTGAATTTTACTTTGTGTATTTAATACCATAACTTTTGAAAATTAAAAGCAATGCTCAACATTATTAGTTGTCAGAGAAATCAAAATTAAAACCAAAATGTGATACCACAATACCAAGCCTGAAGTGATAGAAACTCTCAGCCATTGCAGATGGGAATGTCAAAAGGTATAGCCACTTCGAAAACACTGAAAGTGTTTAAACACACACTTGCCATATTAACCAGCAGTCCCACTCCTAAGTATTTACTTAAAAGAAATAAACATATGCCCACATAAAAATTCATGTGTAAAGGTCCATTATAACTCTCTCCATAGTAGCCCCAAATTGGGAACATTTCAAAGTTCTATCTACAGGTAAATGCAGAAAAAGATATTACATATCCATACAATAGAACACTACTCTGCTATATCAGTAGATACATGTCACATGGTGAATGAATCTCAAAAATGGGGAACAAACTGCTGATACACGTGACATCATGGATGAATCCCAAAAGCAGACTCGAGTAAATTAAAAGGCAGGGCTAGGCCAGGATTACGTCTGTAATCCCAGCACTTTGGGAGGCCAAGGCAGGCAGATCACAAGGTCAGGAGATCTGCTAATAGGTCATCCTGGCTAACGCAGTGAAACCCCATCTCTACTAAAAATACAAAAAAGTAGCTGGGTGTGGTGGCACGTGCCTGTAGTCCCAGCTACTTGGGAGGCTGAGGCAGGAGAATCGCTTGAACCTGGGAGGCGGAGGTTGCAGTGAGCCGAGATCACGCCACTGCTCTCCAGCCTGGGTGACAGAGCAAGACTCCGTCTCAAAAAAGAAGAAGAAAAAAAAACACGGCAGGGCTAAGGGTCCGATGAAAACCCCTCGGTGTGGGTGCAGTGGAAAGAGAGCAGCAGCAAGTGTGGGAAGAAGCGGGCACAGGAAGGAAGGCTGGAAGGCACAGGCACAGTTTTGACTATGGAGAGCAATAAATTGGATCATTTTCATTGCACTTGAGCCTCAGAACATGCAGTTTTAAAAAGAAGGCGCCTGAATGGCCACTGTTTGAGAAAATCAACCTGTTACTTAAAAGTATACTTTATGTTATTCCTAAATGGAATTATACAATCCAAAACTTTAAATTTCTTGTATATAAGTACAAATATATGTGGTGCTTTTCCCATCAGTTATTAATTCAACAAATGAAAAATAAAGAAGTCTCATACTTCATGTAACTTCAATTTCAATGACAGAAATAGACTCTTACCACACAGAAACAGATGCATAACATAATATAAGAGAGGGGCAAGTGCTTTAGAGCAAAACAAAGCAGCGTGGAAGGAAAAAGACAGATGGGGTACTCTTTAGAATGTCATCAGGGAGTGCCTGAGTAATGAGATGAGATTTGAATAAAGATTTTAAGACATGCAGGGAGCACCCATGGGGATACCTGGATCAACACTTCCAGGAAGAGGGAGAGGAAGTGCAAAGGCCCTGAAGTACAAGCCCAAGTGGAGCAGATGCATCGTGTGAGAATTTTAATGGGTTTTTATCTTCTTTCTCCAAAGTAAGATTCTTGAGGTGCTTTTAAATAAAAAGGCAAACAACAAACATTCCAATGATAAGCTCATTATTATCTACGTAAAGATAACTAAAGGAAGCAATACAAATTCTTGTAAACTCTTACTCAAAATCAGGAGAGTTTGTTTCTGATTCAGGCAATTCCTCTCTCCAGAAGATTGTGTTGATTACAACCACCACCACCACAACAACAACGACAGTTCACAAAGTATTCATTTGTGATGAGTCTTTGCTTTACTTCAAGGATCTAACCAAATAAAGAAATAAATGTAGTGTAAGGGAGACATTTGGGGACCCACGGGTTGTTTGTGGGTTGAGTACTGGAACTGGTAGATTTCAATTTCATGAATGAAATTAACCCTCTAACACTGTGTGATGCTGCCTCTCAAGATTCACAGGACCTGTATGCCCTCAAAGGTGTGCTTCATGCAGTTCTTGGTATCATACCTAAGAGGTAAATGGAGAAACCAGAATCCATCCAGAGGCGAGTGAGCAGAGTAGCCTGCCAAGATGCTTGCCCCAAGCCCGGATCTTTTGATCCAATGCTCTTCACTCTGATAAGAACTCCTCCCACCACCCCCACACCTACCTTTTTCTTTTGTGGGTCTTTTTTACAATCTAGGTTTTTGCAGTTATTTAGAAACCCTTTCATGGGAAAACATTTATAAAAACTTGCATTAACTAGAAATAATTTGTATAATGACCTTAAAGTCTGTGTCTTGAATAACTATAGGAAACTTGAAAATATCTTTAATGAAACAGATTATTTAAAACACAACTGGAATGACTGTTCAAGGAAAATTTATAATCAAATTAGTTCTAAATAAGTTAACTATTTGAATAAACTATATTTACATATCTTTACTGAGTCATAGTTACTAAACATAAGCACTCTATTAGGTTAATATTAACAGTTTCAAAATCCATGGGTAAACAAAGAAAAGAGATCTTTGTTTACATTTGTACTAATTTATAAAGGAAGTTGATATTATTTGTATCGATTTAGAAAGGAGGTATATATTATTTCAATAATTGTGTCACCACTTTTCAGTGAAGTGGACTTTTTTCAAAATATTTTTGAGTATGAAAAGTTTTCTTTTTCAGTAAAGGGAAAACTCAATTTTCAGATATTAATATTTAGTTATATAAACTTCCCTAAGGCTTTTACTTAGAAATCTTCTAGCAATATCATTTGAACAGATTTCTCATTCCTCACAGTTACAGTAAATGCAGGATTACTCCTAAAGACCGTCTAAGTCTCTTTTTTGCTAAGGCTGCTAATTATCATGAAAAATGTTTCAACAGCACCAGAACTCATATTTATGAAAAATTCACTGATATCAATGATGCTTTAAATGATGTAAAGATAAACATGGTTGCTAATTACGTTTGGATTTTCTAGTCAAGGTAAAGACATATTTTGCTTATTCTATTCATTATGGAAGAAAAAAGGAAAGTATCTTATACCATGAGGAGGTTCTCCCTAAGCAGGGTGGCATTGATTTGCTGCTGGCAAGTTCTGAGCCCAGGATTCTGCAGATATGATTTGACATAGCATCAACAAACCAGCATTTTCATTTGAAGCATAAGGTAGCCTCAGAAAGCCCTACGCTGCAGAAATACCTCCCTCACTTCATGGTAAAACAGTGACACCAAGGCCAAAGAGGACTGTGTAGTTCTGAGCCTGTAGCTCTCCAGACCCTTAATTCAGAAACCCATGTTTATGTCCAGTTTGAGTTCTGCAGCTGGGAAGCAGTATATAAGTCCCAATAGGGATTCTGGCCTGAAGCCTCATAGTTGTCATAAAATTTATCTTTTATATGGTAACATCCAAATGGATTATATTAAAAATGCCTTTTTATCTCTCTTCTTGTATGTTATCAGCAGAGGAATGATGGAACTGAGTGTAGCAAAGACACTCAGGTTTCTGAAGCTCCAGGAATTCACTTATAAAGGTAACTATTAGACCTCATACCTCTTTTACATAGCCATTTTGGAAAATGTCTTTCTGGAATTCCAATTTAAATATTAATCGGATCAAGCAAATATGCTACATTTTGCCTTAAAAACCTACTTGAGTAAAGACTTTCACCACTCTAGATACGGAAAAAAGGAAACTGAGCTGAGACATTGAGTAGTCACAGATTAAGCTGTTAGCATCAAATATACTCCCAAGTGAGCCTAAATATCTCACGATTCCAGATTATTGATACTTGGCTGTCTTTAAATTCTTCTTCAATAACCCTTTTTATAAGCTCATTCAGATAAAATGTTTAGAAGAATCTTATTTTACAAGATAAGATTCTTCACATAATGTTGCCTCTGCAGAAATAATATTGCCTGGGAATATGAAAATAAAAAAATAAGATGGTAGTGGGTGATCATGAAAAGTCAAAACTGTATGAACTTAACCCTCAAGTTTTGGGGTTACTTTAAAAATTGTTTGTTCATCTTCAAAATCACATCCATTTCTACTTAACTTATGCATCTATTTATAATCATGACATTATGATAGTTTCCAATTGTTTTACTCTAAATTCTTTATTAAACTAGGGGATGGGGAACTGTTCAGCATTTAAAAAAATAATTTCAACTTTTAGATTCATGGGTACACGTGCAGATTTGTTACATGAGTATACTGTGTTGCACTGATGTTTGGGGTACAAAGCAGCAGCCAACGACCATATGAAAAAATGTTCAACATCACTATTATCAGAGTAACACAAATCGAAATCATAATTGTTTTAAAGAATTTCCCTAGAAGTTATAGGAGTAGGAATTACTGTCAAGTTTGATAACAATGTTCAAAGGAAGGTTATGGGAAATTATCTTTAGTTACAAACTGTTTTATTGCAAGAGAATAATGCTCAAGGGATTCTTACTGTATCTATAGTTTGAAAAAAAATATACCTGGAAGTTTGAAAATAGATATCTGAAGACAGCCAGAAGGGCAAAGTCTATGCCTACCTAAGCAGGGGATGATTCTTATTAGTTGCTATTGTATTGAAATTTGCTCAATAACAAAGTTATGCATAATTACTAGGCCTTCTATTACCAGAAACATTGTGTCTCCACATTTTTTTCAACTATGCTAACTACACTGTCTTCATGAAAGACTGTATAGTATTTCCAGGTAACTCAGATAAATGCTACATGTGTCTTTAGATATTATCTTCCTTGCCCTCTACCTAATGTGGCATGGCTAGATTCTAGAGCCATACATCCAAAGCGTTCAAGTAATAACTTATGGGAATGTCTCACACCTTGTGTTGCAAGACAGAACAATAAGTTTCTGTTACAAATATTTTTTGCTTGTACCTACTGCTATTTTATTTGCTTTCTTTGGTCTTCAGAGACAGAAAGTTGATAATGGATCCAACAGTGGATTAGAAGCCCAAGGAGTCACAGACAGGATGAATCCTCATTCATTCTTAAACTCTCTTCTAAAGGACATCTGGGGTTCCACTTACATGTATGTTAGACCATTTGACACCTCCTCATGGAGCTTGGAGGCTTTATTCATTTTCCCACATTTTTGTTTGTTTGTTTGTTGTTTTTTTCTTTGTCTTTTTTTTAACCTCTACATATCTTCTGTCTGATTGTTAGGGTTGATGGTTGAGTCACTCTAATCTGTAATTGATCTGAGTCTGAATTTTCTTGCAATTCTACTTAGATTCAGTTCATCACTAACTTCAAATATTTTGAGAATAAGATCAAGCATGATAAAAGAAAAAACCTTGTTAACCTTTAACTCTATATGTATCATAATTCTTCTTTAAAATTTGAAGACAATATAAAAATATTTAGATAGACAAATATACAGGAATTTGTATCAGGCTGAAGGTAAATATTAAAACATTGACTCTTTGGAGGACAAGACATACAGATAGAAAAAACAAATATATGGGTAATAAAAAAATCTGTTGACTACTTCAAGCAAAATAATGAAAATGTATTACACTGTTCATAGCAGATGTCAAAGTAAAATATATGACAAGGGCACAAAGATTGTGTTGAGTAAACTGAATTCAACTGGTATGAATTTGTAATATTGTTTATGAAGTAGAATAATACATTAATATAGCCAAGGGTATCTTAATCAATTTAGATATTTAGATATTCATATTTTAGTGTCTAGCATATCAACTTAAAAAATATTGGGATATAGTTAAAGAGCCAATAGAAATGATAAAATAGAATACTAAAAACAAACCAAAAACTTTGAAAAAACCTTCAGTTCATTAAATAATAGGTTAGAAAGAAGAAAAAGAAAAAGAAAACATATATGATAAAAGGGAAAACTACTCAGAGCTTAAGATTAAATTTATTAATATCATTAATGATTTTAAATGTAATGAGTCAAACATTCTAATTAAAAGGCAAGAATTGTCAAACTGAATTAGAAAATTAGACCTCAGAATATGCTCTTTTCATAAAACTACTTTAAAAATAAAGATACAAATAAGCCACACGTGAAAATATAGGAAAAGATGTAACATGCAACTCTCAACATAAGAAAGCTGATATGACCATGCCAATGTCAAATAAATTATATGTCAAGAAAAAGAATATTACCAAATGAAGACATACATATCATGATGACAAAAGAATCAATTTATCAAATATTGTAAACTGAAGTATATAGTAATCTCATATTACAACTTTAAAATATGTGAAACAAAACTTGTGAGAGGGGAGAAAGAGACAGACAAATTCCAATCATGACTGGAGATTTTAGCAAATATTTCTCAGTAATTGACAAAACAAGTAGACAAAAATCATTAAAGCTTTAGAAAATTTAAACAACACAAATAGTCAACCTGATCCATTTGACATTTATAGAAAATCTCACCCAACAATAGCAGAATACACATCATTTTCAAATATGCATGGACATTTACCAAGATGGATCACATACTGGGCAATATAATAAACCTCAGTGAATCAAAAAGAAATGAAATGAAATCATATACAACGTGTGACTCTGATTACAATGAAACTAAACTACAAATTAATGAGTTATACATCTAGAAAATATCTTAGTATTTGAACTCACTTCTAAAAAGCAAATATACCAACAAGAAAAAAAAATCAAAACAAAACAACAGAAAAACCCATGGGTCAAACTAGAGTAATTACAAAAGATTTTATATTAGGTATTATTAAAAAGACCATATATAAAAATCTATGGGATATAGATCAATCATTATTTAAAGGGAAATTTGCAATTTTAAATGCTTATATTTGATAAGAAGAAACTTCTCAAATACATACATAACCTAAGATCTCACTTTAAGTAACTAGAAACAGGAGTGCACAAAAAAGCAAACATACATAGCAGAAAGAAAATAATAAAGACAAAAACTGAAATTAATGAGGTAGGAAAGAGACAACAGACAAAATCAACAAGCCAAAAAAGTGTGCTTTGAGACAATGAGTAAAGCTGATAAACCCCTAGTAAGATTGATCAAAAAAGAAACAATTTACCAATATCAAGGAGGAAAAAATATTACAGATCCTAAAGATACTTAAAATGTAATAAATGATAGTATGAACAATTTTATGTAAATAAATTCAAGAATTTTGATGATATGCTCAATTTCTTAAAACATAAAGCAGGCAAAAGAATAAACAAAAAATCTGATTTTTCATATATCTAGTAAAAAAATTAAATTCATTATGAAAAGCTTTTCCATCAAAGACAAACAAAATAAAAACAAAATAACAGTTTCAAGACTAAATGGTTTCACTGGTGAAGTCAGTTAAACATTTAAGGAAGAAATAATATGACTAATACATATATGCTTTCAGTAGACAGAAAAGGAACAAATAATTCCAATTATACTTTTTATGAGGCTAGTGAAATCCTAACTTTTAAAATGTACAGGCATTATAAGAAAATTACAGGTCAATATTCATCATGAACATAGACACAAAAAACCCTTAAGAAAACATCAGTAAACCAAATCTGGCAATATATTAAAAATGGACCTATAATGAGTAAGTGGAATCTAATTAAAAAATGCAAGGTTGGTTTAATATCCAAATCAATCAATTACTACATACACAGAATAATAGAAAAAAGATAATCTTAATAAATGCAGAAATGTATTTGATAAAAATTATAATTTATTTGTGATAAAACTCTCAGTATACTAGAAATAAAGAGAATTTTCTAAAACTGATATTTGATTTCTTAAAGAAAAAAAGCCTTTAGTAACCTCCTCCATATTGGTGAAATATTGAATGCTTTCCCTCTAAGATTTAGAACAAGACAAGGATGTCCCCTTTCACTGCTTCTTCATATGTTAATCTAATATTGTACTGGAACTTCTAGCCTTCTAGCCACTTCATAAAGAAAGAATAAGAAATAAAGTTATACAAATTGGTAAAGAATAACTAAAATTCTGATTGCGTATGTAGAAACCCTATGATATCTACAATGTAAAAAAATACTAGAATTAGCAAGTGAATTTAGCAAAAATACATGCTAAAAAGTCAATATATTAAAAAATAAGTAGCACTTCTATATACTAGCAATAAATAATTGGAAAATAATTTTTAAAAATCCATTTACAAGAGTATCAAAACCTGTCAAGTGCCTAGAAATAAATCCCTTAAAAAGTTATGTAAAACTCTTACATTAAAAACAATAAAACATCTTTGAGAGAAATTACAGAAAGCCTAAATATACTATATTCATGGATTGAAAGATTCAATATTGTTAAAAAATATTTGTCCTTCCAGAATTGATCTACAGATTTAATGTAATTCTAAACAAATTTCAAGCAGATACTTCTGAAAAAAGAGATAGGCATTTCTAAATTAAGATGGAGTTTCAAAGGATCTGGAATAGTCAAAAAATATTTTTGAAGTAATACTAGAATACACACCACCTGTTATCAGTGCTTGCTATAGTAATAAAAAGAGCATGAGACTAATGTAAAGACAGAAAACTTATACAAAAAACAGATTAAAGAGTTCAAAATTTAACTCGCAGATATTGAGTGTATTGAATTTTGGCCAAGGCACTTTGTCAACTAGATGGAAAAAAAGGATATATTTCAACAAAGTTTTTTTTTAAAAGAAAAACAGAATATCTGTATAAAAAAGAACCTCTATAATTAACATACATAAAACACCTGAAGACAGAAGAATACAAATTAGTTTCAAGTGTAAATAAAATATCTACCCAGACAACATTTATTTTGGATCTTAAATAACTTTCAATACACTTAAAAGGACTGAAATAATATAAAATATGCTTTTTGACCACAACAGAGTTCATCTAAAAATCAGTAATGAGAAAAAGGGGTGGAGGGAATATCTATGTAAACATTTGGAAATTAGGCAACACTTAATAACCCCTGGAGCAAAGAAGAAATCACAAAAGAAATTGAAGTTTTGTCTGAATGGGGAAAAAACCCACAACATAACAAAGTTGTGAGATGCTGTTCAAACAGTGATTCATGGGAAAGTTGTAGTTTTAAATGCTTATATTAAACAAGACAAAACATCATAAATCAATGATCTAAGCCAGCAATTAATAAATGTTTACAAATGAGTGAAGAGATGGTAAATTGTTTTGTTTGTTTGTTTGAGACAGAGTCTTGCTCTGTCACCCAGGCTGGAGTGCAGTGGTATGATCTCTGCTCACTGCAACCTCTGCCTCCTGGTTTCAAGCGATTCTCTCACCTCAGCCTCCCAAGTAGCTGGGATTACAGGCACGCACCACCACACCCAGCTAATTTTTGTATTTTTAGTAGAGACAGGGTTTCACCATGTTGGCCAGGCTGATCTCGAACTCCTGACCTCGGGTGATCTGCCCTCCTTGGCCTCCCAAAGTACTGTGATTACAGGCATGAGCCACCGAGACCAGCCCAGACAGTAAATATTTTAAGCTTTGTGGACCACTATGATCTCTACTGAATATTATTGAATATTACTTGGCTTTACTTTTTATAATTTTACAACAGTTTAAAATATAGAATTCATTCTTAGCTAAGAGATTAGATAGAAATATGCCACAGGCTGTAATTTGTCAACCTTTAATTTAAGCTATTGTCTTAAGAAACTAGAAAAATTAATCCCAAAATAAGCAGAAAAAGAAGAATGACAAAGAGTAGAAATCAATGAAATGGAAAAGTGAAAGAAGCACTAGAGGAAATAAATGACATTAAAAACTGATTCACTGATGTGATCAATAAAATTATAAACCTCTAGCCAGAAAGGAAAAAAGAGAGGACTCAAATTACCCTACCTGGAAGAAAGATATCCCATTTTAGATTCTATGGACATTAAAAGATAACAAAGGAATCCTACAATCAACTTTATGTCAATGTATTCTGTAGCTTAGATGAAAAGAATACATTTTTTTGAAAGACACAAAGTACTAAAGCTCACATGTGAAGAAATAGGTAACCGGAACAGTCCGTATTATTAAATTTAGTTTGTAGTTAAAAACCTTCTCTCAAAGAAAACTCCTGACAAGATGACTTCATTGATAAATTCTACCAAACATTTAAGGAAGAAATAATACTGATCCTACACAAAATCTTCCAGAAAATAGAAGGGAAGTAAATAGTACTTAAATTATTTTATGAAGGTAGCATCACACTGATACTGAAACCAGAAAAAGACATTATAAGAAAATTAAACTATAGGCCAGTAGCCTTCATGAACGTAGATGTAAAATCTTCAACAAAATTCTAGCAAATAGAATCCAGCAATGTATGCAAATATTATTTTATCAAGTGATAATGCTTATCCCAAGAATGCAAAGTTTGTTCAATATTCAAAAATCAAACAATGTGAGTTACCATTTCAGCAGGATAGAAAGGAAAAAGCACATGATTATTCCATTTAATGCACTAAAAAGGGATTTGACAAACTTCAACACTCATTCATAATAAAAAATACACGCACAGAGATTGGGCAAAAATATTTACAAAATACATAACTGATAAAACACACATCCAAATTATGTAAAGAATTCTTCTAACTCAATAATAAGATGACAATCCAAGTAGAATTTAAAAATAATATTTGTACAGAGATTTCACTGAAGGAGCTATACAAATGGCCAATAAATACATAAAAAGATACTCATTATTAGAATGCAAATTACAGCCACAGTGAGATATCACTGCATACCTACTAGAATGGCTAACATTTAAAAAGACTAAGAAATACCAAGTATCAGGGATGATGTGAGTAACTCTCATATATTGCTGATAGAAAGGCAAAATGATGCAGTCACTTTTGGAAAACAGCTGGCCAGTTTCTTATTAATGTAACATACAATTTCCATATGATTCATGTAGAGAAATGGAAACATAAATCCACAAAAGACCCACACACAAATGTTCATAGAAGCTCATTCACAATAGGCAAAAATTAAAAGCAACCCAAATATCCATCAATTGGTGAATGAATAAAAAAAATTGTGGTAAACCCATGCATTCAAATTCTACTCAGCAATAAAAAGAATGAACTGCTGATCCATGCAATGGTATGAAGGAATGTCAAATGCATTGTGGTACATGAAAGAAATCAGACAGAAAAGACTATATGTTGTATGATTTCATTTATATGACATTGTAGAAAGAGCAAAACTAAAGGGACAGAGACACATCAGCATTTGAAATAAAAGCAATTGATTGAAAAGGAGCACTAGAAAACTTTGAGTTGATAAATATGTTCTGTACCTCAATTGTGGTAGAAGTTACAGAATTGTACCCTTTTGTCAAAACTTATCAAGTATACTTCAAAATGATGAATTTTATTTCATGTAAACTATACCATAATAAACCTGATTTAAATATCTATATATACCTTGAACCATACCTCGTTCCATTCATAAAGCTGAATAGAGTTGTATCGTAGGCATAATGTTGAAAGTTAGAACCATATAACTTTTCAAAGAAAACACAGACAATATCTTCTCACTCTCAGGGTAGACAAAGATTACTTACACTAGACCCAAATTCTCTAGTATTATAATAAATAATTGATAAGTCAGACTTGATACAATTTTAAATTTGTGGTTATCAAAATGTACCATCAAAGTAATAAATACACAAGCCACTCACTCTGAAAATATATTCACAATATTTATATCTGATAAAAATTTGTGTCCAAAATATGTAAATAACTTCTAAAGATTACCAGTAAAAAATAAATAAGGTAATTGACAAAAGACTTGGGCAGACAGTTTACAAAAGAATAATATTTCAGCCAGCCAATAAGCAATAAAAAGGAATAGGTTGTGGATATCAGAAATAACATTAATTTCAAAAACATTCTGTGGAGTGGAAAAAAAAGTCTTATACAAAGAATATATACTTCATCATTCCATATCACCAAATCCAAACACAGGCAAAACAAATAGATGGAGATAGAATCAGAAAGTATTTGCCTGGTAGTTGGGGAGGAGGAGTAAAGGGGATTAACTTCCAAGGGGTGTAAGGGAACACTCCATGGTACAGGAAATACACCAGATTGTGTGTGTGTGTCAATGAAACTGAATGCCTTAATATATGTATTTTATAAATTTTACCTTTTACCTTAGGGTAGTGTCCTCCCTTAAAAGGAACTGGCAGACAATGTTATTAATATCTCTGATATGGGATGCCTCACTAGTAGAGAAGGAGTGTGGACTAATAGGCACCGAGCTCTCATGAAGCTCTCCTTCAGTTCTTCATTGCATATTGTTGAAGAAAATCATTACAATTTAATAGAAACTTTGATAAGGACTTTTGTCTAAACTGCGTGATCAATAAGGAGAGAATCAGGAGAAACAAAATGTATCTGTTCTCAGACTCTCTACAAACACTCTGTGATAAAAAGCTGCTCTCAGACTTTTCCACAAACTTTTCCATTTTCAAGTGAAGTTAAATTTTCCTGGAACTAAAAGTATGAAACAGGCCAATCATCTGTTCCAGGTTGCTCAGTTTCTAAGAGCAAGAACAGTTTTCATCCTGCCCGAAGTGAATGCCAAAAAGACTTTTTGAACACCAAACACCAAAAAGATTTTTTCACTGAAGAAAGACATGAAAAGTTATTTATATCGAAATCTCTAGAAAATTCCTCTGGCTTTATGGATGTGCAAACTACAAATTTAACAACTTTGCTAGACACCAGAAGGATGTCTATATATTCCCACACACTTTTCTATACTTCATCTTGCCTGATGTATACACTTATTATTACGGATACATTACTACAGATATTATCATCATTTATTTACCAATTATAAGGGACCAGATCCTTTGCTAAGAATTTTGCATTTGAAAGCTCATGTATGCTTCACAACAAATTTATGGTAAGTATTACTATTCCCATTTTACAAATAGAAATAAAAGAGAGATTAAGAAAGATTCCCAAAGCCATCTAGCTTGCTAAATTGTGGAGTCAAGATTTCAACCCAAGTCTCTCTCCCTGCTCTATCTGCCTCTGCACCCCTCTATTCCACTTTCTCTTCTGTTTCAGTGGACATACAATACTGCAGGTCCAGCCTACTCATTGTCTTGGTTCCTCCAGTTACAATTCTCCTTCCCATATCCCCAACATTTACTTTCCATTCTACCAAATCATTCTTGCCAATATCCAATTTGTACATTTTTAGCAGGTCAATACACAACATATTTATATTTTATATGGATCCAAGTATGGAATCTATTGAGATAGACTTGATTGAAATAGGGTAATAGAAATAAGATTTTCATCATTCTTACTGAAAATCCACTGTAGAGAATCTTTAAATTGTTGGCCAAAGGGCTTGCTGACACTCTTTGCTTCCTGATCCAGTTTAGACCTTAGGAAAGCCTTCCTAAAGAAAAGTTTAGGTCTAGAGTAGGAACACTTATCCAGGATGGCTGTCTCATCCTAGTCTGGCACTGAAAGAAAAAAAGGGAAAAAGAAATCCTAGTGTTGCAAACTTTTAATAGATCAACTCCATCAGCTTGAGAAACAGGACCAATGTGTTTCCACTAAGACGAGTTAACTCATTCTCCATTGTGAGGAGCAAAGGGCTTACAAAAGGCCAAAAGTTCCCTCTGGTGAAGGTCCCTTCACAGGGAAACCTGAAACCAAGGAAAGGATGTTCTCTTTGCCCCCAACACCAAACCAGCATGCTGTAATGGTTCTCCTTAAAAAGGTTTTAAAAGCACTCTCAAGTCTGCCACTGTTGTAGAGCAACTAGCCCACATCTCTGCTTTTCTTCAGACAACATACCTTAAAACAGTTAGAAAGTCTTCCTTGGAAGATTTGTAGATACTCACATCTCTACTTCCATTCCTTAGCATGCTCCAATCCAGGTTTTCTCTCCCTGACTATTCCACTGAAACTGCTCTCAACAAGGTTGTCAATTGTCTTGTTCAGGCACATACAGCATCAATTCTCTGTCCTCTTCTTGAACCCTCAGCAGTCGTGGAGTGCTCCTTTTTTCCTGAGATTTTCTTCACCACTTTTCCAAGTTACACTCTGACTCTCTGTCTCTTAATCTCTCTTGCTCACTCACTTTTCTTTCCATCCTTGAGCATTTCTGTCTTTCTATCTCATCCTTTGTTACATAAACAGGTCAAAGATTTCCCTGTTGGAAATAAGAGCTTGGAGTCGCAAGGAAAATGAGCACTCAAACAAAGAATTTCTCAGCAAGGCAAATTTACTTCCACAGAAGGGTGCCACTTGCCCTCCTGGCCACTGCCAGAACACACCGAACAAACGAGGGAAGGGGTTTTTATCCCTAAAGAGGTTAGTCCTTGCTTCTGTGTCCTGTTCCCATTGGCTGGAGCCGGATGGCACAATCTAAGCTAATCCCAATTGGCTATTTCAAATAGAGCAGGGATGTGGGTTACAGTGGTAGGAGGAGTGGTTTTGGTGGGTAGAATAGTTTCAGCAGGAAGGGCAGTTGTAGAGTGGGTAACCAAGGGAACAGATGTGGGTTATAGATAAATGTAACTAGGGGCAAGGAGGTACAAAGAACGAGGAAGTTAGGCTTTGAAATAGAGAACAAAGAACAAAGAAGCTGAACAAGCTGACTCTTTGAAGAGGAACTTACTGTACCTAACATCCCCCTGTGCTGTTCTCTATGTTTACTTCCTCACAGCAGGCAAGGACCTTTGGCTCAAGGACCACTGATGCCAAACTCAAATAATTCTTACACATCCAATTGCTCAAATAAGTATATTTTTTATGATTTAGAGCCTGCTTGCTTGGCATACTCTACAAAATTGCACTCAATATCTGCTCGTCATAGGTAAGACAAACTCTGTGGCTATAAAAGACCTGAAGCCTCTGCTGTCCTTCTCAGCTCCCTGACACAGGGTCCCCATCTTGCTGTTGAGCTACATCACCTGGTCTTGTAAGTCTCCTCTCCGACACTCCTCTCCCACTCCGTGTGGTGTCTTACGCTATTTCCTGCTGGAAGGGACTTCCCCTCTCTTGTAAATCTGTCCATGTTGCACCAAGAAAGCTTTCTGTGCAATACTGCTGTCATGTTCTTCTTTTTTCCTTAGTCAGCCACTAAATCCCCAAGCTCACTACATCTTCTTTTACTTGTTTCTCCTCTTCTGCAACCTCTATGTGATGGCATAGTCCATGACATAATCTTTGACCCTTCCCTTTCTTTCGTTTTTCTATTTGTAGATCATTTCCAAAGTCATATCTTCAGCACTAATCTCTCCCATAAGTTTCTGACAACTGCATACTCCACAGTTCTGTACAAATGTGTTAACAGACTTCATAAATTAAACATGTGCAAAATGAAAATCTTGACTCCACTATCTCTCTCTACCATCAACCCTCCTCCTTCTCATCCCCTTTAATGGCATCACCACTGAGTTGCACATCAGAACATAAAGAATCATCTTTGATTCCTTCTTTTATTTACCCTCACCAGCTGCACTGAATTGAATTTATCAGCCAATCCTGCATCCAAACTCAATCCTAAATTGATCACAGTGGCCAGGCATGGTGTCTCATGCCTGTGTAATCCCAGCACTTAGGAAGGCAGAAGTGGGAGACTAGCTTGATCCCAGGAGTTCTAGACCAGCCAGGGCAATATAGAGAGACCTTGTTGCCACAAAAAGGAAAAAAAAGACAAAAAAAATTGGAAATAAATTGATTACCCCTCCTCACTACCACACTAGCCAGAGCCAATCCCCTCTCTCATCTAAGTTGCTGCTTGTCCTGCTTCCAATCTTCATTCCCATTAAAAATAAATGGGAATAAAATTGAAGTATAAAAATAATACTTCAATTAGAAATGTTTTAATGTAAACAGGTCACATGGACTCTGTACTTAAAAGACTCCAGTGATTTTCTTTTAGCTATAGTCTAAAATCCAGATTCTCCACCATGACTCACCTGGTTTCACAAGCCATTCAAACATCATCTCCTATCATGGTCTCCTGAATTCAGGACTCTCCTGCTAGATTCTTCCTCTGTCCATTGCTGGAATATAGCAGATGTGTTCCTGCTACACAGAATTTTCTTTTGCCAGGTATTCACATGACTATTTCCTTTTTTACCCTTTGCATCTCTGCTCAAATTACCTTTTCAGAGAGGCATTTCATGACACCCTTTAAAATCTCAACTATAACTCTTTTTAACTAGTGTCCCATTTTGTTTCTTGGTATCACTTACCAATTCTGAACTCACTTTATATTCTGTTCTGCTTGTTCATTATCTGCCTTCCTCTGCTTGATGTGAGCTGTGTGAAAAGTGGACCCAGCCTGTCTTCATTGTCTGTAGTCTCAGTGCCTAAGGCAGAGAGCTCAGAAAATATTGGCTGAATGACTGGCTGACTGACTGACTTGGAAGCCCATCCTCTTAATGACTAAACAAAATTGATTCCTTTAGAAAGATTATTATATTCATTTGTTAGGGCTGCCATCACAAAGTACCATCAACTGTGTGTCTTAAAAAAGCAGAAATGTATTGCTTCGTGGTTCTGGAGGCTCTGGGTGTCAGCAAGGTCATGCTACCTCTGAAACCTGTAAGAGAAGGACTCTTCCTTGCCTCTTCCGGCTTTGGAAGCCTCAGATCTTCATCAGACTACAGCAGCATGATTCTGGCCCCAACATGACATCCTTCTGTGTCTCTGCAGCGTGGCTCCCGTCTTCCCACGGCATCCTCCTGTGTCTCTTCATACTGTCTTCCTTCTGTGCATGACTGTCTCTGTGTCTCAGTAACCCCCTTTTTCTTAAGGTCACAGTCATATTAGATTAGGACCTGACCTAATGACCTCATTTTACTCGATTACCTCTGTAAAGACCCTATTTCCAAATAAGGTCACATTCTGAGTGAACCTTAGTCATCTAGGCGTTAGGACATGTGATCTGAGAGATGAAAATAGATGCCTTTTACCAACTAAGATGAACCAAAATGTTAAGGAAACAAAGTTACCTATGAGTCAAGGGTTCGGGCCTGGCTGACATGGCAAATTCCTACCAGAAAAAAACACATTTTGCTAAACTCCCTAACAATGGGAGCTATCAGGCAAATTATCCTAACTCCGACTTATAATCCAGACCACCTCAATGGGGACTGGACAGAGGACTTGCCTTACCAACATGCTTTCTTTCCTGATAAGCTACTGCAGCTTTAGCAGCTCACAGAGGCTGTGCATAAACTGTCTCTGTGTCCTGTAGTTCACCTTTTGATGTAAACAGGAAAAATCCATCTCATTTCAATGCCCACCCCAAAGTGAACATGGAATGTATGTTACATACATGTTTGCCCATTGTACATGGGCTTGGCTCCCCTCAAAACTATGTCTAGCATTTCCCCAAAACCTGGTGAATATGTAGAACTCTGTTGTGTCATATGGACTTTGTGAGGCATAAAAACGCAACCTGTCCTCCCTCTCTTCAAAGAGAGAGCACCTTTGGTCCATGCTGGAGACTTTCTTTTCCCACTTGCAAACTGATATGACCAATAAAAGCTCTCCTTCCTACTGTTTAGCCATCCTAGTGGTCTTCTGGATGACAGGCTTTAAGTTGTTTTTGGGAGAGAACAAGTCAACCCATACGATCAGGTATAGCAGGTAATCCCTGCTACTGTGTCTGAATCCCTACTAGGTGCACAAAGAATGCCCACTTTCTCAACAGCTCATTGGTGGCAAGAGTTTGAAAAATCCAGTGCAAAAAAATGGGCCTGCAGAACCTCCATCTCATGGATGACTAACAGCTCTCTTCTAAATATTTTATTCCTTTCTTCTGTAGCCAGATTTCTGAAACTTCATGCAAAGGCCTGGAATATTTTGAAAACAATACATTCTGCTTCTTTAATTAAGTGGTGTCCTGATGAGAGGATTTTTTTTTTTTTGTAACTCAAGGCTGTTTATCCATATCCAGTGCTTAGTGATGGCTCCTAAAAACAATCCATCAGACAGGTAGTCTTTTTCATGACATTTATAACCAGAGACCATCTGACTTTTAATTACACGGTAATTGCTATTGTATAGACTTCAAGCTGCTGTGTAACTTGGAAATTTTATTTTAAATTAAAAAAATTGTTTACCATTTCTTGCCTAAAGTCAGTATTTTGCAGAAACAGTCAAAAGAAATCTTTTAGTACCTAAACTGTGGGTGCAGTTATTTTTCATTTTGAAACAAATTTTTAGTCTTGGTGGATGTTCTTCTATAATTAGTTCTGAAAGCGTTTACAGAAAACATAATTCTCAGTCTAAGAGGGTAGGATTCAGAAGGTCATTAATCCATTTTTCTGCCTTCAGGCAGAGTCATACTGGTTAAAACCTATCACCATGACTCATGATTTTTAAGGTCAAAATGCAAAATCAAACTGCATGGGTAATGAACAAAGTCTGATTCAAGAGCTGTGATCTTCTGTGTGTTGGGAGAAAAGCTGCCCTTGACATGTCTCTGTAGCTGTGCCACCATCCACTGTGAAGGAATAAAGTCTTTGGCTATGGGGCTTGAAACTACTCTTAAAAAAGCATCTTTGTGCTACTTTCTTCAAACTACCTCTGATTCTTAAACAGGAAAAGTAAACAATGAGAAAAATTTTAAAATATGTTACTAATTTTGTGTTGCAAAGATACTCCTTAGGCACATAATAACAATAAATTTATATGGCACTTGATGGCTTGAAAAGCACTGTGGTCTACGTCATCCCATTTGGTCTTAAGCTGCTTCCCTGTTGAGGTAGGTGGGAGAACATTATCCTATTTCACAGGGGAGGGTTCTGTGTCTTATGGAAACCAAGCATAGTTTGAAAGTCTAAGAGACTCAGGGATAGGACTAGATTCCTGAAATTGTTCTATGATAACAATCTGATTCAAGTTAACTTCAATAAAGCTCAGTTTTTTTATCTGTAAAATGAGAATGTGAACCCAACCCACAGGGTAGCTGAGATAAATAGATCAGGTGAATCCCCAGCATCTAAAACATTACTGCCATCAGGGAAGTGCTCAACAAATATCTGTTGAATAAATGAATGGATGAATGAACAAATAAATATTAAGCATTTGGCCCTGTGCCTGGCACAGAGTAGGTGCTCAGTAAATATCAGTTCTGTAAGTATCAGCTATTAAGGTCTAATGATGAACCAAGATCTACAAACAGACCTTCCAGTTTTTCTTTCTCTCTATTAGTGGTTAGATTTGTCTTTGGAGATGAAAAACTTGATTTTATTGGGTAACTAATGTAACTTAATTATATTGGTCACTATTTATTTAAATCACTCTGGCTTCTTTCCCCACCAAGGAAGGGTACATAGGTATTTCAGTCATTTCACATTTAGTGGATGCGTCCCACTGGTCAGGCACTGTTTCTGTCTCTGTGGGGAAACAGAAACAGCACTAACGGTGGGAGTTAGACAGGATTCAACCACGAAAGAATATTCACAGGATCCACAATGGCCACGCTTACAAAATATTCAATTATTGTTGGCAAATGATTCAACACAGGAATACCATTAAAGTGAGGACATGCACTGCAGCCAGAGGCTGCCTGCTGTACAGCAAGGGGTCTGGGGAGCAGAAAGAGCAAGTCCTCAGTGCCCTCTCTCTAAAGAGTCACACCAGCACAGGCCTCTTCTCTCAGATCAAAAACCAACATATACCAACGTGTACCCAGAACACTACAGAACAAGGGACCCCAAAATAAGAGTCTTGAGCAGAGCTTCTTATCCCCAGCTGGTCTTATAGGCATATTCTTGCTATGCAGCCAAGCCCCAATGGCAGATTCTTTGAGGAAAGTGACCTAGACTCACTTTACTCAATCAACAATGTTGACAGTCTGGCGTAAACCACCAGAGACTTGTCTTGGACCCATGGCCACACTGCTGACTAGCAGATTTCATTTCTTGACAAGGGGTCAGTGTGTAAAGACAATTCTCTCACTTAGCAAAACAGCTCAAGCCAAGCCCAGGCCTGCTGGAGTAAACCCCCCTGCATAGCTCACCACCCCGACTTGTGGTCAAGGCCTGCTTATGCAAAACAATCACTCATAGTTTGATGGCCATTATTGGCCTTGCAATAATGTATAATCAGATAAACAATCAAAATGCACACATTCTAAGCATTTTAAGTAAGCAGTGAGGGGTTGGTCTAGACTTCTAGACAGGCAGCTGCAGCATCCAATAATAGCAATGCAAACTTTCTCAGGTTTCTGTACTCACTTTGCACTTCTTTTACCTCTGTGATCTATAGCTATCTGGACTTGATGATACACATCTATGCAGTGATTGAGAACCATAATTAATTTATCATTAATCAAGTCTAAAACTTCTTCAGAATTCTCCTCCAGAGAGCTAATACCTTGAGGGAACTGTGATTGATTTACCAATGTATTTGATCATCAACATCTATACCATTAAAAGTTTTATTTGCTTCTACAATATTACTTTCACCTATGATTTTTGTATTGCCCCATAGAGCAGCATCACATAGTACCCTGCATACATGGCTACAATATTAATCAGATATGATTATACTATATTGATTTTATTACTCTCAACAAAATCTATGTTTACCCATATGCCCTATATTATTTCTCATAGGAGTACAGGTTAGAGACTGTATCTGCATTGTTTCAGGATTCTAACTATTTTGAGAATACAGTGAAATTATTTTCTTAAGTTGTATTAGTCAGGGTTCTCCAGAGAAACAGAAACAATAGAAAATACATAGAATGATATTTATTATAAGGTATTGGCTCATGCAATTACAGAGGCTGAAAAGTTCCACAATCTGTGGTCTACAAACCAGAGACCAAGGAAAGGTGGTGGTGTGGTTCCAATCCCAGTCCAAAGGCCTGACAACTGTAAGTGTGATAATGTAAGTGTCAGTCCAAGGGCAGGAGAAGAGTGATGCCATCTCAGCTCAAGCAGTCAGGCAGAGAGAGAGTTCAACCTTCCTCTAGACTTTTGTTCCATTGGGGTCCTCCATGGATGGGATGATGTCTGCTGACACTGGGGAGGGCCATCTGCTTTACTCAGTCCACCAATTCAAATGCTAATCTCTTCCAGAAACATGCTCACAGACACATCCATACATTCTGTTTAACCAGGGATCTGAGCAGCCCATGGCCCAGTCAAATTGACACATAAAATTAACTATCATAGAAGGTCACATGATCTAATGGAAATTAGTTCTCAGATAGAGATGTTCCACATGTAACTCATCTATATTACACGATGCACTCTTATCCTATTTGAAATGTCTCCAATGATCCTGAGTTGCACTGTAGGGAAAGAATGGTTGGTACTTGATTGTGGCAGTGAAGCTATTACAGAGCTCCTCACCAACTCACATTGTTACAGGACCACCAGGTTCAAATGCCTGCTGTACAGGAACAGACCATCAGGGTTTGCAGCAGAGAAAGAGCTTAATAATCGCAGGTTGGTCAAGTGCGGATGTGGGAGGAGATCTTCAAATCCATCTAACCAAGGAGTTCTGGGATGGGATTTTTAAGGGGGTCATGGATGGAGAGGTACTGGAAAATTGGGGTCTTTGATTGGTTGGGGCAGGGGGATGAAATCATCATCTTATGGAAACCGCATTCTTTGATGAGTCAGCTCCTTGTGAGACCAGCTAGCATCAGTGGGTTCCGTCACATCGGCTGAGTCTGTAGTTTCATCAGTATGCAGGACCTGAAGGAACAATCTCAAATGGAAAACTTAACGCTTGACCATGCTCAAAGTTGTTAGATAACAACTAGAGCAGTTAAGGGAGCTATAATCTTGTGACTGGGTCTGTATGATTCTGGGGCAATAGGGACCAAACAACTGTGAGGAAGGGGTCAGAGAGCAGCTGACCCCATGACGAATGCTGATGTGCTGCAACCTGGGTTTATTTTTATTTCTCCTCATCCCTGTTTCCTGGTTAATTTTAAAAAGTTTATAGGAATGGTTTCAACATTCTCCAGGGAAAATGTCCTTAGACCACGTGGCCCACACATCTGTCCTGCGTGGACTGGCAGAGCCCAGCTGCTGTCCCCAGCCTAACTTCAGGGGGAAGGCATGCTGTGTGCTTGCTGGGCATTTCTCACCTTAGCCACAGGGGATTGGAAGACACAAGACGAGCCAGCTGCTACAAATAAACCCAGCCTTGGGACCCACTGCTGGAGCAGTGCTTTCCTTGCTTGCATCACTGGCAGGTGCAGTTCTAGTGGCTCTCTTGTGTGGCTCTTCTCCAAGCAATGTTTAAGGGTCCCATGCAGCTCCATATTTCATTTTCCCAAACCCAGAAAACTTCATTTCTATAAATGTGATTGAGAGAAAGAGAGGGAGAGAGAGAAGAAAGCGTAACTGTTCTTGACATCCATGGGCATTTTCCACTGGTAAGAATGAGTGATATGACTCCACCCAGTGCCAGGGCTGGAAAATGGAGAGGAGCACTGGGCCATTAGGTGAGAACCAGTGGTCTCTTTTACATTACCTAGTGCTGCATTTTAGAATTGTGGGCAAAGGAGGCAAAACATGAAAGTTCATTTCTTGTAGGTTATCTTCAAGTTGAAAATTATTCCTCCAATTCCTATTTAATTTTTTAAATTTATGTAGATTTTTGGAGACAAGGTCTTGTCTGTCTCCCAGGCTGGAGTGCAGTGGTATAATCATGGCTCACTGCAGCTCAACATCTCAGGTTCAAGCCATTCTCCCACCTCAACCTCCCAAGTAGCTGGGAGTAAAGGCAGGCCACCACTCCTGGCTAATTTTTTTCATTTTTTTGTAGAGACAAGGTCTCACTATATTGCCCAGACTGGTTTCAAACTCCTGGGCTTAAGTAATCATCCTGCCCTGGGGCCTCCCAAAGTGTTAGTGTTACCGGCATGAGCCACTTTGACTGGCCCACATTCCTATTTTAAATTGCTGAGTGGAAAACATCACTCTATAGGTGATACCTCACAATTAAAATAAGAATCATAAAGAACTCCTCACTAATTGATATCCCAAGTCTAGTACGTCACAAAAGTGCCCAAAATGTACATTCAAAATCACATGCTCTTCCACTTACTGTTGAATAAAAAAAAATCTCTTCAACACAGTAATAGAAGGGCATTATATAGAAAAAATAAAATCATTTTAATGAAAAGACTTTCATTTCTTATTCTGTAAAGCTGAACACAGAAGGGAGAAAAGCTCATTATCATTCCTTATCAGATGTTGTAATTTATTGCAGCTGCCAACTGTAACCGATATCCTGAAATTAAAAGAACTTTTATTTGATATAAATGCCCAACATTTTAAGTTTTCCATTCTGTCTTCTCTCTCTACTTTCATTTTATAGAAAGGTTGTATCAATCCAAGAATATGATGTCATTAAATCAGCCATTTGATTTAATTGTGGTCTTATTGACATCATAGTATCTTAATTGAATCAATCAAATTTTATTTCAATTATAACAGCAAATCAAAAAATGAGAAATACACAAAATAATTAGGATATATCTATTTTTATTATCTGTCTTTATGGGTCAAGAACAATTAATTACAAATAGACATTCATTATGATGGCTAAAAAAAACCCTGAATTTATTTCAGGACAGCTGTGTATAGATGAAACCACTTAGCAAATAGATAGCTAGAAAATTCAGTATGGTTTGGATTATCTCTCCCATTAGGCTGTAGATGCTGTCAGATCTACAGATCTTGAGAGACTGTCTTACTTGATTTGATATTCCTGCAGGACCCAGAGAAGTGTTCATATATAGATACTGAAAAAGTTTGCCTAGTTGAAAAAAATAAAATGTGAAATTAAGGAAAGCAAAAACATTTTGAATTACAACTGTTTATGTGGAAACACAAAGCATCTAGATCCCATTTTTAACCTCCTTTTGAGGCCCAAGAGTGTTGGTGTTGAGAAATATTCACTGAATTTTTCATTATGTTTACATTTGATAGACTGCACAATTTCACATTCTGGCAAGCAAAATACACAAAAACTGTCATTTAATATGTTCCAAGCAATGAGTTAGGAATTATCACATGCATTGCCTTCATTAATCATTGGATATTTGATGTTAAAATGTTGCTATCATTCTCTCCATTTGATGAGGAAACCGAGACCCAGAGAGTTTGAAGTAAATTTGTTGAGGTCACAGAAATATTTGATAAATCAAGAACTTAATACAGCCTTTGTCACTCTATAGCCTCCAAAACTAGTTTTCACAATTTCCAAACTCTAACTTTTGAGACCTTTGCTCACATTGTTTTTCTACCTGAAACGCTTTTCTCCCATCACATCCCAATCCTCCACTCCACCTCCAGTCTTGGTTTGGGTGTCAGTTGCTCTGAGAAGCCTTCCCAACCCCCAAAATGGGCAAAACCACTGTGGTGAACATGGAATGGACATGCAGCTGGAGGAAAAAATAAAGCCCTGCTGTGTGAGCCACTGAAATGTAAGTGTAATTTGATACCAAAGCACAGTGTAACCTATCATAACTGAAAAGAAAGTTGATCAAACTCACACAATGGCAGATGTTGGATTCAAATACAAGTTTTCATGAATCCAAAGTTAATGCTCTCAACTCTATAAATGACTATGAGTCTGACAAAGTAGACACTATAGATAAAACCCTTGTGATCTGAAATATGCCTAGAAATTATATTGACAACTTTAATAGTGCCAAAAAGGCCAATAGTAAAAGTTACGAAAATCAGTACATCATAGCAATGCTGTGTTTAACTGCCAGTGGCCAAAATTGATTCAAAAGGACCTTTACATTTTAAATGTGAAGGAAGTTTAGACATTGATTTGTCTGATTCTGTAGGAGAAGTTACTTAACTGTAAGATTAAATGCATATTATTATGAATTAATAACATTATTTGTGTATACATTTAATATTTTGATTATTTTTTCCTAAATGCTGATATTCAATTAATCCCAGAGTCAATAGCATTTTCCTTTCTTTTCTTTAGTATTCATAATCTTCTTTAGTACAGTGATTACTTAATACAAATAATAAATGATAGGCACATCCATAGGACCAACTAAACAGCAAGGGAACTGGCTGAGACAGCAACTAGACTAAGGCTTGACAGTCTTAGCTGTACTAACAAAAAACTAGTTTTCGTTTGTTCATTGTTTGTTTTTCAATCTGTGCATCAAGTTTTATTTGGTCAACGACATTTTTCAATCAAGGAAACTGTGTCATTAGTTTTGGCTCTAAACACACTTTGCGTTAGAATAGACCTGAGTTCAAGTTCTTACTAGTTGTTTGACTTCAGTTTCCTCATCTTTAAAATGGGTATAATAATATCTACTTTCAAGTTTGCTATATGGATGAAATAAGTCCATTAGTATAAACCTTTTTTCTCTGTGTCTCATAAATAGATGGAGCTTAGTAAATGGTATTCCTTATTATTTTAAATATCTCCATCTTAAAGCTGTGTAATTGCAGCAAATTAAACACTTTCCCATTGAACAGAGGCTCATCCTCCTGTTTTGCTGAGTCTAAAATATATGTGACAGAATTGGTGAGATTATGAAGATAAATGTTACTTCCCAAAGTAACCCTGACATCAACTAAAGAGTTCTAACACCATGCCATGGTAGAAATTTCTTTCTTTAAATTTTGGATAGCTTGCAATTCACCTTTGATTTTTCATGTCTCAAACATTAGAGTTTGGTTATCCAGTCTGCTGAGTTTTTAAAAGCTTAGGAGAAGTCAAAACTTGGAGACAGTCTTAGAAACAGGAATCAGAGATGCATTTTATTTATGTATTCATTCACTCATTCCCTTGTTCAACAAATACAAGCTATGTGCCTGGCTGGATCAGACACTGGGTTAAAGCAATGAATAAAACATGCTCCCTATTCTTAAGGAATTCCAAGTAAGCAGAGGTGATTCAATGGTCACCCGTTTGCCTGGGTATCAGAAAATATATATCTAAATTTAATTCTAATTGATCTAAGGTAAAGGGATATACATTAGTTTTCCTCTTTCTACCATGTATGACCTCTTTTATTTGTGTTTTACTATTGTAAACATATCAAATATCTTTAATAAATAGATGGTGTACAAATCACTTCATCAGACAGAAAAAAATTGAAAAAATAGGGAAGTAGAGAAATAATTAAATACATTTTGAGGTTTGTTCTTTGGGACATTCAACAGGGGAATATGTTATTTCATTGTTAAAATTCATCTTGTGTAAAACAAACAAACATAAAAGATGAAGAACTTTATCAGAGGTCCTATAGAGGTATTACAGAAAATAAATGTTTCCCCAAACCACTCTAAAAGCGGTTAACTATTTCTCTAAACTTTCTTCTTTTTTAAATTTTATTTAACTGATGGAGAGTTGCTAGAAGGGGAAAAAAAGGTTTCAGTTAGGTAACAATTGACTATGTCTTGAGGCTATACATCCAGTTGTTAAATTTCTATTGCTTTTTTCTTAAGCTCAAATAACTCTGACAAAGAATTTCCTCTGCAAAGGGCATATTTTCAAACTTTAACCCTTAATTTCTGCTTTTAGACAGCAATATCTTTTGAAAATACCATTAAAAATCACACTAAACTTTTATTATGAGATTAAAGTCTCCCAGGCTTTGGTTCTGCTTTCTTTAACAGTTCCAGGCTCTGCTTCTACTTGCAATCACAGTTTGGAGAAGTTCCTGAGAACAAGGTCTGTCTTATTCCATTTAGTGTTGCTGTAACAGAATACCCAAGGCTGGGTAATTTATAAAGAAAAGAGATTTATTTGGCTCATGATCTCATGATTCTGGTGGCTGGAAAGTCCAGGAAGCATGATGTCAACATCTGCTCAGCGTCACAGCATGGTGAAGGGGAAGGGGAAGTGTGCACGTGCAGAAAAGAGCAGACACTGGACACAATCTCGCCTAACAACACCTTGCTCTCACAGGGATAAACTGTTCTCTTAAGAACTAACCCAGTTTCCTGAGAAGAGAGTAATCCATCCTTAATGACCTAATCACCTCTTAAAGATCCACCTCCCAACACCACCACATTGGGGAACCAAGCCTCAAACATGAGTTTTGGTGGAAACAAACCATTTTCAGACCATAGCAAGGTCCAAATGAATATGGATGGAGCTCTTCAGTCCTGTATTAATTATTTATTGCTGCATGTAAAATTACCACAAAACTTAGCAGCCTAAACCAACGTATATTTATTTTCTCACAGTTTCTTTGGGGCAGGAGTTTGAGCATGGCTTAGCTGGGTCTGGCTGCAATCAAACTTGAGTTTAGAGTCTGTGGTCTTACCTGATGGCTAAACTGAAAAAGGATTCACTTGCAAACTCACATCATTGTTTGAAGGATTCAGTTCCATAAGGGCATCTGTTCTCACTGGTTGTGGACCAGAGGCTGCTTTCAGTTCCTTGCTATGCATGTTTCTCCCACGTAGAAACTTGCTTCAACAAAGTGTGCAAGTGGAGAAGATGATAGAGAGACTGCCAGCAAGGCAATAGTTAAAAGTTTCTGCAAACTAATTTTGGAATGAATATTCCGTCTACTTTGTATAAATATTCCAGTACTTTCCATCATATTTTATTAGTAGAAGCAAGTCACTAGGTTCCTCCCATACCCAGTAGGGAGTGATTACACAAAGGTGTAAACACCGAGAGGTGTCCTTCCAGCCACGAGAATCATGAGACAAATAAACCTCATTTCTTTATAAACACAGACTCAGGTATTCTGTAAAAGCAACACCAAATGGATTAAGACAGAGCTTGTTCTCAGGGACTTCTCCAAAATCTGGTGATTGCAATTGTTAAAGAAAACAAAACCAAATCTTGGAAGACTTTCTCTCATAATAAAAGTTTAGTGTGGGCCGGGAGCGGTGGCTGACGCCTGTAATCCCAGTACTTTGGGAGACTGAGAGGGGCGGATCACGAGGTCAGGAGATCGAGACCATCCTGGCTAACATGGTGAAACCCCGTCTCTACTAAAAATACAAAAAAATTAACCGGGCGTGTTGGTGGGTGCCTGTAGTCCCAGCTACTCGGGAGGCTGAGGCAGGAGAATGGCTTGAACCCGGGAGGGTGGAGCTTGCAGTGAGCCGAGATCGCACCACTGCACTCCAGCCTGGGCGACGGAGCGAGACTCCGCCTCAAAAAAAAAAAAAAAAAAAAAAAAAAAAAAAAAAAAAAAAAAAAGTTTAGTGTGATTTTTTAACGATACCTTCAAAAGACAATTGCTATCTAAAAGTGGAAATTGGGGGTTAAAGTTTTAAAATATACCCCTTGCTGATGTAACCAAAGGTCACCAAGGACCAAGTCTGAAGCTGCCTGCTGTGGCCGTCATCTAGATCATGGCTGCTGCTCCTCCCTGGCCAAAGATGAAGGAGCATATGTCTGAGGATGAGCACATGCCTATCCAAAGGCTCCACTGAGGATACAGAGCCAGGACGGGCGGTCTACAAACACTTTCTAGGCTTTCCTGACTGAGGAACTGAATCTATCACTCCACTGTCTCTAATACTCTGTATGGTACCTTGCCCACAATAAACCCTCAGTGTTTATAAAATGAGGACTAGTGTTTCATGAGCACATGAAACTATAGGCAGAGAAGTTTTTAAACATATCACAACTAATCATTTACTATACTGCTTAAGAAGAAAAGCAACTGCTTTTCTTTGGCTATTTCAGAAACTATAACTTTTAAAACATGTAATATATGCTCACAAATTCTAAACAGTTTTTTAAAATATACAATCTCTCCAAAAGAAAATATTCAACTAAAGATAAGCTAGATAACTTTTAAGGTATGCAAAATGGTACAAGATTTTGAAATTAAAGTTATGATCAGATTTTTCACAGGATGATGTACAGACACTTGGAAACTTCTTGTGCAGAGTAGTATAATCTTTACTCTTGAATGAGTCCTTCAATAACACATCAGTAATCTTCCACTAGTTCCTGAAAACTTTCTTCTGGCTGTTCATGTTGCATGCTTATTTCTCTTTGGTTCATCGAATTCATCAGTTTTTCTGGTCTAAGACATTTTCTCATTTTACATTTTCCCTAGGCTCTTTCTTACACAGGTTAATTAATCTTTTTTTTTGAGACAGAGTCTCACTCTGTCATCCAGGCTGGAATGTAGTGGCACAATCTTGGCTCACCACAACCTCCGCCACCCGGGTTCCAGTGATTCTCCTGCCTCAGCCTCCTGAGTAGCTGAGATTACAGGCACATGCCACCACACCTGGCTAATTTTTGTATTTTTAGTAGAGACGGGGTTTTGCCATGTTGGACAGGTTGATCTCAAACTCCTGATGTCAAGTGATCCACCCACCTCAGCCTCCCAAAGTGCTGGGATTACAGGTGTGAGCCACCTCACCTGGCCAATTAATCTTCTTTTAACATCTAGTCGGTAACATCTGCCTTGTTCAGCATCACTCCTATCAGATACCATAGTTGAAGAATTTCACAAACCTGTCTAACATGTTTCTTATTTATTTTGAACTTCTATTGTACCTCTATTACCATATCTTCATTGAATTATTGCATTAGTTTATCTATGTAATTCTATTCACAAAAGGTATCTAGGTAGTATTAATATAAATACATGTGGTTTTCAGTTTTTCTTCACACTTTTCTATACTATTTAAATTTTTATAGTGATCAAGTATTATTTTTATAAGAAAACTGAAGCATCTCTAATGTTAAAAAATTAATAATAAAAATCAATAATCAGAGAAATGTAAATCAAAATTGTGATGAGATACTATCTCATATCTAAGAATAGTCAGAATGGCTATTATTAAAAAGTCAAAACAGAACAGATGTTGGTGACACTGCAGACAAAAGGGAACACTTATACATGCTTGGGGGAATGTAAATTAGTCCAGCCACTGGAAAGCAGTTTAGAGATTTCTCAAAGAACTAAAAGCAGAACTACCATTTGACCCAGCAATCCCATTACTGGGTATATACACAAAGGAAAATAAATCGTTCTACCAAAAAGACACATGCACTCATATGTTTATTGTAGCTCTAGTCACAATAGCAAAGACATGGAATCAACCCAGGTGCTCACCAATGGTCAACTGGTTAAAGAAAATGTGGTATATATGCACCATGGAATACTAGGCAGCCATAAAAAAGAATGAAATCATGACCATTGCAGCAACATGGATGTAGCTGAAGGCCACTAAGCAAATTAACACAGGAACTTAAAACCAAATACAGCATGGTCTCACTTATAAGTGAGAACTGCTAAGCACTGAGCACACATAAACATAAAGATAGGAACAATAGACATTGGGGACTACTAGAGAGGGGGGGCATGAAGGGCAAGGGTTAAAAAACTACCTATTGGGTGCTATGCTGAGTGATGGGTTCAATTGTACCCCAAACCTCAGCATCAATCAGTATACCCATATAACAAACCTGTACATGTACCCTTGAATCTAAAATAAAAGTTGAAATTTAAAAAAAGAAATATAACTGTAACCATGTATGCAAAGGAAAATTTCAGGAGTATAAAATATAGTAATAATTGTTAATTGAAGATAATAAATTATACAGGCACACACACACTATATATATATATGTGTGTGTGTGTGTGTGTGTGTGTGTGTATATATATATATAGTGAATCACTATAGTCATAAGTTCTTGTTTAACCAAAGACTATGTCTGAAAAAATACAAAATCTTGGACAATGATTGCTCCTGGACAGAAACATTTGGTGGCTGAGAGAATACTATATCAGCCAGTTTTAGTTTTGTACCACATGTGCCATTTACTGAGTCAAAACATTATTGAATGTATTCTGGAAGGTTACAATAGAGCCAAGGTATAAAATTATAAATATGTAAATAAGTAATATTTACATACATACATAAATGTGTATGTAAATCTTAAGTATATGATTACAAATAATGTTATATTTCTATCATTTGTTTCCTTGGATTCAAATATTAAATCTAAAAAAGAGAAGAGCCATTCTTAATTAACCAGACAGGCTGAAGCTCTCTCAGGTTATGTGGCAGACATCTCAGGAAACAGCATGGGAAAGGGATTTCCCAGGAAAGACAAGAAAGGCTTTAATGAAGAGGGAGCTCAAATTCCTTCACCTCTGCCTCAGAGCTACATCTTTCTTTGTCTTGAAAGGCCATAGTCTACCTGTATTAGTCTGTTCCCACACTGCTACTAAATCCACACCCAAGACTGGGTAATTTATAAAGGAAAGAAGTTTAATGGACTCACAGTTCCACATGACTAGGGAGGCCTCACCATCATGATGAAAGGCAAAGGAGAAGCAAAGGCACATCTTACATGGTGGCAGGCAAGACAGCTTGTGCACGGGAACTCCCATTTATAAAACCATCAGATCTTGTGAGACTTATTCACTACCACAAGAATAGTATAGGGGAAACTGCCCCCATGATTCAATGATCTCCCCCTGGCCCTGACCTTGACACGTGGGGATTATTACAATTCAAGGTGAGATTTGGGTGGGGACACAGCCAAATCATATCACTACCCCTAGTGAAGAGTCTGCTTTGATTAATTAATAAATCTAAGCAATGTTTATCAAGGGCCACTAGCCACAAAAAAAGAAATGAGTAGGCATATGTGCCTCCCAATGGAAGTATACCATGGCATGAAGTATTCTTACTAAATCTGCTCAATCTCTAGATTTAAATGCTGACTCACAGTAAATAAAGGAGGTGAAGGAACATACCAAGTAACATTTTGGAAGTCAATCATCAAAATCAGGCCAAAAGAAGTGAATTCACTTTGTCAACAAATACATTGCAGGGGAAAAGATGAAGAGGAATCTATAAATTAAAGGATGTTTCAAAGACATATCAACCAATTGCAATGTATGTACTTTATTGAGATCCTATATAAAAAAACTAAAAATAAATTATGAGACCATTGGAAAAATTTGAGTACTGGCTATATCTTACATGATAAAGAGTTAGCATTAACCTAAAATATTATTTATTACATTATTGTGATTATAAGAGTTATATTTTATAGATCTATACTGAAATATTTGCAAATAAAAAGATATGTTGACTACTGTGAACAACTATACACCAATAAATTGGAAAACCCAGAAGAAATGGATGTTTCTGGACACATACAACCTACCAAGATTAAACCATGGAGAAACAGAAAACCTGAAGAGTCTAATAATGAATAACAAAATTGATACAGTAATAATAAGTCTCCCCTCAAAGGAAAGCATAGGATCTGATGGATTCTCTGCTGAATTCTACCATAAATTTAAGAAAGAACTAAAACTAACTAATTCTACTCAAACTGTTTCAAAAACTGAAGTCAACATATCTTTTTATTTGTAATTTCTACAAAGAAAATGATAAAACACTGATGAAATAAATTAAAGAGGGAACCAAAAATAAAAAGTAAAAGAAAAGCTATTCCAGCTCATGGATTGGAAGAAATAATATTATTAAAATATCTATATACCAAAACAATCTGCTGATTCAATGCAACCCCTGTAAAAATACCAATGACATTCTTCACAGAAATAACAACAACAAAAAATCCTACAATTTGTGTGAAACCACAAAAGACACCAAATAGCTAAAACAATCCTAAGCAAAAAGAACAAAGCTGGAGGCATCATACAACCTGAGCTCATAGTATGCTATAAAGCTATAGTAACCAAAACAGCATGGTACTGGCATAAAAACAAACACATAAACCAATGGGACAGAATAGAAAACTCAGGAATAAATTCAAACACTTACAGCCAACTAATTTTCCACAAAGGTGCCAAGAAAACAGAATGGGGAAAGGATGGTCTCTTTAATAAATGGTGCTGGGGAAACTGGTTATCCATATGCAGAAGAATAAAACTAGGCCCCATCTTTCACCATATACAAGAATCAAGTCAAAATGAATAAAAAACTTCAATGTGAGACCTGAAATAATGAAACTACAAGAAAACATAGGGGAAATGCTTCAGGACACTGGTCTGGGCAAAGATTTTATGGATAAGACTTCAAAAGCACAAGCAACAACAGCAAAAATAGACAAACAGAATTAAATTAAGTTAAAAATCTTCTGCATAGCAAAAGAAACAATCCACAAAATTAAGAAGGTGAGGTGCAGTGGCTCACACCTGTAATCCCAACACTTTAGGAGGCTGAGGCAGGTGGATTGCTGGAGCCTAGGAGTTCGAGACCAGCCTGAGCAACATGGCAAAACCTCGTCTCTCCAAAAAATAGCCAGGCATGGTGGTGCAAGCCTGTAGTCTCAGCTACTCAGGAGGCTGTGGTGGGAGGATCAGTTGAGTCTGGGGAGGTTGAGGCTGCAGTGACCTGTGACTGCACCACTGCACCCCAGCCCGGGCAACAGAGTGAGACCTTGACTCAAACAAACAAACAAGCTAACAAAGTGAAGAGACAATTTAAGAATGGGAGAAAAAAGTTACCAACCATTAATCCAACCAGGGATTAAGAACCAGAGTATAAAAGGAACTCAAAATTCAATAGCAAAATAATTATCATAATAATCAAATTTTAAAACGGGTGAAAGACTTGAATAGACATTTCTCAAAAGAAGATGTACAAATGGCCAAGTATGTAAAAAATAATGTTCAAAATAATGAATCATCAGGGAAATGCAAATGAAAACAACAATGAGATATTACCTCACTTCAGTTAGAATGACTGCTATTAAAAATACAAACATAACACATGTTGGTAAGGATATGTAAAAAAGTGAACTCTTATTCACTGTTGGTAGAAATATAAATTAATATAGCCATTATGGAAAATGGTATGGAGTTTCTTGAAAAAACTAAAAATAGAATTGCCATTGACCCAGTAATCCCACTGCTGTTTATACATTAAAAAGGCAGAACATCAGTATATCAAAGAGATATCAGCCCTCCTATATTTATTACGGCATTATTCACAATAGCTAAGATATCGAGTAGAGCTAAATGTCCATCAACAGATGAATAGATAAAGAAAATGTGGTACATATACACAGTGGAATATTATTTAACCATTAAAAGAATAAAACCCACCATTTGCAGCAATATGAATGGAACTGGAGTCACTGTGTTAACTGAAATAAGCCAGAAACAGAAAGACAAATAACACATGTTCTCACTCATCCATGGGAGCTAAAAAAAAAACTGGATCTCTTGGAGGTAGAGAGTAGAATGGTGGTTACCAGAGGGTGAAAAATGAGGGGCGCAGTGATAAGAAGTTGGTTACGAGGTATAAAAATACAGTTAGGGCCAGGCATGGTGGCTCATGTCTGTAATCTCAACACTTTGGGAGGTCGACGTGGGAGGACCACTTGAGGCCTGGAGCTCAAGACCAGCCTGAGCAACATAGTGAGATCCTGTCTCTACAAAAACAAAATAAAACAACAACAACAACAACAAAACTCACAGTCAGATAGAAGGAATACATTTAGTACTAGACAGTATGGTGGGGAAATGACTGTTAATAAGAATGTATTGTGTATTTCAAAATAGCTAGAAGAGAAGAATTGTAATGTTCCCGGCACAAAGAAAAGATAGTTTGAAGTGATGGCTATCCTAATCACTCTGATTCGATCATTATGCATTGTATACATGTATCAAAATATCCCATGTACCCTCAAAATATGTGCAACTATTATATATCAATAAAACTTTTTTAAAGATATGTTGTTGGTGGGGAGGGGTTATACGTAAAACAATATTGGCCATAAGTGGACCAATAGCTATCAGGGCTCCTGAGAGTTCATTACACTAGTCTTTCTAATTTTTTATGTGTGAAGTTTTCCATAATAATTATTTTTGGTTTTCCTGTTTTTAAAGAGTGTGTTCTGCTAAAACATGGCTCCTTGGTGTCATTGTTTTATGTCACTTCTTTTGCTTTATTTGAGTTTCCCCACAGAGTTCATTTTTCTTCTTTTTTAAGGTTGGCACTGTGTAAGGGTTCTGCCACGGAGAACTGGATCACCCCCTATCATGATCCTAAATTCAGTACAGCCAGCAGAGTGGCACCTACAATGAGCAGATATATTAGGCACAGATGCTGTCCTCAGAGCACTTACAGGCTACCTATCATCAAGATCTATAACCACTTCCTCGAGACCATGACCCAGTTTCTCTCAAAGAGACTCTGGCCTAGAACTGAATACTGTGTCACTTTTCCATAACTGGAGAGCTTTGCAGGAACTCTTTCTTACTAAAATTACTGGTCACTTGAAGGTTGCCCTTAAATGACTTCCAAGCAGAATTAGAGGTTGGGCTTATGTGCCTCATTCCATTACTTATTCATTCTACCAGCATATATTGTTCCTTTCTCACACCTGAGTACTGTGCTAGAATGTGTGGAATTTGAAAACCCGTAACTCTTATTAAGCTATGTTCAAACAGATTGAGCTTATCAATCAGATGAGCAAACTGCATAGGGAACAACAGGAGGGGCAAGTAGTTCCAAGTGAGAGGCAGACATGGTTCACTGCTGGATCTGTCTGGTATCTGGAATGTTTTCTCTGTACTTCACACACATCTCTACCCTGGAGATTCCCTCATCCTTCAGGTCCAGGTGGCCCTCCTCCTTTTCTGGAACAACTAGGGATCATGTGTTAATCAATTCTGTTGTACCTTCGCCTAGAACCGTGGATATGCAAAGAACAGTTGGATAGGTTGACTAAATGATTGATATTTTTTGTAGAACTGCTTGAAGTATGTACCGTTTTGAAACTCAATTTCAAAAAATCAGGTTCGTTTACCAAACAACTCATTTTTCTTATTTTATCATCATGGAAGTACCAGTCACGCAGTATAAATTATGCCACAGGTTAATTTTTCTAAATTAAGAGTAATGAGCCTGGGACCTATGTATCTCTAAAACTGTAAAACGAAATTTTGTCTATATGTCTAATTTTTCTGAAAAGTAGATGTCTAGTGTTTTTAAGTTTCCAAGGATGATGAGAAATGCTGCCAAGTCTTGGTTTTAAATTCTGGGTTGAGTTATTTGTGCTATATTGATCCAGTCTGCCTCATTGACACTCTCCCACTGGTAACTGGCATTCAGCTATGCCATTCGGCACCAAGTTCTTTGTCAGGTAATTAGCAGTGAGGACCATCAAGATGTTTTTTTCTGCAAGTGAGCAAGAAGGCTTCCTGGGTCTTGAATTGAGCACTTGGACAAACCTGAACACCCTGCTGCTGGGCTTAAAGTTCTGTTTTTTATTCCAGTTTCTTCCCATTCTACATCTTCCCTGATGTGACAGTAAGTGATCATGTGCCTGCCAGTCAGATGGAGAAACTAGTGGTGTATTTAGTTCTCAACGTGTCTCAGTGAAAAACACCCAATATGGATGCCAGAAAATTGTTCTTCATGATCACTCTGATGTGTAGCAAGAGAAATGAAAATACACACTAAGAAGTCTGTGACAATTTTTATCTCCTGGCATATTTCTTGTGTGGCCAACTCATATGGAAAATGCCTTGTAACAATGGGAGGGAATGTAGGAAGAGAAAAGAGGAAATTTTTTGCTTAATAGGACAATCGCTTTTGAAGTAACCTAGCAGACAACAGAATGATGGCATTCACTTAAAATTCATGGAAATAAAAACCCATGAATAGAATGCACAGAACGTATGCTGAACATTTTCTGCAAGTTTAAATTGAGAAAATGTTCCTAGCATAGAATATCAGCAACCATGATAAACTTAGGGAGAAGGGAACTTCAGGCTGAGGGACTAATACTCTGGAGATGCTTCTGGCTTTTGGCAATAAAGTAATTGTCGGTAGACATATGTGGGTTTGTGTTGTCAACCGTCCTCTCCCTTCATCTCCCCCCACCTTCTACAAAATCACTCAAGTACTTTCTGAGTGTTAACTCTTTAACATTTGTGGCGATAGTCTGCTTTACGAAATGTCTTTTCTCATTATATCTCTTATTCTTTACAGAAAAAACAACAGCAAAAAACAATGTGAAGTAGGTACTATATTGTTGTTATTTAAAATCTGAGGAGACCTAAGTTCCAAGTGCTTAGTTAACAACCCAGTGAATGTTGGGACTCAAATCTGTGTTTTAAGACTCCATCTTCTGCCTGTTCACATCGTGTCTACTGTGCCCTGAGCAAGGCTGTGTGGACAAAAAAAAAAAGGCTTGAGCGTGTGTCAGAGGCTTACTGGTGACTCATTCCTGGCCCTGGGCTGCCTCCTGAAGTCTCTCCATTCTGGGCTCCCAGGGTGAATTCCATTGCTTCCCTTTTCTGAATGATCACCTTTCCTCTATGATTTTATATCCTTCATCCATAAAAATTCACTGCAGTGGAGGGAACCACTTCTTTAAATCAATCATTTGCTATTTCCAAAAATTATTGTGAGACATTCTTGTTCTAAAAGGATTATTTGTGATAATCCAAAAGCAGTAATAAAAACACCAGGCATGCAGACTATACATTTCTCTGGTCACTATTTCTTGACTTTCTTGCCAGCTGACACATACCAGCCTGCAGTCCCCCTGCTCCCTGGCTCTCCCCACTCCTTTTCAGCAGTTCTTTATTCTTTTTAAGTAATGAAATACCCTTTTACCAGGAAGGGTGCTCATTCAACATGAAAGGTAGCACAATAGAACAAAAATTGTGGGGTAGTATTCTAGTAATCCTTGATTAATTATATCTAAGGGAAACTACATTACTAATCCCCACCTCAAAATGTTATGTGTTTCATAGAATGAAAGTTATTTTAGAGCACATGACTTACATAAATTAGGTGTTTAGAAATGTGTGTCAGAGAAAGGTGATTTTGGTGGAATAAGAGATTAATAGTTCTTAGTTAGATTTAGGTGTTTTATGCAAAATACTTTATCTCCAAAGCCATAGTGATGTAAATATTGCTGTTCTTAATATTGTTATTGCCTTTTTAAAAATTAGAAAACAGAGGTGTAGAGAGCCCTGCTAGAAGATATAGGAGAAGATGCTAGAGTTTGAGCTCTAATTATGGGGAAAGTCCTTCATTACGAGACTTCTGATGAAGTATTATTCAACTGATCAAAGAAAGACAGACATACCATTGTAGGTGGACAGAGTGTAGTGTAGGATAGAAACCATTTATATTTGTTCAATGAAACGTTAGCAAAAAAGCAGAATAGCCTTATGGTCTCAACAAGTTTTTGTTCCAAATTTGAGCATCCTTAACTTTTTTCAGACAAGGAAGAAGGAAGGGCTCTCTTGTCCCCCATCTGAGTCCTCACCCACCACCACAGACACCACTAATAGGAGACCAGGGACTTCAGAGAAGAAAGTAAGCTGCCATGGTGAAGACAACCTAACAAACATCTGTCCTCAGACCTCATGATGCTTGGTTCTGTAAGCCATTTCTCCCGTGTTGTAATAGACAGTCTAGGGTTATTTTCAAGGAAGTCATAGCAACCCCAACTTCTTTTTTAAAACCTATTTTTCTCAGCTTTCTAATTGAGTGTGAAGTGTTCTAATTGCAGTCTACAAACCAATAGCTAAGCAAGAAGGATGAGAATAATTTGATGGCACTTTTGTCATCAAAACGAGCTTATTTTGGCTGATATAAAACACTACTTTGCAACTTTAAATAATCAGAGGTAATGGGAAGGGGAGCGAGCAATATATTGCACCAGTCTACTGTGTTAGTCCATACTCATGCTGCTACTGAAGGCATTTTTGAGACAGGGTAATTTATAAAGGAAAGAGGTTTAATTGACTCACAGTACAGCATGGCTGGGCAGGCCTCAGGAAACATACAATCATGGTTGAAGGGGAAGAAAGCATGTCCTTCTTCACATGGTGGCAGCAAGGAGAAGTTTAGAATGAAGTGCCAGAAAGCCCCTTGTAAAACCATCAGATCTCATGAGAACTCACTCACTATCATGAGAACAGAATAGAGGTAACTGCCTCCATAATCCAATTACTTCCCCCATGATCCAAACCCTCCCACAACAGGTGGGGATTATGGAAACTATGGTTCAAGATGAGATTTGGGTGGGGACACAGCCAAACCATATCACCTACACTTACAGGCACAGTTGACCTATTATTTAAATCAAGATTATGAATGTCCTTGCAAAAAGCCTAATAAGATTAGGGTTATACTAGATGTGCTATTTAGACCATTGAAATCAATGCAATATTTTCCAAGCTTTAGGAAAATACATTGACAGAAAAAAAAATCACAAATTGAAAGAAAATATAAAATAAGTTGTAACTCATCCAAATTATCTTGACAAAGCTCATTTGAGTATTAAAATAAGATAAAATCATTACAATAGTTACTATTACTGAACAAATGAAGAATATTGTTAGGTTGTCAAATTATCAGCACATTCTTTTTCAACAAATTTGTGACATTAATAACTTCATGTTTTTATGTACAATTCTGTATGTGAGCTACTAAAGGTACATTGAGCTCTGTATGCTATGTAAACATTTTGCAGTGATAACCTTCACTTTCTGCTCTGCTCTGCTTCCTCACTGTGAGGGACTAGGCAACTTCACCCCCACTGTAGGCACATTCCTACTTCAGGCATAGGAGCAATCCTGCTCCAAGTGTTGGTTTCTGTAGCTTATGCAACTAAGAGGTAGCTTTCTGTTCTGATTTCATAACCTGGTTTCAACACATGAGCCTCTGTCATTGTGGTGACTAAATCAGACCACCTCAAAGCCACATGCCCACTTGAGCCTTGGCATAGTGCTTGTGCCTGGATATCCCAACACCTCTCACTACTGCAAAGACATCTCTGATAGAAGGAACAGACTCAGAACTTGGTTGGCCTATGATTGACACCAAGAATTCTGAGTATTTGGCTGAACTTCCTTCCATCACTAGTGGTTGCCCCTAAGTGTGTTTACCTTTCAATTAAGGAAGAAAGACTAGCATGAAAAAAAGATATTTTATGGTAGGATTTCCGGCCGTGAAGCTAGTGCTCAAAGTATTTTTGGAGTGAAAGAAAGACTTTCTTATATGCCTCAAATCAGCCGTCCCAAATGTCCATCCATGAGCAAATTCAGCTGGAAGTATCCCTTTCTCTTTGGCAGGTCTCCCAAACTACATCCCATCCTAGTCACCTAAAACGTTATGCAGGCTTCATATGAGAACCTAGAAGCCATTGTTAATGCCTCGTGGGTGCATGGCGAGAAGCTGCCAAGGCTCACTCTGATTCATTCCAAATGTGGAGCAGAAATAGTAGAATTTTAAATATACGTCTCCTTGGGAAAATCATTTTTGTAGTTTTCTATGAGTGCACATGCTGCTTAGACAATAAATTTAACCAAATATAAAACCATTAGCCTGAAAAACTTATATAATTTATAAATATGCATTTTCAAATTTACCTGACATGTCAATATACAACCTACATTCAAACTGAGAAGCATTGGTCCTTCTCGACATTTGTTTTGAAGGCATTTGTTTTTATGACATAACTGTTTGTGGGAGCAGTTATGTGGAAGTGGAGGATATTTAGGGCTATTGTTTTTCCATTCACTTGGAGTCTAGAAGAGGTATCCCTTCATTTTAAATGGAAAAAAGTTGATAATTTAAAGCCAACGTTTTTTTTTTAACCTCCTGTTCTTTTAGAAAGGATATGAGCCTGGAAGTCTACATGAAGAGAACTGTAAGCAGGTGGTAAGAAAGTTGACTTTTCAGGAAGCCAGGCTCTTGAGCTACTAAATATTCATAGGGTAGATGAAGTAAAGAAAAGATAAGCAGAAGGGATGTGTTTTGATATCAGAAATGGAAACTTTCTTTTACCAATAATGAAAGCTGGTATAATGAACAGTGATTTCTCACATTCATTCTGCTTTTGAAATTTATCCTGTCTTACTTTTCTCTCTTCTGAGAGGTGGGAAGGATACAGGTTTTCTCGGGTCAGAATATATCCTGTGATGATATTGGCCCAGGAGGCTGCTCTCTGACAGTCTGGTCGTTCACAGCTAGCAGTGTTTATCCCATATTTTAATTGATTCTGAAGTTATTTTTACAGTGTAGCTTGCTCTCTCCCCCAGATTGTAATAAACCTAGGTACTGAGAAATATCTTGGTGGGTACACTATATATACCATTATCTTTCACTTCTAATTCTTACAGAAAATGCTAAAACTAGCAAGAGGGTTGGGCATCTTAAAAAATTAACATTCATATAGGTAGTTAATTTTTAAACTAATTTTCAAACACATAGGCACTAAGTGAGATGAAAACCATGTGTTCATTCCATAAATCAGGCATATATACACAGCATTACACGCAAGCAATGGAGATGTTTTAAAGATTATAATATACAGTCCCTAACTTCCAGTTTTCATCCACAAAACAAAACAAAATGATTTACTACATGATAGCTTTTAAAATTTTTAAATCTTTTGTTATACTCAAGATTACTGTTGGCATGTTGACCACAGTTCGACAATGAGGACTCAGCTTTATGGAATGTGAAGATAATAAAGGATCCTGATTGAGCTTTTCAGAGTTTTATAAAAGAACTGGGTCACTCTGTCCTTAAAAATTCACACATAAAATTAATATGAACTCAAGTAAATAACATTTCTATAGTAATTTATTAAGAAAATAGTGATGATATTTTTATCAGCCCAAAAACCTGAAATTAGGGAGTTGTACAAGAAGTTGCAGTTCTACATCAATCTTAGCATCAAATTAATTTAGTTTTTTCTATTATTTAGGAGTTTTTATTAAAAAGTAATACATGTTTATTATATAATGTGAGTAATATAGAATATTAATATTATGTAATTTGAATAATACAGAAGAACATAAAGTACAAAGTGAAAGGCAATCCTATTTTCTGTAGTCTTTAAATAGGAAAAATAGCAAGTAACTCAACACTATTTGATTTAATATTACTTATGAAGTAGCAACATTCTAAGTTCCTTATACTGCTTTATAATAGAAGTTTTGAAAATTGAACTATGTAAATTTTGTCATTTACAATGATCAGATTTTGGGGGGTTAATATTCATAGCTTCTAATAGTTAGAAGTGGGTCAGTGTAATAGATTTCCTCTACACAATTTCAAAACACAGAAATATATAATGTTTTATGCTTAATCTTGCCATGCATACTGACATTAAGGAACCTTAAAGGGTATCCAGGTAGGTTGTAACCCCATTCAGGAAAGGCCCATTTAAGGCAGATGAGATAATAGTCTATTTTTCAGTTTGGCTAATGCTCCAGCCAGAATCCAGGGACAAAATCTTCTGATGATCCCTGAACCCAGGAGCTGTTGAAAATTGACCTAATCCAGTTGGGAATTTTCAGCTGAAAAAAATGCACCATTCCCTATAATTTGTGTAAGTGCTTATGTTCTGTTCATGCACCCCGTTCATTTTGCTGGTGAAGTCATTCCTAGTATCCATTATGCCAGCTGGTAAACCTCTGGTGCTGAATGTGTGGAAAGAAGCTGGAAGTCTTGTGGTCAACACAGCAGAATGTGGACTTTTGACTTGGGTGTTTAAATGCAAGCTATCCCTGAGGGTTTATCCCATTATGGTTCTTCAAATGCTGTTTACTCATCATCAAGTTGTGGATTAAAACTAACAGTATGAAACATAACTTCTTTGTGTAGTCTAGGCAGTAGAATTTTCAAGTAAATTAGATATTATATGCATATATTAGTAAAGTTCTTACTCTACAGAAGTAATAATTCACGTTGCAAGAATTGACACTGAACTTCACTTATAATGGTTGATTGGGTTCTGGAAGATCTTTATGGTATTCTGGTGTAAATAATGGGTGATATAGAACCATTCAAGTCAGATGAATCATTTGGAGCTGGCTAAAAAAAAAAATCTCAAAATTTTGATATTACCAGAAGAGTAACAGAGCTGTACATATTAGATACATGTAGGCACTTTTCTGACCACATTAGTGCAGTGAACTATCAGGGAAGTTAGATCAGAAGACTGGAGCTTAAGTGCCAGCCCTTTTCACTTAACAACTGTGATCTCGAGGATGCTACTTAACCCCTGTGGATCTCAATCCCTTATATTGTAAGTTGTAATAGGATAATATCGCATATTGTGCTCTTGTGAGAATGAAAAGAGATAACACTTAGGAAAGCATTTTGTATGCAATAAATATTATGATGGCAGTAATGTCCATATATTAAAGCATTGGGTTTAGACTCGGAAGATACTATTTTAAAAAAACCTCACTCTCTGAGAGTATGGAACATTAAGGAAATTATACATATAGAATGGAAAAGGAAAAATGGTAAGACAAGAGGTGAGCAGATGCCTTGTCTTACTTCTTAGAAGTAATGCGAAGTCTGGGCTATATCCTAAACTGCATGGATATTCCATGAAAACTCTCTAATCTTGTCTTGTCGTAGAGAGCAGGACAAAGATCAGATGTGTGTTTGTTAAAGTTCATTCTAGCTGCAAAATGGATAATGGGGCCCTAGGCCAGTGAGTTTTTCATTAAACATTGGCTCAAGCCATGCCCCAAAGTTGTGTGGCCAGATTTTGATAGAGCTACTCAATGTATTTTAATGGATAAAACGTTATGCCTGGGTGCTTATTCTAAGCAGAAAGTTAATATTAAGTAAAGAATTATTCTTAGATGACTCAGGATATAAAATCTATTGTAGCTGAAAGAGCTAGTCAAATGAGGGAAAATTTATTTTTATTTGAAATGTTCTTGATTCTATGTCTCAGTTATTTCACTAGTCCATAATTCTTCTTTATCTTATATAGGAAGATACAGTTTGTATATATTATGTCGGTCAGTGCCATCTTTTTCTTTTTTTTCTTTTAAAAATTATTAAGAACCCCTGAAAGCCTTCATTTATATAGATTATATATACTAATATTTGCCATATTAGAAAATGAAGCTACTGCATTTTAAACTATTTATTTATTTATTTATTTATTTATTTATTTATTTATTTATTTTGAGATGGAGTCTCGCTCTGTTGCCCAGGTTGGAGTGCAATGGCGCAATCTTGGCTGACTGCAACCGCCACCTCCCAGGTTCAAGTGATTCTCCTGTCTCACCCTCCAGAGTAGCTGGAACTACAGGCACGCGCCACCATGCCCAGCTAATTTTTGTATTTTTTAGTAGACACAAGGTTTCACCATATTGGACAGGCTGGTCGCAAACTCCTGACCTCGTGATCTGCCCGTCTCTGCCTCCCAAAGTGCTGGGATTACAGGCGTGAGCCACCACCCCCGGCTAAACCTTTCATTTATTAATTCATTTGAAATGATAACAACAAATCCATTAAGTATAATTATAAATAATATATTTTTATAAAACAAAATTAGATTTTGCAAAACAAGGAAACAAAAAATAGAGAGGAGAGTAGCATTGTTTTACATTTTTATAAACCCCTTTAATGTCTGGCCTAAGAGAGGACAGCAATTCTCATATTTGGTTCTCCATTTAAGTTGTTGCAATATATTGTTTTGTTGAAATATATGAAGAAAATCCAATTTCATACAGGTAGTTGGAAAAGGAAGGAGTACTTTAATAGCCACTTTAGCCCATTGTGAATCTTCTTTGCTACTAGAGCAAAATCAGACAAGTGGTATTTTCTTCACGTTGTTCACCAATGTGGAATTTGAAATCATTTTAGTGAATTTTTCATACTAACATTAAAATCCATTGCATTTTGAGTAGTTCTTTTACCAAACATAATATTGTAGCATTATGCATTAGATTTTGGCAACATACTAGTTCACTGAGTTATATAGATCTTCCAAATGTTGACACTTAATATTACCATGAGTTACATCAGAAAAGTCTTTAACTAACAGGAAACTCTTAAGCTTGCACTGACTTTTACAAGCTTTCCAAGGTTCTGATATTCACTTGCAAGCTCGTGTTTTGTCATTGGCAGTGAGCACTGAGTTGTTGCCTTTTTTGAAGTGACTGGCTTACTCTGTTCATTTTTGAGAAAGTGCCTGCCAAATACTCGAGTCTAAATATCCATGGTTTGTCAGTAATTCTCTCAAGTAAAAATGGTGTTCGTAAAAATAAATGGCTTGTTCAGCTTGCAGCCCACACAATCCCACATGTGAATTTCCTTCAGATTTACCACCGTATTTTAGTATCCAGTGGAAATGCCTTATGCTTATTTATCATTTCATCACACTGAGTATTAAAAGACATATTTAAAGGATAATATGTAATAAAAGTATTAATTTTTCTTTGTCAAGGTGGTTTTTATGTGACACTGGCATATAGTTTTTACTGACAGTGTGTGGTGAAGAACTCAATGCTGACTTGCAGAGTTTATTGCAACTGCTTTGACTCATGCAAAGGCATCAGCAGTTTTACCCACTATTGTTCTTGCACCATTAGTGCAAATGTCAACACAGTTAAAAAGGTAAATAAAATCTGAATATTATTACAAAAGTAGTTTTGACTTTGTGGACTCCATGGGGGTTCCACAGATCATACTTTGAGAACTGCTGGCACAGGTTTCCCTTGGTGCAGGTTGGTACACATGACCTTAGGCCTCACTGAATGTATTATCAACTGATGAGAGCCCCGTGCAACTGAGGTCAAAATAGTGCATCCAATTTCAGGTGAAGTAGCTTGGCCTTTGTTGTGGATGTCTGGTTTTATAAGAGTGCAGGCAAAAAAATAAGACCAAACACGTATGGGTATACGAAGGCCTGTGGTTTACCAAAATGTGTCCTTGAAGAGTACAAGTATAAAGGCACAGGGATAGAACTTGGAAAAATATTTGACAGCAGAACAGCCCCCATCCCTGGGCCCTAAGGGCTCTCCAGGCTGTGTAGTTGCCCTTTACACTCATCTGGAATGTGTGAGGCACATGTTCACTTCAATCAATTACATCAGAACACATTCCACTCATTTATACCTGTGGATGTCTACCTCTGAGCAGTCAACTCTCTGGGTATGAACTCCACTTGAATCCCACTAAGGGGCCTCTCAAAAAGAAAACCCCAAACACCCATGTTATATGTGCTATTGCCAGAAAAATGTAATTGTTTTAGCCACTCAAAGCTTGCACCTCAGGTCAGTCACATTACGTTCCTCTTCAAGAGACAGCACATCATTAGCATACTCTGAAAACCTTGTTAACATTTTCATAGTTTCTAACAGCAATGGCAAATGGATTTTTAGGTACAAAATGTTCCTCACAGAATATGAAAACTTATTTTTCAACTTAAAAAATAATAATATAAAGTATTCTCCAGCTCAGAATTTTATATTTTTAACTAGGATTATGTAAATATCAGCTAACACTGACCAGCCAATGTCCTTTAACAAAAGGCAGGCAAATAAATTGTTCTGCTCTAAATTTAATATTTATGTAACCAATATTGATTGATAAGGAACTTTTTAAAAACTTTAATATTTTCTTTATTACAGAAGAAAACAATGTTGTTCTGTAATAAAGAACAGTGCCTTTACTCAGCCATTCTCTTTATCCTCTGTGACAACTTATTTTTACTGGGTTTCTTTTAACAGCTCAGAGTTGGATTTTTCTTTTTGCTCTTCTTTATCATGTATTACTATCTTTACTAGCAAATGAAAGATTGTATCACATTTTTAGTGCTGTAACTGTTACATTTCAGTCTTACCTTGGACTTTTAAGCAATCTAAAGAAATATTTGCTCAAATGGCTTTATGAAAAATGGAATGAGCGATAACACTTGTCCTCTCGTTAGGTTCAACAGTTTTTAAACGTGAAATCCTAACAGTGAAAGAACCATTGCTAGCCCCCATGTCCTTCCCCAAGTGAGGGTCATATTCCGAAACAGAGACCATGAAACTTTACCACATTGGGAGAAAACTGTACATAGGGTGCTCAAAAGCCCTCAAGGCTCTTGCACAGACTTCTTAGAGATCCCACATGGTTCCAAATATTAGAGAAATGTGTGGAGTTAAAGGCTCAGGATTTGGCGTGTAAGATAACCTCAGGTAGGGAAGAATTCATTCAGTGTTTCCTAGGTTTAAATATCACCCCAGCATCTCTACTCTCTGGCACTACAGCTTCACTTATCATCTGGTTTCACCCCACTCTGACATCATTTCCTGGGTGTTTGACTGGGTTTAGCAGAATGACATTGCTGAGTGCCTGGCCTCAATTCTTATTTACCACCTCAGTTTACCACCAGATACTATCTTCCATGACCAACCTGGGGGGAGCTTGATTAATGTGACACTTGATTTTGGCATCCTTGAGCTTGTTCTGAGCCACAATTAATACAGCTATCATAGCTCAATAAAAGAGCTCAATTTCTTCTAACGTCACCCCCCTAGAGCCTGTGTCTAAAGTGGAAGTCTCTGTACACCCATATTTTTATAACTTGGGACCTGTGGACATGGAAAGAAATCTGCTGACACAGGAGTCCATGGACCTCAATAAAGAAACACTGTAAATTTCAGTCATCACTTGACACCAACAATATTGTGATCTTGTTATAGGTTGAACTGTGTTTCTCCAAAATTCATATGTTGAAATCTTAAGCCCAAGCACCCCAGAATGTAACCTTGTTTGGAAATAAGGTAATTGCAGATGTAATTAGTTAAGATAAAGTCATACTGGAATAGGGTGGGCTCCTAATCCATATGACTGATGTCTCTATTCTAAATAAGAGGGAAATTTGGGCGCAGATTCACATGCAGACAGAATACCATGTGAAGATTGGAACTATGCAGCCATGGGCCCAGAACTACTAGAAGCTAGGAGAGAGACCTGAAAAATGTCCTTCCCTACACCTTCAGAAGGAGGATAAACTTTCCAACACCTTGATTTTGGACTTCTGACCTTCAGAACTGTGGGATAATATTTTTTTTGTTCTAAGCCATGCAATTTATGCTATTTTGCTATGGAATCCTCAGAAAATTAATACAGAACTCAAATGCAAAGTGAGACAAAGAAATTACATAATACAGATTGAGTATACCTTGTCCAAAATGCTTGGGCCAGAAATGTTTCAAATTTCTATTGTTTTATTTTAGAATACTTGCATATACATAATGAGATGCCTTGGAAATGGGATCCAAGTTTAATCATACAATTATTTGTGTCTCATATACACCTTATAAATAGGTTGAAGTTAGGATTTTCTGAAATATTTAAAATAATATTTGTGCATAAAATAAAGTTCTGGCTATGAACTGTTACAAGGTCATATGTGAAATTTTCCACTTGTGGCATCATGTCAGCACTCAAAACCTTTTGGATTTTGGAGCATTTCAAATTTTAGATTTTGGGATTAGGTATGCTCAACCTGTAGTTGTAAGAGGTGAAGCCACCTGGACTTCTGGGTTGGGTGGAGACTTGGACAACTTTTCTGTCTTACAAGAGGATTGTAAAATGCACCAATCAGCACTCTGTAGCTAGGATTGTAAAACGCACCAATCAGTGCTCTAGAGCTAACTAGAGGCTTGTAAAATGCACCAATCCATGCTTTGTAAAAATGCACCAATCTAATTGTCATGACTAGCTATAGGTTTCTAAAATAGACCAATCAGCACTCTGTAAAATGGACCAGTCAGCACTCTGTAAAATGGACCAATCAGCACTCTGTAAAATGGACCAATCAGCACTCTGTAAAATGGACCAATCAGCAGGATGTGGGTGGGGACAAATAAGGGAATAAAAGCTGGCCACCCCAGCCAGCAACAGCAACCTGCTCGGGTGCCCTTCCGTGCTGTGGAAGCTTTGATCTTTTGCTCTTCACAATAAATCTTGCTGCTGCTCACTCACTGGGTCCGCACCACCTTTAAGAGCTGTAACACTCACCGCGAAAGTCCATGGCTTCATTCCTGAAGTCAGCGAGACCACCAACCCACTGGAAGGAACAAACTCTGGATACATCTTCGTGATTACAAAGGGACTATTGCCAACTGGTGAATACCACTGGACCCCTTTCACTTGCTATTCTGTCCTATTTTTCCTTGGAATTTGGGGGTTAAACACTGGGCACTTGTCAGCCAGTTAAAAGTGACTAGCATGGCCACCCAACTAAAGACACGAGTGTCAGGCTTTCTGGGAAAGGACTCTCTAACAACCCCTGACTCTTTGGAGTTGATAGCATTGGTTTGCCTGGAACCAGCTTCTGCTTTTCCTGTACTGGAACCAGCTTCTGCTTTTCCTGTACTTCCGGGCTGAGCTGAGGGTTGACAGAGAGGAAAGCCATTCAGCTCTGGGGTCCAACAAAAAGTTGGTTGACCCTGTAGCCATGAGAGAAACTCTGAAAGTCACATTGCCCAAGTGAGACTCACCCATCTATCCTATCTATCCTGATGCTTGCCTCCTGGGTCCTAACACCTATCAGATAAACTTCCTCCTGCCTCTCTTCTCTGAAGCTAGTCCCGCTTCTAAAAACCACTCCCTGATTCTGGTGCTTTTCTAGTTTTTCCTGTAAGAATGATTTCCAGTATAAATTTTGGAACTCTATTTCTTTCCTTAGGCAACCAGGCTAACCAATCAGAAAGACAAAATTTCTGCCCAAAACCCCACTTGGGGGGTTACTATCTGGAATTTTAGAATCCCTCCTCAGACTAGCAGGCCTAACAAAAGCTATTCCTGAAGCTAGGATATAGGGAGCCTCAGAAATGATATCCTTCCTATCCATATGATTAGAAGTGAGGACAAAAGGTGTCACTCTTCCAATGCTAGAGATCCCTTCCCTCCCTCAGGGTATGGCCCTCCACTCCATTTTTAGGCATATCATCTTTATAGGACAGGGGTAAAGTCCCAATACTAACAGGAGAAAACGTTTAGGACTCTAACAGGTTTTTGAGAATGCGTCAGTAAGGGCCACTAACTCTGATTTTTCTCGGTCCTCTTTGTGGTCTAAGAGGAAAGGCAAGGGTGCAGGTTTTTGAGAATGCATCGGTAAGGGCCATTAAATCCGACCTTCCTCAGTCCTCCTTGTGGTCTAGGAGGAAAACTAGTGTTTCTGCTTCTGTGTCAGTGAGCGCAACTATACCGATCAGCAGGGTCCGCGGACCATTGTGAGTTCTTGGGTGGGGAGTGGGGTGGGGTAGGGGGGAAACAAGCCAAAAATGTGGGCAGTTTTTTCTTTCAGATGGGAAACACTCAAGCATCAACAGGCTCACTCTTTAAATGCATCCTAAGCCATTGGGACCAATTTGACCCACAAACCCTGAAAAATAGGTGGCTCATTTTTTTCTGCACTATGGCCTGGCCCCAGTATTCTCTCTCTGATGGGGAAAAATGGCCACCTGAGGGAAGTATAAATTATGACACTATCCTGCAGCTTGACCTTTTCTGTAAGAGGGAAAGCAAATGGAGTGAAATACATTATGTCCAAGCTTTCTTTTCAATGAAGGATAATCCACAACTAAGCAAAGCTTGCAATTTACATCCCACAGGAGGACCTCTCAGCTTACCTCCATATCCTAGCCTTCCTATAGCTCCCCTTCCTATTAATGATAAGCCTCCTCTAATCTCCCCTCCCCAGAAGAAAACAAGCAAAGAAATCTCCAAAGGACCACAAAAAACCCCTGGCTATTGGTTATGTCCCCTTCAAGCTTAGGGGGAGGGGAATTTGGCCCAACCCGGGTACATGTCCCCTTCTCCCTCTCTGATTTAAAGCAGATCAAAGTAGACTTGGGGAAGTTTTCAGATCATCCTGATAGGTACATAGATGTCCTACAGGGTCTAGGGCAAACCTTCAACCTCAGTTGGACAGATGTCATGCTATTTTTAGACCAAACCCTGGCATTTAATGAAAATGTGGTTTTAGCTGCAGCTAGCTTAGTCAAGTAAATGATAGAATGACAGCCAAAGAAAGGGACAAATTCCCTACCAGTCAGCCGGCCCTTCCCCAGTATGGATCCCCACTGGGACCTAGACTAAAATCATAGGGACCGGAGTCATAAACATCTGCTAACCTGTGTTCTAGAAGGGCTAAGGAGAAATAGGAAAAAGCCCATGAATTATTCAGTGATGTCCACCATAACTCAGGGAAAGGAAGAAAATCCTTCTGCCTTCCTCAAGTGGCTATAGGAGGCCTTAAGAAAATATACTCCCCTGTCACCCGGCTCCATCAAGGGTCAATTGATCCTCAAAGATAAGTTTATTACCCAATCAGCTGCAGATATCAGGAGAAAGCTCCAAAAGCAAGCCCTGGGCCCTGATCAAAATCTGGAGGTGTTATTAAATCTGGCAACCTCGGTGTTCTATAATAGGGACCAAGAAGAACAGGCCCAAAGGGAAAAGCGAGATCAGAGAAAGGCTGCAGCCTTTGTCATGACAATTAGAGAAACAAACTTCGGTGGTTCAGAGAGGACAGAAAATGGAGCAGGTCAATCACCCAGTAGGGCTTGTTATCAGTGTGGTTTACAAGGACACTTTAAAAAAGATTGTCCAATGAGAAACAAGCCACCCCCTCATCCATGTCCTCTATGCCAAGGCAATCACTGGAAGGCACACTGCCCCAGAGGACAAAGGTTCTCTGAGGCAGAAGCCCCCAACCAGATGATCCAACAACAGGACTGAGGGTGCCTGGGGCAAGAACCAGCTCATGTCATCACCTCACTGAGCCCCGGGTATGTGTAACTATTGAGGACCAGGAAATTGACTTCCTTCTGGACACTGGCACAGCTTTCTCAGTGTTAACCTCCCATCCTGGACAGCTGTCCTCAAGGTCCATTACCATCCGAGGAATCCCGGGACAGCCTGTAACCAGGTATTTCTCCCACCTTCTCAGTTGTAATTCAGAGACTTTGCTCTTTTCACATGCCTTTCTTGTTTTGTCTGAAAGTCCCACACCCTTATAGGGATGGACATATTAGCCAAAGCTGGAGTTATTATCTACATGAATATGGGGAAAAAGTTACCCATTTGTTGTCCCCTGCTTGAGGAGGAAATCAACCCTGAAGTCTGGGCATTGGAAGGACAATTTGGAAGGGCAAAAAATGCCCACCCAGTCCAAATCAAGCTAAAAGACCCCACCAGTTTTCCTTATCAAAGGGAATATCCCTTAAGGCCTAAGCTCATAAAGGATTGCAGGATATAGTTAGATATTTAAAAGTTCAAGGCTTAGTAAGAAAATGCAGCAGTCCCTGCAACACCCCGATTCTAGGAGTACAAAAATCGAATGGTCAGTGGAGACTAGTGCAAGATCTTAGACTCATCAATGAGGCAGTAATTCCTCTATATCCAATTGTACCCAACCCCTATACCCTGCTCTCTCAAATACAAGAGGAAGCAGAATGGTTCACTGTTCTGGACCTCAAGGATGCCTTCTTCTGTATTCCCCTGCACTCTGACTCCCAGTTTCTCTTTGCCTTTGAGGATTCCACAGACCACACGTCCCAATTTACATGGATGGTCTTGCCCCAAGGGTTTAGGGATAGCCCTCATCTGTTTGGTCAGGCACTGGCCCAAGATCTAGACCACTTCTCAAGTCGAGGTACTCTGGTCCTTCAGTATGTGGATGATTTACTTTTGGCTACCAGTTTGGATGCCTCATGCCAGCAGGCTACTCTAGATCTCTTAAACTTTCTAGCTAATCAAGGATACAAGGCATCTAAATTGAAGGCCCAACTCTGCCTACAACAAGTCAAATATCTAGGCCTAATTTTAGCCAGAGGAACCAAGACCCTCAGCAAGGAACAAATACAGCCTGTGCTGGCTTATCCTCACCCTAAGACATTAAAACTGTTGCAGGGGTTCCTTGGAATCACAGGCTTTTGCCAACTATGGATCACTAGATACAGTGAGATAGCCAGGCCTCTCTATATTCTAATCAAGGAGACCCAGAGGGCAAATACTCATCTAATAGAATGGGAACCAGAGGCAGAAACAGCCTTCAAAACCTTAAAATAGGCCCTAGTACAAGCTCCAGGCTTAAGCCTTCCCACAGGACAAAACTTCTCTTTATACGTCACAGAGAGAGCACGAATAGCTCTTGGAGTCCTTACTCAGACTTGTGGGACAACCCCACAACCAGTGGCATACCTAAGTAAGGAAATTGATATAGCAAAACCTGGCTTCACTGTTTATGGGTGGTTGTGGCGGTGGCTGTCTTAGTATCAGAGGCTATCAAAATAATACAAAGAAAGGATCTCACCGTCCGGACTACTCATGATGTAAATGGCATACTAGGTGCCAAAGGAAGTTTATGGCTATCAGACAACTGCCTGTTTAGATGCTGCTGCTTGAGGGACTGGTGCTGCAAATACACATGTGTGCAGCCCTCATCCCTGCCACTTTTCTCCCAGAGGATGGGGAACCAATTGAATATGATTTCCAACAAGTTATAGTCCAGACTTATGCCACCTGAGAAGATCTCTTATAAGTCCCCTTAGCTAATCCTGACCTTAATCTGTATACCGATGGAAGTTCATTTGTGGAGAATGGGATACAAAGGGCAGGTTATGCCACACCATAGTTAATGATGTAACAGCACTTGAAAGTAAGCCTTTTCCCACAGGGACCAGTGCCCAGTTAGCAGAACTAATGGCACTTACCTGAGACTTAGAACTGGGAAAGGGAAAAAGAATAAATGTGTATACAGATAGCAAGTATGCTTATCTAATCCTACATGCCCATGCTGCAATAAGGAAAGAAAGGGAGTTCCTAACCTCTGGGGGAACCCCCATTAAATACCACAAGGAAATCATGGACTTATTGCATGCAGTGCAAAAACCCAAGGAGGTGGCAATCTTACACTGCCAAAGCCATCAAAAAGGTGAAGGAGAAAAGGCAGAAGGAAACCATCAGGCAGATGCTGAGGCCAAAATTGCTGCCAGGTGGAACCTCTCATTAGAAATACTTATGGAAGGATCCTTGGTATGAAACAATCCCCTCCAAGAGATTAAGCCCCAGTATTCCCCGACTGAAACAGAATGGGGACTTTCATGGGGCATAGTTTTCTCCCCTCAGGGTGGTTAATGACAGAGAGACAAAGTGGGAGTCAGACAGAAAGAGAGAGGGAAGGGAAAGACAGAAAGTCAAAGAGAAAGAGAGAGAGAGGAAGAGACAGATAAAGAAGGAGTCAGAAAGAGAGAAAGACACAGAAAGTCAGAGACAGAGAGGAAAGAGAGACAGAGGAAGAGACAGAGAGACAAAGAGAGAGAAAGAAAGAGAAGCCAGGGTACCTTTCTGTCTACCCAGCCAAGGCATATTCTTCTTATGTGGAGCTTCAACCTATATCTGCCTCCCCACCAACTGGACAGGCACCCACACCTTAGTCTTCCTAAGTCCCAACATTAACATTGCCCCAGGAAATCAGACCCTATCAGTGCCCCTTAAAGATCAAGTCCATCAGCGCAGGGCCATTCAACTAATACCCCTACTTATAGAGTTAGGAATACCACTGCTACAGGAACCAGAATAGCAGGTTTATCTACTTCATTATCCTACTACTGCACACTCTCAAAGGATTTCTTAGACAGTTAGCAAGAAATAACAAAATCTATCCTTACTCTTCAATCCCAAATAGACTCTGGCAGCAGTGACTCTCCAAAAATGCCGAGGCCTAGACCTCCTCACTACTGAGAAAAGAGGACTCTGCACCTTCTTAGGGGAAGAATGTTGCTTTTACACTAACCAGTCAGGGATAGTATAAGACTCCACCCAGCATTTACAGGAAAAGGCTTCTGAAATCAGACAATGCCTTTCAAACTCTTATACCAACCTCTGGAGTTGGGCGGCATGGCTTCACCCCTTTCTAGGTCCCATGACAGCCATCTTGCTATTACTCACCTTTGGACCTTGTATTTTTAAACTCCTTGTCAAATTTGTTTCCTCCAGGATCAAGGCCATCAAGCTACAGATGGCCTTACAAATGGAACTCCAAATGAGCTCAACTAACAACTTCTGCTGAGGACCCCTGGATCGACCCACTGGCTCTTTGACTGGCCTAGAAAGTTCCCCTCTGGAGGACACTACACTGCAGAGCCCCTTCTTCACCCCTATCCAGTAGGAAGTAGCTAGAGTGGTCATCGCCCAATTCCCAACAGCAGCTGGGGTGTCCTGTTTAGAGGGGGGATTTGAGATGAAGCCAGCTGGACTTCTGGGTCAGGTGGACTTGGAGAACTTTTCTGTCTTACAAGAGGATTGCAAAATGCACCAATCAGCACTCTGTAGCTAGGATTGTAAAATGTACCAATCAGCACTCTGTGGCTAGCTAGAGGTTTGTAAAATGCATGAATCAGTGCTCTGTAAAAACACACTAATTGGCGCTCTGTGGCTAGCTAGAGGTTTGTAAAATGCATGAATCAGTGCTCTGTAAAAACACACTAATTGGCGCTCTGTGGCTAGCTAGAGGTTTGTAAAATAGACCAATCAGCACTCTGTAAAATGGACCAATCAGCACTCTGTAAAGTGGACCAATCAGCAGGATGTGGGTGTGGACAAATAAGGGAATAAAAGCTGGCCCAGCCAGCAGTGGCAACCCGCTCAGGTCCCCTTCCATGCTTTGGAAGTTTGTTGTTTCGCTCTTCACAATAAATCTTGCTGCTGCTCACTCTTTGGGTCTGCACCACCTTTAAGAGCTGTAACACTCACTGCAAAGGTCTGCAGCTTCATTCCTGAAGTCAATGAGACCACAAATCCACCAGAAGGAACAAACTCTGGGCACAGTTGTTTGTTTTAGGGGAGATCCACCAAATTCGTAACATGTTTGAATTGAAATTTTAAAGATTACAAAAACATTTTAATTATAAACATTAAGAAATTTGTAGGTAATTTATGTATTTCTTAAGTATATAAAAACTTTATATAAATAAAGTTTTGGAAGAAAAAACTGTTATACATCATAAGGTCCAATTAATAAAACAGAGAAATTTTTATTTGTTTGCTTTTCTATATTTCCCTTCCTTGAGAAAAAAGACTGTGCTTTGTTTATGTTGCCCTCATGAATGTGCAATTGAGTAAATAAGAGATGGTACTGAATAAAAGTCTGAAAGCCAAATGTCTTCTAGCTCCTAGGACTTTGACCCTCCTTACTAGACCCTAGGTATTCATTTCTTTCCCTTTCTTTCTTTCTTTTCTTTCTTTCTTTCTTTTTCTTTCTTTCTTTCTTTCTTTCTCTTTCTTTCTTTCTTTCTTTCCTTCTTTCTTTCTTCCTTTCTTTCTTTCTTTTCTTTCTTTTTCTTTCTTTTTTAGAGACCAAGTTTCACTCTTGTTGACCAGGCTGGAGTGCAGTGGCACGATCTTTACTCACTGCAACTCTACCTCCCAGGTTCAAGCAATTCTCCTGCTTCAGCCTTCCTGAGTAGCTGGGATTACAGGCATGTGCCACCACGCCTGGCCACTTTTGTATTTTTAGTAGAGACGGGGTTTCTCCATGTTGGTCAGGCTTGTCTCAAACTCCCAACCTCAGATGATCTGCCCACCTCAGCCTCTCAATGCACTGGGATTACAGGCATGAGACACCGTGCCTGGCCAACCCCAGGAATGCATTTCAAGACAACTCATCATTCTCGTTTCTACTCACTGCAAAGAGACACCCCCAAAAAGCATGTGGCCTCATTTATGAAATACATGGAGACAGACATATGTCATTGGTCCCATCTGAGCTCTTAATCACTTTTTAGTCTTTTGTACACAAAGATTTCTCCCCACATTTGCTCTTCTCAAATTCTTTCCCATCTCTGTTGAAAGCAGCTCATCCTTCCTGTTGTTTACTCCAAATCCTTGGATGCATTTTTAAATCCTGCCTTCATCTCATTCTATCTGCCAGGAAATCCTCTTGGATCTACCCTCAAAATATTTCCTGAGTCTAACCTGCTTATGATCTTTATGGCTATCACCTTTTCCACACCACCAGCATCTCTCAGTAGACTATTGTAATATGTTTCCAAGTAGTGTTCATGTTTCTACCCTCATCTCCTCCCACCCTCTTAGGATGATTTCCATACAGCACTTATGGCTATCTTTTTAGAACATAAGCTGGGTTATGTTGCTTTTCTATTCAAACTTTCCAAAGGATTTCCATTTTGTTTATTGTCTGTTCATAATTTTTAAAAACATTAGTTTGATGAGAGCAGAGATTGTGGGGTTTTTTAGTTACCTGAGGCATCCCACGTTCCCAGAACAGTTCCTCGCCCATGGTTGGTTCTCAATAATATTTACTCAATAAATTAAAGACAATAAGAATCAGTTATTACTGTTAGAATGCTCTTAAGAAACCCAAATCTTATTGAAAAAGTGTTAGAACAAGTTGAATTATTGCATCTTTAATTGGTTTAAACATTAATATTTTAAAATTCAACCTTAAAATCCACTAACATAAGCTGCTTGATATGTGAACATTGAAGGAACTAAAATTACTAAGTGCAGTTTAAAGTAGAAAAAGAATACAATTGAGACATTTACATATATCTGCAAAAGAGTGTTTCAGTTTGTTTTTAAAAAGTGTTCTAAAATAGTGATACTTAAAAAAATACAATATTTTGCTGTAAGTAGAACACAGCCTTGGAGTAAAAGACCTATATTAAAGTCCTGATTTTGCCACTGATTAGCTATGTGACTTTGATATGCTCTCTCACCAACTTTGCATTCATGTTAGGCTTCTAGTTGAATCAGTTTTAAAGAGATTTAAATTTCTTCTCTTAGGAAGAGGCAAAGAGTTTCAAGGACAATTTTGAAAATTCTAAATTTTAATCACAATTTTCTTCGTAAGTAAGCTACAGAATGGGATGTGAACTACAGCAAATCCAAAGTAATTACAGTTGAGCATAAGAAATGGCCTTGATGGAAACTATAATTATTTGTGAAGAACTTCTATTGAGTAAATATGCCATTATGTCAAAATAATATGGCTGAAGGATCTAAATATTTTCCTCTTCTCTTTTATTGTGAAATCTCATACTTAAAAAAATCCAACCATTTAACAGATGGATTACTGAAAATCCATTCTCTGAAGGAGCTGACATTTCATCAATCTGATGAAAATTTGAGCTCCTATATATAGTTCCTTAACTGGGATAATAACAGACATTTTAAGAAGAAAGCTTAGCTGGGAAGCTTGATAGTTAGGAAACTTAACTGTGAAAGAAACTATTTTTGCACAATTAACTTTCTTTGTATGAAAAAAATCTGCCTCCTAACATGATTTAGAAACTTCTAACTAATATATAACTATTATTTGGAAAAGTTTTTAAAAAGTCCCTTTGGGATGTGCAACACATCTTCTCATAGAAAATGTACAAATTTTTCATGTCTTTTTCAGTTTTATTATATTTTTAATTGACATATAACACTTGTACATATCTATGGGGTACAGTGTGATATTTTGACATATGTATACATTATGTAATGATCAAATTAGGGTAATTAGCATATTCATCACCTCAAATATTATCATTTCTTAGTGGTGAGGGCATCCAAAATTTTCTCTTCTAGTTATTTTGAAATATACACTTTGTTGTTAACTATAGTCACCCTACTCTGCAACGGAACACTAGAACTCATTTCTCCTCCTATTTTACTGTAACTTTGTAATCATTGACCAACATCTCTCCAACCCCCTCTTCTTCTCCTTTTCCCAGCCTCTGGTAACCACTATTTTACTCTCTACTTCTATGACATAATGTTTTTTTAGATTCCACATATGAGTGAAATCATGGGGGTGTTTATCTTTCAGAGCATGAGTTATTTTACCTAACATACTGTCCTCTGGGCTTATCTATGTGGTCAAAAATGACTGGATTTTATTCTCTTATAGAGCAAAATAGTATTCCATTGTGTAAATATATTAGGTTTTCTTCATTCATTCCTCCATTGATGGACGCTTTTGTTGATTTCATATCTTGGCTATTGTGAATAGTGCTGCAATAAACATGGGAGTGCTGCTGATATCTCTTCAACATACTGATTTTCTTTCCTTTGAATATTTACCCATAAGGAAGATTGATGAATAATTTGATAGTTTTAATTTTAGTTTTCTGAGAAAACTTCAGATTGTTTTCCATAATGGCTGTATTAATTTAAATATAGTGTGTGAGTTCTCCTTTCTCTACATCCAGCATTTATTTTTGTCTTTTTGATAATAGTTATTCTAACTGGAGTGAGATGATGTCTCATTGTCATTTTTATTTGAATTTTCCTGATGATTAGCAATGTTGAGCATTGTTTTCATACACATGTTGGCCATTTGTATGTTTTCTTTTGAGAAATGTCTATTCAGGTCTTTTGACTATTCTTTAATCAAATTATTATTATTTTGCTATTGAATTAAGTTCCTTATATATTCTGGATATTAATGTCCTGTGAGATGCATAGTTTGCAAATATTTTCTCCCATTCTATAGGTTGTCTCTTCACTCTGTTGATTGTTTCCTTTGCTTTCTTTCACTGTGCAGAAGCTTTTTAGTTTGATGTAATCCCAATTTGCTTTTGTTGCCTGTGCTTTGGGTCCTTATCATTAAAAAATCCTTGCCCAGACCAATGTCATGAAGTGTTTCCCCCATGTTTTCTTCTAGTAGTTTCATGGTTTCAGGTTTTACAATTAAGCACTTAATCCATTTTGAGTTGATTTTTGTAAGTGGTGAGAGATAGGGGTCTATTCGTTCTTCTGTACGTGGATATCCAGTTTTCCTAGAACCATTTGTTGAAGAGACTGTCCTTCCCCCATTGTGTGTTCTTGGCACTTCTGCCAAAAATGACCTGGCTGTAAATTCATGGATTTACTTCTGGATTCTCTATTCTGTTCCATTCGTGCATGTGTCTGTTTCTATGCCAGTATCATGTTGTTTGGGTTACTGTTGCTTTGTAATGTATTTTGAAGTCAGGTAATGTAATGCTTCCAGGGTTGTTCCTTTTGCTTAAGATTGCTTTGGCTATTCATGGTCTTTTGTGGTCCCATATAAATTTTAGGATTATTTTTTCTATTGCTGTGAAGAATGTCATTGGCGGTTTGATAAGAATTGCATTGAAGCTGTAAATTGCTTATAGTATGGGTATTTTAACAATATTAATTCTTCTAATTTATGAACACAGAATATCTTCCTATTTATTTGTGTCTTCTTCAAGTTCTTTTTGTAATATTTTATAGTTTTCATTGTAAAGCTCTTTCACCTCCTTGGTTAAATTTATTGCTAGGTATTTTAATTTTTTATAGCAATTCTTCCTTGATTTCTTTTTCAGATTGCTTGCTGTTGGCATATATAATGCTACTCATTTTTGTATGTTGATTTCTTATCCTGTACTAATAATGGTTATGTATCTATAAAACCCACAAAAGCCTATGTAACTACCTGAATGACCATTCTTAACTATTTTTATTTTAAAAAAGAATATATCTAGAAATTTGTAGATGAAAGAAAAACAGAGAAATTAAAGACTGATTGGAAGGTTGTAAAAGTCAGTATTTTTGTTTTCAAGACCCAGCAATGGATTCTGGCTAACTTCAGAATGTACTGGAAGAATATTGTGTCGTTTACAGAATTAGAATCAAACGTAGGGCTAGGGAAGAGTCTTGGAAACAAGACAAGAGCACAGGACGTTTGGCGTAGGGCTGAGAGCCAATGACATACCCTGGAGCAGTACTGAAGTTTGGGACCTCTCCTGCTACCATTCCCAGCGTCTCAGTGCTGCAGCCCCTGGACTTAATATATTTGCGGTAAATATCTTCCCAATTGTCTCTATGTCTCTACTACAGTTCATTTAGATAGAATTTGGAGTTGATGGCATTGACTACTTTGGGTCCCTTTTATTTAACAAAATATTTTCAGGGAAGTTTACAAAGTTATCTTTTTGCATAGAGTATGTTCCTTTATAATATGAGATGTAATTTGTTACAGCTCTGGAAAGAAAACTAAGAGTTAAAATCTTGCTCTTAAGCCTAAATCTAAGAAAGGATGACCTACTTAATAAACAGTGCTGGGAAAACAGGCTAGCCAAATGTAGAACAATGAAATTGGGCTCCTATCTCTCACCTTTTGCAAAAATCAACTCAAGATGGATCAAAGACTTAAATCTAAGACCTGAAACTACACAGATTCTAGAAAGAACCTGGGAAAAACTCTTCTGCACATTGGTCTAGGCAATAACTTATGACTAAGATGCCAAAAGCAAATGCAATAAAACCAAAACTAAATTAAATTGGACCTAATTAAGCAAAAAGCTTCTGCACAGCAAAAGAAATAATCAGCAGAGTAAACAGACTACCCACAGAATGGGAGAAAATATTTGCAAACTATGTATCCATCAAAGAAATAATATCGAGATTCTAAAACAAATCAGCAAGAAAAAAGCACAAATGATCCCATCAAAAAGTGAACAAATGACATGAATAGACATTTCTCAAAGGAGGATATACAAATAAACATAAGAAAAAATGCTCAACATCATTAATCATCAGAGAAATGCAAATTACATAGTGAGATATCACCTAACTCCTGCAACAATGGCCACTATTAAAGGGTCAAAAAACAATAGATGTTGGCATGGATGCAGTGAAAGTGGAATGCTTTTACACTGCTGGTGGGAATGTAAATTAGTATAACCACTATGGAGAAACAGTATGGAGATTCCTTAAAGAACTAAAAGTAGATCTACCATTTGATCCAACAAGACCTAGTAGTAGTACTAGGTCTCTTCCCAAAGGAAAAGAAGTCATTATATCAAACAGACACTTGTATGCACATATTTATTGCAGCACAATTCACAATTGCAAAGATATAGGACCAACCTAAGTGCCCATCAACCAATGAGGGAATTAAAAAACTGTGTTATATACACATTATGGAATACTAATCTGCCATAAAAATAACAAAATAATGTCTTTTGCAGCAACTTGGATGGAGCTGAAGGCCATTATTCTAAGTGAAGTAACTCAAGAATGGAAAACCAAATATCATATGTTCTCACTTATAAGTGGGAGCTAAGCTATGGGTACACAAAGGTATACAGAGTGGTATAATGGACTTTGGAGACTCAGAAACAGGAGGGTATAAGGGGTGAGAAATAAAAAACTACATATTGGGTAGTATGCACACTAGTCAGGTGATGGGTGCACTAAGATCTCAGACTTCACCTACACAATTTATTCATGTAACTAAAAATGATTCATACTCCAGAAGCTATTGAAATAAAAAAAATCAATAAATAGTTAAATAAACAAAAAAAAACTGAACTTAAAATAAAATTAAATTTAAAAAAAGCCTGACCAGAAAAGATGAACAAGAAAAATATAATATATGTGGCCCCTTAATTTTCCCAAGAGTCTCTTACCTTTCAAGCTGGGCATCTCAGCTGACACCCCTGCAGCCACCTGTCTTGCAGCCTTTGATGTCTCAGCCTGCCAAATCCAACCAGCTGTTCTCCTTATTCATCTAGAGATAGGTTTCCTTTACCACTTCAGTTGAAATCTTGGTGACATTCTTGCATCTCCTCAAACGCCATTCTGTTAAAATCTCTAGTAAATGAAAGCAAATACTTTAGTTTTTCTGCAACCTTCCCTTATGACTTTATTTCAAGAATTTTTATAATACTTGATTAAAGGGTACATGTTCTGATTGTTCTGAAGTTGCTAGCTTCTTCTCTTCTCTGTGTTTCCCCAAGCCAAAGCTGTAATCATGAACCAGCTATGCCAATCCTTGGCAGTATGGTTCTAATAATATTTGCCAACTAGAATGTGCAATATTTTAAAAATTGGGTCACTTGCTTCCTGTGTTATGTATTAGAGATACCTAACATTACCCAAGATCATGAATCTGTAGAAAATTATAGCATAGAATTAAGTAAGAACAAGTTTTCTAACTACTGTGCCCTACTTTAAAGAAACTTTTATGTAGGAAAATATTTTCAACACACCCATTTAAAAACAACTGTGTTCTCAGGCAGTACAAATGATGTTTAACACAAAATACATTATATTGGTTGAAAGCCCAAGAGTTTCATAGGCCTTTTGAAGTTTCAGTGTGTACAGCCTCTTCATTCTATCTGGCATTCTAGGACCTCCAGTGTCCGGAAAGCTTTAGTCTGAGCAGGAATGTATACCCTCTCCTCACCTTCCCCTCCAGTTTTTAATTTCTTATACTCTTGTGGATATCAGCACAGTTTTACATAAGAGAAGTGATATTACCACAAGGCCCAAGTTTTGATCATTTTGTAGAATGACTGAATTCTATCAAATTCAGAGATATCAACTCCTAAAACCTCTATGTTATGTAACACAAAAAGGTAACACAGTTTTAAAGTGTTGTGGTTTCTCTATGTAGTACAATTCAGCCTTAGGCACAAAATGCTGACAGGACCTGTGTTCACAGACTACTAAAATATTCCTGCCTTGATACTCAATCTCCGCACACCAGGCAGAGAAGTTATAACAACCCAACCCAAGTGGCATAGCTGGCATGGAAAAACTGAGAAAGTTAGGTTATTAATAAAACTTTACGGCAAACATCTGCTGCCCTGGCCCAAGCACAGTGAACGCCCACATACAAACTCACAGATATGCGAGAAATTCTGCTGAAATCCCTGTTCTCATAGATCTTGGTAAGTTACAGAGTTGTTGAAATAATTGTTGATAATAATCAGAATGACAATAAGAAAAATGCATTTATTTTGTAGGAGGCATCATTCTAAGTGCCTTATGTGTTTTCATTCATTCAATTCTTTTAATTTAATTAACTTAGTCTAATATTCACAACCTCTTGTATCCGTTAGCTAATGCTGTGTAATAACACAGTGGCTTAAACTGCCAAATGAAGGCCCGGCACAGTGACTCATGCCTGTAATCCTAGCACTTTGTGAGGCTGAGGTGGGCGGATCACTCGAGGTCAGGGGTTCAATCTACTAAATCCACCAGCCTGGCCAACATGGTGAAACCCCATCTCTACCAAAAATACAAAGAATTAGCCAGGCATGGTGGCATGCACCTGTAGTCTCAGCTACTCGGGAGGCTGAGGCAGGAGACTCACTTGAATCCTGGAAGTGGAAGTTGCGGTGAGCCGAGATCGTGCTGCTGCACTCCAGCCTGGGTGACAGAGCAAGACTCCGTCTCAAAAAAAAACAAAAAAACAAAAAAACAACAAACAAAAAACAAAAAAAACCTGCCAAATGCAGTGGCTTAAAAAATAAATATTTTTCACTTCTCATAAGTCTGTAGTTGGCTGGATGGGTCTCTGACCTGGCCCAGGCTTGGTTTATCTTGGGTACGCTTACTCTGCGTCTGATGTTAGCTGGTGGCTCAGCTAGAAGATGAGTATTTTACTATAGTCAATGGTCTCTCATGTTCCAGCAGGCTCTCTCGGACTTGCTTCATAATATTGGTGAGGGTCCAACTGAGAAAGCAAAGTGTACAAGGCTTCTTGAAGCCTAGTCTCAGAACTGACATACTCTCATCCTTCACATCACATTGGCCAATGCAAGTCGTAAGTCTAGCTTATATTCAAGGAGCTCAAGGAGGCGTGGGAAGGTAGGGAAAGACTTCACCTCTTGACAGGAGAAGTTTCAAATTCACATGGCAAAAGGTATGGATACAGGAAGGGGTGGAGATTTCAGCAATTTTTTTTTTGTAATCAACCTATCATGGCATTATTTTTCAGTCCATTCTGGAGATAAGAAAATTGAGGAATTTCTAGTTAAGTAACTCTCTCATGGTCATATACAGCACTGCTCCTAGAGTGGCAAGTTTCCGAGCAAATATTTTTGGTAGGCTCCTAACTATATAAACAATGTTATTAAAGACTTTATGACAAAATTCATGGGCCTCAGTGTGATATAATGACTCATTTATGGAGATTTAGAATAATGGCTATATACCAACAACCACCAAGCTGAGAATCAAATCAAGAATTCAATTCCTTTTACAACAGCTGCAAAATAATAAAGTAAAATAAAATAAAATAAAATACCTGGGAATATACTTAACCAAGGAGGTGAAAGATGTCTATGAGGAAAACTACAAAACACTGCTGAAAGGAATCATAGATGACACGAACAAATGAAAACACATCTCATGCTCATGGATGGAAAGAATCAATATTGTAAAAATGACCATACTGCCAAAAGCAATCTATAGATTCAAAGCAATTCCCATCAAAGTACCATCATCATTCTTCAAAGAACTAGAAAAAACAATCCTAAAATTCATATGGAACCAAAAAAGACCCTGTGTAGCTGAAGCAACATGAAGCAAAAAGAACAAATCTGGATTATGCATGTTTAACACCTGATATCTAATTTGTGCTTTCTCAATGACTAAACACACGTTTCATACATGAATACTTCTTTACTTGCCCTCTATTTTCTTGTTCTTCCAAAGCTCTCTCTTCAGTCTTTAAAACGTTGTAATGTAAGAGAGACAATTGCAGTGAAGGACACAGCACCTTACCTCCAGCAAGCACTGCTTTTGGCTTGTATATGTATTATACACTTTGATTCAGTGATCAAAACATGTTTTAAGTAAAATATACCATCTTAATACACTAAAATCATGCAACCCTATTTTAAATAAACTTCACAAAGAGCGCTAATGGTATTCCTTTTAAAATTAAGTTTGCTAACATTCTTTGAGGATTCTCCCTAATAAAGGTGTAGAGGGCCCCAAGAGCTGTATCTTCCCTATGCCTTAGTGAAGGGGTCCCATGGAGGAAAGCGGGATCAGGACTGAATTGGGTTTCCTTTTCGTAGCTAGCTCTACTTTACGCCATGGAACAGGCTTGCCCGAGGCTCCAACTTACCAATCCTGTCTGAAATCTGGGTAGATTATTTCCACAAGCAAAGAGGATTCAGCACTAGGTCATTCAGGAGTCTCTGTCAGGCCTCCTGTCTCAGGCAACATTCTCTAATCCTTTCCGTGGTGACTGCCTCTGCTTTGTCAAGGGATCAGTTTTCACCTTAGGACAATGCGGGTGCCTGACTATTTTCCCTGATAACTTCCAAGTCCTGAATGACCTGTCACTGACTAACCTATCCAAAAGTTGGTTAAGACTTTGATACGTGATTTTGTAAAAAACATCAATTTTTCCTAATCGAATTGAAAAATTTAATGTAATGGCAATAAAAATGGTGGCAGAATAGTTTTGAAACAGAACAAGCTATGTGGAAAGTTTATTTGGAAAAACAGACATATAAAAAGAGGTAGGAAAATCTTGAAATAGAAGTGCTACAAGGGGGAAAAGGCCAACAAGTGTAACAGCTTTTTATTTTCAAGTTAGAGTGAAATATATTTCCTATGGCTGCTGTAACAAATTACCACAAACTAAGTGGCTTTAAACAACACAAGTGTATTCTCTTACAGCTCTAGAGGTCAGAAGCCCAACATGGGTCAGCAGCGCTGGCTCCTTCTAAAGGCTCATGGGAGAATCCATTTCTTCCTCTTCCAGCTTCCAGAGGCTGCCTGCATTCCTCGGCTCCCGGCCCTTCCTCCATCCCAGAACCAGTAGTGAGGCTCCTTTTGCTCCCTCCTCTCTGCCTGTTGCTTCCTCATCTCCTTGCCTGACTCTGACTCTCCTGCCCTTGATGACATTGGGCTCACTTGGGTCCTCCAGGGCATTCTCCTTGTGTCAGAACCCTTATGCGAATCATCTATGTGCAGCTAACAGATCCACAGGTTCTGGAGACTGGGGACGTTATTCTCTCTAACACACAAACCATTCTGATTCTTATGTATTAATAAATAGATCAATGGAATAAATACAGAGACTAGAAATGTACTAAAACCATGCGGGAATTTAGGGTATAATGCTAAAGGAAAAATCCACCAAAATCAATTCCAAATCAATCAATGATTTAAATTAAAGATATGTGAAGCCGGGCGTGGTGGCTCAAGCCTGTAATCCCAGCACTTTGGGAGGCCGAGGCGGCCGGATCATGAGGTCAGGAGATTGAGACCATCCTGGCTAACAGATGAAACTCTGTCTCTACTAAAAATACAAAAAAAAATTAGCCTAGGTGGTGGCGGGTGCCTGTAGTCCCAGCTACTGGGGAGGCTGAGGCTGGAGAATGACTTGAAGTGGGAGGCGGAGCTTGCAGTGAGCTGAGATTGCGCCACTGCACTCCAGCCTGGGTGACAGAGCAAGACTCCGTCTCAAAAAAAAAAAAAAAGAAAAAAAGAAAAAAGTAAAACTGAAGAAAACCTGTGAGATAATGAGGCAAAATTATTTTCATGAACTTGGAGACAGGAAGACCCTTCTATGCCAAGCATAAAATTCAGAAACCATATATAAAGCAATTGATAATTTTGAGTACAGAAATTTTAGCATAAAAAGTAAAACAATCAACAGAAAAACTGTGCAAGCTGGGCACAGTGGCTCATGCCTATAATCTCAGCACTTTGGGAGACCAAGACAGGAAGATTGCTTAAGCCCAGGAGTTCAACACCAGCCTGGCAACATAGCAAGACCCTTCCCTACAAAAAAAAAAAAAAAATTTAGCAGGATGTGGTGGCACATGCCTGTAATCCCACCTACTCAGGAAGCTGAGGTAGGAGGATTAATTGAGCCTGAGAGGTTGAGGCTCCAGTGAGCCATGATTGTGTCACTGCACTCCAGCCTGGGCAGTAGAGCAAGACCCTGTCTCAAAAAGAAAAAAAGAAAAAATGTTTGCAATATATCCAAAGACATATTTTTTAATACATAGAACTTACAAATGATGAAGAAAAAAATCAATAATTCAATTTAAAAAGTAGGCAAGAGTTTAGACAAAAAAATAAATACAAATGGCCCAAAAGCATTTGAAGAGGCCATTTAGGAAAGACAAATTAAACAACTCTGAGTTATCAATTTAACTATAAGGTTGGCATAAATGTTCATGCATTGTTATTCACAATAGCCAAGACATGGAAATAATCCAAATATCTATTAACAGATGAATGGATAAAGTGTGATATATACATACAATGAAATATTATTCAGCCTTAGAAAAGAAATAAATCCTACCATTTGCAGCAATGCCAATAGATCTGAATATGTACAGCTATTATGTATCTCAATAATCAAAAGTAAAAAATCTAAAAAATAAAAATAAAAACTAAACAGACCTGGAAGACATTATGCTAAGTGAAATAAGTCAGTCAGAGAAGAACAAATATGGCATGATTTCCCGTTATATGAGGGGCCTGCAGTAGTCAAACCTATAGCAGAAAATAGCATGGTGGTCACCAAGGATGGGGAAGGGGAAATGGGGAGCTGCTGTTCAATGTATATAAAGTTCCAGTTATAAACACAGTATTGCATTCTTGAAAACTGCTAAGACAGTAGATTTTGAGTGCTCTCACCACAAAAAGATGACAAATATGTGAGATAATGCATATGTTAATTAGTTCAATTTAGCCATTCCATAGTGTATACATATTTCACAAGACATTGTACATAATAAATATATATGTGTGTGTATATATATATATATATATATAAAATTTTTGTCAGTTAAAAGAAAATTTTAAAAGACATAAAACCAGATAATGGCAGACATTAAAATGTATGTTTACTTATATCGCAGTCATCTTTCCATATTAAAACTGCATCTATATCATTAAAAAGTAAATAATAAAGTTACAGTTATCAAGGTGAATAAGTTACAGAGATTTGCTTTACAACATAGTGCCTATAGTTAACATTACCATGCAGTGCACTAAAACATTGGTTAAAAGGGAAGATCTCATATTGAGTATGCTTACCACAGAAAAAAAAATGAAAAAGTTAAAAAAAGAAAACTTTTAGAGGTGATGGATATATTCATTACTTTGATTGTAGTAATGGTGTCACAGGTGAATACAGATGTCCAAACTCAACTAAGTGTATACATTAAACATATACAGGCTTTTGTATTTCATTCATACCTCAATAAAGCTGAAAAAAAAATGAAAACACTTTAAAAATATACACTCTGATCCCCAGAGCAGAGAAACTTTTTAGTTGGAATGTAAATCACTACAACATTTTAGGAGAGAAATTTATAAGTATCTTTCAAAACTAAATTCCAAATACACTTGGATCCAGCAATTTAACTTTGCTCTCAAAGGCTCTTGGGAATTCCTCGAAAGGAGTCTGAAAGTCTGGGCACCATCAGAAAGGGTTCTCTCTTCTCTTGGGAGTATGGAGACTAAAAGAGTATGACCATTGGCTATACAAAGAGGTCTCTGCACCACTTTCAAAAATTATTCTGTACTTCTGTACTACCAAAGACTATGAAACATTTGCTAATTCCTTGCTCTGTTGAGAAATTCTATCTGCTTACTCTTTTTGATAGTGTCGTCTCAATACACATATTAGAAAAAAAAAATTGCCTCTTTGTCTTCTAAACAAGGAAAAGAAAGTTTTGATTGGATGTCACCCAGACCCATGGTGGCTCTCTGAAGATAGTAATGAAAAGCCCCAACAACTCTGTCACCTAGTGGTTCCTTAGTTGCTTAGCCATAAGACAAGAAGACCCTGTCCCATCCTCTGCTGAATGAACAGGCCATTGGTAGGGCTCAGGGAAACTTAGCTCATTGCAGACCTACCTTTCAGTTGGAGTGGGAAGCAAATATTATTTGATATTGCATTTGAAAAAAATAAAAGAGCTATAAAAAATTTGATCAGTCTGTATCTTTACATTATATGACATAATCTGCAAGAAATATTGTCAAGTGGAAAAAGCAAGGTGAAGATTAGTATGTATTTGTATTCTCCCAAATGAATGTAAAAAGGTGGATCTGGACATGTGTATACCTAGAGAGCCTTCAAAAATAAATACAAAAAGCTGAAGACATTGTCCACATCTGAGGAAGGAGCCTGAGAAGTTGCTGGTCTGATGTGGGAGGGAGAAAAGCATGTTGACATAGACGTTTGTACAGTGTTTGAAACTTTTACCATATCATTCTACTATTTCAATTAAACAAACAAGTTAATAAAAAGCAAATAAGTTAAATTGTAACTACCTGAAGATTAAATATGTCATACATTCCAAAAGAGGATACTTTACCCATTTAACCATGTAGATGATCTAAAATCTGCTTTTTCTTACTTTGATTTTTTTAAAAGGCCACTTTTCTTCATAATTTTTATCTCTACTTCAATCCATTTTCTGGAAATTATATTTTTCCTCCTTCCTTCTAAGAAAAAAAATTGTGTTTATTTTTTATTCAAGAATATACTTTCAGAAAAACATTTGGCTAAGCTGTTAGATATCCTCCTTAGGTGTTTCCTAGGAGCAAAAAATGGGTGGGATTCATGACAGGTTTTATCTTAAAAGGTATTTAATTCTGAGCAACAGCAACTTTGTAAGCCAGAATATCTTCAAAAGAACTTAGTCAAAAATCAGGAGAATGGGAGTGATTCCTGTATATATCATAAAATTTGCCTCATTACCTTCATTCCCTTAAGGACCAAAATGATCAGACCCCCTGCAGTAAATGCTTCACAGCAGAATGACAAAAAGCAGGCCCTTCTCCATTCTGGCTTCCTGATGGATCACCAGGTCCTACTGCAGGCCCCAGCTTTAAAGAAGGATTTGTTGAATGAAAGAATGAAAGAAAGAGTAACGGAATTTGCTCAACACCTACCTTAATTCCTAGAATTTGTTATCTAAATATAGAGTGAGAAAATGCACAAGGCCCAAAACACATGTGAAGAACACAACAGCAGTGGAGCAAAGCCAGCATACCATGACCCAGAACTTCTTCAGGAGCAAACCATACAATAGAAACTTAAATACAGATTAAGGGCCTGAATACTGAGAACTTATGTGAATTATCTCAACTTATAAATCCAGTCAAATTGGCCCTTCAAGACCCTAAACATACAGATACAGAGATAGAGATAGATACAGATATATGCTACTTTTTGCCCAAAAAGGAAAGATTTATTGACTACATTGAAATGGTTGAGATCTGAAGTTACTACTTAGCTATTTGGACCAGAGAAGCTAATTAATTAGCCAAATTTGCATTTCACATGGCTTAAATATATTCAGACAAAGCAAAAACCAAAAAACAAGCAAACAAGTGATGAAACCACCTATTAAAAAAACAATGTTCAGATGGACTCTGTAAACACCGGATAATAGCATAACACCCCTTACCTGTAGAGGGCCGTGGTTCAATAAAGAAGCACTTAGATGGAGTGCCAGGGCACAGCCCTCTACCAATTTGCTCTTTCTGTATGTCCTACCTGTACATTTTCTAGCCATTTATTTTTCAGATGTCAGAGTGTTCAGCAGTAAGTCAACTGATGGGACCATACTATGTCTATTTGCATTTTATCTGCATAATTTATGAATTAGATAAATTTTCTTTCAGCAGTGCCCCTTTTGCTTGAAAATAAATGAATTATAAAATTATTTATCAAGTTGTGCATATTATAATAAGGTTTAAGTCTCAAAGGTTAATGGCCAAGAAAGTCAAGAATTATTTCCACACTGGTTAAAGGTAGTAGTTAACTTTTAGAGCAAGATTTAATAAGTAATGTTTATTACCTCTTAAATAAGAGTATAACATTTTGTGGTGAAGAGATTGTCCTTCTTAACATTCAATACAACTTTAGTTGGATATCCTTATTCCACATCCATTTTCTTTCCATCAACCTCTCATCAAACATCAAAACAAAGATTAGACTTATTAGTAGTTGTATTTATAAGTCCCTGAATGTGTTTTCCCAATGATAAAGTTTCAGTATATCAATAAAAAGATTCATATTTCAAAATCATCTCATTTTCCTGGGAGCCATCAACTATTCTCATAAGGATGGTAATAGGAAATTACCTTGGCAACATCTCTGGGAATTTAGGTTAAATTTATTGGTGTCAGGACACAGAACATCACAACCAAATATTTGGGCTTATCTTTGTGTCCAGAAATCAGCTCACTTAATGAGGCCTTTGAGAAAAGTGAACTTACTTAAAAATGTACCTTTTGCTGAGAAGAGAGACCGGTGACAGAATGTGAAACAGCTAGTGTCAAGATAACATTTTAATTAGCTGTCCCCTGTGGAACTTAATTATAAGTTTTCCTGTCTCTTATAGGAATGAAATTTATCCTTATTTTCTACACATAGATTTTAAAATTTGATAGTACCGAAGAATTAATTATATACTCCAATGTTGCTTAAGGCATGCTCATGAGTTGTGTTATTCCACAAAAATAAAAGAAGAAACTTCCTTTGAAAAACTAGAAAATGTTTGAATCCCTGAAAAATAATGGAAAAAGTGTGAAGATGGTTTAGAAGTATGACAAGATTTCACAATAGCACAAGTGTGTCATAGATCCCAGAACAAACCGGCAATGTTGACACCCTAGAGTAGGGCTATATGCGAGGTGAGAATCCAAAGTCTCGTGGATGCAAAAATGAGAATAGGATATTCTTTTGGACACACTTATGGCTCCAAGAAGTAGAGAAAGACTCAGCTGCATGAAAAATCCCATAGTCAAGTTGTATTTGCAGGAAACATCTACCCGTTGGGCCTGATGTGAGAGGAGAGAGATGTTCACTCTGGACACTATGTGGCTGTTTATCTTAATTGGCTATGCAGAAGTAAAGAAAGATTAAAAGAGAACATCTATATTTGCATCATAAAAAAATCAATGCTAGCTTGGAACAAGCATCTGACCTCCATCTTTTACATGTATTTGGTGATTAGCTTGCCCATGATTTCGCGGTTTCTACAGTGTTTGCTTTCATATTTGAATGAAAGTTTAAATGGGTATATAGTCTGGGAACCTTGTCTCGTTTCTCGAGCACTTTACTCCGCTCTCTTCTCTTGTTCTGTTTCATGCTGCTGTGGAGGCTGTTTTCTCCCTTTTGAGCATGACTTATTCAAATATGATTTCTCAAAAAAAGGCCACCACAAGACCTATAAAATTTTTGAGGATAAAGAAAAGAGAAAAGAACCTAGAACATAGGAATGACAGGGAGCACTCAGCAGAAAAAAAAAAAAAAGCTTAATATGGTGATTGAAGCAGATAAGGATTCAATCGGCTTTTTGCAATGAATTTTTTAAAATCTGAAATAATTCCCTTTTATAAAAAATGATATCAAAAAGACAAGATGTAAAAAGTCAGAAAAGAAATTACAAAACTACAAAAGACAATGAAATAAGAGTTGGCAGAAAAATTAGAAGCATAAAGGGGAAAAATTTGAAGCAAAAGTGGATCATAGAAATGAAGGCAAAATTGAAAGCTGTGAACACTAGAGTATAAACATCACAAAAAACAAAGAAGATGAAGATGATTAAAGTGAACCAAATAGAACAGAAATAAGTAACTAAATACAGAAAAATAAATAGAAAGAAGAGGAGCAAATAAGACTCAAAACATGCATAATTGAATCCCCCCACATCCTCATCCAAAATAAGTCCAATGTAATGAATTCCCCCACATCCTCATTTAAAATAAGTCCAATGTAAATAAAACTTAAGAAAGTTATCAAAAGTTTATAAAGCAATAAAACTTTCAAGAAATAAACAGACATGAATATGCAGATTTAAAGAAAATATTTGATTCCAGGAAAAATTACACCAAGAATTCTACAGCAAGACATATTGTGGTAATGTTTCTGGACATCAAAAATAAGAAAGAGATTTTGGGGCAACAAGACAAAAACATTAAGATGCTCAAAAGGGAAAAAATAGTCTCCACAGAAGCATTCAGTGGAACATGAGCAGAGCTGAGCAAAGTGTTTGAGAAAGAAGACAAGATTCCCCTATTTCTATACCCGTCTGAACTCTCATTCAAGTGTAAAAGCAAGAGACAAAACATTTGATAATATTAAAAAGAGATAGATAATATTTCCATCATGCATTCATCTTGAAAGAGCATAGCATGAATATCAGCCCACCTACAAATGGAAAAATAAGCCCTGAATCGAATTAATTGAATACACCAGACTAAAACAAATGCAAGGATTAGAGACTATCAGGTAAATATAAATGTCCCAAATCAATATTTTGAAGAAGTAGAGGAAGGAAACGTGGGAGGTGATGAAAATATGCTAATTTCATTTAAAAAAAATTGCAGTCCATCTATATTGTTTAAAGATCATAAGATGAATAATAGAAGTAAAGGAATATTTAGCAGCACAGAATATATTCTGAACAGCACAAAGAAAGAAATGATAACAGGAAAATATAAATTGCATGATTAGATACTTACAAGAGACAAGATGATTGTCATTAATCTAACCAACCCTTCTCCCTACCACACACACACACACACACACACACACACCCCCCTGAAATATCATTTCTATGTCATAACAGATACAGGTTCAGAGTGAGATGCTACCAAAATCTTTAGAAAACTAATTATTCTAATGCTATTTAAATTGTTTCAGAATATTTAAAAGTATATTCTTTAAATTCCTCATGAAATGAGGAAAATAATAAACTGTACATCCAATAAGAAAACACACACACACATAAAATTACAGACAAAAAATCCCAAATGAAACACAAAAAACAGAATCCTAAAACATATTTTTAGAATAACATACCAAGAATAAGTAGGCTTTATTTGTAGGATATCAAGATATTTCCATTTTTAAACGTATGAATAAGATTTATCATAGATTCATATTAAATTAAAAAGAAAAATGATTTGTAGAGTTTCATGTTAAATATTTTTGAAAAATTCAACATCCATTTTAATAAAAAAATCTTAACACATGCATATTCTCACTCATAGGTGGGAATTGAACAATGAGATCACATGGACACAGGAAGGGGAATATCACACTCTGGGTACTGTTGTGGGGTAGGGGGAGGGGAGAGGGATAGCATTGGGAGATATACCTAATGCTAGATGACGAGTTAGTGGGTGCAGCGCACCAGCATGGCACACGTATACATATGTAACTAACCTGCACAATGTGCACACGTACCCTAAAACTTAAAGTATAATAAAAAAAAAATCTTAACACATGAATATTAAGAACACTTACAAGTTGATAATACCTACCTATTAACCATTGTGCACAATGAAAAAACTGGAAGCAGTCCCATTAACACCAGAATCAAGACAAGCATATCTACTGTCATTTGATATTACTCAAATCTGCATATCATTTGCAAATAAATTGATAATGTACCTTGAAATCTCCTCAAATAACTGAAAGCCCTTTACAAATAACAATTGAAGGAATAATAAAACAACATACTAGAAGCAAATAATTCTTACAATATCTACAAAGATAATAAAATACTTAGGGGTCGACTTGCTTAGAGATACAGAGGAATAAATAAAATACTTAGACATTAACAATAGATGTGCAAGAACTATAGGAGAAAACTCTAAATGTGCCCAACAGAAAAAAAGTGAAGATTTAAACAAATGAAAGACTATGTTCTTGGAAAGAAAGATTTAATATATAAAGCTGTTATTCTGCTTGATTAATCTAGGAATTTATCATGGAGCCTGACTCCGGATCCCTCCATCTCAACTTCTGGCTACCAGCTACCAGCCTCTCCTAGGCAGGTGGCTACTGACTTGAAGGCCTCAAGCTCTGCTGAGAGACTTAGCAAGGAGCCCAGGACAAAGGTGTGATGCTAGTAAATCCCAGAAAATGCTTGATGCTTCATGCTCCCAGGACCCCGGCAGGAAGAAGTTTGGTGTTGACCAGTGTGATTATGCTAAATCCACCTGACCTTCAAAGGATCAGGAGGGAGGAGCACGGGTGAGCTAAATCATTCCCAGGCTGAAGGATTGCTGAGAAACACAAAGCTGCAGATGAACAGCAAAAGGCTCCTTTGCCTTTCAGAACCAGTGAAATTCAGCTCCTCCCAGCACCAGACCTGAGCTTGATAACCCACAGAAGAAAATAACTCTTCTAAAATATGACAACTCCAGAAACTGCAAACAAAACAAAACAGAAAACAAGACAGATCCAGAAAACAAGAAAACAATTCTAAGGAGAAAAACAAAGCAACACACACACACACACACAAACACACACACACACACACACCCCACAAGAAGATTGAGAAGACTTGAGAAACACAAAATTGTTGGAATGAGAAATGTGAAACTGTGGAAAATATTTTAAGCTTGTCTCTCAAAGAACTATATTTTAAACAGCTCCATGTAGTGTTCCTAAAAATCAATAGAGATCAATAAGCCAACAGAAAATAGGCAAAAGTAACGGATAGTGTGAAAAAGATAGACTCTCAGTACCCCAAACTCACTGTGCCAAAGGTGGGAACTGAGTCATGCAAAGCTGCCTTCCTTTTGCTCCCAAGGAGACAGCTGTAATTTCACAACCCTGTGTCATAGCCTTATCCATAAGCCAGATTCCTGCAAGGAAAGAAGGTTGCATTTTTCCCTAGTGGGCTCTACCTCTTTCAGGATATATAACCCACTGTTTGGGTGAGGAAAGGAAGAAAGCACTTTTCCTTTCCCAGGCAGAGCTGTTTCTGGGTGGACAGTGGGCTGGGGGCTGGATGTCCTGTGCAGTGGGGGCAGCAGGCACAGTCATGGGCAGAGCCCTGCTGGCACCTGGGAGCATTCAGAGGGTCAGCAGTGTCTTCAGCACCCCCAGGTTTCAGCACTAGACCTCCTACAAATTAGCTCTAAAAGAGAGTTCTGTTAAATCTCACCCTGACAATGCCAATTACCAGCTTATTTTCTCAGGTACAGGAGAAGGGCAAGAACAGAAATCATTCCTGTACCTACCTCAAGACGAACACATAACTGACTTTTTCCTCTACCCCTTCCTTTCACTTGTAAAATGTAGATTCACTAAGCACTAATCAGAGCCTCACAAGAATGTAACTACCTGCCTCATTGCCTACCCTCCCTCCTTTTCAAGAATTGCTGGCCGGGGGCGGTGGCTCATGCCTGTAATCCCAGCACTTTGGGAGGCTGAGGCAGGCGGATCACGAGGTCAGGAGATCGAGTCCATCCTGGCTAACATGGTGAAACCCCGTCTCTACTAAAAATACAAAAAATTAGCCAGGCATGGTGGTGGGCACCTGTAATCCCAGCTATTCGGGAGGCTGAGGCAGGAGAATCGCTTGAACCCAGGAGGCAGAGGTTGCAGTGAGTTGAGATCACGCCATTGCACTCCAGCCTGGGCGACAGAGCAACACTCCGTCTCAAAAAAAAAAAAAAGATTTACCCTCCTGCTTGCTCTTTCCTCTTTAAATACTGAAGTTCCCCAAACCATCTTTGGAGAAAGCAGAGAACACGGATGCTCCTGTGGTTTGTGTTTTTCCTGGGTTCCTCCTCAACCTTGACTAAATAAACCTCAAATCAATTGAGACCTGCCTCAGTCACTTTTTTGTTTACAATAGTAATGGGCAAGGAAGCAAAAATAGCTCTTCAACCTATGAAAAAATGCTCAATTTTGTTGACTGTAAGATGAATGCATGTGAAATCTATACTGAGATACTATTTCTAACATATCAAATTGCAAAGATCAAATATTTGGTAACCCACTGTTTGGGGTGAGGAAAGAAAGAGAGCACTTTCTGTTCCCCAGGCAGAGCTGGTCCACGCTAGGAGGGTCTGTGTGGGCAGTGGGCTGGGGGCTGGATGCCCTGTGCAGTGGAGGCAGCCAGCACAGTCGTGGGCAGAGCCCTGCTGGCACTTGGGAGCATTCAGAGGGTCAGCTGTGTCTTCAGCAGCCCCAAGTTTCAGCACTAGGCCATGCAATGCCACATTATCAATTAAATAGGCTTCCAGCATTCATCCAGGAACTTCCAGGAGAAAAGTGTGTTTGCAGATCCAAAGGAATGACAAAATATGAAGCCCTAAATCATTAATAAATAAGGACCTGGTTCTATTTTATGTAGCTGTGCAAAGTCTCTCTGCACATTCTGGTCATGGGGCATGTAAGTGATGAGTCCAGGGACACATAGCAAAAGACAAGGCAGGATTTAAACAAACTCAGATTGATTTTGTATGCTTGTTCCATAAATCTGGGGTTCTCAGGGGGCTCACAAAGGGAGATCTTAAAGTGCAGATTCCCCGCTCCACCCCATGACTGTTTTTCATCACCACACCTCTCACACCCAATGTGTGGGGTTTTTCTTACACCAATCAATTCACCGATTCTACAGACACCAGCTGGTGTCCTACAATTCAATCCAGTTCTGACACAGTCTACCTGGAGTTAACATCAGATCCCACAAGTTAAAGGCCCTGCAAGGCTGCCCCTGCTTCAGATACCAATAGCTAGTTCTGGACCTCTCCTATTTCTGACCAACTAATTATAAATTGGGTAAAATCTTGGCTATCAATCCCATGACACCCTCCCTAGGTTCAATAATTTGCTAGAATGGCTCACAGAACTCAGGAAAACAGTGCACTTGTTATTACTGATTTATTATTCAAAAAATACAACTCAGAACCAGCCAAATGGAAGAGATGCATAGGACCAGCTATGGGAGGGAGAGGGGTGCAGAGCTGCCGTGTTCTCTCCTGGCACAGCACCCTCCCAGCACCTTCACGTGTTCACCAGCCCAGAATTGCTTTGAACCTTGTTGTATAGGGTTTTTTTGTGTGTGTGATTTTATTGTGTAAATATGACTGGTTAAGTCATTGGCCATTGGTGAATGACTCTATCTACAGCCCTTCTCCTCTCCAAGGGTTGGTTCCTTTGGCAACCAGCCCTCATCTTGAAGCTATCTAGGAGACCCAACCATCAGTTATCTCATTAGCATGTAAAACACATTCTAATCACTTACGAGATACCAAGGGTTTTAGAAGCTGTGTGTCAACAACAGGGCAAAGACCAAATATACATATTTCTTGTTGTGTTACAAGCCCTGTATCATCTTACATAGCAGGTTAAGGGGTGGGACTCTATAATTTTTCAGCATGTACAGTCTTCAGGTGACCGAGCATGCACACTTGGGGATCACCACACAACACACACACCTCTGTCATAAATAGCTCACAGTCCCAGATCTCAGAGCTATTATCTAGTGAAGGAAAGTCATGTGGACTACAATCTTTAATGGTAGCTGGAGAGCTGTAGTTTTATCTCCATGCTTCCTTTCTTTTCTCAAGCCATTAAGAGTCTCCTATGGTACCACCTACTTACAAAGATCTAAAATAAAGCCAATTACAAAGATTGAAATTAAGTAGAAAATAGCCGAATAGGAACAGCTCCAGTCTGTAGCTCCCAGCGAGATCAACCCAGAAGGTGGGTGATTTCTGCATTTCCAACTGAGGTACCCAGTTCATCTTACTGGGACTGGTTGGACACTGGGTGAAGCCCATGGAGGGTGAGCTGAAGCAGGATGGGGCATCACTTCACACAGGAAGTGCAAGGGGATGGGGAATTCTCTCCCCTACCTAAGGGAAGCCATGAGGAACTGTATCGTGAGGCATGGTGCACTCCAGCCCAGATACTGTGCTTTTCCCAGTCTTCACAACCTGCAGACCAGGAGATTCCCTCCAGTGTCTATGCCACCAGGGCCCTGGGTTTCAAGAACAAAACTGGGTGGCCATTTGGGCAGACACTGAGCTAGCTGCAGGAGTTTTTTTTTTTTTTTTGCCATATCCCAGTGGCTCCTGGAATTCCAGCAAGACAGAACCATTTACTCCCCTGGAAAGGGGGCTGAAGGCAGGGAGCCAAGTAGTCTGGCTCACCAGGTCCCACCCTCACAGAGCCCAGCAAGCTAAGGATCCACTGGCTTGAAATTCTCACTGCCAGCACAGCAGTCTGAGGTCAACCCGGGATGCTTGAGCTTGGTTGGGGAGGGGCTTCCGCCATTGCTGAGGCTTGAGTAGGCAGTTTTACCCTCACAGTGTAAACAAAGCCGCCAGGAAGTTTGAACTGTGCGAAGACCACCATAGCTCAGCAAGGCTGCTGTGGCCAGACTGTCTGTCTAGATTCCTCCTCTCTGGGTAGGGCATCTCTGAAAAAAAGGAAGCAGCCTCAGTCAGGGGCTTACAGATAAAACCCCCATCTCCCTGGGACAGAGCACCTGGAGGAAGGAGCGGCTGTGGGCACAGCTTCCACAGACTTAAACGTCCCTGCCTGACAGCTCTGAAGAGAGCAGCGGATCTCCCAGCACAGCATTTGAGTTCTGTTAAGGGTCAGACTGCCTCTTCAAGTGGGTCTCTGACACCCATGTATCCTGACTGGGACACAACTCCCAGTAGGGGCCGACAGACACCTCATACAGAAGAGCTCTGGCTGGCATCTGGTGGGTGCCCCTCTGGGACGAAGCTTCCAGAGGAAGAAACAGGCTGTAAAATCTTTGCTGTTCTGCAGCCTCCACTGGTATTACCCAGGCAAATAGGGTGTGGAGTGGACCTCTAACAAACTCCAGCGGACCAGCAGCAGAGGGCCAGACTGTTGGAAGGAAAACTAACAAACAGAAAGATATAGCATCAATATCAACAAAAAGGAAGTCCACTCAGAGACCCCATACAGAGGTCACCAACATCAAAGACCAAAAGTAGATAAATTCACAAAGATGATGAGAAACTAGCCCAAAAAAGCTGAAAATTCCAAAAACCAGAAGGCCTCTACTCCATCAAAGGATAACAACTCCTCGCCAGTAAGGGAACAAAACTGGACAGAGAATAAGTTGGACAAATTGACAGAAATAGGATTCAGAAGGTGGGTAATAGCAAACTCCTCTGAGCAAAGGAGCATGTTCTAACTCAATGCAAGGAAGTTAAGAACCTTGAAAAAAGATTAGATGAATTGCTAACTAGAATAACCGGTTTAGAGAAGAGCATAAATTACCTGATGGAGCTGAAAAACACAGCATGAGAACTTTGTGAAGCATATGCAAGTATCAATAGCCAAATCAACCAACCAGAAAAAAGGATATCAGAGATTGAAGATCAACAGAATGAAATAAAGCATGAACACATTAGAGAAAAAAGAATCAAAAGGAATGAACAAAGCCTCCAAGAAATATGGGACTATGTGAAAAAACCAAATCTACGTTTAATTGGTGTACCTGAAAGTGACAGGGAGAATGGAACCAAGTTGGAAAACACTCTTCAGGATATTATCCAGGAGAACTTCCACAACCTAGCAAGACAGGCCAACATTCAAATCAGGAAATACAGGGAACACCACAAAGATACTCCTCGAGAAAAGCAACCCCAAGACACATAATTGTCAAATTCACCAAGGTTGAAATGAAGGAAAAAATGTTAAGGGCAGTCAGAGAGAAAGGTCGGCTTACCAACAAAGGGAAGCCCATCAGGCTAACAGTGGATCTCTCTGCAGAAACCCTACAAGCAAGAAGAGAGTAGAGACCAATATTCAACATTCTTAAAGAAAAGAATTTTCAGCCCAGAATTTAATATCCAGCCAAGCTAAGTTTCATAAGCAAAGGAGAAATAAAATCCTTTAGAGACAAGCAAAGGTTGAGAGATTTTGTCATCAACAGGCCTGCCCTACAAGAGCTCCTAAAGGAAGCACTAAACATGTAAAGGAGCAACTGGTATCAGCCACTGCAAAAACATACCAAATTGTAAAGACCATAGATACTATGAAGAAACTGCATCAACTAACAGGCAAAATAATCAGCTAGCATCATAATGACAGGATCAAATTCACAGATAACAATATTAATCTTAAATGTAAATGGGCTAAATGCCCCAATTAAAAGACACAGACTGGCAAATTGGATAAAGAGTCAAGTCAGCATCAGTGTGCTTTATTTAGGAGACCCATCTCATGTGCAAAGACACACATAGGCTCAAAATAAAGGTATAGAGGAATATTTACCAAGCAAATGGAAAGCAAGAAAAAGCAGGGGTTGCAATCCTAGTCTCTGATAAAACAGACTTTAAACCAACAAAGATCAAAATAAACAAAGAAAGGCATTACATAATAGTAAAGGAATCAATGCAACAACAAGAGCTAACTATCCTAAATATATAGGCACCCAACACAGGATCACACAGATTCATGAAGCAAGTTCTTAGAGGCCTATGAAGAGACTTAGACTCCCATACAATAATAGTGGAAGACTTTAACACCCCACCATCAACATTAGACAGATCAATGAGACAGAAAATTAACAAGGATATTCAGGACTTGAACTCAGCTCTGGACCAAGCAGACCTAATAGACATCTACAGAACTCTCCACCCCAAATCAACAGAATATATATTCTTCTCAGCTCCCCATCACACTTATTCGAAAACTGACCACATAATTGGAAGTAAAACACTCCTCAGCAAATGCAAAAGAATGGAAATCATAACAGCCTCTCAGACCACAGTGCAATCAAATTAGAATGCAGGATTAAAAAACTCACTCAAAACCACACAACTACGTGGAAACTGAACAACCTGCTCTTGGATGACTCCTGGGTAAGTAACGAAATTAAGGCAGAAATAAAGATGCTCTTTGAAACTAATGAGAACAAAGACACTACATACCAGAATGTCTGGGACACATTTAAAGCATTGTGTAGAGGGAAATTTATAGCACTCAATGCCCACAAGAGAAAGCAGAAAAGATCCAAAATCGACACCCTAATACCACAATTGAAAGAACTAGAGAAGCAAGAGCAAACAAATTCAAAAACTAGCAGAAGACAAGAAATAACTAAGATCAGAGCAGAAATGAAGGAGATAGAGACACGAAAAACCCTTCGAAAAATCAATGAATCCAGAAGCTTGTTTTTTGAAAAAAATCAACAAAATACATAGGCCACTAACCAGACTAATAAAGAAAAAAAGAGCAAAGAATCAAATAGACGCAATAAAAAATGATAAAGGGGATATCACTACCCATCCCAGAGAAATCTAAACTACCTTCAGAGAATACTATAAACCCTTCTACACAAATAAACTAGAAAATCTAGAAGAAATGGATAAATTCTTGGACACATACTCCCTCCCAAGACTAAACCAGGAAGAAATCAAATCACTGAATAGACCAATAACAAATTCTGAAATTGAGGCAGTAATTAATAGCCTACCAACCAAAAAAAGTCCAGGACCAGAAGGATTCACAGCCGAATTCTACCAGATGTACAAGGAGGAGCTGGTACCATTCCTTCTGAAACTATTCCAAACAATAGAAAAAGAGGGAATCCTACCTAACTCATTTTATGATGCCAGCACCATCCTGACACCAAAACCTGGCAGAGACACAACAAAAAACAGAAAATTTCAGCCCAATATTCCTGATAAACATCAATGCGAAAATCCTCAATAAAATACTGGCAAACTGAATCCAGCAGCACATGAAAAAGCTTATCCACCACGATCAAGTCGGCCTCATCCCTGGGATGCAAGGCTGGTTCAACATATGCAAATCAATAAACATAATCCATCACATAAATAGAACCAATGATAAAAACCACATGATTATCTCAATAGATGACAAAAAGGCCTTTGACAAAATTCGACAGTCCTTCATGCTAAAAACTCTCAATAAACTAGGCATTGATGGAACGTATCTCAAAATAATAGGAGCTATTTATGACAATCCCACAGCCAATACCATACTGAAAGGGCAAAAACTGGAAGCATTCCCTTTGAAAACCAGCACAAGACAAGGATGTCCTCTCTCACCACTCCTATTCAACATAGTATTTGAAGTTCTGGCCAGGGCAATCAGGCAAGAGAAAGAAATAAAGGGTATTCAAATAGGAAGAGAGGAAGTCAAATTGTCTGTTTGCAGATGACATGATTGTATATTTAGAAAACTCCATCGTCTCAGCCCAAAATCTCCTTAAGGTGATAAGCAACTTCAGCAAAGTCTCAGGATACAAAATCAATGTGCAAAACTCACAAGCATTCCTATACACCAATAACAGACAAACAGAAAGCCTCACCATGAGTGAACTCCCATTCACAATTGCTACAAAGAGAATAAAATACCTAGGAATACAACTTACAAGGGATGTGAAGGACCTCTTCAAGGAGAACTATAAAACACTGCTCAAGGAAATAAGAGAGGACACAAATAAGTGGAAAATCATTTCATGCTCATGGATAGGAAGAATCAATATCATGAAAATGGCCATACTTCCTAAAGTAATATATAGATTCAATGCTATTCCCATCAAGCTACCATTGACTTTCTTCATAGAATTGGAAAAAACTACTTTAAATTTCATATGGAACCAAAAAAGAGACTGTATAGCCAAGACAATCCTAAGCAAAAGGAACAAAGCTGGAGGCATCACGCTACCTGACTTCAAACTGTACTACAAAGCTACAGTAACCAAAACAGCATGGTACTGGTACCAAAACAGATACATAGACCATTGGAACAGAACAGAGGCCTCAGAAATAACACTACACATCTACAACCATCTGATCTTTGACCAACCTAACAAAAACAACCAGTGGTGAAAGGATTCCCTATTTAATAAATGGTGTTGGGAAAACTGGCTAGCCATATGCAGAAAACTGAAACTGGACCCTTTCTTTACACCTTATACAAAAATTAACTCAAGATGGATTAAAGACTTAAACATAAGACCTAAAACCATAAAAACCCTGGAAGAAAACCTAGGCGATACCATTCAGGACATAGGCATGGGCAAAGACTTCACAACTAAAACACCAAAAGCAGTTACAACAAAAGCCAAAATAGACAAAATGTATCTAATTAAACTAAAGAGCTTCTGCTCAGCAAAAGAAACAATCATCAGAGTGAACAGGCAACCTACAGAATGGGAGAAAATTTTTGCAATCTATCCATCTGACAAAGTGCTAATATCCAGAATCTACAAGAAGCTTAAACAAATTTACAAGAAAAAAACAAAAAACCTCATCAAAAAGTGGGCAAAGTATATGAATAGACACTTCTCAAAAGAAGACATTTATGCAGCCAACAAATGTATGAAAAAAAGCTCATCATCACTGGTCATTAGAGAAATGCAAATCAAAATCACAATGAGATACCATCTCACTCCAGTTAGAGTGGCGATCATTAAAAAGTCGGGAAACAACAGATGCTGGAGAGGATGTGGAGAAATAGAAATGCTTTACACTGTTGATGGGAGTGTAAATTAGTTCAACCATTGTGGAAGACAGCATGGTGACTCCTCAAGTATCTAGAACAAGAAATACCATTTGACCCAGCAATTGCACTACTGGGTATATACCCAAAGGATTATAAATCATTCTACTATAAAGACACATGCACATGTATGTTTATTGCAGCACTATTCACAATAGCAAAGACTTGGAACCAACCCAAATGCCTGTCAGTGATAAACTGGATAAAGCAAATGTGAAGCATATACACCATGGAATACTATGCAGCCATAAAAAAGGATGAATTCATATCCTTTGCAGGGACATGGTTGAAGCTGGAAACCATCATTCTCAGTAGACTAACACAGGAACAGAAAACCAAACACCACATGTTCTCACTTATAAGCAGGAGTTGAACAATGTGAATACATGGACACAGGAAGGGGAACATCACACACCGGGATATGTCAGGGGGTAGGGGGCTAGGGGAGGGATAGCATTAGGAGAAATACCTAATGCAGATGATGGGTTGATGGATGCAGCAAACCACCATGGCACATGTATACCTATGTAACAAACCTGCACGTTGTGCACATGTACCCCAGAACTTAAAGTATTATAATAAAAAAAAGAAATTAAGTAATTCACTATCCAGTGATTACCATCTCATTTGACTTTATAGTCCTTTAGTAGCAATGTAATAGTTTTTGTTTATTACTTAAGTTTTCTCAGTGTCTGAAAGGATCAATTAATTATGGCATCATATAAACTCGGTTCAGGGGACCATGTTACATTTATCTGCTCCCCAAAATACACTGTGAAATTTCAACATGGAAGCTGTGGTTTCAGATTGCCATAAGTGCATTAGCGTGGTCAAGAACATTACAACAGCACAAGCCACAGAGTCAAATGCTTTGTATTGATGTGAACATACAGAATATACAGGGAAGGCAAAATTGTAATATTTACAGATTTAGCCCTCTTAAATTTTTCTAAAATCAAGTTAATTTTTGTAGGTCAAGAAAAGATGATTTGTGATGACTATCTCTCCAGGACATATCACCCTCCATTATGAAACGGAGTGAAGACTGAAATTTATACACTAGTGAATCAGCTGGTGCCAAACATAATAAGCTTTCCATATGCTTAGGTGATTTGATCTATCATCCTCATAACTATGCTCACTCATTCCTCATATGTGGCCAAACTGGTAAAACCTTAAAAGAAAAAGTAATTTAGCATTGGCATGGTTAGTTAATTATTATCTGGAAACCCTTGCATTTTGAATAATCTCTGCCATAGTTTAGCCTGCTGGCCTGAATGTTCTATCATCATATGACAAGGCATAAAACAGTAAATGAATTACAATAAAGATTATCAATACTTTTAAATTATAAGATGACTCATAGAAGGATTTAAAGGATGTTTTCCTCCAAGCATATTACATCTGGAATTCAGCCTTGATGAATAGTACTCAAAAAGCATAAAGTTAAGTTGTCATACTCAAATCATGATTACTTTCTTACAAAAGAAAGAAAATGGAAAAAGAACAGAAAATAAAAAGAGAATTTTAAAGTTTGTAATGCAAAGAATTTCAACAGACTGAAATCAGATTGTTGACCTTAAGTCTCCCCTTTATTGAGGCTGCATGAATAGAAAACATTGTTAGATCTTTCTGCAGACTTACAGGTATTCCTGGGCATATTGTTAGAGTACAATTTTGTGATAGGAACTATGTAGTGGGAAACACAAACTTCATAAATATTTGGACATCATTTTGTGGCCAAATGTCAGGGGAAATTGTTCATAATCACAAACCTCCTCTCCAGTGAGACTAAGTGAGTGAGTTCATTATCCTTAGCAGAACTCTGGTGCTTCAGTGAATGAGTTTATTATCCTTAGAAGAACTCTGGTGCTTCAGCCTTGGGCTGGACCCTCCAGTCTCCCATTTGAGAAGCTTCAGTCACTGCTGGGAGGCAGTTAGACCTGGTCTTTGTGCACAATTACCACCATGCTCAGCTCCCAGATGCCTCATGAGAGATTTTCTTAACATTCCAACTCTCCTGTCCCAGTGATCTCTGCATGTTAGAGCACTTGGCTTCTGTGGGATTCTATCTGTGGAATCCTCATAGCTCAGTGCCCAGGATGTTAGCAGAAACCAGAGTCCCTGGGAGGAAACGTTGAAATAAGAATCATAAAGACAAGTGAGCAGAGAATGCTGGAACCACCGAGTTGTACTGGAAAAATCTAATCTTGGGTGTGTAAGTCATAGCCGACTGTGTTTTCCTTCCTACCCACTGTTAGGGGACTGCACTCTAATCTGGGTGCTGATGCTGGAGGCAACAGAGTTATGGTGACTGTGGAAAACCAGAGGCCACAGCCCAGATTGTCTTTATCTATTTTGATTTCATCAATTCCATTCAAATATATTTAGCAATTACGAAGTGCAAGTTTTCTATTGGGAGCAGTTTCAAGTTGAAATGTGTTACTGTATTGTCCCCATAAGACATAAATATGTACTAGATGTACTAGAATTTCCACTATTTTATGACTCATTTGCCTCTCAGTCCCCATTGTGGCACATAAGCCATTTATCAAGCCAGGAGCTTTAATTTTTGAATTAGAAACTATGGTCACTGTTATTGGATGCGAGTAACAGAAAGTCATAATGTGATAAAAGGACTAAAAAGACCAGGGCTGCCCTCCTTAAACTGTGAAATAGTGTTTAAATTTTCTGTGCCTATGATCAGTGGAGAGTGATCTACCTAAATCACCTGATTATTTGTAAGCTCTAAAGAAAAGTTCATACATGATCTATGATCTGTGGTTGCTCTCAGGAAAGGCAAGACAAATACATGTGAAACAACCAGGTATATTAAATTTTAATAACAGACTGCAATTTTTTAAAGATACAAACTGTAAGCCATATCTTTGTTCAGAGGAGTGAGAGATAATACATGGGTTGAAATAAACATTAAACAGTTAGGATTTCACCCAAATCTAGTAGGCAATTGTGTTTAAGAGGAGACAGAGGACCCCCATATGACTGTAGGTAGTCATTAATATACCAGTTGTGGAGCAACAAGGATTTTACTTTGTCCAGCCCAGAGGCAGAATAAAATACATGGTTTGGTAAAAGATCGCACAGACTAGATTTTAGATGGTTGCCTGAAAAATAGGCAGAAAAGTTTGGAATTTAATATATGAAAAGAAAGGAAAAGAGTCATTTGGATTTTTTGCTTTGTTTTGTTTTTTGTTTTTGTTTTTGTTTTAGAAACAGGATCTCACTGTCTCTCCCAGGCTGGAGAGCAGTGGCACAATCACTGCAGCCTTCACCTCCTGGGATCAAGTGATCCTCTTGCCTCAGCCTCTTGAGTAGCTGGGACTACAGGCATGCACCACCATGTCTAGATAATTTTTAATTTTTTTTAGAGACAGAGTCTTGCTATATTGCCCAGGCTGGTCTCAAACTCTTGAGTTAAAGGGATCCTCTTGCCTCAGCCACCCAAAGTGCTGGGATTACAGGCATGAGCCACAGCACCCAGACATTTTGGGTTTTTTTAATAGGATAGCAACTCAGGGAAAGACTTGTTTATGGGTGATTAGTCTCACCTTGTTGTGCCTATATTCCACTGGTAGGAGGAGGTATTGAATATAAAGTTACTCTACAAGTACAAATTCCACATAGCATTCCTAGAAACAGGATTTGGCACACAATAAGATGATTTACTGTTTGTATCTTTAAAAAAATCACAGTCTGTACCTTAATATTTAATGTACATGATTGTTTCATGTGGATTTGTCACATGAAATATTTCTTGAGTGAATAAATGAGCCGTTTTAAAGCTGAGAGTCTCAAATCTTCTAATAGTTTGTTTGTAACATCAGCTAAAAGTATCCAAGCAGGTCCAAGAATAATAGAAAGCTTCCTGCAAGCAGGAAATTCCTTAGACAGTTCATGTCTAATACCAAAAGTGCATACCCATTTCTTCTAGGAGTGTTTAAAATAATCAATTAAAAAAAAACTAACATTGCATTGCTTTCTAGTTAAATGAACACTTTACCTTTTAAATCTTCAAATAAAATTTCTTCCTCTGAAAGCTATGCTGTGTTAACTCTGCTCTTCTTCTTCACCCACTATCCTCCTCCTTGCCAGCACCCTGCAAAGAGCTTGTGCTGCTTGTGAAGAAATAGAATCAAAGTCTTTCAAAGCTATCTTAGGCCCAAGGAAAACATGAGCCCCGCGGGTTACCCAAGCCTCCACTAACTTTTGTCTGCTTTCCTGCTGCAACATCTGTCTCCATCCACTTTAAGAGGATGGAAAACTCCAGACAGCACTATTATACATTCTGGGCACTAATGAACCTTGATGGAATAAAATTGCATTCATTGAATTCTTATTTTTCATCAGTAGAATCCCAGAATCCCACTTTTTCCTTGCTGTCTCCCTCCCACCTACAATGATATGAAAAGATGCCTGTTATAAGGTGATTGCCCAGGAACTGGGAGCAGGGTTGAAACAGCTCCCAGTTCCTGGGACCAAAAATGGTCCTTTTTTGTTTTCGCTCTCTCTTCCAGGCAAGAGAAGGATGGGTCCAAGAGTCCCCAGAGTTGAGTTCTGAGTGGACTGAAAACAATGGAATCCCTTTGCTTGTTGCCTATCACTCAGGAGTCTCGAAGAAGGATCCAGGAGTTCCCACAACAGGGCTGCATCTTGCTCCACAGGTCAATGGTGTGGAGAGACACTCTCCCATCCCCCAAGAACTGTGGTCTTCCTCCACCCTGATCTCTGCTGCTGGAAAGATTAGGGCTAAGTCTGGTCAAGGTCTCCTAACCCCAAGAAGACCAATATACCCATCCTTGAATGCTGTTGAACTGCGGGAAGTGGAGAGACTAGGATGTTTATAGCTATGTTGAATACAGGCATCCAAAAAATAAAAGATATGGTGGGTAGAGAGGTGGAGGAATATAGGATGGGACTGGGAGGGATGTAAAGGGGTCCATGGAAGAGTCTGTGGGCCCAGGTATTCTCTAGACACTTGGAAGTACACAGATGAGGAGGCATAAAGAACAGAGTCTCAGTGGCTGCTCCAGAAACCCCAGCCACCCATTCCCTCACCTCCTGCTGAGAGACAACCAGACCTCTGGAAACTGTGGTTGTAACCCCAGAAATGCTGAATGTAACCTATAGGGTTTGAGCGATGGCCTTTCAGCCATTTGCCATGGTAGATGGTCGAGTCTACCTTATCCATCTCACCTTCTTGGACCATGAGTACTGGAAACAGAACAAGTCTGTAACTGATGAGGATCTTTGTTGATCTGAGTCTTTGGACAAAGTGGGCAGCGTGCAAAAGCAGGCAGTCTCCAGGTGGAGGAACTTCATTGGAGTTCTGGACTTAGGGATCCAACACGGCCACTAGATTCACTCTTGGAAAGCAGCCATGGCCTTGACTCAGAGCTCATGGGAAGATGGATGCCTAACTCAGAGATCGGGTGTCTCTGGCCTGCCATGCCATTTTTGAGATGGCTCTTTTTGGACTCTACTTCTGATAGGTGGAAAGGGTTCAAAGAACCCTATCTGTCAATTGGGCATGGTACAGTTAAGAATCTGCTGGCCTGTCCCCAGTGGCATCTCAGCTTTTCATTAGAGAGGCATAGCTTTTCCTGTGGGGAAACTTAATCTTCTACTCCTTTGCCTGAAGCACAGCTTCTGACTCAATGGGATCCTCAATTCACAGAGGTCCCCTAAATGTGTAGGCCCAGTATAATGACATTTGGCTAAGCTGAAATGCCATGTGAATGCTCCAGTTGTCTAGCAACATCAAGCTGAAAGAAGACATATTTGCTTTGCTCAGTGGGCAGAGCTCAGACTTTTGGATTGACTGCTGCAGGTTAACAATACCATTTTCTGGGCCATAGACTGTGGAACTGGATTGTGACTACCAACCACTGTCTGGATCACTCACATAGCTGCCCTCAGGCTCATGCTATAGGGGACTGGTTGGAATCACACCTGGAAAGATCTGCACTACTACTAATTGCTGCCATCACTCCTGGATTTGTCCCTGCTCTGGACACAGGCACAAAGGAAGGCTTGGAGTTTTTGACACAGAGGCTATCACTGCATGCCAGACTGAGACAATCACTGCTTGCCTCCAGCTGGGGAAATCCACATGGCGTGGAGGGTATGTCCTGCCCACATGCTGTCAGAGCTCTGTGACAACCGCCGACCCTGGTTGCTGGTTAGAAGGCTCAGCCATGCTGATGTGGCTTTTGAAACTAATCTGTGACAATGTTGAGCTTTACCTGAACCCTGTGCCTTTGGAAAGAACCCACCCCCACCCTGCCCACCCTTTTGTGTTGAGAGAAACAGGTTACTATAAAACGCCCCCCTTCCCATGTGACTCAGATAAGACTCAATGCCCCCCTTGTGTACCTATGACAAGGCTAGACAGAGCCCCTTCCCGTGTCCATCTGTTGGGCATGATTAGCTGCACTGTTTGTCCTGCTGACAATCTGGATGAACAGAGTACTGGTGAACTTGACTGGCTTCATCTGTGGTCAGGCTTCTCTCCTTCCCCCAGTGCTGAACTCTGTCCCACCATTGAGCAATGAACACAGAACAACCCAAAAACATTCCCAGACAAACTGTCCCCTCAGGCCACGGGCTCATCCCACCTGCCACTGCTAATCCCACCTGCCACTGCTAGTTCTTTCTAGCCGTGATTACTCTGCCCCACGAAAAAAAAAAAAAAAGCCCTCTTCCACCTGGCCTTTGAGATGCTTGCAGGTCTTCATTTTCTCTTTTGCAATAGTCCCCTTACTTATTGAATGAAATCTCCTTTACCCAAGAATGAATTTGGTTTCCTTTGACTTCTGTGATGTGCTTGGCTTTCCCAATCAGTTTGTTAATGACTTGCCTTCATTGCAGAAGATACTCAGTACTGACCTGCTCATCTGACTCTGCTTCCCTCATTTTCTGCTGGTCCACACACCTGACTATTACAAGAGCTGTTCCCAAATGGGAATTATGTCGTCCAGGCTGTTTACTGGGTCACTGTGAGGATGGATGGTGTAGAATGTGATATGGACTTATCTGGAAAATTTCAAAAACTGGGGATTCTCCCTTATCGTTCCTGGGCATGATGTGCCATTCTTTCTCTTAAGAGCAACCCCAAGCCAGTTAGTTTGTCACACCCTCAGGGTGACTGACAACTTGGCAGAGAAGGGGCTTCAGGAAAACAGACTTAATTCTGGCTAAATTTTGCTATTGTTTTTACATTTTAAATAGACTTCTTTTTAGAATATTTTTAGGTTCACAGCAAAATGAGGTAGAAGCTACAGAGATTTCCTCTATCCTTCTTACCCCACAAATACACAGCCTCCTCCACTGTCAACAACCTGCACCAAAGTGGTACATTAGCTGCAATTGGTGAAACCACATTGCCACATCATTATCACCCAAAGCTTAGAGTTTACATTAGGGTTTTCTCTTGGTGTTGTAAGTTCTATGGTTTTGGCAAGTGTAGCCATTATTATAGTATCATATAGAGTAGATTCACTGCCCTAAAAATTCTTTATTTATCCCTCCCTCCCCTGCAATCTCCTGGGAATCACAGATCTTTTTATTGTCTCCATAGCTTTGCCTTTTCCAGAGTCCTATATAGTTGGAATAATATAGTACATAGCCTTTCCAGAACAATTATATTAATATATATTTTATTGTGGTAAAAACACACAGCATAAATTTACCCTCCTAACAACTTAAAGTATATAGTATAGCTTTTTTTCTTTTTTTGAGACAGAGTCTTGCTCTGTCGCCAAGGCTGGAGTGCAGTGGCGCAATCTCGGCTTACTGCAACCTCCGCCTCCCGGGTTCAAGTGATTCTCCTGCCTCAGCCTCCCGAGTAGCTGGGACTACAGGCTCAACTACATGCACTTTGTTGTACAATAGACCTCTAGAACTTTTTTCATGTCGTATGACTGAAACTCTGTACCGAACAGCTTCCATTTGTGGTTACTTTATATACCACATGTAAGTGAAATAATGAAATATTTGTGTTTTTGTGATTGATTTATTTCACTTAGCGTCACGTTCTCAAGGTTCATCCAGGCTGCAGCGTGTGTCAGGATGTCCTTCCTGTTTAAGGCTGAATGATATACCATTGTGTGCATATGCCACATTTTCTTTATCCGTTCGTGTATGCATGCACATGTAGGCTGCTTCTACATCTTGGCTATTGGGAATAATGCTGCAATGAAGATGAAGATGCACATATCACTTCAAGATCCTGTTTTTAATTCTTTTGAGTATAACATACCCAGAAGTGGGATTGCTGGATCATATGGTAGTCTTATTTTGAACTTTTTCAGAAACCTCCATATGGTTTCCAATAGTATCTGCACCATTTTATAATCCCACCAACAGAGTGCAAGTGTTTCAATTTTCCCATACCCTTACCACACACAAACCTTCTGTTTGTTTGTTTTTATAGTGGTTATTCCAGTGGATGTGAGGTGATGGGTTATTGTTGATTTGATTTGCATTTCTCTAATGATTAGTGATATAGAGCATTTGTTCATAAGCTTGTTGGTCACTGATGCATCTTCTTTGCAGAAATGGCTATTCAACCTCTTTGCATATTTTTTAAGGCTTTGTTATTGTTGTTGACTTGTAGGACCTTTTTTTAAATTCTGGGTATTCACCCCTTATATGATATGTGGCTTGCAAATATTTTCTCCCTTTATGTAGACTGCCTTTGCATTCTGTTTTTTCCTTTAATGTACAGAAGGCTTACAGTTAGAGGTAGTCCTATTTGTCTATTGCTTTTCTTGTTTGTGCTTTGGAGGTTATAGTCAAGAAAGCATTGCCCATTCCAATGTCATGAACATTTTTCCATTTTCTTATAGGAGCTTTATAGTTTCAGGTAGTACATTTAGGTCTTTAATTCATTTTGAGTTAATTGTATATATGGTGTAAGAGAAGGGCCCATTATCTTTCTTTTGCAAATGGATATCCAGTTGTCTCAATGTTTTTTGTTGAAGACAGTATCTTTTCTCCACTGTGTACTCTTCACACTCTTGATGAAGATCACTTAACCATATACACAAGAGTTTATTTCTGGGCTCTCTATTCTGTTCTATTGGTTTATATGTCTGTCTTTGTGCCAGTACCATGCTATTTTGATTACCATTGTTTTGTAATATATTTTGAAATCAGGAAGTCTAAGGCCACCAGCTTTGTTCTTCTTTTTCAAGATTGTTTTGGTGATTCATAGTTTATTGAGATTCCATATGAATTTTAGGAATTTTTTCTACTTCTGTAAAAAATGCTACTGGAATATTTTAACAATATTAAGTCTTCCAATTTATGAAAATGGGATGTCTTTCCATTTATTTGTGCCTTATTTAGTTTCTTTCAGCAATGTTTTGTAATTTTTAGTGAAGTCTTCTGCTTTTTTGGATAGATTAATTCCTAAGTATTTTTATTCTACTATAAATGGCCTATTTTCTTGATTTTCTTTTTTGGTTGTTTTTTGTTAGGTTATAGAAACATAACTAATTTTTGAGTGTTGATTTTGTATTCTGCAACTTTGCTGAATTTGTTTGTTTTAACATTTGTAATCTTTTGGCTTTTCTGCATATAAGATTATGTCATCTGGAAACAAAGATAATTTTACTTCTTCCTTTCCCATTTGGATGACTTTCATTTTATTTCATTTTTTGCCTATTTGCTCTGGCTAGAACTCATAGTACTATGTTGAATAGAAGTGGTAAGTGTGGGAATTTTTGTCTTGTTTCTGATTTTAGAGGAAAAATGTTCAGTTTTTCACCACTCTATTAATGTTATATATGTATGATATTAACTGTGGGCTTTTCATACATGACCTTTATTACGTTAAGGTAATTTCCTTGTATTCCTAGTAAGTTGAGTGTTTTTATCATGGAAGGTTTTTGAATTTTGCCAAATGTTTTTTTTTAGCTCCAATTGACATGATCATGTGATTTTTGTCTTTCATTCTATTAATGTTGTATATTACATTTATTAGTTTTTGTATATTGAACCATCCTTGCACCACATTTGGTGCACTCCCATTTGGTCATGCTGTTTAGTCTTTTTAATATGCTGTTAAATTTGTTTTGCTGGTATTTTGTTGAGGATTTTTTTCCCATCAATATCCACCAGGGATATTGGTCTGTAGTTTTCTTGTGGTATCTTTGTCTAGCTTTGTTATCAGGATAATGCTTGCCTTATAAGAGAAGTTTGGGAGTGTCTCCTTCTCTTCAATTTTTTAGAAGAATTTGAGAAAGATTGACATTAATTCTTCTGCACATTTTCTGTAGAATTCTTCATTGACGCCATCTGGTCCTCGACTTTTCTTTTCTTTGCTGGAAAGTTTTGATTACCAATTCAATCTCCTTACTATTTATAGGGCTATTCAAATTTTTCTGTTTCTTCATAATTTAATCTTTATAGGTTTTATCTTTCTGGGAATTTGTCCATTTCCTTTAGGTTATCCAAGTTTTTGGTGGATGACTTAGTTATTTCAGGCTGCTATAACAAAATATTATAGAATTAATGGCTTATTGACAACAGAAATGTATTTCTCATAGTTATGGAGGCTGTAAGTCTGAAATCATGGTGTCAGCATGATCAGGTTCTGGTGAGGACCCTCTTCTGGGTCATAGACTGCCAATTTCTCATTGTATGCTCACATAATAGAGAAACAAACCTCTCTTTCATTATTATGAAAGTAGCATCACTTTCATAAGGGCACTAATTTATGAGGGCTCAATCCTTATGACCTGACTACCTTCCAAAGCCCCCACCTTCTAATACTATCACGTTGGGGGTAAGTATGTCATCATATAATTTGAGGGGATACATTCAGTGCATAACAATGTATAATTATTCAGAGTTGTCTCTTATAATCCTTTTTACTTCTGTGTCATCGGTAGTCATTTCTCCCCTTTTTTCTCTATTGTGTGTATTTATGCTTTAATCTTATATTTTTCTTTCTTCTGTTTAGTTTTAACCTTTTTTTATTTTTCCAGTTCATTAAAGTATAAACATACGTTGTTGATTTGAGATCCTCCTCCTCCTCTTCCTCCTCCTCTTCCTCCTCTTTCTCCTTCTTCTTCTTCCTCTTCCTCCTCCTCCTCCTCTTCTTCTTCTTCTTCTTCCTCCTCCTCCTCCTCCTTCTTCTCTTTTTTTTTGGTGGACATTTATCACTATAAACTTTCTTCTTAGTACTGCTTTGGTTATATCCTGTAAGTTGTGCTATATTGCTGTTTTCATTTGTCTCAAGATATGTTCTAATATCTCTTGGGATTTCTTCTTTGACCCATTGGTTGTTCAAGAGTGTGCTGTTAAATTTCCACATATTTGTGAGTTTTCCAGTTTTTCTAATGCTAGGGATTTCTAGTTTTATTCCCCTGTGGTTGGAAGAGACATTTGGTATGATTTCAGTCTTCTTAAATTTGTTAAGACTTGTTTTGTGGCCTAACACATGATCTATTCTGAATAATGTTTCATGTATGCTTGAGAAGAATGTGTGTAATATTACTTTTGGCTAGAAGGTTCTGTAGAAGTTTGTTAGGTTTAATTCATCTATATTATTCATTCAAGTCCCTTAATTCCTTATTAATCTTCTGTTTGTTTGTTCTATTCCTTATTGAAAGTAGGTTACTGAAACCTTCTACTATTTTTGTGTTACTATTTATTTCTTCCTTTAATTAATCAATATTTGATTTATGTATTTCAGTGCTCTGATGTTAGGTGCATATGCATTTGCAACTATTATATCTTTCTGATAAAACTCTTTCATTATTATATAAAGTCCTTCTTTGTCTCTTGTGACAGTTTATAAATTAAAGTCTATTTTGTCTAATATAAGAATGAGCACCTTTGCTCTCTTTTGGTTACCACTTATGTGAAACATCTTCTTCCATCCTTTCACTTTCAGCCTTTATGTGTTGTCCACCTCCAAGGTAAGCATATAGTTGCATCTTTGTTTTTATGTTGTAGACAGCATATAGTTGCATCTTTGTTTTTAAAAATCCATTCAGCCATTCTGTCTTTTGACTGGGAAGTTCAATCCAGTTAGATTTAAAATATCTACTGTTAGGAAGAGATTTACTATTGCCATTTTGTTAATTCTTTTAACTTTGTCTCATAAGTATTCCATCCCTCTTTTCCTCTCTTGCAGATTTATTCTGTGTTTCATTAAATTTTTTTTTGGATTGGCATGCTTTGATTTATTTCTATTTTTCTTTTGTGTACCTTCTATAGGTATATTTTTGTGGTTGCTATGGGGCTTACATAAAACATAGTGATTGATTTTAAGCTGGTAACAACTTAACTGTAATCATTTATGAAAACCCTATTTGTGTACATTTCCCCAGCCCTCCTTTATCTTTTTGATGTCCCAAATTACATCTTTATAAATTGTGAATTCCTTAGTGTAATTGGATATAGTTATTTTTTATGATTTTGTCTTTTAAATTCTATCCTAGAATTAAAAATGCTTTGCACACCATTATTACAGTATTACAGCATTGTTTTTACCTAAATATTTACCTTTACAGCAAGCTTTCTATTTTCTTATGCCTTCAGGTTGCTGTCTATTCTTCTTTGGTTTCGACTTGCAGGACACCTTTTAGCATTTCTTGTAATGCACGTCTAGTGGTGATGAACTCCTTAAGCTTTTGTGTGTCTGACAAAATCTTTATTTCACCTTCTTTTTGAAGAACAGTTTTGTCAGTTTTGTCAGATATATATTTTTGGTTGGCAAGGTTTTTTCTTTTAGGATTTTCAATATGTGATCTCATTCTCTTCTGGCCTGTAAGGTTTCTGCTAAGAAATCTGCTAATTATCTTATGGTAGCTCTGTTGCACATGACAAGTTGCTTTTCTTTTACTACTGTCAAGATTTTCTCTTTGTCTTTGATTTTTAATAGTCTATTTATAATGTGTCTCAGCGTGGTCCTCTTTGGGTTCATCCTAGTTGCAGTCCTTTGAGCTTCTTGAATTTGGATGTCCATTTTGTTTCTCAGATTTGGGATGTTATTTTCTCTTTTCTCTTTCTTTCTTTCTCTTTCTTTCCTTCTTTCTTTCTTTCTTTCTTTCTTTTTTCTTTCTTTCTTTCTTCCTTTCTTCCTTTATTTCTTTCTCTCTTTTTTTTTTTATGGAGTTTCACTCTTATTGCCCAGGCTGGAGTGCAATGGTGTGATCTTGGCTCACTGCAACCTCTGCCTCCCAGGTTCAAGCAATTCTCCTGCCTCAGCCTCCGAGCAGCTGGGATTACAGGCATGCACCACCATGCCCAGATAATTTTGTATTTTTAATAGATACGGGGTTTCTCCATGTTGGTTGGGCTGGTCTCAAACTTGCAAGCTCAGGTGATCCACCTGCCTCGGCCTCCCGAAGTGCTGGGATTACAGGCGTGAGCCACTGCACCTGACCTATTCTTTCTTCCAATAAGCTCCCTGTCCCTTTTTAAAAAATCTCTTTACTAAATTCTCATAATGCTATTCCTATCAAACTACAAATGACACTCCTCACACAACTAGAAAAAATATTTTAAAATTCATATGGGAAAACACAGCAGGAAAATGGCAGATAGGAGGCAGGATTAACTTGCAGCTCCTATTCAGACAAACAGAGCAGTGTGTGGAGACCCACATCATAAACTTTTGCTCCAAGAACTACCATAGGAACATAGCAGGAAAAACAAGAGAATCCACAGATGCTTTGAAGGAGGTGGATTGCTGCTGCAGGCTCCATGAGACAGCCAAGAAGCTGTGAGTTTGCTTGCTTTCTCACCTGGGAGGCTTATAGCCCAGGGCAAGTTCTCAGTCCTGCTTACCAGCTGCCTGGAAATAAACTTGGTACTGTTGGAGGGGCAGAGCAGGAGTAAGATTAGCCTTTTAGGCTGCAGCCTTTGTTGAAGCTGAGTGAGGCCTGTGGCTGCCAGCTATCCCCCACTTTCCTAGTGACCTGTGTGACACAGCAGAGACAGCCATAATCCCTCGGGAACATAATCCCGTTGGCCTGGAAACCACACCCCCATCCACAGGCCGGGCACTGTGGCTCACACCTGTAATCCCAGCACTTTGGGAGGCCAAGACAAGCAGATCACTTGAGGTCAGGAGTTCAAGACCAGCCTGGCCAACATGGTAAAACCCCATCTCTACTAAAAATACAAAAATTAGGTAGGCATCGCTAATGTAATAGCACCTGTAATTCCATTACTTGGGAGGCTGAGGCAGGAGAATTGCTTAAACCTGGGAGGTGGAGGTTGCAATAAGCCGAGATCACAGCTCTGCACTCCAGACTGGGTGACAAAGCAAGACTCTATTTAAAAAAAAAAAAAAAAAAAAATAAGGACCGGATAGATTCACAGTTGAATTCTATCAGACATTCAAAGAAGAATTGGTACCAATCCTACTGACACTATTTCAAAAGACAGAGAAAGACAAAGTCCTCCCTAAATCATTCTATGAAGTCATTATCACCCTAATACCAAAACCAGGAATGGACATAACAAAAAAGGAAATCTACAGACTAATATCCCTGATGAACGTAGATGCAAAAATCCTCAACAAAATAATAGCTAACAGAATCTAACAGCATCTCATAAAGATAATCCACCATGATCAAGTGGGTTTCATGCCAGTGGTGCAGGGATGGTTTAACATCCACAAGTCAACACATGTGATACACCATATAAAGAGAATTAAAAACAAAAATTACATTATCATCTCAATAAACACAGAAAAAGCATTTGACAAAATCCAGCATCCCTTTATGATTAAAATCCTTAGCAAAATCTGCATAGAATGGACATACCTTAAGGTAATAAAAGCCATCTATGACAAACCCACAGCAACATTATACTAAACAAGGAAAAGTTGAAAGCAGTCCTCCTGAGAACTGGAACAAGACAAGGATGCTCACTTTCACCACTTCTATTCAACACAGTATTGGAAGTCCTAGCCAGAGCAATTAGACAAGAGAAAGAAATATAGGACATCCAATTTGGTAATGAGGAAGTCAAACTGTTGCTGTTTGGTGATGACATGATTGTATACCTAGAAAACCCCCAAGACACCTTGAAAAAGTTCATTGAACTGGTAAATGAATTCAGCAAAGTTTCAGGATATGAAATTAATGCATACAAATCAGTAGTTCTGCTATACAACAACAGTGTTCAAACTGAGAGTCAAATAAAAAACAACCCCTTTCACAATAGCTGCAAAAAAATAAAATAAAATACTTAGGAATATACTTAACCAAGTAGGTGAAAAACCTCTACAAGGAAAATTACAAAACACTACTGAAAGAAATCATAGACAACACAAACAAATGGAAACATATCCCATGTTCATGGATGGGTAGAATCAACATTGTGAAAATGACTGTATTGCCAAAAGCAGTCTACAAATTCAATGCAATTCCTGTGAAAACATCATCATCATTCTTCACAGAACTAGGAAAAACCATCCTAAAATTCATATGGAACTAAAAAAGAGCCCACATAGCCAAAGAAAGACTATGCAAAAAGAACAAATATGGAGGCATTACATTACCTGAATTCAAATGATACTATAAGGCCACAGTCACCAAAACAGCATTATACTGGTATAAAAATAGGCTAGTAGACCAATAAAACAGAATAGAGAACCCAGAAATAAAGCCAAATACTTGCAGCTAACTGATCTTTGACAAAGCAAACAAAAACATAAAGTGGGGAAAGACACCCTATTCAACAAATGGAGCTGGGATAATTAACAAGCTACATGTAAAAGAACGAAACTGGACCCTCATCTGTCACCCTATACAAAAATCAACTCAAGATCCATCAAACACTTAAATGTAAGACTTGAAACCATAAAGATTCTAGATCATAACACTGGAGAAACCCTTCTAGACACTGGTTTAGGCAAAGACTTCATGACAAAGAGCCCCAAAGCAAATACACCAAAAACAAAGATAAATAGATGGGACTTAAACTAAAAAGCTTCTGCAGAGCAAAAGAAATAATCAGCAGAGTAAATAGAAAACCCACAGAGTGGGAGAAAATCTTCACAATCTATACATCTAACAAAGGACTAATATCCAGAATCTACAAGGAACTCAAATAAATCAGCAAGAAAAAGACAACAAACAATCCCACCAAAAAGTGAGCTCAGGATATGAATAGACAATTCTCAAAAGAAGATAAACAAATGACCAACAAACATATGGAAAAAATTCTCAACATCACTAATGATCAGGGAAAGGCCAATCACAACCATCATGTGATACTACCTCACTCCTGAAAGAATAGCCATAATCAAAAATGAAAAAAATAATAGATGTTGGCATGGATGTGATGAAAAGGGAAAACTTTTACACTGTTGATGGGAATGTAAACTAGTACAACCACTATGGAAAACAGTGTGGAGATTTCTTAAAAAAGTATAAGTAGTTCTACCATTTGATCCAGCAATCCCATTCCTGGGTATCTACCCAGAGGAAAAGAAGTCATCATATGAAAAAGATACCTGCACACGCATGTTTATAGCAGGACAATTCACAATTGCAAAAATATGGAACCAGCCCAAATGCCAATCAGTCAATGAGTGGATAACAAAAATGTGGAATATACATACACCGTGGTATATTATTCAGCCATAAAAAGGAATTAAATAATGGCATTCACAGCAACCTGGATGGAATTGGTGACCATTATTCTAAGTGAACTAACTCAAGAATGGAAAGCCATTGTATGTTCTCACTTATAAGTGGGAGCTAAGCTATAAGGAAACAAAGACATAAGGGTGATACGATGGACTTTGGGGACCTGAGGGAAAGGGTGGGAGGATGAGGGATAAAAGACTACACATTGGGTACAGTGTACACTACTTGTGTGATGGGTGCACCAAAATCTTAGAAATCAACACTAAAGAACTTATTCATACAAGCAAACCTCACCTGTTTTCCAAAAGCCTACTGAAATTTAAAAAAAAAATTAAACACAGCAAAAAAATAAAAAAATAAAAATCACCCTGACAGAAAAAATAAATAAAATAAAATTCATCTGGAACCAAAAAAGAGCCCAAATAGCCAAGGCAAGCCTAAGCAAAAAGAATAAAGCTAGAGGCATCACACTACTTGACGTCAAACTATACTGCAAGGCTACAGTAACCAAAACAATGCTGGTACAAAAACAGGCACATAGACCAATGGAGCAGAATAGAGAGCCCAGAAATAAGGTTGCACACCCACAGTTATCCGATCTTTGACAAAGTCAACACCATATTCAATAAATGGTCCTGGGATAACTAGCTAGCCATATGCAGAAGATTTAAACTGGACCACTTTCTTACACCACATACAAAAATCAACTAAAGATGGATAAAATACTTAAATGTAAAACCCAAAACTATGAAAACCCTGGAAGACAACCTAGGCAATATCATTCTAGACATAGGAACAGGCAAAGATTTCATGACAAAGATGCCAAAAGCAATTGTAACAAAAGCACAAATTGACAAATGGGGTCTAATTAAACTAAAGAGCTTCTGCACAGCAAAGGAAACTATTAACACAGTAAACAGACAACCTACAGAATGGAAGAACATTTTTGCAAACTATGCATTGACAAAGGTCTAACATTGAACATCTATAAGGAACTTAAACACATTTACAAGAAAAAAACAAACAACCCCATTAAAAAGTGGGCAAAAACAGACACTTTTCAAAAGAAGACATACATGTAGCCAACAAGTGTATGAAAAAAAAAAGCTCAACATCATTGATCATTAGAGAAATGCAAATCAAAACCACAATGAGATACCATCTCACACTAGTCAGAATGGTTACTATTAAAAAGTCAAAAAATAACAGATGCTGGTGAGGTTGCAGAGAAAAAGGAATGCTTATACACTGTTGGTGGGACTGTAAATTAGTTCAACCATTGTGTAAAACAGTTTTGTGATGTCTCAAAGACATAAAAATAGAACTACCATTTGACCCAGCAATCCCATTTCTGGGTATAGACCCAAAGACATAGAAATTATTCTACCATAAAGACACATGCATGTGTATGTTCATAGCAGCACTATTCACATTAGCAAAGACATAAAATTAACCTAAATGCCAATCAATGATAGGCTCAATAAAGAAAATGTGATACATATACACCATGGAATACTATGCAGCCATAAAAAGAAAAAGATGATGCCCTTTGCAGCAACATGGATGAAGCTGGAGCCCACTGTCCTTAGCAAACTAATGCAGGAACAGAAAACCAAATACCACATATTCACACTTATAAGGCTGAACGAAATGATGAGAACATATGGACACATAGAGGGGCACAAGAGTGATGGAGGCCTACTGGAAGGTGGAGGGTGGGAGGTGGGAGAGGATCAGGAAAAATAACTAATGGGTACTAGACTTAATACCTGGGTGGCATGAGTTTTAACAAATCTGCACATGTACTTCTGAACTTAAAATAAAATTTTAAAAATGTCAGTTTTTCCAAAATTATTGTATACATCCCATATGATACTTCTTAACCTATCAACAGAATTTCTTGTGATTTTTGTAACAAGTGGTTAGAAAACAATATAGACAATCAAAGGGTCAAAAAAAGTCAATAGAGTATTGAAAAACAACAGTAACAATAACTACAGCAAAGGGCTGCCTTACAAGACAGCAAAATTATACTAATGTTGTGAAAGCTGTTGGGATAGTACAATATTTATGCAGGGATACACAAATACATCAGTGCTACAAACCATAGAACCAGAAAGACTCACGTGTATTAGAAAACTTGATATATGCTGGAGGAGGCATTGCAAGTCAGTGTACCATACATACATAAAATAATTCTAAAGTAGGTTAAAGTTATAAATGTGAAAAGTAAAACTTTTAGAAGAAAATATGGAGTATACATTTATGAAGTTAGATTAGGGAAGGATTTCTTAAGCAAGACATACACCACAAAACAAAAAATAAAAAAAAGATGAATGAATTAGATTATCAACATTTTGAATTCCTGTACAACAAAAGATTTTATAATGAGAGTGAAAAACCAAGCCCATACAGAGAAATATTGTCAACAAATGCAATGGTTCTTGCATGTATCTGAAGAACTTGTGCAAATTAATGTAAAAATAAAGTTTAAAAAAAGAATACACTCAGCCATTAAACACATGGGAAACAATATTCATCTTAACTATTAGGGAAATATAAACTTAAATCTCAATGAAGGTGGGGTGCAGTGGCTCATGCCTGGAATCCCAGCACTTTGGGAGGCCCAGGCGGATGGGTCACCTGAGGTCAGGAGTTTGAGACCAGCCTGACCAACATGGTGAAACACCGTCTCTACTAAATACAAGAAATTAGCAGGGTGTGGTGGCGGGTGCCTGTAATCCCAGTTACTTGGGAGGCCAAGGCAGGAGATTCACTTGAACCCAGGAGGCGGAGGTTGCAGGGAGCTGAGATTGCACCATTGCACTCCAACCTGAGCAATAAGAGTGAAACTCCATCTCAAAAAAAAAAAAAAAAAGGAAGAAAGAAAGAAGGAGAACCTCAATGAAAATAACAATTCACATACATTTTATTAATAATATATTTTTAACATCAAACATGGAGGAGCATGTAAAGAAGAAGTGGGAACTCTTAGGAGAATCTTAAGAGTGGGAACTCTTAGGGAATACTTAGGAGAGATCATAAGTATGTTCCAGGGGTGTGTATATGTCCTAAGACCCACATATTCGAATTCTGGCCTCATGTTTAAGAGAAACGCTAGCACATGTGTTAAGGAGACAGGTACAAAAGGGTGCACCATAGCATTATTTGTAACATTCAAACCGACCTGAATGTCCATGAACAGAATGAACAGACAACATGTGATATATTCATTCACTGAAATACTAATCCAAAATTTAAATGAAAAATAAAAACAAACTACAAATATAACTTGGATAAATCTCCAAAAATATTGGGTAAAAAAAAATTATTTTTTAGAGGATAGGTATAAATGATTCAATTTCTAGTGTTTCCATATGGGATAGAAATGTGAGGAATACATTGCAGGCAAGCTTGGAACGTCAATGGTTTATATAAAAGAAGAAAATTTCCTGGAGTTTTTAAAGTAAATTATTCAACTCTTGAATATACTCACTCAAGGAATCATTCTAAAATTTTTATTGGACTAATTCTCTCCCTTTATTTGATACTAAAGGGTTATGTTGCTACATTGAGCACTATTTGGGAAAAATAGAACAGCCTTGGTGATTACATTAAAAATCCTAAGGCAAAATTCTTGGCTTGCTTTTTCCACATAAATTTAGTCCCCAAAGGACAGTAACTCCAGCACAGGATGGAAAAGTTGATGCTTCATAAAATCCTAATTTCTTAACTATCATAAAAAGAAGGTATGAGGTGGTGGTTTGATAGTCCATGATTTCTAATTTGTTGTTTTGAGGAATAAATATTTTTCAACTGGCAGTAATACTTTTCTAGAAAGTACTATGTATGCATAACATCTGTTGCAAATAATGTAGTATACTTTAAAATTTTAAAATTTATGGGTATAATTCTACTTTACAAGAGAAAGTTAACTGAATAAAAAGAATTTTTGAAACATTAATAGCAATAGCATGTGTTTATAGTAGGATGTTTCTAGAAGTGTCCAACATACTCACAAGTAATAGGTAGAGAGAAGTATTAGGCTGCTGCAAAACTAGTTGTGGTTTTTGGCATTAAAAGTAATAGCTAAAAACACCCTAGAGGGAGGGAAGGGGCCTTTTTCATGTGGTAGCAGTACTTTGGATGTGCTGGAAGCACACCATATTTTTTGTTGCTACTTTTTTGCCTAAATTTCCAGCTCCTAGACTCAATTTGATCACTATTAAAATGCTTTGGGACTCTGGGGCTTATGTCCATAGGTTTAGCACAGGCTCTGCCAGAGAGTACAGCTCAGTTGCAGGTTTTATTTCAAGGCACATAAATTCATAAAAGATTGATGTAGAAATAAGAACTACTGCTATTAATTTACAACTGTTATATATATTTGCTCTTCTCCACTGTCCAAGAAACCTTCTTCCCTTGAATAGCTGGGAGACTGAAATCATAATCTGAAAGTAGCTAAATGAGCCTGCACAGAGATCAAAATGAATGGGATTGTTCTAAGGATTTCTCCATGAGGATATGACAAAACTGTGGAGAATGACACTTTTCACAGAAGAAACTTGTGACCAGAAGGCTCATGCTTCCCAGGTATGGATTCTTCCTGAAGATAATATATACTAAACATTATCTGCATAATTTACAAAGATATTGCTTTTAATCTTCACAACGAGGCTGTGAGATAGCTATGTTCAAAAGCCCAAGTTACAGATGAGCAAACTGAGATTCTGGGATGTTAAATAATTGGCCCAAGGCCACATTCCTATTAGATGGTTAGAAAAAATTCAAATCCTGCTGTTTTAAAAACAGTGGTTCTCAAACTTTTTGTCTCAAGACCTCTTTACACTATTAAAAAATATTGAAGATTCCTAAGAGATTTTGCTTATGTGGGTTACATTTACCTATATTTACCACATTAGAAAAAGAAACTGAGGCTTCTGAAGACATTTGTTAATTTGTTTAAAAATAACAATTATAAATCCACTGCATGAGAACATAAATCATATATTTTTAAAAATCTGTTCTCCAAAATAAAACAAAACAGTGGGAAGAGTAGCATAGTTTCACATTTGTGCAAATCCCTTTAACACCTGGCTTATTACTCTGCATTCTATCTGCTGCAATATGTTGTTTTGGTTGAAGTATATGAAGCAAATACTTATGAGAACAGTAAGACACTGAAGCATCAAACCTTATGAGTTTTTAAGATTGCTTTCCTATGGGTTGGATCCAAGCAGCAGAGTCTAAACATCTCTACGGGGAAAAGCACAGAAAGAAGGGAAATTGTCCCTTGATGAAAAAAAAACAACAAAGAAAGAATCCCGTGATAAATTTTTCACAATCCTTATCTGAGATTGCCCCACCTCAAATACTACCAACATCAATCACTATGTTTTCTTCTTTTTTGAATATTCCAGTTCTTGTGCCCCCTTATGCTTTGAACCTAATTTTGTCTGAACACTTACCACCCTCCAGTGCAATGATTGTTTGCTTATTGTTGCCTCAACCCCGTCCCATTAGACTGTAAAATGGACAAGGATAGGAATGGTGTCATACAAGTTACAATACCAACTTCTGGCACAGTTCCAAGCAGTGAAAATGTGGTCTATAAATATTGGTTTAAACAAAGTACTAAATGAATGTTTACCTAATTCAAGTCTATTTCACCCCTACCTAAAGTACAGCCACTTCACATTTCCAGATTCTTCATTACTCTCCGTGCTACACCCCCTTCCTACTGAGATGTTCTTAAATGACCATGATCCTGCATGGCCACCAGTGTAATTCTTTCTTGTGGTCTCCCCAGGGCCCTGTGAAGGACCCTTAGAGACCTCCAATCTATTCTCTTCTATAAACAAACCTACCATCATTTCCTTTAAGAAAATAAAGCAATTATCAATGTTGATTCAAATAATAAGATACAAGGCAGAATCTTCTAATTTGATTTTGCATTTTCTAAACAAATGAGAGGCTAGAACCTGTGAGAAAAGCTTTATACAAATTGGGTTTTCTTTTAAATAGGATTGCCTTATAGTAATCCAATTTGATGTCAGATCCTCAATGAGTCAGGAGCCTTTTTCATCTCCACTGGAACCCTGTGACATTGAGATTGGAGGGCTGCCCATTGACATCCTCATGGGCCCCACTTCCACCTGGATCCTTTCTGGGACACCGTGTCATTGCCAGAAGAAAGTGGTCGGCTTTTCCAAGAGTCTTTGTGTGTGTGATTTTCAGATATGTGGAATATAAATACATTCACGTTCACCTCTTTGAAAAGCTCAACCCTGAAAAATAAAAATTAATTGTGCAAGTAAAATTATAAAATAAAACAAAACTACTTTTCATTCAAACTACTTTTGATACTCAAAAACTTGGCTTTCTTCTTTTATTTTTCTGTGTCTCTGCCCCATATTTTTTTGATTAATGTCTAATTGCAAAGATAAACAAAAAGTGGAGTAGAAAACGCAACATGTTAGGAACCCCAAGTGGTCTACATACCGACTCAAAGAAGCCAGAGCAGTTTTAGTAGCTTAGCTTAGAGTTTTTTATCCTGATTATTTATTCCCTATAGAGAACAGTGGTAGAAATACTGGAAAGAGTTTCTATGGGGTGGTGAGCACTCACGATAATTTTTACTTTTTTCTAAAAGTCATGAAAAATACAAAGCATGCAAGATTAAAAAGGTGAATACTGATCGTTCAATGCCATCAGTCAGCAGCCAGTTTTGAAGCTTGTCTTTCACCCAATAGTCTAGAATCCTGCTGTCAGGCCTCTGGATCTGGCCACCCTCTAGAAGGTGACTTTGGAAGTGTGTTTTACTCCCTATGTTCTCCAGTTAAAGACTTTGATTTTGCACGTCCATTTTCCAGTGAAAGGCTGGTCTTCTGTCACTAATATAGCAGCCAGCAGACCTATTTCTGTTTTCTCCTTGGCCTAGACTAACTTTGAGTGCCAAGTGCACAGCATGGCACTTATAAAGTCTTCCAGATTCTGGTGTGCCTGATCAAAGGGATGGACAAGCCAGTTCCTACAACTCAGATTGTCAATGTGATTTGGACCCTCTAAGCTGAACAATAATGTGATTTTCTAAAATGATGATGAGTCATTGTATCAGTCCATTTTCACACAGCTGATAAAGACTTACTCAAGACTGGGAAATTTACAAAAGAAGGAGGTTTATTGGACTTACAATTCCACATGGCTGGGAAGGCCTCACAATCATGGCAGAAGGCAAGGAGGAGCAAGTCACATCTTACATGGATGGCAGCAGGCAAAGGGAGACCTTCTGCTGGGAAACTCCCATTTTTAAAACCATCAGATCTTATGAGACCCATTCACTATCATGAGAACAACATGGGAAAGACCCGCCCCTGTGATTCAATCATCTCCCACCAGGTCCTTCCCACAACACATGGGAATTGTGGGAGCTACAAGATGAGATATGGGTGGGGACACAGAGCCAAACCATATCATTTTCCCTCGGCCCCTCCCAAATCTCATATCTTCACATTTCAAAGCTAATCATGCCTTCCCAACAGTCCCCCAAAGTCTCAACTCATTTCAGCATTAACTCAAAAGTCCACAGTCAAAAGTCTCATCCAAGACAAGGCAAGCACCTTTCACCTGCAAGCCAGTAAAATCAAAAGCAATTAGTTACTTCCTAGATATGATGGGGGTACAAGCATTGGGTAAATACAGCCTTTCCAAATGAAAAAAGAAAATGGCCAAAATGAAGAAGCTACAGGCCCTATGCAAGTTTGAAATCCAGCATGGCAGTCAAATCTTAAAGTTCCACAATGATCACCTTTGACTCCATGTCTCACATCCAGGTCACTATGATGTGAGAGGTGGGTTCCCATGGTCTTGGGAAACTCCATCCCTATGGCTTTGCAGTGTACAGCCTCCTTCCTGGCTGCTTTCATGGGCTGGCAGTGAGCCTCTGTGGCTTTTCCAGGTGCACAGTGCAAGCTGTCGGTGGATCTATCATTCTAGGGTCTGGAGGACGGTGGCCATCTTCTCACAGCTCCACTAGGTGGTGCCCCAGTAGAGATTCTGTGTGGGGGCTCTGGACCCTTTCTGCACTGCTCTAGCAGAGGTTTTCCAATGAGGACCCTGCCCCTACAGCAAAATTCTGCCTGGGCATCTGGGTATTTCCATACATCTGAAATCTAGGCAGAGGTTCCTAAACCTCAATTATTGACTTCTGTGCACTCGCAGTCTCAACACCATGTGGAAGCTGCCAAGACTTGAGGCTTGCACCCTCTGAAGCCACAGTCTGAGCTCTACATTGGCCCCTTTCAGCCATGGCTGGAGTGGATGGGATGCAGGGCACCAAGTCCCTACACAGCACACAGCACGGTGACTCTGGGTCCAGCCCACGAAACCACTTTTTCCTCCTAGACCTCCAGGCCTGTGATGGGGGAACCACTCTGAAGACCTCTGACATGCCCTGGAGATATTCCCCCCATTGTCTTGGGGATTGACATTCAGCTCCTTGTTACTTATACAAATTTCTACAGCCATCTTGAATTTCTCCTCAGAAAATGGGATTTTCTTAATCCAGTCTATCATTGTTGGACATTTGGGTTGGTTCCAAGTCTTTGCTATTGTGAATAGTGCCACAATAAACATACAGGTGCATGTGTGTTTATAGCAGCATGATTTATAGTCCTTTGGGTATATACCCAGTAATGGGATGGCTGGGTCAAATGGTATTTCTAGTTCTACATCCCTGAGGAATCACCACACTGACTTCCACAATGGTTGAACTAGTTTACAGTCCCAGCAACAGTGTAAAAGTGTTCCTATTTCTCCACATCCTCTCCAGCACCTGTTGTTTCCTGACTTTTTAATGATCGCCATTCTAACTGGTGTGAGATGGCATCTCATTGTGGTTTTGATTTGCATTTCTCTGATGGCCAGTGATGGTGAGCATTTTTTCATGTGTTTTTTGGCTGCATAAATGTCTTCTTTTGAGAAGTGTCTGTTCATATCCTTCACCCACTTTTTGATGGGGTTGTTTGTTTTTTTCTTGTAAATTTGTTTGAGTTCATTGTAGATTCTGGATATTAGCCCTTTGTCAGATGAGTAGGTTGCGAAAATTTTCTCCCATTTTTGTAGGTTGCCTGTTCACTCTGACGATAGTTTCTTTTGCTGTGCAGAAGCTCTTTAGTTTAATTAGATCCCATTTGTCAATTTTGGCTTTTGTTGCTATTGCTTTTGGTGTTTTAGACATGAAGTCCTTGCCCATGCCTATGTCCTGAATGGTAATGCCTAGGTTTTCTTCTAGGGTTTTTATGGTTTTAGGTCTAACATTTAGGTCTTTAATCCATCTTGAATTAATTTTTGTATAAGGTGTAAGGAAGGGATCCACTTTCAGCTTTCTACGTATGGCTAGCCAGTTTTCCCAGCACCATTTATTAAATAGGGAATCCTTTCCCCATTGCTTGTTTTTGTCAGGTTTGTCAAAGATCAGATAGTTGTAGATATGCAGCATTATTTCTGACGGCTCTGTTCTGTTCCATTAATCTATATCTCTGTTTTGGTACCAGTACCAATGATAGACTGGATTAAGAAAATGTGGCACATATACGCCATGGAATACTATGCAGCCATAAAAAATGATGAGTTCATGTCCTTTGTAGGGACATGGATGAAATTGGAAATCATCATTCTCAGTAAACTATCGCAAGAACAAAAAACCAAACACCGTATATTCTCACTCATAGGTGGGAATTGAACAATGAGAACACATGGACACAGGAAGGGGAACATCACACTCTGGGGAATGTTGTGGGGTGGGGGGAGGGGGGAGGGATAGCTTTAGGAGATATAGCTAATGCTAAATGACGAGTTAATGGGTGCAGCACACCAGCATGGCACATGTATACATATGTAACTAACCTGCACATTGTGCACATGTACCCTAAAACTTAAAGTATAATAATAATAAAATAAAAAAATAAAAAAAAGAAAATGAGATTTCCTTTTCTATCACATTGTCAGGCTGCAAATTTTCAGAACTTTTATTTTCTGCTTCCCTTATAAAACTGAATGCCTTTAACAGCACCTGAGTCACTTCTTGAATGCTTTACTGCTTAGAAATTTCTTCTGCCAGATACCCTAAACATCTCTCTCAAGTTCAAAATTCCACAGATCTCTAGGGCAGGGGCAAAATGCCACCAATAGCCAGTTTCTTTGCTAAAACATAACAAGATACACCTTTGCTCCAATTCCCAACAAGTCCCTTATTTCCATCTGAGACCACTTCAGCCTGGACATTATTGCACATATTGCTATCAGGCTTTAGGTCAAAGCCATTCAACAAGTCTCTAGGGAGCTACAAATTGTCCCACATTTTCCTGTTTCCTTCTGAGCCCTACAGATTGTTGCAATCCCTGCCTGTTAACCCAGTTCCAAAGCTGCTTCCACATTTTTGGGTATCTTTTTAGCAGCACCCCACTCTACTGGTACCAATTTACTGTATTAGCCTATTTTCATGCTGCTGATAAAGACATACCAAAGACTGGGCAATTTACAAAAAAAAAAAATGCTTATTGGACTTGCAGTTCCACATGGCTGTGGAGGCCTCACAATCATGGCAGAAGGCAAGTCACATCTTATGTGGATGGCAGCAGGAAAAGGGAGAGCTTGTGCAGGGAAACTTTTATTTTTAAAACCATCAGCTCTCATGAGACACATTCACTGTCATGAGATCAGTATGGGAAAGACCCACCCCCATGATTCAATCATCTCCCACCAGGTCCCTCCCACAGCATGTGGAAATTATAGGAGCTACAAGATGGGATTTGGGTGGGGACACAAAGCCAAAACATATCAGCTGTGTAAACAATAATAAAAATAATTTTTGAAAACCAACAAACCATGAAAACCTCTATCAGAATTATTGTTGTACAACAAAGGCATATCAGAAACAAGATCACTGTAAAATGCTCTCGTGTTTTATGCAAATGAGGTTATAAAAGTAAAAAAAAGTTGACTGACTTCTTGGACACAATTTCTACATTACTGAGTGAATTAGATGGTGTGACTCTCTGAAAGGCTGTTTTTAGTCACTGTGCAGGTGACTTGTAGTGAAGCTGTATGAAGAAAAAACCCAATCAGCCAGTCAAGAAGCCAGGTTTTCCTTTACAGAGCTGTGTCTAAAGTAATGTAATTAAGTTGATGTAATCAGAGCAATTCTACAGAGAACACACTAGGAAGTCCTGAAAGGTCCTACAGAGACCTGGAATCAACTCCTGACTTCAAGTGATCCACCCACCTCGGCCTCCCATAATGCTGGGATTACAGCCATAAGCCACTGCAGCCGGCCTGTTTCTTGACCTTGCTGCAGGAACACCTTGGTATGCAGGAGTCAAACATTAGTCATTATGGCAGTTTTACTTCAAGATGGTATTATTCTTGACATGCAACTGGCTGTTTTCCTACATAAATTTTTTTTATCCAATTTAGTGTCAATATTGTCAACCTAAATGACAGAGGAAGCTCTCTAAAAGAAAAAGACATTTATTTGGGAATAGAACATTGCCATGGGAATACATGTGCCATAGTAAACTATATGCATATTCAAGGAGGATTATGCATATAGGCTTTTAAAGAAAAAATATAGGCATATATGCATATAGGCTTTTAAAGAAAAAGGAAGACAAAGGCTTTTAAAGAAAAAATGAAAAAGATTACATAATTGTTTTGAGATGATTATCCTTGGCTACGAATATCAGCAATGAGGATAATGCCAGTTCAAGGTTGGACAGTCAGTTGCTGGGCAGATGTTCTTGCAGAAGTATGTTTTTGCAGAAGCTTGTATTCCGATGACCTTTGCCTGAGGCGTAATGTTGCAGAGTCTTTTCTGACAGTTTTGTTATCAGATATGCAAGCATTTTCTCCTGGTCTCCCCCAGCTCTCTTTGACAGGTTTTTTGTTGTTTGTTAGTTTGTTTTTAACATTAGCGACACCATCTTGATTCTGACAATGTTCACAGTATGCATACTTCCTCATCATGCTAACTTAAAAATCCCTTTCTTAGTCACTTCCTAACTTTCACTTTACATTTATCCACACTCCTATTGTTGTCTGAACTCAGATTTTTTAAAAACAAAGCTTGAGGCAAAAATTCATGTGCTCATTTGTAATTAGGTTGTGTAAATCCGGAAAAGTAGGAGTGAGCCCCAGGGGGAAGCAGGGAAGGCAAGAGAAGAGGTAGGTGATGGGCTGGTGTGGTGTGGTGAGAGGTGACAACGTGCTAGCAGCCCCTTCCTGCTCCTGGCAGCTCCTTGGCCTTGGCATCCACTCTGGCCATGCTTGAGGAGCCCTTCAGCCCACTGCTGCACCATGGGAGCCCCTCTCTGGGCTGGTCGAGGCTGGAGCCAGCTCCCTCTGCTTGTGGGGAGGTGCGGAGGGAGAAGTGCAGATGGGAACCAGGACTGCACATGGCACTTGCTGGCAAGCGTGAGTTCCAGGTGGGCGCGGGCTTGGCGGGCCCCACACTTGGAGCAGCTGGCTGGCACCCCCGGCCCCAGGCAGTGAGGGGCTTAGTGCCTGGACCAGCAGCTGCATAGGGGGCGCCAGTTGCCCCAGCACTGCCGACCCACCCTTGCCACGCTTGAATTCCCACTGGGCCTCAGCTGCCTTCCTGAGGGGCAGGGCTCAGGACCTGCAGCCCACCATGCCCAAGCCCCCCCGGGGTGGGCTCCTGCACAGCCCAAGCCTCCCCAGTGGGCACTGCTCCCTGCTCTGTGGCACACAGTCCCATCAACTGCCCAAGGGCTGAGGAGTTCAGGTGTGCGTCACGGGACTGGTGGGCAGCTCCACCCGTGGCCCCGGCATGGGATCCATTAGGCAAAGCCAGCTGGGCTCCTGAGTCAGGTGGGGACTTGGAGAACTTTTGTGTCTAGCTGGAGGATTGTATATGCACCAATCAGCACTCTGTGTCTAGCTCAAGGTTTGTAAATGCACCAATCAGCAATCCGTGTCTAGCTCAAGGTTTGTAAATGCACCAATCAGTGCTCTGTGTCTAGCTAATCTAGTGGGGACTTGGAGAAATTTTACGTCTAGCTACAGGATTGTAAATACACCAACCAGCACTCGGTGTCTAGCTCAGGGATTGTAAACACACTAATCAGCACCCTGTCAAAACAGACCAATCAGCTTTCTGTAAAACAGACCTATCAGGTCCCTGTAGAATGGGCCAATCAGCAGGATGTGGGTGGGGTCAGATAAGGGAATAAAAGTGGGCTTCCTGAGCCAGCAGCGGCAACCCACTCAGGTCCCCTTCCACACTATGGAAGATTTGTTCTTTTGCTCTTTGCAATAAATCTTGCTGCTGCTCACTCTTTGGGTCTGCACTGCCTTTATGAGCTGTTAACACTCACTGCGAAGGTCTGCAGCTTCAATTCTGAGGCCAGCAAGACAACAAACCCACCAGAAGGAATGAACAACTCTGGATGGGAGGAACGAACAACTCCAGATGCACTGCCTTAAGAGCTGTAATGCTCACCGTGAAGGTCTGCAGCTTCACCCCTGAAGCCAGCAAGACCACGAACCCACCAGAAGGAAGAAACTCTGAACACATCCGAACATCAGAAGGAACAAACTCTGGACACACCAGCTTTAAGAACTGTAACACTCACTGTGAGGGTCTGCGGCTTCTTTCTTGAAGTCAGTAAGACTAAGAATCCACCAATTCTGGACACATTTTGGAGACCATGAAGGGGCTATCACCTATCACCAAGCAGTGAGACTATCGCCAAGTGGTGAGACAATCGCCTTTCGCCAAGTGGTGAGACTGGTGCCCATCGGCAAGCAGTGAGTACCATTGGACCCCTTTTGCTTGCTATTCTGTCCTATTTTTCCTTAGAATTCAGGGGCTAAATACTGGGCACCTGTTGGCCAGTTAAAAACAACTAGAGAGACTGCCAGACTAAAGACATAGGTGTCAGGCTTTCTGGGAAAGGGCTCTCTAACAACCCCTGACTCTTCAGAGTTGGGCAAGTTGATTTGCCTGGAACCAGCTTCCACTTTTCCTGTACTTCTGGGCTGAGCTTGAGGGTTGATAGAGGAAAGCCATTCAGGTTCAGGGTCCTGACAACAAGTTGGTTGACTCTGCAGCCATGAGCAGAACTCTCAAAGGCATGTCGTCCAAGCTAGACTTGCCCATCTATCCTATCTATCCTGACCCTTGCCCCCGGGTCCTGATGCCTTCCAGACAAACTTCCTCTCACCTCTCTTCTCCGAGGCTAGTCCCACTTCTAAAAATCGCTCCCTGTCTCTGGTGCTTTTCTAGTTTCTCCTATAAGAATGATTTCTAGTATAAACACCAGGACTCTGTTACCTTCTTTAGACACCTGGTCTCAACAATCAGAAAGACATAATTTTTGCCCAAAGCCCCATTGTAGGGGGGACTATTTGGAATTTTAGGATCCCTCCTCAGACTAGCAGGCCTAACAAAAGTTATTCCTGAAGCTAGGATATGGGGAGCCTCAGAAATTGTATCCTTCCTATTCACATAAGTGGGGAAAACAGACATCACTCTTCCAACTCTGGAGATCCCTTCCCTCCCTCAGGGTATGGCCCTCCACTTCATTTTTGGGGCATAACATCTTTGTAGGACACAGGTAAGGTCCCAGTACTAACAGGAGAATGCCTAGGACTCTACCAGGTTTTCAAGAATGTGTTGGTAAGGGCCACTAAATCTGATTTTTCTTGGTCCTCCTTGTGGTCTAGGAGGACAGGCAAGGGTGCATGTTTTCAAGAATGCATTGGTAAGGGCCACTAAATCCGACCTTCCTTGGTCCTCCTTGTGGTCTGGGAGGAAAACTAGTGTTTCTGCTGCTGTGTCGATGGGCACAACTATTCCAATCAGCTGGATCCAGGGACCATTGCAGGTTCTTGGACATGGGTTGTTTCTGCTGCTGCATTGATGAGTGCAACTATTCCAATCAGCAGGGTCCAGCGACTGTTGATGGTTCTTGGGCAGGGGGAGAAACAAAACAAACCAAAACCACGGGCGGTTTTGTCTCTCAGATGGGAAACACTCAGGCATCAACAGGCTCACCCTTGAAATGCATCCTAAGCCATTGGGACCAATTTGACCCACAAACCCTGAAAAAGAGGTGGCTCATTTTTTTCTGCACTACAGGCTGGCCCCAATATTCTCTCTCTGATGGGGAAAAATGGCCACCTGAGGGAAGTATAAATTACTACACTATTTTGAAACTTGACCTTTTCTGTAAGAGGGAAGGCAAATGGAGTGAAATACCTTATGTCTAAGCTTTCTTTTCATTGAAGGAGAATACACAACTATGCAAAGCTTGCAATTTACATCCCACAGGAGGACCTCTCAGCTTACCCCCATATCCTAGCCTCCTTATAGCTCCCCTTCCTATTAATGATAATCCTCCTTTAATCTCTCCTGCCCAGAAGGAAATAAGCAAACAAATCTCTCCAAAGGACCACAAGAATCCCCAGGCTATTGGTTATGTCCCCTTCAAGCTGTAGGGGGAAGGAAATTTGGCCCACCCCAGGTACATGTCCCCTTCTTCCTCTCTGATTTAAAGCAGATCAAGGCAGACCTGGGGAAGTTTTCAGATAATCCTGATAGGAACATAGATGTCTTACAGGGTCTAGGGCAAACCTTCAACCTCACTTGGAGTGATGTCATGCTACTGTTAGATCAAACCGTGGCCCTTAATGAAAAGAATGTGGCTTTAGCTGCTGCCCAAAAGTTTAGAGATACCTGGTATCTTAGTCAAGTAAATGATAGAATGACAGCTGAAGAAAGGGACAAATTCCATACTGGTCAACAAGCCATCCCCAGTATGGATCCCCACTGGGACCTCAACTCAGATCATGGGGACTGGAGTCATAAACATCTGTTGACCTGTGTTCTAGAAGGACGGAGGAAAATTAGAAAAAAGCCCATGAATTATTCAGTGATGTCCACTGTAACTCAGGGAAAGGAAGAAAATCCTTCTGCCTTCCTTGAGTGGCTATGGGAGGCCTTAAGAAAATACACTCCCCTGTCATCTGAATCACTCAAAGGTCAACTGATTCTAAAACATAGGTTTATGACCCAATCAACCACAAATATCAGGAGAAACCTCCAAAAGCAAGCCCTGGGCCCTGAACAAAATTTGGAGGCATTATTAAACCTGGCAACCTCAGTGTTCTATAATAGGGACCAAGAGGAATAGGCCCAAAAGGAAAAGCAAGATCAGAGAAAGGCCACAGCCTTAGTCATGGCCCTTAGACAAACAAATATTGGTGGTTCAGAGAGGACAGAAAATGGAGCAGGCCAATCACCCAGTAGGGATTGTTATCAGTGTGGTTTACTAGGACACTTTAAAAAAGATTGTCCAATGAGAAATAAGCTGCCCCCTCGTCCACATCCACTGTGCCAAGGCAATCACTGGAAGGTGCACTGCCCCAGAGGATGAAGGTTCTCTGGGTGAGAAGTCCCCAACCAGATGATCCAACAACAGGACTGAGGGTGCCCAGGGCAAGCGCCAGTTCATGTCATCACCCTCACTGAGCCCCGGGTACGTTTAACCATTGAAGGCCAAGAAATTGACCTCCTCCTGGACACTGGCACAGCCTTCTCAGTGTTAATCTCCTGTCCTGGACAGCTGTCCTCAAGGTCCGTTACCATCTGAGGAATCCCAGATTCCTGTAACCAGGTATTCCTCACACCTTCTCAGTTGTAACTGGGAGACTTTGCTCTTTTCACATGCCTTTCTTGTTATGCCTGAAAGTCCGACACCCTTATTAGGGAGGGATATATTATCCAAGGCTGGAGCTATTATCTACGTGAATATGGGGAACAAGTTAGCCAATTGTTGTCCCTTACTTGAGGAGGGAATCAACCGTGAAGTCTGGGCATTGGAAGGACAATTTGGAAGGGCAAAAAATGCCCACCCAGTCCAAATCAGGTTAAAAGATCCCACCAGTTTTCCTTATCAAAGGCAATATCCCTTAAGGCTGAACCTCATAAAGGATTACAGGATATTGTTAAACATTTAAAAGCTCAAGGCTTAGTAAGGAAATGCAGCAGTCCCCACAACACTCCAATTCTTGGAGTACAAAAATCGAATGGTCACTGGAAACTAGTGTAAGATCTTAGACTCATTAATGAGTCAATAATTCCTCTATATCCAGTTGTACCCAACCCCTATACCCTGCTCTCTCAAATACCAAAGGAAGCAGAATGGTTCAGTGTTCTGGACCTCAAAGATGTCTTCTGTTTTCCCCTGCACTCTGACTCCTAGTTTCTCTTTGCCTTTGAGGATCCCACAGACCACATTTCCCAACTTATGTGGACAGTCTTGCCCCAAGGGTTTACGGATAGCCCTCACCTGTTTGGTCAGGCACTGGCCCAAGACCTAGGCCACTTCTCAAGTCCAGGCACTCTGATCCTTCAGTATGTGGATGATTTACTTTTGGCTACCAATTTGGACACCTCATGCCAGCAGGCTACTCTAGATCTCTTGAACTTTCCAGCTAATCAAGGGTACAAGGTGTCTAGGTCAAAGGCTCAGCTTTGCCTACAGCAGGTCAAATATCTAGGCCTAATCTTAGCCAGAGGGACCAGGGCCATCAGCAAGGAATGAATACAGCCTATACTGGCTTATCCTCGCCCTAAGACATTAAAACAGCTCAGGGGGTTCCTTGGAATTACTGGCTTTTGCCGACTATGGATCCCCGAATACAGCGAGATATCCAGGCCCCTCTATACTCTAATCAAGGAAACCTAGAGGGCAAATACTCATCTAGTAGAATGGGAACCAGAGGTGGAAACAGCCTTCAAAACCTTAAAGCATGCCCCAGTACAAGCTCCAGGTTTAAGCCTTCTGATAGGACAAAACTTCTCTTTATACATCACAGAGAGAGCAGGGATAGCTCTTGGAGTCCTTACTCAGACTCGTGGGACAACCTCACAACAGTGGCATACCTAAGTAAGGAAATTAATGTTTCACTGTTTATGGGTAGTTTGGCAGTGGCCGTCTTAGTGTCAGAGGCTATCAAGATAATACAAGGAAAGGATCTCACTGTCTGGACTATTCATGATGTAAATGGCATACTAGGTGCCAAAGGAAGTTTATGGCTATCAGACAACTGCCTGCTTAGATACCAGGTGCTACTCCTTGAGGGACCGGTGCTTCAAATATGCACGTGCATGGCCCTCAACTCTGTCACTTGTCTCCCGGAGGATGGGGAAACAACTGAGCATGACTGCCAACAAATTATAGTCCAGACTTACGCTGCCCGAGATGATCTCTTAGCAGAGATAATACAAGATGCTGCCCGGTGTTTACAGGAAAAGGCTTCTGAGATCAGACAATGCCTTTCATACTCTTATACCAGCCTCTGGAGGTGGGGATCATGGCTTCTCCCCTTTCTAGGTTCCTTGGGAGCCATCTTGCTGTTACTCACCTTTGGGCCCTGTATTTTTAACCTTCTTGTCAAATTTCTTTCCTCTAGAATCGAGGCCATCAAGCTACAGATGGCCTTACCAATGAAACCCCAAATGAGCTCAACTAACAACTTCTACCAAGGATCCCTGGACTGACCCACTGGCCCTTCCACTGGCCTAAAGAATTCCCCTCTGGAAGACACTACAACTGCAGGGCCCCTTCTTCACCCTTATCTAGCAGGAAGTAGCTAGAGCAGTCATCGGCCACATTCCCAAAATCAGGTGGGGTGTCCTGTTTAGAGTGAGGATTGAGAGGTGACAACGTGCTAGTGGCCCTCGCTCACTCTCAGTGCCTCCTTGGCCTCAGCGTCCACTCTGGCCACGTTTGAGAGCCCTTTAGCCTGCCACTGCACTGTGAGAGTCCCTCTCTGGGCTGGCTGAGGCTGGAGCCAGCTCCCTCTGCTTGCGGGGAGGTGTGGAGGGAGAAGCACAGGTGGGAACCAGGGCTGCATGCGGTGCTCATGGGCTAGCACGAGTTCCAGGTGGGTACAGGCTTGGTGGGCCCTGCACTTGGAGCGGCTGGCCAACACTGCCAGCCCCAGGCAGTGAGGGGCTTAGCAACCGGGCCAGCACCTGCGGTGGGGGCGCTGGGTACTCCAGCACTGCCGGCCTGCCCGCACCATGCTCGAATTCTCACCAGGCCTCAGCTGCCTAGCCACAGGGCATGGCTTGGGACCTGCAGCCCACTATGCCCAAGACCCTTGTGGTGGGCTCCCACGTGGCCCCAGCCTCCCCATTGGGTGCCGCCCCCTGCTCCCCGGCACCCAGTCCCATCAACTGCCCAAGGGCTGAGGAGTGCAGGTGTGTGGCGTGGGACTGGCAGGCAGCTTGCCTGCGGCCCCAGCACAGGATCCACTAGGTGAAGCCAGCTGGGCTATTGAGTTGGGTGGGGACTTGGAGAACTTTTGTGTCTAGCTGGAAGATTGTATATGCACAAATCAGCACTCTGTGTCTAGCTCAGGGTTTGTAAATGCACCAATCAGCACTCTTTGTCTAGCTCAAGGTTTGTAAATGCACCAATCAGTGCTCTGTAGCTAGCTAATCTAATGGGGACTTGGAGAACTTTTACATCTAGCTAGAGGATTGTAAATACACCAATCAGCACTCTGTGTCTAGCTCACAGATTGTAAATGCACCAATCAGCACCCCATCAAAACAGACCAAGCAGCTCTCTGTAAAATGGGCCAATCAACAGGATGTGGGTGGGGTGAGATAAGGGAATAAAAACAGGCTACCTGAGCCAGCAGCGGCAACACGCTCGGGCCCCCTTCCACACTGTGGAAGATTTGTTCTTTTGCTCTTTGCAATAAATCTTGCTGCTGCTCACTCTTTGGGTCTGCACTGCCTTTATGAGCTGTAACACCAGAAGGTCTGCAGCTTCACTCCTGAGGCCAGCAAGACCATGAACCCACTGGGAGGAATGAACAACTCCTGACAGGAAGAATGAACAACTCCAGATGCGCCGCCTTAAGAGCTGTAACACTCACCGCAAAGGTCTGCAGCTTCACTCCTGAAGCCAGCGAGACCACAAACCCACCAGAAGGAAGAAACTCTGGACACATCCGAACATCAGAAGGAACAAACTCTGGACACACAATCTTTAGGAACTGTAACACTCACCGCGAGGGTCCGCGGCTTCATTCTTGAAGTCAGTGAGACCAAGAACCCACCAATTCTGCATACAGTGGGACCAGTTGCACCTGTTTCCCTACAGCCATCTGAGCTACTGTGTTTGACAACAGCTGCACCATGGCAGGAAGGGAGAAAAATTCATCTGCCAGTCTCCACCTCCCACAGATACTAGATCAATAAACATCTCCTAAGAAAGAGATCCCAGGCAGTAGGTGAGAGATGTGCAGCATGGGCATGTGTCTGGGGCGCTACATGTGGCCAAGATCTCTTTTCATCTATCTTAAGTTCTTAGGCCAGTTGCTGAGCAGAGGAGGCATGCAAATGTAGACAAAACAGAGAAAAACAATTTTACATGACAAATAACACTCTAGAGACCACTGCACTTCAATATGAGCAGCAAAGCAAGAAGACAACTCTAAAAGGAGAGTAAAAAAATGTTTCTCTGTAGTTTCAAGAGCAGGCTGAGGGAGAAATAACATCTGTCTCTGCCCTCACTTGGAGCCCACTTTCTCTGTTCAGCTCTGCCATTTTCTGCATTTTAAAATTTCTCTAGTCCTCGTGTTCCCATGAGATTAGGATTTTCCAGAAGGAAACTTCTTAAAATGTAAGCAAAAAAAAAAAAAAAAAAGAATAAAATTCCACAAATGGAAAGATGTGGAAATGTTTGCAAAGCACAGGCTGGAGCCCAGCCAATTTGGAGAGGAACACAGCCCCTAGTTTCTTTTCTGTTCTGGATTTTTTAGTGTAAGTTTCACAGCCTCATGTATTTCAGGTATGAAGCACATCCCAGCCTTTATAGAAAAATAAACCAAAACAAAAATGATTTTTTATTTTGTTAGTGTTAGTTCACTGTGTGATTAGAAGATACTACAGCCATTTTTCTAATGATAAGACACAACTGTCTCTCTAGTCATGAAGGCTTAAGCACACAATTGCGGCTGTATCTGATGATTTTATTAGCCTCAGATTACAAAGAAAATATTGCCTCTATGAATCTCTGGCCTCTTGATTACCTGCCAACCATTCTAATGTAGACTGAAGTCAGGCTGAGTTTAAATAACTGCAATCAGAACATCTAATCGGTGAACAGCCTTTGGAAGAGGGTTACACAGACTAAGGTTTGGAAGTGACAGGAGCAGTCAATTTGGGAATAAGTTGCTGGATATAAAATTCATTCTTTCTAGTTGTACCACAATAGATTGGAGGTACAGCTCCCCAGAGGAGAGACCTAACTCCAACTCTAACTAATGGTCCTTTTTTTTTTTGGCAGTTACCTATCTATTATATAATTTAAGTCTCAACACGGTTCTCTGTGGTTGGGAAGTTATCTCAATTCCTATGATGCAGAAAAGGAAATAGGCAGAGAAAATAGCCAGTTTTCACATTGTTCTAGTGACTACGTCAGGACGAGATTCTGGGTCTCTTCAATGTTAGGTTAGGGCTGTCCTACATATATGAACATTCAGTACCCAATTAAAGATACAGGTTACAGTAACCAAAACAGCATAGTACTAGTACAAGAACAGACACATAGACCAATGGAACAGACTAGAGAACTCAGAAATAAGACCATCCATCTACAACCATCTGATCTTTGACAAACTTGAAAAAAGCAATGGGGAAAGGACTCCCTATTTAATAAATGGTGCTCATAGTCCTGCTAGCCATATGCAGAAAATTGAAACTGGACTCCTTCTTTATATGATATATAAAAATCAACTCAAGATGGATTAAATACTTAAATGTATTATAAAACCCAAAACTATAAAAACCCTAGAAGAAAATCTAGGCAATACCATTTAGAACATAGGCACAGGCAAAGGTTTCATGATGAAAACACCAAAAGCAATGGCAACAAAAGCAAAAAGTAACAAATGGGATCTAATTAAACTAAAGAGCTTCTGCACAACAAAAGAAACTATCATCAGAATAAACAGACAACCTACAGAATGGGAGAAAATTTTTGCAATCTATCTATCTAATATCCAAAGTCTACGAGGAACTTAAACAAATGTATAAGAAAAAAACCCACTAAAAAGTGGGCAAAAGACATGAACAGATACTTTTCAAAAGAAGACATACATGTCACCAACAAACATATGAAAAAAGCTCAACATCACTGATCATTAGAGAAATGCAAATCCAAACGAAAATGTGATGCCATCTCACACCAGTCAGAATGACTACTAATAAGAAGTCAAAAAACAACAGATGCTGGCAAGATCGTAGAGAAAATGAAACACTTTTACACTGTTGGTGGGAGTGTAAATTAGTTCAACCATTGTGGAAGACAGTGTGGTGATTCCTCAAAAACCTAGAGGCAGAAATGCCATTTGACCCAGCAATCCCATTACTTGGTATATGCCCAAAGGAATATAGATCATTCTATTATAAAGATAAATGCACGTGTATGTTCATTGCGGCACTATTCACAATAGCAAAGACATGGAATCAACCCGAATGCCCATCAATGATAGACTGGATAAAGAAAATGTGGTACATATACACCATGGAATACTATGCAGTCATAAAAAGGAATGAGATCATAACCTTTCCAAGGACATGGATAAAGCTGGAAGCCATCAACAAACTAATGCAGGAACAGAAAACAAAATGCCACATGTTCTCACTTGTAAGTGGGAGCTGAATGATGAGAACACGTGGATACGTGGTGGGAAACAAAACACACTGGGGCCTGTCGAAGAGGGGTTGTTGGGGGAGGGAGAGCATCAGGAAGAATAGCTAATGGATGCTGGGCTTAATACCTAGGTGATGGGTTGATCCGTGCAGCAATCACCATGGCACACATTTACCCACATAAGAAACCTGCACATCCTGCACATGTACCCCAGAACTTAAAATAAAAGTTAAAGAAAACAAAAAAAGATACACTCAACAGAAGTGATACTGCCCAGTGTAGCTTGTTCTTATGCAGGCTCACAAGGACAAAAAGTAAAGAAAAATTGCAGATGAAGCTCTTTACTTGTCCCTCAGTTATCACAAACATTTACTGAACATTTTCTATAGGGGAGTTCTTACTGCATCCTACATGTGAATTAGAAGAGGCTTTCTGCTTATAGAGAACTTGTCACTTAGTCTGATAAAGAGTCCATCAAACAAGATCACTTACTCAGTAAGTGATTATGCTAAGTGTCAGAAGAGAAGTGCAATAACAGGGGCACTAATATATAAGGAAGACCCCAGACAGGGATCAGCTGTGTTGGAGGAAGTGAACTCTAAGATACCATTAAGGGGAACAGGGCTAGGCACAGTGTCTCATGCCTATAATCCCAGTACTTTGGGAGGCACAGGCAGGAGGATCACTTAAACCCAGGAGCTCAAGACCAGCCTGAGCAACATGGCAAGGCCCCATCCCTACAAAAAACACAAAAATTAGCTGGGACCTGTCATCCCAGATACTCGGGAGGCTGAGGTAGGAGGATCACCTGAACCTGGGAAGTTGAGGCTGCAGTGAGCTGAGATCGTGCCACCACACTCCAGCCTGGGTGACACAGGCTGACAAACAAACAACAGTAACAACAAACACACAGGGGAATGGAGCATAGGGAGATGGGAGAAGCTGAGGGTGGGGATGGGATTTCAAAGGAAAGGGCAATTTTTCTTAGCAGTTACCAAGACAGTAGCTTTGGTGGCAAAAGTAGGTAGACCAGTTTGATAAAAACAGCTAATTTAGATTTCAATACTGTGTTTTAGGAATCTAAATAAATCAGGTATTACTGTCAATTAGCTCTAGGTTTTTGGATAATTTAATCAAAGCAATCCATTTCATGCTATATAGATAGTGTCTCTACCTAACAAAGATTAATAAGCCTTTTTTCTTGGAGATTAGTAACAGTCTACTTAAAACTAAGGGATACAAGATTTTTTAAGATAAAATATATGGTAAAAAAAAATGATATTTGTAATAGGGCATTACAATAATATGCCCTGAACTGCTTTCATAATTATATTCATTCATGAGGTATTGTAAGTCACATCTTTAAAAAAAATTCAGAAGTAAATTTTGTGTTTTAAAATGTCCTCTGTATGTTGCCACATGACTTCCCATGGCAAATGATGGTTTATGTCGCACTTTAAAAAGCGTTTGTAGTTGACTGACATGGTTAACTTTGAAGATTCCCAGGAACTGCAACATTGGATGACACTAGATGGAATGATCTCATTACTTCTGTATTCTCTACACTTGCCTGCATGAGTGAATACTTGAAATACGAATGGATTTTTCTAATACGATTCACGACACCTGGAGAAGGAGCAAACATGAGACTTTGTGGATAGGAAAGGTCACATCCTATTGATTGATAAGAGTCTGAAATGTTTAAGTGACTTTCACAGATATTTTCCTCACTATAAGTCTAGTTCTTGGAAATATTTTTTTTCTCTTATATTGGAGAAAGTCAATTTGGAGATCTTTAAAATAGACTTATTTTCCTCTTACACGTGTGTCTTTCCACTACAGGGACTCTGTGGACTAGGAATGTATTCGCTGGAAATAAGCAGCAGACACACAGGCTGGCTGTGCGGCCCACCCACAGGGTGTGGGCAGCTTGAGGACAGCACACAGGAGTCTGGAGCCCTCAGGCTTGGCTTGGGTGGGAAGGGGGAAGCGGTGGATGGAAGAGTGGTGGCTGCGGCTGGAGCCCTGACCGGCCTGATTGCCGCTCTGGGCCTTGGTCAAGGAGGCAGCAGCTGCTGTCAAACTGCAGGGCCGCCGGGGTGGAGCCGGGAGTCAGCACCTTGGCATTCTCACTGCTGACTCTTTTTTTTAAAATTTATTATTATTATACTTTAAGTTTTAGGGTACATGTGCACATTGTGCAGGTTAGTTACATATGTATACATGTGCCATGCTGGTGCACCACACCCACTAACTCGTCATCTAGCATTAGGTATATCTCCCAATGATATCCCTCCCCCCTCCCCCCACCCCACAACAGTCCCCAGAGTGTGATGTTCCCCTTCCTGTGTCCATGTGTTCTCATTGTTCAATTCCCACCTATGAGTGAGAATATGCGGTGTTTGGTTTTTTGTTCTTGCGATAGTTTACTGAGAATGATGATTTCCAATTTCATCCATGTCCCTACAAAGGACGTGAACTCATCATTTTTTATGGCTGCATAGTATTCTATGGTGTATATGTGCCACATTTTCTTAATCCAGTCTATCATTGTTGGACATTTGGGTTGGTTCCAAGTCTTTGCTATTGTGAATAATGCCGCAATAAACATACGTGTGCATGTGTCTTTATAGCAGCATGATTTATAGTCCTTTGGGTATATACCCAGTAATGGGATGGCTGGGTCAAATGGTATTTCTAGTTCTAGATCCCTGAGGAATCGCCACACTGACTTCCACAATGGTTGAACTAGTTTACAGTCCCATCACTGCTGACTCTTGTCTGCTGGGGCCTCCTACTGACAAAACCTAGAAGCCAGAAGTCAAGGATCCCAGTGAGGAGCTCAGGCAGAAGCTGAAAGAGAAGGATAGAGAAGGTCAGCAAACAAGTGAGGGCAACCAGGCCAAACAGGACAGTTCCTCCTTTGCGCCTCAGTGTCTGCTCCTGTCTTTTGATGGGGATGTCAAAGGCCTTTAAATGGGTGAAAATATTGAGTCCCGAATGCAGGGACCACACAAATCTCAGCATTATCTGATGTACTATCATGGGCTGATGTCTATTCAAATATATTTTCTCCTGAAACCTGAAACTTTAACAACCACCCATGATACTCATGAAATAAGGTGGCAAAGGAGAACACAATTAATGTAAGGTTTTACCACCTTGTCCCTGATTTTGTAGTTCATCATGAGACTGATGTGTGTCATCATGACTGCTGTTTTCCTCCACTGCATCTTCCCATTACTCTCTGCCAGGACCTGAGCTGAAAGGAATTCTTTAGTTTGTGAGGTAACCCAAGCCTTTCTTCATGGCTTTCCTGTGGCCTTCGCCAAGTACTCTGCTAATCTATATCCAAGCAGGGAGGGAATCAGGGCATGAAGACTCTGACACCTCTCTCCTAGCAGCCTGTAATCTGTCATGGGTCACATGAGCTGACCCAGCCAAAAGCCAGAGGAGGCAAGTTGGGTTAATGCCAGGGTTATAGAGTGACATGGAGAAGGTGGAAAGGATCTGCAGGGACCAGAGGTGGAGAATATCCTGAAGAGGGAAGGATTTGTAGTGACACATATTTCCTCTGCTTCCCCTCCTCCTTCTTATGTCTTTCTGTCTCTCTGCCTTTATCTCTTGCTCTCTCTCTCTCTCTCTCACACACACACACACACACACACAGAGAGAGAGAGAGAGAGAAAGAGAGGCACATTCATGCATGCTTGAGCAGTAAAAGCATCTTGTTAATTTACAAAATAAATGCCATTTGTTGTCTTCTGTGATTGCAAATGGGCTTTTAAAGATCATTAACAGTGCCCTAAAACATGGCTCTTCTGAAAGTGATGTAGAACCTCTGGCTGTCTAAAAATGAAACGCTTTTCCAAACATTGCACTTTGGAATAGTCTGTGTGTGAAATGCAGCATCTCAGCCTGGTGATTTGAAATGCCCCTGAGGAAGAAGTTATTGTAGGTGGCAGTCATTCCTTTGACAGCTTGCCTCATGGGGAGTCATAATCATCATCAACATATTTTAAAATTCTGGAGCCATTTACATTTGTTTCAGAATCTTTTAATTGAGTAATAAATAATTTTGAGGTATCAGGCTAAGGGCTGGTCCAAGTCCAGAGGTGATTGATTTTCTACAAAATTAATCAAAGAGAGTTTACAAATCTATTGAGTTTATGTAAATTACGAGACAGAAGAATGATTTCAAAGAATAGTTTTAAAGAGTATAATGAAGCAATAGTGAATCAGTTCAATTTTGGACATTGACAAAATTGTGAAAAAAGATAAACCCTTACGTTTTAAGTCAATACTCTGATCACTGATAGAAAGCAGATATAACTGAATTTAGTCCAAACTTGTTGAGCGAAACATACTTTTTAATTCTATTTTCCCCCAGAGTTCAGAGGTCAAAGTGCTTCTAAAACTTTATAAAAATATTCAAATAAACATATGCCAGGAAACTACAAATTGTGCTTATTTTAATACTGTTTCCAATATCAAAGTAACTAAAGGATATTCATGCAATTCAAAACTAAGGATCTCAGATTTATAGTACTGTAAAATGATTTCTTTTACATACATCTATGCTAAATGTTGAGTTCTTGCAGGAGAAATTGAGAACTGATGTAGCAACTTATCCAAATAAGATACTTAACCAACCCTAGTATGGCTTCTAGTAGTATGAGGTCATGTCGCTCGGATGACCCAGCTCCCTTTTGAGTTCCGGTCTAGAAAAGCTCAGCACTGTCCAAAGAATTTACTCTTTGTTCCAGCCAACACCTGACATAGACATCTGACAGCTTTTCTTAGAGTGTTTATGAAAAGAGGATTACAGTTGTGAATATGCATCCCCCACACCTCAGCAGTGTCTTTCTCAAGGACCTGGAAGTCATTCCTTTAAGATGTAATCATCAGGGCAGATAGGGCCTAGGTCTCCCAGTCTGCAGGAGGATAAATCCTAACTTCCATACTGCCAGCTAGCCGACACAGCTGGTCTGATGGTGTGTTGGAATTGGTTCCTTCTGGTGGGTTCTTGGTCTTGCTGAATGAAGCCACGGACCCTCGCGGTGAGTGTTACAGTTCTTAAAGATGGTGTGTCGGGAGTTTGTTCCTTCAGATGTTCGACAGTGTTTGGAGTTTCTTCCTTCTGGTGGGTTCGTGGTCTCGCTGGCTTCAGGAGTGAAGCCACAGACCTTCGCAGTGTTACAGCTCTTAAAGGTGGCGCATCCAGAGTTGTCCATTCCTCCCGGTGGGTTTGTGGTCTCCCTGGCATCAGGAGTGAAGCTGCAGACCTTCGCGGTAAGTGTGACAGCTCATAAAGGTAGTGCAGACCCAAAGAGTGAGCAGCAGCAAGATTTATTGAGGAAGAGCAAAAGAACAAAGCTTCCACATCCTGGAACGGGACCCAAGTGGGTTGCCGCCGCTGGCCCCGGTGGCCTGCTTTTATCCCTTATTTGGCCCCACCGACATCCTGCTGATTGGTCCATTTTACAGAGAGCTGATTAGTCCGTTTTACAGAGTGCTGATTGGCCTGTTTTTACCAAGCACTGATTGGTGCATTTACAAACCTTTAGCTAAACACAGAGCACTGCTTTGTGCATTTAGAATCCTTTAGCTAGACAGAAAAGTTCTCCAAGTCCCCACCTGACCTAGAAGCCCAGCCTCACATCTCAATAGCATTTCCACGGACCCAGGCTTTGTACTTTTTCACTTCCATGACTCTGCAGAGCCCTGCCCTACTCCCTCATTCTCTCTTTAAAAAGCCCAGTTCCCTTTGTGCAATTTGCAGATTGAAATGGAGCTCAGCTCTTTCCCTTATGGTTACCATTACTGAATAAAATCTGTTTTCATTACTTTAACTAACACCTGTGAGCACCAGAGAGGACTCTTCTGTAACCAGAAGACATGAAACCTTCCCCATCAAAAGCTTTGTTAAACAGGGTAATCTTCTTGTGCTAGCTGTTTCCAGTTTATTAGATTTCAAGAGCAAAATATAAAAATAAAAATCTAAATTCAACCCTGAAAAAGATTCAGTTTTGGTTTGGAAGCATTTACACATACGGTTTCTGTAGCAGTTTGCAAATCAAATGCCATTTGCAAACAATCTTCCTATTGAGGAGAAGAAGAAGGAGAACCTGTACAAGGTCTTTGGGACCAGTTTTTGTACAGATAAAAACAACTTAATTAGAGAGGAAAACACCATTTCACCATCTTCTTGAACTTGGCCATTTCAAGAAAATAGCATTTCCATGAGATTTTTAAGCCAAGTTTTTAGTCCCAAGGAAATGTAGAAAATGATCTCACTTGTCAGGAATGAAGTGAGATATTATGAAAATGGGAAAAGAGTGTTAAAAAATTGGATTTAAATTAACATTTAAAGTTTCTAAAAAGCCTTGTCAAATACAACCAAACATTTGAAACCTCTCCTCTTTCATATGCTAAATGTGTAAGGGATCCATGGTATGAGAGAGAAAAAATACTGTGGTGCTGATAGATGAATAGAATGCCATCCCAGACAGTGAAAATACTGCCCTATGCAATCTAGTGCTGCTTACACCCCTAGTCTTTCAGGTCACTGGGAAGGTTCACCCCAGGGCCTTCACATGTGCTGTTCCTCTGCCTGGAACTGTCTGGTCCCCTCTTCAAGCAGCCACAAATATTCAAGCAGCCACAAATATTCCCCTTATAACACCAGCTCAGAGCTCATTTCAACTTAGTGGTCTTTCCTGAACTCAACTAAGTTACCTGCCCTGGTGATTATTTTGTGTGTCACTAATCCAGCAGTGATCCCATTTCAGTGTGATTCTAATCACCTGCCTTTCCCGTAAACTGTGAGCTTCCTGAGGGAGGGAAACATGTCTAAATTTTTCACCATTTTATCCCTAGATCCAAGTATATACAAAGTATTCAATAAATATTTATTGAGAAACAATAAAGTATTGAATAATAAGTTTGACTGTGCATATGGGGTCATTTTATGGGAGACATCAAAAACCAAAAAAAAAGAGATTATATGTGATGAAGAGAATACAGGCAGGAATATGTATGGAGATGACACGATAAAGGAATGTTTAGAGAAAATTAATCTAGCACCAATGTGGCCTATATTTGCAGAGGGGCAAATTTGACTCAGCCTTCTATTTCAGTAGACTTAGATATAACTTAGAATAAGATTAAGTCTACAGTAAGGGTTGAGAAGATAGGGATATAGGGCTTGAGTGAGAAAAAAATGATATAATAAGAATGAATTTCTGAAATCATAGCTAGATAAATTAGAAAAGGATAATGATATGAGAAGATGTATATTTCTAATTCCAGTGTTACAAGAAAACTGAAACTAATAGAGAAATAACTAAATACTCTTTTTAAAACAGCCAGTTTGCTCACTTCATTGAATAGAATAGAAATTGAGACCTTAAGTCAGCACCATCTGATAGAAATCGGTGGTTAGAAGGAGAGTCGGTCTTCCTGAGTCTCATCAAACCCAATGTTCTGAAAAAAACTAGTTGCTGAGCCTTCAGAGCTGGGCCCCAGACCATGGGATTCAGCAACAGCTAATGTCCTGCTGGAAGAACTGGCTGAACTCACTGTTCCTGATCTCTCTGTTTCCAATTTGCAAAACTTCAGCAGACCCCTTCCCCTGTGTCTCCTCTATTTCTTTATTATTTTATCTCAGAGAGTTAGAACTATGTTGTTTCTGTGTTAGTTTGCTGAGAATGATGGTTTCTAGCTTCATCCATGTCCCTGCAAAGGACATGAACTCCTTCTTTTTTATGGCTGCATAGTATTCCATGTTGTATACATGCCACATTTTCTTTATCCAGTCTACCATTGATGGGCATTTGGGTTAGTTCCAAGTCTTTGCTATTGTGAATAGCACTGCAATAAACATACGTGTGCATGTGTCTTTATAGTAGAATGATTTATAATCCTTTGGGTATATACCCAGTAATGGGATTGCTGCGTCAAATGGTATTTCTGGTTCCAGATCCTTGAGGAATTGCCACACTATCTCCTACAATGGTTGAACTAATTTACACTCCCACCAATACTATAAAAGCATTCTAATTCTCCATATCCTCTCCAGCATCTGTTGTTTCGTGACTTTTGTGTGTGTGTGTGTCATTGTGGCTCATCTTTTAAGCAGAATTTTTTTTGTTATTATTATACTTTAAGTTCTGGGTTACATGTGCAGAACTTGCAGTTTTGTTACATAGGTATACACGTGCCATGGTGGTTTGCTGCACCCATCAACTCATCACATACATTAAGTATTTCTCCTAATGTAATCTTTCCCCTTGCCCTCCACCCCACAACAGGCACCAGTGTGTGATATTCCCATCCCTGTGTCCCTGTGTTCTCATTGTTCAACTATCACTTATGAGTGAGAACATGTGGTGTTTGGTTTTCTGATCTTGTGATAGTTTGCTGAGAATGATGGTTTCCAGCTTCAGCTATGTCCCTGCAAAGGACATGAACTCATACTTTTTTATGGCTGCATAGTATTCCATGGTGTATATGTGCCACATTTTCTTAATGTAGTCTATCACTGATTGACATTTGGGTTGGTTCCAGTCTTTGCTATTGTGAATAGGGCTGCAATAAACATATGTGTGGATGTGTCTTTATTGTAGTATGATTTTAATGATCACCATTCTAACTGGCATGAGATGGTATCTCATTGTGGTTTTGATTTGCATTTCTCTAATGACCAGTGATGATGAGCTTTTTTTCGTATGTTTGTTGGCCACATAAATGTCTTCTTTTGAGAAGTGTTTATTCATATACTTCACCCACTTTTTGATGGAGTTGTTTGTTTTTTTCTTGTAAATTTGTTTAAGGTCCCTGTAGATTCTGGATTTTAGCCCTTTGTCAGATGGAAAGATTGCAAAAATTTTCTCCCATTCTATAGGTTGCCTGTTCACTCTGATGATTGTTTCTTTTGCTGAGCAGAAGCTCTTTAGTTTAATTAGATCCCTTTTGTCTGTTTTGGCTTTTGTTGCAACTGCTTTTGATATTTTAGTCATGAAATCTTTGCCCATGCCTATGTCCTGAATGCTACTGCCTAGGTTTTCTTCTAGGGTTTTTATGGTTTTAGGTCTTATGTTTAAGTCTTTAATCCATATTGAGTTAATTTTTGTATAATGTGTAAGGAAGGGGTCCTGTTTCAGTTTTCTGCATATGGCTAGCCAGTTTTCCCAACACCATTTATTAAACAGGGAATCCTTTCCCCATTGCTTGTTTTTGTTAGGTTTGTTGAAGATCAGACATCTGTAGATGTGTATGTTATTTCTGAGGTCTCTGTTCTGTTCTATTGGTCTATATATCTGTTTTGGTACCAGTACCATGCCGTTTTGATTACTGTAGCCTTGTAGTGTAGTTTGAATTCAGGTAGTGTGATGCCTCCAGCTTCCTTCTTTTTACTTAGGATTTTTTTGGCTATATGGGCCCTTTTTTGGTTCCATATGAAATTTAAAGTAGTTTTTTCCAATTCTGTGAACAAAGTCAATGGTAGCTTGATGGGAATAGCAATGAATTTATACATTACTCCGGGCAGTATGGCCATGTATTGATTCTTCCTATCCATGAGGATGGAATGTTTTTCCATTTGTTTGTGTCCTCTCTTGTTTGCTTGAGCAGTGGTTTGTAGTTCTCCTTGAAGAGGTCCTTCACATCCCTTGTAAGTTGTATTCCTAAGTATTTTATTCTCTTTGTAGCAATTGTGAATGGGAGTTCTCTCATGATTTGGCTCTCACTGGTGTATAGGAATGCTTGTGATTTTTGCACATTGATTTTGTATCCTGAGACTTTGCTGACGTTGCTTATCAGTTAAGGAATTTTTGGGCTATGACGATGAAGTTATCTAAGTATACAATCATGTTATCTCCAAACAGAGACAATTTGACTTCCTCTCTTTCTGTTTGAATACGCTTTATTTCTTTGTCTTGCCTGATTGCCCTGGCCAGAACTTCCAATACTATGTTGAATAGGAGTGGTGAGAGAACACATGGACAGAGGGAGGGGAACATCACACACTGGGGTCTGTCACGGAGTGGCGGGCTAGGGGAGGGATAGCATTAGGAGAAATACCTAATGTAGATGATGGGTTGATGGGTGCAGCAAACCACCATGGCACATGTATACCTATGTAACAAACCTGCATGTTCTGCACATGCATCCCAGAACTTAAAGTATAATAAAAAAATTAAAAATATATAAGAACTATTTTCAACACTGTGAAAATCAGCATCTAATCTGTTTAAAGGACTGAGCTGCATTTTTGATGCATGATTTCTTTCTGACAGCTCTACTCTGTTTGGACCATTATTGTTTCCATTTTCTTTATGAAAACCCTAGAAACGGAGAATTTAAAAATCTTGATCAAGGGCATGCAGATGGTAACTAAGGAGGCCAGGGTTCTTAATAACTACACATAAAAGAAAGTAAATAATCATAAAAAAAAGAATCTTTTACTCCTTCCAGACTTTCAAATTTTAGCCCAACTTCCTCAATTAACTAAATGTGCCTTTCTTTGGGCAATTCTAAAAGTATAGGGATAGAGTATAACCCAGACGATTTGTACAAAAGTGCCTCAGCACAATGCTGCGTGCCCAGTTTTCACCAGTCTTTGACCTAATCAATGCAAAAGTAGTTGAGTCCACTGACTAAGCACAACACTATTACAGATAAAATATAGATGGGATACAAACGCATGCAATGTAAAAAGTGAGAACCTAAAATCTAGTTTGGCAGAAATCTGGAAATAATCCAGGTAAATTAGCTTCATAATAATAATTGCATTTTTTCGCACAACAATAATGTGGCAAATACTTCACAGATTTTATCTTATTTAATCTGCACAAGCACAAGTTGAGTACTGCTATCCACAGTTTAGTTGGGGAAAATGAGACTTTCTGAAACTTGTAGGAGCTAGAGAGTGTTAGGGTAGGCAGATTCAGCCTGGGTTTGACTGGTTCAAAGCAGAGCACAGCTGCCTGCTTATTCCTGCCAAACACCATATTTCTGGTAAAAGATCTCAGAGCCCAAATCAGTTCACCCCCTGCTCAACAAATCTTACTTCCTGTATAAACCTAAGTTAGTTTTCACTGGGTAAGACAGTGCTTTTGGAATTAGAAATTTTTCATCCAGCTCCACTTCATGCTGCTCATTTCCACTTTTCCTTGATCTTAATTATTAGAAGAGAAAAGAATATCCTGAATTTCAAATTATTTAAATAGAGCAGCAAATTTACAACTAAGCTAGGTTAGATGTATCCCAGATATCATTGAAACTGCCACTTAAGTTGAATTAGATTATAAATAACCCACTAGACATTCTTTACTTTTTTCTCGTAAACAATATTCAGTCACTTATGGAAAGGCATTAAATGCATGAGAGTCTGAGCCTGACACTCAGGAGTTGGTACTTTCTTATGAAGAACAAAAGAAAGTATTTTATTTTTCAATATGAAATCCCAAACGCGAAATAACTTATTATTTAAAGCCTATTTAATTAATACTGCCACAAAGCTTTAACTGAGTAGGAGAACATCTTAATAAGGGAGAAAGCTTCTCATTGAATACAGTGGCCCAGAAGTACAAGAGAATAGAAGCTCCATGAAAAGAGTTCATAGGGAACATTGGATAAAAACATCAGAATAAGCAAGCATGGTAAAAAGGGTGGGCTAGTGAGAAAAGGTGAAGCGAGTACATGTGAGCTTGTCTCTGCCCACAGAAGGAAATAGAATGTAGTCAAGCATGTGGCACAGGTTGATATCAGAGAGATCTGAGTTCTAACTCTAGCTGTAACACTCCAGCAAGTCACTTAACATCTCAGACACTTCACCCATACAGTGAGGATAACTATCTGGTAGAATTATAAGGATTAAATGAACTAAAATGCAAAAGCACATCCCTCCATATCTGGCTCTTGTTTAGAAAGAATTCAATAAAGTAGACGTAAACATAAATGTTAGGAATAGTTAATGTTGATTTACAAAGGGTCAAACATAAAATAATATACCTTTTTCAATATTTGCTAGGGTTTAAAAATTAAAATAAATGTTTTAAGGAACTCTTAATGCAGTACTTTTCAAACTTTTTCACTACAATATCCTAATGTGGATTCTAAAAGAGCTTGTTGACATGCCAAAAAAGATAAATTACTTTAAAATCTTCTATTGAAGTGCTATGCAATATTTGTATAAATATATGACTGTCAGTTAGTGTATGCAGCGCACCAGCATGGCACATGTATACATATGTAACTAACCTGCACATTGTGCACATGTACCCTAAAACTTAAAGTATAATAATAAAAAAATAAATAAATAAATATATGAGTGTCTGTTATTACTAATTTAGTACACTTCAGAACTCATATATGTAACATTTAGGCAATATTTGCATTTATATGAGTTATATATATCTCATATATATGAGTTATGAAAGGTATTCAATTAGGAATAATAGACACTCTTAAAATAGTGGCCTGAACTTATCAGAGTTTTTTTAAAAATAAGAATTCTAGATATGAACAGTCTAGAGTTCCATGACAACTTGATAGGATTGCTAGAATTAGCAAATACAAATCCAAGACCCTGGAGATGATAGAGTAGACATACGACTATTCCCTCTTCTTCCCACTCAGTACAACTAAAATCCCGGGGCATTATATATAAAATAAACATAAGAAGATCCAAAAATCCCACTACTGGGTATATATATCCAAAGAAAATATAATCAATATGTCGAAGAGAGATCTGCACTCCCATGTTTACTGCAGCATTATTCACCACAGCTAAGACACAGAAGCAACTTACATGTCCTCCATCAGATGTATGAATAAAGAAAATGTGGTAATACACTTAGTGGAATACTATATTCAGCCTTTAAAATGGGGGAAATTCTGTCATTCCGAACAACATGGATGACCCTGGAAGACATTATGTTAAGTGAAATAAGCCAGGCACAGAAAGACAAATACCACATGATTTCACTCACATGTGGAATCAAAACAATCAAACTCACAAAAGCAGAAAGTAGAATGGTGGTTACCAGGCCCTGGGAGTGAAGGAAATGGAGAGATGTTGGTTAAAGGACACAAAATTTTAGTTAGATAAGAGGAGGAAGCTCAAGAGCTATATTGTAGACCATATCGACAATAGTTCATAAAAATGTACTCTTGAAAATAGTGAAATAAGTAGATTTTAAGTGTTCTCACCCAAAAAATAACTATGTGAGATAATATATGTTAATTAGCTCAATAGCCATTCTACAATGTATACATATTTCAAAATAACAGATTGTATATGGTAAATATATACAATTTTGTCAATTAAAAAATCAAACTAAAAAAATAAACAAGTAAATAGGTATAAAGAGACCCCAAAAGGCAGAGAGAAGAAGGCAGATCAGCTAGGGACCTTGGGACTTTAAAAACAATGCTGTAGTGAGTTCCCTGAGCTTCTTTTCTTTTGGCCTCATATATCCTAGACTGGGGAAGCCAGTAGCCCTGAAATGGCAATAGGGATAGATTTTTTTTTTAAAGTTTCCTCAAAATCCTGGTCCCTCTAGTCAAAGGAACAGGAAAGTGACCACCTAGCAAGACAGAAAACTTTTAGGCAATATCTATTCTACTCCAGCCAAACACAACCAAAAAAGTACGGCCCCTCCATACTCATACCAGCAAACGCCTTGTGGGGAACCTACACTTCTATCCTCCTAAGGCTGCAATGAGGCATTCTGGCCTCCCACAGAGTGGTGTCAGAAAAGGCTGAATGGGGAGCCAGGACTTTCACCCCTTTTGAGCAGTAACAAGCCCTCTTTCTGCCATGGTGCCAGTGGGGAGCACCATGTGATCCAGCAGTAATGAGGTGTTCTGCCCCTCCTCACTGGGGTGGTGTTAGCAGAGGTTTTCCCCACCACTTAATGGTACTGAGGCCACCCCTAACCCCATGGTGTCATGGAGGCCAGGTGGAGAGCAGGAACAAGGCATTTCTTCCCTTCCCTGAAAGAGTCATATCGGCAAAGGCCTAGTGGGGAGACTAAGCTCCAATCCAGCCTGGGAGTAGCAATGAGGCATTCCCCATCACAGATGCTAGAGGCTAAGTGGAAAACATAGACTTTCAGCCCCTACCTATTAGTAATGGGGAGCAGCCCACTTCACTCACTGGAGTGGTGTCAGAGGAAGCGTAATAAAACACTAGATCAAAATATGATTCTGTCTTTAACATTATACTCAGGATATCCAGGTTTCAACAGACAATCACTCATCATACAAACAGGAAGATCTTAAGCTGAATGAAAAAAGATAATCAACAAATAGCAAAACCAAAACAATGCTGCCATTAGGTGATCAAAGATTTAAAAGCAGCCATCATAAAAATGTTTCAATGAGAAATTATGAAAATGCTTCAAACAAATGAAAAAATAGAAAGTCTCAACAAAAAAGAAGATAAAAAGAACCAAATTTAAATTTTAGAAAGAAGAATACAATAACTGAAATGCAAAATCCACTAGATGGATTCAACAGCAGAATAGACAGAAGGAAAAAATTCAGTGAAATTAAAGATAGAACAGTAACAATTAAAATATGTGAAAAACAGAGAAACAACAGAGAACATGGAGTTAAAAAGAATTAGAATAAATAATAGATGCAAGTTTCCAAATTCGACAAAAGACATAAACCTGGCCAGGTGTGGTGGCCCATGCCTGTAATTCCAGCACTTTGGGAGGCTGAGGCAGGTATACCACCTGAGGTCAGGAGTTTGAGACTAGCCTGACCTACATGGGAAAACCTATCTCTACTAAAAATACAAAAAATTAGCCAGGCCCTGTGGCACACAAATGTAATCCCAGCTACTCAGGAGGCTGAGGGTTGCAGTGAGCTAAGATCATGCCACTGCACTCCAGCCTAGGCAGCAGAGTGAGACTCCTTCTAAAAAAAAAAAAAAAAAAAAAAGACATAAACCTATAGTGTCAAGAAGCTTACTGAGCCCCAAAATAGTATAAATCTAAAGAAATCCATGCCAAGACATCTTGTAGTCAAACTTCAGAAAATTAAGACCAAATTTTTTTTTTCTAAATCAATTCAGAGAGAAACAACACATTACCTAAGAAGAAAATCAATTCTAGGGACAGTGAATTTCTCATCAGAAATCATGGAGGTCAGAGGAAGTAGCAGAACAGTTTTCAAGTGCTTAAGAAAAATAATTTCCAAAATATATCCTTCAGGATTGTAGGGCTCTCAAGACAATCTGAAATGAAAGAAAGCTAAGAAAATTCGTTGCCAGCTGACCTACCTTAAGTGAATGATTCATGGAAACTCTAAACAGAAAAAAAGTGATAAAAGAAGAAATCTTGGGAGAGGAGAGGGACCCAAGACAGCCAACTAGATGTGGCCAGGAGGAACATCTTCTGCCAAGAGACTGGGACATTGGGAAGACTGACACACTCTGAGCAGATCTTCAGAGGGATGGCATTGAGAGTAGGCAGAGGGAAGACACAGGTGCTAGGCTGAAAGGGAAGGAAACTGAGAACCCTATACTGTGCTACTGATCACCAGGACTGGTTTCTAGCCCCCAGCAAATCATGGGTGAGTTGAATAGACAAGGAGTGGCCTGTGCTCACCATCGACATCTGGAATCCTAGTGGCAAGAGGCCCCATGACTGCCATGGACACTTGACTTGGCAAGGAGAGCTGCTTAGAGTGGTGGAAGGGGCAGGGTGTGGAGGCCCAGAGGGTTTGGTATAGGAGTGTCTGCAGTGGAGCACAAACAGGGACACCAATCCCCCAACACTCACCATGCTCTCCTAAGAGACTTTAGCTTTAGGGTGACTGTTGGACCTTGACATGAGCAGGAATGGATCCTGCTACCACCATCCCAACAAACCACTTTGGTTGGCACCACCCATCAGAGTATCATAGCTAGAGGACTGGGAACACTTTGGCCCTTCCAGCTCAACAAGTTTCTAATGCCAAGGGGCTAGAGAGCAAAGCCAGAGGCCTGGTACCAGCCTGCCAGAGCTACAGCACCTAGCCCAGGAGTGCTGAGCCAAGTGTTGGCCACCTAAAATCTTCCAGAGATGAAGCTAGCTGACTGAACCCATTTTATGTCACAATCAAACCCCAAGGTCATCAAAGAAGATAAAAGCAAAAAAACCCATCCACAGGACAGCAACTTCAAACACTGAAGAAATACCAGCCTACACAGATGAAAAAGAACCAGCACTAGAACTCTGGTAACTCTTAAAGCCAGGGTGTCTTCTTACCTCTAAATGACTGCACTAATATCCAGGAATGGTTCTTAAACAGGCTGAAATGGCTAACATAACAGATATAGAATACAGAATATAGATTAAAATGAAGGTCATCAAGATTCAGGAGAAAATAGAAACCCAGTCCAAGGAATCTAAGGAATATAATAAAATCATACAGGAGCTGTAAGATGAAATGACCATTTTAAGAAAGAACCAGACTGATCTAAAAGAGCTGAAAACCTCACCAAAAGAATTTCATAATACAATCACAAGTATTAACAGCAGAATAGACCAAATTGAGGAAAGAATCTCAGAGCTTGAAGACCAGTTCTCTGAAATAACTCAGTTAGACAAAAATGAATAAAAGATAAAAAAATATTTAAAAAGAGTGAACAAAACTTCCAAGAAATATGGGATTATGTAAAGAAACCAAATCTATGTCTCACTGGTGTTCCTAAAAGAGACAGAGAGAAAAATACAATTTGTAAAACAAATTTCAGGATATAATCCATGAAAATTTCCCCAACCTTGTTAGAGAGTCCAAGATTAAAATTCAAGAAATACAGAGAAATCCTGCAAGATGCTGTACAGGATGATCTTCCCCAAGACACAAGGCATCAGATTCTCCAAGGTCAAAATGAAAGAAAAAATATTAAAGGAACTACAAAGAAGGGCCAGCTGACCTATAAAGGGAACCTCATCAGGCTAACAGTGGAATATTCAACAGAAATTCTACAAGCCAGAAGAGATTGGGGGCCTATATACAGCATTCTTAGAGAAAAGAAAGTCAAACCAAGGATTTCTTATCAAACTAAGCTTCATAAGCAGAGGAGAAATAAAATCCTTTTCAGACAAGCAAATGCTAAAGGAATTTGTTACTACCAGAGCTACCTTACAAGAGGTCCTGAAGGGAGTGCTAAATATGGAAAGGAAAGATCGTTACCAACCATCACAAAAACAAGCAAGTACATAAACTGTATGGTTGACACTATGAAGCAACCACACAATTAAGTCTGCATAATAACCAGCTAACAACACAATGACAAGATCAAATCTGCACATATAAATATTAACCTTGAATGTAAACAGGCTAAATGCCCCAATTAAAAGACACAGAGTGGCAAGCTGGATAAAGAAGCAAGATCCAACTGTATGTTGTCTTCAAGAGACCCATCTCACATGCAATGACACCCCTAGGCACAAAGTAAAAGAATGAAGAAAAATACAAGCAAATGGAAACACAGTAAAGTCAGGGGTTGCTATTCTCATTTCATATGAAACACACTTTAAATCAACAAAGATCAAAAAAGATAAAGAAAGGCATTACACAATGGCAAAGGGTTCAATTCAACAAGAAGACCTAACTATCTTAAATATGTATGCACCCAACACAAGAGCACCCAAGTTTATAAAACAAGTTCTTAAAGACCTATAAAGAGACTTAGATAACTACACAATAATAGTGGGAGATTTCAACATCCCACTGACTGTATTAGACAGATCATCAAGGCAGAAAACTAACAAAGATAATCAGGACATGAACTCAACACTTGAACAAATGGGCCTAACAGACACCTACAGAACTCTCCACCACAAAACAACAGAATATACATTCTTCTCATATACACATGACACTTACTCTAAAATTAACCACACAACCAGCCATAAAACAATTCTCAGCAAAAGCAAAAAAAAAAAAAAAAGGAAATCACACCAACCACAATCTTGAACCACAGCACAATAAAAATAGAATCAATACCAAAAAGATGGCTTAAAATCATACAATTACAAGGAAACAAAACAATATATTACTGAATTATTTAGAGTAAACAATTAAATGGAAGCAGAAATCAAGAAATTCTTTGACACTAATGAAAACAAGGATAAACCACAACAGAATCTCTGGGACTCAGCTAAAGCAGTGTTAATAGAGAAGTTTACAGCACTAAACATCCACCTCAAAAAGTTAGAAAAATCTCAAATTAACAACCTAACATTACACCTAGAGGAACTAGAAAAACAAGAGCAAACCAACCCCAAAGCTAGCAGAAGAGGAGAAATAACCAAAATCAGAGCTGAACTAAATGAAACTAAGACCTGAAAAAGCATACAAAAGAACAATAAGAGGGGGCGGTTCCAAGATGGCCAAATAGGAACAGCTCCAGTCTACAGCTCCCAGTGTGAGTGACACAGAAGACGGGTGATTTCTGCATTTCCAACTGAGGTACCAGGTTCATCTCACTGAGGCTTGTCAGACAGTGCAGGCAAGACAGTGGGTGAAGCCCACCGAGCATGAGCCGAAGCAGGGCAAGGCATTGCCTCACCCAGGAAGTGAAGGGGTCAGGGAATTCCCTTTCCTAGCCAAGGAAAGTGGAGATGGACAGCATCTGGAAAATCAGGCCACTCCCACCCCAATACTGCACTTTTCCAATGGTCTTAGAAACTGGCACACCAGGAGATTATATCCCATGCATGGCTCAGAGGTCCCATGCCCATGGAGCCTCGCTCATTGCTAGCACAGCAAACTGAGATCGAACTGCAAGGTGGTGGCAAGGCTGGGGGAGGGGTGCCCACCATTGCTGAGACTTGAGTAGCTAAACAAAGCAGCCAGGAAGCTCTCACCGAGTGGAGCCCACCTCAGCTCAAGGAGGCCTGCCTGCCTCTGTAGACTCCACCTCTGGTGGCAAGGCATAGCCAAACAAAAGGCAACAGAAACCTCTGCAGACTTAAATATCCCTGTCTGACAGCTTTGAAGTGAGTAGTGGTTCTCCTAGCATGGAGTTTGAGATCTGAGAATGGACAGACTGCCTCCTCAAGTGGGTCCCTGAACCCCGAGTAGCCTAACTGGGAGGCATCCTCCAGTAGGAGCAGACTGACAACTCACACGGCCAGGTACCCCTCTGAGACAAAGCTTCCAGAGGAACAATCAGGCAGCAACATTTGCTGTTCAGCAATATTTGCTATTCTGCAGCCTCCACTGCTGACACCCAGGCAAACGGTCTGGAGTGGACCTCCAGCAAACTCCAACAGACTTGCAGCTGAGGGTCCAGACTGTTAGAAGGAAAACTAACAAACAGAAAGGACATCCACACCAAAACCCCATCTGTACATCACCATCATCAAAGACCAAAGGTAGATAAAACCATAAAAATGGGGAAAAAACAGAGCAGAAAAAGCTGAAAATTCTAAAAATCAGAGCACCTCTCCCCCTCCAAAGGAATGCAGCTCCTTGCCAACAATAGAAGAAAGCTGGATGGAGAATGACTTTGATGAGTTGAGAGAAGAAGGTTTCAGAAGATCAAACTTCTCCGAGCTAAAGGAGGAAGTTCAAACATCGCAAACAAGCTAAAAACCTTGAAAAAAGATTAGATGAATGGCTAACTAGAATAACCAATAAAGAGAAGTCCCTAAGTGACCTGATGGAGCTGAAAAACGTGGCGCAAGAACATGTGACGAATGCACAAGCTTCAGTAGCTGATTCGATCAACTGGAAGAAAGGGTATCAGTGATTGAAGATCAAATGAATGAAATGAAGCAAGAAGAGAAATTTAGAGAAAAAAGAATAAAAAGAAATGAACAAAGCCTCCAAGAAATATGGGACTATGTGAAAAGACCAAGTCTACGTCTGATTGGTGTACCTGAAAGTGACAGGGAGGATGGAACCAAGTTGGAAAACACTCTGCAGGATATTATCCAGGAGAAATTCCCCAACCTAGCAAGCCAGGCAAACATTCAAATTCAGGAAATACAGAGAATGCCACAAAGATACTCCTTGAGAAGAGCAACTCCAAGAAAGATAATTTTCAGATTCACCAAAGTTGAAATGAAGGAAGAAATGTTAAGGGCAGCCAGAGAGAAAGGTTGGCTTACTTACAAAGGGAAGCCCATCAGAATAACAGCTGATCTCTCGGTAGAAACTCTACAAGCCAGAAGAGAGTGGGGGCCGATATTCAACGTTCTTAAAGAAAAGAATATTCAATCCAGAATTTCCTATCCAGCCAAACTAAGCTTCATAAGTGAAGGAGAAATAAAATCCTTTACAGGCAAACAAAAGATGAGAGATTTTGTCACCACCAGGCCTGCCCTACAAGAGCTCCTGAAGGAAACACTAAACATGGAAAGGAAAAACCAGTACCAGCCACTGCAAAAACATGCCAAATTGTAAAGACCATCAATGCTAGGAAGAAACTGCATCAACTAATGAGCAAAATAACCAGCTAACATCATAAGGACAGGATCACAATATTAACCTTAAATGTAAATGGGCTAAATGCTCCAATTAAAAGACACAGACTGGCAAATTAGATAAAGAGTCAAGACCCATCAGTGTGCTGCATTCAACAGACCCATCTCACATGCAGAGACACACATAGGCTCAAAATAAAGGGATGGAGGAAGATCTACCAAGCAAATGGAAAGCAAAAAAAAAAGCAGGAGTTTCAATCCTAGTCTCTGATAAAACAGACCTTAAACCAACAAAGATCAAAATAAACAAAGAAGGGCATTACTTAATGGTAAAGGGATCAATTCAACAAGAAGAGCTAACTATCCTAAACATACATGCACCAAATACAGGAGCACCCAGATTCATAAAGCAAGTCCTTAGAGACCTACAAAGAGACTTAAACTCCCACACAATAATAGTAGGAGACATTAACACCCCACTGTCAACATTAGACAGATCAATGAGACAGAAAGTTAACAAGGATATCCAGGAATTGAACTCAGCTCTGCACCAAGCGGACCTAATAGACATCTACATAATTCTCCATCCCAGATCAACAGAACATACATTCTTCTCATCACCACATCACACTTATTCCAAAATTGACTACATAGTTGGAAGTAAAGCACTCCTCAACAAATGTAAAAGAACAAATTATAACAAACTGTCTCTCAGACCACAGTGCAATCAAACTAGAACTCAAGATTAAGAAACTCACTCAAAGCCACTCAACTACATGGAAACTGAACAACCTGCTCCTGAATGACTACTGGGTACATAACAAAATGAAGGCAGAAATAAAGATGTTCTTTGAAACCAATGAGAACAAAGACACAACATACCAGAATCGCTGGACACATTTAAAGCAGTGTGTAGAGGGAAATTTATAGCACTAAATGCCCACAAGAGAAAGCAGGAAAGATCTAAAATTGACACCCTAACATCACAATTAAAAGAACTGGAGAAGCAAGAGCAAACACATTCAAAAGCTAGCAGAAGGCAAGAAATAAATCAAAGCAGAACTGAAGGAGATAGAGACACAAAAAACCCTTCAAAAAATCAATGACTCCAGGAGCTGGTTTTTTTAAAAGATCAACAAAATTGATAGACTGCTAGCAAGACTAATAAAGAAGAAAAGAGAAGAATCAAATAGACACAATAATAAATGATAAAGGGGATATCACCACTGATCTCACAGAAATACAAACTACCATCAGAGAATACTATAAACACCTCTACGCAAATAAACTAGAAAATCTAGAAGAAATGGATAAATTCTTGGACACATACACCCTCCCAAGACTAAACCAGGAAGAAGTGAATCCTTGAATAGACCAATAACAGGCTCTGAATTGAGGCAATAATTAATAGCCTACCAACCAAAAAAAGTCCAGGACCAGATGAATTCACAGCCAAATCTACCAGAGGTACAAGGAGGAGCTGGTACCATTCCTTCTGAAACTATTTCAATGAATAGAAAAAGAGGGAATCCTCCCTAACTCATATTATGAGGCCAGCATCATCCTGATACCAAAGCCTGTCAGAGACACAACAGAAAAAAGAGAATTTTAGACCAATATCCCTGATGAACATTGATGCAAAAATCCTCAATAAAATACTGGCAAAACGAATCCATCAGCACATCAAAAAGCTTATCCACCATGATCATGTGGGCTTCATCCCTGGGATGCAAGGCTGGTTCAACATACGCAAATCAATAAATGTAATCCAGCATATAAACAGAACCAAAGAAAAAAACCACATGATTATCTCAATAGATGCAGAAAAGACCTTCAACAAAATTCAACAGCTCTTCATGCTAAAAACTCTCAATAAATTAGGTATTGATGGGATGTATCTGAAAATAATAAGAGCTATTTATGACAAACCCACAGCCAATATCATACTGAATGGGCAAAAACTGGAAGCATTCCCTTTGAAAACTGGCACAAGACAGGGATGCCCTCTCTCACCACTCCTATTCAACATAGTGTTGGAAGTTCTGGCCAGGGCAATCAGGTGGGAGAAAGAAATAAAGGGTATTCACTTAGGAAAAGAGGAAGTCAAATTGTCCATGTTTGCAGATGACATGATTGTATATCAGAAAACCCCATTGTCTCAGCCCAAAATCTCCTTATCTGATAAGCAACTTCAGCAAAGTCTCAGGATACAAAATCAGTGTGCAAAAATCACAAGTATTCTTATACACCAATAACAGACAAACAGAGAGCCAAATCATGAGTGAACTCCCATTCACAATTGCTTCAAAGAGAATAAAAAACCTAGGAATCCAACTTACAAGGGATGTGAAGGACCTCTTCAAGGAGAACTATAAACCACTGCTCAACGAAATAAAAGAGGACAAAAACAAATGGAAGAACATTCCATGCTCATGAATAGGAAGAATCAATATAGTGAAAATGGCCATACTGCCCAAGGTAATTTATAGATTCAATGCTATCCCCATCAAGCTACCAATGACTTTCTTCACAGAATTGGAAAAAACTACTTTAAAGTTCATATAGAACCAGAAATAGGGCCCGCATTGCCAATACAATCCTAAGCCAAAAGAACAAAGCTGGAGGCATCATGCTACCTGACTTCAAACTATACTACAAGGCTATAGTAACCAAAACAGCATGGTACTGGTACCAAAACAGATATATAGAACAATGGAATGGAACAAAGCCCTCAGAAATAATGCCACACATCTACAACCATCTGATCTTTGACAAACCTGACAAAAACAAGAAACAGGGAAAGGATTCCCTATTTAATAAATGGTGCTGGGAAAACTGGCTAGCCATATGTAGAAAGCTGAAACTGGATCCCTTCCTTACACCTTATACAAAAATTAATTCAAGATGGATTAAAGACTTAAACATTAGACCTAAAACCATAAAAACCCTAGAAGAAAACCTAGGCAATACCATTCAGGACATAGGCATGGGCAAGAACTTCATGTCTAAAACACCAAAAGCAATGGCAACAAAATTCAAAATGGACAAATGGGATCTAATTAAACTAAAGAGCTTCTGCACAGCAAAAGAAACTACCGTCAGAGTGAACAGGCAACCTACAGAATGGGAGAAAATTTTTGCAACATACTCATCTGACAAAGGGCTAATATCCAGAATCTACAAAGAACACAAACAAATTTACAAGAATAAAACAAACAATCCCATCAAAAAGTGGGCTAAGGATATGAACAGACACTTCTCAAAAGAAGACATTTATGCAGCCAACAGACATGTGAAAAAATGCTCATTATCACTGGCCATCAGAGAAATGCAAATCAAAACCACAGTGAGATACCATCTCACACCAGTTAGAATGGCGATCATTGAAAAGTCAGGAAACAACAGATGCTGGAGAGGATGTGGAGAAATAGTAACACTTTTACACTGTTGGTGGGACTGTAAACTAGTTCAACCATTGTGGAAGACAGTGTGGCCATTCCTCAAGGATCTAGAACTAGAAATACCATTTGACCCAGCCATCCCATTACTGAGTATATACCCGAAGGATTATAAATCATGCTGCTATAAAGACACATGCACACATATGTTTATTGTGGCACTATTCACAATAGCAAAGACTTGGAACCAACCCAAATGTCCAACAATGATAGACTGGATTAAGAAAATGTGGCACATATACACCATGGAATACTGTGCAGCCATAAAAAAGGATGAGTTCATGTCCTTTGTAGGGACATGGATGAAGCTGGAAACCATCATTCTCAGCAAACTATTGCAAGGACAAAAAACCAAACACCGCATGTTGTCACTGATAGGTGGGAATTGAACAATGAGAACACTTGGACACAGGAAGGGGAACATCACACACAGGGGCCTGTCGTGGGGTGGGGGGATGGGGGAGGGATAGCATTAGGAGATATAGGTAATGTAAATGACAAGTTAATGGGTGCAGCACACCAACATGGAGCATGTATACATAAGTAACAAGCCTGCACATTGTGCACATGTACCCTATAACTTAAAGTATAATAATAATAAAAAAAGATCAATGAATCCAGGACTTATTTCTTTCAAAGATTAAATAAGATAGACAGCTAGCTAGCTGCAAAGAAAAAAAACAGAGATCTAAATGAACACAAGAGCATTACACAATGGCAAAGGGGACAGTACCCCGGACCCCACAGAAATACAAAAATCCCTCAGAGTCTACTATGAATATCTCTATGCAAACAAACTAGAAAAACTAGAAGAAATCAATAAGTTTCTGGAAACATACAACCTCCCAAGATTAAATGAGAAAGAAATTGAATTCCTGAACAAAACAATAATGAGTACCAAAATTGAATCAGTAATGAAAATCCTACCAACAAGAAAAAGCCTAGGACTAGACAGATTCACAGCTGAATTTTACTGTATGTATAAAGAAGAGCTGGTACCATTCTTATGGAAACTATTCCAAAAACTTGAGGAGGAGGGAATCCTTCCTAACTCATTCTATGAGGCTAGCATCATGCTGATACCAAAACTCAGCAGAGACACAACAACAACAACAAAATTCAGGCCACCAGGCACAGTAGTTCATACCTATAATCCTAGCACGTTGGGAGGCCAAGGTGAGAGATCACCTGAGGTCAGGAGTTTGAAACCAGCCTGGCCAACATAGTGAAACCTCATCTCTACTAAAAATATGAAAATTAGCCAGGCGTGGTGGTGTGGGCCTGTAATCCCAGCTACTCAGGAGCCTGAGGCGGGAGAATCACTTGAACCTGGGAGGTGGAACCTAGGTTGCAGTGAGCTGAGATCACTCCAATGCACTCCAGCCTGGGCAACAAGAGCGAAATTCTATCTCACAAAAAAAAAAAAAAAAAAAAAGAAAACTTCAGACCAATATCATTAATGAACACTAAGGCAAAAATTGTCTTACAAAATACTAGCAAACCAAATCCAGTAGCATGTCAAAAAGCTAACCCACCACAATCAAGTAGGCTTTATCCATAGGATGCAAGGTTGGTTCAACGTATGCAAATCAGTAAGTGTGATTCATTACATAAACAGAACTAAAAATAAAAACCACATAATCATTTCAATAGATGCAGAAAAGACTTTTGATAACATTCAACATTCCTTCATGTTAAAAATCTGCTGCAAAGTAAGCATTGAAGGAACATACTTCAAAATAATAAGCGCCATCTCTGACAAACCCACAGCCAACATCATACTGGATAGGCAAAAGCTGAAAGCATTCTGCTTGAAAACTGGAATAAGACTAGGATGCCCTGTCTTACCACTCCTATTCAGCATAGGACTGGAAGTCCTAGGTAGAGCAATCAGGCAAAAGAAAAAAAAATAGAAGGCATCAAAATAGGAAGAGAGGGATTTACTCTGTTGATAGTTGATTTTGCTGTGCAGAAGCTCCTTGATTTAATTAGATCTCATTTGTCAATTTTTGTTTTTGTTACACTTGCTTTTTATCTACAAAACATAGCAGCATTTCTATACACCAACAATGCCCAAGCTGAGAGCCAAATTAAGAAAACAATCCCATTCACAATAGCCACACAAAAAATAAAATACCTAGTAATACAGCTAACCAGGGAGGTAAAAGAGCTCTATAATGAGAATTACAAAACTTTGCTGAAAGAAAACAGAGATGACACAAACTAATGGGAAAATATTCCATGTTAATGAATAGGAGGAATCAGTATTGTTAGAATGGCCATACTGCCCAAAGCAATTCACAGATTTAATGTTATTCCTATCAAACTACCAATGACATTCTTCCCAGAATTAGAAAAAAATATTTAAAAACTCATATGGAACAACAACAACAACAACAAAAAGCCAGAATAACCAAGCAATCCCAAGCAAAAAGAACAAAGATGGAGGCATCACATTACCTGACTTCAATCTATACTACAAGGTTACAGTAACTAAAACAGCATGGTACTGGTACAAAAACATACATATAGACCAATGGAACAGAATAGAGAGCCCAGAAATCATGCTGCACACCTACAACCATTTGATCTTTGACAAAGTCAACAAAAACAAGCAATGGAGAAAGACTCCCTATTCAATAAATGGTGCTGGGAAAACTGGCTAGCCATATGCAAAATATTGACACTGGACCTTTTCCTTACACCATATACAACAATCATCTCAAAATGAATTAAAGACCTAAATATAAAATCCAAAACTATAAAAACCCTGGAAGATAACAGGCAATACTATTCTGGACATAGGCCCCAGCAAAGATTTAATGATTAAGACACCAAAAGCAAGTGTAACAAAAACAAAAATTGACAAATGAGACCTAATTAAACCAAGGAGCTTCTGCACAGCAAAATCAACTATCAACAGAGTAAACAGACAATCTACAGAATGGGAGAAAATATTTGCAAACTCTGAATCCAACAAAGATCTAATATCCAGAATCTATAAAGAACTTAAACAAATTAAAAAGCAACAAACAAACAACTCCATTAAAAAGTCGGCAAAAGACATGAACAGATATTTTTAAAAGAAGACATATATGTGACCAACAAGCATATAAAAATTATCAACATCACTAATCATTAGAGAAATGCCAATCAAAACCACAATGAGATACCATCTTATACCAGTCAGAATGACTATTATTAAAAAGTCAAAAAATAACAGAAGCTGATGAGGTTGTAGAGAAATGAGAACACTTATACACTGCTGGTGGGAATGTAAATTAGTTCAGCCATTGTGGGAAGCAATTTGAATATTTCTCAAAGATCTTAAAACAGAACTACCATTTGACCCAGCTGTTCCATTACTGGTATATACCCAAAGGAATAGAAATTCTCCCATAAAGAAACATAAATGTGTATGTTCATAGCACTACTCACAGTGGCAAAGACATGGAATCCACCTTTCTGCCCATCAATGGTAGGATGGATAAAGAAAATGTGGTACATATACACCACGAAATACTACGCAGCCATAAAAAAATGAGATCATGTCCTTTGCAGGAACATTGATGCAGCTGGAGGCCATTATCCGAAGCAAACTAACACAGGAACAGTAAACCTAAGTGGGAGCTAAGCATTAAGTACACATGAACACAAAGAAAGAAAAAACAGATCCCAGACCCTACTTGAGCATGGAGGTTGGGAGGGGGGTAAGGATGGAAAAACTATCCATCGGGTACTTATGCTTCTTACCTGGGTGATGAAATAATCTGTACTCCAAACGCCCATGACACAATTCACCTATATAACAAACCTGCATATATACCCCTGAACCTAAAATTAAATTTTTTTAAAAAGAAATCTTGGAATGTCGTAAAGAAGGAAAAATACAAATTTAGAAGAAAGAACAAAAATATGAGTAAACACAATATGTTGTCCTTCTCCTCCTGAGCTTTCTAAGTTATGTTTGATGGTTGAAGTAAAAATTATAAAACCATGTAGTGTTGTTGTCGATGTATGTAGGGGAAATATTTAAAATGGATTATATTATAAATTGGGGATACTAAAGGATATAAAAGCAAGGAAGTTTTCCACACTCGAATTGGTAAAATATTGGCACCAGTGGATTGCAATAAGTTATTCATAATGTAACGCCTAGAGCAACCAGTACAACTGCTTTACAAAGAGATACACTTAAAAATTATAGATAAATTAACATTAAATGCTAAACACTGCTTGTGTTGTCCATAGGATGGCAGGAAAATGAAAACCAGGAAAGGAAAAACAGAACCAAAAATTTTAAAAAATGGCAGACTTTGCCTTAAATATCAATAATTACATCAAAAGTAAATAACCTAAATAAAACAATTAAAAGATTGACAGAGCATTTAAAAAAAGAAGAAGAAGAAGAAAAAAACAAGATCTATAGGAGTTGGGGGGAAGGATAATTTTATAGTAGGAGACACTGACAAATTCTACCTCAGTCAGATGATCAAGGCTAATATCAATAGTGGTAAGTCCAAAAGTAAACACAACAAAAGCAAAAATCAACAAATAGGATCTAATTAAACTTAAGAGCTTCTGAACAGCGAAAGAAACTACCAACAGAGTAAACAGACAACCTACAGAATGGGAGAAAATATTCACAAACAATGCATCTGACATCCAGCATCTATAAGGAACTTAAAGAAAATTACAGATGCTGGCGAGGGTGCAGAGAAACTAGTTTACACTCCCACTAACAGTGGGAGTGTAAATTAGTTCAACCATTGTGGAAGCAGTATGGTGATTCTTCACAGAGCTAAAAGCAGAACTACCATTCAACCCAGCAATCCCATTACTGGATACATACCCAAAGGAATATAAATCATTCTACCATAAAGATACATGCATGTGTATGTTCATTGCAGCACTATTCACGATAGCAAAGACATGGAATCAACCTAAATGCCAATCAATGACATTAGGTAAAGAAAATGTGGTACATATACACCATGGCATATTATGCAGCCATTAAAAAAGAACAAGATCATGTTGTTAGCAGGAACATGGATGGAGCTGGAGGTTATTATCCTTAGCAAAGTAACACAGGCACAGAAAACCAAATACCAAATGCTGTCACATATAAGGTGGGAGCTGAATGAGGAGAACTCATGAACACAAAGAAGGGAACAAAAGACACTGGGGTCTACCTGAGGGTGGAGGGTGGGAGAAGGAAGAGGAGCAGAAAAAATAGTATTGGGTCCTAGGCTTCATACCTGTGTGGTAAAATAATCTGTGTAACAAACCCCTGTGACACGAGTTAACCTGTATAACAAATCTGCACATGCACCCTCGAGCCTAAAATATAAGTTAAAATAAGAACAGAAAAAATAAACCCAGTGGTAAGTCATTTTGATAGCATGTCTCCTTAATATCATGGGATGAAAAAGGCACTCTGCTTCTGGGGTCTTCCTCCCTAAAACACATTACCCTAGTCTAATCATGAGAAAACTATCATATAAATCTTAATTAGGTGACATTTTACAAAATATCTGAACAACATTCCTTAACAATTTCAAAGTCATCAAAAGGATGGAACTCTGTGAAACTGTCACAGGCAAGAGAAGTCTTATACAAGATGACTAAATGTAACATGGTGTGATGTACTAGATAGGATCCTGGAACATAAAAGGAGCCTTAGGTTAAAACAAAGGAAATCTGAATAGATTATGGACCTTAGATAATACTAATTTATTGATATTGGTGCATTAATTGTAACGAAGATGCCATATTCATAGAGTAATGGGGAGAACTCATTGTGGGCTATATAGAAACTCTCTGTACCATCTTCCCAGTTCCCCTAAAGCTGTTCCAAAATAAAAAGTTTATTTTAAAAAATGACTCAGCCATATGCCTTCTACAAACAGCTCACTTCAGCTAAACACAGGCTGGAGGAAGACTATTTTTGCCGTATTTTGTCCTTTAGTTTTGCTAGTTTTATTAGATAATTTGATGGCTTTTAAACAAGCAAACAATATAACCTAGTTAAATTTGAATTTCGGATAAACAACACTTCTTTTTTAGTTTATGGATGTCTCATGCAATATTTGGGACATCCTTATACTAAAAATCATTCATTTTTTTTTTGAAATTCAAATTTCACTGGGATGTTTTATATTTTAGCTAGCAGTTCTAGGATATGAACCTAGCTTCCTACCTATTCTTCTCTTTCATCCTTCACATGTGAGGATGTCATAGAAAGTGTCATATTCTGAAATAAAACTTCCCAAAGAAGAAAATTCCTTTTCATCTGAGTGCTGAATTGTGTGTGCTTCTTAATGGCATGTGATTCATTACAGAGATGTAAAATGGGCCTACTACAATGCTTGAAACACAGTAAGTGCCCAAAGATGAAAGTTACTATCTTCAACAGAAATTAGGGTTAGGGTTAGGCTCAAGAGACTACAGATTCATAATAAAAACATACTCAGTTTATTGCCCTACAGAATAAGTTTTTGCCGTTGTCATCATCATCATCATCATTATCACTGCTTGGAAAAGTCTGATTGCAGGAATGCAATCTAGTTAACAACGCAATGTTGTTTGTTTATAATATGAGGTAAGGGAATTAAAGCTTGCAAAATTTTGGGAAACATAATATGACAAAGTATTTTTTTTTGGCACTGTATTTAAAAACATCTATGAAGATATAAATGCTAAAACAGATACTTAGGTGTTGTTTTACTTCCTTTAATGAGAAGATTAGCATATGCAATCTCCCAGGACCATCTACAGCATGCCAGGACTGCCTAGGCCATATGTCTTTCTCAGCAATTCTTTCTCTCTGGTTTAGAGAACAGGCTGAAATGAAAAAGACACACTTGCCTTTTTTGGAGCCCATTCCTTCCGGATAGCTCTCTATTCAGGCCCAGTTCATCAATATCATCTGGCTGCTAAGCTGAGCCCTATCTTGCAATTTAAATTGATTGGGGCTTTGCGTGTGAGTTGACAGCTACTTAAAGTCACTATTTCGGCCGGGCATGGTGGCTCACGCCTGTAATCCCAGCACTTTGGGAGGCCGAGGCGGGCGGATCACGAGGTCAGGAGATCGAGACCATCCTGGCTAACACGATGAAACCCCGTCTCTACTAAAAAATACAAAAAAATTAGCCGGGCGTGGTGGCGGGCTCCTGTAATCCCAGCTACTCAGGAGGCTGAGGCAGGAGAATGGCGTGAACCCAGGAGGCGGAGCTTTCAGTGAGGGGAGACAGCGCTACTGCATTCCAGCCTGGGTGACAGAGCGAGACTCCGTTAAAAAGAAAAAAGAAAAAAAAGTCACTATTTCATGCTTTGTGCCAGATGTCTTTTCTTTTCTTTTTTCTTCTTTTTTTTGAGACAGAGTTTCACTCTTGTCTCCCAAGCTAGAGTGCAATGGCATGATCTTTGATCACTGCAACCTCCGCCTCCTGGGTTCAAGCAATTCTCCTGCCTCAGCGTCCCCTGGTAGCTGGGATTATGGGTGCCTGCCACCACACCGAGCTAATTTTTGTATATTTTTTTTAGTAGAAATGGGGTTTGACCATGTTGGCCAGGCTGGTCTTGAACTCCTGACCTCAGGTGATCCACCTACCTCAGCCTCCCAATGTGCTGGGATTACAGGAGTGAGCTACTGCGCCCGGCCATCATTTTATTTTCTAGATGAAGAAAAGAAGACAATAAACTTGCTTTAGGTCAAAATCTACTAAGTAGTAGAATGATGTTCAACCAAGATTTGTCAGACAATAAAGTCCATGCACTGAACTTACTACAAAATCTCAACTTCCTTGAGTTTGAAGCTACCTTGTTTTAAATTTTCAATCCTTCCTTCTCCTAGCAGTCTCTATGGTCTGGAGGAAGAGTTACCACAAACCCCTATCCTTTGTTGTTGAGTTAGCAGGTTGTGAAGACTGTGTCTAGTTACAGAGATGCTTGACTAAGTCCCTATATAATCTAGGATCTGCCCTAGCTGCTTTAGGGAACAAGGATTGTTGAAATGATCCTAGAGGTCTTGCTACCTGAAGCTCTTTAAGGAGGCACAGGTCAACCTAACAGTGAAAACCTTTTGTTTACTTCTAATGTACCTCTGTTTGGGACGCCCACCAAGTTAGTCGTGCTGGATTGCTTCCAGCTCTTCTTCATTTCCAGTGTATGGAATAACCAGGCAAGTCTTTCTCCTGGTAGCTCATCTCACTCCAACCCTTCTCCTCACCTATATGCATTAAGAACATCTTTTAATTTAATTCTTAAAACACAAGAAATTTTAAATATATCTCCATATAGCACCAGATGCACATAAGCCTCTTAAATTAGTCTGCCTTTTTATAAAGTAAAAGTTATTTCTTCTATAGTATGCAATAATTAAGCAACGTTTGCTATATACCAGGCACCATGTGCTAGGTGTCAGAGACATAATAATGAACATCAATACTTTCGAGAAATTGAGGGGTAAAACGGTAAGGTACGTGTACAAATAACTAGATATGATTCAAGACAGGATAACATAAGTGCTAAATCGAGATTAAAAAGTTATTTTTGTGGTGCACAGAAAGGGGTAATTTATTCCCATTACATGCAATGCTGAATGAAAATGCAGCATTTTTCAGGCCAATTAGTTGGGAAACTAATTGACTTCACTTAGCTGGGGGCTTCCAGCACGAGTGAAGTGCACTTGCTCATTGGACAGAGTGTCTGATCAGGGGCCAACAGCCATCACCAGGCGACTCATAATCACAGACCGTCAAGCGGCATTGAAGATTAGGCTCCAAGGAAAGGCAGTTCTATTGATTGCACGTAAAAGCATTACTTTAAAATACTCTAGTAACTGTGGGTCAGGACTTTGAGATGGCAGTCCTCCAATGAACAGCCAAGAGAGAAAACTATCGTTACTGTCTTGTCAAATCACCTCTTGAGAGGTAAATGGTGGGTTCCAAAAGGCAATGTGTTCATTTTGCAAACTCTATTCATAGGGACCATGGGAAGCTGGCTACTGCGGCATAATTTTAGCAGCCCTCCAGGACGCTAACTGCCTAACAGGATTCCTCTTGCTTTGGAGGACCCTTCCTACATTCTGAAGTTCCACTAAAATTAGAGGCACTGGCTACAGTAGCATTTCAAAAACAGACGAATGGTGCCTAGGGACAGCGGTAGTGGGGGACACAATAAAAGGAAACCTTGGAGCATTGCTGAATTTCGCAGCTTCCCCCAAATGTCCGCTCTTCAGACCAGAATATCAAAACTCTTTCCAATAACTGCGTACTTGATCACAAGAGTGGTTGCAACATTTGGGAGTAATGCTAAAGATTTTATAATCTACACATTATAGTAGAGGAGTGCTATTTTTAAGTTATTTTATTGAGTAAGTATACATAGTAAATATTTCAAGCGGCTCCCTACATAGAAGTGTTTCTTCGCTCCTGAGGAGAAATAGAAAGAAAAGCAAGCACCGAGAGGAAGTATAATAATATGTAAATATTATTTTATAGGGTAAGGATTAATGTTGGGCTAAGGGTAAGAGTTAGAGTCAATATTAGGCTTCAACTTAATTCAAATGTATTCTAATCATTGAAGAATTAATTTTTCCTCTGAGTTGCAAGTTTGCAAAATCACCATTTGGCTTAATCTTTTTTTTAAGTATTATTTTTCTTTGTAATGTTTAAATCAAACCATTGATTATATTTATCAAGCAGATTTTGTGTGTTTTGAAAGACAGTCATTTTTCGTGCTATTCTGAAAATATTAATTGACTAAAATACTGACATCTTGATCATTATTATTACTGTCACATTTATTTTAGTGTTTCAGTCTATGTCAACCAGCATGTCCTGACACTGCAATTACACTGTGGAGCTTCTGCCCTCCACATGAATTTAATAACATATCTGGAAGAAAGCCTCACAGCATCCTTGGTTGGGTTGACAGCCAACTCCAGAAACATAAATCTTTCAAACTCAATTGTGTTCTAATGCTTACATAAATATCAGTTTTACAAACTGTCATTTCAGAGTAATTTAATGTATTAATTAAGTGACAAAGCCATTACCCTGCATATTTCTAATATTTCTGCTATTCCCAGGAATTCTCAGGAAAAGATCCTTTTAACCACTGTAATAGCTCACAAAATGAATTTTTATAAGGCTACATCAAAGTATAGGACAAATTTGCCTTAAAATTACAGAGAGGAGATTGCAACATTTAAATTTGACTTTTAGCACAAATTAAAAAGAAAAACAAATAATAAAATGAGAATTAGAACAGACAAACCTCAAGGACTATTTAAATGTATAGTCACATGTTGCTTAACCACAAAGATATGTTCTTAAAAAGCATTGTTAGCCAATTTTGTAGTTGTGTGAACATCATAGAGCATGCTAACCCAAACCTAGATGGCATAGCCTACTACACACTTAGGCTACATAGTATTGCCTTTTGCTCCTGGGCTACAAACTTGTACAACATATTACTGCACTGAATACTGTAGACAATTAGAACACAGTGTTGGCCAGGTGCAGTGGCTCATACCTGTATCCCAGGATTTTGGGAGGCCAAGGCAGGTGGATTGCCTGAGGTCAGGAGTTCCAGATCAGCCTGACCAACATGGTGAAACCCCATCTTTACTAAAAATGCAAAAATTAGTGGGGCGTGGTGGCACACACCTATAGTCCTAGCTACTCAGGAGGCTGAGGCTGGAGAATCTCTTGAACCCGGGAGGCGGAGGTTGCAGTGAGCCAAAATCATGCCTTTGCACTCCAGTCTGAGTGACAGAGTAAGACTCTGTCTCAAAAAAAAAAAAAAAAAAGAATGCAATGTTAAATATTTTTGTATCTAAACAGAAAAGGTAGGTAAAAATATGGCATTATAATTTTATGGGCTTGCCATCATACATGCAGTCAGGATTGTTGACCAAAAGAATGTTGTGCAGTGCACAAGTGTATATTAATCCCAGGGCATACCTCTACTGTAACACATATGACTAAGAAAGATTCATAAAATTCTTTTCTTGTCCATTTCAATCACTATGTTACTTTTGTCATCATTTTGAGTGTTATTTCCCTTGGGGAAATTGCTGTTTCTATTTGTAGTGAGAGATTGAAGATACAAATGGACAATGGTCATGTTACATATAAAACAGAACTGTGACCCACAATCTGCAGCAACCTCCAGGAAGCCAACCTTCTGATCTATAACAACCCAGGCAGCCAGCCTGCCATAAATCAGACTTGCAGGGGGCCAGACTGCTCTCTCTAGTGACAATTCAGGAAACTCAACAATAACTTCTGTGGCAGTTGACCCAAAATGATCAGGACTTAATTAACAACTGACAGCTTCCCTAATTTTTGTCCCCACTTCCAACTTAACATCAGAGAAAGTCAAATACACCCCACCACCACCACCAAATCACAGGACTTTGTGCTTCCAGTTGGTAGCCTCCAGCCTCCCCAGGCCCACAGCCTCCATTGAGAGCACACCTGGAGCCTTCCCTTTTTCCACTATGAAGCTTTTCCACTCCTCTGCCTGCAATGAGTCTGCCTAAATGCAAGTGAAGGTAGCTGACTCCCTTGCTACAACAAGTGAAGAACAAATTGTCTTTGTTTTTCTCATTTGGTTGGTCTTCTTTTCTTTCCACATGTCGTGGTATGGGGTATAAATTTAGAGTTATCCAGAACTGGGGAAGGGAATCTGTCTTTGGCTCCTTCTCCTCAGCTGATGAGAACAAATGCTGAGGGTACAAAGCTCCCTAGCCAGAGTCTGTTCTGCAAGGACCTTGCCCTTCATTGCAACAAAGAGGATAAGAATATGCAATGATACTACTCCAGCCCACTTACATCAGCATTTGGAAATGTTAAAAAAAAATAGTTTGGATGGCCACAGTTGCTGGGGAACACAGCTGGCTTTCAGCGAGTGAAGGATGCTAAACATCTGCAAGGCTTGGGGCGGTCCCCCCCATAAAGACTTGATCTACCAGCAATGCCATGTATGGCCCTAGAGAGAAACACTGGGTTCAAGTCCACCCCTCCTTCCTACCCCTTGCAAAATAATTTGCATGACTGATGAATGCTTAGTATCTTTATTTAGGCTCGTGCAATTATAATTCCAGCAAACCCTTAATTTCCCTTAAAGATATCTGGTGCTTCTTTAGAGACTTCCATATTTCTTTTAAAGACCACAAAGATGAATAAAGCTTTAATGCATTTTACTGTCCACATAGCTTCTAAGAATATTTTTATTCCCCTACTATATATTAGACATTGCCTAGAGCTCTAGAGACAGATACCAAGATGAGAAATTTCAATAATTTCAATATATTGCCAACAACTTTCTAGTCTAATGTGTCCCTCACTTGTTTTGGGTATTATGTAATTTGAGTATAGGTCTATAATAACTTCATTTGTCACTAGTATGCTAGAGATTCCTTTTCTATGGCAACATTCTGAACTCTTGTTAAGTAATTTATATCAGAAGTAACACGTGAAAAGGAATAAGTATGTATTACTGACTACATTATCCTATTAGTTTCATTCATTCTTTACACTATATTTTGGCACCCTAACTGACTCATATCAATATATTTAACAAAGAGGAGAAACACATCAAAAACTCATTTGAATTTCTGAACATTTCTAATCACACATCACTGCTCAGGTGGCGGGGTGCACCAAAATCTCAGAAATCACCACTAAAGAACTTAACCATGTAACCAAAATGTAAACAGGAAGAGTAGGTAGGATTAAAGATAGACAGCAAATTCCTCTGCCAATGACTATTTATGATTTGTAGATTTTCCACCTATAAAATGTGCTACACTTTCTACTCAAAAGAAACATTATGAGACTCAGCAAGTTAATAATCCAAAAATACTTGAGAATTGTTCTAAAAGAAAGGATAAACAATAATAACAGGAGTTTGGGTTCACATATTCCTTTGCCTGTGCCTACCTCTGCACACCCCCAGTCACCAATCAATATAAATTACATTGCCCTTCCAAGGAACAGCTTAGTTGCCTGTAGTTATAGTACAAATATCATGTCCTTATTCTCAGCTAATGAAAATCAGGATTGCTTTTTTGCTACCAAGTCAATTTAAATCGTGCTAATTTATCACCTACTTTAGAATAATAAAGAATTTAAATTTTATATTTAAATATGGTACAGTTTATTGATGGGTTAGTCATAGGAGACTAGCACTTGTAGTAGGTATTCATGAGATTTATTATGTAGTATTGATTGTACTTTACCAATTAGAAAAAAAAACCCTCAGTTTGATACAGAATTCAAATAACTTTTTATTATTCAAAATTAAAATCATTACCCAAAGTTGAATAAACATGTATAAACTGGCAATGTTTGATATTCAGGTTATCAAGTAAGTCTCTGAACTACTGCTAAAAAGAGCATAAATAACACCTGGTACCCAACGGACAGTTTGAGCAATGATCTAAATAATTTAAGCTGAAAATAAATGTCTTTGTTTTGTTTTAGTTTGCTTTGATCCCAAATCTTTCCCTGGAGTATGAAGAAAAAGTAATTAAAAACTATTCATGGAGTAAGTACTTTAATGTATCTGCTTCTGAGGCTCCAGGCCAAGATCGTCTTGGTCTTTGTCATCAAGAAGATTGTTGGCTTAGAGAGACGATGACAAACAAGCACTTACGTTCAAAATGAAATGTAATTTCTAGCAGTCCAATTTGCAATTGCAAAAATTTGGAACCAGCCTAAATGCCCATCGACCAATGAGTGGATAAAGAAAAAAAAAAAATATATATATATATATATATATATACACACACACACACAATGGACTACTACTCAGCATAAAACTGAACAAATAATGGCATTCACAACAACCTGGATGGGTTTGGAGACCATTAGTCTAAGTGAAATAGCTCAGAAATGGACAACAAAATATCATGTCTTCCCACTTATAAGTGAGACAGTATGAGGATTTGGAGGTAAGCTATGAGGATGCAAAGGCAGAATGATATAATGGAATTTGGGGACTCCGGAGAAAAGTTGGGAAGGGGGTGAGGAATAAAAGATTACATATTGGGTGCAGTGTGTACTGTTCAGGTGACAGGTGCACCAAAATCTCAGTAATCACCACTTAAGAGCTTATCCATATAACCAAAACACACCCACCTGTTCTCCAAAAACTATTGAAATAAAATCAAATAAAAGTGAAATGTAGTTTCACTTTTGGTGCAAAAGTAATTGCAGTTACATTGGTGCAAAAGTAATTGCGGCTTTTGCCATTACTTTTAGCTTGGTGCAATTACTTTTGTACCAACCTAATAAAACATGAAAAAGACTGTAGTTGATGACTTATGCTTTGGGGGAAAATGACTTCAAATAAGGTTTTCAAAGATGGAGATGCCATAATTATTGTTACACTGAATTTATCCTCAAAAGTTTATTTAAAAATTTTTTTCTCACTAGAAAGTATTCTACAGTCATGTATCTCCACACCTTTCCTTGTCACAATTTCTGCCCCAGGTATTAGCAAGCTCAGTGGAGTTGGCAATCCCTCTCTCCTTTCATTATGTTATTACTTTTTCAGCAGGCACAGACATTCCTTGGCTAGTTGTCTCAGCAAATTTATGCACCGAGATTCCATCCAAACTCATTTTAATTATCCTAAACCAGAGACCGTGGTTTCTATTTCTTTATTGGTCCCAATGTGCCTGGAACATGGCTGGGCCCATTAAATATTTGTGGAATGATTGAGTAACAATTAAAGAAGATTCTGGAGAATCTGCAACATATCTATGAAAAACTCAAGAAGTGGTAGATTGTATTAATAGTATCCAGCGTTTTTCCAATTCCCTTTCATTGCCTGTAGCTCTCTGCACATCTAATCTCCCTAAGAATCATGTGGCTCATGGTAGGATTAAAAACTGAAACTGAAATTTGAATGATTTCATCATTGTTCTCTAGGTCTGTAACAGAAGTCCAAGGGAAAATTCTCTAGTTTCCAGTAAATTCATCATTGAATTCACTCCCTACTTTGGCTTTTGTTCTGTGTTGAAACTTTAGCTAGTCAAATGGACTTGAATTTGAATCTTAAAGTCTTTCTTTATCTTTGATTATTGCTGTGCTCTATGGGCTTAACAATCTTGAAGATAATAACTTTGAAGTCTAGTTTCATAAAAAAAGTTTTTAAGTTATTGGATAACTTCTGAATGTATCTATATAGCAAAAGTAAAATGGGCAGCTGAAGGCATCACACAGATGGTCTGAGTCATTCAATAGCCTTTCTGTTGGGAAAGGCGGTATTTTGTTGTAGTTTAGGTCCTGATTGGCTCTGATGAATTGTATTTTACACTGAGATGCTTGCTCAGCTCATTTATCAGCCTCCTCTTTATTTAATTTTGGTTTTCATTAAAGCTAATATTGCAAAAGAATCTCCCGTGTTTGTCATTTATAGCCAGCAATGGGAGAAAGCTGTCTCCATCTCATCTCTCAGCGTTCCCATCCATTTGCCTTTGAACATGTGGCTGGAGGACCTAGCCAGCTGTCATCCTCTAAGAGAGACCCACGTTTTTCTGTATTTCAGTTATCTATAATGGTGCAGCCCTAGAGAAGCGCTGATAATACTATTGTGACTTCACAGTGGAGCTCCTGAAACTATCTTATTCATCTTAAAATTGCCTATTACTTTGGGGCAAAGTAGATGCTTCATAAATATTAGATAAAAGAGAGAAAGGGAGGGGGGACCGAGAGAGGTGTTTTGAGCTATTACGTGGTATGAAGCCATTCAAGCTGTTCAACGATAATTTTAGAAAATATATTTTATGCAACAAAAACTATAGATGGTGCTGTGAGTACCCTCTCAAGGTGACCCTTAGGAAGATCAGTTTGCCTTTGGCAAGAGACTTTGTGGTGTTTTCCCAGACATCAACATGGAGGTGCAGGCACTAAATAAGCCTATAAATCATCAGCCAATATATTTTGAAGTCATGATAAATTGTGTACTGGCAAGAATTAAACATGAAACAATAATGAGTCTACATGAAATGATTAAAATCTGGCAATGCTAAGTTTGCTGCTGAAACTTCCCACCAATGGGAAAAATTTAAATACTTCAAGTTGTGTAATTGCATGGATTGTGAGTGCATGAGAAAAACACAGTGACTGGATGCATCTGCACTTCCGAATGCAACATCTGTCCTTAAAGACCAAGCATCAGGAAACATCCTAATACCCTGATGAAACACCTCCATATCACTCCAGTCAATGCAGGGGAGCAGGTGCCCAGGACAGAACCTTGCCTTGGGCCTTAAGGTTTATCTGTGAAGAACTCCAGCTGGTGGGGTCATTGAAGCAGAGGCTCCCTTTGTCTTGGAGACCCAATCCTGCCAGCACCCGTGTTCCCCTTCTTTGCCCCTGCTGCACTGATGTTGGGAAAGTAAAACTGCATGGTATTGTGTGAAATACACTTCACACTGCCTGGGACTCCAGAACACAGGGTGGTAGGGAAGTTCAGAGAACGTGTGTGTGAGGGAAGACTCAGCCTTCCCTCCTGCCGCCCTGCCTTTCTGACTGCAGAGGCTGGACCGAGAGGGCTGGTAGGCACAGAACTGCACCTCCATCCTTCCCTGCCTTTCCAGACCCCTGGGAAGCCCTCCCGGTTGTACAGACTAAGCTCTCCAATGTAAAATGAACTAAATACCTGTTATGTGGTACACTCTTTACATTAAAAGTGCTAATCATCCTGACAGTCCAATAATATTAATATTATAATCTTCCCAATTTTGCCGATGAGTAAAAAGAAACCAAAGGTCACAGAATTAATAAACGATAGATTTGGTCGTTAAATGCAACAAGCTACATTCTTCTATGCTAATTGGTTCAATATTTTCTGTCCCATATTAATTGAAAAAAAAAATTTGTTTAAAACACCAGGTTTTCAAATGCAGCAAACCCCAGGCACCAGAGAACATTCTTAGAATACTCTCTAAAATCTAACCCTAGGGAATGTGCAGCTGAACAAAAAATAACTCAAGAAACAAATTTTATTATTTTCCCCTGAGACAAACCAAAGGCATTAAAAATAAGAAATAAACTTGTATGTTTATGAAAAGTCATGGGTCATTTTAAAATTTTGACTTTGCTATTTCCTCTGTTACCTTAAGTGCATATAAATCACTCTTTCCAGCAAGTGTGAATGTGCTCAGAAAAGTGTGTTAGACTGTTCCCAAGTTTAACTCTATTATTACATTTCTCTCCCAACTCAGGTGTCGTAAAAATATAAAAACAGAAACAAGTCTTATAATAAATTGCTGCTGCAAGTTACTCTTTGTTTCTATCAGTGATCTACTTTTGTATATTGCTGTTATTTTATAGTATGAACAAAACCTATCTATTGTTGGCATGTGGTCATAATTATATGATATTTAAAAGTACAAAATGGAAATACCAATTAAAAACAAATTAATTACCAAATTAATTTGCATTATATGTATAAAAAACCAAAAAGATTAAACAAACTCCCCCTTTTTTATTGAGTATCATGCTTCTGCTATTAAATTGTCCTGATCATCTGAAAGGTAATCACGTGAGTAATAAGACGAAGGCTCGAACTCTTCCCCATCACCTAGTAGGTGACTTTAGGCAAGTCACACTCTTAGCAACAAGGAGGAGGCTAAGCCAGAATATTTCTAGGGGCCTTCCTATATTAAGGTTTTCGATGTCATGACTACCACAGTGTCTGCATTTTCACTCAGATATTTAGTGGACAACTAAGAGATTCTAGATGCATCAGGTGTGTCTGATCTTGAAATTCAAATAAATTTTCCTGATAATCAGTGGCAAATGCAAAGAGAGCTAAGTTTTCCATTTCAAGCCTTCTCCCTGCCCACAACTCAAGGCTAATAAATCTATGAATTATCTATGACTCATAGCCATAGCATTTATATAATGATACTGCACAAGTCAAGAGCCTTAGCACTTTTAAGGTATCTTTGGCAGGCAATTCTCAAGGTTGAGAAACATCATATTAGGACATACTCAAAACATGGTCAGAGTGGGAAGATGATGATATTTGTGAGTGAATCAGGGGAGGAAATGTTGCTACATTTGATTCCCTTGAGCAGGGACAATAGGCAAAATTCTGGATCTGATATCCAGGAGTAATGTGTGGTGGGCAGAGGTAACCTCGAGGGAATGGGCAAGATTGTTAATCCAGCCTCCCTGGAAATGCTCTTATCAGCCAACTTGGACCAAGTCAGATCCTCTAAGAAGATGACGGGGGAGGGTCCCTTGAGCCCAGGAGATTGAGGCTGCAGTGAACTATGATCATGCCACTGTGCTTCAGTCTGGGTGACAGAGAAAGACCCTGTCTCTAAAAACAAACAAACAAACAGAAAAACAGTTCCTACTGTATAAACAGATTCTATAAACGTCCTGCTCCGCTTTGCAAACACATCACTACTCCAGTCCTCCTTGATTAAGGTATAAGGACTTCCTTAGACCTACAAAGACATTTTAAGAACCCTAATATTGGCACACAGAGATAGACAATGATGAATTAGTAAAATAATTTTCTATGTTATATGAGATGATATACTTGCATCTAAGAGTCAGCTATCTACCAATTATGTTAATTTTACCATCTTTGAAAATGCATTTTCTCTCCAATGTAATGGTTTGTAGGGTCAATTAACAGCTAAATACTGTGGAAGTAAAATGTATAAGTAGTTGTGATGTACTCAGTATTTTCACATACTTAAAATAATAGAAGAAAATAGGGAATTAAATCATCTATATTGTTAAACATTAACTTATGGGAACATTTTAAGGACTATCTTTAATTTTACCTGTTTGAAAAAAATCCTCTGCAAAGAGTAATATAAATACAAATTAACCTGAGCGGGTAAGCTCACAGAGCATGCATGATCAAATGAGACGCAGGTCAGAAGGCACATGGGGCATGTGTGGTGTGGAAGAGCCACAGCCAGCTAGGGTCCTAAGGACTGGGGAGAGAGGGAAGGAGGACTCAGCGCCTGAGGTCTTGTACCTCAGGACTTGACAGTTTGGAGAGCAGAGGAGAGGACAATTGCAAGAAAGGAAATGAAACAGCTTAGAATAACGCAAGGGCTCGGGGGTGCAGGCTGAGAGTCTTTGGCCAGCCCCTCATGTGTACTCAGCCTCTGCGCCCTCAGTTCTAAATGGTGACAATGCAATCTCACTGCATAGCTGTAAAGAAGGGAGATTATATTTGTATAATCACTTACAGTGCTCAGACTGTGTGTGTGTGTGCACCATAAATGTGAGTTTCTTAGTTTCTCACCTTCAGTGGAATCTATCAGCGTTTTGTCTCTGGCATTTCAGTTTCAGAGTAAACAAGGAAGGCCAGGTTCAGCTGAGGATTTCCACAAACCACTGAGGTGCTTTCTGGTCTCAGAATAGTAGAGAGTTAAGGCCCCCACAGGAGCCACCTCTGGACCCCCTCAGGGATCAGAGCTTGCAGGGAGGAGGTGAAGAGAAGACAATGAAGCCTGCTGAGAACACTCTGCACCCTTCAGCCATCATAAGCAAAGTGACCTACACTCAGAGACCAGGCTACTTATTTTAGAATAATAAACTTTTATAAACAACAAGTACACTGTACTACCTTGGCAACCTTAAAATGTGTGCTTTTATAACCTGAACCTAAAAATCACCCCTATGGGAGGAGAACTAGTCGTTTGGAGACAAATAGGCCTAAGAAATATAAGTCTCAAGTGGACAGAAGAAAACCACTATACATTAATGAAATGAAGCAATTAAATGTGACACATAGAACAACAACAAAACAATCAACAACATTTTGTACATTTGAAAACAATAATGAGGGTACTGCATAATTAATTTCCATTTTCCATCTCTTGTTAATTAGAGATTTCGAAGGATCACTATTCCCCAGAGTGTCACTATGGCAGACAATATGAATTTAAGAACATTTTTTGACCTTCTTTCAAGTGCATTAGAGTATTAAGACTCCATTGTTGACTTCCTCTTTCCAAATCTCATCATTATTCCAAAGATGTGCAAAAACGTCAGTGTTTGAGAAGGATGGAGCATTGGGTGATTTTTACTTAACAAATACCATTAAGACTCAGGGACTCTGTCTCTGCTTACCTCTTTCTCACGCCACCTTTGCATCATTGATGCTGGAGAAGTTGCAGAGAAATCCTCTAGCACATCAGTCTCCTTCCTCCTCACTAATGCATGTGTAATATAATTCATGTTTCATCTTCTCCAACCCCTTGTTATCTCTCCCAAAGCCAAATTTGAAAAGCCTTCCATTTCTGCTCTGCCATTCACCAGACTTAGTTTCTCTTTCCAGTCTAGGTTTCCTCTAATTCTAATTTGCCCAGGATTAATGTACTAAGAGGACACATATCTGATATGAGATCCTCATGACTGTAAGAAGGAGAACATATCCTTATACTTAAGAAAAGAGAGACAGAGGGAATTAGAGGCTTAAGAGATGTCATTGCACTCTCTGTAATCCAGTTTCCTGTGATCCAGTTTCCTGGTGGCAGTAAATTACCTCACAGAAGTTAGATGGCTCCTATGTACATTTCTTAAATGAAGTGATATCTATAACCATTTAGGTCTCTGGTACTAATGATACTTAGCTTTCTGACATTTTTAATTCTTCAAACACATTTATTCAACAAAGATTTTGCACCATGCACAGAACTGCATTGGGCTTTATTGAAAGACACAAGAAAGAGACAGGTTCTATGCCCCCACCCTTAGAAGATTTCAATCTACTACAAAACGCTGACAAAATCTAGACACTCAAAAAACAAACAAACAAACAAACAAATAAACAAAACAGAAAGTAATTTCCAAGACAGTCTATACAACCAGACACATAATAACTGAAACCCCAATCTCTGAGGAGGGAGGAGCTCATGGGGGCAATTACATGCCCTTCTCATATTGATGCTGACACAGAGGGTGGAAACAACTTGCCCTGGGACACACAGCTCATCAGTGGCAGAGTTCAGACTCAAAACTGACCTCCTGATCTTCACTTCAGTATTCGCTTCACCACTAACAACCACTACAAATTGTAAGTAGTTTATGCTGTGTTCCAATCCAGCATTTGCCAACTGAGAAAAGTAGACTTAAGGGATTGAGGTTACAAGTGGAACTTAGTGGATATAAGTGAGCCCTTGTGCATTTTTGTTTGGTTGGTAGGCTATCAATTACTGCCTCAATTTCAGAACTTGTTATTGGTCTATTCAGGGATTTGACCACTTCCTGGTTTAGTCTTGGGAGGGTGCGTGTGTCCAGGAATTTATCCATTTCTTTTAGATTTTCTAGTTTATTTGCATAAAGGTGCTTATATAGTATTCTCTGATGGTAGTTTGTATTTCTGTGGGGTCAGTGGTGGTATCCCCTTTATCATTTTTTATTGTTTCTATTTGATTCTTCTCTCTTTTCTTCTTTATTAATCTAGCTAGTGGTCTATTTTGCTAATTTTTTCAAAACACCAGCTCCTGGATTTACTGAAATCTTAGTTATTTCTTGTCTTCTGCTAGCTTTTGGATTAGTTGGCTCTTGCCTCTCTAGCTGTTTTATTTGTGATGTTAGGGTGTCAATTTCAGATCTTTCTAGCTTTTTGATGTGGGCATTCAGTGCTATAAATTTCCCTGTTAACACTGCTTTAGCTGTGTCCTGGAGATTCTGGTTGTCTCTTTGTACTCATTGGTTTCAAAGAAATTTGTGATTTCTGCCTTAATTTCGTTATTTACCCAGGAGTCATTCAGGAGCAGATTGTTCAATTTCCATGTAATTGTGTGGTTCTGAGTGAGTTTCTTAATCCTGACTTCTAATTTGATTGAGCTGTGGTCTGAGAGACTGTTTGTTATGATTTCAGTTCTTTTGCATTTGCTGACAAGTGTTTTACTTCCAATTATGTGGTCAATTTTAGGATAAGTTCCTTGTAGCACTGAGAAGAATATATATTCTGTTGATTTGGGGTGGAGAGTTCTGTAAATGTCTACTAGGTCCACTTGATCCAGAGCTGAGTTCAAGTCTGAATGTCCTTGTTAATTTTATGTCTTGTTAATCTATCTAATATTGACAGTGGGGTGTTAAAGTCTCCCACTATTATTGTGTGGGACTCTAAGTCTCTTTGTAGGTCTCTAAGAACCTGTTTTGTGAATCTGGGTGCTCCTGTATTGGGTGCATGGATATTTAGAATAGCTCTTCTCATTGAATTGTTCCCTTTACCATTATGTAATGCCCTTCTTTGTAATGCCCTTTTATATTTGTTAGTTTAAAGTCTGTTTTGTCGAAGACTGGGATTGCAATCCCTGTTTTGTTGTTGTTGTTTTTTTTAACTGTCTATTTGCTTGGTAAATTTTCCTCCATCCTGTATTTGGAGCCTATGTGTGTCTTTGCACTTCAGGTGGGTCTTCTGAATACAGCACACCAATGAGTCTTGACTCTTTATCCAATTTTCCAGTCTGTGTTTTAGCCCATTTACATTTAAGGTTAGCATTGTTATGTGTAAATTTGATCCTGTCATCATGATGCTAGCTGGTTATTTTGCACATTAGTTGATGCAGTTTCTTCATAGTGTCATTGGTCTTTATATTTTGGTGTGTTTTTGCAGTGGCTGGTACCAGTTTTTCCTTTCCATATTTAGTGCTTCTTTCAGGAGCTTTTGCAAGGCAGGCCTGGTGCTAACAAAATCCCTCAGCATTTGCTTGTCTGGAAAGAATTTTATTTCTCCTTCACTTAGGAAGCTTAGTTTGGCTGAATATAAAATTCTGGATTTAAAATTCTTTTCTTTAAGAATGTTGAATATTGGCCCCCAATCTCTTCTGGCTTGTAGGGTTTCTGCTGAGAGGTCCACTATTGGTCTGATGGGCTTCTCTTTGTAGGTGACCTGGCCTTTCTCTCTGGCTGCCCTTAGCATTTTTTCCTTCATTTTGACCTTGGAGAATCTGATGATTATGTGTCTTGGGGTTGATCTTGTTGTGGAGTATCTTAGTGGTGTTCTCTGTATTTCCTGAATTTGCATCTTGGCCTGTCTTGCTAGATTGGGGGAGTTCTCCTGGACAATATCCTGAAGTGTGTTTTCCAGCTTGGTTCCATTCTCCCTGTCTCCTTCAGGTATCCCAATCAATCGTAGGTTCAGTCTTTTTACGAACTCCCATATTTCTTGGAGGCTTTGTTCATTCCTTTTCATTCTTTTTTCTCTAATCTTGTCTGCATGCCTTATTCCAGCAAGTGGTCTTCAAACTCTGATATCCTTTCTTTCACTTGGTCAATTCGGCTATGGATATTTGTGTATGCTTCATAAAGTTCTTGTGCTGTGTTTTTCAGCTCCATCAGGTCATTCATTTTCTTCTCTAAACTAGTTATTCTACTTTGTAGCTCCTCTAGCCTTTTATCAAGGTTCTTAGCTTCTTTGCATTGGGTTAGAACATGCTCCTTTAGCTCAGCAGAGTTTTTTATTACCCATCTTCTGAAGCATACTTCTGTCAATTCGTCCATCTCATCCTCTGTCTAGTTCTGAGCCCTTGCTGGAGAGGCATTGCAATCATTTGGAGGAGAAGAGTCACTCTGGCCTTTTGGGTTTTCAGTATTTCTTCTTTGATTCTTTCTCATCTTCACGAGTTTGTCTAGTTTCGATTCTTGAGGCTGCTGACCCTTGAATGGGGTTTTTGTGGGGACTTTTTTGTTGTTGATGCTGTTGTTGTTGCTTTCTGTTTGCTTGTTTTTCTTTTCTTTCAATGGTCAGGTCCCTCTTCTGTAGGGCTGCTTCGGTTTGTGGGGGTTTCACTTCAGGCGCTGTTCATCTAGTTCACTCCTACACATGGAGATGTCAACCCATGAATGGATAAATACATTGTAGTATATCTACACAATGGAATATTTCATGCTACAAGGCTGATGAATCTTAAAAACACGTTAAGTGAAAGAAACTGTACAAAAATGATCACACATTGTATGACTTTGTTTATATGAAATATCTATGATAGGTAAATCCATAGAGACAGAGCACACATGACTGGTGGTTTCCAGAGCAGCAAAGATGAATGCCTGCTCCTTCTTCTGGGATCTTCTACCTTGAGGGGCACTGACCTGATGCCAGTAGGAATGCTCCTGTATAGGATGTCTGACAACAGACAGGGTCTCACCCAGTTGGGTGGCACAGGGAACATGACCCATTTAACGAAGCACTTTGACTTTCCCTTGGTGGAGGGGGTGTGCTTCGCTGGGGGGAAAACCCACTCATCTGGACTGCTGGGATTCCTCAGAACTACCAGGAGGAAAGGCTAAGTCTGCTGGTCTGCAGAGACTGTGACCACCCCTCCCTCTAAGTGCTCAGGCCTAGGGAGATCCGGGTTCTGTCCCTGAGCTTCTGGCTGGAGTTGTTGGAGTTCCTGCAGGGAAGCCCCACCCAGTGAGGAAGGGTGTGTCAGGGTCAGGCCTGAAGAGGTGCTCTGGCCGCAGTCTGCCACAGCTGGTGTGTTGGGCTGTGGGGGACACCTCTTGGAGACCAAGCCGTCCAGCCTCCCTGGCTTCAGCAGGGGAAAAGTGTGGCCTGGAGCAATAGAGATAGCTGCTGCCCTTCCCCACCCTGGGAGCTTAATGTGTTAGGTTGCTATCAGTCCCAGTATTGGCTGCTGCCCCTCCCCCAAGGAGCTCAAACAGCTTAGGCAGCAGGCAGCTTCAGCTGTGGTGTTGGTCGCCCCTCCCCCCGCCTCAAGGGGCACAGTAGGCTTAGGCAGATTCCAGCTGAGAGGCTACTGAGAATCTGCAGGGCTCCAGGGTTGGGGGTTGGGACTCTGGGCCCCAGTGGTGTGGGTTTGCAAGTGGAATCTTTGATCCATGGGTTGCACAGTTCTGTGGATAAAACACAGTTTCCCCAGCTAGGTAGCATGTTTACTCACTGCCTCCCTTGGCCGGGAAGCGGGTGCTCCCTTGCCCCATGTGGCTCTCAGGTGGGCCGCTGCACCACACTGCTCTTCCTTCCTTTCCGCGGATCACATCAGCTGCCTAGTCAATTCTGACGAGAGAACCTGAATATATTGGTTGCCAGTGAAGGATTCACATACTAAATATGCTTCTTTTCAATGGGAGCCTCTGATTGTTGTTGTTCCTAGTGGGCCATCTTGGCCCTGCCCCCCCTTTTGCATTTTTAACATAAACAATAAACATGACATACCAAATAAAAGGAAAGTCAACAGCATTTTGTACATATTAAAACAATGATCAACAAGTACCACATACTTGATTTGGCCCTCTAGAAATGGGCATTTCTCACTTCCTCCAAATAAAATGTTATCCTAGTATAATAGTTAGGATTGATACAGTGTAAACTAGATCACCCAGGCTAGTATATTGGAGCTGTGGCTAGGCTGGCTAGCTAAATAGTTATTCACCATTCCTCAAGTTCACAGAGAACAACTTACATCTTTTCCTATGGAACATTAAAGAAAAATCACAATTTATAGATGTAAAAATAGCTCTGCTCTTCCACTCATTATTCTGAGGGAGAATATTAAGTGGGCAGCCATGCAAGATTATGGGGATTGGCATATAATTAACCAGAATTTTAAACTTTTTCCCTTTCCACCAAACCACCAGATAAATATGAGAAGCATAAAAGTATACATGAAACAAAGCAGACAGAGAGCACTGGGGAGAGTCAAAGAAGGGTTCGTGGAAGAGATAATTAAGGACATTTATCTTTTTTTTTTCTTTTGAGCTGGAGTTTCACTCCTGTTGCCCAGGCTGGAGAGAAGTGGTGTGATCTCGGCTCACCACAACCTCTGCCTCCCAGGTTCAAGTGATTCTCCTGCCTCAGCTTCCCGAGTAGCTAGGATTCCAGGCATGCAACACCACACCTGGCTAATTTTGTATTTTTAGTAAAGATGGGGTTTCTCCGTGTTGGTCAGGCTCGAACTCCCGACCTCAGGTGATCCGCCAGCCTCAGCCTCCCACAGTGCTGGGATTACAGGCGTGAGCCACCACACCTGGCCCGGACATTTATCTCTTTGGGAACACAAAAGAAGAAAGTTTTACTAGAATGAGAATTATTTGCAAATCATATAATCAATAAGGGTCTAGGATCCAGAATACATAAAGAAATTTTACAACTCAACAGCAAAAAGACAAACAACCTGATTAAAAATAGGCAAAGGACTTAGATATTTCTCCAAAAAAGACACAGAAAAGGCCAAAAAGCACAAGAAAAGATGCTCAAAATCATTAGTCATTAGGGAAGTGCAAATCAAAGCAACAATAAGATAGCACTTCACACTCACTAGGATGGCTATAATTTAAAAAAAAAAAACTTAAACAAAAAAGGAAAATAACAAGTGCTGGTGAGGATACGAAGAAATTGGAACTCTCATATGTTGTTGGTGGGATTGTAAAATAGTGCAGTGCTATTCACAATAGCTAAATGGCTGAAACAGTTGAATTGTTCATCAACCCGTGAATGGATACACAAATTGTAGTATATCCACACAATGGAATATTTCATGCTACAATGCTGATGAATCTCAAAAACGTGTTAAGTGAAAGAAACCAGACAGAAATGATCACACATTTTATGGCTTTGTTTATATGAAATATCTATCATAGATAAATCCATAGAGACAGAGTACACATGATTGGTCGTTTCTAGGAGCTGGGGAGAAGGGGAATAAGGAGAAACTGCTTCCTGGGTACAAGGTTTTTGGAGAGTGATGAAAATGTTTTGGAATTAGACTCAGTGGTTGTAGAACATTGTGAATGTACAAAATGCTACTGAACAATTTATTTGAAAAATAATTAATATTTTGTTATGTGAAATTTACCTTAAAAAAAGGTTCCCAGTGTTTTAAAGTTTCAGAACAACTCATGTCAACATTTTTGTCATTCACAGTTGGTCACTAACTAAAATGAAAACGTGGGGCTATGGGATTAACTATAATTTTAACTAAGGATAACCAAAAATGTTTGGTGCTTATTTATGTTAAGTTCCATAGTAAGTAGCTATAATGAAGTTGCTGACATTACAGTATATACGAAATAATGAATTTATCTGCTTTACATCCATCTTTCTACCAAATTATGAGTTTCTTGGTAGAAGAAACCAAATCATATTTATCTTGTACCAAAGATATAAGCTGGCATATCCCAAGCATTCAGTTAGTCTCTTGAATGGATAATGATTTTTCGTAAAGTATCTAGACTTACAAATTCTGTATTATAGGAGTTCATAGTTTTTGCCTTGAACAGAATTAAAATTATAAGTAGAAATAAATGCTAGTTCAGAATAGTGTTATTTTAGATCAGGTACAATGAGCATTTATCTTAAAATGTTTCAGACTTTCCTATGAAAAGCTTACTTCAATATATTTTCCTCATTTTACCTGAATTTTAATAAATGTAATTTTAATTAATGACAGCATCAATTCAGATCCACTGAAATAACTTAATCAACCTTTTATTTTAAACTGCGATTTTGAAATATAGAAAGAATGTATTCCAACACTGCACTGAGAAAGAAGGCCTAAAACTTCAACAAAGTATTTAAATAACTTAATGAGATAGAAGATACATTCCTATTTTTACTATCCTCTACTGAGACTATTTGGTAAAAGTCAGATTTGTTTAAAAGAAATCATAAGGGAAAACTGAAAATTCTAATGCAATGTAAGTATATATAAATATTATATTTATAAAGCATACATGATCATTCAAGGTAAATGAGCTATCACATCTAAAGCAGCTGGATGATAGATGAATATATGAAAAATTTTCTTTCTTTAAAGTTGTTATGCAGTTGCATAAATGCAAAATGCAATTGTTCTTAAGGAAAGAACATTTTAGTGTTTAAAAATTCACCTCAGACATCTTTTCTAACAGATTTTCTCTTCTAACAGGCTAATAGAATGAATTTTTTTCTATAATAATTTAGACCTTTTGTCCTAATGGTGCCTAAAAAAAGTTCCCATATTTGCAGAATTTTTTTCTAAGAACTTCACTTATCAAAATCACTTGATGAAATCATTCTCCAAATATGTATTGAATATCTGTGGAAGAATTACATTTTTGCACTAACAATTCACAGCCATTTTTCCAGAATTTCTGAACATGAACTAAAATTCAGAAATAAAAATACTCTACTTGAGAATACGTAACGTTGATGCAAATTATAATCTTAATGCAATATGTCTAAATAACAACGAAGAGAGATTCTCTAAGAAAAAATGATGCTTCTGCAGGAATAGGCATTACAATGGGAAGACACATATAGTAACCTATGTGTGCATTCAGGGAGGTAAAAGGAAGGCAAAGTGTCTTAAAGGAGAGATGAGGAGGATTACATAATTGTTTTTGAGATAATTATCCTTGGCTATGGGGATCAATAACAAGAGCAGCACCAGTCTGAGGTTGGACAGGCAGTTGCTGGGCAGAAGTCCTTGAAGAAGTATTTTTGCATGTATGTGTAAGGTTCCAATAGTCTTTGTACTAGCTTGCGGTTTTTGCAGTCTTTTGTGACAGTTACCTTGCTATCAGACCCTTTCTTTCATGGCCTTCCCTGGCTCTATTTGTCAGGCTTTTTTTTTTTTTTTTTTAAAAACACAAGTGGCTTGGTTTTGATTCTGACAACTTTCACAAATACATAGGAATTCCTATGTAAGCTATTTTGCCCATTACTGTTGGTCGCTTTCAGATTAGGTAGAGAAGTGGTAAGGTACGTCACTTAGCACTGGAACTGTAAAAACCAGGTTGCCCTCCATGTTGCCTCCCCCTCTCCTCTTCTTTTCTCCCCCCTGAGTTTTATTGCAAAACTTAAGAAAAAGTGGGATCAACATTTCCAGTGGCATGCTGGAGAAATATACTGATGAATGCTTGAGCAGGGCAGAGATGTGTGCATCTGACAGCAGACCTATGTGTCAGGCTGAATTTCAAAAAAAAAAACCTATTCTGAGGAAGAGGTTTGTGTGCAGGAGGTGGCTGGGAAGTGAAGAAAGCAGGAGTAGGCAGAGAGAGAAGCTGCATTGTGGTGCAGCTGCAACAGAGACCTCAGCCTCCTCTAGGCCATGGGAAGAGGCAAAGCTCTTAACCAGGACCAGAGAACAGGGCTGTCGCTGAATAGCTGCATGACCTTAGCACATCACTGAAAACCTCTGCAACATTTTCTGACAGTTTAGGGTTATACCATGCTGAGTCTCATTTCTTCTTCTATAACACAGAGAAACTGGAAAAGTTTAGTAGCTCCAAAACTGGTTAAAACTTTAGAATCACCCAAGAATTCTTATTAAAGAAACAGATTCCCTGAGTGGCATGTACAGATTCTGACTAGATAGATCTGAGTGGGATGGTTGGGAGAGGGATCAGGGCTGGGAAGGCTAATCTTATGAACGCCCTGAGTGCGTCTGATGGAGTCCTCCAAGCTAGCATCCTAACAGTCTCTAAATCCTGGTAGTTTACTATTCAAACCGTCAGAGGCACATTCAAAAACAGAAACAACATCTATGTAATCAAATATCACTGTGTGGGGCATCTTTGCTGTTTCCACTTCCACTTGTTCTACATATCAGTATAATCTGGGTGAGAAACAGAAAATCTACCTTCTTCATGTACACACATGCATCAGATTCCCACAAACATGGATGAAGTCTTGCAGAAAAGTCATTTAAAAGTAATAAAATGAGCATTTATGTCTGTGAAAGTTAGATAAAAATTCTGAGATCTGAATATTTTCACACCCTCTGAAAGACAACCAATAATTTCACAGTCCAATTTGGGAACATGAGCAATTTTTGTAATACCTTGTCTGTTTCCTGTTACAATGGAAAGACGTCAGAATTGCAGCATTTTATTTCTGAACCTGCAAAGTAATTCAAACAAGAAGAGTAGCAGCTTTCTCCCATCTCTGTCATTGTGATTTCACAATTACCTACCAGTCTTAGGAGATAATTTGTCAAGAAAATGAAAGAATCTTTAGCCTTAAAAATATCCCTCTAACAAATTTTTCATTTATGTAAGGGAATAGATAAGACCATTTCCCATTCAAAACAACCTCCATTATGAGCTAAACCAATTATCCCCCAAGAAAGGAAATAATTCTCAAAGTAGTTACATATTTATATTGAGCTACCCTATAAAGGCAGGCAACAAAACATTACAAAGAAACTACCAACAACTTAACACCTACCCTTTGGAGAATGCTCTGTGAGTTTATAATCAGGTACTATCTCACTTCAACAGAGGCACGAAATTGTCTTAATGGGCCAGTAGATCTACCTGTCAAAACAACTCATTAAGCTTGTTTCTTTTCAGTCAGGTTTCCTCCTTATTAGGGAAGAGGTTTCTAGCTGTTGAAGTTTTGTCTGTTAGACATTACTCTTGATTTTCTGCCCGGAGTCTTTACCTAGAAAGACCCAAGTTTCCTGCTCCCCATTACAGGGCCTCCTAGACTGCTGTGCAGACACAGGACACACTGAGGGATCACGTCTTCTTGGTTCCAGCCACTGGGTGCTCAGTGGCTGTGCCTGCAACACCTTCAAGGGTGTACCCCTGAGGGAAGGGCTGAGGCTGACTGGGAAGCTCTGTCACCCCACATTTAGTGCTGAAGGCTATCTGGACCTGCTTCATTCTCATCTCGCATCTGGTGGCTTATAGCTTCATTAACTTTTATAAGCACTGATGCTGGGCTTTCTCTTAAATGGTTTCTTGTTCTTCACTCAGATTTGATGCCCTCTCCTTGCTCACCCTGGCCATGTCAGACCCTGGCTGTGCCAAAGGTTAGTCTTTGTTGTTTTAAACTAGCTGGAGCAGTGATGGATTCAGCTAATCCAATGATTTATCGTGCTCATTCACTTCTGTTCCTAGTTGCTCAACTTTTTTTTTTTTTTTGAGATGGAGTCTCGCTATGTTGCCCAGGCTGGAGTACAATGCACGATCTCTGCTCACTGCAACCTCCACCTCCCAGGTTCAAGCGACTCTCCTGTCTCAGCCTCCTGAGTAGCTGGGACTGCAGGTGCCTGCCACCATGCCTGGCTAATTTTTATATTTTTGGTAGAGACAGGGTTTCACCTTGTTGGCCAGGCTGGCCTCAAACTCCTGACCTCAAGTCATCCACTCTCCTTGGCCTCCCAAAGTGCTGGAATTACAGGTGTGAGCCATCACACCTGGCCAGTTGCTCAACTTTCAAAGCAACTGATACAGAAGAAAGACTTTACTGCAATTTTTTTAAAAAAACAAATTTTTACTTATCAGCAAGCTTTTAAAAACTTTATGCAAAGGAAAAAAAATCAGTATATCAAAGAGACATCTGTCGCCCATGTTTATTGCAGCACTATTCACAATAGCCAAGATATGGAATCAACCTAGGTATCCAATAACAGATGAATAGATTTTAAAAATGTTTATATATACACACAATGGAATACTATTTAGCCATAAAAAAGGATGAATCTTTTTACTCGTGGCAACATGGATGGAACTGGAGGCCATTACATTAAGTGAAACAAGCCAGGGACAGAAAGTTAAACACTGCATGTTCTCACTTACATGTGGAAGCTATGAAAAGTTGATCTCATAGAAGTAAAAAGCAGAACAGAAGATACTACAGGCTAGGAAGGGTAGGAGGAAGGGAGAACGGGAAAAATTTGTGAAAGAATGCAAAAACACAGCTGAATAGAAGGAATCAGTTTTGGTGTTCCATAGCACTGTAGGATGATTAAAGTTAACAATAGTATAGTGTATAGTTTCAAATAGCTAGAAGTAAGATATTGAATATTCTCAACCCAAAGAAATGATGAATGTTTGGGATGATGGAGGTGCTCATTACCATGATCTGATCACTGTACGTATGTATCAGAACATCACTATGTACTCTGTGAATATGTATAATTATTTGTCAATTAAAATTAAAAAACAAAACACAAAAAAGAAGGAAAATAGTCAGAATAAAAAATTAAAAAACAAGTTAAACCACCCCTGCACAGTGAAAGTTTACCCAGTATATCCTGCAAAGCTTATCCCTTCACTCAGAATTACTCATTAGGAGAAACCACCATTACGTGAGTGTTTTGTTGGAGATGATGACAGCTTGCTTCTCTAAGAGGAGCATGAATTCACCCTCCCTCTACATGCATGTATCAGGAACCAGGGTTTGGCCTCCTCACCATACCCTCCCAGCATTTGATACCCCCCAGCTCAGTTCTGGTTCCCCCTCCTCCTCCTATCCTACACCTAGCAGTCCTTAGCCTCTCCTACCTCATGCTGTCTCCTTACACAGACTTCACAATTCTTCACGCTTTTTCTTGGATTCTCTAGACTTGGTCTTTCTCTAATAGCCTTGAAGATTTTTGTTGAGAGGCTATCTTTTGCAGCAGTAAATGTAAGGGTTTGGGATCATTCTTTAGCATTTAATATACATTATAGGGAGTAAGGTTTAAACAAGCACACTGATTTGTTGTTCATTTGCCATTAAGATTTTAATGTTATGCTCAACAAACTAGTAATAGAAGGAAATTTCCAGCCGGGCACAATAGCTCATGCCTGTAATCCCAGCACTTTGGGAGGCTGAGGCCGGCGGATCACGAGGTCAGGAGATGGAGACCATCCTGGCTAACATGGTGAAACCCCGTCTCTACTAAAAAAGAAAAAATACAAAGAATTAGCCGGGCATGGTGGCGGGCGCCTGTAGTCCCAGCTACTCGGGAGGCTGAGGCAGGAGAATGGCATGAACCCGGGAGGTGGAGCTTGCAGTGAGCCGAGGTCACACCGCTGCACTCCAGCCTGGGTGACAGAGCAAGACTCCATCTCAAAAAAAAAAAAAAAAGGAGGAAATTTCCTTAACCTGATAAAGGGCATCTGTAAGAAACAGCTGACATCATACTTAATGATGAAAGACTATATTCTCTCCTTTTAATACCAGGAATAAGACAGAGATGTTCACTCTAGCTACTATAACATTTACTGGAGGCTTCAGCCAGGGCAATTGAGCAAGAAAAGAAATAAAAGGCATCCAGATTAGAAAGGAAGGAGTAAAACTATCTCTATATGCAAATGACATAATCTTGTATATAGAAAATCCCAATATATCTAAAAAAGCTATTAGAATAAACAAGTTCAACAGGATTTCAGGTTACATGGCCAATATACAAAAATCAATTGTATCTCTGTACAATAGCAAAGAACAAACCAAATACAAAACTAAGAAATAAACTGTTTAAAGTAGCACCAAGAATAAAATAGGTAAGAATAAATTTTCAAAAAAAGTACAAAATATATTCTCTGAAAACTGGAAAACATCATTGAAATAAATTAAAGCAGGCCAGGTGCAGTGGCTCATGTCTGTAATCCCAGTACTTTGGGAGACCAAGGCCAGCAGATCACTTGAGATTGGAATTGAAGACCAGCCTGATCAACATGGTAGAACCCTGTCTCTACTAAAAATACAAAAATTAGCTGGGTGCGGAGGCAGGCACCTGTAATCCCAGCTACTCAGGAGGCTGAGGCAGGAGTATCGCTCGAATCCAGGAGGTGGAGGTTAAGTGAGCTGAGATCGCACCACTGCACTCTAGCCTAGGAGACAAAAAAAAAAAAAAAAAGAAGAAGAAAGAAAAAAAAGAAAGAAAGGATGGAAGGAAGGAAGGAAGGAAGGAAGGAAGGAAAGAAACTAAAGCAGAGTCAAAGCAAATCTAAATAAATGGAAAGAAGTTCATGGATTGAGAGGCCACATAATGTTAAGATGGCAAATTAACCTGTATATTCAATGCAATTTCAATCCAACTTCTTAGTTGCAGAAATGGACAAACTGATCATAAATTCATATGGAAATTCTAGGAACCTCAAATAGTCAAAGTAATGTTGAAAATGAATAACAAAGTTGCATGACTCACACTTCCCAATTTCAAAACTTACTAAAAAGCTACAGCAATTAAGAGAATGTGGAGCTGGCATAAAATTAGACATACAGACCAATGGAATAAAATTGAAAGCCCAGTAATAAGTCCCACATTTACAGTTAATTGATTTTCAAGAAAGGCGCCAAGACAATTCAATGGGAGAAAAAAAATGGCCTTTTCAACAAAAATTCTAGGATAATCAACTATCTGCATGCAAAAGAATAAAAAAGACCCCTACCTCACACCAAAAATTAACTTGAAAGGGATCAAAAAGTTAAACGTAAGAGCTAAAACTGTGAAAGTATCAGGAAAAAAGCATAGGCTTAACTGTCAGTGACCTTGAACTTAGGCAATGATTTTTTTTTTTATATGACACCAAAAACACAAGCAACAAAAGAAAAGATAGATAAATTAGAAACTACCAAAAATTAAACTTTGTTCCTACAAGTAAACCCGTCAAAGGTTAAAAGACAATCTATAGAATCAGAGGAAATGTTTATAAATTGTATTTCTGATAATGGCCTTTTATCTAGAATATATATTTTTAAAACTTCTACAATTCAATAAAAAAGAGAAAAATAACCCAATTTTTTTAAATGAGCAAAGGATCTGAAAAGACATTTCTCCAAATAAATTACATAAATGTCCAATAAGTGCATGAAAAGATGCTCAAGATCATTAGTCATTAGTAAAATGCAAATAAAAACCAGAGTGAGAAATCACTTCACACCCACAAAGATGACTATAATCAAAAAGACAGTTACAAATGTTGGTGAGAATATGGAGAAATTAGAGCCCTCATACACTGCTGGTTGGAATGTAAAATGGTGCAGCCACTTAAGAAAATAGCCCGGCAGTTCCTTGAAAAGCTAAACATAGAATTACCATATGGCCTGGCATGTCAATGCTTAGGTACACACCCAAAGGAAATGAAAACATATGTGCACACAAAATCTTGTACGCAAGTGTTATGTAAGCAGCATTATGCATTACAGCCAAAAAGTGGAAACAACCCACATGTCCATGCATGGATGTAAGGGTAAACAAAATGTGGTACATCTATACAATAAACTATTATTTGTCAACAAAAAGGAATGAAATATGAATACATGCCGAGCCATGGACAAATCTTTCAAACATTGCACTAAGTGAAAAAAACTCAATCATAAAAGACCAAATGATTCCATGTATACGAAATGCCCAGAATATGCAAATCTATTGAGACAGAAAGTAGATTAGTTGTCACCTAGGGCTGCTGGAGATAGAGGGGCTAGGGGAAAAGGAGATGGCTACAGAGCACAGGGCTTCTTTGGGGGATGATGAAAATGTTCTAAATAGCTGGTGATGCTGGATGCACAATTCTATACATGTACTAAGAATTATGAATTATACTTTTTTTCTTATAATTTTTTTTTTACTTTAAGTTCTGGGATACATGTGCAGAACATGCAGGTTTGTTACATAGGTATACATGTGCCATGGTGGTTTGCTGCACCTATCAACCCATCATCTAGGTTTTAAGCCTCGCATGCATCAAGTTCTGGCCAGGGCAATCAGGCAAGAGAAAGAAATAAAGGATATTCAAATAGGAAGAGAGGAAGTCAAATTGTCTCTGTTTGCAGACGACATGAGTGTATATTTAGAAAACCCCATCGTCTCAGCCCAAAAACTCCTTAAGCTGATAAGCAACTTCAGCAAAGTCTCAGGATACAAAATCAATGTGCAAAAATCACAAGCATTTGTATACACCAACAATAGACAAGCAGAGAGCCAAATCATGAGTGAACTCCCATTCGCAATTGCTACAAAGAGAATAAAATACCTAGGAATACAACTCACAAGGAATGTGAAGGACCTCTTCAAGAAGAACTACAAACCACTGCTCAAGGAAATAAGAGAGAACACAAACAAATGGAAAAACATTCCATGCTCATGGATAGGAAGAATGAATTTTACTTTTTAAACAGGCAAACTGTATGGTATGTGAATTGTACCTCAATAAAACTGTTATTTCAAAAAGTGTATAGGCTGGGTGTGGTGGCTCATACCTGTAATCCCAGCCCTTTGGGAGGCCAGGGTGGGAGTATTTCTTAAGCCCAGAAGTTCCAGATGAACCTGGGAAACATAATGAGACCCTCATCTCTAAAAATATTTTTAAAATTGGCCAGATATGGTGGCACATGCGTATAGTCCCAGCTACTCAGGAGACTGAGGTAGGAGGAACACTTGAGTCCAGGAGTTGAAAGCTGCAGTGAACTATGATTGTTCCACTGTGCTCCAGCCTGGGTGACAGAGTGAGATCTCCATCGAAAGAAAGAAAGAAAAGAAAAAGAAAGAAAGAAAGAAAAGAAAGAAAAGAAAGAAAGAAAGAGAGAGAAAGAAAGAAAGAAAGAAAGAAAGAAAGAAAGAAAGAAAAAGAAAGAAAGAAAGAAAAGAAAGAAAGAAGGAAAGAAAGAAAGAAAAGAAAGAAAGAAAAGAAAGAAAGAAAGAAAGAAAGAAAGAAAGAAAGAAAGAAAGAAAGAAGGGAGGAAGGGAGGAGAAAGAGAAAAGAAAAAAGATTGTAAGTGGTAGAGAGTCAAGATAAGAAAATTGGCTATTGGTTAAATAAAGTGTTAAACTCCTGATCCTGGTAGTACATTAAGGTAGATTTCACCCACCTCCTTATGAATTAAAGATACGGTGTTGAAAATAATTAAAGATGTTGAAGATAGAAAAAGGGGTGAAACAGACAAAATAGGCCTTGCTTTTTTTCCCATTATAATGAGAAACCAATAATAGCAAAAGACAAAAATATCTGGTCTCTGCATGAAACAACGTTTGTTGCTAACATTTACATGATGCCAATATCCTCTGGTCAAAAAGCACAGTTTATAGGTAAATTGTCTCAGTATTTCAAGAAAGAATATTGCCGAAATTTTTATAAATGCAATAAGCTTCTTTAAAAAGTTTTCTGAAATAAGGGTGAGAAAAATAGACCTGATTAAAAATCCACACAGGAGTCCCACTGCCAGGAAGAAGAGTGAGCACCAATCTGTTCTCTTCTGACTGTGCCTTCCCTGGTAACGTGTCCCCAGGTCTCATTTTGTCTTGCCTCCTCCTGGGCAAACAGCTAATCACAGTCCCCTGTTGAGAGCTGAATCGCATCCTGGCTCTTTGTGAAGGTATGCCACCCTAGAAATGGTCTCTCTCTGGATTGTGTCATTGAGGAGAAAATTAGCTAGGACAGAAGTAAGAAAGCAGGCTTTTGACACTCTGCTGGATATTGATCACAAACGATTGATAATATTTAGTTCATTCACGAAATTGTACTAACATTCCTCCATAGCCTTCTGCAAATATCAAAATGAATGAATTATACGTAAGAATATCAAGGGGGACCTAGTCAAAGGCCTTGCTGACGCTAGATATACTCTGTCAATCAATGTCTCAAATTCAGTACACATGTCAAGCCAGTAGAAGAAATCAGTTTGGCATGACTCTTTTTCAGTGAACATTGCAGCACCTTTCCTCAGCCTCAGTTTTCTCTGTTCATCAGAGTTTGTTTTGCTAATATTTGCTACCATAAACTCAGTTCTATGCAAACCCTAACAGAAGCAGAAAGCCTCACGCACTGTCCTGTCACTAACACAGCCCCATTGGTCTTTGCTGCTGACCACAGCTAACAGCCTCTGTGCCTTCAAGACAGAATCAGTCCATGAATCAACCCTGCTCGCCATTTCCTGCCCATCTCCAATGCTGGCTCATTCCAGAGATGAGCTACTGCCTGAGTTTCCCTGAACTGTTTCCTGGATGCCATATCTGTTCAGCTGCCCCTGCCTGGCCCTTCCTTGGGCAGGAATTCTGGCAATCCTGCCTTGCTCCCCCAAGGTGTCTTCCTAGCACTGGATCCTGGTCTTCCAGCACCAGCCATCTTGCCCAAGTTCAGAATTGAACAGGGGTGTGGCATTGTCTTTGTCCTGCTCTATCCACTGGTTTATTTGCTTCAAAATGATGGTTTCCTGAATAGTGCTTGAGTTTGCTATGCCCTCACACCACCTCCTTTCCTTGTTGAACACCAGCTGCAACTCAGTTCTGCACTTGAATAAGTAGGACACTGTGCTCATTGTTTTCTCTGTATATTTTCCAATATTATTTTACTTTTATCCATCTGTTGAGATGTTGGTGATGCAGCACAACATATAAGAAAAGAACCTGAGCTTTGAGGTTCGCTAAAATTACCTCTGTTCAACTTTTGAGTTTACTCCTGTATGTCCTTAATAATTCTGAGCCTCAGTCATTTTCTAATCAGTAAAATAGGTATCTTAGTTGCCCCCTGAGCTAATGGGTATAGAAGGACCTAGCATAGAAATACTTGGTCTATTCTAGATGCTTAATGTCTGGTGATCTCCTTCCCTCCATCTTAGATATGGATTGTTTGCTAACTCCTAATGTTTGTGTCCGGGTCCTTTCTAAATCTGACTTCAACTAAGGTTCCTATCATTTCCTAAAAGAACAAGTGATAAATTTCACTCTCCTGTAAGCACTTATACCACCATAGGGGGAATGTTTACCTCCAAATCATTATGTCTTAACTTAACCAACTGCCATGGAAGATCGCTGATTTTTAAAAAACATTTTATTCTGGAATAATTTTAGACTTAATATAAAGTCTGCAAAAAATGAAACAGAGAGTTCCTGTGATTGTGTTGTTATACTGCCGAAGGGATTTTACAGGTTTAATTAGAATCCCTGATCAGTTTATTCTGGGTTAATCAAAGAGAGATCCTCCTGGGTGGGCCTGAACTAATGAAATGCCTCAAAATGGGTGGGGGAAGTGGACATGGGGGAGATTCTCCTGCTGGCCTGAAGGAGCAACTGCATGTTGCAGGTCCTGTGGCAGGGAATGGGGAACAGCAACCAGGAGCTGAGAAGGTGCTGGGTGGCAGCCTGCAACATGCGGGTCTTCCATTCTGCAGCACCAGAACTGGTTCTGCCAGCAACGTGAAACCTGAGCAGCAAATAAGAACACAACTTGTGGTCCTCCTGATTTCAACCCATAAGACTCTGAGCAGAACACCCTTCCTGGACTCCTGGCCCACAGATGTGATGCCAAGCTAGAAAATGCATGGTCATTTGTTATGTTGCAACAGAAAATGAACACAAGCACTATCTGATCCTTTGCGATTAAGAAATATTTGGGGAGATGTTATTTGAAACTATTCAAATATCCCTTTTCTCTACAAAATTTTTCTCACTAATTTTTTTTATTATACTTTAAGTTTTAGGGTACATGTGCACAACGTGCAGGTTAGTTACATATGTATACATGTGCCATGTTGGTGTGCTACACCCAGTAACTCGTCATTTAACATTAGGTATATCTCTAAATGCTATCCCCCCTTAACATTGGATACTGGGTCTTGACGGCAACAGAGATGATGGTGCAGTTCTAATGGTCTTTTTCTGTTTATCGTATTTACCTTAGATTTCGTAATTAGAACTTTTGATGACAAAATTCTGTCTTTCTGTTTATTTATTTGAGATCATTGGTTTTTGCCAACCAAAATTGATGTAACAATGGAAAAGGAGGCAAATCAAGTTAGAAGGTAATTTTGGGGAGAAATGTATAATTTATCCATTTATAAAGATAAATGTAAACCAATTCATGGTTAGCTATTAGAAATGGCCACTTTTTTTTTTTTTTTTTTTGAGACGGAGTCTTGCTCTGTCATCCAGGTTGCTGGGGTGCAGTGGCACAATCTCGGCTCACTGCAACCTCTGCCTCCCGGGTTCAAGCAATTCTCCTGCCTCAGCCTCCTAAGTAGCTGGGACTACAGGCGCCCACCACCATACCTTGCTAATTTTTCTATTTTAAGTAGAGACAGGGTTTCACCATATTGACCAGGCTGGTCTTGAACTCTTGACCTTGTGATCCACTCACCTTGGCCTCCCAAAGTGCTGGGATTACAGGCATGAGCCACCACGGCCAGCCCAAATACACTTCTTATCAGTGTACATTCTTAACTGGCACTGAGCACAAATGTTCTAAGAAAAATTGAAAAATGTTTCCTGGCCCTGTCTTTGCAGCTTAATGTAATGAGCTAGGATCTTAAAACAGATTAATCAAGGCACAGTTAACTTTCCAAATCCAAAGTGGGACTTTAATTGATGTTTCCTGACAAAATAATACACTTTCCACTTATCTAGTTTACTTACTGTTCATTCCTTTACTATACTCCATTTAATAGGATGTAACACATTTTCTATAAAGATAGAAAAATATATAGAGAGAAAAGATAGATAGGTAGATGATAGATGATAGGTAGATAGATAGATAGATAGATGATAGACAGATAGATAGATAGACAAAATTAGATAGATATAGATAGACATTTCTCAGTCTTGGCGTTGTTGAAACTTTGGGCCAGACAGTCCTCTATGATGGGGAGGTGTTCTGTGCATTGTCGGATGCTTAGCGGCATCCCTGACTCCCATCCACCTGGTGCCAATGTCCCAGCTGTGACAACAAAAACGTTTTCAGATACTGCCAAATTGCCCCTTGCAGAGCTAGGGGTAAAACAGTCACTGGTTGAGAATCACTGAGATAGATAGATGGTAGGTAGGTAGATCTAGCTAGCTAGATGCAGAGATGGAGATATTATTGGTTCACTTCTCCAGTTTGTTAAATTATGAAATCCTCTGATTTGCCCATGATTTTACACATCCTGACAAAGCAAGTCCTTTAACCAGGTGCAAGTGTCTGCCCCCATGAGATAGTATAGAACTGGACCTCTGTAAAGCTTAATAAAATGTAACTTAAATTGTTCAGAAAGGTACAAAATCACAAGCTACTGAAGAGCAATTAAGAAAACAAAGGCTACTGAGTAATTCAGCTAAATAAAGATCCAATAGCTGCAGGAGCAAAATGGAGGAGCACTACAAACAAATAATCATGAACATTAAAAACGAAATGATCATGGCTAACTTGGTAATTCCATTGCAAATCAGAATCCTGATATACGATTAATTATGACTCCCTTAATACAACCTCCACGAAGCCAGTATTTCCTTATGGTGGGAGAACTGGAACAGGAATCCAGGGGTCTGGCTTGGAGTCTGGGCTGCATGTTTTGTTGGCCGACTTAAGAAAGCCACTTTTTCAGTATTTTCAAAATATTGAGGGGTTAATCTTTATTATCGCTATTATTACATCTTCAAAATTATATTATTTTAGGTTACAATAGTTGTGTTTGAAAATACAGAAAGACTGGATACTTTCCTTCCTTCATTCCAACTGAGAGCAAGGTTTCCACTCTTTTCAGCTCTTCAACGCCTCAAAAATGAAGTACCTTGATAGATACTTGTTGAACAAATTTATGTTTGAAAATAAACAAATATGACAATGAGATGAAGGTTATAGAAGCAGGGCCATTTAGACGGCTGTTATTGCAAAAGAAACTCTGTGGCATCTAAACTGTGTGAATAATTGAAGAAAGTGTAGCAAACTCTCTTCTAACTCAGTTCTGTGTAGTTCTGGTCTGAGGGACCCTAATGCATTTAGATCAGGGAGAGCAGAAGGTAGGTAAAAGCTGACATCCACAGGGTCTTCTGGCTACTGACAGTTCTGTGCTGTATTGGCCTAGATGGCAGCAGGGCTAGACTCACAACTAGCTCTGTATTCTTAAGCACTTGGCACTACTGTTATTTATACAGTAGTCCACATGCATGTTTTCTTTACTAAAGTGTAACTCACTTCTCTATAGACTCACAGAAATTCTCATAGTGCCTGGTATGCATTAAATACTTCATAGATGTCTATGAAATAAGTGAATGAATGAATGAATGAATGAATGGCTAAGAAAATTTGACCCAGAGTTCAACATCCTCCTCGTGAGTGATGACCAGGTTGGTTTTTGTGGATAAGGCTTCTTCATTTTCTCTTGAGAAAAAGGAGCACTTCCCATTTCATGAGAATTGTTTTTTCATCCAAGCTCACAGCTCACCAGGACTCTGTAGAATCCCAGAGACCAATGTTTGCCTAATCTGTTAACCAACCTGCATCACCCTCTTGGTCCGTTAGGCATCTCTCAGCAAAGGCAATAATGTTCCAGACCTACTGTAACATTAATGACTGATTTAGTGATGAGATGCTTTATTTCAATATGTGAGGCTGACTAAAAAATCAAATGTTCCAAAATTTCAGTTAGGATGAATAAGTTCTGACAATGTGTTGTACAGCACAGTGACTACAGTTGATGTATTATATAGTTAAAAATTGCTGGCTGGGTGTGGTTGCTCATGTTTGTAATGCCAGCATTTTGGGAGGACAAATCGAAAGGATTACTTGAGGCCAGGACTTAGAGACCAGTTTGGGCAATATAGCAAGATGCCATCTTTACCAAAAATTTTAAAAATTAGCTAGGTATGGTGGAGTATGCCTGTAGTCCTAGCTATCTGTCAGGCTGAGGAAAAAGGATTGCTTGAACCCAGGAGTTCAAGGCTGCAGTGAACTATGATCACATAACTGCACCCCAGCCTGGGTGAAATAGTGAGACTTGTCTAAAAAAATACAATTAAAATTAAAAAATAAAGAAAATTGCTAAGAGAGTATAGTTGGAAGGTTCTCACCATACACACATACACACACACACACACACACACATACATACACGTAACTGTGTGAGGAGGTGGATATGTTAATTAGCCTGATTGTGGTAATGATTGTGGTAATCATTTCACAATGTATACATGTATCTGAACATCATGTTATACACTGCAAATATATCCAATTTTTGTCAATAATACCTCAAAAAAGCTGGAAAAAAACACTTGAAGATTTAATAGTCCATATTCAAAGAATTTTTTTAATTAAATATTCCATGCTGGTCACACTTTTTATCAGGCTGAATTCAGCCAGTTGTCCTATTAAAGTGGCACACCAGCCAATTAGCTTCTCATCTGTAGGCCAATGAACTTACAAAAAAATAATACTTTTTTTTTTCCTTTCTGAAAGACTGAGAGTCTACATTTTAAAATTAAATTAGCCAGCAATTCTGATGCCTTCAAAACTCTTGTGTAAATAAAGGAAGACCTACCAAACGAGAAAAGCAAAGGTTATTTATTCTGAGCTTGCTATATAGCAAGGGAGTTAGCCACCATAACTTGTGTTTTCACAGAAACTCAAAAGCAGACAAAGGAGTAGTACAGCTTCACAGTGGAAAAAGGGAAGGCCTCAGGTGTTCCAGGAGTGGAGGCTGCTGGCCTGGGGAAGCTGGAAGAAGCTAACTCGAGAGGACATTCTATGTAATTGGTTAAAGATGCATATGTTGCTTTTCCGAGGTCCTAAGTTGGAAGCAGAGAAAAAAATTAGGAGACTTGTGAGTAATTAATGAAGTCCTGATCATTTTAGGCCAATTGTTGCAGAAGTCATTGTTTAGTTTTCTGGCTTGTCACTAAAGATAGCAGTCTGGGTTACAACAAATCGGACTATAGGAGAGGAAAAAGTCCTTTCCTCTGCATTCATTCTTCAGTTCAGTGTCTGGGTCCTGTGAAATAAACTGATAAGAGATGGATTCACAGGAGAAAAGGTTTATTTCAAAGACGTATAGCGGTGTCACAGAAAAGAAGTGAAAACCCAGAGGCAGTTAGATCTGGGAACTATATGCCATTTTAACAGAGTGATAAACTGAGGAGATGTGACTAGACAAAGTAAAAGAGGTTTGGGCTTTTGGGATAGCAAATTGTGGAATGGTAAATATGTGGTAAAATCTCATGGAATATAAGTGTTATTTGAGTTAGTTCTGTTTACGCATACTAAAGGCCATGCCATCTCTAGTGATGAGTTCTTCCTGGCAATTAAGAGTTGTTGTCTTTTTGATGGAAAGGGAGATACCTTCACAAAATGAAATTTATGCTCTGATTTTAGGCAGATGAGAAAAGGTAAAGAGCTCTTTTTGTGTCTGCTTTCTCAGTTGCTTTCAGCTTGAAATAATCCTTGTGCAAAAGTGACATATTTTGGGGTGGCATATTTGAGTCCTCTTCATGACTTATAACAGGGTTGTTTATTGTAGATCAGGAATTGATATTCTGGGGAGGTAGTTGCAGGTTGCAGGTCAAAGTTTTATGTTTATATATAGTCTGGCCATTTCCCATTTGTATAGTCAGTCCCTCACCCTCTTCTGATTTGTGATCTCTAAGGACTAGATAAAGACGTACAGAAGCTCTGACATTGTTTAAAATTGCTTGATGTGGTCTGTGCCTGCAAAAATCAAGGATGAAAAATATTCAAATAATTATAAAATCCAAAAATAAGTAACTATTCAGATAAGAAAAAAAACTAACTCACAAACCTTACTCAATATTCTTAGTAATGCCTATTTTGGTTGAACTATTGGAGCAATCATAATTCCACTGTCAATTAATAAGAGGCAAAAAACCAAGCTGCAATTCAGTAAGACGAGAATTTATCGCAATTCAGAAGATACAGATTCAGCTAGATGCCAAATTGTGTTCCAAAGAGATGGAGGACAGTAGGGATTTTTAAGAGAAATGAAAAGGAAGCTAAGTATGATTATACAAGTTGTTTTCAAAGAATTATCATTGATGGCAGCAGCTGGCCAGTACACAAGTCCATAGTTCATTGGTTGTTTTTCAGAAGTTGCAGTGCTGGAAAAATCCAGCAGTTTTCTACAATGTTGTATCATTGCAGTTTGGCCCAATTCAAGGGTACAAGGCAAATTCCTGGTTTTTTATGTTTGTTTGTTTGTTGCAAGTTTGCAGAATGTGCAGGCAGTTCTTAGAATGGCTTCCCAACTCCACTTTAGATCTCTGAACCAGAGTGACACCATTTTGTATACCACATTTCACATCAGCAATTCAAAATAACTCACAACCAACTTCCAGTACGTCAGGTACAAAAATTGAAAAACAAATGATACTGTTTTTGTTTCACTGCCACCTTAAAATGCTGTTGTATTCCACTTTTTAATGAGGGCATTATATTTGTGCGTTTTCGTGAAAGTGTTAAAGAATAAACTGAGGCATATTAATATATTAAAGAGTTTATTTGAGCAAACAGTGATTCATAAATCAGGCAGTGCTAGACCATAAGTAGCTCAGGGCTACAGTGAGGAGGTGGGGTGGGGGAAGATCGGCTTTTATAAGGTGAACACGGAAGCAAAAAAGAGTATATTCGATTAGTTAGAGTGGAACAGTAGATGTATTTGGATCACTCCAGTGGAAAGCTCCTAGTTTGAGGCTAGTTGGTGTATTCTGACTCACCTGGAATATGACCATTCATACTGAATATTCAATTTGTGTACAAACAAACTAGGAGTTAGAACAACTACAGTCTAATGGCCTCCCAAGTAATTTTTAAACAAGGGATAATAAGATAACATCTAGAAGTTACTTTTAATTTTAAAAATACTGACACCACTTCAAAACAAGGCTCATTATGATTTTATTTGAACATTTATTTATTGCCTTTTGAAGTAAATCTGTCATTTATAAGAACAATGGTGTAATTATGCAATAGGGTCTCTCTGCAGCAAAGTATATTTAGCAGCACAATTCTAGGCCAAAATCTGTTAAAAAGATGTATGTGATTATGCATAATGAACGCTAAGATTTTAAAAGCTAGCTTAAAGATTATATTGCATTCTAGATCATGCATTAACATTTTCCCCAGGTCAGGAGTTAAGTATTCATAAAATAAAATGGCTGCATAAGTGTCCACATGAGATGTGTTTATGTCTTTAGATAATTTTATAGTAGACAGTTAACTAGCAGTGTTGCTAACTCATTTGGGGGATGATAAACAGGATCAGTTAGAAGCTGTCATTTGTAGATTCTCCAAGATGCTGAAGAATTTTTTTTGCCTTACTTTACTTTGTGTCCACGATGGAAGCCACACAGCTCTGAGAAAAAAGATGCCAGGGCACCCTTGACTCGTGGCGTGCCTCCAGAAAGACACAAAGCACTGGAGCAGCCAGATCCTCTCACAATTCTAGAGGCTCCAACTGCAAACCCATCTGAAGGCCACTAATTAGGGGGAAAACACGATCTCCAGCTTTGCAGAAATGTTGGCAACATAAGCCCTAATTAGTGAGAGAACATTCTTTGTTTTGGTGAATCTCAATGGTTTTTATACATAAAGGAACTGAAAGGTCTCCCATTAAGTGCATGCCTTTGACACAGGAGACAGGCTGTTTTCTCCCAGAGGGCACGTTCTATCCCCCCGTAAATGTCGGAGTGGAGTACTAGCACGAGTTGGGAGGCTGTGCAGACAATGCATAGGTACACTCAGCCCTTCATAAATGCAGTGGTTTCACTTCTCAAATTTTGTTTTTGGACATTATGGTGTATGTAGCTGTTAATAGTCTTTTGTTCCTGTCTTCGTGCATTGGGTGTTTTCTGATCTCATTAGTCTGACTCAGTACATGCTCTGTAGGTTTCTCAGCACAAGGGGAAATCTCTACAGGCTGGCATTCACCTGCTCCTAACCAGCAAGCAAACAAAGGGAGATGTGAGGCTGCTGCCAAGGACAGCAAAGGTACTTGGGCATCTCTTATGCCCCATGAGGACAAGCCATGTTTAAAATATGTCTAGGGTTCTTTGAGGTGCAGCATACAAACAGGAACAAGCAGTGATGTTAAACAAAGTTTATGGGAGGCTAGTTTTGGACTAGCATCCTGCAGTGGGCCCCGGTATGCTAGACCAAACCAGAATGCAGTCTGCTAGGCTTTGAATATTTATGTCCCCTCAAAAATTTATGTGTTGAAATTTCATCACCAAGATGATACCTTAAGAGGTAGGGCCTTTAAGAGGTGGTTAAGTCATGAGGGCAGAGCCCTAGTGAATGGGATTAAGGCCTTTATAAAAGAGGCTTCGCCCCATCATTCTCAGCAAACTAACATAGGAACAGAAAAACAAACACCGAATGTTCTCACTCATAAGTGAGAGCTGAAAAATGAGAACACATGGACACAGGGAGGGGAACAACACACACCAGGGCCTGTTGGGGGGTTGGTGGGAAGGGGAGGGAGAGCATTAGGACAAATACCTAATGCATGCGGGGCTTAAAACCTAGATGATGGGTTGATAGGTGTAGCAAACCACCATGGCACATGTATATCTATGTGACAAACATGCACATTGTGCACAGGTATTGCGGAACTTAAAGTAAAATAAATAAATAAAAGAGGCTTCACACAGCATTTGGTCTCTTGCCCTTCTGCTTTCTGCCATATGCTGTCTTGGAAGCAGAGAGCAGCCCTCTCCATAAACCATTGCCAGCACCTTGATCTTGGATGCCCCAACTCCAGAACCATGAGAAATAAATTTCTGTTCTTTATAAATGATCCAGTCTTGGACATCTTTTATAGCACCACAAACGGGCTAAAAAATTGGTACCAACAAGTAGAGTATTTCTGTAACAAATACCTAAAAACATGGACGCGACTTTGAAACTGAGTAATGGGTAGAGGCTGAAACAGTTTTGAAGTGCATGCTAGAATAAGCCTATATTTCCATGAACGGAAATTAAGGATGATTCTAGTGAGGGCTCAGAAGAAGAGGAGAGCTGTAGAGAGAGCCTCTGTCTTAGTGATTAGCTAAGTGGTCATGATCAAAATGCTGGTAGAAATATAAACAATAAAGGCCATTCTGATGAAGTCATATTTCAAAATGAGGGATATCTTATTGTAAACTGGAGGAAAGACCATCCTTGTTACAAAGTGGCAAAGAATTTGGCTGAATTGTGTCTGTGTTCTAACACTTTGTAAAAGGCAGAATTTCAGACGGATGAACTAGTGAAGTGGCCTTGTTGTCTGGGGTAAATACCTGGGGTTCATCATCTGGTGTCAAGAAAATTAAGGATAGAGACACACACAAAGAGTGAGTCTAGGAGCGGAGGTTTAATAGGCAAAAGAAAGAGAAAGGGCCTGGCACACTGGCTCACGCCTGTAACCCCAGCACTTTGGGAGGCCGAGGTGGGCAGATCACAAGGTCAGGAGATCAAGACCATCCTGGCCAACATGGGGAAACCCTGTCTCCACTAAAAATACAAAAAAATTAGCTGGGCGTGGTGGAGGGCACCTGCAGCCCAGCTACTCAGGAGGCTGAGGCAGTAGAATGGCGTGAACCTTGGGGGCGGAGCTTGCAGTGAGCCAAGATCGCACCACTGCACTCCAGCCTGGGCAACAGAGCGAGACTCCATCTCAAAAAAATAATAATAAAAGAAAAGAAAAGAAGAAGAAAGAAAGAAAGGAGAACAGCTCTCCCTTGCAAGAGAGGGGTGCCCGAATTGGAATTCCAGCCGGCAACAGGGTACAATGGATTTTATAGACAGGCTTGAGGAGGCGGTGTCTGATTACATAGGGCCCACAGATTGGTTTGACCAACTGTGACATTTACATAGCTTATGGGGAAGGCTGGCCACCCCACCCTAATATTATGCAAATGGGCTTCCCACTTGGCCAGAGCCATGTTGTCTGCTCTTTACTGTACACGTGGCTGGCAAAGAGAGGGGAACATGGAGCCCCATTTGAACATGCCTAGTCCCAGGTAGCCTTTTCCTATTTACACAACTGCCGGCATTCACCCGTGGAAGCTTCCAGCTTGCTTGTCTATGGCTGCAGCTCAATTTTACAGGCTGCTTTTTGTTAGAAAAGAAAACAATTCTGGGGCTGCTTTTCATTAAAAGGAAAACCTTACCAAAGACTCCCATACCCTCAAGATCTGCCTAAATAATTTCTTCTTAACTCCTACATCAATAGGACATCGGTAGAAGAAATAACTAAGCAGTGTGTCCAGGATGCTGTGTGGCTTTTCTTAACTGCTTGCTGTGAAGTGTGAGAAGAGAGAAACAAGTTAAAGACAGAATTAGTATTCAAAAAGGAAGCAGAACATAAAGATTTGGAAAATTCTCAGCCTGGTCATGTAAAGAATAAAAATGTATGTTTAGGAGACAAACCTAAGGATGTGGCTAAGCATCCTTTGATAAGGAGATTAGTATGGCTAGAAAGAAGCCAGTTTCTATTCATCAGGTCAATGGGAGAATGACTAAGAAAGTCATTCATGCAGATTGCCACATAATTAAACTAACTCTGAAACTCTGAAATGGGCCAGTTTTTCAAAAAACAAACAAACAAACAGTAGCAGAAGAGGCCAGCGCCAGGTGCGGTGGCTCACGCCTGGAATCCCAGCACTTTGGGAGGTTGAGGTGGGTGAATCACCTGAGGTCAGGAGTTTGAGACCAGCCTGGCCAATATGGTGAAACCCTGTCTGTACTAAAAATACAAAAATTAGCCAGGCTTGGTGGCGGGAGCCTGTAATCCCAGCTACTTGGGAGGCTGAGGCATGAGAATCACTTGAACCGGGGAGGTGGAGGTTGCAGTGAGCAAAGATCAAGCAAGAGAACTCCAGCCTGGGTGACAGAGCTGAGACTGCATCAAAAAAAAAAAAAAAAAAAAAAAGCACAGGAGATTCACAGCAAGCAATCAGAAGGGGCCCAGTTTGCCTGAGTTGGCATGATAAGAAAAATCACTCTGTTTTAACCCTATAGGGAAAGTAACTGAAATGGCCAATCTGCTTTTCATTGTTTATATGTTTTCTTCAGTCCTTTCTGCCTATAAAGCCACCCACCTCTGCTTTAGCTCATCAGGAAACTTACTCTGTTTCATATAATAAGATACTGCTTGATTCTAGAATCAGAAAGAAAAGCCAATTAGAATCTTCAGACACTGTCTTTTGACGGTGATGATAAATTGCAAATATCATAGCCAAAAGTTATGAATAGGATAATTACAAAGTTCATATGTTAAACATATTTTTCCAAACACTTATCCAAATTATTTGACTCTTTCCTTATCATTACATTTCCATATCATATATATATATAGAGAGAGAGAGAGACAGAGTTTTGTTCTTGTTGCCCAGGCTGGAGTGCAATGGCACGATCTCTGCTCACTGCAACCTCCACCTCCCGGGTTCAAGCGATTCTCCTGCCTCAGCCTCTCAAGTAGCTGGGATTACAGGCATGCGCCACCACACCTGGCTAATTTTTATATTTTTAGTAGAGACGGGGTTTCTCCATGTTGGTCAGACTGGTCTCGAACTCCCGACCTCAGGTGATCTGCCCGCCTCAGCCTCCCAAAGTGCTGGGATTACAGGAGTGAGCCACCGCACCCAGCCTCCATGTCATATTTTAAGATTAAAAAGAAGCTGAGATTTTATTGCCATTGAAAAGGATCATGGTTTGAAATCAGAGTGGGACAAAGAAAAATATTCTTTACTTGGTTTCAGGAGATTTGGGTTAGAGGCTTTGTTCCACTAGAGGCAAATTCTCTTTGGGCTAATCTTGTAACTTCTCTCACTCTCAATCCCCTCCCTCTTGAGGCAGAGATCATAGTATCTGTCTTCTGTAGCTCACAGGACTGACTTGTAGATCCAGTGAGATAAATTGTTATTAGCATTTAGCTTGTAAAATTATTTTATATACCTTATTTCACTCGATTTATTTGCCTTTAGTGAAACAAAGGCTCTAACAAAATCTTCTCAAACCAAATAAGGAGGTTTTTTTTGTCCCACTCTGATTTCAAAGCATGATCCTTTTCAGTGGCAATAAAATCTCAGCTTCTTTACAATCTTAAAATCTGGGATGGAAAGGTAATGACAATGAAAGAAAGTTCAATAATGTGGATAACTATTTGGAAAAAAATGTTTAATATATGAACCATGTAACTTTTCTAATCATAATTTTTTACTGTAATATTTACAAGCTTTTCATAACAGATATGCTGCCCTAATTATCTGTTTCAAAAAAACAAACATATACTCTGTCATGATAAAACTATTTTTAAGAAATTATTTAGACCAAGCCAAATTTAACTCTTTATTAGCATGAAGTCAATAGACCATACTGTTCTAGTTATTTCTGTACAAATAACCCAAATTAAGGCAACTCCTTAACCATATGATTAATTGCTTGTATTCAGCTGTTTCATAGTAGAAAAGACCCAATTTAACATTATACTTGTTCTTTGATGCACACAATAAGTTTAAACATTTTAAACTATGATAGTTTAGGGAAATATATAGGAAGCCATAAAAGGAAGGGGAGGGGATTTCTAAGGATATTAGGGTGTTCTTTTTGGAAGGAATTTAATACACCAAGTTGTCCCAAATAGATCTATGTTTATTCTGTATAATCTCTTTACCAGAATGGTCATTCCTCTGTGACGTACAGCTATTATAGGAGATGTGGAAATAAATACAGACCAAACAAATGAGAAAAGCAAAGGCTATTTATCCTGAGCTTACTGTAGCAAGGAATTCAGCCACTTGTATCACTTGCTTTAGCAGAGACTCAAATTTAGGCAGAAAGTTGGAGAAGCTGTATAGTGGAGGAAAGGAAAGCTTCAGGTGTGCCCTTAGTGGAGGTATTGGCCTGAGAGAGCTGGAGGCAGCTGACTAGAAGGGTCATCCTATGTGATTGGGTAGGGGAGAATATTTGGCTTTCTCTGGGTGGTCATAAGTTAGAATTAGACACAGTAATTGGGAAAACTGTCAGTTATTCATCAAGTTCTTGCCATTTGGGACTGATGGTTACAGAGACTATTGTTTGGCATCCTGGATTGTTACCAGAAACAGTCATCTGACTTACATAAATCTGACATAATAGCAGGCTGGCTTCCTGGGCTGATTGCTACAGATTATAGGCCAGACTTCTATTTTTGTTGCTGAAACACCAGGGGCTTAGTCTAGGTCCTGCTGCTCACCACACAGAAAGCCAATCACTGAGACAATGAGTATTGCCAAGGAAGAAGGATTTAATCGGGTGCTACAGCCAAGAGATAGGAGATCAGTATCAAATTCGTCACCCTGACTGACTAAAATTAGGTGTTTATATAGCAGGGAAGAAATGTAACAATGTATAAGAAAACAGGAACTAGGTAGGGTTAAAGAAGCAATCACAATAAATGAGGGACCTGGCATCTCATTGTCTGGATGTGATGATCTGGTGAGTTTCTGTTCTTTGATACTTTTTGAGAGGCCTGGGAGGTCATTTCTTGAGGAAGGAACTCTGATAAAAAAATGTAAGTTTCAAGCTGTAAGATCAAAATGGTCAATTTCTATGTTTATAAAAAAAATCTATGGGACAATTGGGTTGGTTTCATTTTTACATATGGTTTGGCCATTGCCTGTATATTCAGAATCTTGGTGAGTTGAAAAACCACTTTTATTTATATTCTTGGTCAATAAAACTGTTTTGGCTAAATTCACTTCTCCTTTCAGTAGCTCTGTGCTAATGACCCTCAATTCTACATCACCATTCAAGAACTTTCCCCCAACTCCAGACTCGTGGTCAACTGCCTGCCACATATGTCCGCTCAGGATCTCAGTTAGAATAAATTCAATGTGGAGCTGCTAAGATTCCCACCCAACGCAGCTCCCTCTGCAGTTTTCCCTGAACAATTAATCTTGAAGTCATTCTTGGCTTTTCTTTCTCTTACACTTCATCTGGAGTTTATCAGCAAATGCTGTGAGCTCATCTTCAATACACACCAGGGATCTGGACACTTCTCGCACCCTACCCCCATGCCACCACCCTGGTTCAAACACCATAACATGTGCCCTGGATCATTTTTAAAGCTTCCAAACTGGTCTCTTTTTTTTTATGTTTACCTCCTGCATCTCTTCTCAACTTACTGTCAGAGGTATCTAGTTAAAACCTACCTCAGACCTCATCATCCTTCTGCTCAAAACCCTCCAGAAGTTCCTTCTTTCAGCAGAGGTGAAAGCCAAAGCACTTACTCTATCCCACAAACTCTACATGATCTGCCTTCTCAGCTCTCTGCTCCAGTCAAACGCATTTTCTTATTATTCCTCAATACTCCAAGCACACTCTTGCCTGAGGACCTTGCACTTCCTGTTTCCTCTTTCTTGAAGCCTCTATCCCAGACATCTGCACTTTTCCTTCTTCACTTCCTTCCAGTCTGTCACAGTAAGGACCTGCCCAGGACACCTTATGTGAAATTTCGTCATGCTGTCTCATCATTTTGTATCCCCATTTTTATCTTTATTTTTTCTCCTAACCACTCATTGCTCTCAACAGGCTATATATTTTATACCTTTTGTTTCTGTTCTATCCCCCCATGGTGTATAAGTTCCATGAGCACAGGACATTTTACTTGTTTTATTCACTTCTGAGTCCCCAAAAGCAAAAACAATGCCCAGCCTACAAAAGGCACTCAATAAATATCTGTTAAATAATTCAATAAGACAGTCTCAACATTCTAAAAACTTAAGAATATCACAATGGGTATTGCAGTTTAGAATGTACAAAGCACTCTCCCAGAACTTCTCTCATAAGGTGGATATCACTTCCATTTTACCAATGAAGAAACTGATTTCAGCAACTTAAGAGATGTGCCCTAATCTCATGGCTGGGAAGTGGCAGAATCTGGGTGTCCAATGCCCATGCCCAAAGCTTTTTCTACCAGCCTTGACATGTTTTTCCAAAGATCATGCTTGCTTCCCTGTTCGTATCTGCTTTGTTTCCATAGAGCTTCTCACCGACACTGTTGACAACAATGGCCTCTTGACAGGTCCTCTGCTTCCAGTCTGTCTCTTCTCCAGTCCATCCTTTACACTGACTCCAGAATTAGTTCCTTAATCACAAAATGTAGTTATGCCACTCCCCTGTTTGAAAGTCTTTACTGAAATTCTCACTTCTGCTCTTCTTGGCATTCAAAGCCTGCTAAAGTCCAGACACAGATGCCTTTCCAGCCTATTTCAACCTACGCTCCCAGATGGCCCGCCAGCCGGACCTGTCTGTCACAACTCCATGACGAAGCCTTGAACTTCTGTGCCTCCTTGCATTTCTTTAGTCCTTTTGTCTGAAGTCACTGTTCCTCATCTCCCACCCACCAGGGCCCTTCTTGGAAGCTTTCTGTAAGTCCTTCCTCAGAATTAGCATTTGGCCCTGTTTGGGCATATCTCTTCTTATTCTTGGTAGGGCGGCTCATTGTGTTTATCCTCCAATAGATGTCTATGTCCTGAGCACAGAGATCATCTCTCAATCCTCTCTCTCACCTGCCACCCCACATTGCACCTAAAGTGTACTCCATAAGTATTCTTTTAATTAACATGAATATTTCATAATAGGAAAAGCAGATTCACATGTTTTCTCATTACAGGCATGAAGAGCCTGGGCAAACCAGGGAAATCAAGTTTAAGGCCCATAATCGACCTGGAATTCTCCTCTAAGCACATGGTCTATGCTTTTTCCCTTTTATTTAAAATGATGACAGGCCGGGCATGGTGGCTCACGCCTGTAACCCCAGCACTTTGGGAGGCTGATGCAGGTGGATCACTTGAGGTCAGGAGTTCAAGACCAGCCTGGCCAACATGGTGAAACTCTGTCTCTACTAAAAATACAAAATTAGCCAGGCGTGGTGGTGGGTGCCTATAATCCCAGCTACTTGAGAGGCTGAGGCAGAAGAATCACTTGAATCCGGGAAATGGAGGTTGCAGTGATCGGAGATTGTACCATTGCACTCTAGCCTGGGTAACAGAGTGAGACTCTGTTTCAAAAAAAAAAAAAAAAAAAAGAGTACAATGTATACCCTCCTCCAGTCTGCCTTGTTGTTGGCCTGTGAAGATGGTAGGTTATTGGGTAATGCAAGATTCTCAGTGGAAAGAATGGATTGCAACTGAGAGAGGGCCATTTCCTTCCTAAGGCTTTTCAGTCCCTGCTCTCCTTTCTCCCTAAGATAACAAAGGGCAGCGCCTGGCCCAGTGCCTGCATGAGAGGAAGGACTCCATTACAGCAACCCCCTGGGCCTTTCTACTCACTCTGGCTGCTTCTTACGTTTCTTTCTTTAGAAATATTTTTCTCCTTATTCTGGAAGGTAAAACTCAACATAATTAGCCAGATGTATATTAAAGAAAAAATGTTGACCTTATTTTCCACATTTAATAAAAGCTAAGGTCTTACGTGTTCATTATGAACAATAATAGCCTTGTGTCTATACAAGAAAAAAAGCTGAAACCATAACGTACCTACACTTTGATGTTTTAATCATGCATTTCTGTGCCAACCAATTCCAAGTTTTGGCAGACTGTGAGATATTTTTCTTTCACTTAATTTTTTCATAACAAGCCATAGGAGACGAACTACTCACAAAGTGGAAGATTCAAATGTATACCCAGTGCTGTCAGCCAAGTATATGTGAGACTGCTTACCTGATTAAGGGCTGGCTTTCTAGGTCCAGAGGTGAAACTAATACACAAGTTATTTTTGCTCTGAATGAGTGAGCCTTTGACAAATTCATGAAGCATGATTAAATGTTAATAAGCTTAATACCACCTCTTGGCTGGGCGCCGTGGCTCATGCCTGTAATCCCAGCACTTTAGGAGGCCAAGGCTGACAGATCACCTGAGGTCAGGAGTTCAAGACCAGCCTGACCAACATGGAGCCCGTCTCTAATAAAAATACAAAATTAGCCAGGCGTGGGGCGCATGCCTGTAATCCCAGCTACTCAGGAGGCTGGGGCAGGAGAACTGCTTGAACCTGGGAGGCGGAGGTTGTAGTGAGCCGAGATCACGCCATTGCACTCCAGCCTGGGCAACCATAGCAAAACTCTGACTCAAATAATAATAATAAGAAGAAGAAGAAACCTCTTGTCCTATTCCTGGAGGGTTACAGTAAAGGGTTCCTTACCATTTCCCCATTCCAGATACATGGACACAGGTGGCAGGGAAAGGAAGTGGAGGTCCTGAAAGATTGTGGGTCTCCAAAGAAGCCCAGCCTCCATCACTGGCCCAGAGGAAGGGCACTCCAGTGACCGACTGCAACAGAAGGGGCCTGCTACACTACTCTGCCTTAGGTGCGGCCACTGAGCCCTGTCCTCTCCATCTCTGAGGCCAAGCACATGACCCTCTCCAGGGTTAGGGTTGAGCTGCCTAGACATAAACACCTCACCAACTGTTTATGAATACACAACTAAAACCCAATCACACTTATTTTCCAACATTTCAAATCCAGGTGCTTAAATTCAAACTACGTGTTATAATAAAGTTGCACCAGCTGGCTTTATATTTAAGGCTTTGGCCTGGGATAATTTAAGGAACATTTTGATGATGAAAGAATAAGCCTTGTTAGCAGAGAGAACTCATTCTGAAAGTCCATGTGCTTCAGGAGGGACTGTCCTGGGCTCCTAACAACACGGAGGGCTCTGAGCAGTCAGACATGATGGGGTGAGGCTCCACGGAGCCTGCGGCCTTCGCTCCACTGCCTGCCTACAGCGGAGATGAAGGGCTGGAAGAGGAAGGTGAAAAGGGGGAAAGGAGGGATGATGAAAGGAGGAAGGGAAGGAAGGAGAGATTTCAGTGAATTAAACTTTCATCTTCTCCTAATAACCACACAGGCAAATAGCTATCTATATAATATAGAGACATACCAACAGAAAAAATTTCTAAAGCAGAATGAACTGAAAATGACCTCTACAAAACAGAGCCCACAGTGGGTAGACCATCACTAGTAAAGCATTTCCAGCTTCCATGCAGCACATATTCCCAAAGTTGCTTTTTATCTAGGTTGTTTGGAACTTGAGGTGAATTTCCCCTACAGAAACAATGCTGTAAATGGGACTTGCTATAAAAGGGCATAAATCGTTTTTTAAAAGTAAACAAATAAAATTTTATGAGTAAAATGAAGATGTTAATCATTATGAAGGACAAAAAGATCTGAGCAAGTCATGAGATATGTTATGCTCTTGACTAGGAAGGTAATTTAAACTATTTAATCAGTGATATTTCCATCAAAATTCTGCAGAACTTGACAGATTCTAAAATTTTATTTAAAAAATAAAGTCCTAAGAATAGTTAAGTTATTGGAAAGAAAACAAGCAAACAAAAAACTATCCTGCTTGACATCAAGAAAAATTAAAAAAAAAAAAAAAAAAGGTAGGAAACTTGCCAGGTGTGGTGGCTCACGCCTATAAACCTAACACTTTGGGAGGCCAAGGCATGTGGATCGCTTGAGCCCAGGAGTTTGAGGTCAGCCTGGGCAACATGGTGAAACCCTGTCTTTTAAAAAATACAAAAATTATTTAGGCATGGTGGTGCAGGACTGTAATCCCTGCTACTTGGGAGGCTGAGGTGGGAGGATTGCTTGAGCCCAGGAGGTTGAGGCTGCAACTCCAGCCTGGGTGACAGAGCAAGACGCTTGAAAAAAAAAGTAAAAGAAAAAGAAAAGAAGGAAAGAGAAGGAAAGCAAGAAAGGAAGGAAGGAAGGATGAAAAGACAGGAAACTAAGTAATAAAACACAGTATAGGCACAGGGACAAACAAAAAGATCAGCAAAATAATATAGACACTTCAGGATATCTACTGCTGATAGATAGACAGAGAAATAGAACAAAAAGAAGACTTAGAAAGATTCATTTAAACTTACATAAATGCTCCAGAGAGGAGGGAGGGGCATGGCTTTGGGAGTTACAAAGACAATTTTGAGTTTATGGTGAATTTTCATTTTTCTCTTTAAAAAGTTAAGAACTATTACAAAATAAGAATGTTTCTTAATTTTCTATGTTGCATAAATTGGTGTTTTTTTATGATAGACTTTACAGAATTTAAAAATTACTTCCCAAAAAAAGCTATCATCTCAGCAGTGAAAGCAGGACCACGTCAGATGCCTTTCACTTAGTTTTAATAGCCTCAGAAAAGGGGAAGTCAGGCTTCCTTCTTGACGCAGCATGAGTGAAAGGAAGCAGTCAAACATCAGAAAAGTTAAGCACAAAGAAATAAAAAATATACAATGCTCAGATAAACCCTGGATATATTAGTAAGATGGCTGGATGGGAGGAATGACAAACTAGGGGAAAAAAGTCCCTCCATGAAGATGATAAACTGCAATCCTTGTAACTTAGACTATTTTGATGTCAAGCAGACAAATGGCCTTTGTTGAGTGGGGCTGCTGTGGGATTTTTTTTAACTGCCTTTAGATCAAAAGGTCTGACAGCTCCCACAGCCTGAATGATCCCTGCCATGCTGAGATCCAGGATGGATGCCTCAGCATGGCAGAGGCTTGATGGGCTCATTTGGAAGAGAAATATTTTGCCCTGATACAGAGAATGGATTGGCTGACCTTGCAGGGCATTTTCATTACCCTTTTCCCAAAACTTGAATGAACAGAATTCATGAGAACAATCATGCACTGTCACAAACTGTGAATGAATTCATGAAAAACCTCACTCAACCTCTGTTGCTTTCACTTAAATTATTTTAAATTTACTTTGTCACTGAAAGGCAATGTCGTTGAACTAAAAGTATTAATTTGAGCAACTGAAAGATTGTTCTAGTTTAAAGTGAATTTTAAGAACGTGTGCCATGAGACATTGCTTTAGGAAGCCATTAAAGTAGAAAATTATGAAATTTAGAATTTTAAGCACGTGAAAATTTCAGATGCCACAAGTCCTAACATTTATTTATGCTATATAAATGAAGAAAGTAGAACAAGAGTGTTTGCTGAGAGTTCCAGACTTAATTTTCCAGATTGAAAAGTTGACAGTGTGAAACTCAGATGGAAGAAAGAGATAGGGCATAGATACCATTACACAAGAGGTGGTGGTGGTTTTGACTGGGATGGTAGCAGTGGAGTGGCTGAGACATGACAAGCCTTGGATATATTTTGAAGTTAGAGATAATAGGCTTTGCCAACAAATTGGACATAGAACATGGGAGAAAAACCAAAGTCAACTGTGACACTAAAGTTTTTTAACTTGAGTGGCTGGAGAGATTAAGTTGCCATTTGCCAAGACGTGGAAGATTGAAAAAAGAGAAGGTCATATCAATTGATCATCTCTATTGATGCAGAAAAGGCATTTGGCAAAATCCCACAGCCATTCATCGTAAAAACCCTTAGGAAACTAAGAACAGAGGGAGCTTCCTCAACGCAGTAAAGAGTATCTACACCTGACTTCACACTTAATGGTAAGGGGAAAATGGCATCAAGGGAAGTTTTTAATAAATGTTGAAAGACATCCAACATTTCTGTATGCCAGTGTGAATAATCTGATACAGTGGGGAAAACATGTTGAAGCAGGAGAAAGAATCAGAAAACAGAAGCAGCATTTTTGAGTTGATGATGGGGGATAGGGTCTGGTAGACAAGTGAAGGGTTTGGCGTTAGCTAGGAAAGCAAATAGTTGATCCACACTCATCCCAGTAGCAGCCAAGTGTTAGAATACCATCGAGCTGGTAGAGACTCAGTGGTTGATTCCATTTTCTCAGTGGATTAGAGACCAAGGTCACCAGCTGAGAACAATAATGATGGAGATGGTGGTGGAGAGCAGGGAAGGGAAAATAATCATCTAGGAGAGTGGGAAAGTGATGAATACTGGAAAAGAGAGCGGGATTGCCAGGCAGCACTAAAGTTTACTTGGGGTTAGTGATTGTCAACTTAAAATAAAGCCAGTCAGCATTTTTCTCCAACCTCAGTCAATTGTCTGCAGAGGAGGAAAAGGAGGCAAGGTAGTTGAGAGTATAGGCAAAGGAGTAATTACCATCACACAACACGACATCTAAATGGGGTGACACAGAAAGTGAGAACATGAATGACTATAGGAGATTGAAAGGACTGTAAACCCCAGTGAGGTCAAAGAAGTGTTGGGAGCTCAGACATGAAGGAAGTTGATTTAGATGGGTAGGAAGCATTGGTCAAAGAGTGGCATTCTTAAAATTGACATTATGGAGAGGAAACAAGATATTTCTAAAGACAGATGTAGAATATAACTAGAGTTATAAGCAGCAGAGATTATGTGAGGGACAAGGTTGTTGGGAACAGGCCCCCAAATCTGGCCATAAACTGGTGCCAAAACTGTCCATAAACAAAATTTCTGCAGCACTGTGACATGCTCATGATGGCCTTGACACCCATGCTGGAAGGTTGTCAGTTTACCAGAATGAGGGCAAGGAACACCTGGCCCATCCAGGGTGGAAAACTGCTTAAGGTGTTCTGAAACCACAAATAATAGCATGAGCGATCTGTGCCTTAAGGACATGTTCATGCTGCAGATAACTAGCCAGAGCCCATCCCTTTATTTCAGCCCATCCCTTTATTTCCCATAAGGAATACTTTCAGTAAATCTTATGACTGGCTTGCTGTCAATAAATATGTAGGTAAATCTGTGTTTGGGGCTCTCAGCTCTGAAGGCCATGAGAACCCTAATTTCCCACTCCATACTATATTTCTGTGTGTGTGTGTGTCTTTAATTCATCTAGCGCCACTGGGTTAGGGTCTCCATGACCGAGCTGGTCTCGGCAAGTGGCGTCCATACGTGGGGGCTCGAACCCAGGTCAAAGGGTCGCCAGAGCAACCGTTGGAGATCACAGAACTAAACTGGAGGACAGCCCAGTACTCTTAAAGCAATCCCCATGGTAAGTAAGAAGGGGATCTTGGAAGCATCAGGGTAACAATGGGACAAGTGTGGGCTTTGGTTCATTCCACCTTGGAAACTTTTCACACTAATGATGCAGAGGAAGGAGAGTATAACAAAGTAACAGAAGAAGTATCAGAGCAGGTTTGTTTGCCAGCTAAAGCTAAAACAGCAAAGGAGGAAGAGGTTCATCCCTACCCTTCTGCAACCCTTCCGGATTTTGAAGATAAAGAGTGGCCTGACCCTCCAGAATTCCTTTTCCAGAGGACACTGGGCAAAAAGTAGTTGCCCAGTGACTGTTCGAGCAGCACCTCGAATGACCGCTCTCAGTTCTATTCAGGCAGGAATCCCACAAGCTAGAAGAGAGGGTGATTTAGAGGCTTGGCAGTTCCCTGTTAGAATACACCCACCCAATTAACAGGGAAATATTGTAGCTACATTTGAGACTTTTCCTTTTAAATTCAGGAAATGCCATGAGGGGCCCATCCCAGGCCCCATTCCAAACCGGGGCATTTCTGGCTCAGGCCATTTCCTTACCCCTGTACAATGTCTGTCCCCTACCACAGCTGGCAGTGCTGCAATAGATTTATGCTGCACAAAAGCTGTGAGCCTTCTGCCTGGGAATACCCCACAAAAAGTTCCAACAGGAGTCTGTGGATCCTTGCCAGTGGGGACGATAGGATTACTTCTAGGAAGGTCTAGTTTAAATTTAAGTACAAACAGTAATCATTGATTCACATTACAATGGGGAAATTCAAATTGTTATATCTACTTCTGTTCCCTGGAAAGCAGAGCCAGGACAGCGCATAGCACAGCTCCTGATAGTGCTGTATGTGGAAATGGGGAAAAGTGAAATTAAACGAGCAGGAGGATTTGGAAGCACAAATAAACAAGGCAAAGCAGCTTATTGGGTAAATCAAATTACTGATAAACATCCTACCTGTGAAATAACTATTCAGGGTAAGAAAGTTAAAGGTTTGGTAGACACAGGAGCAGACATTTCATTCATTTCTCTACAGCACTGGCCATCTGTGTGGCCAATTTAACCCACTCAATTTAACATAGTTGGAGTTGGTAAAGGCCCTGAAGTATATCAAAGTAGTTATATTTTGCATTGTGAAGGCCCCGATGGACAACCTGGGACTATTCAACCAATTATAACTTCTGTACCTATAAATTTATGAGGGAGAGATTTATTACAACAATGGGGAGCACAAGTTCTAATTGCTGAACAATTATACAGCCCTCAAAGTCAACATATGATGCATGAAATGCGGTATGTCCCTGGTATGGGACTAGGAAAAAATTTGCAGGGTTTAAAGGAACCGCTTCAAGCAGAAAGACAAAGTTCTCATCAAGGTTTAGGATATCATTTTTGATGGTGGCCATTGTTGAGCCTCCAGAACCTATACCTTTAAAATGGTTAACATATAAGCCAATTTGGATAGAACAATGGCCGCTGAGCAAAGAGAAAAATGGAGGCTTTAGAGGACTTGGTTACTGAACAATTCTTGATAATCATTTTCCTAAAATGAAACTGTTTCAATTTTTGAAATTAACTAATTGGATCCTCCCTAGAATAACTAAATTTAAACCAATTGAAGGTGCTGAAAATATTTTTACAGATGGGTCTAGTAATGGTAAAACTTCTTATTCTGGATTAAAAAGTAAAGTTTTCCAGACACCCTATAATTCAGCTCAAAAAATGGAGCTTGTAGCTGTAATTGAGGTATTGACTGCTTTTAATATGCCTGTTAATGTGATTTCTGATTCTTCATATGTGATTCATTCCACACAGTTAATTGAAAATGCTCAGTTACTATTTCATACAGATGAACAACTGATGACTTTATTTACCCAATTGCAAACAGCAGTTAGGAGTAGAATGCACCCTTTCTACATCACTCACATTAGGGCTCATACACCTCCTCCAGGACATTTGACTGAAGGGAATCAAGTGGCTGATCACCTAGTTGCTAATGTGATATCTAATGCTAGACACTTTCACAATTTAACCCATGTTAATGCCTGTGGTCTCAAACACAGATACAGCATTACTTGGAAAGAAGCTAAAGCTATTATCCAGTGATGCCCAACTTGCCAAATGGTACCTTCCTCATCTTTTACAGGAGTTAATCTTCGAGGATTGGAACCTAATTCTCTTTGGCAAATGGATGTCACACATGTTCCCTCGTTTGGGAGTCTAGCTTACATACATGTATGTGTGGACACCTTTTCTCACTTTGTCTGGGCTACATGCCAATCAGGAGAGTCTTCTGCCTGTGTTAAACGTCACCTTTTGCAGTGTTTTGTGGTGATTGGCATTCCAGCTTCTATTAAAACAGATAATGCCCCAGGCCATACTAGCCAAGCTCTAGCTACGTTTTTCTCTATATGGAATATTAAACACATTACTGGTATCCCATATAATTCTCAAGGACAAGCCATAGTGGAAAGAATGAATCTCTCCATGAAACAGAAGTTGCAAAAGCAGAGGCGGGAAAACAGGGACTATGGAACACTGCATATGCAATGGAATCTAGCATTATTAACCTTAAATTTTTTGAGCCTGCCTGCCTAAAGGCCAGATGCTAACAGCATCTACAGAAACCAGCTGCAAAGACAGAAGCAGAACAACTGGTTTGGTGGAGAGATCCAATAACAAAAAGTTGGGAAATAGGTAAAATAATAATTTGGGGTAGAGGTTATGCTTGTGTTTCTCCAGGCCAAAATCAACAGCCAATTTGGATACCATTGAGACACCTGAAACCTTACCATGAAACAGATGCTGAGGAAGAGATTCCAGGAGGATCCCGAGCTCCCCCCAGTTGCAGCCATGTGGAGAATGACTCTGAGGAGGACCCCAACTGTCACAAGCAACACCCGTTGAACACAGCCATCCACCTGGGGACAGATCAAGAAGCTGTCACAGATGGCAGAAGAAAACCTGAGGAAAGCAGGACAACCAGTCACAATGAGTAATTTAATGGTAGCTATGATAGCAGCGATCACCATTGCCTCTGCAGATGCAGATCCTGACTCCTGCAAGAAGTAGCTCATAGTGACAAAGCTGCCTTTGCTCTTATCGCTTTGCAAAACAAAGAAGGGGAACATGTTGGGAACAGGCTCCAAAATCTGGCCACAAACTGGTCCCAAAACTGGCCATAAACAAAATCTCTGCAGCAGTGTGACATGTTTGTGATGGCCTTGACACCCATGCTGGAAGGTTGTCGGTTTACTGGAATGAGGGCAAGGAACACCTGGCCTACCCAGGGCAGAAAACCGCTTAAGGCATTCTTAAACCACAAACAATAGCATGAGTGATCTGTGCTTTAAGGACATGTTCATACTGCAGATAACTAGCCAGAGCCCATCCCTTTATTTTGGCCAGTCCCTTTATTTCCCATAAGGAATACTTTTAGGAAATCTTATGACTGGCTTGCTGTCAGTAAATACGTGGGTAAATCCCTGTTCAAGGTCCTCAGCTCTGAAGGCTGTGAGACCCCTGATTTCCCACCCCACACTCTATATTTCTGTGTGTGTGTCTTTAATTTCTCTACTGCTGCTGGGTTAGGGTCTCCATGACTGAGCTGGTCTTGGCACAAGGTCAATGTAGAAGAGGCAGACAAGGAAAAAAGAAGCCAAATATTGGAAGGATTATCTGTGTGGATACTAAAGATCTAGAATTATAACAGGAGTGTTGGACAGAGTGGCAGGGCAGGTGCCAACATCTTCCATTAACGTGGAGAGCAGGACAGGGCCTGGAGACGACTGCGCTAAGGAGGGCTAGTGAGTAATATAGACTAATGGCATGAGCTGCAAAGCCAGGGCATTTTCAGAAGGAGGAAGAGACACTAGTCTGGATGTGGCAGTGAGCAAGGTGAGCAGGTACTCTACCCCCAGGCCTAGCGTTACAGAGCTTAATGAAATGAAAATAGATGCCAACTGATAGAGCTACAAGGGAGGCAGTATTCTCGGATAAGATCATGATTTTGGTCAGAGCAAGAAGGAAGAGGATCAGAGGAGGTCCCTAAGGAATTTACCAGTGATGCACCATGAGCTCCAGAGGCTGCAAGAGAGGATTTTCAGTAGTTCAGGAAGGATAGGAGACAGGGAAAAGAGTTCAAGTCTTTTTTTTTGTTTTTCACTAATGATGTAGTTTATATCCTTCCATACTACCAGATAAAAACACATACATTCTCTAGGCACAGAGCTTGTATTCATAAATAACTCTCTGCTTAAAGACAAAATTTCAATTAATATTCACAACGGGAATCTATTTAACTGATTTAACACAACTATGAATCTAAAACGTCATCAATAAAACCTAAGAAGTTTTATCACAAAACCAGGGACATGCATTAGTAATCTATACAACTTACATTACATCAGAAAAGGAATTGAATATTTCCCTTTATTTTTATACAAAAATTAGCTGGGCATGGTGGCACATGCCTGTAATCCTAGCTACTCAGCAGAGTGAGGCATGAGAACCATTTGAACCCAGGAGGCAGAGGTTGCAGTAAGCCAAGATTGCACCACTGCACTCCAGCCTGGGCAACAGAATCAGACTTTTTCTCAAAAAAAAAAAAAAAAAAAGTTCCCTTCATTTTTAGTGGTTTTCAAATTTCACAGCACAGATTAAAAACAAAACAAAACAAAAAATAAACCCTGTAGAAACAGATTTTAAATACATTTAGAACACCAAGCCAGCCCCAATCTGTTGAAACTGATGGATAAATATGTACAATAACTAGACAGACTTTAGTTATAATGGTACTGGAGGTCTATCTATCAAAAATCCTTTGGGATTAATTTCTCAATGAAAACATATGTTTGTAAATAGTGCGATAATATAAACTTGGAAACATACCTAGAGTCAGGAGAGAGATGAAAAATAACACACAAGCCAATCTTGTTTCTAACCTGTCAGCATAAAGCCTTCTGGATCCCAAACACCCAACATTGTCCCTCAGTATACAAATTAAAAGTAGAATGACTTTACCCTACTAGCTGACATTCTTCTACAGAATAATCTTTCATTACATATCAAAACAGGGCTCAAGTTTCATTCATCTGCTTCCACAAGGTGTAATTAGCAGAGCGCACCAAATTTATAAGCTGATGTGGCAACTCAAAATGCTAAACACACTTTTCTAATGGAAACAAACTGGATTTTTTTCTGTTGTTCATTCTATGTACCATATTATTATCATTATTATTATTATTTTTTTTTTTTTGAGATGGAGTCTCCCTCTGTTGCCAGTCTGGAGATCAGTAGCACCATCCCCAGCTCACTGCAACCTCCACCTCCTGGGTTCAACTGATTCTCCCGCCTCAGCTGTGTCCTGAGTAGCTGGGACTACAGGCACCCGCCACCACTCCCGGATTTTTTTTTTTTGTCTTTTTAGTAGAGATGGGGTTTCACCATGTTGGCCAGGCTGGTCTCAAACTACTGAGCTCTGGTGATCCACCAGCCTCAGCCTCCCAAAGTGCTGGCAGGCATGAGCTACTGTGCCTGGCCGCCATATTATTCTTGAAACTTATGTGGCTACCAATAAAAAAAAAAAATAGGGAAGCTTTAAACATAACTTTTTTTTTTTTTTTTTGAGATGGTGTCTTGTTCTGTTGCCCAGGCTGAAGTGCAGTGGCACGATCTTGGATCACTGCAAGCTCCGCCTCCTGGGTTCACGCCATTCTCCTGCCTCAGCCTCTGGAGTAGCTGGGACTACAGGCGTCCACCACCTCCCCCAGCTAATTTTTTATATATTTAGTAGACACAGGGTTTCACCATGTTAGCCAGGATGATCTCGATCTCCTGACCTCGTGATCTGCCTGCCTTAGCCTCCCAAAGTGCTGGGATTACAGGCGTGAGCCACCGTGCCCAGCCACTTTAAACGTATCTTATACTTTTCATCAAGGCTAATGTGTCAAATGTCTCCATATATCTGGTATTTTAATAGGAAAAAAATCAAACATATATAATAAATAACCTGAAGTGACAGTAGAACTAATACCAAAAAAGCACTTTTTTTTTCTTTTTTTTCTTTTTGAGATGGAATCTCGCTCTGTACCCAGGCTGGAGTGCTGTGGTGTGATCTTGGCTCACTGTAACCTCTGCCTCCCAGGTTCAAGAGGTTCTCCTGCCTCAGCCTCCCAAGTAGCTGGGATTACAGGTGTGTGCCACCACACCCAGCTAATTTTTTTTTTTTTTAGTAGAGACGGGGTTTCACCCTGTTGGCCAGGCTGGTCTCAAACTCCTGACCTCAGGTGATCCACCCACCTTGGCCTTCCAAAGTGCTGAGATTACAGGCGTGAGCCACCCCGCCTGGCCAAAAGCACTCTCAAATATACACTTGAAGACTACATTTCACAACCAATTTAATTTTTCTTTCTTCAGCAAAATGCGTCAATGAACCAATTTCTCATAGATTAACATTAAGATTTTGTTTGATTCTCTTTCCAGGACCAGAAATTCCAAAATTACAAGGGAAAAGAATGGAAAAAAAAATAATAACATTGCATTACAATGGACACTAACTCAATAAACACTTGTTTCTAAAATAAGAAAATTATGGAAGAAAATACTATGGAAAGAATAATCCTATGAAAATTGTCTTTAAGCATAGTAAATTTGACCCTTAGTCTTCATGAAGATACTGCAGTTTATATAGAAAAGAAAATATACAAGACTCTAGGGAAAAAAGTCAGAATACGTATTATATAACATTCTGTAGGCCTAAAGACCTTTTGAGGGGGAAAGGGGAAAGGATGGCCAATTAAATCTTTACTTAAGAGTACAGAACTATGAAAAATTTCTGGGCCAGAAGTATACTTCAAATAGAACCAAACTTTGTGGAAAAGAACTTATATATATATATATATTTTTTTTGTTTTAATTAATTAATTAATTTTTTTCTGAAACGGAGTCTCCCTCTGTTGCCCAGGCTGGAGTGCAGTGGCACTATCTTGACTCACTGCAACCTCCACCTCTCAGGTTCAAGAGATTCTCATGCCTCACCTCCCAAGTAGCTGGAATTACATGTGCATGTCACCAGGACAGACTAATTTTTGTATTTTCAATAGATACGGGGTTTCACCATGTTGTTCAGGCTAGTCTCGAACTCCTAACCTCAAGTGATCTGCCTGCCTCGGCCTCCCAAAGTACTAGGATTACAGGCATGAGCCACTGCACCTGGCCAAACTTAGCCATATTTTTAAGAGAAAAGAAAAGGTACTGAAAACGGAGTCCTTTCCAAAAAGAAAATCATAAATTAAGGGGAAAATATTTGAATAGTGTAAACCAGTCTAGGTCAAAAAGAAAATTGGGCTGGGGGCAGGAGCTGTAATGTCTCAGGCTGTGCAAACAAATGGATCTCAACCATTAACCAAAACATGAGTGTTCAGTTTATATGAATGAAAACAAACACCTGAAGAGGCAGTAACAGATGGCTTAGAAATTGTGGCTTCACCTCAAAGTCTACAGAGTGAAATAAGGTCTAATTTGTTTGGATGTGTTGAAAGACACCATGACCATAAAGGAGTGTTTACATCATTTTTGTGCAGTCTGCATCATCACAGTCCTTAGAAATGACAGCAAAAAACACCCTACCTGTCAAAAAAAAAATCTAGTTTCCAAAAGATCACTAAAGGGATCCTTCAGCTCTTGGTGGTGTCAGCAGTGGGCTCAATGTTAGGGATGCCAGAAAATGCCACAGGGTGGGAAAGGAAAAAAAGAGCTAGGGCTAACAAAAATGAGGTGGGGTGGTAGGCAAAGAATTGGGAAGGGCCTTGTAAGCCTTATACTTTAGTCTAAAATGTTTGATGCACTCATCAGCAAAATTTACCCACGTCGTGATGAGTATGAAGCTCTTGGAGAGAGAGTATTAGCCAGCATCCACAAGCACAGTAATCAGTGAGCACTCAGTCTCAGCTTTGAAGAAGGACTGAAAGCACCAGTCAGGAGCAGATTATAGTGAGGCAAGAAACAATAGACTGAAAATGGTAGCAGAGAAGAAGAGAAGAATGCTGACGGTTTGCACTGTCGTGATGCATCCACACAGAACAACAAGGAAACAGGCCATAGTCACAAATGGAACAAAACATCTGCTGATTCTGGGCTTGAGCTTGATATTGACAATGCAACATTTGCCATTGATTCAGAAATGGACGGTGGTAGTGAGATTGAATTAGTATTCAGGCCTCAACCTACATTTATGGAAAAGGATGATAGTGCACAGATAAGATACATAAAGACTTCAGGTAACGCTGCTGTTGATCACTTATCCAGCTATCTGACTGTGAGGTTAGCTTTAGAAGAACTTTGAAGCCAAGGTGCACAAAACCAGATGAACCACGGCCAGAGCAAAACTCAAGTATCAGACACCATGGCCGCTGGCATCACCAGACTATATGGCCAAGAGTTCAAGTCTTGAGTGATGATCTAGGAGTCTGGGGATTCTTTGGGCAACTGGCAGAAAGACAAACAAGGGGTCATGTACTACAATGTACGATTTTCTCCTAGGCAGATTGAAGTGCTGACATCATCGGTATTAGGAGAAAGGGTGGCAGGAGAAAGGAGCTGCCAAGATCACACAGCTCTCTGGCCCTTTACTCTTGCCTGTGGCAGCTGGCCATCAGGGGACACATGCAGTTGCCAGGATCATGGGGGCTGGGAGACCATTTCTTAATTTGCTGACATCAATATGTAGGCCGGAGGAATGACACATCCCATACATCTTAAAAAGTCAACTCTAGATGGGATATCTGAGGGTTTTATAGAATTCTAACCAAAATCCTGCTTTCTAGGTTTCTCCACTCTCCTTACTGTAGATAACACATTTGGTAAAGAACAAATCATGAAGCCTTTCAGCTCTTGGCTATAGGAGCAACAGGCTAAATATTAGGGATGCCAGATAAGGCCATCAGGTGGGAAAGGGAAAGAAGAGGGAGTGCCGAAAAAATGAGGTGGGGGAGAAAGGCAAAGAATTGGAAAGGCCTTGTAAGCCTTATACTTCAGTCTAAAAATGATGGGAATCCACTGAAAGGTTATAGGCCGGGGAAAAGTAGGACCATTCACTTTTCAAAAAAGTGACATCACTTTGGAATGTTGCATCTGTTGTCATCAGGCTGTAAACTGAAATTGTCTAGCTCGTGTTACATTTATGAATTACAAATTGAATGACATGAGGCCAATTTTATAAAATTTCCCTTAGCCCTAGAGTGTCATAATAATATGGATAATACAGTCTATTTCTGAAGTGTTAGAGAATGTATCAGTCAGGGTTCTCCAGAGAAACAAAACCAGTAGGACATACATAGACATAAAAGAGGGGATTTATGATGAGAATTGGCTCATGAAATTATGGAAGCTGAGAAGCCCCATGATTGGCAAATCAAGCTGGAGACCCAGGGGAGCCAGGGGTGTCATTCAGTCTGAGTCTGAAGGCCTGAACACCAAAGCAGCTGAGAGTGTGACTCCCAGTTTAAGGCTGAAGGCCTGAGAACACAAAGGGCCAACAGTGTTAAGTCCCAGAGTCCAAAGTCCCAAGAACCTGGAGCTCTGACGTACAAGTGCAGAAGGTGGATGACTCAGCTCTAAAAAAGAGACCTTTCTGTTCTACTTGGGCCCTCAACAGATTGGATGGTACCCATCCCACACTGGTGATGGCAGGTCCTCTTTCCTCAGCCCACCCAGTTGAATGCCAGTCTCTTCCAGAAACACCCTCACAGACACACCCAGAAAGAATGCTTTACCAGCTATCTGGGTGTGCCTTAACCCAGTCAAACTGACATAAAATTAACTACCACAGAGAAGTAAAGGTGTAATTCATATCAAAGGTCTCCTGCATACTTGACATCTGGCTAATATTGACACTTAGCCAATAAATACTAATATTTTCCACAAGACACTTTTTATATGCATGTTAGAATTAGGATTTTGTTATTTGGTATGGGAAAACATTTGTAGTGTTTTCTAAGAAAATATATAATATGCAGAATTCCAGAAAATAGCCCTTTGATGGTAAACAGAGCATTCTGTACTTTATTTCTTAGGATAGATATTTGCCTCTTGAAATAAAAATGGTGTTTCCGATAAGTGGTGAGTTCTCAGAAAGTTTCATCTTTTCGAAATACAAAAAAAGAAAATCCTCTTATTTATTCTTCAAGCTAGTAAATATAGTGAAGAGACAGTAAAATGAAGCAGAACTCATTATTCCACTTCCCTATAAGTTTTTTGAAGGCATTCAAATAACACTGAGCCAAAGAGATGCTTTTTCTAGCTCTTCATCTTGTTTTTGAATTTAAAATTTAAAAATTAACACAGAAAGCATGAGCAACAAAAGAAAAAACAGACTGGACTTTATCAAACTTAAAAACTTTGGTGTGTTAAAAGACATTGTCAAGAAAGTGAAACGACAACCTACAGAATGAGAGAAAGTACTTGCAAATCATGTCTAATAAGGGTCTAGAAGCCAGAATACATTTTTTTAAAAACTCTAAAAACAATTTTAAAAAGACAAGCCAATTAAAAAAGGGATAAAGGACTTCAACAGACATTTCTCCAGAGAAGATATACAAACGGCCAAAAAGCACATGGAAGGATGCTCAACACTATTAGTCACTAAGGAAATGCAAATCAAAACCACTGTGTGATAACACTTGATACCCACTAGAAGGGCTACAATTAAAAAAAAAAAACCAATAATAGCAAGTCTGGTTAGGATGTGAATATAAAATGGTGTGGCCCCTTTGGAAAATAGTCTGGCAGTTCCTCAAAAGGTTAAACATTGAGTTAATCTATGACCCAATCACTTCCACTCAAGAGAAATGAGAAAAGCCCACACAGAATCTTGTACATGAATGTTCGTAGTAGCATTATTTGTAATAGCCAAATGTAGAAAATAAATGTCCATCAACCATGAATAGGTGAATGTAATGTTTTTCAACTGTAGAAAGCAGCAACTGTAGAAAGACATGCTGTAGAAAAACATGTAATGTTTTTCAGCTGTAGAAAGACATGCTACTGTGGGGACCCACTCAGCCCCCAGAGTTGGTATGAAGATTGTTTTAAACTGAAGGCATTTGAGATTCAACAGATGTAGAAAGCAGCTTTTTTGGAGCTTCCCTTATCCTACTAGAAGCAGAAACTTCTAGGAGTGAGGCTGCCACAAAAATCCCTCTCCAGGGAGTTTTACAGCCCAGAAAAAGATGAAGACCACTTGTACCTACCTAAACATAAGTCATCACAAATTTTCTTATCTTGTATTTGTTCCCCTAAAAATCGATTTGTCTTTCATAAGGAAACCATTGGATCTGCCCATAGAAGCCCCCTTTCCCCTCTCCTCTTCCCCTGTGAAAGATGCCGTATAAACCTCTATCTTTAGCAGTTCAGGAGCCACTTCTTTTGTGTTCTACATATGAATAAACGTTATCTTTTCTCCTGTTAATCTGTCCATTGTCAGCTAAATTAGCAGGCCCCAGCCACTGAACCTAAATTGGTAGGTGAAAAGGTCTTCCTGTCACACCACACTATGAATGAAGCTCGAAAACATTAGCTAAGTCAAAGCAATCAGCCACAGCAGGTCACATGTTGTGTGAATCTATTTATATGAAATATTCAGAACAGACAAATCTTTACAGACAGAAAGCAGATTGGTGGTTGCCAGTGGCTGGGGGAAAGAGGAACGGGGAGTGACTGCCTATGGGCACAGGGTTTATTTAGGAGTAATAAAAATGTCTGGAACTAGATAGAAGTGGTGGTGGCCAAACTTTTTGAATGTACTAAATGTCACTAAATTTTTCATTTTAAAACTGTTTATGTGAGTTTCACTTCAATTAAAAAAAATTAAAAATTTAACTGGGGCTCAACTTTGATGAACCTTGAATGACAAGATAAAGGCTTTAGATTTTATCCTATAAATAACCAGAAACATTTCATAAAATATTTCTTAAAAGCAAACCTAACATTTTAGGATAATAATTTCTAATGTATGTGTTTATCTGAGATCAAAGCACCCTGTTAGGAAGTAGAGCATTCAATCGACTTGTCTAAATGAAGCTCCCCACTTGCCAAGGCTAAGTTTTTTTATTTTTCCCCCACTTAATGAAATTGGCAAACATAGTGACTAGTTCTGTCTGCATTCAGTTGTGTATGATCACAGAGCCCCTTTCAGTCTTTAAACAAGAATCATTTTATGGGTACCTGAGATAGTAACAGGGTTTTGAAAACGCTAATCTATGATGACCTGAAGGTAGCACGAAGAAGTATGTACAATAAATGAGAAGAGTGAGATAAGAGAACAGCAGTGCTAGAGACAGAGAAAGTGAGTCAGGGGCAGCCAGGTGGTGGCCTGTGATGTCAGAAGACTGCTTGGCAGGAAGTGAGGCCTGAACAGGCGTTTGCCCCTTTCACGTGAAACAGAGGGATCAAGATCCTGTTTTCTTAAGACTCAGGCAACCTGAGACAACATTTCAGTGAAACTAAAGATGAAGGCAGACTTCTGAAACTCAGACAACAGAAAGCCCTGTATCTGTTAAGTTATACTGGATTTCTAAAATTGCTCTACATTTGTTCAGTTTACGCCTCAAAGGCAAGGGGAAAGAGAGCAAAGGCCACAGCTTTAAGGTCTCAGCACTTCATGGAAGCCCTGCCTCCAGCCACATGGGGCCACCTGCTGGGAATTGATGAGCTGCAGAGTAGGAAACCTGTTTTTTTTTTTACCTCAAATTCAGGTTTATAAGTCAAAAGCCACATCATGACACCTAATCATTTACTTCTCTATTTTGTTTCTTTTTTTTAATTTTCTTTAAATACGCAATTAATATAAAGCCCCATGGGATCTCAGTGATAAACTCTCATTTTCAAGATAAATGAAATGGCCAATATGGTCTGTAAACTAACAGATCAATAAATAAAACACCCAGCTTAGGACTACAAGGCGACTTCTTTATGACTGAGTAAACCATCTTTAGCAGCTATTAGAGAAGAAACACTGTCATAAATCTATTTCTTACTGCATTCTCATAACACCTCATGTGCACTTCATGCCAGTGAGAAGTGACAGCGTGCTGGCAGTCCTCACAGCCCTCGCTCGCTCTTGGTGCTTCCTCTGCCTGGGCTCCCAATTTGGCGGCACTTGAGGAGCCCTTCAGCCCACCGCTGCACTGTGGGAGCCCCTTTCTGGGCTGGTCAAGGCCAGAGCCAGCTCCCTCAGCTCTCAGGGAGGTGTGGAGGGAGAGGCGAGAGCAGGAACAGGGGCTGCACGTGTCACTTGCGGGCCAGCTGGAGTTCCAGGTGGGCGTGGGCTTGGCGGCCCCGCACTAGGAGCAGCTGGCCGGCCCTGCCGCCCCCGGGCAATGAGGGGCTTAGCACCCAGGCCAGCAGCTGCGGAGGGTGTACTGGGTCCCCCAGCAGTGCCAGCCCACCAGCGCTGCACTCGATTTCTCGCCGGGCCTTAGCTGCCTTCCCACGGGGCAGGGTTGGGCTCAGGACCTGCAGCCCGCCATGCCTGAGCCTCCGCTCCCCTCCACCTCCGCCGTGACCTCCTGTGCAGCCCAAGCCTCCCCAACAAGTGCTGCCCCCTGCTCCATGGTGCCCAGTCCCATCGACCACCCAATGGCTGAGGAGTGTGGGCACTCGGTGCCGGACTGGCAGGCAGCTCCACCTGCAGCCCCAGTGTGAGATCCACTGGGTGAAGCCAGCTGGGCTCCTGAGTCTGGTGGGAACTTGGAGAACCTTTATGTCTAGGTCAGGGATTGTAAATACACCAATCGGCACTCTGTATCTAGCTCAAGGTTTGTAAACACACCAGTCAGCGCCCTGTGTCTAGCTCAGGGTTTGTGAATGCACCAATAGACACTCTGTATCTAGCTACTCTGGTGGGGACTTGTAGAACCTTTGTGTCCACACTCTGGATCTAGCTAATCCGGTGGGGATGTGGAGAACCTTTGTGTCTAGCTCAGGGATTATAAACGCACCAATCAGCACCCTGTCAAAACAGACCACTCGGCTCTACCAATCAGCAGGATGTGGGTGGGGCCACATAAGAGAATAAAAGCAGGCTGCCCAGAGCCAGCAGTGGCAACCCGCTGGGGTCCCCTTCCACACTGTGGAAACTTTGTTCTTTCGCTCTTTGCAATAAATCTTGCTACTGCTCACTCTTTGGGTCCACACTGCCTTTATGAGCTGTAACACTCACCGCGAAGGTCTGCAGCTTCACTCCTGAGCCAGTGAGACCACGAACCCACCAGAAGGAAGAAACTCCAAGCACATCCAAACATCAAAAGAAACAAACCCCGGACACGCTGCCTTTAAGAACTGTAACACTCACCGCGAGGGTCCACGGCTTCATTCTTGAAGTCAGTGAGACCAAGAACCCACCAATTTCAAGACACAGTTGGACACACCAGGACGCCTCACCTGTAGTGAATGTGTTCATCTCCACCATTAGACCATGAGCTCTCTGAAAATAGGAACCTTTTCCTATATTTCTGCAGTACCAGTGGTCAGCACAGCACACAGACACAGAGGAAATGTTCAGTTAATGAATATGAACTCCATCTGTGGCTCATGAGGTCAGAGACTGCATGCCTTGCTCACTGTTGTGCCTTCAATACATAGTTCAGATGTAGCACATAGTAAGACTTCAAATATGTGTTTTTTGAGTGATTGAATGAATGAATAATAGGTTAATTATGGGATGCAGATACTCAGCTATTTTCATTTCTTAGAGCCCTCTTCCAGTATTAAAATATCCAAATAGAAGCTTTAAAAAAGAGCCATTTGGACATTTTGCCTGTACATTGCCAAACATCTTCATGGTGGATATATCTAGATGTGTAATACTATAAACCTGGGTGACTGCATATCATACTTCTTTAGATACTTCAACGTGGTTCAGTACAAGCATTTTCAACCATTTTCTCTGTAAGCACTACTTGTTAATTCTCCTTTATATGAAACTTAAAAAATTGGACTTCTAATCTAGCTCCTTTCTAGACAAGAGCTATTCTGCACTGGGTAAATCAGCATGCTGAGTGTACATGATTTTTCTGCTGTTCTTTCTTAGCTGAAATGCCCTCCTGCTCAGGGAAATGACCTGAAATTGCTGCTCATGATTTACCTCTCAGAACTTTGTGTCGTCAAGCGTGGCTGTGGCCTGGTTTCATGCCTCTAAAGTAAATTTCTTTTGGACAGAAATGTTCATATGCTGTACTAAACCATTACAAAAGCGATGTCCTTTTCGCTTTTTGGAAACAATAATAAAAGTAAGCAGGGAAAAGTGCAGTCTTTTAGTATTTAAAGCATGACTTTTTACATTGACATATATTTAAAACTTGCTTATCAGATATTTTAGCATCTATATTTTATTAACTGTCAGGCCAGTATAACTAAAAAAAGGAATGGTAGATATGCAAAATTCTAACACTGACTGGAGACACTGGCAAATCTGAAGTATCTTCAGAATCATAGAAAACATTATTATAGAATTCTATAGGTATTAGGCATATGCTGTTTTAGCCAAAGTCTAATTTTAAAAAAAAAAATACTAGAGTATAAACTATTGTGTGTGGATGGACACAGATATAAGCAGATACAGATAAACATGTCTAGTCAAAGTCTTAAATTTTCCAAAAAATGTAGTATAAACTGTTTTCAACTACTTATAATACAAATCATTTCTGGCATATTTGCTTCTATTTAAAAAGTTTTGTGCACATTTTCATTTGTAACTTTGGACCAAATATTTGGCTGTTATTATGACAAATGCCAAAGCTATGACTAAGTCACGGTATAGGAAAAAGTGACAGAGGATTACTAAATATCCCCTTTCTTTGAAAGGGAAATTTTCATTTGTTATCAGTAAGTCAATTCTACACTTTAGTTTGGTTACTAGCTTACATATTTGAATAGAAGATTTAAAATTGGCATCAAAAGCAAAGGTGCCCACAGATACTGTTCCCAAATAGAATCACTGCCAGCACTGTGAGCTCAACTGAGCCAAAAGAGCAGTGGCTAAGAATACCCAAGAACAACAGACCCCGGGACCTATGTGAAGGTGGAGGGTGGGAGGAGGGTGATGATTGAAAAACTACCTTTCAGGGACTATGCTTATTACCTGGGTGATGAAATCTGTAAAACAAACTCTTGTGACATGCAATTTACCTATATAACAAATCTGCACATGTACCCCTGAACCTAAAATTTAATAAAAAGAGACATAAAGAAGAAAAAAGAAAGAATTCGGCAATCTATGAACTTGGATTAAAGGAAAAAAAAAGGTTCTCTAATCTATAACTAAAATTTTGCATTTCTATTATGAACATGGCAACAAACTATAGTAGAATTAGGAGTACCTAAGGCTTTGTCACCAAGAATAATGAGAGGAATGTTCATAACTCAGTACAGGCATTGCAGAATTCTCAAAGCATGGTTTATTATTACTACTTCAAAACTGTAGTATATGATTGGACCTACCACTAGATCCTGTTTAATGCATTAATAGGCATTTGTTTTGCTTTATCACACACACGCAAAGAATACGGAAGAAACATGTTGTTCTCTTCAGGACAAAAGAGTTATTAATATAACAAACCTTATATTTTTTCCCAAAGAGTTTTCTCTATAAGAATTAAACTAAAAACAGTTATATCACCATGGTTGCACTAAAGTCAACAAATGTAAAATTTGTCATATCCCAAATTACGCCTGTAATCCCAGCACTTTGGGAGGCCGAGCTGGGTGGATCACCTGAGGTTGGGAGTTTGAGACCAGCTTGGCCAATATGGTGAAACCCCATCTCTACTAAAAATACAAAAAATTAGCTGGGTATGGTAGCAGGCGCCTGTAATCCAGCTACTTGGGAGACTGAGGCGGGAGAATCACTTGAACCCTGGAGGCGCAGGTGGCAGTGAGCCAAGATGCTCCACTGCACTCCAGCCTGGGCGACAGAGTGAGACTCTGTCTCAAAAAAAGAAAAGAAAAGAAAAAGTATGTTATGCTTAAATTGATTGTACTTGGAGAAATTCCAATGTATGGGATAATATAAAAATAACATACAAATAAAGCTATTGTGAAATTAAAATCCTGGTATCTTCATGAGCATAGAATTTAAATTTAAATTTCTTAACAATTGTGTGCAAACATATCATCAAAATCTAAACAATACAGAAGACTAACACAATTATTGAAATTGTTTCTGGTCAAAATTATCTTAATTGTGGTTTCTTAATTCTGGTTTAAGAGTGAATCTATAACTATCAATATTTCCAATTTTGTGGGTTTGACTTTAACTGGTAATTTTTATTTTAATATGCAAGATGTGGTTACACAGTCATGAGAAAACTTGCCATTTCTGAGTAAAACCTGGGGAAGTTATATAAAAGACCCAACTGACTTGAATAATTAATACTGGGTATTTTTTCCTTACAAAAATTGTCTCAGTGCTCCCTCTGGTGGCTACTCTGGAAAATTGACTCGTCTGTTCTCCAAAGTCGTTTCCAGGGCTTAAAATTTCAAAGAAAATTTACCAAAACTCTAAATTATTGGTGTAAATGGTAAAATTAGCAGCGAAGCTGCCTGAAACATAAATGCCTAGGATTAAAGATATTCATTTACCTACCCCTGTATTCAAAACCATTCATTGGGTACTTACTGAGTCAGATTCTGCTTTGGGTGTCAAAGGCTCAGGAAGCACCGGGCCCGCCCTCAGGCGGCTCACATGCAGTGGGAATGACAAAGTCAAGGAAGCAAAGAAATAAAATACCTAGAAATTCTAGCCGAAACAAGGAGTCAAAATACAGAAGAGCACTGAGTAGTAAGCTGAAGTCTTCCTTCTGAGTAGATAAGTTGACCTCGAGGATAAGAAGGAGTTGGACTTATGAGAACTGGGGTGGCATCGCTGGTCAAGCACAGAACAGGTGCAGAGACACTGTGGTGCAGAAGCCTGGGTCTGGGCGGCCATGGCCCCTGGGGCATGGTGAGCCCAGGGGAAGTAGCCATGGGAAGAGTTTGGGGAGCAAAGCAGGGTGGAGCCAGGCAATTCCCTAAAGAGCATGGTAAACATGGTAAGACATTTGGATTCTATTCAAACTATAGTGAAAATCTATTAAGAGACATTTGCAAGACAGTGAGTGAAACAATTTATTCTTTAATAAGATAACTCTTACTGCTACAGGGAGAATGGGTTGGAGGGAAGCATATCAGTTCACAAGGCTGTTTCAGTTGTTCAGGCAAGGGATGGCAGGACTCCCAATAGGGGACTACAGTGGGAGTGAGGGAGAGGCACTGAGCATTTATTCAAGATCTACTTTGGAGGTGGAATCAGAAGCCCCAGCTGATAAACTAGATATAGAAAAAGAAACTAAAAACAAACATCTAGAGAGAGCTCCATATAGATAAGGAGAAAGTAGCCGTGCACAGTTTGGAAGTGAGGCTAGGGGAGAACAAATGTTCTGTTTAGGGCGGAGAGGGAATAACTCCCATAGGCTCTTACTGGCAACTGATCCCATTATAAAAGGTAGAATAAGAGAAAAATACAGAAGTATATTAATGTGTATATTTCGTATATATGGGAGCCACCCAGGAAATGAGTAGTTCTCCAACAGGTGGCTTTGAATTCCAGGATATGTAGCATCTTCAATAAAGAACAGTAAATTTTTAGAGAAGTGACAAGATAAAGGAAAAGGACGTGGAGTCTCTTGGGCTGGCAGTTTGCAGAAAGTCAAGTAACTAGCAGATAAAGACTAGTTAGTAAGGCTTGCTCATGTTGTTTCCTCTGGTATCATCTCCAGGCCAACAAGCATCCAAAGTTGTCTTCGGCATATGCACATGCATGTTTATAGCGGCACAATTCACAATTGCAAAAATATGGAACCAACCTAAGTGCCCATCAGCCAAAGAGTGGATAGAGAAAATGTGAAATATATACACCGTGGAATACTACTCAGTCATAAAAAGGAAGAAAATAACGTCTTTTGCTACAATTTGGATGGAACTGGAGGCTATTATACTCAGTGAAATAACTCAGGAATGGAAAACCAAATATTGTATATTCTCACTTAAGTGGGAGCTAAGCTATGAGGATGCAAAGGCATCGGAATGATATAATGGACTTTGGGGACTCAGGGGAAAGGTAGAAGTGAGTAAGGGATAAAAGACTACATATTGGGTACAGTGCGCACTGCTTAGTTGACAGGTGCACCAAAATCCCAGAAATCACCACTAAAGAACTTATTCATGTAACCAAAAAACATATGTACCCCAAAAACTATTGAAATAATAATTTTTTAAAAATATTGTTTTCAGTAATTAACCTTTGCTCTCCCTAGTAGAAGGGGTGCAGGATACCTTTTGCCCTTGTAAATCTATATCCTGCTCTTCAGCTAATCAAGGGAGAGCAGAGAGCTTTCCTGCACATGCTCCTTCATTGTCTTCAGGTCAGCAATCCTTCATATTTTGGGACAGCATATTCTGGTCTCCTACAGGGCCTTGTCACACTTGAAATGTCTTGGGGATGTCCAAGGAAAGATGTTAAGTAGAAACTAGACACACAGGTCTAAAGATCAGAGGAAATGTTTTCTGGACAGGAAATCGAGGCATCATCAGTGAATTCAAGGTATTTGACACCTCGGATCTGTTCAGATCACCCACAGAGGATGTGGAAAGACAGAGAAGCCAGAACTGAGGAACACTGACACTTTGAGGTCCAATAAAGAAGGAGGAATCAGGAATCCATACTAAAAAGAGACAATGAGTGAGATGGAGGGAAAAACTGATACTGTAGAAAATCCCTTTTCAGGTGGAACTGCTGAGAAGTTGGGTAAGATGAGAATGTTTTTATCCTGGTAGAAACACAAAGCTTGTTTGAGTTGATTGCAGTTATGAGGATGCCATGGTCAAAATGTTTATGGCCCCCCCAAATCCAAATATTGAAGTCTTAACCCCCGGAGTGATGATATCAAGAGGTGGTGGTATCTTTGGGAGGTGATTAGGCCATATCATGAATTAAATTAGTGCCTTTGTATTTAAAAAAAAGAAAAAAGGCCCAAGAGAGCTCCCTCACCTCTTCCTGTCAAATGAGAGCACAGAAAAAAAAAAAGACAGCTGTCTATGAACCTCAACCAGACACCAAATGTGCCAGTGCCTTGATATTGATCTTCCCAGCCTCCAAAACGGTGAGAAAGAAATATCTGCTGTTTATAAGCCAGCCAGCCTATGGTATTTTGTTTTAGCAGCCTGGGCAGACAAAGACAGGGAAGATTGGAATGCCATGCAGAGTAGACAACAGGGAGGAAGTGGAGACAAAATGATACAATTCTCTTAAGTCTTTGACCTTAGAAAGATGAGGATAAGGAATCTACATCTAAAGATTTAGGGGAAACATGTGGTCAAGGACTATTTCTGCTTTATAAGTTTCTATTTTGCTTCCAAATTTTATTAAGAAATTGTTCTAACATGGAGAAAAGTTGAAAGAAAACTGTGAAGAGCACCTGCATTTCCTCTAATTTTAACTGTTTTGATGTACATGCTTTCTAAAGGTAAATACACACATATTTTGCCAAATAATCTAAAAGTAAATTACAAATACGATAACACTTCACCCCTCATGTTTACACCTTCATATCCTAATAGAGAAATTCTCCTATATACCAAAATACCTTTTCTAGAAGCAAAAATTTACCAAAAAATTTAATAATTTCTAAAATCTAATCCACATTCAGATTTCCCCAGTTGTCTCTGAAAGCTCTTTTAGAGCTGGCATTTCAAATCGGGATGCAGTCAAGGTGCATGCATTGCATTTGGTTATTATTTTTCTCTAGTCTATTTTAACATTTCCTCCATCTCTTTTGGGTATATGTGTGTTACATGGACTTGTTTGGAGAGATCAGCAAGACAGTTGTCTTGTATCTGAAATTGGTGGGTTCTTGGTCTCACTGACTTCAAGAATGAAGCCGCAGACCCTCGTGGTGTGTGCTACAGGTCTTAAAGATGGTGTGTCCAGAGTTTCTTCCTTCTGACGTTCAGACGTGTTCGGAGTTTCTTCCTTCTGGTGGGTTCGTGGTCTCGCTGGCTTCAGGAGTGGAGCTGCAGACCTTCGCAGTGAGTGTTACAGCTCTTAAGGTGGCATGTCTGGAGTTGTTTGTTCCTCCCATCCGGAGTCGTTTATTCCTCCTGGTGGGTTCATGGTCTCGCTGGCCTCAGGAGTGAAGCTGCAGACCTTCACGGTGAGTGTTACAGCCCATAAAAGCTGTGTGGACCCAAAGACGGGGCAGTAGTAAGATTTATTGCTAAGAGCAAAAGAACAAAACTTCCACAGTGTGGAAGGGGACCTGAACAGGTTGCCACTGCTGGCTCGGGCAGCCTACTTTTATTCCCTTATCTGGCCCCACCCACATCCTCTTGATTGGTCCATTTTACAGAAAGCTGATTGGTCTGTTTTGACAGGGTGCTGATTGATGCGTTTATAGTCCCTGAGCTAGACACAAAAGTTCTCCAAGTCCCCACTAGATTAGCTAGACACAGAGCACTGATTGGTGCATTTAAAAACCTTGAGCTAGACACAGGGTGCTGATTGGTGTGTTTACAATCCCTTAGCTAGATATAAAAGTTCTCCAAGTCCCCACTAGACTCAGGAGCCCAGCTGGCTTCACCTAGTGGATCCCGCACCAGGGCCGCAGGCAGAGCTGCCCGCCAGTCCCGTGCCTTGTGCCCACATTCCTCAGCCCTTGGACGGTTGATGGGACTGCGTGCCATGGAGCAGGGTGCAGTGATCGTCAGGGAGGCTCGGCCCTGCAGGAGCCCACAGCAGGGGGGAGGCTTGTGGATGATGGGCTGCAGGTCCCGAGCCCTGCCCTGCGGGGAGGCAGCTGAGCCGGCAGGCCCACACTGCTGGGGGACCTGGTGGACCCTCTGCAGCTGCTGGCCTGAGTGCTAAGCCTCTCACTGCCTGGGGCCAGTGGCACCGGCCGGCCGCTCTGAGTGCGGGGCCTGCCGAGCCCATGCCCACCCAGAACTCGCACTGGCCAAAAAGCGCTGTGCACAGCCCCAGTATCACCCACAACTCTCACTCCACACATCCCCGCAAGCAGAGGGAGACGGCTCCAGCCTCTGCCAGTCCAGAGAGTAGATCCCACAGTGCAGCGGTGGGCTGAAGGGCTCCTCAAGTGTGGCCAGAGTGGGCACCAAGGCCAAGGAGGCACCAAGAGTGAGCGAGGGCTGCCAGCATGCTGTCACCTCTCAATCCACCCTCTAAACAGGACACCCCAACTACTGTTGGGAATTTGGCCGATGACCACTCTAGCTAATTCCTGTTGGATGGGGTGATGAAGGGGCCCTGTAGTTGTAGTGTTCTCCAGAGGGGAACTCTCTAGGGCAGTGAAAGTGCCCACGAGTCAGTCCAGGGTCCTCGGTAGAAGTCGTTAGTTGAACTCATTTGGGGTTCCATTTGTAAGACCATCTGTAAGTTGATGACCTCAATTCTAGAGGAAACAAATTTGACAAGAAGGTTAAAAATACAGGGTCCAAAGGTGAGTAACAGCAAGATGGCTGCCACGGGACCTAGAAAGGGGAGAAGCCACGTTGCCCAGCTCCAGAGGTTGGTATAAGAATTTGAAAGGCGTTGCCTGATTTCAGAAGCCTTTTCCTGTAAATGCCGGGTGGCATCTTGTACTATCTCCGACTGGTTAGTGTAAAAACAACACTCTTCCCCTAAGAAGGTGCAGAGTCCTCCTTTCTCAGCAGTGAGGAGGTCTAGGCCTCAGCAGTTTTGGAGAGTCACTGCTGCCGAAGAGTCTATTTGGGATTGTAAAGTAAGGATAGTTTTTTTATTTCTTGCAAACTGTCTGAGAAATCCTTTCAGAGTGTGTAGGATAATGAAGTAGATAAACCAGCTATTCTGTTTCCTGTAGCAGTAGCCATTCCTAACCCTATAAGTAAGGGTATTAGTAGTATGGCTCTTCGCTGACAGACTTGAGCTTTGAGGGGTACTGATAGGGTTTGATTTCCTGGGGCAATGTTAATGTTGTGACTTAGAAAGACTAAGGTGCAGGTGTCGGTCCAGTTAGTGGGGAGGCAGATATAAGTCAGTGTTCCACATAAGAACAATATGCCTTGTCTGGGTAGACAGAAATTTACCCTGACTTTTAAAGGAATAGGGTACACTGTTTTTTTCTTTACTACTTCCATTTCTCTTTCTTTCTCTTTGACTTCTTCTTTGTCTCTTTCTCTCTTTTTGACTCTCTCCTTGACTTTCTCTTTGACTTTCTCTTTGACTTTCTGTGTCTGTCTCTCTCTCTCTCTCCTTTTCTTTCTCTCTGTTTCTTCCTCTCTCTCTCTTTGACTTTCTGTCTCTTTCCTTTCTGCTGCCTCCACCAGCTGCTCATGCTGCTGTTCTCCCCTCTCCTTCCCCTCTTTGATGGCTTTGGCAGTGTAAGACTGCCACCTCCTTGGATTTTTGCATTACGTGCAATAACTCCGTAGTTTCCTTTTGATGCTCAATGGGGGTTCCCCCAGAAGTCAGGAACTCCCTTTCTTTCTATATTCAGCATGGACATGTAGGATTAGATAAGCATACTTGCTGTCTGTATACACACTTATTCTTTTTCCCTTTCCCAGTTCTGAGGCTCCGGAAAGTGTCACTAGTTCCGCTAACTGGGCACTGGTCCCTGGGGGAAGAGGCTTACATTCAAGTATGGTTACATCACTAACTATGGCATAACCTGTCCTTCGTATCCCATTCTCTACAAATGAACTTCCATCAGTATATAGGTTAAGGTCAGGATTAGCTAAGGGGACTTTTAAGAGATCATCTCAGGTGGCATAAGTCTGGAGTATAATTTGTTGGCACTCATGCTCAATTGGTTCCCCATCCTCTGGGAGAAAAGTGGCAGGGTTGAGGGCCACGCATGTGTGTATTTGAAGCACCAGTCCCTCAAGGAGTAGCGCCTGGTATCTAAGTAGGTGGTTGTCTGATAGCCATAAACTCCATAAACTTCCTTTGGCAACTAGTATGCCATTTACATCATGAGTAGTACAGACAGTGAGATCCTTTCCTTGTATCATTTTGATAGCCTCTGACACTAAGATGGCCACTGCTGCAACTACCCATAAACAGTGAGGCCAGCCTTTTGCTACTACATCAATTTCCTTACTTAGTTGTGCCACTGGTTGTGGAGTTGTCCCACGAGTCTGAGTAAGGACTCCAAGAGCTATCCCTGCTCTCTCTGTGACATATAAAGAAAAGTTTTGTCCTGTAAGAAGGCTTAAAGCTGGATCTTGTACTAGGGCCTGCTTTAAGGTTTTGAAGGCTGTTTCTGCCTCTGGTTCCCATTCTACTAGATGAGTATTTGCCCTCTGGGTTTCCTTGATTACAGTATAGAGGGGTGTGGCTATCTCGCTGTATCCGAGGATCCATAGTAGGGAAAAGCCGGTACTTCCAAGGAACCCCCACAACTGTTTTAATGTCTTAGGGTGAAGATAAGCCAGTATAGGCTGTATTCATTCCTTGCTGATGGCCCTGGTCCTGCTGGCTAAGATTAAGCCTAGATATTTGGCCTGCTGTAGGCAAAGCTGGGCCTTTGACCTAGACACCTTATACCCTTGATTAGCTAGAAAGTTCAAGAGATCTAGAGTAGCCTGCTGGCAGGAGGCTTCCGAACTGGTAGCCAAAAGTAAATCATCCACATACTGAAGGACCAGACTGCCTGGACTTGAGAAGTGGCCTAGATCTTGGGCCAGTGCCTGATCAAACAGATGAGGGCTATCCCTAAACCCTTGGGGCAAGACCGTCCACATAAGTTGGGATGTTTGGTCTGTGGGATCCTCAAAGGCAAAGAGAAACTGGGAGTCAGAGTGCAGGGGAATACAGAAGGAATCCTTGAGGTCCAGAACTGTGAACCATTCTGCTTCCTCTGGTATCTGAGAGAGCAGGGTATAGGGGTTGGGTATAACTCGATGTAGAGGAATTACTGCCTCATTGATGAGTCTAAGATCTTGCACTAGTCTCCACTGACCATTCAGGTTTTGTATTCCTAGAATTGGGGTGTTGCAGGGACTGCTGCATTTCCTTACTAAGCCTTGAGCTTTCAAATGTTTAACAATATTCTGTAATCCTTTATGAGCTTCAGACCTTAAGGGATATTGCCTTTGATAAGGAAAAGCGGTGGGATCTTTTAACCTGATTTGGACTGGGTGGGCATTTTTTGCCCTTCCAAATTGTCCTTCCAAAGCCCAGACTTCAGGGTTGATTCCCTCTTCAAGTAGGGGACAACAAATGGGTAACTTGTTCCCCATATTCATGTAGATAATAGCTCAGCCTTAGCTAATATATCCTTCCCTAATAAGGGTGTGGGACTTTCAGGCATAACAAGAAAGGCATGTGAAAAGGGCAAAGTCCCCCAAATACAACGGAGGAGGTGGGAGAAATACGTGGTTACAGGCTGTCCCAGGATTCCTCAGATGGTAACAGACCTTGAGGACAGTTGTCCAGGACAGGAGATTAACACTGAGAAGGCTATGCCAGTGTCCAGGAGGAAGTCAATTTCCTGGCCGTTAATGGTTAAAGGTACCCGGGGCTCAGAGAGGGTGAAGATATGAGCTGGTGCTTGCCCTGGGCACCCTCAGTCCTGTTGTTGGATCATCTGGTTGGGGACTTCTGACCCAGAGAACCCTCATCCTCTGGGGCAGCGCACCTTCCAGTGATTGCCTCAGCATAGTGGACATGGACGAGGGGGGCAGCTTGTTTCTCATTGGACAATCTTTTTTAAGGTGTCCTAGTAAACCACACTGATAACAAGCCCTACCAGGTGATTGGCCTGCTCCATTTTCTGTCCTCCCTGAACCACCAAGGTTTGTTTGTCTGAGGGCCATGACCAAGGCTGTGGCCTTTCTCTGATCTTGTTTTTCCTTTTGGGCCTATTTCTCTTGGTCCCTATTATAGAACACCAAGGTTGCCAGGTTTTAAAATGCCTCCAGATTTTTTTCAGGGCCCAGGGCTTACTTTTGGAACTTTCTCCTGATATCTGCACCTGGGGCTGATTGGGTAATAAATTTATCTTTTAGAATCAATTGACCCTCAAATGATTCAGGTGACAGGGGAATATATTTTCTTAAGGCCTCCCATAGCCGCTCAAGGAAGACAGAAGGATTTTCTTCCTTTCCCTGAGTTATGGTGGACATCATTGAATAATTCATGGGCTTTTTCCTAATTCTCTTTAGTCCTTCTAGAACACAGGTCAACAGATGTTTATGACTCCAGTCCCCATGATCTGAGTCGAGGTCCCAGTGGGGATCCATACTGGGGATGACTTGCTGACTGGTAGGGAATTTTTCCCTTTTGTTTGACTGTCATTCTATAATTTACTTGACTAAGATACCAGGTATCTCCAAACTCTCAGGCTGCAGCCAAAACCACATTCTTTTCATTAAAGGCCAGGGTTTGATCTAACAGTAGCATGACATCTCTCCAAGCGAGGGCAAAGGTTTGCCCTAGACCCTGTAGGACATCTATGTACCTATCAGGATCATCTGAAAACTTCCCCAGGTCTGCCTTGATCTGCTTTAAGTCAGAGAGGGAGAAGGGGACAGGTACCCAGGTTGCACCAAATTCCCCTCCCCCTACAGCTTGAAGGGGACATAACTGATGGCCCGATGGGGGAGTTGTGGTCCTTTGGAGATTTCTTTGCTTATTTCCTTCTGGGCAGGGGAGATTAGAGGAGGATTATTATTAATAGGAAGGGGAGTTATAGGGAGGCTAGGATATGGGGGTAAGCTGAGAGGTCCTCCTGTGGGATGTAAATTGCAAGCTTTGCATAGTTGTGTATTCTCCCTCAATGAAAAGAAAGCTTGGACATAAGGTATTTCACTCCACTTGCCTTCCCTCTTACAGAAAAGGCCAAGCTGCAGATTAGTATTGTAATTTATACCTCCCTCAGGTGGCCTTTTTTCCCCATCAGAGAGAGAATATTGGGGCCGAGCCGTAGTGCAGAAAAAAAATGAGCCGCCTCTTTTTCAGGGTTTGTGGGTCAAATTGGTCCCCATGGCTTAGGATGCATTTCAAGAGTGAGCCTGTTGATGCCTGAGTGCTTCACATCTGAAAGAAAAAACCGCCTGCAGTTTTGTTTTGTTTTGTTTCTCCTCCTGCCCAAGAACCCGCAACAGTCCCTGCACCCTGCTGATCAGAATAGTTGTGCTCACCAACACAGCAGCAGAAACACTAGTTTTCCTCCCAGACCACATGGAGGACCGAGGAAAGTCTGATTTAGTGGCCCTTTCTGACACATTCTTGAAAACCTGCACCCTTGCCTGTCCTCCTATACCACATGGAGGACCAAGAAAAATCGGATTTAGTGGCCCTTACTAACGCATTCTCAAAAACCTGTTAGAGTCCTAAGCATTTTCCTGTTAGTAATGGGACTTTACCTTTGTCCTATAAAGATGTTATGCCCCAAAAATGAAGTGGAGGGCCATACCCTGAGGGAGGGAAGAGATCTCCAGGGTTGGAATAGTTACTCCTTTTTTCCTCACTTATATGAATAGGAAGGATACAATTTCTGAGGCTCCCCATATCCTAGCTTCAGGAATAGCTTTTGTTAGGACTGTTAATCTGAGGAGGGATCCTAAAATTCCAGGTAGTACCCCCTATGATGGGGCTTTGGGCAAAAATTATGTCTTTCTGATTGGTGAGCCAGGGTGCCTAAAGAAGATAACAGAGTTTTGGAGTTTATACTAGAAGTCATTCTTATAGGAGACACTAGAAAAGCACCAGAGACAGGGAGAAATTTTTAGAAGTGCGACTAACTTTGGAGAAGAGAGGCGGACGAAGCTTGTCTGGCAGGCACTAGGACCCAAGGGGCAAGGGTCAGGATAGATAGGATAGATGGGTGAGTCTCACTTGGGCGACATGCCTTTGAGAGTTCTGCTCATGGCCGCAGGGTCAACCAACTTGTTGTCGGGACCCCGGAGCTGCATGGCTTTCCTCTCTGTCGACCCTCGGCTCAGCCCAGAAGCACAGGAAAAGCAGAAGCTGGTTCTAGGCAAACGAACACTCCCAACTCCGAAGAGTCGGGGGTTGTTAGAGAGCCCTTTCCCAGAAAGCCTGACACCCATGTTTTAGGTCCAGTGGCCAAGCTCATCACTTTTAACTAGCCTACAGGTGCCCGGTATTTAGCCCCCAAATTCTAAGGAAAACTAGGACAGAATAGCAAGTGAAAGGGGTCCGATGGTACTCACTGCTTGGCAATAGGTGACAGTCTCACCACTCAGTGATAGGCAGTGGTCTCACCACTTGGTGATAGTCTCACTGTTTGGCAATAGGCGATGGTCCCTTCGTGGTCCCCAAAATGTGTCTGAAATTGGTGGGTTCTTGGTCTCACTGACTTTAAGAATGAAGCCACAGAACCTCACAGTGAGTGTTACAGTTCTTAAAGATGGTGTGTCTGGAGTTTGTTCCTTCTGATGTTTGGGCATGTTCGGAGTTTCTTCCTTCTGGTGGGTTTGTGGTCTCGCTGGCTTCAGGAGTGAAGCTGCAGACCTGCACGGTGAGTGTTACAACTCTTAAGGTGGCATGTCTGGAGTTGTTCATTCCTCCCATCCAGAGTTGTTTATTCCTTCTGGTGGGCTCATGGTCTTGCTGGCCTCAAGAGTGAAGCTGCAGACCTTCACGGTGAGTGTAACAGCTCATAAAGGCAGTGCAGACCCAAAGAGGGAGGAGCAGCAAGATTTATTGCTAAGAGCAAAAGAACAAAACTTCCACAGTGTGGAAGGGGACCCAAACGGGTTGCCACTGCTGGCTCAGGCAGCCTGCTTTTATTCCCTTATCTGGCCCCACCCACATCCTGCTGATTGGTCCATTTTACCAAGAGATGATTAGTCTGTTTTAACAGGGTGCTGATTGGTGTGTTTATAATCCCTGAGCTAGACACAAAAGTTCACCAAGTCCCCACTAGATTAGCTAGACACAGAGCACTGATTGGTGCATTTACAAACCTTGAGCTAGACATAGAGTGCTGATTGGTGTATTTACAATCTCTTAGCTAGACATAAAGGTTCTCTAAGTCCCCACCAGATTAGCTAGATACAGAGTGCTGATTGGTGCATTTACAAACCTTGAGCTAGACACAGAGTGCTGATTGGTGTATTTACAATCCCTTAGCTAGACATAGAGGTTCTCCAAGTCCCCACTAGACTCAGGAGCCCAGCTGGCTTCACTTAGTGGATCCCTGCACCAGGGCCGCAGGCGGAGCTGCCTGCCAGTCCCACGCCGTGCGCCTGCACACCTCAGCCCTTGGGCGGTTGATGGGACCAGGCGCCGTGGAGCAGGTGGCGGTGCTCTTCGGCGAGGCTCAGCCACTCAGGAGCCCACAGAAGAGGGGAGGCTCGGGCATGGCGGGCTGCAGGTCCCGAGCCCAACCCTGTGGGAAGGCAGCTGAGGCCCTGCAACAATTCAAGTGCAGCGCAGCAGGCCGGCACTGCTGGGGGACCTGGTGCACCCTCCGCAGCAGCTGGCCCAGGTGTTAAGCCCATCACTGCCAGGGGCTGTCGGCACTGGCCGGCCGCTCCGAGTGCAGGGCCTGCCAAGCCCACGCCCACCCGGAACTCGTGCTGGCCCACAAGCACGGCGCACAGCCCCAGTTACCACCCACGCCTTTCCCTCCACACCTCCCCACAAGCAGAGGAAGCCAGCTCCAGCCTCGGCCAGCCCAGAGAGGGGCTCCCACAGTGCAGCGGCAGGCTGAAGGGCTCCTCAAGCTGGGCCAGAGTGGGCGCCGAAGCCAAGGAGGCTCCAAGAGCGAGCGAGGGCTGCCAACACGCTGTCACCTCTCAGTCTTATGGAATTGCTCACATTCTAGATTTGTGTTTATTGTTTCCGCATTTTTTTCTTATTCTTATATCCCCAGATTTTCCCTGTTAACCAGAAATTAGTCAAATATTTGATTAGGTTACAGTTAAATATCTTGGGCAAGAACATTCCATATGTGGTACCATATATGTTATATTGCATGGTACCAGATGGCACATAATCCCAGGTTGTCTTGTCATTCAGAGGTGACAGCATGCTGGCAGTCCTCAGAGCCCTTGCTTGCTCTCGGCACCTCCCCTGGCTGCGCTCCCACTTTGGTGGCATTTGAGGAGCCCTTCAGCCCCCCCCCCACTGCACTGTGGGAGCCCTTTTCTGGGCTGGCCAAGGCTGGAGCCCACTCTCTCAGCTTGCAGGGAGGTGTGGAGGGAGAGGTGTGAGTGGGAACTGGGGCTGGGTGCGGCACTTGCGGGCCAGCTGGAGTTCTGGGTGGGCATGGGCTTGGCAGGCCCCGCACTCGGAGCAGCCAGCCAGCCCTGCTGGCCCCGGGCAATGAGGGACTTAGCACATGGGCCAGTGTCTGCGGAGGTTGTACTGGGTCCCCCAGCAGTGCCAGCCCACCGGCGCTGTGCTCAATTTCTCACTGAGCCTTAGCTGCCTTCCTGCGGGGCAGGGCTCGGGACCTGCAGCCTGCCATGCCTGAGCCTTCCACCCACGCCATGGGCTCCTGTGTGGCCCAAGCCTCCCCAAGGAGCACCACCCCCTGCTCCATGGCGCCCAGTCCCATTGACCACCCAAGGGCTGAGGAATGCGAGTGCACAGTGCGGGACTGGCAGGCAGCTCCACCTGCAGCCCTGGTGCGGGATCCACTAGGTGAAGCCAGCTGGGCTCCTGAGTCTGGTGGGGACGTGGAGAGTCTTTATATCTAGCTCAGGGATTGTAAATACACCAATCAGCACCCTGTGTTTAGCTCAAGGTTTGTGAGTGCACCAGTCGACACTCTGTATCTAGCTGCTCGGGTGAGGACATGGAAAACCTTTATGTCTAGCTCAGGGATTGTAAATACACCAATCGGCACTCTGTATCTAGCTCAAGGTTTGTAAATACACCAATCAGCACCCTGTGTTTAGCTCAAGGTTTGTGAGTGCACCAATCGACACTCTGTATCTAGCTGCTCTGGTGGGGCCTTGAAGAACCTTTATGTCTAGCTCAAGGATTGTAAATACACCAATCGGCACTCTGTATCTAGCTCAAGGTTTGTAAACACACCAATCAGCACCCTGTGTTTAGCTCAAGGTTTGTGAATGCACCAATCGACACTCTGTATCTAGCTGCTCTGGTGGGGCCTTGGAGAACCTGTGTGTCGAAACTCTGTATCTAACTAATCTGATGGGAACATGGAGAACCTTTGTATCTAGCTCTGGGATTGTAAATGCACCAATCAGCGCCCTGACAAAACAGGCCACTCGGCTCTACCAATCAGCAGGATGTGGGTGGGGCCAGATAAGAGAATAAAAGCAGGCTGCCCAGAGCCAGCAGTGGCAACCCGCTCGGGTCCCCTTCCACACTGTGGAAGCTTTGTTCTTTCGCTCTTTGCAATAAATCTTGCTACTGCTCACTCTTTGGGTCCACGCTGCTTTTATGAGCTGTAACACTCACCGCGAAGATCAGCAGCTTCACTCCTGAGCCCAGCGAGAACACAATCCCACCGGGAGGAACGAACAACTCCAGACACACTGCCTTAAGAGCTGTAACACTCACCGCGAAGGTCTGCAGCTTCACTCCTGAGCCAGGGAGACCATGAACCCACCAGAAGGAAGAAACTCCGAACACATCTGAACATCAGAAGGGACAGACTCCAGACGCGCCACCTTAAGAGCTGTAGCACTCACCGCGAGGGTCCGCGGCTTCATTCTTGAAGTCAGTGAGACCAATAACTCACCAATTCCGGACACATCATTAGTCACATTACATTGGATTATTTGGTAATCCAACCAGATTTCTATTTTATAAAGGTATATCTTTTACCCTTGCAATTAGCAAGTGATCTTTGGCGTGCTATCTTGGCACCATGCAAATATCCTTGCTCCCAGTAAACCTTCCACCCAATAGTTTTGTATCCATTGATAAACCTTCCTTAAATCAATTATTACAATGTGGTTGATATTCTAACTGCGAAATGGTGATTTTTCAAATTCTTTCATTTGTTTCCACATTTATTAGCTGGCTTCATCTGCAGAGAAGAGTTTAAGGAGTTCTTTTTAATGAAGTTGAATATATTAGAGTGTTTGAATGTTTAGGGAGGGGGCACTTTTCTTTTACCCTCCTAGGTTATCTGAATGTGGCCCTGGAAATTAAACCAACAGAAAACAGATTAACAAGAGAAAAATAGAGTTTATTAACACGTGCAGCATGCATACATGTGGAGAAACTCAGTAAAGAGTAACTGAAGGGTGATTAGAACTTGGGCTTACATACCATCTCAACAAAGAACAATAAACTTACAGAGAAGTGACAAGATTTAAAAAATGGGTTTAGGCTTTTAGGGGCAGCAAACTGTGGGAAAGTAATATAAGAGGGAAACTAATGGAAGAAATGACTTGTTTAAGCAAGGTTTGCTGTGCAGATTCCTCTTGGTGCCATTTCTGGGCTACGAGTCTACTGTTGTCTCCGGTGATTAAGAGACAGCCTGCTTTTAAGCAAATGGGAGGGGAGGCAGAGAGTTGTTTTTCTTGTTTGTTTTGTTTTGTTTGAGACGAAGTCTCGCTCTTGTCCCCAAGGCTAGAGTGCAATGGCGCGATCTCGGCTCACTGCAACCTCCGTCTCCTGGGTTCAAGCAATTCTCCTGCCTCAGCCTCCTGAGTAGCTGAGATTACAGGCGTCTGCCACCATGCCTGGCTAGTTTGTGTATTTTTAGTAGAGACGGGGTTTCACCATGTTGGCCAGGCTTGTCTTGAACTCCCGACCTCAGGTGATCCACCCACCTCGGCCTCCCAAAGTGCTGGGATTACAGGCTTGAGCCACTGCACCAGGCCAGAGAGCTTTTTTGAATTGGTATCCAATGTTTCTCAATTGTCTTCAGCTCAAAATAATCCTCATGCCAAAGTAGCATATTTTGAGGCCAGGCGCAGTGGCTCACACCTGTAATCCCAGCACTTTGGGAAGCCAAGGCAGCAGATCACTTGAGGTCAGGAGTTCAAGACCAGCTTGGCCAATATGGTGAAATTCTGTCTCTACTAAAAATACAAAAATTAGCTGGTTATGGTGGCGCCTGCCTGTAATCCCAGCTACTTGGGGGCTGAGATAGGAGAATTGTTTGAACTGGGGAGGCAGAGGTTGTAGTGAACTGAGACCACACCACTGCACTCCAGCCTGGGCGACAAAGCAAGACTCCATCTCAAAAAAATAAATAAATAAAAAATAATAAAATAATACAAGTAGCATATTTTGGAGTGGTATATTTTGATCTCCTACAAATGCTAATAAATATTATGCAGTATGTGGATGTGTATAATTTAGAAGAGAAGAGGGAGCCAAAAGAAAGAAGCCCTTGAGAAGGTGAGAACAAAAGGAATCAAGAGCCACTGAATGCAGTTGATGTTTGGTTGGAGAGACATCTCTTTCATATGACGAAAGGGTGGAGGGGGATGTGGGGTTTAGAGTCTTCACTGTGAGAAAGTGAAAGAATAATTCCACATCTAGGCATACCCTAAGGAAATGATTTTAAAAACAAGCTAAAACACATGTATAAAGATCCCATTACAGTCATAAGAAAAAAATGTCTAAAATATCAATAGTAGTCTGGGGGTGGTGGCTCATGCCTGTAATCCCAGCATTTTGGGAGGCCAAAGCGGGTGGATCACTTGAGGTCAGGAGTTTGAGACCAGCCTGGACAACACGGAAAAACCCCATCTCTACTAAAAATACAAAAATAAGCCAAACATGGTGGCACGTGCCTATTATCCCAGCTACTCAGGAGGCTGAGGTAGGAGAATCCCTTGAACCCGGGAGGCAGAGGTTGCAGTGAGCTGAGATCGCGCCACTGCACTCCAGCCTGGGCGACAGAGTGAGACTCCATATCCAAAAAATAAAATAAGATAAAATAAAATAACAATAGTAAAGGAACAAACTGCAGTAGAGAAATGGCAAAGACTATTATTACATTTTCGCTTTCTGTGGAGTGTTATGAGAGCAACCAGCAAGTGGGGAAAAAGTCAAGATTATTATCATTATTATTTAAAAAACTAGCATGGCTGCAACTGCGAAGCTCGATTTTTCTGCACCAGTCATCCTTAAGGTGGCAGCAAGTCCACTTTTTACCAACACCTTAAATAGAAAATACAATAACTCTTGCAGATTTATTTTATCCGTTTTGCTCCCCCTACTGAGAATAACAAATAGAATTAATTTAACTAGTTTTCTTTTTTACTTACAGGGCATAAATTATTACTCACAGAGAAAATGTTTATTTTGGGAGATTATTTATATTTCAATATATTAATGGCAAGGAAAAAAACAGAGTTTTTGATACACACCAGCAGGCCAAAGAAAGAATTCTTGTACGATTTTTTTTTTTTAAAATAAAACACTACAATCAAGAGAAGCATGTGCCCTGGAAAGCCTAAACAATCAATATTTTAATATTTTAGATACTATTTGTTATTTGTTACTCAAATGATATTCACTTATTATCATAACTTCATAATCAGGCAAGCAAAAGTACAAGCTTCTGAAAGAGAGCGGTTAAAAGCAAGCCCAGAATCACTGATCATTACTGATGGGTGAGAAAATAAAATCACATCAGTGTCTCAGCTTTTACCACAATAGGGCCACATAACTCAGAGGCATGCAGTGGCAAGCTTTGATTCTCACTCTCTCAGAGCTGCATGTCATCTGAGTGGCTTTGTTCCATATCTCATTTTGGGGTCCGGGTTGGGAGCTTTGGAAAGGCTGATGCCCCGATGCCACCTGGAGAAGCTGATCTAATTAACAGGTCTCAAAGACAGCTTGGCCTATGTGGATGATGACTGCCGCTGTGTGTGCTGGGCCTGGCCTGGGGGTGATGCTGAACTACACAGAGGTTCTGTGGCGAGTGGGCTATGCTTTCTTGACAGATACATGTGGGTATCTCCAAATATCAGAATGCTGGTTGTCAGGGAAACCTAATATTTTAGATTGCTTGAATTTATCATTTCATTCCAAGACATTTCTTGACATTTGTAGACTAAGCTTCTTCCAAGTAACTCATTTCTTACTGAGTTCTTCTAAGCCAGGAAGAAAGTTCTCTAAAATTTCATCAAACCTGTTATATATATACACACACACACACTTCAGTTTAAAATGATGGCATTTACACAGTATTTATTTACTGTTATTTTCTATGAAAACCCTACTATAAGAACAGGAAAGAAATTTTTTAAATGGACAAAGAGCTAGATAAGCGATAACAAGGGTGAGAGATATCAATGGCTTTTGATAGGCTGGTCAGCAGAAGGAGCACTTGTAAGCAACAGAATGCAGAAATGTCTACAGCAGGACACACCAACTTTTTATCCAACCTAATTTGCTTCCAAAGCCACTCAGAGAGACCATCGTGCCCATGGAAGTTGGAGGTGAGCTGCAGGGCCACAAACAGGGAGGCTGAAGGAAAGCTATGTGAAGAATGGGTAGGCTCCCCAGCCTGGCCGCTGTAGCCAGGAGACGCTTGCTCCCCATCTCTGCTGGAGACTGGAGTTTCACAGCCTGGAGAAATTGGTCCCAGAGATGTGTTGCAGGGAACCAGGTGCTGCAAAAAGACAGGAACTAAGTACAGGAACAAAAAATAGGGAGACAAATTAAAAGTCTGAAAACAGAATAAGTGGAGAGACCCCCTGAACACAACTGGCTTTCAAAAGTGTCAACAACCCCACCCCCAAAATCTTCACTATCATGTCTAAAATTAAGCAAGTAAAACATTGAGGTATAAACCTATAATTCAGTAATAAGGAGGTAAATCCCAGAATCAACAGTTAATGTGGCTGGGAGGGACTATGGCCAGTTGGGACTGGGTGGAAACTTGATGCTTTTAATAAATCTTCTGCTACAATCAAAAGTTGTAGAAATTTAAAATCAGCAAGAAAAAGACAAATAATCCCATTAAACAATGGGCAAATGACATGAGTAGGCATTTCTCAAAAGAAGATGTAGAAATGGCCAACAAAGTCCAGGAGTTGTGGCTCATGCCTGTAATCCCAGCACTTTGGAGGCCAAGGCAGGGGGATCGCTTGCAGTAAGGAGTTCGAGACCAGCCTGGCCAACATTGTGAAACCTGGCTCTACCGAAAATACAAAAATTAGCTGGGCATTACAGCAGGCACCTGTAATCCCAGCTACTTAGGAGGCTGAGGCAAGAGAATCGCTTGAACCCAGGAGGTGGAGGTTGCAATGAGTCGAGATCATGCCACTGCACTCCAGCCTGAGCAACAGAGCGAGATTCTGTCTCAAAAAAAAGGAAAAGAAATGGCCAAAAACATGAAAAAATGCTGAACATCAACATCACTGTAATCATCAGGGAAATGCAAACAAAACCACATAAGATTCCACCTTACTCCAGCCAGAATGGCGATTACTCAAAAGTCAAAACAATAGATGTTGGCATGGATGTGGTGAAAAGTGAATGCTTATACACTGTTGGTGGGAATGTGAATCAGTACAACCTCTATGGGAAACAGTATGGAGTTTTCTCAAAGAACTCAAAGTAAACCTACCATTCAATCCAGCATCCCACTAATGGAGACCTAACCAAAGGAAAAGAAGTCATTATATCAAAAAGATACCTACTCTTGTAGGTTTATGACAGCACAATTCACAATGGCAAAGATATGGAGCCAACTTAAGTGGCCACCAGCAGATGAGTGGATAAAGAAAATGTGGAATATATACACCATGGAATACTACTCAGCCCCTAAAAAGAATGAAATAATGTCTTCTGCAGCAACTTGGATGGAGCTGGAGGACATTATTCTTAGTGAAGTAACTAGGAATGAAAAACCAAATACAGTACTTACTCACCTATACGTGGGAGCTAAGCTATGGGTACTAAAGGCATACAGAGTGGTATAATGGGTATGACGTACACTACTCGCGTGATGGGTGCACTAAAATCTCAGACTTCACCACTATACAATTCATCCATGTAACCAAAAACCATTTGTACTCCTAAAGCTATTGAAATGTTTTACATTTGGCTGTTTTCAAATTTAATTTAAAATTAAGTATTACTTTGATAAAAATTAAACTATCTCAAGCCAGGCGAGGTGGCACTTACCAGTAGTCTTAATTACTCAAAAGGCTGAGGTGGGAGGATCACACGAGCCTAAGAGTTCAACTCCAGCCTGGGCAACATAGTGAGACCTCATTGTTTAAATAAATAAAACAATTTTGAACATAAAATTTAAACACAAATTGAGCTCAACATTATTAAATGAAAGTTCAAAAAATTATGTGGATTATTGTTTTCATTATCACTTGAAAGATTCAATAGAAAAGTTATATAGATGCATTCTTCCTTTCAACTGGAAGTATAAAAGTCACAAGAGGCTGGGCGTGGTGGCTCACCCCTGTAATCCCAGCACTTTGGGAGGCCGAGGTGGGTGGATCACAATGTCAGGCGATTGAGACCATCCTGGCTAACACGGTGAAACCCCATCTCTACTAAAAAAAAAATACAAAAAAAGTTAGCCGGGCATGGTGGCGGGCACCTGTAGTCCCAGCTACTCGGGAGGCTAAGGCAGGAGAATGGCGTGAACCCAGGAGGCAGAGCTTGCAGTGAGCCGAGATCGCACCACTACTACACTCCAGCCTGGGCAACACAGCGAGACTCCGTCTCAAAAAAAAAAAAAAAAGAAAAAGGAAAAAAAAGTCACAAGAAACCTCATTACTTAACATATTCTGTACATTTAAAATACATTTTCATTTTAAATAAATGTGTTTAAAGGTTTAGTATAATCTTTAACCATAATAATAAATTGTCATGATAAATCCAAGATGCAGTTTTTTTAAGGAATTATGTAACTCCCTTTTAACTAAGACCCCTGGAACTCCTCTGTAAAGAGAATAAATAGAATGTAGCAATGAAGAGTGGTATTTTTATTGGAAGAGAGGAGTTAAAGGAATCAAAATAGTATTATGTAGGAAAATGTGGATAATTCACTTGGTACTTTTGCAGGTGTAAATATTTACATCTTTTCAGGTTTGATTGCTGCATTCACACCACAGTTACTGTATAGGGCTGGTCTTTCTTCCTCTACCAGATCATTCATCACTGCCTAAAGGAAGAAGCTTCTTTGGCAAATGGATGAATCATTTAAGATGTCCGTTTTGTTGTTACTATTTAGCATTCACAAATGATTTGCCCCTCACCTTTGGGAACTCTGGCAATTTCTCCCACATTTTTGACTATGCAAACACCCACTCTTTCCGTGGTAAACGGTGGCCTGGTTATTGCAGTTGTGACTCTGGCCCTTGGGTTACCTCAGAATGGGGGTGAGTTAACCTTCTGGTCGAACAATATGAGAAGATCCAGATTTTACAGGAAGATGGTGAGCCGCTCCCTGGGTCTTGGCCCAACAGAGCATCAGGTCTGTGTGCACTATTGCCCCCCAGGCCCAAGAGAAATCTTCTGGACTGTGGGAAGCATGCAGTTCATGCATTCTGACAGTTTCTGAGCAATATCATTTTAAATTTCCTTCCCTTTTTCCATCTTTTATTTTTATTTAACATGATGTCACCAATGTAACCTTATGAGATATGGTATAAACAAATACATTTCCCTTGCCCTAAATTCAAGGACAGCATCATCCATTGCAAAGCTCCATTCTACAGAGTACAGCCATCATTAGCATTGTCTCCTATATGAATAGTCCCTCTGGGGCACAGTTCCACGTACATAAAGCGTGGAGGCTGCTATGCACATGGTGCCTTTGTGTGACAGCTCTGTTAGGAATTTTTATTCTCATATAACTTTCAACAATCCCATACACTTTGTAAGTCTCTGAATTAAGATTGAAGTTTTATAATATTAAATCTTACCCTCCCTTTATCTCGTATGAGCTAATGGTAGATACAGCTTGCTTAATCTACTAAATATTTAAAAGACATCATTGTTTTCTAGTCTAATATTTCCAAATTACACATTGCAACGAATTCCATCTCTGCTGAAACAAGATGACACAATTCCTAGAATAGAATGGGAACTGGGTGGCTCTGATTGGTCTTCACTGATCTTTGTGGGCCTGGCTAAATTGATCCACTTCCTTGTATCTCACTTTCTTTGTATGTAAAATGGGGGCCGAAGTGCCAGACCCAAAGCTGTGCTAATAAAAGACCATTATGGGCAGAATTCTCTGATCTCTTTCTTAATGTGCATAAGCATAGATGATTAATATCCAAGGAGAGTTTACTGTTTTTTTGTCTTGCTGTTGTTTTCCCAGCATGTTGCTGAGGAAAGAAGGGTTTATAATAAGTTCGTGAGTTTTTCAGGTGAGATTCTCCACCTTGCATATTTGTGCTATGTCTATGCATATTGCTGATAGCAATGTGTATACTAATAATTGAAGCAATTTCTCTTCCCTTCTCCCCCTCCACATAGCTGCTCAAATATTTAAGAAATGAGGCTTTTGATGGTATGATAGAAGTTTAGCATCCTTTCTCTGCCCAGCATAAGTTCTGGAATCTCTGTGTTTATCAGCAGCTTTGCATCATTTTCACAATCAACCAAATTAAGGGGTGGGGGTGTTCATTCTTAATTTTGTCCTGTCAAATACTTCTATTTATTCATTGAGTATTCATTGGATCACTTTTCCAATGAAGGCAGTATTTTTAAATAGTAACACTGCACAAATGCTAAGGTGACTTAATTGTGGATAACTTGTTCTCAGAAAATAGAATGTTCACTTATCACACAGAATGTTTCAGCTTTTATTTTAAACTGAGCTCCTCTACAATGGACTACAGAGTTTCTGCGTTTGTCAAGAGAAAACATAAGCATACACATTACATAACTGCACTAAATTAAGTAAAAGCAAATAGACATTTTTAACTATTCAAAGTGGTAAAACCAAACCATAGAGTTTACACAGAAACTGCAAGAATTCAACACAGTGTTAAAACCTTTGCAATACAATGATGTGAATAAATTCTACTTTTGCCTGGCTTATGTGTGTATTTATTCAACCGATTACCCAAGACATAAAAAGGAAGCCTGAGATATACAGTCTACATGCTCGTATGAAGGGCAACGACCTAGAAATAATGATACAACAGTTTATCCAGTGATCAGAAAGCCCAGGAGGAACTCAACTGCTGAGACCTGATTAATCCCACAGGCATACTCAGAAGCCAGTCCATGCCTTGCTGGGGATGAACAGCAATGTCAGCCCGTGTATTTTTCCAGCAGTCATCTCCATAGATTCCAAGAAGGCTCGAGGTCAATCTACTGTAGGGATGAAACAGTGGACAGATGGATCACTCAGCTGTCCCCCATCTGAGTCCAGTTACTGAGCTTATTAAGACAGATGAGATACTGAATCCAGACAATCACTCCAGCTGTGTTTGTAGCCAAATGTTCACCTTACTCTTTGTCCATCACCTTAGGTAATCTAGAAGTTACTCTAAGTTTAAAACTTTAATTTTGAAAAGTTACAGAGGATTCATGAGATAATTTTGAGAGTTTAAGGAAAATCAATAGAATGTTTCCTAGAAATTCGAAAGATATTAAAATGAATTCCAAGAAGCCTCCGAAGCCGGCCAGCAGAGAGAGGCCTGTTCAAATGCCATGAGGTCCACCACTCGAAACTCATTGTAGATGAAAACTTTCTTTTAAACAATTTACTATTATTTGCCACCCAAGACAGAAGGTTTTTTAATGTATATTTTCTAAACTGATGGCTATGAATTATTTCAATGTTCCTAAAAACTCTGAGAGCTAAGAAAGCAATTCTTATTCACCAAAATTAGAGAGGGGGTTTGCTTCCCCCCATTCCAAGGGGGAGTTTTTTCCTTCCAAATATTTATTAAAAGCTATTTTCAACCTAAATAATTGAGAAATTGATTGAAGATGCCAAACTAAGCAAACAAAATGTGCTGCAACACTCACATTTTTTTTTCTCACACATGACATAGGAAACAAACATTTGTAGAAATTTTCATCCTGTTTGGACTTCATCCTAAAGATTAATACCTTTTAAAACACCATAATCAATTACCAGACTTTGCTTAGGGTTCGGCCCTCATGTCTAAGGCTAAACTGCAGAGGATTGGGCAAACCCAATGCCAGTCCTCTCTCTTAATCCACTTTGTCTTCCATATGCAGAGACAAAAACACAGGTAGGATGCTGGCCAATCTCCCTGGTGACTCCAGGACCAGTATTTACCCGGTTTACCGGGACTACCTACCGGATGCCGTCTACAAGTAAGGAATAAAGCCCAGGTAATCCACAGCTCCCTGTGAAAAGTACAGCAGAGAAAACCTGAAGCCGTCGGTCATCCCTGCTTCCTGCTCTCCCTAAGGCGGAGCCAAGGAAGCAGAGGAGAAAGGGAACACAAGAGAATAGATCGCATTTCTTTTTATCTTATTTGATCTTCATGGCAACTCGTGAGATTAGGACATGTACATTATTTATAAAGTTTTCAGTCCTGAAAAACAGTACACACATGAACAGTTACAACAAACTGATCTAAGTAAGACAAGAGACGAGGCCAATTGGGGGAATGGGGGTGGGGCTTGGCATCCTCTATAAGCAACGATGACCAGTGTGCCACAGCGCTGTGAAGCGCGCTCAGCCGGAGTGCTCCACCACAAAGCCCCGCGATCCTCCGACGCTAAGCACTCGGCCGCTGGCTCCTCCAGGGGGCGCCGGAACCGCGCGCCCGGGCTACTCCGGGTTCCTTGCTCCGGGAGTCTGACATTTTCAGGGGAGATCACGGATAGGAAAGGGAAAAGGCAAAGAAAAGGAGTAGGGGCAGACAGAAAGAAGGATCACTATTCGTATCATATTCTAGGCAGTCACTGCCAAGCGCCAGCCTCTTTCCCCGCATTTCATGCCTCCGCAAACGCGCGCACACCACACACACACACACACAGGTGTATACACACTCCGATGGGGCATCCCGAGTTGTTGTGTTTTCCCCAGTTGAAGAGGCGCTGGCGGCCTCGGCAGCGGTCCCCGCCCGCGGCGCCAGGCCAAGCGGGTCTCACAGGGGTGGGCGCCAAACGCGCGCGCCTGACCGTCTTCCCAGAGCGCGCGGAGGACAAGGGGACCCGCCGGGGCTGTGCGCCAGCTACAGCAGGGGCCGCGCGGAGCCGACGCCTGGGGGCGCCGGCAGCGTCCTCGGGCCTCCCTTCGAAGGCGCGGAGAGTTCCGACTCCAGCCAGGTTCCAGACTGCCAGGGCTCGGGTGGGGCAGCAGGGAGCAGGGCAGGGAGGGGGCGGTTCCCAGCAATACCGCCCTCCTCCTCTACCCTCCTCTTCCTCCACCTCGGCTTTAGGGAGCCCTCAGTGTGGCGATCTCAGCCTCAGTTCTCCTCACCCGGCATGGCCGCGCATCACCTGGAGGGCTTGGCAAGGTCAACCTGCGGGCACAGTCGCAGCGCTTCCGATCTGCTAGGTCGGGTATGGGGCGCGAGTCGGTTTCCCCAGGAGGCCTAGGCGGCCTGTCTGGTCCCGCACTCTGGCGCCGGCTCCTCCCTCGCTGGCCAGGAGTGGCGGGCAGTTGCGGAGCCGGACGCTGGGGGAGTCAGGCTGCCGCGCGGCAAGTTATCAGCTGGCGGAGGTTCCTGCGGAAGCTGGCGTCCAGGAAGGCGTAGAGGAAGGGGTTGAGGCAGCTGTTGGCGTAGCTCAGGCTGGTGATGAAGTAGGAGATAGCGATGACCAGCGGCGTCTGCGGGAGGTCGGTGGTGAGCGCCACCACGGTGCTCAGGTGGTAGGGCGTCCAGCAGAGGAGGCACACCGCCAGGATTGCCACCACCAGGAAGGTCACCCGCTTCTTGGCGCGCTCCAGGGCCTTGGCGTGGCTGTCCAGCCGCATGGCATGCAGCCGGCACAGCAGGGTGGTATAGAGGACACAGATGGTGGACACGGGGATGGCGAAGCCCAGCACGAGCGTGTAGAGGCGGCTCGCGCGCCACCAGAAGGCCTCGGGCTGCGGAAAGACTAGCACGCACTGGCGCCGGCCCTGCTCGTCGTCTAGCCGGGCGAAGACTGCGAAGGGCAGCACGACGAGTGTGACGATCCCCCACACGGCCAGGCTCACCGCGCGCGCGGCGCTGTAGGTGCGGCCGGCCACCCGGCGCGACTCCGCAGTGGCCAACACCACCAGGTAGCGGTCGGCGCTCATGACGGTGAGGAAGTAGAGGCTGGAGAAGGTGTTGTACTGGTCGATAGCCACGATGAGCTTGCACATGAGCTCCCCGAAGGGCCACTGCCGCAGCAGGAAGTCGGCGATGTTGATGGGCAGCACCAGCGTGAAGAGCTCGTCGGCGATGGCCAGGTTGAGGATGAACAGGTTGGTGACGGTCTTCATGCGGGGCGCCCGCAGCAACACGTACAGCACGGCGGAGTTGCCCGCCAGACCCACGGCGCAGATCACCGCGTAGACAACTGGTACAGCCACCGCCAGCGGCGCCGGCAGCGGCGCCAGAGTCGACGCGTTGGAGCAGCTCAGCGCCGGGTCCGGGCCCGATGCGTTGGCGGGCCAGGGCTCCGAGAACGAGGCGTTGTCCATCTCAACGAGGGCAGAGGAGCCGGCGACCTGGCGTCCCCCAAGGACGCCCTACGGAGCTCAGCGGTCCTGAAGCCCGGTTCTGCACGGACCTGCTCGCGGACGCTCGTTTCAGCTCTCCAAGCCGTTCTCTGGTTTTTCCGGAGGAGGGGACCGTTCCCAGCCACCCCACGGCCCAATGTCGCCGCGGACTCACGGGGCTGGAAAGAGGAATTTAAAGCATAGGTTAGTTCGTCGACGTGTAACTTTAGAAATAGGCGCGGTCCCGAGGAGGGGTGGGGGTGGCGCCGCGGCGCCCCAAACCTCCTCCACGTGAGCGCTCTCTGCTACCTGTTGAAATCTCACTTCTACCAGTTGAATACATCAAACGAAATGCTAGAGAGAGAAGAATCCTCCATAGGAAAAATGCAAACCCTTCTCCCCTCTTTCAGGAAACTTCCGTAGACCCAGGTTACCCCACAGAATCCCGCAGTGGCAAGCTTCGGTCTCCCCAGGGTCTGTGCGCCCTCAGTAACAGCAAGCTCAACAGCAGTCTTTACCTTACCTGGCTGGCTGGGGAAGGGGTCTGCCTTTCCTGGAGCTGTCAGGAGAAAAGCCCGCCGGCTGCGGGGAGGCTGAGACGCCTGCCGGCTGGGTGTCCGCCTCCCCCTGTCTGCCTCCCCCGAGTTCGCCAGAGTCCGCAGCTCGCGTCCCCGCCGGTCCCTCCCGCGCGCCTGGAAGTGCAGGGATGGCGCAGCCGCGACTGCGTTCCACTGCCCTGACCGCCGCGCCCACCCCCACACCCCAAGTAAAATGGTCTTAGAACAGAGAACAGAAATTCCCCCAAATTTAAGGGATTCCTTTCTTCCATCCCAGTCGTGCAACCTCACTCCATCTGAAATAATAGAAAGCTCTCCTGTTAAGAATCGAATTTAAGGAAAACAAAGTTAGGGTGTAAGTGATCTATTTTTAAAGGAGAACAATGTAGTGGAGGCGCCTGTTCCATTTTTTATACACCGTAACACAAATAGGCTAATGTAATGTGAAATCTGAAAGGAGGAAAAAGTGAGTGCAATTTTATAATGCAAATCACCTGTTTTCTGCTACTCTGGTCTTCAAGGGGATAGAAGATTGTTAGTATGTTTTCTAAAACTACTTCTACTTCTACTTTTGTGTAAGTAAAGACTTGATTAGTAAAGACAAACGGCTTCCGCAAAGCCTTTTAGGGAACCATGACAATGCGTATTTCATAAAACGTTACAAGTTGTTCAACACACTCTCTACTTATCCACACACTTGCCCGATTCTCCTGCTAATGAGAGCTATCCTGCGATCGCAGCGGAGAGTAGCCAAGGAAGGACTAGCAGGGGCAGTCTTGAACTCCCCTGTCGCTATTTCCCTGGACTTTGGATTCTTTCTCTAGGAAGGGAAAATCATCTTAGGCTCCTCACCAGTTCCCCTAAGAATCGAATGAAATAAACTAAATATTGGTTATTTCCAATTTCTGCTTTTTTTTTTTCTCCACATTTCCTTTAGGAGAGAGAGCAAATTAAAACACGAGATTATATCCTCTAGTAAACTACCCTTCCACAAAAGCAGGCGAAGCCCAAATAAAGTGTATTTTTGGTCCTCTAGGATGCATCTTAGAGAAGGGGGCCTGAGATCCAGAGAGACCTAAAGTCGGCAGTAGAAGACTGTGGGGCCAGAAATACAGTAGCCCCCCCATACCTATGGGGGATAGGTTCCAAGAGCCCCAGTGGATGCCTGAAACCATGGATAGTACCCATTGCGGTCAATGGGAACATGTTTCTGTTCTTCCATCCAAAAATGATGCAACAGCAAAACTAGCATGCATTTCTTTTTTCTTCTTCACATTTTCGTGGATAGATTTGTTTTTAGTAGATCTTGGCAACCTCTGCATATGATTTTTTTTCTTTCCTTATTAAGTCCAGAATTTTTACCTTTTAACTTAAAGGAGGCATTTGCAGCTTCTCTTTGGCATATCTGAATTGCCAGCATCACTTCTCTTGCACTTTGGAGCCAGAGAGAAATAAGGGCAAAAAGTCAGTAAAATCAAGGCAACTTGAAGACACCACACTGGTCATTGCCACAGTCATCTAATAACCCAGATTGTGAAGTGACTAACAGGTGGATATTGTAGACAGCAGGGAAACGCTGGGCAAAGGGAGGACTCACTTTCTGTGGGAAGGAGTAAGATGGCTGGATCTCATCACGCCAATCAGAAGTCAACACAATTGAAAACCTAGGAACTGTTTATTCCTGGAATTTTCTGTTTAATATTTTTAGACCACAGTTGACCACGAGTAACTGAAACTAGGGACTCCAAAACCACTGACAGGGGGATCCACTGTCCAAAAGCTCCCTGGAATTTACCTACTCAATTATCTTTTTACCAGGATCTATACAAATCGGCTCCCCTGCAGTTTCACACTTTCTGTGAAACAAAATAACAGATGATTCTTAAGCTATGTCCGTAAGAAACACTATATGATAAAACACCATATAATGTTAAAGAAAAAATATATATAATAGAAAATCTCCAAACGGTTGAAGATGATCAACTATATACACATACGTGTATACATACACATATATACACACACGTGTATATACACACACATATATACACACGCATATATACACGCACATATACACACGTGTATATACAGACACATATGCACGTGTATATACACACACATACACAGTGTATATACACACATATATGCACACTTGTGTGTATATACACACACATATGCACACGTGTATATACACATACACACGTGTGTATATACACACATATATACACACATGTGTGTATGTGTGTATATATGCACATGTATATAGTTTATACACGTGTGTATACACGTGTGAATGTTTGTATACACATATGCACATGTGTATATACGTGTATATACACGTATGTATACACGTGTGTCCATATATGTTTATGTGTATATATACACATGTATGTATATAGTTGATCATCTTCAACCGTTTGGAGATTTTCTAGCCTTTTTATTGTTGACTTCCAGTTGAATTACACTGTAAACTGAGAACATACTCAATATGACTTCAATTCATAGATATTTTTTGAAACTTACTCCCCAGTATATAGTTATTTTCTAATTATTTCATGTGTACTTGAAAAATTGTTTTGCACTTGTTGGGTGCAAAACTCTACATATGTCAACTAGTCAAACTTACTATGTTGTTCAAATTTCTCTATTGATTTTTTTTCTTTTTTTTTGAGACTGGGTCTTGCTTTGTCACCCAGGCTGAAGTACAGTGGTGCAATTGCAGCTCACTGCAGCCTCAACCTCCTGGGCACAAGTAATCATCCCCTCTCAGCACCCCTAGTAGCTGGGATTACAGGTGCGCATCACCACACCAGGCTAATTTTTTGTATTTTTCGTAGAGGCAGGATCTCACCATGTTGCCCAGGCTGGTCTTGAGTTCCTGAGCTCAAGCGAACCACCAACCTCAGCCTCCTAAAGTGCTGGGATTACATGTGTGAGCCACCGTGCCTGGCTTCTGCTGATATTTTTATCTAACTGTCTCATTAGTTACTGAAAGGACGGGGGGGGGGAATTTCAATTAATGAGTGTGAATTTCTCTACTTACGCTTTCATTATATGCTGTCAACTTGTACTACGTAATTTTACTTTTTTTTTTTTTTGAGATAGAGTCTCACTCACTCTGTTGCCCAGGCTGAAGTGTGGTGGTGGGAGCCTGTGCCTCCCAGGTTCAAGTGATTCTCCTGCCTCAGCCTCCCGAGTAGCTGGGACTACAGGGGCACACCACCACGCCCAGCTAATTTTCTTTTTTTTTGTATTTTTTGTGGAGATGGAGTTTCACCATGTTGGCCAGACTGGTCTCGAACTTCTGACCTCAAGCGATCCGCCTGCCTTGGCCTCCCAAAGTGCTGGGATTACAGGCACAAGCCACCATGACTGGCCAATTTTCACTACATAATTTGATGCTGTTTTATTAAGGGTACACGAGTTTAAGATCGCTATATTTTCCTGTGGAATTTACCCTTTCATCTTGATAGCCTAATTATAATGATTTTATCATCATGTTATTTGATTTTATCAAATGATCATACATTTAACATTATAATATAGAATATATCACATATAATTATAATATTATCTGTATATATTACCTTTTATCATTATAACATCTTTAACTAGGTTTCTATTTCTTTTTTCTCTTTTTTTGTTTTTTTTTTTTTTGAGACAGAGTCTCGCTCTGTCGCCCAAGCTGGAGTGCAATGGAACGATCTTGGCTCACTGCAAGCCCCACCTCCCGGGTTCACGCCATTCTCCTACCTCAGCCTCCTGAGTAGCTGGGACTACAGGCGCCTGCCACCACGCCTGGCTAATTTTTTCTATTTTTTATTAGAGATGGGGTTTCACCATGTTAGCCAGGATGGTCTCGATCTCCTGACCTCGTGATCCGCCCTCCTCGGCCTCCCAAAGTGCTGGGATTACCGGCATGAGCCACCGCGCCCAGCCATTTCCTACTTGCTGTATGTGGCCACTTTTGTTTGATATCATTACAGCTACATTAACTGTTTTTCCATTAATATTATCATGGAACAGCTTTTTTTAAAAAATCTTTTTACTTTAAATCTTTCTATGTCTTTGTATTTAATGTGGGTCCCATGTAAGCATTAGAACATTTGTTTTAATCCAATCTGACAATGTCTTTGAAGTATTGAGTTCATAGTATATTAAATGTAGTTATAGATAGTATTAGGGTTGTTATGGTCTGAATGTTTTTGTCTCCCCAAAAAATTACATATTGAAAGCTAATCTTCAATTGATAGTATTTGGATATGGGCCTTTGGGAGGTGACTAGGTTCTGAGAACAGAGCCTTCATGAAGGGAATTAGTGCCCTTATAAAGGCGCAGAGTGCAAAAGCCTCCGAGGGTGTGAGGCACCACAGAGAGTCCCTGTGAAGCCCAACGCTCAGCAGAGCTGGGGTAGGTCAGCTCCCTTGACCCAGAGCAGTAAAGCAGCCAGTGTGTGACTCTAGCCCCAGGAAGCCAGGATGCAAGCCAGGTATCAAGCTGCCCTGGGAGCAGGGCCACCCAAAGCTGTGGAGACAGGTTCACCACATCAGTATGTCTGGAAGTGAGACATGGAACCAAAGAGGATTATTTTTAAGACTTAAGATTTAATGTTGGCCGAGCGCCGTGGCTCATGCCTGCAATCCCAGTACTTTGGGAGGCTGAGGTGGGTGGATCACTGAGGTCAGGAGTTGGAGACCAGCCTGGCCAACAGGTGAAACCTTGTCTCTACTAAAAAAAATACAAAAATTAGCTGGGTGTGGTGGCACACACCTGTGATCCTAGCTACTGGGGAGGCTGAGGCAGGAGAATCACTTGAACCTGGGAGGCAGAGGTTGCAGTGAGCGGAGATCACACCATTGCACTCCAGCTTGGGCAACAAGAGAGAAACTCTGTACCCACTCCCCACCCCCCAAAAAAAGATTTAATGTTTGCTCTGTTGGATTTTGGACTTGGGAAGCATTTGTTATGAATTTCTTCTTTCCTATTTCTCCCTTTGGAATGGGAATGTCTATCCTATGCCTGGTCCCACTCTTGTATTTTGGAAGCACACAACATGTTCAATCTCACAGGTTCCCATCTGAACAGCAGTTTGCCTCAGAATGAATTGTACTGTGAGTCTCCCTCATATCTGATTTTTAAATGAGACTTTGAACTTTAAACTTTTGAGTTGATGCTGGAACAAATTAAGATTTTGGGGACTATTGAGATGGAATGAATGTATGTCAGATATGAGAAGGACATGAATCTGGGGGGAGCCAAAAGTTTGAATGTTTGTGTCTCCCCAAAATTCACATACTGAAACCTAATCTTCAATGTGATGGTATTTGGAGGTGAAGCCTTGGGAGGTGATTATTAGGTCATGAGGGCAGAGCCCTAATGAATGGGATTCTTGCCGATATAAAAGAGGCCCCAAACAGATCCCTCATCTCTACTGCTTTGTGAGTTACAGCAAAAAAGATGGTCATCAGACTTCAAATTTGCCAGAACCTTGTTCTTGGACTTCCCAACCTCCACAACTGTGAGAAATAAATTTCTGTTGTTTGGAAGCCACCCAGTGTATAGTATTTCATTTAACAGCTTGAACAGACTAAAACAAGGATATATACCTGCTATATTCTTTGTCCTCTATTTTTCCTATCTCATTTCCATTGTGTTTTCCTTTCTTACATTATTTTGGATTAATTAATTTTTTTATTATTTACTTTATCCCACTCCATTAACTTATTATTTCTACATGCTTTAATCATTCTTTTAGACATACACTAGAGATTATAATATGTATCCTTAACTTACTAATAGATACTTTAAATTATTATTTTTACAACCTCCCAGAGAATGCAAAACCTTTTTAACACTGAACTCCATTTACTGCCCTCTTCCTTATGTGCAACTGTTAACATATATTCTAAATCTGCATATGTTTAAAACTCTATAAAACATTATTATTACTTTTAAACAGGAAATATGCCTTTATATTTACCCACACGTTTGTGCTCCCAGTGTTCCCTGCTCCTTCCTGCATTACTATGCATCCATCTGGTATCACTTTTCTTCTACCTAATGAATTCACTTAATATTTTAAGTGCATTCTGCTGGTGATAAACTTTTACTGCTATTGTTATTGTTTTGAAATATCTTTATTTTCCCCAACTTTTTTTTAAAGAAATGTTTCACTGGATATTAAATTTCAGGTTTGCAGTTGTTTTCTTTCAAGCGTTTGAAATTCTATGGTCTTTTTCTTCCACTATTTTTATTTTTAAAAGTGGTTTTTTATGTCACTGTAGCTCTTTGAAAGGTAATTTGTCTATTTTCTATTACTGTTATTAAAGTATATCTTTGATTTGGTCTTTCAGAAGCTACATTATGATGGGCTAGGAGTGATTTTCTTTCCATTTATCCAGGTTTTGGTTTATAGAGTTTCTTAAATCTGTGATTTAGGGGTGTGTGTGTGTGTTTGTGTGTGTGCATGTGAGTGTGTGTTTCAATTTTGGAAAGCTCTCAGCCCTCTCTCTTCAAGTACTGGTTCTGTCCCACTCTCTCTCGTCCCTCCTGCTGGGACCCCAAGTACATGCCTGTTAAGCCTTTATGCTTTCCTCTGTACTTCAATCTGGTCTTCTAAATCCTGACTTTCTTGGTTGCTCCCCAATGCCTTCAAACAGATGTTTTAGTTGCTTTCTTCTTCTTCTTCAGTTTTTATGGTAGTTCATAATAGGAGGACTTGTGTGATATAAGCTACCTCATTTATAACCAGAAGCAGAAGGTAAAAAGTTTTATATATAAAGTTCTCTAAACAGTAATTACCAAATGAAACTACATGCCTATATGTATGTTTCATACACATAATTACTTGGAAATATGTGACTTTATGGAAATATATATACCAAAATGTTAAAAATACTTCTGTAAGATATGGACTTGTCAGTAACTTTGATTTTCTTTACATTTTTCTGAATTTCCAAAACTTTTACATAAAACTTATATATTACTTTTATAATTGTAAAAATATATGTATTTATAAATATTACCATAATAGTACTTTGTAGTCATGAAATGCTACTAAGAAGAAATTAAGAATATATGGAGAAGAGATTTCTCCTAGCACTTATGAAATGACGATAACCACAAAAGAAGTGAAAAAATATATGTGAAATAAACATTTACATATAGAATTTACCTTATATACCCTGAAACCTACCCACACTATTGTCAAAAAGGAAAATTTCCATTAGCAATTTGTAGTGCTTGAACCAAAATTTTTATCAATAACAAAATACTTAACTCCAACCACCCCTTATTTTGAAAAGTATTCAATGTGATATTTGAATATTGAGTATCAAGAATAATGTTACTTAGTGCAATCACTGTCCTTGGTTTGGTGATGCTCTGACTTCCAAAACTGTTTTTTCTTAGCCTAGAAAAAAATTTTTTCAAGGCAGAAATCAAAAGATAGAAACATCGAAATCATAGTACTTGTCATACAAAAAGACTGGATGTTTTTTCCTTAAAATTAACAACAAGAATGTCTTTTCTCAACCTTTCTAACCAGTCTTATGCAGGAAATTCTAGCCATTGCAATATGGAAAGAAAAATAAATTTTAGGCCGGGCGCAGTGGCTCATGCCTGTAATCTCAGCAGTTTGGGAGGCCGAGGTGGGCGGGTCACGAGGTCAGGAGATCGAGACAATCCTGGCTAACACAGTGAAACTCCGTCTCTACTAAAAATACACAAAATTAGCCAGACATGGTGGTGGGTGCCTGTAGTCCCAGCTAGTCGGGAGGCTGAGGCAGGAGAATGGCGTGAACCCGGGAGGTGGGAGTTTGCAGTGAGCCGAGATCATGCCACTGCACTCCAGCCTCGGCAGCAGAGCGAGATTCGGTCTCAAAAAAAAAAAAAAAAAAAAAAAATGAAAGGAAAAAGAAATTTTAAAACGTCCAATTCGGGGAACAAAGAAGTAAAACAGTTATTATTTGAAGAGGCAATAATCGTCTATGAAGAAACTTTTATGGAATCTATGAAAACACTTCTAAAATCTATAATTGTCTATAAATACTTCTAGAAGCTAGAATCTATAATTGTGTATGAAGAAAATTTTTTGGAATCTATAAAAAAATTCTAGAAAATTTTATGGAATCTGTAAAAACAAACTTGTTGGTAAACAAGTGGGTTTATCAAGATTGTAGGATATAAGATCCATTTAAAAGTTTTTTACATTTCTACATCCTATACGTTGTTAGTATGATCAGAAATTTAAATGTTTTTAAATTTAAATTTTTAAAAATACCATTTACAATACTATCAAGCAATATGACTATGTAGGGATAAATCTTACAAAAGATGTAAAAGGGCCGGGCGCGGTGGCTCACGCCTGTAATCCCAGCACTTTGGGAGGCCGAGACGGGTGGATCACGAGGTCAGGAGATCGAGACCATCCTGGCCAACGTGCTGAAACCCCGTCTCTACTAAAAATACAAAAAATTAGCCAGGTGCGGTGGCGGGTGCCTGTAGCCCCAGCTACTTGGGAGGCTGACGCAGGAGAATAGCATGAACCCAGGAGGCGGAGCTTGCAGTGAGCCAAGATCGTGTCACTGCACTCCAGCCTGGGCGACAAAGCGAGACTCCGTCTCAAAAAAAAAAAAAAAAAAAAAGTATGTAAAAGATCTGTACGCTGAAAATTATAACACATTACTTCAAGAAATTTAAAAAGACCTAAATAAATGGAAAGACATGCCATGTTTATGAGTCAAAAGACTCAATATTGTTAAGATGTTAATTCTCCCCCAAGTTGATCTTTAGATAAATGCAATCCCACTAAAAATCTTAACATGTTTTTCTGGGGGTGGGGAAGGGAGTATAAATTGAGAAACTGATTTTAAAACTCGCATGTGGCCGGGTACGGTGGCTCACGCCTGTAATCCCAACACTTTGGGACGCTGAGGTGGGCAGATCATGAGGTCAGGAGGTCGAGACCAGCCTGACCAACATGGTGAAACCCCATCTCTACTAAAAATTCAAAAATTAGCCTGGCGTGGTGGCGCATGCCTGTAATCCCAGGTACTCAGGAGGCAGAGGCAGGAGAATTGCTTGAATCTGGGAGGTGGAGGTTGCAGTGAGCCGAGATCACCCAATGCACACCAGCCTAGGTGACAGAGAGAGACTCCGTCTCAAACAAACAAACAAGCAAACAAACTCATATGTAAATGTAAGGATCTAGAATAACTGTCCAACTTCAAAAAAAGAAAAACAGGTTTGGAAAACTAGCATTACCTGATTTCAAGACTTATTATAAAGTTATAGTAATCAAGACAGTGTGGTTTCTGGTGTAAAGATAGACTATTTTAGTTAATAAAACAGAATGAAGACTTCAGAAAAAGACCCACATATCCATGGACAACTGATTTTCAACACATTCAAAGACAATTTAGTGGAGAAAGAATAGTCTTTTCAACAAATGGCACTGGAACAGACAGATATCCGCTAAACAAGAAAACGAGCTTTAAGCTATACTGCACTATATATAAAAATTAACTCAAAGGACAATATGTCTAATGTAAAATCTAAAATTACACAGCTTCTGGAAGAAAACATAGGACAAAAACTTTGTGAGCTTGAGTTAAGCTAAGGTTTCTTAGATACAACATCCAAAGCATAATCTGTTAAAGAACGAATTGATAGGCCGGGTGCGGTGGCTCACACCTGTAATCCCAGCACGCTGGGAGGCTGAGGCGGGTGGATCACAAGGTCAGGAGATCAAGACCATCCTGGCTAACACGGTGAAACCCCGTCTCTACTAAAAATACAAAAAATTAGCCGGGCATGGTGGTGGGCGCCTGTAGTCCCAGCTACTCGGGAGGCTGAGGCAGGAGAATGGCATGAACCTGGGAGGTAGACTTGCAGTGAGCTGAGATCGTGCTACTGCACTCCAGCCTGGGCGACAGAGCGAGACTCCATCTCAGAAAAAAAAAAAAAGAATTGATAAATTGGACTTAATCAAAAATTAAATACTTCTGCTTAAAGAGAATAAAAAGACAATCTACAGATTGGGTGAATATATTTGTAAGGTTCATATTTGATAAAGGATCTTTATGCAGAATATTTTTAAAATTTCTCACAATTTAGTAATGTGCAAACAAACAGTCGAATTTTAAAAATAGGCAAAATGTGTGAACAGACAATTTACCACAAAAGGTAACTGGATGGCAAATAAGCACATGAAAAGCTGCCTGACATTATAAATTATTAGGCAAATGCAAATTAAAACCTTTAAGAAATACTGCTACAACACTTATTAGAATGGCTAAAATTAAAAAGACTGATGATACCAAGTGTGGTCAAGAATACAGAGGAACTGAAACTCTCATACACTTTAGGAGTATGAAATGGCACAACCACTTTGGAAGACTGATAGTATCTTTAAAAATTAAATATACATCTACCATGTAATCCAGCCATTCTATTCCTAAGTATTTATTGTAAAGAAAAGGAGATATATGTTCATACAAAGCCTTATACATGAATGCTCATAGTAGATTTATATCTAATAGCCAAAAACTGAAAACAGCCCAAATGCTCATCAACCAGTTAATAGATAAACAAACTGCAGTATATTCATGCGATGCAATACTGCTCAACAACAAAAAAGAATAAAGAATTTATACACACTAAAACATGGATGAATCTCAAAGTAATTATGCAAAGCAACAGAAGCCAGTCCAAAAAAATAGAGTATATTCTATATGATTGTACTTACATAAAATGGCAGAAAATCTAATCTAATCTATTGTGACGGAAATCATATCAGTTTTTTTCTTGGGAAAAGGGATGGGAAGGGGAGTAGGAAAAGGAGAGACGGGGAGAGGACTAGAGGGACACAGGGAAACGTGTTGCATGTTTACTACAATATCTCAACAAAGCTATTTTTTAAATAACACATGGAAAGCCAGCAGATGGGACTTAACTACTTGAGGCAAGAAGGTGAAACTGAGACCCCTGTATATGCACAAACCCCAGTGCAGAAAAAGTCCCCCAGCAGTTCAGAGCAGAAAAGGAAAATTATACCTAGCTTAGTTGAAGGAAACAAAATCTTACCCCAAAATGAATACCTGAGCCTTTTATTTCTAATGAGTCTGGAGTCCAGATCTGCATTACACATTTGTTGCAAGAATCTCCATACCTTGAAATCAGTGTAAATACTGCTCTCCACCTGAAATCACAGCCACAGTTCTGAAGTTGGTTTTGTGTCTTTTCCATCCATGCTTTTATACTTACAGTACATTTTTTAATCCAAAGTATATTTAATATTCCTTTGAGTATTTTAAACATTTACATAAATATTATCATCATCTACCTGTGCTTCTTCACCTTGCTTTTATTCAGATTTATCTATTTGGTATGTCGTTATTTAGCTTTTCTTTTTAACCCTTTATGGTATTTTTTATTTTGCAAATACCATAGCTTGTTGTTTTAAAAATATTTTTAACTCTACTCTTGGCCACTTTTATATTTAATATTCTTATTTGTACTTTACTTTTTCTTAATATATTTTGCCAGAGGTTTGAAAGGACTATTTTAAAAGACTTCTCTAAGATTGAGCTATTTGTTTTGTTGATCCTATTCTTTATTTTTTATTAAAATTTTAAAATAATTTTTTCTTTCTTTCTTGGGCTTTTACTTTGCTGCCTTTCCAAATTCTTACAATGATTGTTTCAATGGTCACTTTTTACTTATTTTTCTATCTGCCTCAAAGTACCAATTGACCTATATCTTGAAAGTCTTATATGCACTGTGGCAGTCAGATCTTTTAAAAAATTGTCATTTTCCTTATTTCTTTTTTATCCATAAGTTATTTTGAAGTTTTTTAAAAAAATTATGTCACATGTGTTTTGACTGTCAATAGTGTTAATAGCAACAGTAATGATTACTATTAGAACTACTTTTCAGTGTTGTTTGAGAATTAAAAGAAAACGAATATAAAATACAACAGCACCGAATACTTAAAAGAACTTGATAAACATTAGCTATTATGACACAAGCCCTCTCTAATCTCATCTTCTTCCATTTTTTTTTACTTTATTTATTTTGCTCTAGTCAATTTGGACTTTTGTGTCCTTCAAACATTTAGGACTTATTTCTATCTTTGCAAAGGCCTGAGGGTAGAAATAAGCTTACTCATTCTTACTCCTCTGCCTAGGATACTCTTCACTTCCATCATCACACGGAGTTTGGGTTGTTTTCTCATGTTTAATGAGGAGAGCTTTAGAGCGAGTCTGCACCACTTACTAGCTGTGCAACCTTGCATAAATCACTTAACCTTTTTATGCCTCATGTTTTCCAACTCTTAGATTACTTTGAGGATTTAATGATAGTACAGGTAAAGAGTTAAGAATACTGCCTTGATATAATAAGTATTCATTACATCTTTTCTTTGCTCTTGCTGTTACTACTATTATTATAGGAGAAAATTGAGACAGAATAAAAGTAAATCACTTGTCCATAGCACGTCATTGGGTTGATGTTATACACAGAATTGAAAAGCCTGTCTTCGCTTTCCATCAAAGCCACTATGCTATTTTTTGGGGAAAATTTGGCAAAGACTGTCTCTGTCTTGATGCTCCTTCATACTCTCAGAAGTAAAGTACTAAAACCCCAATTGTGGATTTTGACATTTTCCTGTATATGTGATATCTGGTTATGATTTTAGGATGCATATGTAAGTCATCACATTAAATGATGTTTGTGTAATAATGCTAATAGGAAAACTCAGGAAAAATACTCAATTCAAAGTCAGAAACATCTTTTGGTCAAAGTATTAAAGTTCTGTTTCATAAAATGTGCAAAGTGAAAAAATACAAGAAGGAGACATCTAGTTCACTTTGACATGTAAAAAGTTTGGGAGTCATCACTCATGTCCTCATAGCAATGGCAAAGTTGGGCTCTGAAAATCACCAACTGTTCTTAGATCCACCCAAAAATTGAGGATGGAGGGCAAGCCACCAGTCCAAAACTCTACAGAGAGAGAGATAGGTGGATACAGAGGATCACAGCTGACAGGGGGTGGAGGCACAACTAAGGCCAGCAACTGGTTGAAACACTGAAGGAATGATTGACCAATTGCTGAAGAATGAGCATGGACTAGATTGAGAGAGAAAAACTTCTGTGGGCACAGCCTTAGGAGGTCCCCACACTTTTATCACTTTTACCACCAGGAATCCCACCAGGTTCTCACTATGAAGATAAAATAAAAATTCCTTCCAGCTTCCTGCATGGGGAGGGGAAAGGCAACAATTTTGAAATACATCCAGAGCTTCTGTTCTTCTTAGCAAAGGCTTGCCCTCAATGGAAGCTACTTTACCAGCCTAACTCATGTGGAGTAAGGGAAATACCCAACTTCAGCCTCTTCTAACCTTCATCGCTAGGAGAGGGAAATACCTAACTCCAGCCTCTCCAGCCTTACTGACTCACCTAAGACGGTTAGAGGAGAAGCTAAGAAGTATTTGTTAGGGTCACCTCTCCAAATGCATAGGTTCACTAAAAAACAGAGATCTAATCAAAGGACTATAGAATGCCTCTTCTCCCTCTACATTTTACTACCATGTCATTGGAGCTGCTTCTGTATAATAGCAGGGAAATATAACTGAAAGAATTGCATGTCACAGATGCTATTTAAGGAGAGGTCACTAGGGAAACCCATAAACAACAGAGGAGACAAAAACAAGGGTGATAGAATAAATTTTAGCTTCTGACACCTATAGCTACAACAAGCAGTAAATGGAGCCTAACTCCTAGCCAGATTAAGTTTAAAACTTCATTAACGAAAGTTCCCTTCGCACAACACATCATGTTTGGATTTTAACAAAAAATTACAACAGACACCAAAAGACAAAATACAGTCTGAAGAGGCAAAGCAAGCATCAGAATTAGCTTCAGATATGGCAGAGATTTTGGAACCATCAGACTTGGAATTTAACTACAATTAATATGCTAAGGGCTCTGACTTAGTTCAGGCTGCTACAACAAATGGTTGCAGAACTTTTCCTTAGTTCAGCTAAAGATGGGATCCTTGTCTGTCCCACGGCCATGAAAATTTAGGCTTGCAGATGGTTTGAAATATGAGTAAAGCAGGGTTTTATTGGGTGGAAAGGGAAAAAAGTGGGGGAAACAGGGATCCTCTCCAAGGCCAGAGTCCCTGTTAGAGTGCTTCCCACCCGCAGCTCAAATCCCAGGTTCCAAAGAGGAAGAGGAGGAGCCAGGCTCCTCCCCACTGCAAAGGGCATGAACCTCCTGAGGCTCCACCCCAGTGCACAGGACGGTTGGAGTTTTTCTGAGGACCTCCTCCAACCTGGCTCTCTCAAAACTACTATGGTTTGGGTGGCCTAAACAACAGAAAGTTTCTTCTCACCATTTTGGAGGCTGAAAGTCTGAGATCAGGGTGCCAGCATGATTGAGTTCTAGGTGTGGACCCTATTCCTGATTTACAGATGTCCAACTTCTTGCTATTCTTACACAACAGAGAGAGAAAGTGGTAAGATCTATTTCATTCTCTTCTTACAATGGCACTGATCCCTAACCCTCATGACCAAATTACCTCCCAAAGGTCCCCACCTCCAAATATCATCACACTGGGGATTAGAGATTCCACATATAAATTTGGGACAGGAGCACATATATTCAATAGGCTCTAATGGACACAGTAGATATACAGAAGAAGAAATACCAAAGAAGATATACAGATGGCAAATAAGCTTATGGAAAATGGTCAAAGCTCTCTATCTTTAGAAAGTTGTAAGATAGGTAATAATGAGATACAGCCACATACCTAATACAAAACCCTGACAACACCAAATGTTGGTGGACAAGAACTCTCATTCATTGCTAGTGAGAATACAATGTGATACAGCCACTTTGGAAGACAATGTGGCCATTTCTTACAAATCTAAATATAGTCTTATAATGCCATCTAGTAAATGTGCTCCTAGATATTTAGACAAATCACTTAAAAATTTATGCCCACACAAGAACCTGCATGTGAATGTTTATAGCAGCTTTATGCAGAATTGCCAAAAGGTGGCAGCAACCAAGATGTTCTTCAGTAGGTGTCTGGATAAACAAACTGTGATATATTCATACAATGGAATATTATTCAGTGATAGAAAGAAGATATCATACCATGAAGAGACATGGAGGAAACTGAAGTGTATATTGCTCAGTGAAGGAATTTAGTCAGAAAAAGCTCCATCCTGTATGGTTCCAACGATATGACATTCTGGAAAGGCAAAATAAAGAAGATCAGTGATTCCCAAAGTTTGAGGGAGCAGGAGATGGGGAACAAGGAGGGATGAATAAGTAATGCACAGGAGATTTTTAGGGCAGCAAAACTATTCTGCATAGTTCTGTAACTGTGGATACTTGATGGTATGTATTTGTCAAAACCTGTACAATTGTATGACACAAAAAATTGAACCCTTGTATAAACTAGGGGCTTTAGTTATTAATAATATATCAATATTGGTTCATCAATTGTAACAAATGTAAGACATTAATTAAAGATGCTAATGGTAGGACAAACTGTGTGTGTGAAGGTAAGTGATTGCAGGGACAAGATGGGAATTCTCTGTATTTTGTGCTCAGTTTTTCTGTAAACCTAAAAATGGTCTAAAAAGTGAAAGTCTATTAAAAAGAAAAAGAAATTGGAAGCCCTTCCCAGAAATCTGTAAATGTGTTTAGTTAATGAGTTGCTATGAAGCATAGTGAACTTATATTTAGATATATTAGAAGACAGTCCATACCATTTATGTTGTCATGATTTCACTGATTTTACAATACTGGAATTGTAAGCCACAGAATGAATTCCAAGTAAAATGTTTTAAATGTATTCATCAGTCAAGAATCGTCAAAGCTAAATCCCACTAATTGCTTTATTATATGCAATTTCAGTGCCAAGCCAACATTCAGATTCAAATATAAAAGATATTTATGTGATTTTTGCAATTGTAATTAGGGTCTAATCCATTTCTTTCATAAGAGCCAAAGGAAAGAGAGGTTTGATAAGTAGCCAGTCAATCTTAAGTTAAACATTTTCCTTAAGAAATGTATCATTCTATTGATTGTTGATCTCCTATGTTCATTACAAGGTTTAAACTTAGTAGCACCTCCAACCAATAGCCTCAAGATGAAAGAACTTCTCAATTGTAAGGAAATGACCTTTTCCAGCCCCTATGAATCATTTTCTGCTTTTGCTGTTTCTGAAGGATTAGTCCCACATAGTCAGCTGTTATTTTTTCTATGTTAATAAATCATTTTCACTTAGAGAATTTAAGTTGGAGGCTAAAACAGGATTAAATAAGCCACTCTGATATCAGTTCGTCTTTATAGCTTAGAAAGATAAGATGATGAATACAAATTGGTCAAAATACCACAAAATATATCTTCATATTGGAACCCTTTGTGCCAGGAGCATCATTACGACTGAGTAATGGACAATAAAGGTACTGCCGGGCCCAAGTGACAGGGCAGAAGTGTGTGCATGATGTGGTTCTGTTTACACAGATGTTCTTCAGAAGGCATTTCACATAATAAAATAAGCTGCAACATTTATCTGAGTTCATTTTTTTCGGGACAAAGCCACTTAGAGCAGCTTGGTTATTACTGTTTAAAAATGAAATGTTTTTGATGACACTAAAAGGATGACAGCACTTTCCAATTTCTGCACATTGTACTTCTGAAGGCAGCGCTAAAGGGAAAAATGATCACAGCAACGTGGCCACTGAGTTTATTAATAAAAGCCTAGGAGAAAACGGATTCCTCTTTACCATCTTAGAAGGCAGGCCAGGAGCACAGGGAGTCATGTAACAATAGATTTAAATTCTTCAAATATAGTACCTACATGGACTACGCAACAGTCAACCACGTCATGGCAAACTGCACCTTATTAAAAGTTGGTTAATGAATAGACCGCCTAGAAGAGGCTGGATGCTTCTCTGACTGGGCTGACTCATCAGTACTTTATTCACTAGAACTAATGCTCTGATATTTCATTTGAATATTGGGTTTCTTATCATTTTTATGTCTTCTTTCATCAAGCCAGTGGTAATACTTCCAAAAGTTTATAAATGTTCCATTTAAATTCCCGTGGTGTCATGTATTCATCTTCCTCACTTCTTCCACTAATAGTTGCCTCAAGCAGTTCTAATTTCTCAGTCAGTAGTAGTTTAATAATTCATTTCCTTTAGTTCCCGATGGCCTGGTTAAAGTTCTAGCAGAATTGCCTACAAGAAAATATTACCAAAATGTTGTCTGAGATTCATCCAGCTCAGAGTGTGGAGGGAGATGCATCACAGTCAACAATCATCAAGTAACTATAATGCATAAGATAATGTGTAGAGTACCAAGAAATACAACAATAAGAAAGCAGATACTGTATATGGCAAAGGAGCTCTGAAAGATAATGGTAGACAATAAGTGAAAATGATTAAAGATAAATAACTTTCTTTATTGCATATCCTTTTAGAATCTTCAGTATGCTCATGTAAATCAGGAAACTCCAAGACAAAGAGCAGTAGACAAAATTCTTTAGACTTAATATGTCCTAAGAACACTTCTCTATGTGAATGCTTCCAAGGGACTAGTCTTCTTCAGAACACACTTTAGAAAAATTCCATCCCAGATAAAATGCTGTGATAAAGGCAAAGCAGCATTCAGGCAAAGTCTTGTGGCAGTCCATTAAAAGGAACTGTTCTTGTCAATTGGGAGAAATCAGGGAAGATGTCATTGAGGATGTGGCACTGTAGCTAGTTCCTGAAGGATATAGAAAATGAGGATAAGGACAGTTCTATTCAGACAATATATGTGCAAAAAGATGAAGACACAAAAGCATATGGTTGTCTGGGAAAAGAGAAATTTTGACATTTCTTGTCTACAAGACTAGAAGAAGGATGATACCATTTACAGATGATAGAAAAAAAGGAAAATGAAAAATTTGGCCAGAAAAAGCTGGAAGATGAAAGGAGTAGTCTGTAGAAGATAGAGGTGAAGAATTATTTTAGACTCATTATATTTGTGATGAAGACGTTCCTGGTGAAAATTTCAAGAGAAAATTGGAAATTTAATTCCAGAGATTAGAAGAGATCCCAGAAGAGACAATAAAGATTTTGAATATCTTTTCCTATAAAGAGCATCAAAAGGTATGGGAATAGATAAAGTAGCCTATTAAAGATCAACCCTTGGTGACATTAATGATATATCCCAGAAATCAGATTATTTGCTGATGGTATAAAAATCATGACCATCTTTCTAGTGGCAGAGAATAAGATTTCTGACCCTAGAATATGTAAGCATTTTAAAGAGGAAGTGACTGAGTTTACATCTTAAAACATACAACACATTCAAAAAGCCCTCAAAAATTATAATAAAATTGAATCCTAATTATTTGATTTCTCAGACATCTCTCATGTTATTTGAAACAAGATAGGTCTGCCTTGACCAGACTGACATGTGGCCAGAAATATTACTGTACATCAATTCATGGGCAAAAGCTAAAGGATTGGCTGAATGGTAAGCGATGTGCAAAGGACAGGATTGGAAGACTGGTGACAGTGAAGTTTGGGAAAGAGTTACATAGATAGGTCTCTCAAAATGGACATAGATTGTGAAGATATTTGTGTCTGTATTAGTTATCTATGCTGTATATTTACCCCCAAAAAAACTTAGTGGCTTAAAACAACAATCCAATAATGGCTTAGCTGGCCCCTTTGCTTCATGGTCTCATAAGATTGCAGTTAACGCATCAACGAGGTCTGCAATCTCTAGTGAAGTCTTGAGGGAAAAGAGCCACTTCCAGGCCCACTCACATGGTTTTGGCAAAGATTCCATTTCTGAATCTGAAGACCTTAATTCCTCACTTGCTGTAAACCAGAGGTCACCTTTGATTCCTTGGCAGATAGCCCTCCCTCTCTATCAGGACAAGTATGCAAACAGAACCAGAGAGAGAATACCAGTAAGAGAAAAGTCATGGTCTTTTAGAAACTAATCTCTGAAGGGACACACCATCACTTCTGCTATATTTTATTTCCCGGAAGCAAGACACTAGGTTCAGCACACACTTGGGGGAGGGAATTACACAAGAGCATGAATGTCGGGAACCAGGCATCATCAGGCAGACTGCCTACCACAATGTCTCATATGAATACTCATCAAAGAGCATTCTCTGCAATGGAGGATCTCAATAATCAGGTGGAAAAATGATGACTTCTATGGATGCTGGCCAGCCTCTTTCACCAGCACCACGGTACTTATGAACCCAAGAGCAAAATGTCCATGGTGACAGGAATGGAGGCTATCATGGGTTCAACAACATGGATTTCTCTTTATCAAGGCTGACCTGGATGCTGCTACTGCTGAGTCTCTAATCAGCCAACAGCAGAGAGAAATGTTTTAGCCCCAAATATGGAATCATTCTTTTAGAGGTACAGCCAGCTACCTAGTTGCAGGTTGATTACACAGGAGGCTCAACATGGAGGAAGTAAAGATTCATCCTCACTGGAAGTTAACTTTTTAAGTTAGTCTTTGGGTAGAGGGTTCTCAGTGGAAGATGACTAAATTTGAGGAGTAACTAATATGTTCTGTGACAGTTGCAGTGACTATTGGGACTGTATGTCTCCTCATTTGGAGGAAAGGGTAAGAATGTCTTCACTTGTAGGAACAATAGCCGCATCTTGTTAGGTGAAAAGGTAAAGGTGTTTAATTGTCCTATGGGAGTCTAAATGCCTGAGGAAGTGTGCATATGGAACCTGAAAAGGGGTGCATGATACAAGTTGTCATTTCATTGCCTGTCAGCACCAAATCCCTCCTTCTCTGCCCAGTGTTGCAATACTGTAGTTAGATCCTATAAATATTTCTCTTTTGCCAGCTGGCACAGTGTTAGACTTTGTCAAAGCAAAATGAAGTTGCTTCTCTTCTTGATTCCAGTAGGCTTTTTTCCTATGGTGTGGCTGCCACATTCACTGAGTTTCTCTGCCACCAGCACTTTACTAACTGTGGAGCTGCAACCTATGTCTGCGGGAAGAAGTTTCCTCCCTCCAGGCGTGGCAGGTGCTCCTGGCAGCCACTGCCTCTCTGATGAGGTCACATTCAGCCTTGGGGAGGGCCCTCTTCCAAGCTGTTTATTTATTCCTGGTTTACTCTGTCTTAGGCCTGTTTCCTTCAGTTGCTATTTCTGCATTCCTTAGAGTCTTTTTTTTTAAACCCTCTTTTAGTTGTTTAATAGTTTTTCTAGTTAATACATGTTAGTACTGAATGTCTCCTGGGAGACAAAATCACCCACTGCTCCGAAGAACACTCTTGAGAACCACTGCTCCAAAGCCTGCATCTCACAGCAGCTGGTGTAATCCTTTACAAAATAAATCATTTGGAGTCCTCCCTGCTCAGAAGCTTCTGCAGTCTTCCTTTACAACGAGAATAAAATGTAAATTCCTCTTGCAGGCTAGCAAGACCTGCTGTGGTCTGGCCACTCCCTCTCTGCAATTTCATCTCCTATCACCCTCTTCACTGACTTCACACCAAAGCTCAATCCTTCTTAGTATTTGCAGTGGGTATTTTCTATCCCTGTCATGCTCTTCCCAAATTCTTCTAGGGAATGGCTGCCTCATTTTATTCAGGGTTGTCTTCAATGCTGCCTTCTGAAAGAAGCCTTCTCTGAACACTCGATCTACAGTGACACCTTTCTACATCTCTCTCTCCCCTTATCCTGCTCTGGTTCCCTTCACAGCCCCAGCTGATATTACACAATATTTTGTTGTTTGCATGCTTATTATCTACCTGACCCATTAGATCTGCCAGAGGGAAGAGACTTGTACATCGAATCCAGAAGAGTACCTGGAATAGGCCCTTAATAAATATCTGTTGAATAAATAAATGTGTGATTTCATAGTATTTCTTGACACTATTTTGCTCAGCACATTTATAATATAGAACCAAATAAACATGTACATGTAATGATCAACTCTTCATTGATATGGCCTCTAATTTTTAACTTCTGGGTTTTTAAAATTTTAGCCATAAATTTATGAATAAGGATGTGGGAGAGTGAATTTCAGATTTTGACACAATGATTTTAGACATTGTTTTTAATGTTTCTCTTATCCTATGATTTTATTTCTCAATAATATTTCAACTGGAATAATTTCATTTTAGTTCCTCCAACTGTCTTTGACTATGTGGTTCTTATATATGAAGATATTTTCACAAGGGTGAAAGCACTAACAACAGCAACCAACAGAGGTCAATTTAAATCCAAAAACCAAGGATGCATCCCAAAAGGCACTTTCATACAGTTATTCTTGGAATTGTATGAAATTCTGTGTCTTCACAGTGAAAACAAGAAAGAACACATTTCTATCTCTATCAGTAATATTATCAATGTAAATAATTCATCTCAAATTCTCACTTGGTGAGCCTTCATAAAATCATGGAAGTAAGGAATGTAGTCCAAATTTTTTTTTTTTTTTTTTTTTTTTTTTGAGACGGAGTCTCACTCTGTCGCCCAAGTTGGAGTGCAGTGGCGCAATCTCGCCTCACTGCAAACTCCACCTCCCGGGTTCACGCCATTCTCCTGTTTCAGCCTCCCGAGTAGCTGGGACTACAGGCGCCCGCCACCACGCCTGGCTAATTTTTTCTATTTTTTTAGTACAGACGGGGTTTCACCGTGTTAGCCAGGATGGTCTCTATCTCCTGACCTCGTGATCCGCCCATCTCAGTCTCCCAAACTGCTGGGATTACAGGCGTGAGCCACCATGCCAGGCCCAAAAAATATTTTTATAAATTTTATTTTCTGATTGGATTGTGCCTTTAAAATTACATTTTTCTTTTGTATTTCATCAAGGTCTTGACATAGCCAACTAAGTTGTGATGACTGAACTTTACAATTAACACAACATTCTCTTCTCAGGGCATCACAGTTGTATATTTTGCTTCAGAGTTATGCTCCAGAAACATACACAGGTGTGGTGGCTCACGCCTGTAATCCCAGTAGCTTGGGAGGTCAAGGTGGGTAGATAACCTGAAGTCAGGAGTTCGAGACCATCCTGGCCAAGATGGTGAAACCCTGACTCTACTAAAAATACAAAAATTAGCCAGGTGTGGTGGCAGGCACCTGTAGTCCCAGCTAGTCAGGAGGCTGAGGCGGGAGAATCGCTTAAACCCAGGAGGTGGAGGTTGCAGTGAGCCGAGATCACTGCACTCCAGCCTGGGTGACAGAGTGAAACTCCATCTAAAAAATAAATAAATAAATAAATAAATAAATAAATAAATAAATAAATAAATAAAAGAAAAGAAACAGAAACACACTCAGATAACTAAAAGCCAAACCCTGTAATTTCTGCATTTCCAATACTCTGTAATATAGCACTTGTGCCTTTTTAACATATCCCAGTGGAGCCCTAGGAGACAAAACTTTTTTCAGGAAGAAAAATGGCACATTATCAATGAACCATGGAATCACACACATAGCCTTGAAGTGCAAGTGGCTGTTTCTGTAAGAAGTCCTGATCCTCTCAGCTGCTGAGGATGTGAAAGAACCTGAACCTATAGCAATTTTTAAAGAGGTAATTAAGTTAGAATCACCTATAACAGTTAGCAGTGAACAAAATATGGAGCTTCATAATATGCCATTAAACTCCAAAAGCCCTAGTTGTCAATAACGAAGTCATGAGAAAACACCTTTGCTAAACACCGGAGAATACTTTCATACTCTTTCCCCAAATCTTCATTTTTACTTCTTTGGAAGCTATTACATTTTAAATAGAAGATAATAATTTCCCATAAGTTAACACTAAAACACAGTGTGTTCATGTTTTCATAATATGATGCTTTTTGTGTACGTACATGGTTGTTTGTGATTGCATTTGTAGTGTGTGTTTATTTGCTATCCAGATTCTGTCAGATGTTTGGTAATGTAACAGTTAAAAGGAAATGGACTTCATACTCCCAGCCCCAACCACCTCTCTGTGCTGGTGACACAGCACTCAAGTCTGCCACTCAGCCCAGCTCATTCCTGCTAAGTCCCTGCGTCTGTGCCCTCGTGCCTACTGGCCACCTTCTTTTCCATATCCACTGGCGGCTCTCACCCAGCTTTCCACAGCAAACTCATCACTTTCCCCATCCCTCAAACCTGATTATCATATTCTCTTTATGAACAGCACCAACAGAGATATGCAGTCATCCTGGCCAGAAACCTCTCATACCCAAAGTTCCAATCAGAACTACTGCTGATCCTGACTCCTAAATAAACTCTTGAATCCAAAACCTCCTTTAACTTCCCACTAAACCAGCCGAGTTCATGTTTTTATCATGTCTTGCCTAGAGCATTGCAATAGCTTTCTTAATTTCCATATTTCCACTTCCCCAGCCTGTTGTCCCCATTCACTACTTTATATTGCTGCCTCAGTATTAGCTCTCACACCCAAATCTGATGATATCATTTCCCAATTAAAATCTTCACACTGAATTATGTTACTTATAAGATAGAATTCATATACCATCAGCCATACCTTAACTCCTTACAGGTGTAGGCACTCCACCTCCGGGTCCTCATGACACTTGAATCTCTTCTCCACAGCCTTTTTCCCCAAGACATGTTTTTAACCCCTCCATGTTTCCAGCTAGACTGGGTGCTGACTGAAAGAGGTGAGTGTAGCCTTCATTTCTATTTTCACTGCCAAGTGCACAGTACAAGCTTAATAAATGTTTAATGAATGAATCAATAAATGAATCAAAGGATGCTACTGAGTTAATGAAGAACCCTCTCAGGTAATGTTTGTTGTTTAAAGTATTTCAAAGATGTTTCAACCCAAGGAAAGCCTCTAGGTTTTCAGTTACTGGGCTGGCTAGTGGAAAAATACAGTATTTGGAAGCAAAGATGCCTCTGATGGATCCTCAGTCAAAGCATTTTTGTGCTGCCTGTGATCTATATGCTTAGAAGTGGTCCTGGATATGCATCATTATTCACGGTTTGTCCATCATCATTCTTGGCCAACTGAGTCACTTGTGAGGTTGGCCATTTTTACAGCTTAACTCTATCACCATGTCAGCTTGGCTTGCAGATAATTTATGTACAACCCAAGTTTCTGTAACTTAAAGGTCACAGAACTTTAATAGAAGACTAAAGGCTATTATCATTTATCTGCTTTCTTTTATGGCCCTATGTGAGTGACACAGAGATAATATTGATAATTCATGGAGGTTCTTATTTAGGTACTTAGAATACAATGCTGAGAAGTGGAAAAGGTATAATAAGTTGACATAATAACCATGGCATCTGTGTGGTAATTTACTGCTCAGATTGTGCCATCTCTAAGCAACACTCCCCCCTTTGCTGTGATTTGAGGGAGTTCTGCTGCTGTGCTCCCTGAGTAGGTTCTCCTCAGATGACCTTCCCCTTCCAAAAGGCTACACAGGTTCTGGGGATCAAAGATGGGGTCATGCACACAAGATCTGGCTACCAGATGTGAAGATTTGGGCACCACAGCCTGTTGCCATAAAACAACACTGTGCTAGAAGTATGCAAGAGTGCACTGAAAAGCCAAAGCATTGTTTATGGTATGGACAGGAAAACATCATTTGATTTGATGGCTCCTAGCATCTCACTCTCAAATTATAGTCATTCCAGAGCAACTGAGTCAAGGTAGCATGTGAGATTTTTTTTTTTCTAAAGTTTGACTTGTTTCAAGACTAGCTCATGTTAAAGAAATTGTCAAGAAATATTACATGTTTTGCCTGTTGAATTCATGGAATGTTTTCATTTCATGTCTTTAATTATACTCTGATAGAAACTGGGCATGCTTAGAGATGACCAGCAGAAATAGCACTTCTGGGAAAGATAATCTACATTTGTTGAATGCTTGTGGAGTCTCAACTCATCTAATTCTCAGATTGGTGTTGTTATCATCATCCCCATCCTCCAGATGAGGAAACTAAGGCATGCAAAAGTCAGTCACCTGTTTAAGGTCACAAAGTTGTAAGCAGAGAAGACAGAGTTCAAGACTCAGCCATTTGGTGCCTGAGCCCTGGCTCCTTCTTACTCCTACAAATGGCAGCTCTCCTAGGTTATTGCCATAGAAGACTAGGGAACAAAACATGTTATCCAGGGAGCCTTATAAATATGTACACAAGGGGAAATTCTTGGAATTAAAAAAATACTGACCATATAATAAAGCCATGGAATTAGAGTCAATAAAACTGGCCAATTGCCTAACGTCTTTCCAGACTACTAACATTTCTGCTTACCAACTAAAACATTGCTTGAAATGTCAATTCTTGATAGCACTTAAAATGTCAGTAATGTACTACCCTCTTGTATCCAGATTGCTTCAAGTCCATTTGCAATAAACCATCAGAATGACTATCATCGAAAACTAGGAGGCGATTCTCTAACAACCTCTTTCCCAACTAAGCTGTCCAATTTCTTTTCACTTCTCAGTCCAGATATATAACTCTGAAAATTTCCAAGTGTAAGATGGTCTATTTTTTTAAATCCTGTTTATTTTTCCTTATCTGATGAAATTTAATTCTCTGAAGATTTTTTCTTTTGTAAATACATTCACTTAAGTTATAACATACACTTTTGCATTATGGGCAATTCATTCATTTAATAAGTATTTACTGAGTGCTAGACATTCTGATATGGATGAGTTGTAGTTACCAAAGCTAGTACAGCATGATATAATGTTTTACATTCATATTTTATAATCTTCCTAGTGAAGCTTCTAAATAATTAATGCTTATTTCAAATTAACGTGAAGTCAAAATATAAACTCTTGTACACTACTTTATAATGAGATCAAATTATAAGGAAATATAATTTCTCCCTTATAATTATTCTGTTCTTTTAACTTGACATCTTTTAAAATGAAGAAATATATCTGTTTAAACTTCCAGTTTGCCCAAGTTATACTTTAGACAGTCTCCATTCATGGGTTTTTCATTGAAATACAATTTAGAGTATGTTTCAGTCCCATTGGTAATCCAATAGCACACTGGATTTGGGGAATTTGCAAAGTCTTAGTAGAAGACTATGAAAAGTATGAGTAATGCTTAGGGAAATGAGTAGAAATAAGAAAAAGTGTACTCTGGAACCTCATGTTTATGATGATTCTCTGAGATTCCTACACAGGGATGTCCCTACTAGAGGTTATTTTGCTTGTTACACAAAATATTCTCAGATATCTTGTTTTCAGTTTGGGGTCCTTATGGAGGAGCCACAGTGGAGGAGGAAGAGGCATTAACCTCCATGTGCCTGAAAGAATGAAACAAGGGAGCAATTTCTGGAACTGTGTGGTCTAGATAACATGGCAGGACCAAAAGCTTGGTAGGAGGATGTGACTGGATCTCCTCACTCCACAGGTTCACAGGAAGGAGCCACAGGAAACACCACTCAATCCCTTCCTGCCCTCTGACCTCCTGTGGGGTGTCCATTGGCCTAACCTAGTGGGAAGCCAGAGAGCAAGGGAGGGTGTGGGTGCAGCCCATAGAGGTGAGTCAGCTGGACCCAGGCAGGCTGGTGCAGGAGGGAGAAGGAGTGAGGGACTGGAGGGATAAACAGAAGACTCTGCACGGTGTTTCTCTGTTACTTTTATGCTATAGGAATTTCAAGAGCCCCATGAAGTGTAGCCATTCAAAATTTAATTGAGAAAATTAATAGCAAAATAATCTCTTAGATTTTCCTGCCTTTTTAATGTTTGCTTATAACTCCTTTTGCCTTGAAATTGTACACACAATTAAGATAATTCTTCTGCAAATTCCAGGTTGAAATATTTGAAAAACATATATAAAAATATTTTGTTTGATGTACCTAAATCATTATGCTAATTCTCTACTTTTCCCAAACTGAGACAGAAAAATACCAAAATAGTTTAAAATAGCAAAATAACATTTGAAATACAAATTAGAAGAAAGGTAAGGAAGATGTGCAACATGAGGAAAATGCCCAGTGTTTCTTATTGTGCTTGCTTTCAATGACATTGCCCGAAAACCATATGCAACACGAATGAATGAATGAATGAATGAACGAACCAATTGGGCAGTATAACACATAAATTTGTAGGGCCAAAGATGTTTCTGATCTAGCAGGAAGTGGTCCAGATCCCTCTCCTATTGTATTTCTTCTAAGATGCCTTTGATGGCACTACTATATGTAATGTAATTTGTTTACTTGTCTGGCTTTTTGATCAAATTGTAAATTCCTTCAGAGCAGGTACCACACCCTCTTAGGAACATATGTTAGGAACTCAATTAATATTTTTAAGTTAATGAAATAGGAAGTACAGCAATAATCGCCAGTAGTTTACCATAGGAAATACTTCATCTCAATACTGAGCTGGTACAAAAGAAGTCAGAGAGCCCCTGAATAAAAGTAAAATATGTAAGTTTCAAAGCAGAAATAAAACAAAGACCTTGACTATTAAAGACCTGTGGCCAAAGATGACTTTAATAAAGATATATTGACGGCAATATAAGACCACGTTCGGAATCATCATAGATGATGCTTATTTGCTTACACTTATCATTGGTAAATATATACCCCTTATGTGCTTATGCCCAACTTTATCATTAGAAAACATGAATAGTGTTTGCCATATGTTGTTTTGATCCTCCTCAAATAATTCCCTCAAAATGGCTACATCCTTACCTCATACTACCTACTATACAATTCCCGATAGATTACAGAAGCAATTGTCAAAGTCAAAATATCTGAATTTCCAGACCAACAGTTCTCACTATGCACAAAGCAAAATCAAAGAATGAGACCAACATCTAGACCTACCCTGATTCTCTTTTATTGTCATTTCAAATATATAAGAAAAAATCATGCATTCAGGCGATGAAAGAGATGCAATAATCAGGTTGATGGCATCATTTTCATCAATGCTAAATTCAAGAAGAAAATGCATCACAGTCTAAAAAACACTAAGAAAAACATTTGTGATCCAGTAATCTATACCCTTTAAGTTGTATTTATGTGTGTAACCAAGAAGATTAAAACCTGAAATGTCTAAATGGTGTTATTTCTCATTATAACCTCAATAAATATGTTATAAAAGGTAAAAAGATATATTAATAAGTAAATATAAACACCAAAATCATAAAGAAATTAGAATAAAATATGTGAAGATTTTGGCAGTAATGGGACTGGCCACATCTTTCTATGGCAGAAACTGTAAAGTAAACCATCAGTAGATTTGACCCCTAAGATTTTTTTTATTCTGCCATCACATCATTCTTTTTGTGTTAAGTTCCAGGTTAAAGAAATCTTTGAGGGACCCATGTACGCTTGAATCTAGGGATATCCAACCAACTAATACTGTTTAGTAGCCAAGTCATTGTAATATTTCCCAGTTGATCTGGGGCTGGAGGTATGTTTTGCAGGGATCAGGGAAAGAATCTCATGTTTATGATCATTACCTAAGGTACCTAGGCAGGGGTGTCCCTGTTTAGAGTTACTTAGCTTGTTACACAAATTATTCTCAGATATTTGGTTTTCAATTTGGGGTTCTTAAAGGAAGATCCTTGTTTTGTGAGAGAGGTGAGAGTCATAAATGATAAAAACTGATTCCAAAAAGAAATTATAATTATTTGACCCTTAACTAAGTTACCACCGGCAGCCTAATATAGAGGTAATTTATGCAATTCTCAAATGAATTCAAAGGTGTCTAAGCAATATAGCTAATGCTAAGTAACATATTAAATACTGTGAATATTTGTGCTTAGCCAAAACTAGACCATGTTCATGACAGTCAATAAGAATTCTACACAAAGAGTTAGATTCTGAGCCAGTCTTACTATTTGTACTGGAAAAGAAGAAGACAATAATTAGAACCCTTACCTTAACATTAATGTTGCAGACTAGTTTTGAAGATGAGCTGAAGAAGAGTTTTCAGATATGTTATATTCTCTATTGCAGGGGAGCCAGGGATCACCTCCAACCCTGGGCTCCTCATTTGGATCTAGAATTGACTCCACAGAGATAAACAAGAGAAAAGCGTACAAATTTAATTAGTTTTCCACATATAAGGGAATCTTCACAAGAGAGTGAAGTCCAAAGAAGTGGACAAAGGAAAATGCTTTTGTATCGTTGAAACAAATAATAAATTTGAGAAGAAATGAAAGGACAAAAGGGGACTGGCTAGAAGCAGTAAATTTCTAGGGGAGTCACTAGGAAATATTTGGGAGGGTATAAAACTAGTAGAAGATAAAGTGTACTTCATTAAGTGAATTTATTCAGATCCATTGCAGCCTCCAATTCCCAGTCTCTGGTGATAAGTGCTGTTTTTTTGCCCTTGTATGGGGAGGGCATCCCTCCTAGACGAATCTTTATGACTTACTGGATGCAGGAAGAGACAGGGTCAGCTCACACTTTCTGAAACTACAATTTCTCCAATGTTTCCAACCCAAAATAGTATATCAATCTTGCATATATTTGGATGGCATGGCTTTCACTCCTTCACTATTTCCCTGCATCTTTCTACTAATTTCCATTCTACTTTCCAAAGTCACAATGATAATAACTTATTAGTGCCCTAATAGTCAACAGACTGATATGTATAAAGTTGTTCCATAGTCTCGTTATCTAAACAATTGTATTTTTCCTCTTTAAATTGCAAAAGTCATAAGTATTTTGTATATTTTCATTAATCAGGCATAAAGTAATAGCCATCATTAAGAAATTATGGACTACTACAATGAGATAAACAATGTTTGTGTCCTTCATGATTTTTTAAATTTATACCATTTATTTTTATTTTTATATTTTAAATTTTTTTAAACACAGACTCAGTGTTCTTCAGGCCCTTCCTGAAAGGTAAATGAAGAAGATACATTTACTTAGTTCTCTTTCTCTTTTCCAAAAATGAAGTCATATACTTAAAGAATTATAAATTATCTATGAATCATAGCATGATTAGATAGCACCATAGAAAAGAATTATCAACTACACAAAATATGCATACTACCTGATTATTGACAGCAGAACCTAAAATACATTTTCTTTTGAAATTTTTAGAAAACATTCAGTTCAACACATTTGCGTCATGAATTGGATTTTAAAAGGGTAATTTATTCCCTAAAGCATCATATATACCTAAAGGAATCTTTCCATACTTTAAATAAATGACATCACAAAAGATTTGGAAGTGTTTGTTATGAGATAAAATCAGAAGGCTTTTTTTGCCTTTTTAGAATCCCCTACTGCTATTATGCAAAAGTTAGTCACATTGATACACATAGCCTTGTTATCAGCCCCACCTATGGAGAAGTCTGAGGTCCTGGAGAAGTGCTTCTGAGAGAACGGCTCCTCTTCCTATCACTCTGCATTGTCTGAGCAGTGTACTCAATGTTGAATTTAGTTGGATAAGAATCCTTCAGTATCATTAGAAAGTCGTCTCATTCAGTATCTGGGTTCTCATTATGGCACATCAATTAGAATATGTATAGAAAAATGTAAGACACAATAAAAAGCAAATGTCCCTTGCCTGTGTAGAAATGTTCACGTGTTCCAAATTCCAAAAATATTTGAGTGAAATAAGCCTTCTTCTCTATCTTCTTTCTTCTTGTCACAGTATCACGCTTATCTCCCTAGTACCAATAGCTCTCCTTATTTTAAACTTAGGCTTTCTCCCATTTCCATATTATACAAATGCCTGCATTACAAGGTGTCTATAACAATATTAATATCCATTATATATTTGTAAATATTAAGTACAATATATTTAGTTTTTGTCTAATCACCCAAATTCACATGTTTGCTATAGAAATTTTAGTGAGGATACTGTAGAAATGATGGCCTTTATTGTAGATTTCCTCTCTGAAGAAACAATCCCAATTCCCTGATGTGGTCATTAATTCCAATCCAGAATTTAAATCCAACGGTTTTAAAGCAAGGCTTTGTTCTCTCTTCGTTTATCTGTGCATCTCTGTGGTTGCGGCAGAAGCTTGCAAAAGTTTTTAACCTTCATAATTCACAAGACAACTGGTTATTTTAATACCCACATTTTAATGGCAAAATGTAACTTTTATCTGTGCCTGAAACTAATTTGGAGACTAGTTTCTACAAATTTAACATCTAAGATCTGTTACTTTAATTTTTAGTCAACATAACTTTAAATGTTTTTAAAGTATATAGTGAATCAAAAGTTAGGAAAAGAAATAAGTTGGTAGATATTTTTTTAAAAGCTATTCCGTTAGGCTAAAATGAGATACGCCTTACTAAAATTTTCATGAAAATACTTGATTGCATATACTCTGTTGTAGGAGGAAGGGTTTCAAGCTTTTGCCTGAAACATTATCATAATGTCTGAACGCATTTGTCAGTAAAGGTTTTTCCTATTTTTTTAACCACTCATTTTGTGTTTAACAACCCTCACTCTCAGGAAACTAATTTAAATCCACTTAGCTTCTTTCATGAAGGGCAAGCCAAGTTCCTCTTGATTTATCTTCACCAGAATTATTTATTAGGTTATACTTAGTCTTCTCACCTAAGAAAATAGAAAATTATTCTGAGGCAAACTGACTGAATGCACTTCTAATGCAAAATGGCCTCATTCTTTTCTTATTTTTGAGTTACACAAGTTAGTACATAAGAAGCGGGGCAACTCGGCCAGGCGCGGTGGCTCACTCCTGTAATCCCAGCACTTTGGGAGGCCGAGGAGGGCAGATCACGAGGTCAGGAGATCGAGACCATCCTGGCTAACACGATGAAACCCCATCTCTACTAAAAATACAAAAAATTCGCCGGGCGTGGTGGTGGGCGCCTGTAGTCCCAGCTACTCGGGAGGCTGAGCCAGGAGAATGGTGTGAACCCTGGAGGCGGAGCTTGCCGTGAGCCGAAATCGCGCCACTGCACTCCAGCCTGGGCGACAGAGCCAGACTCCGTCCCCACCCCACCCCCAAAAAAAGTGGGGCAACTCTATGGTAAGATTCTCTCTCTCTCTCTCTTTTTTTTTTTCCTTTTTAAAACTATGCCAAGTTTCATGAAAAGGGTAAGCTGTCAGGGATTTCTGTCTCTTTTGTTCACTGTCATAATCATAAGGCTTAGAACAATGCTATTAGTTGTTTCATTATTACTTTTTGAATAAATGTATGAACCAAAGCAGATCTTTCTCTCCTAAGTGTAGATTTCAAAGTTGGAAATTAAGGTCAGTTGCTACTAGCTTATATCATAAACAAGAGAATAATACAGATTCTCTAGTTTTTACTGTTTCATTGTAGTTCTCCAACTAACAAAATTTTAGGTAATAACCCAAATAAAGCTAAATGTGAGTATTTATAATATGGTTTGATCTGAAAGTGATAGATGATAGATAGGTAGATGATTGATAGATAGATAGATAGATAGAAAGACAGATAGCTTCCAGGTTCACACACCAAGTTTGATCAGGTTGGGGAGGATAAAGGGACCTTTGTGAATGTTTAAACACAAAACCAACTTTGAGTAACATGAGCTCCCCACACTCAATTGATAATGAGATACCCCTATGGGGCTTGTTTGAAGTGTATTCCCAGGCTCCTTCACAAAGAGTCTCTTTCACTACCTGAAGGGATCCCAAGAACCTGTATTTTATAACATAGAGTGGCAACTTGAAAACTAAGAACAATGTATGAGTAAAGCACAAAAAGAAAAAATAACTAGATAAGCTCTGATAAATATAGCATACGATGGAAGAGTAGAGAAATGACTGTCATTTTAAAAATAAAATATTTTTTATAAAAGAACTTTTATTCCTTACTTTTACCAGAAGTTAAGAATCTTAGCATATTGTAATGACAGCTTCTAAAAGTGTGCAATTTATGATTATAAAATTCTGTCCAGGGGAGGATATTGCCCAGGAAAAGGTGACCTTTTCTTTGGAAATTGAATGAACACCTAGTGTCTGATAGACTATTTCAGAGATATGACTAATTTATGTAATTAAAGTGTTACTCTGCAGGTGGAGGGAGAGGAAACCTACAACTTTGAAATAAAGTCTTACCAATTTCAGGACCTCACAGTTTTAAACTCCAATAGGGAAAATCAAATTTTGCAGATGACGTTTGAAGAAAGATTGTTAGAGACAACACAGTCTCGAGGCCCCTGTGTGTGGCTTCCTCCTTTGTGGCATCTGTTAGGCCTGCTCCTTTGTGTCAGGGGCCAGAACTTGGTCTCTGCCTCCCAGTTCCCTGCACCACTGTGCTCGGCTCAGCCTCAACTTGCCCTCTGTGCTAAGGGTACACTGCCCTTGGCAGAGAGATGGAGCACCCCTCAAGTGTTCCTCTTCCCTCAAGGATCAGTCTTGTACTGCCTTTGTCTGATACCTAAAAATAGGCATCCAGTTTTATAGATATTTATGGTAGGAGGACTATGTGTATATTATCTCAATTGCTGGAAGTGGAAGTCCACCAGGCTTGTGTTACCCACCTCAAATAATTTGAGGGATAGTTAGAATATAAATTTTAAAACAACAAAATGAGAGAATGTAGATAAAAGAGATAATCCACCCCCATTACTGGTTAAGTAACTCAAAAATCACACAATACTCCATTAGTGGTCATTAGAGTAATCATCTTCTTAATCTTCTTTGAAGATTTTCTAGTGTGTACATAATCAGCATTCAATTTAATTTCCTTGGACAGTTTCTTGACAGTACTGGCCTCATTATCCTGTGTTCAGTTCGGGTGTACTATATGTGTGTGAAGTTGGAGCAAATGCCTTTTATATTTCTTCTGACGGCAATAATCTTGTCAAATATTTTCATACCCAACTTAAATAAAATATAACAATGTATTTTAAAGTACCTCCAGAAAAATATCATGCATTCCAGTACCAAAAATATAATTTCTGAATTATTATACCACCAATTTCTACAATCAGATGTATACAATTTGGAAAGATTACCAAACTGTAAACATTCTTCTAAACATTCCTGCTCTGAATAAAATAGTAAAAAAAAATGATGATAATGATGAAATAATTACTAAGATTTGTATCCATGATAGCCCTTTTAGAATGCCCACAGATTTCAATTTTAGGATCCTAATACAGCATGCAACTGTTACCCAAAGGCACTTTCCTGTGATATGATAATCAACCTGGATGATTTGGCATAGTCTGTGATTCAAAGATGTTTCAAATTGACCTCCTTTGCTATATATAACTACTTTTAAATTTTGGATCAAATGGTGACAGTTACAGAAGATGAAAAATTTTATTTAACTTTTGAGTTCACAGTGGAGTTAAGCAGAAACCAATGCCTGTGATATTGGTGACAGGCATTACTATTGTCACTGGTCACTGCTCTGTCGGGTGCTCACCATATCCAGTTCTCTTTCCCTTCCTGGAGGCCAGGAGAATAACATTTCCTAGTCCTCTCATACTTATGTGGGCAAATCATAGTTCTATCCAATGATCGATTAAAAATATTAAGTTATGTATGTCCCTTCTGACTTGCAGCACTAAGGAGCAGGTGCATAATTTTGTGTACTCTCTGCTTCCCTGCTGTGGTTGTCATGGAAGAATCTTCATAGTGGGGTGAGATACACCAATGTCTAAAAATCCTGAAAGCTAACCCACTGGATTGATTTAGAGTCACCCAGAAACCCAGAGCAGATTATATGTATGTGAGAAACAAATATTTGCTGTGTTTAGCCACCAAGATTTTGGCATGCTTGTACCAAAGTATAACCAACTTTATCTTGACTGATAAAAATATTGGTAGCAAGAGCTGGGTCTGGCTCTGACAAGTATCTCAAATGTGTATGTCAATGGCTTAGTAGTCAGAAGGCAAGATACTATGTTGTGGAGTGGCAAACATGTAGCAAAACTGAGATAATTTTAGAGGCAAATTAGGTAGCTAATTAAAGTGTCACTCTAGGAAAGAAGGTTGGAAAATAAAATTTTAATAGTGTACATTAAATGCTTTTGACTACATATGACAGAAAAATTACAAGAAAGAAAGAAGCTCAGAAAGAAATAACCAATTTGTAAGCAGTAATGTAGAAGAAGAGATTTTGGAAATTTGGATTATTGAACAGTTGAAAGCCCATTGCTTCTTTATCCCAAATAATAGAAGATAAAACTGAGAAAAAATATTGAGCTTGAAAATCTCAGATTCTAAAAGTCTATAGCAATGCTACACAATTAAATTCTAAATTTACACTAAATTTCTTAACTGTTTGCTTTCTAAATTTATACTGAATTTCTAGTTTGTTTTTTCATGAAAATATTTTTTGCCTACTTACAGCTGAAGCTATTTACTTCATAGCAACAACATTTTTTTTCTGTAGGATTTCTAATACTCATCAATTTTCTCCCATATTGGCTGTACTGTTTAAAAGGATATGATTGAATATCCATAGCTTTCTGGCAAAGAAGGAACAGTTTTAATTTTTTTTTTTTGCTATGTAAGGCTTCCTAACTTTTGAAAACCATAAACCTTACAATATTTTTGGGCTCTCAGGCACATAATAATATCAACTAGCTATTGTATTCTCTTGGTCTAGATGATGTGCCTTCACATTCATTCATTCATTCATTGAACTACAATAAGCCAGGCACTATTCAAGGTGGTGGAGATACAGCAGTGGGTAAAAAGGTACTCTGAACTCATGGAGCTTACATACTAGTGGAGAGAGGCAAAAAATGAACAAATAAGTGTGTGAATAGTTAGCATTTTAGATTATGATGAGGATTAAGGAGAACAACAAAGCTGAAAAACCAGGAAAATGAAGAGATGGAGGATAGAGTTAATATGAATATATAGATCAGGGAAGGCCATTCTAATAAAAATGATATTTGAAGAGAAAACTCAATTAAGGGAGAGAAAGAGCCATACAATTCTCTTGGGAAAAAATAATGTAGGCTGAGGAAATGTCTAAGGGTCTGAGCCAGCAGTGTTAGTCTGGGTAGCCTTAGGGTAGACAGAGTGGGAAACTCATGGGTGTATGTCGCTAGTAACCAGATCACTGGAGCTGTGTAATGCTTTGGATTTTACTCCAAGTGGTATGATGTTTCAGTTGGAATTAGATTTTTCTCCATGTGATGCAAATCTAAATATCTGTGGCTCAAACAATCCAAAGTTCAATTTTCGCTCACCTAAAAATGTGGAGGTACACAATCCAAGGCAAGAATTTGAGCTCTGATCTGCAAAGTTTTCTGGGAGGTGAGCTCCTTCTAGTTCATGGCTCCAGCATCCCTCAGGCTCTAAGCAGCAGAATGGAAGAAGGAAGATGTTTTTAATACAGATTATATAGCAAACCACATTTTCTGCCTGTAAAACTGGAAGGTGTTGGTAGAACTCACCTTATTTCAATTTCTAATGTTTTTGCCCACAGTTATCAGAGTCTTGAATTTACCTGCAGTTTATTCTCAGCATAGGCATTTTTTTATATGGATGGATTAGGTTGATGGAGATTCCAGAGATAAGTATTGGTTGCCTCTTTGACCTCATCTGCTGTCTGAATCCAGATTGAAGAAAACACTGGCTTTTTTGGGAAAAACTCCATCTTGCATTGAATTCTAACAATTCTCTTGGGAATTCTGTGGTTTAGGGTACTGAACTGGAGCATTGGAAAGCATAGACACATTTTCTAATTAGCAAGAGATTAGGGAAAATATAAATGTTAAATCAAATTGAGAAATATCTTCTATTGTTAAATAACAGAGTGGCTCTTTGGTTACAAAAACACACATGAATCCTTATCCACAGACCCTCACAAACACACACATAAAGGCATCCTCTCATTTCCTGTGAAAAATTTAGTGACAATATTATAATTTACAAAGGAATGAATGACTGACAAACTTCATCATTTCAGAGCTTATCTGAATACTTAAGATAGTATATATTAGTATCCAGAAATATATTTTTAACTAGAGAAATATATAAAATATTAAAATATATGTCAACCATTCATAAATATGTGCTTATATATAAAATATATCTGATTATATAGAAAATATATATTTCATATATTTCTGTATAGCTTATACAGAAATTGAGTATGTGCCCAGGTTTGGCATCCTTTTGAAAACAGCAGCCTTCCTCAGCCTTGAAGTCACCCTATATTGCATGGCTCAGTAAAATTTAAGTGTCATCCCTGTAGGGTAAGAATGTATTAGCATGTAAAGTATTTTAAACCATTAATAAAGGACCTTAAGGATCTCTCAAAAAAAAAAAATCCTACTACAAGTTAGCCTCGGGGAGAGGATAATATTAAAGTTATGACTTCCACGCTGGGTGTGGTTGCTCATGCCTGTAATCCCAGCACTTTGGGAGGCTGAGGTGTGAGGATTGCTTGAGGCCAGGAGCAACATAGAGCAGCCTGAGCAATATACCAAGACCCTGTCTTACAAAATAAAATTTAAAACTAGCCAAACATGGTGGTGCAACCTGTAGTCCTAGATACTCGGGAGGCTGACATGGGAGGATTGCTTGAGCCCAGGAATTCAAGGCCACAGTGTGCTGTGATTGTGGCACTGCACTCCAGCCTGACTGATAGAGTGAGACCCTATCTCTAAAAAAATAAAAATAAGATTATGACTTCCTACCTATTGTTAAGCCTCACAGTGGATCAAGATTCTTCTGTGCAAAGAGCAAACTAAGGGCATAGGATCTACTAAATTCTAAATTGTATGGAATGACTCAAAGGTGTAGCTCTCCCATTGACTCCAGATCAACTCAAGACACCTCTTCAAGTTGGGAATGAGAGGCAGGGTTGCGAGAGACAATGAAGCAATGAAATACAGCAAATCCAAGAACCAAAGACCTTTGGGTGTGGTTAATAACAAATAGAACTGACTAGAATCAAATAGACCAAAAGTCTACTAGGTTTCAAAAGGAGTTGCACTGCTAAGCACTGCTGGTTGGGTCCCTTGGGAGACAGACTCTGAAAGAGGGATTAGTGGGCAGGGGTTTTCAAGGGAGTGCTCTGGGAACACACCTGTGGAAGGGAAGGGAAGGAAGCAGAACTCAGCAGAAAAGAAGTTGGGCTCTGATGCAGCCTCAGTGGAGGTGTCAGCCAGGCATGAGTAGCTGGGTGATACATCATGGTTTTCACCAACTGGAGCAAAGGACAGGGACTATACACTCTTGTGATGGGCAGTTATGGATGTGGGCTTCCCAGAAAGGTCATAACATTGGGTAAAACAGCTCTCTTCAAGTCAGACCATTCTGAAGAGCTTGCTGGTGGAGAACTCTCTGTTAGCAACACTCCAGGATGCTGGGAAAATAAGTCCTTTACTTCTACATGAGGTCTGAGCAGTGCTTCCCAGGGTCCACTTCACCAAGAAACCACAAGTCTGGACTGTAAGAACATGTGGCTAATTGAGCTTGTCTCCTAACTGACTATGGGCAGAAAGGGAGTTGAAAAGCTGCTTGGCTACTCACAGTAACAAAGACATGGAATTAACCTAAGTGCCCATCAGTGGTTGATTAGGTAAAGAAAATGTGGTACATACACACCATGGAATACTACACAGCCATAAAAAAGGATGAAATAATGTCCTTTGCAGCAACATGGATACAGTTCAAGGTCATTATTCTTAGTGAATTAACACAGGAACAGAAAACCAATACCACTGTCCTCACTTATAAGTGGGAGCTCATTAGGTACTCATGAACATAAAGATGGGAAAAAATAGACACTGGGGACCACTAGAGGTGGGGAGAGAGAAAGAGGGACATGGGCTGAAAAACTACCTATTGGATAGCATGCTTAGTACCTGGGTGGCAGGATTATCCATACCTCAAACCTCAGCATATACCCATGTAACAAACCTGTGCATGTACCCTCTGAATCCAAAATAAAAGGTGGAAAAAAAGAAAATCAATAAAATATATCATCACAATCAAAGAAAAAACTACAAATAATCAATATGTTTAGGTAAATATGCACAATTTTATTAAGTAGAGAAAAGAAAATTGAAAATAAAAATGTCTCAATCATAAAATTGACAAAAATTAACTGATAGTTTTCTCTGTAATTAAGGATGTGGGTAGATACAAACCTCATGTGCTAATGGTGGAAATATAAATTGGTGAATCCTTTTTGAAACATAATTTTAAATTTTTTTCAAAATATTAAATATTCATATAGTTATTTCAATATTATATTTTTAGGAATCAATTATTAAAGAAGAGAAAGCCTAGTTAATGCACCAAAAAGTTAAATATGCAGGTATGTCCAGTTCAGCATCGATGACAATAACAAATAAATGAAACCAACATGAAGGAAGCCTAGAAACAAACGGTGCTAAAGCAATTGGACATCACAGGACAAAAAAAAAAAAAAAGAACTTTAACCTAAGTTTTACATTTTACACAAAATTTAACTCAAAATGGGCCACCGACTTACCTGCAAAATGTAAAACTATGTGACTTTAGAAAAAATAGTAGAAGAAAAGCTTCGAGATCAAGGTCTGGGAAAGGGTTCTTATACTTGACACCAAAAGCATGATCCATTAAAAAAAAAAAAAAGATAAACTAGACTTTATCGAAGTTAAAAACTTGATTTCTGAAATATCTTTGAAGATGATGAAAACACAAGTTACAGAGAGAAAATATTTGCAAATACATATCCAACAAAGGAACCAGCATGTAGAATAATAATTTTTTTAAATTCCTGAATTTCAGCAGGAAAAATCAAACAATTCAAATATAAAATACGCAAAAAACCTGAAAAGATAATTCACCAAAAAAGATACACAGGTGGCATATAGGCACATGTGTTCAACATCATCAGCCATTAGGGAAATGTAAATTAATACCCCAGTGATACATAACTACATGTCTATCAGGATGGTAAAATAAAAAATCATGACAACACCAAACGCTGGTGAGGATGTACAAAACTGGATCTTTCATACTTTTCTGGTGGATAGTAAATGGTATAAATGTAAAATGGCTATAGCCACTCTGAAAAACCGTTTGGCAGCTTCTTATAGTGAAACATTCAGCAGCCATACAACCCAGCAATTGCATCCTTAAGCATCATCCCAGAGAAATGAAATGTATAGTCACACAAAAACCTGTAGATGCACGTTTATATGGTTTTATTTATACTGGCCAAAAACTGCAAACAACCAGATGTGCTTCAATGGGTGAAAGGCGAAACAAACTGCAGTGCATTCATAGCATGCATACAACTCTGTGACAAAAAACAACAAGTGATTGATACGTGCAACAACTTGGATTAATCTCCAAAGAATCATGTTGAATGAAAAAGGCCAATCCCAGCAAGTTACATTCTGTATGATTTCATTATATCATGGTTTTGAAATGATAAAATTATAGAAATGGAGAACAGATTAGTGGTTTCCAGAAGTTAAGGAGGCAGTTTGGGCAGGAGAAAAGTAGGGGTGAGTGACCACAAAAGAGAGCACAAAGGAGCCTTGTGATTATGGAAATGTTCATATCTTGGCCATATCTATGTACATATTGTTCTACAGTTTTGCAGGCAACTTCAAATCGGGGGAAATCTCATAGCATGTAGAATTTATCTGCATTACTTCTTAATCTCATAGCATGTAGAATTTATCTGCAAACAGCATGTGATTTGACAATTATATCAATATTAAAAATGTGGTTTCAAAAATAACATTAAAAAACAAAAATGTAATGGAAAGAATACACAATTGGGGTTTAGATAAATATGATTCAAATGCCAGTTCCATCTGCTTTTTTATGCAATAAATGGTAATTTAGAAAATTTTGGTGGATGATGGGGAGAGTTGGCATTTTATTTAATGTCTTACGAAAAGAATACGTTAAACACATGGTGAGCATTATTATTGTTACTGTGATTATTAAAAAGCAACATTTTTACAAAGCTTCATGGTTCCCAAGGAAAGCATATGTCCAATGTCCACGTCAGAGTTAACCAAAAAGGATAATGGAGAAGGAGCATTTCAGAGAACAGAGCCTAACCCAGAGAGGACAATGGTCTTGAGAGAGCCTCCTAAGAGCAGAGTCAGGACCTCATCAGCAGAGGGTATAAGCCAGCACAATGTCTTCGCAGGGAAATGTTAGTTTTGCAAGAACCAGTTCTGGACCTTTATTTTCCATTTTTTTTCCTGAATGTTGATTGTATCTATCCTATTCTTCTTCAACTGTTGTATACTTGTTGTGTGTTAGGGGAGGGGGCTGAGAACTTCTTTTTAAATCATAAGTGTCCAGCCCAAGACAGTCATGTGTGGACTGAATGTAGAGACTCCTACACAACTTCTAGCAATCCCAGACTCTGAGTTTAATACTGTGCAACCACAGGACTTTGTGTTGTCCCTCTTGGGGACAAAGCGGGTGTGTGCTGCATAGGAAAAGAAGAACAAACAAAATATTTAGTGTTCAGAATGGCAAACTGAGGTAGACATGACTAATGCTCGCCTAAACTGAGCTGGTGAGCAGAATCAGTTAGTCACCTGAAAGACTACATTTTCTAGTCTCCTTGCAGTTAGGTGGGACCCTGTGACCAGTTGTGGCCAGTGAGCCATACTGAAAGATTTATGGCAGAAACACCCAATTCTCTGTACTCTCTCCTCCACTGCTGTGGAGGGTCGTGGAGGGTGGTTTGTGTTGATGTACAAAAGCCACAAGATTGAAGCAACCTGGATCACTGAGTTATTACCTGAGGGATGGTGGTTTCAGAGGGTATCCTAGGCCAAATGGATTTTGGATGAGTAATAAATAAAGCTTAGATAAGCCATGGAGATTTGGAGATCATTTGTCACCACAGCACAATATAGCCTTTTGTTATGGTGTAGATATGGTTTGTCCCTGCCAAAACTCAGGTTGAAATTTGATCCCCAATGTGGCAATGTTGGGAGGTGGGGCCTAGTAGGAGGTGTTTGGCTCATGGATGGGGATCATTGATGAACAGATTAATGCCCTTCCTTGGGGGTGAGTAACTGCTTCATTTCTGGGAAATGAATGTATTAGGCCCCTTGAGAATGGGTTGTTAAGAAGAGTCTGGCTTCCTCAGTTTCTCTACCTTGCTTTCTCTCTCACCATGTGATCTCTTTGCACATGTCCACCCCCCTGCCTCTTTCTGCCATGAGTGGAAGCAGCATGAGGCCCTCACCAGACACAGCTGCCCAATCTTGGTCTTTCCAGACACCAAAATTGTGAGCCATATAAGCTTCTTTTTATAAGTCACAAAGCTTCAGGTATTCTGTTATAGTAACACAAAATAGATTAAGATGCCTATCTATCCTTATCAATTTAGTTATATTTTAAGTCTATATAAAATATTTAAATTTATTATAGATGTGTGAGCTATCTAATGGTCTATACATCATTAACATGCTCTGAAAGCTACTAGGTAGAGTAATTCTAGAGAAATAAGAAATGAAATGTTGCATACTTATGTAAGTTATAATTACCAAGCCAAAACAGATAAAGTATCTGGGCAGCAAAAGGACTTTAAGGTGTTCTTATCTGTTCCTATTTAGTTATTCATTCAAAAACCTGTGTGTCATTGAATAGAATAATTTATTTCGGCTAATGTTCAGTTAAAAAATCTGAAAATATTTTATTGTCTACTTTCAAGAAATATTCTATGTAGACTACCAAATATTCAAGTAGAGATAGAAGGAGATAGATCTGGACAAAGAAAGTGTGAATATTCAACATGGTCTGTTTATATTTCCATAAATTACAATTCATTATTCATAGTTTTATAATTAGCCAAATTAAATTTCAGAACAAGTGTAGAAAATCTTCTTTTAAGCTTTACTGGAGATACCAATGGTTACCTGCTCTCTGGCAGTTAAGAACCTAGTAGGGTCAATACTCTGATAAGTACTCTAATACAGCTACCAACAATAGAAGACAGAGAATAAATAGATTTGTTTCTATTGGGGAGATCTAGAATTTCTTGGAGAATCCAGAATTCAGCTTGATTCTTGAGAGGCAGAACCTCAGAAAAACAGCAAGCATTTCTGAGACCAACTTAAACAAACATTTTTTGAAGCAGAAAAGTATGGACACCTCAGTGAACTTAGTGTATATTTTGGGAAAGATGCTATTTTGGGCATGTTTTCATGGGTGGAGATTCACAATAATAATTTTTAAAGTTTACTTTGTATATTGAGGTCAAGATATAAGGGGAATAACAGGCAAAAGTCTTCAGGAGCTCAATTCTACAAAGAAATGGAGCTCAGAACAGAAGTTAACTTTACAAGAAAGTACTTAGAATCTATCCACATAATGATGGTGTTAAAGTTATGGGCCTTAATGAGAATCACAAATGTAAATGACAAAGACTAAATCAGTGTGTAACTCCCATGTTTGGGGCAAGAAAGGCAAAAAAACACAGAGAAGAAAAAATGGAGTTGGAAAGCAGATGAGTGATGATGATGAAGAGAAGGAAGTGGAGTGCAAGGGCTTCACCTGAGGCATTGGTGACAAAGCCCATCCTCCCCACTGTTAGACAATGCCCATGTGGCACCACCTGAATACCCTCCTGGTCCCTGTCCATCTCAATGGGTAGCCCAAAGGATTTACATTGTTACTGTCCTTTTGTTCATAATCAAAGTCAAGGAACCTGGCAACAAACCACAGGTCATTCAGTTATGTAAAGATCAGATGAGTAAAAGTGGAACAAGATGTTGAACAGCCCTTTTGCTGAACTAGGACCCACATATGGAAACAAGGAGGTACTATGGCCTCACATTGTAAACTGGAAAACAGTCAGACATTGTGGCCAGATCCCCTCTCCAGGATGCACTGTAAGATCTGCCTTCCCATAACTGTCCCCGCACCACAGCACCCCCAGTCCCAGGGTGGACTGTCAACACACTATCTTTGGACTGGTGGTGAGGTGAGAGGGTGCTTCAGGAGGACTCCAAGAGAATTGCGTGTACAGTGTGGAGGCACTCATTTAGAATAGAATACTCTTCTCTCCTCCCCTGGTTTAAACTGGACGACTGGAGGAAAACCGCAGGGGTCGCCAGAAGGCACCTACAGCCCCACCTCCTGGATGGCGAAGACTTCCAGGAGATGCTGTGGAAAATTACCCGGCTGGAGCTACTCACAGCCGCCCCGGAGTGGCTGCTAAGCTGGAACTCAGAACCAAGCTTTGGATTTAGAGACGCAGGGAGTTGAAGGAGGCAGAGAAGGTAGATCCAGATCACAGGAATGTGCAAGCAGAGGCCCCTGCCGCGTCTTGGAAGAACTCACAAGTACCATCCACAACAAAGCCAGCGTTTGGCCTCCTGCCACAGGAAAGAATCCTTGGCCAGTGGGTTTCTCGGAAAAGGATGGACAGCCACTGGAAACGGACCTCAGCCACAACAGTTAAAGAGGAGCCACTCACCCCTTTCCTCCTGCTTTTTTTCTGCCTCAACACATCTGGTAGGGACCCTGAGAAAAGGGAGGGGCTGTTTCCTCCCCAAATCCGCCTTAGCCCCTCAGAGCACGCAGCCTGTTGTGCATGCCTGTGCCCTCGGTAGCACCAATACACTCCCTTCCTTCAGAACCCCGTGGGCATCCAGCTTCTGGGAGGGCTTCCTAGAGGCCGCAGTCCCAGAGGCATGTTTCTCTGCGGTCCTGCCCCTCTCACTCCATCACAGCCCATCCCAGACTGCCCTGTAAGGGCTGATTTACCAGTCTGGGTGGCTTTTCCTCTGCTACCAGTAATGACACTAATGATTGGTAGTAGTTATTGGGCTTTACGTGTATTACCTTATTTAATCTTCAACCAAGCTTTATTTACTTATATTTATTTATTTATTTATTTATTTATTTTGAGACAGAGTCTCGCTCTCTTGCCCAGGCTGGAGTGCAATGGCACGATCTCGGCTCACTGCAACCTCCTCCTCCCAGGTTCAAGTGATTCTTCCACCACAACCTCCCGAGAAGCTGGGATTATAGGCATCTGCCTTCATGCCTGGCTAAATTTTTTTGTACTTTTGTAGAGATGGGGTTTCACCATGTTGGTCAGGCTGGTCTCCAACTCCTGACCTCTGGTGATCCGCCTGTCTCAGCCTCCCAAAGTGTTGAGATTACAGGTGTGAGCCACCGTGCCTGGCCTCAACCAAGCTTTATGAAGTAGATGCTATTATCAGCAACTCCATTTTACAGATAGGAAACTTGGGCACTTGATGTGCCCAAGGTCACAAGGCTGGTAAGTGCCGGAACCGCAGTTCAGAAACAGGCAGCATCCTCCAGGTGCTGCACTTTTGACCACCAAATAAATAAATAAATGAGGAAACAAGTAAATAATTTGGAACTGGAAAGGAAAGACCCAGGGGTCTATAGTAATATAGTAATACGTCCCTTCTTATCCTTTTTTTTTTTTTTTTTGAGACGGAGTCTCGCTCTGTAGTCCAGGCTGGAGTGCAGTGGCACGATCTCGGCTCACTGCAACCTCCACCTCCCGGGTTCAAGCGATTCTCCTACCTCAGCCTCCCGAGTAGCTGGGACTAGAGGCGCGTGCCACCACCTTCGGCTAATTTTTTTTGTATTTTTAATAGAGACGGGGTTTCACTGTGTTAGCCAGGATGGTCTCGATCTCCTGACCTCGTGATCTGCCCACATCGGCCTCCCACAGTGCTGGGATTACAAGCGTGAGCCACCACGTCCTGCCCCTTATCCTTTCTTGAGTCGGCCTGGACTGAGTCCAGGAAATAGGCGGAATCCGGGTAGGAGCGGCTTTCTGCAAAACTACGGCACCAGGAGGTGGGAGGCAATGACCTCTTCATTAAGTGTCTCAGTCCCGGAAAGCCGGGCTTTCCTTTCTCTCTCCAAGACGGAAGGAGAGGAACTACTAAGGTTAGATTTGACCCATTGGAGGCAAAAGTATTAAATCAAGTTCACAGACTCAAAGACCTCCAGTGCTGCAGAAGAAAATACATTCTTCCAGTGAGCCCCGCCCCTGCCCGCTGACCCTGGGCTGAAGTGGTGGCTAGGCTCGCTCAGTCCTTAGCCTCTCTTCTGTCCTCAGCTAGGCTTAGAGCCCAGCAGCGCATGCACCACATACCTCTTTTGCCAGCTGTCTTCCTGTTGGTACTGTCAACCCAGCACTGGGCTGGGGAGGTAGCAGCTTTGGGCAGTGATGTCACAGCCACAGGAGCCAGCAGGGCACAGAGCGCCGAGCTCAGGCCCAGCGGAACTGTCCTGGGCGCTGGGCTACACCATCTTCCCGCTGGACCACCGCATCTTCCCACTGGGAAACCCCATCTTCTCGCTGGGCCACACCATCTTCTCACTGGGCCACTCCATCTTCCGGCTGGGCCACTCCATCTTCCCGCTGGGTCACTCCGTCTTCCTGCTGGGCAACCCGTTCTTCCCGCTGGGCAACTCCGTCTTCCTGCTGGGTCATACCATCTTCCCGCTGAGCCATGTTCCCACTGGGCCACTCCATCTTCCCGCTGGGCAGCTTCATCTTCCCGCTGGGCCACCCCATCTTCCCGCTGGGCAACTTCATCTTCCCACTGGGCAACTCCATCTTCCCACTGGGCAACTTCATCTTCCCGCTGGGTCACTCCATCTTCCCGCTGGGCAACTCCATCTTCCCATTAGGTCCTCAAGCCCCTCAGCGTGGTGACCCTGGAGTTTCTCAACTTTGAGTGACCTTACCATCCTGCTTTGCTCCTCCACCATCTTTGCAACAGGCTTTTAACTCATTCTCTGTGTTGAATTGCCTCTGCTTGAAGTACTTTTCCAATCAGAATGTTTTTTTCTCCTGATGAAAACATCCTTTCTACAATACCCACCACGAGTTGTCAACTACCCTCTGGCCACTTCCTAAGAGAAAGAGCTTGTTACTTCCTTGTTGGTCATTTCATCTTTGGAAATGTCTGACTTTCATAAATTTTTCTTATATTGAACTAAAATTCTTCTCTTTAATTGCTTTGTCAATATTTTGCAGTTGTAGTCATAAATACTTAAATACTTAAATACTTAAATACTTAAAAAGTGCTCATCCCCACCTCATGAGTCATTGCCTTTCTAGACCAAACTTCCTAATTCCTTCAACTAATAAAACATAGGCTTTACCTCTTTTACCATCTAGATATTCCTTTGTCTACACCTCTCCTAAGTGTGGTGCCCAGAGGTAAACATGTTTACCAGATGTGTTCTGACTGTTCTACGACAGAACAAGGCTGTCATTTTTCTGTAAAGAATAGGATTTCTTGCCTAGGTGGTTAAAAGAATTATTTTCAGGGGAGACCCATATCCTAACTTAGCCATTTGAAAATAGTTCAGCTTTCATACATCAAAAAAAATCCAGAAATCTCCCCAAGGTCTGCTATAAGTCTAGAAAATGTTTCTGCTTTTGCACATCATCTTAGTTTGCTAGGGGTGCCAAAACAAAGTACCACAGACTAAGGGGCTTAAAGAACAGAAATTTAATTTATTTTCTCACAATTCTGGAGGCTGGAAGTCGAAGATCAAGGTGCCGGCAGAGTTGTTTCTTCTGAGGCCTCTGTCCTTGGCTTGCAGATGGCCGCCTTCTCCCTGTGTGTTCACATGGTCTTCCTGCTGTGTGTCCTAATCTCCTCTTCCAATAAGGACACCAGTCATATTGGATTGGAGCCCACCCATATGAGCTCATCTAGCCTTAATGACCTCTTGAAAGACAGTCACATTCTGAGATACTGGGCTTAGGACTTCAACATAGGAATTTGGGGGGTGGGGGAAGGACATAGTTTATCACATAACATACATCAAACAAAGCATCCAGAAAGTTCTCCAAATGTCATTGTGATTAGTCTAGAAAATAGGGTGTGGGGGAGGAGGGAAGAAAATCATATATTCAAATATGAGTTATAGAGGGAAAAGATAAAAAAATCAGATTATATTTCTATGCTTTTCTTTCATCATCTCTCAGCAACCTTGACAAGCACCTGGCAGGCAACCCATTCTGCCAGGGATTCAACAGCAGGGCTCCAGTTTGGGGAGCAGGGGAGGAAGAGGACATTCTGGTTACAATTGTGTAATTTTTCTTTCCAACTCTTTGGCTAAAGCCAAGCAGATCATTTGAAGCTCAGAGTATTTTGTCATGTGCTGGTATGGGCCCACAACATCACATAATGACATCACAAATTGGGACTAACTTTGAAGGGATGCGTTACTCTGCCTTTAATGTTACTTGTAGCAGAGACTTGTGGTTATCAAGAGAGAAAGGTACATGAGGAATTGACAAATTGAACTGCAAAATAATTTAATGAATCACTACCTCTTTCCTGTAATTTGACTTTTATGATCTATCATCTACTTTTTGATATTGAAAACAGCTACTTTCTCCTTGCATTCAGTCCCTGCTTAATCAAATTCTTCAGCCAAGGTAGAAAGAAAAGCCACATGGTTGTGAGAGAAGTTGCTAAAAGTAGAAGCAGTGTAATTAATGGTCAGACTTGAGAGCTGGTCCCAGAGGTGACTTCATTAGACATGACCTTGGGTAAGTCACTCAACATTTCTAAGCCTCAGTTTCCACGTCTTTAAAATGGGCATAGTAAGAGTGCCAACCTCATTTGAGAGCTGTGCACATTAAATGAGGTAGTTGAACGTTCTAGTGAAGTCACTTGCTGGTACACAAAGACGGGCACAAGCTAACATTATTGTTGATTTTTTTCTACAAAGATGGTTATGCATGAATCATTCAGACACTCACACACATGATTAAGTGAATGGTATGAAAAGAAGATACAATATTGGAGCTTGTTTATTTATTCATTCATTCAGCAACCACTTCCAATGCCTGTAGGAGCTCAAATCTTGCAACTGAGGAGCTGGAAAAAGCTTCTCCAAGCTATTGATTAAACAGAGCCTCAAAGGACAAGGACCCTTAAAGTAGGAGAAGAAGGCATTACTTTCATAGAGAGCAAAATGCATCATGGCAAGAGAATACATGAAGGTGCAGGGAATTGGAAGGAATTTGGTGTGACTAGAGAGTAGGAATATCAATGGGAAAGAGGCAAGAGATGGGGTTAAGTAGAGGAAGGCCAGAAGATGAGGGACCTTCATGCAATGTTGCGGGTTTTTGATTGTATCCATTAGCCAGGGAGGGGTCATTAGGTCAAAGCAAGGCATTTATAGTTTTTAGGCATGTGTTTTAGAATGAGTTTCAGGGATCATGTTGAGAATAAAATCCACTGGGGAAAAAATAGCGAATTCAGAGGATAAGAGATTCAGTTTTTAGTGTTGTTCTACACAAAATCCAGTTGTGTGAACTTGATCAAGTTTTTTCTTTCCCCATGAAGTTCAAGGAGAATAATAGACAATTTACAAAATGGCATCAGGCATTAATGTCTTTGTTGTTGCAAAACATAAAATTGTATTTTTTAACAGCAAATTGTTATTTCAACTAACACGTTCTTGGTCATTCTCTGTTCTGTTTTGTTCTGTTTTTTATTAATTTTTAAAATGTTGAAAAGAAATAAAATTATTTGAGAAAGAACTAATTCGTTTTTTCGCAGTCTCGCTCTGTTGCCCAGGCTGGAGTGCAGTGGTGCGATCTTGGCTCACTGCAACTTCCACCTCCCAGGTTTAAGCAATTCTCCTGCCTCAGCCTCCAGAGTAGCAGGGATTATAGGCACTTGTCACCACGTCCAGCTAATTTTTGTATTTTCAGTAGAGATGGGGTTTTGCCATGTTAGTCAGGTTGGTCTTGGACTCCTGGCCTCAAGTGATCCACCCGCCTGGGCCTCCCAAAGTGCTGAGATTACAGGTGTGAGCCACCACAGCTGGCCTGAGAGGGCTAATTTTAATGATGAAACTTCTGTGCATATAAACATTTTTCTTTTTTTTTGAGATGGAGTCTTGCTCTGTTGCCCAGGCTGGAGTACAGTGGCACAATCTTGGCTCACTGCAAGCTCTGCCTCCTTGGTTCATGCCATTCTCTTGCCTCAGCCTCCTGACTAGCTGGGACTACAGGTGCCCACCACCACACCCGGCTAATTTTTTTGTATTTTTAGTAGAGACAAGGTTTCACCATGTTAGCCAGGATGGTCTCGATCTCTTGACTTTGTGGTCCACCCACCTCAGCATCCCAAAGTGCTGGGATTACAGGCATGAGCCACCACGCCCGGCCAAATATTTTTAAAATATTTTGCTCCCATGTGCTTTATCAAAAAGTGGTACAAGTAATTCAAACCACATTAGCAAAATTGCATAAAATTCTAATGACCTCATTGGTAAAAATGTACTTTATTTTATAAATGCTAAAATATCAGTTTAGTATTTACTGTATGACTTTTTGAAATGATCAATGATATATGTATTTCTGTGTATTCAATTATGATCAAATAGTTGTAGGTGGGTAAGTGATTTCATATTTTTAAATTCTCCTTTTGCAAGGAGGCAGGTGAAGTTTTCTTAATTTTAAAAGTTATTAGTAAAATTCATATGATATGAAATATATTTAAAGTATTATATTACATTGTGATCAATTTTATGCTACGAAAGGTTATTGAGACCACAGTACTTAATAGTCTTTAGATCACTTGGTCTGTGAGTTTGCCTTTTCTGTAATTGCTGGCATTTCTCTGAAGGTTACAAAGGAAAAAAAGGTTCTTAAAAATAAAGTTAATGAGTCCATCTTCCGGGCCTCCAAAGGGAAAATGAGATTCTTCATCAGTTTAACGACAACATATCTGCTCTGTACAAAGATGGTAAAACGTGCTCTCTTCATCAGATTTTGACTGGTTATCTATTGACCTTCTAAATAGCTTTCAAGCAATCAAGAGAGTATATCAAGCAGAATTTTCATCTCTAATCCATTAAGTGACTACATTTAAGTATGTATCTTCACATTTACTTTAAGGGTGTTAACTAGAATATCTTGTCATTAATTTGCTCAAAACCTGCTTTATGTGCTTATTTTTAATAGCCATATTTTGGCCGTAGCATCCCTAGAACTTAATAGTGTCAAGAGCCACATTGATGAAAAAAGGTAAAGGAAAACTGGGCTCCTCCTTGATAATTTAATTCAAGTCAGCAAACATTCATTTATTGAGCATTCACTGTATTCTAGCCGCTGATCTAGATAGGTCTCTTTCTCCAACTATCCTGTTTTAATGGCCCACTTCTCACTATTTACACTTACTCTGAGCACTGTCACTAACCATGATAACAGGAGGACCAGAAGGAGAGAAGGGAGATAAATCAGGGAAAAAATATTGAAAGAAATTGTCTTTGTCCATTTTGTGCTGCTACCTACTACCTGAAACTGGTTAGTTTATAAAGAACAGAAATGTATTTCTCACAGCTCTGGAGCCTGGGAAATCCAAGAGCAAGCCATCAGTATTTGGTTGGTGAGGGCCTTCTTGCTGCATCCTCATATGGCAGAGGGAGGAAGGACAAGCTCGAGCCAAAAGGCCCTTTTATAAGGACCTCAATCCCATTAATTTGAGATGATTCTTCCAGGTCTAATCAACTCTGAAAGGGCCCACCTTTTAATATTATCACATTTGCAATACCTGAATTTGAAGGAAACACATTCAAATAATAGCAGAAATAATGACTGAAAACTTTCCAAATTAGTTGAAAAATGCTAACCTGTACACTCAAGAATCTCAATGAACTTACAGTAGGATAAATGAAAAGGGATCTAGACCCAAACACATCATAGTAAAACTTGAAAGCAAATAGTAAAATTGTTGAAAGCAAAAGAAAAAAAGATAAAGACAGTTTTAGGGCAACAATAGAAAAAAGTGACTCTTCACACACAAAGGAACTCCAGTAAGATTATTGGCTGAGGTCTTACAAAAAACAAGGAGGCAAGAAAGTAGTGGTATGACATGTTCAACATGCAGAAAGAAAAAATATCAAAAAGAATCTTTATATCCAGCAAAACTAAGCTTCAAAATGAAGGTAAAATAAAGACATTCCCAGATTTTTAAAAACTAAGTGAATGTGTTGCTAGGAGAACTATCTTACAATAAATACCAAATAAAGTTCTTCAAGCTGGACTCAAGTGACCACAGACAGTAATTCAAATTGATACACACACAAAACAAAGAGCAATAGTAAAGATAATGATGTAATTACATAAAACAATATAAACACTTGTATGGAAAAAACTCAAATTGTTTTTGCTCTACTCTCACACTACAACATTCAACACAGAGGACTTCTGTGACCAAATGTGTGGGGTTTCTCCCAACACGCTAAGCAAGTAATTGTTCTGGCACCAGACACCAGCTACGTGTTCACCAATTCAAGTTTAACACTATCTACCTGGATATTAATAGCATCAGATCCCACAGGTTGAAGGCTCAGTCACACAAAACTGCTCCGCTTCAGCTGCAAGTCTAAACCTCTGAGATTTCTGACTGATCAGCTTCATGACCTCCTCTTTGGGTTTAATTAATTTGCTAGAGTGGCTCACAGAACTCAGGGAAACACATTTACTGGTTTGTTATAAAGGATATTATAAAGTATATGGATGAAGAGATGCATAGGATTAGGAATGGGGGGAGGGGTGTGCAGCTTTCATGCCCTAATTGGGTGTGCCACCTCCAGGAACCTCCATGTGTTCAACTATCTGGAAACTTTTTGAACCCTGTTTTGGGGGTTTTTATGGGGGCTTCAATACATAGACATGATTGATTAAATCATTGGCCATCGGTGATCAGATTAACCTTCTATTCTCCTCAGAAGTTGTGGAGTAGGGCTGAAAGTCCCAACCCTCCAATCCTGCCTTGGTCTCTCTGGTGATCAGCCCCTATCCTGAAGGGATCCTGAAGGGATCCTGAAGGGGCTGCCAGGTATCAGTCAATCATTAGCATACAAAAAGCATTTCTTTGGACATTCGAAGGATTTTAGGGGCTGCATGCCAGGGAGCAGGGATGAAGACCAAATATATATATTTCACAATATTCCAACACTTCTTTATTCTCTTAACTAATTTTCAAAATCAATTATATAAACAATACTTACATAATTGTACTGTTGGGCATACAACATATAGCAATGTAATTTAGAATAACAGGAAAAAAAAGGTGAGTGTAAGCAAAACTGTGTTGGGATAACAGATAAACTAAAAGGATTATTCACCATGAACAAATGGGATTTATCCCAAGAATGCAAAGTTAGTATAACATTTAAAAACCCATTAATGTAATATACCATATTAATAGAACAAAGAGCAAAAAGCACATGATTATCTCAACAGACTAAAAAACAGCATTTGGCAAAATCCAATACCATTTCATGATAAAAATATTCAACAAACTATCAACAAAATGAAACTTTCCCAACCTAGTAAAGTCCATCCACCATACAGTTCACAAACATCATACTTAATGGCAAAAGACTGAACGATTTCTTTCTAAGATAAGGAACAAGATAAGGATGTCCACCATTGCCACATCAACTCAACATTGTACTTAAGATTTTAGCCTTGGCAATTAGGCAAAAAAGAAAGAAAGAAAGAAAAATAAATAAAAGGTATCAGATTATAAAGGAAAAGGTAAAACTATCTATTTGCAGATGACAAAATCTTGTATATAGAAAATCCTAAGGAATATACTTAAATAAACTAGTTTAGCAAGATTTCAGGATACAAAATTAATATACAAAAATCAACTGCATTTCTATGCATTGTCAATAAACTATTCAAAAAATTGAGAAAACAACTTGAGTTATATCAAACAAAAAGAATAAAATACCTAGATAAATTTAACAGAGTATGTGTAAAATTTGTATTCTGAAAACTACAAAATGTTATTGAAAGAAAATTTTTTTAAAAAACCTAAATAAATGAAAAGATATCCTATGTTCATGAGTTGAAAGACTTAAAATTATTAAGATAGCAATACTTTCTGATTTGATTTACAGATTCAGTGCAAGCCATATAAAAATTCTAGTTGGCTTCTTTGCAGGAATTGGTCAGCATATTTTAGCTTATAAGGAAATTCAAGAGACTGAAAGTTGCCACACAGAAAAAGCTGGAAACAGAACAATGCAGTTAGAAGAGTCAGATTTTAAACTTAAGCCAGATTTTAAAACTTACTATAAACCTACAGTAATCAAGACAGTGTGATATTGGTATAGGAATAAAGATACAGAGGAATGAAATTGAGAGTCCAGAAATAAATTGTTACATTCAATTAACTTTCCACAAGAATGCCAAGATATTTCAGTAGAAAAAGAATATGAAACTGGTCCTTCAAACTTTATAAAGTTAATCAGGGAAGAAGGGAGGGGGAGAAACAAAACTAAACCAAGTTTGCAGCACATTCAGCCTTAATCATTAGGTCAGTGATATGATTTGGCTCTGTGTCCCCATCCAAATCTCATGTTAATTGTAATCCTCAGTGTTAGGGGAGGGACGTAGTGGGAGGTTATTGGATCATGGGGGCAGATTTTCCCCATGCTGGTCTCATGACAGTGAGTGAGTTCTCACAAGATTGGTTGTTTAAAAGTGTGTAGCACTTCCCCTTCGCTTGTGTTCTCTCTCTCTCTCTCTCTTCTCTCTCTCTCTCTCTCTCCTCTCTCTCTCTCTCTCTCCTCTCTCTCTCTCTCTCTCACTCCTGCTCCACCATGGTAAGACATGCTTGCTTCCCCTTCACCTTCTGCCTGATTGTAAGTTTCCTGAGGTTTGCCAGCCATACTTCCTTTATAGCCTGCAGAATCACGAGTCAATTAAACCTCTTTTCTTCATAAATTACCCAGTCTCAGATAGTTATTTATAACAGTGTGAAAACAGACAAATACAGAAAATTGGTACCAGAAGTGGGTTATTGCTATAAAGATACCTGAAAATGTGGAAGCAACTTTGGAACTGGGTAACAGGCAGAGGTTGGAATATTTTGGAGGGCTCAGAGGACAGGAAGATGAGGAAAAGTTTGGAACTTCTGAGAGACTTGTTGAATGGCTTTGACCAAAATGCTCATAGTAATATGGACAATGAAGTCCAGGCTGAGGTGATCTCAGATGGAGATGAGGAACTTAATGAAAACTGAAGCAAAGGTCACTCTTGCTCTACTTTAGCAAAGAGTCTACTGACATTGCGCCCCTGCTCTAAGGATCTACAGAACTTTGAACTTGAGAGAGATGGTTTAGGGTATCTGGTAGAAGAAACTTCTAAGCAGCAAAGCATTCAAGATGTGGCCTGACTGCTTTTAAAAACTGATGCTCATTTGCATAAACAAAAAAACCTTATATTTAAAAGGGAAGCTGAGTGTAAAAGTTTGGAAAATTTGCAGCCTGACCATGCGGTAGAAAAGAAAAAGAAAAACCCATTTTCTGGGGAGAAATTCAAGAAAGCTGCAGAAATATGCATAAATAAAGAGGAGCCAAATGTTAATAGCCAAGGCAATGGAGAAAATGTCTCCAGTGCATTTCAGAGACCTTTGTGGCAGCCCCTCTGATCACTGGCCTGGAAGCCTAGCAGGGAAAAATGGTTTCATGGGCCAGCCCCAGGACCCTGCTGCTCTGTGCAGCCTCAGGACATGGCACCCTGCATCCTGGTCACTCCAGCTCTAGCTGTGGCTAAAAGGGGCCAAGGTACAGCTCAGGCCATTGTTTCAAAGAGTGCAAGCCCCAAGACTTGGTGGCTTCCATGTGATGTTAGGGCTACTGGTGTGCAGAAGGCAAGAGTTGAAAACTGGGAGCCTCTGCCTAGATTTCAGAGAATGTATGGAACCACTTGGATATCCACGCCGAAGTCTGCAGCAGTGGTGGAGTCATAGCTTGCACTGTGCACCTGGACAAGCTACAGGCACTCAATACCAGCCTGTGAAAACAACTGGGGGTGCTGTACCCTGCAGAACCACAGGGTCAGAGCTTCCCAAGGCCTTCGGAGCCCATCCCTTGCATCAGTGTGGCCTGTGTGTGAGAAATGGTTTCAAAGGAGATTATTTTGGAGCTTTAAGATTTAATGACTGCCCTGCTGGGTTTTGGACTTGCATGGGGCCTGTTGCGCCCTTGTTTTGGCCAATTTCTCCCTTTTGGAATTGGAGCATCTGGACTTGGACTTTGGAGTTAATGCTAGAATGAGTTAAGACTTTGGGGGACTGTTGGGAGGGCATGATTGCTTTTGAAATGTGAGAAGGACATGAGATTTGAGAGGGGCCAGAGGCAGAATGATATAATTTGCCTCTGTGTCACCATTCAAATCTCATGTTGAATTGTAATCCCCAGTGTTAGGGAAGGGACCTGCAGGGAGGTGATCAGGTCATTGGGGTGGATTTCCCCCTTGCTATTCTCATGACAGTGAGAGAGTTCTCATGAGATCTGGTTGTTTGAAAGTGGGTAGCACTTCCCCCCTTCTTTCTCTCTCTCCCCCTGTCTCTCTCCTGCTCTGCCATGATCAGACATGCTTGCATCCCCTTTGCCTTCCACCATGATTATGTTTCCTGAAGCCTCCTAGCCATGCTTACTGTACAGCCTGCAGAACTGTGAGTTGGCCAGGTGTCGTGGCTCACACCTGTAATCCCATACTTTAGGAGGCTGAGGCAGGCGTATCACCTGAGGTCAGGAGCTCAAGACCAGCCTGGCCAACATGGTGAAACCCTGTCCCTACGAAAAACACAAAAATTAGCCAGGCAATGTAGCGAATGTCTATAATCCCAGCTACTCAGGAGGCTGAGACAGGAGAATCACTTGGACCTGCGAGGCAGAAGTTGCAGTGAGCCAAGATCGCACCACTGCACTCCAGCCTGGGCAATAGAATGAGACTCAGTCCCCCCGCCCAGAAAAAGAACTATGAGTCAATTAAACCTCTTTTCTTCATAAATTACCCAGTCACAGGTAGTTCTTTATAGCAGTGTGAGAATGAGCTAATACCGTTAGCTTGCTCTCTGACGCCTTCCTCATAGTTGTTTGGTGCCTATTGTCCTTGAATCACACAGACCTTGTCATAAGATTATAGTTCCCCTTAACTGCTCTATAGGTAACAACTTGAACACTTTGAAATGTTAAGTTTTCCCTTTGAGATTTTCCTTCAGGTGCTGTGTAACCATGCACCTACTGATTCAGATGGTCAAAAGGACCTCAATGATGCCAGCTGGCCTGAAGGACCCCACAAGGAGTTGACTCATCAAAGAATGCAGTTTCCACATCGTGATTATCTCATCCCCCTTTCCCCAACCAATTGACAACTCCAATTATCCAGCCCTCACTCTCCATGGTCCCCTTAAAAATCTGAACCCAGGCTGGGCAGGGTGGCACACACCTATAATCCCAGCACTTTGGGAGGCCAAGGAGGGTGGGTCACTTGAGGTCGGGAGTCTGAGACCAGCCTGGCCAACATGGCAAAACCCCATCTCTACTAAAAATACAGAAATTAGCCAGGCATGGTGGCACACACTTGTAATCCCAGCTACTCGGGAGACTGAGGCAGGAGAATCACTTGAACCTGGGAGACAGAGGTGGCAGTGAGCTGAGATTGTGCCACTGCACTCCAGCCTGGGTGACTGAGTGAGACTTTGTCAAAAAAAACCAGCCCAGTACTCCATAGGGAGATGGATTTGGGGGTCTCATCCCATCTTCTCCCTCAGCCACCCTGTAATTATTAAACTCTTTCTCTGCTGCAAGCCCTGCTGGCTCAGCGTATTGGTCTGTTACTGCATAGCAGACATATAAACCTCTTGATCTTATAACAAATTATGATGAGCCTACCCTGGAGCCCCTTGTGGGCATTTCCCTGTTGCTTGGTTCCCTCTCATCACTGGGACAGACCCAGAGACAAGTCAAAAAGCCACTCAGTTCCATTGAAGTGGGGCCTGTCTCTGGTCCCTTGCCTGTTCACAGGGCAGTGCTGACCTTTGGCACATGAATTGTTAACATCAAGGAAACAGGTTTTGAAAGACCTCTTTGATAAGTTTTCTCTGGTCAACCGGCACCCCATTTCCTTTCTCCTAATTAGCTGGCCAATTAATTGGAGTTCTTGGGGCCTCTTCTGAGGTCTTGTCGACACTCCCTAGTAATAAGAAGGACCTTGATTGAGAGGATTCCCACTAAACTGGAAGGAGAACAAAGGACACTGAAACTTGGAATTTGATTTAGGAATTTCCGAAACTTGGACCTTTTGTTTGTCTTTGTCTTGTTGTATATGTTTTTGTTTGAGAAAGGGATCCCTGAAGGAATTGCTAGCAGGTCTAACTCAGGGTTAGGCTGTCTGCTTTTCAATCTTGCCCAGAAACTACCTGCTGATCTTCCAGTCAGTGGTTATACTGCCCAATCTGGAGTAGACCAAAGGCACTGGAGGCCAGCTGGGGGAAACTGAGAGGCTTGCCAGATGAAACTGCTTGGGCACTGAGCAGAGTGACTAGTGTCTGCCTTTTTGTTGTATGCACATTGTCTTGGCTGGAATGGGAAATGTTGATTTGGTTCCTCCAAGCAGCTCATTGGGTTGGATCTTGCAAAACTGGAAACAAGTAATGCCTTCATCAGGTCAGTGCAATGGGTAACTTACCCACTAAGGGCAAAAACGTCCATGAAAAACTATGGGGAAGTTCAAAGGCATGTCAAATTTTCTAAGACTCAAGCTGGTTATATATAATGGCCCATTCTTCTGCACATTTTTAAACTGATGATTAAATTACAGCAAGGAAAATTCAGAGTTCAAATGGTCAACCTAAAACTATACAGTTAAAATCCAGAAGTAAATATAGTCTTTACATTGCCTCAGAGTCATGTGGACCTTACTACAAGACTATAATTCCCTTTAACTATTCTATAGATAACAATTTGAACATTATAAAACCTTACATTTTTCCTTTGAGATATTCCTCAGGTCCTGCATACTGATGTAACTACTGACTAAGCTGGTCTGAAGGACCCCACTGATGCTAGCTGATCTGAAGGTATCCACTAATGCCAGCTGATCTGAAGCACCAACTGATGCCAGCTGGTCTGAAGGACCCCACTGATGCCAGATGATCTGAAAAACCCTACAAGGGGCTGACTCACCAAAGAATGCAATTTCCATGTCCTGATGATTTTATCCCCCTTAACCCAACTAATCAACAATCCCAATTTTCTAGCCCCTCACCCACTACAATCCCCTTAAAATTCCCAGCCCAGAACTCCTCAGGGAGATGGATTTGAAGGTCTCTTCCAATCCCCTTGCTTGGTACCCTGCAATCATTAAACTCTTTCTCTGCTGCAAGCCCTGCTGTCTCCGTGTAATTGGTCTGTTACTGTGCAGCAAGCATACTAACCTGTTGGTTCTATAATCAAATAGTTTTGGTTAGGACAGCTGTGTAACCTACATCATAACATATCAGAAACTGACTTAAAATGGATCAAAGACCTAAATATTAGTATTAAAATTTTAAAAACTCCTTGGAGAAAATGTAGATATAAATCTTGGAGAACTTGGGTTAAGCAGTGGTTTCATAGCTATGATACCAAAAGCAGAAGCAACAAAAGAAAAAATAAATAAATTTAACTTCATCAAAATTTAAAACTCCTATGCTTCAATGAATATCATTAAGAAAGTGAAAACAATACACACAAGAAGATATTTTGCAAACCATATATCTGATAAGAGACTTTAATTTAGAATATACGAAGAACTCTTTGATTCAATAAGATAACCCAATTTAAAAATGGGCAAAAGGTTTGAATAAACGTTTGTCCAAATATAATAAGGCTCACAAGCACATGAAGAGATGCTCGACATCATTAGTCATCAGGGTAATACAAATAAAAACCACAGTGAGGTACCACTTCATACCCACTATGATGGCTATTGGTAAAAAGATGATAACAAACACTGTTGAGGATATAAAGTGAAACCCTCACACACTGCTGGTGGGGACATAAAATGGTACAGCTGCTTTAGAAAACAGTCTGATAGTTACTTAAAAGGTTAAGCAATTTTAGCTATCTCCCCAAGGAAAATTACTATGTCCACATAAAAACTTTTAGAGCAATGTTATAGCATTAATTTTGATAGTCAGGTAGAAAAGGCTCAAATGTCCATCAACTGATTGATGATTATTTAGCAATAAAAAAGGAATGAAACACTGATACATGTTAAAACATAGATAGACCTTGAAAAAACTTTGCTAAGTGACGGAAGTCAGTTACAAAAGACCATATATTATACGATTCCATTTATGAAATTTCCAGAATAGGCAAATCTATAGAGACAGAAAGTGAATTAGTAATTGTCAAGAATAGATTGTGACTACTACTGGATCACATTATTAAGAAATTCCTGTCTAGGGATGGTAAAAATGTTTCAAAATTGAGTGAGCAATGGTTGCACATCTCTGTGAATATACTATAAACTATTTAATTATACACCTTAAATGTGTGAATTGTATGGTTTATAAATTTTATCTCAGTAAAGCTGTTATATTAAAAATCTAATATATTTTCTCTTCATATTTGCATACACACATACAATTTATTTTAAATATTAGTTTAAACTATGTATTATCTTTTTACTAACTATATACTTTACATCTAGAAAAAGATTTAGTGATAATAGAGATTTCAAATTATGTTTATTCATTTGTGATTCTCTAATCAAAAGTTTTAAAACTTAGTCATTCTTAGAAACCAGTGTCTCTTGGAAAACTGACTATCAGAGGAATAAATATTATGTCTATAATTAATTGGGGATATCAGGAATAAAATCAGTTAAAAAATAACTATATTTCAAAAAGTATATGTTATGCAAAGCAGTAAAACATGTTCCCAGGAATTAAATGTAAAAAGACCACAAATACTAATAAACAGCTATCTTAAAATGTAAAAAGCAAATATATAAAAATGTCTTTCTGCAAATAAAAGAAAAAATATTTTAGAACACAATTGAAATCTCAACAAAGAATAAAAGATAATTTGCAGCAGAAGAAACTTGGATGGCTTCAACGTTGCTGCTAATCATAAAACGTGATTTTACCTAGCAGATTCACAAAAATTAAAAATTCAGCTAAAAATAGCCCTTCAACAATACTGATGATGATGATGAAAATTATAAGCTTATGTAAATAGCAAATACATATATGTACAGACTATTGCATTAGACAATTTTATTCCCCTGGCTTCTAAATAACTTTGCCACCTTTATTTGGTTCTGTGTACTTAGCTACTGTTGGTTCAAGTGAGAGTTAGTGCCATGGAAGGGAGAGATAGAGCCTGAGAATTGATGTCTTAAATAAACAAGTAAACAATCTTTTAGGAGAAGGTGGACCCTCAACTTGGCTAGATTTGCTTGATTCTGTTTTTATTTAAGTTTTCTGAGTCACCAGGGAATGGTCACCATCAATTTAGAATCTGAGTGTCCAGGCAACAGCTAGGGATGTCAACTTACTGTGAATCACTCAATAATTTACTTGCTCGATCTGTGTTTCAGAATATACCCTTTTGTTTTTCCTCCTCTCTAAGTGACAAGCATGGAGTTAACAGCCAATTATTGATGAGATTATTTTAGTTCTAGTATAAACAGATTATATGCTTTAGTGCTGCTTCTTGAGTCCTATAGTTTTATCCCTTTGTTCTCTATCTTTAAATTTGATGTGTTTAAAAAATTAAGAAAACAAATGCCTAATGAAACGATCAAAAATATTACATAAAGACTTTCACATTTGTTTGTTATTTGTGCCTTACTGCCTGCTTGCATCCAAATCAGAGATGGCATCATGCTCTCTTTACTTTCCAAATTTTTTAAGTTCTTCCATTTGTGAGGCAACGAGGTAGCTGCTGAGATTGCTGCATGGCAAACATTGACAGTGGTCATATCTGCACTGTTTTACAGGCTTCATGAGCCACAACATGCCAAACCAAATCACATACAGACCAGAGTTTTTAACTGGAGGCCCACAAAATCGCAAGAACTCCATGGATATGATCCATAGTGTAAACCAAAATAAAATTGTAAACCCCTTAACAAACTGCATGGACCCTCTCTGGGCCAAGGGAAAGCTAAAAAACTGAATTCCAGACCATGATGGGAGGCGAGGTCTGACATGCTTCATTATAAACTCCCTGCCTTTTGGAGTTTAGGCACGAGACCAGAATTAACATTAAAACTGAGATTAAAGACTCACCAGACAGACTCTTTGTGACAAGAAGACATCAAATTCCATCTCTGGTATAGCATCACCTGATCAATAGCAAGGTCTCAAGAAAATCAAAGTATTTTACCCCAAAATGTATTTCATTGAAGTATTTTGAAATGACCCTGCAAATGCTGTCTGTTGCAAGGGATACTTGCATCTGTAGAGAATCTCCCTCCCTTTCCAGGTCTTTTCCAAATTCAGGAGAGATTTAACTAAGGGTCTGACACCATTTAAGGTCCAAAAAGAGACATTTACCATCTATTCCCTCTGAAGCCTTAATATGGTTTGGCTGTGTTTCCACCCAAATCTTACCTTGAATTGTAGTTCCCATAATCCCCATATGTGGTGGGAGGGACCCAGTGGGAGGTTCCCAGTGGGAGGTAATTGAATCATGGGGGTGGTTTTCCACATGCTATTCTCCTGATAATAAGTTCTTACGAGATCTGATGGTTTTATAAGGGGCTTCTCCTTCACTTGGCTCTCATTCTTCTCTTTCCTGCTGTCATGTGAAAAAGGATGTGTTTGCTTCCCTTTCCGCCGGGATTCTAAGTTTTCTGAGGCCTCCCCAGCATGTGGAACTGTGAGTCAATTAAACCCCTCTCCTTTATAAGTTATCCAGTCTCAGGTATGCCTTCATAGCAGCGTGAGAATGGACTAATACAAACCTACTACTTAGAGGCTTCATCCAAATAACAAGAACCATGGCTTCCACAACTCCCCTTATCTTAACTTAAGCATTTCTTTTTAGTGACTTGAACTCTTTTGGCAAAGCTCAACTCTTTCAATCAATTGCCAACCAAAAAATCTTTAAATCCACCTGTTACCTGTAAGCACCCCCACACTTTGAGATGTCCCTTCATTCCAGGCCCAACCAACGTATGCATACCTTACATGTAACACGTATTGATTTACATCTTTGCCTATAACTTCTTTCTCCCTAAATTGTATAAAACCAAGTTGTAAACTGATCACTTCAGGCACATGTTCTTAGGACCTCTTATTGCTATACCCAGGGCCATAGTCACTCATATTTGGCTCAGAATAGACCTCTTTAAGCATTTTACAGTGTTTGGCTTTTTTGTCAACAACAGTCATAAACTTAGATGGGAAAGAAAAACAGAAAACTTAATTTTCACTAAACTGTGGCTGAAACTTTGCATTTCATTTAGTTGTGAAAGTAGGCAATAAACCATAGTAGTAGTATCAGTACCTGTGGCTTTCCCATCAATAGAAATCACATACATTTTCATATCACTTAAGGGTGAAATTATAGTAGTTAATAGATCTTATTCACTGTTGTAATATGAAAGTATATGTATTTACCACACAGTTATTTTTTAATATTTAAAACTTTATTCCATTATATTTATTTCCTTTATAATTCTATGTATTTCCTTTTATGTATTTTACTTCATTTTCATTTTATTTCATTTTTCTTAGAAGGGGTCTGTGAACTTTGTTAGATTGCCAAATGACATAACAACACACAAAAAGATTAAGAATTCCTGCTCTAGACCAATTTACAGTTTTCCAATTGTTAAAAAACCAAAACCCAAATTTCTTAACCTGAAATTCAAGACTTGAGATAATCTTGCCCTTCCTATTTCACACCACCCTTTCCATTCGAACTGACCCATTGGCGTCTGCCTGTCAGCGCCTGCACCGCCAGCTCACCCACACCTGCAACCTTTCTCACATCGCCTACACTGGAATGCCCTCTGCACTCAGCAACTCTTCGAAGAATTATTGTTAGTGCACAGGAGCTTTGTGATAGATGCAATGTGAGGACTCCTCAGTGAGGAAAGTTAGATGGTTTTCTAAGTATTCCACCCTGAAACCAACACAAATGAATCCGAGAAGACAGAGGCAAAGACACCCTAAAGAAACTGAAGTGTAACAAGAATTGGCCATCATGTGACTCAATTTACATATTCAATACACAATCTTGTCTTTCAGGAAACTTATTAGGCACTAATAAGAGTTAACATTTATTGAGTGTTTGGCACATGCCAAATACTTCCCTGAATGCTTTACAGGCTTTAACTATTTCATTTTAAAGCAACCCTGTGTAACAGGTACTTTGGTTGTTGTTTATTTCACATATGAGGAAAACGAGATGCTAAATCACTTGCCTAAGGCCACCAAGTTAATAAGAGGCAAAGTCAGGACTCAAGACTTGCCAGTCTGGCCCCAGTCCACACTCTTATTCACTACGCTATATTAGCTCTTGATGAGTGCAGAAGAAAGATGCAAAAGTTGATGATAATATCTCGATTGATGAGATGGTTGTGTCAGTCTAGGGCCATTAAAATTTACATGTTAATCTTATAATATGTGCCCCGATTCCAGACTCACCCAACAACCTCCTGAATGTAATTTGTCCTCCCACATAAGACAAACTATAGGAAGAGTCTATGCTATCAGTGATAATGCAAACTAGACTTCCTGGTTTCCATGACAATTACATTTTTGTCAGAAAATTTTAAAATTGGCCCTTAAGCTTAGAATATAAAATAGACATACTTTTCCCTATTCCTCCCACCAAGCACATCTAAAAGCCTTGGACATTATGTAAAATAAACCTAAGGAAAACCTAAAAGACAGTAGAAAACAGACTGAGAAGAGGTCTTAGGACATGAGGAACAACATGGTAGGGAGTTCCCTGCATTTTCTTCCTCTTCATCTCTCCCAGACCGAATACTAGAGGAGCTGGCAATCCAAAAATGCCCATGGGCACAGACAAGAAAAAAAGGCTCAAGAAAAACCTATTGTCTCTAATCAAACGACTGGGAAAGGAGTAGAAAACCTTTAGATGACAACTGCTCTGACACAGCCAAATGCCAAAGAAAAAATCCGTAGCTCCACCCACACCCCACCAGCAAAGGCCAAGAGGAGAGCCTGGACTTCCACCTTCACCAGGCTGCAACAGTGTGCTCCAGCCCACCCAGCCCTGCAAGGGTGGCCTCAGAGAAGGAGGAGTATGGAGCCAGGACATTCATCCCTGAGGGGCCTGCTCCCTCCTCTTGGGGTGGTGGTAGAGGCCTAATGGAGACCAAGACTCTCACCACTGCCCAAGGGGAAGGAGGCCGCCCCTTCACTGTGTGTCAGTGGAGTCTACATGGGAAAGAGTGAAAAGGCACCACTACCCTTCCCAGCCAAGGAGTTATCAGTGTTGGGGCCAGAACCCCCACCTCTTCCCAGCAGTTACAATGAACTTCAGATGGAACTAGAATCCCTCTTAGAGGCCTCCAGGCCACCCAAATATGGAAATAAGGAAAATTTTTGAGTTTCCTTCAAGGGAGATTCCAGGCACCTAGCTATCCCTGAGAAGTAAATGAGAAACCTGATAAGCAAGAAGGTAACAGTAACTTAAAACAATAGCCAAGGGCTGGGCACGGTGGCTCATACCTGTAATCCCAGAACTTTGGGAGGCCGAGGTGGGCAGATCACCTGAGGTGGGGAGTTTGAGACCAGCATGACCAACATAGTGAAACCCCGTCTCTACTAAAAACATAAAAATTAGCTGGGCAGGGTGGTGGGTGCCTGCAGTCCCAGCTACGCAGGAGACTGAGGCAGGAACATTGTTTGAAGAGCTGAGATCACACCAGTGCACTCCAACCTGGGCGACAGAGTGAGACTCCATCAAAAAAAACAAACAAACAAACAAAAAAAAACTATAGCCAAGAAAGAGTAAAAAGATGTATGATTTCCTATAGAAACTAAAGATAGCATCTTAACATATGTTCCTGGATTGCTTTTTAGAAACCCCGAGCCCCCACCAAATGGATCCACTGGCAGGTAGACCTCAGATAAGGGGGAGCTGAGGACAGAATTCTGACCTCTGTCTTTGTTCTAAATTTCTTCTTGAGATGCCTAGAAGAAGTCACACCCGCAGGCCAGAGCTCAATATTCCTTTCTGCTGACCCCAAGTTTTTAGACAAAGCTTTAGTTTTTAAACTAATTTCAAATCAAAGAGTCTTTGAACCCATCTGTAAGCCTCCCTGCTTCAAGGTATCCTGCCTTTTAGGGAAAAGCAATGTATAACCTCCATGTATTAATTTATATGTTTGCCTATTATTTCTGCTTTCCTGAAATTTACTCCTGCCTTTAAAAACTCTAGCTTATAAGCCATTGGAGAAATTGGGTCTTAAGTATGAGTGGTCTGATTCTCCTCCCTTGGTGCCCTGCAAATAAATGTTCTCCTTTCTTCTGCTGCAAAGCCTCAGTATGGATGTTTGACTTGACTGCAACAGGTGAGCAGACTCCAGTTCTGTTCAGTAACAAACCCAAAACAGCTGTCAACATGGAGGCTGAGTAGGAAACCTGGACTTCTATTCCCACCTGGCAGTAACAAGGTGGTGCCCCTTTAATGAGAAACATAGTGTCAAAGGAAGCCAGCTTACAGATAAGGTTTAAATAAGATCCAGAATCTCATAGCATAATAAGCAAAATGTCTAAGTTTCAGTTAAGAAATCACTCATCGCACCAAAAACCAAGAAAATTTTAACTGAATGAAAAAGAGACAACCAGTAATGCCAACACTAAGAAGACAGAAAGGTTAGAATTAACTGAAAATGTGTTAAAATAACCATGATAAAAATGCCTTAAGGAGCTGGAAATAAACAGGAAAAAAGAAAGTCTCAGCAAAGAAATAAAGAAGAGCCGTATAAAAATTTCAGAATTGAAAAACATAATAATTGAAATTTTAAAACTCAATGGATGTTTAAATAGAAATTTTAAAACATCAATGGATGGGCTCAGCAGCAGAATGGAAGAGAAAAGGAAAGAATCAGTGAATTGAAAGACAAACAATCAAAATTATCTAGTCTAAATAACAGAAAATCTGCTGGGAGTTGGGGGCACCAGAGCGTCAAAGACCTGTAGCTCAATAACAAAAAAAAACCCTAACATTCTTGGCATCATAGTCCCAAAAGGAGGGGACAGAGCTATAAGTGTACTCAAAAAATAGTGGTAAAAACTTCAAAAATTTGGCAATAGACATATACTACAAAGTCAAAAAGCTGAGTGAACCTGAGAAAAGGATAGATTCAAAATATCAACACCAAGACACATCATACTCAAACTCTTAAAACAAAAGGCAAAGAACAAATCTTTAAAGCAGAAAGAGAGAAATTACTCCCTACCTATGGGAAAAACAATTCCGATGACAGCAAATTTCTCATCAGAAATGATGAACGTGCACAACATTTTTCAAGTACAAAAAGAAAAGAACCAATATTCTATATCCAGTGAAAGTTTTCTTTGGGAATTAAGAGAAAAAATAGGCATTCTCAGATGAAGAAAAACTGAGAGAATTTGTTGCCAACAGACTTACCCTAAAAGAAGACCAAAGAAAGTTTCCTAAATACAAGGCAACCAATAAAAGGACATGGGAAAGGAAGAACACGGTTTGCAAAAATACAGATTAAAAAATAGACTTTCCTTCTCCTCCAAGTGAAGCAAAAATCTCAACTTGAGAATCTAAACTCCCACCTCAAGAATCTAAAAGAAGATGAGCAAAATAAGCATAAGGAATGTCAAATGAAATAAACAATAAAAATGAAAACATAAACTGATGAAATTGGAAATACAAAGACAGCAAAGAAAATGAATGGAAAAAAAAAGAGCTGCTTCTTAGAAAAGATCAATAAAATTCACAAATCTCTAGCAGGACTGGCAAAAATAGAAGACACAAATAACTAATCACAGGAATGAAACAGGAGATAGCACTATAAGCTCTGAATACATCAAGAGGACAATAAGGGAATTCTATAAACACTTCTGCAGACAACTTAGATAAAACTTCCTCAAAAACACAAACTAACACAACTCACCCAGTGTGAAATAAATAATTTGAATAACCTGAAACTATTAAAGGAATTTAAATCTTATTTTTGAAAGTCTGAAAAAAATTGAAGCCCAGGTTGTTTCACTGGTGTATTGTACCAAAAATCTAAAGAAGAATTAACACTAATTCTACAAACTAGCTTTGTGAATTAAATAGAAAATAGAAGAGGAATTAACACATCTCAATTAAATTTTTAAAGTTAGTATTGCTCAGACAAAAAGCAAAGATAATAGAAAAGGTGAAAACTATAGATTAATACCTCTTTATAAATATAAATACAAAAATTATCAATAAGTTATTAGCAAAGAGGATTCAGTAATATGTAAGAATTATATCCACATGCAAAAAATAAAAATAAAATTGGGCCCTTGTACCACATATAAAAATTACCTAAAAGTAGATTAAAGGCCTAAAACTATGAAATTCCTAAAAGAAATCAGAAAGAAATTTCATGACATTGGACTTGGCAATGATTTCTTGGATATGAGACCAAATGCACAAAGAATAAAAGAAAAAAAGACAAATGATAGTACATCAAATTTTAAAAGTTTTTTGCATCAAAGGACACATTAACAAGGTGAGAAGGCAACCTACCAAATGGAAGAAAATACTTGCAAATTATATATCTGATAAGGGGTTAATATTCAGTACATATGAAGAACTCCTACAACTCAACCACAACAATAAAAATAATCCATTTAGAAAATGGGCAAATGACTTGAATAGACAGTTCTCCAAAGATGATATACATGGCCTGGTGCAATGGCTTACACCTGTAATCCCAGCACTTGGGGAGGCCGAGGTAGGCAGATCACTTGAGGCCAGGAATTTGAGACCAGCCTGGCCAACATGGAGAAACCCCATCTCTACTAAAAATATTAGCTGGTTGCGGCAGCACATGCCTGTAATCCCAGCTACTTGGAAGGCTGAGGCAGGAGAATCTCTTGAACTCAGGCAGGGGAGGTTGCAGTGAGCTGAGATTGCAACATTGCACTCCAGCCTGGATGATAGAGTATGACTCTGTCTCAGAAAAAAAAAAAAAAAGTTAAAAACAAAAAAAAAGAAAGTAAAAATATGCTCAACATCACCAATCATCAGAGAAATGCAAATCTGCAAAACAGAACCATAATGATATATCTCCTCACACCTATTAGCATGAATACTATCAAAAAGACAGAAAATAAAAAGTGTTGGTGAAGATGTAGAGAAATTAGAATTGTTCACTGTTGCTGGGATTGTTAAATGGTTGATTAAAAAGTATGGAGGCTCCTCAAAAAAAAAAAATAGAACTGTCATATGACCCAGCAATCCCACTTCTGGGTATAAATCAGAAAGAATTAAAAGCAGGATCTCGGAAGAGATACTTGCGCATCCCTGTGCAAAACAGTACTAGTCACAATAGCCAAAAGGTGGAAGCAACCCAAATGTCCATTGGCAGATGAATGGATAAATAAAATGTGGCTGTGACATATGACAGAGCAGGAGCATCACCATCACCATCTTAGACAACCACCACCATTCTGAAGTTCACCTTGATCAAAAACTGCCTAAACCCAAAGGGCATCAGCCTAATGGCTAAGGTCGGCGTGACCATAAACCACAAATAACATCTCCGACCAGAAACATTCCAAACCCCTCCCCAACCAGAGACATGCCAACCCCCAGATAACCTTTCCTCCAGCCAGAGAGATGTCAGCCCCAAGATAATGTCCCCTCCAACCAGAGACATTCCAACCCCACCATAAACTTCTTCCCAACACAGAAACATTCCAAGCTCTCTCACCAATAAATACTTTAGTCTGTAAGAGAGAGTGTTCCTGACCAAAAAAAATATCAGCCAGAAGCCCCTTTCAGGTTTATTCTCCAAAATAAATCTGTCTTTGTCTTTGACTGTTGAGCCACTTTTCGTGCGTCTTTCCTCTTTCTTTAACTCTTATAACATACACATACCATGGAATGTTATTCAGATTTTAAAAGGAAGAGAATCTTGGTCAAGGAGTACAAAGTTTTAGTTATGCAAGATGAATAAGTTCTGGAGATGTAATGTACAGCAGTATGACTATAGTTAGCGATATTGTATTGTATGTATGAAATTTGCTAAGAGTATAGATCTTAAGTGTGGCAAAAAGAAAGGGGGGGAAGAAAATGGTAACTGTGTGAGGGAATCGATATGTTAATTGCTTAATTTTGATGATTATTGTACAATGTATATGTATGTCAAAACATCAAGTTGTACACCTTAAATATATTAATTTTTATTTGTCAATTATATCTTAATAAAGCTGAGAAGAAAGGAAGGCAATCCTGTCATATGCTACAACGTAAATGAACTTTGAGGCCATTGTGCCAAGTGAAATAAATTGTAACATACTGTATGATTCCACTTATATGAGGTACATAAAGTGGTCAAATTCATGAAACAAAAGTGTAATGATGATCATGAGAGGCAGCTGGGAGAGGGGAAAAGGGAGTTGTTGTTTAAGGGGTATAGAGTTTCAAATTTACAAAATGGAAATGTTCTAGAGATTTGTTTCACAATAATATGAATATACTTTTGAAGTGAAAATAAATCTCGGGCCCTCAAAATCACTAAGTTAAAGGGAAAAGTCAAACTGGGAACTGCTTAGGGCAAATCTGCCTCCCATTCTATTCAAAGTCACCTCTCTGATCACTGAGATAAATGCATATCTGATTGCCTTATTTGGAGAGGTTAATCAGTAACTCAAAAGAATGCAACCATTTGTCTCTTATCTACCTATGACCTGGAAGCCCATTCCTGCTTTGAGGTGTCCTGCCTTCACCTCAAGTTGTCCCACCTTTCTGTACTGAACCAATGTACATCTTACACATATTGATTGATGTCTCTTGTCTCCCTAAAATGTTTAAAACCAAGCTGTGCTCTGACCACCTTGGACACACGTCATCAGGACCTCCTGAAGCTGTGTCATGAGGGCACATCTTCAACCTTGGCAAAATAAACTTTTTAAATGAACTGAGATCTGTCTTAAATTTTCAGGTTTCACATACTTTACACTTCTGAACTGTATACTTAAAAATTGTTAAGATGGTAAATTATATGGTATGTGGTTTTTATCACAACTTTATATATACCATGACCAATTGGTCTTTATTCAAAGATGCCAGTCTTCTTCAGTATTTGAAAGTTAATGAATATAATTTATTAGATTAAGACTAAGGAAAAATGCTATAATCATATTGATGAATGCAGAAAAATTTGACAAAATTTAATACACCTTCATAATGAAAACTCTCAGAAAAATAAGAATAGAGAGAAACTTCCTCAACTTGATCAAAAGCACCCACAAAAAAACCTACAGTTAGCATTACACTAAAATACTGAAGGCTTTTTTCCTGAGATAAGATCAAGGCAAGGATGTCTGCTCTCACCATCCTATTCTCCATAATGCTGGGAGTTCTAGTAAGTTCAACAATGCAAGAATAGGAAATAGAAAGCATATAGATCAGAAGGAAGAAATAATACTTTCCCTATTTGCAGATGACATAAATGTCTGCATAAAAAATTCCAAGGAATCTAAAACAAAACCTCCTAGAAGAAATAAGTGAGGTTTGCAGAGTCACAGGAGATAAGATACATACAAAGCAGCAATTACACTTATATATCCTAGTAATAAACACAGGGACACCACAATTTAAAACACAATACCATTTATAATTGTCCCAAAACACAATACTTTCCTGTAAAGCTGACAAAGCATGAACAGGAATTGTGCATTTAAAACTACATAATACTGATGAAAGAAGATCTAAACAAATGGGGTGACAAACCATGTTCATGGATAATAAAGCTAAACACAATAAAGAAGTCAACCCTCCCCAAAATGATATAAAGGTTTAATGCAATTTCTATCTAAATCCTGGTAAGAGGCTTTGTAGATATAGACAAGATTATTATAAAATATATATGACAATACACAGGAGCTAAAATAACTAAAACAATTTTGAGAAAAAGAATAAAGTAGGAGGAAACCGTCTACTCAATTTTAAGACATATTATTTAGCCACAGCAACCAAGACTGTGATGTTGACAGATGGATAGACACATAAATCAATGAAACAGTGAACTCAAAATGGACCCACACAGATATATACAACATCTTGATAAAGGTTCAAAAACGGTTTAATGGAGCAAATGACATGGAGGAAAGATAGACTGTTTAATTCATGGTACGGGAACAACTGGACATCCATAGGCAAAAGAATATGAACATTTAACTCAACAACACACCTAATACAAAAGTTAACTCAAAATGGATTACTTAAGATAACACATAAGATTATCAAATCTTTAAGAATAAAACATAGGAGCAAATCTTGGAATCTAGTGCTGAATAAAGAGTTCTCGTTTTATATTTTTATTTTTTTTAAAGAAATGGGGTCTTGCTATGTTGCCCAGACTGGTCCCAAACTCCTGGGATCAAGCAATCATCCTACCTCAGCCTCACAGCATTCTGGATTACAGGTATGAGCTGCAGTGCCTGGTTTTTGGACACCAAAAGCAAGATTTCTAAAAAGAAAATTAAGTTGGACTTCATCAAAATTTCAAAATTTTGTACTGTGAAAGATAATAAAAATGCAAGCTATTACAGATGGGGAAAATATTTACATACTATGTATCCAAAAAAGGACTAGTATCTGGAATATATAAAGAACTCTCAAAATTCAACAGTAAAATAAACAAATAACCCAATTAGAAAGTAGCTAAAAGAAACAAAGAGACATTTCACTAAAAAGGATATGCAGATGGCAAATAATCACATGAAAATGTGTTGAAAATCTCTAGCCATTATGGAAATGAAAATTAGAACCACAATGAGATATCGCCACACACCATACTAATGGCTAAATAAATAATAATGACAACACCAAATGCTGATGAGGATGCAAAGAAATCAGAACGCTCACATATTGATGGCAGAAATGTGAAATGATACAGCCACTCGAGAAAACAGTTTGGCAATTTCTTTAAAAACTAAACATGCCACAACCATACAGTCAAACAATTATACTCCTGGGTATTTAATCAAAGAAATGAAAACACGTTTGCTCAAAATCCAATACCCAACGTTTGTAGCAGCTTTATTTGCCACAGCCAAAGCCTGGATCAGCCAAACGTCCCTCAGTGGGTGAAAGAGTGGTACATCTGATCAACCTGTATAACAGAGAGGCTCTCTAAAAGAAAGTAATATTCATTTGGGAATGAAGCATTATAATGGGAATATGCATGCCATAGTAAACTGTGTGCCTATCCAGAGAGGTAAAGGAAGACAAATATTTTTAAAGAAAAAATGAGGAGGATTATATAACTGTTTTGAAATGACTATCCTTGGTTATGAAGATCAATAACAAGGGTGATGCCAGTCCAAGTCTGGACAGGCAGTTGCTGAGAAAACGACCTTGCAGAAGTATTTTTTTGTGTGTAAGATTATGATGTTCTTTGTGCAGGGTTGCGGTTTTGCAGTCTTTTGTGATAGGTTTTTTTTTTTTAGTTGGGTATACAAGCATGAGAACCCTCTTTTCATTACCTTCCCGAGCTCTATTTATCTGGGTTTTCTTTTAACATTGTGGCTTCATTTTGATTCTAACAATTTTCATGTTTCTCTCATTTGATCAAGATCTTTTTCCAAAAGCATCACTATTAATCATTCTGTAGTTAGGTTTTGATTTCCATCGGTGCCAGGAGGGACCTGTCTCAGCTACTGGTCTCATGGCATGTTGATGGAAGTGATTGGTGACTAGGAGTCAGGGTCAAAACCCATGTAGTCACAGTTGAACAACAAGGGAGGTTTGAAGGAGTGGCTCTCAGGCTGTCTGCTTGCAGTTCATTATTAAGTTCAATTTTGTCTGCTTCATAGCTTTTTGTTATCACCTCAAAGTACTGCGCCAGTATTATTCTTTTAGGAGTTGTACTTCCGTAAAAATTTAACAAATAGCAGATACAAAGTTTAAAAAGCGGATAAACAAAGTAAAATCAATAGTAACATGACAACCCCAGTTGCATAATGGTTTTCAGCCATAAGCCTAGGCTTTAAGACAACTGAATAAATCAAACGACCATAAAGAATTAAGTGAGACCCTTGTTAACTTTGTGACCTGTTTTCTTATTTTGTGTATATAGGTCTCAACTTCCACAGAGGAATTTATTCAGGTATAGCATGTAGTGTTAGTAATAGCATAGACGTTTTCTTATTTAACAATGGATGCTAAATAATTTCTTAGGTGAGGTTCTGTTCAGTTACCAGCAGGTGTTATTGATTATAAGATTTCAATTATACCATTATACTGCCAAATGAAAAAGGTAGCATTAAAAGGATAAGAGTCTCATAATGACATGAAGTCTTGTTCCAGTGTCGTGAAAAAAAGTGGTCTATAATGTGAAAACGCTAACTACTACTCCTGGTTTGCATTTCAACTCTCTCTTCTATGGCATCAGGTAGTTTTATGAATGAACTTGCTGTGTGGCCCATACATCAAGCATGAGACTTGTTTTTTAAGATTTATCTAGTTTCAGCTTATAAGACTTTAAGAACATAACAACCTTTGATTTTAGTTGGAGAGCTGTAGCCAAGTATTGGAGGAAATTAGGAGAATTCAGGATTAAGTCCAGTCTACAGGTAGACAATAAGAACTTGAAAACAATGCACAATGCAAAACAGAGCTACTATCTATTAACAGGGTACTATAGTTTTTCTTTGAAACATGACTTTTTTTCCTATGCCAATCACATAGGAATCTCAGATTTTAAAACTTCTTGGGGCTAGGAAACTGATTTTACTAACATTCTTAAGGTTTCTGGGTCTGGCAGAAAGTGACAATTCTTACTCATTCACTATAAGACTGGAATACTTGAAGCCAGGCATTTTATGTTCATTCTCAAATACGTTATTTTAGCTGAAGCTTTGGAAATATAATCAATGTTTCCAACTGTGTATTAATATAGAGACCAAATCTTTATTAAACTTATGTAAATAATCATATTGTCATAAAAATAAGCGTACTCATGAATAGTTTCTGAATTTTGGAAAAATCAAGTAGGGAAGAAAATCAAATTATTGAGAGTGGACAGTGGCAGGACACACATGCTGGCCTGAAGGAAGAGGAAGCTGGGAACCCTGCACAGGGCTGCTGTGCACTGGAACTTGTTCCTGGCCTTCAGTGACTCTTGGGGAAGAGAAACAAAGCCAGTTGACTGAACCTACCTTGTACCACTTTATACCAATCAAACCCCAAGAGAATCAAAGAAGAAAAAAGTGAAAAGAAAAACTCATCCAAAGTACAGCAACTTCAAAGATTGTAGGAACATCAGCCCATGCAGATTTAAAAAACCAGCTCAAGAACTCTGGCAACTCAAAGAGCTAGGGTGTCTGTTTGCCTCCAAACAAGTGCACTAGTTCTCTAGCAATGGTTCTTAACCAGGCTTAAATGGCTCAAATGACAGAAATAGAATTCAGAATATGGACAAGAACAAAGATCATTGAGATTCAGGAGAAAGTTGAAACCCAATTCAAGGATTCTAAGGCATACGATAAAATGGTATAGGAGATGAAAGATAAAATGGCCATTGTAAGAAAGAACCAAAATGATCTGATATAGCTGAAAACTCACTTCAAGAATTTCAGAATACAGTTGCAAATATTAACAGCAGAATTGACCAAGCCAAGGAAAGAATGTCAGTGCTCTAAGATCAGTTCTCTGAAGTAACAGTCAGACAAAAATAAAGAAAAAAGATTAAAGAAGGATAAACAAAACCTCTGTAAAACATGGAATTATGTAAAACGACCATTTATTTAAAAAAAAAAAAAAAGAGAGAGAGAGACCAAATCTATGTCTCAGCGGTGTCTCTGAAAGAGAGGGAAAGAAAGCAAGCAACTTGGGAAACATTTTTCAGGATATCATCCATGAAAATTTCCCCAACCTTGCTAGAGAGGCCAACATTCAAATTCAGAAAATGCAGAGAACCCTGCAAGATACTATACAAGATGACCATTCCTTAGACACATAGTCATCAGATTCTCCCAGTTTGAAATGAAAGCAAAATATGTTAAAGGCAGCTAGAGAGAAGGGACAGGTCACCTACAAAGGGAACTCCATCAGACTAACAGCAGATCTAGAAACCCTACAAGCCAGAAAAGATTCAGGGCCTATATTCAACATTCTTAAAGAAATTCCAGCCAAGAATTTTATATCCAGCCAAACTAAACTTCATAAGCAAAGAAGAAATAAGATTATTTTCAGACAAGCAAATGCCTAAGAGAATTCATTACCACCAGCCCTGCCTTACAAGAGGTCCTGAAGTAAGTGCTAAATATGGAAAGAAAAGACCATCACAAGCCCCCACAAAAACACACTTAAGTATACATACCATTGATACTATAAAGCAACCACGCAATCAAGTCTGCAATAATCACCAGCTAACAACATGAAGACAGGATCAAATCCATACATATCAATATTAACCTTGAATGTAAACAGATTAAATGTCTCCAATTAAAAGGCACAGATTGGTAAGTTGGGTAAACAAGCAAGACCCAACTCTATGCTGTTTTCAAGAGACTCATCTCACATGCAATGACACATTTTGGCTCCAAGTAAATGGATGGAGAAAAATCTAGCAAGCAAATGGAAGAGAGAAAAAAGCAAGGGTTGCTATTCTAATTTCAGACAAAACAGACTTTAAACCAGCAATGATCTAAAAAGACAAAGAAGGGCATTACATCACAGTAAAGGTTCAATTCAAGATGAAGGCCTAACTATCCTGAATACATATGCACCCAACACAGGAGAACCCAGATTCATAAAGCAAGTTCTTAGAGATCTACAAAGAGACTTAGATAATCACACAATAATAGTGGGAGACTTCAACACCACTGATAGTATTAGATCACTGAGGCAGAAAACTAACAAAGATATTCGGGACCTGAACTCTACATTTGACCAAATGGACCCTAAGAGACATCTACAGAACTCTCCACTCCAAAACAACAGAATATGCATTCTTCTCATCTGCACATGGCACATACTCTAAAATCAACCACAGAATTGGCTCGTTAAACAATCCTCAGTAAATTTAAAAAAAAAAAAATGAAATCATACCTCCAATGCTCTGAGACCACAGAACAAGAAATAAGTGTGGAGATTCCTCAAATAACTTAAAACAGAACTACTGTTCAACCCAGCAATCCCATTACTGGGTACATACTCAAAGAAATAGAAATTGTTTTACCATAAAGACACATGCATGTGTATATTTATTACAGCACTATTGACAACAGTAAAGACATAGAACCAACCTAAATGCCCATCAACAATAGACTAGGTGAAGAAAACGTGGTACGTATGCACCATAAAATACTACACAGCCATAAAAAAACCAAGGTCATGTCCTTTGCAGCAACATGAATGGAACTGGAGGTCATTATCCCAAGCTAATTAATGTAGGAACAGAAAACCAAATACTGCATGTTCCTACTTATAAGTGGGAGCTAAACATTGAGAACATATAAACACAAAGAAGGGAACAACAGACAACGGAACCTACTTGAGGATAGAGGGTGAGAGGAGGGTGGCGGTTGATAAACTACCTATGAGGCACTATGTTTGTTACCTGGGTGATGAAATAATCTGTACACCAAACTCCCATGACATGTGATTTACCTGTATAACAAACCTGCACATGTACCCCTAAACCTAAAGTAAATATTAAAGAAATGTGAAAAAAATTGATTCCACCTTTGTTCACAAAACTATACTTTACCAAATTGTTGTAAACTATAAACAGCTTAAGAAGAAAAAAATCCTTAAATCTGGGAAACAATACATTTAAATAAAGAACCAACCATGTTTTGAATAAAAATCATAAAAACATGATCTTGGTTAGGCACAGTGGCTCACGCCTATAATCCCAGCACTTTGGGAGGCTGAGGAGAGCAGATCACCTGAGGTCAGGAGTTCGAGACCAGCCTGGACAACATGGTGAAACTCCGTCTCTACTAAAAATACAAAAATTAGCCAGGCATGGTGGTGGATGCCTGTAATCCCAGCTACTCAGGACGCTGAGGAAGGAGAATCACTTGAACCCAGGAGGCGGAGTTTGCAGTGAGCTGAGATATTGCCACTGCACTCCAGCCTGGGTGACAGAGCAAAACTCCATCTCAAAAAAAAAAAAAAACAAGATCTTAATCAGTTATTTGATTTCATGTAATTAAATTTTATTTTGCTTGATCAGTTTCTATATTACAGTTCTGAATATTTTTATTTCATCCATTGATCTTAACATTACCAGAAATCGGTGTTCGAGGGTACTTGTTAGACTTCTCCATGAAAAGCAATTTTGGACTATAGCTGATTACAAAGCCATTTAAAGAAGAATTCAAAACAGTAACTGTGGATAACAATAACTGAAGATACTATGATAAAAAAACTGATCAAAGTTCACACTTACAATGAAATTTAGTTATTTTTATTACCTGTGGCATAAAGATAATCAGAATTATGACTGACAATGTCACATTAGGACCATCAGACTTATACATTTTATGTAATCTTTAGGATATTCACATAAATAACATATCCATAAAAATATCATTTTGAAAAAAGATTTAACATTAACAACTAAAATTATGACTGATAACATATTAGATTTTTATGAATTTATATAAAAATTTTTGAAACATTATATCAGTAATATATCCATAAGTGTAACTGAAAGAAGATCTAGTATCGCTTATCATTTGACAATGCTTCCCATACAATTTACCAAATAAGTCTAATCATTTAATATCGCTGCAAAATGAGAGACACATTCTTTGAGGCTCTCCAGGGGCCCAAAGTTAATTTTAGGTGTAACAGGCTTCACTTAGAATTTTAATCCTGGAGAAGCTTTCCAAAGATGTCAAAGGGTTCAAAATACTTCATCCAAATATACTTAGATCTAAATGTAAGTATTAATAGATCTAAATATATTTAGTCTTTATATAAAATCTCAGGGACAAAAATCAAACTTATTTATGATCACCAATTTGTTTTCGTTTTTATCTTATTTCGAAATGACCTAGACATTTAATGAGTATTTATTACGTAATTTAACGCAACAGAGCTTTAAATTTTTTAATTACATAAAAAGTTTACTTATAAATGCTTATACCATTTACATTTACCTGATTTATTTATTTTTAATAGTTTACCTAGATTACTTGTGGAAACTGAGATATTAAACAAAGCTAGTCATCGTTTGGAATTATTTCTGTTAACCATCTTTAGAGCCTGTGAATATCAGGTGTTCATCTAAGTAAAAACTTTAAAGTTAAATAGATGGACATTTTGCCAATAACTCGGAAGATACAGTTGTTTTCATTAAAACAACAATATTAAATTAGTCTTAAGTATCAAAAAAATTGCAAAAGGAAAGGTCATTCTGTTTAGGCTGGGTTTACAGTTTCATCATCTGTGTGTCAACATCCAACAGAAACTAATATAAAGCCACATGACCAGCAAAACTGTATGCAGACAATTCTGAAGATATTTCTATCTTGTTAATAATTTTAAAGCCAGCTTAAGTCACGTAAGCTAAAGAGCCATTTTGGGTTAATTACTATATATTTTATATGAGTATTTATTTACCTAAGCCAATCTAAATAAAATTCCTAGAGCATTTCTGGCTGTGCCAGATTTTACCATGTAGATACAACACATAACATAACACATGTATATGTGCATAAACACACCTAAACATTTATACATATGCACAAAGATCTTATACCTTTAATTTTAGAATTTTAGTCATGAAATCACAATACCAACTCTATAGTTAGAAGTTTTTTAGAGAATTTGAATAATGGCCATTTGAGCTCTGAATTTTTCTTGATGTAATTTTGCCCATCAGTTTTAAAATGGGAAGAACAGGCCATAATATGTAGCTGGCTGGAGTCCCAGGAAACCTGGCATGCCTTAATGTTTGAGAATCCCATTCCATTTCTTATTAACTTCACAAAAGCAAAGAAAATCCTATAAATCCTGTCAGAGGACCTCAGGAGTTTGGACCAGTGTTTTAGAGGGAGTCAACCACCTAGTGGCTTTTAATTAGCCATCTTGTGCCCACCATTTACTATGTTTATGATTACTCTCAGAAAATTTGTGGAAACAAGCAAAGGAGAAGAGTCAAACCAAATCAAAAGAAACCAAGATAATAGTGTTCACAAAAATGTTAACCCAGGCTTTCAAATTAACCAAAATTTTAATCTAGGTACATAACCAAAAGTGAATTCACCAGAAATGCCATGCCTCACAGACAAAATGTAAATTATAGAAACAAGAGTGCTCAACCCAGAGGACACTTGTCTTTATATCAGAAAAGACTTACCAGAAAAGACAAAAAGTCTTTTATCATCCCAGGAGGAATGTATGGTTCTTTAGTAAGGTGGCCTCATGCAGACAAAGTCAAGAGCTTCTACCCAAAAGAGGACTCCTCGGCTGAGAGAAGACTCTCCAGGACAGGAAAGGTGAGCCATGGAAGCAGAGAGCCATGGAAGCAGAGAGGCTCAAGTACTGCAAACTGGTTCCAAGAATCTCTGACTCATCCAAATGGGATCCTACTCTAGGTCCCACTTCTGAACACCATTTATGTCAACATAAATAACAAACAGAGAGATGCTTTCTGAAAGAAAATGATGTTTATTTGGGACTAGAGCCTTGTGATGGGAATACAGTTACCATAGTTAACTATGTGTGTATTCAGGGAAGTAAAGAATGACAAAGGTTTTTAAAGGAAAAATGAGGAGAATAACATAATTGTTTTGAAATGATTATTCTTGCTATAAAGATCAATAACAATGGTAATGCCAGTCCAAGGTTGGACTTTTTTTTTTAACATGAGTAACTCCATTTTGATTCTGACAATGTTCACAGTCTATACAATGGAAATACCAGTCAGCAACAAAAAGGAACAAACTGTTGATAGATTCTACAACCTGGATGAATCTACAAAATTTATGCTGAGTAAGGAGCCAGTCTCCAAAGGTTACATACTGTATGATTCCATATGTAACATACTTGAAATGAGAAAACTATAGAACTGATTACTGGTTGACAAACATTTTAAAAAGAGGGGGAGGCTGGGAGCAGATGGGAAGTAGGTGTGGCTATAAAAGGGGAACTTGGGGCCGGGAGCGATGGCTCATGCCTGTAATCCCAACACTTTGGGAGACCGAGGCAGGTGGATCATGAGGTCTGGAGATCAAGACCATCCTGGCTAACACAGAGAAACCCCGTCTCTACTAAAAATACAAAAATGTAGCTGGGCATGGTGGTGGATGACTGTAATCCTAGCTACTTGACAGAACGAGATTCTGTCTCAAAAAATAAAAGTGGTGGGGGAGCAGAATATGAGGATTGTGTATGATGGAACTGCTGTGTATCTTGACTGTGTAAGTGTCAATATCCTGGTTGTGACATTGTTCTATAGCTTTACAACATGTTACCATTGAGTGAAACTGGATAAAGGGTATGTGGATTTTCCTGTAGTTATTTTTTACACTTACATGTCAATCTACAATTATCCTAAAATAAAAACTTGAAATTGAAGAATGGCCCTTTGATTTCATATGTCAATATTCTGAGGCTGGCTCCTAGATATTCACCTCCATGAGAAGAACTCACCATGTCCCTACACTCAGGTTTCTCAGGGTCAGATTTCAACCATGAAAAATCCAGCAAGGACAATTAGTAGCTGAAGCTTTTCAGGACCTCTGGAAATATCCAGACTTGACACTTGGCATGCTCTTGTCCATTTTCAAAGTTTTGTAAGTTCTAACATTAAGATGATTCAAGTCCCACTTTTCCAAGAAGCTCTGCTCAGCTACCCTGGATCTGACTGATTCCCTATCTCTAAGCTCCTCTAACACTGTCCATTTAGAGCCATGCCATCCAGCGTGGTAGCCACTAGCCCCACAAGACTGCAAAGCACTTGAAATGTACTCATGGAAATTTAGAGGTGCTATAAGGAAAAAATGCAAACCAGATTTGAACTTAGTATTCAAAAAGAATGTAAAACACTTTATTAATTCTAATATTGATTTCATGTTAAAATAATAACATTCTGGATATGCTGGGTTAAATAATTATACTGATAAAATTAATTTCACCTTTTTTTGTTTTTTGCTTTTTTGCATGGTTAGTAGAGAACGTAAAATCAGTTTTGGCTTATGTCATGTTTCTATTGGACAGTGATGATCTATACACATTCATTAAGCATCTATGTACATTACTGCAGTCCTTTCTTTTGCAACCATTTAATAGCTACCTACTATTTACTACTTGTATATACTACCTGATGGCAGAAACCATAGGTGGAATAGGCTCACCTTTTCTGCTCGCCCTCCTAGCCTATCTTTCTGTATTACATAGACTATAAAGCTAAATTTCAGTTCCCCTGAGTCCTCTGTTGGTAGGTTCGAAACAAGCCCTAGCTTCTGTAATCCGGCTTCGCTGTGAGCAACTTAGCAACAGAAGTGACAAAATGGAGGAAGCAGTCACCGTGGGAGAAGCTTCTGACGGGCACAGCGGCACAGGCACCTAGGTTTCTGGGGCAGTATGGCAGGGGTCAAGGGTCTGGTCCTGAGCACCATAGGTGCCAATCCACGGGCCATAGCTGCTGTGTTGCTCTTTCAGACCTCCACGCAGTGTGACTTCTGGCTGGGTTGCTCCTCATTGCGTATTCTCTGGAGATGCAGCATCCCTGCCTGGTTCTCAGGCCTTTTCAGAGATTCCATAACTACAAGTCTGCTTCAATATATTTCCTTATGCTCAGATATACTAAAATAGACGATGGGACCTGTGACTAATCATGCTGACCAAAATCCGTTGTATGTCTTCTGAGGACAAGGACTATTCTCTTTTGAATGTGCATCACTAACATAAAGTGCATCACACAGTAAATAGTTCCATAAATTAATGCTGTTAGTGATAATAATTGAGATCATGTCAGATTCTGCTGCAGCAGAATAGCCATGGGCTTTTCAGAATAAGCATACATAGCATGAAAGAGATTTTTTCAAAGGTCTCAAGTTTTGTGCTAAAGTGAGAGAATTTCATTTGGCTCATTATGATGTGTTCATAAAAAAAAATTCTGTTGAAAAATATCAAGTTACAACTTATATCTTCCTTTCCTCACACTCTGTATATATATATGTGTGTGTGTATATATATATATATGTGTGTGTGTTATATATATACACACACATAACTAATAAGTATTAATCTTTCTGATCACCTAGTTTATTTTTGCACAAATGATGTTCATCAATGTCCCAATAGTCCATACTCTAAATTCAGAAAGCTAATAATGATATCCTTGTTACTTTGAGTATTAATTCTTATCTGAGGTATGTTGGGAGAGGCAATTCACCATGGCTCTTCACATCCCTGCAGGTCCTTGTTGTGTCTATCAAGAATTCAAGGCCCTTTGCTTACAGAGGTATATATGGGGGGAAAAAAGAATGCAGGGTGCTGAACCTCTTCACCTGAGCCATTTCTCTGGGTTGTGTTTTTAGTGAACAATCTTAAAGAATGTATAATGCCTCCATCTGGGCTCTTTTCAGAGTTCCTCAAGTCAGTTCCTTTAGCACAACACATTCCTTATGTAGGCATCCTTCTGGGCTATTCATCCTTTTGGGACTTAAAGAGTAAGGGAACCAATGCATTCATGCCATTTGCAGTGTTGTGAATAATAAAATCCTTTACCTCTGTCCCAAGAGTCTTGTGTCTTCCGTCAGGATTCATAATACAGTAGCAAAGTAACTTACTTTCTAAGTAAGTGAGGTAAAATCAAATGTCAGACCAAATAACATCTAAAGTTTAAGAGTGACTGTGTTTGATTTCTTAATACCAAATATACAATTTTCAGGCTGTGTGGTAATAACATCAATGTAATTCAAAGGACTGGGTCATTTCTGGGTCTTCAGAAATTAATGTTCTCTAATAAGTGTAATAGAAATGCTTTAAGATCTATCGCCAGAAAGCCTGTTTAATTTTCAGAATCTATTAAAATGTGATTGCATTTTATGCTAACAATTATTACCTTTTGTTCCATTTAATTACCCCGAAAGAGTATTTATAGCTTAATCTTCTTGTTCATTTTCAGCAGAAGAGCATTTGTAAATTGCGATTGCAATATTTTCCTATCTCGGTTACCACTCTTGCTTCAGAAGAGGTTGCTGCCTGGTGCACCTCTATTTATGCATTCATTATATGAACATTTGTTGAGTGTCTGTGTTTCAAAAGGCATTGTGCTGAGTGCAGTGGGGAGCCTAGAGATGTCTAAGGCAGGTTCTCTGCAGTGTGTATTATCCACACGTCTATTGAGTGTGGAGGGGAGAAAACCTAGAGGCAGGGCATGGGACAGGATGATCCAGCATGAGCTGCCAACATGGAAACTAGTGGGGACAGAAAGCAAGAGTCTACCTGAAGAATAATTGACTTAAGAGGCTTGAGTGGGTACAAGGCTAGAGGCAAGAGAGAAGAAGTTGCAGATAATGATCTTGAGGTTTAAGATTGGGTGCCGTGAATGCTGATGATGCCAACCACTCAAATGGAGAATTCTGAAAGGAAATCATGTGTGCTGTTTCAGCCACGAGCATCTAGGAAGGGGAGAGAATGTCTCGGAATGCAGAGGAAGTTGGGAAGATGTGAGCTAACCTCTGGGAGGGGTGCGTGGCAAGGCCTGCTCTGTGAATTGTGTGTTCAGGTGATTCCTGGCCTTGTGAGAAGGAGTGATTTCTGCATGGCAGGGTCAGAGAAAAGAGGAGAAAACCTTGTGAACCTCATGTCTGGGAGGAGCATGAGGAAGGGGACTCTAAATGGGAAATGGAAGTAATGATAGGAGAGCGGCAGAGAATCTGTATAATGCAATTCATGCAAAATCAAAGAAGCAGGTATCCAATAGTCAATACCCAAATGCTACAGAGAAGACAAAGAAGATTATTCCTAAAAAAATCCACTGATGTGTGACTTGCATCCGCAAAGCGAAAGCAGAGCTGCACAGGTGAAGGACTGAGCTAAGGTGGGTGGCAGTCCAGAGGCATTTGGTGATGACTGCTAACTCCAAAGGAGCCCTCTAGTTTTTCCTTTTAATCCACAGCAATATGACCTAGATATCCGCAGGCCACACTAGATTCCTTAGCAACAGACATCACCAAAAGGATCAGGAGCTGGAAGTGGAAAGGAGGGAAATGGTGAGCAGCACATGTAGTTGATGGCTGTTGCTTTGGGGTTTCACCTAAATTAGGTGTGACCTGTGTAAAAATGCAGCAGTGTAAATGGATATGATACCAGCAGGCCTATTCAGCAAAAGGGATTTGTATTGCTACAATGTGCTTTCTCTCAGCAACTATGAGGTGTTTCAGGCCCAGGTGATCATGACTGGGCCACACTGCTCCCCATAAGAGAGATCTTGGTGTGTTCATCTGTCCTTGCTGAGATCCAAATGGATTCATTTATAAATGGAATTGATTTCCCTCAACTTCCCCCATTTGCCCACTACCCCAGGCAAACACAGACACACACAGGCAGGAGGCTACTTTCCTTTACTGCAAAGAACAAGCTCTGCCTTAGGTCACTCCAGATCTAATCTACTTCAGCAGTCCTCATTTAAGATTTTGTCAAAATCTAGCATTTTGTTTTGCTGCATCAAATCCAGCTCAAATGACCCCATCCTCTGACAGGCCCTTCTCAAATACAGTTGAGCAACACTGCCTTTGTTTTAGCTTTGCCCGACATTCTGTAAATGTCAATGTGTTGTTTTTGTAATTGGCTTTGTAAACCAATTGGAAAAAAAGAACTAGGCCCTAAGAATTTTGGGGGACTATGCAACAGGGGCTTTTATTGGACCCTTTAAGAAGGGCTAAGAACTGGGATAACAGACCTCAGCCCAGCTGAGCCCCTGCTCAGTACCCAGCCTCCCTGACTCAGCCACCAGATTCTGCAGCCTCCTCAATGCCCAAGTCTTTGACCCAGTGAAAGCACATTTCCAAGCAAACTAGTTGCTCTGTTCTCCACCGTGACATATCATAAACTTGAGTCACGCATTATATCCTTGAATTTCTCCCTCAGCTGCATATTAGTAGGAGTTGTAGTAGTAATATTATTATTTCCACCAATAAAAATAACAGCCATCATTGACTGAGGTTAATCAAGCACTCTGCATGTTCTGAGGACTCTTGCCCCACATCAGTAGTCGTAATAGTGACAATTATCTATGCAGTACCCATTTGATGCAGGTGTTTTACCCGTGGCATCTTTTCTAATCCTCAAAACAATTTTATGAGGTAGATATTGTTATCCCTATCTTACAGGTTAAGAAACACCAGCTGTTGCTGGCGAGATGGCCAAATAGGAACAGCTCCAGTCTGCAGCTCCCAGGGAAATCAATGCAGAAGGCGGGTGATTCCTGCATTTCCAACTGAGGTACCCAGTTCATCTCAATGGGACTGGTTGGAGAGTGGGTGCAGCCCAAGGAGGGCGAGCCAAAGCAGGGTGGGGCAGCCCGTCACCTGGGAAGCTCAAGGGACTGGGGAACTCCCTCTCCCAGCCAAGGGAAGCCATTAGGGACTGTACCGTGCACTCCAACCCAGATACTGCACTTTTACCACGGTCTTCACAACCTGCAGACCAGGAGATTCCTTCCGTGCCTACACCACCAGGGCCCTGGGTTTCCAGCACAAAACTGGGCAGCTGTTTGAGCAGACACCGAGCTAGCTGCAGGAGTTTTTTTCATACCTCAGTGGCACCTGGAACCAGTGAGACAGAACCGTTCACTCCCCTGAAGGGGGGCTGAAGCCAGGGAGCCAAGTAGTCTGGCTTGGTGGGTCCCACCCCCACGGAGCCCAGCAAACTAAGACCCATTGGCTTGAAATTCTAATGCCAGCATAGCAGTCTGAGGTCAACCTGGGATGCTCGAGCTTGGTGGGGAGAGGGACATCTGCCGTTACTGAGGCTTGAGTAGGCGGTTTCACCCTCACAGTGTAAACAAAGCCAAGGGAAGTTCGAACTGGGTGGAGCCCAGCCCTGCTCAGCAAGGCCCCTGTGCCCAGATTGTCTCCTCTCTGAGCAGGACATCTCTGAAAAAAAGGCAGCAGCCCCAGTCAGGGATTTATAGATAAAACCCCCGCCTCCCTGGGACAGAACACCTTGTGGAAGGGGCAGCTGTGGGTGCAGCTTCAGCAGACTTAAACGTCCCTGCCTGGCAGCTCTGAAGAGAGCAGCAGATCTACCAGCACAGTGTTCGAGCTCTGATAAGGGACAGACTGCCTCCTGAAGTGGGTCTCTGACCCCCATGTATCCTGACTAGGAGACACCTCCCAGTAGGGGCCGACAGACACTTCATACAGGAGAGCTCAGGCTGGCATCTGGTGGGTGCCTCTCTGGGAAGAAACTTCCAGAGGAAGGAAAAGACAGTAATCTTTGCTGGTCTGCAGCCTCCGCCAGTGATACCCAGGCAAGCAGCATCCGGAGTGGACCTCCAGCAAACTCCAGCAGACCTGCAGCAGAGGGGCCTTACTGTTAGAAGGAAAACTGACAAACAGAAAAGAATATTATCAACATCAACAAAAAGGACATCCACTCAGAGACCCCATCTGAAGGTCACCGACTTCAAAGACCAAAGGTAGATAAATCCACAAAGATGGGGAGAAACCAGCGCAAAAAGGCTGAAAATTCCAAAAACCAGAACATCTTTTCTCCTCCAAAGGACCACAACTCCTCACCAGCAAGGGAACAGAACTGGATGGAGAATAAGTTTGACAAATTGTTAGAAGTAGGCTTCAGAAGGTGGGTAATAACAAACTCTCCAAGCTAAAGGAGCATGTTCTAACCCAATGCAAGGAAGTTAAAAACCTTGAAAAAAGGTTAGATGAGTTGATGAGTGGAATAACCAGTTTAGAGAAGAACATAAATTACCTGATGGACCTGACAAACACAGCATGAGAACTTCGTGAAGCAACCACAAGTATCAATAGCCGAATGGATCAAGCAGAAGAAAGGATATCAGAGATTGAAGATCAACTCAATAAAATGAAGTGAGAAAACAAGATTAGAGAAAAAAGAGTGAAAAGAAATAAACAAAGCCCCCAAGAAGTATGGGACTATGTGAAAAGACCAAATCTACGTTTGATTGGTGTACCTGAAAGTGATGGGAGAATGAAACTAAGTTGGAAAACACTCTTCAGGATATTATCCAGGAGAAATTCCCCAACCTAGCAAGACAGGCCAACATTCAAATTCAGGAAATACAGAGAACACTAAAAAGATACTCCTTGAGAAGAGCAACCCCAAGACACATAATCGTCAGATGAACCAAAGTTGAAATGAAGGAAAAAATGTTAAGGGCAGCCGGAGAGAAAGGTCGGCTTACCCACAAAGGGAAGCCCATCAGGCTAACAGCGGATCTCTCAGCAGAAACCCTACAAGCCAGAAGAGAGTGGCCAATATTCAACATTCTTAAAGAAAAGAACTTTCAACCCAGAATTTCATATCCAGCCAAATTAAGCTTCATAAGCAAAGGAGAAATAAAATCCTTTACAGACAAGGAAATGCTGAGAGATTTTGTCACAATCAGGCCTACCCTACAAGCGCTCTGAAGAAAGCACCAAACATGGAAAGGAATAACCAGTACCAGCCACTGCAAAAACATATCAAATTGTAAAGATCATCAGTGATATGAAGAAACTGCATCAACTGACGTGCAAAATAACCAGCTAGCATCAAAATGGCAGGATCAAATTCACACATAACAATATCAGCCTTAAATGTAAATGGGCTAAATACCCCAATGAAAAGACACAGACTGGCAAATTGGATGAAGAATCAAGACCCATTGGTGTGCTGTATTCAGGAGACCCATCTCATGTGCAAAGACACACATAGGCTCAAAATGAAGGGATGGAGGAAGATTTACCAAGCAAATGGAAAGCATGAAAAAGCAGGTGTTGCAATCCTAGCCTATGATAAAGCAGACCTTAAACCAACAAAGATCAAAATAGACAAAGAAGGGCATTACATAATGGTAAAGGGATCAATGCAACAAGAAGAGCTAACTATCCTAAATATATATGCACCCAATACAGGAGCAGCCAGATTCATAAAGCAAGTTCTTAGAGATCTACAAAGAGACTTAGACTCCCACACAATAATACTGGGAGACTTTAACACCCCACTGTCAATATTAGACAGATCAATGAGACAGAAAATTAACAAGGATATCCAGGACTTGAACTCAGCTTTGGATCAAGTGGACCTAATAGAAATCTACAGAACTCTCCACCCCAAATCAACAGAACATACATTCTTCTCAGCACCACATCACACTTATTCCAAAATTGACCACATAGTTGGAAGTAAAACACTCCTCAGCAAATGCAAAAGAATGGAAATCATAACAGTCTCTCAGACAACAGTGCAATCAAATTAGAACCCAGGATTAAGAAACTCACTCAAAACTGCACAACTACATGGAAACTGAACAATCTGCTCCTGAATGACTCCTGGGTAAATAACAAAATTAAGGCAGAAATAAAGATGTTCTTGGAAACCAATGAGAACAAAGACAAAACATACCAGAATCTCTGGATGCATTTAAAGCAGTGTGTAGAGGGAGATTTATAGCACTAAATTCCCACGAGAGAAAGCAGGAGAGATCTAAAATTGACACCCTAATATCACAATTAAAAGAACTAGAGAAACAAGAGCAAACAAATTCAAAAGCAGCAGAAGATGAAAAATAACTAAGATCAGAGCAGAACTCAAGGAGATAGAGACATGAAAAACCCTTCAAAAAATCAATGAATCCAGGAGCTGGTTTTTTGAAAAGAACAACAAAATAGATAGACCACTAGCCAGACTAATAAAGAAGAAAAGAGAGAAGAATCAAATAGATGCAATAAAAAATGATCAAGAGGATAGCACCACTGATCCCACAGAAATACAAACTACCGTCATAGAATACTATAAACAACTCTACACAAATAAACTAGAAAATCTAGAAGAAATGGATAAATTCCTGGACACATACACCCTCCCAAGACTAAACCAGGAAGAAATTGAATCCCTGAATAGACCAATAACAAGTTCTGAAATTGAGGCAGCAGTTAATAACCTACCAACCAACAAAAGTCCAGGACCAGACAGATTCACAGCCGAATTCTACCAGAGTTACAAAGAGGAGCTGGTACCATTCCTTCTGAAACTATTCCAATCAATAGAAAAAGAGGGAATCCCCCCTAACTCATTTTATGGGGCCAGCATCATCCGGATACCAAAACCTGGCAGAGACACAACAAAAGAAAATTTCAGACAAATATCCCTGATGAACATCGATGCAAAAATCCTCAGTAAAATACTGGCAACCCGAATCCAGCAGCACATCAAAAAGCTTATCCACCACGATCAAGTCGACTTCATTCCTGGGATGCAAGTCTGGTTAAACACATGCAAATCAATAAACGTAATCCATCACATAAACAGAACCAAAGACAAAAACCACATGATTATTTCAATAGATGCAGAAAAGGCCTTTGACAAAATTCAGCAGCCCTTCATGCTAAAAATTCAATAAACTAGGCATTGATGGAATGTATCTCAAAATAATAAGAGCTATTTATGACAAATCCACAGCCAATATCATACTGAAAGGGCAAAAACTGGAAGCATTCCCTTTGAAAACCGGCACAAAACAGGGATGCCCTCTCCCACAACTTCTATTCAACATAGTGTTGGAAGTTCTGGCCAGGGCAATCAGGCAAGAGAAAGAAATAAAGGGTATTTAATTAGGAAAAGAGGAAGTCAATTGTCTCTGTTAGAAAACTCCATCGTCTCAGCCCAAAATCTCCTTAAGCTGATAAGCAACTTCAGCAAAGTCTCAGGATACAAAATCAATGTGCGAAAATCACAAGCATTCCTACACACCAATAACAGACAAACAGAGAGCCAAATCATGAGTGAACTCCCATTCACAATTGCTACAAAGAGAATAAAATACCTAGGAATACAACTTACAAAGGACATGAAGGACCTCTTCAAGGAGAACTACAAACCACCACTCAAGGAAATAAGAGAGGACACAAACAAATGGAAAAACATTCCATGCTTATGGATAGGAAGAATCAATAAATGACCATACTGCCCAAAGTAATATATAGATTTAATGCTATTCTCATCAAGCTACCATTGACTTTCTTCACAGAATTAGAAAAAACTACTTTAAATTTCATATGGAACCAAGAAAGAGCCTGTGTAGCAAGACAATCCTAAGCAAAAAGAACAAAGCTGGAGGCATCACACTACCTGACTTCAAACTATACTACAAGGCTACAGTAATCAAAACAGCATGATACTGCTACCAAAACAGATATATAGACCAATGGAACAGAACAGAGGCCTCAGAAATAACACTACACATCTACAACCATCTGATCTTTGACAAACCTAACAAAACCAAGCAATGGGGAAAGGATTCTCTGTTTTATAAATGGCGCTGGGAAAACTGGCTAGCCATATGAAGAAAGTTGAAACTGGATCCCTTTCTTACACCTTATACAAAAATTAATTCAAGATGGATTAAAGACTTAAATGTAAGACCTAAAACCATAAAAATCCTCGAAGAAAACCTAGGCAATACCATTCAGGGCACAGGCATGGGCAAAGACTTCATGACTAAAACACCAAAAGCAATGGCAACAAAAGCCAAAATAGACAAATGAGATCTGATTAAACTAAAGAGCTTCTCCACAGCAAAAAAAAACTGTCATCAGAGTGAACAGGCAACCTACAGAATGGGATTTATGCAAATCTATCCATCTGACAAAGGGCTAATATCCAGAGTCTACAAAGAACTTAAACAGACTTACAAGAAAAAACACAAAAAACTCCATCAAAAAGTGGGCAAAGGATATGAGCAGACACTTCTCAAAAGAAGACATATATGCAGCCAACAAACATATGAAAAAAATTTCATCATCACTGGTCATTAGAGTAATGCAAATCAAAACCACAATGAGATACCATCTCACGCCAGTTAGAATGGCGATCATTAAAAAGTCAGGAAACAACAGGTGCTGGAGAGGATGTGGAGAAACAGGAACACTTTTATGCCGTTGGTGGGAGTGTAAATTAGTTCAACCATTGTGGAAGACAGTGTGGCGATTCCTTAAGGATCTAAAACTAGAAATACCATTTCACCCAGCAATCCCATTACCAGGTATATACCCAAAGGATTATAAATCATTCTACTATAAAGACGCATGCACACTTATGTTTATTGAGGCACTGTTCACAATAGCAAAGACTTGGAACCAACCCAAATGCCCATCAATAGTAGACTGGATAAAGAAACTGTGGCACATATACACCATGGAATACTATGCAACCATAAAAAAGGATGAGTTCATGTCCTCTGCAGGGACATGGATGATGCTGGAAACCATCATTCTCAGCAAACTAACACAAGAACAGAAAACCAAACACCACATGTTCCCACTCGTAAGTGGGAGTTGAACAATGAGAACACATGGACACAGGGAGGGGAACATCACACACTGGGGCCTGTCAGGGAGTGGGGGGCTAGGGGAGGGATAGCATTAAGAGAAATACTTAATGTAGATGATGGGTTGAAGGGTGCAGTAAACCACCGTGGCACATGTATACCTATGTAACAAACCTGCGCATTCTGCACATGTATCCCAGAACTTAAAGTATAATAAAAAATAAATAAATAAAAATTAAAATAAAATTTAAAATTAAAAAAACACCATCAATACCCACAACAGAAAACCTCTCAGCCACACAACACATCAAAGGCAGAGCCGAGAGTCAGGACTCAGGTCAGTGTGGCTCCAAAGGCCTCTCCTGGTCCTCTGGTTATTCTCCTAGTTGATGGCTTGGGCAATGTTCTCATGTTCTTGGGGCTCCTCCTGCTCCTTCTTGCTCTGATCCTTGCCATCTCCATCTTCAAGGCTGAGAGCCCCTGCACACCAGTGACTCCAGGTGTCTAGAGCCACTCAGACCACAGCCAGTTCCCGCTCGATGGCCAGGTCTCCACTGGGGGCAGGGTCAGAGCCCAGCTCTGGGGCACCATCAAAGGACGCAGGCAGAGCTTCCTCAAACACTCTATGTGGCCTTGGTTACAAAAGAGAAGGTGCCCAATCAGGATTTCTAAAAATAGAATTGTATTTTTGTACCTGTTTCTAGGTGATGGAGTATATGTCAGGAAAAACAATTACAAGATGTTTAACCAACACAGAGTACCATTTCAAAATAAAAGGTATTGGATTATATGGAATATTGAACAAAAACCCACAGTTGGTATGTATTTGCCATCCCCCACTGCTTACATGTCACTGTCCCTCAGGCCCACCTTTGAGATGCCAGGGGATGTCTATGCCTGTGTTGATCCTGGCCCTGACCAGCGTAAGCAGCCATTACTGCGATGGGCCCCATGCTTAACGAAAATTCAGCAGGCCATACTTCTCCTTGTACAAGAGGTCAGGGGGCCAGGACAGGAGTGACCCACCAGGCTGGTCACTTGGGCTGAAATTCTCTCACCCAAAGCACTGAGCTGGCCCGGGTCTGAGGAGGTTGCACAGCGGTAAGGAAATTGGACACTCTGGAGGTTCAGAGACAGGAAGAGTCCAGGGTCACACTAGGGCGGGTACTGCACACATGTCAGGAGATCGAATGCGGTCCTGGAATACAGGGACTTGGGAATCCCAGGCACACTCAGGGTCCCTCCCCAAGGTACACGGCACCACTGAGAGCCCTGGGCAGGGCGCAGCTACCACAGTGGGAAACCTGCTGCCTCAGGAGGCCTGGGCCCCCGGGGAAGTGCAGAAAGACGCAGAAAGGGCAATGGAGGCACCAGCAGCATGCTGTAAAATCTTGCCTGCAACAAATCCTATCTGGAAGGGAGAACAGAATTCTCACCTTGAAACTTGAATCTTCCTCCACTTTGGTTCCTAGCCCCAAGAAGAACTCCTGTGTCATGTAGCAAATGTAATTTGAAACCAGCCTCAACTCCTTTATGATTTGTTTCTTTATGTGTGGAAATATGTACCAATTTCAAGCAATTGATGTAAAGTGTCAGGACATACTATTGCTAAGCCTAGAGCTGTTAATAAAACAAACAATATATACAAGGCTCTTCCTTCTGGGGGCCAGAGTCTGAAATGGATTTCACTGGGCTGAAAGCAAGGTGCCGGCGGGGCTGCCTCCCTCTGAGGCTCTAGGAGGGAATCTGTTTCCTTGTCCCCTAGAGCCTTAGAGCATGTACTTAGTGCAGGCCCTGCTTTGAGAAACTTCTTTTTCGGGAGATAACACATGGAATTTTATGAACCATTCATAAAGTTCCCTTCTCTTACAAGGAGCCTAGCACAAAGCAAGGCCTAACTGGAAGGCCGTGGGGCCTGGCACTGTTCGTTTTATGTGTCAACTTGGCCCAGCCACAGCCCTCCGCTGTTCCAACCTACATCTAGGTTTCCTGTGAGGGTCTCCTGCACGTGCCATTAAAGTTCAAAATCAGTTGACTATAGATAAGGGAGATTATCCTAGACCATCCCGGCGGACCCAAGGCAACCCACTGAAAGGCCTGACCAAGGCTTCCCTGAGGAAGAAGGAATTCCGCCTGTGGACAGCGGCTTCTCACAGGAAGAGGTCCAGCTGCCCTGCCTGAGGTCCGCCCTGTGTGTCTGCACCTGCACACTCAGCCCCACAAGCGTGTGAGCCAATTCCTCACCATCAATCTCTCTTTTTTTTTTTTTTGAGATGGAGTCTCACTCTGTTGCCCAGGCTGGAGTGCAGTGGCGTGATCTCGGCTCACTCAAAGCTCCTCCTGGGTTCACGCCATTCTCCTGCCTCAGCCTCCCAAGTAGCTAGAACAACAGGCACCCGCCACCACACCTGGCCAATTTTTTGTACTTTTTTCTTTTTTCTTTTCTTTTTTTTTTTTTTTTTTTTTTTAGTAGAGATAGGATTTCACTGTGTTAGCCAGGATGGTCTCAATCTCCTGACCTCGTGATCCATCCGCCTTGGCCTCCCAAAGTGCTGGGATTACAGGCGTGAGCCACCGTGCCTGGCCTCCTCGCCATCAATCTCTTAATACATCCGTTTCCCGTTCCTCTTCTCCGGCAGGGCCCTGCCTGGTGCTACAAGGACTGCTGTGGGCAGAGGTCAGGGATGCCCCCTCCCGTGGTCACAGTGAGGACAACCGGGCACCAGAGGGGCATCAAGGTAAAGTCCAGGATAACAAGAGCAGGAAGTCCAAACTAAAGCAAAATTGCCAAGGAGTAGGCAGGGTTAAGAGAGCATCCTCCAAGAATCAAAACGAGGGAGGGCTCACGGACCCAGAAAGGCGGAGCTCAGAAGCTAGGTGATGGCTGGGATCTAGGATCATGCCAGACAGGGCAGGGCTCGGCTATGGTGAGTAAGGCATTGGGCTCAGGCCAAGAAAACTCAGTCATCAAGATAAATATCTTAATACCATACTTTAAAAATAAAAATGAATGCAAAAAATCTAGGATGAACCAAATATAAACCTTTTAAAGAAAGACGGGATCAGAAAGATCCAAATGCTGTCGGTGGCTGAATTATGTATACCAGCCCAGTGGTCTCTGAAATTTCGTTTTGTCTGGTGGGCCTGGCTGCTGGTCTCTTAGGACCTAGGGGAGGTTGCAGATGGTCTTCCTCAAGCTTGTGGTTCAAACACTGTTGGACAAATACCAGAAGGAAGTGGTGACCTAGTAAACCTGCCAAAGTTATGGTACAAAAGCACACAAACTGAGATGCTAGTCCACCAGCTGGATGAGCAGCAGGGCAAGATATGGAGCCGGGCTTGGAAACGGAGGGCAAAGAACTTGGAGAGAAAAATGGCAGAGCAGAGAGAGACTGGGGCACCATGGCACAGAGACTTAAATAGCACACAAGGGAAGACCTCCATCGGTAACCACTGTGGGAAAGTGTTTCTTTAACTAATTAGAAACAGCATGATACCATTTGACTGTGGTTTGTTTGAAAATTAACTGAGTCCGGCCGGGCGCCGTGGCTCACGCCTGTAATCCCAGCACTCTGAGAGGCCGAGGCAGGCGGATCACAAGGTCAGGAGATCGAGACCATCCTGGCTAACACAGGGAAACATCATCTCTACTAAAAAAAAAAAAATACAAAAAATTAGCCAGGCGTGGTGGTGGGTGCCTGTAGTCCCAGCTACTTGGGAGGCTGAGGCAGGAGAATGGCGTGAACTCAGGATGTGGAGGTTGCAGTGAGCCGAGTTCACACCACTGCACTCCAGCCTGGGTGACAAAGCGAGACTCTATCTCAAAAAAAAAAAAAAAAAAAAAAAAAACGAAGAAAATTAACTGAGTCCAAATCAATGCAAGTTAGAATGCAAAAACAAAAACAAAAACAAAAACAAAGCACTTTACCGAGTTAAGGGGAGTTAAGAGCATTTTGGTTTTTTTCTTCTTTACTCTCTTCACTTCATAAGAATGAAACACTAATATTTAATATTTTTGGGGTTTTTTGAGTGCCTTAAGACAGCATGGATTTATTTTCTCATAGTTCTGGGGGCCAGAGTCTGAAATGGGTTTCACTGGGCTGAAATCAAGGGGTTGCCCAGGCTGGATCTCTCTGGAGGCTCTAGGGGAGAATCTCTTTCCTTACCTCTTCCAACTTCTGGGGGCTGCCTGCATGCCTAGGCTTGCAGTCCCTTCCTTGCATCCCTTCAACCTCTTTTTCTTAATTCTTAATTTTTAATTTTTGTGGGTATATAGTAGGTGTGTATATAATAGTTAATATTTATATAACAGCACTTTGCTATTGTGATGTATTAGGAACCAACCAAATATGAAATGTGGTATAGCTCAGGAGAAGCCAATCAGCAGGAGATGTTGGGTGCACATTCATGTACAAACACACACACACACTCATGCACATGCACACTTACATGCAACTCCCTCCCCCATTGTCCTCAGATACACTGCTTATTCAGAATTAGTCAGGACAAGAATATTCCCCTTTCTAATGCACAAAAACGTATTTATTCTATAGGGTAAACATGGTAAGATTTCTTTTTACATATTATTTCCATTATTGCTATATTTACATTATTACCAAAAAATGAACAAATATAATACATAATTAAATAACACTGTTGTTTTATATTGATTTTACTTATATTGGATATTAAAAATCATAACTATCAAAAGTGCATGTCATCAATAGGTGAATGGCAAGTTTTGCCCCAAACTTATTATTTCCAGGCCAGGCACAGCGTGGTGGCTCACGCCTGTAATCCCAGCACTTTGGGAGGCCAAGGCAGGTAGATTGCTTGAGGCCAGGAGTTTAAGACCAGCCTGGCAAACATGGCTAAAAGCTGTCTCTACTAAATTATACAAAAAATTAGGCCTGTGGTGGCACAGGCCTGTGATCCCAGCTTCTTGGAAGGCTGAAGCACGAGAACTGCTTGAACCCAGGAGATGGAGGTTGCAGTGAGCTGAGATCACACCCCTGCACTCCAGCCTGGATGACAGACCAAGACTCTGTCTCCAAAAAAAAAAAAAAAAATTATTATTTCCTTTATAAAGTGCTTCACATACCCGAAATATGTGATTCTCATAGCAATTCATGCCCACACAGTATTAATTATTGGTAATACCAAATAGTAAGATTTCTATGTAAAAATAACTATATTCAGTAATACATGTGTCTAATTTAAAATAATAAATTCCATACAATTATTATTAGAATGTAGGCACAGCCGTTACAAATAATGGATCAGACAGTTACCCTAATGAATACATGAGCCACATTTCCAAGTCCTGCAAGGCCAGGGAGTGCGGGCACTTTGGAAGTCCACACTGCAGATTTCTAAGGGCTGAACTGAGTCAAAGGCATTTCGGTTTGACTGCAGACACTGTCCTTTTCCAGCTTGTGATCTTGTTCACGTTAACTCCTCTGAACCCATTGCTCACATGCAAAATGGAGATTGTTAAAATAATTTTCCTTAGTTATTATGAGGATTATAAGAAAAATGTGTACAAAGTGCCACTGGCATAAGATCTGGCACTTTAAATAAATGTTTGTTTCTTTTCTTTGCTGGCTGAAGAAAGTGGTGGGGGAAAGCCTTTTTTCATTTCTCATGAGGATTTAACAAGGACTCTAATATGTGGGCCCTGTATTTCTAAACTTGAAATGATGTGTTTCTGAGAACTTAGAGCACTCAGGGCAGCAGCTGTCTGATCTTGTGAAGTCCTCTAAGGAAAGTCTCTTTCCTTAGAAAGACAGAGGCATCCAAAAACCTCTGAAGCCCCAGCACAGCTGTGCGCTGGACTCTTTGGCTCTGGCTAAGGGACACATGAAAGCACAGAAGGACACCGAATGTCTTCATCAGGGTTGGCCAAGAGGCAGAGTGAGCAAAGCCGTAGGCATCTCATATCCTAGCGATTTCAAGGGCATAAAACACACCATTCATCCTTAATCGTGTTTCATGTTTCTGCTTGAGCATCATTTAATAACCTTCAAATATTATGACTATTTGTATGGATGTCATATCCACTTGATTGAATCATGTAAATGAGTCAGACCTACTCCAAGTAAACTTTCTAAGGGGCCATCTCTGAGAAATCTGGACTGAAATCATGACAATTATTTTTGTATACAATAAATATTTACCAATAAGTATCTATAAATATCAACATGTATTTTTTTCTCTAGAAAATCAGATACGGTTTTAAATGTAAGTAGTTTACTTATAACTCTTTGAGTACAAGAACTTTGACTCAGGGTTTGTTTGTTTTTTCTTTAGCACTTTCCTATTATAATGTGAGTGTAATTTAAAATCTCTCTAAAGTACTAAAGCAACCAACAGGGTTGACAGGTGTTGACAAGTCTGTTTAATTGACTCTGATAAAGAACGACATATACAGTACTCAGAAAACAGTTGTTGAATGAATGAATTGCCAGGGTAAGGAGTTAGGTAAAAGGCAAAATTGTGTGGGGAAGAAAATTAATTTACGGAGAGGTTAGGGATCTTATTCTGTTTCGTGTGTCCCTTACAAGTCTCTTAAATTCTCTCAGTCCCAAATCTTTTATCTGCAAAATGAGGATTCTCTTACTAATGCTACAAATTATCATAAGGATTAAATTTTATGTCATGCCTAAATGGTGCAGTACAGCATTGTAATAAATGTCAGTCTCCTCAATTCTGCAGGGAGATACAGTAAAACACCACAAAGGTAAAAATTAGTGAGTTATCATTGCAAAACTATTTGTAAAGGTGAATGTCAAAGGGACCATGATGACACTGGATTTTCCCTCATCACAGTATGAGTCAACAATCATCTAGTTGCAAAAGACTAAAATCCAACTAGACTAGTTAGAAAAAGAAGGGTTTCCTGGAATTTTCAAAACCCTTGAGAAAGGCAGGTGTAGAGGGATTTACGTTAGCACCAGGGATTTCTGTCCAGGTTTTTTCTGCTTTTGTGTATGTTGACTTCATTCTCTCTTCCATATGACCAGAGTTAAAACAGGGAACTGAGAAAGAAAAGCATAAACCCTGGAGTGCTGGATTGGAAGGAACTACAGGTATCATATCAGTATGACTGTTTTTTTGTGTGGTTTTGGGGTCTTGCTCTGTGGCCCAGGCTAGAGGGCAGCGGCATGATTATAGCTCACTGTAGCCTCAAACTCCTGGGCCCAAGCGATCCTCCTAGCTCAGCCTCCCGAGTACTGGGACTACAGGCATGCGCTACCACGCCCAGCTAATTTTATTTTTATTTTTGTAGAGATGGGGCCTTGCTTGTTTTTTATAGATATATAAATATAGGCATGTGTTGTGTGCATGTATCTCCTCACAAAATATGTATTAGTTACAGAGAGGAAAATAGAAACTTGACAGTGAAGAAATCTACAGATACCACATCAACTCGACCATCAGGTACCTCAAAAAGGGGTACAAATCGTCTTCCAGTATTTGTCCAAAACTTGCATACAGTGAATCTAAACTTGAAGAAATATCAGACAAATTCAAATTAAAAGAAATTCTACAGAATAAATGTCCTGTTCTCCTAAAAATGTCAAGGCCGTGCAAGACAAAGACTAAGAAATGTTCCAGATTAAGGAGAATAGAGACATGAAAACTAAATGCAACAAGTAATTCTTGAACAGATCTGAGGAAAATGCTATAAAAGATATTGCAGGATCACTTGGAGAGGCCTAGGTGGGCTGATCACCTGAGGTCAGGAGTTCGAGACCAGCCTGGCCAACATGGTGAAACGCTGTCTCTACTAAAAATACAAAAATTAGCTGGGCCTGGTGGCAGGCACTTGTAATCCCAGCTACTCAGGAGGCTGAGGTGGAAGAATCACTTGAAACCAGGAGGCAGAGGTTGCAGCGAGCCAAGATCGCACCATCGCACTCCAGCCTGGGCAACAAGAGCAAAACTCTGTCTCAAAAAAAAAAGATATTGCAACAATTACCAAAATTTGAATATGGACTATAAATTGAATAACAGCTTTGTATCCATGTTAAGTTTTCTGGTTTGAATAGTTGTACTGTGGTTGTATTTTTAGGAATATTCTTAGTATATTCTTAGGAAATACATACTGAAGTATTTAGGGGCAAAGAAGCACAATTCTGAAACTCATTCTCAGACGTTTCAGAAAGAGAAATATATATGGCAAGTAGGACAAATATAAACAATTTGTAAGTCTAAGTTAAAATAATAAAAATTTGTATAGACTTATTTACCTGTTTTTCTGTCTATAGGCAGATAAGTTTTACTGCAGCTTATCGAAAACAAATCTCTCAGGCCCTTTGAACACAATGCTGTGGCAGATGTTGCTGACCTGCTTCCCTCAGATTTGCTTTCTCTTTGCAGTTACTAGTTTTGTCTGGGCCCTAGAAAAAGACTGTGTCTGATGTTGAAACAGAAACCACATCTTATGGGGCCCACTGTGCAGAAGAACACAAGCTGAAACAATATGAAGACTTAAGAGAGGTTATTTTTCTAATGTAACACACACACACACAGAGAGAGAGAAAGAGAGAGTAAAAATTCCAACAGTAGAAAAAGGAATGAATTGAAAAGTAAAAATGTCCTTCCCAAATTTATTCCACTCCCCAGAGGAAACCACTATTAATGATTTTTTGCATATCTTGCCTCTAAATTTTAAGGAGAGTGATTATACACACATGTATGGATATAGGTATATTATGTATATATCATATCTCCTTTACATTTTCAATGTTTATATATACACATATTTTTAAGTTGGTGCTTATCATTCTCAGGACAGAGAGAATTTTCCTTGGAGGAGGTGCTAAGGTAGGGGAGGTTGTCCTTTGTCCTTTACAAGAACCCCAGGCCCAGAGAATGAAGGAATTTTCACCACGTCAATAGCTGCTAAATGGCAGAGAAGAAACTAGAGACTCTTCAAATGCTTTGCATTGTTTTATTTTGTTCTCAAGCTTGCTTTATGGTTCAAAGTCTTACATTTACAAAGGTGCTGCTCCATCATGTCCTCACTCTCAAAGGCACACACATACATATCCCAAAATCTGAATGCATAAACAAAAATATAAGTGCAAACAACATAAAAGAGACCCAGATTTATACATATACATGTAAAGGCCTGTTCCATGTAGGAAATGTATTCATTCTTTCAACAATTTTAATATAATTGATATTTCTCCCCGTTTACGTGACAGGCTCTGAATGTTCCTGGTTCGTCTTCTACACACAGCACTTTCCCGGCAGCGCATGAGTCACATGAAACTTCTCTGGAGCAGAAATTCTATAGAAATAACTCTCTCCTGCCCCTTGGGTTACCCCTGGAGACTGTCAGTATCAAAGAGAATGTAAGACAATGCAATTAAATTAACAAAACATATCTCAAGATTGTATATAATATATTCATTAGCAGCAAATAGGAATTATTGCTGGCTGGATATAACATCCTAATCATACTCCATTAGAAATTATCTGTCTTTTGATTAAATAATTAGATGCTAACACTTAAAATAGTTCCATCTTTACTAAAAAAAAAAAAGTCATTAAAATATACTCACTGACTACAGTTTCTCCACATAAAAAAAAAACTCATGAAAACTTTCTTAGAATGAAGTTCTTTCCATTACACTGTTCCAAACAACAGGCAAATATTATTTTAATTATGACTATACTTTATTGTTCTCTACCATGTCTCACTTTTTTTCCCCTAGTGGTTTAGCCTAGTTTAAACTTTAGATAATCTAATTTTCTTCCTTTTTTATTTTATTTTCCTTTATTTTAACAGACTGTTTTTTCTTTCACTTAGTATCCTTTGGCATGACTTTTTTCTCCAGCCCCAAAAAGCTCCCAGGATCCCTGAGCTCCATATAATATTCCTTATAACTAAAACTGAGAGTGCTGATGTTTGGACCAAGAAGCTGCCTGGCATGTGTCCAATAAACTGTTACCTGAGTATGAGTATACAGGCATCCATCCCTTTGGAGAAGGACTATGGGAATCATCATTACTATCTGTGTTTGCCTTGTGTTACAAGATGCTTTCTCCTGGAAATCCAGCCTCCTGTTTAGTCCATGGTTTCCAAGTCTGAAAACTGCCTCAGGTCTGGAAACTGTGCAAGCAATTATGACTTTATAGACTGTTTTCAGCCTCTGGCCATCCATCCTCTATTTCTTCTGCAAGTATAAAATGAGTATTGCCCATCTGTTTGTCTTTAGAGGTGCTGGTTCTATTAACCACATCCATAACATTTGCAGATCAGTCCTTCTTGGCCACCACTCTGATCCTGCCTCTCCTTGTAATAGTTGCATACATCTGATTTCAGAGACTGTCTCACCACTTGGCCTCTATTGCTCTAGGGTTCTATGGCCTTCTTTATTATCGGTGAGCCTAGATCTGTAAAATTGCCTCTTTACAATCAGCTATGGTTTATAGAACTACCAACAAATATATTTTCGTGATTCTTTTTGCTAGTGTGTTGCTTGAGGTCTTGGTAAATGGTGTATCCTCTTAGCTGTTTCATGGAACATAATCAACTAATAGACCTTCCAGCCTTGCCTGGCATATTCATAGCACGCCAACTTCACTGAGCCTTTTAATTCCTTCTGCCATGGCAATTTTGGCATTTCAATTTCACTTTGCATGTTGGGAGACAATTCTGGTGTTTCTTCACATCTTTTGAGCAAAAGGCATTGACAGTAGTGTTCAACGATATCAGCAAAGCTGCTCTGAGGCAGAAAACAGATTTGCTCACATTTCAGGATAAGACAGCTAGAATCTGCCTCCCCCCCCTAAGACATTCTGGGATAATGAAAGAGAATACATCTCCAGAGGGGAGAAGTGATAGGTATGTTAGCAGCTCCTACATAAGATCAGGGTGTCCTAAGCTTGGAATGTCTCAGCTGTGACAGAGGCTCTGCGTGAACAGTACTCACCTGGGCCCACTCTGCCTCACCTCCTTTAAATTGGTGGTCAGGATGGATGACCCAGTGTGAACTTGAAGCTCCTACTGCCTGCTGTGCTAAGCTGTCTGGATCCAGCTGGACTCATTGCTTCCTTCTTGGCCATGTGGATGGAAGTGTGGTGGGCTGACCTAGCAGCTGCCTGCTGCTTAGAGACTGCTTGACCCCTTGGAAAAGCATGCTTGTTCCATGTTTGTTGCTTTTTCCATGTTGCTGCTTTCTCCATGCTTCTAGGAGCCATCCCAGGGTGAGTGATAGGGTGTTAAATCCAGTATCTCAAGAAAGTACTCCCAAAACAATAAACTCTCTTCTTTCTACCTGATGTTCTGGCCACTTTTACCACGCACCCTTAGAATCCCCAGAGTATTCCTCAATTGCATGCCAAATAGGCCTTGTTGTTCTTCTTAGGTGTAGCCCATTCCCTCCCTTATGAGGCCCAGCAAGCCTTTAGATGTGTTATATTGCAACTTAATCCGAGTTTACAGACATAGCAGCCAGAAGGAAAGGAAGGAAAGGAGGGGCAGATCCTGATGTGGACATATGTTGTCTACCTGGAGCTCTGATATCATTGAGGGGTTGTATTAAACAATGATAGAATTGCCTAAGTGTCTCATTCTTGTTATGTGGCATTTAATAGTGAGCTTTATTTTATCTTATTCTTTTAGAGGCAGAGTCTCATTCTGTCCCACAGGCTGGAGTGCAATGGCATAATCATAACTCACTATAGCCTTGAGCTCCTGGACTCAAGGGATCTTCCCACCTCAGCCTCCTGAGTAGCTGGGACTACAGGCCTGTGCCACCACACTCAGCTAAGGTTTTTATTTTATTTTTTGTAGAGGTGGGGTATCTTGCTATGTTGCCCAGGTTGGGCTGGTCTTGAACTCCTGGTCTCAAGTGATCTTCCTGACTCAGCCGCCCAAAGTGTTGAGATTACAGGTATGAGCCACCACCCCCAGCTATGACTCTTATTATTAAGCCATGTTTGGTCAGGTATTATGTCACCTGCTGCCAAAAGTAATTTTACTGATTGGCAGAACCAAACCTAGAAGGTGAATGACAGGTGACTTGTTTGTTACTAACCATATTCAGATTGTATTGGTTAAATTTATCAGTATCAATTTCTTTTTTTTTCTTTTTTTTTTTTTTTGAGACAGAGTCTGGCTCTGTCACCCAGGCTGGAGTACAGTGGCACAGTCTTGGCTCACTGCAACATCCGCCTCCCGGGTTCAAGAGATTCTTCTGCCTCAGCCTCCTGAGTAGCTGGGATTACAGGCAGCCGCCACAGGGCCCTGCTAATTTTTGTGTTTTTTTAGTAGAGATGGGGTTTTGCCATGTTGGCCAGGCTGGTCTCAAACTCCTGACCTCAGGTGATCCACCCGCCTCAGCCTCCCAAAGTGCTGGGATTACAGGCGTGAGCCACCACACCCGGCCATCAGTATCAATTTCTAAGAGTATTAGTGAACATTAGATCAATATACACTGGGGTGTGGGGAGGGGGTATTTAAAATAACAATAATAAAAGAGCTAGTGCCAGAAGATACATCAATAGTAGTAAAGCATATAGATAAATATATAGATAATGGCAGATGCTGTTTCTCATCTACTCCAAAGCTAGCCCCTTTCTTAGTCCTTGTGGGGTTTTGTTTTTGTTTTTTTAATTTTATTAAATTATTTTTCTTTTAGAGATGGGAGTCTCACTATGTCACCCAGGCTGGTCTCAAACTCCTGAAAACCTTTTGAGTTAAAATATTTTGTTGTTAGGGAAGCTTTCCAGTCTGAGGTCTGGGATGGATCCATGACACAAATCTGGCCAACAAGGCTTAAGCCGCTGTCCTGGGACCATCTGGGAAGGATTTTCCTCACTTAGAGGTAAGCATATGAGGTGAAATTCTGCCTTGCCTGCACCACACCCACTTCTCATCTTTGATAAATGCAGTGATGCGTGGAGCCACAGGGAAGACTGAGGGCTGCAGGGATGAGCCCCAGAGTCCTAGCACACTTGACCTTCTCACTTAATGCCAGTGACACCCCCGACCCCACCTCTAGATTTCTTGTGATGTGAAAAAATCAAATTCTTTTTTTTTTTTTTTTTGACTTACCAATAGGTGAGACATATCTTATTTGCAGCCAAGGCTTCCTTAGTGGGGTCCATAAATCAAAGGAATATAGAGTTTACCTGGAGACCACATTTGAATACTATTTAGACTCAGTGTTACATCGCTTTCATTGTATTGTAATTGTCGCTATTGCTATTATTGGCAGGTGTGTAGGAAAGGGGGAAATTACCAAACACTTTGAACACAAGTAGGCTGGGATAACCCAGCCTCAGAGGCGAAATTGGAAATAATCACTCTGGGAAAATAAGAGTTAAGGAGGTGTGGTGATATGTGTCTTCAATATTAAAATAGCAAACATGTATAAAAGAGATTTAAGCAAGTCTCTGTGTTTCTGAAGGACAAAAGTAAGACCTATGGATGGACCTTGTACAGAGTGAGATTTGTCCAGGTAGAACTCACTACCGAGGATCGTTGAAACCTAGACTGAACTGCGCAGTGTCATAGCTCACTTCCTAGTATTGAAGGTTCCAGGTAAAGGTGAGATGGCCATGTGCAAGGCTGTAACCTGCTAAAATAAGTCACTGTTCAAGGTGAGAGTCTGGAAGAGCTATCCTTGGGGTCTTTCTCACTCAACAATTCTATGCTTCTGTCCCTTCCTGTCATAGAAATTAGTGATTTAATAACTATGAAATCATAAAATCTGAAACACCAAAGACAACTGGATGCAACCCCTTAGGGGTTTGGAAAATGTTTGCCAGTGATTTAAAAAAATCTCCTAAAATATGACTATAATTCCAAAATTTACTCTTATGTTGATAAGAGACCTGGCATTTAAAGAATTAATCACTGTATCAACATGTAAGGGTATTAGAAAACAGTAATCAGTGCCACAGCCAACAAGTCAATGAAGCAGGTTAGATCAACAAAAAACAAACCTTAGTGTACACAGAAATTTAGTGTATGCTAAAAGGGCAAATGGGTGTATCAGTAAATTTATATTGTGGGAACAATTGGTTAACCCTTTGGGAAAAACAAAGTTGGAGTCTTATTTCCTAAAACACATAAAAATAAATTCTAGAGGTAAATTAATATTAATTTTTTAACATTATAAGTGTTTTTTTTACAAAATCATAAAAGAATAGTAGAAATCAATGCCTATTTGTTCTAGAAAGAGGGAATTATTTCTTTAGCATAAAATGAATTGAAGAAATTAAAAAGGACATCATTATTCACAGGTGACATGATTGCCTGGATAAGCAATTCAGAAGAATTTACAGAAAAACTCTTAGAATTAATAAGATAATTTAATAAAATATACCCCCTCTATATATGTAATTACAGTATACCAGCAAAAAACAAACCCCAGGAAATTAAAGTTTTAAAAAATACCATTAATAGCTTCAAAATTATCAAGTAATTAGATTAAACTGTGCAAGATATGTTCAAAATATCTATAAAGATAATTATAAATTTCCTTATAAAACATGTTTAAATTAACCCAAATAACGGGAGATACAACATGTTCAGATTGTAAGGCTCAGAACCGTAAAGACATGAATTCTAAGTTAGCTTATGCAATCCCAGTTAAAATCCTAAGAGTGTGTACATGTGTATGTAACTGGATGAGCTAATTCTTAAATATATATAGAACTGCAAAGGGAATAGCCAACACACTCATGAAAAGAAATAAGTGGAAGGACTTGCTCTACCAGATACCAGAGCTCATTATGAAGCTATAGTAATAGAGACAGTGAGCTATTAGTGCACGGACAGAAACAAAGACTAATGGAACAGAATACGCTATCCAGACACAGGCACAAAATTTATAACAAAGCAGAACAGCAGAGAAAAGGCGGACTTTTCAACAAAACATGCTGGGGCAATTAGGTATTCATGCAGGAAAAATAGATTTGACTCCTGCCTCACGTCTATACCAAAAGTCCATTTAAGAAGGATTAAAGAACTAAATGCGAAAGGCAAAACTAGAAAAAAAAATTTAAGATAATAGCTTAGCAATCTTCCGGTAGTGGAAGATTTCTTAAACAAGATAGAACTTTCATTCAAATAAACATGCCATAAGAATAAAAAAGGACATCCTGCAAAATGAAAGAAGATATTTGCAACATGTAACTAAAAAAAAGAACTTACATGCAGAATATTATTTTCAAAGTCTATAAATAAATTTTAAAAAATACAGCAGACCCAGTAGAAATTAAAATGACTCAAATAGATACTTGACAAAGAGGAAATCCCAGTGGCCGATAAATACATGAAAAGCTGCTCAATTGCATTAAAAAAGGAAATTAAAACCACAAAGTAGCATCATATACTAACCAGATTGGTAAGATATTTGAAGTCTCATAACAGTTGACAAGAAAGTGGAGTCAAAAAACTGTAATAACCAGCTTATGGGAGAATAAGTTAATATAACAGTACAAAAAATACTTTGGTGATGAAGATTTAAAGGCATCAATATCTCATGACCCAGCAAATTCTAGGTACACATTCCAGAGAAATGAATGCATATATGTACCAGTGTGCATGTACAAAAATGTTGACAGCACTATAGTTCAGAACAACCAAAATTACAAACAAACCAAATATCCATCAACAGTAAGTGAATAAATTGATGTATATTTGAATGGAATGTCATAAAACAACAAAAATAAACTATAGCTACATGTCACAAGATTGATAAATGCTGCAATCATTATGGTACAAAAGATAGTTATAAATAATGCATATGGGAGGATATACCTATTATTGATTTTTAATTTTTAGGGAGGCCTATGTATATAATAAAAAGAAAAATTATAACCATAAAGGTGAATCATGTATTGGTTTTCTATTGCTGCAAAACAATTTATTCCAAAATTTAGTGGCTTAAGACAAAAATCATTTATTATTCCATAGCTGCTGTGGGTCAGGAATCCCATTGTGGCTTAGCTGGATGCCTCTGGCTCATGGTCTCCCACAGGCTCAATCAAGGTACTCCTGGGCTGCATTCATCTCAAGGTTGGATTGGGGCAGGAGCTGCTTCCAAGTTCATTAACATGGTTGTTGGAGGCCTTCAGTCCTTACTGTTGGCAGGAGACATTAGTTCCTTGCCCCATGAAGCTCATAGTGTGGCATCTGCATCCCCTAGAGCAAGAACCGAGAGAGGGAACTGGAGGAGAGAGGAGGAAGTGGCAGAAACAGAAACCACAATCAGATCTACTCAAAAATGGCACACCATTGTTTTTGCTGGATTCTATTGGCTTGAAGCAAGTCCATGAGTCCAGCCCACACTCAGTGGGACGAGATTACACAGGGCATGAATACCAATCGGGGCCATCATAAAGGATGCCTACCACAGGCAGTTACTGCTAAAGCAAAGAGGAACATTGTGATAAAGAAGAGGAATAAGAGATGAAGGAAGCTTCTGGAGTGTTGGCATCATTATATTTCTTCATACACATACACACATTTTCACACACTTCAGGATGTACATTATAGCTCACAATGAAAAACTATAAAGTTATGTATAGGAAAATCATAGTGAAACCCATATTATTAAGCATGAAAAAATTTTAAATATCTTTATACTTAGGTCGGGCTCAGTGGCTCATACCTGTAATCCCAGCACTTTGGGAGCCCAAGGTGGGCAGATCACCTAAGGTCAGGAGTTCGAGATCAACCTGGACAACATGGTGAAACCCTGTCTCTACTAATGATACAAAAATTAGCCAGGCATGGTGGCAGGTGCCTGTAATCCCAGCTACTCAGGAGGCTGAGGCAGGAGAATGTCTTGAACCTGGAGGTGGAGCTTGCAGTGAGCCAAGATAGTGCCACTGCACTCCAGCCTGGGCGGCAGAGCCAGACTCCATCTCAAAAAAAAAAAAAAACCATCAAAAAAACACAAAAATCTTTATATCTAATAACATTATTTAACAAATAAAAAGGGGAAAACCAGAGATAAGAGTAATACAATAATCAACAAAAAATGAAAACAAACGAATGAAAGTCAGGCGTGGTGGCTCATACCTGTAATCCCAGCATTTCAGGAGGCTGAGGTGCGAGGATCACTTGAAGCCCGGAGTTCAAGACCAGCCTGGGCAACATAGTGAGACCCCATCTCTCCCAAAAAAACAAAAATAGAAAAATAAGCCAGACATGGTGGCACATGCCTGTAGTCCCAGCTACTTGGGAGGCTGAGGTGATCGAGCCACTGTGCTCCAGCCTGGGTGACAGAGCAAGACCCTGTCTCAAAAACAAAAAATGAATAATACAATGATAAAAGACCATTTATGCCTTAATCTATACAGACCTGATAAAAATCAATTATGAAAAAAAATACTACTGTAATCCCAGCCCTTTGGGAGCCCGAGGTGGGTGAATCACTTGAGGCCAGGAGTTCAAGGCCAGCCTGGCCAACATGGCAAAACCCTGTCTCTACTAAAAATACAAAAATTAGACAGGTGTGATGGTGTGCACCTGTAGTCCCAGCTGCTTGGGAGACTTAGGCAGAAGAATGGCTTGAACCCAGGAGATGGAGGTTGCAGTGAGCCGAGATCATGCCACTGCACTTCAGCCTGGGTGACAGAGCAAGACCCCTTTCTCAAAAAAAAAAAAAAAAGAAAAGAAAAGAAATATAAGCAAACTTGTAAGAAACTCTTAGAAGACAGTATACAAATGACCAACAAACATATAAAAATGTTCAACTTTACCATCAAAGGATAAGAGTGACAGCAGAAGCTGTCATGTTTGCTTCTTAAATTAACAAAGATGTTTTGAAAGACAGCTTTCACTGGTGAAGAGTATGTAGTGAAATCAGCATTCTCATACACTATATTAGGCTACATCTGACCATCCTAGAAAGCAACTCAACAATATATCAGGATTTTCCAAATTCAAATGGTATGACCCTACTCTAGAACATTATTTTAAACTTTAAGTAATATAACTGTATTAAATGAAATTTGAAAAATAATAAATAAAAATTAATATCTCTAACCCTACTGCTTTCATAATTTAATTATCATTATTCTGGTTAAATTCTTGGCCAGGCTTGGTGGCTCATGCCTGTAATCCCAGCAATTTGGGAGGCTCAGGTGGGCAGATCACCTGAGGTCAGGAGTTCAAGACTAGCCTGGCCAACATGGTGAGACCCCATCTCTACTAAAAATACAAAAATTAGACGGGTGTGGTGGCACATGCCTGTAATTCCAGCTACTTGGGAGGCTGAGGCAGGAGAATTGCTTGAACCCAGGAGACAGAGGTTACAGTGAGCCGAGAGCACGCCACTGCACTCCAGCCTGGATGACAGAGCCAGACTCTGTCTCAAAAAAAAAAAAAAAATTCCTTGCAAGATTTTTTAAATATGTCTCTGTAGATGGCTGTAATTACCATGTACATAGTTGCATTTTTTAATCTAATATTATATAACATAAATTTTTCCACATTGCCATATATTTGATTGCCACACAATGTTCCTTAGAGTAAAAATACCATGGTTTATTTATTTATTATTCCATTTTGGAGATTTGTTTCTATGATTTTTATCCCTTTTCACTAACTTTGCAATAAACATTCTCCTTTAGAGAAGTTTTTTCCCATATTAGATTGTCTCAATAGAATTTTTTAAATAATTTAAATAAGGTTTTCTCAGCTCTTTAATTAGTTGCCAAATTAGTTTCCAAAAGTTTGTGTGAATTTATAAAGTTGCCAAGGAAGCATGAGTATCAGTTTAACTCCATCTCATCAGCAGTGAATATTATTTGATATGGTCTCTTCTAATTTAGTGATGCAAAAGAGCTTTTTAAAAATTTAGTCTTCTGACAAAGATGCTTTAATAGAGGCAAGGCTGAGTTCCCCACGCTGCTCACAGTTCACAGTTCGGGGCCAGCTTCCAACTGTCTGACACAAGAGCAATTAGAAACAACGTATGGAGGTGGATAAGAATCACTATGTGATAACATCATGCAGTTAAAAAGATCTGATGTCATTTATTAAATGTCATCATCTATAGGCTTTAAAAGAAAGGAGAAAACTGTTCCATAAAACTATCACATATTGTGACTGAAAATGAAAGAATAAATAGGAACTGTTTTGAAAGAAAGGCAGTTAAAAATAAACCGATAATGGACAAAACAAACCCACTAGAAACTACAGTCCAGAAATGTCTCTAGAAGTGACATTAATTAGGACAGAGGAAAGGGAGTTATATCTGACCTGAGATCAATAATCTTTCATTGGATTAAAGACAACCAGGTAGAATATCCAAAGGATATTCTTTTATGAAATGAAAAGGAAGGAAAGGTCACTATGATTTTAATAAAAAACTATATTTGGTCTTTGACCCTGGCTTCTGGCACAGAGCTCCTGAAACCCGTGGAATTTCCTGAGTGATAGGAGTGTCCTTTGTAATTCATAATGAGCAGCTTTCATCACAGCTGAGTTTATGCAAATGGCATGACTTAGAGCAGGATCCCTAGATAGCCTCAGGCTGCGGCTGGTCACCAGAAAGACCAAGTAAGTAGGGTCTTGGAACTTTCAGCCCCACTCACTGGGCTCTGGGAAGAGGAAGAGGAGGTAGAGATTAAGTGATATAAAAACTCTTGAACAGGCCAGGTGCAGTGGCTCATGCCTGTAATCCCAGCACTTTGGGAGGCCGAGGTGGGCGGATCACCTGAGGTCAGGAGTTCAAGACTAGCCTGTTCAATATGGTGAAACCCGATCTCTCATTTAAGGGGAAGGATTTCTTTTTCTGTTGTTCATTACTGTATCCCCTGCACCTAAAAAAAAAAAATGCCTGCTAACCAATAAATAGTTGTTAAATAAGTGAATCCTAGAATAGATTGATACCCAGTTACATATTATAAACTTAAATGAATCAGAATTAACTTTCTAACCTCTCCCTCCCACTCTCTGCCTCCCCTCTAATCTCTCTTCCTAGCTTTTCTCTCTCTCTATCCCATTCTCTTCCATTACACATATGGCAAAATGAGTTCAGAGAGGCTTTCCACAGAAAGACAAGACAGCAAAGCAGAGCAGAGGGGCAGTAGCTGGCCTGGGAGGGTGGGGCCGAAGAGTTTATTTTAAATGGAATGAAAAAGCATGGTTGAAAGTTGATGAAAATGATTCAGTGGACACAAACTGGTGACCCAGAAGAAGCAGCAAAGGTTGGCTTGACCAGATCCAGAGCATAAGTGGAGGGCATGGTCTTGGGTGGGCACAGGAACAGTCAGAAGGCCAAGGAAACGTGTTCAGGTGCAGAGGAGGCTGGAGGTGATGGTAGCAGCTTGCAGAACTTTTTTTTAATTTTTTTTTCCAGAGAAATAAGAAAAAGCATCACTGAGTGGGGACAGGAAGGAGGAGCTGTAAGTCTGGGAAGAATGACTAAGGTAGGAAATCATCATCTAGCACAAGGGCGAGTTATTGGACTAGGGAAAGGAGTGGAACTGCTGGACAGAGGTGGTTGAATTTAAAGTGAGACCAGTTGTTGGGTCAACATGATCTGGGATTTTTTTATTTGCTTGTTTGTTTGTTTTATGGCATATTCTGCTACACGGTTCAGAGTGAGCAGGAAGAGAGCAGCGTTTAACCAGGTTTGGAGTTTTCCAAGCAAGTGGTGAGAAGTAAGTGAGGGCAAGGGAATTGGAGGTGCAGCCAAGGGAGGAGTCACTGATGATGGGCGATGAAGCCCCCACTGTGGAAGGCAGGCAATGAGGCTGTGAGGGGGTTGGGAAACATGAACTTGTGGAGGGAGGCATAGCTGGTAGGGGTTCAGTAAGGCCCAGGAACATTGGAGTCCAGGCACTACAGAGAGTGAGCTAAAGACAGGAGCTAGTGGTCTGAAAGTGAAATATTTGCAATTGGTATTTGGAAGGGGCACATTTCTTAACCATGACAAGGATATTGAATGGGAATAAAATAGAGAGGAAGATAAAAGACTGGAGAAAAGTTCTAGGATTAAGAGGCCACGATATTGGAAGTATTTTATTCCTATGATTGCTGTATGTTTATGCAGTTAATTCGTGACTTCCACATGTGTTAGAGTTGTGATAATGGCCCAACCTAGGTGCACATTAGGGGCACGCTGGGGGAGCCTTTAGAAAATATAGGTGCTGGGGACCCACACTAGACCAAGTGAATTAGAACTGTTGAGGTTGAAGATTTTTGTTTCAGAGTTTAAAGGAGAAGTATAAAATGTATTCAAAATTTAAATACATTTTGTCCAAGATCAGAAAATAAAAGTAACAAAGCAAACTCCTTCTCCCACAGGCTCCCACATTGCCTAACACATTCCAAAATATCTGATATTTAAAAAATTAATGAAATAATGCAGATTTTATGTTCCCAGAGCTGTGCTTCTCGAAGTTGAATATGTGTATGAGTCACCTGGGAAACTTGTTAAAATGCAAAATCTCATGTAGTTGGTCTTGGGTTTTGCTGGAGTTCGTGCATTTAAACTGGGAGATGCCAGAATGCTGACTCATAGAGGATGTTCTTATTAGCAAAGTGATGAGGGATCCTTTTAGTGGCACTGGATAGGAACTGCTGAAGAAGTGGATGCCAGGCCACAGGGGCAGGTTAACTTTTGACTTATCAAAAATTAGTGAGAACTTGGCCGGGTGCAGTGGCTCATGCCTGTAATCCCAGCACTTTGGGAGGCTAAGACAGGCAGATCACTTGAGGCCAGGAGTTCAAGAACAGCCTGGCCAACATAGCAAAACACCATCTCTACTAAAAATACAAAAATTAGGCGTGATGGTGAGCACCTATCATTTCAGCTACTCGGGAGGCTGAGGCAGGAGAATTGCTTGAACCTGGGATGTGGAGGTTGCAGTGAGCCACCGATATCACGCCACTGCATGCTCCAGCTTGGGTGACAGAGCAAGACTCTGTCTCAAAAAAAAAAAAAATTAAAAATTAAAAAAGGAACAGGAGAGAAAAAAGTTATGAACTACTCACAAAACCCATGATCACTCCAGAGGGCATCTGAAGTCATGTGCAAAGCGGTGTGGACTGGCCAATCCCAGCCTAAAAAGTCCCTTCTGTGATGCATCACCTCAATCTCATCGTGACAAAGCATCAGCTGAACCCCAAATGAAGGTCAACACCTGGATTCTACTCTTTAAAAATATGAACATCACAAAAGACAAGGAAAATGTGAGGAACTACTCTAGACGGAAGGAAAACAAAATGAGATGAAAGCTAAGTGCAGCATGAGATCCTGGATTGAATCCTATTCCCGAAGAGAAAAGGGGATTGCAAAGAACATGGTTGGGTCCGCTGGTGATATCTGAGTGAGGTCTGGGTGGTGGCACTGTATTGATGCTGACTTCCCGATGTGGACGGACGTACCTGTTATGCAAGAGCCTGTCCATGTTTTTAGGCAGCACACACAGCAGTGTTTTAGGGTAAAAGAGCATGTCAGCAATTGCTCTCAAATGATTCAGAAAAATATATAATAATAATAATGCTGTGGGTGGAGGGAGATGAGAGAGAGAGACTACAGTACGTCCTCACTGAATGTCATCAATGGGTTCTTGGAAACAGAGACAATGAATGAAATGACATATAATGAAACCAGTTTTCCCATAGGTTAATTGATATAAGTAAGAGTTAAGTTCCTACAGCACATTTCTGGTCATAAAAACATCATCAAACTTCTAAACAAAGACACAAAACACTTTACTATTAATCCTTCTTGTTTTTATTAATCTTTATTAAATTTATGGAGAGCGCTTATTGAAATAAATGTATTCAATTCTCACTTAAATAAATGAGAACTCTTCATTAATTTAATAAAGGTAAATAAAAACAAGAAAAAGAATTATTTACCCAATTTTTGATGACTCAGTGAGTGATGACATCGAAGCGGTGGTGGGTTAAATCAAGGAATAAATGTTTGCAAAGCAAAAATTGTCAAGAGCATCTCCTTGCACCACACAATTCAAAAGCAATCACAAATGTGGCAGCTCACTGAGCATGTTCATATTGCGTCATCTATTTTTGTGCATTTCTGTGGTTATCGTAGACTTTAGGAATGTTTGCTTTATAATCATTTGTATTCACTCATTCATTTTCCAACCCATTTATTCCAGTTAGTGTCATGGGTGGCAGGAGCCATCCTGGCAGCTCAGGTCGGGAAGTGAAAACCAGCCTGGACAGTTGCCATCCTATCACAAAGCACACTCACACTCACACTGGGACCATGTAGACACAGCAGTTCACCAGCGTGCATGGCTTTGGGATGCAGGAGGAAGTCCAAGGACCCAGAGATGAAAACCCATGCAGACATGGGGAGAACATACAAACTCCACAAACAGTGGACCCTGGCAGGAATCAATTTTTTTCTCATCAATGTTATAACAGAATGATGTTATTCAAGGACCTGGTGAATACAGAAATTCTTTATACTACTTTTTCAACTTTTCTGAATGTTTGAAATTATTTCAAAGTAAAAAAGTTTTAAAAATCAAAATCAGCCTTGGCATAGTGGCTCACGCTTATAATCTCAATGCTTTGGTAGGCCAAGGCAGTAAAATCATTGGAGGCCAGGAGCTCATGACCAGCCTGAGCAACATAGCAAGACTCCATCTCTACGAAAATACAAAATTAGTCAGGTGCAGTTGTGCACACCTATAATCCCAGCTACTCGAGAGGATAAGGCAGGAGAACCACTTGAGCCCAGGAGGTTGAGGCTGCAATGAGCTGTGATTGGGTCACTGCACTCCAGCCTGGGTGACAGAACAAGATCCCATATCAAAAATTAAAAAATAAATAAACTTGTTTTCTAATACCTTTTTTGGCAAAAATAATATGTGGCCTTTATTGACAATAAAATATATATTAACAAAAACAAAAATATTTTAAGAATATGAAAAGCACCAATAATGTCATTCATTACAACAAACTACTCAACTTTTTGAAATAATATGCACCAAATATATATTAACAAAAACAAAAATATTTTAAGAATGTGAAAAGCGCCAATAATGTCATTCATTACAACAAACTACTCAACTTTTTGAAATAATATGCACCAAATATATATTTTATGTTGTTACATATTTTGTATACATTAATATATATAATTATGTATTGTATAGTTATAATTATATATTAATAATATAATACTAGTTTTCCTAAACTTTCTAATGATTAAGAAGTCAACATTAGTCATAGTGAACACTGGATCACTCCATTAGTAAGAACAGTAGATCACTGAAAATTATCAAATAATAACACCCATTTAGCATCTTCAGGGGTGTAGGTGGCCCTGTTCCCCAGGCAAAAAACAATTGCCTCACTGGTGCTGAGCATGACCCAGAGAAAAAGGCAAGCTGTGGGCCACACCTGCCTGCCACCCAGACACATAGGGTCACCAACTCAGGTGGACAGCTGGATGAGAAAGGAGCCCTTTCTTAAAATTCTCAGGAAACACATGTTCCAGGCCACAGAAAAGACAAACAAGATTATAAGTATATGACTGAATCCTTCCCATTCTGTCCCATTCGACCTCCTGGTTTCACAACTGTCTTAACTCTGAGCTTTGGGAGTCAGAAAATGATGTTCCACAGAAAATTCCAGTGCTATTGAGAATGAGAAACAGAAACAGAAAAGTCTAAGCCAAATTAGAGTGGTTTGCATTTCATCTTTGTGGACTGATTCTTTTTTTCTTTTAAGTAAACATTCTGGTCATACTAGATACAGAGAACAAGGTGGTAAATGAGAGGTGATGGTAGTGTGAACCAGGGCTGGAGGAAGGTGGACATGAGTAGCGAGTGAGCATTCCAGATGTTTAGGAGGGAGCACTGACAGGACTTAGCAATTGAGTAGATGTGTGTGAAGAGTGGGGACAAGAGCAAACCACCGGCCAATTGAATAGGAGGAGAAAAAAAAAACACAATAACCATATAGAGAGTTTCAAATACAGTAAAGACTCAAAACATCACAGTATTTATTTTCTTTGAAGCATTATATTTATTTATACTTAAGAAGGCAATCTTGACTTACAGGGCTTTTCAAGTTAATGGAGTTTAGTTAATCCTGGCAAGGTATCTGTTGTTGATACAATGTGGATTCTGGGCAAACTTACTTAACCTCATTATAATTTAAAGCTTGTTGCTGGGTAACAATATCCAAAGTTCTTTTGGATCCCTAGATTAAGATAGTCATGCCAAAGAGTAGGTAAGCGAAGTTGAAGGTTAGAAAGTTGACAGGTTCTCATTAGAACTTTAATCATCTTTCATTTATGAGATTATCTCTGCATGAACAAAGTCAGATATTTTAAAACAGAAACTGAGGGCTGGGCGTGGTGCCTCATGCCTGCAATCCTAGCACTTTGGGAGGCTGAGATGGGAGGATGGCTTGAGGCCAGGAATTAGAGACCAGCCTGGGCAACACAGCAAGGCCCCCATCACTAAAAAAAAATAATAAAAATAAACAGAAGCTGAATATGTGAATATTCACTTGCATGCTTTACTTAGTGATCTTTTAAAAACTTGAGAGAAAAGTATTGGCGCCTCCCACTGAATGACCAACAACACTCTGTGTTGGGTTTTTTGAGACAAAGTTACAGAGGTGCGAAGCAGCACAGTGTGAGAAATACATAGTTTCCTTTCCAGCACCTTCTTGTTGTGAAACTGTTTCAAAGAGAGAGAAGGTATGTTGGAGCAATTGGGTGCTGTGGGAGAGAGTGGCTCCAGGAGGGATGACCTGGTGAACTCCGGACCACTAGGTCTAGCATTGGGACTTTGGCCTCTAGGACACAGGAAGATAACGGATACTAAGGGCAGAAACAGGACACATGAAAGCCATGCTGGTTGCTCAGCATCCTTTGGATGCATGCAGGGACTGTGCATACATTTTTAATGGCATAACTCAGCTATCTTGTATTGCTAAACACTTTCTGTATATTTATGTAACAAAAAAAAATGCTGCAATAAGTGCCACAAAAATATGGTGTATCTATGAAAACTATTGGGAAGAGTGTTAAGTGCCAATGATGGCATTGAACACATCAAACAAAAATGCTTTGGAAAAGGCACCAACATGACACCGTTCATTAAAACATAATTCAGGCCAAGCATCGTGGCTCATGCCTATAGTCCCAGCACTTTGGGAGGCTGAGGCAAGAGGATTGCTTGAGCCCAGGAGTTCAAGACCAGCCTGGGCAACATAGCTAGATCTTGTTTCTACAAAAAAAAAAAAAAAAAAAAAAAATTTGTTTTAATTAGCCAGGCATGGTCGTTCACACCTGTAGTCCCAGCTATTCAGGAGGCTGACGCAAGAGGATTGCTTGAGCCCAGGAGTTCAAGGTTGCAGTGAGCTATGATTGCACCACTGCCCTCCAGCCTGGGTGACAGAATGAGACTCTGTCCAAAAATAAATAAATAAATAAGAAAAAGTACTTCATAAATCTTATTTGAATAGAATATGCTTGACACATGGTGCATTTGGTGCAGTAAATAAAATCAAATCAGAACAAGAAATGTTTTCCTTAAAATCCTGATGTTGCATTCAGTTTCTCCCTTTCCTTTGATTTTATTTTTCTCATTAAAATCCAATCTATGACACATTTAAAGTTCTCTCCACCCAACATTAACATGCAGAAAGCAATAAACTGCACATAGCCCAGAGTGTAACATGAAGTGAATCTCTCTGGTTTCCACACGCCAAACAACAGCTCAATTGACAAGACCCAGGATAGTCACTGATTGCACAAACCTGATGCCCTGCCAGGTAGGAGTGGGTGAAATATGTTGATAATAAATACAGGAATGTTGAAATTGAGTCACACAGTTCTTCCCTATTTTATGGGGAAAATAAAACAAACAATTCGAAAATTAGGCTTGAGGGGAAATTATTTTTACCCTGGACATCTAAAAGCATGGGTGGCAGCGCAGCCCATTCTATTATAATTGTTCAGCTAAATCTGATTTTGCCGATGTTGATACATTTGGGCATTAAAGTAGCAGCATTCTCACTTGAAAGCTGAAAACCTAATCATCTTTTTCATGCGATGGTTAATAGCTTTAGCTATTGCCAGAAGTGCTCCCCTCTTCCAATGGAAACCTGCAAACACAGAAACAAATAACCCTAAATGATCTAAGGTCTTCATTTCATCTTTAAGTATCATGGACAAATAAGGCTTCAAATTTTAAAAATATGCTTACAAAAAACCCATCATCTACTTAATAAGCAAAGTTAATTTCCTTCTACTGAAATGTCTTGTTGAAAGTTAGTTAATCCTGTGCTCAATACTAGACTTTTGTTGGGATATCCCCTGCTTCTTCCCAAGCAAAGCCAACAAGATGTATAACAGGTTAAGAGAAATTTGCCTTTGGCATTATGTTGAAGGAAAGGATGAAAACCATGCATCACCATGTAATGTCAGTAGCATTTGTGCTGCCAAGTGATAGGCATCTTCCTTAATGGTGCTGGTGCTGGTACAACACTGCCCTTTCTTTGAAAATACCCAAGTTGGAAGGGTCACCAAAGGCAGGAGCTCCTCAGCTCAAGCAGAGAAAACAGAGTGAACAGGAGTGACAATGTAACAAGTTCCTCAGCATGTACAAAGAAAGGGAGTCTACTAATTGGGCTTTGAAAGGATCGTGGGGGCTTCCCAGAAGACACCACTTGTAAACTGCACCCTGAAAGGGAAGGATAAAGAGCCAAGTTGGGCTGGGGGTAAGGAAGGGGTAAGAGGAGACAGAGAAGTCTGTTCTAGGCAATGGACACAGCATGTGGAAATGCTAAAGGTGAAACAGAGAATGAAACTTTAAGAAATAGCCCAGGTACCACCTGAGCAGCAGGCTTTCTCCAGGTGTGGTTTATAAACCATCTACATATGAATCACCCAGAGTGCTTGTCGAAACAAGTTTCCTGAGCTTGGAGCTCATCTACTAAACCATATTCTCAAGACTTTGCATTTAAAATAAGCATTCTAGAGGATTCTTATCCTCTAGCATGGCTAAGTACAGCGAGCAACAACAGATGATTCTGGAGAGGTAAACAGTGAGGAACTGTGAAGTCCTTGAACTCTAGGGTTTAGGACTTGGGATTTCCCAAGTAAAGTAGAGAAGCTGAGGCAAGACACATGAGCCCCAAAGTGAGTCTTAGCCCGTAAGGGTTTGTGGCTTCACTTAGGAATTCATAGGCAAGCTGGTGGTAGGGTAGAAGAAAACAGCTTTATTGAAGCAGCAGTGTTACAGCTCCAAGACTGCTCCTGCAGAGCAGGGCTGCCCCATAGGCAGAGAGCAGCAGCTCAGGGCAGTTTTGCAGTCACATGTATACCTACTTTTAATTACATGTGGATGAAGGGGTGGTCTATGCAGAAATTTCTAGGAAAGGATGGTAGCTTTTGGGTCGTCAGGTCATTGCCATGGGAAGGGGGTGGTAACTCCTGGGTGTTGCCATGGCAATGGTAAACTGACATAGCACACTGCTGTGCGTGTCTTATGGAAAGCTGCTCCCAGCCTATTCCTGTTTTAGCTAGTCCTCATTTGGGTCCAATGCCCTATCCCCACCTCTAGAGTCAAGTCCCACCTCCTATCTCAAAGCTCCATCCAGGATTTGCATAAGAACATAAAGGAAACAGGAATTTTTAGAAAAATCTTTCTAGCCACAGGGTGGGACAATGGACTGGAGCTGGGCAAGACCTGGGCAGGGAGTCATCTGGGTGTGAGAGCCTGGGGACAGAAGAGCTGAGGGGAAACAAGCAAAAAAGCTGAGATGGCCAGAACAAGGGTGGGTTCCAGGAGGCACAGCAGTGGAAAGATGTGGGCAAGTAGTGTAGGGGCGGGGAAACATCAAGAATGATCCCTCCCCGGGTTTCCAGCTTGAGTGCTGATGGATGGAGCTGATCACAGGGGTGGTGAGGAGTAGGAAACTGAGTTTTAGGAATGTTGAGTTGGGAGTGCCTATGGAACTCAATCAAGCTCGGGAGTAACATATGGGATGGAGTTACAGATGTAAAAAATCATCAATACACAGATGGGAATAGAAGCCACAAGAAAATAAAGGCTTATGGTATGGCTTTTCTTCATAAAGTGGGGAGTAAAGTTATTTTCCAATATTTAGTAAACAGCAGGTGTTATGAGGTCAAGAGTTCAACACCAGCCTGGCCAACATGGTGAAACCCCATCTCTACTACTAATAAAAAATGAGACCAGGCGCGGTGGTTCACACCTGTAATCCTAGCACTTTGGGAGGCCAAGGCAGGCAGTTTGCCTGAGCTCAGGAGTTCGAAGCCAGCCTGGGCAACATGGTGAAACCCCGTCTCTACTAAAAATACAAAAAATATTAGCCGGGCGTGGCTGCATGTGCCTGTAGTCCCAGCTACTTGGGAGGCTAAGGCAGGAGAATTGCTTGAACCCAGGAGGCGGAGGTTGCAGTGAGCCGAGATCACGCCACTACACTCCACCTGGGCGTCAGAGTGAGACTTTGTCTCCAAAAAAAAAAAAAAAATTAGCTGTGTGTGGTGGCGTGTGCCTGTAATCCCAGCTACTCGGGAGCCTGAGGCAGGAGGATCGCTGGAACCTGGGAGATGGAGGTTGCAGTGAGCCGAGATCGCACCAGTTCATTCCAGCCTGGGCGACAGAGCGAGACTCCATCAAAAAAAAAAAAAAAAAAAAAAAAAAAAAGCAGGTGTCAGAGTATGCAATAAATATAAAATAGCTACTTGTGAAGGCCATAAGAGAGAACCCTGAGTAGGGAAACAGAGAAAGCATTAAAGCCTCTGAAAATACTGAGGCACTGCCACCATCTTGGCTCTAGTTTTGCTGGCTGATTTTCCCAGGCAGTACTTGCCCGTCTGGGGACAGGAACAGAGAAAGATGCAGCCGGATGTGCCAGAGACTCGGCCTTTCCTTATCCTGATGGCTTCTGCTACCTGCTGTGCTCCCAAAACTCAGATCTGGGAACAAAAATCTGCTGGCTTTTCTTCAATTTGGTTCTGCCCACATTGCATGCCTGTTAGCTCCTGACACACACACACACACACACACACGCCCCAGCCACTGTCCTGCAAATAACAAGTGCTGTTCCCTGTTGCACCACTTCCTAGTTAGGAAATGGTGTATGTTGAAATTTTTTCCTAATTTATGTTTACATTTGCCTGCTATTATCAGCCAAAGAGCTGGTGTGATGGTCAAGCAGAATAGTCATTTTAGGTGGTCCTCTGATTTCATGACTGATTATTACTAATTATGACTCCCTGAAATTCCACACATCAGTCTCTCTGTTCACATCCTTCTTCAGTATTTCCTTCTCCAGGTTTACCTTAACTTCCCACTTATTCCACAGAGCCATGCTGTCTAGAGCAAGTGGCACACAACCTCCCTGCCCTGCTCCTTGTGCTGAGCTGGAGCAGCGAGAGACGCCTGACCAGGCACACCCAGGCCCTTCCCCTGGTAGATAATGAGTCAATAGTTGAGGAAAGAAAAATTCTGTTTTTCTGGACTCAGGACTTCCACACACATCCAGTTCCCTAGTTTGATGAATTTATTTCTTTTATTTTCTTTTGATTTTTAAAAATAATATCATTCTTTTTGTTTTCCTTGTTTGTTCTATCTGAAAATCTTTTTAAGTACATTAAACATCTTATAAATCACCTAATTTTCTTCTTCTCCTATTTTTTGTCTCTTTGGTTTTTTATTTTTTATTTTTATTTATTTATTTATTTGAGATGGAGTCTTGCTCTATCGCCCAGGCTGGAGTACAGTGGCATGATCTCGGCTCACTGCAACCTCTGCCTCCTGGGCTCAAGTGATTGTCCTGCCTCAGCCTCCTGAGTAGCTGGGATGACAGGCATGTGCCACTACACCAGGCTAATTTTTGTATTTTTGGTAGAGACAGGGTTTCACCATGTTGGCTAAGCTGGTCTTGAACTCCAGACCTCAAGTGATCCGCCCACCTCGGCCTCCCAAAGAGCTGGGATTACAAGTGTGAGCCACCATGCCCATCCAGTTTTTTGGTTTTTTAAATATCCTGTAAGAATCTTTAAATCTGTCCCAACACTTTTTTTTATTATTTATAACATTATATTTAATTATTCTGAGCACTCCTTCTCCTTCCTTTTATAACCCCTGTTCTTGTTTCATATAGGTGATATCAAATCTCTCTGCAGACATTTTTATATATTTTCTTGAAGTTTCTTCTGCTCTCTGCATTTTTGTCATTGTCCTCTCTTGGTGTTTGTTTTGGGGGTTCTCTACTTTCATGTTGAAGATTTTCCTCAAATGTGTTGGGCGTCTTTGCTGATGGTCCTATTTAAGAACAAGACACTAAGAAAATGAGTGAATTCTGAGTGCTTGGGCACACACACTGACCTTTGAGCTTTATTTCGAGGGACTGGGTTGGGACTTTGTCATTCCATTGGAAAGTCCTTCTTGTCAGAATCTGAGAAGCTTTTTTAGGGGACCAATCATTTTCTCCAGAGAATAGTTGGGTGATTTCATGCTCAGAGAGCATGAACCTGGGCGATGGCATCCCAGGAGATGTGCGGGGCCGCTGTCCGGGGACACTCCTCCTGCAGCATGCAGGCTTCCCTTCCCTCTCCCCAGCACGGCATCTCCCTGAAGCCCCAGCTCTGTGTGGCATCCTGAGGCTTGAGCTTTCTCATTCAGTATTTCCAGAGAATGACCCTACAGTATTCTTTGATGGAGGAGGGAGCGTCCGTTCATGTGAGCTTAGGAAGGCAGGGGGCGGGGGTTGGGGGGTGCGTGGAGGTTATTCTCATGTTAAAGATTTTCTGTCCTACCTGCTCTTCCATGGTGCTCTTATCACCTGAAATTTTCTGGGGTTCTGTGACAAAAATCCATGCTTTTTTCTCTGTATAGAGATATATACACAATTCCACTGTGGCTTTCAGCTGCTAAGTAATTGCCATTCTTTCATTTGCTCTTCCAAACATCTTCGATGTCTCTGGTCTGCTGCTGTCACTTCTCTTGTCTCTTTGTCCTCATGGATTATATTATTTTTGTTCCTTTACTGTCATTCCAGTGGGCTTTAGAGAAGGGCTAGAGACAAGCTCAGGGTTCAATCCGCCACATGCCATCCAATTTGTGAATGGTTTCTAAATGTGTTAGGTACTCCATGCATGAAATTCTAGAGAATACCAACATCATAGCCTACGTAAAATTCATTCTCAACAAACCAAGAAGTAGAGCCATGATTTAAAAAAAAAAAAAGATTGATAGTATGGCAAAAAAGCCATTTTGTATAGAAAATACTGTTAGAGGAAAAGCTGCATTATTCTACACTGGTGTTTTGTTTTGTTTTGTTTTGTTTTGTGGCTGCGGACTTAGCCAATTATATTCATTATACTCTTGGGAAAACTATAGAAATTCAATTAAAAATGATTTTCACTGGCATTCAATTTACCATATTGCTTTTCAGTAAAGGGACTTGACACATGGCTTAATAGTGTTGTGACTGTGGCTCAACACAGAAAAACAAAAAATGTGAGGTCCAACCAGATCAAAAATTTCAACAAACACCTTTAAAACTCACAGCACCAGGCTATATGAGACTGCCAGCTCTGGAATTATTTATAATACAGATGCTACTATTCTTTCTAAGTAAGCATTCAGGTTTTCATTGAAAAAATCTAAATATCTAAATAGGAGAATGGCTTAATACACTAAGTTAAATTAAAACTATAAACGAATCAGTTAAAAGTACAATAGCTCTATCTGAATTATATGGCTAGACCTCTGAGACATGTTGAGAGACAATGTTTGGAGCAGTAACCTCTGAGAAGGTGCTTCAGTCTGTCCAGGCTGATATAACAGAGTACCATAGATGAGGTGGCTTGTAAATAACAGAAGTTTACTTCTCACAGTTCTCAAGGCTGGAAGTCCCAGATCAGGGTGCCAGCATTGTTGGGTTCTGATGAGGACCCTCTTCTGGGTTAAAGACTTTTGACTTCTCTTTGTATCCTCCCATGACCGAGAAAAAAAAAAAAAAGGAAGAGAGCTCTCTGGGTTCCTTTTCATAAGGGCATTATCACCCTCATGACCTAATCACCTCCCAAAAGACGTACCTCCTAAAACCATCACATATTTAGGGTTAGGATTTCAACATATGAATTTGGGCAGTTGGGGGAGAGAGGAAACACAAACATTCACTCCATAACAGAAGGGGAAGGGAGATAGATGGGACGCTTTGGTCAGAGAAATTTTTTAGATTTATCCATCCTAATTAACTATAGCAAAGCAAACTATTGCTATATCAACTGTATAATTTAAAAATAATTTTCATTATTTTTAAATAAGTTTAATTTCTAATTTATAAATGTTTTATGGGAAACTCTGTGTGTGTGTGTGTGTGTGTGTGTGTGTGTGTGTGTGTGTGACAGAGTCTTGCTCTGTTGCCCAGATTGGAGTGCAGTGGTATGATCTTGGCTCACTGCAACCTCCACCTCCCGGGTTCAAGTGATTCTCCTATCTCAGCCTCCCAAGTAGCTGAGATTACAGGCGTGTGCCACCATGCCTGGATAGTTTTTGTATTTTTAGTAGAGACAAGGTTTCACCACGTTGGCCAGGCTGGTCTTAAAAGTGCTAGGATTACAGATATGAGCCACTGCACCCAGCCATGGGAAACTTTCTTGATCATGCATTCTTTTAAGCAAGCCATGATGAAACAATCGTGTTTATCAAATAATGTAAAATAAATTGATGTTTATCAAACAAACAGTATAAAACATTGAAACAAGATGGTTCTAGTTCCAGGTAAGAGAGAAAAAGCCCATTTCATTCTTTCTTCCCTAATGCAAACTAGTGACTAGTTTCTTATTTTCCCTCCAGTATACCCTCTCCTAGACTCAAGGTGGCCCCAAAATGAGAAAAGGACACTGGATGAGACACAGAGAACTTCATGAGAATCCCTCTAGCCCTGGTTCAAGGAGTGGGAAAGAGAAATTCTAATACTTACACACATGGGGAAAAATATCTGTTTTTTACATCTTTTCTCCATTCTCTCATGTCCCTGTCCACAGGAAATCCCATAGTGGTGGTGTTAGTGATAGTGGCAGCAACAGGGGCTTACAGATAACTAAAATTCTGAAAGATGGGAAACTTATCTCTAATCAAGATAATTAATTAGGAATGGAAAGCATATTCCATTTTTCTCTCTCTTCTACTACTTGACCCTGAATGAAGGCATCGTGGATGGAAGTGGCTGGAAGTATGCAACACAGGGGATAAGTAGAGCCAAAGTTTTCTAGCAAGATGACCTAAAGGAGAACACCAAGGAACTGGAAGATTCTAAGGAGATTATGAAAAAAGAGGCACATGGGATAGAAATCCCATCAAGTTGTCTATGAACTTCTGGGCTCATGCCCAAAATATGCATGCATATATCTGACCCTAAACAGCACACCAAAGACTTTAAGAATTGACCTATTGGATGGACCATAATCACCTCCCAGACTGGCTACTGGGTCATGCACACACAGGAAAGATCTACATAGCACTGAAAAATCCTCAAAAGCAGAACTGGCATTAAAACCAAAACCCACACAAGGCTGGTGAAAACCATCTACATGCATCCAACCAAGTCAATTGCTGGCTAAAACAAAAATATTAATATTACATAGATTACAAAACCCGAAATCTCATAATGTTTAAAATGTCCTTAGCATATGAAAAACTAAAAAAATCTCAGCTTGCGTGGAAAAAAGACATTAAACATGTACCAACACTGAGATATCACACATGTAGACATTATGTGACAAAGACTTCAAAGCAGCTATCGTGATGATGTAACAAAAAGTAAGGGCAAACACTCTTTCAACAAATAAAAAGATATACAGTCTCTCCCAAAGAAACAGAAGATATATAGAACTAAATTAAGAGTTTAAAACTGAAAAATACATTGACAAACAAGAAATAGCAACACTGCCTCAATAAAATAGAAAGAGGAGTCAGTGGATTTAAAGTTAGATCAATGGAAATTATCTAATCTTGGCCAGGTGCAGTGGCTCACGCCTGTAATCCCAGCAGTTTGGGAGGCCGAGGCGGGCGGATCATGAGGTCAGGAGATCGAGACCATCCTGGCTAACACAGGGAAACCCTGTCTCTACTAAAAAAATACAAAAAAATTAGCCAGGCATGGTGACAGGTGCCAGTAGTCCCAGCTACTCCGGAAGCTGAGGCAGGAGAATGGTGTGAACCCAGGAGGCGGAGCTTGCAGTGAACTGAGATCACACCACTGCACTTCAGCCTGGGCAACATAGTGAGACTCCATCTCAAAAACAAAAAAAAAGAAATTATCTAATCTTAAAAACAGAATAAAGAAAAATTTACAGTCTCATGGACCTGTGAAACAAGAATAAATTTATAATAATCATGTCACCAGTGCTTAAGAAGGAGAGAAAAAAGAGTGTGGTGCAGAAAAAAATTATTTGAAGATATAATAGAAGAAAACTTCTCAGGTCTGGTGAAAGGCAGAAACCTATAGATTCAAAAATTTCATCAAACCTCCAACAGAATAAATCCAAAGAAATTCCTACTGAGACATATAAAAATCAACTCAAATAACTAAACACAAAAAAAATAAAAATCCTGAAAACAATCAGAGGAAAATGGCACATTAATTATAGGGAAATAATTTGAATTGGTCATGAGTTTTCCCATCGGAAACCATAAAAGCCATAAGGAAGCAGAAATACATTTTTTAAATGCTGAAAGAAAAGAACTGTCACCTCAAGGCCAAGCACAGCAGTTCACACCTCTAATCCCAACACTTGGGGAGGCTGAGGTGGGCAGATGACCTGAGGCCAGGAATTCAAGGCCAGCCTGGCCAACATGGTGAAATCTTGTCTCTCCAAAAAATACAAAATTAGCCAGGTGTGGTGGTGGGCACCTGTAATCCCAGCTACTCGGGAGGCTGAGGAAGGAAAATTGCTTGAACCTGGGAGGTGGAGGCTGCAGTGAGCTTAGATCACACCACTGCACTCCAGCCTGGCCAACAGAGTAAGACCCTGTCTCAAAAAAAAAAAAAAAAAGAAAAAGAAAAAGAAAAGAAAAGAAACGTCACCTCAGATACCTATAGCTAATGAAAATTTCCTTCAGGAATAAAAATGAAATAAAGACATTCTCAGATAAAGGAAAGCTGGTAAGTCACAGCCAGCAGAACTACTGTGAAAAAATTTGTAAAAGCAGTTCTTCAGACAGAAAAGATAAAGTACCAAAGGAAACTTGGATCATCAAGAATAAAGGAAAAGCAGCAGAAATAGAAAATATCTGGGCAAATGTAATATGCTACTCCTCTCTCTAGACTCTTTAAAAATATGTCTGACAGTAGAAAACAAAAATCATAACATTGTTCTTGGAGTTTTCAGTGTATACAGATGTAGTACACAAGATAACCACAACATAAATGGGAGGGAGTAAAGAGACTTATATGGTGATAAAGTTTCTGTATTTCACTTAGAGTGGTAAAATATTGTTTCTAAGTAGACTGTGAAAAACTAAATAAGTACATTGTAATCCCTAAACCAACCATTAAAAATAAATTATGAAAATATGTAGTAAAAAACACAATACATAACTTAAAATGAATACTAACAAATATTCAAATAACTCCAAATAAGGCAGGAAATGCTAAATGGGGGGAAAATAGAAGGAACAGACAGAAAAAGTAATAATAAAATGATAGACCTAAATCCAAACATATATGGTCTGAACACACTAATTTAAAAAACGAGAGGTTACAGGTAACAGAGGAATCTATCACAGTTGCAGAATACAAAATCAACACACACTAATCAGTTGCATTTCTATATAGCAGCAATGAATAATTTTAAAAAGAAATTAAGAAACCAATTTTATTTACCATAGCATCAAAAAGAATAAAATACTTAGGAATAAATTTTACCAAGGAGGCAAAATAGTTATACACTGAGAACTATAAAACAGTACTAAAAGAAATTTTAAAACACTTAAATAAGTAGAAAGACATCTTATGTTCATTGATTGGAAGACTTAATATTGCTAAGATGACAATACTACTTGAAGCAGTCTAGAAATCCAATGCCATCTCTATCAAAATCTCAATTACTTTTACTAAGAAATAGGAAGAAAAATCCTAAAATTCATGTAGACCCAAAATAGGCAAAAGAGTCATTAAAAGAACAAAGTAAGAAGACATATATTTTCTGATTTCAAGATTTACTACAAAGCTACAGCACTCAAAATAGTGTGGTACTGGCATAATGACAGGCATAGAGATCAATAAAATAGAATGGGGATCACAGAAACAAACTCTCACATATATGGCCAATAAATTTTTGGTTTTTTTTAGAAAAGGCCTCACTCTGTTGCTCAGGCCAGAGTGCAGTGACATGATCACAGCTCACTGCAGCCTCAACTTCCCAGGCTGAAGCAATCTGTCCACCTTAGTTTCCTGAGTAGCTGGGACCCCAGGCATGCACCACTATGCCTGTATAATTTCTTATTTTTGTATAGAGACAGGGTCTCACTATGTTGCCCAGGCTGGTCTCAAACTCCAGGGGTCAAGCAGTCCTCCTATCTCAGCCTCCCAAACTGCTGTGATCACAGGCATGAGCCACCATGCCTGGCTAGCCAGTGAATTTTTGACAAGGGTGCCAAGACCATTCAATGGGGAAAAGACAGTTTTTTCAACACATGGTGCTGGGAAAACCAGATAACCATATAAAAAAATGAAGTTGAACCCTCACCTAATACCATATAAGAAAATTAACTCAAAGTGGGTCAAAGAACTAAAAGTTAGAGCAAAAACAATAAAAGCCTTGGGAGAAAACATAAGGGAAAGGGTTCATAACATTAAATTTGGCAATAATTTCTTGTATTTGACACCAAAAGCAAAGAAAAAAGTAAAAACAGAAAAACTGTGCTATATCAAAATCTAAAACATCTGTGTTTCAAAGGACACAATCAACATAGTGAAAAAGCACCAATAAAGTGCAAGAAAATATGTGAAATCATATATCTGATAAGTAGTTAATGTTCAACATACATAAAAAGCTCATATAACTCAACAACAAAAATATGAAATGGCCTAATTAAAACAATGCTCAAAGAACTTGAGTAGCTATTTCTCCAAAGAAGATATACAAATGACCAATAAGATCATGAAAAGTTGCTCAAATTGCTAATCACTAGAGAAATGCAAATCAACACCAGAATAAGATATCACCTCACACCCATTAGGATGTCCAACATTATTAAATGTTGTAAACATTATTTACCATTAGGGAAATGCAAATTAAAACCACAATGAGCGTCACATCTATTAAAATGGCTAAAATAAAATACACTGGCCATACCAAGTGCTGACAAGCACATTGAGCTACTGGAACTCTCCTATATTCCTGGTGGCAATGCAAAATGGCACAGCCACTTTGGAAAATAGTGTGGCAGTTTCTTAATAAATTTAACATACACTTTGCCATATGACCCAACAATTGTACTCCTAGGTATTTACCCTAATTATAAATTATGTTCACATAAATACTTTTGCATAAATGTTTATAGCTGCTCTATTCATAATTGCCAAAAGCTGGAAGCAATCTAAATGTCCTTTAGTGGGTGAATGGCCAAACAGTGGTATGGAATAATACTACAGCAACAAAAAGGAATGAGGAATTGATATACACAATGTGGATGAATCTCAAAGGCATTATGCTGAGTGAAAGAACTGGTCACGAAAGTTATAAACTACATGATTCTATTTGTATGACATTCTCAAAAAGACGTAATCATAGTGGTAAAGTATGATAAGTGACTGCAAATGCTTAGGAGGTCTGGGGAGGGTGATGAGAACAGGCAGCCTGAGGGAGCTTTTTAGTGAAGAAACAATTCTGTATCCTGATAATGGTGGTGGCTATGTGAATATATACCTGTGTTAAAACTATAGAATTGTACATCAAAAAAGTCTAAAAAGTTGATGGCAGTTCTTAATCAAGCTTATATGTAATCTATATTTTTTCAACTATTTTTGTCATTTAGTAATTAGAATCAACTATCAAATAAATGTGTGTCCCTACTGGGAATTTCTGTATCCTTGAAATGCTGTTAGTTTTCTGACCAGCCTTTATAATATTCCAAGGAACATAAAATGAATATGTTTTGAAGAATCAGGAGCTTAACACGAGGGTGTCTAAGATGCATCTATATTACCAACACCTATATCTATAACTGCTACTTTGGTTTTTTCCACAAGATTTAATATATGAAAAAGATACACTCTAGAATTCCATAAATTTAGTGTAATTTTTTGTCAAATATTTCTTCTTAAGTTTTGAGCCTTGTGGGTTAGTTTTAGGAAACTGAAATGTTCTCACTGCTTTCAATATTTAATAGTCAATACTTGTTTACCAATTAAAATAAAGAAGCAGTTTATGATATATATAGATAACATGTATTTTGTGAATTTCTATAGGCTAAAAATTTGTACTATCCATCAACAGAAATAATTCCTTTGCTGTAGGCCAGGCATGGTGGCTTACACCTTTAATCCTAGCACTTTGGGAGGCCAAGGCAGAACTTCTTTAGCCCAGAAGTTCAAGACCAGTCTGGGCAACATAGTGACAGCCCATCTCTACAGAAATTTTTTTTAAAAATTACCTGGACATGGTGGCACATGCCTGTAGTCCCAGCTACGTGAGTGGCTGAAGAATTGCTTGAGCCCAGGAGGTCAAGTCTGCAGTGAGCCAAGATCATGCCACTACACTCCAGCCTGGGTGACAGAGCAAGACCCTGTCTCAAATAAAAAAAAAAATTTAAAAATAATAATTCCTTTGCTGTGGTTCTTGCAAGCATTGCTCATGTTCCCACCTTTTCCCCTTTAAATGTGACCTTTAAGTTTAAAAAAAGTCTAATGTCTTTACCCTTTATAGAACACCAAATACCTTTTATAAAAAGCTTAACTTGAGCATAATTGTACTTTTTAGAAAATCATATTCTCTGTGAAAAAAAAATTCCAGCTAATCATTTTTCACTGGTTTAATTACTTTCTACCAAAACAAAAGAAACAACAAAGCCCCTTTAACATCAATAGAAACCCAACAATGACAAGTCTAACCATACCACAAATCAAAAGCAGATTGGCAGAAGACGACTTGCCCCAAGAAAGAAGCAGTCTATGCTGCTGAGCTCTTTCAGCAATTCCATCACCCAGATTCAGTTTTCTATCAAATATACATTCTATTATTCCAACGCTTATCTAAATATGTTCTGACCCAAACTTATTTTTATTTCTCACTAAAACAGCTTTCCATCCTCTTTGGCAATCATATTGATGCAGAAATTAAAAGAGAGAAACAGAATAAAGCAAGGGTTAAGTGAGAAACACAAGTTTTCCTCTACTTAGCCAGTTCACTTCAAGGACAGTTATAAGATAACACTATCTGAAAAGCTGAGGCCAAAGGAATATTCTCCAGACAGCCCCCTCTGGAGCAAAGTTGAAAAGAAAAACAAATTCCTTTACTGTCTCTCCTTCTCTGAACTAATAATTATGACCGCGTTTTACAAATGTCTGTATTTAGCCAGTTTCTGTTTTTATTTTGATGCAACTGCAAGTCCACTAGCTATGCAAGGCCACAAGTTATGCTAAGGCAACAGTTATGCTATAGATTACATGATCTGTCACTGTATGATTGATTGCTTTTGTTCTGCTTCTGTAAATTTGCTTATAAAAACCCCACTCAGTCTTTGTTCAATGCTCAGCTTTTCAGATATGAATCCACTGATCTGGTGTACACCCAAATAAATCCTCCTGTTCCCCATATCAGTCTCTCTAGTCCTCTGTCTCCTACAACAGTACTACTCTTAATCTAGTCTACTAAAATAAAAATATTTTAAGTATTTTATTCTTCTTTCATATTCAGTTTTTTCATCTGATTTTTTCCTTTTTGGAAATGCATCATTTATTTACCATTATCCTTGTTTCAGGCCCTTTTCTCTGTCAGATTGTATGATTCGAATAGCTTCCTAGCAAGTTCACCCTGGTTCCAACTGCATTCGATGTGCCAGAAATAATTCTACAGTTCTACTGTCTGGATGGCACTTCTCTGACCCCAGGATGAATTCCCTTACTTATCGAATTAATTCCAAACTACTCCACTTGACTTTGAAGAGTCTTCACAACTGCCACCCTACCCTTCTATCCATTATTCTCACTGGATTTTAGCTTCCCTCTCTGATCTGCCAAGAAACGCTAATCACTGTTTTAAGCATATACCATACTAAATCTCATCTTCATGCCATTGTTCACTGTAATCCATTGCTTAGGGAGCTGCCTTTTCCTAAAGGATCAGGTTGAGTTGCTCCTCCATTAAGCTCCTTATGGTCATTATAAGTGTATTTGAACCTTTTAGAACCCTGAAGGTAATTTACACAATAGGTCACAGAATTACACCCTAATTATTCCTATATTCTAATTTGAATATTAACTTTATATTTTTTCATAAATTTTTAAGTTCTTAGAGACAAGACTGGTTTTTAATGATGCAAGATAAATATGCAAAGAAAATAACTTTCTGATATAGCAGCAATAACAAATTATAAAATTTAATAAGAATGGCCAAGAGAGGTGACTCATGCCTGTAATCCCAGCACTTTGGGAGGCCAAGGCAGGTGGATTGCTTGAGGCCAGGAGCTTGAGACCAGCCTGGCCAACATGGTGAAACCTCGTCTCTACTAAAAATACAAAAATTAGCTGGGCATGGTGGCACACTCCTGTAATCCCAGCTATTTGGGAGGCTGAGGCAGGAGAATTGCTTGAACCCAGGAGGTGGAGGCTGCAGTGAACTGAGACTGCGCCACTCCACTCCAGCCTGGCAACAGAGTGAGACTCTGTACCATCCCCCCAAAAAAAAGTAAAAAGGAAAAGATCCCATTTATAATATCAAAATGATGGTATAGATACGAAGGTAAATGGAAAGAAAAATATGCATCAGAGAAAAACAGAAAAAAAAGGAGAGACATGACATAGTTATTGTGGGAGACTTAATACTCTAAAAGGTCAATATCCCCCAAATTAATCTATTAGTATAAAATAACCTTTAAATATTCCATATTTTGACAAGCTATCTCTACCCCATTTAGGAAATAAATAATAAAAATTACCTAAATACTTTTAGAAAAAAATATAATATAGATTAACTTGCTCAAGCAGATAAAGCATTTTATCATTTTTTGGTAATTAAAACTGTGGTCTTGACATAACAATAGGAAAAATAAGAACAATGAGTCAAGAAGCAGAATTAATTAGGCATAATAATTTTTTTAATATAAGAAAATATCAGTTTAAATTTGATAAAAATGGGCTGCTCAATGTATGGCTGACAGCCTTATCTCCTAACTCTCATACTGAATACAAAAAGAACTATCAAGCAGATGAAAATTAGACTAAACCTTAGAAAATAAAACTAATAATTCCACTTTCTGAAATTTTGGTAATAGCAAAACAATTTAAAAATGACTGCATATTGATCATGGTAGAAGTACTTAAATAAATTATAGGATAAACACTATGCAATACCATTTAGCCACTAAAAGGAGTAAGGCAGACTTATCTGTACTGACATTTTACATTTCCAAGAAAGTAAAAAGAATAAGGCAGACTTATTTGTACTGACATTTAAAGTTTCAAAGACATCCTGTTGCATGGAAAAAGCAAGCAAAATAAGCAAACCTGTACTTGGATATCATTTATGGCTTTATAATGAGATCTACAGACGTGTGTAAATGCGTAGAGAAAGAGCTAGAATGCTGAGTGCTAAGCAGTGAATGTGGTTGCCCAGGCAGGCAAGGTAGGAGTGTGTGTGCAGTGAGGGGTTGGACAAGGAAAGTAGACCTTCATGTTTCACTGCAAGTTCTTCGGTATAGTCTAAACCTATGACATGGTAAAAAAGAGAAATACGTTTAATTAATTCATACCAAAGAACTTACAGGAAAATGGTACCATTGTCTGTTAGTAGACATGACATACCCAAACACACAAATCTTTAAAAGGAAAATACTGACAGATTAGATCATATAAAAATGTAAAATCTCTCTAGGTCGAAAAAACCCAAAAACAAGGTTAAGCTATAAGTCACATCTAATATAAATATTTTAAAATGTAAAACAGATAAAGTACAAATAGTCAGAATATATAAAGAATTATTATGAATAACCAAAAGACCAACAGCCCAATAAAAAATGGGTATCTAATATAAACAGACAATTTAGACACACAGCAACTAAATTACACATGGCACATATAAAAAAGATATTCAGACTCTCTGCTTACAAGAAAAATGTATATTAAAATAGTGAGTTTTGCCCATCAGATACACAAATTGTTTTAATATACTGATACTATTGCTCTCTTCCTCCCGCTCCCGCCATGTGACATGTAAGCTCCTGCTTGGCCTTCTGAGCAGGAAGCTTCCAGAGACCTCCCCAGAAACAGATGCCAGTGCTATACTTCCTGTATAGCCTTCAGAACCATGAGTCATTTAAACTTCTTTTCTTTTCCTTTTTTTTTTTTTTGAGATGGAGCCTCACTCTGTCACCCAGGCTGGAGTGCAGTGGCATAATCTCAGCTCACTGCAACCTCCACCTCCCAGGTTCAAGTAATTCTCATGCCTCTGCCTCCCCCAGTAGCTGGGATTACAGGCATGTGCCACCACGTCCAGCTAATTTTTTTTTGTATGTTTAGTAGAGACGGGGTTTCAGAATATTGGCCAGGCTGGTGTCATACTCCCGACCTCAAGTGATCCATCTGCTCAGCCTCCCAAAGTGCTGAGATTACAGGTGTGAGCCAACACACCCAGCCGAAATCTCTTTTCTTTATAAATTTTTTAAAAATTGATAATATTGAAATTTGGTAATAGCTAACAGTAATGAAGTTTTTGGGCAGGTACAAATTAATTTAACCTTTTGAGAATACAATTTCGCAGTATTATTACAACATATAAATGACCTACACATTAACCTAGAAATTCTATTTCTATCCATCTATCCTTAAAGAAATAATCACATAAGTTAAATAGATATGATTCCAAGGATATTTAATGCGATAGTGTATATGACAGCAAGTAATTGGAAGCAACCTAAATGTTCATCAATACTGTCATAAATACAGATTATCCATATTAGGGAATACTGCAATCACATCTTTATGTTACATCGTTAAGCAGAAAACAAATCACAGGAAGAAAAAAAGTGTACTGAACTCCTGCCTGTGTTGGCAAAAGATACTGCATCTATGCAATGTGGGCGGAATGTGCCTCCCCAAAGTTCATATGTTGAGGCCCTAACCCCAGGACCTCAAGAGGTGACTGATTTGCAGGTAATTAAGTTTAAATGAAGCTGTTAGGGTGGGCCCTAATCCCATCTTACCAGTGTGCTCATTACAAAGAGGAAATGTAGACACACAGAGGCCACAGAGGCACTGGAGATGAGTGCTTACAGAGAAAAGAACACCTGCAAGCCAAGCAGAGAGGCCTTAAGATAAATTGAATCTGTGACACCCTCACATTGAACTTTCAGGATGGTGAGAAAGTTTGGCTGTTTACGCCAGCCAGCCTGGGATATTTTGTTATTGCAGCCCTAGCAAACTAAGACACATAAGGATTTTAGGAAGATGCACACCCACTGAAAATAGAGGTCACCTCTGAAGAGTCACCTCTAGCGTTCTGGAATGAGAGGGAAGAAAGGAAAAAGATCAAAAAGTAAATTTGACTGTATATGCTTTCATATTGCTACAAATGCTCAGATATTTATTTTCTTCATAATTAAAAGAGAAAGAAAAGGAATATCACTCAGAGAAGTAGTGAGAATATTTGTAGGTGGAACGTAACACAATGGTGTACTCATGACCTAATTTTCTAAGCAGAGTAGAATGTAGACAGTATGTTTTGAGTTTATTTATACAGGAATCTCTTAGAGGTTATATATAGGGTACACCATTTTGGAAAGACTTAAATTATCACTTCTTATTTTCAGAAGGTACGTTTTCAAAAAAAGAAAACTCACTAACAAATCTAATTTTAAGTCAGACGACCCTCTCAGATTCTCTGCTCTGTTTCCATTGCACATTGTGTAAAATCTGGGTTATTCAGTATAAAATACAGCCTGCACATATGAAATCAGAAATATCTCTACTCCACAAAGGGCAGCAGAGTGCACAACAAAGCTCTCCTCACTCAATCACACACTATTTATATTACCTGACAGAATGCAGATTCTGATGAGTGATCTTGACCGGACAGTTAGTTCCAAGAATTTGCTTTATGCTTAGATGACTAAAGGACTAATTCAAAAAACAGAGGCAGAGGGATGAGCAAGTCACCACCTCCCACACTAAAACAGTTGAAACTTCACATTGTCAGCTAGAAGCACAATTACATGGAAACTCATCAAATTTTCCAAATAATTCAGGGCCAGTTTTCATACAGTGTACTTCTCTATAGTAACTGTCACCTCCACCCCATCCCATCTCACCCTTGTGATTAGAGTTTTGAATACTGTAAATGCTACATATTTGCTAAACTAAATCTGATGTCTTTTTGCCAATATAAAACCTTGATCACTTTAGGCTGATCATTTCATATTACAATAATATTCAAAATCACAAAATAAAATACCAAAAAGCAAGGGAAAGAAAGTGAACCATCTAAAATAAAATATTTTTAAGTATAAGATAAATTTACATGTTTTTAACAAAAGTCTTGGGAAGTGATTATTTTCTTCTCTTCTCTATCATCTCTTCACATGAAAAGAATTAAGGTTATATTTTACTTTTAATGCACTGGAAATATCTTTGAGAGCTTACCATGTACCAGACACTGTGAAAGGAAATAAGAGAGGAAAAGCCCTCCAGGATGTCACTGAGTAACGCAGCGAGCCTATTACAGGATCACTGGGCTTGTAGGTGCACTGCACAGTAAGAGATCAACACACTGAGACAGCAGGTTGGCAGCAGAGAAAGAGTTTAATGATTGCAGGGCAGCTGAGAGAGGAAACATCAGGAACCCTCAAGTCATCTCCCCAGGAGTTCTGGGCTGGGGTTTTTACAGGGATCATGGAGGTTGAGGGTCATTGATTGGTCAGAGTAAGGGGGATGAAATCATCAGGATGTGGAAACCACATTCTTTGATGAGTCAGCTCCTCGTGGGGTTTTTCAGACCACCTGGTACGGTAGTTTCATGGATATGCTGGACCTGAAGGAATATCTCAAATCACAGTGCTTAAGTTGTTATCTATAAAGCAGTTAACAGGAACTATAACCTTGTGACAGGGACTGCATGATTCTGCGGCAATGGGCAGCAAACAGCTATCAGGAAAAGGTATTAGAGCAGTCAACCTCATGATGCATGCTGATGTATTGCAAACTGGGTTTATTTTCATTTCTCCTCTCCCTTCTTCCTGGATTAATTTTATAAAATTTACAGGGACAGTTTCAAGACTGTCAGTAGAGTCAGTAGAATGCAAGGTGAAGAATCATAGAACAGGCCTATGGCAAAGATGTGACCTCATTCACAGGAGAATGGGTGATTAATCTATTTGAAAAATAAAGGATTGAGGGAGAGGTGCAGAAAGGCCTTCACAGAAAGTATTAGCCTTGAACCTTGGTCAGTAGGGAGTAACTCTGCAAGCCTGAGTAAAGGACTTCCACGCAGAGGAAACACCTCACAAAAAGGTGGAGGTCTGTTCAGGTTGGGTTTGGTATTTATAAGTAGCGCTGGAGTCCAGGCATAGTGGCTCAGGCCTGTAACCCTAGCACTTTGGGAGGCCAAGGTAGGTGGATCATGAGGTCAGGAGTTCAAGACCAGCTTGGCCAACATGGTGAAACCCTGTCTCTACTAAAATTACAAAACTTAGCTGGCCGTGGTGATGTGTGCCTGTAATCCCAGCTACTTGGGAGGCTGAAGCAGGAGAATCGCTTGAACCTGGGACATGAAGATTACAGTGAGCTGAGATCCCACCACTGCACTCCAGACTGGGCGACACAGCGAGACTCCGTCATAAAAAAAAATAAAAAATAAAAATAAGTAGCGCTGGAAAGCTGGTACCTAGGCTGCAGGGAGGACAGTTACCTCATTTGTCTAGACAGAAAGAGGAACACGATCTCTGTGCAGCCCTTTCCCTCATTATAAATTTAACATTTCCTCCAAGAAAGGAAATTGCTAAGGGACCTGCATGTCATTAGGAGTCCCCCCTTCCTGCCTCCTGATTTATAGTACCATCTTTGCTTTTTCATTCATCCTGTCTGGTTTGTACAGCCCCACCCTCCACCTGACACACCTTTTCCAGGTCACTTGTCCTTTGTGAATAATTGCTTTCTTACTGACTGCATGGTGCCCCCTAGGGATGGCCCAGGGAGATTTCTCCGCACTGGACAAGGCCCTTTCCCTTGGCTCCACATCCAGCAGGATTGGACATCAGATGGTACACGCTATGCTAAGGAGGTAGCCTGGAGGAGGCCAGCAACAGAGAATCTGACTAGTCTGAAACACACAGATCACTGGCTGGATGGTGGGTAGAACTACAAGGGGTCAAAGCTAGAGGCTCATCATCTTTTTTTTTTTTTTTTTTTTGAGTCAGAGTCTCACTCTGTCGCCCAGGCTGGAGTGCAGTGGTGCGATCTTGGCTCACTGCAACCTCTGCCTCCTGGGTTCAAGTGATTCTCCTGTCTCTGCCTCCTGAGTAGCTGGGATTACAGGTGCACACCACCCAGCTAATTTTTTTGTATTTTTAGTAGAGACAGGGTTACACCATGTTGGCCAGGATGGTTTCGAACTCCTGACCTCAGGAGATCCGCCCACCTAAGCCTCCCAAAGTGCTAGGATTACAGGCGTGAGCCACCATGCCCGGCCTAGAGACTCATCTTCAAACTAGTTTTTATGGGAAATGACAACTTGTATTAATCTAAGGTAATAGGAATAAATGTGACAGATATTTGGAGGATAAATATCAATCTTCTTGAGGATGATTGCCCCCAGGAGATCACCCTGGAAAGCAGTTGTGATGATGCTCTTGGTGGAGTTCAGGAAAACGAGAGGTTCAGGGGAAATCTGCCTTTAGCTTGAGACACAGTGTTTGCAGTATAAGCCAAAATCATACAAAAATATGAACAAGGCAAATTATTTGAAAAGTTGAGCAATATATTTTGGACCTATGCACTATTACAACACTATGCCCCAAAACACCTGTATTATTATTCGCAGTCATTCTTTAAAAATTTGAGCTAAAATGAATATGAGTAGTGGCATTAATGTCAATATTTTACTAACTGCCAATTAAAATATTAAATTACATGTATACCATTTAGCAAATTATTAGTAATTTATTTTTAAAATTTATTAGTATTTATTTTAAATTAGTAATTTATTTTAAATTAGTAGTTTATTTTAATTTAAAATTTAAAATTTAAATTTATTTAAAGCTATGATGAAATCTTGGCACCCGAGGGAAAAATACCTAGAATTAATGATGTTTACTTTTTTCCACGTAATGTTAAACATCAAAAAGCAATTAATTCTCTAAAAATTACCTTTATAATGGCTATAAAAGGACATTGAAAATGTACCTAGCCCAAAGCAACCGTGACGTTTTTAGATACCAAATAGTACACTTCTTAACTATGAATAATGACACCAAAAAGTGTGCTAACAATTTCTAGAAAAACAAAACTTATAAATGTATTAAAATGTTTTTGAATAGAACTTTTAGGAAAAATAACTTGAGGTATTTCAACTACAATTATAACTACTGAGATCTTAATATTATATTATACTAATATATTACAATACTAAGATCAATTATAAATACTAAGATAATATAATTATAAGATCTTGGTCGTTTAATTATAGTCAATTCTCTTAACAGCCAGGGAATAAAAAATGTATTAATATTTTTCTGCATAAATATAAAAAATGCTCTTGAAAGAAGATTCAAGAGGAGGATTGCTTGAGCCCAGGAAGTGAAAGCTGCTGTGAGCTATGATCACACCACAGCACTCCAGCCTGGGCGACAGAGCAAGACCCTAGCTCCAAAATAAATAAATAAATAAATTTTTAAAATACAACTATAGCCAGGCGTGGTGGCTCATGCCTGTAGTCCCAACACTTTGGGAGGCCGAAGCGGGCAGATCACTTGAGGTCAGGTGTTTGAGACCAGCCTGACCAACTTGGTGAAACCCTGTCTCTATTAAAAATAGAAAAAAATTAGCTGAGCATGGTGGTGGGCACCTGTAATCCCAGCTACTTGGGAGGCTGAGGCAGGAGAATTGCTTGAACTCGGGAGGTGGAGGTTTCAGTGAGCCGAGATCATGCCATTGCACTCCAGCCTGGGCAACAAGAGTGAAACTCCGTCTCAAAAAAATTAAAAAAAAAAACAAAAATACAACTATAGTGTGTGAAGAACTTAATACTATGCATTTTATATACAGCAATATAATCTGTCCCTCAAAACAACATACAAGACTGTGAGGACTCTTATTGTTTCTATTTTACAAATTAACAAACTTGGTCCCAAGGGTGCAATTACCTTCCTTGAGTTACATAAGCAGGATTCTCATCAAGTTTATAAGGCCCAACATCCATTCCCACATCCATTAACAAACAATCCTGTGTCTGCTGGGTGGCAGGAACTGCTCTAGAGATGGAGCCTGAAACAGAGAACAAAAAAGGCAAGAATCCCTGCCCCAGAGGGGCTTACTTTCTAGCAGAAGAACAGGTAATAAATATGAAGATGGATGACATAAAATGGATAAAATAAACAGTGTGCTATGAGATAAAGCTAAATGCTTGGCGGGGGAAATGAACTAAGGAAGAGCCAGTGCCACGGGCCATATGAGCTGCAACTTCAGCCGGGATGGTCTGAGAAGGGTTTAGATGCCAAAGTGCCCTCTGAATGAACACTGAGAAGCCCTGAGTGAGAGCTTCATGAGGACACACCAGGGAAAAGCAATCCTGGCTGCAGAGCAGGAGCTGTGCCATGGCACCCAGAGAAAATATGGCCAGAGGTCAGGGAGCACCAAGGCGGCCAGGAGAGGGAAACTAGGAACAGGAGGTGGCATGTTGCTGGGTTTGAGAAGAGAAGCGACATGACTAGAAGTCAGTTGTCAAAAGTCGCTGAGGTTGCTGTGTAGACTGTGGAGGCAGGGGTGGGGCAACAGAGCCAACAGTCAGAGAGGTTGAAATAACCTAAGACATGACGGTGGCTTAGAACACAGTACTTCGCTCCTTAGAACATAGGAGTGCAGGGGTAAGAAGTCGTCAAATTATGGATATGTTGAAGGTAGAGGCAAGACAACATCCTGATTATTAAATTCGGGGCGTGAGAGTAAAAGAAAAGAATCAAGGATAACGTGGAATTTGGGACTCAGCCAACTGGCAGATCAGGTTGCCAATAGCTAGATGGGGAAGAATTTGGAGAATTTCAAGAGTGTGGTTTGGATCTATTTTGGAGATTTTACGTAGAAACCTGCATATGTGATTTAGAGGTTAAAGGAGAGGTCTGAGCTGAAAATCAAGATCTGGGAGTGACCACCACGTATTTGGTGTCTTATTCCATGAGCCTGGGTGTAGAGAGAGACAAGGTCGAAGGTTGGGGCGATGAAGAACAGCAGGAGAGGTGAGAAGAGGGAGGGCACCACGTCCTGGAAAGCCAGGTGAAGAAAGGGCCTCAAGGAGGAGTGGTGGCCAGCTGCGTGGGATGGGGATGGCCACTGGGGTGGGGGATGAGGGAGACTACCAAACCAGACTGCAAAGTACTTTATTATTATTATTATTTTTTCTTTATTTCATAGGACGAAGCGCATTAAAAGAGTATTTTCTAGAATAAGATTTCTATATTAATATGTTCGTATGTCAGCCAGGCACACTGGCTCACGCCTATAATCCCAGCACTTTGGGAGGCTGAAGCGGGCAGATCACGAGGCCTGGAGATCGAGACCATCCTGGCCAACATGGTAAAACCCCTTCTCTACTAAAAATACAAAAATTAGGCCGGGCTCAGTGGTTCACGCCTGTAATCCCAGCACTTTGGGAGGCCAAGGCGGGCGGATCACGAGGGCAGGAGATTGAGAACATCCTGGCTAACACGGTGAAACCCCGTCTCTACTAAAAGTACAAAAAATTAGCCGGGCGTGGTGGTGGGCGCCTGTAGTCCCAGCTACTCGGGAGGCTGAGGCAGGAGAATGGCGTGAACCCGGGAGGTGGGGCTTGCAGTGAGCCAAGATCGCACCACTGCACTCCAGCCTGGGCAACAGTGCAAGACTCCGTCTCAAAAAAAAAAAAAAATACAAAAATTAGCTGGGCATGGTGGCACGTGCCTGTAATCCTAGCTACTTGGGAGGCTGAGGCAGGAGAATTACTTGAACCAGGGAGTCAGAGGTTGCAGTGAGCCGAGATCACGCCACTGCACTCCAGCCTGGCGACAGAGCAAGACTTCATCACACACACACACACACAAAAAGTACATATGTTGATATAATAAAGAAGAGATACAAGCTCTGGGATCTGCCACCCAGCTTTCTCTTGCGAAGGGATGCTTTTCAGCCATTGTTGATTATTCAGCTTGGGGGTTATTCAAATACATTAAAAGTGTTTTATTTTTATTTATTTTAATTTTTTGTTTGTTTGTAAAATACAAATGAGGTCTCACTATGTGGCCCAGGCTTGTTTCAAACTCTTGAGCTCAAGTGATTCTCCCACCTCGGCCTCCCAAAGATGTGAGCCACTGTGCCCCATTGAATTAAAATGTTTTTAATCACCTTAAGAGGAAACCATGGAGTCATAGACTAAAACAACAGAATCCTGTAAAAAGTTTTTTATCTTTAAATTTTTTGTTTGTTTGTTTGTTTGTTTTTTTGAGATGGAGTCTCACTTTGTCACCCAGGCTAGAGTGCAGTGGCGCAATCTCAGCTCACGGCAACATCCACCTCCCGGGTTCAAGCAATTGTCGTGCCTCAGCCTCCCAAGTAGCTGGAATGACAGGTGCCTGCCACCACACCTGGCTAACATTTTGTATGTCTAGTAGAGATGGGGTTTCATCATGTTGGCCAGGCTGGTCTCGAACTCCTAACCTCAGGTGATCTACCTGCTTCTGCCTCCCAAAGTGCAGGGATTACAGGTGTGAGCCACCGCGCCCAGCCAAAAAAAAAAAAGTTTTTTATCTTTAAAAAAAAAAAAAAAGTCCTTCACACTGAATCTTTACCAAATCCCCTCTAAAACACAAAATTGGCTAGCTGAGGATTCACCTCCTCTCAGGTACAGCCCTACCAGGTACAGTTAGTAGATTTGCTAAAATAGAGGCAGAAGCAAGACTAAGGCAGAAAAGCGGTAACCCTGAATAACCCCCAAGCTGAATAATCAACAATGGCTGAAAAGCATCCCTTCGCAAGAGAAAGCTGGGTGGCAGACCCCAGAGCTTGTTATCTCTGCATGATCTCAGTCTCTCGCTGGCTGCCTGAATTTCACAGGCTCTTGGCCCTTCTGGTCTCCATTTCTTCATGCATAAAATGAGGTTAAAAAAAATAGAACTTCCAGTTCTAAAACTTCGTAATTCTCTACCAGCATAACAACATGATTGTCATTCAGAGCACTCTTCAAGGTTATATATCAATGAACTCCAGTCTTATATATGTTTTTTAAGCTCAGAATATCATTCTTATATTCCAATTCGACACTCCTGATAGCTTTATTTCCTAGGACACTTATTCTCTACGCAAATGGACTGTCTCATAAAGGTATTAGACAGATGTGACACTGTGGGATTGCTACATGCAGGGAATACTCAAATATTTACACCTTTTGCTTCCTCCCCAGAACCAGCAAATTCATGAAATTTACTAATAACAAGAGACAACTGCACCCAACTGTCAAAGCATGGAAATAGTGACATGGTATACAGCCTCCTGGGGCTGAAGCGCTAAATGAAATGTTTAGTTTTCTCTTCCAGCAAAGGGATCCTAAATATAGTATTTCAAGTTTTGTCTATTGATGTAGCAGAACTGAAAGAAAATCAAATCAAAATGAAACACAAAACTCATTACAGGTGAAAGCCAAGAGTTAGATGAAGATATTTTCACCTTCCAGAAATAAATAACAAAATGCAGATGCATGATTTATACACATTTACTTTCTGCACAAAATGAAATCAAGAAAACAATATATAACAAAAATGGATATCAGCACTTTAGTAAGTAAAAGTCGGAAATAAGAGCAACATTGGCTTTCGAGTTCTCATAAACTATCAGAAAATATTTATTAGCAAAAGTAATAAGCTACCACTTTGCCTAGCATTTTTTAAACATAGCTTAATAGGATGAAAAGGCAGTTCATCACGTCTACCACTTCCCAGGCACTCACTTATAAGGGGTTCAGACTCCATCATGAACAAAACAGGAAGTGATTCATGGGCACCAAACAGGGGACACCAGCAACACATGCAGATCGTGTGAGTTTTTATATGAGCAGTTAAAACTCCTAACATTTGCATGCCAATATTAATGTATTACCTTTTTTACCTTGTTTAAACATTACCTTGTTTAATCACTCAGCCAGTGCACCCACTGCCTGTTGAATGCTTACTAAGTTCTGGCTTTTGACAAGACACTGGGGAGACAGGGAGAAATGAGGTTGACACGGCCATCCTCCTTCAGAGTTGACACGTGACAGATTCTCAAACCAGCTCTCCCAGATTGACAGGGTGAGTATTACAGAAAAAACATGGGTCAAGCAATTGGCAAACGGCAGAGTCAAGACTTAAATTCAAGCCTTCTGATTCCAAGGCCAGAAGAACTTACCCTAGAGTCTACTTAATTTAAAAGACAGACCAGGTACTGAAGTAAAACGACCAGTGAGAGCCAAGGAACAGATATAAAACGGAGAGTTTGCAGTGTGATTTTGAGGATTATGCCTCATGTATAGTAAGGGCTGAGTCTAAGTGCTCAGTAGATACTGATGAATAAAGAATGTGTGGTATAAGATGTTGTTAACTTTAGGGAAAGCTGTTGACGGATCTAAGGAAAGTCTCTGTACTATCTTTGCAACTTTTCTGTAAATATGAAAACATTTGGCCAGGCACGGTGGCTCATGTCTGTGATCCCAACACTTTGGGAGACCAAAGCGGGATGATCACTTGGCTACAAGATTTCAAGACCAGTCTGGGCAACATAAGGAGACACTGTCTGTATAAAAAAAATTAAAAATTAACCAGGTGTGGTGATGTGTACCTGTAGTCCCAGCTACTCGGGACACTGAGGTGGGGGGCTTGCCTGAGCCCAGAAGGTCGAGGTTGCACTGAGCTCTGATTGTGCTACTGCACTCCAGCCTGGGTGACAGAGCAAGACCCTGTCTCAAAAACAAACAAATCACAATAACAACAACGAAAAAATTGAAACTAAAAAGATGAGTTTAAAAACGTAACATCTAGGGCCAGGTGCGGTGGCTTGCACCTGTAATCCCAGCACTATGGGAGGTTGAGATGGGAAGATCACTTGAGCCCAGGAGTTCAAGACCAACCTTGCAACATAGCAAGACTTTATCTCTACAAAAAATACAAAAATTAGCCAGGCATGGTGGTGCATGCTTGTAGTCCCAGCTACTCGGGAAGCTGAGGTGGGAGGATCACTTGAGCCTGCGAGGTCAAGGTTGCAGTTAGCTCTGACTGCACCACTGCACTCCAGCCAGATAACAGAGTGAGACCCTGTCTCAAAAAAAAAAAAAAAACAAACAAACAGATGACTAACACCACTACAACAATCAGACAACATCCAACTGTACTGTGATGGCAGAAAAGAGAGGAAAGAGCTTTTGACAAAAAAGTCATCTTTGTCATAATCTATCTAGCATCAGTTTTGGTGTTCAGCCTATTGTGGCCACAGAATTGTCGAAAGATGTCATTTAACTATTGCCAGAGGGCTTCATGCCATATCTACAAAACCTCTGGAAAATATTGGGCAATGCGGCCGGGTGCGGTGGCTCACACCTCTAATCCCAGCACTTTGGGAGGCCGAGGCAGGTGGATCATGAGGTCAGGAATTCGAGACCAACCTGGCCAACATGGTGAAACCCCATCTTTACTAGAAATACAAAAATTAGCCAGGAGTGGTGGCGTGTGCCTGTAATCCCAGCTACTTGGGAGGCTGAGGCAAGAGAATCGCTTGAACCCAGGAGGCGGAGGTTGCAGTGAGCCAAGGTCACACCACTGCAATCCAGCCTGGTGACAGAGTGAGAATCCATCTCAAAAAAAAAAAATTATATATATATATATATATGGCAATGCTTTCCACTTTTCTTGTTGGTTTTTAGGGAGTAAGATGACTCAGATTTAAAAGTAGCACGTTTCAAAGGGCATGTTATCATTATAAAAATAGTCTTCCACAATTTTTTGTGAAAACATAAATATTTGTATTTGTTACTTCAAAAGAAGAGCATGAGTCTCTGGTAAATTATTTAACTTTTCTAAGCCTTGGTTTCTTCATCTTTAAATGGGGATATCAGTAGTTTGTACTGAAGCCATCCTTATGAACTTTATAAAATTAATCAGCAAAGAAAGGAAAAATGAAAATAAGCCAAGCTTGCAGCACATCAGCATTCAGCATGAGGTCAGCTGCTCTCTGAACCCTTCCTCATAGCTGTTTGGTGCCCATTGCCCTAGAATCACACAGACCCTGTCACAAGATCATAGCTGCCTTTAACTGCTCTATAGGTAACAACTTGAACATTATGAAATGTTAAGTTTTCCCTTTGAGATTTTCCTTCAGGTACTGCATACCAATGCAACTCCTGACTCAGATGGTCAGAAGCACCCAAGAAGCTGACTCGCCCACGAATGCAGTTTCCACATCCTGATGATTTCATTTCCCTCCCCCAGCCAATCAACAACTCCAATTCTCCAGTCCCTCTCCCTCCATGATTTCCTTAAAAACCCCAGCCCAGAACTTCTGATGGATTTCGGGGTCTCTTCTCATCTCCTCTCTCAGTACCCTGCAGTCATTAAACTTGTTCTCTGCTGCAAAGCCTGCTGTCTCAATGTATTGATCTGCTCATGTGCAGCAGGCATATGAACCTGTCAGTCCTATAACAGTACTGCATAAAACTGTTGTAAGGTTAAATGAAATAATACAAAGCATTAGGCACAGTGCCTGCAACATGATGCTCTGGGACGCAAATCACTCATGTCCGAGTTGGAAGCAGGTCAGCACCCTGAACATCCTGATAAACCTGCACTCAGGGTAGGGTTACAGAAAGGAAAAGGGCTTTGCCCACACACATCAGAGCCCACCTGTCTTCAACCTCTACATCTCTACATCTCTCTACTTCACAGCTGAAAAAATAGAGGAAAGTTCATGAAAGCTTGGCCTGGAGTCCACTCTGGGAGAATGTCAGCAGTCCTGCTGAACCACAGTGAATGATGTTCCTGAGAGAGCTATAGGGACCATAGTTCCACAGGGGGGTTTCACTTATGGCAGAGAGGTGAGGAGTGATGTGATCGGTCACTGACCAGGATGAGCACGTTATTCATTTAATGATCTGTGAACTGATTCCTGGCAGTGATGTCAGTACTTTATAAAATTACTCACAAATTAATGTATCATGGTAACAATTGAAATTTTAACTGTGTTGTTAGAAGCCTGGCTTATTAAGCTTAACTATGGTAACTGATATTCACGCCTACTGAAACCAAGCACAACAAGGACTGCCTGTATTTGTTTTTGACTTATGTGTGCCAATAATGTGGGAAAATCTTAGGGAGAGTGTAGGACCTAATCCCTACCTCCTTCCTCCCATTTCCATGCAAAACCTTTCCTTTACCTGCTTGCCATGGTAGGTAGAATTCTGCTATGATGGTCAGCCAACCCTTAGTGCTCATAAATTGCCTTCATTTGAACAACATTTATTGAGTACACAATGTTCTACACACAAGGAGTATAGTGAAAAACAGGTAGAGATGGCCCCTTGCAAATGGAGCAGATATTTCAGTGGAGTCAGAAAACAAAATGAACAAATCCATCTAAAGCATGATTTCTAACTGTGAAACTCTCTTTGAAAAAATAGAAAAGGTGATGATAAAAGAGAGGCCTCTGTGGGTGGGGAGGAAGCTATTCAAGGTTGAAGGGTTAACAGAGACCCCTCTGAGATTCCGAATGAGCAAGCACCCTGCATGATGGGAAAGAAGTAGGTTACAGCAAATGAGAATAAAAATGCATTTGGAGTGTCTTAGAAAAGCAAGAATGGTGTCTGGGTCCCACGAGCAAGGAGTAGAGTAATAGGACATGAAATAGGAGAGCTGGGCCAGATCACGGGTTTCACAGGCCATGGCAAGGAGTTTGGGTTCATTCTAACTACAACAGGAAAACACTGAACATTTTTATGCAAAGGACTGGCAGGATAAGAGCTTTGTTTAGATGGAAATATATCTCTGATGGGTGACAAGCTGTTGCTAGTTGGAAATAGAAATGATAATTCTGTAGCTGAGCAGAGAGAAATAATTTGGGATGATGGGTGCCAGCCACACTGAGTAAGCCGAATTGGGACACTGCAGTGCAGGGATGGGGGATGTTCCAGGGTGCCAAGGACCAGCATGAAGACAATGGGCACCTTCTGGGCAGGAGGCAGAAACACACTGCCAATTTACCCTCCTGGCTGGGTGATCCTGGCCAGCAGCAATCATTGCACAGGAGACATAGAAGCTGCCTACCAAAATGGCATTCTTGCTACCCTGAAAATTGCTATTGTTTGGCATCCTTTTTTCATTTTTCATCCTTTGTCACTAACCCAGATCTCCTATACCCAATGGAGTTAGGAGGCAGCTAAGAAAGAAGATGTAGGAGTGAGAGGCAGGAGAAATGATCCCTTAACTCTGTTTCCAAAATCTCTGAAGGAAGTTGAATCTTTCCCCGGTGCTTTGACTCCTGAAAGTAAATCTGGAGTTCTGTAAACGTGGAAGAAATCAGACAGAGAATCTTTTCTATAATACTATAAAATTGTCACCCATTGTAGTGCCTAGGTGGCTTAGCTGGGCCCCCTCTCTGCTTTTGTTGCCCAATGTAATGCCTACATGACATAGCTAAATTCCTACTGGGCTTTAACTCTGCTTATTTTTAGGAAGCAGGATGCCTGTGGTCATTAGTTCCTTCTTAGAACTAAACTGGCTGAAACTGGTGAAACCCAGTATGGCCGCCTACTTGACCTCTGAAGAACCTCTAGCTTCATTATAATCCAATTTCTATGCTAAGTGACACTCCCACCAGCACCATGACAGCTGACAATCACTATGACAATAACCAGAAAAGACCAAGAAAGGACAAAAAAGGCAGCTCCCTGTTCTAGGAAAATCTTCATTGCTTCCCAAAAAAACCATGAATGTTCCTCCCCTTGCTCTTAATGCCCAACCCCTTCAGTGAAGATACCCTGAATTTGTAATTTCCTGGTTCTCAGAAACTGAGAAATTGATTTGCAAGCTACGGTCCCACTTCTCCAATTCCTTGGCCTTAGAATAAAGCCTGCACTGCTTGACACTTTCGGCTTTTTGTATTATCTTCACAACACTGAACAGGAAAGAGCCCTTTTTGGGGTATCCAGGACCCCCGGTGACAAAACGAGGTCCTTTTGTTAGCAGAACTCCTTTAGGTAGGGTGAGGGAATGGAGACTGCTTGGATTTTTGAAGTCAACCAAGCTCAGATTTAAATTCAAATTCATTTATTTGAACATCAGTTTCTACTTTGCGTGGAAAATGGGTTTTAGGATGACAATGTTCCTCTGGAGATCGAATGAGACAAATGCTATATATAGTATATGAAAATTTCTGCACATAATGAGTGTTAAATAAATATTTAGTATATAAAATACAGAATATATGAAAATCCCAGGCCAGGTGTGGTGGTTCACACCTGTAATCCCAGCACTTTGGGAGGCTGTGGCGGGCAAATCACTTGAGGTCAGGAGTTCAAGACCGGCATGGCCAACATGGTGAAACGTTGTCTCTACTAAAAATACAAAAATTAGCCAGGTATGGTTTGTGGTAGATGCCTGTAATCCCAGCTACTCAGGAGGTTGAGGCAGGAGAATCACTTGAACCCAGGAGGTGGAGGTTGTAGTGAGCCGAGATTGCACCACTGAACTCCAGCCTGGGCGTCAGAGCCAGACTGTGTCACAAAAAAAAAAAAAAAAAAAAAAGAAAAGAAAAGAAAAGAAAATCCCTGGCATCTAGTAAGTGTCCAATTAGATTGTCCTTCTTCCACTTGCCACCCATTTACTTCCCCTCCTTCCCTTGAACAGGATGCATGACAGGTCCAGACTATACTAAATTTTCCTTAGTATTAAAGTATTATTCTAAAGTTTAGCCTTTAGAATAAAGTTGGGGGGGAAGGAACAATTAGAAAGTCAATGGAAACATTCAACTTTGAGCAGTGCTGGGGGAGGCAGATAGAGGATCCAATCAATACTCCCTTTGTAGTGCTGTTTTGTGTAGCAGTTTGTTAAAATGATGGCTATCGCATTCAACCCTGTCCCAGCCCCGAAGCAGTAGTAGTCAATTCCATATGCACGAAGCACTTTGGCGCAGATGTTTTGTGAACTGCACTGGGGGGAAGAGGGCCCTCCAGGCAGGCAGGCTCATGAAAACATTCTAAACTTTTTAAAAGATCAAATGACTGTGAAATTGAGTTAAATGTTAAAATCAGAATGCCAAGCTAGTCAAGAATCTGGAATGGTCATCCAGCTAATGTCTTTCTGCCCAAACAGGTTAAGACCCCAAAGATTACTGACATTCAGTTGAACAGATATTTAATAGTACACATACTATATTCTAGATAATAAGCTATGCAGTGAGACTGCACACAAGGGGAGGGAAGAAGACTCTAAATATCTGGTAATAAATTACTTTTCCATTTAATAATCCTTATTAAAATTGTCTCTGACTCCTTATTATTATTATTTTTGAGACAAAAAATACAAAAATTAGCCAGGCACAGTGGCGTGCGCTTGTAATCCCAGCTATTCAGGAGGCTGAGGCAGGAGGATCTTGAACCCAGAAGGTGGAGGCTACAGTGAGCTGAGATCACGCCACTGCACTCCAGCCTGGGCAACAAGTAAGACTCCATCTCAAAAAATAAAATAAATAAAGAACTGAAACACTATCGATTATAAGGGGAAGTGTACTGATGTCTGCAATTTACTTTGAAATGAATAAAAAGCCAAGATGAGTTGATGGATGAGAAAGGGATGGACAGACTGATAGCCATGCAATAAAGTAACTATAGTAAAATATTAATTGTAAAATCTAGGTTGTGCATATATAGGTATATACTGTAAAATTCTTTCAACTTCTCTGCTAGAAGCTTCCTATGATAAAAATATGAAGAAAATGAATAATTATACTTCCTATACATTTAGAATTAATATAGCACTATATGAATAACATTATAAGCATTCACCTGGGATTGTCTACATCTTTCAAATCTTTGGCCATATTTGGCATTGCCAATCATGTTTCCAACCAGTCACCCCTCTTTATATTTGCATAGTTTATTTTTTCACCTATGTGCTCTCTATTCAAACTCATTAAGAGGCATCATGAGAATTATAGATCATGCTTCCATCTTTATGGTCATTTTGAAACCATATACTTGTCAACCCCCCACACTCACCCCCTCACCAGGACTGTGGTTTTTCCAGGACTATTTATCCTGTCTGATCTTTGCATAGGCAGTGGGAAAATGGCAGTCTCCTGGGTTGGTCAATGGCCAGCTTATTTGCCTGGGTGCCTAATTTCAACAGAGTCATCATGTTGAGATTATTTTTAGCCCCATAACTTTTTCAACCAGCAGGTACCTCACACACTAAATGGCTCCCTGCTCTTGCCTTTCTCAACAGGGTCTTCTAATGAAACTATTATATGTCTTACTTATGGTGTCACGATCAGTCAGAGGTAAAATGAAGAGAGAAATCCAAGCTTTCTGATTTCACAAAGGTCCTTCCCATTAGTCCCCACTCATCTAAATTGCCTTGAACTCATTTTAAAAAGAAAAAGAGAGTGCAGATAAGGAAACGGTTTGCCCTCATGTGACTAATTTAGACAAAATAAATATTATTTCCATGGTTACCTGTGCAAATAATGTTCTACAGGAATACATTCACTCCATCATCTTATGAAGTGCAGCAGGACTTCTGTGTAGTTAGAAGGCTGGTGTCTGTCAGTAAAGTTGTCATAGAAGGGACCAAATCCAGCAGCCTGGAGGCCAACAGCCAGGGGACATCAGGATTTTTAGATGAATAGACATGGATGGGGAGCGAGTGTCAGCTAGGAAAGGAGGGAGTAGAGTAATAAAAATGATGGTGAGACCAGTATTGTAATCTCTTCAGTTTTGTAATGCTATTTTCTTTCTTTCTTTCTTTCTTTTTTTTTTGAGATGGAGTTTCACTCTTTCCCTCAGGCTGGAATGAAGTGGCACAATCTCGGCTCACTGCAACCTCCGCCTCCCAAGTTCAAACAATTCTTCTGCCTCAGCCTTCCAAGTAGTTGGGATTATAGGTGCCTGCCACTACATTCAGCTAATTTTTGTATTTTTACTAGAGACAGGGTTTCGCCATGTTGGCCAGGCTGGCCTCAAACTCCTGATCTCAGGTGATCCGCCTGACTTGGCCTCTCAAAGTGCTGGGATTACAGGCGTGAGCCATCATGCCCGGCCTGTAATGCTATTTTCTGTAATCCTATAATATTGAAATGTCTTATTAATGACCATGAGCACATCTCAAAAGATTCCAAGCCTGAGAAGGAAACAGTGGGCAGTATAGGGTCGGTGAATGTGTGCAAACATACAGTTAGAGAGAAGGAATAAGTAAGTTTCCATAGCAGAGCAGGGTGACTAGAGTTAACAACAAGATATTGTATATTTCAAAATAGTTAGAAGACAGGATTTGAAATGCTCCCAACATGTAGAAAAGATAAATGTTTGAGATGATGGATATTCTAAATGTCCTGATTTGGTCATTACACATTGTATGCATGTATCAAAATATCACATGTACTCCATATATGTGTACAGTTATTATGTACCAATAAAAAAAGATATTTTCGGACATCCTTTGGTTCCTACCAAATCCACTTTCTTTTTTTTTTTTTTGAGACAGAGTTTCACTCTTGTTGCCCAGGCTGGAGCGCAATGGCTCCATCTCAGCTCACTGCAACCTCCACCTCCCGGGTTCAAGCAACTCTCCAGCCTCAGCCTTCGCAGTAGCTGGGATTACAGGCATGCGCCACCATGCCCGGCTAATTTTGTATTTTTAGTAGAGACAGGGTTTCTCCATGTTGGCCAGGCTGGTCACAAACTCCCGACCTCAGGTTATCCGCCCACCTCGGTCTCCCAAAGCGCTGAGATTATAGGCGTGAGCCACCGCGCCCTGCCCTAAATCCACTTTCTACAATGAATAAACTTATCTCTATCTTTGGTCTTTTGCCCTTTTGACTTATCACCTTGGTTAACACATGGTTTTCAATAGTCCTGGACCACCTTTGATTTAGGTTAATCCATTGCACTGTACCTTCTTCCCTTGTACTCATAATGCCCATGTTTCATCTTGGGCATTGTTTCCCTATCACATTCTCATAATTTACCTATTGATATTCATACATCAATATATACTTCCCTCTCTCCATCCTCATGGTAATCTACCAACCTTGTGGACAGTAACACATCTTGAATATAGGGATTCAGGATGTAGGGATGAGAACACAGAGCATGAAGTCAGAAGGCTAGTTCATCTCTCGGCTCATCTTCTTTCTACGTGGGTGGCTTTGAAAAAGGTACAACCTGTTTCCTTTTTAAAAGGGGAAATAGACCGAGTGCTGTGGCTCACGCCTGTAATCCTATCACTTTGGTAGGCTGAGGCAGGCAGATCACTTGAGGTCAGGAGTTCAAGACGAGCCTGGCTAACATGGTAAGACCCCATCTCTACTAAAAATACAAAAATTAGCTGGGTGTGGTGGCGCACGCCTATAGTCCCAGCTACTTGGGAGGCTGAGGCACGAATCACTTGAACCTGGGAGGTGGAGGTTGCAGTGAGCCGAGATGGCATCACTGCACTCCAGCCTGGGCAACAGAGTGAGATGCCATCTCAAAAATAATAATAATAAAATAAATAAAATAAAATAAAATAAAATAAAATAAAATAAAAGGGGAAATAATATTATTCTGCCATCCTTTAGAGTTGTCTTGATGGCCAAATGACATGATGTTTGTGAATTAGTTTGGGTTCCCCACATGCAGATTGAGACAAGAATTCAAACCCAAGTGAGGTAGGTTAAATAGGTTGCTCATAGCCTCGCCTAAGTGGGAACAAACTTACCAAATTGATGGAGAGAACAAACTGCCTAACAGTGCACAAACCACATCCTGGGCTCATGGTTAGAACATCCTGCAGTGAGGAGGTAGAAGGGCAGACGGGAAAATTCACAAATTCGCATGAACACAGAAACCCAACATTAGTGTCCTTGAGCTGACCTGTGTTCATTATAATAGTAAAAAACACACCCTTGGGTGGAGAATTAAAATGCTAATGAGACATCCAATATATGTAGTAGCCTGTATGGCCACTGCACATGCAGACTTGGGAAACCATCTGCAACACGCTCAACAGCAACACCACTTCTCACCCCTTTGAATAATCATGCGCATCTCCCATAACGGGTAGTACTTCAGTGTCACATGGCGCTGTCTCCTTCTCATGCACCCAGCTATCAGAGTTACTTTCACTTTGCAATAAACTTCTTTACCTACTTTCACATTGAAGTCACTCTCAATTTTTTTTATTTATTTCTTTTTTATTTTATTCATTTATTTTTATAGAGATGGGATCTCACTCAGGCTGGTCTTGAACTCCTAGGCTCAAGCAATCTTCCTGCCTTGGCCCCACAAAGTGCTGGAATTACAGGCATGAGCCACTGCGCCGATCACACTCTCAAATTATGTTGTGCCACGAAGTCAAGAACCCGAACTGGCCCACCAACAACACAAGTAGCTTCTGTGGAAGGGGCTGGAAACACCTCCTGGGGAAGGGAAGAAGTGGTCCTGGAATGGAAAGCAGGACTTAAAGGGCAGCACATACATTCTATGTGGGCACCTGGGGTTTTCTCCTTCAAGAAAACTCTTTTTTAAAAAAAGCGAAAAACACACATCTCACAGCTGCCCTACCTGAGATGTAAGGAAGCCAGGCTGCTGCTGGGGAATGTTTTGGGGGAGTTAGCTCCCCAGCAGTTTCAGCCTGCCCTGCATCTGGACAGGCTCTTTCTGGGCTTCTAGGGTGCACTGCAGTGGTGAGGGCTGAGGGGTGTGGCATAAATTGTGTCATGATTATTATTCCTTAAAATCCCTATCATTTGAGTCCCAGGCACCTCCTCAGCCTGTGCTTGCTACTCTCCTTGCTGCTAATTCTTCAAGACCCTCCTTGCACGCTGTCACAGCTGCCAAGAATCTTCATCTCCCCTCCACTTCATCCACCCAGAAATAGATGAAGCCATCTACTGCTTAGACCTTCTCCACCTCCACCATCTTTAACTCTGACATTTTCTTCTTTGTTTATAGTCAATTATCTCTTGGCCTTTCCTGCTTTCTCACTCCTTCTGAACCTCATTTTCATCTTTCCTAATCCCTGCTTGTTCCTTATTTTCATAGGCCCAGGAGGACACTCTTGGTTTCATCTGCCTCCTAACCTACCAGATGGTCAGTGGGTTAGTCTACATTCCAGAGGGCAACCTAGAATTCCACAGTCTATTGATCTTCTAACAATTCATATTACCAATTCCCAAACTTCGCTGCTTCTTGTGTGTTCTCAGTGTCTTAGAGCATTATGCTCAGTATCTTTGCACCAAAATTACCGCTTAAAGTTTCTCTCATATCAGCATTAAGAGATGTGATGAATTAAAAAAAGAATAACTACTACACTATATCAGACAGATTTATACAAACTGTTAATAGGTATCTTGCTAAAGTAACATTTCAAGACCAAATAATTTGGGCAAATTATTGACTAAACAAGACGTAAAGGCACATTATCATCTAACTTCTCAGAGCTATGAAATAGGCTCACATGTCTTAAGAATATTTTCAACCTAAATAACAGAGAGAGGCTCTCTAGAAGAAGATGTTTATTAGGGAATAGAACATTGCAATGGGCATATACATGCCATAGCAAACTATTAATATATGTGTCAGGGAGGTAAAAGAAGGCAAAGATTTCTAAAGAAAAAAATGAGGACTACATAATTGTTTTTGAAATACTTATCTTTGGTTACAAAGATCAATGACAAGGGTGACACCAGTACAAGTTTGGACAGGCAGTTGCTGGGCAGATATTCTTGTATATATTTTTTGTACAGTTGCAATGGGTTGTGTGCCAGGTTGTGGTTTTTGTATAGTCTTTTTCATTATCGAGCACACAAGTGTCAGAACCCCTTCTTTATGGTTTTTGTTGGCTCCATTTGTCAGGGTTTTCTTAACATTCATGACTCCATTTTGATTCTGACAACTTTCACAATAATTAAGAAGATACAGTTGGCAAAGTTCCCAAAGTTATTTGACTCAAGGTTCCACAGAGTAAGTTTTGGGAAACACTAATTTATTATGATCATAAATCACTACATATCTCAACATTGTGGGACCAGGTGCATGATGTCTGGCTATTTTGTGTAGCTGGGCAACAGGGGCTTGTGAACACTGCCATCCCAAAAGAGAGAGATATTTTGACGGGGTTTGTTTTTTTTCAGCTGTATTCATAGACAATAGAAATCATTCCCCTAAACTTGAAGCATTTCTCTAAACTTGATGGACAGAGCATTCTGGTAATTTTCAAGCTGCGACAGTTTAGTGGAATTGGTCATTCAATCTCCAGAAACTTTTACCTTTGTTCCTTAAAGACGTCCTACATTGTGATTATTGCTCTAGGCATTGTCCTTTCTTGCTAACCAAAATGTCCAATGGGATCTAATTAAACTTAAGAGGCTCTGTACGGCAAAAGAATTATCAACAGAATAAACAGACAACATAAAGAATAGGAGAAAATATTTGCAACTATGCATCTGACAAAGGCCTAATATCCAGGGTCTTTAAAAAGAAAAAAACGACCACATTAAAAAGTGTGTAAAGAACATGAACAGACACTTTTCTAAAGAAGACATACACATGGCCAACAAGCATATGAAAAAAGCTGGCCGGGTGTGCTGGCACATGCCTGTAATCCCAGCACTTTGGGAGGCCGAGGCCAGTGGATTGCTTAAGGTCAGGAGTTCAAGACCAGCCTGACCAACATAGTGAAACCCCATCTCTACTAAAAATACAAAAATTAGCTGGGCATGGTGGCAGACTCTTGTAATCCCAGCTATTCAGGAGGCTGAGACAGGAGAATTGCTTGAACCTGGGAGGTGGAGTTTGCAGTGAGCTAAGATGGCACCACCGCACTCCATCCTGGGCATCAGAGCAAGACTCCCTCTCAAAAAAAAAAAAAAAGAAAAAAGAAAAAAAGCTCAGAGTTCAGTCTGTGGCTGGGATTAGAGGTGGCTCACACCTCTAATCCCAGCACTTTGGGAGGCCCAGGTGGGTGGATCACTTGAGGCCAGGAGTTCGAGACTAACCTGGCCAACATGGTGAAACCCCATCTCTACAAAAATACAAAAATTAGCTGGGCATGGTGATATGCACCTGTAATCCCAACTACTCGGGAGGCTGAGGCAGGAGAATCGCTTGAACCCAGGAGGCAGAGGTTGCAGTGAGCTGAGATCGTGTCATTGCAACTCCATCCTGGGCGACAGAGCAAGACTCCATCTCAAAAACATAGGTTGATCTATTGTCTTTTTTCTTCTATTGTTTCAGATGAGAAATGAACTGTTAATATTGTTGCTTTGAGTTAAATATTTCTTAAAATCTAGGCAATACTATTCAGGACGTAAGCACAGGCAAAGATTTCATGACGAAAACACCAAAAGCAATTGCAACAAAAGCAAAAATTGACAAATAGAATCTAATTAAACTAAAGAGCTTCTGCGCAGCAAAACAAACTATCATCAGAGTGAACAGACAATCTACAGAATGGGAGAAAAATTTTGCAAGCTATCCATCTGACAAAGGTCTAACATCCAGAGTCGACAAGGAACTTAAATTTACAAGAAAAAAACAACCCCATTAAAAAGTGGGTAAAGGACATGAACAAAACACTTCTCAAAAGAAGACATTCATGCAGCCAACAAACATATGAAAGAAAGCTCAACATCACTGATCATTAGAGAAATGCATATCAAAACCGCAATGAGATACCATTTCACATGAGTCAGAATGACTACTATAAAAAAGTCAAAAAACAACAGATGCTGGCAAGGTTGCAGAGAAAAGGGAACATTTATACACTGTTGGTGGGAGTGTAAATTAGTTCAACCATTGCATTGTGGAAAGCAGTGTGGCAATTCCTCAAAAAGCTAAAAGAGAAGTGCCATTCAACCCAGCAATCCCATTACTGGGCATATACCTAGAGGAATATAAATCATTCTACCATAAAGACACATGCACATGAATGTTCATGGCAGTACTCTTCACAATAGGAAAGACATGGAATCAACCTAAATGCCCATCAATGAAACATTGAATAAAGAAAATAGGGTGCATATACACCATGGAGTACTATGCAGCCATAAAAAAGAACAAGATCTTGTCTTTTGCCAGAAGACGGATGGAGCTGGAGGCCATTATCCTCAGCAAACTAACACAGGAACAGAAAATTAATACCCCATGTTCTCACTTATAAGTCTGAGCTAAATAATGAGAACACATGGACACAAAGAGGCAAACAACAGACACTGGGGCCTTCTTGAGGTGGGAGGGTGGGAAGAGGGAGAGGAGCAGAAAAAATAACTATTGAGCACTAGGCTTAGTACCTGGGTGATGAAATAATCTGTACAACAAAACCCCGTGACACAAGTTTTCCTATATAACAAACCTGCGCATGCACCCCGAGTCTAAAAGTTAAAGAAAAATATGTCCTAGCCTTAACAGTCTGTGATTAAAACTGAAGTCAATGTCCAAAGTGCAGTAGTTCCTCTGCTTCCCATCTGTTTCACTAGCAAGAGAGAATCTCCTAATAGTTTTAAGAATCCCCCTAGCTTTCAACCCTCAGTACCACAAATGTTACCAACGTTTGTTCAAGAGTTGGTCCTCTGTGTGGCTTGCCTGTTGCCCATAGGGAGAGCCGGACTCGACACTCCCCTGTAGGTAGACTCTTCAACCAGTCTGCCAGTACCCCAGTGAAGGGCCTGCTTCCACAGCACCGCCATCAGGCTGCCAGCTATGTCTGCACGAAAGCCATGGGGGGACAGCGGAGATCAGATCAGATCAACGGCTCCTCTTGACCCATGGTGGTTCACGCACCATTGTTGTCTTGAACTCCTATGCTATCTGTGGCTGCTTTCTGAATACCCAGCAGGTCATAGATCTAAAGTCCCATCTGAGCCAGAAGCTTCATGGCCTATTCACTGGCACTAGAGCAGCAGATGCAGTTTTATGCAAACTCATCCATTTTGAGTTCTTCTGAAAAGTACAAAAGAAGATACCAGGCTGGGCTTAGTGGCTCACCCCTGTAATCCTAGCACTTTCAGAGGCCAAGGCGAGTGGATCACTTGAGGCCAGGAGTTTGAGACCAGCCTGGGTAACATGGTGAAACCCCATCTCTGTAAAAAATACAAAAATTAGCCAGGTGTAATGGTGTGCACCTGCAGTCCCAGCTCCTCTGGAGGCTGAGGTGGGAGGATCTCTTGAGCCCAGGAGGCGGACGCTGCAGTGATCCATGATTGCACCACTGCACTCCAGCCTGGGCGACAGAGTGAGACACTATTTCAAAAAAAAAAAAAGGAAAATACCTTACTTTGATGTCACCATGCTTGATCAGTGACATGGCCCAGAAAAACTGCCTGGAACTCAAGACTAAGGTGATCAAAGCCCTTTTATTCCCACTTGTAGCCATTCTCGTGGTAGCCACATACTAGCCCAGAAGTTTCCTCCAGAGATCTAAGCCCCTCCATTTACAGGAGGGATGCCAGTGCCATGCATTCACTACACCCTGGAGAGGAGTTTGGGGCCTAAAAAGGGTCAGGTAGATGTTTTCCACTATGGAGAAGACCCCTGACCTCCAAAGCAGATTTCATAAGCTGCCTCATTTGAGGCCTAATTCCCAAACTCAAATGATGAAGAAACAGTAGTCCTACATTTAAAAACTACCATTCAGAAGAAAAGAAAAATCATTCAGTAATGCAGGAGAGTGCAGGAATTAACTGGCTTGAGTGAAGCATAGCACAGTGCTGGCACATAACAAGTTCTTGTTCACTAGTCCTTGTAATAATGGTGAGTATCAATGCATCATTGAGAGTAAAACTCATCTTCCCAAAGGAGAGCAAGAGATTTCCGTGACAACTGCTCAGGAGGAATCGCTGGACCCATTCTCTTCTCTGCCTTGTAGAACACTGAGGTTGGTACACAAAGATGTGTGGATTAAAGCTGTGGTTTCTGCCATAAACTCTCTTCCCCAGGTTAAAAGAGGGGAAAAGATCACCACATTGACCAGCACATCATGCACTGATTTCATGCACTTGCCTGGTAAAGGGAGACACACCACTGACTAGTTCCCTAGGGGAAGAAGTCCGTGGGTGTGTATGGGGAGTTATGTACTAGAGAGTGGGTAGGTAAGTAACTGTATCTACACAAATTATGGAGTGAAGTTGCTCCCTGGATAGAATGAGTCTGAATAGCACTGGGGCAGGCTCACAATGAATTCCATTTCTTGCTTCGATATTGAAAACAGAGTAACAATAAGTTGTGTCTGGGCAAAGGACATATGGGAAAAGAAAGTGATCAACTTTCACTTTATAAGGAAAATTAACACATAAAGTTCTTAAATAATTTTCAGTCAAATAAATTCTTATGTGACTTTGGGGCTTCAGAGATGCTGGTAAAAAGTCAAGACCGTGAAGACCAAAGCTTTCCATGCTGGGCAGTTGCCCCGGGCAGTTTGCCTTAGGTGGAGGGAACCTGGAATGGAGGAGCAGGAGAACAGGTTAAGGGGCAGACAGGCAGACCCTGAGGGGAAGGGGGGCTTATTCTGTGCCCACCAGAGACCCCCAGAAGGAATGTGTCATGAGCTGGTGGCTTCTGAAAAGGTTCTTCTGAGGTTGAACTGGGGATGCACTGGACAACCTTGAGGCTGAAGATGGGGTCTATTTTGAATCATGAAATCAGCTAATTTCAACATACATGAGGTGTTTGGTACACAAAGAACTATGACGGATGTCAGCTGATGGATTCACCTTAGTCCACTTCTGAGTAGAAAGGCCTGTTCATGCCTCCTTTGTATGCAGAGAGTAGCCCTGGAAGTTTGTAGATCCACAGATGTCTTCGAGGCATTTTCCAGATAATAAAATATGATTGTAGCTCAAATGCACTAAAATCAACCTATAAGAAAAATCAAGAAAACAGACTTGGTGATAGTAATAATTTTTAGTGACCACTGGTAATTTATAAAACTATGTAATTTGTCATTAGCTACAAGAACTAATTAGATTAAGCACTGGTTTAGAGGACTTACTATGGGTCCTTCAGAGTAAACTCTTTGTAACAACATACTTTCCATACATGCTTATCTAATTATGTGCTAAAAAGATTCTAAAAATTCCCTGTACTAAAATTATGCATTCACCTATCTAAACATTACTTATCATGTGATGCTTAGATAGGTGAATGTGTGATTTAACTGTTCAAACTGATACACTTTTGCAAGTGAAAGTTACAGTTACATACAGAGAGAGTTACATAGTTATTCATTTGAGTTTCTTTGAAGATAAGCCTTTATAAAATAACACATACACATACACACACATACACACACACCAACTTTTCTTTCTCTATACTTTCTATTCCAGGTTTGACCTTTACTAATAACATTTAGTTTCTTTTGACTTTTTTTTTTTTTTTGAAATGGAGTCTTGCTCTGTCACCCAGGCTGGAGTGCAGTGGCCCAATCTTAGCTCACTGCAACCTCTGCCTCCCGGGTTCAAGCAGTTCTCCTGCCTCAGCCTCCCGAGTAGCTAGGATCACAGGTGTGTGCCACCACGCCCGGCTAATTTTTGTATTTTCAGTAGAGATGCAGTTTCACCATATTGGCCCGGCTGGTCTCGAACTCCTGATGCCAAGTGATCCACCCACCTGGGATTATAGGCATGAGCCACCATGCCTGGCCTCTTTTGACTTTTAAACAGTGGCTTGGAAAGCATTAAAGGTCTGTGCAAATATGTTTTAATAATCTTTCCTTTTCTTTACTGGGTTATTCAAAAATACTAATTTTACAGGTTAAATTTATTTACATTGTTTTGCACATTTTCTTTCTTTGAAAATATAGCTAAATTCTCACAAATTTTAAAATATGGGTAAGCTCAGCTTCATAGTACTACACACACTCTATCTCTCTCCCTCTCTGTCTCTTTCCCTCTCCCAATAGCTCTGGTCTACAGGGGTCATCTCTAGTCATCTGGTAGGTGGCCCTGGGAGGATTTAGGGCAGGGGGGATATTGGAGTGGTGTGTAAGAGTTAAATAAAGGGTTGTGGCTGGGAGTAGACTTGGGATTGGGTAGTTTGCACATAAAACACATGCTCCTGGCTAAGTTCTTTGTTGTCTCCAGAATTGGCCAGCCCTGGGAGGGGCAGTCTCTCTGGAGGCCAGCAAGATGTTTAAGATGGCCAACCATCCTAAGATGCAGAAAATTTTAGAACACATGATTAATGTAATTTCATGTTAAATTTAATATGTGTGTAGGTTTACTGAAACAAGAAAAAAATAGTAATTAATATTAAAAAATTTGCCAAATATTGAAAAGGGCTATGAGAAAGGCAATGACTATAAAGACATTCTTTCTACTATCTTCCCACTGTTTCTGAGATGTGAGTTCACATGACTACTGAATTGACAGTGTGGGATTAATTTCAATTCAGTCATCTTCTCAGTCTTTGTGCAAACTTTTGTGCAATTAATATAGCAACTGTCAGTTGTAGGAGCTGGGAAATTTTAAAAAATAAACAAATGCAGTCACTGTACTTTCAATGTCATTCTGTTATGAATAGGAACTGAATACTACTGCTGAGGAATGGTCTTGCAGCTAGCTCTTCCTCATCATCATGTACCCAAAGGCGCAAGACTCTGCAGGACAGAAAAAGAAATTCACAACTTCAAACTGTGTAGGTTACTAGAAACAGATTTCTAGGGAAAGTCCTACACTGGAAACCAAAAATCAAAAGTAATGGTCAAAGGCTTTTGAAGGTTGCTCTGGGCTCTGATCACACACATTTACATCCCTTTTGTAACTAAAACAAAAAAAAGGAAAAGAAAAATAATATGGCCAGTCACAATGGCTCACACCTATAATTTTAGGGTTTGGGAGGCCGAAGGTGGGAGGATCACTTAAGTCCAGGAGTTCTAGACAAGCCTGGGCAACACAGTAAGCCCCTGTCTCTGTAAAAAAATAAAAATTAGCCAGGCCTGGTGGCTCATCCCTATAGTTCCAGGTACTTGAAAGGATGAGGTGGGAGGATTGCTTGAGCCCAGGAGTTTGAGGCAGCAGTAAGCTATGATCACAACACTGTACTCCAGCCTGGGCAACAGAGTGAGACTCTGTCTCAAAAAAAAATTAAAATTAAAATTAAAATTAACATTGGCAAGTTTATGTTGGTAATCTTTCTTTTCTTTTTTTTTTTTCTTTATTTTGAGACAGAGTTTCACTCTTGTTGCCCAGGCTAGAGTGCAATGGCACCATCTCGGCTCACCACAACCTCCGCCTCCCGGGTTCAAGCGATTCTCCCGCCTCAGCATCCCTAGTAGCTGGGATTACAGGCATGTGCCACCACGTCCAGCTAATTTTGTATTTTTAGTAGAGACGGGGTTTCTTCATGTTGGTCAGGCTGGTCTCGAACTCCCAACCTCAGGTGATCCACCCATCTCAGCCTCCCAAAGTGCTGGGATTACAGGTGTGAGCCACCACGCCCGGCCTTGGTAATCTTTCACTGGATTTTATACTTTTTTTTTTTTTAAGAGATGAAGTCTCATTTTGTCACCCAGGCTGGAGTGCAGTGGTATAATAGCAGCTCATTGCAGCCTCAAACTCCTGGGCTCAAACGATCCTCCCACCTCAGCCCCCAAGTAGCTGAGATTACAGCACTTGGCTAGATTTTATACAGATTTTTACAAATTTGTATTCACTTCTTTTTCTGTAGCCTTCCAGGAATATGAAAACACAGAGCTTCTCTCTCTCTCCTTTTTTTCTTCTGTGTGTTTCCAGACTTTCAGAGCCAAAAGGATGTTCTTTTTCAATGGGAGCCTCTTCCATTCAGCCATCTATTTATTCAGTCATTGACTTATTCAACATTCATTTATGTGGTAGCTAGTAAGCTACAGGCACTATATTGTAATTTAGGGCACCATCAGTTTTCAAAATGTGAAAGTTTGAAGCTCACTTTGAAAAAAGAAAAAAAAATGAGGTTGAAAGCATCCAGTCAAGGGTGTGCACATAGAATCCAGCCTCCGCCACCTATTTGCTATGTGACCTTGGGCCAATGAGCTTTCCTCTCTGGGTCTCAGTTTCATCACCTGTAAAATGGAAAGAAAAATGTTGTATACATGAGATATGGGAGGCCAGGTGCGGTGGCTCACGCCTCTAATCCCAGTACTTTGGGAGGCTGAAGCGGGTGGATCACGAGGTCAGGAGTTCAAGACCAGCCTGGCCAAAATGGTGAAACCCCATCTCTACTAAAAATACAAAAATTATCTGGGTGTGCCTGTAATCCCAGCTACAAGGGAGGCTGTGGTAGAGAACTGCTTGAAACCGGGAGGCGGAGTTTGCAGCGGGCTGAGATCTTGCCACCACACTCCAGCCTGGGAGACAGAGCGAGACTCAGTCTCAAAAAAAAAAAAAAAAAAAGATATGGGATTATTGTGAAGAAATACAAGACTGTAGAATATGTGAAGCTCCCAGAACTTCCCTGCCAATCAGCAAATCTGAACACCTTTTGTTCTGGGTTCATAACTTTCACTACCCATATCCAGCTATAGTTTCTCTTCCCCAAAGGTGCTAGCAACACACCTTAGAGGATAATATTCATGTGCTCCACAAAGCTGTATAACAGCACCCGCTTAGTGCTGTTATAAAGTCTGATGGTAACTCCTGGAAAGCTACCTATGACCCTCTGCTTCTGTCTGAGCCCATCTTGCAGGCTGGGCTTCTAACTGCACAGAGTACTGGACTCCATTCCTTCCATTCCGTTTCATGCAGCAGACGAATCATTTTCTCCGAACACGCTGTGCACTTTCCTTGCTATGCTTGGGCTGCTGGCTTTTTTAGCACACCGTTCTCTGTCTTCTCAGTTTGTCGAAATTCTACTGACTCTTTCAGGACCTAGTGCTAAGATGATGTCCTCCCAAAAAGCAGCTCTGACTGCCCCACTTCTACCAAGCAAGGGCAGAACTCACCAGTCTTCATAGGGCTCCACATAACTTTGACCATACAGAGATTTGGAATCTTTTACCTCACAAGTGTCAAGAAGTTGCTAAATGAGGTTGTAACACTTGACAGGAATATCTTTAGGATGAAGATAGTTGCACCTTTGTGAGATTGCTTCTCTTCAAAAAAAAGGAGGGGTAAAATATTGCAGACCCTTTCGCAACAGGCCACCTCTTAGCTCCTTCTCCTCCAGCCTTGTGAAGTCTTTTGCACTTTTTTTTTGGAAAGAAAAACAGAGTATTCTGAATAAACTTCAGCTCTTCAGAGTAAATTAACCAGTATGTAGCCTTTGGATCAAATACCATACCCTCATTTGGAAGCACATCTGACATTTTCAATATTTTCCACTTCCCAACCAATCTATCTATTTAATATCACTTGAGCTCCCATTCCCTAAAAGGAGAAACTTTGTTGCACTTGTGACTTCTAACTACAGTTTCTTTGCCTATGTAATGTGTGTGTAATGTTTAACATACCTACGTAATGCTGTATTTTGGAAAATATTCGTTTATGCTATGGAAAAGACAAAAGCTGAAATGGGTGAGACTCATAAAATGAGTTAAGCCTAGAGAGGTAATAAGTTAGCATCCGTCAGGTCTGCTGAAGAGTTAAGTAGAACATTTGTGTGGAACACAGACAGAAAGGGATGGAAAGACTCAGTATTCAGCGGGGCTTGATAGGCAGTTCCTACTGTGATCCCAGCTACTCAGGAGCTGAGGTAGGAGAATGGGTTGAGGCCAGGAGTTCAGGACCAGCCTGGGCAACACAGCAAGACTCCTCTTTGGCTTCTTGAAATTCCTGTCTCCCTAAAATGTATAAAAGCAAGCTGTACCCTGACCACTTGGGGCATATGTTATCAGGACCTCCTGAGGCTGTGTCACTGGTGCATCCTTAACTTTGGCAAAATAAACTTTCTAAATTGATTGAGACGTGTCTCAGATACTTTTGGACTCACACTGTTCACCAATAAAAGGAACCAGAGCTTGTTGGAGAAATGGCTGATTCTAGGGCTGAGGCAGGAAATACTCAAGACAGGTGTATTAGGTCATTCTTGCATTGCTATAAAGACATACCTGAGGCTGCATAGTATACAAAGAGGTTGAATTGGCTCACTGTTCTTCAGCTTTATAGGAAGCATGGTGCTGATAGCTGCTTCCAGTGAGGCTTACAATCATGGCAGAAGTTGACAGGGAGCCAGCATGTCACATGGTAAGAGTAATGCAGGGAGGTGCCAGGCTCTTTTAAACAACCAGATCTAATGTAAGCTCACTCATCACCAAGAAGGTGGCACTAAGCCATTCATGAGGGATCCACCCCCATGTTCCAGTCACCTCCCACCACGCCCCATTTCAACATTGGCAATCACATTTCAGCATGAGATTTGGAGGCAACAAACATCCAAATTATATCAATAGGACAGAACTTTTTTTAAAAAAGATAAAAAAGGATTATCCAAAAAAAAAAAAGGCAGGATTACCTTGTAATGCCAGAAAGTGCTTCTCACACACACACACACACACACACACACACACACAAAAAGCAGTGGGAGTTTGTCAAAATGACACAAGATCCAACTGTGCTCATCAATGGCCAAAGCTGGAACAATTTAAAAAACCCAAACAAGGTGGCATTGGATGGTAACCCAAAATAAAAAAGAAATATGCATGAATCATATAAATAAATGACTGAATGAATTTAAAAGTGGAGAAGACTAGAAAACCTCCTGTGCAGAAGAGTCTGTATAATTTATGTAGATACTCTGCCCTCAGTAAGGTGAACTAGAGCTCTCCACTCTTTATTTTTATTTTTTAATTTTTGTTGAGACAGGGTCTCACTCTGTTACCCAGGCTGGAGTACAATGGCACAATCTTGGCTCACTGCAACCTCAACCTCCATGGGCTCAAGCGATCCATCTGCTTTGGCCTCCCAAAATGCTAAGACTACAGGCATGAGCCACCTTGCCCAGCCAACTCCCCACCCTTTAAAGGTTGGCTGTACATAGTGACTTCCAAAGAATACAACAATGAAAAGGGGAATAAAGACAGCAACTTTACTGTGGAAAAGCCTGACCCATACTACATCAGCCAATGGATCAAGGTCAGCATTGACACTAACAAGTCATGTTGATATGCACCCTTGGTATGATTTGATAAAAGTGTCACTTCCCCTCTGTGATCTTCCTCCCCAAAACACATAACCCCAGTCTAACCAAAAGAAAACATTTGCAAAATCCCAAACAAGGGACATTCTACAAAATACCTGACCGGTGCTCTTCAAAACTGCCACAATCATTAGAAACAAGGGAAATCTGAGAAACTGTCACAGCCAGGAGGAGCCTAAGGAGGCAGTGACTACATGGAATGTGGGATCCTGGACGGGATCCTGGAAGAGAAAAGCATCATTAGCCAAAAACTAGAGAAATCTGAATGATGAACACATGCACTTCAGCTAGGAAGAATGTCTCAATATTGGTTAATTAAGTGTAACAAATGCACCATACTCATGTAAGATGTTAATAACAGGGGAAACTGGATGTGGAGTATATGAGAGCTTTCTGTACTGTCTTCACTTTTCTTTTCTGGAGATTTTCTGTAAATCTACTTTAAAATGAAAGGTTCATTTTTTTAAGAAGCCTGAGATTTTAAGATACTAGACTTTCCAATAAGCAAAAGTTACTTTCAAACAATTTGGTTTTACATATGTTAAGAAAAGTGGTTTTTAAAAATGAATCACTTATTCACAAAGTTTCATTTTCCATCTGGGTTAACTCACACACATATCTGGCAGAGATAGACAATGAATTAAGAGGTTAGGATAGAGGAAAGTACTTTCTCATTGGACAAATTATTTTTGACAACTAAAACTTTGTAACCTGTCCCTATGCAGTGGAGGAATAGCAATTCTGATTCCAACAACCTTAATTCCACGTCTGTCCAAGGCTCCACCACAAAAGCAGAGCAGAGACTTGAGGCTATCAGAGCTTTTCCAAGCTTTGCAGCAGAGTGATGCACTAGTCCTTTGAAAGACAAAATTTCAGCTCTGCAAATAAAAGAGGAAATGATAATTTTAGAATGTGCATACGGCATAAACAACGTTAAAAGGTCAGGAACATGATCATACTTATCTGTAGGAGTATTTGCGTTTATTTGCACCTTGGTTTCTATATCATCACTTAGCACTGACAGGGAAGAATCCAGCTACTATTAATCATAATAACTTTTCACTTTTCCATCAATGTAAGAGTACAGAATGAAAATAAAATGTTGATATACAAGGGCTCATTTACGCACCACCTTGCCCTAGACAGGAGTTGATGTAACAACCTGGTTCACATACATTCATTGCTTTCTAACTGAAAGTGTGGACTGATGCTCTGGGCCGTCTAAGCACATTCCTTCTATTGTGTTACCTGGAGGCTCTAGCAACCCAGATATGAAACAAGCCATCACTATAAAGCTAACTCGTTTAATAAGAATGTGTGTTGCCATCGCTCTGGAATTGCTGTTAAGGTCTCACATTCTAAGTTCAGATCGTTGCCTAGGCCAGCCCTGTCTCACTTTTCTCACTGAAATGGTAAGAGAATGGGTCCCATCACCAACTACCCTCTCCCAGAATCCCCTCCTGCTATCCTCAGCAACAGAAAAAGAGACCAGACCCAGGGAGCAGAGGTGGCTGAAGAAGCTGTTCTTACTCTTCCCTGAAGGGGACCTTCCCTCCCTTTGGCCAGGGAGGAGGACCTCAGGGAGTCCCTTGTGAAGACTGGAGGCCTACGCTAGAAGAGGAGACCAGCATTTTGACTCTGGGTGGATGTCTGCTTACCATAGACTTGGAGAAGTTTTCCTGGGTACTGTAGCAGTGGAAAAGAAACGTAAAGAGAGACAATGTGGTAAAGAAATGCCAGCCAGCCCCCTTAGGAGACATGGAAGATCCCCCAGTGTCTGATGGCTTAAGGTTTTGGCCTCTAAAAAGTAGACACTGCAGCTACAGACTTCCCTGGACCACCTTATACACCAGAGAACTCGGCATGATGACCCCAGAAGAGAAGAACAAAGCTGTTCAAGGGCTGCAAAGCCCAAGAGAATTACAGAGAATAATTCCTTACCATGGGACATCGGAACAACATACAACCTTACTGTACTCACAGATAACTAATTCCAACAGCGGTTGGCACCACCCAAATTGAGGAGTGCGATGTGTCCCCAGCAGGCAACAATTTAAACATTCTCTTCTCCACTTTTCACTGTCCCAAGAAAATGGCAGGAGGAAAATCACCCACTGTTCTGGTCTGCCCTGGAGGAGGAAAGAAAAATTGCTTTGAAGTTTAAAAATAAAAAATCAAAACCAAAAAACAGGGTGTGAACTTTACATACTGGAATGCGTGTTCTGATATCTGACCCTGGAGGCTAAGGTATGGAGTACAGCCAGGGTGGCATTCAGGATGCTTCTCCCCAGTGGGAAATGTGATCTAATTTCTCTTATTTGAGAGACAGGTTTGGATAAAACACTTTTTATGTTTTTACTTCACACATTGAGGGTACTCAGCATACCAGTAATATCTACAAGAATTTAATGCCCAAGGGGATTTATACCATGTAGACAATTTTTATTATTTTTTATTACTTTTCTAGCAACTTTAAATACTTCTTTGTACAAAAAAAAAATGTAACAATAAATGGTGGCAACACAGATTTTTCTCTGCTCACCTCACAATAAGAAAATGCCAATATCGGCCAGGCACGGGGGCTCGCACTTCTAATCCCAGCACTTTGGGAAGCCAAGGTGGGTGGATCATTTGAGCTGAGAAGTTCTAGACAACCCTGGGCAACATGGCGAGACCCCTGTCTTTTTTTTTTCGTCTTTTTTTTTTTTTGAGACAGAGTTTTACTCTTGTCGCCCAGGCTGGAGTGCAATGGCACGATCTTGGCTCACCGAAACCTCCACCTCCTGGGTTCAAGCAATTCTCCTGCCTCAGCCTCCTGAGTAGCTGGGATCATAGGCATGCGCCACCATGCCTGGCTAATTTTTGTATTTTTAGTAGAGATTGGGTTTCACCATGTTGGCCAAGCTGGTCTTGAACTCCTGATCTCAGGTGAGCCACCTGTGTCGACCTCCCAGAGTGCTGGGATTACAGGTGTGAGCCACCGTGCCTGGCCGAGACCCCATCTTTAAAAAAGAAAAGAAAAAGAAAATGCCAATATCTTTAAAATTGGCTAAACTAATTTTATCCAAGGCCCTAGTATTTACCTCCAGTTTTGTCTTGAGATTTCTCCGAAGAGAGTGGCAACCCTCGCCCTGCCCCGATGGGACCAGGGGAAGCAGGCCTGGTTGTGGACAATGTGCCTTTCTCAGGATGCTGCCTCATCCAGAAGGATGCCCCCTGCCTATGTGTCCAAACTGTGACCAGGGTCCCCCTCACAGGAAACATGTTTATTCCAGTAGACGCCCTGTTGGCTCTTAGATGACCTCTGTCCAGTTTATTCCTACCAAGATAGCCACTCTCCAGGAGAGCCCTGACCAGGAGGAGAGTTGGGTCAAGTGTGCCGATCAGGGGAGACAGAGGAGACAGCATAAGAAAACACGTGAAATAACAGAGGTAGGGTTTTTCACACTCTTATTATTTTATTATCTTTTGCAAGAACACACAGGTAACAGAAGTAGTTTTTATTACTTCTCCCAGAGAAGAAGGCAGCACACCTCACAGGGCCAACAGGAAGAAGAAAGCTGTCTGGGACTTGTACACTCAGATTGTGGGTGGAGAACAAGAGAAAGAGAGACAAAGAGAGAGTGCGTGTGAGGGACCTGTGGGCTGAAGCCTTTACTGGGATCCAGGGCATTACCCAGGCAGATTTCCCCCAGGGAGTTCTACTTGGTGAGTTTAAAGTAAGCAGACGCAGTTCCAGGGAGTCATGCTGTGGCTGTGACTTGGTCACTATGGCATAACTGCATAGTCCAGGGGGTCAGTGGTGCCAGTCAAGTAGGCTGGATCCAGCTGTCTCATAGTGAGGTGGTCACCAGGAGGCAATGTTATAAGAAAAACCTGGGATTGTAATGTCCCTTCCCTAAACTGGGAAGGAGTCAAGATAATCAGAGAATGACTCTCACAAGTCCAGCTTGATAAGTAGATGAGTTTATTAGTACTGACATACAGGACACTCCTGGGCAGTGGCAGGAGAGCTCTAGAGATCTGCACCACCACCCAGTTCTAAGCTGCTTTTCAGCTAATTTTCTGGCTCTTTGCCTTCCGTGTGTGTGATGAGACTGTTTTCCCTGGTATGTTCGCAGCTATGCCCTGGGATATTTGGGTTCTCAGAGACACCTGCTCCTCAGCTGCACACCATGACCTTGACTCACTGCCCGGCCTTCAGGTTCAGGCAGCAGACATGCACCCTTAAGTAACCTGATGGGGGACCCATCACACTACAATCCACCCTGTCCCTCAACTCTCACATTTTTTTTCTGCCAATCTTGGACCACAGTCTCTGAGTGGGGTATGAGGGAAAGAATTATATGGGCCTATACCCTATAGCATTGGCTTGTGTGTACAAGTCACATCCACAGTACACACAACAGCATCAAAAGCAAAAGCTAACTACAGTGATCATGCCTATTAGCAAGACATAACTCCAATGAGTAGGTAAAGTGTATAACCAATTGAGAATGAGGTAAAGAAATCTAATTAGGTTTTATCATGGATCTGAATTGACAAATGATTTAAAATCATTTGTGGGCCGGGCGCGGTGGCTCGCGCCTATAATCCCAGCACTTTGGGAGACTGAGGCAGGTGGATTGCCTGAGCTCAGGAGTTTGAGACCAGCCTGGGTAACATAGTGAAACCCCGTCTCTGCTAAAAATACAAAAAATTAGCCGGGTGCGGTGGCACATGCCTGTAATCTTAGCTACTTGAGAGGCTGAGGCAGGAGAATTGCTTGAACCCAGGAGGCGGAGGTTGCAGTGAGCTGAGATCGAGCCATTGCACTCTAGCCAGGGTGACAGAGTGCAACTCTGTCTCAAAAAAAAAAAAAAGCATTTGTAACATTATTCTCTTTATCAAGGATATAGGCTCAACAGGTAGTGCCCATAAAGGCGTATGTTGTTGGGTCTCCATCACTTTGGCAATTGGGCCTCCAGGTGGATGCAGTCCCTACTGAGCCCAAGGTGCGTTACTCGTTCTGTTGAATCAGTCACTCCAGTTCCATTGGGAGAAATGCAGAGTATTTCAAGGCATATTATTATTATTTGACAGCAGGGAGGTATGCATATATGCTACAATCAGACTGGTTGCTGGCTGCTGCTATAATCAGCCCAGTCCAGGAAGGCATTACCAACTGTCATGGTTAGTAGGAGCAACAGCCTATGGAAGTGAACACAGGTATTTAATAGGGACCCTTATGGGTGTATCCACTTCTTGTAACATTATTACCACTATATTTTTTTCATGGGCCTTATTAGAGAGGTCACAATGGGCTTCAGGCCTGGCTTACCGTACCACACATGGCTTCCCTTTTAGGAGCAAGCATACTAGCCAATTGGTAAGTTTCCAGCCTTGCCTATACTGCCTGCCCTGTGAGCACTCCAGCAGATATTGGTGCTGCTGCGTGTTGGTATCATAAGGCTCTCAGATATCCATCAAGGAGCACAGCTGTGACCACCTCCCCTCCAGCAGTCTTCATGGCACCCTCCAGTGCCATAAAACTGATCCAGTTTGGAGGCACTGTCCAGCTCAACTTCAGATCTACATAGCCAGTTATGTTTAGCAGATCCATTGGTGCTCTCAGGAGCATGGTCTGACCACCTGCTTCAGGAGCATGACTCAGTGACTCAGAGGTAACCCTGAGAGTTTATGAGGTCTGTTTCACAGTCCGTGCCAACCAGTCACAGGATATGATGCCATGTGTGGTAGTGGGTGACTCATCTAACCTTTGTGTGACTTCAGGGAGATTCTTAGTCCAGGGATTTAAGTATGTACTTGGGTTAAAAACAATGCATGGAATTGGGACAGTGCATGTAATTGGGTTTTCAGCAAGCCATTCTTTTTTGTAGTGATGCCTGTGCCTGTTGGGTTATATGGTAAGTGGACCTCTGGTCTAAGTTTTGTTCTGATGCCCATTTTATCCATATGGTGTCAGTCTCCATTTGCATCACAACTGTTGACCATTGGTGTTGGTGCCTTTGCTAGACCCATCAGTGTACCGGGCCCTAGAGGGTCTCAGCAGGTCCCTTCGGACACAGTGGTTGGCCTGGTAGGTGGTTCCATTGCTATGCCAGTCCCCTCTACTTGTTTAAAGTGGATGGGTCCAAGCACCTCCTGCAGTGCCTGACTTAAAGGACTTACAGGCCTGACACGGCACCCCTTTATTATAGATAGGTGCGACTGTGTCACCCTGGAGGTAGGCTTAGCTAGAATGCCTTTCACCCACTCTTGAATGAGTGGCAGTTTTTACTGTGATGGTCTGCTTTCTGGTGATGGCCTCCGCTTGTTGCAATGGTCTATGTATGGCCAATAGCTGTTGCTCTAAAACTGTATAGCAAGATTCTGCTCCTTTCCATAATTGAGATCCAAGCCCTACAGCTACCATTTCCATTGGTTGCTTTTGCCACAAACCCCAATTCATCCCTGTGGCATCTCCAGTGACTTCTAATACAAGAGGGTGCTGTGGCAGTGGGGAACCTAGTGCTTGGGTTTGCTTTCCCAATAGTTTTACTTTGGCAAAAGCCTCTTGCTCTATGTGTGTCCAGTCCCACTTTTCAGCTTTTTATAATAGGGTGTGTAATGAGTGGAGGGTTTGTGCCAAATGAGAAATGAATATTGTTCAGTATCCCAGCAAACCTAGAAAAACCTGAAGTTATTTTATCGTCTAGGAAATAGGCTGCTGTGCTATCTTATCAATGATAGCTCTGGGTGTGTTTTACATCTTACTCAACCAGGTAACTCTCAGGACTTTGATGGCCTTGCCAGATCCCTAAAACTTTTTGGAGTTGACTTTCCATCCCCTGTCTTCTAGGCTGGCCAAAGACAGTCTGCAGGGAAGCCTCCAGAGCAGCAAGAGATTCTGAGGTTAGGATGATAACATCGACATAGTAAAAAGGGAGATCAAGGCAGGCAAAGAGAGTCTAGAGAAGTCCTATGCAATCATACCATGACAGATGGTGGGCCTGTGCAGGTACCCTTATGGTAACACATGGAAAGCCCATCGTTGGCCCCCCAAGTGAAGGCAGACTGGTCCTGTGAATCTTTTGCTAAAGGAATACTGAAAAAGGCATTAGTCAATTCAATCACAGCATGGACATTTCCCAGCCTAAGGACCACCTGCTGTAGCAGCTGAGCAACACTGGGCATAGTTGCTTGTATAGAGGGCACCACTTTTTTAGCTCACAGTAGTCTACCGTCATTCACCAGGTGCCACCTGGCTTTTTCACAGGCCACACGGGGCTGGTGTAAGAGCACTGGGCCAGCCTGACTGCTTGTGTCTTATGTAATTTCTGGATTGTTTGGATGACTTCAGTGTTTCCCTGGCAGTATTGTTTCATGTTCATTGCCCGCCTGGGCCAGGACAAGTATACAGGCACCCATTTGGCCCATCCCGTTTTTATTTTTTGAATATTTTCTAGACTCAGTCCTTACTTTTATTCAGCTCAGTGAAGTCTGCTAATACTTTTCCCCGTGATAGATTTCATGAACAAGCTCAAAAGTGTAACCAATGCCCCATATTATAACCCTTTTTAATTGGAAATGACCCAAACATTCAATGAGTACCTAAAATAATTTTGATTTTAAATTACACAAAAAGCTTGCCTACAAGCATTTCTCTTATTTACATTTACCCAATTCTTTTATTTTTAGCAGTTCACCTAGATTCCCGTGAGAACTGAGACATTATAGAAGCTAATCATGATTCTAAGTTATTTTCCTGTTAACCAATTTTATAGCCTGTGACTATCAGGTGTTTACTGAAGAAAGAACATTAAAGTTGGATACATGGGCATTTTTGCCAATAACTCAGAAAATTTAGCTGTTCATATTAAATTAATCATATTTGTAAAAAAAAAAACCTACATAAACAAAAATCAATATGTTTTTGGCTAGGTTTATAGTCTTAAAACCTTCTTATCAAACCCTGACACCTTAAAATATCTAGCGGAAGCAGCCAAACATGGCGGCTCATGCCAGTAATCCCAGCACTGTGGGAGGCTGAGGCAGGAGGATTGCTTGAGATCAGGAGTTTGAGACCAGCCTGGGCAGCATAGCAAGACCTCATCTTTAATAAAAATTTTAAAAAATTAGCTGGGCATGGTGACGTGCACCTGTAGTCCCAGATACTTGGGAGGCTGAGGTGGGAGGATTACTTGAGCCCAGGAGGTCAAGACTGAGGTGAGCTATATTGTGCCACTGCATTGCAGGCTGGGTGACAGAGTGAGAACCTGTCTCAAAAAAAAAAAAAAAAAAAAAAATCCAACAGAGCAAATATTAGAGTTACCTAATCAGTAAGCTCAGACAAAAATGTATGCTGGCAATTCTGAAGACAATTTTTAGTTTTAGTTTACCAGTAATTTTAAAGCCAGCTTATTTATTAAAGTTTACTAAATTCATGTGAACTTGAAAAGCATTTGAACTTAATGTATGACTAATCACTTACTTATAAGACAATTTAGTAGCATGATAGACACAATGCATAACATAATACAGGTACATACACATAAATACATTTAAATATGTATACATGCACAAAAGATCTAATAGTTTCAAAACTCTAGTCATGAGACAGCAGCATAAATTCATTAGCTTAAAAGATAGCTCGATCTGGCCAGGCACGGTGGCTCACATCTGTAATCCCAGCACTTTGGGAGGCCGAGGCAGGTGGATCCGAGGCCAGGAGTTCAAGACCAGCCTGGCCAAGAGAGTGAAACCCTGTCTCTACTAAAAATACAAAAAATTAGCCAGATAGGGTGGCAGGTGCCTGTAATCCCAGCTACTCAGGAGGCTGAGACAGAAGAATCGCTTGAACCCAGGGGGTGGAGGTTGCAGTGAGTGGAGATGACGCCACTGCACTCCAGCCTGGGCGACAGAGTGTGACTCCATCTCTAAAAAAAAAGATAGCAGGATCCAAATTATTTTTGACTAAATTACAACCTGTCACATGGCTAAACTTTGTTTCCCCCTGTAAATAATCCAAGGAAAGAAAAAAAATTTGGAGTAAAGCAGTTTCCATAGCAGTCTGATTTTTTAAAAGCTCTTTTACCTTTTCTTCTGCAGTTTCATAGGAGTTTCCAATGTTTACATTTTAGCTGGAACTGGCTGAATTTAATAAGAAAAATAAAATGTCCATGTAGCGTTGAATTAGCAAAACCATAAACAATGAGTTTTATCTCAACACAAGTAGCTTAATAACGGTAGATTCAAAGCAGGCAAAAAAGAAAAGAGAGAAATAGAGAAATCTAGAAGACTCTACTTAACTGTATAGTTGCAGGTTAATCATTTGAGCTTTGAATTTTTTTCTTGCTGTAATTTGCCCATCAGTTAAAAACTGTGTGCAAGGATGGGCCTGCATCCAGCTGGAGTCCTAGAAAATCTGTTGTGGCTTTGAACTTTTTCATCTTTTTAAATGTGTAAGCCACAGGAAATTCTACCCTTCTTTCCTTTCCTGCTCTAACAATTTCTCAGTAGCCGACCTTACCACATGGCATATTTGCTGTCCATATCATATTTTAACATCTTAGTTTTTTGTAATAGGTACTCAGTCCCCAGTGGTGTTGTCTGAGCATCCCTGTCCCCACACAGTGGCCCACAAAGGTTGAGCAGTGGGGTAACTCCACTCCACATTTATGCCTCTGACTACCCTGTGATTCCCCCAACAGATGCTCCTTCCTGATTCATCATTTGGTCTCTTAGATCCTAGGTTAGTGACACCAGTTGTTATGAGAAAAATCTGTAATGTCCCTTCCCAAACTGGGAAGGAGCCAAGAGACAAAAAGAATGATTTGAGTAAGTCCAGCTTGGCGAGTAGATGAATTGATTAGGACTTACATACAGTGCACTCCTGAGTGGCAGCAGGACATTTTTAGAAATCCATGTCACCATCCATCTCCAAGCTACTTTCAAGCTAATGATCTGGCTCTTTGGCTACTGCCTATGTGTGATGAGACTGTTTTCCTTGGAATGTTCCTACCTATGCCCGGGGATGTTTGGGTTCTCAGGGGCACCTGAACCTCAACTGGACACCCTGGCCTTGGTTCACTGCTTGGCCTTCAGCGAGTAAGCAGCGGACATCCACCCTTAAGTAATCAAGGTGGGGGACCTGTCACATTACAGGCAGTTGTATAGGGCAGATATCTACATCAACAACCTTGAGGAAATGGGAGGATATGGAGAGCTGGAAACTATTATTATGTTAAGGGCAACTAAGCCTTGCTTTTTGTATGAGGAAGTCCAACTTATATTCAAAATGCTTGCTAAGGCAGCACAAAATTACAATAATTCACTACAGCTTTATAGAACTAGAATCACTCCATTTACTAATGTGACCATAACTCTTATGGGAAACAATACATCTATCCATACAGATTTTATTTACAAACTATGGTGAATAATATTCTTTATACTTTTTCTATTTAAAAATATATAGTTCCCATGATAGGATGAAACTATAATTTGAATCATGTTAGCTATTATACTATCCCCTTGAAATGTCTAGAAATCTTATCATACATCAAAATCAACCTCACTTGCAAGAGCTACTATAGCTCCAAGAACAAGGAGAGTGACTGACATGTCTTAGCTGCTGTTGTAATATGAGAAAAACATGGAATATAGAATTCTGAAAGAAGACATGTATTTAGGAGACTGCCAGATTTAGACTACATGATGTCAAATATCCAGGAAAAAGCAGAAAATTTCCCTTAGATTGCTGTTTGCTTACAGATATCTGGAGATTTCACATGATGTAGACATAGCATTGTAAACAACTGCCTACATTCAACACCATTTATCCAAAAACTATATACTACTTGGAAACAGCCAAAACTCTGTACTATGAAGATACAAAGTGAGCTAAATACCTCCTTTGAGGCTTGTGCCAAACACAAATCTGACACCTGGCCTCTTCAACCATCACTCAACATTCAGTCATGTTTAACACACAATAGTTTCTTTTAGATTGGTCCGAATTGCCTAGAGCTTAGGACTAGTTCTAGGGATATGGAAAGAAAATAAAGTTTTAAACTTCCAAATGTAAAAATAAGATATTTCTTTTGTATTGCTGTTCAAATATTTAAATTATTTTTATTGATACATAGTATTTATACATATTTATAGGGTCCATGTGACATTTTGTTACATGCATAGAATATGTAATGATCAAGTCAGAGTGTTTAGGATATCTTTCACCTCGACCATTGATCATTTCTGTGTGCTGGGAGCATTTTAAACCTCTCTTCTAGCTATTGTGAAATATACAACACGTTGTTAATTATAGTAACCCTACTCTTCTATTGAACACTGTAACTTACTTATTTCTTCTATCTAACTGTATTTTTTGCACCCATTAACCAACCTCTCCTCATACCCCTGCACCTCCCAATGCACACCCATCCATCCCAGTCTATGGTAACTATCATTCTATTCTCTACCTCCATGAGTTCAACTTTTTTTTAGCCCCCCACTGTGAGTGAGAGCACGCCATATTTGTCTTCCTGTGCCTGGCTTATTTCACTTAACTTAATGACCTCTAGTTCCATCCATGTTTCTGCAAATGACAAGGTTTCATTCTTTTTTATGGCCAAATAGTACTCCATCATGTGTATATATACCACATTTTCTTTATCCATATGCCAATTGATGAATACTTGGGTTGATTCCATATCTTGGCTATTGTGAACAGCGCTGCAATAGACATGTGAGTACAAGTATCCCTTTAATATACAGATTTCTTTTACTTTGGATAAATACTCAGTAGTGAGACTGCAGGATTGTATGGTAGTTCTAAAAAAGTTCTTGAGTAATCTTCATACTGTTTTGCTTAGTGGCTGTACTGATTTACATTCCCACCAACAGTATATAAGAGGTTATTTTCTCTGCATCTTTGTTAGCATCTTTTTTTTTTGTCTTTTTAATAATAGCCATTCTAACTGCGGTAAGATGATATCTTGTGGTTTTCATTGCATTTCTCTGATGATTAGTGATGTTGAGCATTTTTTTCATATACCGGTTGGCCATTTGTATGTCTTCTTTTGAGAAATGTCTACACTTGTCATTTGCCCACTTTTCACTGGGATTATTTGTTTTTATACTGTTGAGTTGTTTGGGTTCCTTGTATATTCTGGATATTAGTGCTTTGTTGGATGAATAGTTCGCAAATATTTTATCTCACTCAACAGGTTATCTCTTCACTCTGTTAATTGTTTGCTGTGCAGAGCTTTTTAGTTTAATAGTTTAGAGTTAAGAGTTTATAGTCCCATCTGTCTATTTTTTGTTGCTGTTGCCTATGCTTTTGAGGTCTTAGTTATAAAATCTTTGCCTAGACCAATGTGTTGAAGTGTTTCCCCTGTTTTCTTCCAGTAGTTTTATAGCTTGGGGTATTCCATGTAAGTCTTTTATCCGTCTTGAGTTTATTTTTGTATATGGCAAGAGACGGGGTCCAGTTACATTCTTTTGCTTATGGATATCCAGTTTTCCCAGCTCCATTTATTGAAAAGCTTGTCTTTTCCTCAGTAGATGTGCTTGACACCTTTCTTAAAAATCAGTTCACTGTTATTGCTTAGATTTATTTCTGCATTGTCTATTTTGTTCCATATGTCTATGTGGAGACACAGACATTTGTTTTTAGATCAATACCATGCTGTTTTGATTAATACATCTTTGTAAAATATTTTGAAGTCAGATAGAGTGATGCCTTCAGCTTTATTATTTTTGTTCAGAATTGCTTTGGCTACTTAGACTCTTTTTCAGTACCATATGAATTTTAGAATGTTTTTTCTATTTCTGTGAAAAATGACATTATTTTGATAAGAATTGTCTTGAGTTTGTAGATTGCTTTGGATAATATGATCATTTTAACAATATAAGTTCTTCCAGTCCTTGAGCATGGGATGTCTTTCCTTTTGTTGTATCCTCTTCAATTTCTTTCTTCAGTGGTTTGTAATTTCCTTTCTAGAGGTCTTTCACCTCCTGTTTTTCCTGAAGATGTTGGTTGGGTAGGACACTTTGGCTTTGATTCTGGTCACATGCAGTAGTAAAGTTTCCATATAGTTTCTTTGGCTATAAACAGCTTAAATAGTTTCTATAGTTAACTCAGCTGTTTAGGGTGCAGTTGCTAGTGGTGGCTCCGGTGACATTTTGCTGGGGATGGGTACACCAGGTTGGCCAGTAATCTGGCCCCAGTGTTGGCAGTGGTGGGCACAGCACATGCCTATCTTTGGACCTCAGGGTGGCATATGTTAGCACTTGTGTTATGTTGTCCAGGCAGGCCAATTTCTTGAGCCTCAGAAAGCTTGTTTGAGTGCTGGCAACAGTAGTGGCAGGCCATGTTGGTGGGTGGGTCCTTGGACCTGGGCAGCAGGCATGGCATGAGAGATGACAGCAGCAGTGGTGGAACAACTCTCTGGCTCCCTAGTGGTTTGTATTGGTGTTGGCAGTGGCTGTGACAGGCTGGGCAGGCCAGTTCCCAGGCCCACAGGTAGCAAATATGGGTAAGTGCCAGCTGAGAGTGGCAGTGGCAAGTTGGTGGACCACTCCTCAGCCCCTGGGAGGAGTGCTTAGGTGTCAACAATGGTGGATTATACACAGTGATTCCCAGGCCCCTTGGACGGCATGCTTGGACACTGGGAGAGGTAGAGCTGGGTCCCATGGGCCTGTACTCAGGCCCTTTGGTGGTGCATGTGGGCATAAAGGTGGTGGGAAGGGGCAGGTTATGCCCAAGGGGCAAAGTTATCCCCAGCCCCCACCCTGCCTTTCACGCCACCCTCCTCCACAAAGAAGAACCAAAATAACAAGCAGATAATCACACCTCAAATAGATCATCTAAGAGAGAACACTGAAATTCAACAGGAAAGTGATAGGAAACCCCTAAACAAGGAAGGAGAAGTAAGTGAGGCAGCCTCTCCTTGTTTCATGTGAATTAAACAGAGTGGTAGGATGGGGTAAAAAGAAATGCCATTTTTCACATACCATAATGACCTTTTTTATTATGTATTCATTTGTGTGTTTTATATCACCCGATTAGAAAGTAATCTCCATGAGGAAAGGTCATGAGAAAGATGACCATGTGTTGGTCATCTCATGGGATACACCTCTTTCAGGCATTTTTCTAATCTGTAAAAATAGGAAGAATAATGCCTATATTTCAGGGTTGTTAAGAGTTTGAGTTGACATTAATCACTAGATAAGTAAGAAAATGTCCATTATTGTTAGTGATGCATGTTGAGGTATGTAGGGGTATCATGCTGTAACACTAGGATTCACTTTAAAATACTTCAGCAAAAAAAAAAAAGGCTAGAGGCAAATGGGTGCAAAATCTTGATAATTGTGGAACTAGGGTCAGGGTCAGGGATATATGGCTATACATTGTAGTTTTCGCTTTATTTTTGTATATGTTTTTTGGTGTTTGTTTGTTTGTTTGTTTTTTGAGACGGAGTCTTACTGTATCACCCAGGCTGGAGTGCAGTGGAGCGATCTTGGCTCACTGCAACCTCCGCCTCCCAGGTTGAAGCAAATCTCCTGCCTCACCCTCCTGAGTAGCTGAGATTACAGGTGGGTGCCACCATGCCTGGCTAATTTTTCTATTTTTAGTAGACGGGGTTTCATCATGTTGGCCAGGCTGGTCTTGAACTCCTGGGCTCAAGTGATCTGCCTGCCTCAGCCTCCCAAAGTGCTGGGATTACAGGCATGAGCCACCGCACCCGGCCTGTATATGCTTTTAGGTTTCATTAAAACAGTTTTAAACAATAGCATTAGAAAAGTTTTTCAGGCCACAGTCATGCTGTCTCTTTGCAATTGCTTTTGTCAATCTACATGTCAAACAGAGCTCTCTTTTTCAAAAAAAAAGGTATTTATTTAGGAATATGGCATTGTGATAGTAATACATGTGCCATAGTAAACCATGATAAACTATGTGCATATTCCCACTGCAATGCCCTATTCAGGAATAAATAGTATTTTTTTTTTTTCTGAGACAGAGTTTCGCTCTTGTTGCCCAGGCTGGAGTTCAATGGTGCGATCTCGGCTCACTGCAACCTCTGCCTCCTGGGTTCAAGTGATTCTCCTGCCTCGGCCTCCCGAGTAGCTGGGATTACAGGCATGCACCACCATGCCCAGCTAATTTTGTATTTTTAGTGGAGACGGGGTTTCTCCATGTTGGTCAGGCTGGTCTCGAACTGACCTCAGGTGATCAGCCTGCCTCGGCCTCCCAAAGTGCTGGGATTACAGGAGTGAGCCACCATGCCCAACCAATAGTATTTATTTTAGAGATCCTTCTCTGTTTATTTGGGTAGTCTGAAATGGTGCCCAGAAGCAGACCTGGGACAAGATCACTTTCTGAAGGAATCAACAACTCTTAGAACCAGTGTGCAGTACTCACTTGAGCCATTTGAGCTCTCTGCTTCCACAGCTTACTTTCTCTTCTTTGGTGAGTCTTTTGTCAGGCAAAGTCTCCCTCATTTTGAGTTTTTTTTTTTTTTTTTTTACTTTATTCAGGATTTATTTTGGTTATAAGGCCATCTTCAATAAAGGACATTACATCCCTTCTGGTATAATAAAATACTTTTTGTCTCTTCTGCCAAGTCTTTTTTGGTATAAAGACAAGTGTCCTGGTTTGAGTACTCTGGTTTCTACAAAATTTATGTTCTGTCACTGAGGCATGTCTTTTCTGGTGAATTTGCCTTCGAGGTTTAGTTTGTTTGTTTGTTTTACTTTTTATTATTTCTGCATGACTCATTTAACATTTTATTTGATCTGCACAACCTGGGTTAAAATTTTTGTGAGCACTTTGATTTTGGTTTGGTTGTATGTGTCTGTAAGTAATTTGGCTCTTCTTCCTTGCTTGTATCCAAAAATCTTCCAAGAGCAAAAGTAAACAAAAATAGTGTGAGCAGGGTGGCTAAACTACCACTAGGGTGGCTGCCACTGTCTAAACACTGAACTAAACTCCTGGCATTCTCTGACAGAATTTATAGGATTGTCTTAGCTCTTGAGAGATTAATAAGAAACAGAATGGGATTCCCAAACATTAAAGCATGCCAAGTTCTCTGGACTCCAGCTGGTTACATATTATGGCCCATTCTTGTGTACATTTTAAAATCAATGGGCAAATTACATCAAGAAAAATTCAGAGATTTAATGGTCCTGATTGGAACTCTAAAAAACCTGCAATGATAAGAGTTACCATATAGAGCTAAGTTCTCTATCACTCTTTTTTCTCTGCCTACTTTGAATCTGCTGATTTTTTTCGCTGATGTTGAGATAAAACTCACTGTTTATGGCATTCCATCAAAGATTAAATTTTTCTAAAAAAGCTGTAAAAATTGTTAATGCTTCCCTACCTGCAGTGACTAGTCAAGCCAATGAAACCAGCAAACAAAAGATAGATTTGTTACTAAAAATTCAAGGCTATTGGAGATTTTGTTTTTCTTATACAGTTAAGCCAGCCAGTCCTAGCAAAACTTATTTGAAACTAAAAAAATAAAAAGGGGGTGGTGGTAAAGGAAATGTTTGCTTTATTTTATATATTTTATTTTATGTTTATTTTTATTTTTTTGAGATGGAGTCTCGCTCTGTTGCCCAGGCTGGAGTGTAATGGCGTGATCTTGGCTCACTGCAACCTCCGTCTCCCAGGTTCAAGGGATTCTCCTGCCTCAGCTTCCCGAGTAGCTGGGATTACAAGCACCCGCCATCAAGCCCAGCTAATTGTTGTATTTTTAGTAGAAACAGGGTTTCACCATGCTGGCCAGGCTGGTCTCGAACTCCTGCCTCGGCCTCCCAAAGTGCTGGGATTACAAGTGTGAGCCACTGCGCCAGGCTATTTTATATATTTTAGAGACAAGGTCCCACTCTGTCACCCTGGTTGCAGTGCAATGGCACCTTCTTAGCTCACTGCACCGTTGAACTCCTGAGCTCAAGGGATCCTTCTGCCTCAGCTAGGACTATAGGCATGTTGCATCATGCCCAGTTAATTAAAAAAAAAATTATAGAGATGGGAGTCTCACTATGTTGCCTAGACTGGTCTTGAATTGCTGGCCTCAAGCAATCCTCCTGTCTTGGCCTCCCAAAGTGCTGAGATTATAGGGATTACCACACCACACCTGACCAAAATGTTTTTAAAACCAAACTTCTTTACCAGAAATTTTGGTTCACAGCTTTTATTAGATTATCTATTGAGGCAAATAAAGTTTTAGCTATGTGAACATGTCCTATTCTGTCAGAAATATAATTTGGAAACAACTGTCTTTTGTAAACCAGTGAGTTCACATGTTTTACTGTCTCAAAATTCTAAAATGAAACCTATAAAATCTTTGTTTGTATGTTTTATATGTCTAGGTTTATTTATGAATATGTACCTGTCTTACGTTATAAGTTGTGTCTACATGGTAAAATCTGGCAAAGTCAGCCTGAAATCCCTTAAGAATTTGGGTTAATTACTATATATTTTGTTGCTAAATAACATATTTAGTTAATTACTGTATATTTTATTACACTTATCTAGGCCAATGGCTTAGATAAGTGAGTGCTCATATAAAATATATAGTAATTAATCCAAATGGCTTTTAGTTCATGTGACTTAAGTACATCTTTGATTTAAAAAAACTTTTAAAATAGTAAAATAAAAATAGAAATGTCCTTAAAATTCTCAGCATACATTTTTGCCTTTGTTTACTAGTCAGAGTTTTATATTTTCTCTGCTAATGTTTTAAGGTGTCAGGGTTTGACATAAAGGTTATAAAACTATAAATCCATCCTAAATTACATTCTGGAATTACTAAAAATGGGAACTGCTCTGTTCCTAAAGCCTTATAAGCTGATATTGGATTAATTTTAAGGAACAAGTCTCATACCTGATGTATGGATCACACAAAAAGTTCACCAACTACCCAATGCCATAACCAGAGCCATTCAAACTGCAAACCAGGAGGAGAAGTTGATGTTTTCATGCTATAGACAACTTCTCCCAAGATATGGGAGCAACATTCTGTATCATAATGAGACTCATATCCCTACCTTTTTCACTCTAATGCCTACCTTTTTCAATTGATAGGACAATGGTCATTTGATTTATTCAATTGGTTGTTTTTAAGCCTAGGTTCATGGCTCAAAACCATTATGAAAACTGGGATTGTCATATTACTATTAATTTTATTTTTTATTTTCCCTTTTTAAGCTTTGTATCTGTAACTTGTTAAGTTTTTACAGAAATACACAGTAATCACAAACTTACTATCTGCCATTCCATATGTCGGAGCAGACCTGGTCCAGTGAGTCTGAAGTGGCTATTCAGTAGACAAACCCACCCTCACATGATTCTTCACTTTCCACTTTATCCTATCTTTTATTATCACAGCCCTAACAGCCCTACACCTACTATTCCTACACGAAACAGGATCAAATAACCCCTCAGGAATCCAACTCCTATCAGAATAATGCTGGCCCACAGGTTTTGAGTTGATAGCTAAAGACTATAGAACAAACAAAATTGAACCTAAAAATGGACTCTAGGTAGACTAAGTCGAAGAGCAAGTCCCTTCAAACCTCCCCTGTTGCTCAAATGTGGCTAAAGTATTTTGACACTGACTCCTAGCCATCAATCACTTCCTCCCAGGTGGGATGAGACCAGAAACCCAGAACAGGTTAATCCCAGGTATCAAGGGACAATCAGAGCTTAACTACAGGATGATTAATCAGTGATGCTTTTAAAGAAAGATCTTGATCAAAAGGGGGAAACATGAAAGTTGTCAGTATCAAAATGGAGCTACTCATGTTTAAAAAATATATATATATTGACAAATTGATCCAGGAATGCCATTAAAGGAGGGTTCTCATGCACAAATTACTGATAACAAAAACTAGCACAAAGGACTCTGCAAAGCCACAACCTTGCACAAAGGCCATCACAACCTCACACAAGAAGCACTAGCTATGAGGACATCTGCCCAGCTTCTGCTTATCCAGCCTCAGATTCGTGCCATGTTCATCATTGATCGTTGGAGCCAAGGATAATTATCTCAAAACAATTATATAGTCTTCCTCATTTTTCCTTTAAAAACCTTCTTTTTTTTTTTTTTTTTTTTTTTTCTGAGATGGGGTCTCTCTGTCTCCCAGGTTAGAGTGGAGTGGCATGATCTTGGCTGACTGCAACCTCCACCTCCTAGGCTCAAGCGATCCTCCCCCCTCAGCCTCCCAAGTAGCTGTGACTACAGGCACATGCCACCATGCCCAGCTAATTTTTTTGCTGTTGTTGTATTTTTGGTAGATAGCTTAAGCGATCCACCTGCCTCAGCTCCCAAAGTGCTGGGATTACAGGCATGAGCCACCATGCTCTGCCCCTAAAATCCCTCTTTACTCCTGGAATATGCACATAGTTGATATTGCAATGCTGTATTTCTGAATAAATATCATTTCCTTTTAGAGAGCCTCTCTCTGTTGTTTAAGTCGACACTTTCAGTGGTTCTGTTATGATTCCTATTATGTGAATGTTATTAGCTTAACTCTTAGGGGATAATTTTGGGAAGGAATTCATCATTTGCTTTTTTGTGCCATCTCTATCATTATAAACATGTTCCTATTTCTATGTTTTAATTGTGAATGTATTTTTCCAGCAGGACAATAGGGAAATGAAAAATAAGAAAAATTTTCTTCTGCCAAGCTCCCATTTTTCCCTGTTCCTAGCAGAGCTGGCACAGAGCAGAGGTTCTTGATGGATGATTTTCACCTACTTAGAATTATAATATAATTATATATTACATTTATATACAACTCAAAGTAGGAAATTTACAGGTTTGCATAATCAAAACCTGAGAAGGACAGAGGAGACGTGGCTATGGGGCTGAGTAGGATGTGGAGACTGGTGGGGGTGAGAATTTGTTTGCCCCTCATCTCACATCTGCTGCCAAGTCAGTTCTCTCCAAACTTCTCCTCAAGGCAGTGAGTTGCCCCATGCATAGCTCTGACCTCACCTCCTCATGGCCTCAGTGTCAGTGAAGAAAAAGACCCTATCATCTGACATCCAGTTAAAAGGACCCCAGGGAAGGACTTTGATAGGCCTGGTTGAGGACATCTTGCCCTTGTGGCCAGAAAGTGAGGAAATGAAATGGACTCAGGTTCAGGTAAGAGGTCTACCCAATCATAAATGGTAATGTGTGGTGGAGGGCACTCCCATTGTGACCATATGGTTTAAGTTTGGAGTGGGATTTTAATTTATCCAAAGAAGAAGCTGACTATTCTAAGAGACAGGAGACATTCTGGGTAGACAACCAAAGAAACATCCTTCATGACTGACAAATTTGATTGATGGTATTAACTGTACCGAATCATTCTTTATTTTACAGAGGAAAAATGTACTACTTAAGAATAACTGAGTCACTCAATGACCTGTTTCAACCATGGTCCATCATCCCTTATAATCTCTCCCTTGCAAGCAATTTTAACCCCTGTGTCCACTCACCCTTCATCATAATTGCATAGTAAAACTTTCACTTATCTGCCTACTCAGAATCTTCACTTGAGCAGCTAAAGATCAATGTCAATCAACCCATAGTTGTACTGATGGATGTCATACTACATGTATGACTATAAATCGTAAATGGGCATTCAACAATTACTTTTCTCTAGTAATATTCACTTAAACACTTGGAAAAAGAATAAACAATATCTTACCTAATCCTTCCTCTTCAACCTCCTCTACCTCCTCCATTACTCTCAACAAATGACCTTGCCTGTCTTCAATTGAAAGAAAGAAAGGAAATGATAAATGGGCATCATTTATAAAATGCTTTCTGGTCATCAAACACATGTTTGCCAGATACTTCCAGGTCTTTCCACCCTCTGTGTATATGGAGGTTCATGCTTTCGGCGTCTTCAAGTAATTTGCTCTGGCCAGTGAGTTAAGTGCAAAATGATGTGTGTCACTCCAGAACTGTCTTTTGCCCTGGTATGATAACCAGCAGTGTTGAAGATGGTAGCTGTACAGTCAAGCTGGATCCCTGATGAACTACAATGCACAGAGCCTGACATCCTTGCCAAATAGGCAATACATGTACGGCATGAGTGAGAAATCAATTTCTATTGTTTTAAGTCTCTGAGATTTGGGGTTGTGAAAGTGTGATATAATATGAAATATATTATTGGTCTCTGACCTCTGATTCCTGGCACAGAACCTCTATTTATTTTTATTTTTGAAGAGATGGGGTCTTGCATGTTGCCCAGGCTGGTCTCAAACTGCTGGCCTTGAAAGTGATCCTCCCGCCTCTGCTTCCCAAAGTGCTGGGATTACAGGCATGAGCCACTTGCACCTGACCCATTCTGGCACAGAGCTGCTAAAGCTCTTGGAATTAGGGGCACTAGGAGAATCTTTTGTTCTAATATTTGGTCTTTGACAAATATTGGAGGTCTGTTCCTTACACAGAGCTTCTAAGACTTTGTAATTTCCTGAGTGGTACGAGCATCTGACACTGAGCTCCTAAATCTTTTGGTATTTCCTGGATGACAGGAGCATCTATTGCTTTAATGAAGTGATTTTTGGTGGGTTCCTGAATGGCCTCAGGATAGGGGAAACCAACCATGTGATTAGAGAGTTGCAACTTCAGCCCCACTTCACCTTCAACCTCCCACAAGGGGAGAGAGCTGAAGATTGAGTTCATCATCAGTAGCCAGTGATGTAGTCAGTCGTGCCTCCATGAAAACCCAAAAGGACAGGATCGGATGAGCTTCCAGATAGCTAAACACGTGGAGTTTCCTGGAGGGCAGCACACCTGGAGAGGACATGGAAGCTCCATGCCTCTCCTCCCATACCTTGCCCTATGCATCGCTTCCATCAGGCTATTCGTCTGTATTCTGTGTAAAATTCTTTATAAGAAATGGGTAAATATTCCCACTCTAGCCACTGTAGCAAATTAGTAAAACCTGAAGAGTGGGTCATGGGAATTCCAATTTATAACTGGTCTGTCAGAAGCACAGGTTACAATCTGGAACTTGGAATTGCCATCTAAAGTAGGGGGCAGTATTATGGAACTGAGCTCTCAATTTGTGTGATCTGACACTATCTCTAGGTAGACAATGTCAGAATTGAACTGGATAAATTCAATTAATTAATTGGTGCCTGCTGAGGATTGTTTGGTGTGTGGGGGGAACCCCCACATACCTGGTATCAGAAGTGAAGGGTCGGCCGGCTGCAGTGGCTCATGTCTGTAATCCCAGCACTTTGCGAGGCTCAGGTGGGCAGATCACTTGAGGTCAGGAGTTTAAGACCAGACTGGCCAACATGGCAAAACCCTGTCTCTACTAAAAATACAAACATTAGCCGGGTGTGGTAGTGCATGCCTGTAATCCCAGCTATTAGGGAGGCTGAGGCAGGAGAATTGCTTGAACCTGTGGGCGTGGAGGTTGCAGGGAGTGAAGATCATGCCACTGCACTCCAGCCTGGGTGACAGAGTGAGACTCCGCCTCAAAAAAAAAAATAAAAAGAAGTGAAGGGTCAAGTGGGTCAAGTGACTTGTATCTGAGAACAGGAAAAGCATCATGTTTTTTTCCTGTCACTCAGGGGTTCAGATCTTGTGCTGCTTCTCTCCACTTATCTATAATTTCTCTTAATTATTTTCATCTGGTCATATGGTTGTAATTATTATCTATGCAGTAATCAGTGTCCTAGCCTCTGCCCAAATCTAAGCTCTGAGTATGAGCGGGGTGGGGTGCAGTGTAAACTTCTTACAGTGCTAACCCGATTATGTTATCAGCCGGTTTAAAAACCTTTAGACATGGGTGGGGGGGCTCTGATTAAAAAAACAAAACAAAACCTTCAGTGGCTCCCCAACCATTCGGCTTGTCATAAGTAACTTCACAATCTTGCCTTCTTTTCCCTTATGTCATACCTACAACCCTCTAGGGTGAAAACTTAACTCTCAGTGATGCCTTGTTCTCTTTTCCTTTACAGCTTTTAATTTTCACAAACACTGGCCCTTGTGGGAGGGGGCAAGGTAGAGGGAAAAAGGCTTTTCTTCTTTTTTTTTTTTTGAGATGGAGTTTTGCTCTTGTCTGTCTCCTGAGTTCAAGCGATTCTCCTGCCTCAGCCACTGCAACCTCTGCCTACTGCGATCAAGTGATTCTCCTGCTTCAGCCTCCCAAGTAGCTGGGATTACAGGTGCCTGCTACCATGCCCCGATCTTTTTTTTTCTTTTTTGTATTGTTAGTAGAGACGGGGTTTCGTCATGTTGGCGAGGCTGGTCTCGAACTCCTAACCTCAGTGATCTGCCCACCTCGGCCTCCCAAAGTGCTAAGTACAGGCATCAGCCACTGTGCCTGGCCGCTTTTCTTCTACATATATATATATGTACATATACATATATTTTTTTAAGACAGAGTCTTGCTCTGTCACCCAGGCTGGAGTACAGTGGCGTGATCTTGGCTGAGTGCAGCCTCTGCCTCCCGGGTTCAAGCAATTCTCCTGCCTTAGCCTCTTGAGTAGATGGGATTACAGGCGTGTTGCCACCACGCCCAGCTAATTTTTGTATTTTTAGCGGAGACGGGATTTCATCATGTTGGCCAGGCTGGCCTCAAACTCCTGACATCAGGTAATCCACCAGCCCCGGCCTCCCAAAGTACTGGGATTACAGGCGTGAGCCGCCTCGCCTGGCCTGAAAAAGGCTTTTCTTCTATCTAGGCCAGTTTCTCTGGCTTTTCAGTTTGCTTAGAGGGAGACTCCTGCCAACCTCTCCCTTTCCAAACCCCTTCCCCACCTGCCACCTCTCTACGCTTTGTTTTGCCTCAAAGAGTAGGTGGCTGTCCCTCCGGAGACCGCACCGCTCCCAATGCTGCTGAGCATCACAGCACTCACAATGAATTGTACTGACTGCTTCCTCTCACTTCCCTCTTCACAACTGTAAATTCTTTTGAGGATAAGACTTGGTTGAATGTACTTATTTATTTTTCATATTTCTAGCTTTTAGTACTGCCTGGAACCGAGAAGCGCCCCAATAACTATTTGCTGAGTCCATGAATCAATCTTGATCTATTCTACTACATAACGTGATGAGACTCTTTCGGTTTCTCCCGCGATAATAAATCTATATCCTATCTCCTGGGAAACGGAATTAACTCCTACCTGAAGACCAAAAAGCTCTTTTGTCTTCTTTTACATTTATTTATTTATTTATTTATTTATTTATTTATTTATTTATTTGGGACTGGGTCTTGCTCTGTCGTCCAGGCTGGCTCAAAGCAGCCTCGACCTCGTGGGCATAAGCGGTCCTCCCATCTTAGCCTCCTGTGTAGGTGGGACCACAGGCCCGCGTCACCACGCCCAGCTATTTTTTGTTTTTGGTAGAGAGGGAGCTTCGCCATGTTTCTCAGGCTGATCTCGAATTTCTGACCTCAAGTAATCCGCCCGCCTCGGCCTCAGAAGTGCTGAGATTAGGGGCTTGAGCCACCGCACCCGACCTTCTTTTAAATTTAAATTAGATGGCCAGAGGTGGGGCAAATGCATAAATACCCTAAAAAGGATTTAAGGAAGAGAGTTCTGAGGTGTTTATTCTGAACTTAGAACTAACGTTTCTACAGCATTTGCTTTCGTCCGCCTCTACCTCCACCACGGAAGGATAAGAACTAGACTTTGACAAGGTAATTGTGATATTCTTAGCAGTCGTTGTGTATTTCAAATGCTAAACAAAAAGTACTGAATTGATTTTTTGACAGCATAGAAAAGTGAAAATGGTTTGGTCATTTTGTTTTGTTTTGTTTATATGACACAATATCATCAAGCAATTGTTTGGTCATTTTTTTGAGCATTAGTTTGCTTTGATATTCAATGATTTTTTAAAAATAGAAATGTTTGAGAAACATTTTTTCTTGTAGATTATTTTATTTAATTGTGAATTCGATAATTCTCAAATAATGCTAGGGAGACAAAGTCACACACAAAAAGATTTCATATAAAACTATTCTTTAAAGTGAAAGCTCATTGACTAAGCCGTCAATTAAAGCATACTCAGACTAAAAAAGTTTTCAAAATAGAATTAACTGTGAATGGTCTTTTTACAAACCTGGAAGTAGAGCCAAGTTAAATTCTTCTAGCGAGGAGCCATGGAAATGTGCCAAGGCATTTTTGAACTTGAGAAATTAAGAATTTTGACAAATGAAATACATTTTCTGTCATTGGAATTCATACTTTTAAGAATATTTGAAATTTCTTCAAGTGCTTCGGTTGTCCTGTGCTGTGACATTTCTTAGTCTTTCAGTATGTCTGCATGGGTACACATAAACATAATTAGGCAAATCTGATTTAGAAATATCTTTGCAAAATCGACACTTAGGAGAGTTCTATAGAAAGGAGTTAATCCAGAAAAACAAGCTGTTGTGAGTTAGGTTTCCAATTTGTCAAAAGCAGTTACCTTTAGAATTGTTCTTAGTCGGCCAGGCGCGGTGGCTCACGCTTGTAATCCCAGCACTTTGGGAGGCTGTGGTGCGCGGATCACGTGAGGTCAGGAGTTGACCAGCCTGGCCAACGTGGCAAAACCCCGTCTCTACTAAAAATACAAAAGCTAGCTGGGCGTGATGGCGGGCGCCTGTAATCCCAGCTATTCGGTAGGCTGAGGTAGGAGAATGGCTGGAACCCGGGAGCCGGATGTTGCAGTGAGCCGAGATCGCGCCATTGCACTCCACCCTGGGCGACAGACCGAGATTCTGTCTCAAAAAAAAAAAAAAAAAAAAAAAAAATCAGAATTGTTCTTAGCAATTATTTAGACACTTGATCTTAGACAAAAGGTCGAGAAGCGATAGCAGTTATTTACTGGTCCCAAAAGAAATCCTGTCTGGTTTTACCTAAGAAATGAGATGCTAAATTAATCCTTATATCATTGATTGACTAGTGTCTTAAGAGAGGCGATATATTTACTTGAACACTATTATTTTTGAAGTTTAATCCAAATGTTTTAGTTCAAATGGTTGTGAATACTTCCAGAAAAGCACATGTGAAAGAAATGCGCCATAAGCCAGCAGTCCAAGTATTTACTGCTGTCATAGCACTTCAACTATCTGTATTTGCATTTTCTTCTTCCTAAACATTTGTTTTATTGTCATGATCTACTTGCAGTTCTCTTAACAACTCTTGTCCCACGGCTTACTGCATCACCTGAGAAGGTTAACAAACCCTGCTTCACCCTTGCAAGCCTACCAATTGTTTTCACAGTTTCAGCTTAAACATCTCACTAGTGCTCCTTGCCACTGGCAGTCCTGATCATAGATCTCAGCTTCCTACCTTGGCCTTCTCTATTTTAGCCTTGAACTTCTGGGCTCAAGTAATCCTTGTGCCTCAGCCTCCTGAGTAGCTGGGATTAAAAGCCACCATTCCCGGCTCTTTCCTCAAATTTCATATAAGTGGAATCATGTAAGTATGTAACCTTGAGTAGGGTAAGGGGAGTGCTTTTATCTTTCACTTAGCATAATGCTTTGGTGATTCTTCTGCCCTGTTGCTGGAGTCTGCAGTCTGGTCTTTGATAAAACCAAATCCTTTGAATGGCTACACTGCTATGTATGTATTCACCCATCTGTTGATAGACATTGGATTGTTTCCAGTTTTTGGTCATTGTGAGCAAAGCTGCTTTGAAGATCTGTCTGTACTAGTCTTTGTGTGAACATAGGAATTTATTTCTCTTGACAAAATACAGGAGTGGGACAGCTGAGTCATATGGTATTTACAAGACAGTCAAACTGTTTTTCCAAAGTAGATGTATCATTTTGCATTCCCACCAGGAATGAGAGTCACAGTTGTTTTGTATCTTTGCCAGCATTTGGTGTTGGAAGTCTTTTTAATTTTAGCATTTAGTAGGTATGGAGTGATTTCTCTATGATTTTAATTTGCATTTCTCTGTTGGTTAATAATCATGAACATCTTTATATACGTGGTAATTTGCCATCTACTTCTTGTTTGTTTCTTTGAGACAGGGTCTCCCTCTGTCACCTATGCTAGAGTGCAGTGGCACCATCCAGGCTCACTGCAGCCTCAAACTCCCAGACTCAAGAGATCCTCCCACCTCAGCATCCCAAGCAATTGGGACCATGGATGTGCACCACCACTCCTAGCTAAATTTTTATTTTTTTGTAGAGATGAGATCTCCTTGTGTTACCCAGGCTGGTTTCAAACTCCTGGGCTCAAGCAGTCCTCCCACCTCAGCCTCCCAAAGTGCTGGGATTACAGGCATGAGCCACTGTGCCTGGCCGCCATTTGCTTCTTAGTGAGATGTGCTTAGTTGTGTTTTTCTATATTTCTTTGATTTTGGTTTCTTGAGTTTTTTTTTTTCAATCTATTTGGTTTATAGTTTTCCTCACACTTGATAAATATTCAGCCATTATTTTTTCAAAAAAATTTTTGTCTGAACTGCCACCCCCTCCTTCCTGAGACTATATGTGTGATGCATTTTAGGCCACACTATGTTGCTCTTTTCATTTTTCAGATATTTTTCTTCTGTTCATTTTGGTTAGTTTCAGTTGTTTTGTCTTCAGTTTTACAAGTCTTTTTTTTCTGCAGTATCTTATCTGCTGTTTATCCCATCTGGTGTATTTTTCATCTCAGATATTTTTTTTTTCTTTTTCTTTTCTTTTTTTTTTCTTTTTCTTTTTTTTTTTTTTTTTTTTTTTTTTTTTTTGAGATAGGGTCTCACTCTGTTGCCCAGGCTGGAGTGCAGTGGTGCCATGTTGGCTCACTGCAACCTCCGCCTCCTGGGTTCAAGTGATTCTCCTGCCTCAGCCTCACGAGTAGTTGGGATTATAGGTGTCCGCCACCATGCCCGGCTAATTTTTTTGTATTTTTAGTAGAGACGGGGTTTCACCATGTTGGCCAGGCTGGTCTCAAACTCCTGACCTCAGGTGATTCGCCTGCCTTGGTCTCCCAAAGTGCTAGTATTACAAGCTTGAGCCACTGTGCCCAGTCTCTATATTTTTAATCTCTAGAAGTTTAATTTGGATCTTTTTACATGCTCCTTTTCTCATAATGCTCATGCTTTTCTCTAACCTTCTTGAGCATATGAAGTATATTTTTAATAACTGCTTTACTGTCTTTGCTGATTCTATTAGCTGTGTCTTTTTTTTTTTTTTCTGTTTGGCATTGGGACAGATTTTATTGCTTTCTGTGCCTGGTAATTTATAAATAGATGCCACTGTTGTCAATTTTATGTAATTAACTGTTGGACTTTTTGGTATTCCAAGAAATATTTCATTAAATTACTTGAAATCTGTTTGATCCTTTTTAGGCTTACTTTTGAGCCTCTTTGTTAAAATAGACCTGAGGGCAAATTGAATCCCTCTTATTCCATCAATGGCTGGAATTGGAAGTACATCCAGGGTGGGGTTTCTGGTTGTTTATTTGTTTTAGAGGCAGGGTCTTGCTCTGTTGCCCAGGCTGGAGTGCAGTGGCGTGATCATAGCTTGCTGCAGCCCTGAACTCCTGGGCTCAAAGTGATCCTCCCACCTCAGCCTCTCAAGTAGCTGGGACTATGGGAGTGCACCACCACTCCTGACTGATTTAATTTTTTGTAGAGTGGAGTCTGTCTATTTTGTGCTGGCTGATCTTAAACTCCTGGACTCAATCAATCCTGCCTTGACCTCCCAGAGTGCTGGGATGACAGGTGTGAGTTGCTGTGCCCGGCCCCATCCACAGTGTTTTTAACATCAGTTCTCTCAGCCCTTCCCCAGTAAATGACACATAGCAACTTCATGATTTCTTAAAAAGCCAAATAATTTTGCAACAAAATCGAATATAAAAGAGACAATATTGAGTGGCAGCTAAGCGTCTCTCGAATGATTCATACCTGATATAAATCTTATTTTTGTTGCCATGCAACCTGGGCTAGTTACTTAACATTTTCAGGCCTAGGTTTCTTCATCTGTGAAATAAAGATAATGGTAATACCTTCCATTGGTTGGGTGAGTTAAAGGAAATAAGGAATACAACACTTTCACTGGCATTTATTATACATTAAAACACCAGATTCCTTACACATGTCTGGTGTTATGTTTTATTTTAGGAAAACGTAAAAACAAACTTGTAACCATTACCAAGAATGCTAACTAAATATTGGGTACACAAAAGATGAAATCGAGTTTACAGTTAGATGGTTAAGTGATGACTGTGAAGTGGACTCTGCACTGCAAACCTGCTCACAAATAATCAGATGCAATCTGGGTTTTTTGCTCCCCCTAATGTATCTCCAGGCTGGTGGATTAGAAACATGAATGACAAGATATTGTGACAAGAAAGAATCCTAGAAAGTATTTGTAAACCACATACGCAACAAAGGACTACTATCTAGAATATATAAAGGACTCTCAAAACAACAGTGCATTTAAAAATCCAATTAGAAAATGAGCAAAGGACATGAGAGCAGATACAGATGACAAACAAGCACCTGAAGAGATGCTCAACTTCATTAGCCATTAGGAAAATGCTAAGTAAACTAAAATAGAATATCAGTGCACACTTATCAGAATGGTTAAAATCTTAAAAAGTGACAATACCAAGTGCAGACAAGAGTGGAGAACTGGCTCAGAGCCAAACTCTGGACTGACATCCTACCTTTGTCACTTTCTCTTTTTTTGTTTGTTTGAGACAGAGTTTTGCTCTTGTTGCCCAGGCTGGAGTGCAGTGGCACCATCTTGGCTCACTGCAACCTCCGCCTCCTGGATTCAAGTGATTCTCCTGCCTCAGCCTCCTGAGTAGCCAGGATTACAGGCATGCGCCACCACGCTCAGCTAATTTTGAATTTTTAGTAGAGACGGGGTTTCTCTATGTTAGTCGGGCTGGTCCCAAACTCCCGATCTCAGTTGATCCACTCACCTCGGCCTCCCAAAGTGCTGGGATTACAGGCATGAACCACCATGCCTGGCCCCACCTTTGTCACTTCCTAACTGGGTAATTAATCTCGGGCCAATGACTCACCCACCCTCTTCCTGTTTTCTTTGGAAAATGAGGGTTCTCATAGTGTTATGATTAGGATTTTTGATAAGCTATTGTAGAGACTAGCCCATAATACATCTTGTATCAATGTTTGTTTTCATTTTTCTTTGCGTAGTATCCCAATTATTTAGCTAAGATTTAACAACTGTTTAAATTCAATTATAAGAAATCCTTTAGTATGCTCAGAACTCTATCTTTAATTGTGTATCAATCAAGATTGGCATCAAATTTTTTGATACTCTTTACCATTACTCTTCGTAAATTGAAAAGTAAGTACAAGGTACAAACAGTATTCTCCCCATCAAAGCCACAATATGAATCTTTGAAGGCATGAAGACTAAAATAGATTTAGAAAGAGATGCTTGACCATTTTTCAACCCTTGCTTTATTTGTGAGCACAGCTATTAAACCTTCTATATTGCCTTGAGTATAAATGTGGCTCCCAAACTAATTTGCCTAGAGGCTACATCCGGAAAATGTCCGCCTTCCAAGAGCAACTAATTTTATTTCAGCATAAGTATATGTTTAACACTAAAAATATAGTATGTGTTTGTGCTTGCATTCATAAGTACCACAGAGGGCAAATATATCATAAAATGAAAGTTTTAAATAACTTTTCTTTTTTAGAGACAGCGTCTCACTACATTGTCTAAGCTGGACTTGAACTCCTGTGCTCAATAGATCTTCCTGCCTCAGCCTCCCAAGTGGCTGGGATTACAGGCATGTGCTACCACATCTGGCTTTAAATATCTTTTCTTTTTGAGATGGAGTCTCACTCTGTCCCTCAGGCTGGAGTGCAGTGACATGATCTTGGCTCACTGAAACCTCTGCCTCCCAGGTTCAAGTGATTCTCATGACTCAGCCTCCCAAGTAACTGGGATTACAGACATGCGCAACCAGGCCCAGCTAATTTTTAGTAGAGACGACGTTTCACCATGTTGGCCAGGCTGGTCTCGAACTCCTGACCTCAGGTGATCTGACCGTCTTGGCCTCCCAAAGTGCTGGGATTACAGGCGTGAGCCACCATGCCCAGCTTTTTCTATTTAAACAATTTTGTTTCTTTAATTAATACTATTGTCATCTCTAGTACATTCTACACTTTAATTCTTATGAGTAAACCTCTGGTTCCCCAATGGCCCCAAACCAATGGAAATCTAACAAGTCTGTTTCATATTCTGATGAGCTCTCACCTGAAAGAAGGGTGGAACATGCAAAGGCAGTAACAAACATATGGCTTAGATAGCAACTCAGATTGAGTTATTGATCCATTACAAGTTGAGTTGCGGTGGCTCACGCCTGTAATCCCAGTGCTTTGGGAGGCTGCCCTGACCAACATGGAGAAACCCCGCCTCTACTAAAAATACAAAATTAGCTGGGCGTGGTGGCGCATGCCTATAATCCCAGCTACTCAGGAGGCTGAGGCAGGAGAATCACTTGAACCCAGGAGGCGGAGGTTGTGGTGAGCCGAGATGGCGCCATTGCACTCCAGCCTGGGCAACAAGAGCGAAACTCAGTCAAGAAAGAAAGAAAAGGAATGAAGGAAGGAAGAAAGGGAGGGAGGAAGGGAGGGAGGGAGGAAGGAAGGAAGGAAGGACGGAAGGAAGGAAGGAAGGAAGGAAGTTAGTTCTCTGCTAGGCTGTGAGGGTCTGGATGGGGTATGTGATTTGGTCGCTTTTTATGAGAGTTTGAAAATTTACTGGTGATACAGATATACTTGCATATAATAACTCGGTTATCGTTATGTTCAAGAAAACGAATGTGGCAGAGGGAAGGTGAGTGCCACAGATAACAGGTTAGTGATGAAGAAAGTTCTGCGAGCTTTCGCAAAACACAGGAATGCTTTGGGAATCGGGTGCTGAGGGAGAAGCAAAGGCTGGGGTGAGCGGTGGCACTTTAGCAATAAAGTGGAATGAAAGTGATTTGATTTATGGAAGGTGAGGGCCCTGGGATGTGGGACTGGAGTAAGCAAATATTTAAGGTTGGAGGAGTTTGAGGAAAAAGCTCAAAGAAACCTAAGGAAGTCCTTGAAAGCCCCTGATAGAAATGTTTCATTGGTTTCAGTTGATTGGCTTGGGTGTATCTGAGGGCGTGTTGGAGCCTGGAGGGTAACCTCCTCTTGGGAGGGGTGGAGTTATCCCTGTAGAATTGAGACTGCCTGTGAAACATGTGATGGGTAATGGCCAGAGGCAAGCACTGGGCCAGGCTGCTGGAGATTTAGCTTCTTTCAAGATAAGAATTTAGGTTCATCCCTTGTGGTCACTAAGCCCAGGTCTGTCTCTTTAGGGGATTTAAATCTCCAATAGCCCTAGACCTGGTTCAGCTTTCCCCTAAGGCCCATCCTTAAACAAAGTGGCCCTTCAGGAACTTAAGGAAAAGGCTCCATGGCCTTCTGTATAATATTAGAATACTTAAAAGCAGTAGATGGTTCAAGTTTGTTTAATTGAATGATTAAACTAAGAGCTGAGTAGGATCAAAACAAAATGAAGAGTTGAATAGGATCTTAGAAATAATCTAGTCTCATCCTAACCTGAAAATTTAGGCAGAAAGTTTATACTACATGCAGCATATTTAAGAATTCATCTTTCCTGATTTCCAGCGTGGCTTTATCTATTGAACTCTATCGTATCTAATTTCAGCTGGAAACAGGAATTCTCAAGGTTCCTGAAAGTACTATACTTTGTCATTGTTCATCTGATTGTGGCAGTGCTGCTTCTAAAAATTGTAAATGAGGAATTTTTACTTCCTTTTTAGTTGAATTAAAATGGGACAGTTTGAAGATGATTAAAGACAATATAGGTTATTATAAAACCAGAGGTTTAAAAAAATAATCTCACTAATAAGCCAGTATTCAAATAAAAATGTTGTGACTAACATTAATTCAACATTTCTAAACATGGTTGAAGGTTTCTAGCTTACAGTGACCCCTGGTGTTACATTGAAACACATGCAGTCTGTTGTTCCAATCTGTGGAAATAGCTCCTGACAGGAGCTGGCCAACTCTATGTAAAGCAGCCCATTCCCAGTGGCTGTGGAGTAAAGCAAATTTCTGTAAAGGAAATTAGAATCTGTGCATTCAACATACAAAAGACCAGCATTTTATTAGGTAATACCTGTACATGTCATTAAAATATGTACTAAAGAAACAGTGAACAAATGAAATTAATTTTTTCTCAAATCTCAATTATTAAAGTGACTTATTTTAAAAATAAAAGCAACAATAGGAATTTAAACTTATTTGTTTCCTAATGTAGTAGATGGCAATATCCAAAAAGAGAGATATAAAATCTTTTCTTTTTTTAGACAGAGTCTCACTCTGCCGCTCAGGCTGGAGTACAATTGGACGATGTTGGCTCACTGCAACCTCTGCCTCCTGGGTTCAAGCAATTCTCCTGTCTCAGCTTCCCAAGTAGATGGGATTACAGGCATCCACCACCCCACCACCACGCCAGGCTAATTTTTTTGTATTTTTAGTAGAAACGAGGTTTCACCATGTTGGCCAGGCTAGTTTTCGACTCCTGACCTCAAGTGATCCGCCCGCCTCAGCCTCCCAAAGTGCTAGAATTACAGGCGTGAGCCACCGCACCCGGCCACAAAATCTAGTTTTTAAGTGTCTTGAAATCCGTAATTATGCAGAATTATATGTTCCCTCATGAATGGCAAATTTAAGAAATCTGTGTAGTCTGTGTGAATATGTGAGACAAGTCTAAATAACTCAAACTGTACACCAGAACATTTAAGTCTGGATGTGCTATTGTAATGAGAACACAGTTTTCACCTCAAATCCTTCATGCAACGTGGAGGGATGAAAAGGAACGAGAGGAAGGAGAAAGAAAAAATAGGAAGAAAGGAAGGAGGGGGGAAGAAAGGAAATGGAAAAGAAGATATTCGTTCTGGTTCATGTCCATAAGAAGAAAAAAGGAAGGAAGGAAGATGAGAGAAAACATAGATGTTGGATGGATGTTTTGCAATTTGAGTCTTGATCACTGCCAAATCTGCTGGGCCTGGTATAATGCCTGACATGTAGTAGGTTCACAGGTGAACTGCCCTTCAGACAACAGCAGTTTCATAAGGTTAAACTATATAAAGCTGACCAATTAAAACTATGCCGAATATATAATTTAACATTTGTATTTCCTGCCTAGTGTGTTCAGAATTAGGTGGATGGGGGTAGCACTCCCAGCTGGAATTTCTTTTTTTTTTTTTTTTTTTGAGATTTTGTCTCACTCTGTCGGAGTGCGGTGGTGAGATCTTGGCTTACTGCAACCTTCGCCTCCCAGGTTCAAGCGATTCTCCTGTCTCAATCTCCCAAGTAGCTGGGATTACAGGTGCGTGCCACTATGCCTAGCTAATTTCTTGTATTTTTGGTAGAGACGGGGTTTCACCATGTTGGCCAGGCTGGTCTCAAACTCCTTACCTTAGGTGATCTGCCTCCCAAAATGGTGGGATTATAGGTATGAGCCACTGTGCCCGGCCGAATTTCTTCTTTCTGTTCAAGCTTCACACCACTGACTAGGCCTGTATGAGACCATGCATGCAGAAATTGTAAAACTGTGTAACTGCAAAGTATTGCCACCATGAAAGTGGCATGGGGCCCTTGAACAAACCCAGCAGCAGTCATGGGTAAAGCTTGTGGCCCAGCAATAATGGAAAACATAAAAGTAACTCCATGGCTGTTAAATTAGGATTACAAAAATGCTCCCTAGCCCAAAATAATTCTCTAAATTGCTCAGATGATCCTGAAAAACCTTTTCACAGAACACAGGGTATTTATTAAAATAAAAGGTGGTTACAATGCAAATATTCTTACTGAAGTCTATAATTGCACTTATTTCCTTTCTTAAGAACCTAACATTGAAAGACGGGAGAGAAGGGAAAGAAGAGGAGGGAAATATAGAAACCAAAGCTGGGTACAATAAAAAAATCATACTTACCAGTTATGCTAAAAGTGAGGCCGAGTTTTAAAAACTCTATCAGAAGGACCAGAAGAGAGAGAATGTAGGGTACTGAGTTAGGGGGGTCAGAAAGGCAAATAAAGGGAGACCAAATGTGGTCAGACACCAATGTGCCCTCAGTAGAAAGAAACTGGAAAGCATCTGTGGGCTCTAAATTGAGTTCCAAGACATCAGTCTCTCAGAGGTAGAAATCACAGGAATGATTTTCACTGCCTAAAACTTTTGACTATACAGAACAACCCTATGATTGTGCAAGAGAGTTTACTCATGACTTAAAGTGTAGTGATAAAAAGGAAAGAAAAGGCAGATTTTATCATGACAGTTGTAAAATTGAAAACTGTAGAAGCAGACTTGAAAAAATCGTACATATCAAAAAATGGGCCAATTAAATAAATGGTGTTATATCTATCTGGATAGACTTATATTTCATGTGATAGAATGCTACAAAAGCATTAAAAGAAATATGATAAGGCCAGGCACAGTGGCTCACACCTGTAATCCCAGCACTTTGGGAGGCTGAGGTAGGTGGATCACCTGAGGTCAGGAGTTTGAGACCAGCCTGGCCAACATGGCGAAGTCCCATCTCTACTAAAAATACAAAAAAAAAAAATTAACTGGGCATGGTGGGAGGCAGCTGTAATCCCAGCTACTCGGGAGGCCCAGGCAGAATTGCTTGAACCCAAGAGGTAGAGGGAAACTCCGTCTCAAAAAAAAAAAAAAAAGAAAAAGAAAGAAATGTGATAAAGTCTAAGTCTACTGACATCACACATACACATATTTATGTACTTGTAAAAACACGTGGAAGAATATATATATACAAATTGTGTGTGTGTGTGTATTAGTGACTGCCTCTTAGGAATAATTTGGGATAGGTAAGAAAATAATTGAATTCTTTTAAATACTTTTTATTTTTTAACGAGATCATTTATATCTCATAAGAATTTTAAGGATATTAAGTTTGTCATCTAGTAAAGATGATTGTTTTTAGAAACTGTTTCTTTACTACTATGGACAATTAGCTGTGAAAGACATTTCCAAGAATAAAGATTCCTCAGGCACTGACAGTCTAAAACTGGGAAACAGGACAGGTACCCAGATAACTTCAGAAAGGCAGCTTAGAAGGACCATAGGAAAAGTTCATAGCTCTGTGATGGTTCGGAGGACAAATAACATCCACTTGGGTGGACCAGGATAAAAGGTTAAAAATTGGTAGTCTTTTGACAGGAAGATGACAGGACAAGTTTTCAGAAGTGCCAGCCTGAGTAAAGGCATACAGCGGGAAAGGAGGAGTACTTCTAGAACTAACAACAGACAGTAGTAATTGAGCACTTACTGTATGCCAGGTGTTGTTTTTGGCTCTTTACAAGTATTACTTCACAATACTCTTACAAAGCAGGCATTACGATTTTCATTTTAGAGATGAAGAAACTGAGGCAATGAGAGGGTAAGGCACTCTCTCAAGATCGCCCTGCTAGCGAGAGGTACTGGCAGGAGCCACAGCTGGCTGGAGCTCTTTTGTCTTACCACAATCCAGCCTCGTGGAGGCTGGGGTCTTAGTCTGCAGGGCCTGAGTGGCCACCTAGAGCAGGCAGTGTGACACTGTGTGGTCCAGGTGGGAGGTCACAAGAAGAAGCAGGGGTTCCTCACCCACTGTCGAGCTCCACCTCCAACTCTGTAAGAGTCTTGTTCCTCTTCTCCTCCATGTGGAAGGGGAGCTGCCTCTCAGAGGAGGCAAGGTGCTCTGCCTTCCCACCAGCTGGATCATCTTTTTAAAAAATTCCCAACATCTTTTATTTTTTAGAACCTGGACCGGGGTAGGGAGGGTGTCTCACCATGTTGCACAGGCTGGTCTTGAACTCCAGGCCTCAGCCATCCTCCCACCTTAAGCTCCCAAAACACTGGGATTATAGGTCCAAACCACCAGGCCGGCTTTCAATTGCCTTTTCTTTTTGTGAAGAGATAATTCATATGGTCACATGGTTCAAAACTCAAATTATTTGAGGGTAAGCAGTGAAAAGTTTCTTTTCTATACATGTGCCCAAGATAGCCAATGTCACTTCCTGGAAGCAACCAATGCTTCCCATTTCATCTGTATTCTTCTAGAAGTATTTAGAGATAATTACGTAGAGTGTATAAAGATATTCCTTGTTGTTTTGTTGAAGATGCATTGAATATGCAGAACATAATTTATCTGACCTGTCCTGTTAATAGACATCTTTTACTACTGTAAACAATATTGCAATAACTATTCTTGTTCATTTTTCATACATGTAGACATATCTAGAGAATAAATTGGAATGTACCCTTTACTCATTGTAATTATTAATTGTAATCACTTGCCAAATTGCCCTCCCTTGAGGTTATAGTAAATTTATATTCTGAGACATAAATAAGTGCCCATTTTCTCACTCCTTTGTAATATTGCGTATTATCAAATGTTTCAATTTTTTACTTAAATTCTATGTTTTTGAGATATCCATATTGATACATGTGGTTCTACTTCATGCATTTTTAATTACTGGGTACATTTGTATTTTTAAATTCTAGATTCAGGGGTTACATGTGCAGGTTTGTTGCATGGGTATATTGCATGATGCCGAGATTTGTGCTTCTATCGATCCCATCACCCAATAATGAACATAGTATCCAATAATAGTTTTCCAACTCTTGCCCCTCTTCCTCCATCCTTTCTTTAGGAGTCTCCAGTGTCTATTTCCATGTTTATGTCCATGTGTACTCATTGTTTAGCTCCCACTTATAAGTGAGAACATGGAGTTTTTGGTTTTCTGTTTCTATGTTAATTTGCTTAGGATAATGGCCTCCAGTGCCATCCATGTTGCTGCAAAGGACATAATCTTGTTCTTTTTTTTATGGCTGTGTAGTATTCCATGGAGTATATGACCACATTTTCTTCATCAAATCAATTGTTGTTGGTCCCTTAGGTTGATTCCATGTCTTTTTTTGTTTGTTTGTTTTTTGTTTTTTTTTTTTTGAGACAGAGTCTCACTCTGTTGCCCAGGCTGGAGTGCAATGGCATGATCTCGGCTCACTGCAACCTCTGCCTCCCAGGTTCAAGCGATTTTCGTGCCTCAGCCTCCTGAGTAGCTGGGAATACAGGTGTGCACCACCACACCCGGCTAATCTTTGTATTTTTTAGTAGAGACAGGGTTCCACCATGTTGGCCAGGCTGGTCTTGAACTCCTGGCCTCACGTGATCCACCCGCCTTGGCCTCTCAAAGTGCTGGGATTACAGGCGTGAGCCACCACACTCAGCTAGTATGTCTTCTTTTGAGAAATGTCTATTCATGTCTTTTGCCCACTTTTCAAATGGGGTTGTTATTTTGTTGATTTAAGTTCCTTATAGATTCTGGGTATTAGTCCTTTGTTGGATGAATAGTTGGCAAATATTTTCTACTGAGTACTATTAAATTGCACAAATATACTATTTACTTATCCACACACCTACTAATGGACAACTAGGTTTATCTTTGACACTGTTTGGGGGTGTCCTCCTGCCTGTTTATTTTACTGAACATTAAATGCAATTCATTATTAAAAGCTGTATGTCAGGCTCTGGTATACAGAGATGAACAAGACATGCTCTCTGTTCTAGAGTTACGCCATGTTTAGGATAAGCAGAAAGGGTTGGTGGAAAAAATTAAAAATAATAATAAAAAAGAAAGGGTTAGTGGACCTTGGGGAGAAAGAGATATGCTGTGTGCATACAAATATAATTAGTTATGAGCAAAATGGGGGAGAATAGAAAAAGCATGTTATCAGAGTGCCTGGTCAATGACAGATATTTGTTGAGTGAATGAACTAATGAGTCAATTAGTAAGAAACTGATCGCAAGGCACGTTGAATATTTAGGTATTAACTTTGAGGGACTGTAATTAATGTTCCTTACTACTAATTGCCTTGTCTAAGGGAAGACAGACGAAGTTGCTAAATACCCATGGAAATCCAACCCTACGCGGAAATCCAATCCTAGTCCATCATTTCAAGACCTTACAGGTAAATGGGACAGATTAGGAAAAATGGTCTTTTATTGCTTTTAAACTCTAGTTACTTTTTCAGTTTTCATAACTTGAATAAATAGCCTCAATCATCAGTTAGTCAAAAAACTGTATATCAAGGCTAATTTTTCTACTTAGTATCTCATTAATCATCTTTTGAATTGCAGAGATAACTCCCAGCTGGCTAAAGGCCACTACACCCTGTCTATATTTACACTGAATTAAGGATAAATCTGGCTAGGTTGCTTTGTTATTAAAATGACATACCAAAGATTTAAAGCTCAAGTTCAAGTTCATATACTGTATTTGAATTCTCCAGTTGGCTGTCATATCATGACAAAGGCAGTTTCCATGTAAGAATTGTATAACACCGCCTATCCACCAGTGGCAAGTTTTGGCACAAGACATTAATATTTGGGTAATAATGTATTTCGTGGCTGGGTTAATGTGGTTAATCTTTCTGAAGCTATGCTTAGAAATTCCAAGGCAAAATGGTGCACACACTTCCTCTAGTATTTAGGTTTCTACCATAGAAACAGAATTCAATCCAAAACTTTCATAACTATAGATATAGAAGAACACTGTATAAATACTTTAAAAGATGTCAGTCTTATTTCTCTCTCGTGTTTCAGATTAGGACTTTATTTTAGTGATTCTGTCTCCTTTTATTATATTTTAGAGACAGGGTCTTGCTCTGTCGCTCAGGCTGGAGTGCAGTGGCACAATCATGGCCCACTGCTGCCTTGAAGTCCTGGGGTTAAGGAATCCTTCTGTCTCAACCTCCCAAGTAGCTAGGACTACAGGCATGCAGCACTATGTTCAGCTAATTTGGTTTTTAAACATTTTCTGCAGAGACGGGGTCTTGCTCTGTTGCCCTGGCTGGTCTCAAACTCTTGGCCTCAGGCAGTCCTCCCACCTCGCCCTCCCAAAGTGCTGGGATTGCAGGCATGAGCCACCACTCCCAGCCTCTCCTTTTATTATTTACCTTTCAAATTAAAATTTTGTAGAGACTTCACTGACAGAGCCATTTCTCAACAATTTTTCTTGGAACCAACTTCATTATCTAGGTAAGCTACAAACTTAATACATTATGCATTCAACAAGGGTTAATTACATGCTATAGAATGCATAGCACAAAAAGTAGGCATCTACCAGCGATTCAAGTACTTATGTCTAAAAGTTTCCTTTAAAAAAACACATATGTATTGATTGTTCCATAATTAAGAACTACCAGAGTGCGTAACTTTAAAAGGTGACTTATCATATCGTGTAAGTAGTATGCCATTATATTGTTTGGTTTTTGAGAGAGTAAAAATCAGCCTAGGACTGAGATAGTAAAAAAAAAAAAAAAAAAAAATCTGCCAATAAGTGTTATTCATCCTATTGAGAATTTTAAATAGAATTTGAAAGGGATAACCCCATTAAGCTGAGCTTCAGTTTCCTCAAGTAAAATGGCAGTTTGTTGTGAGAGATGGAATAAGGTATGTAAAGCATCTAGCCTAATATCTCACACATATCCATTCAATTTTGTTAGCTCCCTATTCTGGGCATTCTTTCCTCCTTCGTAGCACCTAGAGAATAATTTTTGGGCCTCTGCAACGACGTGGATCAGGGCAAGGCACAGCTGAAGCTACAGAGCAGTTGAAGAATTAAAAATAGTAATTAATTGGCAACTAATCTTTCAAATGTGTGGGAAGAACAGATGATAATGTACAGACCTTAGCCCACCGCCCAAACAAAGGATAAGGAAATAAAAACAGAACAAATGCAATTAAATAATCTACTCATTTCAGAAGTCGCCAATTTTGCCTCCTGGTCTCTCTCAATTTTCTGCTTTCTCACCTTCGATTCCTTGGCCCCTCATCTATTTATGTTCTTTTTCATCTTAATGCACTTTTTCTTCTTTTCTACTTTCATCGTGGTGTACTTTATCTCTTTCCTTAAATCAGTGGTGTGCCTAGCACATTTGACACCTAGTACAGATCATTTTAAATGACTTCCTCCTCTAAAGGAGAAAATTATTTTTAAGTCATGAAATGAAATACAGACCAGAAAGAAGACACTGAAAAATATTTTATTGATTTTTACTTTGTAACTATCATTAAATTTTTTCAAATAAAAATGTAAATAAAATAATACAGTACAAAAAAGGAAACAAATTAATACTTTTCCATTACATGAATGTGTTTTTTTGAAAAAAATTAAAGGTTCAGGGAGACATGTGAAAATAAGAGAAAGGGAACTCTGCCTATATGTCTCAGAAAATGGTGTGTATATATTATACAATAACAGAACTGAAGTTATTCAATTTGTTTTGACACCTTTACAATCACGGCGCTATCGTGTATTATGAATCTGCTATTTAAAGCTAGGATTTCTATAGTGCCAAAGGTTGGAGATAAGAGCTGTGCACAAAACAAGCTGAAACAATTTAGAACTGTTAAGAATGTACTTTCAATACCAACACACATATAAAGCCGAGTCCTTGTATGTTGGGGACCAGTTGTATAATCAAGAGTTCTTTGAATTAACTTCCCCAGAGTATAATTAAAAGATAAGCAATAACAATGTGCTAATTTGAGGCTTACACGTTACTAAAATTCAATAGACAATCACAGCATTTATTTAGAACTTAAATCAATGGTTCTCAACCTTGGCTGTTTTGCCTTTCGGGACATTTGGCAATGTCTGGAGACACTTTTGGCTGTTACCATTGTGGGGAGTGCAACTGAAATCAAGTGGGTGGAGGCCAGGGATGCAGCTAAACATCCAAAGATGCACAGGACAGCCTCCCACAACAATTATTTGGCCCAAAATGACAACAGAATGAGAAACCCTGGCTTGGACCAACCAGGTTTTTGAGGTGAGAGTTTATTTTTTCAATGACATTGTTTAGGATTTGATGGCAGAAAGGTGATAATAAAAGCAGACTGATTCTAGTTATTTTTATTGTTGCTAAATGGCAATCGTATAGACAGTGTACTCCTTTATCGTCTGTACCCGGGGGTAACCACTCGGACACCCCACCCCATCTTGGCTATCATTCATTGCTCCATTAGATTTCTTCTTCTGGAGTACCACCTCAGTGAGGCGTAAATGAACCAGAGCTAGCCACAGGTTCGTATGTGGCTATTCTCTTGGTTGATTTCATGCTTATCTTATTTTTAAAAACATAATTAAATATTCTAAAATAACAGCTTTATTGAAATATAATTTACAAACCAAAAAGTCATCATTTTAAAGTGTACAATTCAGTGGTTTTTAGTATATTCATCAAGTTATGAAACTAGCACCACTAATTTCAGAACATTTTCATCATTTTCAAAAGAAATCTTATGTCCAGTAGCAGTCATATCCCATTCTTCTCTTTCTTCCTCCAACCCCTGGCAAATGCTCATCTATTTTCTGTCTATGAATATGCCTATTCTGGACATTTCATATAAAGGTAAAGATACAATATGTGGCCTTTTGTGACTTCTTTCACTTAGCATGTTTTCAAGTATCAGTACTTGGCTCCTTGTTACTGCCAGGTTATATTCCATTGTATGGATAAACAACATTTGGTCTGTGCATTTATCAGTTGATATCTGGGTTGCTTCCATTTTGCCTACTTAAGTATGCTTCTCTGAACATTTGTGTGGACATAGGTTTTTAATTATCTTGAGTATATAACCTAGGAGTGGAAGTGCCGGATCACGTAGTCATTCTATGCTTATTATTTGAGGAACAGAAACTCTTCTATCACATATAATATTCTATTGTTGGATACACCACATTTTGGTTATCCATTCAACATTAGAAAACACTTGGATTGCTTCCACTTTTTAGCTGTTATGAGTAATGCTGTATGAACATTTGTGTTTTTTTTTGTGATGTATGTTTTCATTTCTCTAGAAGTGGAATTGCTACGCGATGTAGTTAACTCTCTAACCTTTCGAGGAACTGCCAAACTGTTTTCCGAAGTGGCTACAACATTTTGTAATCCCACTAACAAGGGTTCCAATTTCTCCATATCCTTACTATCACTTGCTATTGCCTTTTTAATTTTGACTACCCTGGTGGATATGAAGTGGTATCTTGTTGTGATTTCATTGCATTTCCCTAGTGAGTAATGAGGTTGAACATCTTTTCATGTGCTTATTGGCTATCTGCATATCTTTGTAGAAATGTCTACTCAAATCTTTAGCCCATTTTTAAAGTTGGGTTGTCTTTTTATTGTTGAGTTGGAAGAATTGTTTATATATTGTTCCTTATTTGTTATGTGATTTGCAAATATTTTCTCACATTCTATGTTTTGTCTTTTCACTTTTTTTTTTTTTTTTTTTTGCGACAGGGTCTTAGATTCTGTCACTCAGGCTGGAGTTCACTGGCTTGATCTTGGCTCACTGCAGCCCTGCCGCCTCCTGGCTTCAAGTGATTCTCCAGCCTCAGCCTCCTGAGTAGCTGAGACCACAGGCGTGAGCCCCCACATAGGGTAATTTTTGTAGAGATGGGGTCTCGCCATGATGCTCAGGCTGGTCTTGAAATCCTGAGCTCAAACTGATGCCTCCCCAAATGCTGGGATTACAGGCATGAGCTACCATGCCCGGCCTCTTTTCACTTTCTTGATGATATCTTTTGAAGCACAAAAGTTTTTAATTTGGATAAGGTCCAATTTATCTAATTGTGTGTGTGTGTTAAGTGTGCTTTTAGTGTAATATCTAAGACACCATTGCCTAATACAAAGCTGAAGAGATGTACTCCTGTTTTCTTCTAAGAATTTTATAGTTTTAGCTATTAAAGTCTTTGGTCCAGTTTGAGATCATTTTGTCTATGGTATGAGTGCCACTGTATTGTTTTGCATGTGGATATTCAGTTTTCCCAGCACTATTTATTGAGAAGGCTCTTCCTTCCTCCTTTGAAATATCCTTTTCTGTTTTTTGAGTGTCTTGCTCTGTCGACCAGGCTGGTGTGCAGTGGCATGATCATGGCTCACTGTAGCCTCCACCTCCTGAGCTCAAGCAATCCTCCCACCACAGACTCCCAAGTGGCTGGGCTGCAGGCTCACACCACCATGCTTGGCTAATTTTTAATTTTTTTTTTTTTTTTTTTTTTTTTTTTTTTTAGTAGAGACAGTATCACTATGTTGCCCAGGCTGGTGTTGAACTCCTGGCCTCAAGCGATCCTCCTGCCTCAGCCTCCCAGAGTGCTAGGATTACAGGCCTGTGCTACAGAGCCTGGCCTATTTTATTATTATTATTTTTTGCTAGTCCTTGATTCAGGAGAAAAATCAATTGACTTTAAACTTAGTTCATTTCTGGACTTTCAATTCTATTCGATCTGTCTGATCTTATGCCAGTACTACACTATCTTGATTACTGTGACTTTGTAGAAAAGTTTTGAAATTGGGAAGAGAATGTTTCACAGATTTTTTTTTTTTTTTTTGAGATGGAGTCTCACTGTGTTGCCCAGGCTGGAGTGCAATGGTGCAATCTTGGCTCACTGCAAACTCCGCCTCCCGGGTTCAAGTGATTCTTATGCCTCAGCCTCCCGAGTAGCTGAGATTACAGATGCCTGCCACCACATCCAGCTAATTTTTGTATTTTTGGTAGAGACAGGGTTTCACCATGTTGGCCAGGCTGGTCTTGAACTCCTGACCTCAAGTGATCTGCTTGCCTTGGCCTCCCAAAGTGTTGGGATTACAGGCATGAACCACTGCGCCTGGCCTCTCAATTGCATTTTAATTGTTTATTGCTATTGTACAGAAATACAACAAAATATTTTCAAGTAAAAACAATACTTCTGAAGCAGTTATATGAAATAGGAAAAAGATAATTTTTTAAAGTCACTTAATGTGGACTTTAACATTTTTACTTATTTTGAATCTGTACTACCCACTGTGTTGAGGACATATCATAACTTTTTTTTTTTTTTTTTTTTTTTTGAGACGGAGTCTCGCTCTGTCACCCAGGCTGGAGCACAGTGGCACAATCTTGGCTCACTGCAACATCCGATTCCCTGGTTCAAGCAATTCTGCCTCAGCCTCCCAAGTAGCTGAGATTACAGGCATGCACCACCACGCCCAACTAATTTTTGTATTTTTAGTAGAGATGGGGTTTCACCATGTTGGCCAGGAGGGTCTTGATCTCCTGACTTTGTGATCCACCCGTCTTGGCCTCCCAGAGTACTTGGATTACAGGCGTGAGCCACCACACCTGGCCTCCTAACTTCTTAATAAAGCCTAGCTGAACCTTCTTCCAGAAAACCTGTCATTTTCAGTTCATTTCTTGGTGATATTGAATTTTTTTTAAAAAAAATCTTAAAACAGGAGCATAAAATTGCTCTTGAGAGCCTTAAATATGGTAGGGAAAATACAAGCATTTCACACAAGTATCTCTTTGGTCAGCTTCCAGAACTCTGGGAGTAGAAAAAAATGAAAGGAGAGGAGACAAAAAGCCTATAACATGAATGTAAACGGTAAGAAAGATGTGAACTTTAAAAATATTTTATGGCAATTCTTTTCACAAAATGTTTTAAATGTAACTAGATGTTTGTACTAAAATACAAGCACTTCATACATTTTAAAAACCACTGGAGTTAGATTTTTCAAAAAGTGTTGATTGGCTAATGTAAAATTTCTGTAGGGACCGTACAAATGTCAGAGCTACAGTATATTTTACATGCGATTTTTCATTCTAACCTATAGAACAATGTGAGGTAGCTAAAGTAGATATTGCCAACACAGTTTCAAAATGAGGAACTTGAATTTATAGATGTTAACTGATTTTCCAAATCCAAATGAAGTCCCAGATTTTCCAACTCCTTAATGCAGCCAACTTATGATGTATGTGTATAAACTATATACACATATTTTAAAAATTAAGGCACATCTGAGAATTATATGAGTTCAAATTAATCCATAATAAGCATACAAACACATAGAAAGCTTTGTGTGTAGATTAGGATTTTTCTGAGGAGCTTATTTCAAGGGAGGGGCGACATCTATTGACAGAAAGAAGATTGAGCAGGACTGTGAGGATTTTTAAAAATTTAGTCTTGTTTCTCAAAGCCATTCCTTGTATTAGAATTCCCCCTAGAACTTATTAAAAAATGAAGAGCCCTGAGCCCTGCCAGTGGTGAAGTGTATTTGACACTCAGAGTAGATAATTTTTTAACATCCCATTCCTCTATAGTTTCAGTAACAATAGAACAACAATAATAGTAATGGTTAGAAAAGAAATTGACAGCAAAATTTTTTAACTGAAACTTTAATCAAGGCAGTCAAAATTTAAAAGTTAAAAAAAAAAAAGCCACACAAATATTACAAAACCAAAAAGAAAAAATCTATACTACTTGATAGTTTTGAGATCTGCCTAGGAGTTTTAACTTTGACCCTTTGTTAAAAAGTCATTTTATGTAAACAATTGTCCAGCAACTAATAAGTGAATTTCAATAACATCTACAAGATATAATTTGTTTCTACTAAATCATATTGATGATAGAGTGTTTTACTTCTTGATTTTTAATTTTAAATGAATAAACAATGAAACCGGATAAATTTCAATTTTAAAGATATTTAAGTTTTGTAAGGTATGTCACACATGAACTAAATTTTGTACTTAGTAAGTGGTTCCACAGAATGACAGAATGAGATGGTAAAATGAGATGGAGTCAAAAACCCACGACTACCTTAAATAGAAGGGACAGAATAGTGACTGTTGGAGAGAATTTGTGGATGCAAATAGGTTTGCAGATTTCAGGGCAGAAGAGGAAGTTCTTTTCTCATGGCTTCTATTTCCTCAGTGTTGTAGGAGGTGAGATTATTTACCAAAGAGAGAACTGGGAAGGGGTGGGAATTAGGGATTCAAGAATAGTGCAGACAATCTGATGGAGAGTAGGAAGAGTGAACTACTAGGGAAACAACACAGAAGGCTGAGGTAGAATTGGAACCCACGTTTCCAGACATTCAGTTCAGTGGTCCTTTTAATACATCATACTGAAAAGGAATGACTATTGGGAAAAGTATTTTGCATGAATGGATAGCAGGTAGGGTTGATTAAAACAAAGGGATCATTTGAGGAAGAAGGCAAAAAAACAAATGGTGTTATTAAAATAAATGGACTTCAGAGAATTGGGAAAAAAGCATTCATTTTATATGATAAACAACAGAACTCGTTTTAAGTTACAAAAGACTAATGGTACATTTTTCAAAAATATGTAGTCTGGAAAATGAAGAAAAATATACACATAGGAAAAATCACTTAGAATTTAATTTTGTACTTACTTAGAAAGCTTTCTTAGACTTCATTAGACACATTTTTATTATATTGCCCATACATAAAAATGAAAATACAAGCAAATTACATTGGTAAAGGTATTTCTAAAATTTCATCACTTTTGAACTATTACTTCCGACTCAGAGATTGTCTGGGTTTTTCCACAGAATTTATCCTTTGCAGCACTGAAAGCACTGGCAACAAGCATTTCCTTACAGAATCCATAAAAGAACTAAAGCTGTGGTGCTAGGTACCTAGCTGTCTTTGGGAATGTTGTACAACACATCTTATTCATCAATTCTCTCACCATTATAGTTTGGATTTTTTTCCAATCTGGTGTTTTTGATGTCTTATAGTAAGCACAGGAAATGGATGGCATTGGTTGACAAGCTTGGAGGACCACTATCCATCCACTGTTAAATGGACCCAGATTTCAGAGATGTTAAAATACGAAACATAGTAAAACAGAGTAGCTTGCTACTTTGTTTTCCTTTGTCTTTAAATATTTTTTGGTTGGGCAGAGTGGTTCACGCCTGTAATCCCAACACTTTGGGAGGCTAAGGTGAAAGGAGAGCCTGAACCCAGGAGTTTGAGACCAGCCTGGGCAACATGGTGAAACCCTGTCTCTACAAAAAATACAAAAATTTGCCAGGCATGGTGGTGGGCATCTGTAGTTACAGCTATTAGGGACAGTGAGGTGGAAGGATTGCTTGAGCCTGGGAGGTTGAGGCTGCAACAAGCCGTGGGTGTGCCAATGCATTACAGCCTGGGTGAGAGAGTGAGACCCTATCTCAAAACAAAAAAAAAATTAATATACATATTTTTACAATTTTTTTAGAATAGGGTCTCACTTTGTTGCCCAGGATGGAGTACAGTGGTGTGGTCATGGTTCACTGTAGCTTTAAACTCCTTGGCTCGAGCAATCCTCCCACCTCAGCCTCCCAAGTAGCTGAGACTAGAGGAGTGCACCACCACACAGAGCTATATTTTTATTTTATTTTTATTTTTATTTTTTTTATTCTCTCTGTCGCCCAGGCTGGAGTGCAGTGGTGCGATCTCGGCTCACTGCAAGCTCCGCCTCCTAGGTTCACGCCATCCTCCTGCCTCAGCCTCCCGAGCACGCCCGGCTAACTTATTTTTGTACTTTTAGTAGAGACAGGGTTTCACCATGTTAGCCAGGATGGTCTCGATCTCCTGACCTCGTGATCCACCCGCCTCGGCCTCCCAAAGTGCTGGGATTACAGGCGTGAGCCACCGCGCCTGGTCTATATTTTTACTTTTATTTTTGTAGAGACAGGGTTTCGCTATGTTGTCCAAGCTGGTCTCAAACTCCTGGCCTCAAGTGATTCTCCTACCTCAGCCTACCAGAGTGCTGAGATTACAGGTGTGAGCCACCATGCCAGGCCTGTTTTAAATATTCTTCTAAAATATAATATTAATGGCTGCATAGTATTTCATTATATAGATGTACCACGTTTTCCCTGAATTCTGAGAAAGGGGTTGATTTTGTCCCTCTGGGAACATTACAAAATGTCCAGAGGCATTTTTGATTGTCATAACTGGGGTGCTACTGGCATCTAGTGGGCAGAAGCCAAGGAGGTTCAACATCCTAAAATGTACAGGACAGCCCCTTATAACAAAGAATTAACTGGTAGGTATGAGATTGAGAAACTCTGTAACCTATTGCTAGACATTTTTTCTTTTTTTGTTTTTGAGACAGGGTCTCACCCTGTTGCCCAGGCTGGAATGCAGCAGTGCAATCTTAGCTCACTGCAACCTCTGCCTCCCAGGCTCAAGCAATCTTCCCACCTCAGCTTCCCAAGTGGCTGGAACTACAGGCGTATGCCACCACATGCCTGGCTAATTTTTTTTTTTTTTTGTATTCTTGGTAGAGATGGGGTTTTGCCACATTGTCCAGGCAGGTCTAGAACTTCTGAACTCAGGGCTATCCACCTGCCTTGGCCTCCCCAAGTGCTGGGATTACTGGTGTAAGCTGGGAGCCACCTTGCTGAGCCAATTTTTTTTAACCCCTGCAGGACCAGCACCAAATTAAGGGGGAGCATAGGCTATGCATAGGATATATAGGATATAGCCCGTACAATTGGATTACCTGGGTTCAAATCCTGGCCTTGACAGTTACTAATTTAAGAACACTAACTAGAAGGAAGTACATTGAATTAGCAACTTAACCACTCCATGCCTTATTGCCCCATCTGTAAAATCAAAGAAAATTTACAGAAACTGCATAGGGCTGCTAAGACAACTAAACAGGTTGATAAATTTAAAACCCATGTCTGGCATCTAAGATACACCCATAAGTGTTTCATGAGCTCCGTTAGGTCATGCTTTTTAAAAAATACATTTATTGACCAGCCGCGGTGGCTCACGCCTGTAATCCCAGCACTTTGGGAGGCCAAGGAGGGCAGATCACCTGAGGTCAGGAGTTCGAGACCAGCCTGACCAACATGGAGAAACCCCGTCTCTACTAAAAATACAAAATTAGCCAGGTGTGGTGGTGCATGCCTGTAATCCCAGCTACTCGGGAGGCTGAGGCAGGAAAATCACTTGAACCCGGGAGGCAGAGGTTGCAGTGAGCTGAGATTGCGCCATTGCACTCCAGCCTCCGCAACGAGAGTGAAACTCCCATCTCAAAAAAAAAAAAAAAGAAGCATTTATTTATAAACACTACTGAGGCACTGACAGAAATAGGAAGGCACTGACAGAAAAATCAGGAACAAAGAATCTCAAGGTTTGGGGCCTAAGTCATTGAATCTAATATCTCTGAAACCATTGGATGATAGTAAAATCGATGTAATGTGTAAGACTAGCAAGAGGAAAAAAAAACAATAGAAGGTATCAGAGTATATCACAAGCAGCAAGTACTTTTTCCTGTGTATGTATACCAGGTCACAATGTGAAACTGTATTTCTTAATGTGGATCACAGTAAAAGTTAGAAAGTCACCACCTGAAGTCCAACTACCACTTGACATTTGAATCAGTTCTGTATCTGTGTCTACATGACTGATTAACTTCTGCCTTAAGGCATTTTATAAACAGTGCCAGCTCTATTTTTGGACACTTTGCTAGGCAGCTCTTCAAAATAATGAAAGACAAGAACCTAATAAAACATGATGCAAAAAGATATCTCTTTCAATCTGAAAAATGACTACAAATGTTTTGTCTTAATCTATTGGTTTAAATCTTTCAGGAAATTAAGCATTCTAGAAGTGTTTTCTTGACTATGTTGCTGCAGCATTGGAAACAGTGTTGCTTATGAGCTCATCAAGTCATCACTAGCTTTGAAGATGGTCATTCCTAAGTTAGCCATCATCATTATTAGTATGTTTGAGTACCCACAAACCAGCTGAGAAGGGCAGCTTTCAGGTCTATAAGCAGTACTGAAAACATTAACTTAATCATCATAGTGCCAGCAGCCTCTAAATAGTACATAATCATATACACCAAATTAGTTATGGTTTTAAAAACAAAGTCCAAAACGTACATCTTTTTAACCCTTTTAAAAATGAACAATAATTGTGCCTCATACTTTGAATAAAGCCAAATTATGTGAATTGTGGTTGCTGGTTGTTTGAACATTGCCTAAAAGAAAATTAGGGTAATGACACTAAGTTGTTTGAGAAATATTTAATACATGTGCTGAATGCCTCAGGCAGAGTTGACAAAATTAAGATGTTTACCATGATCTTCCCAATAAACTGAATGTACTTTGGTAAAGAATTAATATCATATAAATTTGTTACTGCAATTATATTTATTTTTTTTTTCTTTTTTTGAGACGGAGTTTCGCTCTTGTTGCCCAGGCTGGAATGCAATGGTGCGATCTCGGCTCACTGCGACCTCCGCCTCCTGGGTTCAAGTGATTCTCCTGTCTCAGCCTACTGAGTATCTGGGATTACAGGCATGCGCCACTGGCTAATGTTGTATTTTTAGTAGAGACGGGGTTTCTCCATGTTGGTCAGGCTGGTCTCGAACTCCTGACCTCAGGTGATCCACCCGCCTCAGCCTCCCAAAGTGTTGGGATTACAGGCATGAGGCGTGAGCCACTGCACCCAGCCTGCAATTATTATTATTCTTCTTTTTTGAGATGGAGTCTCATTCTGTCTCCCAGGCTGGAGTGCAGTGGCATGATCTTGGCTCATGGCAACCTCCGTCCCCAGGTTCAATTGATTCTCCCACATTAGTCTCCTGAGTATCTGGGACTACAGTTGGGCGCCACCATGCCTGGCTAATTTTTGTATTTTTACTAGAGACAGGGTTTCACCATGTTGTCCAGGCTGGTCTCAAATTCCTGAGCTCAAGCAATCTGCCCACCTCAGCTGGTATTACAGGCGTGAGCCACTGCACCCTGCCTTTGTTACTGCAATTGTTTTGAATGGTCCCCTTTACAAGCCTATGAGATATTTGATGGCAGGAATTTTCCACAGTAACTTTCTAGTCAACCATCAATATAAATATAAAAATTTGCAGAATGTATTACATACAGCAAATCTTGTATTAATTGCTGACTGCCAAGCTCTCCATAAAGTTCCAGGAATTTAAAAATTAATAATGCATAGTTCTTAATCTTAAGAGTTTCACAGACTAAGAGGGGAGAGAAAAATTTACAGTTGTGAGATACAGAGCAAAGCTTAATAGAAGAGTGGAAACTCTAGAAGTTAGAAGCTGCTAACATCCAAGCTGTGTTTTAAGGGATGACTTTAAAGGTGAACAAGTGGGGAAGAACATTCCTGGATGAGGAAACTCATATAGAGCACATATAAAGGGGAGAAAAGTGCTGGGAGATACACTGGAGAGATGGGTTGATACCTTATCATGGAGAGACTTTCATGCTAGGTTAAGAAGTTTACCCATGCCCAGGGCCGGGCACAGTGGCTCATGCCTGTAATCCCAGCACTTTGGGAGGCCAAGACGGGCGGATCACGAGGTCAGGAGATCGAGACCATCCTGCCTAACATGGTGAAACCCCGTCTCTACAAAAAATACAAAAAATTAGCCGGGCGTGGTGGTAGGCGCCTGTAGTCCCAGCTACTTGGGAGGCTGAGGCAGGTGAATGGTGTGAACCCAGGCGGTGGAGCTTGCAGTGAGCCAAGATCGCGCCACTGAACTCCAGCCTGGGTGACAGAGAGAGACTCCATCTCAAAAAAAAAAAAGTTTAAATTGTATCTAGTATACAAAACAAAACCAATGAAAGTTGTTAGGCAGGGAAGAGATTTGATTAGACTGGTCTTGGATGGAGTAAATAATGGAGATGGATAGGAGGTCAATTCAGGTATAAATTGAGGGCCTGAACAAGTTGTGGGGTACTGTCAAATGTTTGTTGAGTGCATACCATTATATACCAGGTACAGTACATCTTTTAAAAAGGAGCTTATAGTCAGCATGTTAGATGACACTGAAAGATACAATGTGAGAATCTAAAGAAATTACAAGCATGTGGCCAGGTGCTGTGGCTCACTCCTGTAATCCCAGCACTGTGGGGGAGGCTGAAGCGGGTGGATCACTTGAGATCAGGAGTTCGAGACCAGCCTGGCCAACACGGTGAAACCCCATCTAATAAAAGTATGAAAAGTAGCCGGGAGTGGTGGCAAGTGCCTGTAATCCCAGTTACTAGGGAGGCTGAGACAAGAGAATCGTTTGAACCTGGGAGGTAGAGGCTGCGGTGAGCAGAGATGGTGTCACTGCACTCCAGCTTGGGCAACAGAGTGAGACTCTGTCTCAAAACAAACAAACAAACAAACAAACAAACAAACAAGCATGGTAGGGAATGACTCCCAGAGTAGGTGATATTGAAGTTGAGAACTGAAGGAAAAATAGGATTTTAAAGATCTGAACTGATTTGAAGTACTTAGGGTATTTATTGTACATCCTATATAATCCCTCCATACTCCTAAAGAAAACTGTTTTCTTTTGCCCTCACTGTAAATCTACTGAAGCATCTAAAATAGTTATTAAATTTAAAAAAACAATAATGTGATGAGGCCAGAATTAGGTTTCTCTCTTCTGTTCTCTCCCACGGCACATTACCTTTGCATCATTCGCACACTATTATAATTATCTGAAAATTTGGAAGAGGTCCAAAGAATGGACAGATATTTAGGAGCGCCAGGAAGGAAACAGCACAAAAGGGAAGGAGGAGTATAAAAGTTAAATAATTTAAAATGGCGAATGCTTTAGAAAGTTCAAGTAAAATCTTAGTACTGTAATTTACTGTAATTTGGAGGTCCTTGTTAATGATCTGTTTGCAAGTTAAGTAAGAAATGCACAGTAGGCCAAAAATGAGATTGGACTGAGGACTTCCTATCAGAAAGCTTGGTTGAGAAGTGATGCTACAGAATTTTGTTTGTTCTTTTTTTTGTTTTATTAAGGAAGGGAGAATAGAGGGTGTCCAATAGGCAACAAAAGTAACTTTTCAAGACCTACTACCATGGATACATGTATTAGTAACTTATAAACAGTATTTCCTCTAGATATTTGCATATATATAATAGAATTAATGTTAGTACATTTTCACTTATCCCTAGGAAAGAATTACTGATGTTTGTTAAGAGTCTGTTAAGAATATACAAACTCTTAACATTTACACTGGAGGTGTATAAGGTATGAACCAGTCGTTTCTGGTAATTTATTGCAACCTGTGATTAAGAGAGAAGGTTAGGACTGAATTAATTCATTTTCCAAAGAAAAAAGTCAGACAACATTTATAATTTACCAGATTATCACTGGCATAGTTCAGAAATTTTTTTTTATTTTTCAGACAGGGCAACAATCTGTTGTCCAGGCTAGGAGTGCAGTGGTGCCATGATGGTTCACTGCAGCCTCGACCTCCTGGGCTCAACTGATTCTCCCACCTCAGCCTTCTGAGTAACTGGGACCACAGGTGTGCATCACCACGCCCAGCTAATTTTTGTATTTTTTGTAGAGAAGGGGTTTCACTACGTTGCCCAGGCTGGTCTCCAACTCCTGGGCTCAAGCAATCCTCCTGCCTCGGCCTCCCATAAGTGCTGGGATTCCAGGTGTGAGCCACTGCACCGAGCTCCAGCAAGATTTTTACATTCTAAATTGGGTTATATTTGTAATAATGAATGTCACTAATAAGAGGAAGTGCAAGTACCAATACGTTCTTTACAGGCCTCATACTGCAGTTTTTCTTTTCTTTCTTTTTCTTTTCATTCTTGGTCATACTGCCATTTTTCTTAGCCAATTTTCTGGCCAAACTCCTCCTCACCACTTATTTTCTGTGTGCTGATGACTATGCTTTACTACTAAATTTGGCTCTTTTGTCTTGCCAGTTCACACCTTCCCTTAAGGCATAATAACCATTTACTACTTAATTTTCGCTTTTCTCCTCTATCTTGCTGGGGTGGTGTAATAAAATTCCAGCTTAACCAATAAGTAAAATGGCTTGCCAGTGATGATAAAGACCACATTTGTTTGGGATATGTAGCAGCACAAATTTAAAAGTAAATAAATAAAACAAGCCCATCTCAATCCTAACTTACAGATACTGGTCAGTGTGACTGAAAACTGAAATTGTTCATGCTAACCAACGTTTTTCAGTTTCCACCTAACATTTTGTTCAGTTTGGTGCCCTCTTGTGCCTCCTATTTTTACAAACACAACTCAGAATTCCTGATGACTTTAGAGAAGGCACCTCCAAGTTTTCACTCATACCAGATATTCCTGGATATAACAGGAATTTGAGAACTATTATGTAATTATTCTACGTGTAACATCTGCTCATCAGATTTTAATATTCAAGCCTCGTGGCTTCAAGTCATTGCCTGTGACTGATCATCTTCACAAATGCAAGAGTCCCCTGAAACTGTCTCCCAACCATTAGGGTGCTCATGCTAACCCCTAACCCACTAGACCCACTACAAGATTCAGTATTTGTAAAGCTGAAAACGTGGTTGTGGCGTTTACATTTTCATTCCGATTGGCCTAGGCTTCCCTCTCTTCTCTCTTGCATGTTTTCTTGCCTTACCTGGTCTGAGAAATGGTGCCGCCCCACCCTTGCAGAGTTAACAGGGGGACGCTTGCCAGCTGCGTGCAGTCCCGGCGGTCCGGATATGCGGGGAGGTGGCGGCAGGAACGCCTGGGCCAGGCGCTGGTACGTTATCCTGTTACAGACCTTGGCCTAGTCCGCAGGTTGCCCCTGGAGAGGCGACGGGGACACCAGACCCTCGATTGGCTCCGCTCCTCCGCGACAGGCTGAGGGGAACAAGCTCTCTTTCGCCTGGGGACGATCCAGTGTTTGGTGGGTCGACCTTAGTCAGGGCCTAGCTGTCGCAAAGAAGGTCAAATTCACCTTGGGAAAGTACGCACCGGGACGGCAGCTAGCACCATAACAGGCGGCCCCAGCGGAGTCTCCCAGGGTCAGGCCAGGACAGCCAACCTGCCGGCCGGAGAGCCGGAGGCGGGGCCGCCCCCTTCCCGGCAGGCTGCCGACTTCCGGACCTGCGTAGACGCCTCTCTGCGCCTCCAGGCGCGCCCCTCCCCCGGCAGGCCGTTTCCCGGCATGCGCCGCGGAGGAAGAGACGGAGTCGACAATAACAAACCAAGCCGCGGCGGTGTCCGCGGCCCTGCCGAGCCCTCGGCGTTGCCTCAGAATCCCCCAGTCGCCTGGGCCCCTCGGCTCTGACAGGCCGCGGCCTTCTGTCCCCCGGCCCCAGACCCAGAGCCGAGGGGCCTGCTCGCGTCCTTGTCCGCCCGGACCCCTCCCTGCCTCCTAGAGTTCGGGGCCGCGGCGGGCGGGCGCCCGGGACGCCGGCGGTTGTGTCGGCTTAGCGGTGCCGAATGGGCGGTTGGTAACCGCTGCCGAGGACTAGGCGGCGGCGGAAGATGGTGCCGGGGGTCGCTGGCTCTGCTGCTGCCGCCGGCGAAGGAGGAGGCGTTGCCGGGTAAGTGTCGCCGCCGCCCGCGTCCCCTTCCCCCATCTGGCACAGCGGTCGCGCGGCGGGCCCTGGCACGGTGGGCCGGGGTCGCATGGTCCAGGGTTCCGGTCGGCCTGAGCCCGGCCCACGCGCAGGTGTGTGCACGGGAGGGCCCCGGCGCCTCCCGCCCCGGCAGGTGTTGCCCACTGGCCGCTTTCCCGGCGCGACAGCCCCTGTGGAGACAAAAGCGGTTCGAGTCGATGCTCCACTAGGCTGCCGGAGGTGTGGGTCGGACTCGTGCTGCGGGGCTGCCTGCGGCTTCCTCGGCCGGAGCCTTGGGATCCCTCCCTCTGCGCTGCCGCTTAGTACCCGGCCTAGTTGCCGGAGTGGCCGAGGGCGAGGGACGTCCGAACCTCCCAAGACGCATCTTGACTTGTGCTCATCGCTGCCAGGGATCAGCCCTTAATTCTGTGTTGGACTCGAGAAACGGGAGAGTGGAGTTTGGCCGAGGCCGAACGAAGCTCACCGAATGGGAGGAACGGAGAGATGATGTCTTTGTCCCGACCCCAGAGTGCGAGGATCGGTATAAAGTTACTCCTAGGAATGACTCAGCCTGCGCCCGCCCCACGGATAGATTTGGGATGGGTGTGCACGCGGATTTCACAGCTTCCTTGGTAGAAACAAAAATACATTAACCAACAGTAGAAATAGCAGCTTCTGAATGGAATATCTCTATAGTTTCTTCCACCGCCTGGTGGATGTGCTGTGTTTACTGTTTATGGTTTCGTAATCTAGTCGTTTCCATCATGACTCTTTAAAGTGTGGTCATACCTTGAAGTAGTGTAGACTTGGCTGCCAAGGAAGACTCATGTGCTCACTGTTGATAAAGAGTCACGTTACTACGAGACATTCAGCCAGATGGGAATGTTCTCAAGTCTGCTGCAAACATTTAAAGTGTACCTATTTGCTAACTATTTTATTGTGTAGTTTCTTAAGTTTTTGTGTTTTGGTGAAGCTTGTATGATTTATACATAAGTTTGGACAGTTAGCAATTTAGGAAGAGACTTAAGTAGACTTAATTGTGTGTTTAATCAAGAATGTTATTACATTGTGATAGACGATAAAAAGAGGGTCCTTCCACTTCTGATCAGATAAAACTGTGAGAAACCAAGGAACTACTGAGGGAGGTGGCTGATTTTAGTTTTTGGATTATTGGATTTATAAGCAGACCATTGCTAGGAATGTGAAAATATGTTCGCTTTTTATATTTGTTGTAACAGAATATGGCCCTAATGAAGATATTTTCTCAATAACATTCCTGTCATGTCTTTTAATGTTTGTGATTGTGTTCAAAACCTGGATAAAGTTTTATGTCAGGGATGCTTTAGGCACATAATGCTTACGTTGAGAAACCTCTGTTGATGGAAAGTGGATATTGACATAGTTCATATTTTTAAAGTAATTTTATTTAGTCTATTTTGAACTTTTTATGGTAATCAAGATATGATTATTTATGTACCTAATCCTTTATATGTTTGTTATTGGACGACAGGGAAGACAATGAAGCGGTACTTTTGTCCCTGAGTTTTTTTTTTTTTTTTTTTTGGCTCTTGCTGCCAAACACAAGATCAGGATGCATGGCAGATTTACTTTAGCAAATCAAGTTCATAAAGGCAGAAGACACAAGACTTTTGTTTTCGAAATTTTGAACCTAAATTTTGATTATGTTAGCCTGAGAAAAGTTTTTAGACTCTAATATTAACTTAAAATTTTATATCATACATTCAGCAGATATTTGAGCACCTACATGCTTTACTTTGCAGATGTGTATGTCTTATGAATATCTTTTTAAAAGAATGGCTGATAAAATTTTCTCATTCAGGTAATGATATTTTCTGACTCCAGTTACACTTTTCTTTTGTAGTAATACTGGCCTAAGACACTTTGAAAATCTAGCAGTCCCTTTCAACACACTTTCACGATTCTTTTATTATCTTTTTACCACTGTGAGGTTTTTGAACTAGTTACATGAGGAACATAAAAATGTTTAAGTAATTGTTCTTGAGTAGAGACGGGGTTTTACCATGTTGGCCAGGCTGGTCTTGAACTCCTGACCTCAGGTGATCTGCCTGCCTCGGACTCCCAAAGCCCGGCCACTGATTGCCTTTTGAATAAAGGCCCAAGAGAAGTAAGGGGTGTAAGTGTGTGACTCTCGAAAGGAATTTTTGGCAGAAGAAACAGTAAATGGAAAGGCTCTGATATACATGGCATATACCAAGAAAAATGAAGTTACTGAAGCTGGACTGGTATGAGAGAGGCGATAGTAATGGTAGATTGTGGGGCTCTACATATTCAGGTTTGGAAGTCATAGTAAGGAAACTAATGTGCTCTAACTCACAAAGGTCTACAGATGAATTCAAGTAAACCCAGCATGGCTGGAAAGCAGTTGAAGCCAAATTCACTTCATTTATTCCTGAAATGCTAATTGAACCCCTGCAGCATACTCTTTTAGCTTCAGCAATGCAACAGTGAACAAGAAAGACATATCTGTCTATGTATATATATTTATTTATAGGAAATGGGTAACCACTGGAAATTTTCATGGAGGTAAATGACAAACGCAGATTACTTTGAGGATGTAGAGTAGATAAAAGGCTAGCTAAGCCGATTGTATAGTGCTAGGTTGATGAGTTTTTGCTTAACTCACATAGATAAAAGGATGTGAAGATTACTTGTCTCTGATTATTTATTATGGACCAAATCAACTTAATTTGACTGTAAACTGTACCCCCATTGTTTAGGGTCCTGAGAGGATGGCATTTCTTTCTATCCCTTTGTAAAGTTCCGGTTCTGTTGGATTACTTTTTGTAAGTGCAGTACTTGAATGCCTCCAAGTACCCTCTTTCCTTGGCTAATTTGTTTCTGCTTTCATGGCTGTTTAGTGAGTGCTTTGAGGATTGTGGAATAACAATCCTCGCCCATTTTTTTTCATCCATGATTTTTTTCTACCCGTTAGTTTGCTCTTTTGAACTCTCATATTTTATTGGCTTGTAATTGTGCTAGGAGATAAAAATAATTGTGTTCCATTTCCTTTTTTTGTCACTGATTTGAGACTGTCCACTCATTTTTCCTTCACATTCCACACATTATACTTGTTCAGTAACTGTCCAGCATACCTGTTGAAATATTAATTCAATACCATATTATATTACAGTAATATAACGGCTTTTAGTAATTGTTTTACTGCAAATACCAGATTTGGGCAGGCTGGTTTAATAATTTGGTTATATGTTTATAGATAATCTTGGTTTAATAGAATGCAGCTAATTCTACATTTTCTTTTTTTTCCCCATTTTCCCTGTCTTATATAATTCTATATTTGCTATATAGATAATTTTGGTTTTACTGTTAGTTTCCGTTATAAAATAAAACACAACTAGAAAATTTTCACTAAAATCATGCATTTTATGTAGTTTTTATAAACGATAGGGACACCAAAATGTGTAATGCATTTATATGTACTGATACAGAAAGATTTCTGTTATTTTATGCAGTTCAAGCAAAGTCCATAGTAGTATGTAGGGTGTCACCTCATTTTTATAAAACCATATTGCCTGAATATACACATATTTCCTGTACACCTAGGGAAAAAAACCTGAAGGGTGTACTCCAAAGTATTTTTCATTTTTGTTTTAAAAGTATTCCTGTTCTGCTATTTTTACCTCATTTGCTGTCTTTGGGCACTACCTTTCTAAATGCTCGCTTCATTCTTTTGGCGAAGTTGCTTGTCTAGTTTGTAGACAAGGCGTATATTTAGGAAGTCTGAACTTTTATGAAAAAGGTTTTCTTTCAGGGAAATGTGAGGAAAATGCCTGACCTACTCATCTTTCATTCTTTTTCTTGGCAGAGAAGGGGTAGGATCAGATTAGAATACATCTGATTTGGGGAGACTGATGCCCAGTTTTCAGTCCCTGGGCAACCTAGACACTCCGTTTGTGGTGGACATTATCTCCATTGATGCAGTAGCCCGTGACCCCTCAATGAGGGAGAATTGCTAATAATTGCAGTTTACAGAATTAGAGATCAGGCAAAATTATTTCCAATCATCTTTTCTCTGAAGCTTTTAGTCCACTTTAGGGTTATCTGAGTCTCATGTGTTCTATTCAGCTGGAAAGCATCTTGAAGATATTTGTATTCCAGGCACCTAGCAGTGTCTGGCTTATGTTTAGATGCCCCCAAAATAGTGGATGAATAATGAATGTGTCCAGTTTTGAAGGTCAGAGATTGTCATTGGGGTGTCCCCCTTTCACCTTATCATATAAGGAAGCGAATTCTGTTTTGTTTGTTTGTTTTTGTTTTTTAAGGCAGAGTCTTACTTTGTCGCCCAGGCAGGCGACAGGCAATGGTGTGATCTAGGCTCACTACAACCACTGCCTCGTGGGCTCAGATGATCCTCCCACTTCAGCCTCCCAGTAGGTGGGATTACAGGCATGCACTACCACTGCCAACTAATTCTTGTATTCTTAGTAGAGACGGGGTTTCACCATGTTTCCCAGGCTGGTCTTGAACTCCTGGCCTGAAGTGAGCCACCCACCTCGGCCTCCCAAAGTGCTGGGATTACAGGCAGGAGCCACTGTGTCTGGCCTAATTCTAAGTTTTGACTGTATTAGAATAGTTGACAGTAAGGCTGGGATAATTGACTTTATCATCATGATAATCTCTCGAGAAAATTGTAAATCTCCACTTGATAAGTTGGATAGATTTTAATGAGTATGTGAGATACTTTCTGGTTCTTTTCCTCAAATATGGATATATATGGGTTCAGTTGTTATTCCTGTACATCTGGAAACAAATGCAGTGGGATCAATATATTTTTATTTTTATTTATTTTTTTGAGATGGAGTTTCACTCTTGTTGCCCAGGCTGGAGTGCAATGGCATGATCTCAGCTGACCGCAACCTCTGACTCCCGGGTTCAAGCGAGTCTCCTGCCTCAGCCTCCTGAGTAGCTGGGATTACAGGCATGTGCTACCACACTCAGATAATTTTGTGTTTTTAGTAGAAATGGGGTTTATCCATGTTGGTCAGGCTGGTCTCAAACTCGCGACCTCAGGTGATCTGTCCGCCTCTGCCTCCCAAAGTGCTGGGTGGCATATAAAGTGGACTAAAAGCTTCAGAGAGAAAAGATGATTAGAAATAATTTTGCCTGATCCCTAGTTCTGTAAACTGCAGTTATTAGCAATTCTCCCTCATTGAGGGGTCACGGGCTACTACCGCATCAATGGAGATAATGTCCACCACCCTGTCGGATCAATATTTTTTAAAATACAGCTCTCTTCTCCCCTTCATTTATAGCTGACTGTATCCTAGGAGGATTTAGGAGGACCAGATGTCCTCATAATGAGAGATAGGTTTTTCCCCCCAGATAAGAGAATTCCTGCTACCTTATATTAACTACTTAAGAGTTCTGTAAATTCAGAGAAAGGAGAAAGAATACTATAGGCCACCTGTGATAAGGGAAGACTTCCCAGAAGTGGTAATAGGACAATACTTGGACTTTTGTTTGTTTGTTTGTTTGTTTGTTTTTGAGACGAGTCTCGCTCTGTTGCCCAGGCTGGAGTGCAGTGGTGTGATCTCAACTTACTGCAAGCTCCGCCTCCTGGGTTCACGCCATTCTCCCACCTCAGCCTCCCAAGCAGCTGGGACTACAGGCATCCGCCACCATGCCCGGCTAATTTTTTTGTATTTTTAGCAGAGACGGGGTTTCACTGTGTTAGCCAGGATGGTCTCGATCTCCTTACCTTGTGATCCACCCGCCTCAGCCTCCCAAAGTGCTGGGATTACAGGCGTGAGCCAGTGTGCCCGGCAATACTTTGACTTTTAAAGATGAGTAAAATTCAGATCAGCAAAGATGGGGGTATTTTACCTGGCAGGAGTATGTAAAGTGAGGGTATAGGTTTGTCATGTAAGGGAGTAGTTGATGATACTGCTACAAAAATAAACTGGGGTTAATTATGAAGTTCTTGAGTGCTGGAGTTTAATTAAAGTCATAATTGCCACCATTTTTAAAGCTTTTAGTATATTCCTAGCACCGTAAAGGACTCTGAAGTACATTATTGCTATCCTTCTCATCTCTGTGAAAGGTATCGTTGCAATTTATAGATTGTCAACTGATATGTGGAGGTTACCTGAGCCTCAGTGAGATAGATGGTATTCAAATACAAGTAAATTTTGTTCCTAAGTCTGCCATTTTTATGTTAATCTAGCCTATATCAAGTTGGCAAATTCACATGCTAAGAGGGGTGGGCAGATAGTACAATTAAGTGAAACTGTCTGAGTACTGAACCGGAGGTGACAAAGAGAGTGTAGCTGTAAAGAAACTACAGATTTGTGCCCTGCTGTAGGCAACAGTAAGGTGCTAGGGAAGATACTTGAGGGAAGCAGCCTGACTACCTTGGTTGTAACTGGTAGGGAGTATTTAGGAAGGATTGAAGCCGGATAGAGATTTAAAGACAGAGAGAAGAGGTTGCAGTTTCCTAAGTAAGGGTTATGTCATTGGAAAATGAGGGGTTGGATTAGAAAGGAAAAAAATGGGTAGGACTTGGACAGAAATAACTGAAGCCTGGTCCATTGTCACTTTGGAAAGTTTGTAAAAAAAAAAAAAAAAAAAGAAAGAAAGAAAAAGAAAAGAAAAATAACTGAAGTTTGGGGCAATAGTAGAATGATAGTTCATTGACAGTGAATAAATTAGGGAATAGATTTAAAGGAAAAGCACCGAATTTAAATTTGGACATGTTGAGTTTGAGGTAACAGTAGGATTTCCAGCTGGAAATATGAAGCATCAGTTACTGCTAGCTCTAAACTCAGAACAGAGATCTGGATTAGTTAATAACAGTAATTGATGTTTGTATTTCACTTTATGGTTTACATAACTTCCATATATGTATAGATTATTCGTTAGATCCTGACCACAACCCTGTGAGACAGGTACTTTTACTTTTTGTAATCAAATGAAAAAACTTGTTAGGTGAAGTCAGTTCAGGTCACATTGGGCCAGGACTTGAATATACTTCTTTTGATTCCAAATCTCATGTTCTTTTCACAGTTCTGTTCTCCCTCTTATGTTTACATAAAGATAACAATTGGGGCGTGGTGACTCATGCCTGTATTCCCAGAACTTTGGGAGGCTGAGGCAGACAGATCACTTGGGGTCAGGAGTTTGAGACCAGCCTGGCCAGCATGGCGAAACCCTGTCTCTACTAAAAATACAAAAAAAATTAGCTGGGTGTGGTGGTGGGTGCCTATAATCCCAGCTACTCTGGAGGCTGAGGAGAGAGAATCTCTCTCTCTCTTTTTTTTTTTTTTTTGAAACAGAGGGAGTCTCGTTCTGTAGCCCAGGCTAGAGTGCAGTGGCGAGATCTCGGCTTACTGCAAGCTCCGCCTCCTGGGTTCACGCCATTCTCCTGCCTCAGCCTCCCGAGTAGCTGGGACTACAGGTGCCTGCCACCACGCCCGGCTAATTTTTTGTATTTTTAGTAGAGACGGGGTTTCACTGTGTTAGCCAGGATGGTCTCAATCTCCTGACCTCATGATCCGCCTGCCTCGGCCTCCCAAAGGAGAATCTCTTGAACCTGGGAGGCGGAGGCTACAACGAGCTGAAGGCTGCAGTGAGCGGAGATCGCACCACTGCACCCAGCCCCTAGGTGACTGAGTGAAAGTCCATCTCAAAAAAAAAAAAAAAGATAACAGTTGGAAGACTAAACATGAATGACCATTTAGGGAAGGCTATATTTAGAATGGGAGTGGGGCAGAACTCCCCTAGGACCTCAGATTGGGACTGAAATAGGGAAGGCTGGTGGGAATCTTTGTCTTGCTCTCTTGGTGGGACTAACTCTTTTGGTGCAACAAATTCAGGTTCTTTATTTCTTTGTAATGTATAGGGTGTCATCTTTTTTTTTTAATGGATATGTGTTTTTCCCCTCTAATTATAAATGTGATTTTTAAAAGAACTGGGAGAAAGTAAAAGTCTGGCATCCAGAGATAGCCAGTGTTAAAAAGATTGCTATTAAATTGATCCAGACTTTTTAAGTGCTTGCATATACATATGTCCTCCTGCATTAGTTGTAAAAATAAAATCCACAAACAGAATCACATAATATATACTGTAAATTGCTTTTTGTACTGATCAATACGTATAGATCAAAACATTTTTAAATGTCTAAAATTTGATACCTTATAGGGTTGTGTAATAATTTATTATTTTTTTGGAGAGAGGATCTTGCTGGGTCACCCAGCCTGGAGTGTAGTGATGCCATCATAGCTCACTGTAGCCTCCAGCTCCCAGGCTCAAGCAAGCCATATCCTCCTGCCTCAACCTTCTGAGTAGCTAGGACTATAGGCATAATTTATTTAACCAACCTCCATTGATAGTTTTTAAATTCATCATTTTAAAAAGTGATGGTATAATGAAAATCATTGCATATATATACCTTTGTACACTTGTTTCATTCTTTGCTCCCAGAAGTAGAATTGCTGGTTTGTACATTTTAAATTTTGATACATAGTGCCAGATTAAATTCCCTTAAAAGTTATACCAGTTTATATTTTTGTCAGAAATGTGCCAGTGGACCCACTGTTAATCTTGTCAACACTTAGCACTCATTTTAATCATTAGTAGTAATCTGAAGGGTAAAAAGTAGTACCTTGTTGATGTTTTAGTTCTCATTAGTGAATATGTACCTCCAGATAGTTTATTTTTCTTCATGCTATGGATAGCCATTTGTCATAATACCATTGCATGAAAAGTTGATCCTTTCTCCCCAATTTGAAATCCCACCATTATTGTATAGATACACAAGTGCAGGTATGCATGTATAAAGATCAATTTGGATCTGTTCAGTTTCATGCATTATGTTTATTAATGCATCATGATTCCTACTAACTTGTTAACTACCGTGTGAGTTATGAGTATGTTTGACATGTTTTGACAGTTGTTCTGTCCTACGAAGTCTCAGTATATATGGTAGGCAGTTTATAGTAATTCTTAGTGGGTAGAAACTAAAGACTGTTTAAGCAGAGGGTCAAATAATTTAAGAAAATCTTGTGTCAGTTGTTGAGTTACTAACCTGTTACTTTTAATTTAGAATTGGCTTGTGTTAACTTGTATAGTATTAAATATGGTTTCATTTTATAAAAGTTAAGAAGGACTTTATATAAAATGAGCATCAAGTCAGATTTTAGGAAATCGTGACTATTTGGTGAAAAGTAATACTTATGTACTAGGCTTATTTATATAAGGCTTATAAAGTTACTTTATAATTCCTTGAATAGCAGTTGATTTCTGTGCTTGTACCTTACTTAACAATTACATGCAATAACTTTAGTTCTAGATCATAGAGAGTCAACCCACTTACAGGATTTAATGGACTTTACGTAAATTAGGGGTACATGTACATAATAAGCATTCCCAAAGTTGCAAGTTAATAAAAGAATTAGCTCCTTTTAATGATTGTTTTCTTAAAAGAAATCATTGGTTTATTAAGTTTATCCTCTTAAGTTTTAGTAATGTGATCAGTGAGGGTAAACTGTCAGTTTCTAGTTGGAACTTGATTTTACATATACTTTTGTGTTTTTTTTTTTTTTTTTTTAATGTCACCTTTGTGTGAATTCTTGTCCATTCTTTCTCAGTCTAACTTTTGCATACCTCTCTTCATATTAGTATTATTGAACTTTTTGGAAGGCAGGTAATGTGCTTTTTATTACTTTTTGGCACTAACACACAATAAGTTTCTTAAAATTAGTATTTGTTCAGTGTGTTAGACTCATGTTTAATGTATGATTTGACTATTTATAGAAGATCAGAAGAATAATCTAGTGTACCCCTTTATGTTTTAAGATGACGAAACTGAGATTCAGAGAAATTGGATAACTCCTGAAATCACAGGAGTAAAGATGTGAAGCTAGGACTAAAAACCAGATCTCTTATTTCTTTCCAAGTATTTTTTATTTCAGGGTGACCAAATATGTACTTGGTTACTGATGTCCCTTTTTGCTGAATGTTTTTTAACAATTGTGGCATACAAAGGAGAGAATTCAGTTTCATGGGATCATGTTATTTTGATAGCATATAGGAGTATGTAACATAAAGTATACAGTCTTGTGAATAAATAGCGACAGTGTTCCTGTGGATTCTCTCTGAGCAACTTTCTGATTTCAGTTTTGGTTGCCGTAGTCCTTATCCATGGTTTTGACCGCAAACATTTATTGACTGTTTACTGTCTCTAGGTAGTATGTTAGGTATTGAGGTATGATATGTCATGACCAAAATTTTTTTTAGCCATTTGCAATACAGCTTGGGCGATGTAAGTTATTTGGCAAGTGGCAAAAAAGTGTAGCAGGGCATTTATTTATGTTCTGAATACCAACACTTACTTGAATAGTTGGAATTTGAAGTATGGGCTGTCAGTACTTCAGGAACAAGACCACTGACAGCCAGTACATTGAGGAAGACTTTACGACAGAATATTTGTGAATTCTTGGTTACATAATGGAAGCTGTGGAATGACATGAGTAGAGGCATGAAAATCCATTTATTCATGCACCTCATTTCAGGAGATCAGCCTAAATGGTATGGAGCTTCATGTAGGGACCCAAATAAAGGAAATAGTGGAGTGTCAGTCTAAGGAATTTATACTTGAGTAGAAGTTATGAAGCATTTTTAGTTTGGGGAGAAGTAAACATTAAAAGAATCTAAGATTATGTAGTTGGTGGTGTCATCTGAGATGGAATCTGCAGATAGTAGGTGCTCAGATAGGTAATTGTTAGAGCCCGATATGCAGTAGGAAGATCTGAATTAGATAGCTTAATGGGAATAAGGTGGAAGAGAGGATACACATACTTAGTAACTGTTTATGTGGAACCAAGGAGTACTTATTCATATATGATGTTAAAATATATTAAACCAAGTTGATTACTTTTTTTTTTTTAATATAAGATACTGGGAACACATTGGCTGATAAAGAAACTGCTGAAAATTAGCTACCTGCATGTGATCTCTCTCTGTTACTAAGTTACTATTTGGATTCTGCTTTGTCATTTGCTTAGAGTACTGCTACTAGAACCCCAAGAGTACATTTGCTTATGAAACCCTGTTTATTCAACAGATGCTTTTGAGTGCTTTGTGTTATGTCACAGAGTTACTTCCTGTCCCTAGAGAACATTTTGGGAATATTTACTGTGATTTCTTTTTTTTTTCTGCAACAGCCATATGAGGTAGGTATGATAAATATCCCCATTTACAGATTAGAGAATGGAAATTTAGACAGACATGTATTGATGAAGAAAGTTGTTTTCTTGTTTTATCTACATTTTTTTCTTCTTCTTTTCTTTTTTTTTGAGTCTCACTCTGCCAACCAGCTGGAATGCAGTGGCATGCTCTCGGCTCACTGCAACCTCCACCTGCCGGGTGCGAGTGATCCTCCTGCCTCAGCCTCCTGAGTAGCTGGGATTACAGGCGAGAGCCAGCATGCCCAGCTAACTTTTGTATTTTCAGTAGAGATGGGGTTTCACCATGTTGGCCAGGCAGTCTCGAACTCCTGACCTCAAGTGATCCACCTGCCTCGGCCTCCCAAAGTGCTGGAATTACAGGCATGAACCACTGTGCCTGGCCTGTTTTATCTACATTTCTTTCCCTGATAATAAAGCCATGCAGCTCATGGATCTTCTGGAGAAGATTCATTCAGTAGAATTTTATAACTTTGACTTAGATTACACAAAATTGGTCTATGTAGGTCATATGATACTTCTTTTAATAAGAGAACTTAAAACATTAGCATGAATAGGTATATTTTATTCATCCTGGTACCCATACAGAGTATTTAACTAATTTTATAAACCATACATTTCAATTAAAATCTGACCAGCTTTATTACATGACCACATAAAGATTAATAATCCAGGGTTGAAATAACAGCTAAAGATAGAAATAGATAGTTTTGGCTGTGCAAGGTGGCTCACGCCTGTAATCCTAGCACTTTGGGAGGCCGAGGTGGGTGGATCACCTAAGGTCAAGAGTTCGAGACCAGCCTGGCCAACATTGTGAAACTTCATCTCTACTAAAAATACAAAAATGAGCTGGACGTGGTGGCAGGTGCCTGTAATCCCAGCTACTTGGGAGGCTGAGGCAGGGAGAATTGCTTGAACCCGGGAGGCGGAGGTTGCAGTGAGCTGAGATTGTGCCACTGCACTCCAGCCTGGGTGACAGAGTGAGACTCCATCTCAAAAGAAAAAAAAAAGTGATTTTTTTTTTTTTCAAAGAAGACTTTAGTGGTATAGGAGCTAAGGTAAAGAAGAGAAAATTTGAGATCAAGCAGCTTTATCAAGAGATTTAAGTGACAGAAAAGTGATGATCTGGCCGAGCATGGTGAGTCACACCTGTAATCCCAGCACTTGGAGAAGCCAAGGTGGGAGGATCATTTGAGGGCTGGAATTCATGACCAGCCTGAGCAACATAGAGAGACCCCATCTCTTAAAGAAAAAGAAAAGAAGAAAAGGAAGTAATGATCCTTGTGAGCAAAAACAGGTCAGTATCCTCTTGTTTTGACTGGATCAGAGTGTTCAGGCAAAGCAGTAATCAAACTCCTTTTTCCATTTACTGCTGTTGTATAGATCTGGTCCCTTGGCCAGTCACAGTGGCTCAAGCCTGTAATCTCAACACTTGGGGAGGCCGAGACAGGTGAATTACCTGAGGTCAGGAGTTTGAGACCAGCCTGGCCAACGTGCTGAAACCCTGTCTCTACTAAAAAATACAAAAAATTAGCTGGGTGTGGTGGTGGGTGCGTGTAATCAAAGCTGCTCGGGAGGCTGAAGCAGGAGAATTCCTTGAACCCAGGAGGCGGAGGTTGCAGTGAGCTGAGATCACGCCATTGCACTCTAGCCTGGGCAACAAGAGCAAAATTCCATCTCAAAAAAAAAAAAAGATCTGGTCCTTCACACATTGTTATATACATAAGGTTGTACAGCCATTTGAGAAAGAGACCAGTTATGTCTGTTTCCCTAAACAACTGGCTTGAGAGTCCAATTTATACAACTTACTTGTAGAATCTTTAGTAATTAGGCACTTTGGGTGTCACCTAGGTCAACCTCCCTCTTAATGCAGTGACAGGTCCAGGGAAATTCAATTCAAGTAAAGATTTCACGTTTCATGCCTGCAGTGGTTGTTGTTAAACATTGAGATTGAGAGTGTAGTCTGAGAATAAGAAAACCTTGAATATCCTTTATATTGGTTAGATGTTGGTGCAATTTGTTTTTGTGTATACATGTTTACTTATAGGAAACTGTAATTTTCATTATTGGCAATTGTTTCTATGTTCCCTTTATTTAGTAAAGCATATTTAGTGTTTATGCCTTGCCATGGATACAGGGTGGTCATATCAGACATTGTTTGTATGTTCTGCTCATGTTAATGGATTGGCTGCAAATAAGATATGCCAATGACCAATAAGATATGCTTAGTCCACACTTAATTAAGAACATGTTGCTGATTTTTTTTCTTTTCTTTTTGTTTTTTCTAAAGATAGTCTTGCTCTGTTGCCTAGGCTGGAGTGCTGTGGCACAGTCTCTGCTTGCTGCAGCCTCAACCTCCCAGGTTCAAGCCATCCTCCTGCCTCAGCGCCCCCACCCCACCCCCCCATAACTGGGACTACAGGTGTGCGTCACCACACCTGGATAATTTTTGTATATTTGTAGATATGGAGTCTCACCATGTTGCCCAGGTTGGTCTGGAACTCTTGATCTCAAGCAATCCACCTGCCTTGGCCTCCCAAGGGTGCTGCCAATGCACCCAGCATGTTGCTGATTTTCTTTGAGACATAGTGGCAAAGAAAATTTTCTCAGCTCTGTCTTACCACCGTGAAAGACTGCCTTCAGAGTGTTTCAGTTACCTCTTCCCATCAATATGAGAAAAGATGAGTGTGAGGAATAGGTAGAGGGAAAAATTAAAGTTTTTTGTGTAGCATGAATTATGGGAGGGGATTATATAGGTAATTCTAGCATGCACATAGCTCTTGTATAGGCATTGTGCCAGTAGGTAGGTATTAGAGTAGACATGGTTCTTTGTAGTAGCCTTTTATAAAATTGACTTGCTTTGGTGAAACAGCTCCTGGCATCATTCAGACATTTTTATCCTGTTGTGTGGGTGTGGAAACACTGGGATTGTTCTATAAGCTTTCTTTTGTTTTTGTGTGTATATATATATATATATATATATATATATTTTTTTTTTTTTTTTTTTTTTTTTTTGAGACGGAGATTCACTGCAGTGCAGTGGCAGAATCTCGGCTCACTGCAACCTCTGCCTCCCGGGTTCAAGTGATTCTCTTGCCTCAGCCTCTCAGGTAGCTGGGATTACAGGCATGTGCCACCATGCCCAGCTAATTTTGTATTTTTTTTTTTTTTTCACTAGAGACAGGGTTTCACCATGTTGGCCAGGCTGGTCTTGAACTCCTGACCTCAAGTGATCCACCTGCCTTTCCCTTCCAAAGTGCTGGGATTACAGGCGTGAGCCACCATGCCCGGCTGTATTTTTATAATTCTTAATGGAAATCAAAAACACAGAAAGATAGGCAATAGAAGAATGAGCTATGATGTACCCATCATTTTGATTCAGTTATCATCACGTCATGGCCAATCTTGTTTTAGCTATACTTCCATCTGCTTCTCATTCTCTTGTTACTTTTGACCTGTAAATTTTGAAGAACAGATATCCCCTACAGTAGCCCTGTGAGGAAGATGTTATCTCTACTTTTGAGATGAGAAAATTGAATGTTAGGATAAATTTCTTTTCTAAAATCACCCAGCTTGTAAGTGGCAGAATAAGAATTTTAACCAGGTCTGTTAAGTTCTTCCTCTGCAGTCAGTTGTTTTTCCTTCTGTTTAGGTCAGATTATAACCAAGGAGGGTGGTGTATTCTGACAGCAGCTAAATGTTTTACTGGAGTATTACCAATTCAGTACCTACAGACACTTGTTAATTGTTTTGGGTTAGGGTTAGCTTAGAGTTAGATTTTTTTCCTTTCCTCTGCATTATTTTTGACCATTTAAAAAATCATATTGAAGGCCGGGTGCGCTGGTTCATGCCTGTAATCCCAGCACTTTGGGAGGCTGAGGCAGACAGATCACCTGAGGTGAGGAGTTCCAGACCAGCCTAGCCAACATGGCGAAACCCTGCCTTACTAAAAATACAAAACAATTAGCCGGGCGTGGTGGCAGGCGCCTGTAGTCCCAGCTACTCCGAGGCTGAGGCAGGAGAATCACTTGAATTCGGGAAGGGGAGGTTGCAGTTCACTCCAGCCTGGGCGACAGACCGAGACTCTGTCTCAAAAAAAAAAAAAAAAAAAAAAAAAAAAAAAAAAAAAAAAAAAAAAAAAAAAAAAAACCAACCATTACATATACAGTTTTTGTTAATACTGTAAGCCTTATTAAAAGTTATTCTCTGGCCAGGCGCAGTGGCTCACACCTGTAATCCCAGCACTTTGGGAGGCTGAGGCAGGCGGATCACGAGGTCGGAGATCAAGACCACCCTGGCTAACACAGTGAAACCCCGTCTCTACTAAAACATACAAAAAATTGGCTGGGCGTGGTGGTAGTCCCAGCTACTCGGGAGGCTGAGGCGAGAGAATGGCGTGAACCTGGGAGGCGGAGCTTCCGGTGAGCCAAGATGGCGCCACTGTACTCCAGCCTGGGCGACAGAGCGAGACTCCGTGTAAAAAAAAAAAAGTTATTCTCTCATATTTTAAAATTTCTATTCAAGACAACCCTGGGCAACATGGAGAAACGCCGTCTCTACAAAAAAATACAAAAAATTAGCTGGGCATGGTAGTGCATGCCCATAGTCCCAGTTACTTGAGAGGCTTAAGTGGGAGGATTGCTTGAGCCGGGGAGGTTGTGAGGTTGCTGTGAGCTGTGATCCCGCCACTATACTCTAGCCTGGGTGACAGGACGAGATCTTGTCTTAAAAAATGTATAAATAAATCAAATTTTTAATTTTTATCCGTAACATTTTAAATCCTGTCTTAAAATATGAATAATAAAAGTATGGGTAGACAAATATTTGTTACTAATAAATGTAGGAAAGTGTCTTGTGTATGCTTTAACTATATTTCAAATTTTTTCCCTAAAATTGATTTCATGGTACAGTTATTGGCTTAAGGAAATGTGATTTTATAAAACCTTTGCTTACCTACCTCTACAAACACCAGTTGCTTTCCAGAAACATCATAATTATTTAAAATACATTCTGACCTGTAATATGAATGTTGAATGTGATTAAAATAATACATTTTCTAGTGTTTTATTATGGAAATTTGCAAACATATACAAAAGTAGAGAGAATGTTACAGTGAACCTAATATAGCCATCTCACTTGCTTTAATAAGTACCAACATTTTGCCAATCTCACCTTTCTACTGCCCAGCTAATTCTGTTCTTTCCTTCCAGCCTTCCTTCCTTCGCTTATTTTTGCTAGACTAGTTTAAAGCAAGACTCAGGCATCATTTTACACACTAATTTTTCAGAGTTCATTTTCTGTTACTACAATGCCATTATCATCCAAACAAAAGTAATTCTAATTCTTTAGTATAATCCGATACCCTGTCCGTATTTAGATTTGCACATTTATCCCAAAAATGTTATTATACAGTTGTTTTAAGTCAGGATCCAGGATCTGAACAAATTCACACATGGCATTTGTTTATTTTGTCTCGTCCATCTTTTTTAGTTTATAAAAAGTCTTCTTTTTTTTTTTTTTTTTTAGTAACCATTTGTTGAAGAAACAGAGTCATTGTTCTGTGGAATGCTTATTCTGAATTTAACTGATTCATCATAATGTTTGTCTTTTTCTTTATACTCCATATTTCCTAGAAACTGGAAACCGTAGGTACATATAGTTGCTTGATTAAATTCAGGTTTACTTTTTCAGAGGTGGTCTGGGGTGGCAAGAAAACTTTATACTTGGGCTGTGTCCAGTTGAATCGCTATTAGCTGGAGGTTTTCCATATAAATGGACTGAAATACGTATCTTTTTTGTTTTGTTTTGTTTTTTGTTTTGAGACGGTCTCTCTCCCTTGCCCAGGCTGGAGTACAGTGGTGTGATCTTGGCTCACTGCATCCTCCATCCCCCAGGCTGAAACAATCCTCCCACCTCAGCCCCGCAAGTAGCTGGGAGTACAGGTGTGCACCATCATGCCTGGCTAATTTTTGTATATTTTGTAGAGACAGGGTTTTGCCATGTTACCCAGGCTGGTCTTGAACTCCTGAGCTCAAGTGATCAGCCTGCCTAGGCCTCCCAAAGTGCTAGAATTACAGGCATGAGCCACTGTGCCCAGCTATCCAAAATACATTTCATATAGGAAGGACAGTGCTTAATTTCTTTGCTTTTTAAGTTTTTATCATGGGTTCTATCTTAGCTCACTGAGGTTTTTTGTTTTTGTTTTTTTGAGTATCATTATGCAGCATGGATTTTTATGGGTTTTTGCCATTCAGTTACTTGTACTCATTCTTTTGATGGTCAGACTGTCCCATCATAGCCAGTAGAAGCCTTTTAAAGTTGTTTTCCTTGCCTTTTTGACCTAATCTCTTTAGTCTTTGTTAGCTGTCTTGCTTTATGGCATATTAAGATGTTCCAGGCTTATGTGATTGGTACATTTTCTACTTTAGACATTTAGCATTAGCCACTTCTCCAAAGGTTCTTTCTAGAAACCAAAGTAGGCCGGGCGTGGTGGCTCACACCTGTAATCCCAGCACTTTGGGAGGCCGAGGCGGGTGGATCATGAGGTCAGGAGTTCGAGACCATCCTGGCCAACATGGAGAAACTCTGTCTCTCTGAAAATACAAAAATTAGCCGGGCGTGGTGGTGGGTGCCTGTAATCCCAGCTACTTGGGAGGCTGAGGCAGGAGAATCGCTTGAACCCAGGAGACAGAGGTTGCAGTGAGCCGAGATTGTGCCATTGCACTCCAGTCTGGGCGACAAGAGCAAGACTCCGTCTGAAAAACAAAAAAACCATAGTATGAGTGTGTAATGAGGTTAGCCAACTCTACAGTTAGAAGGAACAGTCCCACAAAACTGCCCTCATTTCAGGTACTAGTGGCAAGTTTGGCGGTGCCCAGAACCCACCCTCACTTCAAACCAGCTGACTACAAACTCACAGGTTCCCCATATCCACCCTCTCTTTGGAGAATTCACTGGAACAGGTCAGGGAACGAAGGAAAGCACTATACTCACAATTACACTTTTATTATAAGAGAAGGATACAAAAATTAAAATCAGGCAATGGCAGAGAGCAGAATCTGGAAGGGGTCCAAACTCAGAGCTTCTGGCCATCATTGCTGGTGGAGTCATAGACAGTGTTACCTTCTCTTGGCCACAACGCGTGACAGTATACACAGAGTATTGCTCACTAGGGAAGCTCACCTGAGTCTTTGGTGTCCAGAGTTTTTATTATGGCTTGATCCTGTACTGTCCACATGACTCACCTTTAGTCTCTAGCCCTTTCTGGAGGTCAGACCAATGTCTTTAGTCAGTAGTTCCTCTGGAGGTCAGAACTTAACTGATACATGAGTCACGTTGCTACACTGACGTGACTGAAGCCCTAAGGCAAACAAACACAGTTCTATCTGTCAGGATATTACAGGGGCCTAGAGATCACCTCCCAGTAGCGAAGGGCAAAGGCCAGACCTTTCTTTGGTTAATGTTAATTTTTCACTGCCTGTTGTGCTGTGGGTACTTCTGGCTCTAGGTCTGTCAATGCCTTCTTTTCAATGGAGCTATGGAATAAATGTTTTATGGAAAGAGAAAAATTCTTGTTTATACTAGTATTTCTAAAGTACTTTTTACTTCTTTATACATTTTATTTCTTTTCTCTTGGGTTGAAAACCTTGGAATCTTAGGTCGAAAATCTTGCTTGCTTAGTAGGAGAAAAATACTGTCTTCTTTTTAGATTTGTAATTCTTTGATTACTGAAGAGGCCTCAAATATTTTCCACATTTGTTAACCACTTGATAACCTACTCATGCCCTTTGCCTATTTATCTATTGTGAGTCTTTGTGATTTTCTTATTAATTTATAGGAACTCCTACTAAAAAGCTAATAGTAATCCTTAGTCACTTGTTATTGTCATTTTCACCAGTAATCACATCTTTGGATATTTGAATTAAATGATGGGTGGCAGGTATGGAAAATATCTTCTTCTTTTTGGTTTTCTACCCTTTCCTCTCCCACTAAACTAGAATACCAGTCATTGTGTGATCAGTCCTGGGTCTATCATCTGTTAGAAAGAAAACTGGGAAATTGGGCTTGTCTCTGGGCAGGACTTCTTTGTATTGTTGCTGTCACTTCCATATGATGGAAGTGCTGCTTACCAGGAGGTTCAGTCCTTCACTAGTAGATGCCTGGTATTAACTAAAGTATGTGCAGCTCTCACTGAAGTGGCTGTAGTTGCTTAAGCTTTGGAGGAAGAGGCACACACTTTCTCTCTAAAGGACCAGATAGTTAAGTATTTTAGGCTTTACTCTCCAAGAGGCAAAATTGAGGCTATGATGTATAGATGTTTAATGTAATAAGAGAGAAAACTCCTGCTGCGTCCCGTTTGTCCGGGATGAGCCATCCAGGATGGTGGGCATGTTTTGTGCCCAGTTGGCATCAGTTCGAGACTGTCTCCGGATCCACAGGGGACTACCCGGGGGGGATGAGCCTGGGAGTAGAGGCCAACACCATGTTATTTTCTGCTTTGAGAGCAGATCCTGAATCACCCTCCTCTTCTTCCTGAAAGCCTGGTGGGAGACCACGTGACCTGTTGAGTCTTCCACTCTAGAGCCAAGATTATACTCCTCACTGTCCTGCAGTTGCCAGCAGTAGGGTGGAGTTCCCTATTTGAAGGTGGCCCCAGTGTGTGTCCTGGGAGTGAAGTGTGTGAGGATGCAAAGGGGTAGCTGTCTGTGTTAAACACTCAGCTCTGTTCTTGGCTACGATAGGTAGGTTCTCCTCTATATGTTTCTTTAGCTGTGAAGTGTTCAGTATGCACATTTCTAGAGAATTCCACACTGCCAGGATGACCAGGTATGGAAAAATTTCTCTCTGCTACATGCCAAGATCACCTTTTCTTTTCTTAAATTTTAAGTTAAAGGGTACATGTGCGGGATATATGGGTTTGTTACATAGGTAAACATGTGCCATGGTGGTTTGCTGCACAGATTATCCCATCACCTAAGTATTAAGCCCAGCATCCATTAGCTATTCTTCCTGATGCTGTCCCTCCTCCCACCCTTCACCCTCTGACAGGCCCCAGTGAGTGTTGTTTCCCCATCCTACCCCCGTGTGTCTATATGTTCTCATCAGTAACAGGATTGCTGGGTTAAATGGTATTTCTGCCTCAAGGTCTTTGAGGAATCGCCACACTGTCTTCCACAATGGTTGAACTAATTTACACTCCCACCAACAGTGTAAAAGCATTCCTTTTTCTCCACAACCTTGCCAGCATCTGTCTTTTTCTTTGACTTTTTAATAATATCCATTCTGACTGGTGTAAGATGATATATCATTATGGTTTTGCTTTACATTTCTCTAATGATCTTTGATGTTGAGCTTTTTTTTCATGTTTGTTGGCTACATGTATGTTTTCTTTTTCTTGTAAATTTGTTTAAGTTCCTTGAAGATGCTGGATATTAGACCTTTGTCAGATGGATAGATTGCAAAAATTTTCTTCCATCCCGTAGGTTGTCTGTTCACTCTGATGATAGTTTGTTTTGCTGTGCAGAAGCTCTTTAGTTTAATTAGATTCCATTTGTCAATTTTTGCTTTTGTTGCAATTGCTTTTGGCTTTTTTGTCATGAAACCTTTGCTGTGCCTATGTCCTGAATGGTATTGCCTAGGTATTCTTCTAGGGTTTCATAGTTTTGGGTTTTACATTTAAGTCTTTAATCCATCTTGAGTTGATTTTTGTATGTGGTGTAAGGAAGGGATTCCGTTTCAGTTTTCTGCATATGGCTAGCCAAGACTCCAAGCACCGTTTATTAAATAGGGAATCCTTTCCCCATTGCTTGTTTCTGTCAGGTTTGTGGAAGATCAGGTGGTTGTAGGTGAAGATCACCTTTTCATTTATGGACACAAGGAAATCTTGTTCTCTCAGGATCTGGGTCCATGCCATTTCTTGGATGATGACTTTGCTTTCTGTTGAAAACCTTACCTTGTCACATTTAAAGTGTTCTGTTATTCCACTCTTCTTACTTCATATTGAAAGAGGTTTTTTTTGTATTGTATTTAGTAAAGGAAATTTTTTAAATGGTCACATAAGGGAGAAAATCTGCAAGGGGAAAAAAGTGTTGCTATTTCTAAAGGAATAGTAAAGTCCCAAGTCATAGAATATGCTTACTACATGTAGTCTTATTTAAGGGATTTTAATGTAGTATGTTCATGTTCTTTTTTCCCCCGTGATCCAGCTATGGATTTTAAGTTTTTACAACTTTCTTTCTATGTGACTTTAGGAAATAACTTCTTTGAGCCATAGTTTTGTCATATGAATGATGCGGATAATTCTTAACCTCTCTCACTATAGGATTTGTAAGAATATCATATACTTCATACAGTTCTTACTCATGTTTCCAGTCAATGGAAGCTATTGCTATGCCAACAGTATCATTATCTCTAAAGAATAAAAGCAAAGTGGAAGTATGTATTTTGGAACTTCATGTTTGTTTTTACTTTAAAAAAAAGATTTTTTGTAGCTTTTTTCCCCCTGAAAGTAGGTATCATGGAGTTTTATATAAATATAAAATTTTCATGTTGCCCACTATGATATTAAAATTCATGAGAGCAGACAGTTTTATTATTTTGTATTTTATTCCCAAAGTTAAGAAAATGCCTGGTACCTAACTAGATTCTCAGGTGATATTTTTATTGAATGAATGAATTTATTGACCTGTGTTCACACCCCTGGCTAAGTTTACTTTTGTTTTGGTTTACTAAGTTTGTTCCTTTAGACAAGTTTAATCTGAATTGTAATTTCTCATCTGCAAATGGAAACCCTAATGATATGAATGTATTACATGTAATGATAAATGAAGTCATGCATGTAAAGCTACTTAGCATTATGAGTGGTATACAATGAATAACTCAATAAGTATTAGCAATGATTATGATTATGATTTTATGTGCCATTTACTTAGGACATGTGGAGGAAAGAAGAGCATTTGTGGCCGTGAAAGCAATGAGCGTCACATTTCCTCACAGGTTACCGGTACTGGTAGACCCATGGGAAATGATGCCTTGTGTTAGTAGTTGGATTTTTCTCTGTTGTTCTTGGGTAGACTTTTGGTAGCTGGCAGTTAGTGAGGATGTAGAGAGTGAAAATATTTAGAAGAGGCTTCTGATTAAAGATGCCAGTCTTAGGACTATACACAATGGATGAAAACGTGGGAAAATGATATTGTCATTAACATCACTTAGGAGCTGTTAGAAATTTGTATACTGGAGTCAAATTTTAGGTTCTAGAGTCACAGTTATCAAAACTATCCTTGAAGTGGTTTAAATTAATTTTAACCTAGGTTCTGGAGCCAGTGTAATCAAAACTATCCTTAAAATAGTTTAAATTGTTCATCAAGTATGTAGACAAACTCATTCTCAATTAGGTTTATTTCTTTCAGCTTTTTTTGGTCAGCATTGTTTATGATTATGGTTTCTTAGGGTGAGGTGTGTGCATGTCAAATGAAGAGATTAGTGTTTGTTTAAAGGCACACAGCTGCTACAGCTTATTGGAGTTTCCCTCAATTTGCTTTAAGTATCATGGAAGAGGAGAATGGAACTGAGGTCGTCTATACTCTAACGATTTCTAAAGCTTCTGATTGAAAGCAATATATTGGCTGTAGATCATGCAGAGGAAAAGCTGAACTGTCCCAGATTGGAAGAGATTAAATAGATATTACAGCTAAAAGCAATATGATGATCCTGAAATAAATCCTGGATCTGAGGGGCGGAAACTACAAAGGATATTATTGAGGCAGTAGTTTGAATATGGACTGTAGATTAGATAATAATAGTGCATCAGTGTTAAATTTTATGATTTGATAAATGTACTTTGGTTATGAAGGAGAAAATTCTTGCTGTTAGGTAAGACATTCTGAAGTATTTATGGATAAAGGGAAATTCTGTCTGCAAATTACAGTAGTTCAGGAAAAAATATATCCCTGTGTGTATACGTATGTGGAGAGAGAGCATGTATGGAGTGTGCACTGACACAAGTGATAAATAGAACACAAGTGTTCACAGTTGGTGATCTGAGTAAGGGGGACGGGAGTTCTTTGTACTATTCTTGTAATTTTTCTCTAACTGGAATTATATCAAAACAAAAGATAATATTCAAAGGAAAACGAGAAAACAAAAAACAATACAGTGATTATTATTGAAGATTTTGTGTTTAGTCTCACAAAAATGGTGTGTCTCCTTGTACTGCTTTACATCTTCTCAGTTCAGGCCTCTTCTTATCCCAACAATACCGTTTAAATGTAACCCACGTAGAGGCCTCCTTTGATCACATAAATCTAAAGTAAGTCGTTCTTCCTACCCACTCTTTTCTTTTGTGCGTTGATTACAGCTTATATCATGTTTGCTTTGTTCTTGTTTAATGCTGCTTTCTCCTTCAAGACTGAACTCCATGAGGACAAAGACTATGTCTGTTTTTTCCCCCACAGAATACCCAGTCCTGGCACATAATATCAATACACGTGTTTTGGATTTGGATGAATGAATGAATGAAGGAATATTCCTTCCACTTTAGTCAGCATCCCTTAGCTACCTAATCTCTGAGAAAACAAAATGCCTCCTGTAAGATAAAGCTGTAAGATAAAGCCTATGCTTTTGGATTTGGTATTCATTCACTCATTCATTCAGCAAATCTTTATTTAATACAGTCATCTGATTCCTGTTTATCTCTAGCTTCCTTTTGTTAACATCTCTCAGATCTGCATGACTTTTCTAGGTCTGCACCTTCTGGCCAGTCTTCTGTCAATCTGTTAAGTGCGTTTCATAGTTCCCTGTCACTCTCCACATATTTCTTAGAAAGTATCACATTTATGATAATTATGCCTACTTTCCCTGGCTGTAGATACTGCCTTTTTTTTTTCTTTTGAGAAAGAGTCTGGCTCTGTCGCCTAGGCTGGAGTGCAGTGGTACGATCCCAGCTCACTGCAACCTCCGCCTCCCAGTTCAAGCAGTTCTCTTGAGTCTGGAAGAAGATGTGTATGAGGCTAGGGCAGGTGGAAGGGGTGATCATAGCAGGCAGGGCAAATAGAATCCTAAGCGTGGAAAACTGCCCCATGAAGACTCAGAGACTTTAGCAGCTCGATTTGTTTAGGGAGTTCAAGCAGTGTGATATTTGGGACTGATAAGTTGGGGGAGGGGTAGAGGATGAGGGTGAAAAGTTGTGGTGGAAAGGAAGAGCATATTATATTTGCTGTCTTAGGTGTTATTGTCATTTAATAAAGCATTTAGAATAGTTTCCTGGAATATAATGAATACAAAGTGGTAGCTGCTGCCCTAAAAGTCATAATCGTCTTGAGTTTTAAAGCAGCAGAAAAACTTGGATCAACCTACCTAGCATGTAGGAAGATTTCTTTGAAGGCAGCATGGAGGTTGACGGACTAGTGATTGAGGAAATCAGTGCAGGTTGAAAACAGGGTCTGATTTAAGGCAGTAGGGATAGAAATAGGGATATCGTGTCATTAAGTATTTAAATGTTAGAATTTACAGGACAAATTTGCTGATGTTCGTATGTCTTTTAGGAGGAAGACAAATCTAGGATAATATGTGAGAGATTGGGTGAATCTAGACTTCATCAACAAAGAGAAATGAAAAATTAAAGCAAGGAGATTTAAGGGGCAGAGCTCAGTTTTAGAAACAATAATGTTGAAGAAATGCATATAGGAGATTGATTTGGATTTGTTGAGTTTCAGAGGGATTGGATAGATAGTTTAGGAGAGATTTGGGAGTCAGCAATCAACAGTGGTGGTAGCAGCAGCTATGGGAGTAAGTGAGCTCTACTACAAAGGTAAGGCGGCTGAGATCCCTCCCAAACTTTGGAGAGTTGACTTATCTGCCAAGTACCACATTTTTTCTTTGACATCCTATTGGGGGAACCCACCCCCAATATTTCACTGTAGGTTCTATTTTCCATTAGTGTCGGCCGGCTGAGAAATAAAGAGAGACAGTATAAATAGAGGAATTTTACAGCTGGGCCGCCGGGGGCGACATCACATATCGGTAGGACAGTGATGCCCGCATAAGCCTCAAAACCAGCAAGTTTTTATTAAGGGTTTCAAAAGGGGAGGGGGTGTAAGAACAGGGAGTAGGTACAAGATCACATGCTTCAAAGGACAAAAAGCAGAACTAATAAGAGTCTAACAAAGATCACATGCTTCTGAGGGAACAGGACAAAAGACAAAAGCAGAACTACTGATAAGGGTCTATGTTCAGCCATGCATGTATTACCTTGATAAACATCTTAAACAACAGAAAACAGGGTTTGAGAGCAGAGAGCCAGTCTGACCACAGATTTACTAGGGCGGAGTTTTTCCCCACCACCGTAGTAAGCCTGAGGGTACTGCAGGAGACCAGGGTGTATCTCAGTCCTTATCTCAACCGCATAAGACAGGCGTTCCCAGAGCAGCCATTTGTAGACCTCCCCACAGGAATGCATTCCTTTCCCAGGGTATTAATATTCCTTGCTAGGAAAAGAGTTTAGCAACATCTCTCCTACTTGCACATATGTTTATAGGCTCTCTACAAGAAGAAAAATATGGCTCTTTTTGCCTGACCCTGCAGGCAGTCAGACCTTATGGTTGTCTTCCCTTGTTCCCTAAAAATCGCTGTTAATTCTGCTCTTTTTCAAGGTGCACTGATTGCATATTGTTCAAACACACATGTTTTACAATCAATTTGTACAGTTAACACAATTATCACAGTGGTCCTAAGATGACGTACATCCTCAGTTTACGAAGATAACAGGATTAAGAGATTAAAGACAGGCATAAGAAATTATAAAAGTATTATTTGGCAACTGATAAATGTCCATGAAATGTTCACAATTTATGTTCCTCTGCTGTGGCTCCAGCTGGTCGCTCTGTTTGGGGTCCCTGACTTCCCACAACAACATCCTCCTAATATCCCTGTGATATGGTTGTGTTATATTAATCATCTATTGTTGAGTGAGAAATTACAGTAAACTTGATTGTTTGAAGCAACATAAATCTATTATTTTATAGATTCTGGGCATGGCTTCACTGGGCCCTTTTGGGTCTCTGCAAGACTTCAGTCAAAGTGTTGGCCAGGGCTGAGGTCTTCTCTGAGGCTCAACTAGGAAAGGATCTGCTTATGGGCTTGTGGTGGTTGTCAAGATTCAGTTCCTTGAGAATTGTCAGACTGAGACTGTAGCTTCTTGCTAGCTGGCCATCTTCAATTCCTTATCAGGTGGGCCTCTCTATATGGCAGCTTGCTTCATCAAAGCTGGCAAGAGAGAGTCAGCTGGCAAGATGGGAGTTATAATCTTAAGTAACGATTACCTACATGATATCCCATCATTTTTGCAATATTTTTTTGGTTAGAAACAGATCACAGGCCCTGCCTACACTTGAGGGTGGGGATTTCACTGGAGTATGAATACAGTAGGTGGATGTGGTACAGATAATTGCTGCTGTCTTAGAGGCTGTCTGCTGCAGGTGCCATTTTTATTCCTATTTACAAAAGAGGAAGCCAAAACAGTTGTCCAAGATCATATAATTGCAAGTAATGGACCCCAAACCAAACCCAAGCTTTCTAACTCCACTGCCTGGATACTTCTTTACCATAATATTTTAAGGAATGAGGAATTGTTGTGGAAATGGCCGTTTTGAGGAATTTATTGGTGACTTTTGTTTGATGCCATGGATTGATGTGGGTTGAAGTCATGTGGTTGTTATTATAGTGAATGTGCAAGTAGAAGGGCCTGAGTAGAGATTATTCTTAGACGGTAGTTTTAAAAGGAAGAAAGGAACAATAGCCATATGTTGTTTCGTACTGAATTGTTTCTCTTTATAACCAGAAATTTTTCTTTTCCAGTTTTCTGAGTTTAACCAGTAATGCCATTCAGTTGCCAATCTCAAGCAAAGCAAACATAAGCCAGTTTTAATCTACTTTTTAAGAAAAGTGGTAGTCCTTTTCACAGTGCCTGACGGTAAGTCACAGTTTCTACCTGTATAGCAGAGTTTAATCTATTGCCTTTAAAATAATGATTCTGGAAATCTTAATTTTAAAACCTTATTTGCTTTTTCCTTCTCTAATAATTCTCTAAGGCTTATGTGGAAAGAGCATAAGTAAAGGTACCTACTACTTTCTGGGAATTTATTTATAGTTATCGTTCACCAGTTTCATTAATCTTATGGATCTTTTCCTCCATTTGTTGAAAGTAAAATGCTAGACCATGAAATCTGTCCCCTTTTTATGTCATTATTTTAAGTTTTTTTTCTTTCTCTTTTTCTTTTGAGATAGGGCCTTTCTCTGTTGCCCAGGCTGGAGTGCAGTGGCACAATCGTAGCTCACTGCAGTCTTGAACTCCTTGGCTCAAGCCATCCTCCTGCCTCAGCCTCCCAAGTTGCTAGGACCACAGGCATGCGCCACCAAGTGTGTCTAATTTTTTTAAACATTTTGTGCAGACAGGGTGTTGCTGTGTTGCCCAGGCTAGTCTTGAACTCCTGGCCTCAAGTGATCCTCCTGCCTTGGCCTCCCAAAGTTCTGGGATTGCAGGCATGAGCCACTGTGGCTTGTTGTGTATGTTATCCTCATTTTATAGATGAAAAAGCTTTATTTTCTAGATGAGGTTTTTCCTTGGGCATGTTAATCACAGAGTTGTTTTAAATATTCTGATCTCCAGACCTGTACACTTGCTACTGTTACACAAAGTGATGGAACTATTAAGGAGGATTTCTTGCTCAGTGTAGAGGTGAAAAGCAGTTCAACAGGCAGCTGATGGAAGTGATGGAACTATTATGGAGGATTTCTAGCTCAGTGTAGAGGTGAAACACAGATGATGGAAGGAATTGGGATTCATTTCCCCTAATTTGCAAGTAACGGCTACTCTTAATTTGCGATTAGTAAGTTTAACCTTAATACTAATCTATTTTTTATTATGTTGAGGAAGAAGTGGGGGGAAAACTCTCAGGGATAAGATGATTGACCAACTGTTTTATTCTTAATGTAAAACACTGAGTGAAATATGCACATAGCAACCTTTACTCTAGCTACTGGCCTTTTACTTCTTGAAGAATCAAACTTTTTTTCCTGTGGCAGAACAGTTATGCTTTTCTTTTCACTAAACTCATTACTATTTATTTTTATTTTTTTTTAAGCATTGAGTTTACTGAACTATCCAGTTAGCCATCCTAGACATCAAAGCCCATTTTGATATTTTTGTTATTTATATAGTAATACTGTACTGTGTCATAATGATGATAGTATTTGTGATTGTAGTTGCATTTGTAAAATTGATCACTTCTCTTGTTTCTTCTAGTAACTGTATCAGAGGGTGAGGTATAAGCTCACAGAATTCAGATAAATCATCATGAAGTTATATGTATTTCTGGTTAACACTGGAACTACTCTAACATTTGACACTGAACTTACAGTGCAAACGTGAGTTGTATTTCATTTATTTTTTTTTCGCATTCTGTCTGCATGCAGAAAGTTAAAGAAATATTATTCTACTGTTTAAAAAGTAGGATAATGGCGGCCGGGTGCGGTACCTCACGCCTGTAATCCCAGCACTTTGGGAGGCTGAGGCGGGCGGATCACGAGGTCAAGAAAGATCGAGACCATCCTGGCCAACATGGTGAAACCCCGTTCCTACTAAAAATACAAAAATTAGCTGGGTGTGGTGGCGCATGCCTGTAGTCCCAGTTAATCGGGAGGCTGAGGCAGGAGAATCACTTGAACCCCGGGGGGCAGAGGTTGCAGTGAGTCAAGATCGCACCACTGCACTCCAGCCCAGCGACTGAGCAGGACTCTTGTCTCAAAAAAAAAAAAAAAAAAGGTCACATAATGGCAAGTCTTAAATCTTTTATCCCAACATATTTTATATGTAATTGTTATCTTTCTCTAAAAGACTAGTTACATTCTTTAAATTGTGCTTTGTCCTGTTGGCATGAATATAATATTCATGTAAACAGTAAACAGATCAGTAAACAGATCTACTCACACAAAACAAACTGATTTCCATTGTTGTAAGTACCTATAGTCAATTGCTATTCTATTTTTCACAGGCCATTGTTAAGGGAATTATCGGAAGCTTCATAAAACAATGTATATCACTTCCATGGTTTTTGGTCATTTGTTTTTATTCAGTTTATGAATAAATGTCAATAGGTTTATTTTGTTTGTTAAGGAGAGAAAAGATAAATTTAATATTTTCATCCAAATTTAGTGGGACTCAGGTATCTAATAATTCTCTGGCTTGACAGGACAGGAAAGAAATAGAAGTAGTAAATATCATTTCCAACGCTGTTTATATTTTTATAGTGACCATAATAGCAAAGACTTTATGGCAATGCAGAATAAAACTGACATTGGAATTATTATAAATAGTGTGTGAAATAATAATCTTTGTTGTAAAAATTGAATTATGGATTTTTTTTCCAGAATTAGTTTTCATTAAACTTGATTTTACACTTACATGAATGATTTTTTGGAAGATAGGGATAGGAAGGAATCTTCACATGTGTTAGACTTAATGTAGTTTCTAAAACGTGTGGAGATTTTAACAAAAATTATGTAGCCTGAGGATTTTAATAGACCTGATAACCAGTTTGAGCATATTCTTTTGCTGTTATTTACCTAAGATCAGCCAGTTGTTATGGAATCCTGTTCATTAAATAGGAAGCTTATATTTTTATTACTGTTTTTGGGGAAGGTTTTAGAGTGAAATTCATTAACCTCTAAGGTGTTTTTACATAGTACTACTTGGAAAATAAAGTCATTGGGCAAATATAAACAACTGATTTATTTTATTTCATTTTTTGAAGTGTGGCAGACCTTAAGCATGCCATTCAAAGCAAATACAAGATTGCTATTCAACACCAGGTGCTGGTGGTCAATGGAGGAGAATGCATGGCTGCAGATCGAAGAGTGTGTACCTACAGTGCTGGGACGGTAGGTATTCAAGAGTCCTTTCACACAAGAATGCAACATCTTTACATCACATTGGGAACTCAGTGTTCAAAAGTAAGGTTTATTTGCTTCATATATTGAAGGCAATGTGCACGCTCAGTATTTATAACATTTTATTTTGGTTATTTCTCCTTTTTTAAAAAATATAGGATACAAATCCAATTTTTCTTTTTAACAAAGAAATGATCTTATGTGATCGTCCACCTGCTATTCCTAAAACTACCTTTTCGACAGAAAATGACATGGAAATAAAAGTTGAAGAATCTCTTATGATGCCTGCAGTTTTTCATACTGTTGCTTCAAGGACACAGCTTGCATTGGTAAGATATAAACAATTATTTTAACTGATTGTTTCTAAAAGCATTCGGATCTAAATAGCACAGTAGTCTAAATTGCATAGGAAGTATGCAAAAAGTTTGACAAATAAACTTTAAAAATATTTTCCGGTTAATATATCTAGTTTTAAAATTTCTGGGTCATACATTGCTAGTTATTCTACTTTGATAATGACAGTATTTTAGAGTGGAAAAGCTGTCTTAACATGATTTGGTCACCTTCTTTCCTAGATAATATGTAAATAGTTACTTTTGAACATTAATTAATAAAGGACCTACGTTAGAGTAGATGTTAACAAAGAGAACTTAAATAGCTCTAAAAATGTATTTATTTTTTCCATATTTGTGGTTAGTTCCTGGAGGAGAATTAGGTTTCTTTCTAATATATAGCTCTTAACACTGCTACTTGCAGTTCCCACGGATTGTTTCCCAGTCATTTGATTTTCCTTTTTAATTTACTATTTACCTTCTAGTAATATCATTGACATTAAGCTATCAGTGGTAAGCTACATTTTTCTTTTAATCATGGAAAAAATGTGTTAGAACCAATGAAATAATAGTATTTACCTTTTGTAAAAATAAATAACATTACTGAACATTAGCTTTAATTAGTAAAACTCTTAGAGATTTGTTTTAAGCAGTATATACATTTGTACAAATACCCCCATTTTTCACATAGGATACAACATTAAAAGGAAATAACCTCATCTGTGTGAAACATATTTAATAAACATTTGAGAGTCCAAAAGTGCTTTGAGAGGACAAAATTTTAAAAAATATACTTATGTAAACTGAATTTACATAATAGAATCTTTTAGAGTTGTTTTTTTGATTTGGTTGAAAAGTGTACATACTACATTTTGATAGAGAAAGTATTAAATATGAAAATAAGTTAAAGGATAACTAGGATATATAATTTTCAAGTGATTAGAAAGAGCAATTAAAACTATATTCAACGAAAGAATGAAAACAAGAAAGTAAAAAGAAAAGATAAAATGTCAGAAATACGTATATCAGGAATTAAATATAAGCTGGCATTATTTCTCTTTTAATGCATCATATTTAAAATATTTTTTAAATACATAAATAGTAATCTGAGATTCAGATACCAAGCATTCTATATCAGTCTGTTTTCATGCTGCTGATAAAGACATAACCCGAGCCTGGGACGAAAAAGAGGTTTAATTGGACTTAACAGTTCCTCGTGGCTGAAGAGGCCTCGGAATTATGGCAGGAGGCGAAAGGTGAAATTGGCCAAAACAAAGGGGTTACAGGTCCCATGCAAGTTCGAAATCCAGCATGGCAGCCAAGTTTTGAAGCTCCAAAATCATCTCCTTTGACTCCAGGTCTCACATCTAGGTCTCACTAATACAAGAGGTGGGTTCCCATGGACTTGGGGCAGCTCTGTCCCTGTGGCTTTGCAGGGTGCAGCCTCCCTCCCGGCTGCTTTCACAGGCTGGCGTTGTGTCTGTGGCTTTTCCAGGTGCACAGTGCAAGCTGTTGGTGGGTCTTCCATTCTGGGGTCTGGAGGACCGTGACCCTCTTCTCAGAGCTCCACTAGGGAGTGCCCCCAGTAGGGACTCTGTGTGGGGGCTCCGACCCCACATTTTCCTTCTACACTGCCCTAACAGGTTCTCCATGAGGGCCCTGCCCCTGCAGCAAACTTACCTGGGCATCTAGGCGTTTCCGTACATCTTCTGAAATCTAGGCGGTGGTTCCCCAACGTCAACTTGTCATTTACATTAGGTATTTTATTGACTTATTATATAGAGACAGGATCTCACTGCGTTGCCGAGGTTGGTCTCAAACTCCTGGGCTCAAATGATCCTCCTGTCTTGGCCTCCCTAAGTGCTGGGATTATAGGCGTGAATCAGCATACCTGGCCTCTTTTCAGATTTATAAAATACATTGAGCCACCATGCCTGCCCTCTTTTCAGATTTATAAAACAAATTCTAAAGCTGCTATAACCAAAACAGTAACATAGGTCTAATCAATTCATTATGTGAGGAATTAGAGGTGATATTTCTTCATGGTCCGGGATGTGGTCTCTAAAGTCAGATTTTCTGAGTTTATGTCTGATTACTTCATTTACCTGTGGTGTGACCTTTTACTCATTTACCTTATTGGTAAATTTAAGAATAGATTTTTGTTTATTGAGATATACTGAAAAATGCACAAACCATAATTGTACATCCATTCTTAGTGAATTTTCACAATGAACACATTGATAAAAATAGTTTCAGGTGTGGTAGCTTATGCCTGTAATCCCAGCACTTTGGGAGGCCAAGGCAGGCGGATCATGAGGTCAGGAGTTTGAGACCAGCCTGACTAATATGGTGAAACCCTGTCTCTACTTAAAAAAAAAATGCAAAAATTAGCCGGGCATGCTGGCATGTGCCTGTAGTCCCAGCTGCTCGGGAGGCTGAGGTAGGAGAATTGCTTGAACCCAGGAGGCAGAGGTTGCAGTGAGCCAAGATCGCACCACTGCACTCCAGCCTGTGTGACAGAGTGAGACTTCATCTCAAAAAAAAAAAAAAACACACACACACACACACACACACACAAAACCCCACAAAAACAAATAGTTTCAACCCAGAAGCCCTACTTAGGACTTTCTCCCCATCAGTTTTCATCCTCCCTGTTCATTAATGCTAACCAGTATCTTGACTTCTAAACCAACATTACTTGGTCTCTTTTTGAATGTAAATAAATGGAATAATGTAGTTTCTGTTCTTTTGTGTCTAGCCTCTTTTACGCAACATGATGTTCCTGAGAATGATTCATGCTGTTGCATGTATCCGTGGTTTGTATTCTTTGCTGCATTGTATTCTATTGTACGAATATGCCACAGTTTTTTTTTAAATCTGTTCTGCTACTAGTAGGTATTGAGATTGTTTCCAGTGTTCAACTATTGTGACTAAACCTGCTGTGAATGTCCTAGTACATTCTTTTGACTACTGTAGTGTAGAGAAATCAGAATACTTTGACAGTGTTAAATCTGTCTTCTCTTCTACTTCTGCAATCTCTTCTGTACCGAAATGTCCATAGTTCTTTCAGATTTCATCTTGAAATGGACTCAGTGCACACTGTCTTTTTTCTTCCATATATTAGCTATCATTTACATGGTAATTCTATTAATTTCACTTGTCTTGGTTGTTAAAGCTTGATTTAGACTTCTCTGTTTTCAGCCGTGTCTTCTTCCAGTGTAGCCTTCAATCAGTGATACGTTTCTTTTTAACTTATTTCCTGAGCTAAATCTCTGTGTTGAGTTCTTTTTTATAAAGCAAAATTAGACCAAGTTCTTAGGAAAAGAATTTGGTTATAATTTCCATTTGCTCTTGGAGAAAGTTTTTCTGCATTTAGTTTTTTTTACTTTTAATTCTTTTTTTCTACACTAAATTAGGGTAATTTAGTGTAGATTTCATGTTAAAATTTTTGCTTGTGTTTGAATGAATAGAATTATTCCTCTATAAGACAGTGTAGGAAAGGGTATAAGATAGCACTTCCTGGTGAGCAGGAAGCTGCCCTGGATCACAGGGGATCCCCAGTTAGAAGCAGAATCTATATGTGTAAGAGAGGGATGGAGATGACTTATTTTGTCCTTCTCCTTGGACAAAATTTAGCAGTTCTAGGGCTTTTTCTCACGTTTTTTCCTTTGGCTTTTTGCAAGTATGTAACATAAATAGGTATTATTTCTTCTGCTACTCTCTAATTTCAGATAGGGCCCCAAGAGGTTCTTGCTGTCCACCCAAGCTTCCCACAAGGAGGATTCAGTTCTCCCAAGTTTTGCTAAATGTCTGCAATAGTGGTGTGAACCTAAATTATCGTGAGACAGGTCACAATCAATTTAGAAAATTTATTTTGTCAAGGTTAAGGACACACCCAAGACATAGCTTCAGGGGGTCCTGGTAACATGTGCCCAAGGTGGTCAGGGTACAGTTTGCTTTTATACATTTTAGGGAGACATGAGACATGATTATGTGTAAGAAGTACATTGGTTTGGTTCAGAAGGGCAGGATAACTCGAAGCGGGGTCTTTCGAGTCCTTGATCAGCCTTTCACTCAATACATAATTTAGTCTGGCTCAGTGCATCTGCATTTTTACATAAACAATAAACAGTAAGACAGAGGAAGCAGATAGGCCTTTGTTTCAGGTCAGCAGAGGTGTGACTTTCTGTCCCGCACATATGAAGATATGCTGTCAGTTTACATTGTGAAGGTGAAATTCAGCAGAACTGTTTTAGGTTAAAGATCTTGAAGCCTACAAGAAATTTCCCTGTGGCAAAATTGTGAGGGAGGTATGTAGCTTTCTTATCTTTGTAGCTATCTTATTTAGGAATAAAATTGGAGGCAGGTTTGCCTGACATAGTTCCCAGCTTGATTTTTCCATTGGCTTAGTGATTTTGGGTTCCCGAGATTTGTTATTCTTTCACAGTGGGTGCCCTTTTTATTTGACCCAAGTTGATCAGTTTTCATATTCTTCACAGGTTTGCTGCATATATTGTATGTGTGGGGTGGTAGTTGTTTCCTGGTTTCATCAAGATGGTGTCTTGTTTCCCTTTTGTATTTGGTTGGTTTCATGAAGGAGAAGCAGGCAAAGACATCTTTACTTCATTATCTTACAACTGAAACTATTAGCCCTTTCTTATACACATATGGAATTAAGAACAGGTGAAGATAAGTCATTTCTTCAAGGCCAGATAGCCAGGGAGAAGAAGAACCTCTTTTCTCCAAGGCCAGTGCTCTTTACATTCATATCATTGTACTTCCAGAAAGTAAACTTTCATATTTTACCTGTAAAGATATTTCTTTTCACCTAAATTTGTTCATTAACAATATTATCTTCTAAAACAGAATGGTCATAATTTTGGCATCCTTATCAGCCAAATATATCAGCAAATATATCAGCAAAATATATAGAGAAAATACTTCCTCTTTCGTTGCATCCCCCACTCCATCTTAATGATGGTGGAACATTTGTTTTGCATTTTCCTAGACTTTGATATACACACAAAATGCATTTCTCTCTCATACCTCTGTTGTTTCACATTTCTAACTGACCTTAGCCTCCCCAAATAAATGAAAGCATACTATACTTTTTTTGTTGTTGTTTTTGAGTTGGAGTTTTCGCTCTTGCCACCCAGGCTGGAATTCAGTTGTGCGATCTTGGCTCACTGTAACCTCTGCCTCCTGGGTTCAAGTGATTCTCCTCCCTCAGCTTCCCCAGTAGCTGGGATTACAGGTACGTGCCACCACACCCAGCTAATTTTTGTATTTTTGGTAGAGATGGGTTTCACCATCTTGGCCAGGCTGACCTCAAACTCCTGACCGCAGGTGATCGCCCGCCTCAGCCTCCCAAAGTACTAGGATTACAGGTGAGAGCCACTGCACCCGGCCCATACTATATATATTATTCCTTTTTCATTGTTGCAAGGTACTCCCATTTTTGAAATATCATAAATTTATTTTCCTAGTAAACAGTGCTACAGTTGAACTTATTTTACATTTATAAATTTTAACAATTCATAAAATTGAAACATTTGAATATTTTATATCCTCCATCTTTTGTGTGTTTAAGAATCTTCCTCCTACATTTTCTACATGCGCTGCAAGAACTTCTTGCTTTAATGTACCCAACAGCTCTTTTACTCGTCATTTCAAGGGTGTCACCTCTCTTTCATCTGTTTAAAAAAATCTGAAAACATTTTATTTGTTATTTCATAATTCCAGAGTTTTTTTCCCCACTCTATTTTAGTGGCAGCATGATTGATTAATTGACATTAATTGACATGGCACATAATCATTTTACTGACATTCCTACCCCATAAAGACCATCTTACTTATTTACTTTGGTAACTAGATAACTTACAGTAGCTTTTTTACAGTTTGCCTGGACAACTTAAAAATAATCATTTTACATCCATTCTTTCAGGTGCCTTCCCGTTCCACCTTATGACATTTTCTGTATTATCAGTCTTCTTAAAGCTTCTATTTGATTACATTCTTCATGTTAAAGAGTTCTTGAGGAGGTCTTTTCTGAGTAAAGTCCAATTCCTCCTTCCTTACCTTAGTATCTTCTGGGTCTTTGATCATCTGGCCCTCTTTCTCTCGCTTTTTCCTCCAGACCATTTGTTCTTAACCAATAGTGCTTCATATTTCCTGTCTTTGCCACTTCGTGTTCCACTCTTTTGAAGTACTTCTTTCCCTATCTTTGTTCATATTCTTTTCATACCTTTATACTTAAGTTAAATGCCTTCAGTTAACTTTGACTTCTCATTTCCTGTCTCTTTTGTGACTTTTATATCTGTCTCATACCAGTTAACAAAGGTAGAATGATCTGTCTTATTTCCTTGCCAACTAAAATATTTTATAACAGTGGACTTCTTTATATATCTCCATATATAAAGCAATCTACATTGCTGCCTTGTAATTTATCCTTAATAAATATTTTTGTACTTCATTGTTTGGAACTGAATGTCAGATGTCTATTTTCTGAAGGTATTTTCACTGCTTAAATATTTTCTAGAATCTCATTTAGGGTTACTAAATCTGTTATAGTTATACTAATCTAGAAGTAGATGACGTATTTTAGCTTTGCCTTCACCAAAAATTGTTTTTAACATGAATGTCTTGAGATAATACCAGAGGACAGTGACATTTGAGATGGCAGATGTTGATCATTAGTCAAATAATTGAAAGCCCTACTCCTTTGTTTTTCAGAGGTAGCGTCTTATGGATTCTTCTTTTGACTGTCTCTTAGGATACCTGCTCGGAAACACCTCACTTATGTTTAGGCTGTCTTTTACAGAAGAGAACAGAGATAAACTAAAACAGTCCTTTGAAATACTTTGTTAAATGTGCTCTACAACGCATCCACACGTACATGTTTGTAAACATATGCAAACTTCTGCAAACAAACCATTGCCTTCTTTTACTTTCTTTTGTATTCTTTTTCAATATAGGAAATGTATGAAGTTGCCAAGAAACTTTGTTCTTTTTGTGAAGGTCTTGTACATGATGAACATCTTCAACACCAAGGCTGGGCTGCAATCATGGCCAACCTGGAGGACTGTTCAAATTCATACCAAAAGCTACTTTTCAAGTTTGAAAGTATTTATTCAAATTATCTGCAGTCCATAGAAGACATCAAGTTAAAACTTACTCAGTATGTTTGCCATTAAAATGGATAATATTTGTTTAAAATGCCTTTGAAATTTATCAGTAGGTTTAATTACTGCAAATTTGTTTCTTATAGGCCATATATTTATTGTAACTGAGGTTTATTCTTTGAGCCTTTTCTGATAGTGATTTGTAGGTTATAGTTTTTAATTTAAAAAATGATAATTCTCTTTACATGTATGAGTCTCCCACATTTCTTTCTCTTGGGTTGTTTTACTTGTAATAAGGCTCCAAATACTTTTGAAATCATTTATAAAACCAAGAATCTTTGCTTATGTCTTGTCCACTAAACAAAAGGCAAGATGTGAAAAATAACATCTAACAGAAATAGGCACATTATCAAACACTGGACAATGGAGGAAAATTTTAAGTTCTTTGTAAATATTGCCATCCTGATACAGGTTTGATGAGGTGGAAAAAAAGCCCTTGTGTTGTCTGTTTTCTTTTCTTTTTTTTTTTTTTTTTTCTGAGACGGAGGCTCGCTCTGTTGCCCAGGCTGGAGTACAGTGGTGTGATCTCAGCTCACTGCAACCTCCACCTCCCAGGTTTACTCCATTCTTCTGCCTCAGCCTCCCAAGTAGCTGGGACTACAGGTGCCCGCCACCACGCTCAGCTAATTTTTTTTTTTTTTTTTTTTTTTGGATTTTTAGTAGAGATGGGGTTTCACCGTGTTAGGCAGGATGGTCTCGATCTCCTGACCTCATGATCCACCCGCCTTGGCCTTCCAAAGTGCCGGGATTACAGGCGTGAGCCACTGCACCTGGCCAGCCCATGTGTTTTCAATGCTCATTAAGATGGCAAGTTTTAGTTCTTTGCATAGAAGTACATTTAATACACATTGATTCTTTTTTTAAAAGGGCTGTAGTTAACCTGAAAATATAATGGTAATTCAGCATGAAACTAACCCTTATTGTGTGTGTGTGCATATGCTTTTAGCATTTTGTGTTCAGGTTTTTTGTTTTGGATCTGTAGATTTTTTTTTCTTTTAATTATCTTGACCTTGCATTAGAGGCAAGTAGCATGTTCTGGTTTTAATCTTTGTCTTTTTGTTTCTTTGATTTTTTTAAATTTGGGTAACCTTTTAAATTCAGATTTCTCTGTTTTGTGGTATGAATATTAGTTTTTGGCCTTAAAAATGGAAAAATCTTGAGAGGAAAGAGAAGGATTCATTAAGACTAGAAAGATCTTTTTAAAGTTTAAATGAGAACCTTTTCCAGTAACTTTCTAAGGGTTCTGTTAGCTGTATCAGTTTAAAGTAGGGACCTACATCATATTGCACATCATTTTATAGAAGTTAAATCACCAGGATTTCATATTTTCCCTATGCTTTTGACAACATAAACCTGTTTTCAGGGTGTTATGAGTACAAGAGTTATCTTCATTAGGATTGTTATTTTTATCCTGTGCTTTGAATATATCAAATATATTTGATTTACTTAAGGCCATAAGGTTATATTCTAAGATACTGCTATGGTGAATCTTTTTGTAAATTTAAATTTGTTACATCTTTAAGGTTTTGTAAAAGCCTAGTGTTCACTTGTTTAGTATAGCTACTTTACTTTAGAGTGTTTTTTTTTTTTTTTTGAGACGGAGCCTTGCTCTGTCACCCAGGCGGCTGGAGTGCAGTGGCACCATCTCAGCTCACTGCAGCCTCCGCCTCCCAGGTTCAAGCGATTCTTGTGCCTCAGCCTCCTGAGTAGCTGGGATTGCAGGTGCCTGCCACCACACTCGGCTAATTTTTGTACGTTTAGTAGAACTGGGTTTTGCCGTGTTGGCCAGGCTGGTCTCAAACTCCTGACCTCAAATGATTTGCTGCCCTCCACCTCCCAAAGTGCTGGCATTACAGGTGTGAGCCACCACGCCCAGCCCTAGAGTGATATTTTAATGGGTTAACGATAGCCTCTCTCTGCTAAACTAGACTTTTAGTGAATAGCTAGCTCATAGACTAGTTTATGTATGTATAATGTTATGGAGAGGTGGTGAGATTTGTGTGTATAATAATATGTGATTTCATTCAAACATGCTAATTCCTAATTAGAGCAGTCTCATAGTTTTACTGACAGATCTTTTGTATTTTAAGTTTAGGAACTGCAGTTTCAGTAATGGCCAAGATTCCACTGTTGGAGTGCCTAACCAGACATAGTTACAGAGAATGTTTGGGAAGACTGGATTCTTTACCTGAACATGAAGACTCAGAAAAAGCTGAGATGAAAAGATCCACTGAACTGGTGCTCTCTCCTGATATGCCTAGAACAACTAACGAATCTTTGTTAACCTCATTTCCCAAGTCAGTGGAACATGTGTCCCCAGATACCGCAGATGCTGAAAGTGGCAAAGAAATTAGGGAATCTTGTCAAAGTACTGTTCATCAGCAAGATGAAACTACGATTGACACTAAAGATGGTGATCTGCCCTTTTTTAATGTCTCTTTGTTAGACTGGATAAATGTTCAAGATAGACCTAATGATGTGGAATCTTTGGTCAGGAAGTGCTTTGATTCTATGAGCAGGGTAAGTAACGTTAATTTGATGTTTGTTTTGTCATTTTACTACTTTATATTATTTATCCTAAATATTTTATGTACTGAGAGAATGGGTATTACCTTTTAGTAGAAATAAATGAGTCTTGGAGTGAAACTTTTAACATAGGTTGAATCAATTTAATTCATAATTTTATTTATGAATTGATTGTAAATTTGTGAAGGTTATTTGAGATTAATAGGAAAAATTTCTAGTGCAATAAGAATAATTTACATACAGTAAACTACACAGGTCTTGAGTGGTTCATGCAAGAAATAACCACCACACAAATTAAGATAATGAAAATTTCATTGCCCAGAAAGTCCCCGTGTGACTCTTTCCAGTCACTATTTCCTTAGAGGCAACTTCTTTCTGACTTTTAAAGAAGAAATTTCAAATGCTGCATCTGCCTGAGATCTTTAAAATTCGAAACGTAGACACTGTATTTTTTAGTTGTGTTTTATAGTTATAGTGAGCTTGTATTTTGGATTAAGGTCTTCTCCAGCACACCTGAAAACCTTTTAAACCTGAGGAATAAATACCCCTTCATATCTGATCTGCAAACTGATGCAAAATCTTTGACACCAGGAAGGAAGTTGATGGGGCATGTTTCATTGTTACAGAAATGTTAAATAATGTTGTGAAGGCTGCTGTTGTCAAAAGATAATTGTTAAAAATAGTTAAACTTTTCAAGGAGCATGCAGTCGAAGAAGAGTTCATCTTTGATTCACTATTTAGAGCAGGATAGCACATTGTCTGGGATGCCTAAAAAAGAATACATACATTGCTGTTAAAGTTATAGGATATAGTAAAATGGAAAACAAAAAATCTAGGTTTTGTCATTCTTTCAGTATCCAGTTTCTTGATGACATTCTGTAGGCTAAGCATTTCTTTCAATTAAGACATGTTTGCCAGAGAAGTATGTAATATGTTATGCAAAGATTGATCACTGCCAAAAATGAATTAAAGTTAGTGTTCCTGCTTAAACTATTGACAATGTAGTGGCCTGAAAATTCCATTTATGATTGTAGATAATTGCTTACATGATTGTGATCAGAATAATTAAGGTATTTTGTTTTGTTTTGTTTTTTGAGTTAGGGTCTCACTCTGTCGCCCAGGCCGGAGTACAGTGGCATGATTATAGCTCATTGGTTCTCCACCTCCCAGGCTCAGGCAACCCTCCCACCTCAGCCTCCCGAGTAGCTGGGACCACAGGCACACACCACCATGTCCAGCTAATTTTTTCATTGTTTGCACAGACGGGGTCTTCTTCCTATGTTGCTTAGCCTGGTCTCAGATTGCCGGGCTCAAGCAGTTCTCTTGCCTCAGCCTTCCAAAGTGCTGGGATTACAGGCATGAGCCACTGCACCTGGCCTATCATTTTTTCTGTAATTAAGCTGTGCCAGATGTCAAAACAGAGTTATATATATGAAGCGAACCTGAAATCGGCTTTGTATTTCCATGTTCAGTGTGAAATTTCACGGAGTCTTAGGTTTTTTTCAATTTGTATGACTAAAGGAAAGGAACAGTGATTCTCTGACTTAATGAAAAGTCAGCCAGGCACAGTGGCCTGTACCAGTAATCCCAGTGACTTGGGAGGCTGAGGCGAGAGGATCACGTGAGGTAAGAAGTTCAAGACCAGCTTGGGCAACATAGTGAGACTCTATCTCTAAATAATGAATGAAAGAATAAATGTCAGAAATATTTATACCTTCAGAAAATAGAAGGTAGCTATAGTGTTATTACTAAGCAATCACTTTTTTCTTTTTAGAAGTTAATGCTACATTGAATAGGGCATAGCAACAACATCTGAAGTCTTTGTGATATTTTACATGACCATTATATTAAAAAAGCAAAATACAAACTTGTATTTGGTTATTGTTGTTTGTTATCAAATTAGCTAACGTGACTTTAAAATAGTGCCTATAATATAGTACTCATTAGTTGTATATGCCCATTAGATTTTTTTTTTACTTACTCTATCAGGAGGAGTAGCTATTGGATGCTGGGCTTAATACCTAGGTGCTAGGATGATCTGTGCAGCAAACCACCATGGCATACATTTACACATTTATGTAACAAACCAGCACATGCTGCACGTGTATGCCAGAATTTAAAATAAATGTTTGAAGTTAAAAAATATATATTATTCTGAAGCAGTTAAAATCCAATTTGGAAAAATTTATTTATATTTTACAAAGTATATGATCTGTAAATGTGATGTATTGCGTAATGAATGGCACTTTACCATGATGTTTTTATTAGATCAGTATTTTTCTCCTCTCAGGAGTACTATACTTTTTCTTGATAAGACTAGGGGCATTTCTGAAGATGAACCGAGTATGAGATTTCTCTCTGATTGGAGATGGTTTTTTACTCTCATTTTATTAAACGGTTGTCCAAAACAACTAACCTACCTGATATCTGATCGCAGTAGCACTGTTTTCCAATGAAGTAATAAAAATATATGCCAAGATTTTTTTTCCGTAAAAGGAAATTCAGTTTAAATCTATCGTTTTTGCAGATTAATTCCAATTGTAACAGTATTTTGTAACATGTACTTTCAACTGGCAAATTAAAATGTCTTTCTCAGGAAATTAGTCGAGACATAGGTATTTTGGAAATTAGGATTTGGAATTGGAATAGCAGGGGCTCAAATCTGGGCATTGAGATTCATTTACTATCTGTCATCCATAAGTCACTTAACATGGGATTCCTAGTTTTATATTTTTGTGGATTAAGAGATGCTAGTTTTGTAAATTATTGTTTTTCCCCCCATTTTATCTGTCAGAAAAAATTTAGAATTGTTGCTGCATTTTCGTAGACTCATATTTTTAGATTTTAGTGTATTCTTGCTAAAAAGACTCTTTTTTTTTTTTTGAGTTGGAGTCTCGCTCTGTCACCCAGGCTGGCGTGCACTGGCACGATCTCGGCTCACTGCAGCCTTCACCTCCTGGGTAGCTGGGACTACAGGCACCCGCCACCACACCTGGCAAATTTTTGTTTTTTTTAATAGAGATAGAGTTTGGCCATGTTGGCCAGGCTGGCTTTGAACTCCTCACCTCAGTTGATTTGCCTGGCTCTGCCTCCCAAAGTGCTGGGATTACAGGTGTGAGCCACTGCACCCGGCCTTAAGATGACTCTTGAGTGTTCTGTTTCAGTTTATACTACAAAAGGCACACTGATTTGTGTTTCTAACGATTAATAATTGGAAGTGTCTGCATTTAGCACATTTCTAAACTGTCCAGGTTAATGCAGCATAATTTATTGAGCTTTAGCATTTCTTTCAGACAACTTGTGATCTTAAGGAATCTATGCAGGGGAGTGGGTTTAAAGGTCAGAGGCTTAAGAATAGAGAGTGTAAGAAACTTTGTTTTATAGTTTCTTTCTCAGTTAAAAATAATGTTAGCCTTTGTAGATGCCAAAGAGCCCAAGAGTAAAAATTAATGTATCACTGACTGTTAATTATTGAAAATTGGCTAAATAATTACTAATGAGATTCTGTGGTTTACATATATGTAATTTAAAACATTTCTTCAAAGATTTTTATTATCTGTGAACAAATGGAATAAAATATTAAGTGCAGTGAGATTTTAGGAAGTCAGCTGGGCACGGTGACTCATGCCTATAATCCTAGCACTTTGGGAGGCCAAGGTGGGAGTCCATTGCCTGAGCCCAGGAGTTTGAGACCAGCCTAGGTAACAGGGCGATACCCATGTCTACAAAAAATTAGCTGATTGTGGTGGCACATGCCTGTAGTCCCAGCAGTTAGGGATGCTGAGGCCGTAGGATCGCTTGAGCCTGTAGTGAGCTGTGATCATGCCAGTGCACTCTATCTTGGGCAACAGAGCCAGAACGTGGCTCAAAAATAAATTTTTTTTAGGAAGTTGTGTAAACTATTTAGTGAATCATAAAATACTCTCCTATGTTTGTCAGTGCAGTTATACTTTCAATGAATTATTAAATTCAGATACGTTGTATTCAGGAGCCCTTGTTTTTGGTTTAAGTTGTTGGTATGTTAAGTTTATGTATAATTGTAATTTTGCCTAGGTTGAACATTTGAACCAGTTTTCATCTTTATCATGCTAATAATTTGTAACCAGGCTTTGATGTGCATAGTACTCTGGTGTAGAAATACATACACATTGGACTCAGTTACCACAAAATTGAGAAAAGTGAGAAAATGTTCACAAATGTACAAGTAGCAGTTGAGACAACATTGTGCAAAACTAGTGGTGCCTATTCTGAAATAATGGTTTTGTTAATTTTTTCGGTAGTGTTAGACATGCACCCTCTTAACTACACTGGATTCTTGATAATAACAATAAAATAGTTTAGTTTAATTGCTTTTGTATGTTCTCTGTGTACAAGACTCTATGCATTAATCAGTTTTTTCCGACTGTAGAGAAGGCAGCATGAAGGAGGTATTTGACTAGGATCTTTAGAGGGAGAGGTTGACTTAAACAGTTAATAGAAGAATTGTGAACAAAGATCAGAGATAGAAAAACACGGTTTATCTTGAAATGATAGACATTTCAGCTTGAAAAGATGAGAGGCTTGAAAGATTTTTTTCTGATATCAGATCAATGAAGCCTTTATTATATTCTACATTTATTGGATATTATCTGTGGGCAGAAGAAAGTCATTTGAGGGTTTTATTAGGAACAAGCATAGTAAGTCAATAATAGAAGGTTTCATGGTTGCTACCCAAATGTAGATGTTAGTAAACAGTCAGAAACACAGTTTGAGAATCTGTGAGACTGATCAGTGATTGAAGTAGACTTGGGAGTTATCTCCAGAAAAGTTATACTTAATGCTGAAATCATATTGAGAACAGTAAAAATGGGCTAAGGACAAAATCCTTCTGAATCATCTGTTTTAGAAAGATTAGACAGAGCAAAAGGAGCCAGAAAAGGATGCTGTGAAGGAACCAGTAGAAGTAACTTCCCAGAGCCTTTAAGGTTGGGAAAAGGTTATCTGCCATGCTAACTGTTGAAGAGCCTCAAGTGAAGCAAGGTCATTGGTAGTTTTTGGCTGAGCAGTTTTTATGGAAAACGCAGACAGAAAGGCTGCCAGGTAAAATATTTTTTTAAGGGACCAGGAGCATTATCGGAAAATTTTATAGGTTCCATGAATTTCAGCAAATGTGTAGAATTAGAGCCAGGGAACAGGAGAGATGGAAGAGTGAGAAAGCATAATTGAGCAAGCCGATTCGTTGAGGAGATAGAAATAGAGAATAAGGAAGTTTTATCTTCTATCTCCAGGAGGGAGATAAATTTGCCGAAGAAGTTTATATGTTTTAAAGAGAAGTTGCATTGATAAGAGAATTAATGATATTATGCTGACATTGAAAATACCTTTTTCTGAGAGATATTGACAAGTGATTAAATTGTAGCACTGATTGAAATGTGTGATTCTTGAAAATGTATTCCTAATTATGTATTCTAGTGTAAATTCAGTGTTGTCAAGGATATTTATCCTGTACTTGACCTTCTTATGAAAGTATAACTTAGAGTTCCCATGCTTTTGCTTTTTTATATCTTTTATCACTTATTTTCTCTCAAGCTGTATGTCAGAATAGCATGAAATACATTTTAAACTATTTGCTGAAAATTGTATTCGTATGTGTTTCCTTGTCATTTAGCTTGATCCAAGGATTATTCGACCATTTATAGCAGAATGCCGTCAAACTATTGCCAAACTTGATAATCAGAATATGAAAGCCATTAAAGGACTTGAAGATCGGCTCTACGCCCTGGACCAGATGATTGCTAGCTGTGGCCGACTGGTGAATGAACAGAAAGAGCTTGCTCAGGTACCTATTTTAGACTTTTCTCAGGAAAAGGAATTTATAGTTTTTTTGTACACATGTTTTATATGCAGTATCAATTTGGTGTGCACCATATTTTCACTTTTTCCTTGAATATTTTTAATGTATTAATATTGTTTCCTTGTAATAAAACAGAAAAGCATGTTCTTAATGATTGAGTTTCCTATAGATAAACCATGAAACTGCTACTTGAAGCTGGGGGCAGAAATCAACATTTTTTGATATGTTGAAAGCAGATGATCATATCAGTTATTGTGCTAAAAATTTCAATGCTTCCTACTACCCCCCATAGGACGAAGGATAAGAAATGAAATTTTTTAAGAATAGGAGAATACGAAATCTTGAAGAATTTACTAATACTTCTAATAGTAATACCTAGGTTTTAGATCTGATTTAATGCCATAATCCTAGAACTGTTGAAAAAGTGGATTTTAAACCAAAGGAAGGTGATGGAATGGCTAAGTAAGAGTGGTAAATGTGGACGTTTCTAAGCAAACCAGTGCCTCTCTTAAATTCATGATTGCCTGTCCTTCACCCACCATGGCTAGCATTGTGGCAAAACCACCCATAGCTGAATAGTTGAATGTCATAATCAGATTCTGACAGCTGTTTTTCTAGTTTAATTTTCCTTGCCAATATTTTTCCTCTAATTGTGTTCTTTCATTGGAACATATAAATAATTACATCCCCCATATTAACTTTTCCTTTTTTTTAAGGCAAAACATACTTCGTTGATGTTATAGTTAAGGCTGATATAAATTAGAATGTCCTTTAGTATTTCCTTTTAGTGATAAGTTCAATTTTGTTGTTTGAAAATCTCTTAAATCACCTTGATTTCTGGAGGATATTTTTACCTGGTTCATTTAAAATTCTGGGTTGTTAGCATTTTACTTTTGGTCTTTTCCTTCTGTTTGGTTTTTAGCAATTTTAGTATGAGGTGCCAAGATGTGGCATTCTTTGTATTTATCCTACTTTGGGCTTGTAGTGCATCTTGAATCTGTGGTTTAATGACTTATACCATTTGGGAAAAATCTGAGTCAGTTTCTCTTCAGATCTTGCTTTTCCCTCACTTGCTTTTCCTTCTCTTTCAGTGATTCCAGTTAGACGTGTTAGACCTTTCACCATATCCGTTTCATTTACACTTGTTTCCTGTATTTTCTTTCTTTTTATCTATCTGTGCTTCATTCTAGATATTTTCCTTTAACCTACATTTTAACTTTTTCTCTTTTTTTAGTGGCTAACTGTAGCTAACCACTTGCTCATTTCTTAATTTTGTTCATTTTTCAGCTCTACAGTTTCAGTTTGGTTCTTTTGTATATAGTTTCATATTCTCTACCCAAATATTTAGTCTTAGCCATTCATCATCTCTTTGATCACATTAAGCACATAGCAGTTTAAAAGTCTGTATCTGTTCACTGTATTGCCTGTTCCTGTGTGTCTGTTTATATTTGGTGGTGTTTCTTTCTTTCTTTCTTTTTTTTTTTTTTGAGAGGAAGTTTCGCTCTTGTAGCCCAGACTAGAGTGCAGTGGCGCTATCTCGTCTCACTGCAACGTCTGCCTCCTGGGTGCAAGCGATTCTTTTGCCTCAGTCTCCGAAGTAGCTGGGATTACAGGCATGCACCACCACGCCTGGTTAATTTTGTATTTTTAGTGGAGACAGGGTTTTTCCATGTTGGTCAGGCTGGTCTCAAATTCCTAACCTCAGGCCTGCCTCGGCCTCCAAAAGTGCTGGGATTACAGGTGTGAGCCACGGCGCCCAGCCGTATATTTGGTGGTGTTTCTTATAATTCTCACTCTTATGGTCTTGCCTTTTCATGTACCTGATTTTTTTTTTAATAAGAAAAATCAAAGAAATATTGTGAGGCCTAGGATAACGTTTTCTTCTGCAGATAATTTATGTTTGCTTTTGGTATGTGCTTTGGGCAGTTACCATCGTAAATTACTTTAGTTCAGTTTCAGAGATTTGGATGATTGGACATTGGTATTCTAGTTCTTGGGATGGCCATTCTACTTTTAGTTTACCCCTAATCATAGGATATAGGTTTTAAGGATCTGAACGCAAATAAACTGTTCCATTGTACCTTCCCTTGGCTGGCTCTGGTCTTCAACTTTTAATTTTCTAGCTCTTCAGGGAAGTCAGGACTGCTGACTACTTATTTTTAATTTTGGACTCCTCTTCAAGAATCAGCAGAATTCTTCAGAGCAAATGGCATTCCTAGTCACCTAATTTCTCTCTCTTGGTTTCGTTCTTCTCCTGGATCCTAGCCCTTTCACTGTGCCTGGCTTCTTCACTGCTTTCCTAGAGCCACAGGGAGCTTGTTGACATTACAGGCTACCATTACTAGAGACAGAACTCTGCATTCCTGATCTTTTGCTTCTTCTGCAGTGTAGTTGTTTTTTAACTTCCATAGAATGAATCAAACAAAATTTATTTAACCATACTTCTTTTGGTGATTATTTAGTTTGTTTCAGTTTTTCCATATTAGAAATATTCATTGAGTATCTCAATACACCCATTTTTACATGCATGTTCTAGTATTTCTTTAGGCACAATCTTCAATAATGGGATTGTTGGATTAAGGTCTTTGTTCATTTTAAATATTAATTAATAATGTTCTAATGCCTGCCATAGAAGCAAAATCAGTCAACACTTCCAGTAAGTAAGAAGAGTAATTTCTCTGTTTTCAGCGTTTGCCATGTATTTACTCTGAATTGTCATTCGCCACATTTTCTTTTTCATGTTTTTGTTAGAATTTATCATATATTGTCTAGATAGTTCTTTGTCTATTATAGATCATACAGATATTGTCTCTGTTGATAATTTATCTGGATCGAAAAACAGAAGCTTTAAATTTTGATGCAGTCAAATTCATTCGTATATTTATTCATATTAAATTTTATGAACCCATCATTCTATAAAATCGTCTAGATTTCTTTATAACTGTTTCTCAGATTGAATAAACTAGGGCTTTCAATTATCTTACCTTAGACACTCGATTTTTCTCTCTCTACTTTTTCTTTGCTCCCCTTAATCTCTCAGTATATTAAAATATTGCTATTAGTCCTCCTGCTTTATATCACTTGAACAGTCAATCAGGCAGGTACATTGGATGGTTTTATATTTGTTAGTAATATAAAAAGATATTTATTGCTGATATTGCCCTCAAGTCTACTTGGTTTCAGCAAATGGAGTTTTGTCATACAAGGAAAAGTCTTTTTCTGGGAGTATGGTTGGGGTGATAATACTGTTTTCTCAAAATGGAAGAATGCATTATTTGCGATTTGAGCTTTTCTTGTTTGCTTTCTAAATCTGACCATTTAACCTCCCTGAATCCAAACTGAAGTAAAATTCAGTGAAAATTTCTTATGCTGTTCCTATGGATATTACAAAATTAGTTTTTGTTGTCTTGTGCTCATAGAGCATCCTCTTTCAACATCTTCATTCCCCCTAATTTATTTGTAGTATTTTGCTATTGTTTTAAACTATGGTAGCTCATGGAATATACCAAAAGAATACTATAGGTAATATTGTTACTTTTAGAAAATATCTTTTCTTTCTTCGATACCTGAGTGGTATAGTCCTTTTAAACATTTCGAGACAATTAAATATTTAATTATTTAAGTTCTCCAATGGATATTTTTTGGTACTCCTAAGTATTCATAAGAAGTCATCTACATTGTCTGGTTGTATATTGGGAGCAAAATTTAAGACAGAAATATAGACCCCAAGGTAGACAGTTTTCAATTGAGTGTGCCTGAATGAATCTGAATGTGATAGGATTCAGTTTAATAAGATTATTTTCAGTGAGCTCATTAGAGAAAAGGGATACCCAGTTGAAGCTAGGAGGTATATGGTGAGTGAGACAACTTTTCACACCTATATTGTCATGTATTTGGCTGCCGCCAAGGGATGTACAGAGTCAAGGTTTTAGCAGAAGCATCACTTCCTCAGCCAAACTTTCCTGATCTTGAAGTCTTGGTCACATCATCAGGTTCATTTTCTCTTAGTATGCTGTACTTATCCTGTACCACAGTTGTAATTATTAATTACATGCTGTTTAATACAGTCTCTTCCCAGAATATAAGCTCCAAGGAGGCAGGACACTACTCTATCTTCCATTGCTTTATCTACAAGGTCTTACCACACATTCCTGATACATACATAGTAGGAACACATCAATACTTAATAAAATGAGAATTTGGATTTGTGTTTTTTTGAATTTGAGAAATGTCACAATTCTATCTAGTCTTTGGCTGGTCTGGAATTTTTATTTACAGATGTCTCATCAGTTACTTTTGTTGCTGCTAATGGTATTTCCCTGTTGCAGATAGTTTGTCAGTACTTCCTTTAGAATGTGTTTGGTGAAAAGTAGATAAATTCAGATTATCCAATTTTAGGAGTTGATTTTACATCTTGCTAAACACATTTACAACGTAGTATAATACATTCTAGCTACATAGCAATTAAAACTTAAAACCACTCCCAATTAAAAGGGAAAAGAAATTGTGGAAAGGGATTTATTATTTATTGCCTGAACATCTCATAAGATAGAGACCATTTCAAATGCCTTTGAAGGGGTAATTTCTTAAAACCACAACATTTATGAGGATTGTTGTAGACCCTTCTACATGGTTTTGGCAAAAAAAAAAACCTCACTCACCAAACCTATGAAGCTGTGTAACACTGGAGCCCTGAATATTCATTCTCTAGCCATTCGTATCCTTGAGGGTTATCAGCAAAATTAGGAAATATCAGGGAGTTTTCTTCCTGAACCAAATTTGGCTGAATGCATCTGGAACACGATTGTGAGTACTACAGTGCTATCATGTAGCTCATGTAGCTGTCAAACCTTATTTGCGTGTAAAAATATTAGTAATGAATTAGTACTAGATGATTTATGAGGATTTTTTCTATTTAGTCTGAATTATATTGAGTATGGTTGAGCAAATATGAAATTCAATTTATTGAAAAACTTTATTTTTTCCTTCTTTTAGCAATACAGTACTTACATGCTTTTGGTGTCAGGAAATCCTTTACTAATGGTCTAGAATTTAAATTTGGGATTGATTCTATATTTTTCATGGATTCAATAAAAAGTAATTGAAAACCAGACTTTGCGAAAGGAGTTAAAAGTAGCAAATTGTTTTTTAATAGATTACATTATAGAAAAATTATAGTTGCAGTTAACCAAAGAGTATATTGAAAGGGAAAAAAAAGGCATACAGTTACTATGAAAATTGTCTTCCTTTCAGATATTGAACCAGTTTGACTTCAGTATATATCATTCAAATCTAAATGTCATGATATTTAGGAAAACATGAAACAGAGAACTACCAGAAAATTGGAAGACACACTTGTCCTTTAGCTGGTCATAAAGTTAAGTTCCTAGAAGGATAATGATTTATTTACAGTATCAATACAGCAATCAGATGGATGTACAAAACCTACAACATTATTACATATAAGCCACTTGGTATATAGCATAGGAAAAAACTTTGTGGTAGCAATAAAGTATGTAGTAATAACCTTATTAAGTTATCTTTGGACCACATATAAAGAAAACTAAATATACTTGAGAGATAAATGAAGGAAGATTATGGCAGATCTATCTAAATTAATTAGTAACTTAATCCCTACTTGACAGATACACCGTTCACCTACAAAAACAAATGAGTAAGGACAGTTAAGAAAAACAGAAAAAATGTTTTTCTACCAAATAATAAAGTATAAACTCTGTGTAAAATCACACAATTCAGTCATTGTCCTAGCAATGGGAGCACAGATCAGTGGAACAAAATATAGTCCAGAGATAACTGGAGAGGGCAGTGACTTTTCGATAAATATTTTAAGGGCATTTTATTATTTTTATATTTGGGAAAGTGTCTAATATACTACTGTATAATGTTTGCTAGATTAAATCCCTTATTGTTTTTCAGTGACCTTGTTTTGTTTGTGCTGTGACTGACCGATAGTGTTATAGGATTCTAGACACATAGCTTCTAATTCTCATTGACTATTAAGTATGTCCTTGGCTAAGGGGCTTTATCTTTCTAGCCTTTATTTTCTTCTAGTTTGAAAAATTAAAGATGAGCATAGGATTCTTAAAAATTCTAGGTCTTGTGCCATTTATGCATCTACTACATTCGAGAAAAATAGAGGATTTAAAAATATTGTTAGAAGGCACAAAACGGGTTGTGTTTAACATAAAGATTTTCCACTTAACTGAATGTCCATACCTTTCATGAAACAAAATTAATGTCCTTTGAAACATTTTTTTTCTCAAAGGGATTTTTAGCTAATCAGAAGAGAGCTGAAAACTTAAAGGATGCATCTGTATTACCTGATTTATGCCTGAGTCACGCAAATCAGTTGATGATTATGTTGCAAAATCATAGAAAACTGTTAGATATTAAGCAGAAGTGTACCACTGCCAAACAAGAACTAGCAAATAACCTACATGTCAGACTGAAGTAAGTGATTCATTTATATCTGTTTTAAGATGTTTAGAATTGGTATTTATATTTATTTCTCCCAAATGATGGAGTGATTTTTCCCTACCATTTTATTGAAATACCTTATTGATGAACTTTGGAATTAGACTATTTTTGTAGAGCTTATATATCTTGATTTCTTTGGCTTAACTAAGTTAGTAAGCTTACTAAGTAAGTAACTAAGTTAGTACCAGTTTTGTGAATGTTGAAAATAATGGATTTTATTCTCTAGGTGGTGTTGCTTTGTAATGCTTCATGCTGATCAAGATGGAGAGAAGTTACAAGCTTTGCTCCGCCTCGTAATAGAGCTGTTAGAAAGAGTCAAAATTGTTGAAGCTCTTAGTACAGTTCCTCAGATGTACTGCTTAGCTGTTGTTGAGGTTGTAAGAAGAAAAATGTTCATAAAACACTACAGGGAGGTATGCAAGTTGAATTCTATTTTAACTGTATATGAACTTTAACGAATTGGTGTATGTTTATGTTTAACATAAGCTTTCCTCTTCTAGTGGGCTGGTGCTTTAGTCAAAGATGGAAAGAGATTATATGAAGCAGAAAAATCAAAAAGGGAATCCTTTGGGAAATTATTTAGTAAGTGTTCATTAATAATTTTAATTACTTTTGTAAAGGATAAAAGTTTTTATAAGCTTGGATTTTCTGTAGCATACTTCATGTATATGCTGTTAATTGCCATTGATATCTAGGAAATATTCCTTTTAAAGTGTATAGAATTGAATCCATTGTTAAATTTTAAACTTGAAGTACTGTCAACTTTTAATTTACCTTTTCAAAAACCAGAGATAATTTTTTGCCTTAAATAAAGCTCTAAAATAACCATATTGTTAATTTCTTTATACAGGGAAGTCTTTTTTAAGAAATCGTCTGTTTAGGGGACTGGACTCCTGGCCCCCTTCCTTTTGTGTATGTATTTATTTTCTAACCATGACTAAATTCCATATGTTTTAAAACCTTTTTTCCAGAAGTAGAGACATTTATCAGAAACTTGCAGAAATTGTTGTGGTTTAAAAAAAATCAAAATAAAAGTGTTTTTGGCTTTAAAAGCCAGTTAGCATAAAGCTTTAAGATTGATATTTGTATTCATAATTTTTTATAAAGAATCTTCATAACACAGGAAGATACCTTATACTGCACTGTTAGGATTGGTAGAAATAGATTCACTTGGTTTTTTTGTTTTCTTGTCTCTTCCTTTTTTTCTTTCCACCCTTCCCTCTTCTTTCTTCCACTGCTCTTCTCCCTCCCTCCTCCTTTACAGCCTCCACCTCCTCCTTGCCCTTCTATATTTCTTTTCACACCACCCCCCTTTATATTTTGACAAATCAGAATAATAAAGCCTCAGTTAGACTTCACTGGAATTAAACGTTAGTTTGATATGTTTCTAAACCATTGTTATCTGGGGTCATTAATTGTATTACATGAGAAGAAACGTTTCCATGATCAAAGCAATATGGGGGCTTTTACCCCCATCAGATGTACTCTTAGCTGTGTTGTTGTTGTTTTGGAGACAAGAGTCTTGCTCTGTTGTCCAGGCTGGAGTGCAGTGGCACAATCTCATCTCACTGCAACCTCAGCCTCCTGGGTTCAAGCTGTTCTTGTGCCTCAGCCTCCCAAGTAGCTGGGACTAGAGGTGCCTGCCACCACATCCAGCTAAGTTTTTGTATTTTAGTAGAGACGGGGTTTCACCGTGTTGGCCAGCTGGTCTCAAACTCCTGGCCCCAAGTGTTCTGCCCACCTTGGCCTCCCAAATTGTTCAGGTTACAGGCGTGAGCCACCACGCCCAGCCATGCTTAGCTGTTAAACATGTTTCTATACTGCAGGATTTCTTAGTGTTTTAAATGTATGCATTTTTTAATACATAAGAATTGGTGACATAGCGATTCCCATACTTATTTATCCGAGAACTCTTTTTTATGAAGAGCATCTTGGCATCTCCACATCTGCTTGAGTAATGATTTAAAACAAGTTTTTTTTTAATGCAACTCTTGGCAATTTTATAAATAATGAATTGGTAGGATTTACCGGTTAATATTTTTTACAGAAGCTAAAATTGACCAAAACTTTGTCTTCTGGAAAATGTAATGGAAAAGTCAAGGCAAAAGCAAATAAGAAAGTGTTACATGGAAAAAAAATACATGTGTGCATTTTAATATATTAGTGGCTTTAACATGGTAAATATTATATATATACGCACACACTTACATATGTGTTTACCATATGTATATGTACATACATACACATACAGGATAGGAATATTGTAATTCCCATAAAATGATGCTAAAAGCAGAGAAGGGGAGGAACAAGTGCATCCCTTGATCACTAGCAGTTCACGTCGCAGTTTACTAAAGGCTCAGGAAAATAATATGCCATATCTTTATTGAATGGTCTTTTTTTGTTTCTTAATCATTTAAAGCACTTTAGTTTGTTTGGTATAGTAAATTTAATTATAGTAAGAAATCATATAAATTTGCTGTCTGTTTTTGGTTGAAAAAAAATTTTTTAAGTAATTAATTTTTTTGGTACAGACTCAAAAGCCTCGAAAGTTTGACTGTGAACTTCCAGATATTTCATTAAAAGATTTACAGTTTCTGCAATCATTTTGTCCTTCGGAAGTTCAGCCATTCCTCAGGTAAATGTCATTAGTATTTTCAGTTAATTTATAACCTTAAAATGTTTTTATTATTCTGGAGTTGTGCCAGGTAGTACCAGTAATCTTAAGAGGTGCCAAGATAAGAAATATTTAAGATAGACTGGCTTTCCTGTGACTGCTTTGAGAAATTTCTGGGGAATAAAAAATGATGGAAAATGAAGGTAAAGTAAAGGAAGACATGCCTTACATGTAATTATTTTTTTCTAGTAGTTACTTTTTGCATGCTGTTGGGAAATTTCTGACTTTTTACTTTTTTTTTTTTTTTTTTTTTTCTTGAGACGGAGTCTCGCTCTCTCGCCCAGGCTGGAGTGCAATGGTGTGATACTGGCTCACTGCAACCTTCACCTCCCATGTTCCAGCAGTTCTCCTGCCTCAGCCTCCTGAGTAGCTGGGATTACAGGAGCCCACCACCATGCCCTGCTAATTTTTGTATTTTTAGTAGAGATGTGGTTTCACCATGTTGGCCAGGCTGGTCTCGAACTCCTGACCTCATGATCCACCCGCCTAGGCCTCCCAAAGTGCTTGGATTATAGGTGTGATCCACCACGCCCGGCCCTAAGTTTTTACTTTACTGATTATGACACAAACTTCTTAAAATACTTCTGGTATTAATTTAAAAAGGAATGATAAGGCTCTTGTTATTTTTGACATATTAAAATATTTGGTAGCAGTTATCTACTAGTTCATTAAAAAATCAGAAGTCTAATTGCATTGCATTCTGTTTCAGGGTTCCCTTACTTTGTGACTTTGAACCTCTACACCAGCATGTACTTGCTCTACATAATTTGGTAAAAGCAGCACAAAGTTTGGATGAAATGTCACAGACCATTACAGATCTACTGAGTGAACAAAAGGCAAATTCAATTCTTTCAAACAGTTTTCTTCATTAGTGTAAAATGTTTGTGTTCCTGCAGCTCTTTAAGCCTTTCTTTCTGTTTTCCAGGCATCTGTGAGTCAGACATCCCCACAGTCTGCTTCTTCACCAAGGATGGAAAGTACAGCAGGAATTACAACTACTACCTCACCGAGAACTCCTCCACCACTGACTGTTCAGGATCCCTTATGTCCTGCAGTTTGTCCCTTAGAAGAATTATCTCCAGATAGTATTGATGCACATACGTTTGATTTTGAAACTATTCCCCATCCAAACATAGAACAGACTATTCACCAAGTTTCTTTAGACTTGGATTCATTAGCAGAAAGTCCTGAATCAGATTTTATGTCTGCTGTGAATGAGTTTGTAATAGAAGAAAATTTGTCGTCTCCTAATCCTATAAGTGATCCACAAAGCCCAGAAATGATGGTGGAATCACTTTATTCATCAGTTATCAATGCGATAGACAGTAGACGAATGCAGGATACAAATGTATGTGGTAAGGAGGATTTTGGAGATCATACTTCTCTGAATGTCCAGTTGGAAAGATGTAGAGTTGTTGCCCAAGACTCTCACTTCAGTATACAAACCATTAAGGAAGACCTTTGCCACTTTAGAACATTTGTACAAAAAGAACAGTGTGACTTCTCAAATTCATTAAAATGTACAGCAGTAGAAATAAGAAACATTATTGAAAAAGTAAAATGTTCTCTGGAAATAACACTAAAAGAAAAACATCAAAAAGAACTACTGTCTTTAAAAAATGAATATGAAGGTAAACTTGACGGACTAATAAAGGAAACTGAAGAGAATGAAAACAAAATTAAAAAATTGAAGGGAGAGTTAGTATGCCTTGAGGAGGTTTTACAAAATAAAGATAATGAATTTGCTTTGGTTAAACATGAAAAAGAAGCTGTAATCTGCCTGCAGAATGAAAAGGATCAGAAGTTGTTAGAGATGGAAAATATAATGCACTCTCAAAATTGTGAAATTAAAGAACTGAAGCAGTCACGAGAAATAGTGTTAGAAGACTTAAAAAAGCTCCATGTTGAAAATGATGAGAAGTTACAGTTATTGAGGGCAGAACTTCAGTCCTTGGAGCAAAGTCATCTAAAGGAATTAGAGGACACACTTCAGGTTAGGCACATACAAGAGTTTGAGAAGGTTATGACAGACCACAGAGTTTCTTTGGAGGAATTAAAAAAGGAAAACCAACAAATAATTAATCAAATACAAGAATCTCATGCTGAAATTATCCAGGAAAAAGAAAAACAGTTACAGGAATTAAAACTCAAGGTTTCTGATTTGTCAGACACGAGATGCAAGTTAGAGGTTGAACTTGCGTTGAAGGAAGCAGAAACTGATGAAATAAAAATTTTGCTGGAAGAAAGCAGAGCCCAGCAGAAGGAGACCTTGAAATCTCTTCTTGAACAAGAGACAGAAAATTTGAGAACAGAAATTAGTAAACTCAACCAAAAGATTCAGGATAATAATGAAAATTATCAGGTGGGCTTAGCAGAGCTAAGAACTTTAATGACAATTGAAAAAGATCAGTGTATTTCCGAGTTAATTAGTAGACATGAAGAAGAATCTAATATACTTAAAGCTGAATTAAACAAAGTAACATCTTTGCATAACCAAGCATTTGAAATAGAAAAAAACCTAAAAGAACAAATAATTGAACTGCAGAGTAAATTGGATTCAGAATTGAGTGCTCTTGAAAGACAAAAAGATGAAAAAATTACCCAACAAGAAGAGAAATACGAAGCTATTATCCAGAACCTTGAGAAAGACAGACAAAAATTGGTCAGCAGCCAGGAGCAAGACAGAGAACAGTTAATTCAGAAGCTTAATTGTGAAAAAGATGAAGCTATTCAGACTGCCCTAAAAGAATTTAAATTGGAGAGAGAAGTTGTTGAGAAAGAGTTATTAGAAAAAGTTAAACATCTTGAGAATCAAATAGCAAAAAGGTAAGAATTAAGTTTAGTCTGTAATTATAAAATTAAAATATCAGTGATTCGTTTGTGTGTAATCACAGTACCTTGATTTACTCATTTACCTTGGGTAAATGTAGCAACTAGGGTATTTTCATGAAGTAAAAACTTACTTTTTAGTCAGTGTTTCTTGCAAACAGAAATAACAGACTAAATCCATGAGTGGCTTTTAAAAAATGAATCAGCAGTTTGGATTTTCAGAGAAATTTTTTGTTGAAAGTTTGAAATGTTTTAAAGAGCTCTTTGTTTTTCCTTTTTTAATTCATAAGTTTCTCTCTTGATTTATTTGCAGTTTTTTTCTAAACTCTTCAGTAGAAAATTACTTATATTCTCTTTAAATTTAGTATATATATTAAAGACTAAAATTTTGTTCTGTATATTGTTTACTAAAGGCTAAATCATAGGAACATGTAGAGTGTTCCTTATTGTTATTTTCTTAATACAGTTTCAGTTATTTCCTCTGTGCTTGAAAGATGTTTTTAAACTGCAGGTTTGATACTGTGGTTGTGGATTGGTGGTGTTTTTACATGTTTATTATTGTTACTGTCTGATATTACTGCCTTTTGATCACAGAAGATGGTTTTTAGTATTTTTACTTTTAATCTGGGTTTAATTGGGTTTTGTGACCCAGTAAACAGTTTCTAGAACATAATTAATATGTCAATTCATTCTATCATGAATTCTCCAAGTGAATACATATATATTTCAACCTGTGTCTTGCCTTATCACTTTTATACAATCTCTTGTGATTGTCTGCTCTATAATACTCATATATTGGTATACTGTTAAACCTCCCCTTTTGGCTTAAAATTAGAAGCTCTTTAGGTATTCTGGGGGAGGGGGCATTAGAGGGTTTAATAGAGGAATTAGGGTTTGCATGTATGTTTAAAAGCTGGATGAGAGAAGGTTAACAGAGTCACTGCCAAAGGCCAGGAGAGCTTGTCAAAGAGAATCAGAGATGGACAGTACTTAAAGCAGTAAAAACAGATTATATTCAGACACTATTGCAGTATGGAAAATAGACCTCATTATAGAACTAGGCTCAATTCTGAATACAGCATGAACAAGTTGAGATTTATAGCTAAGGAGGGTAGGGGTCAGTGGATGGAAAATTACTAAGAGGAAACATAAGGAATAAGGGGAATTTTGGTTAAATTGATCTAACAGGATTCTTACTGAAGGCAGGCCAGGGCAATAAAATACCAAGGGTGGGGACGATAATTTGTTCAGATATTGATGGAGAGATACTCTCTAAACTGAGTTAGCAAGACACTTGATACAGCTGGACAGCGTAGGCCCAAGAAGAATAGATGTCAAGGTCGAAGCCTAGAGGAGCCTGATTGAAGTTTAGTTCAGGAGAGCCCTTTTCAAGCTCAAAGTGAAATAAGAGGAAAACAGAGGCTGAAGCACCCATGAAAGCTGATGGTTCTCCATGGCTCACTGGGAAGCTGCTACAAGATTCAAGAATCTCTTCAAAGCACCAGTCTGACTCAATCTGCATCACAAAATGGATAGTTCTCAGTTACTTGCCAGGAAGCTACTGTGAAACTGCATCTGGCTACAGCCACCTCTGGAGAATAAACCTGTGCTGCTTTTCTGCCTTCCAAAACCTTGCACATCTTCTTTTCATTGGCAAACTGGAAGCTATACCTGGGATTTTGGGAAATGTTGGATCTCTGTATTGCAGTGCATATGAGATCATAAAAGAGGAGCAAGGGCAAAGCCTATGGAATACTAGACAGTCCAGCACTTTATACCCCATTTAAAACTCAGCATTTAGACAGATAAATGTCTTTTGCCCATATTGAGCTTCCAAATAAAGACACTTAAAATAGGAAACAGCAGTTGGATTGAAGACACCACCTGAAGAAATTCATTAAAATCCATTGTTTGTCTCCATGTCTTCTGGACAGGACACATACTTAATGTTGAATAAGAACATGGTAGAAACCTCCCTCCCCTGTGTCGTGAAGTGAGAGTTTTAGGAATTTTACTTGGCCTTTTCTACCATAATAGTCCTTGTTCCACGAGTAAGGGAAGCAACATGGGGATTCTGCCAGTTTCTTCTGTCTATTCCAGTAACGATTCTGGATCTAAGGATGTACAGGGTGAGTATCCCAAATCCAACATGCTCCAAAATCTGAAACTTTTTGAGCCCTGACATGATGCTTAAAGGAAATGCTCATTGGATCATTTTGGATTTTGGATTTTCAACATTTGAGATATTCAGCTGGTAAATATAATGCAAATATTCCAGAATCTGAAATTCAGACCACTTCTGCTGCCAAGCATTTCCGATAAGGGTTATTCAGCTTGTTCCTGTCTCGATGAGGGAACCATTGGGCCCAAACTCTGTCACATGAGCACCAATAATCTCCTCCTCCTAGTGGACCACAGTCACTTCAGTCTTCTCAGAGCCAGTGTTTGGGTGAAGGTTAGAATTCTCTTGGTAAGTTAAGCCTCTGAATACTAGATCTAGAGTTTTCTGTTTTGTCTTGTTTTTACAGTTTTAGTAGGTCTTTAACCGGTTCATTCTATTAGGGCCTACGGACAACCACTACCACAGATTTCTCTGGGTCAAAACCTTCTAATTACTGCTCTGGCTCTGTTGCTTGTGATAGAGCCACATTATGTTTCTGGTGGTGAAGTGCCACTAACTGGCCTCTGCCACTCCAGAAGCCTGTCATTCCCATTAAATTCATTGAATTTCAGTGTTCTCATCTCCCTCTGCTGTTTCCTGCAGAGCACCACTACAGAGCCTTTTAAGCTTGTATTTTGCAAAGCCTTGGTAAAGAACATATTCTCTGGGACCTCTGAGGGTATAAGTAATAAATCCCTTCCAGTATACCTGCCTTTGGATGCCTTCCTTGTAGATCAGGAGTCAGCAAACTTGTTTTTTTGTTTGTTTTTTGTTTGTTTGTTTTTTGAGACGGAGTTTCGCTCTTGTTACCCAGGCTGGAGTGCAGTGGCGTGATCTCTCTTCACCACAACCTCTGCCTCCCAAGTTCAAGCAATTCTCCTGCCTCAGCCTCCTGAGTAGCTGGGATTATAGGCATGTACCACCACGCCTGGCTAATTTTGTATTTTTAGTAGAGACAGGGTTTCTCCATGTTGGTCAGGCTGGTCTCGAACTCCTGACCTCAGGTGATCCACCTGCCTCAGCCTCCCAAAGTGCTGGGATTATAGGCATGAGCCACCACGCCTGGCCAGCAAACTTGTTTTTTAAAGGTCCAGATAGTAAAAATTTTAGCATTTGCAGGTCACACACAGACTTATTCATATAATCTGTGTGCATGCGTGTTTACCATCTTTTAAATATGTGAAAAACAAGAACAGTGGCTCTCTAACTTCTGTCACAGTATCTTTTTACGCTCTCAAAAATTGACTCCAGACTGATTTTGTTCATAGGGATTATGTCAGTATTTCTGTACTAAAAATTAATGGCAAGAAATTGAAACTTAGTCATTTTCAAATAACCTCATTACATGGTGGCATACATAAGACTTTTTTTTTTTTTTTTTTTTGAGACAGAGTCTTGCTCTGATGCCCAGGCTGGAGTGCAGTGGCGCAATCACGGCTCACTGCAACCTCCCAGGTTCAAGTGATTCTCCTGCCTCAGCCTCCCGAGTAGCTGGGACTACAGGTGCGTGACACCACGCCCAGCTAATTTGTTGTATTTTTAGTAGAGATGGGGTTTCGCCATGTTAGCCAGGATGGTCTCGATCTCCTGACCTTGTGATCTGCCCACCTCGGCCTCCCAAGTGCTGGGATTACAGGCGTGAGCCACCATGCTTGGCCATACATAAGATTTTTTAATAAAAACTTTCTGAAATGAAAACTAGTTAGAAGAGTACCATTGTTCTATGTATTTGCAAATCTCTTAAGTTTTGATTGAAGTATATGAAAAAAAATCCAACCTTATGCTGAATGCAATTGGAAAAGGAAAGGAATATTTAAATAGCCTTTTCAGATGATTGTCGATATTCTTCTTTGTTACTAAATCAAAATTCAGCAAGTGGTAATTTCTGAACATTAGTTTTTATTGTGGAATATGCAGCTATTAGTGGATTTTCTCATAATCTTAACATTTATTGGTACATCTCTTGTACTTTTTTACTCATGCATGATTTTATAGCGTCATGAGTTGGTCATTTGGAAAACACGAGTTCACGGAGTTAATGCAGATCTTCCAAATGTTAACATATTTTAGAGCTAGTAGTTTTTACTATTCAAGAATATTCTAAGAAAAAACAGCCTCCCCTTTTTCCTCCCCACTTTGAGTGCTTTGTGGTGAAAGAAAACGACTACAAGTAAAGTTTGGTGCTAATGGCTTTAATTTGTGTTCAGGTACCAGCAGTTTGATCATCAGTGCCAATATCAACAAGGTGAAAAAGGCAACACTTGGTGTTACTATGAAAACAGTTCTGACTTCACTTGTCCTCTGAATGTGTTTGGTTAACCCCAGGCTTCTATGGATCACTCTTTGGGAATCATTAGCCTAAAGAAATGGTTGGCAAACTTTTATAAAGGCCCAGATAGTAAGTAGTTTAAGTTTTGTGGGCCAAATGGCCTCTATCCAAACTACCCAACTGTACCATTTTAGCAAGACAGCAGTGAGACTATATAAATGAATGGTTTTGGCTGTGTTCCGCAAAAAAGCGGATTGGATTTACCTGCCCTTGATCTAGAGTATCTCATTTTGCCATCTCATTTTCATTTAATGTTGGTTATTCTTAAGTCTACTTTCCAGGCAGTCAACTTGGCAAAGTGTTAATAGCCAATATTGAGTCTGGAATCTGTGGTCATTACACCCGTATAAATAATTTTGGCCTCACTCCACATTGTCCCTCCTCTTGTAACTGTCATTAGATCTATTCCCATATGTATTTTCCATTTTTCTGCCAAAATATATTAAAGATTCTGTAATTGCTTTGCAATTCCTTCTTTGTTAGATTTTTAACTCTCCAGAGATCTGGCAATTTGAGTGTAGCAATGAGTATGGAAGTAATTAAATGGTGGGAGAGGTTGTTGAAAAGGATCATCTCATTGAGAAGAGGACTACCTCAAGTGAAGGGACACTGATTTCCTCAGACAAGGTAGAAAAAGGCTGTTGCTTCCAGGAAGGAAGGTTTGGTGGGATTTGGAGGCACAGCTGGGACATGTCTCAAAGCCTTGCCTTCCTTAGTCACTGGTTTTTCAAACAACTACAAGTGTGTACTGTTATGCCATGTACTGCCCTGGTTTTCCAGTGTTCTATTTTGCACTGGCACTGAGGTCATTACTGCTTTCAGATCAGAGAATTAATCTCAGTTTCCATGTTTTATGGGATTTTTTTTTCCTCTAGAGTCATTTTTTTGTATCAGGATTGAGCTTATAAAACAACCACTTTTAAATATTTCAGGATTAAAGGGATTAATACTAGATTTAGAGTTTACATGAATGTTGGGAGAACTAGGAGACTGGATAGTAATCTGGTGAAGGCCAAGAGATCTATAATAGAAAGTCATCTGAAGCACCAAAGTTGGTGGCTTAGGAAACTGATACAGTTCTTTGAAGACTTTCGTCAGTTGTCTACCAAGACCCCCAAACAGGTGGTTTACTTGGAAGTCTCTTACGAATCTCACATTGCCCACATGTTTGGCTACAACCACCTCCAGAGTCTCTCTCTTCAGCATCCCAGGTCAGGTGTGGGTATCTTGCATTGGCAATCTCAAACATAGAACCTACCGAGGAGGGAATTCTGGATAATATCCCTGGCTTCTCTGTCATGCAGAGGAAACCTTTGAAGAAGAAAGATGCTTATGTGAGGACACACAGTCCGGCATATTTCCCTTTCACCACTTGGTTCTACATATGCCAGAAGCAACACTGAGGGGCCAGCTGCCAAGGAGAAACATTTCTAAGATATGTATATTAGCTATGTCTGTAGCTCCCACAGTAAGTCAATAAGAAAAAGGCACATAATCTGTTAGAAAAATGGACAGAGGATATGAAGAGATCAAAGAAGAAATACAAATGGCCAACATGTAGATACTGTTCGGTCCACTTGTGATTAAGGAAATGCAAGATCAGAATATCTTCTATTTAATTTGGAATTATTAAAGTTTATATTAGTTTTGAAATGTTTAGTTTTGAAAATATAGGAGAAAGCTTTCTCCTGTACCTTTGTACAAAGAAATAAGAGTGGAACGTGTGTATGTGGTTTGCGTGGGTTGGGAAATCTACCTACTACATGATTGATGGCCTTGCTCCCAGGAAGTAGTGATGTGGATCTGAGTGAGTATGGGTGGGAGCATTTTAATTTTGTAATTCTAATTTCAAAAGAGATTTTTATTTTATTATTTTTTTGAGACGGAGTCTCACTCTGTTGCCCAGGCTGGAGTGCAGTGGCATGATCTCGGCTTACTGCCACCTCTGCCTCCAGGGTTCAAGTGATAGAAGAGATTTTTTTGAAAAAACAGTGAACTAATTGTTTACTAGGCCCCATTTTAATTCAGTCAGTGTTAAGAGTTCAAGCATCAAGACAATCTAGTTTATGTTCAATGTAAATTTTCTAGTTGCTAGAAATATTTGGATATAATACAGTCCTTTGCTAGAACTGACATTTTAATGGTGGGAAAAACTGTCAGCCTTTAGAGATGCCTTTTTTCAAGTTTCCGTGATACTAAAGTTCCCAGCTGGTAACAAATGTATCTGCTTCCTTGAGTTTCAATGTCCAGGCCTCTTTAAAGTATTCAGGTATGCAAAGACAGGATTATGCAAGTTTCTTTTAGTTGGACAACCTTTATTGATGAATTTCTTAGGTTTCTGTGGTAGTGTTGTTAGATTAAATACAGTCATTCCCTCTTGTCTAGTTTCGTTTTATGTGATTTCGCTCTTATGGTTTCACTTACCCCATGGTTCGAAAGTATTAAATGAAATAAACAATTCCTGAGTTTTAAATTGGACACTGTTTTGAGTAGCATGATTTGTCCAGTGTATCCACACTGTGGGCACTCTCCACACATTAGTCACTTGTTAGCCATCTGGGTTATCAGTATTGCAGTCCTTGTGTTCAAGTAACCTTTATTTAATGGCTCCAAAGCACAAGAGTAATGATGTCGACAATTTGGATATGCCAAAAAGAAGCCTTGAAGTGCTTCGTTTAAGTGAAAAGATGAAAGTTCTTGATTTAGTAAGAAAAAAAATCAAATGCTGAGATTGCAAAGATCTACAGTAAGACCCAACCTATCTGTGAAACTGTGCAGGAGGAGCCCATTCATTCTCTTTTTGCCATCACACCTCAAACTGCAAAAGTTAGGACCACAGTGCATATATTGGAAAAAATACAGGGTTTGTTACTATCTACAGTTTCAGGCATCCACTGGGGGTCTCGGAACATATTCCCTGTGGGTAAAGGGGGACTACTGTATTTTTCTAACTGAACTGTGATACGCTGTAACCTTTTCTTCATGACCTCCCTCCCCTCTACACAGCTTCTTGCTCCCCATAGAAAGCTAGGCAGTGATGCTAGTTAAAACACAAAACCTATTTTAGCTGTTAGCCTTTCATTGCTAGGGTTAATTCCCCTGATAGCAGGGCCATTTCAGATCCTAGGGTAATGTAAAATTAAAGTTGTGTGGCGGATAGTCACTTGGAACATTTTCTAATGGGAGCTTCAAACAATATGGCATAGTATGTACTTTTGGCCGGATTAATACAGCCACAAGAAACCTGTCTTCAGTACAGGATAATGATTATTTTTCATGTCATAACCTGTGCAATCTTTGCTTTTACTTTGAGTCAGTAAATGAGATACCCTATGCTAATCATCTAGTGTTCTTATTCTGGTTTTGGGGATATGGTGTTTACAGAGAGTGTCAGGGGTGTCTATATCTGTTTGTGTACCTGGAACTGTGTCCTCTTGTCCCTGTATTATCTCAGCACAGCACTGACCCTGAAATGGAGTACCCCAAGCAATCCAAAGATGCAGGACACCTAGAAATTATAAGTACTGCCTGTGCATGGCCTCCCCTTCCTCTCTTGCACAATTTGAACCACACTTTTTCTAGTACAATTCTAGGATCCTTTATCATGTTGAAAGCTCTCCTTCAGGCTTCTTTACTGTGCCACATTTCTTACTAATATCCTTTCTCACAATAGTCTTTTCAAAGCCTAGATTCACACGATATCATTCTCTAGACCAAACCTTTCAATGACTTTATATGGTACTTGCAATAAAATTCATAACCTTTACTGTTCACTATCTGTCCTTCACATCTCCAACCTCAGTGCTCTCTTGATTTCCTCCTTAAAACCTGGCCTTATTTTTTATTCCTAAAAGTTTCAGCTTACCTTAGAACTGTGGAGATTTCTTCAAGGAAGAAATCGGCCAAGCAGGATTCTTTGTAAACCCTGCCTATACCTATTTTTATCCCAAGCACTTCATTATTAGTAGTCTGAGTCTCTTTGTAAGTCTCTTTGTGTTCCTTAGTAAGCCTTTGATTTATGTAGTATGTCAGTTTTCCAGCCATGGAGTAGTTTAAACTTGCACATCCCCCTCTTCTTCAGCCCCAAAGGAGAAACTTTAAAAGTAAATCCTTCGCCTTAATTAATTATATTATGGAATATATATTCCTTCCTTTAATTAACTATATTATGAAATAGGGGATTCCTATTCCAGCCTTTCTGGGAACTAAGTAAGGAGTCTCAGACTTTGATAGAGATATTATGTTTCAAACTGCATATTCTGCATTTGGCTGTATAAAGCTATCCCTTTGGAGGAAAGGTTATCTGAGCAGCAAGTTTAAGTTATTAGATTTTTATCAGGAAATTTGGAAGCATGAATAAAAGGATTCCAATAATTTTTTGTATGATTATTGATATAGTGTATTCTTGTCATATAATTAGATGAGGAAATTACATAAGAAACATGTAGAGTGAACATTTTAAATACATGCCCATATTAATTGCAGAACACACCCTGATTTCAAAAACATTAAAATATCATTTAAAAACAAAGAGGGACATTTAAGCCTAAAAATTGACCTGGTAAAGTGGTTTTTAGTAACAGCAACTTTTTGAGGCTTAGCATGTTTTAATACTAATGGGATTTTTCATCTGCTTCTTGGAGAAACCTTTTTTTAATGCTAAGGATTAAGTTGAAAGTAGATAAGATTAATACTTAGAAGTTATAATTAGAAGTTAATGAGTTATTAATTAGAAGTTAAACTAATCATTAACCAGTGTTTGTTCATTTCTTCTTACATTGTCCTATTCTCATCTCTAGCACTTTGTCAGCAACCCCTAAGAGGTTAGTAAGTCTTGAGGAAAATGAGTATGAGTTCAGGAATATGTAGATTTGTTCGTGTAAGCGCTTTTCAGTTTTAGCTTTGTGTTACCTACTTGCTAGCAGAAATGAACCAAAGACTATTTTATGGAAATTAAAGCATTTCAACATATGCAATCTTTAGGTGTTTCTTTTTTCCTAAGTCATTGTGTAAATTTCATGTATAGGAATAGCAAAACTGACATTTGAAGTTGAGTTTACCTATCTCTTATGTGTATAGTCCCTTACCAGAAAATACTTTTTCCTTATGTTGCCCAGGCAGGATTTGAACTTCTGGGCTCAAGCAGTTCTCCTACCTCAGCATGCACCACTGTGCTTGGCTGTTGTTTTTTTTTGTTGTTTGTTTGTTTGTTTGTTTAAGAGACGGGGTCTCACTTTGTTGCCAGGCTGATCTCAAACTCTTGGACTCAAGTGATCCTCCCGCCTGGGCCTCCCAAAGTGCTAGGATTACAGGTGTGAGCCACAGAGCTCGGCCAAAGAATAAAAGAATGGCTACTCCATGGGCAGAGCAGCCTCTTGATTTTTATGTATGTTGATATAAGCAAATTATCTGGAATTTATCTGCTATACTGATAAAAATCAGTAAACCTTGTTAGTGTCAGCATCTAATCTGTATTAAACTTTTACTTATTTCCCTTTACTTTTTAGATTCAAAGAGAGGGTTCACACAGATATCTTTCATGCTACATTATTGAGCTTAAGGAAGATAAATTTCCCAAATATGATATTTGGTATATTTGTGTGTCTGTAATTTTTTTTTTAATTTAATGCTGTATTTAATTTGTAAGTCCTGCCATTGACTCTACCAGAGGAGATTCTTCAAGCTTAGTTGCTGAACTTCAAGAAAAGCTTCAGGAAGAAAAAGCTAAGTTTCTAGAACAACTTGAAGAGCAAGAAAAAAGAAAGAATGAAGAAATGCAAAATGTTCGAACATCTTTGATTGCGGAACAACAGGTCTGTATCTCTTTTCCCATTTCATTTGAGAACTAAAGAAGGTAGACATAAATTAACAAATATAATTTCTTTATGTAGCTGAGGGTTTCTTATATCTTAGATGTGATGTTCCTTACATTGATCCTGTTAATAAATTTCCTCTTGACAAAAGCGTGTATTTTTAAGAATTTTTTTTAGTTTTTTTACTCATCTGGAGAATAATATTTTTCATGTTAACATGTCACATGACAATACCAGGTGCTTCAAAATGAGATAGTCTTAGATTAGAAGCGAGGGAATGTAAATTCTGTTCCTGGTTTCTTCGCTACCTATGTGATCTTGGGTAGATCATTTAACCTCTTGAGAACTAAGATTAGTTTTCTATGAAATGATGTTTTTAATTTAAAAAATGATTTTATTTTTTCTCTAAGCTTCAAATTCTCTAAACTTTGTTATCCTAAATTACATTCAGATCAACATAAATATCTTACCCTTTCTGTAATTCTTATCCTTCTGATAGGCTGGTGGTAGATTAAGATGGAATATTATTGAATTTTGTTAATGTACTTACTGTTGTTGGTCAATAGTAAGAGGTAGTGCTTGTGAAGTATATTGGGGTTAGATAAAAAACCAGATGCCTTGTTAGAGAGCTTGTACTTTACCTAAAGTACCGGACAGCAACTAATTACAATGGCATAATTAGATTTATGCTTAATGAAGATCACCCACTGGAACATGGAGAAAGATTGGAGAACTGCAAAGCAGTCAGCTGGAAGAGCAATTTGGTAGCTACTGCTAGAATTCAGGCCAGGGATAATATTGCAGTTTGGGGTATACATTTTGAGGGATACATTTCTGAAACTGCATATTTATGGTTATTGTACACATGTAATATTATGTGGTATTTTTCCTTTTCCTAAAATGTTATGATTAATTAGTGTCTTTGTGGAATTTGAAAAAATGTAAATCAGAGAACAGAAAGAAAATAAAGTATAGTTGAAACCTCTAACAATTTTAGATTTTTAAGGCCTAGGGAAAGAAAGAAGAGCCTGGGAAAAGGGAATGAGAAAAGCACAACCAGAAAAAAAAGTGTGTGGCTTAAGGGAAGCCAAGGAAAGTTAAGTGTTCAGGGAGGAGGAATAGCCAAGTTTTAAGTAAGAATTAACAATGAGGAGGTCAGTAGTAACCTCTCTCTAAGAATCTGGATTTATAGATTCTTCTCTATGATTCATTCTGCATATTGATCTCTTTATCTCCTTGTGTTGCATTGTCTCTTTGTGTGTTCTCTTATAAGCACATGTACAATTTCTAAAATTAAGTAAAGAATGAATTAACTGAAACCAAAAGTATAGTATTGACAGCTGTCTAATTTACTTCTTCATGTTTTGATGTCTCTTTTAATATTTATAAAATAAGAGTGGGAGAAATGACTTCTAAGGTACCTTCCAATTTTCCATGATGTGTATGTTAAGTTGTATTTATTTAAGGTTATTTGTACCTAGCTCTGTATAGGTGATTTCTGAGTTGGAACTAATTGGTTCTTAACTAGCCCCCTTTTTTCATATGCCAATTACAAATTGTGATCTTCCTAAAAATTCATTTCAAATTACAGAAATGGCAAAAATCATGAAAATAAACATAATGGTTTATATGTTTTTGTGTTTATTTTCTATATATAAATAAAATACATAGAGATGGCTTAATACAAAGCCATATCATAAATGTTTCTTTTTGAGAGATCTTCCTGTATGCTTTGTGGCCAGAAATTGTATTTAATTAAATATTTAATGAATTTATTAAAATTTTATTAAAAATGCTGTATTACTTTTCCTAAATCTCCCTATTGCCAGCATTGTTAGCATTATTCATTGATCCAAGGACCGTAGAGCTCTTAAAATTTTGGAATTAGAAATGCTGGGCAGATGAGAAGAGTCAGTTTAGATCATTTCATCATTCATCTATTGCTTTTACATTTCAAGAAGCTCAAAAATCTTGTAAGTAAATTTTTTTTTTTTTTTTTTTTTTTGCCTCTTAGAGACAGGGTCTTACTCTGTCATTCAGGCTGGAATTCAGTGGTGCAATCATGGCATGCTATAACCTGGAACTCCTGGGCTCAAGCAGTCCTCCCTCCTTAGCCTCCCGAATGGCTGGGACTACAGGCATGTGCCACCACACCCAGATAATTTTTGTAGAGACTCGATCTTGTGTTGCTCAGGCTGGTCTCAAACTCCTGGGCTCAAGCAGTCCTCCCACCTCAGTCTCCCAAAGTGCTGAGATTACAGGCATGAGCCACCAAGTCCGGCCTAAGCAAAATTTTTATACAGATTCAGTCATCTTTATTAAAGAAACTGTGCAGTTAAAATTGCCAGATTGTCTCATGAGATCCATGCAGGCAGTTGGATATGTGAGCTTCATAGTAGAGTTTATAAAAGTGGGGGAGTAATAAGTCTAGCCAATATAAATCAGCATTCCAGTGACCATTGCAGATATCCAAATAAGAGAAATAAGGAAGATAGAGTCATATCTAAAATGTTAGGGTGGTGATCAAATGCTAAAGACAAAAGGAAGGTTTCAGAGGCAGGATGATTACTCCAGGAAAAAAGTAAGTGTCTAACAGCACTCTAAGTTATTGATGCTTCTAATTCTTCAAAATTTCAAAATCTCTGACAGTAAATATATGGACAATAATAAGAAAATAGGATTTGCTTTCAAGAGACTTAAATTGGAACCAAGAAAGTAGAACCTTTGCCACAGTATGTTACATTTTCATTTTTAAAACATTTCATGAATCATACCCCATCATCTCCATGTACAAATGTGCCACAGAAAAGAATATTTGCAAGTGTATTTTCTAAGTCCTAGCTGCTAAGTACATGTAGATAAATTTAAATAATTATTCTCTTGTTCCAGACCAATTTTAACACTGTTTTAACAAGAGAGAAAATGAGAAAAGAAAACATAATAAATGATCTTAGTGATAAGTTGAAAAGTACAATGCAGCAACAAGAACGGGATAAAGGTTTGTACTGTTTTGTACTATTTTTTTTAATTTTTTAAAGTGGAAAAGATACATTCATGCAAAGTGGTTTTTTTAATTACATGATACTTTTTTAAATTTGGGTGTCCTTCAGATTTGATAGAGTCACTTTCTGAAGATCGAGCTCGTTTGCTTGAGGAAAAGAAAAAGCTTGAAGAAGAAGTCAGTAAGTTGCGTAGTAGCAGTTTTGTTCCTTCACCATATGTAGCTACAGCCCCAGAACTTTATGGAGCTTGTGCACCTGAACTCCCAGGTGAATCAGATAGATCCGCTGTGGAAACAGCAGATGAAGGAAGAGTGGATTCAGCAATGGAGACAAGCATGATGTCTGTACAGTAAGTATGGCTGTTTTCAACTGTTTTTAAGGCTGTTGCAATTCCATGAGTTATAAAGCTCTGAAGAGAGGAAATATTTTTAGCATTACTGGTTGTCCACAGCCCATGTATCTGAAAGTTGTGCTATTTTAATTCTTTAAACTGTAAGTGTGAGAAAACATTACTGAATGAATTATTTTGGGGTACTCTCATACTATACAAAGTATGTGCACCAGAATTATCCCATACTGCCAAGATAAGGATCATGGCAGTAGTATTGAGCCATTCTTATTTACAGGGAATGTTGACATTTTGGGGTCCATTACCTATAAAGGGGTTATTGTAGTAATGAATATATTCATTTTGGTGAGGAAAAGCAGGGAAGGGTTTTTTATTATTATTATTATTATTTGTTTATTCATATATAGCAAATGTTTACTGCATTACATTGAAATCGTGGCAGAGCTTACTGGAATTTAGAACTTTCTTACCAGTTCTCCTTTGAATATAGTGAAAGACCACTAAAATTGTGCTTACAATTATATCTATGGGAGAGACAGAATTGGGAGGAGAAAGTGCTCCTCTCCAAAGGACGTTGCAAGTAGAGTTTGCATTTCTAGTTGCACCTCTGGGATTTCAGATATGGGAACTGAGATTCCAAGGGCAGAAAGTCCAGATCATTATGCCACACAAAGAATTATGCCCAGTGGGTCAGTGAACACTACACCCCCATGTGAGATGAAGTAATTCGAACAAGTGATTACCAAAAGATATCATAGAATCAGCGTGGTCCCCTCGTTCAAACAGATCCAGGTTCAAGTCCTGAGTCTAGCACCTGCTTGGGAACTTGAGCAAGTCATCATCCCTTATTTTTCCATCAAGATAACAGTTATGATAACAAGACAACAGTTATGATACACCAGCAGGGTTGCTTTGGGCATTAATATTTTATTTTATTTTATTTTAATTTTTTTTTTTTTTTTTTTTGAGATGAAGTCTCACTCTTATCCCCCAGGGTGGAGTGTGATGGCACAATCTCGGCTCACTGCAACCTCCGCCTCCTGGGTTCAAGTGATTCTTCTGCCTTAGCCTCCTGAATAGCCGGGATTACAGGCGCCTGCCACCACGCCTGGCTAATTTTTGTATTTTTAGTAGAGACGGGGTTTCACCATGTTGGACAGGCTGGTCTCGAACTCCTGACCTCAGGTGATCCACTCACCTCAGCCTCCCAAAGTGCTGGGATTACAGGTGTGAGTCATCGCGCCCGGCCAGGCATTAAATTTAATGAGCACCCGTGAGAAGGTGTGGTACACAGTAAGAAACCAGTAAGTGCAGGGTCCTTCGTACCCCACCCCTGCCCACTCAGAGGAACGCAGTTAGTTGCATCTTCATATAAGCCCATTATCTGCCTGACCTTTGAGAAACTTTGGTAGGGGAGTTTTTTGTTTGTTTGTTTTTGAAAAATAAAATTACTTAGGTTTCTGTCTGGTTGAAAGGAAAATAATAGAAACTGGTTACCTTTAGACTTTGAAAGGTATAAGGCTTAAGAATGTATATTAAAAATAAAATAGAACAAAAAAAGTAATTCAAAAAAGCAAATCAAGAAAACATGGTTAAGCAAATCAAGAAAACATGGTTATTTAGCAAACATGAATGACATAAATATGTCCGGACATGTGTGAAAAAAGTGAACCACCGTATGAAAACCTCTTTAAAAAAATATATCCAACTTCATTCTACATATAGGAGAGGTACCTAGAGCCAAATGATACAGAAAGTTTACTATAATATGATTCAGAAAGATATAGAAGGGAAAAATATAAAAGCAATTCAAAGCAAAAGGCTTTAAAAAGCTTTAGGAATTTAAGGCTTTTTTGATTGACACATAAATTATACATATTTATGGTTTACAGTGTGATGTAGTTACATGTGTACATTCAAATTAGAGTAATCCATCACCTCAAACGTTTATCATTTCTTTATGGTGAGAACATTCAAAATGCTCTTTTCTAGCTATTTTGAGATAGCGCAGTACATTATTGAACACCAAAACTTATTCCTCCTATCTGGCTGTAGCTTTGTACCCGTTGACCAACCTCTCCTCATCTCCTCTCCTCTGTACTCTCCCCAGCCTCTGGTAACCACTATTCTGCTCTCTGCCTCCATGAGATAAACTTAAGATTCTGCATATTAGTCAGATCATATGTAGGTTTTTTTATAAATATGAAAATTGAGTTATTCAGAACCAAAGTATCAAAAACAGATATGACGAAAGTGGTACTCTGAGAGAACTGTGTAGTTCCTTTATTTTTAAATGAATTAATAAAAACAAATGAGCCACAATAAAATAAAAGTTGTTTAGTAGATATTGGGATAAATAGAAGGTACAAATAAATATATGTAATGAAAAGAGGGACATAACCTTAGTTATAGTTTTAAAAATTACAGAGAACATGATACAAGTTAATCTCACCTGTGAATTATAAATACAAGGAATCCTGAAGACAATTTTAGCTTATCAAATGCCTTGTGGTTTTATGATGATATAGTCATCATGACCCAGTGGAGTATTTTAGGAATGCCAGAGTAATAACTAAACAGTACAATACCTAACCATACTCACTGATTACTTGAGAAGGTTTATAGAGTCATGTCAGTAGAAGCTGAAATGACAATTGATATAATGCAGTGCCCATTTATTTAATAATTTAACAAAATCCTTAGCAAACTAGGAGTAGATGGGAACTTCTTTTTATTTGTAAGTATATGGGAGAGACATAGCAAGCATCGTATTTCATATTGAAACATTTAGAAGTATTTTTCATAAATTCAGGAAGAACACAATGCCAGCTGTCACCATTGCTATTCAGCAAGACAATAAATAAAATTTGGAAACAACTTTTTCTGTCCTCATTTTCAGACAGTATCCTTTACAAACCACAAAGACCTAAAGACATATTAGAATTAACAGAGTACATCAGAGTGTAGATCATAGATATATCCAAAGAGGAGTAGTTTGCATATTTACCAGCAAAAGCTGACTTTAATATGTATAAAAGATCCCAATAAAAATTTAAAGGAATAACTTACTTGTAATTAATTTAACAAAAATGCGCAAGACTTCGTGAAGAAAACTAATTTTATGAAGAGGCCTGAAAGCTGTACGTGGAAAGATAGATGGAAATGGAGTATTATTAAGATATCATTTTTCTCCTCAGATGTATTCAGTGATTTAATCTATTACTCAATTAAAATTCTAACAATATGTTAGGTTAAAAAGTGATGTTTGATGCTAGAATTCATATTGAAAAATGTGTAAAAATAATTGATAGCATTTCTAAATAAAGATCAGAGAGTAGAGATTTGTCCTGCTAGGTGTTAAGATATAGTCTTAAACTACATAGATAGTATTTAATGCAGTACATTATTGGTATAGCCACAGGCAAATAGATTAATAGAGTTAGTAATCTTGAAACAAACCAGTGGATATATATGGAAATCTACATGTAGCATTTTAAATCAGTTTGGTAAAAGGATGGACTCCTCAGAATGGGACATTAGAGGCATTGTTGATCTATTGGTGAGAGGTGAGCCATATTTTACATTGTATATATAAACAAAATGATAGATGTAGTAAAGACTAAATTTTTTTTTGAACTTACAGAGTTTCTTAAAGAAAATAAAAGACTACTCTGAAATCAGAGTAGGAGAGCACTTGGAAAACAATAATCAATATTACATTGAAATTTAAAGCTTGAGTACAACAGAAAACAAACAGCAGAAGTCTGGTGGTTAATATTTTTAATAAATAAAAGATAAAAACCAAACTTTTAAATAATGCCAGTTTTTTATAATCTCTTTTAAAAAATAGGAGAGAACTCTTCCCAACTTATCCTCTGAGGCCAGTATTATATACTAATACCAAATCAGACAAATATATCAAAAGAAGAAAATACATCTTCTATAACTATTGACACAAATATTATCGGCAAAATACTAATAGATCCAGTCTGGCAGAATACAAAAGGAATTCCAATTGGCTTTATTTCAGAAATGCAAGGTTGGTTTAACATCTAAAAGTCAATTTATGTCATACACTATATCAGTAGAATGAAAGGACAGAAAAACACATGATTATCTCAATAGATGAAGAAAAAGCATTTGACAAAACCCAACAGCCTTTCATCATAAAAACACTCAACAAACTAGGAATTGACTTCCTCAACCTATTGAAAGGCATCTGTGAGAACCCACAATTAACATCATACTCAATGGTGTAAGACTGAATGCTTTTCCCCTAAAATCAAGATGAAGATGGCCTGCTCTTGCCACTGCTGCTCAACATTGTACTTGGAAGTTCTATCACGGGCACTTAGGCAAGAAAAAGAAATTAAAGGCATTGGCCAGGCGCAGTGGCTCATGCCTGTAATCCCAGCACTTTGGGAGGCCAAAGTAGGCAGATCACCTGAGGTCAGGAGTTCAAGATCAGCCTGGCCAACATGGTGAAACCCAGTCTCTACTAAAAATAGAAAAATTAGCTGGGCATGGTGGTGGGCACCTGTAATTCCAGCTACATGGGAGGCTGAGACAGGAGAATTGATTGAACCTGGGAGGCAGAGGTTGCAGATTGCGACCCTGCCCTCCATCCTGGGTGACAGAACAAGACTCTGTCTCAAAAAATAAATATATAAATAAATAAATAAATAAATAAATGCATCTAGATTGGTAAGGAAGAAAAAACACTATTTGCATACATAGCCTGATCTTTTATTGAGAAAATCCTAAGGTCTCCTCTAAAAAAATACTGTAATTAACAAACTAGTTCAGTAATGTTGGAGGATACAGGTTCAGTGTGCAAAAATCAATTGGAGCTGGCTGTGGTGGTGCACAGCTGTGGTCCCAGCTACTCAGGAGGCTGAGGCAGCAGGATCCCTTGAGCCTAGGGGTTTGTGAACAGGGATGACATAACAAGACCCTGTCTCTTAAAAAATTGTCATTCTTTCTACTAGCAATGAATCATCCAAAAATGAGATTTAAAAGACAGTTTCTTTTCTGATGGCATCAAAAAGGTAAAAATACTTAGGAATAGATTTAACAAAAGAAGTTCAATACTTGTACAAATTACAAAACATGGAAAAAAGTTAAGACAGTAGGGCATCCTGTGTTTACTGACTGGAAGACTTAATCGCCTTAAGATGGTAGCCCTCCCCAAATTGGTCTGCCAGTTCAACACAATTCTTATCGTAATCTGAACTGTGTTATGTTGCAGAAAAGGGCAGGCTGATCCTAAAATTCATATGGAATTGCAAGAGTCCCAAAATAGCCAAAGCAATCTTGAAAAATAACAAAGTCTCACACTGTTTGACTAATCTTAAAATTTGTAAGCAAGGGTAATAAGACACTGTAGTGCTAGCCTGACTGTATCAGTGGAATAGAATTGAGAGTCCAAAATTAGCCCTCGTATTCATGGTCGGTTGAACCCTTGCATTTTGGTTAAAGGTGCTGAGACGGTTCCGTGAAGGAAATAGCTTTTTCAGCAAATGGTGCAGGGATAGCATAGCTGGATATTCTGATGCAAAAGGATGAAGTTGGACCCTTTCCTCACCATATGCGCAGGTTGACTTAAATAGATCATAGACTTAAGTGTAAAAGCTAAAATTATAAAACTCTTACAGAAGTCAATCTTTATGACCTTATATTAGGCAAAGCGTCTTCCTAAAGAAGTAGCATGTTGAAGAAGACAGAATACCTGCCTTGCATCAAGTTACTTGAAATATAATTTGGGGATTATACCTGTAGATGAATTTTAAAACCTAAATAATAATTGTTTTTCTCTTTTCTAATTTTATAGCATTTTTTAAAATTTTCTAATTTGTTTTTGGATGTTTTAGTGTATTGGGCAAATTCACACCTGGCATAGTAACTAGTGAGTACATAGCATCCACTTAGTAAATCTACTGAAGTCTTTAGCCACTCAAGAACTACGACTTTATCATGGATTCACTCACAAATATTAAGAAGAGTGGTTCTTAATGCCTGGGAAAAATAAGAAATTTAAAGACATCTCTAGATAAATGCATACACAGAGTTTTACTTATTATTTCAAAAGGTTTATAGATCTAGGTCTGCTACAGAGAATATACAACATTGAAATTACATGCTAACTGAAATAAGCTACTTTTGAAAATTTATGAAAACCCTTAAATTGTTAAAGTGATCTGTATTAATATTTTAATTTCTAAAATCTTGAAGAATGTAAAGTTTAGAATTTCAAACTGAAACTCAATTATTCTCACTTTTAGAGAAAATATTCATATGTTGTCTGAAGAAAAACAGCGGATAATGCTGTTAGAACGAGTAAGTAAATTATCTTCTTGAAGTACCATGTTTAATATGTTCACTTTTGGATACAGTTAAACTTCATTCTGGAAACATACAATAGACTATTTGTGTTTATAAATTAAGCCTTTTTATGATTAACTTATTTTTGTGGTCACTGTTTTGGGAAGTCTTGTCATTTTATGATCTTACTAGCTAAACAGTTGACAGTATTTCAGCCCTCCCATTTGTTGTAATTTCCCAATGAATGAAGTCTGTATGAGAGGAAAAAGTTGGTAGTTTTTATTAAATCAATGTGTAAAGTAATAGTTTTACCTAATAGTTGAGAATTCAGCAAAATAACATGAATGGCAATTTTAAACATCTATTTCAAAAACAAAGTATTAAATACTTTTTAGAAATTGGCAAAAACAAAAATAAGTAATGAAGGGAGTTATGTTTTAAATAAAGAATTGAAATGGACAAGAAAAAACTGATAATAAAGGGTTTCCTTTATTAAGGGTACTATAAGATCAAATTGGTACACATTTGGCAGATCATTGTTCATAGATTACTTTTCATTCTTTAGGCCTATAAGATTTTCAACAATGCCTTTTTTTCTTTACAAGTGTAATTGTCTGATAAAAATCCAAATTCAGAATTGTACAACTTCATTTGAATATAGCATGTTTTCTATTATGAAAGGGTTATGTGATTTCCTACCTCAGCATAACCTGAGATGTATGTTACAGATGCCAGATGTATTCTCTTAGGCACGACTTAGTTAACAAAGTCTCTGGGGATAGATCTCAGATTTTTACTACATATTTATATATTCCACAGGTGTTTCTAACGCATATTAATGTTTGACAGTCCTTGGTAAATGTATCTAAAATTGCTCTGGTTCTCATTTAAGCTAGTAGATAATGAAAACATTTGGAAAGAATTCATAGAAAATAATATCCCCATCAACTTTTCATACCCGAACCAAACATTTTTGTCTGATGAAAACTTTGACAATCACTGTTTAGATTTATTTGAGTAGGTACAAGGATAAACCACAGGTCTCTTTTTTCCACCTGCAGACATTGCAATTGAAAGAAGAAGAAAATAAACGGTTAAATCAAAGACTGGTAAGATTTTTCTTCTTGGTAAATTGGTCTTAACATTTTTAAATGATTTGCATTATATTTCATTATGAAGATATTCCATCAGAGGATGTATGCTTTGATTGACTTATCTATAGTAGGTTTGTTGGTCCGTGTTGGTCATTGAATCCTATTGATTTTCAGAATGCTGAAGTCAGGCCAGAGTTATCTCCTGACTGTAGAGTCAGACTTTTTCCTTAGCGTGAAATTAAATAATGTCTTGGCGAATTTACGGCTGTAGGTCTGACCAGTTGAAGCACCTAAGATTCTTAAAATCATCAAAATCAGTTTTGAGTTATGTTTCATAAGTCTTTTGAAGATTAATATATTTACTCACAAGTGTGCGTAATTTTAATACATTGTATCTTTTCATGATTTTTTTTTTTTAAGACAGTCTTGCTCTGTAGCTTAGGCTGGAGTGGTGTGATCTCGACTCACTGCAACCTCCACCTCCCGGGTTCAAGTGATTCTTGTGCATTAGCCTCCCGAGTAGCTGGGATTACAAGTGTGCTGCGCCGTCACACCCGGCTAATTTTTACATAATTAATAGAGACAGGATTTCTCCATTTTGGACAGGCTGGTCTCAAACCCCTGGCCTCAGGTGATCTGCGCACCTTGGACTCCCAAAGTGCTGGGAGTTACAGGTGTGAAACATTGCACCCAGCCCTTTTCATGAATCTTATTTTTAAGTGAAAGTGCCTGAAAGGCAAGAGATCCCATGTGGTACTGTAAATTGCCCTGGTTTTTATTGATTTGTTTTGTTTCGTTTTTAATTAAAAAAAAAAAATCGAGACAAGGTCTCTCTCTGTTGCCCAGGCTGAAGTGTGGTGTTGCGATCTTGGCTCACTGCAGCTTCAACCTCTTTGGCTCAAGCAATCCTCCTGTCTCAGCTCAGCAAGTAGCTGGGAGTACAGGCGAGTGCCGCTGCACCCAGCTAATTTTTGTTTTGTTTTGGTTTTAGGTTTTGTTTTTTTGTTTTCGTAGAGATGGGGTTTCACCATCTTGTCCAGGCTGGTCTCGAACTGCTGAGCTTAAGCGATCCGCCTGCCTCAGCCTCCCCAAGTGCTGGGATTCCAGGCAAATTGGAATTGCCTGGAATTTTGCTGCACCCAACCAAACTGCCTTGGCTTTAACCTGTGAATTTAACCAATTATTTGAACAGCCCATTTTACAGCCAATTATATGTTTTAATAAAGCAATAACTTTATTTTTTCAAGTTCTATTAATTACAGTTTACAAGGTAGTAGGAACAGTTTAAGGCTTCTGTTCAGTGCTTTTGAAAAGTTTTGAAATACTTTTTAGAATTTAGTTTGTTTAAAAAATAAAAATATCTTGTAGTGAGACATCTCCTTTCTTCTTTATACCTTAACTTGAACAGCAAAAATCACATATTTTGTAGTGATTATACTGTGAATCATTAATTTTATCACAAAGACTTAGAAGAATGGTCTATCTCAGACATGACTCAATACGTGTTTTATGTAGTATGCTTTATTTATCCTCAATAGAATATAAGCTCTGTTTGGCAACGATTTTAATCAGTTTTGGTCACCGCTACATTCTTAGCATCTAGAATGGTAACTGGTATACTATAGATGCTTGGCATATGTTTGTAGATTAATTGTGAACCCAAAAGTATCTGAGACAGGTCTCAATCAATTTAGAAAGTTTATTTTGCCAAGGTTAAGGACGAGCTCATGACACAGCCTCGGGAGGTCCTGACGTGTGCCCAAGGTGGTCAGGACACAGCTTGGTTTTATACATTTTAGGGAAACATGAGATATCAACCAGTATGTGTAAGATGTTCTGTCTGGAAAGGTGGGACAACTCAAAGCTGGGAAGAGGGCTTCCAGGTCATAGGTAGATAAGAGACAAATGGTTGCATTATTTTGAAACTGTGATTAGCCTTTCACTGAATACACAATTTACATGTCAGAGGATGGTAGAGGAATTGTCACTTATGCTTCAGTCTGACTTAGTGAAGCAGTGGGGCCGAGAAAGCAATCATATACGCATTTGTCTCACATGAGCAGAGGAACAGAGGGATGACTTTAAGTTCTGTCTGTTTTTTGTCCACAAGGAATTTTCTTGTGGGCAAATTGTGAGGTCTTTGTAGCTATCTTATTTTAGGAATAAAATGGGAGGCAGGTTTGCTTGATGTAGTTCCCAGCTTGACCTCCCTTTTCCTTAGTGATTTTTGGTTCCCAAGATTTATTTTCTTTTCACAGAATAAATTGTCTTTCAGACCCAGAGAGCATCACAGTCACATTCAGAAAGGTGTCCAAATGTAAATCACACTTTCACATAGAATTACAGCTATATTAACAAATTTTTTCTTCCATTGTCTTCATTTGTAATATATAAAAAACTTAAGCTTTTAAAAAACTAAAGTTGAATTATGGTCTTAAAAATGATGGTCAATCTTATCTTCACTGGCAGGATATAGACCATTTGTCTGGATAATTTTAGTAAGTTGCTATACAGTTTTAGGCCTTCCTAGTTATTATTTGTTGTGTTATTTCTCTTTTTAAAACCCTGCATTGTACCAGATAGCGTTCAGAGGGAAGTGGAGGAAATTCAGAGCATCAAAATTTGACTTAATAAACAAAATATCCTTATCTGTCCTTGGTTTGTGCAACCATGCATTGGGCTCACTTTGCTTGGGAAAAATAGGTGTTTTTATCACCCTTTCAAGCTTCAAAGACCTTGGTTTCCATGCTTCAGGTCTTATGAGATGGTGTGGATAAATGGATTGAAGCTTGTTTGAAGAGGAGAACAGTCCCGGCTAAGCCATGGCTATAGCTTATCAGCTAGCAAGTACCATTTGATTGTGCTCATCATCAGTAGAGGAAGTGGGTGGCTATCACAAAATTCATTGTTTCGTGATTGTTCACAAATTTTTTTAAACTGAGACATCTCAGAAGTTTCATTGAAGATGAGAAAAGAGGTTTGTTCTCAGCCTTCAGAACTTTATGCTCCCACCCCAGTTTAACCAGAGTAGTAGTGTTTGCTAGGCAAGGTGTCAGAGCGCTGGCATTGCAAAGTGGTTGACTCTGGTTTGGTAAGAAGAATTTACTGACAACAGTATAGGTTTGAAAAAGGAAAGTTTTATTAGAGCGAATGATGCTGAAGAGTGTAGCGGGGTGCCTCAGCAAGAGAGGACTGAGCACGCTGTGGTGAATTTTCCCGACGAGCATATATGGACCTTAAGGCAGGATCTTAAAGGTAGTTTGGACCAATGTTGGCCGTGTAGGTCATGATAAATGATTACATTTGTAGACATTTTTGTGTCTTGATGTCAGCAAGGGTTGCTCAGTGAGTTTTGGCATGCATACATTCCAGAGATGTATAGAAATTCTAGTTACTTACAACATTTTTGAAAGAGACCTGTAACCACATGCTAGGAAAGTTTAATTACTTCTAAATTCCTCAGCGTTCTGCCTCCAGATGGCCTGTTTGATGGTCACCAGGTGTCTTTGCTTGCTGCATTATACTTCTAACCTCTGCCTTCCAGGCTCAAGTGATCTTCCCACCTCAGACTTCCGAGTAGCTGGGACCATAGGCGCTTGCCATTATGCCCAGCTAATTTTTTGTATTTTTGGTAGAGATGGGGTTTCACCATTTTGCCCAGGCTGGAGATTTTAAATCTTTTTGGTTTTTTTGTTGTTGTTCGTTGGGACAACTAAGTTCCTCTTCAAAGACTCAACTTCCTGGTCATAAGTTGTAAGATTGTAAATCAACCCCATCCCCTTCTCCCCTCTGCCTTCTCCTTTTCTCACAAATCGCACATTTACCCTATTTGGAAAAAGTTTAGGTCTAAGCTAACCGGGATCAGCTTAGATTGTGTGGTCCAACCCCAGCCAATAGGGGAAGGACACAGAAACAGAAACTGCATTAGAGATAAAACCCCTTCCTTCCTTTGTTTGGTGTTCTCTTGCAATTGTGACGGCTGTGAGCAGCAGCCTTCTGCAGAAGTAAAGTTGCCTTGCCAAGAAATTTTCTAAGTGTGGGTTTCTTTTGGCTACACTGAGCACTTGTTTCCAACATTGTTGTTTTTCCAAAATGAAAGATTTTGAATCTAATGCATTAGAATTTTCAAAGTCTTCTTGAAAAATCTGTCCTTTTCTCTGTGTTTTATTTTTAAGATTAAATATGTAATATAAATAAAATGTGATTCAAAAATCAGTTTTTAATCTAACCAAATTTACTAATGGTTGAAATAAAGGAATTATTAATGAACATAAGAACTATATTAGTTTGGGCTCTTTAAAGCTGGACACAGGCTTGAATGTGTATAACAGTGGGTGAAATTTTTGCAGTAAGAATGCATGTGGTACTCAAATTGTGTAAGTTCATAAACTTTTTTTTTTTTTTTAGATGTCTCAGAGCATGTCTTCAGTATCTTCAAGGCATTCTGAAAAGATAGCTATTAGAGAGTAAGTATTTTAGTTTTGTGAGTATTTTTCTGTGAAAAACATTCACTGAATTGTTAATGAAAATGTATTTCAGTGACAGTAATTCAGGTCCAGGTTCATTGAGCTGAGTGTTTTGCACTCAGTAGTAGTAAAAGTTTTTTACTGGAAAGCAGGATTTTTCTAAATTGTTATTCTGGAAACATTTAGATTGCCAAAACTTTCCAGTTATAGCATTATGATTAACATAAATATCCTTGAAGCCTTTTCCTCCAGTTAACTTTTCAGCATGTGCTACCTCTTTTAAATCCCATTTATCTCCTTAGTCTTGTTAATCTATATTGGAGAGTTTTGATTTGTTTTTAAGTTGCAGTGTTTCCTCATTTTTAGTTTTTAGATTTCATTTTATTAATATTCTACAAATTCATAATAAACAAATTGTCAATGAAAAAGTCAAACTCTGTAAAATATTTGAAGATATTTATTCTGAGCCAAATATGAGTGACCATGGCCTGTGACACAGCCCTCAGGAGCCCCTGAGAACATGTGCCCAAGGTGATTGGATGACGGTGAGGGGGAAACTTGGTTTCATACATTTTAGGGAGACATGAGACATTGAAGATACAAGTTGGTTTGGTCCAGAAAGGTGGGACAAATGAAAGCTGGGAGGGTAGCTTCCAAAGTATAGGTAGATTTTTAAAGTTTTCTGATTGGCAGTTGGTTGAAAGAGCTGTCAGTAGAAAGGAATGTCTAGGTTAAGATAAGAGGTTGTGGAGACCAAAGTTTTGTCATGCAGATGAAGCCTCCAGGTAGCAGGCTTGACAGATAATAGTTTGTAAATGTTTCTTATCAGGCTTAACCTCTGTGTTAGTGTTAAATTCTTGTTGACTTTTCCTGAATTCTAAGAGGGAAGAGGACATGATGAGGCAAGTCCAACCCCTGCCTTTTGTCATGGCCTGAACCGGTCTTTCAGGTTAAATTTATAGGGCACTGGCCTAGAGGAGGAAGTTCATTCAGATGGTTGGTTGGGGGGGCTTCAAATTTTATTTTTGGTTTACAGAATTTATCAATTGAATGGTTTAATAATTTTCCTGCACTGTATTACCCCATAGTTAAAATTTTTCTTTAGCTTTGGTTATTTAAATGGAGCTCTGGAATAATAAAAGCATTGTTAGCAACTTATGAATAGTGTTCAGCCTTTTATCCTGACAGGAAGGTTGTGAAAGTTAAGACCCTTTATTTAACTTCTTGTATTTTATTTCTAAATTTCTAAATTTGTTGACCACATTTTTGGTTGTCAGATATCTGTGATTCTGACTTTTCATGTCTCATTAAAATTTCAGCTTCTCTCAGTGATTTGAAAGGGCTTAGTGGTATCTGTCTTTACCAGCTGTATGTCATGTCAATGGGCCGTTCATTAATGTTCTTTCAGAGACTAGAGAGAGAGGAGCTCCAAAAATACTGCCTCATAGAGGCCCCATTTCCCATCTCCCCATTTTAAGTTATTAGCTTTTGGCATTTAGCCAAAACAGTGCCTGCCACATGGTTGTTAGGTAATCACTAAGTATTTGTAGGGTAACTTAATAAATAAAAGACATTAAAAGTTTCCCCAGCTGATTTTGATGATTTATTAGGTATAGGATCTACCAATTTAAATGATCTTGACAACTGAAAAATATGAGATTGATTTTCAAGGCCTTTTGATGTTTTGAACAACAGTTCTGAAAAAGGCTGTAAAGAGACAAACACCACTTAAGCATGTAATTGGTTGTACCCACTTCTCTCTTTCCCTGTCTTCTTTCGGGCTTATACCCCAAAATAGTAATATCTGTTGACTTGTTTAGACCTAATTAAGCACCTGACTTCTGGACCTAGCTCAGTTGCTTTTTCTTGTAAATTGAAGAGCACTACGCTTGGAGACAAGATCTAATTTTTCTTTGACACTGTGACTGTATATGAGATGTCTCTCTGAATTTTTGGTGTGAAATGAAAGATTAGGAGAAAAAAATCTTGCTATGACTGGATAAACTGTAATGGGTGCTTTTTCTGCTTTTCATCCAGTTCCTTAACGTTAGATAATGGAAACTTTATTAAAGAAATTTTTGGTTTTTGACAGCCCCTGACATCATCCTTTGAATATCTGTGCATGACCAGCAGTCCCATTAGGACCTGGGCAGAATGCAAAAAGAGTATCATGTAAATGTGAAATTTAATATTGCATTAATATCTTAATATGTAGTTGAGCATTAAGTATATATGCTAAGTTTTCAGAATAGGGGGATTGAAAGTAACTCTAAGTCAATAAAATTGCATTTCTTTATTCAGTTTTCAGGTGGGAGATTTGGTACTCATCATCCTAGACGAACGCCATGACAATTATGTGTTATTTACTGTTAGTCCTACTTTATATTTTCTACATTCAGAGTCTCTACCTGCCCTGGATCTCAAACCAGGTGAGGGTGGTAAGTGTCATTCCATGACTAAAATATAAACCTGGAATGGAGGAAATTATATAAGTAAAGATTTTTTTTTCCCTGTTTAATTACATAAGAATTAAGTCACTAAGAGGGAACCCTGTGTAATCTGCTTTTTTATAAAATCTGTATTATCTAGATTATTTTCATGGATTCCATTTACAATTCAGAATTAAGGAGTGTAGCTTATACAAGGGACCAGTTGATCAGAATGTGCAGTGATTCGGACATCTCATAACCCTAGCAGTTGGATAATTATATTGTCAAAGTTCTCATGTACAGACTATTCAAAATTAATGTATGCTTATTTGTTTATATAAAAGCATTATTTTTTGGCAAAAAAAACTTTCTTAAATTATAAAATGTCTAGTCTATCCTATATCATCCTATGTTCCTACCTTGTTTATCATTATACTGTTCTATACACTTATTTTTTTAAAAAGGAAATAAGCTTTGTTAAAATATACTAAGTAACAATGTCTATTATCTATTTGATTTTTAAAATACTAAAAAAGAACAGAATAGATATCCTGGTGTACTTAGCCTAAGTAGAATTATTTTTAACACTAAAACGAAGTAAGTCCATTTAGATTGATGTTCCTAATCTAATTGGACTGACTCGCAACAAAGTCAAGTATCTTATCTATATATTTATAGGTAGATATTTTTTTTCGAAACGGAGTCTTGCTCTGTCGCCTAGGCTGGAGTGCGGTGGCACGATCTCAGCTCACTGCAACCTCTGCCTCCCAGGTTCAAGCAATTCTCCTGCCTCAGCTTCCCGAGTAGCTGGAATTACAGGCGTGTGCCACCACGCCCAGCTAATTTTTGTATTTTTAGTAGAGGCGGGTTTTTACCTGTTGGCTAGGCTGGTCTCAAAACTCCTGACCTTGTGATCTGCCTGCCTCAGGCTCCCAAAGTGCTGGGATTACAGGCTTAAGCCACCGTACCCGGCCTTTTTTTTCTTTAAGACAAGTTTTTGCTCTGTTACCCAGGCTGGAGTGCAGTGGCATGATCATTGGTCACTGTAGCCTTGAACTCCTGGGCCCAAGCAATCCTCCTGCCTCAGCCTCCTGAGTAGCTGGGACTAGGTACTATAGATTTGCACCACCACTATGCCCATTTTTTGTTTTGTTTTGTAGAGGCAGGGTCTCACTTTGTTGGCCAGGCTGGCAAATTCCTAGTCTTGAACTAGGCCACTTTCCCCATGACAACTCCATCATGGCTATTTGTGGTTGGCTGTTTAGAGTATCCATGAAACAGTAATCATGTAACCATGAAAAATGAGAAGATAGCTTATAACTTACTATTTTTACTTAGTACTTTTTACCTTGAAAATAATGAACCTGATATTTCTTTTGTCTTTTATGGGGTTTTTTGTTTTTCAGTTGTTTAAACCTTTTATTTGAATATGATTTTTAAACTTAGAAAACGTCGCAAAGATTAATATAGTACAAAGAAAACCTATATTTCTTTACCCAGATTCATCTGTTAACATTTTACCCCACTTGCAATATCTTTTTATGTGTATGTATCTAAGATATAAATATACACAAATGTGTGCACACTTTTTTCCCCCAGAACCGTATGATGATAAGTTACATCTTAGCCCATTACCTTTCAACATTTCCATGTTCATTTTGAAGACTTCAGTGTTTAAATCTGGGAAACATTAAAAAACTTTTTTAAAAATGCACACTGCCATTTTAAAGGCTTTCACAAGTACTGCAGAAAAGAATTTATTTATTTAGCAGTCTTACTTAACCATTAATAAACCCCCGTTCCTTTTTTCCTTTGAGGAATGCCAGTTGGGATCATGCTACCCCTGTGTTGTTGCCTTGGGAGAGTGCGGATTACCAGAGTGTTTTTATGCCTTTTGTTAGTGGGGCTCATTACTCTTCTGGCATCATACAAGCATTTATTTTTAGATGATTCTTTTTGGATGTTAGTAATTGGCTGTGAAGTGCTAGTTTGCTCTTCAGAGAATTCACCACATCCTATTGTCCAGGGGCTTTTCTGTTTCTGTCATGTGATCGTATTCTTCAGGTTCATTTCTGATTATTTATTTGGGATATCTTTCGTGTATATCTTCCCAAATTATTTGTATGGAATAAAAATCCGTATGCCTTCTTTCAAAGGCTTTAGCCTAAACACAATACAGACAGTTCCCAACTTATGGTAGTTCTACTTAAAACTTTTTGACTTTACCATGGTGTGAAAGTGATACACATTCATAGAAACCCTACTTTCGGTATCCACACAACCATTCTGTTTTTCACTTTTAGTATTCAATAAATTACATGAGACATTCAACACTTTAAAATATGCTTTTTGTTAGATGATTTTGCCCAACTGAAGGCTAATGTAAATGTTCTGAGACTAGGCTAAGCTATGGTGTATGGTAGATTAGAAGTATTAAATGCATTTTCAACTTAGATATTTTCAATATAGGATGGGTTTAATCTGGACATAACCTTATCATAAGTTGAAAGGCATCTGTAGTTTATTGCCTGAATACTTTTGAAGTCAACTTTAATAAGACAGCTTCTTTTCTGATGAATTTAAAAAGAGAATGGGTACCACTTGGCTTGTCACATTTTGGCTTTATGAGGACTAGGATTATCCTGTCTTCTCTCACATTTTTCAGCTTTCCTTCATTCACACAAGTACTGCCCTTCTAGAATTTTTTGGTTCTTAGCCCTTATTAATTTATTGAGTACCAACTGTATACACACTGCTGTGCCAAGCACTGTGGCATACAGATGTGAGAACTGTTCACTTGCTGCCTTTGAGAACTTGTATTAAAAATACTGCCCATCAAAAATGAGTGTTTTGCTTTGAACCTATACATTTTGTTTGCTTAAAGAAATGGGAAAGGTCATCTTTATTAGTTCTTTCAATAGATGGCACTACTGAGTTAGCCTAGAATTCCTACATATTTGTTCATGATTTGTATTTAGATTATTAGTGTTTCCTGAACTGTTATTTCTGTGATTTGACATATCATGTATATTTAATGAGTAACAAGAGCTACGCACACATTACTGGTTGAAAAGTAACATGAATTTAGTTTTGTAAATTGTTAAGCATTTCAGTGATTTCGGTAGTTTTTAAAGTCTTACATATTCTTCCACTCATGAGAGCTTTTTTAGTCTGTTTTAATTCTGGCAGTTATGTTTCCATGAATAATTATAATCATACTTTCAAAAAGAGATTAACTATTTAATTTCATTAGCTTCAGGTGCATCTAGAAGACCCTGGGTACTTGGAAAAGTAATGGAAAAAGAATACTGTCAAGCCAAAAAGGTAAAAACGACATCATGTGATACTAAGCCTGGGAACTGTAAAGAAGATTTTAATACTGCTTTATATAGAAATCATTACCACTGCTGTTCTTGGCCTTTATGCTCATTTCAGTTAGAGCTTGAATTTAATGAGAGTGAGTTTGAACTGGCAATTTATAAGTATTCATGCTGCCCTTAGATAGTAGAGATAGATTAACTACAAGCTATCAACATATAATGGAAAACTACTACGAAGTCTGTGTTCTATGACTGTTGGGTTGCTAGTGTAACTAATTTGCAAGAAAAAAAATCCCTGCATAACTAGAGACAAAAAGGGAATTTTATTTATAAATACAGTTGATCTTTTATTATTTTCATACTCTGCCCCCATTGAAGAAAGGTAGTGTAAAGTATTTGGTGGCTTAACAAATGGACTGATTGTATAACAATATCAGTGCTCTAGAGTCAGTGAAGTCTTCTGAGCATTCTTCCTGACTCACTATAATTTGGGGCCTCAATGTACAAAATACGAATAGAACTTGAACCATATAGTATTGAGGTTTCTTTGATACTTAAAACAATGATGTATGGCCCACTTTGTATTATATTCTTTAGCAGTGGCTACCAACTTTGTCTTTCCTATTCACTCAATATATTCCCTGTTCGTGAGGGGTAGATCTTACATAGTTTGATAAAGACCCCCACATCCCTCCAACCCCTCAATACTCAGCAATGAGTAATATGATAGGAGGGTACTTGTGTGATGTGGTTTATTTATTTTTTTGTTTCTTTTTGTTTTTTGGGTGTGTGTGTGTGTGTGTGAGAGAGAGAGATGTGGTTTAATCACTCTAGTGATTCCATTTTTTCTTTCCCTCTTAGGCACAAAACAGATTTAAAGTTCCTTTGGGGACAAAGTTTTACAGAGTGAAAGCCGTATCATGGAATAAGAAAGTATAACTTATGGACAAAATTAATACATTCTATGACATTTTTTTCTGATTTGTCCTGCAGTGCTCATTCATCACTCCAAAAACAGCAGGCCATCTTTTTATGCAAAAGTCAGCGTGACAATATACTTCACTGGTGTACATCGTTTACTTTTTAACTGGCTTCATTTTAGGAATAATAAATTCATCAGAATCCTTGGCTGAATTAAAATGGTTTTTGTTTTTTGGTTTTTTTTTTTACCCAGACAACTCTAGAAATGCGGACCAAACTACTTCATTTTCTCAAAGGGCATACCTTGTGCATTGTGGCTTATGATGAGCCATATTAATTGCCTGTTAAATATACACTAGCTTGAACTTAGATGTTAAATGTTATTATTACCAGCATTTGTCCTTTTGTGAAATCAGTATCAGAATACTTGCACTCTTTAACACATTCTTTATAAAATGTATAAATTATTCAGAACTATTTAAAATAAAGAGGAGTGTTATTGCATGCTGATAATCATTTTGAGTTTGCCTCAGTAGATACTAAAGCAAATTGTTTCAGTTTTTTTAAATGCCCTTTGATGTTTCAAAAAAAAAAAGGAACTGTAATTTGATTGACTGATTTTAAGATCAGCCATAAGTAATCAGCAATCTTCAAAAGCACTTTCAGTGGATTGGTCATCTGGGTTCTAAAGGGAAGAGTCTGTGCTACTAACCATTTCAAATGCAGACTCAAACCTTCCCAACATCTTTATGACTCTAGAATAATCATATTGATGAAATCGTAATTCATGGTTGAGTTTCAGAACAAAAGATATTCATTGCACATTAACCATTTAGAGGTCATTTAAATAACAAAATATTGTATTGTAAAAGAACTGTACAATTTTAAAACAATAAAGATTTGAACCTGTAAATGTGTGTGCCTTTTAAAGAAGGATACATTTTTAATATATTTGAGTGATTGCTGGGAAGTGTGAAAATATTGTTATGTATCATATCAAAGAGAAACATGTTTATTACAAAAATGTTCTTTAACTATATACTATGTAACAGGGTAAACAGTGTTATGTAGAATAGAATTGTGTAAACTAGATCTTTAGAGAAGTTGCCATTGAGCAAAGTTATTTAAATGAGTTAGTTGAGTTGGATGAGAATTGTTTGAGGTTTGTTGCTAGAGAACAATAATAAAATAATTCTTTTTCAGAAAATATTTAATTTCTTCATAAAAATAAGTTAAATATTTTTTTAAATATGTATATCTAATAGTACAAAATGGAATAAACATCATAGTGTATAGAAAACTGAATTTGACAAGTTAATGAATAAATGAACAAATGATTTCACATGTTTCTATTTAATCTTTCCATGACATCTTTATGCAAAGACTGTTAAAGCAATAACTTTATATAGAGGGTGATTTTGTTAAGCAGATCTGGTTAGGTGTAAATAAATCTGCCAGGTAGGTAGGCCATTTTGACTTAATTGGTACCCTTCAAATTTCGTATGTGGTCATTGTGCTGTGGAATTTTTGTGACACATGATATCAAATCAAATCATTATCTTATTAATATTGCTGAATATTGTTGAAGATTGTTGCCTATAGTTTCCTTATATGCTGTTTTGTGTCTGTCTTGTCATTGTTCCACATGTATGTTTATAAAGCACAAAAAACGAAATACTTTTCTTAGTTAAAAAGTTGAAGAGAAATGAAACTTGGGAATCTAAACTCATCAACTGAGTTATTAGCTTTGGATAGAGGTGGTGTACCCTAATCTTTGGCATTAGGATACCTCACTTCCAGTTCTAGATATAACTTTAATTTTAGGTGAGTTCCATAAACTCTGAACCTCAGTTTTCTCATGTCTAAAATGGGGTAATAATAGGACCTGCCTCAGAGGGTTATTTTGCAGATTAAATGAGAAATATAAGTGTAAAGTGCTTTGAACAATTTCAGGCATATGCTAAGCACTCAACGTGTGTTAGCTATTATAAAGATTTGTTTATGTAATACAATCAAACCTGTAAGGTACTATTCAGACTTGCATAGAAATGTAGATCCCTTTATTATGTAAGTGAAGATTTAAATCACATTTTACTGCAAGTAAACTTTAAGCACACATGAATTACATAGATTGATTTATTTTGGCAAAGGTGAGTGGATATACTAAGAACAAAATGAACAAAAATCATATGAACGGTCATTTTTATTGTTTTTTTAAAATTGTCAAGGTACAAACACATGCACATCCTTTCCAAAAAATAATACACCCCAAGATCCCTGTCCTATTTCCCAAATTTTGCCACCTAGAGGCGATTACTTTTAATTGTAAAGACATTTGTATATGGAGTGCCAAATTATATAGCTATACTGACATTTTGATAAACCCATGTACATTTTTAATTGACTTTCTCATATAAGATGTAGTTCTTTCTCTCTTTCCTATATACTTTATTACGTTCTAGTTTGTTCATTAAGATTTGCATTATGAAGACTTAACTGTTACCTGCTAAGCTAGGTCCTGAACGATGATTACATTTTCTTGTACAGCCCACAAATTTTTATTTGAAGATTTTTTTTTCTTATTGTGCTGTTATCTTGTAGTTATCATAGCTTCAGTATTTTCAGATGCAGATGCTGCTTCATATTTTAGTCTATCAAGCCACTTTTCTCAGACCTCCATTTTGGAACTGTTCTGTTTCAAACATCTGGTTGCTCTTTAAGCTGACTATTTCATATTCTAAAACTTTCCTTAACATTTTTGTTAGGAAGCTGCATTTCATGGACTCTCATCTTTCTTACTAGAGGTTTTGATCAAGTGACTTCCTAGGAATTAGTGTAATAAATTTTCTGAACCTCTGTAAATAGGCTCATGATTGATAGTTTAACAGTGTCGTTTTTTTGCAGACATTGTCTTCTGTCATTTAGGGTGTTGAGAAATCTAATGCCATTCCATCTGTGCTCTTTTATAGATTATGTCTGATGATAATGTCTTGCAGTTCCTAACCCCAACCATTCTTGGTACTAGGCAGTCAGAGAACCCTTTCAACCTAGAGATGTATGTCCTGTAGCACTAAGGAAATTTTTTTTAGAAAATGTCTTTTTATATTATCTCCTACATTCTATTTAACTAATATTTTAGTGTCATCTGGGAGTTTGCTCAATGTGTCTTTTAAGCCATGTCATTGAATTTTGTGTTGACAACTATGGCTTTAACTTCCAAGATTGCTGATCACCTTTTCATGAATCCTATGCATCTGTTTTTTGTTATTTTTTTTGTTACTTTTTTTGGTTTTTTTTTAACTCTGAAGATACAAATTAGTGTTTTAAAATTTTTCTTATATTCTCTCTATTGTCTTCCATGGTTCTTTTTTTCTCATTTAGTCTTTATTTCATGTTGGAGGTCTTCCTCAAATATCTTATGATCCTGGCTTGTCTCCTCATATTCAAGAGTAGGGCATTAAACTGCTGAACTTTATTTTTAACCCCTTCCACCCTGTATCCAGAAAATAAGGAAGAATTATAGACTTATGATTTTAAACCTTTGTGAAATCTTAGAAATCATCTAACCTAGTCCTTTTTGTTTCATTTTTTATATTGAGATGAAATTCACATAAAGTTAGTCATTTGAAAATGAACAATATCAATACTTCATTTTTTATGGCTAAAATTCCATTTCATATATATATATCATATGTTATATATATATTTATAAAATATATCCCATAATCTGTTTATTCATTCACCTCTTCATGAACATTTAGGTTGTTTTTACCTTTTGGCTGTAGTTACTAGTGCTGCTATGAAAACACGTATGTACACGGGTACCTGTTTTCAATTCTTTTGGGTATATCCTAAGAGGAGAATTGTTAGAAAGTATGGTAATACTATGTTTACCTTTCTGAAGAACAGCCAAATTGTTTCCAACAGTGGCTGAACCATTTTACACTCCCACCAGCAATGTATGAGGGCTCCAACTTTTTCATATGCTTGCTATCACTTCTTGTTTTCTTTAAAAAAAAAAAAAAATCATGCCCATTTTAGTGAGTGTTACTTGCTTGTAGGTCATTTGTGTGTCTTCATTGGAGAAATATCTATTCAAGCTCTTGGCCTGTTTTTTAGTTTGTCTTGTTTTACTATTGATTTGTAAGAGTTCTTTATATTTTCTGGATGCTAAACTCGTGATTTAGAAGTATTTTATCTTTTGTAGGTTGTCTTATTAAATCTTTGATGCACAGAAGTTTTTAATTTTGATAAAGTTCAAGTTACCTGTTTTTTCCTTTTTTGCTTGTGCTTTTAGTGTCACAACTTAAGAATCCATTGCCAAATCCAAGGTCATAAAGATTTACTTATGTGTTTTCTTCTAAGAGTTTTATAGTATTCTCTTTCATATTTAGGTTGTTGATCCATTTTGAGTTAATTTTTGTGTATGATGTGAGGTAGAGATCCAACTTCATTCTCTTGCTTGTGGCTATCCAGTAATCTCAGCACCAGTTGAAGAGACTATTATAAAGAATGATAGTGTTTTTATTACTGTAGCTTTGTAATAAATTTTGAAATCTGAAATTATGAATTCAACTTTTTTTTCCCCAAGATTGTTTTGGCTATTAGGGGTTCCATCACATTCAATATGAATTTTAGGGTTGGTATTTTTCCATTTTGGAAAAAAAATCATTGGTGTTTTGATAGGGATTGCATTCAGTCTGTGGCTCACATTGGGGGGATGTTGACGTCTTAACAATATTAAGTCTACCATCCATGAACACAAAGTATTTTTCCACTTGTGTCTAATTCTTTTCACCAAAATTTATAGTTTTAAATGTAGAGGCCTTTTACCACTGTGGTCAAATTTATTCCTAGGTATTTTGTTCTTTCTGGTGCTATTATGAATGAAATTGTTTTCTTAATTTCCTTATATTATTCATTGGGTAAAGAAACATAACTGATTTTTGTGTGTTGATCTTGTACTCTGAAACTTTGCTGAATTTATTAGCTCTACCATTTGTGTGTATATGTGTTGTGTATTCTTTGGGATTTTCAGATTATCTACAAATTCAAATAGTTGTACATCTTCCTTTTCGGTTTGGATGCCTTTTATTTCTTTTTCTTGCCTTATTTCTCTGGCTAAAATTTCACTAGTGTGTCAAACAGAGATGGTGAAAATGTACATCCTTATCTTGTTCCTGATCTTACAGAAAAAGCTTTTAGTCTTTCACCATAACAGTACGATGATAGCTTGGGTTTTTCACGTATGATCTTTTAGTTGAAGATGTTTTCTTCTATTTTAAGTTTGTTGAGTAGTGTTGTCGTCGTTTTCTATCATGAAAAAAAGTGTTGAATTTTGTCAAATGCTTTTCCTGCCTAAATTGAGATGAATATATGAGACTTTTTTCTATTAGTGTAATATGTCAATTGATTTTTGTATGTTGACTCATCCTTGCATTCTGCGAATAGATCACACTTGGTCATTATATTATCCTTTTGATATGCTGCTGAACTCAAATTTGCTAGTATTTTGTACAGGACTTTTGCATCAGGTACTTTAAGTGGAGGGACCAATTATCTGAGGGTCCTAATCTGCTATTTTCTGTGACATTACTACTGGCCTAATCATTTTAAAGATAAAACAGGCTCAGAGACTTTAGTGACTTGGCCACTGTTGCAGAATTATAATCTCATCTGGGAGTCAAATTGATCACTTCTGACTTCTAACGGTGATTTTCCAATTAGGGGGAAAAATTTCAGTGTGTACCTTAATTTCTTCTAGTGGTTAAAATAGTTGAATCACTGAATGTCATTACTTTAATGCATGGGCCCAAAAGAACAAAAAGGGACTAAAGGGATACATTTGCTGAAAATGAATAGTGCGGTATTTGCTTCAGATGCTCTGAAGTTGACTGATACAATAGATTGGTTATTTCCTGTTTGTTCAAAGTTGGGTGCCTTGAGGCCCTTTTCATTTTGAAATATCTTTATATGTGTTCAGCAAAGTATAGTTTCCTTAAAAACTTTGGGTTTCCTATAAAACTGACAGAAGTTCTCTAAAAGTTAAGTCGTAATTCACACAGACTTCTCTCTGGAAGGCTAGTGTACTATGGGAAAACACTCAAGACTCCTAGGAGCACCCCTTGTCTACATAAGAAGGTCTATTAGGCTTATGACTTAAACCTGAAGTCATAGCAAAGGGCCTAACAGCCACAGGCTTGATTCCTTACCCTGAAACTGTCTGTCTTTGAGAATTTTCAGCTTGCTGCAGAGACTGGATCCAACCCAGCAGAACAGTTTCTTCTCTGTTTCATCTCTCTCTTCCCATGCCTTACTATACAGAACCAAAATAAGCCAATTGATGCTTTGAACATTTCCTGGAAACTAACCTTAGCCAGAGTCACAACTTCATAGTTTTGCCATTTGTTTTGCCACCACAAGACACAAGTTCCTATCTTTCCAGCTTTCAGTAGCAGTTTCTTTACTTTTCCAGCCTCTGCTAGTACAATTTTCTTCACTATTCTTATAGCCTTTGTGAGGCAGTGCCATGCGTTCTAAGTTTTTGTTAGGGCAGCAGTCTCACTGTTGGTGCTAATTTCTGTATCAGGTGTATATTGTGTAACTGTTAATGCCTACATTTGCTGGCTTAAAATAACCATTTGCGCATGTGACTGCAATCATGTCTGGAGATTAGTTAGGGATGCCTTGGTTCCTTTTGAGTCTCTATCAAAATGCCTGGGGTTTCTTAAACAGTGGCAGCAGCATTCCGAAAAGAGTGACAGCAAAAGAAGCTTGGAAGTCATGTCACTTGGTCAAAGTAAGTCACAGAGCCAGCCCAGAGTCCAAGTATAAGAGTAGCTGCAAGGAAATTGTGATCTTTTTAAAATCACATTTTTTTTAAAGTTAGGTCTAAAATAGCTATTGCCCTTTAAGATTTAGATAAAAATTTATCGGTATACTTGGAGTTTGTTTTTTTTTAAGCATATGATTTAATGATGCCTAAAGGCACCAAATTTGGTAATGTTTACTTTAAAATCTCATTTTCATAGATTTATCCATTTTACTTTGAAGTAAAAACTGGAAAGCTGTGAAAACTCTTTATTAATGTCCACTAATTGATAGCTCTTAACGTTAGTCATACTCTTAGGACGTAAGCTGTCTTTGGCCATTTTAAAAAAATGCTTTGTATAGTTTATAATTTTTATGGGTAAGATGGAAGTTATTTCAAACAATTCTTAACATAGTGGTAATGAGACTGAACAGTCAGCTGTAAGCTATTTGGGTTTACATATTTCTTAGGTGTCTCAGACTTGGAAACCAGTTAGAGCTCCACCTGCTTGTTTCATTCCCACCTTAAAATGAAGCTTAATAGCAATACCAATTCTAATGTTAGTAGAAACAAGTAGCAAGCCTCGAGATAACAAAATGCAAGATTAGTCCTCCATGTACTCTTCTAATCAAAGCAGTAATATAATGTACATGTCCTGTAAGAATACACATAGGACTGCCTCTTTACCCAGTATCTATGCCCCATTGAAATACCGTGCTAGTGAACCATTTTAACCATGTCACCCTTTGGCCTTCTAGAGACAAGAATCCCTCTAACTGTACTAAACCATCACTAAAGTTTTAAATGTTGACAATTTAAGAATTTGCAACACTAGGCTCTCAAGAGCTATTTTTACAAATGTTATGTTTTGCTTTGGAATGAACTCTTCCAGTTTTGTGGGACCTAATAGCAAAGATGCTTTTGACAATCTAGTTCCAAATCAGTGGTGTAATACCCTTTTCTTAGACTGCTCTGGAAGTACCATCAATTAATTCCTCTAATAGTCATAGTATTAGTGAGGAGTTAATTAGGTGTCAACTGTAATCTCTCTGGAATTCTACCAGTGGGCTCCTTAACCAGCCCAGGCTTCTAACATGAATTGCCTAGTTTCTTAAAGAATGAGTTCTTAAACTTCTCCAAAAGTACGAAGCTTATCTTCACAAGCATACACTATAACTGTATTCTTTCAGCAATTTCTGGCCTAGTCATTTCTTAAAAGTTTATCTCTACATTCTACCTGATTGAGAAGCACGACTCCTGGAGTTGTCAACATGTCACCTTTAAAATAGGCTATCCATTGTCCAGTAAAAATCTGTGCCTTTTCCTTTCTGTTTTCATGCCACCATATGCTTAATTAGATCCTTTCTAAAAGTAATGCATTTTTTATTAATATTCCCCCAGTTCAGCCTATAGCATCAAAGAATACAGGGAAGCATGAGTGGGCTCCTTACTCCTTAAATGCTGACAATGGCCATTTCACACTCTGGAAATCTTACTAGAGGGCTCTTCCTATTAACAATTAGAACTAAAGGCAATTGTGCATATTTAAAATATTTTGAAGTGCCTTACAAATAATAGTATTTTATTAAATAACTTCATAAGTAAGAGCATTTAAAAATGCTACTCCTTAAGAGAATTCTCTCACCTCTCTGGTCTTGGTACTCCCATGTGAAGCGGGAGTATGACAGGTCACTGCCTAACTCTGAAACCTGTTATTTCCCAAATGACCTCCACGTTAACTAGCGATGACCATGAGCAATTGTGCACTCCTAAGACATCAGAGAGGCTTTTCAAACAATTGAATGTTAATTTTATTAAACAGCCATTTACTGTTATTAATAAAGAGTATGCTCAGTTGAGGTAGTTGAAATCTCACATCATGAACTAGCAACAGTCCCTAGTTCAGAGGATTGGAAGGTGAGTAGAGGCTTGTGACTATAACTGGAATGTCAAGATGTTTCTCCACATTTAGAGCACATGTGTGTGCATGTATAGTCATCTTTTTGCTTGAAAGATAAATCTCTTTCCTTTTATAAGTATGCCAGTACTGCGTGTTTTCTAAATATCTTCAAACTTTTGTGAAATTGAAAAATTTTATAATTTACTACTAGTTTTTCCATGTTGTATACGTGCAGGGCATGTCATGTGGGGTATGATACTGGTATAATCGGTAAAATGTAGTTGCCAAGAAAAATATACTAATAAATGGATTCTTTTTGTTGGAAAGCAGAATTATCAAAACGTTGACTGGAAAGCTGGAAATGGGAACAAGAATTAGTAGTCAGGGGACCTAATGGCCCAGCTGTGGTAGCCTAATGTGGGCGGACGCGCCCTCTCAGTGTAGCTCACACATGTCTTCCTTCCCCCAGCACCCTTCTCTAGGTCACTTTCTCATCCCTGTTGGGTCCATGCTGTGTTTTTCAATTTTTCAGGTGTTAGCTTTTTTGAGACTACAATAATTATATTCTAGTTATATCTCTGAGACTACAGCCGAGTCCACATTGTCTTGGTTGGACTGCTCATTGTTTTAAAATCCTAGCCACACATCCACAACCTCTTAGACTGTTTCTTTAGATAATTGTTGATATTTTTTTAAAAAAACTCGTCTAATGTTATTCAGGCTGTAGGGGGTGCCTGATTCTGTTTGTGTGTTCTCTTTAGCATTTGTCTATTAAACCATCCTGGAATTGGAAATAGCCCAAATTGTTAACATAAATGTGGAAAATTCCAACTTTTGACATACTGAAATACCTGTTCAGTGCCTCACTGCAATATTATTTCTAATTATTTTAATTCAGGGCACATCACTAGAAGTTTATGATTAGAATGAGGTTCGGAAAAATCTTCATTAAATAATGCCTGACATCAAAATGATCTTTGTATTCACATAACAGTGAAATTATTTTGATTAGAAGGGCCAAAGCAAAATGCCTACGATTGCAAAATGGAAGCTGACTAGAATATCACTTCACTGAAGTTGTTTTGTGTGATATTTTCTCACAAGCTTTTTTAAAATATTTTTTTCTTTTTTGGCATGGGGTCTCACTGTGTCACCCAGGCTGGAGTGTACTGGGCGCAGTCACTGCAGCTTCGACCTCCCCGGCCCAAGCAATTCTCCCACCTTAGCCGCCCGAGTAGCTGTAACTACAGGTGCTTGCCACTACGCCCAACTAATTTACTTTTTGTACTACAGACAGGGTCTTGCTATGTTACCCAGGTTGGACTTGAACTCCTGGGCTAAAGCAATTCTTCTACCTCCGCCTCCCAGGCTTGCAGTCTACTTTCTGCTCATTAAAACTTCAGTACTGCACCTCGCCCAAGCTTATCAGTAGGTCCATATCATCGGTGTCAGTAGTTGAACCTCAAAAATGCTTGAGTCGAACATAGCCGTCATTATTTATTTGGTAAATATTTTAAGCTTAGACATCTCCAGAACCACTTTCCTCCAGAAAATTCCAGTGTTTTATGCAGCTCTTGCTGCCTAGAATTGTAGGTATGATACAATGTCACATTCTGACAAGGTGCAGAACACTTTTGGTTTATAGACCTGGGTTGAAACCCCGATTCTAAAGGAAATTACTGGTTAGCCTATGCAACTTAGTTTTTTAGCTTTAATTTCCCTATCTATAAGAAATAATCTTCACAACTTACTGTGATGTTCACAATGAGAGGAAGTTAAGTAAAAGTATTTTTGCATATTGAAAAGTGCTGTAGAAATATTTATATATTCCTAGAAAGATTTCAAAAAGCTTCCACATACTTTCAAAACACTGATGAGAAGTTGCAGGGTGCCTTCCTAGGCTTCGATGTCAATACTGCTGTTATCTTTCTTTACAAAAAAAAAAAAGGCGTGTAAGCTCTCCACCCTATCTCACCCCATCCCCAAATCCCATAAAAAGTTGCTCAGACATGGCAGAAGACACCTGTGTATTTAAGAAAGCACTAAAATGCATTTCTACTCTCTTCCCTCTGTTTTTCTTTGGGATAAAGGTTGTATTTATCTTTTAAAAATGAAAAGTGGGCCAGATGTGGTGGCTCGCGCCTGCAGTCCCAGCACTTTGGGAGGCTGAGGGAGGAGGATTGCTTGAGCCCAGGAGTGTGAGACCAGCCTGGGCAAAATAAACACCATGTCTACCAAAAACAAAAAATTAGACAGGCATGGTGGCATGTGCCTGTGATCCCAAGCTACTCAGTAGGCTGAGGTGGGAGGATCACTTGAGGTGGGAAAATTGCTCAAGCCAAGGAGGTGGAGGCCGCAGTGAGCCGTGAGCGATCACACCACTGCACTCCATCCTTGGCTACAGAATGAGATCGTGTCTCAAAACAAAACAAAAACAACAAATAAAAGCTTTTACAAATAAAATATTTAACTTTTCATCCTAAAATTAATGGTGGTTTAGGCTGGGCGTGGTGGCTAATGCCCATAATCCCAGGACTTTGGAATGCCGAGGCAGGCAGATCACCTGAGGTCAGGAGTTCAAGACCAGCCTGACCAACATGGTGAAACCCCATCTCTACTAAAAATATAAAAATTAGCTCGATATGGTGCTGCATGCCTGTAATCCCAGCTACTTGGGAGGCTGAGGCAGGAGAATTGCTCGAACTTGGGAGGTGGAGGCTGCAGTGAGCTGAGATCATGCCACTGCACTCCAGCCTGGGTGACAGAGCAAGACTCCATCTCAAAAAAGTAAAATTAAATTAATGGTGGTTAGCAACATCTAAAGATTATTTAGTATCCACATTTTGTGTTTGAAAATAATTTTAACAAATATATTTTCAAATACTTTAATCTTTGTTTTAATTTAAATCATTCATTCCAGGCGCAGTGGCTCACGTCTATAATCCCAGCACTTTGGGAGGTGGAGGCAGGCAAATCACTTGAAGTCAGGAGTTCAAGACCAGCCTGGCCAACATGGTGAAACCCCATCTCTACTAAAAATACAAAAATTATCTGGGCATGGTCGTGGGCACCTGTAATCCCAGCTACTTGGGAGGCTAAGGCAGGAAAATTGCTTGTACCCAGGAGGCAGAGGCTGCAGTGAGCTGAGATTGCGCCACTGCACTCCAGCCTGGGTGACAGAGGGAGACTCCATCTCAAAAATAAATAAATTAATTTTAAAAATAATAATTTAAATCATTCACTGGGAACAATCTTTTTTATTTTCACAGTTCAATTTTGCTTTTTTCTAAAACTAGTTGTTAAGGAAAACACAACATATATGAAATATAGAGGTTTTTCTCCCCCATAGGAATTAAAGATTTTACAGAACTAACCTTAAAGCACACACTTATCTTTTTCTTTCCAAATGAGAGAAGTTCTTTAAACTGTGAGGATTACTTCTTAAAATTTAAATGAGCCCTTTTTGGATTGTTACAGAAGTGCCTCATAAACCTCATAAACATTTCTTTTCTTTTTTCTTTTTTTTTTCGTTGAGATGGAGTTTTGCTCTTGTTGCCCAGGCTAGAGTGCAGTGGTGCGATCTCAGCTCACCACAACCTCTGCCTCCCAGGTTAAAGCGATTCTCCTGCCTCAGCCTCCCCAGTAGCTGGGATTACAGGCGTGCACCATTATGCCCGGCTAATTTTGTATTTTTAGTAGAGATAGGGTTTCTCCATGTTGGTCAGGCTGGTCTCCGACTCCCAACCTCAGGTGATCTGCCTGCCTAGGCCTCCCAAAGTGCTGGGATTACAGGCGTGAGCCACCGTGCCCAGCAACATTTCTTGAGGTAGTTTACATGCTTCAAAAATAACTGAACTGAGAAAGTGATTAGCTTTGTCACTTCTTCCACATCTATCTCCTTTAGCTGTATTTGGCTTATCTTAAAAACTAAGATCTTCACAGAAAGATCTCAGGCAAAACTGAGGTTCCTTTTTGGTCTTTACTTTGCGTATGTCATGGATGCAACAAACCGTAGACTTTCCACAGTGATAATTAGCCCAAATTGGCTTCTAATGAACAATGCCCAGTTACTTTCAGTTTATCCTAGCAGAACCTTCTTTGCCTAAACTATTGACATAGATGTCATTTACTCAGCTGCTCTCTATCAGTGTTTGTTAGGTGGAACCTTATAAGGTCTCATCTAACATTTCAAGGAAGCAAGAGTGAGTCTAGGGAAAAGAGAAATCCATAATTTTACAATTAAAGCTGCACTTGTTGCTTAATGTATTTGTCCTTATGGGAGCCAGGTGTATTCTGAGATGGACATTAGAACTTTTCAGAAGACATTAAGAGTTCAGTGACCAAGTACTTGTAGAGAATTGAATTAGGTATATTAGTTACACCAGATGCATCAGGGAAACTGATTAATAATTAAATCAGGAGAGTTCTTTTTTTTTTTTTTTTCTTTTTTCTTGAAACAGTCTTGCTCTGTCACCCGGGCTGGAATGCAGTGGCACAATCTTGGCTCACTGCAACCTCCACCTCCTGGGTTCAAGTGATTCTCCTGCCTCAGTCTCCCGAGTAGCTGGGACTGCAGGCGCACACCACCACACCTGGCTAATTTTTTGTATTTTTAGTAGAGATGGGGTTTCACCATGTTAGCCAGGATGGTCTCGATCTCCTGACCTCGTTATCTGCCCACCTCGGCCTCCCAAAGTGCTGGGATTACAGGCGTGAGCCACCACGCCTGGCCAGGAGAGTTCTTTTTATTTGTCAGTTTATAAAGAATATATGGAATCAGTTCATAAAAAATCACAGCCAAAGTGTATATAAATATTTCTTCTTGTAGCTCATGTTTTCATTCACAAGCAGGAGCCAAAAATGTACTCTCCTAATTAAAAGATAATTTTAAATATTGTCATTGCAATAGAGATTGCATAACTATAATTGAATGCTAACATTAAAGTGATGTAATTTTTTCTTTATGCATTAAAAAATAGGAAAAGTTAAAGTTCTAGATTATAGCAGTATCTGATATTTCTCTCAGATCTCAAAACATTTGTAGGATATTTCTAGATGTTCGTATATACTGTCATGAATATAGAAAATGAATTTGAACTGTGAAAATGCAAAATAAAGTCTTCTTAGTACTTGTATAATTTCGCTTCCCTTTCTGTGTATTGGATTAAGCAACATATTAAATTTTATATTATTAAACTGTATAAGAAAAATACAACAGAATTGATGGAAAAAAATTCTAGGGTTGCCACTGTCAGTGCATGTTCTGGAGCTCACTGCTATCTTTTTCCTTATAAAGAGATGGAAAGTAAGTCAGGGAAAAGAATCAAAAGAACTCTATCAAGACAAAACAATTCATGTCGCAATCTAAAAATAGCATTTTGGGAAACTACTATCCAGTACTTTAAATCCATCCTCATTTGTGCTCACAAAGTAAAGTGGAAAACAGAGTACAGAAATAGACCCACATATATATGGTCTCCTGATTTATTACCAAGGCACCAGTGCAATTCAGTAGGAAAAGAAAAGTGTTCTTGATAAAAGGTGCTAGGTGAAAAATAAATGAACCTTCTCCTTGACTGCATGCTATCCGCAAAGTTTATTTAAGACACAAAAATTTATTTGGAATGGATCACAGAACTAAATGGGAAAGATACAACAATAAAACTTTTGGAAGAAAACATAGACAAATACCTTCTTTTCCCTGGGAAGAAAAAAATTCTTAAACAGGAAAATTTTAAAAATATAAAAGAAAATATTGATACATTGGACTAGATGAAAACTAAGAACTTCTGTTCATCAAAAGACCCCATTAAGAGAGTGAAAAGGCAAGTCCTAGACTCAAGACATATGCAATATATGGATCCAACAAAAGATTAGTATCCAGAACATATAAATAACTCCCATGAATCAATAAGAAAAAGACAAATAGGTGAATTTTAGAAATGGGCAAAACTGGGTGTTGAATGGATTCTTCATAAAAGAGGATACCAAATGACCAGTTATAATGACTATTTTTAATAAGTGCTCAACATCATTAGTCATCAGGACAATGCAAATAAAAACTGCAATGTGGTACCACTGCACACCCACTAGAATGCTTCAAATTCAAAAGACCAACAATAACAACTGTTGGCAAAGATTCTTGGGAGGCAGTTGGAATTCTCATATACTACAGATGGGAAGTAATTTGAAAAATGTGACAGTATGTTTCACAACTAAATGTAATCCTGCACTCTGACATGGCAATCTCACTTAAATATTTACCCAAAAGTAATGAGTACATATGTTCACCAAAAGCCATGTAAAATAATGTTTGTAGATAAAACCTGGAAACAACCCAAATGCTTTTCAATAAAAGAATGCATAAATCTATTGTGGTATACTCACACAGCAGAGTATTATGTAGCAGTTTAAAAGAATGAATTATTGCTGGGTGTGGTGGTGCATGCCTGTAGTCCCAGCTACTCAGGAGACTGAGGTGGGAAGATCCCTTAGGACCAGGAGTATGAGGCCAGTCTGGGCAACATAGCAACCCTGTCTTTAAGTGAATGAATGAACTGTTGGTACACATGACATGAAGTAATTTCACAGACATAATAATGAGTTAAAGATAACAGATACAAATGATTACATATTGAATTACTTCATTTATATGAAGTTCAAGTACAGACAAATGAACTGTGATGACATAAGTCCATTTTTTAGGAAGGGGCATGAGAGGGATTTTTTAGATGCCAGATATAATGTACATTTTCATCAGAGTAGGGTTAACTGTGCGTATTCACAGACTTCATATGTGTGTTCCACCTCATTCCTTTTTTAAAAAGAACTAAAATGGTTGATTTATATATTCTCACATATATATATGGGTCTCGATACATACATATATATGCATATATGTATGCTTTATATTTTCTTACATATACATATATGGGTCTCAATACATACATATATATGCATATATATATATATATATATATATATATATATATGTATGTATGTATATGCTTTATTTTCCCATAAGTGTCTATGGCTTCATTTATTTCTATCCATTCCATGCTTTCCCTTAAATGAAGTCTTAGCAAGCTCCTAAGTCCCTTTTGTTTCTGTTGACACTGTTCAGATTAGCATTGTTCAGAATTTTAGCTCCAAATTATCTTAACCACCTATTTCTTTCCTAGAATTTCAAAAATTGAGTTGAGTCAGTGACCGAGCAAGAGCACCATCATCTTGGACAAACACCATCACTTTAAGTTCCAGCTCCCTTTCTAGCATCATGTATTTTAAGGTAATCACTTCTCTTCTAACTACAAGCAGCCAGAAAGAGCAGGCAGTAAAACACAGATAAGACAGCTTGGGCACAGAGGGAGGTGAGGGTAAAGTCTTTTGGGTAACTGCCAAACTTCACCCTCATACAATGGGCCCCAGTAAAACAGTGGGCCTTAATAAGCACATTCCTTTCCCTTCAGGTGCACTGAAATAGGGAAGCTAAAAGCAGACTCAGGGGATATGCCTGCAGCTGCGGAAAGATGAATGGGAACAGACACACAACTCTCCCTCCCAGATAAGCACCACAAAGAGATACAGAAACAGTCCAAGTGTCTGATAAACTCTCTACCCTGAATCCTTAAAAACTCTCTGACCTAACTCTGCCAGACACCCCTCTCAGGTTTGTTTTCTCTAAAATAAGCCCATCTTGACTGGCAAGCCATCCTTTGTGTTTGTTTCCTCTTTCTTTAATTCTTATAGTCAGGACCTAGATTAACCATGTTTTTCAACCTGGAAATAAAATCAATCTCTCTCTCTCTCTCTCTCTCTCTCTCTCTCTCTCTCTCTCTATCTGTGCGTGTGTGTGTGTGTGTGTTTTATTTATAAGGACACTGAAGTGTAGAGAGGTTAATGAACTAGCCCAGGGTCAGGACCATGAACTTTATTAATTTTTCAGGAATTCAACTATTACAGACAAATAGAAATTACCTTGTCTCAAACTCCTACTCCTCACTTCCCATTTTTGACAACAAGCGGTATTATTCTCCCTTTAACCCAGATGTAAAATCTATTTTATTCACAACAGATTTACTTTTAAGTATCTACTATGAAAGGAAAGGGGTATAGAGTTGAGAGGCTGTAGCCCCAATCCTCTACCCCAGTTGATTTTGACTCTTCTCATTCCAAAGTGGCCACTACCTTCCCTTTAGTTTCCCAAAATCAAACGTGTTAAGCATCAGATTGGACCACTACTTTAAGGTATTTGCTAAACCTGAAGCTGCCTTAGAATTTTTTTTTTTTTTTTTTTTTTTTTACTTACTGTCTGACTTTGCATGTGTTTGTCTAGAATTCAGCATCCTGTCTTTATGCCTGTCGCATTAAGCTATGAGTCCAGGAAGGTAAGAGCAGCAGCTGGCAAAGGTGCCCAAAACAAGTGTATTTTATTTTGGAAACATTCTTTGTGTCTAGCCTAAATCTATCCTGATGCAGTTTCAGACAACAGAACCCTTTGTCTTTGTCTACTCACAGGATAAATATGGTAGAAAAGGGGAATTCAAAGAAAGGAAATGGGGAAAATATGACACTTTGCAAAGGTGACATTTTAAAAATATGTACATTGCTGCAATCATTAACAGCACCCCGAGAAAAGATTCAGTGCTCAGAACAAATGATCCACCCTTTTAAAAAATTAAATGATGTAGCTTATAGCCTAGGAGGTATTTGCATGAAAAAGAGAAAGGCAGTTTTATCTTTGTGGATGGTGAAAGGATGATAACAGGATGATTTATTTTGAGTTTTTAAAGCCAGCCCCTGCCAATCTGCCTGGTAGAACCCCTGAAGCATTATTCAGTGCACACCACCATCAGGGCATTCACTTCTTCCCGTGACAACAGGTCCGCAGCTGTCTCTGCCTAGGGGCTGAAACCATCATTTTAGACTGCAAGACCATTAAAAGAGGGGGGAAGCTGAGTCCACTGAATCCTTTTCATAAAGCATCAGAGGAATGAGACCAACTTAGCCAAATCAGCACACCTTATAAAATTAGTCAAGGGAGACAACTGCATTGCTTCTAAAAAAAAAAAAATCAATTTAGCTCCTCATCACATCAATACCCCAAAATAATATCCAGATGAACTGAAGCTACAAATTGCAGACAACATTAAAAAACAAGAATTCTAGGATTAAATACTGTAAATTAAAAACAGGTGGATATTTCCACACACAAATGAAAAATTCTCTTTAGTACATACCATAATGAAAATGAAATGCCCAACATTGCACAAAGAAATATTATTTCTACAAATATGAGAAAGGCTTACTATTTTATACAATTAAAAATAAACACAAATGAACAAGAAAATCACTACAATCAATAGATAAATAGGTCAAATTATCTCAAAAGATGCCACGAAATTTTGAGTTGGAACCTGTTTTCTTTAACTTTAGAAGAGAATGTATCAAAAGAGAAAGCAGAAACCAAAAATTGTGTTGCTCATTGGTCAAAATCACAGACTACTCTCAAAGTCACCTTAATAGTTTAATCCCACCTACTTCTGAGTGGCTTTTGTCTTCTGGGAAAAATTCAATTTTTTTTTTTTTTTTGAGACAGGGTCTTGCTTGGTTGCCCAGGCTGGAGTGCAGTGGTATGATATCGGCTCACTGCAACCTCTCCCTCCAGGGTTGAAGCGATTATCATGCCTCAACCTCCCAAATAGCTGGGATTACAGGCACCCACCACCACCCTTGGCCAATTTTTGTATTTTTAGTAGAGACAAGGTTTTGTCATGTTGGCCAGGCTGGTCTCCAACTCCTGACTTCAAGTGATCCACCAGGCTCGGCCTTCCAAAGTGCTGGGATTGATGCAGGATTTTTTGCTCCTCTTCAGCTAAAATCTGAGTTCTCATCCCATGATCAGGAAAAATCAGGCATGCAGACACATTGAAAGGTGAGGAGGGTGGAATTCATTAAGCAAAAGGAAACCTCTCAACAAAAAGAGGGGTCCTGCATGCAGATTTTCCACCTTACAAATTGAATACCAGGGCACCACACAGAAGCTGAAGAGGCCAGGCTCCTCCCCAGTATAAGGCATGAATGTGGCTCCAACCCATTCTTCCAGTGCACAGGTGAGCCCTTAGTCTGAGCCACTCCACATCAATGTATTTCCCTTACTGTGCATCTGTTAAGGGGTGGAATTTTTCACTGTGGGCATGTTTAGGCAAGCCCCCTGTGCACAATGACCTAGGTGGCATTTGGCTGTCTCCTGCCTCTATTATTCCCCCTCTAAAGAAGCACGTTTAACTGCGGTTAGAATAAGGACAAAGATGATGACTGATCTTAACTGCTTCCTGCAGACGGGGAGTCGCTGTTTTGGGAAATGGGCAGTCAGATCTTCCTCAGAGGCCTATCTAAGGGTCCCTGGTAAAAGGGGGATCATCAATTGAGGCTCTGGTTGCATGACCGTTTGGAGTTTGATGGCCTCAAGGCAAGATGAGACAAACAGGTTTATTAGAAGACATGTATTAAAATGAAACAAAACGGGGGTTAAGGACAGCTCAAAAATCCCGAGGCTGCCAGTGTGCCCAGATAACTGGTGACTATAGTTATGCCTGCTAAGATTTGGGTGCATGGAGCTTGGCTTTGGTTAACTCCTTTGGTCTTATTTTCCCAACAAATAAACCTCTGGGTGATGGGCGCTCTATTTACTCTCATCACCTGGCAAGATTTGCAGGATAATTGCACAGAACTAGAATGCTGATCCAGATTTTTACATTACCTATCCCTTTTTACTTCTTCTGAGCTGCAGTCAGAGATTGCTGGTTGGTTCACAGGAATAAGCAGGGTTAGTCTAAAATGTAGGAAAAATAGCTTAAAAACAACTAATGTGTCTAGAATTTAATGACAATGTATAAGTTTTGACACATAATTTCTCTCCACTCCTCATTTTTGTTAAAAAAAAAACTATGATAGGACTGAGTTGTCTGCAAAATAAACATTAGTCTTATATTTGGCCTGATTATTTGCATAAAGTGCAGCAAGAATAATTATTTTTACATAGGCTTTTTGAATTGGCTTTGATGGAACTCTGTTCCATAAGGAATCTCAGATAGGACTTTTTAAAGCCAAGCCCAACCATGGGTTTGTATCCTCAAGTACCTGTAAGTTGGGTGAATTCCTCTCTTCTTGAGGTCCCAAGAATATGGGATTCCTGGGCCTGTTAGAAAGTGACATTATTTACTCACCACAGGTTACAAACCCTGTACAGGGACTGTGTAGAGAAGGTATGGGGCCAGTTTTCCCAAGGGGCTTTTATTGGCTCTGCAAGTCGAGCTTGACTTCTTAAAGATAAGCATACCCTTCTAGTCAAAGCCTTAGTAAAACAACCAGTTTCTCCAATTGCATCCTGTGGCAAAAGAAAATGGGTTCTTATATGGTTATTGCACTGATGCAAATAACCATATTGCCATAAGCTAAGAATATTCACAACTAGTTTTCAAATTCTGGAGAAACCAGGCAGAGAGAAACAAATATGCTCCAAACTTTTTTCACAGGATTATACCTTACTCAATTATTAAGGGTCATAAATAGCTCAAAATAAGTTTCCTTGACTCTGAAAAACAAAACAAGGATCAGCAATGTTTTAAACAAAAGTTTAAAAAGAATTACTTCATTTTCTATTAGTTGAGTCCATTCAGTTAGTTCTTGTTCTTCTTGATATTCATAAAAATTTCAGTTCTTCATGGTTCCTGTATGTTTTTTCTTTATTCTAATGTCACAATCTCCAATGTTATCAGAAACCTACATTTAAGAACAACTGTCAAAGTTCTATAGCTGATTATAAACCATCTTTTGAAGAAGATCAAAACAAGACAACAATTGTCTGTAAATAACAAAATGTCCAGGGTAGTTACAGTCAAAAACACGATTGACAACGAAATTTGGTTATCTCTGTAGTTTATAATAACTTAACAACCTTAATTGTGACTGATAGTGTATACTCAGACATTTGAATCTTTAGAGATCCCATATAGTTTTGGAGCATATATTAATATTATTCACTAAAATATAACCTGAAGAAGATTAAACATCATTTTGGCAATCCTATCTACCTAAACATATGAGGTAATCCTGTTTACCTCTCTTCTGGATACTCCAGGGGCCCCTCTGTAGCATCCAAAGGCTAGGGGTCAGGAAAGACAACCTTGAAGCTGAAATTTCATTTTGGAAAGCCTGTTAAATATGTTAGAGGATTAAAACACTTGATGTTATGAAATAGAATTCCACATTACCATAAGTTATTTATTTTGCCAAAATGATGACTCAAACATTTTAAGACAAGGCAAACACCTTTACTCATTAAGAGGGAAGACTTAGCTTTCCAAACAATTTGTCTCCTGTTTTCTTTTTCTTTTTCTTTTTCTTGGCAGCCTATAGGCAAGGCAAATGGAAATCTTTCATTATCCTTTACTATTACATGAAAATCTTGTATGAGGGAGAGAAAGCCAAATTTTATGCTTACATTAGTTTACTATGAATGTCAACCCAATTTTTAAAATGAAACCTTATAGACCATTGCATCCAATCTTGACGAGTTTGACCATAAGGTAAGATTCTTATAAACCTTTTATAACCCTTTACAAATTTTGCTAAAGAGTAGATTAGTGCCTTAAGAAAAAAAAACCTTATTGTGCTTTTATTTCAATGCTCAATTTACAGAAAAGCCATAATACCATTTTGAATTTAGTATGTTCACCACAGAATTTCTTTTGCAAGATTAATTTTTACAATCCTTCCATAACTTGTTTAAAGTTTTAGCTTTATCTTGTCTAATTCAAAACAATCCTTTAGCCCTAGCCAAAAATTTACTTTTCCATGCCTTCTTATAATCTTGTACTACAAACACATTTTACTATTCTTACACACCTTGCATGTAAATCCATTTTCAGTGGTCTCAATTACATGTTATAATGGTAACTCTTAGCAATTTTTAACTTTAATGTAAAATCTGGTAAATTATTTTAATTATGTACTAGGCAATGGTAAAGTGTGACTCCTTCCAGCGTAGTTAAGGGTTTGGTTAATTCCACATATGCCCAGGCCTAACCAATTGTGAAGCAGGCAAATTGAACCGTTCTCAAAAGCCAGAGAAGCAGTTTATAACCTTAAAATATTTAGCAAACCTAGTATCTGGCCTGCATAATTTAGACCACCTATTTATATTTTAATGACATTTGCATTTTACCAATAATCTTCAAGACTTTTTATTTCTCAAAGATTAAAATCATGTGAACTAAAAGGCATTACAAGTTTTATCTTTCCTGCAAAATATATTTGATCCAAGTGCTTATCCTTCTTTAAGCCAATTAATTAGAGCTTTTTTAATAGACGTCACACACAACACATATATAACTACACAGACAGACAGAAGAAGGTCCAGTAGCTATAAGAGTTTTCAGTTGCCAATCTCATAATTGGATTATTGGCCTCTGGGTGGAGCCCTTTGAGAGTAAGGCGAGGAAAGCCTGCAACTTCCAGGGCCCAATAAACAGGTGTGGCTGAAAGACAGAAACAGATTTTGAGAGAGATCTATCCACCTTTAATTCCTGGGTTTCCATGAGAAAAACAGAGGTTTCTCCCCCAAACAGGGTCAGTGGCACTGTCTCTGTTTTTCTAAGAAGTCCCATGCTCTTAGAAGTTATCTTAGGGCCTCACATGCATGCACCAAGAGTGGCAAGACAAAATGGAGAAAAATAATTCAGTCAACTGAGAAAAAAAACTTTTTCAGGAAAACAAGATCCATGAAGAGAAAAACATACAGGCCTTTTAAATATACTTATAGCTTGGATATCCACTTCTAATTAAGCTGAGCACTCTTTAAGAAAGTCCTTTTAAATCTTGTATTACCTGACTTTAGCCATGCCAAGTGGCCAATATTTCTGGCTTTTGAATTTTAGCACAAGTAACCTCACAAGTGAAACCAACAAGTCTCAATTAAGACAGGCAAAGCACACCAGATTTGTCACAGCTTAAGACCAACCTAATAAATACTTTTTCATTGAACAAAAGTTTACAGAGAATATAAACACTGATCCTTCTCATTTCTTTTACTGATTGGCACAGGGAGAGGGAAGCCAAAATTCTGACTGGCAAAAAAACTTTTACCTTTTTGCCAGCATGTCAGACTTATGGGTTCCCTTTCTCCGAGCTCAGTTCTAAGACAACCAGTTTAAAGTTTGGGAAATTAACTTTTCTCAGTTTGGAGGATGTATCCGAGTGGAGTGTTCTGTAGTATGGGGATACAATTACCCCTCTGTGAAGAGAGAACAGAGGAAGAAAAAGGAAAAAAGAAGGCATTCTGGTTTTTTTTTTAAGGAGCCCCAGGGGTTCATGAGTCATCGAAAGGGGTACAGACTGAAAATGAATTGGTTACTCATCCAGAAAGAGGGGAGCAAAGAGTCCCAAGTTCCTGTCTCTTCCCAGAAAATACCTGGGGTATGTGAGGGAGAGGTAGAAAAGGCATCCCTCTTTCTTTCTTCTGTGCTTATATCCTGATAGAGGCAGGATATAACCTTATGTGCTTATATCCCCGAGTCCCAGTGACCTTGACAGGGTGCCACCCCGTGGATGCCAATGCGACTTTCATTCATGTTAACAAGGGAGGCTAGGGAGTTGGATTATTTGCTGTTACCCACATATGCCCTGTCCCCACTGCTGTCAGGAGCCTTTGAGTTCTGAAGCTTGGAATTGAGTTTGGGACAAAAATGTGTCTCGGGGGTTGCACAGACTCCTTATCATAAGCCAAATGCTAAGATGAAGCTGTGGAATTGAGTCCTCCTCCAACAAGGGAGAGATAAAGGGTTTCCTGTGAACTGGGGTCCTGGTCTAATAAGATGCCTTCCAAAAGGAAAAAAAAAAACAAAAAAACCTCTGGCATAGAGAAGCCCCCTCTCCTTGCAGGGCTGTGTGATGAGGTTGTTGCAAATGCAATCATGGTCCCAGCTATTCTAAGTAATGGCAAAAACCGCAACTACTTTCACACCAACCCACTAACTCCTGATCTGGTGGAGAAAACAACAACAACAACAGCTTAAGTACAGAGCTGTGTTAACTGCTGACAGGGTAGAGACAAGAAAAGAAAAAACAGCTTAAGTGCAGCGCTGTGTTAACTGCTGACGGGGTGGATAAAAGAAAAAGATGCCTGGGGAAGAAACATCTTATTCTTATGCAAATGAGTTTCTCCAACAGGGAGAGAAACTTTTAATTGCTGTTGAACCAAGCTGGACCCCTCAGCCAGGGAAGGTGAAGACTCTGTGGATGTGTGGCAGGGGACACTGGCCAGCCGGCCACATGGGCCCAGGCCCCTGAGGCCACCTTGGGGCCTGGGCAGTGGCTGAGGCTCATTCCTGCCCTGCATGGCCATTGGACACAGCACACACATGCAGTAGACATGGCCATGTGCCCCAGCTGGGAGGAAAGGGGGGCAGCCGTGGGAGTGGGGGACCCATAATTTGTAAAAGAAAAAATAGGTGCTATTACCATCCTGAAAAAGAAGGAAAATGCCACATAAAAGACTGGGTTGGACCAAGGCTAACATTCCTGACCCCTGAGAGCAACGTGAGGTGGGGGTGGGGGGCAGATTCCCCTCTCCTCAGAAAAAAATCTGAGGATGTCCACATTTTACTCACCCTTCCTCATGTCCTTGTACGGGCTGCCAAAATGAATCAGGATTTTTTGCTCCTTAGTTCAGCTAAAATCCAGTTTCTTGTCCCATGACCAGGAAAAATTAGGCACACAGACACATTGAAAGGTCAGGAGGGCAGAATTTATTAAGCAAAAGGAAAGCTCTCAACAAAAAGAGGGGTCCTGCACACAGCTTTTCCACCTCAGAAATGGAATACCAGACCATCACACACCATCTGAAGAGGCCAGGCTCCTCCCTAGTATAAGGTGTGAATTCCTGGTGGCTCCAACCCATTCTTTCAGTGCACAGGTGGTCCCTTAGTCTGAGCCACTCCACATCGATTTATTTCTCTTACTTGTGCATGTGTTAAGGGATGGAATTTTTTACCATGGGCATGTTTAGGCAAACCCCCTGTGCACAATGACCTGGCCGGCATTTGGCTGCTCCTGCCTCTTTCAGGATTAGAGGTGTGAGCTACCCACGTCTGGCCACAAAATTCAACTTTTACATAGCATCTAAGGCATTATTTCAAAATGTTTAGTCTTCTTTCCTTTTTTGATTTTAAAACTTTTGATCAATATGTACTACGTACAGATTCTGTTACCGAACTGAACTTGGGTCCACTTGCTTGGTGCAGCAAAGTCAAACACTGACATCAGGATTTACAGCAAGAGAAAGTGAGACATTTATTAAAGTGCACCACATGAGGAGAATCAGGCAGCAAATGCTTAAGCTTCAAACTCCCAGATGGCCTACACATAAGAGGCTTTTTTTTTTTCTTTTGAGACAGTGCCTAGGCTGGAGTGCAGTGGTACCATTTTGGCTCACTGCAAACTCCACCTCCTGGGTTCAAGCAATTCTCGTGTCTCAGCCACTCGAGTAGCTGGGATTATGGTGTGTGCCACCACGCCTGGCTAATTTTTGTATTTTTAGTAGAGATGATGTTTCTGCATGTTGGCCAGGCTGGTCTTGAACTCCTGGCTTCAAGTGATCTACTTGCCTCGGCCTCCCAAAATGCTAGGATTACAGGCATGAGCCACTGTGCCTGGGCACATGTAAGAGTTTTCGAAGTAGGAGGCAGATGTTACAGGCTGTCATAAATCAATACATGGAGGCTATATATTCTTTTGGTGTAAAAAGGTGGGACATCTTAAGGAGAGGGCCCACAAGTCATAGGTGGATTCAAATATTTTCCAATTTGAAGTTTGTCAAGCTTTGTCTAAAATCCTGGGGTCAGTAGAAAGGAATGTTGAGCTCCGGCCTGTGGGCATGACTTCGTCTAGGTCCCTCACAAAGAAATTTAGAACGAAGAACAGTGGTCAGAATTCAGTCCTCAATTTCCCTGCATCTGAGGTCTACCTGCCAGCAGACAGGATTTTCCATTTGATTTCTGAAAAACAACTCAGGGACATATGTTAAGATGTTATCTTTAGTTTCCATAGGGAACCAAACAGCTCGTGACTCTAACCTTCCTGGCTGTTGTTTTAAGCTACTGTTACCTTCTTGCTTATCAGGCTGCTCGTTTTCTTCTCAAGGCCAACTAGGTGCCTGGAACTTTCCTTGAAAGAAACTCGGGATTTTCTTTTATTTTCATGCTTAGAGGGCCTGCTAGGCCACTAAGAGGGGTCTCTGCTCCATCTCAATTTAAGCTTGCCTTTCATCAACCATTTATTTCATTTTATTTATTTATTTATTTATTTATTTATTTATTTATTTATTTGTTTATTTTTTGAGATGGAGTTTAGCTCTTGTTGCCCAGGCTGGAGTGCAATGGCACAATCCCAACTCACTGCAACCTCCGCCTCCCCGCTTCAAGCTATTCTCCTGCCTCAGCATCCTGAGTAGCTGAGATTACGTGTGCGCCACCATGCCCGGATGATTTTTGTAGTTTTAGTAGAGACAGGGTTTCACCATGTTGGTCAGGCTGGTCTCAAACTCCTGACCTCATGTGATCCACCCACCTCGGCCTCCCAAAATGCTGGAATTACAGGCGTGAGCCACCGTGCCTGGACAACCATTTTTTTTTTGTGCCCCCTAATGTGTGCATCTCAGCTCTGTACTTAACGGTGTTTTTGAGCTACCTGAGAGACAAACACTACAGTTACGTCATACGCTACTGCTGGCGGGAAATCTCAGAGCACTGGACCTTAATTTGGACAGAAAAAATATAATCAGCTATCATAGTAAATTCAATAATATTTGACAATCTCATCAAACTTGGACTAATCTGTGCTGTATACATTGTTAGATCATAGGTATCAAAGAGTTTTTGGGAACTGCTTTTTAGTGAGCACCAAGTTCATCAAAACTTAAAGTACCCATGCTTTCAGGCCTTTCTACCTGACTTAAGTGGTTTATGCTCTTCTCAGCCAGATATTGAGCAGCATCTCTGGTGAGACTGTCCCTGGCTGCCTCATTTGCTCTCTATCTTTAGAAATTCCATCTTAGGGCCTCCTCTCAGGCTCAGCTTTCTCATAGATTTTACCTTCTAAACTCACTGCCACCTCCCAAAAGAGGTCTGGAAAACAAAGGTGGTCTATTGTCCATTACTACTGATTCCAGCTTGCAATGGCCATTGGTAGCAACCCAGAAAAGTGTCCTAGAAAGTTCAAGTTAGTCCTCATATCAGATGACAGCGAAGCTGGGGCATGCTCCTTCTGCATTGCTGAAGAGGGCTGCATGTGGAAATACTAATGTTGAAAACAGTGAAGGAATGTTTGTTTTATGTATGTCCTACATTGCATATGAACCATGATAAAATTAACATACACTTAAGACAAAAATGTTTAAGTTGCCTTAAATTAATAAATTATTCCATAAATAAATGTGACCTTATAAACATCTCATGGTGGGACTAAATCTGAGGAAAGCTACTCACTAAACACTGTATTGTCCAATGTGACTGGATTGCCCACAGCCTGGAGAGCATGATGACTTAGAGTAGAAGGGGCTTGAGTGTCCCCTGATGACACAGAGGACTAGTCAGAATGACCACTGAGAACGTGCATGTGGAATCGTGCTATTGCAGGGGAGTATGGCTTCTTAGATTATCACTGTTCATTTGAAATTCTGGCCCTTTTGTGGCTATTGCATTCTAACAGATAACTCTGCTGTTGAAAAGTAGGAGTTGTTTATTATCTTAGCAGTTATGTGAAAATGCTTGCAGCCAAGCCAAGGAACTAATTGCAAATTTTGCAGAGATGCAAATGTTCTTTCTGTAGACAAGGAAAGCCAAATTAATAAAAATATCTCAAGTACCATCCTAAAACAGGTCAGAAAAAAAAAAAAAAACATCCGATGTGCAAAACTGGTGAAATTTGATTTGGTTTTGATGACTATGTTCAGTGAATAAATGAATGTAGAGTGAGGAAACTAACAAGTTACTAGGTGAGAGTTAAGAACACGATATCTAGAGCAGACTATCCAGTTCAAATTCCAACTCTGCCACTTAATCAGCTCTGACCTTGGACCAGTGGCCTGCTGCATGATTCATTTCTTCATCTATACAATGAAAATGGTGATAGTGTTAGTATTAACAACTTGAAGGACAGCTGGGAGGATTAAAGTTGTTAGCATATGTAAAGTGCTTAGAATGGTGTTGGCAAAGATGGTGAGTTATTGCCACGGCATAGCCCTGCATATTTCTCTGTTATGTAAGCACAGGCCACACATTTAGTGTGTCTTTATCTTTTTTTATAATTAGCACATTGCCTCCAAAGTCATTTAACAATGCTAACAATAGAAGTGTTCCATTACTAATTATTTCAGTAAAATTACTCTGCATTCATATATCATGCCAGTGACAATCCTCAGAGTCATTTATTAATACTTTTTTTCCTGGTGAGTATTGATTGTTTTAAGGGGATGATCTATTAGAAATTGTAACTCAGAGCCGGGCACTGTGGCTCATTCCTGTAATCCCAGCACTTTGGGAGGCCAAGGCAGGCACATCACTTGAGGTCAGGAGTTCAAGACCAGCCTGGCCAACACGGAGAAACCCCGTCTCTACTAAAAATACAAAAATTAGCTGGGCATGGTGGTGGGCACCTGTAATCCCAGCTACTTGGGAGGCTGAGGCAGGAGAATCGCTTGAACCTGGGAGGTGTAGGTTGCAGTGAGCCAAGATCGCGCCACTCCAGCCTGAGTGACAGAAAGAGATTCTATCTCAAAAAAAAAAAAAAAAAAGGAAAGAAATTGTGACTCTGAACCAGTAGAAAATAGCCTTAGATACTCCTGTTTTTGTACATCAAACTTAATATTGACAATGGTTTGTGCTAAAAATGATCTGTATAATAAATACTTATTAAATTTATCCACTTTATTTATTAAAATTAAGTAATTTATGATACTAAAGACATTCTAAAACATAAGCCATACATTGATGATTCTCAAGAAAATGTTCATGGACATATTCTAATTGGTTCTATTATGATTTTCTTTAATTTAGAGATGATATTTAAAATTATTTTACCAGGAATAAAAACAACACATCTTGTTTACAGGAATAAGTCACAATTCAAAGATATTTTCATGTAATAAGACAACATTTATTCCTACTCACACATTTTTATTTTCATTCTAATTTCTTATCAAAGTCTGGAGGAGCAATTTACAACAAGGTCTTAACTACACATCCCAAAGTATGTTAGCAGAAAAGTATAACAAAGGCCTTAATGCCAATTCTTGACTGTCAGAAAAAATAGTTGAGATTTTTAGCATCTGAAACAATATTCTGTGAATGAGAGATGCTTCAATGAAGGAAATCTCTATAGATATCAATATCTAAGTCATCTGAACTCCTCTAATAGCACAATAAGAAAATAAATAAGGGAAAGGACATTTAGATTTCGAGTAGCACACTTAGGAAACATGTATTATTACTGCCCATCTGCTCCTCTCAAATATGCCTGGATATGTTTCCTAGTGGCAGAAGGTGAGACTAGGCAAAATCTCACAATTGTCAGAGTATGGTCCCACTGAAAACAACAATAATTATCTTCCTAAAGTAAGTGTGGTGTTTCAATTATTGGTAATCAAGTTTATGATACTCTATTTTCTGTCTTCAATTTGACATCTAGGAATGCTGGTTATAAAAGTGACAATTGCTTTAATAATTAGGGCACCAAAGAGCATATGAAATTAACCTTGTCTTCTTGAAATTAGCTGATATTCACATGTGAAGTACAGCAAGCCTCTTTATCTTACATCTACTCAAATCTCTCTTTGAACTGAGGAATAGTGGATGAAAAATCTAATATGATCATGTAATTTTTTCAATTATTCAGATTTTATACATACAATAAATATTTGATGGATTCTTTTGGCAGTTGATGAGTTAAAATCTATTCTCTTAATTAAAAGACAACTTTCAAAGTGTTTTAATTTTTTTAGAGAGTGAGTAGACAACTTACCAGGGGAATCAAAATTTAATAGATGATTTATTTGAGTGGCATGTGATCTTTTTAGTTGTGGTTTAGATACAAAGCATGAATTCAAACATTCACCTTAACCCCTGTATTCTAAAATTCAAACCTAGTATAAATCATCAATAGAGTTGTATAAAATCTAACTGATGTCTGAATTTCTCCAGAGATAGAAAAAGTTACAACCAACAGGGGCAATTCATTTCATCTTTGCATAATCTCTGATTCTTGAAATGTTCTCCCTTTAACTCCAACTCATTAGCTTTCTTGAAGGCACACAGAAAAATTCTGATTCATAGAGAAAACCTTCAAATATGGTCAATAACTATCCTAAGCTTCATGGTTCCACCATTAATTTGGATAAATAAATTAAGTTCTGTGAGATTTAATTCCTAGATTGAAGAAAATTGAGAAAATACATATTACGTATTCTGAAAAACCTTAAAGTACAACTCAGAAATTAGTTACGTGAGTGTTTTGGAAGCAGGTAATTTAAAAACTAATTATTTGAGCACTCTTTATTAGATGTAAGAAAACCCTGGATAAATATGAGGTCATAGGACAGCTGGGTTCTGAATGAGCCCTAGAAATTACATCAGAAGATGATGAAACAATCTTTGCACAGTTGGTGATAGGTAGAATCAAATTTGGAGAGACTTTCAGAAACTTGAAGCAAAAGAGTTTTGTCTTATTTTGCCTTGTTTGCTAATGAATTATAAAATCTTTAATCCAAAAGAGGGACTTATGGTGACACCATTGTAAGTCCTCTTGATGAGTGACCCTATTAAAAAATAATTGAGACAGGATGATTAAACTTGCATCACACAGACTTCTGGGTTGGAACAAGATGCAGTAGACACACTTCTTTTCTACCATAAAGTACAGCTAAAATCCCTGAATGTTATATATACGACAAACATAAGAAGTCTCTGAAAGACTGGGAGAAGGCAGACCCAGCTAGGAGCTCCAGGACACAGGGTGAGTTTCCTGAGTTTTCTTTTTGCTGCATATAGCTCTGACTGGATGCAGGAGAAGGTGGAAACAAAGAAATGCCAAGAGGGTACAGAAAAGCAAAACAAAACAAAAAAACAAACAAACAACAACAACAACAACAACAAAACTCTGCCTTGTAAAGCTTGTTCTATGTAGTGAGAGAATCAGGAAAGGGGAAGCCTAGCAAGTGAGAGAACTTTAGATAACAACCATCGCACTCAAGCCAAACACGATGGAAGAAGCGGCATCCCGATTAGCAAAATTAGCATATATTTTCATTCTTGACTAAGTGTCATAAGGCAATTCTTCTCCTGTGCTGAGGTGTCAGAGAAGACTGAGTGAGTATCCTGCTTTCACTCCTACTCAGGAATAGTGAGATGTATACCCACTTAAGATGTTAATAGAGGCTTAGGGGGAAATCTGGATTTCCACCCCAACTAACAGTAACAAGGTAGTGCCCACCTTACCTCACAAGTGTAGTGTCAGAGGAGACCTGCTTAAAGAGAAGATTTTTAATTTTTATTTTTTTTTAGAGACAGGGTCTCACTCTGTTGCCCAGGCTGGAGTGCAGTGGCACAATCAGCTCCATGTAGCCTTGAACTCTTGGGATCAAGTGATCCTGCCACCTTGGCTGCTTGAGTAGCTGGGACTACATGTGTCACCATGCCTGACTCATTTTTAAAGTTCTTGTAGAGATGGGATCTCACTATGTTATCCAGTCTGGCCTCAAACTCCTGGCCTCAAGCAATCCTCTCACCTCAGCTTCCCAAAGTGCTGGAATTACAGGCATGAGCTACGACACCTGGCACTTAAACAGAAGGTTTAAAAAATATCTAGAGTATCATAACATAATACTCCAAATGCCTATTTGAAATTCACTCTTCATTAAAAGAACAAGAAAAATTTCAACCTTAACAGGAAAAACAACCAACAGACACCAAGATGATGCAACTGTTGAAATTTTTGGTAAAAGATTGTAAATATTTATCATAAAATGTGATAAGTAATTACAGTCATGTTTGAAACAAATGAGAAAATGGAAAGTCTCAGCAAGGAAATAGAAGATATGAAGAGCTAAATAAAAATTTTACTCTTACTCTTTTCTTTTTTTTCTTTGAGACGGAGTTTTGCTTTTGTTGCCCAGGCTGGAGTGCAATGGCACAATCTCGGCTCACTGCAACCTCCACCTCCCAGGTTCAAGTGATTCTCCTGCCTCAGCCTCCCAAGTAGCTGGGATTACAGGCATGTGCCACCATGCCCAGCTCATTTTGTATTTTTAGTAGAGACCGGGTTTCACCATGTTGGCCAGGCTGGTCTCGAACTCCTGACTTCAGGTGATCTGCCTGCCTTGGCCTCCCAAAGTGCTGGGATTACAGGTGTGAGCCACCGAGCCTGGTCAGAAATCTTACTCTTAATATAATTATTGACATGACTAGCTTAGGCCTACCATTTTATTGTGTGTGTGTGTGTGTGTGTGTGTGTGCGCGCGTGTGTGTGTGTGTTTTCCAGAGACAAGTTGTCACCGTGTTGCCCAGACTGGAGTACAGTGCTATTCAAATAATATCGGAAATCATGGGAGCTAGAAGGAAGTCGCACATGTTTTTCAAGTGCTAAGAGGAAATGACTGTCAATCATAATTTTATATACAGTAAAAATATTCTTTAGATATTAAGGGGAAATCAAGACAAACACAGATGATGGAAAACAATAAGAATTTGACTTCAGAAGATCTATCCTAAAAAGCAGCAAAAGGAATTTATAAAACAAAAAAGGTTATGATAAATGGAGAAATATGAGAACAACAAAAAAGAGGAAAGAACAAAAGAATTATTAAAAATATGTGTAAACACAATAGACTATTCTTCTCTTGCACTAAAAAATTATGTTTGATGATTATTAAGTAAAAATACTAACATTATCTGATGTGTTTTTCAAAGTATGTAGAACAAATATTTAGGACAATTATAAACAGGTGAGGGTAAAGAAATTTAAGGAAGGCAAGTTTTGTACACTTCTCATCAACTGGTAAAATGTTAACACTAGCAGACTGTGGTATGTTTGTATAATATAATGCCTTTAACAACCACTTAAAAAAAGGCTAAAGAAAGAGATACACTCAAAAGCATTATCAATAAAACCAAATGGAATTCTTCAAAAAGGAGCAAGTTACAAACAAGTTAAAAAAAGAATGCATAGAAGCAAAAACAGAAAGAATAAAGATAAAATTTAAAATTAAATGGTAAACTTAAAGCCTTCACATAGCTATAACTATATTACATGTACATAGTTAAAAAATTAAAGACAGAGATTTGCATAGTACAAAAAACTCCAACTATGTGCTGTTTTTTTTTTTAAAAAAAACTTCAAATGTGATTATGTATGTAGATTGAAAGTAAAAGGATAGAAAATATATATAATGCAAATATTAATCAAAAGAAAGTAGGAGTGGCTATATTAATATCAAATCAAGTTAACTTTATAGCAGAGAAAATTACCATGGAGAAAGAGGTACATACGTAATAATAAAAGGGTCAATCCACCAAGAAGACATTGCTGTAGTATGTCACTAAACAACAGTCATAAAATATATGAAGCAAATACAGATAGAATTGAAAGGAGAAATTGACATATCCGAATTAGAGTTGGAGGCTTTAACACCCGTCCTCCACATCTGATAGAATAATTGAATAGAAAATCAACAATTATGTAGAAGAATTTAACAACCTCACAAATCAACAGGGTCTAATTGACATTTATAGAAAATTCAGCTGTCTGAAGACTGAAAAGTACACCATAGGAGGCAGATTGATGAGGGAAATCAAAACTTACAGTGTGACAGGAATACTGGTGAGTTTTCTGGATTTTTTTTCTTTTACCTGAGGGTGATCTGATTCACATAACTATAGCGAGAACAGACAACAATAACTCAGGGAAAACCCTCATTCTGGCTTGAAGACTAGGAAAGAAAAAAAAAACGCCACTGTGAGTTGAGTGGGGAGAGTATGAAAGAAATCCTCTTAATTTATCTCTTTTCTCCTGCTGCTTCACACTGAAGGTGGCCACCGTTGCATGACAATGTGCAGCAGCATGGAGGCTAATACTCTAAATGAAACCCACTTTACCCCCCGAAAGCAATTGGGAAAAGGGACTGGAGTGGATGGGGGGTAACCCCAGAGAGAAGAGAGATGGAGAAGGGCATCCTTAATTCTGTGTATGAACCATGCAATTTCTGAGCTCACAACCAAACTGTTCATATGCGTATCAGACTCAAAAAAGCACAGCAAAAGCTATGAGAACTAAACCGTGATATAAACACCACACATCTCCCAGACTAACACTTGAGGGGTGCCTATGTAGGGCAGAAACAAACAGAAGACTTTACCTGTGTGATGTAAAATACCATAGAATAACAAACACTCTTGTACCAATGTCAATTTTCTGGTTTTGATGTTATTCTATTCAAAGACATTGGAAACACACTGCCCACGGAAAGCAAGTCAGAACTTGCAGTCTTAACTTAATTGAGTTTATTGCCTGACTAATCAAAAAATATTTATATAAATAAATATTCTCCTGAAACTCAGAGTCTCACATATAATATTCGAAATGTCCACATTTTTATATAATCCAAAATTACCTGACATTCACATAACCTTGAAAATGTGACCAATTACCAAGGAAAAAGATAACAGATGTCAACCCTAAAATAAATCAGATGTTGAAATTATCAAAGATATTAATGCAGTTTTCATAACCATGTTCCATGAAATAAAGTTTGCACACATTTGAAATGAATAGAACAATAAAGGCTCTTAGCAGAAATATAGAAGAAATATTTTAAAAATAGAAATTTTACAACTAAAAATTATAATAAATCAGAACTTACCTGGATGGTTTCAACAGGAGAATACAGATGACTAATAAAAAAATCCGTGAACTTGAAGATAGAGCCATAGAAATTATCTAGTCTGAAGAACACAGAAAAATATTGAAAAAATGAACAGGGACTCAGGGCCTTGTAGAACAACATCACAATATCAAAAGGTCTAATATTCATATTATTGAATAGAAGAATAGGAAGAAGAAAATGATGCAGAAAAATATTTGAAAAATGAATGGCTGAAAACTTACCAAATTTGGTAAAAGACATACAGATCCAAGAATTTTGGCAAACTCCAAACAAAATAACCTCAAAGACAAGCATACACAGACACATAATCAAACAGCGAAAAACTAAAGATAAAGTCTTTTCACAGCCAGAGAACTATGAACTGATGATACAACAATTTAGTTAACAGTGAATGTCTTATAAGAAACCATGAAGGCCAGAAAGAAGTAGCACACTTTTTAAATGCAGAAAGTAAAGTGCTATCAACTCTGAATTCTATATCCAGAGGAAATATTCTTCAAGAATAAGGCAAAATACAGGAGAAGGAATACTTTAAAAAATTTCTTAGGAGAAGGAAAACTTAAAAAAATTATCACCATCAGACCCCCTCTAAAAAATGCTAGAGAATATTATTTAAACTTAGAGAAAAATATACCAGAGAAAAACATGGAACTTCAGAAATAAAGGAAAAGCAACAGAAATGATAAATGTCTGGGTAAATAGGTTAGACTATGTTTTTCTTCTAAGTCCTTTTAAGATGTATGGCTGCTGAAATTTGACAGTTATAGCACTGTCAATTGAGCGTTTCAGATAGAGAGATGTAATACATACAATAACTATAACGCAAAGGAGGAAGAATAAAGGGACTTCAATTGTGGTAAGGCTTCAATTTTCTACTTAAAATGGTAACATACTAACTATAAGTACAGGTAATGCGTATTATAATTAGATTAGGTAATGTGTATTATAATTAGATTAGGTAACGTGTATTATAATCCCGAAAACAACCTCTGAAAAAAATATTGTGAAGTCAAATTAATGAAAAAGTCACTAATTAAATTAATGATGATTTAGATAATAATTAAGTAAAAGGGAATGCCAAAATTATTCTACTTGCTCAAAAGAAGGCAGGGAAGGGGAAAGAGAGAAACAAAAATCAGAGGGATTAAACAAACACAAACAATAAAATGGCAGCACAACAGCACGCACCTGTAGTTTCAGCTACTCAGGAGGCTGAGGCAGCAGGATTGCTGCTGCTCAGGAGTTCAAGGCTGCAGTGAGCCAGGGTGGCGCCACTGCACTCCAACTTGTGCAACAGAACGAGACCCTGTCTCTAAAAAACAAACAAACAAAAAACGTTTCTTCCTCTCCAAGCCAGTCGAAAATATCCCCTTTCAGTATATTAAATAAAACTTAAAACATTTCTTTCTGAATTCAATCTACATAATCTTGCTTGATACTGACTAGCAAGCTTGTACAAATTTCCTAGGGGCCCCATTACCCATGCGTTTCTACTAGGACCCCGGCTGATCCTCTGCTCAAGTGGTTCTCAAGCAAGTGAGCACCAAACATCCCTGTGGGGCTTGTGGAAGCACAGACTGTTGGTCCCACCCCAGGCTTCTGACTCAGCAGGTGGACAGCTCTCCTTTCTAAGGTTCCAGGGGAGCCTGGGAGAACCACTTTGAGAACCACTGCTCTAGTCTTTATATCCTGTGGGAAAAAGGGAAACAGGTCCCTTGCCTTTTTAAAGGCGGGCAGTTGATAGATGGGCATAGAGTTGAACTGAATGAAAAATAAAAATGACTGCTCCATAAATCTGGGGAAAGGGGGACAGGCCAGAGTTGAGAACAGGACAAGTCGTTACGGTGAAAGTAACTTCTAAGAAGATCCCAGGAACGCAGCTCTGGGAGGCCACGGGTGGCTCGCAAACGCCTGTTCAGTGTGATGGAAAGGGAAAGTCTACTTAGCAGTAATTTGGCTAGAGAGACAAAAGACATTCTTTTAATCATTATATATGTTTTTAAAGCGAACTCGCAGGTGAGAGAGGGGAGCATCTTTGCAGCTGAGACGTCCAGGATGCGGCCTGGGGACTTCGCCGTGAACCAGGCCGGGTTGAGCGCAGCGGGCCCTGGCTCCCAGACACCCAGCTTCACAACTGAGAGGAAAAGGACCGGCCGTAAAATAGAAAATAACTAATTCCCTCATAAAACTGTCAAAAATCCCCTTTGGACAGTTGGGTTTAAGTAATCATATTAATCACGCTTGGAAGATTTACAAGGAGATTAGCAGATACATAAGGGAACTTTTTTTCCCTTAAAGGGTTCGAGTTTGTTTTATATTTAAGACTGTTTAAGAGAGAAATTTAAACAAACTTTATAGTAGGCTTAACGTGCTCAGCGGCACAGGAGGACTGGAGACTCTCCTTCTGACAGGTTTCTCAGCTCCACCATTGATCTCACTCAGAAAAAATTCATTAATGTAACTGGTGGCACAGAGTCCATTCATAAGAAATAAACCATCATTTGAATGGTTTATTTAAAGCAATAAATAATATTTCTATCTATATAGCTCAAATTATGTTTCTCAGAACTTATTATAAATGAACATTCTTTTTGCTGCTGATTAGATCCAATAAAACAAGAAACAGCACATAAATTGATAGTCTGTTGAGGTGGGAAAAGCTGTTCCCCTCATTATTCTAATCATAATCTATCATCTGAATAGAATGCAGTACTTTCTTCAGGGAACCCTAAGAATTGAAGGTTAATGCCCTTTATTTCTAAGAACGGCAATCAACTAAATTTATTTGTGGCCCATAATAACAAAGAGTATTTATGTGAGTTACTGTAATAGAAACAAAAAATACTTCCCTGCATCATGATCTCATTGGAAGCTCATTCATTCTTTGTGAGGTTGGCACAACAAGGTTCCGGGATTACCCCATTGTTTTGAGGAGCTAAGACTCAGAGCTCTTCAATGGTTTGCCCCACATTCATACACTAGGAAGGAGAAGTGGCTTCTAAGTCCTGGCCTTTGATGACCAAAACTTCAAGTAGACTCTCTTTCCCAATTCTACTGTGCTTCAGGCCCTCCTCCTTAGGAACGAAGTAAAAGTTGTACAGCATACAGAAAACTAGTATTGAGCACACCTAAACATACGAACGTTTTATAACATTTTGAAACTATAATAATGTGTTTTATTTGCTTTTCCATGGTGGTTTTCAAGAACCTTATACAACAAGGCTCAGGTCATCCAGAGCCCTCAGAGGAGCAGGATTAAGCAAAACCACCCTTCTCCAGTACTGCTAACAAGTGCTATGGTCACACAACCCTGAATGAGCAGAAAGCCAGTGCGTTTTCCTCCTCCACAAATGTTTTTCTTCACTGGTCAGAGAAACTGATGAGTCTTGGGAAAGACTGATAGCCCTAAATAAAAGAATTGTTTATATGCTTTAGAAAAAAAGAGAATTTTTTCTGAAGAAATGAAAATGCATCTTTTAATTAAAAATATGCCAAAGCGGAAGAGACTAATTTGCTCCTCCAGGGGCCTTGCAAAGAGTTTTATTCTCTTGTCAGAGCTCTCAATCTAGAGCAGTTTTTCAAGTGTGGTTCTTGACCCCCTGTGTCTTAATTATTGAGGTCCCATAGCTACAAACACTGATGATCTGGTCTCTTTCTGGCTCTACTGAGTCAGTCCCTGTATTGGGTCTGCACATTTCATAAGTTTCCTAATTGAGATCATAGCTCATTTTAGCCTCGAACTCCTGGGCTCAAGTGATCCTCCCGCCTCAGTCTCCTGCGCAGCTGGGACCTCAGGAATGTGCCAGCAGACCCAGTTAATTTTTAAATTTTTTCGTAGAGATGAGATCTCGCTGTGTTGCTCAGGCTGGTTTCGAAATCCTGGCCACAGGTGATCCTCCCACCTAGGTCTCCCAAAGTTCTGTGATTACAGGTGTGAGCCAGTACACCCGACCCTAAGTGATTCTTATTTTCACTAAAATTTGAGAGCCCCTGATCAATACCAGAAGTTCAGTTAACTCAGTCTCTTAAAGCAGGCTTGGTGAAAATATGTTATGCTAATCAAACTCACCTGAGTCTAATACACTAAAATGTTCTAAAAAGCAAGAACTGTTATTACTCACTTACCTGTCCAGGACTTAGAGCAAAGCCTAATTGATCACAGAAGCTCCAAAAATGTTGGTTGAATATTTAGTAGAACCGAGTGTCTCAAATATAAAAAATTAATTGAATAAATATAAGGAAGTAGGTAAATAAAAAAACAGGGGAGAAGAAATGAAGGAATCATTAATAACAATGGAAAATGACCATTTAGTAAACACATAGCAATTGCTGCAATCATCCGTTATCAATGGTTGCTAAAATTAGTAAGTTAAAATATGAGAAAAGAGGCCGGGCATGGTGGTTCAAGCCTGTAATCCTAGTACTTTGGGAGGTAAAGGTGGGAGGATCGCTTGAGCCCAGGAGTTTGAGACCTGACTGGGCAACATAGCGAGATGCCGTCTCTACAAAAAATTTAAAAGTTAGCTAGATGTGGAAATGGTGGTGTGTCTGTAGTCCCGGGTACTTGGAAGGCTAGGGTGGGAGGATCATTTGAACCTGGGAGGTTGAAGCTGCAATGAGCTGTGATTGTGCCATTGAACTTCAGCCTTGGTAACAGAGCAAGACACTGTCTCAAAAAACAAAAAAAAAGTATGAGAGATGAGAGAAGAAATAAGAAAGAGAAACAAGGTATTTGGTCAAGGAGTATCTTTCCACAGGATACTTATTAATTACAAAGGAAAACTAGTAAATTTACTGTGGAGCTATCTGGCAAATGCCAGTTTGACCAAGTGATCAAGTATAATAGCAGTAAGGAGACATAGTGACATCACCTGCCTCCTGATAAGATGCCCTGAGCTGGGCACACTGTTGCTTCTGTGGTGTTCTTGCCAAAATACATGAGCAAAATTTAATCACAAAGAGAATTTGGAAAACCCAAACTGGGCGAGTGCAGTGCTCATGCCTGTAATCCCAGCACTTTGGGAGGGGGAGGAGGGAGGATCACTTGAGTCAAGGAGTTTAAGAACAGCCTGGACAACATAGCAAGACCCTGTCCCCACAAAAAATAAAAAAGATAAAAATAAGTGGGTATAGTGGTGTATACCTGTGGTTTCAGCTACTTGGGTAGCTGAGGTGGGAGGATTGCTTGAGCCTGGGAGCTTGAGGCTACAGTGAGTTATGACTGTGCTGCTGTACTCCAGCCTGGGCAACAGCAGTAGATCCTGTCTAAAAAAAAGAAAAAGAAAAAAACCCAAACTGAGAGACATTCTACAAAATAACTAGTCAGTGTTCTTGAAGTGTCAAGGTCATGAAAGACAAGAGTCTGAGGAACTTCCCAAATTGGAGACTAAGGAGGGCCGACTCATAAAGCAGAGTGGGATTCTGGGTCATCTCCTGGACCAGGAAAGGGATGTCAGCAAAGAACGTGGCTGAGTGTGCATCCAGCCTGGGGAGTAGTTGAAAATATTGTATTAATTTTAATTTTCTGGGTTTGATGATTGTGCTGTGGTTACATAAGATGTTAGCATTTAGGGTAGCTGGGTAACTGGTATATAGGAACTCTTTGTACTACTTTTCCAACTTTTATGTGAGTCTAAAATGATTTCAATATAAAGCATTACAAAATTAAAAATGCTTAAAAAGTGTGATTCACAGACTCTGCACAGAATTTTTTTTTTTCCAGGATGGCGGGTAGGGGAGGGGTTGTTCATTAAAAGTGCAATTCCTTGGTTCCCACACTCAGATCTAAAAACCAGAATTTCTAGAGATGGGACCTGAGAAAACTGTGTTTTCACTCAATTCCTGTGTGATTCTTAGGAACACTAAAGATTGAGAAGAGGACGAACTCCTGTCTTTAACTCTGATAACATTTGAGAATGTCAGAAAAAGTTTATATTCTGGATTGAAAGTTAAAAGAAGCAACATATAATGGATTGGTTTAGCCACATATGCAAATTATTGTGAAGTGTGAGGTTAAAGAAATTAGGTAAAATCCCAGGATGTCAATCCAGATCATTCAAACTGACCACAGACAGATTAAAAAAAAAAATTGCAATTATTCAATCATGCTGTAATTTACCTTTCACAAAGCAGTGGCACTTTTGATGACAGCTGAAACCACTTGATAACATTTATCTCTTAGGTAGATTCCACTCTTGTTTTAAATCATTGACTGGTAATCTGGAAAGAAATATTCCAAGAATGGAGAGTAAATTTCATGGAAATAGTCCTTAAAAACATTTAGCTTTTTTCCTCTAATGTACACATTTATCAAGTGAGGGTTTTTGTTTGTTTGTTTGTTTTTGACAGAATCTAGCTTTGTCGCCCAGGCTGAAGTGCGGTGGTACAATCTCGGCTCACTGCAACCTCCGCCTCCCAGGTTCAAGCGATTCTCCTGCCTCAGCCTCCCAAGCAGCTGGGATTACAGGCGCGAGCCACCATGCCTGGCTAATTTTTGTATTTTTAATAGAGACAGGGTTTCACCATGTTGTCCAGGCTGGTCTTGAACTCCTGATCTCAGGTGATGCGCCTGCCTCGGCTTCCCAAAGTGCTGGGATTACAGGTGTGAGCCACTGCGCCTGGCCTATTAAGTGAGTTTTGTATCTAATTTGGGCTTTTGCATATTTCTTCTTGCCATTGGGTTATGCCTTGCCCAATGTGTTCTACTCCTGTTATTCTTCTGGGTATGTTTCTGTGACTTAGACTGCAGTTCTAAAACAAAATTTGAAAACAATTTGGTATATTGTGAACACGAAGTTAACCATAAAATTAAATTAACCAGTAACCTCTTTCCTGAAGTAGTCACAAGAGTATACTTCATTCATTGTGAAGTTAACTCTGTTTTTTATTGTTGGTGCTATTCATGTAGAAAGTGATTTCTTAAATTTTTATAAGTAAAACTTACCACTTAAATTTAAAAGAATGGAAGGTACATACCTCAGCTATCACCTCATTTTTACAGAACACTGCAGCTTATCGAGAAAGAATAGACTGTAGGATGTAAGAATTAATTATAAAAAAAGAAGAATGACTTAACTACATCTTCCCTTAAAATATGGTTAACTTTAAATCAAGGAAGATCTGTCTTGTGACAAGAAAACTGTACATTTTCTTGTCTTGTGACAAGAAAACTGTACATTATTCTGAGAGGAAGAATAATGGAATTTAGGAAAATAATTAACTCCAAACTTCTCTTCCACCTGTGAGTTGATAAGAAGGAGGAGTCAGTGTGAGTGACCCAGCTCCTTATTTTAGATATTTCTCCAAACCGAGAAACGTAGGTTCACTTGCATTCCCACATGAAAAGACAAACAGAAAGTTATGATAGGGTTGGCTTTTGATTCACATGAGGGTGCCACAAAACCTCTGTGCTTCTCAAGTTACTTATTTGTAACATCAAGATGACTGCTCTAGCTCAATCCCAGGACTTTATTGAAGAAGATGATGATAATACAAGAAAGTAATTTCAATATGTAAAAAGTGGCACCAAACCAAGATGGTGGAAATAATAGTAAAATTTAGTCCCATGCTATGACAGTTTATGTACTTGGAAAATGGAAATACTACTTCCATTTTAAGTGTTCCTCAGTGAAAAGCCTTGTTGGTATTTGGGGCAGAAAAAATATTCATTGTGTGGGTCTGCCTTTTGATTTGCAGGATTTTTGAAATTTTGACTTAATTTTTTTTGGAGACAGTGTCTTGCTATGTTGCCCAGGCTGGAGTGCAGTGGCTTCACAAGCACATTCATAGTGCACTAAAGCCTTCAACTTCTGGGCTCAAGCAACTCTCCTGCCTCAGCCTCTGGACTAGCTGGGACTACAGGCGTGCGCCACCATGCCTTGCTGATTTGCAGGATTTTTAATATCCCTGTTTACATCCTCTAAATGCCAGTACTAATTCCCATGCAACATATCAATTCAACTCACTCTTCCAGATTTGCAGTGGCCCTCTGAGGGGACAGTATGACCTACATTTGAGAACCACGGAAAGTATGTCAAAATGCTATGACAGACAACATTAATATATTGTGATGATGGTATGTTCAGTAGTTTTGGGGAAAAGGTTACAAAATCAAGGATAGTGCTTTAAATTTTTACTCTTTTGTTGTATGGAAAGTAATTTTCCTATATAAATCATTAGAATTACATATGATGCAGACTTTTGTTTAAAAGGACTTTCTATTTTAGAATTTTTTTTTTAGACAGGTTCCGACTCTGTTGCCCAGGCTGAAGTGCAGTGGTGTGATCATGGCTCACTGCAGCCTTGACCTCCCAGGCTTAAGCAATCCTTCCACCTCAGCCTTTTGAGTAGCTGGGACTACAGGTGCCCACCACCATGCCCAGCTAATTTTTAGTGGTGAGGTAGCAGAGAAATAGGAACGCTTTTACACTGTTGGTGATAATGTAAATTAGTTCAACCATGTGGAAGACAGTGTGGTGATTCCTCAAAATTTTAGAACTGGAGATACCGTTTGACCCAGCAATCCCATTACTGGGTATATACTCAGTATATACTTGGAGTATAAATCATTCTATTATAAAGATACATGCACGTGTATGTTCACTGAAGCACTATTCACGTAGCAAAGACATGTAATCCACCCAAATGCCCATCAATGATAGACTGGATAAAGAAAATGTGGTACATACACCATAGAATACTATGCAGTCATAAAAAGGAGCAAGATCATATCCTTTGCAGGGATATGGATGAAGCTGGAAGCCATTATTCTCAGCAAACTAATACAGGGACGAAAAACTAAACATTACACGTTCTCATTTATAAGTGGGAGCTGAACAATGAGAACACAGGGAGGGGAACAATACACACCAGGGCCTGTTGTGGGAGAGCAGGGTGTCGGGGGGTAGAGCATTAGGAAAAAGAGCTAATGCATGCTGGACTTAATACCTAGATGGCTCTTTTAGTTGGCTCCTGAGTTCCTTTGACAGACACCTCTCTCCCCTTCATTGCATGTATGTGTCGGATTTTTTTTTTTGCACTTCCTTTTGTCACTACAAGATACTTCAGCGGGCGCCTGTAGTCCCAGCTACTCGGGAGGCTGAGGCAGGAGAATGGCGTGAACCCGGGAAGCGGAGCTTGCAGTGAGCCGAGATTGCGCCACTGCAGTCCGCAGTCCGGCCTGGGCGACAGAGCGAGACTCCGTCTCAAAAAAAAAAAAAAAAAAAAAAAGATACTTCAGGCTCCTCTTGAGTAGTACCTGCCCCAGTGTTAGAATTGGCCAGCTGTCCAAGGAGCCCAGGACCCTTTTATTAGCAAATACTATCAGAAACCAGGACCTGGGATCTAGGTGTGCTTCTTGTTACTGGGCGTTACTGCCTCTAGACCCTCTGCGCTGACAGGGTAAGGCAATATGTGTGTACTAACCAGTGTGTATACATATATCCATAAATATTTCTATGTGTAACAATGTGTACCTATATTAAACTAAACATGAATTTATATTGAAGTTTCTAGTTCGAATCCATTATCGCATGGATCATTCTAGCTTCTTCCCTTGTTTATCTGTAAACTCCACTCCCAAAGTACTGGGATTACAGGCATGAGCCAACGTGCCTGGCCATTTTGTCTATTTTTAAACTGAGTTGTTTGTTTTCTGAGTTTCATGAGTTCTTTGTATATTTTGGATTCGAGTTCTTTATCTGCTGTATTTTTTACAAATATTTTCTCCCAGTGTGTGGTTTATCTTTTCATTCTCTTAACAGTGTCTTTCATAGAGTAAATGTTTTAAATTTTGATAAAGTCCCACCTATCAATTTTTTTGTCATGAATTGTACCTTTGGTGATATATATAAAAACTCATTACCAAATCTAAGATCATTTGTATTTTCCCCTAGATTTTCTTCTAGAAGTTACAGTCTTACATTTCATTTAGGCCTATGATTCATTTTAAGTTAGTATTCGTGAAAGGTATACTGTGTCTATGGTTTTTTTTTTTTCTTTTTGCCTATGGGTGTCCAATTTCTTCAGCATCATTTTCGGCAAAGACTACCCTTCCTCTAAGAAATTATCTTTCTTTCTTTGTGATGGTATTGGCAAGCATTTTGTAATCAAGATACAATCACAATCTGTTAAACTTTTTTTTTTTTTTTTTTGAGACCGAGTCTCACTCTGTTGCCAGGCTAGAGTGCAGTGGCGTGATCTTGCCTCACTGCAACCTCCACCTCCTGGGTTCAAGCAATTCTCCTGACTCAGCCTCCTGAATAGCTGGGACTACAGGCGCACACCACTATGCCTAGCTAATTTTTGTATTTTTAGTAGAGACGGGGTTTCACCATGTTGGCCAGGATGGTCTTGATCTCTTGACCTCGTGATCCACCCGCCTCAGCTTCCCAAAGTGCTGGGATTACAGGCATGAGCCACTGAGCCAGCCTAAACTTTTAAACTAATGTTTTGAGTGCGTACTCTTTCTCTCTTCCATGAACAAACATATAACACTCCCTCTCTCTGGAAGTTCACAGTACTTAGAAAGAGCACACATGTCTCTCATATGACCTTGAAAACAGTTCTAGTGGGATAGAAAGCCTTAAAGGAACAAAGTGCTTTGGGAATAAGGAACAGAGTAATCAATTCCAACTGGGCAGGATGTAGGGAATGGGTGGGAATATAAGGATGGATATTTATGTGATGTACATATAGTATTTATACATATCTGAAATATTCTAAGGATATACCAGGCTCAGAGCAATGGGATATCCTTGCTGGAAAAAAAAACAATTGAGAAGACCAGTGTAGCTGGATAATAAAGTAAGAGTGAAAATTACAAAGGTTCCAAATGACAAAGTTTGGAAAACCAGTTTGGTTGTTTGGACTTGGCACTGCACAACATAGGGAGCACCTATGAGTTCACACAGGACACTGACACGATTGGATCAGCACTTATGAATGTGATTGGGCAGAAATACCAGAGGCTACTGGAAGAGGGTCAAGATTGGGGAGCTTTGTTAAGAAGCCAATACAATTGTTCAGGCAACAGTCACGTAGGGCAGTGGCCGACAGAGCTGAGAGAGAAAGCAAGGACATTGGAAGTGTTAGAAAATGTATTGCAGGAATGGAACATAAAATCAGGCATTTTTAGCAATTTACTGTTTTTCTGCTATAATAATCTGTCTACACTGCCACCTATTGGTGAATAAACTTCCCATTCTAATGTTTCCCTGCACAGGAAGAGAAACATTTTACAGTATGTTGGCAAGAATGATGTCGATTTCTCTTACTCTCTCAAATCAGCTTGTCCCCAAAATATTTACTGAGCTCTGTTCAAACTATTGAGGGAGAATGAAAAGTGTATGCCCTGTCTTCAGGCTGGAAATGTTCAAGATATAGGCTGGGAGATAACCTATGCAACGCAATTACCTGCTAATCTGTTTAAGTGCAACGTGAGGTCCCAGAAGGAGGAATTTGATGGGACTGCTTTTACTTGCCACTGGCTGAAGAAGTGGTGAGGTGTGGATCATCCATAAAGAACACCCACAGGAGGCAAGCTTTAGATATGGTCTAAAGGGATGTCCACAAGTCCAACATATCTCAGAGAGCTTGTGACTTCAGACTCTGGTGGTGTTTCTAACAAACTGGCCTGAGAGTTCATTATCCCAAGGTTTAAGCCAGCTGTATTTTCTGAGATGTATGAGATGTTATGAAGGATATAGAAACATCTCCCCTCTTGAAAGCAAGTACTTGTTTGCAGGCAAAGGCCTTTCTGTGGTCATCAGACCACAGAAAAATACAGATCTCTCCAAAGAAATGAAAATGGTATTCACATCACTAGCAGAGAACTGAAAACCATGATCAGTTATCTGAGTGGGCTCAAACCGAGGAGAGAACCAACTGGCAGCTGGTCTCTGGCTGTCCTGAAATTTCTGCTGTGGTGCTGACTTTAAAGGAACCTAAAAATAAGTCTAACCTGTACATGTCAGTCACTAAAAGTGGTAGATTATTATTCTTGTCTTACGGTGAGCAAACGGAGGCTTGAAGAGAGTCCAATGCTTCCTTAAGGCCACACAGCTATTAAGTGATGGAGCTGGGATTTGAATCCATGTAGACAGACTCAGGGCCCATTTTCCAACTTCCACATTCGACTGCTTCCTCCACTCCACTCTCACTCAACAGCAGCTGAACGATAAAGCATTACTAAATTGCTGCTACCATGTACTATGACTGATTTTTATTATTGTAAGCACAGCCCGACAGTTGTTAAAGTATTCAAGAATATTGTCAATAGTTCATTTTAAGATGATTGTATATATTAAATACATAAATATTATTTTGTGTATCTTAATCATACTTATCCAATCCCTCTTTCACCTCAATACATGAATTATTGGAAATGTGTGCCTTGACTCTCTTATTTAGTGTGTCTTAAGATTTTGTTGCTGACATTTCAACATGTGTTATCTTGTTTCCCCTTTGAGATCAGGGTGGTGCCTTATAACTCAATTTTTCTCTGCATAGCATTTTACATTTAAAAGTTTGTGAAATACTTTTAAATTAACTTCCAACCTTTTACTTTTAAAAAAATTATTCCCAGTCACATGGTTTATGTGCACTCAGCATAGGAAAAATTTTTGAAAGTTTGTAATGATTCAGTTACCTAAGAATATAACAATTTTTTTATCTTCTGAGTATCTCAGCTCAAAAATATGAATAGAATACACTATGATGTACTTGCTGTAGAATTATAAATATTATCTTTTTCCTCCCACTTTAAGTATGCCACTTAGCTGATTCTGAGTCGTAAAAGTGATGTAAAGTAGCTCAGACTAAACATGTAAGAGAGGAAATAAACAGACATTTATAAATTAAGCTTTTTATAATTCCGGTATAATTTAGTAAACTCTTTCAAATTCCCTTGTGCATTTAGAGCGGCCACTCTTCACAGTGCCATCATCTGTGCTTATGTGTATCCAAGGCAGCTCTTCCATCAAGTCCAGACCAATGCCTCATTTGGCAGAGATTGTCAGTGTGGAATCAACAAGCAGTTCCCCTAAGGACAACTGTGTAGCATAAATATACTGCATAATTCTCTTCTTGCCTGTCCTTGATTAAAAGGGAAATATGGACAAGGAGTTTTGAACAAAGAGAAAGCAATTTCCTAATTTCCTTTAACGCAAACATATTTTCTCTATTTAATGATGCTTCACTGTAAAATATTTTTCCTAAGATGGTAAGAAATACAGAATAATTACTATTCAGCATATCAAACAAAAAGCTTTATGTTTTTTAGAAATTGCAGGTTGTCATAAAACCAGTTTGTTATAGGAAATAAGTTAGTTTATAAATATGCCTATTATATATTCCTTTACATTACAAATGACCCTTTTCCTTTTTCCCCTTTGTTTTCTTCTGTCAGTTTTACCACGTCATTGAATGTCACATATATATTGTATAAGTCACACACATAATGAAAACTCTGAAGAACTAGTAGTAGCTCTAAAAGGGAAAATTAAAAACATATTTGAAAAAATAATTTTAAGAAAGGGCTTAGTAAAGTTGGAGCTAAGCTGGCAACAACTGCATGAATTCAGGACCCTTAATATGTAGATCTTTGATGCCCCCACCATGTGCTCTCATGTGGAACAAACTCAGCCCCATCTCCAGTAAAATCTCCTCTAGAGTGGCCAGGTAAATGTCTCTCCCTGATGAAAAGCAACAAGGAAAATTAAGGCGTGCCTGGACACCTTTGTTGCTCTCACAGATGCTGTGGAGTGCCAAAAAGAAAGGAGACAGACCACAGGACTCCTGTTGACCAGATAGTGTTGAGCATCAAAAGAAGGATAAATGATATTGTGATTATTATTACAGATTCTTAATTTTACTCAAAAATGGAAAATTATGTGGTACAATAGAGGAGGAGCTTATGTGATTTAAAAATCATATTTAGAGAAAATGTCATATATTGTTCCATTCACACTATGCATATATTGGATAAAGTTTAGGTCAAATCAGGGAGCAAAAGATTAAGTAACAATCTTACAAATGGGGTGTGTTTGTGTGTGTGTGTGCATGCGTGGCATGCAATTCCATGAATATAGGCAGAAAAAACTGAAAGAAATTATTTAAAAAGTTGTGTCTGAGGTTGTAGTAAAAAGAAAAAGTTCAGAGTAAAATGTAACACACCAAGTTCTAGAGAGACATGGATGTGAAATATTTTATTGCTGTAAAAAGGGGCCTGATTCCATAAACTCTACAATATGGTTTAATCATCTTGGGAGTTCCAGGTTTTTATGTTACTGTCCTGACCTGTTCCTCTAATTCATAATTGAATCAAGCTCCTGATTTTCTATCAGATAACCTCAAATCAATAACCTAACCTAATCTAAAACAGGGCTTCTAACCTGAAACATGACTTCTATTTATTTTGATCAGAAAAATAGCCTTGTATCCAAGAACGTACAAAACATGTATACAGATAGAGATGATGATTTTTAAAAATTAAGTTTCGTAATGGTTAAAACTGAGTCCCCCTCCCCCTCCTTCTCCCCTCTTTCTTTCTTTCTTCGGTCTCCCTCTGTTGCCGAGGCTGGATTGTACTGCCATGATCTCAGCTCGCTGCAACCTCCCTGCCTCGGGCTCCCGTAATTCTCCTGCCTCGGCCTGCCAAGTGCCTGGGATTGCAGGCACGCGCCGCCACACCTGACTGGTTTTTGCATTTTTGGTAGAGACGGGGTTTCGCCGTGTTGACCGGCTGGTCTCCAGCTCCTGACCTCGAGTGATCCGGCCGCCTCGGCCTCCCCAGGTGCTGGGATTGCAGACGGAGTCTCGCTCACTCAATGCTCAATGTTGCCCAGGCTGGAGTGCAGTGGCCTGATCTCGGCTCGCTACAACCTCCACCTCCCAGCCGCCTGCCTTGGCCTTCCAAAGTGCTAAGATTACAGCCTCTGCCCGGCCGCCACCCCGTCTAGGAAGTGAGGAGCGTCTCTGCCTGGCCGCCCATCGTCTGGGATGTGAGGAGCCCCTCTGCCCGGCCGCTCTGTCTGGGAAGTGAGGATCGCCTCTGCCCGGCCGCCACCCCGTCTGGGAAGTGAGGAGCGTCTCTGCCTGGCCGCCCATTGTCTGGAAAGTGAGGAGCGCCTCTGCCCGGCCGCCTCGTCTGGGAAATGAGGCGCTCCTCTACCTGGCCGCCGCTTCTGGGAAGTGAGGAGCGCCTCTGCCCGGCTGCCCCGTCTGGGAAGTGAGGAGCACCTCTGCCCAGCCGCCCCGTCTGGGAGGTGAGGAGCGCCTCTGCCCGGCCGCCCATCGTCTGGGAAGTGAGCAGCGCCTCTGCCCAGCCACCCCATCTGGGATGTGAGGAGTGCCTCTGCCCGGCCGCCACCCCGTCTGGGAACTGAGGAGCCTCTGCCCGGCCACCCCGTCTGAGAAGTGAGGAGCGCCTCTGCCCGGCAGCTGCCCCATCTGGGAATTCAGGAGCGTCTCTGCCCGGCAGCCGCCCCATCTGGGAAGTGGGGAGAGCCTCTGCCCGGCCGCCCCATCTGGGAAGTGGGGAGAGCCTCTGCCCAGCCGCCCCGTCTGGGAAGTGGGGAGAGGCTCTGCCCGGCCGCCCCGTCTGGGAAGTGGGGAGCGCCTCTGCCCGGCCGCCCCGTCTGGGAAGTGGGGAACGCCTCTGCCCGGCTGCCCCGTCTGGGAAGTGAGGAGCGCCTCTGCCCGGCCGCCCTTTGTCTGGGAAGTGAGGAGCGCCTCTGCCCGGCCGCCCCGTCTGGGAAGTGAGGAGCGCCTCTGCCCGGCCGCCCCGTCTGGGAAGTGAGGAGCGCCTCTGCTCGGCCGCTCCGTCTGGGATGTGAGGAATGCCTCTGCCCGGCCGCCCCATCTGGGAGGTGGGCAGCGCTTCTGCCCAGCTGCCCCGTCTGGGAGGTGAGGAGCACCTCTGCCAGGCCGCCCTTCATCTGGGAGGTGAGGAGCGCCTCTGCCCGGCTGTCCTGTCTAGGAAGTGAGCGCCTCTGCCGGGCCGCCCCGTCTGGGAGGTGAGGAGCGTCTCTGCCCGGCCACCCCGTCTGGGAGGTGAGGAGCGTCTCTGCCCGGCCGCCCCGCCTGGGAAGTGAGGAGCACCTCTGCCCAGCCACCCCGTCTGGGAGGAAGTGAGGAGCACCTCTGCCCAGCCGCCCATCTTCTGGGATGTGAGGAGCACCTCTGCCCGACCGCCCCATCTGGGAAATGAGGAGCGCCTCTGCCCGGCCGCCCCGTCTGGGAAGTGAGGAGCGCCTCTGCCCGGCCGCCCCGTCTGGGAAGTGAGGAGCGCCTCTGCCCGGCCGCCCCGTCTGGGAAGTGAGGAGCGCCTCTGCCCGGCCGCCCCGTCTGGGAAGTGAGGAGCGCCTCTGCCCGGCCGCCCCGTCTGGGAAGTGAGGAGCGCCTCTGCCCGGCCGCCCCGTCTGGGAAGTGTACCCAACAGCTCCGAAGAGACAGCGACCATCGAGAACAGGCCATGATGACGATCGCGGTTTTGTCAAAAAGAAATGGGGGAAAATGTGGGGAAAAAAAAGAGAGATCAGATTGTTACTGTGTCTGTGTAGAAAGAAGTAGATATAGGAGACTCCATTTTGTTCTGTACTAAGAAAAATTCTTCTGCCTTGGGATGCTGTTAATCTATAACCTTACCCCCAACCCCGTGCTCTCTGAAACATGTGCTGTGTCAACTCAGGGTTAAATGGATTAAGGGCGGTGCAAGATGTGCTTTGTCAAACAGATGCTTGAAGGCAGCATGCTCGTTAAGAGTCATCACCACTCCCTAATCTCAAGTACCCAGGGACACAAACACTGCAGAAGGCCGCAGGGACGTCTCCCTAGGAAAACCAGAGACCTTTGTTCACGTGTTTATCTGCTGACCTTCTCTCCACTATTATCCTATGACCCTGCCACATCTGCCTCTCCGAGAAACACCCAAGAATGATCAATAAGTACTAAAAAAACAAACAAACAAACAAAAAAAAAAACTGAGTGTCAACTTGATTGGATTGAAGGATACAAAGTATTGATCCTGGGTATGTCTGTGAGGGTGTTGCCAAAAGCGATTAACATTTGAGTCAGTGGGCTGGGGAAGGCAGAACCACTCTTAATCTAGTGGGCACCATCTAATCAGCTGCCAGTGAATATAAAGCAGGCAGAAAAATGTAAAAAGGCTGAGAGAAGAGAGACAGACCCTCTCATATTGTTTTATACTCAGAAAAGAAAAGCGAAACAAAAGGCAGGTAGCCTGGCGCCTAGGAACCAGACCCGAAACCAGGCCTGGGCCTGCCTGACCTAAGCCTGGTGGTTAAAGATCGACCCCTGACCTAACTGGATATGTTATCTATAGATTCCAGATATTGTATGGAAAAGACATTGTGAAACTTCCTGGTTTGTTCTGTTTCACTCTGACCACACAGCGCATGCAGCCCCTGTCACATACCCCCTGCTTGCTCAATCGATCATGACCCTCTCATGCAGACCCACTTAGAGTTGTGAGCCCTTAAAGGGAAGAGGAATTGCTCACTCAGAGAGCTTGGCTCTTGAGACAGGAGTTTTGTCCGAAGCTCCCTGATGAATAAACCACTTCCTTCTTTAACTCGGTGTCTGAGGAGTTTTGTCTGTGGCTCGTCCATCAGCTGCCAGTGAATATAAAGCAGGCAGAAAAATGGAAAAAGGCGAGACTGGCCTAGCCTCCCAGCCTACATCTTTCTCCTATACTGGATGCTTCCTGCCCTCAAACTTTGGACTCCAGAATTTTTCAGTTTTGAGACTCGAACTGGCTCTCCTTGCTCCTCAAGCTTGCAGACAGCCTATTGTGGATCTTGTGATTGTGTAAGTTAATACTTAATAAACTAATATATGTATATATCTCTATCTATCATCTATCTATCTATCATCTATCTATCTATCTGTCTATCTATCTATCATCTCTATCTATCTCCTATTAGTTCTGGCCCTCTAGAGAACTCTGACTAATACAGATTTTGGTACCGGGAGTGGTTCTAGAGGAACATAATATTAAGGATGGAGTTCTTTCGTTGGTTTTGGGGTTTCTGGAGTTGGTTGCTTAATATGATTAGATCTCAAAATGCTAAGGACTCTACTTCTAATAGTATGGAGAACACTGATAGTCCTTGGCATGAACTGTTTAGATAATTATGCAAAATAAATGTATTTGACATTCCTGATTCACTGCTCATGAGAGGCAAGGAGTTTAGTGACTCTATACATAATACCTTTGACCATATGTGGAGACCCAACAAACATAAAGAAGCTGGTTGCTTGCTCCAAAGTTCAGTGGACAAAGTGATGAAAGAAAATGAGGAACTTAGGGATTCTGTCTCCTGACTTCAGAAGCAGATACTGAGCCTGAAATCTACTAAGATTGCCCTGAATGAGAGCCTTATCTCATGTAGAGAAAGAGCTGAAATTGTGGAAAGACAGACACAAGCTCGTATCATGCGAGTGGCTGATCTGCAATGAAAGGTGCGTGCACAGCCTCACCAGGTGTTTACTGTTAAAGTGAGGGCATTGACTGCAAAAGAATGGGACCCTGCAACTTGGAATGAGACGTGTGGGAGGACCCTGACCCAGAGTTTGTAAACTCTGATGAACCTTTTTTTCCAGAAGAAACAGCTTCTCCATCCCCAGTAGTGGCAAAATCCCCTCCCTTACCCATGCTGCCATCAGCCTTTCCACCTTTGTGTGAGAAGATAAACCTTGTCCTGCCCGAGGCAACAGTGATGGCCTCCCCGAAGCAGTTTCCAGGCAAAATAATGTTGATTCTCCTTAGGAGCCAGCCCCAACACTCCTGTTTGTTTCCTGACCTATAACTAAAGTCCTCACGAGTCCCTAGAGGTGAGGTTGAGAGTGTGACCCATGAGGAGGTGTGCTACACTCGAAAAGAACTGCTTAAGTTCTCTAATCTATATAAACAGAAATCTGGAGAACAGGCATGGACATGGACATTAAGGGTATGGGATAATGGTGGAAGGAACATAGAGTTCGATCAGGCTTAATTTATTGATTTGGACCCACTAAGTAGGGACACTGCTTTTAATGTTGCAGCTTGGGGAGTTAAAAAAAGGTTCTAATAGTTTATTTGCTCAGTTAGCTGAAATATGGATTAAAAGATAGCTCACTGAGAGCAAGCTGGAAATGCCTGATCTCCCTTGGTTTAATGTAGAGGAGGGACTCCAAAGGCTTAGGGATATTGGGATGGTGGAGTGGCTTAATTACTTTAGACCTACTCATTCCAGCTGGGAGGGTCCAGAAGATATACCCTTGACCAATGCATTGTGAAATAGATGCGTGAGGGCAGCACTTGCATGTTTGAAGAGCCCTGTAATTGCTCTTTTCTGTATGTCAGATCTAATGGTGGGAACCACAGTCATTCAACTACAAAATTTAAATACAACGGGCATAATTGGATCCCAGGGAGGCAGGGGCCAAGTGGCAACACTCAACTGTCAAAGGCAAGGTGGGCGTAGCTACCATAATGGACAGCAGAGGCAAAGCGGCAATCGGAATAGTCTGACTTGTGTAGAGCTCTGGCATTGGCTAATTAATCACAGTGTTCGTAGAAGTGAAATTGATAGGAAGCCTACTGCATTCCTTCTTAATTTCTATAAGGAGAAAAATTCTAGGTTGAATGGACCAAAGACTAATTTGAATTATAAAAACAGAGAATCATGGCCTCTCAATCAATTTCCAGATTTGAGCCAGTTTTACAAACCCAGAACCCCTTGAATGAAGGGGAGGCTGGGTCCCCTTGAGGAAGGACCCCACTACATCACTGACAATTTAGGCAGTGAATTTTTTCCCCGCCCTTCCCCAAGGAGACCTCCAGCCTTTCACCAGGGTAACTGTGCATTGGGAAAGGGAAATAGGAGACCTCCAGCCTTTTACCAGGGTAACTGTGCACTGGGAAAGGGAAATGATCAGACATTTTGGGGATTACTGGACCCTGACTCTGAGCTGATGTTGATTGCAGCGGACCCAAAATGTCATTGTGGTCCTCCAGTTAAAGTAGGGGCTTATGGAGGTCAGGTAATTAATGGAGCTCTAGCTCAGGTCTGACTTACAGTGGGTCCCCAGACTCATCCTGTGGTCATTTCTCCAGTGCCAGAGTGCATCATTGGCATAGACATACTTAGCACCTGGCAGAACACCCACATTGGCTCCCTAACTGGTAGGGTGAGGGCTATCATGGTGGGAAAGGCCAAATGGAAGCCATTAGAGCTGCCTCTACCTAGAAAAATAGTAAATCAAAAACAATATTGCATACCTGGAGGAACTGAGGAGATTAGTGCCACCATCAAGGAATTGAAAGATGCAGGGGAGGTGATTCCGATTCCCACCACATTCCCATTAAACTCTCCCATTTGGCCTGTGCGGAAGACAGATGGATGTTGGAGAATGACAGTGGATTATTGTGAGCTTAACCAAGTGGTGACTCCAACTGCAGCTACAGTACCAGATGTGGTTTCATTGCTTGAGCAAATTAACACATCTCCTGGTACCTGGTATGCAGACATTGACTTGGCAAATGCCGTTTTCTCCATTCCTGTCCATAAGGCCCACCAGAAGCAATTTGCCTTCAGCTGGCAAGGCCAGCAATATACCTTTACTGTCCTACCTCAGGAGTATATCAACTCTCTAGGTTTGTGTCATAATCTTATTCTTGTGATGGTTAATACTGAGTATCAACTTGATTGGATTGAAGTGAAGAGGTGAGACTGGCCTAGCCTCCCAGCCTACATCTTTCTCCCATGCTGGATGTTTCCTGCCCTTGAACATCGGACTCCAAAGTTCTTCAGTTTTGAGACTTGGACTGGGTCACCTTGTTGCTCAAACTTGCAGACAGCCTGTTGTGGGATCTTGTGATTGTGTAAGTTAATACTTAATAAACTCCTATATATATGTAGGAGTTTATTAAGTATTATATATATATTTACATATATCTCTATATTTATATGTGTGTATATATATGTATATATCTCCTGTTAGTTCTGTCCCTCTAGAGAACCTTAATACAAGTTTATATTACCAATATTACCAATATTTTGGGGGAGATGTAGCAATGGATTTTTCAATTGTGACTTTTAAAATTCTGGTTTTAAAAATGTTTAAGAAAATCAACTATATTAAATATGTGATTGTATTTTGAAATGTTTAATAGGGTTTGTTGGTGTTAAATAAGGAAACTTCACTTGTTTAATTTATTAGCTAAGTTGTAAAGAAAATAAGTGCCTTGAGTTTCAAGGCTTAAAACAGCTTGTAACAGTTACAGTTTTAAAAACTTTGGATTACTTTAAACATTAGTTACTAAGTACCCATTTCTACACAGAAAACCCTTCCTTATATACTAAATAAATTAGCAAGTGTTACTGAGGGAATGCCCACATGAACACTTCAAGTTGCCTCTAAACTAATTAGCAAGAGGCAGGGCAAGCAGCATTTAGTTGGGGCAGTTAGAAAAGTAGTCAAAGATATGCAATGAACAAAGAACAAAAGCAAAGAGTGACTTAGCTATACGTAACCTGTTTATTTATGATAAAAGCACTGTGTTGAGGAACTAGATCCCTGAAGTTAGATGCTCCACAAAGATGAGGATTTTGTTTATTTTACCCACTGTGGTGGCTCCGCTGTGTTTCCACTGCCTGGTCCACAGTGTGCGTTCACATCATTTTTGTTGAATGAATAAAGGTGGGTTTCAAAGGACCACTTGCTTCAGAACTACCCAGAGTCCCTTAAAACGCAGATTTACAGGATCCTCCTGGGGGACTGCGTCCCCAGGGGTTTGGGAACCTGCATTTTTTTTACAGCCTCTCCTTCACATGGTACACAGTGTGAGAACCACTGAAGTTCAACCTCTTCACCTTGCTAGAGAGAAGACTAAGTGTTTTGCTCAGGGCCCCATGGCTAATGACAGCTGAAAGTAGACCCCAAACTGTCAGGCTTGAAAACTTCATTGCTTTGTTTATTTCCTCTAGCTTTCAACGTAGAGGAAGAGGGAAATAATTCAGCTTCCAGGTTTTGCTGTCTTTTGCTCCGGATAGATGGTTGATTAAAAAGTCCATTTGTCATGGTTTCAGTATCACTTATTCTCCAGCATTATTTCATACTGCATTTCCCCATCGTTTTTCGGACTAGTCCCTATTTTTTTATTTTCCAATTAAAATTAATTTTTGAACTGCCTGTCAATGTCTGTGAACTTCTAATGTTTTCTTATTTCACTTCAGTAGAGCTGTGAGAAAGCGTTTATTCCACCTAAGTAGGGCCTTCAGACCCTTAACCTGTTTTTCTAGGAAGACTCTTGTGGGTCTCCCTTGGTGGAAGCCATTCTCTTACACTGCTGTGTTTGCTTAGGAAATACCAGATTCCTATGCGTGCTTAACAGTGAAACGATTGGAAGAAGCAGTCTTCACCTGTGTAACAACTTCCTCAAAAGAGCTTCATCCAAAGGCACGATTTCACAGGGCTCCTGCAAAGCTTGCTTTGCTTCCCAATTTCTTAGGCATGTTGGACATGCCAAGCCTAGATAAACTATTTGAAGGAGTTGAGGTCATTATTCAGGATCTGTGACCCACAAGATTTCTTTTTGTAGAGTAATGTAACGTTGGGCACCGCCTAAGGAGTAATGGAGCCTCAGTTCCCTTAGTTATTCCTGCCTTTTTCCTTTCACCTGTTTGCACTTTGCATATGAGGAGATAATTAGTAGTCAATTGATTAGCGAGCAATTTCAACATTTTTCAATATACTTAACATAAAGCAATAAAGCAGGCGGCTGAAACAACTAAAACAACAACAGTTTACAGAGCGCGGTTTGATCAGAGAGGCGCACTTTAATCAGAACGACTGGCCTTAATTTCATTTTTTAAGTTGTTAACACTAAAACTCTTTATAAGAGTTCCCTAATTTGAAGAAAAATCCAGCCGGCTGCTTTTTTGGGCGCACTGGTCAACCTTGGCGATTTCACCTGGGGAAGCACTGAAACCGGCCACTCCCCCCAGGGAGGCCAGGGGAGCTGGGCGCGTGTCCCCGGTGCCCAGCCCCAGACCTCTTCCGCCCGCCGCTCCCCCACGCGGAAGAGAACGCGGTGCTGCGCCTAGGAGAGCAGGTCGGGCCTCCAGACCTGGGGCAGGGGCGGCTGGCGTGACGGCGTGGCCAGTGTTCCTGAGCGAGCAGGGGCTCGGCAGCAGAGCGCACCCCGCACCTTTGAGCCCAAGGCGCGGAGATCTCCGCTCATCCAGGCCGCACCCCGGCCCTGCTTTTTTCCGTCCGGACCTAGGCGCCGCGGGTTCTACTGACCCCGCCAGCCAGGGGAAGCCGTGACGGACCCCGAGGCTCGGGGGGTGGAGGCGGCGGGAGACAGAGCCCAGGGAGAACCGCCGGGGCGACGCGGCAGTTACCCTACTGGGTCCTCCCGGGGACGGCGACCAGAGAGCGAGCCCGGGGTCCGGATCCGAGGCAGGCGTTGCGCAGGGAGCCCTGAGACCCGCTGAGTCCGAGGCTGGTGCCCGCCCGGCCCAGCGCGGACTTCCGAGGGTCCCGCGCGCTGGGACACGCCCTCATCCTGGGGGACGACCCCGTGGCCCCAGGCACCGCCTCCCGTTCCCGCCCCGCGCCCCGCAGCGCTTAGGCTTCGGCACACTGAGGACCGAGTCCCAGTGCAGCTCCAGCCGACCCCCGGGACGTAGACAAGGGCAGGCGCGCGGTGAAGACTGCGGCCGGCCGCGTAGCCGCGCTGTGGTCCCGCTGGCCTTCTCTTGGGCCGCGCACCCTCCGGACCTGCGTCGGGATCCTCCCGGAGTCTCCCGCTCTCTCCTCCCGGCTTGCGAACATGCGGCCCCTTAAGCCCGGCGCCCCTTTGCCCGCACTCTTCCTGCTGGCGCTGGCTTTGTCCCCGCACGGAGCCCACGGGAGGCCCCGGGGGCGCAGGGGAGCGCGCGTCACGGATAAGGAGCCCAAGCCGTTGCTTTTCCTCCCCGCGGCCGGGGCCGGCCGGACTCCCAGCGGCTCCCGGAGCGCAGGTACGATGTCCCCATCCCGCCCCATCCTTTGCCCTGCGCCTGGGGCTCCGTGGATTCCCCTAGGAGCTGGGCGAGGCACTCGCTTTGGGAAGCCTGAGATTAGTACAGCAGAAAACAGAGCATCTCTGCAGATTCCCAGCTCTCGGAAAGAGGTCGTAAGCGAATTAGATTTACCACGGTTGAGAGTTAAGTAAAGAAATCCGGCTGGCAATGGGATCAGCTTTCTATGTCCCTTCCCAGGTGTAGGAGGACTTTTTGGAAATAAACTGGTAAAGCAGCTCAAAGACATGGGTTTCAGTCCCACCGACCGAGGGGTGGTGGACAGGTTAGGTCCCTGTCAGCACCCCATTTCTGGATCTTCCGGGGTTTTGAGAATTAACTAAGATTGCTGTCCGTAGACACCTGACCGTGCCAGGAATGCCCCTTTCCCCTCCCCTTTCACGCTGGCCGCAGCGAGTGGCTGAGGAAGCGCCAGTTTCAGCAGGCGGCGGCTTATGTTACTGGCACCTTTCCTAGATCATTTTAGAAGGGCAGCCGGCTGCTCCCAAATCAACTTTGGACAGTCAGGTTCCTGCTACTTAGATGCCCGAGGGGAGTGGAAGGAATGAGGGAGGAAAAAGTCGCTGCTCTAGAGGGTCATGAGACATCCACAGGCAGAGAAGTCGTGTGAATACGGGGAACACGGAAAAGCCCCTGGAAAAGGAGGTCCGAGGGGGCGGCCGGGCACTTGGGGCAGCGCTGGAGGGAGGAGGGCAGGACACGCAGGAAAGGAAGGTGGGGACAGAAGCGAGAAGCTCCTCACACGTTTCTGTTCACACCCAGCAAGAGCAGAGCAAGGTGAAGCTGCCGGCGAGGCTGGGACAGAAGGGCCCCTCTGCGGGGACATTTGGTGGCCTCCACCGGGCTTGGGAAGAGGAGAGGGCCTAGGGTGGCCTGGGGATGCCTCGCAGCTAGCGGCTGGCCGTGGGACCACAGCTCCTGATCCCTTCTCCTCAGGCTTTATGGCTAAGAAAGCAAACAAGGGCTTCTTAGTATGATTTTTCTTTCACAATAGTTGTGATATAAATATATACTTATTCACTCCACAAACTTTCTTCGAGTTCCTGTCTGTCACCATGCAGAGGGCGGAGGCCACCCAGAGGAGCAGACAGCAGTGTCTGCACTCTCCCACACACCTGGGTGTGGAAGGAGGCGCTGGTGCACACCTGCACTAAGTGAGCAGGGTGTCCTGCCCTGGGGAGGGGATGGAGAAGGTGGGAGGCTGAGGTGGGCTGCCCAGCTGGTGTGTGGACAACCCGGGCAGAGCCTCTCAGTCCAGCCGGCCACTGGGGAGCCCTCAGGAGGGGAGGGCACAGGGTCAGTGTCCGCAGCACGGCCATGCAGCAATGGTGCACACAGATCATGCACTTTGACTTAAAATTATTGTTAGCCTAAAATATTTATCTCAGAGAATAAAATGTCACTTTGGAATGTGAAAGGACTGGGAGAAAGGCTCTCAAAGTACAGAAACATGGAGGGCACACATTCATTCAGACCTTCTGTTTCATTCAACAGATCTTTTCTCTTTGATTCAGACAGTGAAGACTTACTGAAGTGAGTTACAAGGGATAAAACAATATTTTATTTATTTATTTAGAGACGGAGTTTCGCTCCTGTCTCCCAGGCTGGAGTGCAGTGGCGTGATCTCGGCTCATTGCAACCTCCGCCTCCCGGGTTCAAGCCATTTTCCTGCCTCAGCCTCCCACGTAGCTAGGATTACAGGCGCACCACCACGCCCGGCTAATTTTAATTTTTATTTTTTTGTAGTTTTAGTAGAGATGGGATTTCACCATGTTGCGCTAGGCTGGTCTCGAACTCCTGACCTCAAGTGATCTGCCTGCCTTGGCCTCCCAAAGTGCTGGAATTACAGGCATGAGCCACTATGCCCGGCCATAGTTAAAAGCGGCAACCATCTGAAGTTTTAAACAACAATATAGTCAGACAGAAAGTGCCCTGTGGGCACCCTTAAAGCCATTGCTTTCTGTGACTGTAGTTGTCTAATTTTTTGATTGCTATACTACATTCACAAGGGGAGAAAAGGGTGGCTCATGACATCCGTATCTGAGTCTGTGAATGGAGTACTTGCACATGGATCAGGAACAAACAGGGACATGAGAATATAGAGGACAAGGGCCTATCTGGATGTTCTCACGGGGTGCACTCAGCAGGTGGCAGGGGTTATCGTTCATTCAGGAGGAAAATATCTCGCAGGTCCGGGAGGCCAAGGACTCTCATCTCTGCCAGATGTGCCTGGAATGATGGCCCCATATTTCTGTAGTGACGTAATAAGCACCATCACCCAGGCCTAACGTACCTGTTCTAGGTTCAGAAATCTTTGCTGCCCCTGCACTTGCTCTGTCTGCCTTTTTCTGTAGGCCAGGCAACTTCCCTAAATGCAGATGTGAGCTGGAGGTGGGGGGATCATTTCCAGGTAGAGGGAGTAGTAACCAGGAAACCCTGAGGCAGGAGGGACCAGACAGCATGCCCCGAGGATTGCGGAGAGTGGGGGACTGTGTTAGGTTCCCAGGAACACTCCTGATTCACCGTCCTTGGCCCTCCTTCCTTCTCACAGCCCATTTGTTCGTGCCTGTATCCGTCCTCTCATTTAGCAATTTAACACACAGCTGAGGTCGTTGGGATGGGCAACATTGTTGACCATTGTGCTTGAGGAGCACAATTCAGTTCATAATTCCTGCCTGCGATGTCTCTCGAATCTGGGTCTTCCTTTTTAGTGTCCTTCCCACCACTCTAGTTCAGACCCTCTTGAGAGTTTTACGGTGACCTTCTCGATCATCTCCAACTCTATTAGTGCCCCTGACAGTGTGTCCTACTGGGATAAGAATTCCCAGTAACCTTCGCTCCTGCTCTCTCATTCCTCTTTCCTCCTCCCTTTGTCTTTGGTCACTGCGCCACCAGCAGGATGGCACAAACAAGGGACCATACCTCAAACCCTGCCAAAGGAAAGAAACATCAGAGCACTCACCCACTGAAAGGAAAACAGAATCAGAAGGCTGAGAATAGGGCCGTGGTGGGAGTAGAGAGGAGGTTCAGTTTTTGACAGAAAGGAAATTGGCTTGAGATGTGGGAGGCAGCAGTGTAAGGGTACTGTTAGCAACTATTGATGTATATGATGTTTCTTTTGCTACCTCTGCCTTTTCAAGAGATTTCAGTAAATGTTTACCTTATTTCTACAGGCTTTCTGGAGTCAGATTTGTGTTGTTGTGCTTGCTGTTGCTGTTTTAATATAAAACCTCACTGACATGGAGCTTAAGGAGAGAATGTGAAGGGGTTTTGATGAGGTTATGCTGAACAATGGCAAATCAACGTGCTTAATAAGTAGCATGGGGCTGGTCTCTTCCTGGTCATAAATCTGCTGTGGTTTCTCTTGATTTTCCAGGAAGGTCCTAGCTTCCTTGGAAAGAAAGGCAGATATTCAAGTCCTTTTGTGCCACCTCCTCTTACCTTTCGGCAGCTCTCAGGAGCTACTGTAAGTGCCTCTGTGCCAGTCCCAGGCTTGGTACCCCCTCCTTACAGAGGCCATTCTGCCTGTGCTTAACGCTATTCCTCCCTCTCCTGAAATGCACTTCTCTTACCTCTGCCTGCTGGAATTCTATTCATCCATCTAGGCCCCCTTCCTTTGTACTGTCTTTGCAGTTCGGTTATTTATGCGTTCAGATGCGTCTTAAACCATAAATTCACTTTGCAAATATCCCCAAAGATCTGATGAAAGTTAAAAAAAACTAGACATACTTAAATACTGCAGGGGCTTGCGTAATAGTGGGATTTTATTTGTACAGCCCAAATTCTCTCTATTGCAAGTCTGTGGCTATTATATCTGCCCACTTAGACAGTTATACCTGGTGAGTAACAATTTATTTCACATAAATAATAAAAAATTTTTGCTGCTTTGCATATCACCTGGGAGGGGGGTATGGATGGGTACTTTTTTTTAAAAATCATTTTTTGTTGTATATATTTAAAGTGTGCAACATGATATTTTGTTATATGTAGGCACAAGAAATGATTACTACAGTCAAACAGATGAACATAGCCATCATCTTCCATTTTAATATTTTTATTATGTTATTTGCAGGGTTACTTGAAGCTATTTATTTTACTGAAAACTGTTAGTATGGGGAGAGGTCAAAGTGAAAAGGTTATATATGATTTTTCACCAAGTAGATTTGGCAGGTTATATATATGACCAGACGTCTGTTGGGCATGGGGCTGCTAGCTAGCAGGATCATAAATACTCATTCTGAGATGCCAAAGCTAACTTAGAGGAATGAGTTTCTGCCCATTCACAGTATTTCTTGTAGGAATTGTGGCCTTTCTGCAGGAGCCTATTTATCGAGCTGCTAAGTGAGGAAATTCTGTGCAGAGGTCAACAGAATCACCCACTGTGGGGTTCTCTTTGCCTGAAATGACCCAGTCCCAGGAGACTACTTTCCAATCACATATTGGTTAGGAAAACCTAGGATTAAAACAATTCCTTTTTAATGGCAATTTTTTTCTTTGGCCTTCAGTTTTATTGCTGGAAATGACATTTGAGAGCAGATTTCTAAGATCTTTGTTGCTGTGTAGGAGGATAGAAAAACGTGGCCAGGTGATATTTCCTTCGACTATTTGCCATTGTAGAAAACGTCACAGTAGTGGGTAGTAAGTAGAGTGTCTGGAGTTTAAATATTTCTTATAACTCCATTTATATATCTAACAACATAAACTGCCAGGAAATAATAGCTACAATATTTATATCATACGTGAAAGATGTGTAGTCTTTTACATATTAATAAAATTAAAATTTTATTAAATGTGTTTTACTTGGAGTTATTGTTAGGCTTTTTGATTTGATGATATCGTTCATTGATGATTTCTTTCTCTGTTGAACACAGATAGCGTTTTTTTCTTCCTACAGCACACCTCACACTGAAACTCATATTAGTTTGATATTATATTATTCTATTTGAATGTGAGCCTCTTTAAGTTGAAGACTAGGGGTTACTCGGTTTTTAATATCCCATAGCCTACCAAAGTCATTGTGTAAATTCTTCTTTTAGGAAGAATTACTTTTTTCAGAAGAAATTGAATTTTAAAAAAGAAACTTTGCAGGTTTCTTTAACTTTGAAACTAAAATAATTTGAATTTTAAAATATTTATTTATTGATTTATAGATACATAATTGTGGACATATAGAATTAAAATTTTTATTTTCCCCAAAGCTAAAGCAGACCTATTGTCTTATTTACTTCCTACCATTATGAGGCATAAGCTAACTTTTTGGCATTTGGTTATATTTAGACAATACAGTATTTACTGTCCTTAATACCTTCTAGAGCAGTAGTTGTTAAAATGAGGCTCCTGGGATCATCTGTTTCAGAACCAGCTGAGAGGCAAGTTTCAAATGTAATTCTTGGACTTCACCCTGGATATAATAAATCTGTATGAGTGCAGCTTGTAGATCTGCATTTTAACAAACTCTTTGAGAATTCTCATGTACCTTGAATTTTTGGGACCATCAGAATTTTTTTAACTAAGGAGAGTGAGGAGGAGAAAGGTGGCATATTGGAATCTCTTGGAAAGTTTCTTCCAGATAGAGATGGTTTCTATCTGCCCTCCCCAAACCCAGCCACACTCCTCTGGTTCAGTAGCTCACTGTCTGCCCTCCCTCCATCCTTGCATGTACCCACAGCTCTACAGCTATACGTTCCAGTGTGTTTTGAAAGATAACCTGTGAAAAAAGGCTTCCTTGGTCTACCAGCTTTGGGAACATAACGATTAAGCCCCCTTTTTTAGAATCACTATACAAGCATGCTCTGGTTCGGATATTTGTCCTCTCTGAACCTCATGTTGAAATTCGATCCTCAGTGTTGGAGGTGGAGGCTAATGGGAGGTGTTTGGGTCATGGGGGTGGATCCCTCAGGAACAGTTTAATGCCCTTCCTGGGAGGTGGTGGGAGTGAGTTCTTGCTCTATTACTTTTCTTGAGAGCTAGTTGTTAAAAAGAGCCTGGCCCCTCCCCTGCCCCTTGCTCCTGTCAGGCCACGGGTTCTCTGCACACAGCGGCTCCCCTTCACTTTCCATCATGAGTGGAAGCAGCCTGAGGTTCTCCCCAGCTGCCGATGCCCAATCTTGAGCTTTCCAGTCACCAGAATTATCAGCCAAGTATGCTTTTTTTTCTTTAAAAATTACCCAGCCTCAGGTATTCCTTTATAGCCACACAAAACGGACTATGACAAAGCACTACGAAGTCCTGCAGTAAAGGAAACTTTATACAAATCAGTACTATCCAAATTTTTTTTAAATTAGGCATTTATTTGCATGTTGCATATCTAGGATATGAAGGAGCCCACTTTGGAAACATTGTTTCAGCCAATGCCTATAAACGAGCCCGACTTTAGCCGCTGGGGGACACCAGGAAAAAAAGACTGGGCTGCAGGAAAGCAATGAAGAGAGAAGGAAAGGTGAACAGAGGAGGGCTGAGGGACAGGGCAGGGACATGGCAAGAGAGTTGCTGAGACACGACCACATACTAATTGCTAGTCAAATAGGCACACTGTTATTTGGTGGAAAAATACCTGGAAACAAATTCAGTAAAACCATAAACTACTCATTCAAATTTAAATGCTGTTGTTGAAGAGTGTGCCCCATTCTGAACTTTTTTTTTTTTTTTTTTTTTTTTTTGAGATGGAGTCTGACTCTGTCACCCAGGCTGGAGTGCAGTGGAGCAATCTTAACTCACTGCAGCCTCTACCTCCCAGATTCAAGGAGTTCTCTCACCTCAGCCTCCCAAGTAGCTGGGATTACAGACACAAGCCACCATGCCCAGCTAATTAAAAAAAAAAAGTATATGTGTGTGTATATATATACGTGTGTATATATACGTGTATATATATATGTAGTAGAGACAGGGTTTTGCCATGTTGGCCAGGCTGGTCTTGAACTCCTGACCTCAAGTGATCCACCTGCCTCAGCCTCCCAAAGTGCTGGGATTACAGGAGTGAGCCACTGCATCAGGCCCCAGTATGAACATTTTATACTTCTTCTTCTTTTTTTTTTTTTTTTCAGACATAGTCTCACTCTGGTTGCCCAGGCTGGAGTGCAGTGGTTCAATCTCAGCTCACTGCAGCCTCGACCTCCCACCTCAGCCTCCCAAGTAGCTGGGACTACAGGCACATGCCACCACACCCAGTAATTTTTTTGTGTTTTTAGTAGAGATGGGTTTCGCTACATTGCCCAGGCTGGTCTCAAACTCCTGACCTCAAGTGATCTGCAGTCTTTTGCCTTCCAGAGTGCTAGGATTATAGGCATGAGCTACCACAACAGCCAATATTTTATACGTCTGTTAATTCTACAGAATCCATAATTACTATTCATCTTATGTATGTGTCTACTCACGCTTGGTAGGCTCTGTTTTCTCTGTAAACATAAGGCAAATTATGTGAGCCAACCGTTAAAAAAAGTCTGATCTTTATTACATAATGGTTACATGTGAGAAAACAGGAAAACAAAAACACCGAAAATTGAAACCCCAAAAGGTGATTATTTCTGGCTGATAGTTTTGTAAAAAGTTTATTGACAGTATCAGATTGGCTATTGATCATTTCCATGAGACAGAAAGCACTGGTTCCAGGCTTGCTGTGGAATTGGGAAGGGGTGGATCTCTGAGTTCCAGGTATCTTGTCTGTGCCACAGGGAAGACCCCATCATGAGGCTTCTTGTGAAGATATAACAACAGAGGAGATGTGTGGAGCACCTGACCAGGCTCCTGGCCTAGGAGCTGCAGGCAGGCGGCTTCTTACTCTCTCCAAGCACCACCCGGGCATCAGCCATGGTGAACCTGAAAAGATGAATATCATCATGACTGCTTCAAAGCTTGGTTATATTTGTTTATAGGAGATTTTCTATTGCCAGCATATATGCCTGATGCTGAGAAAGGAAAAACAACAAGTTACACGTTGGGTTTGGAATACTATCTGTTTGTGTAACTTTTTCTTATAACTATCTTTTGTGATTTCTAATAGATTTGAAAACAATGTCTCTAACAGATTTAAAAACAAAGCAGGGTAGGAGTCATACTCTGTACTTTAAGTCAAAAGAATAAAAATTACTACATTAAAGAATTACTCATTACTACTGCATTAATTGATGGTGTTAAAATAGCCACACCTTAAAGAATTCTTTATAGATATAGCAAAAATAAAAGATACTTCACAAGAAAGAAAGGAAATGTAACACATAGGTTAGGTTATGTGCACAATGAGCAATAAACTTGCTTATCTCATTTGTTGATGAATTGAATTTTGGTTCAGTTGTGTTACTGTATCATTACTGTTGAGAGCTTTATCCATCCAATCTTTTTTTTTTTTTTTTTTTTTTTTTTTTGAGACAGAGTTTCGCTCTGTCGCCCAGGCTGGAGTGCAGTGGCGCGATCTCGACTCACTGCAAGCTCCGCCTCCCGGGTTCACGCCATTCTCCTGCCTCAGCCTCCCGTGTAGCTGGGACTACAGGCGCGCGCCACCACGCCCGGCTAATTTTTTGTATTTTTAGTAGAGACGGGGTTTCACCGTGTTAGCCAGGATGGTCTCGATCTCCTGACCTCGTGATCCGCCCGTCTCGGCCTCCCAAAGTGCTGGGATTACAGGCGTGAGCCACCGCGCCCGGCCTATCCATCCAATCTTCTAAACCCATACATATTCCATTCTTAGGAAAAACATTTCTTATGGAGTGCTTATTCTATTTTACTATCTAATCCAATATTTTACATTACTTTGGTAAAATTTTTAACATATGGTAATCAGATAGTAATTACACATTTCAAAAACATTCACAATAAGGTATTTTGAAATATACTGGAAAACTCTTGCTGCATAAAGAATTTCATCGCCTCATCTAGGAAACAACATGCTGTATGTAGAAAAAGTTAGTTTAAAATTGTTATAGAAGATTACAAGGAGAGATATAAGCTTTCTTGTAGCCAATTTTTGCATCATTTCCAGAGTATATAAAATATATGTGACTAGATCACCATTCCATGCAGGATCTACCACCATCCGTGTTTTAAAATGTACCTGGGATTTGTTTTAACCAGAGATAGTATGGACACAGACGCATGGAAATGACTATCATGAAGGAAGAAGTTTGTCTTCACGGGTCCCTAAAGACAGGAGCACAGTGCACCACACAAGGCCACAGGGGAAGCACCAGGGCGGGTCATGAGGAAGGAGGAACGGGGAAAATGTGGGCAAGAGGTTGTACTGTGATTACCACAGGAAAGCCAAGGCACGGCAGGGTGAGTGGGCGTAGGATTGGCTGGTTTGAATGATTTCGGTGGGCTCTGGCACTAAGGGCTGCCTCTAGTTGTCGAGTACCTGGCCCTGGAGCAATTAGGGCAGAGGAATGTTGGCCCAGAGTCAGAAAGCCCAGTAGAGGAGGTGGTGAAGGTGTGGGCTCTGCATTGGCTGCTTTGTAAATGAAAGGTGAGCTTGCACTGTTTCTTTACCTTGTCCTTTAAATTTATATATTCATTATCTGCTGCCTATCTCAGCTACAGAATCTCAATCTTGACCGTTTCCTTCCTAAACCTGTGTCCTGTCTCTGTGAGTTTACTCTCTCTAGGAATGGCTACCCTGAGAGGGACATTCTCTCCAGGGTCAGCAAAACCCGAAGATGTCAAAGCATTGGAAATACAGAAAATAAAAATGCATGGTTAATACAGCTCACAGGGCAAAATCCAATATCCTCTGCCAGCTTCACCTGTGTTCCAGCCCTCCATCGCCTCTTCCTGCCCATGATCCCACCGGGACTCCAGTTGACTCCAGTGGGCATTTGTCGGCCTTTATCTTTTTTTTTTTTTTTTCTGAGACAGAGTCTCGCTCTGTCACCCAGGCTGGAGTGCAGTGGCGCAATCTCGGCTCACTGCAAGCTCCGCCTCCCAGGTTCACACCATTCTCCTGCCTCAGCCTCCTGAGTAGCTGGGACTACAGGCGCCCGCCACCACACCTGGCTAATTTTTTGTATTTTTAGTAGAGATGGGGTTTCTCCGTGTTAGCCAGGATGGTCTCGATCTCCTGACCTCGTGATCCGCCCGCCTCAGCCTCCCAAAGTGCTGGGATTACAGGCGTGAGCCACCGTGCCCGGCCCTGTCGGCCTTTATCTTACTTGGCCTGCTGGATACTTTGCTGCAGTTGACCCATCTCTTCCTCGTTAAATGATTCCTGATTCCAGTTATTCTTGCTTTGTTCTACTCTTCTCTGACCATTCCTTCTTTCTCTCTCCAAACATCTCTTCTTCAGCCTTTAAGTGTTTGTGTACCCCAAGGTTCCATGCTTATCAATGGATTTTTCATAAAATCCATGAAAGATTCCAAAAGGTATCTTCTTCCTTTTTCTTTACCTTGTCCTTTAAATTCGTATACTCCTTATCTGCTGAATATCTCAGCTACAGAATCTCAAACTTGACCCTTTTCTACCTAAACCTGTGTTCTGCCTTCAAACTTGCTCTCTGTTCTTTATTTCTGGTCAAAGTAAAGGCAAGTTTTTGATTGTTAGAGATTGTGCTTCTAGGGTGGTTAATTTACTGCTGGATTAACAGCCCTCTGGAGTTTCCCAGTTGCTTTGTTTGTTGATAAATGTCACTGCCTAATCCAAGAACATTATTAGGGCTTGATCCTGTGTTTTCCGCAAGTACCAATCTATTGTCATTTGGTTGTCATTCTTAATAACTGATTACACATAAAAATCTTATCACGGTGTGAAATGTGGCACATCTATTTGTTTTTGAAATGTTTTAGCTTTTTTGTGTGTGTGTGACGGAGCTTCACTCTTGTTGCCCAGGCTGGAGTGCAATGGTGCGATCTCGGTTCACTGCAACCTCCACCTCCCGGATTCAAGCGATTCCCCTGCCTCAGCCTCCCGAGTAGCTGGGATTACAGGCATGCGCCACCATGCCCAGCTAATTTTTGTATTTTTAGTAGAGACGGGGTTTCTCCATGTTGGTCAGGCTGGTTTCGAACTCCCGACCACAGGTGATCTGCCCGCCTCGGCCTCCCAAAATGCTGGGATTACAGGCATGAGCCACTGCACCCGGCCCTGTTTTAGCATTTTTATAAGAATCTCGTTTATCTTTTTAAGTGTCTATGGAAATGATAATTTTAAATCTGGAAGGGGGATTAACTAGATTAAACCAGAAACTGAATAAATCATTTTCATGAGATCAGTCTTCAGATGAAATTGCTAAAATTTAAATTAAACATGAATTGTTCTGTGGTTTAAAACAAGAAAAGAATCTACTTTATAACATGATTTTGTATTTTTTCAAGTTTTCTGGACTTATTTAATATTTTGTCCTTTTGTGAATATGCAATCTAATGTTAGAATTTTATCATAATATTGTATAATATAGGAGGACTTTGAAAGGACTTTAGAGATTATTTAATTTGTCTACCTGAATTTATAAAAGAAACCCAAGGCATCTTTGGCGGTCTGGCTGGACACAGAATTTTACTTTGGCTGAGAAGGCAAAGCATGACTGTCCAGTCCTAAGAGAGGACATAGGGCACAGTTGAGTACAGAGTCTGATTTGATATGACTATGTGTTTGAAGTCAGATCATTTAAAATAAATTTTATGAAGTTCTTATAATCAGTGAAATGTTACAGATGCTGCACCTTCCAATTTTTTTTTAGAGATGGAGTATCACTCTGTCACCAAGGCTGGAGGGCAGTGGCATGATCAGAGCTCACTGCATCTTCTAACTCCTGGGCTCAAGGGATCCTTCTGCCTCAGCCTCCCAAATAGCATGGACCACAGTCATGCACCACCATGCTCAGCTCATTTTAAAATTTTTTGTAGAGATAGAGTCTCGCTATGTTGTGCAGGCTGGTCTCAAACTTCTGGCTTCAAGTGATTTTTCCACCTTGTCCTCCCAAAGTGCTGGGATAACATTGTGCCCAGCCCCCAGAATATATACCATTAAGTACCATAGTCCAATTTTAGAAATAATTTAAACACTGGATATATAAAAATCAAGTTGCTCACTTATACCGTACACATTTTTCCTTGCTCTGTCAGCTTCGAGGGGCTAGAAGCAGCCACACCGTAGTCACCAGGAGCACACCAAATGCCCTGATCTTGGTTTCTAATGCCATTCTCCAGTAAAAGAACCAGGGTTGATTGGAGAAATCCCTAAAACCAAGACTAGGACAGAAAATAGTAAGAAATAAGCCTAGAGTATCTGATAATGCCAGAAAGTTTTTAAAAAGTGATAACAAATACAAAGCAATAAAAATAACAACAAAAACTTACTAATGACAGAATCAAAGGAACACAGGAGCCAAGTAAAACATTTCATGATGGCCAGAGCCAGAACCATCTGAGACACAAAATAAAGAAAGTACTATTAGATTATAACACAAAATATAAAATATTCATCAGTCATTGCTTGTGTAAATAAATGAGTAAATAAATAACTGGAGGAGAAAAGACAAACCTCTTATGCGGAAGAATTCTAAATAATGCATGTAGATACTATGTCCTCAAAGAAGGGACACAACTCCCCAGTCCTCAAGTGTGGGCTGAGCATAGTGACCTCCTTCTGAGAAGTACAGTACGGGGCTGGGGGACTGGGGTGGGGAAGGAGTAGCTTTGCAGTAAGAATCCTGACACACAGGGACTCAGCCAGGAGGTCAAGGTCAACACCAGCAAACATAAATTACACTAAAAGTGTGCACCCTTCACAGGATGTGATGAAAATGGCATTTGCCTCGGTGGTCTTCCTCCCTAACACCCGTAATCTCAGTTTAATCACAAGGAAAACATCAGGCAAATCTCAAATGAGGGACATTCTACAACATACCTGACAAAGACTCCTCCAAATGCTCAAAGTTACCAAAACAAGGAAATTTTGAGAGACTATCACGGCCAAGAGGCGCCTAAGGAGACATGATGACTAAGTGCAATGTGGCATCCTGGGACAAAAAAGGACATCAAGGAAAAGTGACAGAAATCTGAAAGGAGTATGGACTTTAGTGAGTAAGAATGTACCAGTATTGGTTCACTAATTGCAAGAAATGTGCCATACTAATGTAATGTTAATAATAGGAGACACCAGGGCAGGGCATATGGGAATGCTTTGTATTATGTAATTTTTCTGTGCATCTAAAACTGCTCAATAATAAAAGACTTATTTTAAAAGTTTTATATCACTCTTGAAGGTGGTTGACATCTTCCAAAACTTTGGGTTTTAGTTTTAGGATATAAATACTGCCTTTTAAAGCTATTTGTCACAGAAAGAATAATTATAAATAAATAATTTATTTTTTCAAAAGCTACTTAGAAAATAAGAAAAAAATCCAAATAACACTGCTACAAAAACTTTAAATAATATAAATAACCTGGAGTGAGTGATGTTTTAAAAATATTTCTGGTCAGGCAAAGTGGCTCACACCTGAAATCTCAACTCTTTGGGAGGCTGAGGCAGGAGGATCTCTTGAGGCCACGAGTTCAGGACCAGCTTGGGCAACAAAGTAAGACCCCCTTCTCTACAAAAAGTAAAAAAAAAAAAAAAAAATGAATTAGCCGGGCATGGTGGCATGCCTGTTGTCCTAGCTACTTGGGAGGCTGAGGCAGGAGGACTGCTTAAGCCCAGCAGTTTGAAGCTGCAGTGAGCTATGATTGTACCACTGCACTCCAGCTGTGGTGACAGGGCAAGACTCTGTCTCTAAAAAAATAAAAATAAAAATAAATATTTTCTATTTTCGGAAGTTTTTCAGTCAGGATATTCTTTGTAGGTGGGTCTTTACAACTTGCATTGGCTAAATTGACTAGCTGATTTCTTTCACAGGAGGTTGTAATAAAACCTCACATTACAGAATATATTTATTTATATAAAAGTTATGCCCCATTGAAATTTTGTAAATAAGTCATGTTTTTTGATGTCTTGGTTAAATCATTTAAAAATAATTTTGAGCAAATTATTGTGAAAATAATTAACTTTTATAATGCAGATAGCTAATTCCAATTTATTCAGTGAATTCAGATTTCATACATTAGGAATTTAATTGTGTTCCTCTTCCTCAAAATACATTGAGGATCTAGTCCCCTAGTGCCTCAGAGTGTGGCCCTATTGGGAAATAGGGTCATTGCAGATGTAATTAGTTATGATGAGGTCATAGTGGAGTAGAATTGGCCCTTTTTCAGTATAACTGATGTCTTAATAAGATGATGGCCATGGGAAGATAGAGAGACACAGGAGAACTCCATGTGGCAATGAAGGCAGAGATTGGAGTGAAGCATCCACAAGCCAAAGAATGCCAAGGATTGCTGGCAGCCACCAGAGCTGGAACAGGCAAGGAAGGATCCTTCCCTCAAGACTTCAGAGAAAGCATGGCCCTGCCCACATCTTGATTTCAGACTTCTTGCCTCCAGAACTGCGAGATAGCAAGTCTCTGTTGATATAAGCCATCCCATTTCTAGAACTTTGTTATGGCAGCCCTACAAAACAAATACACAATATATGGTCGTTTCTGAAGGCAGAATCCGTCTGTACTTATTCCATATGTAAAGTTTGAGAAAGTGCTTGCAACTACTCAACTCTGTCTCTGCAGCTCAAAAGCGCCACACAAAATTATACCAATGGGAGTCTATCCAACATACTGTGTTCCAGTAAAATAAAAGTCTGACTGTAAGTCTGGGCTTGGTTTGCATTTCTAACATGCTCCCAGAAGATGCTAACACTGCTAGTCTGTAGAACGTAGCAAAAATTTAGAAGATAATAAGCAACCAATTTGAGTTTACTTTTTTATCCTCTGCGTAATTTACAGCCTAAATGGCATTTAGGTCTCATTAAACCACCCAGCTAATGTGTGTGTAAAAAAGAGAGTTACACACATACATCCCTCTATTTAAATATCTTAAACTGTAATAGAAGAAGCATGATATAAAAACATGTATTTACAAATATTTATACACTTACAAGTATATACTGGTACAGATGTTATGTAACTACATAAGGAAAGAAGAAGGCACACATTTTATGACAGTTTATTTTTAAATGCTTTTAATTTAGTATTTTTATGTATTTATTTATTTTTGAGATGGAGTCTCACTCTGTCACCCAGGCTGGAGTGCAGTGGCGTGACCTGGGCTCACTGCAACCTCCGCCTCCCTGGTTCCAGTGATTCTCCTGCCTCGGCCTCTCGAGTAGCTGGGATTGCAGGTGTGTGCCACCACGCCTGACTAATTTTTATATTTTTAGTAGAGATGGGGTTTCACCATGTTGGCCAGGCTGGTCTCGAACTCCTGACCTCAAGTGATCTGCCTGCCTCAGCCTCCCAAAGTGCTGAGATTACAGACATGAGACACCGTGCCCGGCCAATTTAGTATTTTTAAAAAAATATTTCTTGAATATATTTAAAAGTCAACTTTAATATATTTAAAAGGTCATACTAGAGTCGGCCCTTTTTCAATACAACTGGTGTTGTTAATAAGATGACAGCCATGGGAAGATACAGAGACACAGGAGAACTTCATGTTACGATGAAGGCAGAGGTTGAAGTAGCTTTTTCTACTATTATATATTTAATATATATACTATATTTAATATAGTATAGCTTTTTCTGCTATATATTTTACAAATTTGAATTTTTTGTCATTTTGAAATTAAATTTGAATTTTTCTCTGAAAACAGTTCTCATCTATAATTCTCTCAGTACTGCTGTAATAAAGGTAATTGTTCTTATTTTTGAAATGGGAACTTGTTATACAATGATTAGATTTATTAGTATTGATTAGTAATGAGATTAGTAGTGTCTTGTTTTTAAAATAAATAACTCAAAGAACTGTACAGCAAACATTTTGATTTAAGTACCTAATGTAATGCTAGATTGAAACATAAAATAATGTTCCATAGTACCTTACAAAGGACTGAGGATCAATTAACAAGGCTTGTCAACAGTAAATCATATCAGAACAAATTATCTTTATGGAAGATAGTCAAATTATATGCAGGTAGAAGCAAACAGTAAACATTTTCAATTATTTTGTTTTCTGGTTGTACTGCATTATATTTTTTATTATTTCACATGATCATGGCTCATTTTTAAACAAGAATATAAGAATAAGAGATAGTATGCCAACATATATATGTACATATATATGCACATCTATTTCTTTAAAAGATTTTGTAAACTTACAATTGAGGAGGGCTGCAGATGGCAACTGTTTTAGTAAATAAAAACTAGAAACTTTTACAAATTGGATGAATGAGATAGTCATTTATTCAAATTGTTCCAAGATAATGATCATGCATTACCTAGAGATCTGTTTGATTTTAACCCTCCCAAATAATGTAATCTTTTATATAATTGTAATTATATATCACAGGAATGAAGCATACATTTTATATTATTTTTTAATTGGCAAATAATGGGTACATAGTGATGTTTCAATATATATAATGCACAGTGATCTGGTCAGGGTCATTAGCATATCCATCTCAAACAATTATCATTTCTTTGTGTTGGGAACATTCAATATCCTCCTTCTAGCTACTTGAAATTGTACAGTATATTATTGTTTACTGTAGTCATCTTACAGTGCTATAGAACACTAGCACTTCTTCCTCATATCTAGTTGTCATTTGAAGCTTACATTTTATTTTATTTCTTCTTCTTTTTTTTTTTTCTTTTGAGACGGAGTCTCGCTCTTGTCGCCCAGGCTGGAGTGCACGATCTCAGCTCACTGTAACCTCTGCCTCCTAGGTTCACGTGATTCCCCTGCCTCAGCCTCCTGAGTAGCTGGGATTACAGGTGTGTGCCACCATGCCCGGCTAATGTTTTTGTATTTTTAGTAGACACAGAGTTTCACCATGTTGACCAGGCTGGTCTTGAACTCCTGACCTCAGGCGATCCACCGGCCTCGGCCTCCCAAAGTGCCGAGATTACAGGCATAAGCCACTGCACCCGGCGTAAAGTTACATTTCAGACTTATGCCGTCCAACACCACATCCACAAGCCATGAGGCTACTGAGCACTTGACATGTGGCTGGTTCAAACTGAGATGTGCTGAATGTGCAAAATACACCCTGAATTTTGAAAACTTAGTGCAAAAAAGTAAAGTATCTCATTAGTAATTAATATTGTTGAAAACAAGTTGAAATGGTAACACTTTGGCTATACTTAGTTAAAATAAATTAATTTTAATTTTAATTTTAGAAATGAGGTCTCACTATGTTGCCTGGGCTGGTCTCAAACTCCTGGGCCCAAGCGATCCTCCAGCCTCATCCTCCCAAAGTGCTGGGATGACAGGCGTGAGCCGCTGTGACTGGCCAAATTATTAAATTAATTCACACATTTCTTTTTACTTTTTGAATGTGGCTACTAAACATTTAGAATTACATGTGTGGCTCCCATTTATCTCATTGTAGATGCTGCTCTCTTAGAACATTTTCCATCAGAGAGAAATCAACTAGTTTCATTGTTTGCGGGGAGTTTTCTTTTTACTTAGTTATTTATATTTATTTATTTATTTATTTTGAGATGGAATCTTGCTCTGTCACCCAGGCTGGAGTGCAGTGGTGCGATCTTGGCTCACTACAACCTCCACCTCACAGGTTCAATTGATTCTCCTCCCTCAGCCTTCCGAGTAGCTGGGATTTCTGGCACACGCTACCACGCTAGGCTAATTTTTTTGTATTTTTAATGGAGATGGGGTTTCGCCATGTTGGTCAGGCTGGTCTCGAACTCCTGACCTCAGGTGATCCACCTGCCTCAGCCTCCCAAAGTGTTGGAATTATGGGCGTGAGCCACCATGCCCGGCCTGGGGTAATTTTCTTATATTCAGTTGTTTATTTAATATTTTGTGGATCAAAAACTACTGCGTGCATCTAGTCACTAAATGCAAATTCATTTTCAATCAGTTTTTTATTGAAAAATTAATACAGATTTATATTCAAAAAAGTTAAAAGTAATAAAAAGGGTGTGCATGGAAAAATATCTCTTCTCTCCACCCCAGAATTCTGCTCCCTGGCGCCTCCCACCATTTTAATTTGTTTTTACTGCAAATAGGAGTGTGCTGCAGGGCAGGCATTGGCAAACTTTCTTTAGAAAGGGCCACATAGTCAATATTTTGGGCAGATAATCAGTGTGCAAAGAAAAGTCAGCACAGAGACAAAGGATCTCTCAGCAAGGCAATCTTTACTTTCTGCAGAAAGGGTGCCCCTCACAGATGGAACAATGGCAACAATACACCTGAACAAAGGAAAAGCAGACATATTTATCCCTTACGCATTTGGTTTGTCCTTACTGCTGTGTCCTGCATCCATTGGCTGGAGCTGGACCTCACAGTCTTAAACTGATACCCGATTTGCTAATAACCTAAAATTTCCCTAAATAGGTAAGTGCAAGGGAGAACCAAGAAGAAAAGGAAGTTGCTTATGAAAGGTTTAAGGAAGCAATAACATTTCCAAATAAGGAAGGGGCATAAGCTATGAGCTAAGACTTGCCTGGGCCTGTCCAGACATGCCTGAGTAAGCCAAAGCAACTAACTGGGCTAAAGTATGAGAACTAATAGTTGATAGGAGGCTTTGGAGTAAGGAGCTATTATTCCTAGCGTCTATTATTTTATTTTTAAAGCAAGACGAACTTTAATGAGGAACTTTTCTGCTTTCTACAGTGAGCCATAGTATCTGTGCAACAACTACTCAGTTCTGCCCTTGTAGTGAAAAAGCAGCCACTGGCGACCCCTAAACAAATGGATGTGGGCATGTTGCAGCAGAGCTTTATTCACAAACACAGGAGCAAGCTGGATCTGCCTCAGGAGCTGTTGTTTGCTAGCCCCTGCATAGGCCAGTGCTAGTCAATACAGTTACAGTCACGTGCCACAAAAGGACGTTTCTGTCATCTACAGACTGCATATACCATGGTGGTCCTATAAGATTATAATACTGTATTTTTACTATTCCTTTTCTATGTATAGATATGTTTAGATTCACAAATACTCACCATGGTGTTACAGCTACCTACAGTATTCAGCACAACAGGTTTTGTAGCCTAGGAGCAATAGGCTATACCATATAGCTGAGTGTGCAGGAGACTCTACCACCAAGGTTTATGTAAATGCACTCTATGATGCTCCCACAATGGAGGAATCTCCTAACGATGCATTTCTCAGAACATATTTCCATCATTAAACAGCACATGACTGTAAACCTTTTAACTTATCTGTCTGCATCTATTATTTGCCCTCTGTACTGTAAACCAAAAAGTATCTGAGACAGGTCTCAATCAATTTAGAAAGTTTATTTTGTCAAGGTTAAGGATGCACCCATGACACAGCCTCAGGTGGTCCTGCTGACATGTGCTTAAGGTGATTGGGGTATAGCTGGCTTTTATACATTTTAGGGAGACATGAGACATCAATCAATATGTGTAAGATGTACATTGGTTGGGTTCAGTAAGGTAAGACAAGTTGAAGGGGGATGGGGGAGGGGAAACGGGTTTGAGGGGAAAGGGGTGTGTGCAGGGAGGGAGGTGGGTGTGGGGGGGGTTCCAGGTCAAAAGTAGATAAGAGACAAAAGTTTGCATTCTTTTGAGTCTTTGATCAGCCTTCCACTGAGTACACAATTTAGTGTGGCTCAGTGAATCTGCATTTTTACATAAACAATAGGGCAGAGGAAGCAATCATATGCATTTGTGTCAGGTGAGCCTCAGAGGGATGACTTTGAGTTCTGTCTGTCCTCCATCCACAAAGAATTTTCTTGTGGGCAAATCGTGAGGGATGTATGTAGCTTTTTATCTTTGTAACTATCTTATTTAGGAATTAATGGGAGGCAGGTTTGCCTAACATAGTTCCCAGCTTGACTTTTCCCTTGGCTTAGTGATTTTGGGGTCCTGAGATTTATTTTCCTTTCACAATACTTAGGCATAATTGTTTTTTATTATTAAAAATAGTTTATGCTGGGTTTGGTGGCTCGTGCCTCTAATTCCAACACTTTGGGAGGCTGAGGTGGGAGGATCGCTTGAGCCCAGGTGGTGGAGGCTTCAGTGAGCTGTGATCACACCATTGCACCCCAGCCTGGGCAACAGAGCAAGACCCTGTCTCAAAAAAACAAAATTTATTTATTAAAAAATGTTTGAATGGTGTATATAATTTTGTTTATTTTTATTGTATGTCTTTAGAGTATGCAGCATAATTTTTGATATATGTATACAGAGTGCAGTGGTTACTGTGGTCAAGCAAATCATATCCATCATCTCACAGTTGCCCTTTTTTTTTGGTGGTGAGAACTCCTGAACTCTGCTCTCTTAGTCATTATCCCATATACAACACATCATTATTCCCTGCAGTCCTTCTGCCATGCATTAGACCTCTAGACTTGCTCATCCTACCCATCTGCAGCTTTGTATCCTTTGGCCAATTCTCCCCATTCCCTCCCTCCCTCAACGGTCTTTTGAAAATAGCTTAACCGTACCATTCCTTTGCCTAAAGCCTTTTGACTTCTCATCACCCACAGAATTAAGCACAAAGTTTGTGTACGACTTAACTCTAAAGCCTACCTGCACCTGCAGCCTTGTCTCACCCACCTCTTCTTCAGCAGCTCTGGACATTTCCCCCAATACTTGAACACGCTGCAGTCTTCCCCATTCCCATCTCTTCTTACCTTCTTATCTCTGGCTTGTTACTTCGGGTGTCAACTTAAACACCACTTTTCTGTTTCAGCTAAATCAATCTGTTGTACATTCTTGTATTCCTATGTGATGTTTGTGTTTTGAAGTTAAAATTCAAGTGTATTGAAATTCTGGTTTTCTTGGTGGGCTGTACTGAGTACAAGGAGGCACTGATGTTTCCATTTGAGCGGTAGCAACCCTCTTGGCTTCCTATTCCTTGAACATGTGCCAGGTGCCTCTGCCAGCAAAGCCGGGTTGTACAGGGGGACAAGACCGCATCCCTTTCCTCAGGAAGCCATAATTGTGGGGAAGACAGACACACACGGTGCCCCATCATGCTAACCAGAATGTGACATCTGCTTTGATAGAAGTTATAAAATGTGCTATGGGGTGGAGATGAGGAGGGTAATTTACTTAAAATATGTAATTTTCTACACACCTGAGTGTCATCATTGTCACAGGGTCTAGAGATTAAAATTATACTCTAAAATGCTTTTGGAAATAGAATTATTTATAAAGTCTTTGAGCATGCCTTAACCACAGTAGGTGCTTCTGCTGTACTCAGCTCATTCATTTTTCAGAAAGCACCAGTGTAACTACCTGGCCCAAATATTGACACCACAGAAGCCAATTTGTTGTTTTTGGTTTCTGAGAAGTACAGGGGAAAAGACCTATGTTCGGGCTGGAGCATTATTGAAGAGAAGAGGAAAGGTTTATATGAAGTACTTTCATTTTACTGCTGCTTTGTTTTTCAGGATTAGTTTTAATTGTTTGTAAAGTGCAGGTGTTCATTGTCAAATGGTGGGGGAGCTCCGATCTCTCTGCATTCCTGCGCACCCACACAATCACGCCCTGAACCAGGCCCTGAACTCACATAAGGCTGCCCTGAACTGGGGAGCTCCCTGCACAGGGAAGTGTTCCCACGTCCCTCAGGAGCTCATGGCATGTAAGGAACAGTTAGAATCCCTGCATCTGCATTTACCAAGCCTCAGTCACCACTGCCTTGTGCTGGCGAAGTCACACTCATCACCGTGATGGCTCAGACTCTCCTAGAGGGGGATGACAAACCTTCACTTCCCCATTATATTCTTAAAATGTTGTAAGTTTAAATGTATACCTACCAACAAACCTTGAGGCTCAACTATTTTACTAAAGTTTAAGTTTTCTCTTCCTTTGAAAGAGTTGCACATGCTCCCGATTGTTTGTATAAATTGCATTTTCTGGATGGTGTAGTTTTAGTGAGTAGAAGGTAAAGCCTGAGATACAATTTTATTTTTAAATTTTATTATGTATTAAGTGCAAAACCTTCCAAGTGGGAGAGATCATGACTTATAGTATATTTCTGTTTGTTTGTTCTGGCTACTGGGGAGAAAGAAGATTATGGGGAGGAGAAGAGGGGTTAGGAGGCCACTGCCAAGGCATGGTCACAAAAGGACGATGGCTTGGGCCAGACTCGTTGAGGGAAGGAGAAAGAAGTGAGTGGGTCTGGAATAATTTGTTGAAGGTGAAATACATAAAACTAACTCATGGTTTGGGTGTAGGGGTGAGGGAAAAAGGAAGTCAAGCATAACTTCTTGAGCTGGGGCCTGATCAAGAGTGATGCCACTTCAGTCAGTCTTCAGTGGACTGAGGAACACGGGAGAAACAGGTCTGGGCAGAGGAAAAGGAGACCTTCCATTGCGGCTGTGCACTTTTGAGAGATCTGTAAGGTACCCTTCATGCCGTAGAGCAAGCAGTGAGTTGTACTGCAGTTTTGGAGCCCAGGAAATGGTCAGGGCTGGAGAAACCAGTTTGGGATCAGCTAAATAAACTGTCACAAATCCATGTGTTTAGTGCCTTATTAAGTAATTAGCATATTAAGGATATTTTTAAATGGGAGAAATGCATTCAATAAATTCTGATGGTTTTTTTTTTCTTTTCAGAAATATTCCCAAGAGACTCTAACTTAAAAGACAAATTCATAAAGCATTTCACAGGTAAGTACAAAATGTATCAGTGATTCCATTAACTAAATAAAAAGACTGTGTGCAGAATACTATGTCAGGCACTAGGGATATGAAAATAAATGTCTGTAGGGGACTCATGGTCCAGTTGGGGAGATGGACGGATGCTACTAACTTGTGTTAACTGTAATGTAAACCAGCCCTTAATAAGTAATAGAAGTATGAGCCACTTTTTAAGGATACACAGGAAGTGAATAAAGTGGCCAAGAACTACCAAGAACGGCTTGTAGTAGACACAGTATTTAAGGTGGGCTTTAAGGGATGAATAAGGCTTTCCCGTGGTGAGGGAGACCTTCTGTTCAGAAGGAGTGCATTGAGTAAGCCATGAAGACACCGGGTGTGGTTTAGGCAAGGACAGGTGTGCACAGACTGTGAGTGGGCTTAGGTAGGGACGTATTTGGCCCTGGTCAAATATGTGGCTGGAAAGGTAGGTTGGAGTCATGTTGTGGATAATCTTAAGTGGCATGCTAGGGAATTCAGACTATGTTCCCCAACCAGGTGGGGGTAGGGAGGGAGGGGGCAATATAAATTTTTTGAACAGGGAGGGACAGACTTTCATATGCTACATCTTTTAAAAATATATTTATTTATTATTATTATTTTTTTCTGAGACAGAGTTTCGCTCTTGTTGCCCAGGCTGGAGCGCGGTGGCACGATCTCGGCTCACTGCCGAGTTCAAGCTATTCTCCTGCCTCAGCCTCCCAAATAGCTGGGATTACAGGCATGTGCCACCACACCTGGCTAATCTTTTGTATTTTTAGTAGAGATGGGGTTTCACCACATTCGCCAGGCTGGTCTCAAACTCCTGGCCTTAAGTGATCCACCTGCTTTGGCTTCCCAAAGTGCTGGGATTACAAGTGTGAGCCACCACGCCCGGCCAAAAATTTTTTATTTTTGAGACAGGGTCTGGCTCCATCACTCAGGCTGGAGTTCAGTGGTGAGATCATGGCTCACTGCAGCCTTGAACAAATAGGCTCAAGGGATACTTCCACCTCAGCCTCCGAAGCAGCTGGGACTGCTGTGCCATCACACTCAGCGAATTTTTTATTTTCTCTAGATATGGGGTCTCACTATGTTGCCCAGGTTGGTCTTGAACTCCTGGCTCAAGTGATCCTCCTGCCTTGGCCTCCCAAAGCATTGGGATTATAGTTGTGAGCCACTGCACCAGGCCCACCTGCCACATCTTGAGCACAGATAAATACTGTGCCATGACACTATTTGGTTCTTCATATCAACTTTGTGAATCATTTGCACATTGTCCTATGTCCCAATTTCTAGCAAATCACTGAATTATTTTAAACAGTACATCCCCATATTTACTATTGGCATTGCCTCTCTGTTCCCAGTCATCCCAGCTACTTTTTTCTTGTTTTACACCTCAGGCCTGTAATGTGGGAAAGATGTGGTTTGCCCACTTAGTCAAGTCCAAGGGCCCTACCTGTTTATTAACGGAAAGGATGGTCCTGAGGATCAAGTGGAGATGCACCTGCAGGGCACAGGGATGTGTGAGGATGTTGAGCCTTTCGAGGCAGTTGTGAGCGACATGACCGTAGACCCCACGAGAAGCAGACTCCAGAGGGAGGGAGGGATGAACATTTTGTTGTTGTTGTTGTATGTGTATTTTTTTTAAGAGATGGGGTCTCACTCTGTTGCTCAGGCTGGAGTGCAATGGTGCAGTCATAGCTCACTGCAGCCTCCATCTCCTGGGCTCAAGGATCCTCCTGCCTCAGGCTCTAGAGTAACTGAGGTGGGACTACAGGCGTGTGCCGCCATGCCTGGCTCATTTTTCATTTTTATTTTTTGTAGAAACAGGGTCTTGCTATGGTGCTTAGGCTGTTCTTGAACTCCTGGGCTCAAGTGATCCTCCTGCCTTGGCCTCCCAAAGTGCTGGGATTACAGACACGAGCCATCCGGGATGAAAGTTTTTAAATCCAAGGGGCCCACCTTGGATTTAAAAGGGAGAGACAAGGGACTTCTCAAGGCCCTGCTCATTTTACAATTATCCTAGACAGTAATAAGACACAAATTATTATAATTAGAAAATGGAATAAATGTCTTGGCATGTAAACATTAATTGCTATTAAATAAAAACAGAAAGTAGAAACCAAAGATACTTATTGTTTGTACTTCTTGTCCACTCAATTTGCTCACTACAGACTTTTTATTTTCTGTCCAGAGCTTTTTCCTTCTAATTTTTCTAGACAGTTCTCCTAAATGTGAAGATTCCATTATTTGAGATATCGAGAACATGGAATGAATTTAGATTATTTTTCATAGACCACAACTCTACCTCCCACAGAGCCTGGGTAGGGGGAAGAGCTCTCAGGCACGTTCTTTTAAGGGTATGGAAGGATGTAAAGTGCTGTTGTATTATATCCACCCATAAAGTGCTAGGAAATTTGTTTGGAAAACATGCCTATGTTTATAATAAGCATTCTTTTCCTGTGCTCTAGGGCCGGTCACATTTTCACCAGAATGCAGCAAACATTTCCACCGACTCTATTACAATACCAGGGAGTGCTCAACGCCAGCTTGTAAGTAACTTGGGTGGGTTTTTTTTTTTTTAATTATCCAACAATAAATGCGTTTAATTTTAAACTTCAAATGTCTGTGGGTGGGAAGTAGTAGACTAAACATTGAGATTCTATTTATAACACTGATTTAGAACACTGACAGAACCTAAGGTTTGTGTGTACTGTTGCCACTGTAAGGAATGAAACCACATTCTAATTGGGAATCTACTCAAATCTGATAATAGCCAGATTTCCTTAAAGACTAAAGTGTTTGTTAGGATTTAAACATTTTATCATGATTCGAATTCCTTGGCATAAATAGGGTGCTGTCTCAAATAAATGAAAAAAATGAGATGACTGTGAACTCTAAGTAAAAATTTTTTCATAAGTTATTTTAAAGTAAATATTTTTTATAGCACATCATTTATATAATGGTGCTGGATTTTTCTGAGTAATGATAGCATGTAAAGGTTGCTATAATGAATTCTTTTGGATACTTAAGTTACTGAAGTTAATAATAATTCTAAACATAATATTTAAGTGCTCTCATTTGAAGTGCCGAAATTATGACTATGTGTGGTAACTCAGTTCGCTGTTTTTAAATTCCTTTCTAAGCCTCAACTTTCCTTTTAAAGAACATGAATTCTAAGCATTTTGTTTCTTTTTAACTAGATTGCTCATCTTGAGGAATATTGACTTTTACTCAGCATGTTAAGTTGTATTTGTTATAATTTTTTTCAAAAACAACTTTTAAACAAAAGGCCAGGAGTGTTGGCTCACGACTGTAATCCCAGCACTTTGGGAGGCCGAGGCAAGCGGATCGCTTGAGCTCAGGCGTTTGAGACCAGCCTTGGCAACATGGTGAAACCCTGTCTCTACCAAAAATACAAAAATTAGCCAGTCTTACAACCCGGCTTCTAAATAAATAAATAAATAAATAAGTAAATAAATAAATTAAAATTCCAAAATAAAATAAAATAAAACAAAACAACTTGTATTAAATGGCTAGAGAAATTTAATCACATTGGATTACAGGCAGAATGACTAATGGTAGCCAAGCATGGTGGAGAAAGCACGTGCTTTGGGATAAAGCTTTTGACTAGTTATGGGGTAATTAATTAACATTTTGAGGCTCTTGTCTCATCTCTAAAGTGAAGATAGGAATAGCACCTTCCCGATTGTGTTATTGAAAGAATTGATGAGAAAATCCATTTTCAGCACTTAACATAGTAGGTATTTATTAAACTGTAGTTATTGTTATATGAATTAGTGACAATAATAACAGGATTTCCCCAACATTTCTAGTAACTCTATATATAATTTACCTTTAAATGTTTTTCCTAGATTACAAAAGATGTGCTAGATTGTTAACAAGATTAGCAGTGAGTCCACTGTGCTCCCAGACCTAGCAAAACTACCCTGTGAGTATATATTTATTTTTCTTATCCTGTTTAATAGTCTAACTTTATTTTTAAACATTTTTTCCTTTTCTTTTTAGTTGACACATAATGATTGTACATATTTATGGGGTACAGTGTTACATTTTGATACTTGTATGCCTCAAACATTTATTCTTTTTTATATTGTGAGCATTCAAAACCTTCTTTTGCAGCTTTAAAAAAATATACAATGAATTATGGTTAACCAGATTCACCCTACAGTGCTGCAGAGCCCCAGAACCCGTTCCTCATGTCTCGCTGTAGTTCATATTCACTAACCAAGCTGCGCCTCCCCACTCCTCTTTAGCCTTTTTTTTTTTTTTCGGAGGCAGAGTCTCGCTCTGTCGCCAGGCTGGAGTGCAGTGGCGCGATCTCTGCAATCTCCGCCTTCCAGGTTCAAGCGATTCTCCTGCCTCAGCCTCTCAAGTAGCTGGGACTACAGGCACGTGCCACCATGCCCGGCTAATTTTTGTATTTTTAGTAGAGACAGGGTTTACCATGTTGGCCAAGCTGGTCTCAAACTCCTGACCTCAAGTGATCCGCCCACCTCAGCCTCCCAAACTGCTGGGATTACAAGCGTGAGCCACCGTGCCTGGCCCTCTTTAGTTTCTAATACCCAACATTCTACTCTCTACTTCTATGAGCTTTTTTTTTTTTAGCTCCCTCATATGAGTGAGAATATTTATCTTTCTGTGCCTGACTTACTTCACTTAACATGATGTCCTCCAGCTTCATCCATGCTGCCTAGAATGATAGCATTTCATTCTTTTTATGGCTGAATAGTATTCCGTTGTGTATATACACATTTTCTTTATCCATTCATCCATTGATGGACATTTAGTTTGATTGCCTATCTTGGCTATTGTGGATAGTACTGCAGTAAACATGGGGGTGCAGGTATCCCTTTGATATACTGATTTCCTTTCCTTTGGATAAATACCCAGTAGTGGGATTTTGGGGTCATATGGTAGTTCCATTTTTAGTTTTGTTCTTGAGAAACTTCCATACTGTTGTTCATAATGGCTGTACTAATTTACATTCCCACCAACAGTATATAAAGGTTCCTTTTTCTCTGCTCCTCACTAGCATTTATTTTTTTGTCTTTTTGACAATAGCCATTCTAACTGAAGTGAGATGATATCTCATCATGGTTATGATTTGCATTTTCCTGATGATTAGTGATGTTTAGCATTTTTTTCATATATTTGTTAGACTTTTGTATGTCTTCTTTTGAGAAATGTTTATTCAGATACCTTGCCCTCTTTTAAATCAGATTATCTGTTTTTTGCTGTTTAATTGTTTGTATACTCTGGATATTAGTCCCTTGTCAGGTGAATGGTTTGCAAATCTTTTCTCTCATTCTACATGTTGTCTCTTCACTCTGTTAATAGCCTAATTTTCTTAAGAAAATGTTTGAATAATGTCAGAAGCCAGGAAGCCTATTTTAGCAATACCCATGAACTTAATCTATGGATTTTTCACTAAATGTTAAAACTCGGTCCAAATGAAAAGACCGTTTTAATGAATTAGTTTAAAATATCCTCAACAGTGATTGAATTAAAATAGTTTTTTGACAACCTTACCAGCCCTGAGTGATTTCCAAAAATCTTTCAGCATTTAGTGTTATTTTATGATTATGCAGAAACATTACGCAGATAGGCATTAGATTAACAAAAGTACTTAGATGTTCTATTTTTTAACTGTCCAAAATAGATAATAAAAAAGAAACCAGGTCTTAAAACTTCGGTACAGTTTTGGTACTGTAGGTAGGAAACAGAGAGAAGATATTGTAATAATAAGAGAAAAAGCAAAGAATAAAAAAGATAATGAACATGTAGTTATTTCTTGCTCTAGCCTATTACTTTACAAGAGTGAAATGGTAAGTCAGAATTTTCATTCTGGCTAATTTATCGTAGGAGCCCTTGGGCAATAGAGTATTTGTACGATCCTAAATAAATTGAATGTAAATTGTAACATTTATTTAAAAAAGTAGAATCTATACAAAATACTGAAAGGTACTTATTTCTTTTCAAATATTTCTTTAATCAGTAGTTCTTTTGCAGTGTAGTACCAAGTCAACTTTTTTTGGGTCAGCATTTCAGTACCATGGACAAGTCCTTTTAAGGAAACGGGTTCCTCAGGTTGTGAAGGTGGGAATGAAAATCATAGAGGATGGCTGGGCATGGTGGCTCACGCCTGTAATCCCAGCACTTTGGGACGCCGAGGCGGGTGGATCACTTGAAGTCAGGAGTTCGAGACCAGCTTGGCCAACATGGTGAAACCCTGTCTCTACTAAAAATGCAAAAATTAGCTGGGTGTGGTGGTGCGTGCCTGTAGTCCCAGCTACTTGGGAGGCTGAGGCAGGAGAATCGCTTGAACCCAAGAGGTGGAGATTACGGTGAGCTGAGATTGCAGCACTGCACTCCAGGCTTGGCAACAGAGCGAGACTCCGTCTCAAAAAAAAAAAATGGTCATAGAGGACTTGTAGTCTAAGATTACTCATGAATATCTTGAACTGGCCAGTGTAACTCAATATCAATATATCCCACATAACTGCATGGAGATTTACTTAAACTATCTCACAGTTTTGTTGTGACAATTACTGAGACAATCTTGACCTATCACTGTTGCTATACTTAGTCTTATTTTAAAAGTGATTATTACACATTAATGATAATAATTAGAACTGTTAGTTCTGCATATCTACAGTTGCTAAATTGAAAACAATTTTTTTTAGATTAAGAAAATAAACTAGATTATTTTAGTGGCAAGATACTTAATTCAATTACTCTCAATCTACCTGTCTCAAAGCTTTTTTTTCTTTCTTTCTTTTCTTTCCTTTTTTTTTTTTTTTTTTTTTTTGAGACAGGGTCTTACTCTGTTGCCCAGGCTGGAGTGCAGTGGCTTGATCATAGCTCGGTGTAGCCTCAACCTCCCAGGGTCCAGTGATCCTCCCACCTCAGCCTCTCAAGTAGCTGAGACTATGGGCTCATGCTGCCATGCTCATCTAATTTTTTTTTTTTTTTTGGTGGCAACAGAGTCCCACTGTGCTGCCCAGGCTGGTCTTGAGCTCTTGGGCTCAAGTGATCCTCCCATCTTGGCTGCACAAAGTGTTGGAATTATACACATGAGCCATTGTGCCTGGCCTCAACTCTTTTGAACAATGCAAAACATGAATCAAGATAATTCACTTGGTTATTGAAATGACCTAAACCAAGTTATGTTTATCTCTTTCTTTGTTTTTAATATATTCCATGTAAATGAGTAAATTTACCTAAAGTCCTCAAACAACACAATACTGGAAAAGTTTTCCCAAACAAGTACTGTGTTATAATTTAAGATAATGTACACAAATTTACATTCTCCTGGGCTAGATCATAGAAGACAGAGCTGATAAACATGACTTTTAAAAATTATAGATTTTAGAGACTTAGTGATTTCTCTCTATAGGAGTTATCTGTGATAGTATCTGTTTTGAATTATTTATTTAATAAGGTTTACAATCAATACTACAGATTAATAAATGTTAGGGATATTTAATGAGTTGTTTACAAGATGTCAAGTTCTTTTCTGTTTTGGTATGTCTAGATATCATAAATCTTTAAGGGAAAAATCAATAATTAAAGTCTCTAAAAGTGCTGATCAACCTTCCTGCCCCTCTGCACACACATTAGTCTGCATTCTCAGGATTAGACTGTAAATTAGGAGTCCACAGAGTCTTTAAGCAAAATAAAACTGTTGAAACTGTACATATTTATAAGTATTCTAAAAACCAGGTCATAAATGATATGGCTCTTCTTTTACCCCCACAGACATTTCCTAAGAATGTACATCTAATTTGAAGAAAAAGTGCCTCAAATCATGCAAAATGTAAAAAAAGATGAAATTTATATTTTTATGGATATTAAGATGAGTAAAATAAGAGACTTCCCAGAAATAACTGGTTAGCTGTTTCCTGTCATAGAATGGAGTCTTTCTTGCTTTATCTTTTTGTGTATACAGTAATTTATAATTTTGTAAAACAGAGTTTGAATCGCATATTGAAAATTAGATATTAAAAATTGTGTGATTGTATTTTATTTTTACTAGATATATTATTTTCTTTATATGGTTAACATTCTAATTAAACATTTAATTGTGTAAATTATATCTGTGAGTGCCAGTGAGAAATAATGATTTTTTTGTATATGACTGTTAGTATATATTTGTCAAATCATCGTGTACCAAGTTAAATTTTATAATTCTTATTTAATATTTAAATACATTTATTTAGAACTTGTTGTCTTCACTTGCATTAATTTGAACTGTGAATTTTATTAAAGTTGAAATATGAAAAAATGTGTTGTTTCCTTTGAATTAAAGATGTTTGTAATAGAGGTTATGCTTTTGAAGTGTGATTACTATATAAGTATATGTGTATAAATATGTATTGTTTGAATTGATAATTAGAATCCTGAGACAATTTCTGCCTTTTAAAGTTAGAACATCTGGTATTGCTCTCTTAAATACAAAGAAGTCCAGTTGTTCTTGGACTGGCGAGCTGTACATCAAGGAGTGAGAGGAATGTATGGGTGGCCTGAATGCTCTGTTTAGAATGTAGCAGAATACTCTGATGCATCCAGGAAGTTTCATTTAAAAACAACAGTGAAAAAAAATCGTGACCCTACAACAAAACAATGGAGAACCTCCATCCCTTTAATTAGTAGACAAATCATGAGTTGCTTAACAATACCTAAACAGTGCAGTCATTGACTTTGTATCACTTGCCAACTGCTTGTGTTGGTGTCATGAAGACATATGTATCTCTGTGCCATATGGAAGCCATCACTTCAATTATGCAGTGCTTTTGGTCTCTTGCATAACTTCCAGACACTGTTTCGTGTCTCTTTGTGTATGTATGCATACATTGTCCTTTGTTCCTCAGAAAACCAAGCGAAAAAAATGCCCCTTGGCTTCAGGAATATTATGAAGCTCCATTCTCAATTTTTGGTTTCACTTATTTTGGTCTATGAGCAAAGATTTACAAATAATTATGTTTAAAAAATCTGAGGTGGAGGAGAAAATTCTGCAGTAATGCTATGTAATAATGAAAAAAGACTACTTTTTAGTTAATTGTACTTATCATAATAATTGTAATTCTATATCTGGGAAAATGAAGTAGTTTTTGATTATAAGTATCTGGGGAGCTGAGGGCTATTTTTATAAAGTGAAGAGGCTGTTGAATGATGATATAAAAGAACTTACTGGTGAGACATATTTGGCTGAAATACAAAAAATAGCCTAAAGGGGCTTCGTGATTAGTATGGTTTTAATAAGATAAATGATTTCAGATGCAATTCTATGAAATTAGATTTTAAACATTCCCATAGATAAGTAGTATGCCTCAGAAATGTATTGCATGCTATATATTTCTCAAAAACCCACAAAGATATATTAAATATTACTCCAGTTAAAATCATGTTTATTTTACTACATGATCCTCATTTTCTCATTGTATTAATGAGAAAATTTTCTCACATGGGCAAATGAGTGATTTAAATGAGAGTAGGGTAAAACATTCATGGTTACTTGGTAAAGTAATATCCACACATCAGAGAAATGATCTCATTGTCTAAGCAGCAAGCCAGGAGGTTAACAATGTTTTCGGAATATTTAGAGCTGCATCAACTAAGTGGGCTGTTCTTAACTAGGTACTTAAGGGATTTAGGCAAACAACCCAGTTAAGCTTGGAGCTGTCTGTATAATTACCTAACCTTCCACTTGACTTCTTACCATAGATCTTTTGGTTTGAAAGGCAAAATGCAGTTAGTAAAGCTAGCCCTTGACACATTCTAGAAGAGAGGAAGTGGGTTTTAACCTTGGGGTGGGGAGGGGAGGTGTATGTGTCTTATCATTTTCTACATGGTAAAAAATGGTTGACTGGAAAAACTAACCCTATCTAAAGTAGCCTTTCCCCACATTTTCTGGCTTAATTTGCTTAAAAATCATATATCAGTCTATGCAATCACACTTGATGGTTTCTTATCTACCTCACCACAATAAATGGTGATGAATTCTCTCTACAAGAGAAGAGACTGTCTTCTGAAGTATTTCTAGAGCCTACAACAATGCCTGGTTCCTAGTAGGTACTTTGTGTAGTGAAAGAATAAACAAACATCTCGTACTCCAATGAATGAGATTAATGAACACACTGTAACTGGTAATAAAAAGCAGACAATGACTTATGAAAACACTATTGAGCAGTTGTCTAGTGACTCATCAAAACTTTTAGGTTTTCTATGAAAACATTGTGTTTACCCACTTCATTTCTACTCCTGTAACTGCTTCAATTTGTCCAACTCATGGATTCAAAGAACCTTACACTGGCATTGAAACTCAATGCCTGTGGGCCAGGTGATTAACACAAGTGATTTGATTGTACCACAGAGACCCAATGCAGTCTGGGGTAGGGCAGGTTTGCAGCCCCACTGCATCTCACTGGCCATGCTGCTAAGTGGGAATGCAAGCTTCCTTCTGATTTTTCTAGGAAAACTGCAATCTGGATTTTCATGTGAAACATCTCAGTTTCTAAATGTTGGCATTTACTAGAAAAATTCCAATGTATATGCCAGCCAAATAAAAAATTTGGAGCCCTATTTGAGCCTATTTGGCTCAGAAGCTGCTATTATTTGACATCTGATGGACATTTTTAACTTGGGATTTTTTTCAGTTTGACTTCCTTTCATCCCCTTTGAAGAACTGGGATCCCTCTTCTGTCTGGTCCCTATGGAGATATAGTGGTGAGTTTTATATTTGTGCCTTGGCTTTGGCCTGGCAGCTCCCTAACACCCTGCTCCTGGGGAACTTTCTCCCGAGCTCCTGTTGTGTAGCCCCCAGCAAGGTAAACCACATCTCCATGTGTTTCACAGAACGCTGAGCTACTTCTTGATCCTTGACAAAGGTGAGTCTTTGCCTCTTCAGTGTGTGCCAATCATAGGTGGGGAGGTTGATGAAGGGAGAGAAGTATAGAGAGGGAGTGAGTGAGATAGAGGGGGAGAGAGAGAGAGAGAGAGAGAAGAGAAGAGATGGTTTGAGATAAATACACTGCTCTATTTACCTATCTGCATCAAGCCAGATGTATTAGTGTTCTCTTAGAGGGACAGAACTAATAGGATGTGTGTGTGTGTGTGTGTGTGTGTGTGTGTGTGTGTGTGTGTGTGTATATCCTATTCCCTATATATATATACACATCCTATTCCATATATATATATATATATATATATGAATTTATTAAGTATTAACTTACATGATCACAAGGTCTCACAATAGGCTGTCTGTGAGCTGAGGAGCAAGGAAAGCCAGTCCAAGTCCCAGAACTGAAAAACTTGGAGTCTGATGTTCGAGGGCAGGAAGCATCCAGCATGGAAGAAAGATGTAGGCTGAGAGGCTAGGCCCATCTCTCTCTTTTTCACATTTTTCCGCCTGCTTTATATTTGCTGGAAGCTGATTAGATTGTGCCCACCAGATTAAAAGTGGATTTGCCTTCCCCAGCCCACTGACTCAAATGTTAATCTCTTTTGGCAACACTCACACAGACACACCCAGGATTAATACTTGGTATCCCTCAATCCAATCAAGTTGACACTCAGTATTAATCATCACAAATCCACCTCTTGTCAACTCAAACCCATACATATCTCCTGAGATCATACATAATCTTCAAATTAAGAAAATAATGAGGTCATAATTATGCCTAACATAACACAACTATCCTTCATACAACAGGAAACTCACCAATCCCCAACCCAAATACTATTACATAAAGTTAACAATACTTAAATGCTGATATGAAGTCAGTAAATCTTATGTCACATGATAAAGGAAAAGGAAATAAAATGAGGATATTTTCTTAGTACAAGTGTATACATGAACAAACAAGTTTTTAACAAAAGAAGGAGGAAATACTCATGACCATTATAGTCCTCATTTCTGGAGCTGGTCACATGGTTGTAGCTGGTATTGATGACTATCTTCTTCTACTACCCATTCTGTATTCCCTTTGCCTTCAGCAAGCACCTCAGCAGGTCATGGTTTTTTTCCTGGTGGAGTGACCCAAACCTTCATTCCTGAAGTGTCTTGACCATTTGTACTCCTGCCTGGACTGAGCTGTTGCAGTTTCCCATTGACCTTAATCACAGGGCATGTTAATACTGAGAGATGCCCTAGTGAATCTCCTGTGTTCTATGCATACTCTTCCTTACCTCCATTACAGAGTAGTAGACAGTTTTCATCTTGATAGTCCGGATCAATCACCTCATGCAACACTGTAACTCCCTTCTCAGCCTGTTGACTTAAAGGTAGGAGGAGTCAAAGTGTGCAGGTGGCAATCTTAACTTCCAGTTTAATGGAATTGTTGTGTCTCCTGGTGGCAGCATTCCTCCCTCTGGAGCTAAGACCTCTAGGCCAGCAGAACATAATGTTGTGGGAACAGGAAGCAAATTTTTGCTAGTGGATCACTAGGGGTGATGGTGAGTGGCGCCACTTCCACTTCCGCCCCTTGATTCCTGAACCTGTGCATCTTGGCTATGGGAGAAACGGTACCGTATATTGGACATTGATTTAGAGCATGCACAGCTTTCTGGAGAACTTTGCCCCAGCCCTGCAAAGTATTGTTGCTTAGTTGGCATTGTAATTGTGACTTCAAAAGGCCATTCCACCGTTCTATCAATCCAGCTGCGTTAGGATGATGGGGAACATGGTAAGACCAGTGAATTCCATGAGCATGAGCACACTGCCACACTTCTTTAGCAGAAAGTGAGTGCCTCGGTCAGAAGAAATTCTGTGTGGAATACCATGATGGTGGATAAGGCATGCTGTGAGTCCATGGATGGTAGTCTTGGCAGAAGCATTGCTTGCAGGATAGGAAAACCCATATCCAAAGTAAGTGTCTATTACAGTGAGGACAAACCTCTGCCCTTTCCATGATGGAAGAGGTCCAGTATAATCAACCTGCCACTAGGTAGCTGGCTGATCACACCAAGAAATGGTGCCATATCAAGGGCTCGGTGTTGGTCTCTGCTGTTGGCAAATTAGGCAGTCAACAGTGGCTGTAGCCAGGTTGGCTTGGTGAGCGGAAGTCCATGTTGCTGAGCCCATGTGTAACCTCCATCCCTGCCACCATGGCCACTTTGTTCATGGGCCCATTGGGCGATGACAGGGGTGGCTGGGGAAAGAGGCTGAGTGGTGTCTACAAAACGGGTCATCCTATCCACTTGATTATTAAACTCCTCCTCCACTATGGTCACCTGTTGGTGAGCACTCACATGGGATACAAATATCTTCACAGTTTTGACCACTCAGAGAGGTTCATCCACATACCTCTTCCCTAAATTTGTTTGTCACCAATTTTCCAATCATGCTTCTTCCAAGTCCCTGACCATCCAGCCAAACCATTGACTACAGCGCATGAATCAGTATATAATCACACATCCGGTTATTTCTTCCATGTAAAGTGCACAACCAGGTGCACTGCTGGAAGTTCTGCCCAGTGGGAAGATTTGCCTTCACTGCTGTCCTTCAGGGATGTCCTAGAAAGGGGCTGTAGTGCTGCAGCTGTTTACTTTTGAGTGGTGCCTGCATATTGTGCAGAATCATCTGTGAACCAGGCCCTAGTCTTCTCTTCCTCTGTCAACTGATCATAGGGAACTTCCCATGAGGCCATCGGTGCAGGCTAAGGGAGAGAAGGCAGGGTGGCAGGAGTGGAGACCATGCGCATTTGAGCCACTTCCTCATGTAACTTATTTGTGCCTTCAGGACATGCTTGAGCCTGATCACATGTATTCCACTTACATTTGATGATGGAATGCTGCTGTGCCTGAACCACTTTATGGCTAGATGGGTCAGAAAGCACCCAGTTCATTATAGGCAGTTCAGGTCGCATGGTGACTTGATGACCCAGAGCCAAACATGCAGTTTCCACCAAGGTCCAGTAACTCGCCAAGAGCTGTCTCTCAAAAGCAGAGATGTTATCTGCAGAAGATGGCAGGGCATTGCTCCAAAATTCAACAGCCTGGACCTGTTGCAGAGCCTTCTCCTGTTCTGGACCCCACTCAAAACTGGCAGCCTTTCGGGTCACTTGATTAATGGGCTGGAGTAACACACTGAAATGATGAATGTGTTGTCCCCAAAATCCAAATAGGCCCACTAGGTGTTGTGCCTCTTTCTCGGTTGCAGAAGGGGCCAAATGCAACAACTTATCCTCACTTTAGAAGGAATATCTTGACAGGCCCCACACCACTGGACCCCTAAACATTTTACTGAGGTAGAAGTTCCCTGAATTTTAGTTGGATTTATTTCCTATCCTCTGGCACCCAAATATCTCACCAATAAGTCCAGTGCATTTGATACTTCTTGCTCATTGGATCCAATCAGCATAGTGTCATCAATGCAATGGATGGACCAGTGTGATATCTTGTGGAAGCAAAAAATGGTCAAGGTCTCTCCAAATAAGATTATGACACAAAGCCAGAGAGTTGATATATTGCCATGCTATTTACAATAGCAAAGACATGGAATCAATCTGGGTACCTATCAATGGTAGGTTGGATAAAGAAAATGTGGTACATACACAACCATGAAATACTATGCAGCCATATAAAAGAATGAAATAATGTCCTTTGCAGCACCATGGATGAAGCTGGAGGCCATAATCCTAAGCAAGCTAACACAAGAAGAGAAAACCAAATGCCACATGTTCTCATGTGTAGGCAGGAGCTAAACACTGGACACACATGGACAAACATGGGAACAATAGACACTGAAGATTATTAGATGGGGGAAGAAAAAAGTGGGTGTGGGCTAAAAAAACACCCATTGGGTACTAGACCAACTACCTGGGTACAATATATGCATGTAACAAACCTGCATATTTACCCGCTAGATCTAAAATAAAAGATGAAATTTAAAAAAGGAAATGCAAATTAATACCACAAAGGGATATTGTCATATGTCAGAATGTTACATAGTTTGTATATTTGTTCCTGCCCAAATCTCATGTTGAATTGTAATCCCCAGAATTGGAGATGGGGCCTGGTGGGAAATGACGGGATCACAGGGGTGGATTTCTCATGGATGGTTTAGCATGATAGTCTTGGTGCTGCCCTTGTAATAGTGAGTGAGTTCTCGTGGGACCTGGTTGTTTAAAAATGTGTGGCACCTCTGTCCCTCTCTCTTGCTCCTGCTCTGGCCATATGATACGTCTGCTTCCCTTTTGCCTTCTGCTATAATTATAAGGTTCCTGAGGCTTCCTCAGTAGCTGAACAGATGTCAACACCATGCTTCCTCTAAAGCCTGCAGAACTGGGATCCAATTAAACCTCTTTTCTTTATAAATTACCCAATCTCTGGTATTTCTTTATAGCGATGCAAGAATGGCCTAATACAGAATGGATATTATTAAAAAGTCAAAAAAGAACACATGTTGGCATGGGTGTGGAGAAAATAAAATTCTATACATTGCTGGTAGGAACATAAATTAGTTCAACCTCTATGGACAGTAGTATGGAGATTTCTCAAATAACTAAAAATAGAACTACAACTTGACCCAGCAATCCCACTACTGGGTATCTACCCAAAGGAAAAGAAATCATTATATTAAAAATATGCCCATACAGTATCTGTATCACAGCACTATTTACCATAGCAAAGTCATAGAACCAACCTATGTATTTATCAATGGTTGGATAAAAGATATATATATATATTAAACATATATTATATATTATATATATTATGTTATATTATACATATTATATGTATATATTATATTATATACATATTATATGTATATATTATATTATATACATATTATATATTATACATATATTATAGATTGTATAATATATGTAATATATTATTTAATATATGTATAATATATGTTATATAATAATATATGTTAATATATGTATATATAAAATGAAATACTATGCACCCCCAAAAAAGAATGAAATCATGTCTGTTGCAGCAACATGGATGGAGCTAGAGGCCATTATCCTAAGTCAACTAACTCAGAAACATAAAAACCAAATACCACACATTCTCACTTGTAAGTGAGAGCTAAGCAATGGGCACAAATGGTCATAAAGATGGAAAGAGTAGACACTAGGGACTCCAAAAAAAAGGAGGATTGTGAAAGGGTTAAAAAAATTACCAGTCGGGTACAATGTTCACTATTTAGGTAGTGGGTACACTAGAATCCTAATCTCCATCAGTATGCAACTTACCCATGTAAGAAACAAGCACATGTACCCCTTGGATCTAAAATAAAATAAAATAAAAAATAAAAGAGAATTGATGTTGTTAAAATGAGCAACTACCCAAAGCAACTTACAAATTCAATGCAATCCCTATTAAAATACCAATGGCATTCTCCACAGAAGCAAGAAAAAATCTTAACGTTTGTATGAAACCACAAATGACCCTGAATAGTCAAAACAATCCTGAGCAAAAAGGATCCTGAGCAAAAAGGACTTCAAAATATACTACAAAACTATAGTAACCAAAATGTCATGGTATCGGCATCATAGTACTGGCATAAAAACAGACAAATAGACCAATGTAATCGAATAGAGAACCCAGAAATTAATCCACATATCTATAATCAACTGATTTGTGACAAAGGTGCCAAGAACACTCACTGGGGAAAGGACAGTTCTGGGAAAACTGAAACTCCACACCCAGAAGAATGAAATGACCCCGCCTCTCATCTTATACCAGAATCAATTCAAAATGGATTAAAGAACTAAGTGCAAGTCCTAAAGCTATAAAACTACTAGATGAAAACATAGGAAAAATGCTTCAGGACATTGGTCTGGGTAAAGATTTTATGAATAATATCTCAAAAGCACATCACATAGCAAAAAAAAAAAAAACAAACCCAAATGGGATCATATCTTTCATTTTTTTCCTTTTTTTTTTAGCAGACTTTTTTAGTATCCAACAAAAGGGATTACATCAAACTAAAAAGCATTTGTGAAAAGTGAAAAGACAACCTATAGAATGGGAGAAAATATTTGCTATTCATTTGACAGCAGATTAATATTCAGGATATACAAGGTCTCCAAACATGTCAACAGAAAAAAAAAACCAATTTGATTAAGAGACGGGCAAAGTTTCTGAATAGAAATTCCTCAAAAGGAGACATACAAATATGGATAACAAGTATATGAAAAAATGCTAAACATCACTAATCATCAGGGAAATGCAAATCAAAACCACAATGAGGTATCATCTCCACCAGTCAGAATGGCTACTATTAAAAAGTTAAAAAATAACAGATGCTGGTGAGGTTGCAGAGAAAAGGGAACATTTACACCTTGAGGGTGGGAATGTAAACTAGCTCAGTCATTGTGGAAAGCAGTGTGGCAATTTCTCAAAGAAGTTAAAACAGAATTACCATTTGACCCAGCAATGCCATTTTTGGGTATATAAGCAAAGGAATATAAATCATTCTACCATAAAGACACATGCACGCATATGTTCTTTGCAGCACTATTCACAATAGCAAAGACATGGAATCAATCTAAATGCCTATCAATGGTAGACTGGATAAAAAAAATGTGATACATAAACACCATGGAATACTATGCAGTCATAAAAAGAATGAGATCATGTTAGTTTCAGCAACATGGATGGAGCCGGAGACCATTATCTTAAGCAAACTAATACAGGAACAGAAAACCAAATACCGCATGTTCTTGCTTATAAGTGGGAGGTAAATATCGAGTACCCATGGACACAAAGAAGGGAGCAACCGACACCAAGGCCTACCTGAGGGTGAAGCGTGGGAGGAAGGTGAGGATAAAAAACTACCTGTGGGGTACTATGCTTATTACCTGGGTGACAAAGTAATCTGTACACCAAACTCCTGGGACACAAGTTTACATACATAACAAGAAACGAAGTAAGAAACCTGCACATCTACCCCTGAATCTAAAATACAAGTTAAGGCCGGACGTGTTGGCTCATGCCTGTAATCCCAGCACTTTGGGAGGCCGAGGTGGGAGGATCACTTGAAGTCAGGAGTTCAAGACCAGCCTGGCCAACATGGTGAAACCCCATCTCTACTAAAAATACAAAAATTAGTCAGGCTTGGTGGTGGGCACCTGCAATCTCAGCTACTCTGGAGGCTGAGGCAGGAGAATCACTTGAACCCAGGAGGTGGAGGTTGCAGTGAGCCGAGATTGCATCACTGCACTCCAGCCTGGGCAACAGAGCAAGACTTTGTCTCAAAAATAAATAAATAAATAAATAAGCAAATAAGTAAATAAATAAAAGTTAAAAAGAATCTGACTTTTTAAAAATAAAAAAAATTGTAAAAAGTTTAATAAAAATATCCTGTTTAGTCTCTCTGAAATATAGAAATAAATACATAAAGAAATGTTTAGCTTTTTTATTTTATAAAATATATTTGTATACATGTTCAAAATTACTTTGGTTCCAAGAAACAGAAGCAATCTGATTTAGATTAAGCAAATAGAGATAATCTCTGAGTTAGTGGGGCAATCTTTGGGTTCAAACTTGGCCTCTGGAGGGATAATAATTGGAAAGCTCCTGGAACCTTAGCAGTGAGAATTTGCAGAACTTCCTCCAAACACATTGCCGTTGGTAAGATCCAGGTCTCAATATGCTCACTTCTACACCCATTCCAAAGTGGAAGTTCTCGGTAAGGAGAGTCTGACTGACTCAGACTGGATCAGGTGTTGACAGCAAAGAGTGGGCTTTTCCTAGGAAATAAAACTGCAGTCCACTTGCCACTTTGTCCCCTAGAGGGCAAACATTTCCAGCAGTCTGTCAAATGTTCCTGCTTCCGTGAAATACTGAACATCTCTTCAATCCATTTGCTTGAGTTAAATACCAAGAAAAGAAGATATAATAGGGACAAGAAAGAAGAAGGTGCCTTCTGTTTATTTTACTAATTCCACTGCATTGCTGATTTATCACCAGTGTGCCAAAGGGCCTTCAGTGGAATGTACTTGGTTTGCTGTAAAGAATTAGAATCTCACTTAATCATCATTTGGAGTTATGTTACTATTATTAAAACAGCAGCTTCCAAAATTAGAATTTTCGTTCTGCAGCTTTAAAATATTTGTGCAATGACTTAAAATATGAAAATATCAATACATGAATTTCTGACCTGTGTTCTAATGGAAATGACTTAACGATGCTTATTAGAGTAAAACCTAGACAATAACCATTTATTTTTGAATATGTAGCATGTGCAAAACATTAGGCTGCGCAGTTTCTTACGTTTGTTAATTTCATATGACTAGGAGGTAGAAATCATCAGTGTTCAGTCTCATTTTAAAGATAAAGGGATGGAAGCCAAGAGATTTTTAATAACTTCCTCAAATTTAAACAGATAACAAGTAGCAGAGTTAAGATTTAATCATAGGTTTTTTGACTCTAAGTATGACATTCTTTGGACTATATTACACTGCCTCAAATAGTATAAATCTTTCCAATTGGATCTGAGTCCGGTGGGTACATTTTCATTCCTGGGATGGACGTGCTGGTGTCTGTAGGGCAGATTGGACTGGAAGTGGAGTTCATGAATCAGCTTGGACAGAGAGAATGAGTTACATTTAAAAAAAATAACCCCAAAGTCATAACCAGAAAAGGCAAAAGCATGCAGAAAATCTTAGATGTGAGTCCAGGGTACAACAGAGACATAGGATTGGTATCTGGGAAAGTAAAGACAGAGTAGAGGAGTTTTGAAGAGGCTGTGGTTAAAATATTTAAGAGCTGGGCGTGGTGGCTCATGTCTGTAAACCTAGCACTTGGGAGGCCAAGGCAGGAGGACTGCTGGAGCCCAGGAGTTTATCAGCCTGGGCAACATAGTGAGACCCCATCTTTACAAAAAATAAAAACATTTAGCTGGATGATGTGGTGTGGGCCTGTAGTCCCAGCTACTCAGGAGGCTGAGGTAGGAGGATTGCTTGAACCTGGTAGCTCGAGGCTGCAGTGTGCCATGATCACACCACTGCACTCGAGCCTGGGAGACAAAGTGAGATGCTGTCTCAAAAAAAAAAAGATATTTAAGAAGCAGTGTGAGAACAGGAGTAGATTAGATATATTGAAGTGCACAGTTTAAAGGAACTATAAGGAGCTGGGTGTCTACTTTCTTCCTTTCCTCTGTACTTTGCCAAGCTGCACAGAACAAGGGCAGGGCTTCACTGAGGCCTGTTGGTGGGAGGCTGTGCTGTGCTGGCAGCGTCTGGGAAGTGACGTTCCAGATGTGCGCCCCCAGCCACAGGTATCCTACTGAATCAGGCACCAGCAACTGTTGTCAGTGGTACATGACATCTAGGATCTCTTGCTCCAACGATTTGGGTTATATTTTCCCTAACATGAGTATAAGACCCTTCTGAGTATGCTGTTTAGAGAAAGAAATGGTAAAGATCAGTGAGATGTGAATGGAATGGGAGTTCTAAGCTATATGATTTCAGATATCAAGATTATCCCCAATGATTGGTGTTTTAGATGGTGCAAAGTGGATTCCCCCTGACTGACCCCAACTGCCTTCAGGTTAAACCCATATAACACACAGCCTCATTCACAGACCAGGTAGTTATTCCCAGCTTTTCTCTCTCTCTGTCTTTGTTTTTTTGTAGGGGGTGGGTTTTTTTTTGTTTTTTTGAGATGTGGTCTGGCTCTGTCCCCCAGGCTGGCATGCGCGATCTCAGCTCACTGCCGCCTCCACCTCTTGGGCTCAAGCAATCCTCCCCTGGGCTACAGGCACACACCACCATGCCCGGCCAATTTTTGCATTTTTAGTAGAGACGGGGTCTTGCCATGACGCCCAGGCTGGTTTTGAGCTCCTGGCCTTGTGATCTGCCCTTCTCGGCCTTCCAAAGTGCTGGGATTACAGGCGTGAACCACTGCACCTCGCCAGCAATGCATTTTATATTGTCTTGGTGGATGGAGTTTCTTCAGGGCCCTCAGAAGGAATAGTACGCAGATCACCCCTAATGGAATCATAAGAAATACCCCATTTACCAGGAGTTTTGAACTTCTTTCTTTTTAATGCTTTAGTGATGTTCTGACATTTGACCTCAATGACTGTGGGACATTGCTGATTTCAAGCATCAATCATCCAACTGAAAAAACAATTAATACCACTCACAAAGCCTCAAGCTGACCCAATAAATCCCACATCCCAGATGAGATTGTATAATTTCAATAAACTTAGACAGATTGAGTCCCTTTTTCCATCCTTCTTGGCCTTACTTCTTCTTTTTTTTTTCTTTTTTTTTTTTCGAGAAGGAGTCTCCCGCTGTCTCCAGGTTGGAGTGGAGCAATCTCAGCTCACTGCAACCTCTGCCTCCCAGGTTCAAGGGATTCTCCTGCCTCAACCTCTCGAGTAGCTGGGATTACAGGCACGCACCACCCTGCCCAGCTAATTTTTGTATTTTTAGTAGAGATGGGGTTTCACCTTGTTGGCCAGGGTGGTCTCGATCTCCTGACCTCGTGATCTGCCCACCTCGGCCTCCCAAAGAGCTGAGATTACAGGCGTGAGCCACTGTGCACGGCTCGCCTTTCTTCTTAAGAATCTATTTCCACAGATGCCCCTGGGCATCAGTCAGTAAGTTTGGCAAAATTATCTCTTTCTAGAGCAAGTCTTATTTCTCCTCATCTGGGATAGTTGAGGATCTAACTCAAATAGGCCTGGAAGCAATGAGAGGTAGTGGGGTGTGTCCTGAGAAGAACTGTCATTCGTAAAACATTGTTTATAGGTGTATCATTGAAATACTTGTATTTTGAAAAGGACTGATTTCCTCAGTATAGGGGCGGTGGAATGAGGTGGAGAAGGGAATTTCAGTGAATTTAGATGATCAAATTTAACTTCATTCATTTCTGCCCATATGTCCCCATCCCATGACTCAGAGACCTGTGTCTTCTGAACAGAACCTTTATTTTAGCATGAGAAGTGAATGGGTCAAGCATTCACATGGTGTTGTAACTCTGCTAGTATTTCCAAGAGACCCTGGCTTGGTTACATCTCAGTTATTCCTACTCTGTGATTAGAAGTTGAGATACCTGTTCCATTGCCATGGAGGGCTTTCTGGTTCTCTATGAATGCACTCAATTGTATGTTCAGATTCATGTTCATGTGCAAATTTGAATTCGTGTTTTTACTTTTTAATTTTCTTTTTCTCCTGGTGTACTCTCCATGGTCATCAGGAGAAGAGGTGCAGCTCCACAGCCGCCATCCTTACTATTGTGTCCACAGTGTCACAGACACTTGATGGCTCAGTAACTTGATCTGCATCTATACATTATGCAGTGCCACCTGCAGTGACAATTTGAGTAATCCTGATGCTCTAGCATGTTGTAGATGACCTGTGTCCCATTTATGCCTGGTAAGAATCTTATTCTTGCATTTCTCAAATATACAAACCATGTGCTGCCCAATTCCAGAATCCATATTGGAGAGTCTGCTTCCTGGAGCTGTGATATGGTCAGGTTTATGTGTAAACTTGGCCAGGCTATGGTACCTAGTTATTCAATCAAACACTTATCTAGATATTGCTGTGAAATTGTTTTGTAGATGTGATTAAGGATATTGAGGTGGGGGATCATCCTGGATTATCTAGGTGGGTCTGAGGTAATCACAGAAGTCCTTAAGAGAGAGCAGCTGGAGGAGCAGAGTAAGTAGCAGGAGATGGGAGAGCAGAAGCAAGAAGCTGGAATGATGCAAGGGAGAGACAAAGAATGCAGGTGCCTCTAAAAGCCAAAAGGGCAAGAAAATGAATTCTCCCCTTGAATCCTCCAAAATGAATGAAGCCCTGTTGACACTTTGATTTTAGACTTCTGACTTTTAGAACTGTAAGAGAATAAATTTGTGTTATTTTAAGCCACTAAATTAGAGGTTGTTACAGTGGCAATAGAAAATAGATACAGACTTTGGTACCAGAAGTGGGGTGCTACTTCCAGTGTCAGTGACTCTATTTATCAGGATGCCAACAGGATATAGAAGGAATACTCAAAATAAGATAACTTGAAGGGGTTTATTTACAAAGGGACTATTTAGAAAGATATTGCTGTAGAAGAACCACAAGTAATAGTGCAAAAGTTAGGGACCTAGTACCTCTCACACTATAATGACTTCTATGGTGAAAAAATCAGGGCAGGGAGCACTTACTGGAATCCAGAGGAAGAATATTGTATGAATTTGGTTGCTTTTGGAAAAGGGACACTTGTAGGCATAGAGGAAGCTGAAGAAATAAGCAAACTGGCTTCACTTTCCTCCCTCCTGTGATTTCCTACTGTATTTGTCATGGTCTGAACCAGGGGGCATGGCTGTTGATGAAGTCACACACGCTGCCCCCTGGGACAAAGATGATGGTGGACAAAGATAAAGAGTAGATCTGAAGGGAAAAATAGGAGATTTTTAGTGCATCACATAATGCTTCTAATTACAGCCTTCAAATTGGGAATGACATATAAGAAATGAAATTACATTTATGTTTATAGTTAATTGTTCACAAAATAGTTGAACCAGAATTTGTTGTGTGTGTGTGTCCAAATATGTATTCTTCTTTATTCCTAAAATGATTTGCAAGAATATTTATATTTTGTTTGTATCTTGTGCTGACTACTCTGAAAAAATGAATGCCATCACTGCTGAATTGTTTAAATTCTGACCACAACCACAGAAACAGAAACCAGGAGATGGCAATCAGCCTTAAAGCTACCACTTTCAATAGCAAAGAGGACACAAAGACACACCCTCATGCTGTGTATGTTTCTAGGCCACCTGCTGTTTTCTCTACATGTCAGCCTTATGACCTGTACAAACCTAGTATGGGCCAAGCTGTTAGAACATTCACAGAAGTGAGAGAAAACCCCACACTTTCTGGCATCAATACTCAACTTAGACATAGGTAGTGTTAACAATATGCTACCTGTCTTCTGAATGATACAAAGACCTTAGAACATTTTTTAACTCCACTCACTTTTTACATGATGTCATGTAAGTTTTGTTTAGTATTTTAGTTTCACGTTTTTATATTCCCAAATTAGTCATTGTGATTGTTGGTACTTTGTTCAGCCAATGCTAGTTTACATTTTTCATATATTGGTCACAACATTTGGACACCATTGTTCCTTGCATCCCACTAATTCCTCTAGGTTTAATTTTCTTCCTCCTGAAACATATCCTTTACAGTTTTTCTAGTGAGAATCTGTGAGGATTTAACCTTCTCAGTCTTTGTTAGTTCAATAACATGTTTATTTTGCCCTTATTTTTGAAACAGATGGTTATAAACTTCTAGGTTGAGAGTTATTTTCCTTCTGCCTCCAAAGCAAAAAAGTATCTGTCCCAAATTGCTAATAGGGCTGAGGCCAAGAAACACTGATCTAAGGACATTATTTAAGGTATTATGTAAGAAAATGATCTAAGAATATTATGTGAGAAAATGTCTTCCTCTTGTATAATCTTGATTTTTCTCTGGGATTCTAGTATCATATTTTTGATCTCTATCTTTCATATTAAAGATGTTGTTTAGATCGGGGTTGGAAAAATACAGTTTGCAGGCCAAATCATGTCCATGGCTTATTTTTATACAGCTCATAAGCTAAGAATTGCCTTACACTTTATTTTTTTTCTTCTTGTTCTTCCTCTTTTTTTTTTTTTTGAGGCAATGTCTTGCTCTGTTGCCCAGGCTGGAGTGCAGTGGCACAATCATGGTTCACTGCAGCCTCGGCCTCCCAGGTTCAGGTGATTCTCCCACCTCAGCCTCCTGAGCAACTGGGACCACAGGCATGCGTCACCACAGCCTGGCTAATATTTTTGTATTTTTTGTAGAGACAGGGTTTCACCATGTTGCCCAAGCTGGTCTCAAATTCCTGGGCTCAAGTGGTCCTCCCACCTCAGCCTCCCAAAGTACTGGAATTACAGGCACGAGCCACTATGCCCACCCACTTCATACTTTAAAATAAAAAAAGACTAGGTGACAGAGGTGGTACTGTAAAATCTAAAATAACATAAAATATAAAACAAAAATGAGTGGGAGAAAGAAGAAGGTAGAAGTACAGGAAACACACAAGAAAATCTGAGGGTCCATCTACATTGCCTAACATCTGAATGCTAAGCATTTAAAGCACAGAAAAAAAGTTGAGAAGACAAAGTCACCAATAAAGTAACCCAGAACATGTTTCAAATGGAAAGATGTGAGTTTTTAGATTGGAAGGAATAACTAAGTGCCTAGTGACAAACAATTATGACGTTTAATAACAATGAGTGCATGGCAGAGGTTTTTCTCAACTTCTGGAGAGAAAAAACAATTTATGTCACCTACAAAGAATCAGGATGATTTTGGATTTCTTGGCAGAATACTTGAAGAAGGGAGACAAGGTAAAAACATCTTCAAGACTCTGAAGAAAATGATATCCTCCTTCAAATTCCACTCCTAATGAAACGATCATGTGTAAGGGGAAAACAAATATGTTTTCAGTCTTTAAAGGCTTCAACACTTACTGTCATGCTCTTTTTTTCTCAAAAAGCTATTGGAGGAGGGTGAGCTCCACCAAAACAATGACAGTAAGAGTAGAAGAGGAAAACATCACAAACAGGAAACAGTAGGTCCATCACAGAAGAGGGTCATGGGCATCCCGAGAATGACAATGAAAGAAGACCCCAGGATGAGAGCTGTGCCCTACAAGAGGGTGATCAGTCTAGATTAGAGCAATGTGACTCAAGAGACTGATACCAGGTGAAATGTTATTACTGAGATCTCAGCAGCAATTGCATTCTCTTTTTAACCGGAGGGCACGCACCCGCTTGCAAAACTCTGGCCAAGGGTCTTTCTCACCTTTGGCTTTCTTGACCTCTTGTTGATGAGGTTCCTGTAACCCTCTGCATAGTTCACCCGTTGGCTTCCCCAGAAGTGATTTTATAAGATCACAGGGTAGCTCAGTCCAGATTATAATCCAGAGAGCCTAAATTTTTATTCTTCAGGGGAACTTTATATACCGTGGGAAATATTGGCTTCTCTTTATATGGCTAAGTTCAATTTTTCATATGGTATTTCATTTTTCAAACCTGAGTAATATTTTATATAGGGACACAATCACAGAGTAATAAAACCATAAAAGAAAATAAATGTCAAGAGAGTGGACACCTCTGGCGGGGGAAGGAAGGAGACATAGTCGGAAAAGGGCCATGGCAGCCTTCTGAGGCTTTGTGACATTCTTTTATTTGAAGTGAGTAGCCTGTCAATGGGGGTTTACTATAATTTATTATTTTTTGAACAATTCATACATATTTTAAATTTGGGCCAAATAGGCTAGATATAGCCTAAATAGATATAGTCTCTAGCCTAGTTAGAGACTTTGTTGATCATTTGGAATTCATTGTTGACAATTTGGAATTTACGGGAGATGCAATCTTGGAAAAGTGGATTTTTGGAATGGTTTGATCAATTCGAGCTCCCTTTTTTGTGATATTTTTCATAATAGATTACAAAAGAAAGGATGATTTACATTCGATGTATCACCAAAAAGAAAATCAACTCACTGCTTCATTCAATATTGACTCTTGAGTGACTCCCATGTGCTGGCTTGCTGCTATGAGCAGAATGAGAAGATCAGAGAGTGGTCCTTTTCTTTAGGGAGCTCCTTATCTAGGGGAAGAGACAGGTATGTGACTTAATCAGACCATGTGTTCTAGCAAGATAGAGGATGAGGTAATGTAGAAACCCTCCTGTCATAGCTAGAAATGCTGGAGACCCAGATACTTTAAAATGCATGGTTGGATTTTCAGAAAGAAAAGGAAATTCTCCGGTGACAGAAGTAAAGAAATAACCAAAAATTAAAGAGATAAGTACACTAGTTGATGCTGTGGCTTCCCTGAGCCCGAGATTTACTGATCTCCCCGAGAGGGGCGTCAATGCAAGAGGGAGATTTGGGTCCATGCAAGGTGGGCAGTTATTTGAATACCCTTACCTAACTCATTAATTGAAACCATGAACATTTAATCTTAAAACATTACGACTAAAGAAACTAAAAGGGAGAATGTAGTGGAACTCAAACCAAGGTTCTGAATTTGGGCAAAAAGTGGCAAGACGTGCCTGAGGCAAACTTTTGCTTAGTGATCTGTGATCCTGCTGCTGACGCCTGTGGAATTTATGAGCGTTACCATTGTCAAGGAGTGCAGCTTTCAGAGGGTCTGGTCAACCCAGAGGCCATGGCCATAGATGTCCTAGGCCTCTGATGTCTTGATACATAAAGAAGCAAGATTAGGAAGACGTCTTTTGTGCCTTCCTAATCTTGCTTCTTTATGTATCAGGAAAAGCAGGAAAACACTTCTGGGTTCAAAAAGCAAAGATCAAAGCAAAACAGCAGTAACAGCACCAAGTTAGCTCATTCTCCTTTAAACTGAAGTTATTGAAATGTAAGTGATTATGCCAAACTTGTTTCTTTCTTTCTTTTTTTAAAAATTGAGACAGAGTCTCGCTCTGTCACCCAGGCTGGAGTGCAGTGTCAGCTCACTGCAGCCTCTGCCGCCCAGGTTCAAGCGATTCTCGTATCTCAGCCTCCCAAGTAGCTGGGACTACAGGCGCGTGCCACCATGCCCAGATAATTTTTTTGTATTTTTAGTAGAGATGGGGTTTTGCCATGTTGGCCAGGCTGGTCTTGAACTCCTGACCTCAAGTGATCCACCCTCCTTGTCCTCCCAAAGTGCTGGGATTACAGGCGTGAGCCACCGCGCCCAGCCTAAACTTGTTTCTTGAAAGGTGCTGTTCATACAAATTAATTGAGGACCAAAATGCCTTATATGAAATCTGTCCTTGGTTCCCTTTCTCATAAGCAGATTTGCCCCGAACCCTTATGTCATGCAATCACTTTAGAGATTCAGACTCAGAATGGGAGTTTCATAGTCAGCAAAACATTAAAAATTGATTCTTTAGGAGGAGTAAAGAAAAATTCATTTAGAATTTTATTTTTCTTCCCTTAGAATACTTACTATTCTTTGCAAGCTGGTCAGTGATCAGCCAGTATGGCAGAGGGGATGAGGAGAGTTGAAGTTCTTGGTATGGTTCAGTTAATTGTCTCCCAATTAACTGCAAATAAAGCTCACAAAATTCTTGTTATTAATAGTAACTATAATAGTAATGTATAATTGAGATAGAATCAGGCATTGTTTTACCATATTTTTGAATTTTGGAAAACTCTGGTATAAAGAACGTCTATGTATTCATATGTGGACATATTGACACATTTCCTTCATCCTTCCCCCAGCTTTCCTCAGTTTCTGAGTTATTTTGTGGCAAGTTTCAGTCATTTATTTAATCAAGAAATATTTCAGCATACATGTCTAGAAGACAGGACTCTTTAATAAACATGTGACATGCCCTTAAAATCATTATTGCCTCTAAACATTAATGATTATTCCTCAATATCATCAAACACCCAGTCAACGTTTGCATTTCTTCAGTTGATCAGCCATTGTTAACTGGCACAAGACTTAACAAAACCAAAAGGGAGTCCTAAACTGTATCAGGAAGCTTTACAGTTATGATAGAACACAAAGAAGACACTATTTTGACATTAAAGGCAAATGTTAAATGCAGTGTGATTTCACTTGGCTGTAGTTCAGCTGTGCCTAATCCATGTCAGCCAACATAGTGGAAGACTGTTCCTAAACTGTGTCAGCTGTATGTCTTGACTGAATGACTTAGTCACGTGCTTCCATACATTTAAAACTGGGACATGGATTAGACCTATGCTACTTCTGATTTTTCCTCAAACATACACATTTTCAGAAAGGTACTGCAGAATGAGCAGCTAGCTCTGTAAGAGGTATATGGGGAGATAATTGTGTTTTGGGATTACAAGAGAGCTCATTGAGTGATGGAAGACAGGAGAATTAGACTAGGAAATAGAAGGGAAATTCAAGTGGTCTACGTATCCGACTTGACAGAGCCCAGCTGCTGGAATAACAAAGGAGCATATGTTTTGTCCCTCTGCTCAGGTTTCAGATTCTAGGAGGAAGTGGGATTGCCTAACTTTCTAGTCATGCATCCAACCTTGGCTAAAAGGAGCCTCCACAATTTGATTCATAGTCTTACTAACAGGGAAAGGTAATTCTCCCAAAGCAATTGGGGTGCTAATATAGAAATTAAATATGGCCGAGCATGGTGGCTCATGCCTGTAATCCCAGCACTTTGGGAGGCTGAGGCAGGCGGATCACCTGAGGTCAGGAGTTTGAGACCAGCCTGACCAACATGGTGAAACCCTGTCTCTACTAAAACTACAAAAATTAGCCAGGTGTGGTGGCACGTGCCTGTAGTTCCAGCTACTCAGGAAGCTGAGGCAGGAGAATCACTTGAACCTGAGAGGCAGAGGTTGCAGACAGCTGAGATTGCACCACTGCACTTCAGCCTGGGTGACAAGAGCAAAATTCCATCTCAAAAAATAAATAAATAAATAAATAAATAAATAAAATAAATAGAATAAATGCAAGGAAGTCAAAGAGCTACAAGGAGAGTGGAAATGGCCATGATGACAGCTTACAGCTTCACTGGGGCAATTAAGAGAAATCTGGAATGAAAAACAGACAGAAACTTTGTTTTTTAATGTACTAGGGTAAGGCTGAAAGTAAAATAGCCAGAAAAAGAGCTGAATACTGTAATGAAATGCTGAAAGGTGTTGTTTACTTCTAATTGAGCTGAGAACTGAGGAACTAAAGAATCTTTGGTGTTCAGTAATACGCTTATACCTTCAAATTTTCTTTCTTTTTTAATATATAGATATATTTTTTATTATACTTTAAGTTCTAGGGTACATGTGCACTACGTGCAGGTTTGTTACATATGTATACATGTGCCATGATGGTGTGCTGCACCCATTAACTCATCATTTACATTAGGTATATCTCCTAATGCTATCCCTCCCCCTTCCCCCCACCCCACAACAGGCCCTGGTGTGTGATGTTCCCCTTCCTGTGTCCAAGTGTTCTCATTGTTCAATTCCCACCTATGAGTGAGAACATGCGGTGCTTGGTTTTTTGTCCTTGTGATAGTTTGCTGAGAATGATGGTTTCCAGCTTCATCCATGCTCCTACAAAGGACATGAACTCATCATTTTTTATGGCTGCATAGTATTCCATGGTGTATATGTGCCACATTTTCTTAATCCAGTCTATCATTGTTGGACATTTGGGTTGGTTCCATGTCTTTGCTATTGTGAATAGTGCTGCAATAAACATACGTGTGCATGTGTCTTTATAGCAGCATGATTTATAATCCTTTGGGTATATACCCAGTAATGGGATGGCTGGGTCAAATGGTATTTCTAGTTCTAGATCCTTGAGGAATTGCCACACTGTCTTCCACAATGATTGAACTAATTTACAGTCCCACCAACAGTGTAAAAATGTTCCTATTTCTCCACATCCTCTCCAGCACCTGTTGTGTCCTGACTTTTTAATGATCGCCATTCTAACTGTTGTGAGATGGTATCTCATTGTGGTTTTGATTTGCATTTCTCTGATGGCCAGTGATGATGAGCATTTTTTCATGTGTCTGTTAGCTGCATAAATGTCTTCTTTTGAGAAGTGTCTGTTCATAACCTTTGCCCACTTTTTGATGGGGTTGTTTGTTTTTTTCTTGTAAATTTGTTTGTGTTCTTTGTAGATTCTGGATATTAGCCCTTTGTCAGATGAGTAGATTGCAAAAATTTTCTCCCATTCTGTAGGTTGCCTGTTCACTCTGATGGTAGTTTCTTTTTGCTGTGCAGAAGCTCTTTAGTTTAATTAGATCCCATTTGTCAATTTTGGCTTTTGTTGCCATTGCTTTTGGTGTTTTAGACATGAAGTCCTTGCCCATGCCTATGTCCTGAATGGTATTGCCTAGGATTTCTTCTAGGGTTTTTATGGTTTTAGGTCTAACATTTAAGTCTTTAAGCCATCTTGAGTTAATTTTTGTATAAGGTGTAAGGAAGGGATCCAGTTTCAGCTTTCTATGTATGGCTAGCCAGTTTTCCCAGCACCATTTGTTGAATATGGAATCCTTCCCCATTTCTTATTTTTGTCAGGTTTGTCAAAGATCAGATGGTTGTAGATGTGTGGTATTATTTCTGAGGGCTCTGTTCTGTTCCATTGGTCTCTATCTCTGTTTTGGTACCAGTACCATGCTCTTTTGGTTACTATAGCCTTGTAGTATAGTTTGGAGTCAGATAGCATGATGCCTCCAGCTTTGTTCTTTTGGCTTAGGATTGACTTGGCAATGCAGACTCCTTTTTGGTTCCATAGGAACATGAAAGTAGTTTTTTCCAATTCTGTGAAGAAAGTCATTGGTAGCTTGATGGGGATGGCATCGAATCTATAAATTACCTTGGGCATTATGGCCATTTTCACAATATTGATTCTTCCTATCCATGAGCATGGAATGTTCTTCCATTTGTTTGTATCCTCTTTTATTTTGTTGAGCAGTGGTTTGCAGTTCTCCTTGAAGAGGTCCTTCACATCCCTTGTAAGTTGGATTCCTAGGTATTTTATTCTCTTCGAAGCAATTGTGAATGGGAGTTCACTCATGATTTGGCTCTCTGTTTGTCTGTTATTGGTGTTTAAGAATGCTTGTGATTTTTGCACATTGATTTTGTATCCGGAGACTTTGCTGAAGTTGCTTATCAGCTTAAGGAGATTTGGGGCTGAGACAATGGGGTTTTCTAGATATAAAATCATGTCATCTGCAAACAGGGACAATTCAACTTCCTCTTTTCCTAATTGAATACCCTTTATTTCCTTCTCCTTCCTGATTGCCCTGGCCAGAACTTCCAACACTATGTTGAATAGGAGTGGTGAGAGAGGGCATCCCTGTCTTGTGCCAGTTTTCAAAGGGCATGCTTCCAGTTTTTGCCCATTCAGTATGATATCGGCTGTGGGTTTGTCATAAATAGCTCTTATTATTTTGAGATACGTCCCATCAATACCTAATTTATTGAGAGTTTTTAGCATGCAGGGCTGTTGAATTTTTTCAAAGGCCTTTTCCGCATCTATTGAGAAAATCATGTGGTTTTTCTCTTTGGTTCTGTTTATATGTTGGATTACGTTTATTGATTTTCGTATGTTGAACCAGCCTTGCATCCCAGGGATGAAGCCCACTTGATCATGGTGGATAAGCTTTTTGATGTGCTGCTGGATTTGGTTTGCCAGTATTTTATTGAGGATTTTTGCATCAATGTTCATCAGGGATATTGGTCTAAAATTCTCTTTTTTTGTTGTGTCTCTGCCAGGCTTTGGTATCAGGATGATGCTGGCCTCATAAAATGAGTTAGGGAGGATTCCTTCTTTTTCTATTGATTGGAATAGTTTCAGAAGGAATGGTACCAGCTCCTCTTTGTATCTCTGGTAGAATTCGGCTGTGAATCCATCTGGTCCTGGACTTTTTTTTGGTCAGTAAGCTATTAATTATTGCCTCAATTTCAGAGCCTGTTACTGGTCTATTCAGAGATTCAACTTCTTCCTGGTTTAGTCTTGGGAGGGTGTGTGTGTTGAGGAATTTGTCCATTTCTTCTAGATTTTCTAGTTTATTTGCATAGAGGTGTTTATAGTATTCTCTGATGGTAGTTTGTATTTCGTGGGATCGGTGGTGATATCCCCTTTACCATTTTTGATTGTGTCTATTTGATTCTTCTCTCTTTTCTTCTTTATTAGTCTTGCTAGCAGTCTATCAATTTTGTTGATCTTTTCAAAAAACCAGCTCCTAGAGTCATTGATTTTTTGAAGGGTTTTTTGTGTCTCTATCTCCTTCAGTTCTGCTCTGATCTTAGTTGTTTCTTGCCTTCCTCTGGCTTTTGAATGTGTTTGCTCTTGCTTCTCTAGTTCTTTTAATTGTGATGTTAGGGTGTCAATTTTAGATCTTTCCTTCTTTCTCTTGTGGGCCTTTAGTGCTATAAATTTCCCTCTACACACTGCTTTAAATGTGTCCCAGAGATTCTGGTATGTTGTGTCTTTGTTCTCGTTGGTTTCAAAGAACATCTGTATTTCTGCCTTCATTTTGTTATGCACCCAGTAGTCATTCAGGAGCAGGTTGTTCAGTTTCCATGTAGTTGAGCAGTTTTGACTGAGTTTCTGAATCCTGAGTTCTAGTTTGATTGCACTATGGTCTGAGAGACAGTTTGTTATAATTCCTGTTCTTTTACATTTGTTGAGGAGTGCTTTACTTCCAACTATGTGGTCAATTTTGGAATAAGTGTGGTGTGGTGCTGAAAATAATGTATATCCTGTTGATTTGGGCTGGAGAGTTCTGTAGATGTCTATTAGGTCTGCTTGGTTCAGAGCTGAGTTCAATTCCTGGATATCCTTGTTAACTTTCTGTCTCGTTGATCTGTCTAATGTTGACAGAGGGGTGTTAAAGTCTCCCATTATTATTGTGTGGGAGTCTAAATCTCTTTGTGGGTCTCTAAGGACTTGATTTATGAATCTGGGTGCTCCTGTATTGGGTGCATATACATTTAGGATAGTTAGCTCTTCTTGTTGAATTGATCCCTTTACCATTATGTAATGACCTTCTTTGTCTCTTTTGATCTTTGTTGGTTTAAAGTCTGTTTTATCAGAGACTAGGATTGCAACCCCTGCCTTTTTTTGTTTTCCATTTGCTTGGTAGATCTTCCTCCATCCCTTTATTTTGAGCCTATGTGTGTCTTTGCATGTGAGATGGGTTTCCTGAATACAGCACACTGATGGGTCTTCAGTCTTTATGCAATTTTCTGGTCTGTGTCTTTTAATTGGAGCATTTAGTCCATTTCCATTTAAGGTTAATATTGTTATGTGTGAATTTGATCCTGTCGTTATGATGTTAGCTGGTTATTTTGCTCGTTGGTTGATGCAGTTTCTTCCTAACATCGATGGACTTTACAATTTGGCATGTTTTTGCAGTGGCTGGTACTGGTTGTTCCTTTCTATGTTTAGTGCTTCCTTCAGGAGCTCTTGTAGGGCAGGCCTGGTGGTGACAAAGTCTCTCAGCATTTGCTTGTCTGTAAAGGGTTTTATTTCTCCTTCACTTATGAAGCTTAGTTTGGCTGGATATGAAATTCTGGGTTGAAAATTCTTTTCTTTAAGAATGTTGAATATTGGCCCCCACTCTCTTCTGGCTTGTAGAGTTTCTGCTGAGAGATCAGCTGTTAGTCTGATGGGCTTCTCCTTGTGGGTAACCCGACCTTTCTCTCTGGCTGCCCTTAACATTTTTTCCTTCATTTCAACTTTGGTGAATCTGACAATTACATGTCTTGGAGTTGCTCTTCTCGAGGAGTATCTCTGTGGCGTGTTCTGTATTTCCTGAATTTGAATGTTGGCCTGCCTTGCTAGATTGGGGAAGTTCTCCTGGATAATACCCTGCAGAGTGTTTTCCAAGTTGGTTCCATTCTCCCCGTCACTTTCAGGTACACCAATCAGACGTAGATTTGGTCTTTTCACATATTACCATATTTCTTGGAGGCTTTGTTCGTTTCTTTGTATTCTTTTTTCTCTAAACTTCTCTTCTCACTTCATTTCATTCATTTCATCTTCCATCGCTGATACCCTTTCTTCCGGTTGATCGCATCAGCTACTGGAGCTTGTACATTCGTCACGTAGTTCTCGTGCCATGGTTTTCAGCTCCATCAGGTTCTTTAAGGACTTCTCTGCATTGATTGTTCTAGTTAGCCATTCGTCTAATCTTTTTTCAAGGTTTTTGACTTCTTTGCCATGGGTTTGAACTTCCTCCTTAAGCTCGGAGAAGTTCGATTGTCTGAAGCCTTCTTCTCTCAGCTCGTCAAAGTCATTCTCCAACCAGCTTTGTTCCATTGCTGGTAAGGAGCTGCGTTCCTTTGGAGGAGGAGAGGTGCTCTGATTTTTAGAGTTTTCAGTTTTTCTGCTCTGTTTTTTCCCCATCTTTGTGGTTTTATCTACCTTTGGTCTTTGATGATGGTGACGTACAGATGGGTTTTTGGTGTGGATGTCCTTTCTGTTTGTTAGTTTTCCTTCTATCACTCAAGATCCTCAGCTGCAGGTCTGTTGGAGTTTGCTGGAGGTCCACTCCACACCCTGTTTGCCTGGGTATCAGCAGTGGAGGCTGCAGAACAGTGAGTATTGCTGAACAGCGAATGTTGCTGCCTGATCGTTCCTCTGGAAGTTTCGTCTCAGAGGGGTACCTGGCTGTGTGAGGTGTCAGTCTGCCCCTACTGGGGGTGTCTCCCAGTTAGGTTACTCAAGGGTCAGTGACCCACTTAAGAAGGCATTCTGTCCATTCTCAGATCTCAAACTCCATGCTGGGAGAACCACTACTCTCTTCAAAGCTGTCAGACAGGGACATTTAAGTCTGCAGAGGTTTCTGCTGCCTTTTGTTTGGCTATGCCCTGCCCCCAGAGGTGGAGTCTACAGATGCAGGCAGGCCTCCTTGAGCTGTGGTGGGCTCCACCCAGTTCAAGCTTCTGGCTGCTTTGTTTATCTACTCAAGCCTCAGCAATGGCGGGCGCCCCTCCCCCAGCCTTGCTGCTGCCTTGCAGTTCGATCTCAGACTGCTGTGCTAGTGATGAGCGAGGCTCCGTGGGCGTGGGACCCTCTGAGCCAGGCATGGGATATCATCTCTTGGTGTGCCATTTGCTAAGACCGTTGGAAAAGCACAGTATTAGGGTGAGAGTGACCCGATTTTCCAGGTGCCTTCTGTCACAGCTTTGCTTGGCTAGGAAAGGGAATTCCCTGACCCCTTGCACTTCCCAGGTGAGGTGATGCCTTGCCCTGCTTCTGCTCACACTCGTTGCGCTGCCCTCACTCTCCTGCACCCACTGTCTGACACGTGCCAGTGAGATGAACCTGGTACCTCAATTGGAAATGCAGAAATCACCTGTCTTCTGTGTCGCTCACGCTGGGAGCTGTAGACTGGAGCTGTTCCTATTTGGCCATCTTGGAACTGCCCTCCTCAAATTTTCAATCTATGTTTTTTCTTATATTAATTATGAATATCTAATGCTATGTGACTTTTCTTGTTATCTTGCCATTTCTCAATTATCAACTAAACTTCTGTAACAGCAGACTTTTAAAAATAAGCTGTTTATTTTAGAACAATTTTAGATTTCCAGAAAAGTTGCAAAGATAGTATAGATTTCTGTCTACCCCAAGCAGTGACTTTCATCAGTGAACTCTTTTTCATGGTCCATTTTTTGAAATTAAGAAACCAATGTCTGTATATTTCTATTAACTTAATTTCAGACTTTATTTGGGTTTCACCGTATTTTCCATGAATGTCCTCCTTCTGATCCAAGATCAAATTCACGGAATGACACTGCATTTAGCCATCCTGTCTCCTTAGTTCTTCCAGTCTGCCAGTTTCTCAGTCTCTCCTTGTCTTTATAACCTTGACAGCTTGAGGAGTAGTGGCCAGGAATGCTGAAGAGTGTCCACCAGTCTAGGTCTGCTTAATGTTTTCCTCCCTATTAGACTGGCATTAGAGGTTTTAGGAATAGAAATCGAGAGGTGAAGTGCTCTTTTTGCCACATCATGTTAGGGGATACTTCATAGCCATGTGACTTTACCAGTAATGTTAACCTTCATCACCTGGTGAAGGTAATGTCTGCCAGCTCTCTCCACTGTGAAGTTACTGTCTTCCCTTTCTCTGCTGTACTATTTGGAAACAAGGCATTAAATCTAGCCCTTCCTGGAGAGGTGAGGGTGGGGATGAAACTCCACCCATTGGACAATGGAGTATTTATATGTATTGTTATGAATTCTCCTGTAAGGAAAGTGTGTGAGAGAAGACTTTTTTTTTTTTTTTCTGAGACAGAATCTCGCTCTGTCACCCAGGCTGGAGTGCAATGGCATGATCTCGGCTCACTGCAACCTCTGCCGCCTGGGCTCAAGCGATTCTCCTGCCTCAGCCTTCCGAGTAGCTGGGATTACAGGCATGTGTCACCACACCTGGATAATTTTTTTTTTGTATATTTTAGTAGAAATGGGGTTTCACTGTATTGGCCAGGCTGGTCTTGAACTCCTAGCCTCAAGCGATCCGCCTGCCTCAGCCTCCTAAAGTGCTGGGATTACAGGCATGAGCCACTGCATCCGGACTGTGAGAGAAGACTTTTTAATTCCACTTTGGGATGTTTAGGAAATATGTATGCTTGCAGAACACAGGAATTTGACCAGTAGCTTCTATGACGGGGAGTCAGACAGGTTATAGGTCTTGGTCATATGGATGCTCTAGCCTCATTCTCAAGGTGTGACTATGGTAAGCTAAAAAGAGAGAGGGTGAGTTTGTATTTAACGTGGCATTAGTGGGCTCTTTTCCAGACAGAGACTTAAAGGGCTTTAAAGAGAACACCAACACGAAGGAAGCAGCAGATGGGGCCCACTTGGAATGAAATCTGAATCTTTATCTGTAAATAAAAAGGAAGGTGGTGTCTCATCCTCTTTCAGACTCTGGGAATCAGAATCAGAATAATTTGGCTCAGAATCTTGGCCTCTGCAAAATTAAGCAAATGCCATTTTTAGTCTCTGAACACAGCTTGTGGTGATTTCTGATGCTGCTGCACACTTTAAACTCCCTGAGGAGGCAAAGACACATATATGAATTGTCCTCAAACACACACACATTTATGCTGACAAATTCACAAAGATGTAACATCATTATGACAATGGGTTTATATGATAAACAAGAGTGCTGTACCATATAGGATACCATCCCCAGAAGTTTACAGCTGAGAAAAGCATACAATATTTCTCAAAGGGTATAGGTAAAGACTTGCACTTAATAGTACTTCATGAAGACCAGTTAAAGACAAATACCTCTATAGGCCCTGATGATTATTATTGTTGTTTTTTCAATCACAGTATAATGAATTGTGTTCTTGTATTATACTATCTATTTCTGCCACAAGACTGTAACTATATTTTATCAGACACCAATCACCATTGCATCTGTAGCACATAGCATTATATCTGGTATACAGCAGGTACTTCATATATATTTGTTCAATGAATAAAGAAACTCTAAAAAGAAGATGCAGGATTAACTTGTTTCTAGTTTTGCCATTTTATGGTCTTATGCAAGCATAGAAACTTAAGACAATGTTTGCTATATCCTTATATCTGAAAGTATATTTTGATTTTTTAAGAATTCTGATACTTTCATAGAATAAGTGGCAAGGATTGTGCTCAATCTGATTCAATAGACATTTTTTGAGAGTGAATTTTGAGCAAGGCAGTCAAGTGAGTGTTTTGGGAGATAAAGGTGAAAGAGGTGCTCTCTCTGCTCTATAGAGGTTCAAAGTTCTCCAAATATCTACCCCTCCCAATGTGCACCCTGAAGCTTGGTCCTTTCTGACAGACTCTCGCCATCAAGTTTCCCATGGTGCAGCTGGTGAGATTCCATGCTGACTCTCTGAGAAGCCCGTGCTCACTGGAAAATCACCTGGTGGCACTAGAATCTTGTCCGCTGCAGGAGATTTGCCTTTTACAAACTCCGGCACCAAGGTCTCTTTCTCATAGCCTGAGGCTGGAGGTCACCCTCAATTCAACCGTATGCCAAGATTCCACTGATTAGTGCTGCGCTTGCTGTCAAATTCTTCCCAGTTGCTTGAACCATTTTCCTTTGAAACAACTTGGAAAATCTCTCTCTCTCTTTTTTTTTTTTTTTTTTGAGATGGAGTTTTGCTCTTGTTGCCCAGATTGGAGTGCAATGATGCCATCTCGGCTCACCGCAACCTCCGCCTCCCGGGTTCAAGCAATTCTCCTGCCTCAGCCTCCCGAGTAGCTGGGATTACAGGCATGCGCCATCATGCCCGGCTAATTTTGTATTTTTAGTAGAGATGGGGTTTCTCCATATTGGTCAGGCTGGTCTCGAACCCCTGACCTCAAGTGATCTGCCCACCTTGGCCTCCCAAAGTGCTGGGATTACAGGCATGAGCCACCGCGCCCTGCCAAATCTCTCTTTTTATAGTCTCTCTTGTTTTCTCCTGTATTCCTGTTAGGAGATGCATGAGGGAGCCAATCCCTCGTCTTGACGGTAGGGGTCGCTGCTCCTGGCCCTACTCACATCATGTGAACCAGGGTTTCTCTGCGCTGTTGACCTTCCTGTAATCCCTCATACAATCTTCTCAGGGGAGAATTCTGCCTTTAATTTTTCAGGTATCTGGAAACACTTCAGTTCTCTAGGCTCTCAGTTCTCCTTGTGTCCAGCATAAACATATTGTTAAAAGATAAACTGAGGCACATTTCAATATTCAAGAGTTTACTTTAGCAAACAGTAGTTCAGGAATGGGCAGTGCCAGGGTTCCTCCCGCTACTGAAACCCCAGGGGTTCGGTCTAGGTCCTGCCACTCACCGCAGGTAAAGCCAATCACGGAGACAAAGAAGGCCCTTCAGGTGGCATCCTGAGGAGAAGGGGAGATTGTTTCAAATCTGCCTCCCCAACGAACTAAAATGGGAGGGGCTGGGGGAAGGAGTGGTTTATACATTAAGAAAGGAAGGTAAACCACCTGTGGGGAAAACAGCAATTAGGGAGGGGCATGGGAGCAAGCGCAAGGAAGGAGGGTTCTGCGTGGCCTCCAGATGCGGGGACCTGGTGAGTTTCAGTCCCTTGCCTGAGGGTTGGTTTCCCAAAAAAGGAACTCAGACAAGACAAATATAAGTTTCAACTTTTAAGACCGGGAGGGTCAATTTCTCTGTTTATTCCTAAATATCATTCCTGTGGGGAAACTGGGTGACTTTCACAGGGGATGAGCACAAGGGGAAGGCTTTTTTTGTAGGATAAATGAGGAAGCAGAGAAAAGAAATTATTTGATGGGTTCAAGTTTGAGCAATTCCTTGATGGTTCTTTTTTTGTGTGTGTGTCCAAATTTTCTTTCCATATAATATCAGATTGGATAAAGGTCCACCCTAATGGCCTCACCTTAAGTTAATCACCCCCTTAAACAGCCTATCTCCAAATACAGTCACATTCTGAGATACCGGGGACTGGGGCTCCAACATATGAATTTTGAGGAACACAATTCACCTTGTAGCAGTGCCTCTGCCCAGGACAAGAGGCTGTGATTTGCACTGCTCCCGGGACTCTGCTTTCTGGCAACTTCTGGCAGATACCCCAAGACAGAAACCACCACTGTAACTGAGCCAGCAAGATGGATGTCCTGAATCAAGCTTGATTCCTTACGTGCCCCGGTTAGAATAGGGGGATAGCCAGAAATGAACAGGCAAGGGAGCCCCTGGGAAAAGAAGTCCTGAAAGCACTGCCCACTGACAATCAGCAAAAATACAGTGGCTATGCTGGCTACTTTGGCCCTGTGGTTGGGCTCCTCCAGCCCGGAAGGGGGCTTATCGGGCCTTAGCTAGAGATAGCCATGCTAGGAACATTCCCAGCTGAGAAGCATGCCAGTCCTCCACTAACTCACCTACCACCTTTTGCTCAGTGTCATAGTAAAAAACAACCTCTGAGTGGAGATTTTAAATATTAATGTGACATATGGCATGTGTACTAGCATGTACAACCACAGAGCATGCGTGCTCAAGGGGACTGCCTAAAACATGGTTGCACGTGACATCCCCTCATACCCCTTCATGAGTAATCATGTAAGATTCTCCTAAAGAGAGCCCCCGGCACTGGCTGCTGCTGGCTCACTCTCCAGCAGCCCACTCTGCCTCGTTTTCCAGAGCATCCTGTCTCTTTAAATAAACACTGCTACGGTTATTTTCCCAGCTGGACCAGCCCGAGTGGTTTTCAACTCCTCTGTCGGAGTGTGCTCTTGTTTCCTTAACAAACCTTTGGCTTACATTACTAATTGTCTCTTGGCCGAATTCTTTCTCATAAGTTAGACCAGAACCGAGAATTCCTGCACTTCCGTGTTAACACCCCCTTTCCAGTCAGCCTGGCCTGCGCGAAGCTGATTGGCAGAGCCAAGTTCACCTGCCTGAGAGTTCTGGCTGCCATGCAGGGAAGACAAGACTTAAAATGCAAGAAGATCTCCAAATATAGAAGGCTCTTCAGAGTGTGATGGCAGCCCCATCACTACTATGCAAGAACACATGCCACCAGAATATGGTGCAAAACAGAAGAGACTCATTCATGATGGCCAAAAGGTGGAAACAGCTCTTGCTCAGAGAAGGAAACCCTCCATCTCCAGAATCATTTGTATTGTAGAACTGAAACTCTGTCCCCATTAAATACGAAGTCCCCATTCCCCCTCTCTTTGTCCTTGGCCATTCCTGCTCTGCTTTCTGCCTCTCTGACACTCATCTAAGGAGAGACAAGTTTTCTTGGTCTCCCCCTCCATTGGACCTCCACTGAGATCTGGTACTGCATCTTGGCTTCATGGGGGTTTGTGGAGTAAGCGTGGGTGGCAGAGCCAGTGGTGCTTGGAGAAGCTCCCACGAGGGCTGGCTCCGCAGCTTCAGCTCCTGGAAGGAATTAACCTGCTCAGTGCTGCTCAGAGAACAGGCAGCTTCAGTACCATCTGAGAAGTGGGTTAGCATGAAATTCTCCAGCCTCACCCCAGATATGACCAGACAGTTTTCAGGAACTAAAGTTGACTTTATGGAGCTAATGCTTACAAAGCCCTCTTGAGAAAAAAAAAGTGTGCTGGGTGCCTGGCTTATAGGGTTCCTTGCCTTATAGATGAGTAGGAAAGGTCACTTTCTGGCCCAGGAAACTTAAAACATCTTAGAGACTCTGAGAAGAGAGGAATTCACCCTATAGATTTTATAGGTAGTGAAGGTGAAGTCTGATTTGAAGGTGAAGACAAGTTCTTGGTTTGACTTCCTAGCCTTAAGCAGCTTTTAAAAGTCCAATATGAGATTCTTTATGAAAAGTTCCAGCAAAGCAAACTAAGCAAAGGCTTTTTGGTGAACTACCATTCTTGCTGCATTTATGAAAATGATCAGGCCAAGATTAATTAGCAGTATTAACCTCTACCGAATTAGAGGTATTCCCTCCACTCTTTCTGCTCCTTCTCACATCATCACAAAGCATCTACCATATTCCCGGGACTATGCTGGACACACGCATGTTCCCCTATGATTTGAAAACATTCATTACATTCATAAAATAAAGGCATTCAAACTGATTGCTTGGAGCCGTGTAGATAAATGGACAATTTCACAATTTTTTGTCTTAGAGATTTGAAATTCTTTCCTTTTAACTTTCACAGAATTTGCCAGCAGAGGGCCCCTGGAAAATCTCAAAGGCTTTGTCTCTCACTATGTAAAAGAAATGTTAACTAATTAGGTTTATTTGATAGGCTAAGTCACATGGGAAATGTTGGCAAATGAAAAGTGATGCTTAACCTTCCCTATGTTATATTTGTATAGGTAAATGTTGCTAATATAAGTATTTCAGAACTGATGTGAAGTTCATAGAAATCTGTCCGTACGTTTGCTGTTCCTATTATGTGTGGCATAATGTTATCAGTCATAATTCCGGTTATTATGTGAAAATGTTATATGCTACAGAAATAGCTAACTTTTCTTACTAAATGAACTCTTATCAGATCAGTATGGCTACTTTAAGTCTTTTGTTTTCACAGACTGTTTTACTCTGATGCTTTCCTCAAGCTTCTGTAAGCAGCTGTAATTCAAAAGTGTTTCACCTTTAAAGATATTCATAAAAAAGACTGACAAGGACGGGTTTCTGAGAACCTGAAGATCACAGCAGTGGACTGGGTCAGAATTTTTAGAATGCTCATGAAGAAACTGATGGGTACATGAGACTTCATCCAAGGTCAAGCAGCACAGGTGTGCCGCAGGGGAATGCATAGACTGAGAAAGCAGGATTACAGTTTTTATTGTGGAACATTTCTTGTGCTTCAATGTTTTATTTTCCAGATATAAGGAACCCTTTTCCCCCATCCTCTTTAGCTATTTGTAGCCTACAGCTATTTGGTAAAGTATGCCTTTATAAACAAAAATGAAACATTGATTTTTTTTCCAGACTTTGGAAACTCTGCCCGGACTTTGGAAATGCTCATCGAGTATTTCTATTTTCATTGCAATGTAGTTATTTTGCATAAGCTCAATAAGAATTTGTTCTCATTATAACAAGACATGGTTTTATTGGAAACATTGGTTATATTTCATGGGTTTTGACTGGAATGTCATATTTGAGAATAATGTGCACAAAATTAGGCATGACCAGACAGTTTTTAGGAACTAAAGCTGACTTTATGGAGCCAAGGCTTACAAAGCCCTTTTGGGGGAAAAAAATGTCCTGGTACCTGGCTTACAGCATTCCTTGCCTTACAGGAGTAAGAAATGTCACTTCCTGGTCCAGGAAACTTAAAATATCTTAGGGACTCTAAAAAGAGAATAATTCACTCAAATCTCTAGGTATTGAAGATGAAGTCTGGAGTTGAGTTCTTGACTTGACTTTGTAGCCTCAAGCAGCTTTTAAAAGTCTAATATGAGGTTCTTAATGGAAAGTTCCAGCAGTGCAAACTAAGCAAAGGCCTTTTGGTCAACTACCATTCTTTCTGTACTTACGAAAATGATCAGGCTAAGGTTAATGGGATGAGACTTACTTTGCAAACAAAATAGTCTTACTTGATAGAAATAATGGTGGCTTTAGAAAGAAAAATTACATTCCAATAGAAAACTATAGCACATCCTGTGAGTTATGAGGTTCTGTCCCTGTTCTTTATCTTTGGGGTTTTATTATCTGCCTGTGAACCTGACTGGTCCTGCTCAGTTCTAGCTTCGTTCCATATCTGGTTACAACTCTCTAAATTAACGTTTCCAATTTTCTCCTATCTTCCTGACATGGCATCCCTAAAAACTAAAACTTCCGTTTTCCTGAAGCCCTGCAAGTTGAAAATAATAGGAACTTATATAAACTTCAGAGAAATACCCACGACAAATCCAGTAGACAACCTTCGTGCCTGTTGATGTGTGGCCACTCAGAAGGTTCATCAGAACACTCAATACCATCACCACAGGCATTTGGCTGTAAACCAGGGACTGTGTCGATGGCCATATCCGCCATGATGGCTCTACCACCTGAAGGTGCTTCAAGCTCGGCTGGCTGTCCTCTCGACTCAGAAACTGAGTTTCTAGCTATTAGTCTTGTTTTTCTTGTGTTTTCATAGAAACTCCACTTGTTAAATATCTGACTGTGAGCGCCATCCAGGAGGCCTCCTCACCATCAAGTTCCAGCAGATGGGTCAGCAGATCTTCAATGAACAAAAAAGGTGACTGAACAAGAAATTGGATTTCTATTTTCCAAAGGAATTAACAATGTTTCTTCTCTCCTTGAACAAAAGGGGGACACTAACAAAGATTCTTTGCCTGATCAAACTTTAGCCAGGCTCTTGAACCTTCTCTTAGGTCCATCTCTGCACTTCCTTGTAAAATCCACTTCTAGTCTAGTAAGAATCTCACGAAGTCACTTTAGCCAGAACCCTCCACCCTACATATCTCATCACCTTCAGTTTCTGGGTGTCTTATCCTCCCCCACCCCCCAGGTGGGGTCTGATCAGCCTAGCCTGCCTTTGAGAATCCTCCTAGGTCAAGTTAGCTAGAATCCCCCTTATCCCTGACTTTCCTCTTAGTAATTTTCCATTCCCCGACCCCGATCTGGCTCCTTGGATATCAGTTCTCACTTGCGAAGGCTGTATTCAGAGTGGAGCCCAATTTCTCCCCTACTGCAAATTCCCATTGCATTTGTCTATGCCTCTTGAGATGGTCTCAAATAAAGTCGGCCTTACCGTGAATGAAGTTTTTTTTAACAGTTAATGGTTCACAATAGGAAGAAATAAGTACTCTTCCTTAGAAGAAATTTAATTAACTAAGACAAATTATATATTCTTTAAAATTTACAAATGGTTAAAACTAGAAAGAATAGCACTTTGATGAAAATTTGTTAAATCTGCAAATGACAAAACAATAAAAACCTACTTGTTCAATCGGTATTGAATTAAAATTTCATGCAATTAAATCATGAATGAAAGGCTGAGGAGCTTTCAGTCATCTTACAAAGATATAGACTTTAAAAGTTGTGAAATGTATGTGCTTTAGAGATGACGAGAAAGAAGAAAATTTATTTTAAAATAACGTACTGGAGTCACAATAAATTTTCTGCTGTGATGATCATTACATGTGATTACTTGTAATTTGCTTTTGTTAATTTTTTCAAATACATTTTTAGGCAACTGGTTAATGATTGATCCTTATTTCAAGTTTTAATTTTTCATTCTTCTGAGCACTATTTTAACATTTAGTGACATAAGTTGTTTATATCTGTGTTCAGTAATGTTGACTGAATTTCTCCATTCTGGTTGATTTATTTCTAATCAGTCAGCTCATTGTCAATTAGATTTTCAATAATGAAGCCCTAAACCACTATTTGATTTTTAGCCATTGTTCTTCACCACTTAGTCATTGTGGTGGCATTGTGTAATGATACTGAAATGTCAAATGCAAAGTAAACAATGAAAACAAAAACCTGATCTACAGAGATTTTTTTTAAAAGTCCTTATTAACTCACAGCAACAGATTGTTTTAGAAATATGTACTCTTTCTCTTTTTAAGAAACAAAATACAAACAACAAATACAAATTTTATTTATTTATTTTTATTTAAACAATTTTTTAACCTTTCTGACTGGGATGAAAAGTTTAAATAAATGTCAGAAATCTCACTAGTGCATGGTGATTGGGTTGTCACTTCAGGACCAGCGCAGAATCCATGTTTGCGTTTAGACAAGCATGTTTATTCTTTCTTCATTCTAACAAAGGAAGCCCTTTCTACAAAAATAAAGGTTCTTAGGTGTATAGCTTGCATGTTAAGCAATGCAAGGCTACTCAGACTGTGGACCCCAGCTAGCCTGCACACTCTTTAGCCCAGGATGAGGACAGGGGAAAGCCAGCATTAGAAACTTTCACTGCAATTCGAAACTTAAAAAAGAAGACTTTATATGTATGCTTTCTTCATTTTACTTTTCCAAATTGTCATTATCTTTTACAAAACTATTTTCAGTCTGTGATAAGTTGGAGGAAAAATAAAGCAAAACAAACAAAACCAAATCTTGCCCACACTTGTTATTTTTGTGCAGTGCCAAGATCGTTCCACCAGATGGCGCCTGACCGTCAGAGTTGCGCTGAAAGGCTGGGGAAATTCTGGGCTTGAGCGGCCACCGTGTGTGCGGTACCCTGCTCTATTGGAGTTACCGGCTTGGAAAGAAACATCGGTCCTTAACAACATATGCCAATAGACTGCTACTCGGTATATTCTTTTAAGGGTATAATTTCACTGAAGGACGTAAGTTAATGTTTATATCTGTGTTCGGTAATGCTGACTGAATTTCTCCGTTCTGGTTGATTTATTTCTAATCAGTCAGCTCATTGTGACAGCACCTTCTGAGTGGCTCGGGGTTCTGATCCCACACCAGGAAATCATGGTATGTTATGAGGATGCAGGAGTGCTCCTGACAAGGGAGGCTGGTTGTTGGCCTCACAGACTATATTTTAAGAGAGTGGTTCTTAAACTTTCGTGTGCATCCGAATCACCTGGAAAGGGTGTTAAGCCAGGGGTTGCAGAGCTCCAGCCCCGAGGCTCTGACTCAACAGATATGATGCATAGCCAGGAGATTTCAGGCTGCCGACCAGGGACCACACTTTGAGAACCTCTGCTGCATGACTAAGGGATGGGTCTTGGAGTTAGACACTGGTTCAAACCCAAGCCTCTGAGATAGTCAAGTAACCTGGGGCAGGTGACCCCGCTGTTTCAGTGGAGAGGCTGGTGGTGGTAAAAATGAGTTGGAATAGTCCGGGCAGCAGGTTAGCAGAGAGCCTGGTCTCCAGCGAGAATCTGGACTTTGTGGAGTTCAAAGGCTGAACAATTTTGAAAGAGATTACAAAAGCGCAGATGAAAAATTAGGTGAATATTTAAAAAGCAGACCAATGTCATAATTGCCAGAAAACCCAATTGAAACAGCATCATATTTTTATTAATTGCCTGACACATCTCATTAGTCATTATTTTTTGCTGCACTTTTCTCCTCATCTTCTTTTCTCTCCATTTGACAATTTTATATACTATGCTTTTCTATAACAAAATTAGAAAGTCTTAACTCTAGCATGCTTGATCAAGATTTGTTTATCATTATTAATAGTTCGAGAAATTTCTTTCAACTTCACAATGATGCCATATAAAGTTTTAGCGTTGTTATCAAATTAGGGAAAACGATCAACTCTCTTTTGTATATGAGCTGTATGATTTCAGGGCATTCCAAGTTTTCCTGCGCAAATACTAATCTTAAGTGCGTCTTGAATTCTTGATAGTCTAGCCAATTAGTTGTGGATGTCTTTTCCACAGTATTTTATGTTATTGTATTATTGTAATATTGTATACAATATTATTGTATTGTATCCTTTCCCATTTGCTACTGTGAAAGGTTACTCTTTGGGAGGCCGAGGTGGGCGGATCACCTGAGGTCGGGAGTTGGAGACCAGCCTGACCAACATGGAGAAACCCCGTCTCTACTAAAAATACAAAATTAACCAGGCGTGGCGGCGCATGCCTATAATCGCAGCTACTCGGGAGGCTGAGGCAGAAGAATCGCTTGAACACGGGAGGCAGAAGTTGTGGTGAGCCGAGATCACGCCATTGCACTCCAGCCTGGGCGAGAGAGTGAGACACCATCTCAAAAAAAATTAAATAAATAAATAAACAACAACAACAAACGGTTACTAAAAACTTAGTAGCTTAAAACAGCACACATTGATTTCTTAACAGTTTTGCAGGTCACAAGTCCTCCAGTGGGGCTTTTAGCCTCTGTGGGCTAAAATCATGGTATCAGTAGGGCTTGGTTCCTTCTGGAGGCTCCAGGGCAGAGTCCATTTCCTTTGCTCTGTCAGCTTTTAGAGGTCTCCTGCGTTCCTTGGCTGTGTCTTCTTCCTGTCTCCAAAGCCAGCAGCAGTAGCACCTTGCAATCTCTGCTGGCTCACACTCTCACTGCTCCCCACTTCTACTTATGAGGACCCCACCAAGGTCATCCAGGACTCTCTCCTCCCCTTCAGGCCAGCTGATTAGCAAACTGAGTTCCATGTGCTGCCTTAATTCTCCTTTGCCATAGAAGGTAATGTATTCACAGGCTCCAGGGATTAGGATGGGGGAATCTTTGGGAGTCCCATTATCCTGCCTATCATAGTTGTCTTCATAGATGTTGATAGTTTATTTCAAATCAGCAAAGCAGGTAAATCTTTTTCATTGTTCTTATGATTCACTCCTCTACACAGACAATGAAGGAATTGATTCATTATTTCTATCTCAAATGTATTTCTTTCTCTTAATGAATTACTGCTTTTGGTCTGACTTGAAAATTTAAGAAAAACACTTCTTAATATCAGAATACTTTCTATTTCATTGCTATTTTTTATTCATTTCATGTGGTGTAATTTTTATTTGATTATTCTCTATATAAATAAAAATGACAAAGGAAGGTATGTACCTTTCATACACATCCAAATCAGGGGGCTGTAGTTTTTAAAATTTGTTTTAAAGAAGTATTCCAAAGCTTTTTTCCAAATTGCATATTTAAACGTTATCAACTCTTTGAATAAATTGCATCTTGTTTGTGACTTTTTTTCCTGGTTTTAGAAAATACAGCTGAGATCTTTAAAATGTGACTCATTGCAAACCTCAGACAGTTTTAAAATGAGCAGATCATCTCGTTACATTTAAACTCTTTAAAGAAAAATTCAAATTGTATGACACCAAATCCAATTGTATGACACTAATCCCAGAAGACAATATACATCAGCCGCAAAATACCATACCGAAGTGGTCAACATCTCCAGGTGCTGTGGAGGCAAATTTTCTCCTACAAGATTAAGAAACTAAGTTGTGTATGCACATCTCCTGCAACGTCTTGGTGTCATGATGCTGAGTGAATTGCTACAGTGGTTGGTGGAAGCCATTCCTATCCCAGGGCAGCTGCCCATTACTTAACTATACGCAGAGGTGACCACGAACCTTATAAATACTTCCCACTAATCCCTACATAAATGTATCTCTACCTCAACTTCCCCTTAGCTGGATCTCAAAAATGTTGTCATAGCAAACACAGTTAAACTATCTTATTTTGCACATTGTATGAAAATATGACCATGTGAAGCCATTGCTGGACATTGCTTCTCAGGACCTTGGAAGGGGCCATGCAAATAAAGGGTCCTGAAGCTCAGACTTTGTTAGCTTTTAGCATAGCTGCCTCTGCCAGTGCTAACAGTTAGCTGTTATTGTGTGATGGGCTCCCAATTTTAGCATGTAGCATTCTCCTGAAGTGTTAACAAGTTTAAATGAGCTGAAAAAAAATCCCACAAGGAATTACTAACTCTTGTAAGTTTTTGGAGGTAATCTTAGTGGTAGAATATATACACACATACCTTTTAAAAGTGAAAAATTGACTTTCATTTGAAGTCAGGAATTGAATTGCAAAGTACAGGAAAATTGATTCAGACACTGTATTTCTTTTACAATTGTATTCAGCTTCTAAAGCATTATTACAAACCAGAAGCAACTATTAAAAACCAGAAACAAATGACAATGAAACTCCCAAACTGTCATCACAGTCTGTGTTTTCTGATTTCTTTTTTCTTTTTTTTTTTTTTTTTGCCAGATAACTCTATTTTACTTAACGTGGTGGATCTCTTCAAGTTTCAAGACAAAAAACAGAAAACTAAGCACCATTTGCAAACATTAGAAACCAACCAAAATCTAGGTTATTTACAAAAATTCAGGAAGGAGAAAGGGACTCCTAGAACTTAGATTGACAAATGAAATAAAACAAAACAAATACAAACACATTTGAATAAATGATAGCCTCATTATTTCCACAGCCCTACCAACATATGACTTTGTACCTGAAGGAAAAGCAGACAGTATCATTAAAATCCCTGGATCTCTCAATCCCGTGGCTTATCTCTCCAGGTGAAGAGTTTCCATATTTTTACCCTTTGGCTTCTTAAGGAATCAGACTCCCTGTTTCCTGGAACATTGTAAAGATGTGCACATATTTAGTCAGTCGATATTGATTAAACACTCATTATGTTCCAGATATTACCAGATACAGGGATCAACAGAAGTTCACTGCCTAGTAAAAAAAAACAGATTCCTAATGAATTAATAACAGAATGGTATTGGTGCTAAATAGAATAAAGTCTAAGGTGCTAAGCACCAAACAGAACATTTAAGAAACTGGGGTGAGAATCTTCCTTATTGTTATCAATAACACTCATTATCATAATTTACCATCCTTGTTTATCACTGAGCACCAGGACTCAGTTCTCCTTGCCTTATTTTGTGTAGTATCTGGCATGGCTGATGCCAGGGCCTCAAAGGCTGTGAAGGCATCTGGGGAACATGGAGCATGACTTGGAGAAGGAGGATGTGGGTGTGTTTCCAGATGCTTGTTGTAACTTCTATGGCACAGTATTGGATTTGGGTTCTCATTAAGGCCTGAAGCAGTTGGAATGATCTCTTTGAGTGAAGGCTGTGGTGGTGATAGGGATGGGAGGCAGAGAAATTCTAGGCAGAAAAGGGTGGGGTCCCTGGCAAAGCCCCACCCTCAAGCCTGGAACTGCAGCCCAAAGTGAGAACATCCCTGTTTTCTGGCCCAAATATTGCTTTTTCCAAAACCACCCCTGGTCCACCCCAGCCTCCATCCTGTTCCCAGAAAAAACCCAGGCTCTACTGGCAGAGAGCAGAGAAGGGGAAAAGAGAAGAAGCAGCTGAACATCAGAGAGAAGCAGCTTGACTTCAGAGGGACAGCTTGATGGTGGGACTTCAGAGAAGAGTCCAGCTGGAGATGACCATACTTCAGAAGAAAAATACCTTCCCACTCCATCCCCTTTACAGCTCCTCCTCCCACTGAGAGGCACTTTCATCAGCAATAAACTCTCCACATTTACTACCCTTCAATTCATTTGGGCCACCTGATTTTTCCTGGGTGCTGGACAAGAGCTTGGGATACAGAAGGCTGTCACACTGACCCTCTGCCCCTGCTGACAGAGAGCAACTGCCTCATGCAAAAAGGCAGAGGGCCCACTGAGCTGTTAAACACTTAAGCTGTCTGTGGATGGCAAAGCTGCAAGAGCACTGTAACACATGCCTTCTGGGGCTTTGAGGGTTGCAGGTACTCCCCACTAGATGCTGCTGTGAGGCTGCACAGAGTTTGGCTCCTACTGGTGCCCAGAAGCACTTGCTCCAGGGTCTGCACTCGCTTACCTGTGTGCTCCCCTTCCCAAGGGGTTGAGAGCTGCAGGCTGAGTAAGCCAGGAACCTCTGTCATGAGGCCTGCAAAGTGATCAAGGGAAGTTTCCAGTTTCAGTGTTTTTTCTTGTTGTTGTTGTTGTTTGTTTTTTACCTTTTTAAAGAATTGTGGTGGCTGGGCACTATGGCTCACACCTGTAATACTAGCACTTTGAGAGGCCAAGGCAGGAGGATTGCTTAAGCCCAGGAGTTTGAGAACAGCCTTGGCAACATAGCAAGACCCTGTCTTTAAGAAAAAATAAAAAATAAACAAGAGTTGTGGTAACATAGAGATTATATAAAATTTAGTATTGTAGCAATTCTAAAGTGTACAGTTTAGTGGCATTAAGTGCACACACATTGTTGCGCAGCCATAGCCACCATCTAGTACCAGAGCTTTATCAATGCCACCAGTGAAAACCCAATGAAGAGTCACTTCCCATTTCCCCCAACTCCACATCAGACCCTAGAACCACCACTGATCTGCTTTCTGTCTCTATGCATGTGTATATTCTGAACCCCCTTCTTATTTCCATTCCTGTATATTTTTAGTTATTTTCTTAATGGTTATCTTGGAGATTATAGTTAACATCTTAAACTTTAAACAACCAAGCTTAAATTAATACCAACTTAGCTGCAATAGTATACACAGATGTATTCCTATACATCTGTGTTCCTCCTTTTTTATAGTTATTGTCACAGATTACATCTTTATCCATTTCATACTCATTAACATAGAGTTTTAGTTAGTGTCTTATGCCTTTGTCTTTTAAATCACAGAGGGGAAAAAAAGGAGTCACACACCAAAAATACAATAATGCTTGCTTTTATATTTACCTTTAGGGTTCCCTTCACTAGTGATCTTTATTTCTTCTATGGTTAGTGTCCTTCCATTTCAGCCTGGAGGGCACCCTTTGACACTTCTTGTAGGGCAGGTTAGTAATAAATTCCCTCAGCTTTTGTTTATCTGAGGACATCTTACTTTATCATTCATTCTTGAAGGATAGCTTTGCCAGGATAGTTGACAGATTGGTTATCTTTTCTCACCAGCACCTTAGGTATGTTATCCTGCTGCCTTTTAACTTGCATGGTTCCTGAAGCAATATCAGCTGAAAATCTTATTGAAGGTTACTTGTATGTTTTGCTTCTCTCTTGTTGATTTCAAGATTTGCTCTTTTGACAATTTGATAATATCAAGCTGTTTTGATGTGGAACTCTTTGAATTTACCTTACTTTGAGTTCATCAGGTTTCTTGGATGTGTAGATTCATGTCTTTTATCAAATTTGGAATGTTTTCAATTATTATTTCTTCAAATATTTTTCTGCCTCTTTCTGTCCTCACTTTCTTTTTTTCAATTAATTTTTTTTTAATAGAGACAGGGTCTCACTATGTCACCAAGGCTGGTCTTGAACTCCTGAGCTCAAGTGATCCTCCTGCCTTGGCCTCCCAAAGTGCGGGATTACAGGTGTGAGCCACCATGCGTGGCCTCCCTCCTCATTTTCTGAGATGTCAATGGGTACTCTTAAGTTCTGTTAATTTTTTTAAATTCTTATTTTTTTATGCTTCTCAAACTGGGTAATTTAATTTGACCTATTTTCAAGCTCACTGATTCTTTGTTCTGTCTGCTTAAATATATTGTGGAACTCCTCCAGTAAAGCTTTGACTTCCGTTATTGTACTTTTCAGCTCCAAAGTTTCTATTTGGTTCCTTTTATAATTTGTGTTTCTTTATTGATATTCTTAATTTGTGGAGACATCACTCTCCTGATTTCCTTCAATGCTTTGTTCATGGTTTCCTTTAGCCTTTTGAACATATTTAAGATATTTGTCTTTGTCTAGTAAATCTAATGTCTATGCTTCCTCAGGTACACTTTCTGTTAATTTTTTTTTTCCATGAAAGAGCCATACATTCTTATTTCTATGTGTGCTTCATAATTGTTTGTTAAAACTTGCATTTTAAGTATTATGATGTGCAAAAGAAAATAGAAAAAGAAGGAAGAAAAGAAAATATACCCTCCACGTATCTGCAGATGGGTGTGGTGCTGAGACACTCCTTTAATGCTTAGCCAAATCATTTACAGCACTGCCCTTGCCTGTGCTGCTTGCTTGCACTGAGCCTAAGACCAACCAGGGTCTTTTCAGCTTATGTTGCTCAACATAAGCTCTGTCCCAAGAATGTGCTTTTTGGGTTTCCTCTTATATGCAGTAACTTTTCAAAGCCCCTGTGCCTCCCCAAAATCTCACTCCCTGGTTTTCCCTCCCAGGCTTTTGACAATTCTATTGTTTGCCCCAGTTGCTATTTTTTTGCTCCCAATGGCTCATTGCTTGTCCCAGTTGTTATTTTTTGCCCCAGGTAGCAGCAGCTTATTCATTTGGCTTTCATGGTTTTTTAGAACCAAGTAGTCTCTGCATCCTGGTTTAGGCATTCCTTTGGGGAAACCCCAGTCAGAACAAAGCAGACAAACACAATTCCTTGGAAACAGCGTCTGTTCTGCTCTCTCCAGAATCAGACACTCACACTGGGAATGCAGGCTATCATCTGCAAGACCTCCACCATGCCTGGGAAGGGGATGCTAGGATAATGCCACAAAGATCTCTTATCCCACTTCAGCCAACTTTCTTCTGCCTAAGTGGTCACTTGGTTGCTGTAAATCTTTGACCAATTTCCAGAGCTCTGATAAGATTGATTCTGACAGTTTTCCCAAGGTTTTCAGTGTTTCTGGGATGAGATGGCTCCTAGATGCCACTACTCAGTTATTTTTGCTCACATCATTCTAAATATATTTTTAATAGTATTTTAAATATCCATTTTCTTTTTTTTATTCTTTTTTTTTTTTCTATCTTTTATTTTAGGTTCAAGGGGTACATGTGCAGGTTTGTTACATGAGTAAATTTCATGTCATGGGGGTTTGGTATACAGATTTTTTTTTTGTCACCCAGGTAATCATCATAATGCCAGATATGCAGTTTTTCAATCTTTACCTCCTCCCACCCCTCACCCTCAGGTAGGCCCCAGTGTCTGTTGTTTTCTTCTTTATGTCCATGTGTACTCAATGCCTAGCTTTCACTTATATGTGGAAACATGCAGTATTTGGTTTTCTGTTCCTGTGTTAATTCGCTTAGCTCACTATCCATTTCCTGATCTATAATCACTTCTAGCATGCACTCAACCAAGCAAGCATAAAGCATCACTTTATATTTTACATGGGGGAGACTGCTGCTAAAACTCTGAATGAAGCCTCCATCCAGATATATATCCTTATCAGTTCAGCCAGGGGCATTGATGTACATCTTGTTTGTTTTTTTTTTTTTTGAGACAGGGTCTCACTATGTCATCCAGGCTGGAGTGCAGTGGTGCAATCACAGCTCACTGCAGCCTCAACCTCCCAGGCCAAAGTGATCCTCCCATCTCAGCCTCCCAAGTAGCTGGGACTAAAGGTGTGTGCCACCATGCCTGGCTAAGGATATGCATCTCATTACAAGACTTCTGTCCTTTATTCCTAGGGAAATCAACATTTATTATTGATTTACTTAAATTGCTATTTCTTCATTATCTGTTTGATTTATTAAATCCTCACATGATCCCACTGTATTGACAATGAACATGAATTGTCACAAGGAATTCACAGAGGAAGAGGAAATGCATGGACAGGAGGGTGGGAGAGGGCAATGGCGGACTTTTCTGGCTGGTGCACACATTTGAAGTTCTACAGGGAAGGTGGGGAAGACAGTGGATTGTGTATTTAACCCTCTGCAATGTCACTGCTTCAAGACATGCTCGGGGCCATCAAGGTCACTGTGGGAAAGATGAATTTCTGGGATATGAGAGTTGTTAAAAGCAAAGCATTTCCTACAGAAATTTCCATGTTAAGCTGAATTGATTATTTTACCATAACATGGTAATACAAAGATAAAAGGCAGAGCCTTCTGAGCAAGAAGCTGACATCTGGAGTCTGGGCTGTTGCTAAGTAGTTCAGCACAGCATGCCCACTTTCAGAGTTAGGTTACTTGAAGATTTTTCTACTGGTCCAAAACCTCTTCAAGGGCAAGCATATCATCTCTTGCTTTTTTTGTGTTTGTTTTTTCCCCATCCAAATGCCTATGCCAGTGTTTCATGCCTAGTATCAAACTTTTGACATGCATGAATATGCCTGAACATCTTCATTTGTAAAGAATAAAGTTTAGGTTTAATGATTTTGGAAGTCTTTCAGAATCTAATATTCTAACCCAAAGCACTTTAAGCCAGTTATTTTAATGTCTTTGTTACATATTCAACAACCTTACCAGAAATTTTTTCTTTTATTTTCTTTTGTTTAAGAAACAATATTAAATGTCATGCTGGTCATGAGAGGTCAGGAGCACTGGCTCTGCAGTCAGACCTGACTTCAGATCCCGAATTGTGTGGCTTCCTGCAAAGGTTGAGATAACAACTATCTTATAGTGTTGCTATGTAAACAATAACAACAGCAATAATAATAAAAATGGCTGGGCATGGTGGTGGTGCCTACAGTCCCAGCTTTCTGGGAGGCAGTGTCAGGAAGATTGCTTGAGCCCAGGAGTCCAGCCTGGGCAATATAGTAAGAACCCATGTCTGGCCGGGCATGGGGGTTCATGCCTGCAATCCCAGCACTTTGGGAGGCTGAGGCGGGTGGATCACAAGGTCAAGAGATCAAGACCATCCTGGCCAAAATGATGGAACCCCATCTCTACTAAAAATACAAAATTTAGCCAGGCGTGGTGGTGCAAGCCTATAGTCCCAGCTACTCAGGAGGCTGAGGCCTTTCCCCAGAGCCTTATATATAGGATATTGACAGGCGGGCAGGAGATTCGCTTGAACCCTGGAGGCGGAGGTTGCAGTGAACTGAGATCGCGCCACTGCACTCCAGCCTGGTGACAGAGCGAGACTCCATCTCAAAAAACAAAGAACCCATGTCTGAAGAAAGTTAGGAAAAATTAGGTAAGGAGTCCTGATCCCCTTTTACCAGCCAGGAGTCTGGCACACACTACATATGCAGTAATGCCTTTGATCCTCACAGTTATCCAGTGAGGCAGGGCATTGTTACCCTATTTCACAGATGGAGGCACTGAGGCAGTAAGAGTCTAAGTATGCCCAAGGTTGCACAGCTGGTGAGTGGAGAATTGGGGATTGAAACCCCAGCAGATTAAATGAGGGGATGCCCATAGTAAGTGTCGAGTGATGAGTTGTGGAAGGTGGTGGCAGGGTCTTGCATAGGATACAAATGCACAGTGAGCAAGGTGAGTGCCTTCCCTTCGAGTTCTTGCAGACGAATAGGGAAGGTAAACGTGTGGACTTCCATGGTCTCATAGAGAAATCATACGTGCCACAGGGCACCCTGGAGAGGAATTTGGGCTGGCAAGAGGACTGGAGGAGCTCCCACCGTGTCTGGCCTTTCCCCAGAGCCTTATAGGATATTGACAGGCGGGCAGGAGGATATCTCAGGTCAGGAGAGCTTAAGAAGGTAGGAAGGAGCACCACATGACGACGGAATGATTCCCTGAATAGAGTGTGGCTTTTAGGAAATGAAGTGGCGGTGGCCACGATGGGAGGCAGTGAGAGGGTGGATGGTGGAGACCCTGAGTGTCATGCTAAGGAACTGAATTGTATCCCGCAGGTAATGAGGATTTTAGTGCCAGTCTGAATAGCATCTTGTGTACTTCCATGGAATGTCCTGCCTTTGACGAGGTTGGAGCCACTGTAGCTCTTGGCCTAGAATTTGAGCTAAACAAATGGGTGTCATATAGAAAATGGCTCCAGAAACACGGGCGGACGGGGGACTCGGGAACGGGAGCATCTGCTCCTCCTCGCAGCGCTCCAGCCGGTTCACCCCACTCCACGGTTTTAATACCAGCATCATTTGGTAGTGTTTGCCACCTGCTGAACAATCTCAAAGTCAGGTTGCTGTTCTCTCCCCAGTCTCCCCTCCCCCATTGCTACTCCACAGGCCACTTGGCTTTGTAGAATCATTTTCGAAAATGTTTATAATGTCTTACTACTGCCTGTTCCATCTGCTCCTCACTCATGGAGGTCTGGCTCCTTCACAAGGCCCGGAAGTCAGGCTCTCAGTGCCAGGAAAGGTTAAAAATGCAGCTCTGATCTTTCTGTCATGCGGTTGTTTACTTTCTTTGCATCCATCCTTCCATAGATGACTTAAAGCTATTTTTGCTTCCAAGGAAGCCACGTCTATTGCTCATTAGCCAATAAATAAAAAGAAAAAATATAGATCACTTTCTCATTAATATCAGTGGGCCAGTATGACCGCGCTAGCACATACGTGTGTAGGAACGCATTACACACATGCACATGCGTGCACACATGCTTGTGCACACACGTGCACATACACATGCACAACATGGTTCAAAATAAATATTTTATAGGCGAGTTATACTCAAACTCTGTGTAGGAGACCACGTATTTGTATACTTTATTACTTTAATAAATGTTAAAATTCATAACAAAAAATCATTTTCACTCAAGAGATGGAGAAAATCAATGCATTCAAAGCACGGAGCATCAAGGCAGTCTGAGTGAAAATGACATAGGTTTGCAGGTAAGTTTTTGAATTCTTAGGAACATTCGACAGGAACACATTTTATCATTGCAATTTAAGAACTATCAGCAAATTTAATAGAAATGGAATGTTTTAAAAATAGAAATATTTAATTGAGGCTATAGGAAAATCTCAGCTTTTATCCTCCTGTTAAACTATATTATTCTTTTGAAGAATATAGTCATAGCAAATTGTCTGCAGATGTACATATCATTTTTTTGTCTTCATTTAGAGGTCAATACAAGTTTATAAAAGTTGGCTTCGATTATCTTCCTTGCTTTCTATATTTAATAAAGTCTTATTTGAATATTTTTACATTTTATCTGCTGCCTGTGGAGCATGCATTTTTGTATGCCAATAAAAGTATGCAGAAAAAATTAAGGAAAGTACCAAATGTCTCAATCAGCAAATAGCAAAAGCTATCTTTTGTTTTATAGTTGTAGCAAGAACTCCTCCTAGTGGACTTGCTCAGAATTATTTACTACATTTGCAGAGAAAGGCATGAGGCATAGTAATTGCATAAGGTCAATGCATCATAATAGTTAATACATCATCATCTTTCACTAGTGGTGCAGAAACTGTTTTTCGCCATCATAGAATAAATTGAAATAACTTACAAAGCACATAGAGCAAGTATTGGGAAAGAAAACAAGCTAGATTGGACCTCTGGTTATTATCTACTTTATGTTGTGTTATTTTATTTGGAAAAGAAACATAATTCTAATTATGAATTATTCACTAAAACTTTAAAAAATTATTTATAATTGACACTTTATAGTTGTACATATTTACGGGGTACAGTTTGATGTTTTGATACACCTTACTGTGCAATAGAACAAGGGTCCCCAACTCCAAAGCCACGAATCAGTACCAGTTCACGGCCTGTTAGGAACCAGGCCACACAGCAAGAGGTGAGCAGCAGGCAAGCAAGTGAAGCTTCGTCTGTATTTACAGCCACTCCCCATGGCTGGCATTATCACCTGAGCTCCCCCTCCTGTCAGATCAGCAGCAGCATTAGATTCTCATAGGAGCATGAACCCTAACTGCGCATGTGAGGGGTCTACATTGCCTGCTTCTTATGAGAATCTAATGCCTGATGATCTGTCACTGTCTCCCATCACCCCCAGATGGAACTGTTTAGTTGCAGGAAAACAAGCTTAGGGCTCCCACTGATTCTACATTATGGTGAGTTGTGCAATTATTTCATTATATATTACAACGTAATAATAATAGAAATAAAGTGCACAATAAGTGTAATGCATTTGAATCATCCCAAAACCATCTGCCAACATCTCCTGCCCCACCCTTGGTCTGTGGAAAAATTGTCTTCCGTGAAACTGGTCCCTGGTACCAAAAAGGGTGGGGACCACTGCAATAGAGCACCAAAAAGTAGTCTTCCTATCTGATTGTAACTTTGTATCTGTTGGTCTCCCCATCCTGCCCTTCCCCCTCCACTGAATATGCCAGCAATTTCTAGATGTGCTCTGGATGTTTGTGAAATTGCTTTAAAAGTTACTTTTTTACAGATACAGAACAAGATGAACGCTAAATGTCTGATTGTACAAAAAAAGTACAAACATGGTAACTATTAATTCTTATTCAGTCAAAAGTCTACACTCTGAACACTTCCCTATAGAGATAGGTACAAGATAATGACGGGCTTAAAAAAACTGTGTCAAATTATAAAATTTTAACACGAGAATAATGAACTGAAGTTTATAATCTATGAAAATATTATATGGGAAAACTTTCAATGTGTTCATTCTGCAAGCAAAGAAAGAATGTATTGGAAGAAGATAATTTAATTATAGTTATCAGAATGACACAAGATACTGTTCTTTTTAACTTTATTGGTTGGACACTGTTTAGCTTCTTCCCAGAACTCTGTGCTGGATATTTTCTCTAATATCCAGATTACTGAACATACATGTCAATAAAATCCCAAACATGATTGTGAGTCTTTGACTAGAAGACTTACTTTGACTACATTTACTACAACAGTGCTGCACTAACTTCCTTCCTCATTTAGTAGCTATAAATGATTCTTCAGCAGTGAAACACTTAGTATGTAACATTATTACAAGATTACAAGGTGAAGAACCACAGACTTTATCTAATAGTCCATGTTACAAATGATAAAAGGACGTTTTTAAAAGAGGCATATTTCTCTAGCTCATTAAAATAAAACAGACTTTTCCCTGGGATACAGTACTTCCTTGTTTTTGTTCTTACAAGCTGATTAATTATAGTACATGATATTACCCCATAGGTTTATAATAAGAGAAGTTGTAAGCCACATTCTTGACTCAAATTACTTATTAGTAGTTCAAACAGTGCAAATGGCTTTCTGAAATAAAGCTTTTTGTGATTAATGTACCTCTATCCTGCAATTTAATGAACATATTTCATATTTTTATTACTAACCACAATTCCTGTTTATTCATGACACATCATGCTGTAAGCGTAACATATTGAATGCACATATAAGTTCATTAACCATTACTGCTTTGAAACCTGTTGGCTTTTTACCACTTACAAAGAACACACTCCCCGACTCCCACCACAGTCTCTGAACAAATTTATGATTTCACTGGTACAGATGGAATGCTAAATGTAAACTAAACAAATACTGCGCCACCTAACACCGTATTACGGTGGTCTTTATATACCAGCCATGACTTATTCCAATGGCTATGTTTTAAATCCGAAACCATTAAGAGAGGACTGTTCCATGCAGACTCGTATTTTTAGCATGGTGGTGGGACCATAAGCATGGCAGATGGGGGGAAGACACGCGCTTTCCAGGCACCTATCACACACACATATCCCCCATCAGCATGGCAGAAACAGCCGCTGGTTTGGTTTGTTTAGGACACACTTTACTTTTCATACATCACCAAATGTCCCCTTCAGGCAACCGGTGTAGTCTGGTCTCTGGACATTTCCTGGGGGCATTTCTCTACCACTCAGTGGTGCCCAATGTGAGCTGGGAGACGGTGTCAAAAGACGAATGGCTGAGCCCACCCCAGGGGTTCTCAGTCAGTAATCCTGAGTGGGGCCCTAGAATCTGCATTTCCAACAAGTGCCCAGGGAATGCAGACACTGTTGGCTCGTCACTGCATTTTGAGGACCCCAAGCCACCAGAATCTGACCTTCATTAAACCCAAGACAGATCCCACACTGTCCAGATGCATGTCATTTTCTTTAATTCCTTTATCGACATTCATGTTATCTCTCTTGGTATTTGGTATATACTAGATTATATCATTTAAGATATATTTGGTTTGACTGTAAACCCCTTGAAAGCAGAGGACATGACTGACATTTCATTAGAACATTAGAACTGTGTATCTCAAAGTGTGGTTTACCAAGTACCTTTATCAATAACCCTGGGAGGTCCGTTTAAAAGCACAGCTCCTGGGTGCACCCCAGAAAAAAGGCATTGGGGGTGGGGCTCCAAAATGTACATGTTGACAAGTCCTTTGATTACTCTTCCGTACCCTGAAAATGTAGGGTGACTTCCGGGAAGCCCCGTCCTGCTCTGCTGCAGCTCAGGGTCGCACTACCCCTGGCACGCAGGCTTGTGTGGGGCTCGTGAAGTGCGGCGGGTTGAGGGAGCTGAGCGCTTAGCAGTACGCACCAGGCTTCGCTAAGCCGGGCCTGGGTGCAGACGGGGCTTCTCCTTCCTCTCCTGGGGGACTGGAGGAAGTTTTTGGAAGCTCCAGTTCAGCAGTGAGGTGACTCCTCAGCCCCGAGCTCCCGAGCTGAGAAGCCCTTCTCTATCCCCTGTCGTGGGAGGTCCACCATGAGATGGGAAGGGAAGAAAGACACCAGCCTAGCTGGCCGCACTCCGCTGCACCAGCCTGGAGATCAGGGTATGGGGCGGACACAGTCACAGATCTCTAAAGGAAATAGAGAAAACATAGGGAACCATCTAAGTTTGAATTCTATGAACCCTTTCATTCACCACCAGGCTGTTTACCTCAGTTGTCTGAGACTTACTCAAGGTTTTCTAGAAAGGCCTAGGAAGGATGAAGTTAGGACAGGGACACGGTCAGTGTAGCTGGGACCGTCAGATCTTCTTCCAAGATGGCTTCTTCATGGCGTGTTTGGCACCTCTTGGCCCTTTGCCTTTTTCTGTCCTCATATGTGGTGTCGCATCTTCTAGGCCCTCTCTACATAGCTTGGGCTTCTCACAGCATGGTGGTCTCCAAGATTGGCTTCCAAGACATAGGAACTGGGAGCTGCTCCCCAGGGAAGGGCTGCCTCGGGCAGTGCCTCTTCCTCCTGCTGCGTCTGTTGGTTGGAGGAGTCACCGAGTCCCCCTGCTTGCGGGTGGAGAAGCAGACTCGCCTCTTGATCGGAGTGGGTAAGGCCACATTCCAGAATAGCGTTTGGGGTGGGGGATATTGTCGTGGCCATCTGTGAGAATATAATCTGTTATACTTAGGAATTAAAATTGGCAAAACACGATTAACTGATTGGACATAGAGTGTGAGAGAAATGAGTCAGGGTTTATTCCAAGGTTTCTAGGTGAGTGGTTGGGGGATGATGGTGGCTCTACCAACGCTGCTTTATGTGAAAGGTAAACTGAGTTTTGGACGTGTGTTAGAATGGTTGGATCTGTGGTATTAGGAAATATCTAGGTGGAAATATTCAGTAATTAGCTTAAGTCTGATGTTTGGATCTGGGTCCATCATGTGGATTTAGCGATCAGCATGTATTTGGAATCCTAAGGCGAATGATAACACATAGCGAGAATGATCAGCATCCATGGGCTGGGGACAGAAAACTAGGACAGCTGCCATCGAAGGAGTAGTAGAAGAATGAAGCCCAGTCGGAGGGGAGGACCAGCTGTCCTGGAACCAAGGACGCCGAGCCCTTTAAGAAAGGACTGATGCAGTGTTGGGGAGGCATGAAATAAGATTGGACTGAAAGATGCTCTCTGACTTTCTGATCAGTTAGTTGAACATCCCCGTGAATGTTCAGCAGAGCTGTGGGAAGATGGAGAGAAGACAGATGAGTTGAAGGGTGAAGGAGAGGAAAAGAGGAGGCGCTGTACTTTGGGCGTTTGGATAGGAAGGAGAGGGGACGAGTTAGGCCGTAGCATGAAGAAAAGTCTCAGTAAAGATAGGAGGTAAATAAACATACCGATGGGCCAAGGAGAAGAAGAGAAGTGCGAATACAGGAGAAAAAGGGCTGTGTGCAGTTCTGGAGAAGAGGGGATGGTGAAGTGTCTGGGCGGAGGCGGGGGTCTGAGGATCTCACGCTGAGCGCGGAGGGGCGGTCCTCGGGGTGGGCGTGGCCACGGAGACTGTGGGTGGAGGAAGGTGCTGTGTGGCCTCTAGTTTGTTGATGAAATTATAGACGAGTTCATCCCTTCTGAGACTGAAGAAGTTAAGAACTGCACCAGCATCTTGAGGAAAGTAGTCAAAATTTGGAATATTTAGATAAGGAAAGGAAATGAATCAAGGATAAGAAAAATGGCTGACCAGGGGTGATGATTGTCCAGCCGAGTGGGAGACTACACATTTTAAGGACAGATTCTGCATGACTTTCTAAACGTTTTCATCGTCATTGGGGAAGTATGGAAAGAAGAAAGGGCACAGAGGAAATAAGGGTGTTTTTGAGCGAGTAGTTCTGGCAGCCAATTATAGGATCCAGAAAGGAGTCAAAGAGAGAGAAGTGAGGTTGGGTAGACACGAAGTAAGGATCTGCTGTGAATTACTCAATTACGGAATTGAATAATGGAATAATTGTGCTCTTTCTCCTTTCTATTTCCTGTGTGTAGTTTTATGGTATAGCTACCCCGTGAATTAAATGAAGTCATACATATAGAACACATAAAACACAATAACACACATAGCAAAATGAACAAGGACGCCTCAGAGCTACTTAGTATTCGACAGTGCTCAATGATTATTAGTGTATTTATCCATTTTCAAACTTTCAGTTATGAGTAAGCTCTGGAGATCTAACGCACAGGATGGCGACATTTGTTAAGAATACTATATCATACACTTGAAATTTGCTAAGACGGTAGATCTTGTGTCCTCACCCTCACATGCACAAAATAGTAACTGTGTGGTGATGAATATGTTCGTTAACTTGATTGTGAAAATCATTTCGCAATGTATATGTATATCAAATGTTGCATTGTACACCTTGAATTATACAATTTTTCTGGCAATTGTACCTCAATAAACCTGGAAAAATACATTTTTATCCCTTTAAAAATCAAGTTATGAAATAATGTATTCTGAATGTAAAATATCCAAATAATGTAGAAAGAGCCAAAGATGCAAGACCCTTGCCTTTTGGGAAGCACCACCTAGCGTCTGGGGTGCAGTAGCAGTTTCTCAGGTCCATAGGTGGGAGGTTGCCAAGCAGGGAGTAGAAAGAGCAGGGCTTTGGAGTCCAGGAGTTCTAGGACCAGCTTTCTGTATCATCTGTGTGATCTTGGAAAGCCTGCTTAAATTCCCAGCATCTCAGTTTTTTCATCTCTAAATTGGGTACTTTCAACAGGGATCTCTTTTCAAATTTGGGACAGAAAAGGGAATGGAGGGCAAAATTTAAAAAAATGTATTGAGTCAAGAAAATTTCCACCCTAAGAAGGTATATTATTTCCAAGCTGTAGTTTCTTCTCACGGGGTTGACATAAGTGCTTAACAAGATCAAATGAAAGAATATAAATTAAAGAGTTACAGTGATGTCAAGGTTTTTTTCTCCCTTTAGGAAAAAAAATGTTTCTGTGAAGTGACAAAACAATTTTACCAGGCTCATTAGTTTAGCTGAGTTATCTTTAGAAGAATGAGACTTGAACACTACTTAAACATGGAAAAAAAGACAACATAAAACAGCAAAATTGCATCTTGCTTTCCAGGTTGCATCTTGCTCTCAGATAAGAAGGCTGATCCCTTCTCTACTGCTGTCACTCGAGAAAAGTTGATGATTTTTCTATGGCAGAGTTTGTTTTTTTCTCTTACCAAGGATGAGTGTATTGTCACTGACCAGATAACTAACCTTTTAGAGGCCTTGGTACAAGTCTCTCACTGCCCAATTCTGTTCAGGAGAATTTTCCTCTGCCCTTGTGACATCAGAATTCAAGCCAAAAGACTGAGATGAATGTCATGGAAGTGACCCTCCAGGCAGCTTGCCCATTCCCTTGTCTCCTGTACTCAGGCGGTTGGATCTGAAAGCAGCAGAGGACTCATCCCTTGTGGTCCCAAAGGCCCATGAAGTCACTCTGCACAGTGAAGGACCCAGAGTGCACGTTTTAAACAGAAAACATTTATTTAGTATTTTTTTCAGAACCAGAAGCATTAGGTTTGGGTCATGTATTCCACTCGCTGTTCCTGAGGAAGACACTCAGCATCTCTTCTGATTTGTGACTTATTCTGTTCCAATGAGGTTGGTGCCAGTAGAAGCACAGTAACTAAAGTAGGCAATTTTCTCAAAGCTGCAGCCTTTCACCAGCTTGTGCCTTGTTCTGTGTGCAAACCTCAGGCCCTCATCACTTGCTTATTTTGTATTAGGAGCTGCATAACAGTGAGAGGAAGGAAAGAGAGGGAAAAGAACAACATTCAAAGCCAACCTTGACTTTGTTGATGCCAGCTGATTGGAAGGGCTGCTATTTTCAGGGAGGGGGATCAGGGATTCTGTTTTGAGATAAACTGGTTTTTGAGCCTCTTTGGGCCTTGGATCTTTATTCTGAGAAAAAATAAAGGCTTAACATGAAACAGAGTAGAATTTTGGATTTGGGGGAGTACTGCCGAGAGCCTCACATAGCAAGGCTCTGAATTTCTGAGACCCTTTCAGTTACAGACACTTCTAGAGACAGTCTTCATTTTGATGCTCAACTCAACCAAACCCATCAATGGGCCCCACTTCTCACTTCTTGTGAGGGAATCACAAGGTAAACGGAGCAGTGAGAGGTCAAAACAGGGGCATTAAGACTGCTGCTCTACCCAGTAGGAGGCTCCATCAGCATATCCAACTGGAATGTGAGAAGCACATAGTGATATGCCCAACTGCCCATATGCTTCCATTTCCAATTTTTTATTTGTATATATGATAATGCAAAATTAGGAAAAGATGAATCTTAGATTCTACCTTAGTAGAGTTTCAACTACTTCAATTTTTAAATTCACACAACAGATTTACATTTGTGTATGCACAAAGTAGTCTGTTCTTGAGAAAATTTTAATGCTCTCAAGGTAGAACTATTTTGTGTATTGACTTGGTATTTCTTTTTCAGCACAGTACAATAGTCCCCAAATTTTTATTTTTCAGTGAATATTCACTGTAGGGGTCAGATCATAGAATTTAAAAATTCTGTAGAATATCTTAGTTATGGTGCTTTTGTTGAAGTAACAGAGAATTCAACTCAAAGTGGCTTAAACATGAAAGGTATCCATTGGCTCATGAAATCAGGATTCCAGAGGCAGGAGCACCTCCAGAACTGATTCACCCAGCAGCTCAGCCTGGTATAAGGATGAGGGTCTTCCTGACTCTTTCCACCGCCATCCTTCGTGTCACTTTGCCTGCGGCTCTCAGGATCATATCCAGCCATTTGCTAAGGCTCCAGGCTTTCCTGTGGTGTCCAAAGAAGAGTGGTCCCCTGAAGCTTTCACAGAAGAACTAATATGATCCTTCTTGGAAGGCCCTCTACTGGTCTAATTAGCCCTAACTGCAGCATAACCTAATGCTGAACCAATGACCAACAGGATAAATGACCCACCGAGGTCCACCTCAGATATGGGGGTAGATTTGGCTTCCTGGAGTCACACGGACTCACGGAGCATGGTTAGAACAAATCCAAGAAAAATGGAGACAGGAATGGATGCAGAGCAGACCCACAGAGAATTCCCAACTGTGGCAAGTCTCAGGTGACATTCCATTGTATCTACTTCAGCGTAACCTCCAAGAAAGATCCTGTGTTAATATAGAAAACAATCACTACTCAGATATTAGTGTGACCTCCAAGAAAGATCCTGTATTAATATATAAAAGTCACTACTTAGAATTGTTACTGGGTGGTGGGGTACAGTTTCCTGGGAAAAACAACCAACTCTGGGCCAGACATCCCATGCTTGAACCTCTTTTTCTACTTACAAGCAATATAAGGTTTGGCCAATTCGTTAATTTCTGTGAGCCTCCATTTCCTAATTTGTGAAGTGTGGGGAATGACAGCAAACCTAAAAGCAATGCCATTGTAAACCTAAAAGAAGAATACAAGCACACACACACATGTGATTTGACACTCTAACCACATTCCCCAACAGCTGGAAATAACATGGACATAACAGAGCAAAACAGATCTTCCATCTCTGAATCCTGTGATGTGAGTATACAAGACAAATGTGAGTTCCTGTTTCATATCATTTTGTTACATCCTATGGAGAAGGGTTACCTTTTATAAGCTATGCAGAGTAGCTTGCCATATGCTATAGTCTTGTCAATGGCAGAACCAATTTCAGGCTACCAGGCTTGCTAATCCTTTGTTGTAACAGTTCTTGATGTTTTACGTGTAGTGTGATCAAGAGAACATTCATTTAACGCATATTTATTGCACATCTAGTATGTTACAGGCAATTCTGCAGGCTCTGGGACTGCAACAGTGATACACGATACGTGTGTTCAGAGGGCAGTTTTATTTCCTCTCAGCAACTTGTTTTATGTGTAGGAAATTTTGGGTGATGGCTTGTGAATGGCTTGAATTCCTCCAATGGTTTGATATATTCTTTACCTATAACCACAACTGGTTTTAACAAAAAAGTCAAACTGGTGTCTCATACTGCTATTATTTTCTTGACGACAGGAAATTGGCTACAGGGAGCTTAATGTCAGCTACCATTTTTTTGAGGGCTCTCCATGTGCCAGGCCTTGTGCTAAGCACCTTCCAATTCACTTATTCCTAAGAATAGAACATCCTCGGGAGCAAGCTACAGGCTCTAACTGGGGGATTTGCTCTAGCACGTAGGCAGGCCCTGGCCTCTACTAGTCTGAGGGCAGGAGGCTTGGGGTGACCAGATAGCCCACACAGAGAGGCATCCAAGGGCAGGCTGCTGTTAAAGATGGGGGCTCTGCCTTGAACACTGACTCTAGGGAAGGTTACTTTCCTTTGACCTGCTGATCCTGTCAGCAAAAGCCCTCTCTGGATATGCTGTAGTTGACATTTATTTTAGTTTAGAAATTGCTTCTTTACTTTCCATGTTGTTAACTTTATGTAGCAACTTCATCTTGTACCTTTTATTAGGCTGTTTTGCATATCAAATCTGGCTCTGTAGAAAGGGTTGTTTGGGGGCTTCCTTGCAGACCCTGTGCACAAGATTGTGTTGCAATGTATATTGAAGCTCTCCCCTCTGTTTCTTTGCTAAGATAGACGGTGAAATTTAAACACATAGGTGGTGTCTGACGGGGCCTGGGAGAAGCACAATTTCAATCAAGTGTGACTTCATCAAGTGTCCCAGTTGTGGGTGGAATGGGGCAAATATCTACAGCATATCCACAACCAGGAGCTTGGTGTGTTTGGGGCTCTAGGTGGTGTCTGTGTCTATACAGAGCAGAGCTGTCTATCTGGTGGCTGCCGGTGGTCACGGCAAGTGTGCCTCATCACAGTGTATGAAGTGGATGCAATCTCCAATTGCTTCCAGACATTCTTGACGTCAAATTTAACTGTCTGTTGCTGTCTAACTTGGTTTTTTAAAATTGAATTTTATTTCCAGAGATGTGCTGCACAGCAGCAAATCATCAGCAAGAAGAGAGCAGAGAACTAAATTACACCCTGATGTCTACCCCTCTCATTTCTGCCACGCACCACGGTCACCCCCATTTCAAAACTGTCACTCATTAATACAGTGCAAAGTATCAGAACACCAGGCTCCAATCACAGTGCCTGCTGGCAAAGAATGCTAGCTATAGTGTTCTATTTTGAGCAGCTTGACCATATGCGTACATATATTACTCTACATATTCCTATCAATAGTTTCTATTTTTGCCACATTTCCTAGGATATGATTTGATACTCTTTAACAAAAATCCCAGATAGCTGAAAATACCATACATACAACAGGGCAGGAAACAGGAATGGTGAGAGGAATTCATCTTATACACCGAGGGACAGAGGAAAACAGGTAAGAAGTACACAAGAAGAAGATATGAGGACAATTATAGGCTCATAATTGTAATTAAGACCATTAAAGGTTATTTATGAATAGCTTCTATTGCTCTCATTAAATGTTCCCATTTGTTTTTAATTTCAGTGTATCATCAAACCAGTATATCTTCACATTTTTCGAGACTGGAATGCAGAACTAGTCTTAGATATATTTATCCACCCCCCGGACCCACACATCCATTCATCCATCCATCCATCCATCCATCCACCCACCCACCCATCTATCCCTCCATAATTTTTAATTCAACAAATATGCATTGCATGCTTCCTAGAGGCCACACTCTGCAAGGCTATGAGGATGTTGTCACGTGCCTTGTGATCATTCTTTCAACTGTTTGTACCCTCAGTTTCCACATATGTGGAATGGGAATAATTATGTCTAGAGGGTGCTGGTTCACTCACTAATGACCAATGTTTACTCTTTGAAGGTTTATGTTGCCCAACAGATTGACCAGGGTGCCTTGTGCAGGGCCTGGCAGGTAGCAAGGTCTCTGCTAGTGGGACCCGCTGTGGGAGGACCTGGGTGTCTTGGAGAGAAAGAGAGGGTTTTGGGGAAGGGGTGACACACTGAGAATTCCATACTGACCATGTGACCTTGAGCAAGTTCTCTCTGCTCCTCAGCATCCATCTTTAAAAAGTAGATATTATAATATCTACAGAGGGTTCCTGTGGGCATTAGAGATCATGTAGGAATAAAGGCTTAGTGCAGCCACTGGCAGAAGAGTAGGGACTCAAATATCAGAACATTTAGGATGGATGTGAAATGCCCCTTTGCCTCCAAGCAAATATTCCCCCAGACTCTATGCTTGTGAGTTAAAAGTCACTCTGGGCAGTCCAGTCTGTTAAGGCACCAAAACACACTGGGAGAAGTACTGAAATCATCTATGAAGGGAAGGATTTTGCTGGACTATTAGTGATGAATGCTAATCAGATGGGTGCAGCAGGTTCCAGAGCGCAGATTCTGGAGATGAGGGAAGAAGATTCTGATGATCCTAGGTCCCAGGGGGTGCTAAAGGGAAGGGGCATTCTGGGAAGCACGCCAGGGCAACTGGGGGCCCCAAGTGTGGGCATTGAGGCCCCCGCATGGAGAGCAGGCTGAGGAAGGGGAGCTCTGCAGGGGAACGTTGTCTGATGCACACCGTGCTGAGGGGCAGCCTGTGGCACAGAGCAAACCACACCAGATTGACAGTTATTTCTTTTTTTTTTTTCTTTTGTAGAGGGAGGGTGTCACTGTTACCCAGGCTGGTCTCAAAGTTTTGGGCTCGAGCAACTCTCCTGCCTTTGCCTTGCAAAATGTTGGGATTAGAGGCATGAGCCACTATACCCAGCTGGCTATCACTTCTTAGGAGCCTTTGGTTGCTCTTTCTGTAGGATGATTATTACTAATAGAGTTGAACCTGATCTTCAGTGACTGATACATTCTTTTTGTTTTGTTTTGTTTTTGAGATGGAGTCTCACTCGGTTGCCCAGGCTGGAGTGCAGTGGTGCAATCTCGGCTCACTGCAACCTCCACCTCCTGGGTTCAAGCAATTCTCCTGTCTCAGCCTCCAGAGTAGCTGGGATTACAGGTGTGCACCACCACGCCTGGCTAATTTTTGTATTTTTAGTAGAGATGGGGTTTTGCCATGTTGGCCAGGCTGGTCTTGAACTCCTGATCTCAAGTGATCTGCCTGCCCCAGCCTTCTAAAGTGCTGGGATTACAGGTGTGAGCCACTGTGCCTGGCCTATAAATTCTTATCAAAAAACCAAAAACCTGTAATCCCAGCACATTGGGAGGCAGAGGCAGGAGAATGACTTGAAGCCAGGAGTTTGAGACTAGCCTGGACAACATAGTGAGACCCTTCCCATCTCTACAAAAAATTAAAAACAGTAGTTGGGCATGGTGGCGTGTGCCTGTAGTCCTAGCTACTCAGAAGGCTGCATTGGGAGGATCGCTTAAGGCCAGGAGGTTGAGGCTGCAGTGAGCTATGATTGTGCAACTGCACTCCAGCCTGGGTGACAGAGTGAGACCCTGTTTCCATTTTTAAAAAATCTTAAAAACATAGCTCAGGAAGGGAAAACTAAACATCGTAGGTTCTCACTTATAAGTGGAAGCTAAGCTATGAGGATGCAAAGGCATAATAATGATACAATGGACTTTGGGAATTCAGGGGGAAGGGTAAAAGGGAAGTGAGGAATAAAAGAGTATATATTGGGGACAGTGTACACTGCTCAGGTAACGGGTGTACCAAAATCTCAGCAAGCAACACTAAAGAACTTTACCATGCAACAAAACACCACCTGTTCCCCAAAAACTATTGAAATAAAAATAATAAAAATTAAAAAAATAATAAAAATAAAATAAAATTTAAAAAAGTAGCCGAATGATCACTCTTTAATCATTAAGGCGCTGGAAGAACTAGCTTAGCATTCTGCAGAGTGCATTGGAATATTAATTGCCTATGGCAAAAGAGTCCCATGGTCAATTCAATTTGGGATTTGCTGCAGGTATTGTTTTTTTCTTGTATAAGATCAACATGTATTAGCACATTAAAAGCACTGAGAAGTCCTGCAGTAAATATATCTCCTTAATGGCATTTAAGCCAGTGTTTCCCAAAGTTATTTGACCACAGCCTACTTAATCAGGTCCCACAGAATCTTAGAAACATGGATCTCTGGATGAAGTTGGCATAATGGTGACATATTGTGGGTTCTACTATTGTGTATCGTGTAGCCTAGAATAGAGTCTTCATCCGTTTTGTGTTGCTGTAACAGCATCCCTGAGACTGGGTAATTTATAAAGAAAAGAAATTTATTTAGCTCAAGTTTTGTAGGCTGGGAAGTATGAGAAGCATTGTCCCAGTACCTGCTTAGCTCCTGATGGGGGCCATGTGCTAGGTCAAAATAATTTATTTTTGTGAGAACCAATCACGGTCTCACTCACTGCCGTAAGAACAGCACTAAGCCACTCACGAAGGTTTCACCCCCATGGCCCAAACACCTCCCACTAGGCCCCACCTCCCAGCACTGCCACACCAGGGACCAAATTTTAACAGGAGCTCTGGTTGAGACAAACCACCGGTGTCCAAACTGTAGCAAGTAGGTACTAAATTGCTGGAGTTTCTCTGAGGTCAGAAATAAAGATTCATTCATTCAATCAGTTAATTGGTACTGAGGGCCTATCTTGTGCCAAGCACATCTCAGCACTGGAAATACAGCAGTAAACAGAGAAGTTGAAATTGCTGGTCTCTCGGAGCTTACATTCCATTAAAGAAGCAGACAGTAAACATGTGAACACCTAATGTGCAGGGGAGAGCTGTTGCTATGAAGAGAAACAAAGCCCAATCCTGGAGGGTGCTCTTTCCTTCCAGGTGCTGGAGGAAGGCCACTAGGCTGAGGCGACAGTGGAGCAGATTTCTGATGAGGAGCAGCAGTGAGCCACTGGGACATCTGGGGAAGGGCCTTCCAGGTAGAGAGGGGGTGATTGCAAAGGCCCTGAGGCAGAACCCTCCTGACCTGCTCTAGGAGCTGCCAGGAGGGGAGGAGGGGAGAGGGGGTTGGGGCAAGACAGACAGACAGAGCTCTCCAGGGCACAGCAAAGATTTGGGACTGCATCCTGGGGTACTTGCAACCCCTGGAGGGTCCTGAGTGGAGGATATCAGGTTGGGTCTTCGTTGGTTCCTGTGGCAGGTGTGTGTAGGGTAGACCCACAGAGGTGAGGCACTAGCGGGATGGTTAGGAGGCTTCTGCTCTAATTCAGGCGAGAGGCCACAATGGCTGGGCCCAGGCTGTGGAGATGGTGAAAAAGAGTTGAATTCCACAGATATTTCTAAGGTAGAGCTGATAGTGTTTGCTGATGCATTAAGTGTGGAATCAAGTTAGTATCATGGATGTTGCTGTGCACAGCAGGTTTGATGAACAAACAGATGATGTAAACCAGCTGACTCCCAGAATCACTCTGGGTTATTCAGACCAGCTGTGTGACCTGGAGCAGGGCACATACCTTTTCCAACTGTCCTCCCTTCTCTTTGCAACAAAGATCAAAATAATACTCCATAGGATGAGCTGAGACAATGCAAGCCTTGTACCTATAGGGTTTCCACATCACATGCCATCAGGGAAATGCAAATTTAAACAACCGTGACTTACCACTACTCACTTATTAGAGTGGCCAAAATCCAGAACACTGACAACAAATGCTGGTGAGGATGCAGAGCAACAGGACCTCTCATTCATTGCTGGTGGGCATAAAACTTGTACAGTCACTTTGGAAGACAATTTGGCAGTTTCTTATAAAAGTAAATATACTCTTGCCATATCATCCAACAATTGTGATCCTTGGAAACTTATATCCACACAAAAACCTGCACATGGATGTTCATAGCAGTTTTATTTTATTTTAGTCTATTTTGAGATGGAGTCTCACTCTGTCGCCCAGGTTGGAGTTCAGTGGCACAATCTCAGCTCACTGGGGTCAAGCGATTCTCCTTCCTCAGCCTCCCAAGTAGTTGGGATTACAGGCACGTGCCACCATGCCCAGCTAATTTTTGTATTTTTAGTAAAGACGGGGTTTCACCATGTTGGCCAGGCTAGTCTGGAACTCTTGACCTTATGATCTGCCCACCTTGGCTTCCCGAAGTGCTGGGATTACAGGCGTAAGACACTGCACCTGGCCAGCAGCTTTAATCTTGATTGCCCACACTTTGAAGCAACCAAGTTGTTCTTCAGTAGGAGAATGTATAAATAAACTGTGGTACCTGCAGACATTGGAATACTACTCAGCAGTAAGAAGTAAGATACCATGGCATGAAAAGACGTGGAGGAAACTTGAATGAAGACTGCTAAGTGAACGAAGCCAGTCTAAAAGCCTATATACTTTACGATTCTGACTATGTGACTTTCTGGAAAAGGCAAAGCTGTGGAGACAGTAAAAACGATCAGTGGTTGGCAGGGTTTAAGGAGGAGGGAGGGATGAATAGGCAGAGCACAGAGGATTTTTAGGGCAGTGAAATACTTTGCATGACAGCAGAGTGTTGGATACATGTCATTATATGTTTATCCAAACCCATGGAGTGTACAACACCCTGATGAACCCGAACAGAAACCATGGACTCTGGGTGATAATGGTGTGTCAGTGTAGGTTCATCAATTGCATCATATTGCCACTCCGCAGGGCTTATCGGTAACAGGGATGGCTGTGCAGTGTGAGGCAGGAGGTATTTGGGAAATCTCTTCACTTACCACTGAGTTTTACTGTGAACTTAAATTTGCCTTAAAAATAAAGTACCTACAAGGGCTCACCTACCACCGATAGGCGTATTTAGAAATGGAAACGATTGTTACTTAAATAATTAACCACAATTTAAAAGCGCATGTAACAATTAAATCAATATAATTAGAGAAATAGATATTGAGAAAGGGAGAAAGTTTGGTTTTTAATTGTCAGTTTGTTCTGCTGCATGAACAGGAGAGCAAGTTCGCGGATGCTGAGACAAAATGATGGGAGATGCCTCTGTGTGGACAAACATCCAGTGAAAGTTGTTGGTCTGAGCAAATGGGCAGCACCAAATGTGCATAATTAATCTTTTGTTCTATTTCTTGAATGCAGTACAAGAGTCAGGTCTTTAGAAATCCTTTTCTCACTTACTGGGGAAGCTGCTGTAGCCAGGTACTCTCAGTCTGAAGTCATTAAAAACTCCTCCTGTAGTTCCAGCTACTCGGGAGACTGAGGCAGGAGAATCCCTTGAACCCGGAAGACATAGGTTGCAATGAGCTGAGATCGCGCCACTGCACTCCAGCCTGGGCGACAGAGTGAGACTCTGTCTCAAAACAAACAAACAAAAAACTAAAAAAACAAAACTTCTCACTACAGCAGCAGAAACGGCCCCCCTTGCAAAATAATGCCAGGCTGTTAGAAAAGAACCGCTGGGAGAGGAGGAGGTAAACGAAAGGATCTCGTGAGATCGATCTGTCAGGTTAGTCATGAGGATTTTTCAGGCTTGTCATGAGTGAAGGAGGCGCTGATTACAGGACCTCCTTTGCCTGGAACGGCAGGCAGTGGTCAGTGCTTCCTGTTCAGGGGCGACCGCAGGGGACTTGCCTGGCAGAGCAGGGAGGGAGCTGCAGGGGGCGGGAGTGCCACCTTCCCAGGGTGAAGACACACCCCGTGGCGGCCCTTCATGCAGCATGAGTATTTGTGCACCACACAACACTGCTTGGCAATCTCATGTGGACAATGCAGTTTTACAAGTCGGACAAGATCCTCAGATGTGAACTTTACCTAAGTAAATAAAGCCATCTGTCTAATCCAAAGTTTTCTTTTGTTCTGTATTGAAGTGGCTTCTTAGGAAAATGACTAAGTGTTCAGCTATTTCAGGAGAAATATGAAACACTGCTTTCTTTTATGTTTTTCCCTGTTTTTATCTTTAAGGAAAATAACCACTTTAAAATGAAAGTGTAAAGAAAAATGTCCTATAGAGTTCAAGTTGGGTAGAGTGTAAATTATGATGAAAAATGCTAGGATAGTCTGATAATTTCTTTTGTCAAGTTTTTAAAGTGTGGTACAACACAAAGTAATTTAAAAAACCTTTTAAAAAATCATGTATTTATAGAATAGCCACGGTAACATGATTTGTCTATCTTAAATTTATAAACCAATGTAATCACAATTAAACACAATAAAAAAAGTATTTTTTTTGTACTCTGCATTGCAAATTTAAAATTCCTCTCCCTGAAATGATACTTTTGAAAATTCCTGAAGTCAGTTTGGAAAATGACTGGGAGCTTGACGTAGTCACCTCCATGGAGGGTATGCGTCATCATAGACTTAATGAGACCATAAATCAAATGAAGAAAGCCATGCAAGACAGTTTTCATTTTCAAACTGAAATTAACTTATGCTTAATTTTGATTTAAAATTGAACCAAATTAAAAAAAAAACAGAGAAATACAAACTTCAAAGTTGTTACTAGAACTTAATTCCTTTTGGAAATTAGCTAATGCTGAAAATACGAGCTAGTATGATAATATTAGCCTGTGCTGAAAATATGTTAATAAAATGGCAAAAAAATTATTATTAACAAAATTGCTTTTGAGCAGATTCAGATTCAGTTAGTTGATTATGATTATGGGCATCTAACTTATTTATCAAATGAAGGTGACAAAAAGACAATTTGGTAAGTCGTCTAAAATTATTTAGATTTTGTCAGCCTCCTAAGATGACGAATATTCAATTACAAAGAAAAAAAATTGAGGAACATATTTTTCAATAAGATCTCTTAAATCCACTTAGAAATCTTCACTCTTGGCCGGGCGCAGTGGCTCACGCCGGGGAGGCTGAGGCGGGTGGATCACGAGGTCAGGAGATCGAGAAATCTTCACTCTAAAGTTTGTTGATAATTTTCTATTCTGAATTTGATACATAATTGTTTGATAGAATGCTGTCCTGGTTGATTATATATTACTTATTAGTTTTTATTTTTATTAATTTCACGGTTGAGTATTGACGAACTCACTATTGAATGTTGATTCTTGAATGTTCTTCCTCCTGATCAGTTGCATTTCTTTTCTTTTCTTTTTTCTTTTTTTTTTTTTTTAAGAGACAGGTTCTCACACTGTTCCTCAGGCTGGAGTGCAGTGGTACAATGATAGCTCACCACAGTTTCAAACTCCTGGGGCTCAAGTGATCCTCTCGCCTCAGCCTCTTGAGTAGCGGGGACTATAGGCACACACTACTATGCCTGGCTAATAGAGATGGGGGTCTTTTTATGCTGCCCACGCTGGCCTCCAACTCCTGGGCTCAAGTAATCCTCCTGCCTCAGCCTCCCTAGTGGCTGGGATTACAGGTGGGAGCCACCATGCCCAGCCAAACTGCCTTTTTTTTTTTGAGAGAGGGTCTCACTCTTTCACCCATGCTGGAGTGTAGTGGTGTGAGTACAGCTCATTGCAGCCTCCGTGTCCTGGGCTCAGGTGATCTGCACCATCAGCCTCCTGAGCAGCTGGGCCTATAGGTGTGCACCACCATGCCCAGCTAATTTTTGTACTTTGTAGAAGTAGGGTTTCACCATGTTGCCCAGGCTGGTCTTGAACTCCTGTACTTAAGGAATCTGCCTTCCTCAGCCTCCCAAATTGCTGGGATTACAGGTATGAGCCACCGTGCCCAGCCCCAGATGCATTTTTGAGTGCAGTTTAAACTCGTTTTGTCTTGTCCTTTGCTCTGAAAATATCCCTTTAGGACAGATAAAGAGTAGGCTTTATGAACCAAAATAAGAGAAACATTTATGAAAATCACCCAGCCTATCCCTGTCTCTCCAGTCTAAGTTGTTATAAACTGTTTAGAAATGTTATACTGTGTTATACTTAGTACTGTATGTAACTTTCACTGTATTTGCTCCATTATTTTAAAGCAGAAGCAAATGTCTTGCATATGTATCAAGCAAAGTTTTATTTTGTGTAAGGCTCTCAAATGACACACACAGAGACAGGTATAAAGTGTTTGGGATCAGGGTGCTGTGAGTGCCCAGAGCCAGGATGTAGTGAAAAGATGAGCCTACAAAAGTCAACTGGTTCCAGATTATGCGGTACATTTACCAAAAGTTTAAAAAGTGTGGATCTGATTCCTTAGATGAGTGGCATGCCTGCATCATTGTTAGCTCCAGTGGCAGGAGGGTTGAAATGTGAAGAGGTCAGCAGGTCAATTACAAAGTCTTGGCAAAAGATTTTGAGGGCTTGAATCAAGGTAGTTGAGAGAGAGGAAGCAAATTTGAGATAAATGTGTTTCATGGATGAAATTTGTGAGATTGTCTGGCCAATACAATGTTCTGTAAAAAGGAAAAAGAAGGGTGGTTCTTCCTGGATCCATAATGATGCTATTAACCACCACAGGTCATACAGGAACAGGGATGAGAGTGGCATATTACTGTGAAAATTACCAAAATACTGCAGTGTACTGTTATACCACTTACGAGTTTTAAACACTACAAACACAAGCAATGAAGTTTAACAATCCTATCCTAATTGAAGTCAACACTGAACTACTTCCTCAATGGTATTTCACTTCTTCATGTATATTAAGGAATTAAGAAACATCAAAGACCAAAAAAAAAAAAAGGAAGATATCTCAAATATCTATGTACCTCATGGATAGACATTTACGTCAGATCCTGTGAGAGTAAGTAACCCAACCAGCAGCTTTTGTTGAGGAAATGCACATGATCTTTACCTTGTCCATCACTGGGTAGACTTTGCTGATATTTTGGTATTTATGCTATTGAAATCATGCTAAGAGTGACATTTTCAAAGTTGTTTCTGGATTTGATAACATGGAGGCCTCACATAAGGAAACCAAATAGCTTGTGTTGTGCTCTGACATAAGCATGAGAGGCTGTTGTTGCTTTCTGACATAATCACAAAGTAGGACTCACCCATTCACGCCATCACTCCTTCCACCAGCATGTGTCAAGCACCTTCTGCAGGACTTCCCTTCAGTGGGAGCTTGCTCTTCCTCTAAAATGTGGCAGTACTTACCTTCTACAGCATTTCCACAATTGGGGAAAGCGTAACATAGGTTATAGTTTGTTAGGTAAGTGAGTTAGTGGCAATTATACCAAATGTTAAAAAAATGTGTGCAGTATACTAGAACAGGGGTCCCCAACCCCTGGGCTGTGGACTGATACTGGGCCGTGGCCTGTAGGAACTGGGCTGCATGGCAGGAGGTGAGTGGCAGGCAAGTGAGCATTACTGCCTGGGCTCTGTCCCCTGTCAGGTCAGCGGCGGCATTAGATTCTCATGGAAGCACAAACCCTATTGTGAACTGCACATGTGAGGGATCTAGGTTGCCTGCTCCTTAAGATAATCTAACGCATGATGATCTGTCACTGTCTCCCATCGCTCCCAGATGGGACTCTGTAGTGGCAGAAAAACAAGCTCAGAGCTCCCACTGATTCTACATTATGGTGAGTTATAGAATTATTTCATTATATATTACAATGTAATAATAATAGAAATAAAGTGCACAATACATGTAAAGCACCTAAATCATCCCAAAACTATCCCCCTTGCCACCCCATCTGTGAAAAAATTGTCCTCCACACAACCAGTCCCTGGTGCCAGATAGGTTGGGGACTGCTGTACTAGAAGATCAGATATGTTGTTTTATGTTTAACTTGTTTAACTTTATTTGGGTGTCATTATGTTAATTTTTTACTTCCTTAAGGTCTGAACCATTTCAAAATGTCTCTATCAAAGTAGTCATTGTCTAGAATGGTCTTGAGCCAAATATAATAAATATGATGAAGGTTCATTTTTACTCTCTGGTTTAATACTTATTTTCTTGCTCATGATGGAATTCTCATTCCTAACCATGTGGCTGAAAGGACAATTTTGTTCATGTTAACGAATGCAAAGTTCTCATGCAAATGTTTTTGAAACTGCTGGAGTCTTGCTCTGCCTGATTTGACTGCTAGTTTGGATTTTGTTTTATTAATGCACTTGGGTTCCAAGTAAATTTCCAAAGTTTAACACACCTCAAGGTATTGTTCCTTGATTCTAAAGTAGCACTTAAGTTATCCACTGAAAAATTGTAATGTAATAGATATTTCAAAAGACATTTTAAGCATAATTTAGAATTTTAAGCCACTTATCAGAATTTTAAATAATATATGAACTGATTTGAATCTTACCACGAAGTGCTATGAAAGTTGAATTTTAAAGTTTTATAAAAGTTCAGTTACTTTTCCACTCTTTTTGATTGTTGCTTGAGGCAGAAATACGGTGTTTTCAAGAGCTAGCCTAAGATGTAATGAAAGAGAACCCCACCTTTTATTATTATTTGCTTTATTTCTATAGCAACAGGGTGCTGGGTATTTGCTTTTCAAATATATTTGGTTACAGGTATTAATACTATCCAGAGCTAGCACCAAACTGTTTCATAATAAAACTCACTCTGAACACCTGTCCTAAGCTTTAATAATAACATGCATTGTTATTTTTCCAAATTTCATAGACAAGGACAATGTTGAAATTATGACTGTACTTCTGAGCAAAAAAATCTTGCTTTTGGATGAAAGTTGCATCAAATGACTGAAATTGGTGATGGATATTTTTCAATTGCCATTTTCTCAGGAATTACATAGTTGAAGTTGGCTCAACATTGATGGCTATCTTGAATAACATGGAATCTAATGAGATGATCTCAAGAGCAAATGCTTTAGTTTAGCTTTTTAGTAACTTCAAGTCTGTTTGCCTATTATTGCTGTATTCAAAGCACAGTTTCTCAAAATGATTTTTGAAAAACAACTTTAACAGTTTTTTTAACCATTCTAGAAAAGCAATCTTAGTTATTTAAAAAATAAATGATCAGTAAATGTCACTAGAGATGTTGATAAATATATGCCATTTAGCTCCATTATTTATTCGAAAAATTGGGGCTGGGTTTATAAACAAAAGTTTTGTGCTTTAAAACAAAAGCTAAGGGAAGACTTATCTTCAACTTCCTCCCCCAAACTTCTTGCACATTTTGATCAATTTGGATTGTGCCAATAATCTTTATTTACATTGTCAAATTTATTGGCAGAAATAAGCCTGAAGCTTTTACTTAACAAAAGAACTGTCTAAAGATTTTTTTCTATCACTTTGTTATTCACTTAATTATACAACAACATTGGTGTTTTACAAGATGAAAGAGAAGGAAATTCCTATATTAATCAAAGTGTGGTACAGGTAAACCTAGTTTGAGAAGTATTGAACCCAATTCTAATACTTAGACATGGGTTTCTGTTTGTTTGCTTGCTTTTGTGTGTATTTGCTTTTCCATAATAGTAACTTCTAAAAAAAGATTTATCCCACCTAGTTCATTTGGATCCCAAATATTTAAAGTCAGTAATATATGTGTGGAATTTGCTTTTCTAGTTATAGCTACATAACTAAAGGTAATGCAAAATGTCAAACACCACACCAAATAGTGCTTTGTACAAGACCCCCGTGGTATGTTTTCTCTGATGGACTCCGGCAGCCCCTGCAGAAGGTCCTACTCTGAGGCTGCAGCCATGCCCGTGCCAGGGTTTCTCTCTTGCATTTCCCCTCCTGGATTTTTGTTTATTGTTTATACCATTGAATCATGACAGTTTCTGATGAATTAGGTGAAACACATAGCAAAGATGTCAAAGAGCAATTAAAAAATCTCAGTTGCTCGATAAGATGACAGGCTGTAGTCTTTACAGTAATTAAGAAAGTCATAAAGAAACAAGTTCAATTTTTCACAAAAAGTTATTACTTAATTTCTGATTCAGTCTTACACAGAGAACTGAATGCAAATCCCTTTCATATAATAGGTAAATCTGTATACATTAGCATGAGAGTTTTGAATATGAACAAACAGGGGAAAAGGAGAAGTTGCTACAGGGACTAAAGTTGAAGTCACGTGGCTTCAAAGTTTGTGGAAAGTTTTCTTTCCTTTTTTTAATGCTTTGTATGTGTCAAGGTTTTAGATGTGAGTTCTTCAAAATTGTCAGACGACGTTTCCCTTCAGCTGGTTTGGAGCTCATTTTCCAACTGCTTTGCAAGTAAGAATTTAAACAATTTTAAAGAAATTATATGTTGGCTTTTTAATTCAAAATTCAGATAAAAGTACTGCTGTGGTTTCATGGCTAACAATTCTTCTCTCTTTGTCTGTCATTTTCTTTCCGACACAAATGGATGAGAACATCTTGGAGTTTTACTGCCTGTGTAAAAAAATGGTCTTTCTTTCTAGTGTAAGAATAATTATGTTTAGTTTAGGATGCTTCGCCCTCTCCTTGTTATTTTTTGATTCGTCTGTGCTTACTTTGAGAGGAAATTTAGTATATATTACCTTGTTAAAAGCCTCAGTATTGCTTACACTTGATGACTAAAGCTAGATGAAAATTGCTTGATGTGACATAAAAGCATGTATTCCATACTGAAATACCTGACCCACACTGGTTATACGGGGTGGAGGAGCATAGCCACAGCTTTATTCGCTCTTAAGTTGTGGAACATATTTTTTCCACATTCTGGTGAGTCACTCTGTCCTGATGGAACTGCTGCATGTTGCTCACCAGCACATCTGCCACAAGGCTTTAAAAAACCCTAGGACATGGCCTGAGGCAAGTCTCCTAGGGGCCCATTGCACCCTCATAGTCATGCGGCCCTTTCGCCACTTCCCTGTAGAACTTGAGTGTGAAACACGGAGCTCACGGTGGCCCTTGCAATTGTCCTTCTTCTACTCATACTCTCAGGCATCTCACAGATCTGGGCTTCAGATGTTCACCTAAACTTAAGAACCTCATGGAACAAATATTGTGTCGTCTACTTTGCAAACCTCCAACAATCCTGAAATAATGTAATATTGTATGAATAACAGGCACTCAAAGTGTTATTGCTTCACAAGTAAAATTAATGTTTATGTTTAGAAAATGATTATTTTGTGGCATCATAAAAAATCTCTTATGCTGTGATTTCTACTTATAATTTCTTGATTCTGATGGCGTGATATCTATCCCATAATCCATGTAGAGTTTGTGGCAAAAATATTTTCCTTCTATTCATTGTACAGAAGAAAAGGTGTGAGGAGACTACTTTTTTTTCCTTAAAATGACAATCCACAAACCTAGTTGGTAAGAATCATATGATATCTGATGACTAACACTCATTATTAGTAAGCCTTAAATCAACTTTCTGCATTTGCTATGGAGACATTGGATCAATAGGTTGCTGAATGCAGGTGCTGACATGAATTTGTATTTGGTTGGATTTGAGTCAGCAAAGAGTGACATTTTATTAATATTTTACATTTTTTTTTCTGATTGAGCAGGAATTTTATAATGTCCCTTGCTTTCCCTTGCTGATTTTCTTTCTTCCTCCTTCCTTCCTTACAATAAGCCCTCTAAATGATTTATTTTAGTTACTTAAAAGGGGTGCATAAAGTTAGTTTGTATGCATAAACATAATGCCAAAGATATGTAAGTAATTGAACAGAGGGATGCTGGTGATAAAATAGATCATGATCGCTAATTATATTAATGACAAAAACTGTCATAGGTGCTAATTTGAGTTAAAAATAATTTTAAAAATGTACAAACCATCACAGAGAGTAAAATATTCAGCTGGAGAATATGGGGAAGAGGAAATGAGGGCAGGGGAGTTTTATGATTCTAGGATGTTTATCTAAGGGTCGCTTCTAGTGGTGCACTAGAAATTTGGCTCTGAGCTCCCTTGCAAGAAACTGAGATGGCGTGACGGTAAAAGTCATGCCATCCATGTATAAATACGCTGGTCACTCAGGGTAAGTAAAGCTTTTCCTGATACTGAAAACAATGAAATGGATACTTCTCATTCTTATATAATGAGGACATGGAATGATATTGGACTATGGTATTAGCAACATCTTTTAATATTTACAATATTGAATTTCATACACATTTCTTATAATGTCCTTTAGTGCCCTGTAGAGCATCATGTCAGTTCTAGGAAGAATCCAACAATATTGTATCTACTATTTTGATACAAATGTCTTTAGATCCATGACAGTCTGGCTGGATCCAAGTATAAATGTATCTTTCAATGAATGGGTCATTTTTTTTTCCCTAGCAGCAGCAGGGGAAAAAAAGCCAATTTATTGTTAGTAAAATATTTGCATACTTTGAATTTCAACTGATGAAGAGGTGAGACTTCTCTTTGCAGAATGAGGTGCCTGGAGCAGGTACACGTCAGAATCAACATCCTCTCTGTGCAGATGGCTAAAGGAAGATGTTTTGGGCAGGGCCAAAGTTGTTTTAGAAAACATTTCTGTATTTAATACAAGGATTTGAGGCTTTAATAATATGGAACGTGACCACAAAAGTTATATTGTACTTTGTCATTGAGGTCCTTAGATTTTGTTTAGCACACATACATGTATGTGTACCTGTGTACAACTACACACATATAGATGCATAAATCTGTGCAAAAATATGTGCTTCATAAAGATATATATTTTTATTTTGAAGAGGTTCAAGGATGTGACAAAGTTGACAAAACTTCACAGTAAATATCCATATACTCACACCTGAAATTCTACCATTAACACTTTAGTATACTTGTTTTATCGCATGTATCCATCTGTTATTCCTTCTATCCATCAGAGTAAAGTGCAGACATTTGATTAATTATTAACACCCATTAATTAGAGTTCAATATTTGCATATAATTTTTGTTTTAGACAAGTATTATAATTTATATGACTACATATCAAATATAACACATGTTCTCATGTATCTCACAGATCTGGGCTTTAGATGTTCACCTAAACTTAAGAACCTCATGGAACAAATAACTGCGTTGCCTGCTTTGCAAATCTTTCTCCCTCTCCAACTATCTTGAAATAATGTTGTATTTCACATTACATTATTAATAACACATACTAAATAATATAAAGTATTGCTTGTCTTAGCCTTTTTAGTGTTACTATAAAGGAATACCTGAGGCTTGATAATTTATAGAGAGAAAAGGTTTTGGCTGATGATTCTGATACCTGGAAAAGTTCAAGTTTGGGCATCTGCATCTGGGGAGGGCCTCAGGCTGCTTCTACTCATGGCAGAAGGTGAATGGAGCTGTGCAGAGATCACATGAAGGGAGAGGAAGTGAGAGGGAGGGGAACTGCCAGGCTCCTTTTACCAACGAGCTCTCTCAGGAACAAATAGAGTGATAACTTTCTCACCCTCCCACCTCAAGGAAGGGGATTCATATACTCAGAAATCTGCCCCCATGACCCAATACCTCCCATTAGGCCCCACCTCTAACAGTGGGGACCAAATTTCAACATGAGGTTTGTGGGAATAAATATCCAAACTATATTATAATATACACCATGTTATGTAATAATATTTATATAATTTTAATGTATAATTTACAGATACATTTACAAATCTTAAGTGCACACTAGTTGAATTTGGGAAAATGTACACCTCGATTTGTCTAAAGTAAACACTGTTTTTACCAGAGGAAGTTTCTCCTACTTCTTCCCAGTTAATCCCCGTCTTTAACACTCAGAGGTAATCACTGTGGTGATTCTTTTCTACCATAGATTAGGCTTGCTGTTCTAGAAATTCATATGAATGGAATCAAACACATTGTATTCTTTTGCATAGGCTTTTTTTCACTCAGCATTGTTTTTGAGATTCATGCAAATTGGTGTATGCGTCAGCTGTCTTTTATAAAAAAAACTGCATAGCATTCTATTGCATGAATTTGCCACCATTTGTTTATTCATTGAGATGTGGGGTATTTCCAGATTTGGGTTATTATGAATAAAACTGCTTTTAGCATGCTTGTTTTCATTTCTTTTGGATATATACCTAAGGGTGAAATTGTTGGATCATAGAATAGGTGTATGTTTAGTTTTATCAGTAACTGTCAGTCCATTTTGCAAGGTGGTAATTCTAGTTAACACTCCCATCATCAATATATAAGAAGTCCAGTTGCTCCTTGTCTTCACCAGTATTTGGTGTTATTGATCTTTTTAATTTTAGCAATCCTTGTGACCATGTAGTGCTATCTTATGTGGTTTTACTTTGGATTTTGCCGACCACTGATGATTTTAGGCACTTTTTCATGAACTTACTGGTCACTTCTACAACTTTTCTGAAGTATCTGTTTTAAATTTGCCCATTTCCATAATTGAAATATTTGTCTTAGTCTTTGGTAGTAACAATTCTTCATATAGGTCAGATGCAAGCAATTTGTCAGATAAAGGTTTTTTGAATATGTTCTTTACGTCTGTGAATGTCATTCATGTTCTTAGTGGTATCTTTTCATGAGGGTAAGGTTTTAATTTTGATGAAGTCTAATTCATTAATATTTTTCTTCCATGATTATTTGTTTCTATAACTTCAGAAAACTTTGCATACGTACTCCCAAATATGAAAGCTATTATGTATTTTCTTATGGCCTTAACCTTTACATTTAGGTCTATGGTCCATCTTGAATCAATTTTCATGTATGGTGTGAGGTACTGAATGCCATTTGTTTTCCTCATAAAGACATCTAGCTACTCCAGTTCCATTTGTCAAAAAGGCTATATCTTTTCTCCAATGGATTACTTTTGTGAGTTTTTCAAAAATCAGATAGTCTTTAAATATATGTGTCTATTGCCAGGCTCTCCATTCTTTTCCTTTGATTTGTTTGTTGATCCTTAAGATTGACACTATCCTGAGATTGGAACTTGGCAGTAATTCCTGAAGTCAGATAGCTGTACATCCTCCAAATTGGATATTCTTTTTCAAGATCACTTGAGGCTGTCTTGGTCCTCTATCCTTTCTGTAAAAACTTTACAATCAGTTTATCAAAATCTACTTAAAAACACTGTTGGGATTACAAATATGATTCTTTTGAATCTATAGATAATTTTGGGGAGGAACTGATGTCACAACAATATTGAGTTTTACAATCTGTGAACATGGAATATCTCTTCGTTTCTTTAGGTCATTAATTTTTCTCAACAATGTTCTGTAGTTTTAAATCTAGAGATCTTGTTTCCATTTTCTGTTAAATCTGTTCATTGATATTTCATACTTTTCAGTGGTATTGTAATTGGATTTAAAAATTTTTAGTTTTCAATTGTTTTATGTTAGTATATAAAAGACATTATACATACAAATATCAATTAAAGAAAGATGGTTGGTATCTATCTCAACCTTTAATCCTGCAACTTTAATATAACTTATTAGTTCAGTAATTGTTAGAATTTTTTGTACTGATAATTATATTTTGTGCAGATAAAAACAATTTTACTTCTTTCTGTCAATCTTTTTACCTATTTCTTTTTCTTGGCCCTTTAAAATGGCTAGAACCTCCATATGTTGAATAGAAGTAAAAAGACTGGGTATTCTTCCCTTGGTCTTGTAAGGAAGAAAGTGGTTATTATTTTACCATTAAATATAGTATCAGCTGTAGGCTTTTCTTAGATGCCCTTTATTAGACTGAGAAAGTTTTCTTCTATTCCTGGTTTTCTGGGTGTTTTCTAAAATTAAAAAATGATTTTTTTTTTTGTTAAATGCCTTTCTGTCTATTAAAATGATCATGTAGTTTCAATTTTTATTCTATTAATGGGATGGATTACATTGATTCTCAAATATTAAACCAGCCTTGCAATACTGGGGTTAGCCCTATTTAGTAATAATTGCCAGGTCTAATTTGCTAATTTTGTTAAGTATATTTGCATCCATTTTCATAAAAGGTATTGGTCTGCAATTTCTTTTTTTCTTTTGTAATCTTTGCCAGACTTTGGAATGACCTTATCTAATGAGTTGGAAAGTATCTCCTCTTCTCTATTTTCAGAAATAAAGTTTATATAAGATTGGTTTAGAATTTACCAGTGAAACCATCTGAACCTGGAGTTCTTATAGAAAGGGTTTTGATAACAAATTCATTTTCTAAAATAGCTGTAGGGTGGCTCATATTTTCTGTTTCATTGCCTCAATTTTTGAAGGACGTATTTTTCAAGGAAAGGTCGTATTTCATCAAAGTTTTCATATTTGGTGGTATAAAGTTGTTTTTGGTAATATCATTTATTATCTTTTAATGTCTGTAGGATCTGTATTGATAACCTCTTTTTCATTATTGATGTTGATAGTTTGTGTCCTTTCTCTTGATCAATCTGGTGTATCAATTTTGTGGGTCTTTTCATAAAAACATATTATGACTTTGTTAATTTTTTTATTTTTTCTATCTTTATAATTATTTCATTAATCTGCACTTATTTTCATTATTTCTTTTTTCCTACTTACACTGGATTTACTTTTCTCTTCTTTTTATAATTAATGAAGTGGAAACAGTCATTAATTTTAGAACTCTTTTTAATATAGTCATTTAAAGCTATAAATTGCTTTCTAAATACTCCTTTAGCTGCATCTCCCAAGTTTTGTTATGACATATTTTAATTTTGAATTTCAATTTTCTTTGTGATTTGTTCTTTGATATTTGGATTATTTAGAAGGGTGCTATTTAATTTTCACATATATAAGGATTTCCTGATTATCTGTTTGATTTCTAATTATATTCTGCTGTGGTCAGAAAATATTCTCTCTGTGACTTCAAACCTTTTAAATTGATTTAGACTTATTTTATGGACCTGTAATTTTTTTTTGTTTGTTTTAATAAACTGTATGTGCTCGAAAAGAATTTGTATTCTGCAATTGTGCTATAAATATCAATTAAAGACAGATGGTTGATAATCTTCAGATAATCTGGATAATTATGTTTTGTCTAGTTATTCTATTAATTGGCAGGAGAAGAGTGTCATAATCTTTAATGTTTGTTGTGAAATTGTCTATTCCTTCTTTTACTTCTATTAGTTTTTGCTTCATGCATTTTTAACTTTGTGCTAACCACATACATATTTATGATTGTGATATCTTGCTAATGAATTAAACTTTTTTCATAATGAAATGTCCCTTTTTATCTCTGTTACTACTTTTTGTCTTGAAGCATATTTTATCTGATGTTAATATAGTTACTCCAGCCTTCATATAACTGTTTTCATAATACATCATTTTTCTATCTGTACTAGAGTTCCTCAGCAAAATAGAACCAATAGGAGATAGTTGGATAGGTAGGTAGGTAGGTAGACAGATAAAAGAGGATTTAGTATGGAAATTAGCTCATGTGATTATGGAGGCTGAGAAGTCCCACTGTCTGATATCTGCAAGCTGGTGATCCAGGAAAGCAGGTGTTGTGGTTCAGTCTGAGTCTGAAGACATGAGCCTGGGGATGGGTAGTGCTGGTGGGGAGTGGAGATGGGGGAAGGTATTCAGGCCCTCACAGATTGGCTGATGCCCACCTACTGTGGGGAGTGCAGATCTTCATTGCTTAATGTACTGATTCAAATGCTAATCTCTCCGGAAACATTCTCACAGACACATCCAGAAATAATGTTTAGCCAGCTATCTAAGTATCCCTTAACCCAGACAAGCTGATACATAAACTGAAGTATCACACTCTCCATTTACATTTAACCTATCTGGATCTTTATTTTTATAACATGCTTCTTGAGACAGTATAGAGTTGGGTCTTGCTTTTTTTGTCTCTCTGCCTTTTAATTGAAGTACTTAATCCAACAACTTGAAAAATAATTATAATTGTGTCATCACTGATATGTATTTATTTATTTTTGAGACAGGGTCTTGCTCTGTCACTCAGGCTTGAGTGCGGTGGCATAATCGTGTCTCATTGCAGCCTTGACTTCCTGGGCTCAAACAATCCTCCCACCTCAGCCTCCTGAGTGACTGAGACTACTGGAATGCACCACCATGCCTGGCTAATTTTTGTATTTTTTGTAGAGACAGGGTTTGACATTTTGCCCAGGCTGGTCTTGAACCTCTGGGCTCAAGCGATCCAGCAGCCCTGGCTTCCCAAAGTGCTGGGATTACAGGCATGAGCCGCCATGCCCGGCTGATATTTTACTATTTATAGTTTATGCTTTTTAATTCCTTTATTTCTCCTTTCTTACCTTTTTATGAAATTTTGAGTATTTTTTAGAATGCCATTTTAATTTATCTATTAAGCTTTTTGATCTCTACCTATTGATGTTTTCTTAAAGTGGTTGTTCTAGGGATATATCTTCTTAACTTTTTGCAATCTACTTAGAAATAGGATTGCATACTTTGTGAAATGTAGAAACCTGGTAGCCATGTAGGACTGTTTACCATCCCCATGCCATTATTTATGCTAGAGTTGTCATACGCATTACGTTTACATGCATTGTAAATCTCACTAAATGGTGTTGTATTTTTTGCTTTAGTCATATGTATTTTAAAGAAATTAAGAATTATAATAGTCTTCCTATATTTACCTAGATTTTTACCATTTCTGATGGTCTTCATTCTTTCCTGAAAATCTGAGTTTCCTTCTAGTGTCATTTTACTTCAGCCCGAATAACTTTTTAAATAGATTTTTTTATAACATGTTTTCTGTCAATAAACGCTTGGCTTTTATATTCTTTGGTAGTGTATTTCCTTTAATCTCATTCTTGAAGGGTATTTTCACTGGCTTGACTATTTCTTTTCTCACATTAAAGATGCAATTCCACTTTTATTTTTCTTTGGCTTCATTAGTTTCTGGCGAGATGTCAGTGATCACTCAAATATTGTTCCCTTGTATGTAATGTGTTGTTTTTCCTCTGGCAGTTTTCAAGATTTTCTGTCTTTAGTTTTCAACAGTTTGTCTCTACGTAGCTAGGCATGGTTTTATTTGTTTTTATCCTACCTGGGATACATTGAACTTGAGCCTGTAAATTTATATCTTTCATCAAATTGGGACTTCTTTTGGCCATTATTTCTTCAAATATTGTTCTGTCTCATTCGCTCTCTTCTAAAATGATTTAATATGCAGCTATAGTATATTAAACATTTGAATATTATCCCACTGGTCGTTGAGACTCAGTTATAATTTTTATTTTTTCCGTTTTTTTCAGATTGGATAATTTTCTATGGCTTCATTTTCAAGTTAATTGACCTTTTCCTCTGTCATTTTTGTTCTGCTGTTAGACTTATTCAGTGATTTTTTTTTTTAATTCACAACTGAAAACAGTTTTAGAATTTCTATTTCATTTTTTTTTTTCTGAGACAGAGTTTCACTCTTGTTGTCCAGGCCGGAGTGCAATGATGTGATCTCGGCTCACGGCAACCTCTGCCTCCTGGGTTCAAGTGATTCTCCTGCCTCAGCCTCTCAAGCAGCTGGGATTACAGGCATGTGCCACCACGCCCAGCTAATTTTTGTATTTTTAGTAGAGACAGGGTTTTGCCATGTTGGCCAGGCTGGTCTCGAACTCCTGACCTCAGGTGAACTGCCTGCCTCGGCCTCCCAAAGTGCTGGGATTACAGGCGTGAGCCACTATGCCAGGCCTGATTTTTTAAATGTATGTTTTTATCTCACCACTGAGCCTCCCTGTCTTTCCATCTTACTAGGACAAATAGGCATTGAAGCATCATTTCTTTGTGGAACTGTGGTTTATTATCCTGCTAGTGCCGCTGTGCTTGTGGGCACCTTCCTACTCATCCATTTTCCTGTTCTCTACCGCATACTGTTTATCACACAGATGCCATTGACATTTATGTTAATGAAAAAATTATCAATATTCATTAGTGTTATCTGATCTATCAACAGACATTCTCACAGATTCTGATGCTTGTCGTGGGGCTGAGAGGCAGATTACACCTAAAGTGTGTGGAGAAGGTGTCAGTGGGGGAGAGCAGAGAAGGAAATCTTGTGCATATGCAGGCTGCTCATTACAGCTTTATCTCAAAGCATAGGCGTGATCTTGTCCTGTTTTTTACTCTTTAATAACTATCCTTTTAATATTATGTTAATATTATATTTTTAATTATATAAAAATAATATATCAAATAATATAATTTTTATAATTATATAATATTTTAATATTATGAAATATTTAATATTATGAAATTTCTTTGATTTGTATCTTAATTGACTGGAATATATTTTCAAATATTTTCTTCTCAAGAATATATCAGGGATATATATTTTTAAAGCCCACCTCCCTTTTAAATTGACATATAATTAACATGCCATAAAATTCATTGTTAAAAAGTGTACAATTCTGTGTTTTTGGTATATTCACAAAGTTGTGCAACTATCACAACTATCTAATCCATGTAATTTCAGAACATTTCTAATACCTCCAAAGACATCCTGTACCTACTTGTAGTCACTTTTCATTTTCCTTTCCCCTTATCTCCTGGCAACCTCTAATCTACTTTCGGTCTTTACAGATTTGCCTATTTTGAACATTGCATATAAATGGAATTTTACAATATTTGTCCTTTTATATATCTGTATTTGAGTTATTTCTATTTTGTGGCTATGAACGTTCGTGTGCAAGTTTTTGTGTGGGCATATGTTTCCATTTCTCTTGTGTATTTACCTAGGAGTATTGTGGATTTACCTAGGAGCGAAGTTGCTGGGTTCTAAGCCCTGTCATAGAAATGGATTCTGTTAGTGTCACACATGAGAGATAATACCACTAATGAAAGTATCTTCCTTTAAAAACTAAGTAAATATTTCTTTGTAATCATTTTTCTCTACATGGATGTGTATGGAGTGTATTTCACCAATCCAGGTAGGCCACAGTAGTGTGGTTTGGGAGGAACAGATCTCACTTTTTTTTTTTTTTTTTTTTTTTTTTGAGACGGAGTTCCGCTCTTGTTGCTCAGGCTGGAGTGCAACGGCACAATCTCTGCTCACTGCAACCTCTGCCTCCTGGGTTCAAGCATTCTCTTGGCTCAGCCTCCTGAGTAGCTGAGATTACAGGCACTCACCACCATGCCTGGCTAATTTTTGTATTTTAGTAGAGATGGGGTTTCACCATGTTGGTCAGGCTGGTCTCAAACTTCTGACCTCAGGTGATCTACCCATCTCGGCCTCCCAAAGTGCTGGGATTACAGGTGTGAGCCACTGCGCCCCGCTTCACTGTTTTTTTATTGCTCTGTCCAGCAGCCTTTGTTTGTGTTGTGCTGTGTGCATATGTGTGTTTGTGTGTGTGTGTTTTCAGCTCATTTTCATCAACCTTACTTTTAGTGGAAAAGAAATTCTTTAGTGGAAAGTCTTTTTAATGAATAGAGTTCTAAGATTCTGGCACCAGGCTTTGGAGGTTGTGTGCATTTCATCTTTTCTGTTTTCTTTTTTCATAGTTGCTTTAGTGGGAAACTGAGAGACACATCTTCGTTGACAGATGTTAACAAAACCAATTGTTTGAGTTCCTCTTTCCTCAGAGGTTAGCCTGTATCTTGGGTCTGACAGTGGATCTATTGTTACAGGGTTAAAAAAGGTCCTAACAAATTGTCAAGAAGCCGAGCCAATACATTCAGAGTAGAGGTGGGACAATGGTGGTGGTATGAAATTTTCACAGGGTGTTTTGTTTAGCACTTTTTCAGGGCATTTTACTGGGATCGCTTTCAGGTGTAGTTGACCTTAGTTTTAAAAACGCATCAGAAATAAAACTCAGCCAGCTGTCTTCCCAGAACAGACGATGACACAAGCTGCGATGTGAATCCAGAAGCGCCGCGAGAGCGCGGAGGTCCCGGGGAGGAAGGAGACAGAGACGGTCATGGTGGCCCCCTGGAAGGAGTTGGCGTTTTACCCTCAGAGCAAGGCCAGGACTGAGTGTGATGTGATCCGTCTTGCGTCTTAAGAAGTAGAACAGTCTGGTTGTAGGGTGGGCATCGGATTGGCGGGGGCAGGAAAGGATGCTGAGTAACCCTTTGCTGTTGTTGGTGGTTTAAACTCCGGTGACAGCAGCAGACATGGAGAAAATTGGATGGACAGGTCGAGATTTAGAGACATTCCAGTTAGAAATAGCAGAGTGAAGACAGTTATCTCCTTGAAACTGCTAAAAGCAAGAAAAAAAGGTGAAGAAAAACTTACTTTTCATAATCCTAAATCGTGTGATAAAAATATTTGCCAAATACAATACAGTTTGAGCGGAATGAATGGAGAGCACAAAGAGTGGAAACATATTTCTGAAATTTCATGTTGGGCCACATTTTCCAGTAGTGGGTGGCACAATTCTAATGGGGCCAACCCACACTCCTTTACATGAACCGGTGTGGTCTGGGGTCACAGGGTACCTGCAGGGTTCCTGACCTCACTGCATATTGCAGAGTGGAAGGGTGCCCAGTGGAGGCAGAAGCTCCAGAGACATCTTTGTAAGGAACAACTGCCAGGTGTCAGTTGCTCTGAGGCTGCTATTCACAAGCACACACATACATACATTTACATACATACAGTCTCAACCACGACACAAGCCCTCATGACATACACGGGGTGTGATGAGCAGTCATACACATCACTACTACTCATCTAGAGAAATGATGAAAATAAATTATCAATTAAAATAACAATAAAACTACAGAGTTTCTAGAAAATTACCTGGCAAAGAATGGACGATATCTTTAGGGTGAAAAATTAGAAAAAATTTAAAAACATTTTGGAAACTCCAGGTAATGACAAAAATGCTAATTTTTCCCAAATAGTTTATACATTCAATTCAGTTTGAATTAAAATCCCAGCAGATGTTTGTGAGTGCTTGGCGAACTGATTCTGAAATTTTTATGAAAGAATAAGGCTCCACAAAAAGGTTAGGCAATTTTGAAAAAGTAGGGCAAAGAGTTGGCATGCATCCCATTTTACAAGGCCATCCTCATGGAATGTGTGGTTGTCTGTGGGAGCCAACCAAGAACCTAGCAAAGCAGAGAAGAAAACCCATATTCACCAAGCTTGATGTGTGGTAGCAGAGGCAAAGTGAATTAGTGGGAAGCACGCCTTACTTGTTGATGAGACTTGAAAAATTGGCCCACTATTGTATTTGGAAGAAAACATTAAACCCTTTTAACTTTGGACATAGAGGTGAGCTCCAGGTCAATTTGTATTCTAAATGTGAAAAATAAAATTACAAATCAAATAGAATAAAATGTAGGAAAATATCCTTGGGACTTTTAAGTAGGAGTAATTTATTTAAAATTTGCCAAAGTAAAAACCATAAGTGAAAAAATAGATAGATTTTATTAGGTCAAAACTAAATATTCCTATTCTATAAAGGACAGCAAAGAAAAAATTAATAACTGGTTGATGGACTAGATGAAGATATTTGCAATGTCTAATGACAACAAGAATCAATATCTAGACTATTAGAAGTCAGAAAGGGAAATACAATAAACCTGATAGAAAATGGACAAAGGGTTTAAATAGGCATTTTGCAGAAGAAGAAAACTGAATGTTTAATAAAACGTGAAGAGATGTTTAGCTATCTTAGTAAATGAGAAATGAAATTAAAACAACAGTAAGAGATGACTTCGAGTCCACATGGATAGGAAAAATTAGAAAACTGATTCACATTAAGTGCTGGTGAAAATATGAGTAATAGGGAATCTTTGAACACTGTTAGTTGCAGCTTCAACTAGTCACCCAACATCTAAATAATATTAAGAATATATGTTTCTATAACCCAGGAAGCCAATTCCTGGTTACTTCTTCCAAGAAAAATTTTGTACAAGTCCATGAAGAGATATGTACAGAAATGTTTAATAAATCATAGTTTTGTTAAGGAATTGGAGGTAAGGTGGGTGGCCATAGGTAGGGGAATTAAGGAATAAACCCTGGGCCTCATATGTAGGGTATTGGACAGCAACCAGAAATAACAATCTAGGATTTACCTAGAGCCATGGTTAGATATCAGAACATACAGTGAGTGAAAAATAGGAAGAATAGTTCAGAATATTATTTATGTAGGTTAAAAATATGCACATAGTAAAATACTATATATTTTCACAAATACACACATGTATTAATAAATAAGCATATAGAGAATTTATTAGAAGTATATATAAATTAAATATAATAGAATAGGTGGCTATGGAGAAAAGTAATTATAATAAAGGACAAAATATAGAAAATAATAAAATAAAATAAAATAAAATAAGAGAGACCTTGTATAAATAAAGATTTATGAAAGGAACTAGGAAATATTATTTTCCAGTTGATGCACCTGGGGTCTCAATAGAGACACAAAGTGACATAAAGACAAAGCAGAAAAATTTCAAAGACATAAAGAAGAAGAAAACTTTTTTTAAAATAAAGGAGTGTCCAAGTCTTCAAATTAAAATGGCACCCTTTGTTCCAGAAGAAAAGAGACAAAATGATCCTTATGATATTCTGGTAATGTTACAGGCTAAACAGAGGCAGAACTCTGTGAATCAAAACAAACAAAACAAAGAGGGAAAGCCATGTTGGTCTCAGACTCAGCAGCACCTTTTAATGTGAGGAGATAGTGGAGAAATAAGAATTTTATATGGTGCTTACTTAGTTCAACTCTAATGGCAACAGATATTTTCTGTTATTCAAAACTCAGGAAATACTGTCTGAGCCTTTTTGAAGGAACTGATGAAGATATCTAGCCAAACAAGAGATAAAAAGAGAAACAATTGAAAATAGAATCAAGGATAAATGCTACCCACAGGGATTCTGGTTACAGGATTGGATATAAGCTTGCCAGATCTCGATGATGTAGAAGTAGTAATAGAATGCAGGAGAGCAGGAGTGGGATGGAAGGGCTAGAACAGGAGGCGAAGGGCTTTCTTTATGCTGCATTGTGAGCACACGGAAGACAATACATAAAGCACATAAATCAAATACAGAGATTTACATATACAATTATTTAAAAACAAGAACATAAGATAATGGTTTATTGAATTAGAAAGGGAGGGGAGGCAGATGAGGTGGAAGAATTGTAATATACAAACATTAATATTTCATGGATGAGAGTCCATAAAAATAGTCTAACACTGGGAAATCAATAAATGGAGCTGAAACATGTATTAAGGAAAGTTAGAGTGGCCACTAAAGAAACTAAAATCCAAGTAGGTGAGCGAGCATTGTGGAAGAAAAGGAAGTTTTGGTTAGATGGCAGAATTTCAGAAACAGTGATCACAGGAGTGGTGCCAACTGTTCTGGTCTATAGAATGGGGATCATAGGATGTTTAACCTCCTCAAAACCTATGTGGAAGTGGTGATTCTTTTTTTTTTTTGAAATGAAAAGTCTCACATATTTATTACTGAACCCAGCCAACCAACCTGTTTGTAACAGATTCAGAGAGAAAAAATATATTCCCAATAAAACATGTCCAACTCTTCAGATAGTAGTGACATTTTCAGCTTGATATGGTAACATGATTGTGACCTTCAGACAGCATAAATATGTGTGCCATCTCATGTGCAATTCCTTAGAGACCCAGCTTGGTTCTTCTCCAATGTCTCCAAAGGCCGGGCACCGTGGCTCACGCCTGTAATCCCAGCACTTTGGGAGGCCGAGGCGGGCGGAGTTGTACCTGATTTTATTGCCAGTTTTCATCCCAATCCACTGGGGAATGGGATGATTTTTGCTTTTGTTTCTTGGCCAGGAATCATTTAATCCTAAAAGCCTTGTGAGAAGACATGGTGAGAAGTGGCGTCAAGCACACACCACAATGGCAGAGAGAGGAAGAGAAGGGGCTTGACATCTTTTTTTTTTTTTTTTTTTTAGACGGAGTTTGACTCTTGTCATGCAGGCTGGAGTGCAGTGACGCGATCTTGGCTCACTGCAACCTCCGCTTCCCGGGTTCAAGCGATTCTCCTGCCTCAGCCTCCCAAGCAGCTGGGATTACAGGCACCCGCCACCACACCCAGCTAATTTTTCTGTTTTTAGTAGAGACGGGGTTTTACCATGTTAACCAGGCTGTTCTTGAACTCCTGCCTATTGTTTGTGCTGTTAGCTGTCAGTCCTCTTTATTGCGGCACAAACAAGATTAATTTTTTTCTGTAAAACTGATGTGGATGGTCTGCCTGGCACTCCATGCATCACTTTCAACATTGTTTTGTCCCAACTCAAAATGAGTTACCCATTTACAAACTGGTGATTTCTTTTGGGCATAATTCCCATAACCTTTTCATAAAGCATCAATGATTGCATTATTCCTCTACCCAAACTTTACCGTAAGTATAGTTTTTTTGAGACAGTGTCTCGCTCCATCACTCACTCTGGACTGCAGTGGCATGATCACAGCTCACTGCAGCCTCAAACTCCCAGGCTCAAGACATCCTCCCACTGTAGACTCAACAGTAGCTGAGCCTGCAGGCATGTGCCACCATATCCAGCTAATTTTTGTGTTTTTTTGTAAAGAAGGGGGTGCAGAGAAAAAAGTTTCACCGTGTTGCCCAGGCTGGTCTTGAATACCTAGGCTCACATGACTCACCTCTCTCAGCCTCCAAAAGTGCTGGGATTACAGGCCTGAGCCACTGCACCTGGGCTTATCATAAATTTAATGTTTCTTCTTGTTTCAATTTTAGCAGAATTTATATTGCTTCAATAGAGTCTCTTTTCAAACTCATGTCTTTTCCCTCTGAGTGCCTCAAACTAGAGCCTGTTCAGACACGTTATAACAGACTTGAACCAGTGTATTTGGGTGCAAAAAGTGTGAAATTCATGCACAATTTTCTTATAATACATGTTTTTCCATGAACTTCTTGAAAACCCCTTGTACTGGCAACCTGTATTCAAGAGGATATAAAAATGATTGTAGATATCCCAATGCCACATATTTCTGGGATGCAAGGATGGTTCAACATATTCAAGCAAATCAGTGTGATATACCACTTGAACAGAATGAATGATGAAAACCACATCATCTCAATAGATGGAGAAAAAGCATTTCACAAAATTCAACATCTAGTCGAAATCCTAAACAAAATAGAGAAGGAAATTTACCTCAACAATAGAAAGATCATCCATGAAATAACCACAGCTGAAATAACCAAGCAGGGAAAATGGAATGCTTTTCCTGTAAGATCTCGCATGATGCAAGAATGCTCTCACCCCTTCTATTCAATAAATACTCGCTGTCTCAGCCACAGCAATTAAATAGCAAAAGAAATAAAACTCATCCAAATCAGAAAGAAAGAAGTAAAATTATATTCTTATGTAGATGACATGATCTTCTGTGTAGAAAATCACAAACAGCCAATATACTACTGGAACTAATAAACACATTCAGTGTATTTGCAGAATATAATATCAGCACCAAAAATTAATTCAATTTTCAGACATTAAGAATAAACAATTTTAAAAGAAAATTAAAAAACTCTTCCATCTGCTAGAGAACTTAAAGTAAGAAATACTTAGGAATAAATGTTAAAAGGTGAGAAGTTTGTACCTTGAAATCTACAAACATTGATCAAAATAATTAAAAACATATATAGAGATATAACCCATATTGATAGATTGGAAAAATTAATATTGTTACATGATTATATAACCCAATTTGATTTAGAGTCAACACAATACCCATAGAAATTCCTATCAGTTTTTGTTAAAGAAACAAAAAACAGGTGGGGAAAAGTGGCTCACGTCTGTTGGCCACACTGGTCTCAAACTCCTGACCTTAAGTGATCTACCCATCTTGGCCTCCCAAGATGCTGGGATTACAGGTGTGAGCCGGAAGTGGTGATTATTTTTAAGGTGAGTCCTTCTGAGTCTGCCTATAAAATGGAACATCCCTATTGATACTGGGGCTTTTTGGTGTGTAGCAGACAGAACAGGTCCCAGTCACTGAAGCAGTTTCTACCTCAAAAGCTTCAAAATATAGTAATATCGGGAGGCAGGTGTTTTAAGAACCAAAGTAGCTACGTTTTCTTTTGGGACACCAGGAGGAGGTAAAAGGAGAGGTCTGTAGGAGATAACAAGAAAGAAAGCTCCTTTGATGCCTCTAGATTTGGCCATTTCTAATTAATTACAGGATTTCTCAGATAAGCTCCTCAGATAAAATGCCAGACTGATGAGATTTTTCATGGTGCATTCAGTGAGTCAGGAGAATGAAAATCCCGGCTTGAGATTCTTTTTTAGTTACTTCGGGATTAAGGTTCCTGGATCAAATACAAGACACCCAGTTAAATTTGAATTTCAGATAAACAAGTAATTTTTAAAGTTTATGTTCTAGGTGATATTTGGGGTATACTTGTACTCAAAATTATTGTTTTTCCAAAATTCAAATTTAACTGATGTCTTGTGTTATTTGTTAAATATACAACATTATTTGCGATAAAGTTGCCTGAGGAGACAAAAAGAAAGGAATCCTCTTCTAGAAAAGCTGTCAATTAGCAATAATCACACCTCAGATAAACCTTACTGGCTATGACATGACCAGTGTGCAAAACAAATCCTCTTTTAGAAACATAAGGTAATATTTTCTTAACTTGATCAAAACCACCAAGTGATTTGGGAACATATTTTCCTGGAAACAAAATAGATTTGAACTACATAAACATGAAACCATCCTGTTTGACCTTGGGTACTTTCCAATTCCTCCATCTCCTCAGTTGGATGGGGCTGTCATACACAGTGATGGAGTGAGTGTTTTTTACAGTTTCACAAGTTGACTTTTTCCTCTGCAATGTGAATCCAGTTGCATCTTTAATTTCTGCTCTGCTCTTTGGCCCTTCGGCTGTCTGTCCTCTTTAATCTTTAATCAATGGAACAAGTGGATCAGGCCAGGTTCTTTCTTCTCTTTAAGAAAGTGAAATCTCTGCTGGGCGCGGTGGCTGAAGCCTGTAATCCCAGCACTTTGGGAGGCTGAGGTGGGCGGATCACGAGGTCAGGAGAGCGAGATCATTCTGGCTAACACGGTGAAACCCCGTCTCTATTAAAAAAATACAAAAAATTAGCCAGGCATGGTGGCACATGCCTGTAGCCCTAGCTACTCGGGAGGCTGAGGCAGGAGAATCGCTTGAACCCGGGAGGTGGAGGTTGCAGTGAGCCGAGATTGCGCCACTGCACTCCAGCCTGGGGAACAGAGTGAGACCCCGTCTCAAAAAAAAAAAAAAAAAAAAAAAAAGTGGAATCAATCTCTGTCTTTCTTTCTTTCTCTCTCTTTCTTTTTCTTTCTTTCTTTCTCTTTCTTTCTTTCTTTCTTTCTTTCCTTCCTTCCTTTCTTTCTTTTTCTTTCTCCCTCTTCTCTCCCTCCCTCCTTTCCTTACTTCCTTCATTCCTTTCTTTCTTTCTTTTTCTCTCTCTCTCTTCCCTCCCTCCTTTCTTTCCTTCCTTCCTTCCTTCCTTCCTTCCTTCCTTCCTTCCTTCTTTTCTTTCTCTCTCTTTCTTTCTCTCTCTCTCTCTCTCTCTCTCTCTTCCCCTCCCTCCTTCTCTCCCTTCCTTCCTTCTTTCTTTCCTTCCTTCCTTCTTTTTTTTTTTGAGGGAGTCTCTCTCTGTCGCTCAGGCTGGAGTGCAATGGTGTGATCTCAGCTCACTGCAACCTCCACCTCCTGAGTTCAGGCGATACTCCTGCCTCAGCCTCCTGAGTAGCTGGGATTGCAGGCACATGCCACCACACCTGGATAATTTTTGTATTTTTAGTAGAGATGGGGTTTCACCATGTTGGCCAGGTTGGTCTTGAACTCCAGACCTCAGGCCATCCTCCTGCCTCTGCCTCTCAAAGTTTTGGGATTATAGGCATGAACTACCATGCCCAGTCTGGAATCTCCATTTTTTCTTATGTCAGGTGGTCATATGTCAGCAGGGGAAAGGAGTCACTGTTGAAGCTGAACTGATAGTAGAGATAGTTATGAAAATGTTAGTCTGAAATCCTTCAATGAGAATAAGGTTTATTTTTTTTTGTGAGAAGGGGAGGTTGCCAGTTTTGGGGGTGATCCTATATATTTCAACAGCTCCCCTCTTCCCTGCATGGCTTTGCCCCAGCGTCCGGCTATGTTGTGGCTCTTGGTGCTTTACATTTCAAGATTCATGGAATATAAATTGACTTGAGCTCTCTCAGGAAATTAAATCTTTAGGAAAATAGATTAAGTGGAAAATTGCTTCCCCTTCCTCCTGTTGTTACTGAAAAAAAGTAATATCTTCTTCACAAAGTTATTTTGAGGACAAAATAAAATAATAACTATTAAAACATATCGTGAACATACAGATTTGAATTGAAGGCTGTTCTGTGAATTTAGTGAGGATATTATAAGGTTTTTGTTAAAATTCTACTACAGACTATTTCAATCATGAATCAACTCTTCTAAGCATAGTGTTTTTGTCACATTTTTATAACCCCAAAATGAATAATTATTCATTTCATTAATTCATTTTCATTATCAATAATTGAGATCAAGGTGAATTATAGGGAAATGACTACATTACTCAGGATTGAAAGATTTGTTGTCTGTACAAGCTAGTCTGGGATTAAAAATGTAGGTTCTTATTTTTATTTTAAGGACAAAATTTATCTTGGTATGCTTGGTAAAGTGTGCTGTTTTCTCTGTAAAGGAAGAGAAAGGAAGACAATTTTTTGGTAGGCAGATTCTGTATATAAACATGTATCTCTAAATAGTAGGATGTAAATCAAATATTGGCAAGTCAAATTTTATTAATTAAAAAGTCCTTCTCCAGTCTGAAGGATGCTGATTCCCAGAGGCATAGCTGACCTGCAGTTGAGCAGGGATGGAAAGGACTTAGGTGCCTACAGCAGATGATGGTACAGTAGCTCCCCTGCTAGTTCTACACAACTTGTCATTGTGTGAAATGGCAGGAAATGCTAAATAAGAAGGAATCTGTATGGATAGAAAGAGAAATAAAACCAGTACTCTTAAAATGATTTTCTGCAATTTAATCTAAACATATTCACATATGTTAAGAATTTCCTATTATTAGCATGTAAATATTTGCCATCCATACAGGGCTTTTCCTAGTGTTTTTTTCCATGTTGTCACCAGGGCATTGTGTTAAAATGAAATCCTGGTCATACCACTCTGCTCACACCCTTCTTCAGGCAGCACCCATGCATGAAGCTGCAGTGGCTGAGCCAGGTCCTGGCCTGCCCATCTCTGCAACCTCAGGCTTCCAGGCTCCTTTCCTTGCACATGGCCATCCGCGTGGACTGGACGAGCACTGGTGTTGTTTCCTGACCTGACAGTTATAGTAGGGTGACAAGCGATATCCTAAAGACAAGCCCAAAACGGAGCTTCTGGTGTCTTGCCTTTACCTTTAAAACCTTTTTCTCATTTGGTCTTACTGTGTCAGTACGTGGTAATTTCATTCTCCAGTTTCTCAGGCCTAGGATCTGGGTGTTACTGGTCTCTGTCCTCTGCACGCAAACCTCAGCATCCAAACCTCCTGGCCTCGACCCTGCGGCCTTCGAACGTACCGGGATCCCAACACTTCCTGCAGATCCAGCCCTTTCGCCGGTGGGCTCTGCGTTGCTCCACCGCTCAGCCTTCTGAGTGGGATCAGCCCTCAGTTCCAGCAGCTTTGGGTAAATGAGAGTCAGATTCCCACGTGCCTCTGCTCAGGCCTTTCAGTGGTGCTCCATCGCACGCAGAGGACATGTCAGTTCCTTAATGGGTCCCGTGGGACGGACCCCTCTCTTTGCTCTCTGACTTCTCTCCCTACCCCCCTCCCCTGCTTTCTGGATCTTTTGAACACATCCCATGTTCCGGCGTCAGGAGGTATCCGCCTGCTCGGCTGCCTCCCCTCCTCCAAGGCTTCCTTCCAATGTCACCTTCCTCCTGAGGCCTTCCTGAAAGGCATCTAGGCTGCATACCACACCGCACACCACGCAAAAACCACACACACACACACACCCACCCCATACCATGCACACACACGCCACACACGCACATTACACACACACCACACCATGCACACACACACTACACACCATGCACACACCCCACACAAACCACATATTGCACACACACCACACACCACGCAAACCACACACACACCACAACTGCACAAACACACATTACATGCACACCACACATGTACACGTCACACACACCACACACACACACCACACCCCATACACACACATGCCACACACACACTACACATATACCACACACAGACTCCCCACACCACACACACATTCTACACACCACACACACATTCCACACAAACCCCATCCATCACACACACTCTACACACCATGCACACCACATACACATTCCACATATCCCACACACTGCACACACACACACACCACACACACCTCCCCCACACACTCCACGCGTCACACCAGCCATACCACACACCACATCACATACAACCCCCTACACCCTCCACACACCCCACACCACACACAACACACACAGAATACACACACCTCACACACTACACACACCACATACACGACACACCACACCCCCCACACACCACGTGCCACACATTCATACCACATCCACACACCACATGCACACAACACACATTCACCATACACATCACACACCGTACACACACAAACACATATGCCACACACACCACACACACACACAACATGCGTTCGCATGCCACACACAGAGCCTCCACCACACAGAAACACTCCGCACACACCACATGCTCATTCCACATAAACACCCTCATACACAAACACATCCGCTAGCTACATACCATGAACACATGACACAAACATCACACCCCTCTGAAAAACTGTATTCAAAAGGACTCATAGTACATATCCTGTAGGCCTTTGTTTAAACTAACAGCATCAGACTAGCACCGCGTGGGTAGTCATACGGAACTAATGGCTATCCAGTTATTTTGTGACTCTCACAACCCCCTCCCTCCCCAGAAAAACCCCAGCAGGAACCCACACAGGGCTTTTATCCTAATGAAATTAGGTAGGCACAAAGAACATCTCCCTACCCCCAAATTCAATGAGTAGCTTTGGAAAATGGTGGTCATCTGTAAGGTGGAAATCCAGTTCTCCTCTTTGGGAGGCACTAGTTGAGGTTTCAGTTTTGAAGTGAGGTTCCTTATTATACAAATAGTTACTCTGTTTTACACTTTGTACTTGGAGGAAGTTAATTTCCGAATCAGTGTCTAGAATCACTACACAGACCTATTATCTGAGGAACAGTGGGTGGAGGGAGTAGTAGGAGATAATGGAGAGATGTACATTATTTTTAAAAATGGAGATGCGTTATAATTTACTTAACACGTTTACTCATAAACATCAGGATTATGGAGACTCTCAGAGTCTTACAAACTTGAGTCATAGTAAGTTAACAAAACCCTGAAAGATTTTTAAAGAGAAAGTTTAGGGCAGAGGCTGCCAGATAACGGCCAGGCTGCTTACCTGCTCTGAATGCTCCTGAAACAAGTTTTGGTGTAAATGAGAGTGTCCTTTATTTTACGCTAAAATTTTATCTTCTCCATGGAATTATTTTTCCCCCAAATATTTCTTTTCTCTTTCGAGAAGAGAAATGGGCAGGGCTATGATTAAGCTATTTGTTTTGGAATAAATAAAATACATTTTCACTGGACTGTTAAATTATAATTTTAACTGGAAGTAGATTTATTAGGTCAGTGGCTATGGATTGATTCTGTATACCCAGGGACTGTGTTTCCTTTTTTAAAGTAAGAGGATGAAGAGGTGAGCCTAGGACCAAGCTTCACTAACCCTGCTGCCTCTGTTGTTCTTCCCCCAAAAGGCAAAATGACACAGAATGTTTTTGCACCTGGGATTAATTTTTAGTTGAAATCCAATGCTGAAATAAACAAGAGGGGCAGTTTGCTTCCACTCTGGAAAATTTGGTGAAGGTTAAGTTATCAGTGATTCAAGCCAAGCCATATTATACATGGTGATTCAATTGATAGAAATGGTCTCCATTAAAATTTTTTTCTGTGGGCTGCTAATTGCTATTTTCAGCCTACAATTTCTTGCAGATGATTTGTTTGAAACCATGATTGTGGCTTCTGCTAAATCCTTTGAAATTCAGCCTTTTAATCCTATGCTTTACAAATTGTTTTAAAAGTACTGATCTAATTAAGCAAATTGATGCAAATATCACTTGCCAAGACCAAATTCTTCTTGTCTAATGGACACTCTTTGTTCACATCATAACTTTAATTAAACTCATGGATTCTGACATGCACAGTCAAATGTGCCTCAGTCATCTTCGGCATCAATGTCCGTGAAATTGGAGCATGTCTAGGTTTCATGGCACAGCAATGCCCTGGACCTTCCAGCTTAAAAATATCACTAACAATGTGGGGTTTTTTTTCTTCTTTTTTTGCTTGTTGAGTCACTGGAGTGCTTTTGTCTTTATAAACAAAGATGGTCTGATGACTTATAGTTAATGGTTAGAATAATACATTGAGAAATTATTGCTACTGTATCCTTTATATCCATCCAGTTTATTTTCATTTTAGATGTTGCGTTTTCATCTCAAGTTCCATGAGTCTTTTTATATCTTCCCTTTCCTCACTAAGTTAAGTTCACATTTCCTTCTAGATTCTTGAGAATAATAAACACATTTATAATAGTTATTTTAACATCCTAGATGTTAAATGATGGAGATAATTTTCCTGTTTCCTTTATACTTGGATCATATTTTTCTGTTTCTTTTATACCTGGTAAATTTTGGTTGAATGTTGGCCATTTTTGGCCATTGTGAATGAAGCTGGGTACTGGATTTTGTTGTATTTCTTTAAATAGTGTTGCACTTAGTTCTGGAATGCAGTTACTTATAACCAATGAAATTCTTTCTAGATTTGCTTGTAAGTTTGTTCAAAAGAGTCTAGAAGTCTTTTGTTTAGGGTTAATTTAGTCCTACTCTTAAGGCAATATTTTCTGAGGATTCTGCTCAGATTAAGTCTTTCCCCTCTGGCTCATGTGAATACAAACTGTTCCCAGGCTCCTGCTTTCTGGCTGTTTGTTCCCCTGCTCCAGGTAGCTCCCCTTTGTACACAGATCAATACTCAGATGAGGACTTGTGGGGAGTATAATTAACATCTGCAAATCTGAGGAGCTTTCTCCATGCATGTTCTTATTTCTGGTGCTGATCTGTGAATTCCAACTACCTGGTCCTCCCAGACTCAGATCTCTTGTCTTCTCAACTAAGCCAAACTGTCAGGCTCCTGCCAGGGGCTCAGGCATTACTTCCCATTTGTGTTCTTTCTCTCAGAGGTCCTAGCCTTGCACATCTGTTGTCCATTGCCTGCACGTTGTTGTTTCTTGTGTTTCGTGTGGTTTTCTAGTTTAAAGTGGAAGGGAAAATCTGATTCCTGTTACTTAATTATGGCCAGAAGAGGAGGTTACAGTGGCCGTCCATTATCAGTGGGGGATAGTTCCAAGATTTCTTGTGGATGCCTGAAACCTCAAATAATACCAACTCCCACCCCCCACCCACACACACACAGTCATGTGTTCTTAATGATGGGGATACACTCTGAGGAATGCACCGTTAGGTGATACTGTCATTGTGCAAACAACACAGAGGGCACTTATACAACCTAGGTAGTAATGCATATTACATGCCTAGGCTTTGTGGTATAATCTATTCCTCCTAGGCTACACACCTGCATAGCATGTTACTGTAATGAACACTGTAGGCAGTTGTAACACAATGATAAATATTTGTGTGTCTAAACATACTGAAACATAGAAAGGTACAGTGAAAGTACAGTACAAAAGATAAAAAATGGTACACCTGTTATTTCCCCTTACCATGAATGGAGGTTGCAAGGCTAAAAGTTGCTCTGGTGAGTCAGTGAGTGAATGTGAAGGCCTAGGACATTACTGTGCACTACTATAGGCTTTATAAGCACTGGACACCTAGGATACACTAAATTTATTTAAAAATTTATTTCTTCAATAATAAATCAATCTTAGTGTACAGTAACTTTTTTACTTTGTAAACGTCTAAACTTGTGATAACACTTAGCTTACAACACAAACACATCCAGCTGTACACAAACATTTTCTTTCTTTATATCCTTCTTCTATAAGTTTTTTTCTATTTTTAATATTTTTAATTTTTATTTTACTGTTTAAACTTTCTTGTTAAAAATAAAGACACAAACACAACACATTAGCTTAGGCCTATGCAGGGTTAGGATTGCCAAGGTCACTTCTTCCACTTCCACATCCTGTCCCACTGGAAGGTCTTGCGGGGCAATAACAAACATGGAGCTGCCATCTCCTAGGATACCAATGCCTTCTGGATACCTCCTGAAGGACCTGCCTGAGGCAGTTAATGTTACAGTTAACATTAAAGAAATGTTACAGTTAACATTAAAGAAATAATTAGAAAATGTCCACTCTCAAATAATGATAAAGGTATATAGTTTATTATCATTATCACATATTCTGTACTGTACATAACTCTGTGTGCTATACTTTTATATGACTAGCAGTGCAGTGGGTTTGTGTACACCAGAATCACCACAAACACGTGAGTAATATATTGTACTGTGACATTAGGACAGTATAATCTTATGGCACCACCATAGTATATGTGATCCGTCGTTGACTGAAATGTTGTTTTGTGACATATGACTGTATTGCGTTTTTCCTATGTATAATACCTAAGATAAAGTTTAATTTATAAATTAGGCATAGTAAAAGATTAGCAAGGATAACTAATAGAACAATTGTAACAGTATACTGTAATGAAAGTTATGTGAATGTGGTCTCTCTCAAAATATCTTATGGTCCTGTACTTACCTATTTTCAGACTGCAGTTGACCCCAGGGAATTGAAACTGTGAAAAGCAAAACCTCGGATAAGGAGGGACTACTGTATCTCCTTGGTGTCTGATAATGTGCTTCACATATTAAGGAGATGTGCTAGGAAATAATTCAAAAAATGCTCACTGGGCAGGCGCCAAGTTAAGCACTCTGAGGAATTAAAGAAGAACCAAGAGTTGTGCTTACTCCTCTAACCATGCGCTCAAAGAAACAGGAGCCAAATGTGTTGTGTGTCATAAAAGAGATATGAACAGTATATTATACGGTGAGAGGGTGAAGAAAATAGGCTGGTAGGAATAATAAGAGCAGAGCATGAACACATAAGGGAATGAAAACTGATGACAAAGAGAAGTATGTTGGGGTCTGGGGAGCCGGCGAGAGGCAGGGAGAGGCCATGGCAGGTGAGGTCAAGCAGGAGTCAGTAAAGCGCCATGGTGGGCAGGGGCTTCACTGGAGCTGAGTTTGGCCTCTTTAATTCATATTATGACATTATATGGTCAAGGGAGGCATTCTGTTTAATTTTAGTGCATAACAACTTATGCATTCTAAAAAATTCTGTTTTGGAATTTCTGGTAAGCTAAATAATGATCCTCCAAATATGTCCATGCCCTAATCTCCAGAACTGTGAATGTTAGTTTCTATGGCTCAAGGCACGTTGCAGATGTGAATAAGTTAAGGCTCTTGTGATGGGGGGATTGTCCAGGTGGGCCTGGTGTAATCACGAGGGTTCTTATAGGAGGTGGCAAGAGCCCTCAGAGACAGACTAGAAGGGGATGTGATGATGGAAGCAGAGACTGGAGTGATGTGCTTTGAAGATGGAGGAGGGGGTCACAAGCCTAGGAATGCAGGTGCTGCTACAAGCTGAAAAAGGAAAGAAACCAATTCTCCCCTCAGGGCCTCCAGAAGGAACCAGCCCTAGGACACCTTGACTTTATCTCAGTGAAACTGAATTTGGAGTTCTGACCTTTTGAGCTGTCAGAGAATAAAAATGTGTTGCTTTAAACCACTAAATGTGTGGTAATTTGTTACAGCAGAAATAGGAAATGAATACAGAATTGTATATTCAAAATAACAAATCAAAGTGTCTACTGGATAACGTTTTCTTACTACCTAAATGGAAACAGAAGAAAAGAAAATGGGAAAAAAATACTGAGTTGCTTATACTGTGAGTTTCTGCACAGGATATATTATTAGGCACACGAAAAGGTAAGGGGATTACTGGTAAATGTTTTTTACTCTAATCTCTGTGAACCTGAGCACTGTTTAAAATCAAGATACAATTTTCTGATTCTTTAAAATCAATAATCACCATTATCTTAGACACGGGCAGGGTAGCAATGACACACTTAAGAAATAATACATGTTGACCATTCTGAGTGCATAACAGGGTTATCTTACTGAATCATCACAGCGACACTATCAGTGGGTACGGTATTGCTATTTTCCTCATTGTTCTGGCATAGATAAAAAAGTGAATACCTTTTCCAGGGTCACACAGATGAGATGTGTTAGAGCTGCTGTTTGCACCTCGGCCTCCTACCTCAAGAGGCCCAAAAGGCAGTCAGAAGTTTTATTTACTGGTTATGCAATTTGTTTGTAGTCTCACAGGACAAGCTTTACGTGAAGATGAATAATCTTATAATATTGGGTAACCCTGCTGGGACCAGAGGTTTTTTTTTCTTCCCTTTTTTCCACACATAGAAATAGGCAAATCTTCCTTCTGAAATGGTGGGGGATATTTTTTTAACACTGTGGCTATTCATCATAAGGTTCAGTTGTTTGGACCAAGTTGACTTATTTCTTGAATTAAAAGAATATTCGAGTCAGATGGACAGCTAGTTCTATCAGACATACTACGTAAATTCAGATGGAGGGAAGACATGACAAAAACCAATTCCACTGTCTTGTTAGACAACCATACCTATGAGCTTCTCTACCTAGATGGGTAGACAACCATGTAGATGAGTGTTACCCAATAGAAATATAATGTGAACCACATGTACAAGCAACATACATAATTGAAAATTTTTAGTGGCCACATTAAAAAAAGGAAAAATTAGCTGGCATGGTGGCACACAGCTGTAATCCCAACTACTCAGGAGGCTGAGGTGGGAGGATCGCCGGAGCCTAGGAATTCGAGGCAGCTATGAGCTATGCTCGTTCCACTGCACTCCAGCCTGGGTGATACAGTGAGACCTGGTCAAAAAAAAAAAAAAAAAAAAAGGAAAAAGTAGTCTTAAAAATTATTTAATTCAATATAATCAGAATATTAACATATCAATTGATGAGATATTTTACCTTCTTTATTTGGTGATACCAAATCTTTGAAATCCAGTGTGTATTTTACACTTACAACAGATTTGAATTTGACTGAACCACATTCCAAGTGCTCAGTGGCCAGCTCAGTGTCCTAGGAGCTTCCATATGGGACCCTGCGGGTATACTGTTTCTATATGTAGCTCATCCTATATCCTGATATCCACTGACACCCTGGAATTAAGGAGAGCTAAAAATTCTCTTGCATTTTTGGGCTACCAAAGAGGGTCCTGTAGGAAATAATACTGAGATCCCAGTATGTGCTTTGCAGTGCCCCATATCCCACCCAGGGTACTGTGTATTTTGGCCATCAGAAGAAAGAGTTTTTAGTTTCTTTTTTTTTTTTTCTAAGATGGAGTTTCACTCTTGTTACTCAGGCTAGAGTGCAATGGTGTGATCTAGGCTCACCACAAACCTCTGCCTCCCGGGTTCAAGCAATTCTCCTGCCTCAGCCTCCTTAGTAGCTGGGATTACAGGCATATGCCACCATGCCTGGCTAATTTTGTAATTTTTGTATTTTTAGTAGAGATGGGGTTTCTTCATGTTAGCCAGGCTGGTCTCAAATTCCCAACCTCAGGTGATCCACCTGCCTCAGCCTCCCAAAGTGCTGGGATTACAGACGTGAGCCACAGCGCCCGGCCAAATCTTTTAGTTTCTAGTGCCCCGGTGCCGGTGGGTAAAATCAACTCCTCTTTCTACACAGGAAGACATACCTACACATGCAGCTCCGATTCCAGCAATACGTTGTCACCTAGTTCAACCTTGGAGAGAAGTGGAGTGGTGGGAGTGGTGTATTTTCCAAGATTTCAAGTTTATTTTTAAGTTGAGCATGTCATAGTCATTGAATTTGGCCACTGCAACAGTAGAGATGGTGGTGTGTGTGTGTGCACGCGCGCACGTGCGTATGTGCGCACACATGATTCATGCATAACACAAAAGTGAAAAATGCTATTTCTAGCCAGCATTTCTGAGAGAGCATCTTGGAGCAGCTGTAGATCAAGCAGCACTCCAACATGATAGGATAGAATGCCTCCCTGACCTGCACTCCTCTGCAGACTGCTTGGCTCTGTGAGCCCGCTTCATTTATTTCCTGTTGAGGTTAAGTCTCATTCCAGTCAGCTTGTTCATCTAATTTTGTGTTAAGAGAATTATGTTTTCATGCCGAGGAAATAATGCATCTTTAAATTTACCTTTACAAGTAGCTTTCTGAGTTTTCTTTCAGCAGCTTGGCTGGAGCAGTCTCATAGAGCATGGATCCTATGGAAGAATATGAGAAAGAACAAAATACAGTGTTTGCATTTAAGTTTACTATCTATCTAGAGGTGGAAAAGTAAGATTTTTTTTTTCTTTTTGAGATGGAGTCTCGCTCTGTCCCCCAGGCTGGAGTGCAGTGGTGCGATCTCGGCTCACTGCAACCTCTGCCCCCCGGATTCAAGTGATTCTCCTGCCTCAGCCTCCTGAGTAGCTGGGATTACAGGCACACGCTGCCACACCCGGCTAATTTTTTGTATTTTTAGTAGAGACGGGGTTTCACCATACTGGCCAAGCTGGTCTCAAATTCCTGAACTCACGATCCACCTGCCTCAGCCTCCCACAGTGCTGGGATTACAGGCATGAGCCACCGTGCCTGGCCAAAAGTAAGGATTTTTAAAAGCAACTCTTGCTATAGTTGAAATAAATGAGATTACAAGTGGTTTTCTAGTTAATCCTGATGCAAGGAACATTTCTGATTAAAGATCCTGAGGATCCTAAGTAAGGGGTGGCATCACAGCATCATAGGTTTGAGAGCTGCAGCAATGAAAACATTTCATAGCTTATGCCAAAGGAGGTAAATGATACACAGCACACAATGGAACACCAGAAGTAGACATGGACTCAGAGGGGGAATTGTGAATATATTAAAAAGAGCATTTAAAATTCCTGGTGAAGAGATTGTTTATGCAATGACTTTGTAGATACTTGTGGAAAACAAATATTGATATCTACCTTTATATCAAAATAAATTCTTGCTCGACAAAATTTTTATTTGATAGGCACAGAAACAGACATGGGATGATCGCTCCTGATGTGTTCAGGGAATAATATGTAAATTAGTCAAGCTGTGCAGTGGGATCAGGTTGGCACAGCAGATAGAGGCCCATTTGTAAAGAATCTTGAATGCAGGGCTTGAGAGTTGAGACTTGGCAGGGTGTGGCAGTGGGGAGATTCGCATGGAATCGTCCTGGGTGGAGCTATGGTCTAGGAGGATGCTCATTCTTTTCACATGCTAACCTGGTGTATTACATTCTTATATAGTATTATGAAGCTCCTAAGTACACTGTGATTTTAGAGTCTTTTAGCTCTTCTAGGAGAGCCTTTCATTTGTCTATTTAACATATCAAGTGAATGAAAACTTGCCTAATGGAATGTTATATAAACAAAATGCTTATTGGTGTTGTTTTTAGTTTTCTAAAGATCAGACACGGTGCTTGATTTTTTTCTCGGTAGTCTACTAGTTCCTGAAGAAGAAGTTTCTCATTTTATTCATCTCTATATTTACACTGCTTGTTACAATGCCTGGCACATCCAACAAACATTTATAATCGCCTTCTGTGCCAAGACACGAGTGCAGGAACTTAGAAAACACTGATTAGCATTTATTTTCCTCCAAGTTTTGAAGTCTGACGCAGTCCCTGCCCTTAACAGAGCCTGTGGCCCAGCAGGGGAGACCAGCAACTCGGTGAGGATAACTCCGGGATGGAAAGGCTCGACAGTGCCATGGGAAAAAGTGCAGGAGGACTGACTTTGGTCCAGGGTGAGGATCAGCGAAGAGTTCCTAGAGGAAGCGTCCTATATTCTGTGTGCCAGTCATGCGGTTCCTAATTCTCAACTCCAATGCTGTCCTCAAGGATCTGGGATGCTGGAGAAGGAAATCTGCAAACCTCGTTTGTCCTCAGACAGAGGATCCCTGTTAGCATCTACCAATAGTGGGGCCTATAGGGAAGGTGGCCAGCAGAACAGAAAGCAGAGTCGTAAGCCATCCTGTCAGCATGCCCTGGTTGGTGGCCGTTAACATCTTTCTTTTCTGGGCATTCCTGAAATCACCCTCCTGCGTCCCCTAAGAGGTGAAGCATGCCCCTCCTCAGGTTTTCACTCTGCTCTGTGGGATCCTCCTTTTTCAAGGAAGCACCCAGCCCCATGCAGGGCCCCATCAGAGCTTCCCACACTGAGGCTTTGTTCCTCCAGCCCTGGGGCAGGGAAGCTGCTTTCCATAGGCCTGATCTCTGGGCTATTGCAGCTGTTCACTCTTTTATTCCTCTAAAGCCTGTGAAACTAGTTCCCTGTATTAAATTCCTTCTGCTAAAACACCTAGCATGTTTTTTTCTGTTTTTTTTTGTTTTTTTGTTTTTTTTTTTTTGAGACAGAGTCTTGCTGTGACCCAGGCTGGAGTGCAGTGGCGCATCTCGGCTCCCTGCAAGCTCCGCCTCCTGGGTTCACAACATTCTCCTGCCTCAGCCTCCCGAGTAGCTGAGACTACAGGCGCCCGCCACCACAGCTGGGTGCTTTTTTGTATTTCTTTTAGTAGAGACGGGGTTTCACCATGTTAGCCAGGATGGTCTCGATCTCCTGACCTCATGATCCGCCTGTCTTGGCCTCCCAAAGTGCTGGGATTACAGGCTTGAGCCACTGCTCCTGGCCTAGCATGTTTATGATTTGTGGATTGGAGCCACAATCTTTCAGGATGAAGAGTTAGCTGTGTTAATAGTGGGGTTTCTGGAAAGGGAGAAAAAATTATTTTAACATGAGTTAGTCCTTGATCCATTTGTATTTTAGAAGAATCCTTCTGGCATGACAGGGGAGTGAAGTGGAGAGAGGAGGTTGGAAAGCAGTTACAGTTGATCACCAGCCTCCGCCCAGCTGCCTAAGGGGAAGGCCTCAGGTTGCTCCTAAACACTTACCCTTTCTCCACTGCTCAAATCTATTAGCCCCTCTCCCCAGAAATCTCTTTTTCAACAATTCTGACTTAGTCAGTTTGAGGTCCACCACAGCACCAGTGTTTTCAATGCATTCCAAGCCCTGGCCCTGGGCCAGAGATCCTCACACTTATGCTGCATCAGAGTCACCTGAAAGGCTTGCTGCATCATGGATGGCTGGGCTGACTCAGGGATACTGACTTTGCTGTTCCGAGGTGAGGTCTCAAAACTTGCATTTCTGGAGGGTTTCAGGTGCTGCTGATGCACCTGGTCTGGAGGTCACACTCTGAGAGCCACTGACTTAGGCAGGCATCACCCTGTGGGCCTTCTGCCTTCTGCCTGGTCCCCTTCCTTCCACTTTTATCTTCCCGTGCCCCAGTGTCCACATACTCGACAGGGAGATTTACAAAAAAGCAAATTGGATCATATGAACCTCTTTATCCCTTACATTTCCTTGCTTCAAACTCTCCAGTACCCTTCAATGCAGTTAGAGTAAGATCCAAAGCCCTTAACCCACCTATAAAAGTCCTCTACTATCCGGCCCCCACAACCCACTGATCTCCCACCCCAATGGCCTGCCTTCCAGTCTGCCTGCCGCAGGTTTTCCCCTGGCTTCTGCCTTGTCCGCTTTGCCTGTGATGTCCATCTCCTGCTATTCACATGGCTGGCTTCTTCTTATCATCCAGGGCTCAGCTCAAATGCTGCCTCTGAGCCTCCCCACCCCCAGAAGTGACTCTGTCTCATGAGCTGAATTTTATTATCTTTATAACACTTCCCTCTTTTTGGCGTGTGGTTGCTTGGTTACCTGTGCCTCCCTCATGGGACGTAAGCTGCATAAAAACAGGGACAGTCTGCAGCACCTACCAGGAGGCCTGGAATGTTGGAGTCTTGGAAGAAATATTAGCAAAATGAACAAACTAATACACTATTGTAAGGAAAAAAAATATCCAGGGAAAAGAGACAGGCAAACATACACGAATTTTGAGGTTGACCAACCTTTCCAGTTTGCCTGGGACTGAGGGGAGTTCCCAGGCTGTGAGGCTTTCAGTGCTGGAACCAGGACAGTCCTGTGCAATAGGGACGAGGTGGACACCCTGACACTCACCTGTGTGCACTGGAGACCTTCCAGCACTCTTGTGCTGAGTATTCATTCCTTGTTCTCTTTGTCATATCCTAGCACTGCCTTATTTAGTTCCTTCAGCTTCTTTAACTTTGAAGACAACTGAGCATTCTATAGCCAGGAAGCACCTTCACAAATCATCCTGTCTTTTGATATTGCTTTCGGGTTAGACCAAGGATTCAGTCTAGATTTCTTTAGTTATTTCATCCTATTTGATATTGTTACTTTAAAAAAAAAAAGCTTAGGTTGAAATTTAAACCCTTGTGCTCTAGCTCGGGGACATTTCAGGTTAGACTTTTCACAAGGTAAGATAAAAATAAACAACATAATTCTAAGGAAGAGAAACATCCAATGGGTGTTGAATGACAGAAAACGATCTGTGGAGCAAAGTGGACCAGTACGCCATTTTAGTAGGACCAACCCAATCCAAAACATAATGATTGAACAAATTGTGTAGCGATACTCATGACTGTGACGGGGAAAGGCAACGTGTTCCCATTTGGGTAATGGTACATCTGCTGGTTCATCGGTATATTTGATTTTGACGAGATGCTCTTTCCTGCCCTCCTGTCCCAAGGGCCAGCACTCTCCCATCAGTCAGCACTGCCGTCACTGAGTTCCTGTCTTTTTCTCTTTAGACTGTAGGCAGAGGATAAGAATATGGGCTTAGTCCAGGGTTTGTCCCTGCACTTCATTAAAGATGAATAGTGTGCTTTATGCAGTTAAATAAGTGCAGAGCCATTTTTCTATTGATAATCCTAATAAGAAAAATATAGCTTGACACTTCCTGTGAACCAGATGTAGTGCCAGGTTCCTTACACACATGAACTCATTTGAAACAGGTGCCTTCTGACTCTGTTTTATATATGAGAAAACAGCATAGCAAGGATAAGTACCATGTCCAAAATCACCTCACAGGGATTGCAGCCTCTATCAGCTGGATTCCAGAACTAGATCCCGGATTTTTGTTGTTTATGTAAAATAGCATTACTGAGGTAAATGACCTGGGGTCTTGTCTTCCAGAAATCTTGAATTAAAAATACTTTCATCTGGGCGCAGTGGCTCATGCCTGTTATCCCAGCATTTTGGGAGGCCGAGGTGGGTGGATCACCTGAGGTCAGGAGTTCAAGACCAGCAGATCCAATATGGTAAAACCCTGTATCTACTAAAAATACAAAAAATTAGCCGGATGAGGTGGTGCGCACCAAAATTGCGCCACTGCACTCCAGCCTGGGCGACAGAGTGAGACTCTTTGTCAAAAAAAGAAAAAATATATATTTTCTGTGTTTTAGTTCAAAGCAATTCTTGCAGTGTTCAAATGCTCTGTGTTAATACCAAGTGGTAATTCTTCACATTTTGAGTAATTTTATCATTTCTGAAATAAATACAGTTATCACTCTATTTTGATGTAACCAGGGCACTCAGGTGCCGTTAGAGTATACACTGCATTTTGGATGAATGGTCCGTCATGTGCCTAATCTCCACCTTGGCTTGTGGCATCATTAAAACATTATATATATATATAGATAAATAGATAGATTTTTTTTAAAAGGATGAGTTAAGGGAAGTGCTTTTAAAAAATCGTTATGAAGAAACCAAGGGATTTAAAAAATAATTCAGTCAACTTCAGAGAGGTCCAGCATATCAAATACAAAACTGACAATTAATGCCTATTGTTCAAATAGTCCTGAAATGATCAGATGCTCCCATGAGGGAGAAATTGGAAGTGGCCACACTTGGCATCAGGTGTTTGAGTAAAGAGTGTTATTTGTCTTGGGATATAATTGGGGTCAGCTACACAATAAAGAGGTTTAAACTTTATGCCTGAGCTATTATTACTGGCCAGCCCCCGCCACCTTCATTAAACTCTGGCTCCATTACCATCACTAACAATTGTTCTCTCGTTGGGAGTTATCAGTAAGATTACAACTGTTGTCCGAATCTGTTAGCCAAAAATTACTGACTCGGCATTTGAAATTCAACAGCTGCAGGGTTTGTGTCATGCAGCAGAACTCTTCTTGATATGATGCGTGTGTCCTGTGTGTGAAAGGGAGTTAAAGTATTATGTAAATGTATGTATGTTAAATTATGTGCATACACACTTTTTTATGGGTTTCTAAGGAATTGTTTGCCGTATTTGGAGGTACAAATCACTTTATCAATGGAAATTATGTGAATTGCTACCATCTTCTTTTAAAAATGTGCAATGTAAAGCAAGGAAATAGGTAATTTAAAGCCTAGAAGCCATAAATAATATTATTATATTAAAATGTATTACTTTTCTTTCCACGAATATAAGACATCTACAAATTATATAAATATGGGGACTAATGATTGGAGATTTAAAACTGAAAAATTATAAAATCTGAGTGTACTCTTGAAGAAAACAATGTGTAGTTTTATCTTTTTTCAGTTACTCTTTTTTTTGACATTTCACCATTTTTAGTACTCTAACATAATATGGAAATCCTGAAGGTACTTATTACATATCAGTTTATTGTATGAAATATAATTGAAATCATATAGTCTCTTATTATATGAGCCATTTAAAAAATTTGCTTAAACTCTTATGGTTCATGAATTCCTGTTACGGAAAACTCTCTTTCTGGCTAAGATTATTTTAATGGCTCTCACTTTAAACTACATCTACACCATCTGTTCTTCCTTTTATTCTAAATCCTAAAAGAAATGAATTTAAATGCATCATAAAAGGGCTATTTTATGTTTTTTAAATTCCTGTGTCTTCACTCCCAATCTAAATGTATGTTGGCGATCTCCAAAAACATCTGGAGTAAAACAGCTGTCCTTTGACATCTGACTTGGAATATTTCCCAGGGAAGACAAGAAACCATTCTAAAATGGATGTAATTACAGACTCAAGTGTACGTCCCTCTTCCCTTGCCCTGGCTAAAGTGTACCATTGCTACTCAGCTAATAAAGGACTGGCAGTTCTAATACAGTGCTGCCATGGTTTTATAAGTAAACTGAATTTTTATACTCAGGTAAAGTTTTCTTCCTCGCAGTATTTTATAAAATATTAGCACTTAAACATTTTATTGATTGGTTGCATTTTCTCTTTAGCCAAACCTTGGGAAACACCGTTTCTCAAGTGTAGGGAATAGTGCTGACAGAGGCTGGTTACGGTCACGGTCACAGCAGTGTTTCAAATGCCTGAGAAGTAACAAGGGAAGGGACCCAGGAACCCGTGCCACCTCACATCTTAGTACTTGGCAGTGTTAGGAAGCAGTCAGCAGTGGCTCATTGTGAAAACTGAAAGATGTTTCCAAGGAGAGGACAGCTAGAACTCAGCTTGTGCCGTAATTCCTGCCAAGTGTACTTTCTGTTTTTTTCTTTCTGTGCATGTAATCACAAACTAAGATAGGTTGCAAATGACATAAAATATGATGTCATTATCCTTGCACAAATGACACTGTGGCAAATTTGGCTTTCTCATGACAGCTTTTGGGAAGATTAGCAGCCTGTTCTTGATGCTGTGGTGATCTCGACAATTGCAGCATCGGTGTTGGGAAGCATCAAGGGGAACGGTGTTCTCTGTCCCATTGAGGACACCTCATACCACTCACCACACCAGGAGCTGCTCCCGTGGAGGACTTAACTGTATGGCACTAACAGTGCCTGCACTCTCTTTACTTCAAAAGCTCCAGTTATAGGATGGCATTTCTTTGGGGCTGGCTTCTGGGCAGCAGGACTTTGCTTCAGTTGTTTCCTATGGAATCCCAAAGATCTCAGTGACATTCACGGAAATGATTCGCTGTGGCTGTGGGTTTACTTGTGCCACCACCTATTCTTATATGTTTGAATTTCTGTCTGTGATCTCCCTGGAAATAGGGTGGCCTAAGAAAAAGTGAGTGCTGCAAACAGCGGGCAGCTGAATGTCAGTCATGATGACAGGAGTTTGGAAGAGAAAGGATGGGACAGGAGAATGATTTTCATTGCAGATCATTGAATCATTGGAAGAAAAAAATCAATTGATAAGACATACATAGAAGGAAAGAACTTTAGTTTTTAAAAGAGACATAGTAAATCTCTAACCAATATTTAAAAATGAACAACAGGGAAACTGATGTTTCATTCAATAAGTAGAACAAATACCAGGATTAAAGAAAACATATTTCAGTAAATACAGAAGGGGCAGTGAAGAACAGAAAGATCTGTAGAAAGAGGACAGAATTGGTCTAGAACAGTAGAAAGATACATAAAAAGTGGTGAGAAAGGGACAGGAGTCATTGGTGAGGAAAGAGCCAGGGAGGTCATTCTAAGTGAGTGTTGGATGATTTTTTTTTTTTAGAGTATTATAACTGGTTTTTCACCTGGGTGTGGACTTCTGTCATCACTTCTTAACTAAAACTTTTTGCCTTTTGTAGGCAAAGCTCCCTTACAGTTGCCAAGCTGCTTCAAAACCTAAACTTTTTTTTAGGATAGGCATTAAAAATTCAAATGCCCAGTCCATCTTGGTCCCTTTGGCTTCCATAGAGGCCGTTCTGTTCTTGGATCCTCAAAAAAGAGATTTACTTAGTATTCCTGTTTTTTTTTTTCCAGCTGTGCTCTGCAGTTTCCAAAAGAATAGTCTATGAGGTTCCTTAGAAAAAATTTCCTATAGAAAAGAGTGGTAAGGCTGTGCGTGGTGGCTCATACCTCTAATCCCAGCACTTTGGGAGGCCGAGGCAGGCGGATCATGAGGTCAGGAGTTCAAGACCAGCCTGACCAACATGGTAAACCCCGTCTGTACTAAGAAAATACAAAAATTAGCCGGGCGTGATGGTGCATGCCTGTAATCCCAGCTACTCAGGAGGCTGAGGTAGGAGAATCTCTTTAACCCGGGAGGCAGAGGTTGCAGTGACCTGAGATGGTGCCACTGCACTCCACCCTGGGCGACAGAATGACACTCCATTCAAAAAAAAAAAAAAAGAAAGAAAACAGAAAATAGTGGTATGTTGAGTTGCATTGCCACTGCTAAATCACAGAAGATCATGAAGCTAGAAACAAGCTATCTTCCAAATTTTACTTCGCTGTACTCCATCTTAGGGAAGAATGCTGCCACTTCTCCTTAAACTTTGTAGTCTTCTCCTTCCATTTCCTGGGTTTCTGGCACAATCTTCATGGCTACCTTGTTGGATAACAAGACTGTGAAACAAGTAACCAAAGATCTGGGCTTGGAACATCATCCTTCTTTTGTGTCTATGAGAAATTACTTCAAATAGCTCTGCCTTAATTTTCTTCCTATAAAATGAGAATAATAATAACAATTTCAAATGTCTTCAGAGGCCAGGTAGGAAATGTAAATGTAAATTGGTAAAAAACAAAACAAGCCCATCTGCTAGAAACATAATCACATTTTAGTTTCACTGAACTGTGGTTTAAACACAAGTACATGCACTACACATACACCAGAAAAAAAAAAAAGCATGATATTTGTTGTTCTTTAATTAAGAAGTGGAAATCTGACATTTTACTGTTATACCAAGGTCTCAAAGTCAGGTCTTCCATTTTGTGTTGTGATGTAAGTATGGAATTCAACTCTGACTTCTTTACCTGGGAGAGAGATTTAGATGAATTCATTTTTATGTTAGAAAAGCAGCTGTTCACAGAGGCAGACACTTAAGCACATAGATACAATCTTTGTGTACTGATTTTTATTGTCTTGAGATAGTTGAAAAATTCTGATATTTCAACATCATTGTGTTTGAATTTTAGTGTTTCACTAAAGTTTGACAATGTCCATTTCTACCTTTTGATTCACAGTTTCAATATTATTTCAGAAGGGAAAAATTAACCTGTTGTTTCACTAATTCTAGTTTTGAATTTGTTAAATTCACAATGATATGAATATGGGAAACAACATGTAGTAGCTTTATTTCTTGTTGTTTTAGTCTTAAGACTGGAAAGTTTTCAGTTCTCCCTGGTAATAGCTTTTTGGCAAACTGTGTCTCCCTCTAGTGATACAAATCATTATTCTCTTAAAACTATGGTAAAGGTTGGATCCTCTGAAAGAAATATGTTCTCCAATCCAGACAAAAGCATATTATTAAAAAAATAAAGTTAACACATTGATACCTGAGTTTACTTGACTGCTTTAGCAAGGGATTTGGAAACTTATTTTTTCTTATGGTTTTCAGGTAGGCATTTATTCTATATGATTATGTTTACTTCAGACAAGTTTTTATAAAGCACAGCTCTCCTAATATATCATTTTATTAAATAAATGGACAGGCAATTTACATATTAATGGCCATGGTGAAAATTGGGAAATCCTGCAGCTCCCTAGACTTAAAGGATAGAAACAAAAGCTCAATTTACTCCTGGATCTTTATGGTGTGTTGTAATTACAGAGGTAAATCCCATTCATTCCTTCATTCATTCCACATCCCTTAAACCTCTCCTGAGTATCCACTCATGACAAGCTAGATGCTGAGGAGATTTAGATGAATAAGCCACAGTCATTGTTTGCAATGTATAGTCACAACAAAATTGTCTCAAGAAGCATTTCAAAAATTTTCAAATACTGTTTCCGCATTCAGTTATTTTTGTCTAGAGTGTTTATTTTGGGGACCTGGGACATCTTTCCTAGCTCAGGCTAGGCAAGCTCCAAAGTAAAGCACATCTGCACAGAGGAGAACTTCTAGGGCTGGAGAGACCTCCCTAAACAAACCAGGAGCAGAGGTGCAGGCTCAATGTGCTTCTAAATCAAACAGGTTGCAGACAACCTGGGTCTACTGCCTTCAAAATGAAAGAAGACTTTTTTGTTTGTTTGTTTTTGAGATAGAGTCTTGCTCTGTTGCCCAGGCTGGAGTGTAGTGATGCAATCTTGGCTCACTGTAACCTCCACCTCCTGGGCTTAAGCAACCCTCCCACCTCAGCCTCCTGAGTAGCTAGGACCACAGGCATGCACCACCACAACTGCCTAATTTTTCTATCTTTTGTAGAGGCAGGGTTTCACTATGTTGCCTTGGCTGGTCTTGAACTCCTGGCCTCAAGTCATCCATCTGCCTCAGCCTTCCAAAGTGCTGGGATTACAGGTGTGAGCCACCACTCCCGGCCAAGAAGGTGGTTTTGATAGTAAAAATAACAGTTCCCCAAGTCTTGACAACTGGCTTTCATGGCTTGGTGGGCCTGTGGGGTGAGAGTGGTTAGGAAGGAGGAGCGGAAGACCTCAAGATCCAAGTCCAGGATGATGCCCCATACAGGTCAGCTCTACCCACATCAGCAGTTCTCGAAAAGCAGAACCCACATCAGAACCCTCAGAGAACTCACTTGCAGTGGGTCCTACGTGTAAACAGACTCGGAGGGCTGAGGAACACTGAGAAGAACTAGTGATTGGGAGTTGGGTGGGATCTGGGTGCAGGGAGAAAAGAAGGGCAGCCCACTGCATAGTACACCCTCTGGGACTCTCAGCTGCTCTGACCCTCTCCACCCTTTCAGAGGCCTAATGCAGTGTAGTTACTTTTGGAAAGAATTAGAAGCATCCAAGAAGCATCATTTTTATTATCTTCAGAGGCTGTATTAGGGTTCTCTAGAGAAACAGAACCAATAGGCTGTATCTCTGTATGTAACATCTACCATTCATCTCTCTAGATTTATTTTAAGAATTGGCTCATGGGATTGTGATGGTTGGCAAGGCTGATATCTGCAGGGCAGGCTGGCAGGCTGGAGACCCAGGGAAGAGTTGATATTGTGCAGAATTCCCTCTGTGTATTTCTGTCTGTGTCCAAATTTTCTCATCTTGTAAGGACACCAGTCACATTAGATTAGGGTTCACCCCAATGACCTCAGTTTTTCTTAATCACTCCTGTAAAGACCCCCATCTCCAAATATGGTCACGCTCTGAGATACTAGAGGTAAGACTTCAACTTATGAAATTTTGGGGAACACGATTCAGCCCAGGCATATTTTGTGTTTAATAAATGATGTACAAGTAAACTGACTCCTCATATCAGTTTTAAGATGGCTTAAGGCCTATATCTGTACTGTACCTAACACTGTATGGTTTTAGATACTTTAATAATCAATTAGTAGACAGTGCTATCCTTATGTCCAAATTTGCAGATATGGAAACTGAAGCACCCAGAGATGAAGTCTTTGCCCAGCGGTATGAAATCAAGAGGTGGTAGCCCTGGGCGCTGAGCCTCGGCAGCTCAGCCCCAGGCAGGCACCTTCTCTTTTTTATTTTTTTATTTTGGAGATGGAGTCTTACTCTGTGGCCCAGGCTGGAGTGCAGTGGCGCAATCTTGGCTCACTGCAACCTCCACCTCATGGGTTCAAGCGATTCGCCTGCCTCAGCCTCCCAAGTTGCTGGGATTATAGGCACTGGCCACCACACCTGGCTAATTTTTTTATTTTTAGTAGAGACAGGTTTTCTGCGATGTTAGCCAGGCTGGTCTCAAACTCCTGACCTCAGGGTGATCCGTCCGCCTCAGCCTCCCAAAGTGCTGGGATTACAGATGTGAGCCACCGTGCCCGGCCAAAGCACTTTCATCAGTAGAACACGCTTGGAATTGTTGAACACCCCACTAAAGTGACTCTCCTCAACTTATGGTGGGAATCCTAGGGGCCTAGTTAAAATGCAGAGTCCTGGGTTCAGCACCAGACTTACTGAATCAAGATCTACTATGAGCAGCAAGTGATGGGGAGTTATCTGTATCTTTAACAGAAACCCTCTAGGAACATTTACACCCATAGAGACTGGAGGATTACTAGAATTATCTTGTAAGTTTTTTCTAATTCAGCTTCTTGCAGTTCCTGATTCCATGGTTTAATGGCCTTCACTATCGTGTGTGTGTGTGGGGCTTTTTGTTTTGTGGTTTATTCATTTATTTAACCAATATTCACCAAGTAATGTTGCTAGGTTCCAGGGGTTTTCAAGGATACATCAGATGTAAAACTTCTCTTCAAAGACCATATGACATTATACCAATATTATTAGGTTTTAAAATGTTCTCTCAAATAAGAAATATCTGTACTTTATTCACTTTTACAGGCTCTATTTTAATAAGTGTGAATGCTTCTTTTATTTCCTATTCAGGGATGGCCCTATAAATAATGTATTTTTGTTAACTCTCTTAATTTTCTGGTAGAAAGGTGAATAACATGCACTATTATCTATAAATAATCAGGACTATGTTTTTGAGAGAAGAATGGCAAAAAAATATATGCCAGCTGCTGTTATTATTCAAGGCTTTGTATTGCTCTTGGGTTTTTATGAATGTATTGAAGTGTGCAGGTGCATGAATGCTTATAATTCAGATAAAAATGTTAAACCTATCATTAAAACAGTTCTTTAAAATCACATAATTCTTTTTATGATAAGCCAAAATGATTTTACTAGTTCCTAATGTCCTTCCTCCAAAAATTTGGTGGGAGAAATGTGGTTGCTTTCTGCCCTTCAACACTGATTCCTTTCCACTGGAGGTAGTCCCAGGATACAAGCAGGTGGCTGAATGCCAGGTCCATGCAGGGGGATTAGTGCAGGCTGGTCATTGCAGATGCCATTCCCAAGAGTCCCGGGACTTAGCTTCCCTGTGGTTCCAGAGTGTGTTCCAGAATCCAGCAGCTCCATGAAGACTCACTCTCCTGTTTCCCCTTTCCCTCTTTCCCCAACTCCCCTCTTTCCCTTGGCAGTTATGATGAAGGTAAACACATGAGTAGGCACAAGCCAAACATCAGCTCCTATAGCAGAAGCAGGCAAGGCTTACAAATTGACTGCTCTTAATGCATACATTCTTTTCTCTGTACAGAATTTAAAGTGTTGATGGGAGTGGGCATGGGAAAGTAGAAGTGAGTAGGTTTTCTTCCTTTCCTAAGATCAGAAACTTTCAAGAGAGTTGGGGTGAGTCCTGCTCCCGGAAGACATTGGCCTTTTTAAAGGATGCGGTACAGTTGTGGGCACAGGGCACGGAGCCAGTGAATAATTTTTGTATTGAATCCAGGTTAATTGCTAGGGTTTTGGTTTGTGGGTTTTTTTTAAATTTCTACTTTAATTGAGAGTGGGTCTTTTAAAGTCATACATATCATCTAACTCACTCCAATCACCTCGCTAGTTGGTGGCAAAGGCCCTGGAACTCTCCCTCTGAGCAGATAGTGAGGCTCCTCCCACCAGACCCCAAGGCAGGTACTGGACTTCCACTGCCTAGTTTTAAAGGCAAAATAAATGATTTGGGCATAGAACAACTAAGCAAAATAAAGGAAGAACAGAAGTATAAAATCTTTTCTATAAAGGCTATTTTATTAGTTCAGTCTATGGACTGACTATAACTCAAAATGTAACATATTTGCTTTATATATGTTTGTCATAGTTTCAAGATCTTGAATGAAAACATTAATTCATTACCCAGGATGACTGAGTTAGTCTTAAAAAAATCTTTATTTACAAGACAGGTTACAAAAAAACCCCAACAGTTTTGGAAAATTTTAATGCTTTTTTTTTTAATGAAATGATGTAATAGACTGATTGGAGGATGCTTTTTTTGGGAGCAACCTGTAGGAATGCACTTTTCTATGAAAGAATGCCATGAAGCATGTAGTAGAAGGACAATCCAGGTTTGTTAATATGCTATACACAGATTTAAGGGTTTGTGATCTTGTGTTACTTATGAATCACACTGTTTTTAATTTTTCCTGGAAATATTCCATGAGGCCCATTTTTCTATCCTTGAAGGAAATGTTGATAAGAACATTTGTTGATAAGGTATCTCCTTTCCAAAAACGCATCCCAGTGTTTTCTTTGCTCTGTATCTGTCTTGGCCACTGGACCACAAGCTCCCAGAGTAGAGGAACTGGTCTTTATGCAATTTTGAACAAGCCATTTGCTGACCCTGTGTCTCAGTTTCCCCAAGTGAGAACAATCCTACTTTGCACTTAGCGTTGTCATGGGGATAAAATTCATTTGTGTAAAGTGGTGAGAGTGGGGCCTGTTATGCAGCAAATGATGTCTACGTGCTTGTTAGTGTTATTACTACTAAGGCTAAGGTGTGCAGAGACTCAGAGCTCACTCCACTCAACTTCTTTGTCACCCTTCAGTGGCCCTAAATCGCATCCAAAGAACCCTCGAGCTATAGAACACAGCTTTCAGACCTCTGCTCTATAAAGACAAGGAATGTGCTTGTAATCTGAATCTTCCTAGAACAGCCCAGAATCAATTGTCAATTTCAGGCCTAGCATTAAAAACAGGATAAATTTGAACTAATGGATCACCTAGGGCTGTTCACAAACAGCATTGAGTCAGAGGCAGCCTGGCCACTAAGGGGTTTGTGGGGCAGCCATCAATAATTAAGCCAGTATTTGTGTAGTATCTGCTATGGTTCAGGCAATGCCCTGGTAAAACACTGGCAAAAAAGACCAGTAGCATAAATAGTAAATGCAGAGCTGGTTTGAAGCTAATAATCAGGTGTCAGAGTCACACTCTTCTTTCTTTCTTTTGTCTTTTGGAGACGGGGGTGCGCATCGGGGAGACTCGCTCTGTCTCCCAGGCTGGAGTGCAGAGGTGCAATCACGGCTCACTGCAGCCTCAAGCTCCTGGGCTTTAGCAGTCCTCCCACTTCAGCCTCCTAAGTAGTGGTGAGTACAGGCACATGCCACCATGCCTGGCTAAGTTCTTAAATATTTTACATTTTTAAGTTTTTTTAGAGACAGAGGTCTTGCTATGTTCCCTGGGCTGGTCTCCACCTCCTGGGCTCAAGCAATCCTCCTGCATCAGCCTCCCAAGTAGCTTAGATGACAGGCTGGAGTCATGATCTTAATAGCTGCAGTCTAATGCCTCTCTCTCACCATGGCGATTTGGTTCTTGTATGCTTTGGGTTCAGCATTTGAGGAAAGGCTCTGCTGTCATAAAAACTTAAAACTGTTTCGCTACAGCATGTCTGGATGCCAAGGTCTTTTCAGACTTTCAGTGGATGTGTGTTTTTATTTTCCCAGTGCTGGTACTGAGGCATGGGTTTGCCTACAATATTCGTGCTGGGCTGAGTGGATGTACAGAGCAACACTAACGTGGGGCAGGTTTGGCTGGATGAAGAAGGGAGAGGTGGGAGCTGAGCCTCCAGGAGCATCCACGTGTTGGCCCTGGGCCCGGTCTTCAAGGAGGGTAGCCCCTCAGTACTCCCACCAAGCCCACCGTGAGTGTGTTCTCCCCATCTCACAAAACCGGAGGGAAGCCTGGGTCTGGGAGAGGGACCTAACAACCGCAAGCTGCAAGGTAGCCTGAGAAATGGCTCTGGAGGGGGGCCACAGAGCACGTTTCTGCAGCTGCCTTGTGCTAATAATTTAATTATCGTCTAAACTTCCTCCTCCTCCTCATCAGTTTGTCTTCTTCCAAAGAGCAAAAAGCGCAGATTACTGTCACGGGCCACTACGCTGCTCTCTGATGCTGGCTCACCTACCTGTAGAGGATAAGTGCGTCAATGTGCACCGCCCCCCTCCCCCCAGCTTTGGGAACACCCAGCTCCGAGCCTGGCCGACCCGCTTTCCTCTCGCCTCATTGCCTACCTGGCACGTGTGCTGCAGGCAGAGTCTCCAAACTCCACGCTGCGCTAATGTTTCCTAAGTTGACTGCCTTTGCTGGGACTTCCTTAGGAAAGGGCTGCTTTTATGTCTTCTGGATGCGTAGAGGGGATCCCCTTCCCTAAGCCGAGTTTCGGGCTCACCTGAAAGTGGGAAGTAAAGAGGCTTCTTAATGGCATCATATTGAACAACAATGATAAAGCGACAAGCCTTTTATAACACTGGAGAGCAGCATCAACTCTTTTTTTTTCTAATCCGATGCTGCTTTTTAAAAATGTTTGTTGTGTGCATTGAACAACTGGTTGCATGCTGAGCGGCAGCCCGTAGGCTTATTGCTGTAAATAGACAGGCCTGGGGTGGCTGGTCTCGGCCTCGGTTCCTCGGTGCTGGCGGCCTATAGGGGGCGCGGCGGAGGCAGCAGGGCCCGGGAGCGGAGCGCAGGGGCCGCGCCATCTGGGTCCGCGAGGACGCGCTTGCAGAGGCGCGCCTGGCTCTGCACTCCACTCCAATACCATCTTCTTCCCTTTTACAGCTTCCCACTTCCCATCTGTGCCCACCCACGGGTTTCTCAAAGAACTAAAAAAAAATTGGCATGGTTCACGGGAAAAGAATCAGGAATATGTGGGCTCCCTCGTCCTAGGTTCACAGTGCTGGAGACACGTGGCCGCTGCGGCCCGGCCAGCTTCTGACACCTATTCTGTAGCTCTGATCCGGCGTGACCTGCCGAGGCTGTGCATTTTGCCGCGCGGTGGAGATGGGAGTGCTAGTTGTACTTTGTAAGTTGCCAGCAAAACGTTTTCTTTTTCTTTTCATCTTTGCCAGTGCTGTCTGCAGACTCCAAAAGGCTTCTTCAGAAAGCTGATAATTAAAGCTATGGAATCCGAGCATGAGTAATCATTACCTATTTTGCTTGGGTGCAGTTCTTTACAGAAAATGATGTCCTCTCCAATAATTATTAGGTTATCATCTTGTCATATTAACTCCTCCAGGAGCCACAATTTGAGGATAAATGTTAGGTCAACCTTTGGTGTTCATTCTCTGATTCCAATAAATCTAGTATTCCAGGGGAAAAAAGCCCAAAACAAAATAAACAACAAACCCCAAATCCTAGGCAGCAGTCATTTCTGAATAGAAGACAACTATATGACTGTTTCAATGATATTTAAAAAAATGAGTACTTAATAAAATGGCCGTTTTAGCGAGTGATAAACACTTCGAAGCAGCCAGAAATTCAGTATCTCACAGCACATTTTGTGGAACGCTGTCTAGATTCTGCCATCTTCCTGGAATGTTCCGCCATTGCTCATAGTAATAGCTTCTTATTGACTGATGAGTATTTGTGTATAGACGGATTACTGCAAATTCAACTTCTCCAAAGGCTATAGCCCTAAACAATAGGTACCTGTAGATAAAATGCTTTGTTGACGTGCTTTGGGAAGTCCAGAGATAATTGATGGACAAATAAGTAGGATTTGTATTTGGGCAGACCAAAGGATCTCTATTTTGGCTTTTTTTTTTTTTAAAGGAGGAGAGAGATGGGGAAGTAGAAAGAATGAGCTGAGTCAAGAGGCTTTCCTCAGGAGGAAGACCCCGTAGTTTTGTCTCCCAAGGCAGTGCCCCTGGCGTGACCCCAGTGGAAATTCCTGGCTTTCTTTGTCAACTTTACAGAGTCCTGGGCCTCAACATCAGCTCTCAGGAGAAAAGACTGCATTACAGCCCCAGGAGGGAGGTGGTGTGAATGGGGCTCCTTGATGAATGGATGAAAGGTTTTCAGTAACAAAGGGCATCAATAGTTTGTATTTCATTGGCTGAACCAAATCACATGCCCCAAAGGTCTGTGTTTTAATGTCAGCATGTTTGACAACACCTACTCTTTCTCCACACATACCCATTCTCATCTTCAGGAAGGGACTCTGCTTAGCTATTCTGGAATTTTCTTAACCTACAATTGTTTTGTTCTTGATTCATATTTTATCAGATAAGAACCCCATCTTTTCAAATATGCCCCCCAATTACTTCATGTTCACTTAGCAAGTGAAAAAAATAATTCAAAATTATATATAAGAAAAATTTTCCCATCTGAAAATTTGGAGCACTAGAAGTTGAATTTTGCAAGTTTGTTTTGGGTAATCAGCAAGCATATTTCCCTTGGTTGGTTCAGCAACAACATTTCTGTCCCGTCATCTAGTTAGGGATGAATGGCATATTGTGGTTTCCAAAACTGAGACTACATATGCTGCACCCAAACTTGCTCAGTTTGGGAAGCTCACAAGTAGGCTTGCCTTTAATTTTTTTCATTCCCCTGAGTTTCTCTTTTGGCCAAAGAGAAATCGCTTCTGTGCCATTCAAAATACTTGAACTTATCTGCAACCCAGAGTAGAGAAGTAGCTAGTGAAGCACTTCTTGGAAATTCTTTGGCATGTGGGATGGGGTGGGGTGTAAAAGGAATGGGAAGGTTACAAAAGGTCCTGGTGTCTTTTTTTCTTTTTCTGGAAAAAAGATCAATGTTGATCCACAAAGGGAAACTCACAAGAAAAAATGCTGATGAATTTTGCGGTGTGCCTTGAGCTTCTCTAGTAAGCTTGCTAAGGTGCTCTTTGATTAATCTTCTTTTGATGACCAATCATTAAAGGTTGCATAAGACTCAGCTTGTGCCTTCTATATGAGGTATAATGTTATAGATATATAAGGTTCTCTGAAAGACATAAGGGCAGAGAGAGATTGCCTTTGGAGAAGTACATAAAGAAAAACTAATGTAGTATTCAGCATGTTTTAGGAGGCAATCAAGAAGTTAGAGAGAAAATATATTGATCTAGATTTCTCTAGAAAGACAGGCATGGCTTAAAATAAAACAATCAAATAAGAACAGGCAGGACAGCTAGCTGGCTACCATGGGCCAGGTACTTGACTCTAGGGAAACCTCAAGGAACATAAATTGTAGGGTCTCTGTTTTCTTGCAGCTTCTAGTCTAGCAGAAGAGTTTATCATGTATAGCTCAAGTAATTGATACGTTAAAAAAACACAACACAACAGAGCCAAAATACAACATAATTTTGTTCCTGTTGTTCTTGTAAACTTTATTCAGTGGGACCAATGTCCATGACCCCTGGATGAAAACTCTGGCAGGCCCCATGGCTCTTCTGCTCGTTCTCAGATAATTCAAAAAGTCTTCTGGTCAACTGGAATCACATACACAGTTTCATTTCAGCACTTACAGTGTCTGGTTCCATGCAATAATCAAAAACTGACCTTAGCCTAGCTACACCCCCTCCACATGGCCTGCCTGCATGCCTGCAGTGGGGAGGGGAGGCTGAGGAGGCTTGCTGTCTCCCGGCTCCTGCTCCCAGGCCAGCTCACCGCAACTGCTATGGTTGTAGCAGGGCATGTGTTGGGTGCATGCAGGAAGAAGAGGTAGAAACTTCCGCCCCTTCTAACCTGGCTGGCTGGTGTCCTGTTTTCCGGTCTGGCAGATGGTTTGGGTCAACTCTCTATGATGGACTCGCTGGCGCAGTGAGGCTTTGGAAGCCCCCGGTAGCTCCCTTATTCTTGCAGCTCCCTCATTCCTGGTGGGTGCATCTCCCTTCCTTCAGGTCGTCAGTGGACCCTACCTTCCTCAGCCCTGGCTGTCCAGTGGATAACCTCCATCCCCTTCTTGCCCTGGTCTCCTCCCACCTCTAAGGATCCCTTTGCACATGTTGGACAGGATTTCTCCTGCTGACCCAGGACATACAACTGGTCCTGGGAACTCTTGTTCCCCTCCGTCCTCCAACCCCACCTGCGCTCAGCAGGTGCAGTCTGTGCTGCATGTATCCGTCCATACTCTCTGGCTCTGCCCCCAGAGCTGTTTGCCAACTCCTCTGCCATCTTAGGCAGATTCTGGGACAGACTCTGCTGCATGGTCTGCTTGTGTCTGTGTGGCTGGCTCCCATCTCCCAACTGCGGGAACAAGCCTTGAAGCTCTCATTCCACAGGCCTTGAGGACGTGGGACAGGAGGCCAAGGAGGTCCCTTCACGACCTCCTCTTTCTAATTTAAGCTTTTTCCATATCCGTGATCTGGCTGAGGGATCCAGAGTCGTTAAAGAAGTCTTTGGGCTGTTTTCTCTGCACTCCGTGGCGCAGGGGAAGGGTAAGTTTCCTACTGGGATCTGAGTAGGACGGACAGAGAAAGAGTCTGTCCTAAAATCTGGTTACTCCTCAAATCCAGTGAGCCAGGTACAATCACCATAACACAGAGAAACTGATTTCCAGGTGGTTTAAATAACCTACCCACCCGCAGCAACCCAGTGATTAGCTCGGCCTCAAATCCAGGCCCACTGAGAAGATTCTGTATTTGTCACTGCAGGGGCATCATGCACGTTCAGGATGAAGGGGCCTTGAGGGGAGAGGGCTGCCTCTTGACAGATACTCGGGGCAAGCAAGCAAAGAAACTCGGGGTGAGAAAGTGGAAGATCCCCCGCCCCTCCCCCTTTCTTGACTCCCACCGGCCTGCGCGGTCCACGCGGCGTGGACAACAGACCCTTGTGGGCCACTGTGGAGGCCGTGCCACTCGGCGCCAGCCCCACGGCCATCACCGGACCGCTGGAGATGTGACTGGGCTCGGGACATGAGCCCGCTTGTTCGCTCACTCTCAGTGAAAAGAGTTTTGAAATGAGTTCTGAATAGACAGCATTTTCTTTGTGCGGTTGGTAAATAACACAGAGCAAAGTTAGCAAGTTGCAGCGCCTCTGCGTTCTGATTCTATGGAACCTTTTTGTAGGGAGAAGGGCAGGATGTTTTTAACTGAATGTGACCTCAGGGGAATACTAGAGGTAAGGAGAGAAAAATAATTGAGGTAACTGTGGGTGTTTTACATCTCGGAAACCATGGCTTTTAATAAGGCCACATGAAGAGAGAAGCTGGCATCATCCCACGCAAAAACCAGTGCCTGGCAGAGTTGTGGAAGGTGCTATCACATTGGCTTGGCATTTGTGTAGCTTTGATTGAAAATCAATGGTTTTCTTATGATAATTTTCACATCATATTTTTTTTCTTCTTTAGAAAATAATAAAATTTCTGAATGGGGCAGCGTGGAGAAATCCTAAGAGAAATAGCATAAGAGCATTTTGGAACACATCCAGGAAAAGATAACTTTCGACACACCTGTAGACGTTCGCCAGGTAAAGGTAAGAAAAAATATTGTAAAATGCATTTAAGTTATTTTATTACATCGCACTGGGTTGAACTTTGAGAGAAAACATACCACTGGCGCAAGATGCGCAAGGAGGAGTTAGGAGGGCTCACCTTTTGCCCCTCCCTCTCGTGGGCATGGGCATGGCAGCCCTGTGTCCACCATGACCATCAGCGGCCACCTGAGTTGTTTCTAATGCCGGCTGTGGAGCAGTCGAAGACATGTTCACCAGGTCGAGGGGATCTGACTGAGTATGATACTCGGCAGACAGTTCTGCGAAAAAGTCAATGTATTTAATACTGCAAATGTTACTTGTACAGTAAGGAATTTCTTTTAGATTTATATTTGCACGGGGACTGACTCACTTTCTATTTAGGATTTTTAAAAACATCACTTTTTCTGTGCTCAGATGAGAAGTACATCTGTTGCTTTCACATAATAAGCATCAAATATGAAGACACGTTGAATGCTTGAACCATTTGTCGCTATAGGAGACCTGCAACATATGCATGCTATATGTCTGTTTACTGGAATACAGGCACTGAGGAATCAAACTTCATGGTTCTTTCTTTGAGCCATAAGATTTTTTAAAATCTCTAGCTAATTTAGGTCACTGAAAATGAACATTATTTTGGACTTTTGAATGGGTATTTTGAAGGAGGCTCAGAAGGACAAATACTGCATTGGTCACTACGCAGTACTTGGGATTGTAGATGAGTTTCTTGAGCAAAGCATAATAACCACTTTTATTTGTTGGTACAATATATACACATAACGTTAGCACTATGACAAGATTGTTCTTCCAGTTCACATAGAAATTAGCTGTTGATTCTCAGGGTTGTACAGTTTTCTGTCTCGTGACTGTGGGTTAAGGAAAGCACTTGTAACTGGGGGAGAGCAGACAGCGAGGCTCACAGTGGTGTTCCAGTCAGGAAGAGCTTCTGATTTTCCGGCAGTTGGTGAATACATTTATTGCACACAACTTGGAGCCTTGATCTTTCTAACTATTTCAGATAAATTGCTGTCAAATTAGCAGGAATGGTCCCTTCAGATAAACCTAAATAATTTATGCCAAAGTAGTGATTCTCTTGTAAGCTATGTTCAGGTGGTCAAGATAAAAATGACATTCCTAGCAACATGGTCCTACATTAAATTATTCATAGTCCTACATTAAATTAGTTTGATGTTATTCAAAAATAACATCATTTTTCTTACTGACTTTGTAACCAAACTTTTTAGGTGAGACAGCGTCCTTAGTTTGTGGCTTTGCAAGTTATCTGGGAAAACCTGTATTTCCAACACGAAATAAAAGTAAAAATAAAAAATTCCAAATTAAAAAAACCTTTGCTTTGATTATACCTTTAAACTATTTGAATTAAAATTCAGCTTTGTACATCACCACATAGGAAATCCAGGCCCTTGAGCAATGTATTGATGAATTGGGGTGGAAATGGAGGAGGATGGAAACGATGGCGGCACTGGACTGTTTTCCAGAAACCATTTACACAGGCTCACCAGAAGAGGGCAGCGCAGAGCAATGAACTCTCCGAGGAGTTTCCAAACAGATGTCTTGAAACTTAAAGTGAAAATCTCTGCATGAAAGTAGCCGTTTTTGGACAGCGTCCTCCACCAAAACCATATATCTCTAAAATAATAATAAAACTCCCCAAACATGCTAATCTCGAAATGGGTCCCTCAACATGGAAGGATTGAGTTGCAAGGGACAAAATTTTACTTCCCTGTCAGAGATGTTTTCACTTCGATTATCCTTTTGATTTATTTTATTATAAAAGACTATGTGAAGTCTAGTATTAGTCATGTGCACAAATATTCATTATGCAGCTTTTTGGGGTGATTTTTTTGATAAAAATATTGAAAAAATCACAAATTCAGATTCGTGGAAGATTCCCTACGCAACACAGCGTTTGAAGCAAAATGCAGCTTAAGGAAGTTTCCCATTAAATCCATATTTCCTTGATGCAAAATGATATCACATTGTTTTACTTGTTAATTTTTTTCTTCTCAGAATTACCACAGAAAATATTTTTTGTTTTATAATAAAACACGTGATACTCTACATTGGACATACATTTTACACTTGAAATCTGGAAAGAAAAACCTACTAGACTGGAACAGAATTCCAAAGAACGTGAGGGGACAAATCTATGGAGACATTTATATTTTGTTTTAGGGTTATTATAAAACTCTAGTTTCATCGTCTATGCATAAATGTTTAGGGGATCTAAATATCTTCACTAAATTTTATTCTGTAATCGGAAAGTTGGCATTTAAGATGATCATTCTTATAGGCTAATTAGGATGATAAAATCCTTTCCTCTTTTCAAAAGTTCACGAACGCATAACAAATTGGAACTACTTTTACAAGCCGAGTGTCCCTCTTATGCCATTAGCTTTCTTGGATTTACCTTCTAGATGACTTTGGCTCCTGTTAACTTCAGATCTTTGACATATCAAGTATGGTTGTTTTCAAAGGTTTCCCAGGCAACTGCAACAATTCATCTGGTTCTAGTCAAAAGTGCCCTTGAACTCTCAGCTCACTTCCCTTCCCTGTATGAGTAATGTGTGTAGCAAAAGGAAAAACACCAAAGACTTCATGTAATGGCTAATGTGAATGATTTGGTGAAGAGAGGAATGGATTTCACAAAAGGATCCACTTGGATGTTAAGACCTCAGCTGGCTGCCTGCGGGTTCCCTTTGTCAAGCTCTCATTTGCATTTAGGGGGAAGGCCACAACCCACATCATGTGTTCGGGGTTCTGTTTAACTCTTCCTCACAGTTCCTAGGGCCCCAAACTCTTACCCTAGGTGGCCCCAAGGACTCCTTCAAGGCCAGATCGCTGGCCCGCCAGGGAGTGACTGCCCCCAAATCTCTGAGAGATGCCTCAGGACTCCAGCTGACTCACACACACGCTGACCTGTGAGAATCATTCTGTGCTTCTTGTTTCTCACATAACCCACTGGGAAGCAATGGTTGGAGTCTTGTTGCATTTTACTTACAGGAAGAGTTTTATAATTACCTCCCAAGAAGTTCCTGAAGAACAGAGGAGGGAGTAATTGGAATCTCTGATCCTGTTGTTTGTGAAAGGTTCCTCTGCTTTACATTAATTACATTCTGTGTTGCGTTTAAAAGAAAAGATTTCACCTCATCTAGGCAGACAGTGCAGTTAGACCATCACCTTTTTTCCCCTTTATTTTGACTCTTGTCTTCACAGCTAATTTACTAGTGACTAAAATGATGGCAAATAAGGCAATATAATATGGACAGCCTGCAAATCCCACTCATGGAGCTCTGTAAGTGGGAGCAGATTGCTGTCTGAGTACAGGGCTTCTGCAGAAGTCTCCCTATCAACTCCACGTCGAACTCAAAGTCTAGAGAGCTTCAACAATTAATGATATGTCATCTGGATCCAGTCATAAAAGCATGATGACCACCCCTTCCCCCACCCCTCACCATTCCTTTCTCCTTGGATTTGTTATATTTCATTCTGTTCAATATAATTACTGAGATGTAAACATTCCATTGAAATGTGTCTAAGTAGGCAGATTTTTAAGAATCTACTTTTATGGGTCTATAACAAATTTTAGGAAGGCTATTTCATTGATATGTGAAAGTGTATAATAGTTGCTTTAGCTACTAGCCCTTCCAACAGCTACATTTACCACTGTGATTGTCACTTTGAATAATCCTTGTGTTATTAAAATTAATACAGATAAATATAATTTTATAGTAGGAAATGTAGTTGTCAGGATGTGAAACAATAGTAATCAATTTGAATAAATATTTGCTATTTGTTTTCATAAAAGTTTTAATCCTCAAAAGAGAACTCTGACCAAAATAGGAATATAGCAGGATCAATGAAACAGGTGGCATGAGTCATCTCACTGGCTTTTAATTAAAAAGGATGCTGTGGTTGTTGGCGTGGACTGGACTGCGCATAGGCAGTTTTAGAATTTCTTAAGCTGAAATCCAGCTGGAGAGTTCTTAATCAGAATGGACTTATTTTGATAATTTATAATCTGTGTATTCAGAGCATTGATGTTATAGTTTTGATACCTAAATCACCGTTTTAAAAATTCAAAGAGATATATGAATCCTGAGTCTCGGACAGTTATTCCTGAGCCAAAGGATTTCTGTGCAATGCTAATATGTATAATAGAGAATCAGTCTTTCACTGTACAGTTTTGTCATCATGTTTCAATAACTGAATGAATATTCTGAATTAATAAGCATAACGTTTGTATAAGCTAAAGACTAATCTAAGCTCTGCATTCATTGATGGGAACCTTAAGCAAATGTTTCTTTTCATCAGCTTGTTCAAAAGGCATAAACATAATTACAGTTCTGAGGCGATAACATATCGACTGGTTAAATAGTAAGTGGGTCTGGACAAGGTAACTTAAAGTTATGGGCTGCACGTTGTTTTGAGTACTTGGAAGCATCTGGAAAAAATAATTTTTTTAAAAAGATATTTTTACTGTTTATCTTATAGAAAAACAGTATGAGCATTAAACCCCCACTAGAATTTTGGAGGTTTTCTTTTTCTAAAGCGTTGGTTAAAATTCAGATAAGTTGATACTTACAGCTTGAGAGAAAAGATGGGGAAGTGGTAGAAATATCAAATCATGAGTTAGTTTTAAATTTCTCAGAATGCTCAGGGGGCAGTGAGGGAAAGAGGGACTTGCTGGCCATGTCCCCACACCTCCGCTTTGCACCTTTTGCTGAAGTTAGTTCCCGAAAACAGTGCTGGGTGTTTGGGTTACATCTGGTTCAGCCTTCTTTTCCTCCTTCCTTCTTTATCCGTCACATGGCCTGCCCTCTATCTCTTAAATCTTAGGTCTGTTGTGAGACTGGGGAAGGAGTGATGTGAACATGTGCTCCTGGGCCTGGAAATGCCCCTCTGCCCCGACTCCTTCTGTCTCAGCAGTGCTTGTCATTAATTCTCCCAACAAATACCTGAGCCCTTCTCTGTGCAGGATGGGTCTCAGTGCTTTGAATGTGCTGTCTCGTTTAATTCTCTCAAAAGCCCTTTATTGACAATGCTCTTATAATATTTTATACAGAAAGAATGGAAAGCTAATCCAATCTTTTTCTAATGTGGTTAATCAAATTTATTTATTTTTAATTAATGGTGGCTTAGAAAGCTTTCTTTCAGCATTACTATCCTTTATGAGATTGTCATAAATGTTTACTATTTTTCATTGTTCATGGCAAGGCGGCAATAGATCTTATTCAGAATTGATAATCAGTGTGATTTATCTGGTAGCCAAACCAAAAATCAAACTATTATGCTGTTTAGATATAATGGTAGCCACTAGAAGATTTACATCAAATGTTAGACCAGAAGCCCTTTCCATCAGTGACCAGGTTTGGTATCTGCTAGGAGGGAAAAGCCTGGTAACTGATCACCAGTGTTTCTGTTCTTTTTACTTTATAGTTTGTAATTTACCAAGGCATGATTAATTTTGCTGATGTTTAAGTTACTTACAATCATATTAAGAGTTAGAGAGGAGTGATATCAGCAAGATGGCTGACTAAAAGTGCCCAACACCCATTTCCTGGACTACCCCCACAAAAAATGAATAAACAATGAATAAACAACTACATTTTGACCACAGTGGCTGAAGAAGAGTGCGGGAGTACAGCAGGAGTGGCAGAAATCCAGTGGAGCACAAACACTAAGTATGGGCTCATACAGAAGAGGAGGAATCATGCCACACCCTTGCCACCCCACCTGTGCCACCCCATTCTCTTATTCAGCTCAGAACCAGGAAGGACTCCTTCCTGGGGGGAAAAGGTAAGCAGGAGGTACCCAGCAGCCCCTATTACCATTGTGGACACCAGCAGTCTTCACCACTGGAGAATTCTACAGTCCTCAAGGTCCCTGAGCTCAGCTTGGGGAGCTGCCTGGAGTTCACATAGCTGCACTGCTCCAAAGAAGGAGCCCACATTGTGCCTCAACTCTTGTAGGCCAAGCTGCTACTGCACTGTGCCATCTGGAAACCAGAGCCACTGCTAGAGTGTGTCCTGCTTGGGGGTCCAGTAGCCACTGTATCTGTTTATCCCTGAGGCCTGGCCACCATTGCACCATGCTTTCAAACATGGTAGTGCAACATTCCCCAACTGAGCTGCAGCAACTCCATACCCCCTGGGAACAAGCTACCTAGAAGCCACCCCATTTCCCCCATCCAAGTTGCTACTGTGCCCCAGCCCCAGCTACTTGGACCCAAGGCCCAGTGGAGCAGGCATGCACTTCAGTGCCTGAACCAGCCCAATGTCCCACCCCCAGGAAGTTGGAACTTTGGTCTAGGGGAGCAGTTACATCCCTGGTATCCAAGCCCTTATGGCAGTGTGCTCTTCAGGTTCCTGGATCCCAGCCCAGCAGAGCAGCCACACCCCATAGTGCTGAGCTGATGTGGTATACTGGCCCCCAGAGAAACAGCCTTGGCTGAGCTGTGCTGCCCCACCCCTGGGCTGAACAGCTGCCGTGCCCCACCTTCCTGGGTCTGGGCCAGCCCTCTGGAGTCTGAATTGACTCCAGAAGTGGCACCTGCTTCCCAGAGCCCAAGCAGTAACTGTGCTCCACTGTTCTTGGGTCCTTGCTGCCACTGCACCTGGCGTCACAGAGACTGACCTACTGCTGTATCCCACTGCTCTGGGACCATAGTCATCACTATGCAGTACCCCCACTTCTGATGCCTGAGTTGCCACTGTGCCCTATTGGTTCTAAGACCTGAATTGCAGCTGTCGCCTGCTCTCTGGGGACTGAGCGTCTAGAACACCCCTTCTTCCCTGGAGCCATGTCAATGCTGTGCCCTGATCTCCAGGATTAGAGTCACAGCTACATCCTTGAACCCTGGGCCCAAGCTACTGGGAAATGCCTTAGAGTCACAGTCCTTGGCTTGGTGGGAGACCTGCATCCACCTGTGCCTCAGAGAATGGACCTGTGCCCACATCACAGGTGCCACAGTAGTTCAACAAGACACTGAGCCCAGGACCCCAGTTCTACAGCCATTCCAATCACATGTGCCCTTGAACACAGTGATGCTATGGCTGCCTGTGGCCCATGTCACACCTGATAATAACAGGGATCCCCTCAGCTAAGTGTGCCCACTGTGGGGAAAATGACAACAGGAGAACCCCTAATGCCCTTGCTGCCAAGAACCCTAACAAACTACCATGCCACCACCACTGCCACAAACTCCTACAGCCGAAGACACTGAGGTACTTGCAGTCATTGCTGATATTAATCACAGCTGAAGAAGCTGCACAGAGACTACATTACTGCACCCACTCAGAAGCAGAGCCAAGTACTCTGCTGACCTGACACTCTAGGACTCATCTACAGGCGAAAGTCTTTCCCTATGAAAGCCCTCTATAAAATTAGAAGAGGCAACTGTTCCACTGGATGCACAGGCATCAACATAGGGACATAAGAAATATGAAAAAGCAAGGAAACATGACACCACAAAAGGAAGACCATAATTCCCTAGTAACTGGCCACAAAGAAATTGAAATTGCTTAAAAAGGAATTAAACCTAATAATTTTAAGGAAACAAGAGAATACAGATAGACAATGCAACAAAATTAGGAAAACAATTCATGATCTGAATGAGAAAGTCCACAAAGAGATAGCTATCATAAAAACTAACCAAACAGAAATCTTATAGCTGAATAACTCCATGAATAAAATTTTAAAATTGACAGCTTCAACAGCAGACTAGATCAAGCAGAAGAAAGAATCTCTGAACTTGAAAAGAAGTCTTTTGAAATAACCTAGTCAGGAGGAAAAAAGAGTGAGGAAAGCCTATGGGATTTATAAGACACTCATTAAGTGACAAAATATTTAAATATGGGGTTGTTAGAGGGAGAAGAAGGGGAAAGGCATGGAAAACTTATTTAACAAATGAGTTGCTGAAAAATTCTCAAGTCTTGGGAGAAAATGGACATGCAGATTTATGAAGCTTAATGATCTCCAAACAGGTTCAACCCAAAGAGGGCCCCACCAAGTCATATTACAATAAAAATGTCAGAAATCAAAGACACAGAGAGAATTTAAAAAGCAGCAAGAGAAAAATGTCAAATGACATATCAGGAAATCTCCATTAGACTGTCAGCAGATTTATCAGCAGAAACCTTGCAAGCCAGAAGAGAAGGGAGAAATATACTTAAAAGTGCTGAAAGAAAAAAAACCTGTCAGCCAAGAATATTACACTTAGTAGTGCTGACTTTCAAAAATAAAGGAGAAATAAAGTCTTTGCCAGAGAAGCAAAAGCTAAGAAAATTTATCACTACTAGACCTGCCTTATAAGAAATATTTAGGGGAATTGTTTAACCAGAAACAAAAGGATGATGATTACTATCATGAAAACATATGACAATATAAAACTCGCCAGTAGAGGTACATTTATTGTCAAATTCAGAATATGTAATTACTGTAGTGGTGGCGTGTAAATCTTTCAACTCTCTAGTATGAAGGTTAAACATCAAAATGGTCAAAAATAACTGTGGCTACATTAAGTTGCTAAGAAATATGCGATATAAAAATATGTAAATTGTGACAACAAAAACATAAATTGTGGATGACAGGGGAGAGGTTAAAAGTCTAGAGTATTTTTATGTGATCAAAGTTAAGTAGTTATCATCTTATAATAATCAATTATAACTATAAGATGTTTTATGTAAGCCCCATGGTACACAAAGCAAAAAACTATAACAAATACACAAATAAGGAAGAAAAGGGAATCAAAGCTTAGCACTACAGAAAATCAACAAATCACAAAGGCAGACAACAAAAGAGGAAGAAAGGAAAAAGAATCTACAAAACAACCGAAAACAATTAACAAAATGGCAAGAGTTAAGTCAATACCTATCAATAGTAACTATTATCAATAATAACTGAATGTAAATGGATTAAACTTTCCAATCAAAAGGCAGAGGGTGTCTAAATGAATAAAAACCCAACATCCAACTTTATGCTGCCTACAAGAGACCCATTGTAGCTTTAGGGACATACACAGGCTGAAAGTGAAGGGAGTGAAAAAAGATATTCCATGCAAATAGTAACTGAAAGAGCAGAGATGGCTGTTTATAGCAGATAAATAGACTTCAAGTTAAAAACTGTTGTAAGAGCAAAGAAGGTCATTATGTAATGGTAAAAGGGCTAACCTATTAAGAAGACAAAACAATTGGAAATATATATGCACCCAGCATTGGAATACCTAAGTATATAAAGCAAATATTGATGGACATGAATGAAGAACTAGATAGCAATACAATAATAGCTGGGGACTTCAACACCCCCCTTTCATCAATGGATAGATCAATCAGACATAAAATTAATAAGGAAACACTGGATTTGAGCTTCACTTTAGGCCAAATGGACCTAACAGACATATATGGAACTTTCAATCTAATAGCAGCAGAATAAACATTCTTTTCTAGTGCACATAGAACATTCTTCAGGAAAGCCCCTATGTCAGTCCCATAGAAGATTGAAATTATATGTACCATTTTTTTCCAACCACAACAGTATGAAACTAGAAGTCGACAACAGGAGGAATCTTGAAAAATTCGCAAATATGTGGAGATTAAACATGTTCCTGAGCAACAAATGGGTTAAAGAAGAAGTCAAAAGGAAATTTAAAAATATCTGGAGAAAAATGACAATGGAAACATAACCTACGAAAACCTATGAACTGCAACAACAATAGTACTAAGAGGCAAGTTTATAGCAATACATGCCTACATTAAAAAAGAAGAAAGATCCCAAATAAATAGCCTAACAATATGCCTCAAGGAGCTAAAAAAAAAAGAGTAACAACTGAAACCTAAAGTTAGCAGGAGAGAAATAATAAAGATCAGAACAGAAATAAATAAAAAACAGAAAAACCATAGATAAAATTCATAAAACAAAGAATTGGCTCCTTGAAAAAAATAAACAGAATCAATAGTCCTCTAGCTAGACTAAGAAATAAAAGAGACAAGACTCAAACAAATAAAATCACTAATGAAAGTGGAGACATTACAACAGACACATCAGAAATAAAAAGGATCATAAGGAACTATTCTGAACAATTGTATGCCAATAAATGGTATAACCTAGAGGAGATGAATAAATTTATAGAAAAATATAACCTACCAAGATTGAATCAGGAAGAAATAGAAAGCTTGAATTTACCAATAACAAATCAAGAGAATAAAGAAGTAGTTAAAAACCTTCCAACCAAAAAAGCCCAGGACCAGTTGGCTTCAGAGCTGAATTCTATCAAACATTCAAAGAAGAATTATTACCAATAATTCTTCTATTCTTCCAAAAATAGAGATACAGACAATACTTCCTAACGCATTTTATGAGGGCATTATTACCTTGATACCTAAGCCAGACAAAGACACCACAGAAAAAGAAAACTACAGGCCAGTCTCTCTGATGAATGTTAATACAAAAATCCTCAACAAAATATTAGCAAACTCAATTCAGCAATGCATCAAAAAGATTATACATCATGACCAAGTTTATTGCTGGCGTGCATGTTTGGTTTAACATACACAAATCAATGTGATACATCACATTGGCAGAATGAAGGAAAATAACTCCATGATTATTCTCAATTAACATCTCAATTCTGTGTCTCAATTGATGTAGACAAAACATTTGACAAAGTTCAGGATTTTTTCAGATCTTTCAGGATCAAAACTCTTAACAGTTTAAGCACAGAAGAAAAGTTCCTCAACATAATAAAAGCCATTTATGAAAAACCCACAGCTAACGTCATGATCAATGGTGAGCAACTGAAAGCTCTTCCACTATGATCTGATACAAGGCAGGAATGCCTGTTCTCACCACTTCATTCAGCCTAGTACTGACTACTAGCAAAAGCAGTCAGATAAGAAAAGAAATAGAAAGTATCCAATGACAAAAGAGAAGGAAAATTATCTCTATTTGCAGATGACATGATTTTATATACAGAAAGCCCCGTAGATTCCACAGAAACTCTTAAAACTAATAAATGAATTCAGTACATTTGTAGGATATAAAATCAACATAGAAAATCAGTTACATTTCAATACATAAATAACATCCAAGCTGGAAGAAAATCAAGAAAATGATCCCATTTCAATTGTTTAGAGATGCTTAGGAATAAATTTATCCAATACAGTGAAAGATTTGTATGCTGAAAACTGTAAAACATCAAAAACAGAAATTGAAGAAGGTATAAATAAATGTGTCCATGTATAGGAAGAACTAATATTGTTAAGATGACCATGCTACTTAAAGCAGTTTACAGATTTAATGCAATCCTTGTCAAAATTCCAATATTATTTTTCACAGAAATTGAAAAAAAAACTCTAAAATTTGTGTGAAACCACAGAAATGCCTGACTAGCCACAGCAATACTAAGAAAAACAAAATTAGAGACATCACACTTCCTGATTTAAAATTATATTACACAGCTATAGTAATCAAAACAGTATGGTACTGGTGCTAAAACAGAACTATAGACCAGTGGAACAGAATAGAGTACCCAGAAATAGAGTCAAGCATATGCACTTAACTAATTTTTGACAAGGGTATAAAGAGGACATAATGGTTAAAGGATAGTCTCTTCAGTAAATAGTGCTGGAAAAATTGTATTTCCACATGCAAATGAATAAAACTGGACTTTTATACCATATACAAAAATCTCAAAATGGATAAAAGGCCTAAATGTAAGACCTGAAACCATAAAACTCCTAGGTGAGAAGATAGGGGAAAAGCTGCTTGACATTGGTCTTGGCTGCAATTTTTTTGGATATCACTCCAAAAGCCTCAGGCCACAAAAGCAAAAATAAATAAATAGGACTAGATCAAACTGAAAGTTGCTGCACAGCAAAGAAAGCAATCAATAGGAAAAATATTTGCAAACCACATATCTGATAAGGAGTTAATTTCCAAAATTTATGAAGAACTCTTATAGTTCAATAGCAGAAAAACATAACCCAATGTAAAAATAAATGAGTGAAGGACCTGAACAGACATTTCTCCAAAGACATAAAAATGGCCAACATATATATGAAGAGGTGTGCAACATTACTAGTCATCAAGGAAATGCAAACTAAAATCACAATTCTGTTATCACTTCATACCTGTTAGGATGATTATTATCAAAAAGACAGAGATAAATGTTGGTAAGGGTGTGGAGAAAAGGGAACCACAGTACACTGTTGGTGAAATTGTAGATTGATACAGCCATTATGAAAAACAGTATGGAGGTTTCCCAAGAAATTCAAAATAGAACTACTTTATGATCCAGAAATCCTCTTTCTGGGTATATACCCAAAGGAGATGAACTTAAAATCTTGTAAATATTTGAATGATGCAAATATTCATTGCAGCATTATTCACAATAGCCAAGATATGGAAACAACGTAAGTGTTCATTGATGGACAAATAGATAAAGAAAATGTGTTATGTATTTACCAGTTGATATGGTCTGGCTCTGTGTCCCCACCCAAATCTCATCTTGAATTGTAATCTCCACGTGATGGGGGAGGGACCTTGTTGGAAGTAATTAGATCATGGGGGTGGTTCCCCCATGCTGTTCTCATGAGTGAGTGAATTCTCATGAGATCTGATGGTTTTTTATGGGGCTTTTCCCCCTTTGCTTGGCACTTCTCTCTCCTGCCACCTTGTGAAAAAGGATGTGTTTGCTTCCCCTTCTGCCATGATTGCAAATTTCCTGAGGCCTCCCCCAGCCATGTGGAACTGTGAGTCAATTAAACTTCTTTTCTTTATAAATTATCCAGTCTTGGGTATTTCTTCATAGCAGTGTGAGAACGGACTAATACACCAATGGAATATTATTCACTCTTACAAAGGATCCTGCCATTTGCCACCACATGGATAAAGCTGGAGGACATTATGCTAAGTGAAGTAAGCCAGACACAGAAAGAAAAATATTTATGTAATCTCACTTATACATAAGATACATACAGAAAGAATAAACTAGTGGTTACTAGGGGTGAGGGTGGGGGAGGAAATGGGGAGATGTAGGTCAAAAAAATAAAGTAGTCATATGTAGAATGAAAAAGTCTAGAGATTTAATATAACATGAAGACTATAGTAAATAAAATTGTAATAGGGATTTTTGTAAATAAGTAGTTTCTAACTGCTCCTGTCACAAAAAGTAACTACATGAGATGAAGGTACATTAATCTGCTTCACTATGGTGACTATTTTACTACCTATATGTTTCCTATAATATCACGTTGTAAACCTGAAATATATACAATAAAATTCATTTAAAAAAAGAGCTAGAAATTTTGTCTACCATTTATTTTTGTGCCTATTTTTTCTATGTTTAAATATATGGGCATACAGATTCTGTGTGTTTGCATGCTTTTCAATTTCCATAAACATATCATTTTTAGTAATTCTGTAAAAGTTTTCATAAGTTCAGTTTCTAGGTTTAGATAAATTATGTTTTGGCCTATCCCACCAAGTTTGCTTGAATCCTAAAATTAGATATTTAGGTTGGAGAGTACTTTCAGTTTTGTAGAGGATACTGCTTTTCCAGGCATGCTCATCCCCAAGAACAGGTTTGGCCAGTGGCCAGGCAGGATATGAAGTCACCAGTACCCTCAACGTTTTCTGAATTTGGATCCCAGTAAGCACATCAGTTTTCTGCCTTCCTCATGTTAAGTTCTTTCTCATGGACCACGAGAAAGTCAGTGTCTGTAATTTGGCCTCTCTCTAACCGTGGAAGCTTTATATTCACCAGACATGGTTCTAGCACCTAAGCCACAATCCAGCTCTCCCCATGAGATTCCTGGGCTCTTACCTAGATATCTTCGTGGTTCCCTTAGGCCCTCACTTCCTGACGGAAATGCTAACTTCTCAATAATGTCTTTCTGGATTACCCTGTTCAGCTGGCAAGTCCCACTCCACTCCTAACGGGTCTCCCTACTTGCAGTTTTGTTTCTTTGCTTTCTGAAGCACTTATCAATCTCCAGTGTAATATGTTTGATTTCTCTTCTTTGTTTATATGCTCAATGAACAAAGCAGAGGATTGTGTGTCTTTTGCTCACACATCTGTCTCTGCCCTTAGAATAGTACTTGGCCCACAGTAGATGCTCAGTGAAGTGCCATTGTACAGGAGAGATGGTGGTGGTCTCTATGTTGAAAGAAGTCAAAGTCATACTCCAGTCCAGCCAGGACACTCTGTGACATCCATAATTATAAACTTTCTCTGATAGAATTTTTCCAATGAGAGACCTCCCCCATGACTGACGTTAATAGACTTTCCGGCCTCCTTGCCATATGGTTCTGGAAATGTTCCCTTCTTGGTGCGTATCCACTTTCGTGTCTTGAATCATTGCGTCTGCTGTGTTTCTGTAGTTTCTTTCCCCTTCACTTGATCAGTATGTTCATTTTCAAAAGCCAACAGTTAATACCAAGCACAGAAGACTGGTTTTGAAAAAGGTAAAATTTTCATTCATTTAGCAAGTGTTCTAAGGTTCTTTGCTTAAGGAATTTGTACTCCAGTTGAAGAAACAAACAAAACTGTGTGGGTGATGATATAGTAAAGGACCCAGGCACAATATCAGGTGCTAGGTTGCCCTCAGTGTTCATTTTGTGGCAAGAATTAAAATATGAAATACAAATGCTGTTTTATAACTTCCCTTCCCACACCATTTAAAGAGAGAGAGCTTTGAGGAATATCTTCTTGTCTTACAGAGAGCATAGGAATTACTAGGATAAAAATAAATCTTTCTTGAGCTGGTATTCAGGAAAGAGCCTGCTCAGGCAGGGATTGGAAAACAGAGGATGGGAAGTCTGAGCAGCTCTCATGGGATGCACTTTTGGGGACAAGGAGGACTAAGGAAGATTTTGAAGACTTTTTTTTGTATGTTTTGAGGCTTACAGTCTACCCCAGTTCCACTTCCCTCAAGAGTATATTAGGGAAATTGTGAAATTTTTCTAAAGATATATATATTTTTAATTTTAAGAAAGATTGGAGTAGGGAAGGGCAATTTATAGCAAGACCAAAAACTCAAACACCCACAAAAGAAAAACATGACAGGTGGAATTGGCAGAAATTACTGAGGGAATGGCTATAGGGTTCACGTGTGACAACTTGGGATGGCTCCTCTGCATCTGGAGAGACTGGGATGCCCTTCATTAAGACAGGGGGATGGGAATGGTGCCTGTGTGACATTCTGGTAGAGAACACACCACACATTAATGGGCGTTGCTGTAGATCTGTGAGTATGAAGATATGATGAGAATTACACTTAGATGATCTTGGCAGTAGCCTTTCACTTGTGTTTTGGAGCGGAGAGAGACAGAGATGCATGTGCACGTGTGTGTGGTGTTTGGAGGTGTGCCTTATATAAAGAACATTATTAATGGTTTCATAATCTTTTTTTTTTTTTTTTTTTTTGAGATGGAGTTCCGCTCTTGTCGCCCAGGCGGAGTACAATGGCACAGTCTCAGCTCACTGCAACCTCTGCCTCCTGGGTTCAAGCAATTCTCGTGCCTCAGCCTCCCAAGTGGCTGGGATTACAAGTGTCTGCCACCACGACCGGCTAATTTTTGTATTTTTGGTAGAGATGGGGTTTCACCATGTTGGCCAGGCTGGTCTCAGAATCCTGACCTCAGGTGATTCACCTGCCTCAGCCTCTCAAAGTGCTGGGATTACAAGGCTTGAACCACTGTGTCCAGCCTCCTGCGTTTTTTTTTCATTTCCCGTAAATATGCAAAATTACTGCCTCTTGAGTGTGACTTTATTTTGTCTTGTAGTAACAGTTTTTTAGAGAGGAGTGTATCTGCAGTTTTATATGGTCAGTGAAAAGAAAATGATTGACCACGTGAAACTGGTCAATGGAGTTTGAGGATGTGTTGCAATGCATTTTGAGGACACTAGTTCAGGACTGAGTCTATATGGTGATGCTGGCTGCACATGCGTTATTCTCTGCTCTACATTTCTCTCGCCTGTTGTGAACTCTAAAGGGTCTGTGCCGCAGGTCTGGGCATCACTGACTATGTTTTCCAAAAATGACAGAGAAGGAAACATCATTCATAACACTTTCCTATTTTGAGTTGATTAAATTAATTTTAATAGATGTGTGGATTGTACCACAGAGCCAGCCTTGGAGTAAGCAGAAAGTGGGGTTTCAGGGTTCTCAGGAGGGCCTAATGCCTGCTCAGAACTTTGTCCACCCAAAGTGAATTCCATATTGAAGCAGGCGAATAGGGTCTGGAGGCAGGGAACCTAAGGCCAATTTGTGCTGACTTCCCAGAACTGAATCAAAAGGAAAACCCCACCTCTCCACATCCAAGTAACAAAGGATCAGAGGCTACTCCCTTTACACAGCATCACAGATGGAAAATAGAAAGTACCTCTGATTGGTCCCCTCCCACAACCAATCAGACCAGTCAGACTGGTCATGGGCCAAGTCTTCATGTGTAACTTTGTAATTTCCCTTCAGCCTTTGATTGGTCGCCTTCTGCAACCAGTCAGATTGGTCATGAGCTACTCCTTCATTTACATAGTGTGTAACCAAGTAACCAATGAGAAACCTCTAGAGGGTGTTTTAACTCCAGAAAACTCTGTAACCAGTGCTCTTCAGCTGTCTGCTCTAGGCTGCCACCACTCTGTGGAGTGTACTTTCCGTAAAACTGTTTCAATAAATCTGTGCTTTCATTGCTTTATTCTTTCATGGCTTTGTTTGTTTCTGGACTTGTGGTCAAGACCCTGCATCAGTAACAATATTGGAATTTTATCTGTTATATTAAGGCCATTAATTCCACATGGGTATAATTTCTGCCCTATTAAGGCAATGTCTTCCCTATTCTTAAGCTCTTGGTAGGCATCTCTCTTGCTAACCTCATGCCTCATGTTTTACTTTCCCAGTATAGTGAACCACTCATCTCCACCAGCCTCTCCACCTGCACCATCACCACCTGCTTTATCACCATCCTCACCACCACTACTACCACCAACACCACCACCACCACTCCCCACTTACCACCACCGTCACCATCACCATGCTTATCGCCAGCATCAACAACTATTTGTCAAAACTACTCCTTGCTAGGAAACTGTGCTAAGTTCATGTAGATGTTCTCCTTCAATTCCAACATAAATCCTCTCATGTAGATACTCTTAATTCGGTTTACCCTCAACTCCATACACAGATCCTGGCACATAAATGTGTTGATTGAATGCATTCTCATTTTTCGGATGAGGAAATCAAGGCTCAGAGAGGCTAAGTAGCTTTCCGAGGTTAAACAGCTAGTCATTGATGGATCTAAAATTCAAAAAGACATGTGGACTATTGCCCCTTGAATACTGCCTCAGCCCTCCAAACTCCAGACCTTTGTTTCTACTCTTCCATCTACTTGGAGTGCCCTTCTTCCCTTTTCCTGCCATTCAGAATTCTTCCCTGTCCTTTCCATTATTCAAGTCATAGTTCAAATCCCACCTCTTCCCCAGGGTTCCTTGGGTCAAATTTCTCCATTTGGAATTACAGTCATGTGTTGCCCAATGACAGGGATGTATTCTGAGAGATGCATCCTTAGGTGATTTCATTGTCCTGCAAACATCAAAGTGGACACAAACATGGATGGTAGTGCCCACTACACATCTAGGCTATAGGGGACAGTCTATTGCTCCTAGGCTACACACCTGTACAGTATGTGACTGTCCTGAGTACTGTAGGCAGTTGTAACACAATGGCAAGTAGTTTTGTATCTAAATGTATCCAAATATAGAAAAAATACAGTAAAAATGTGGTATTATAATCTCATGAGACCACTGTTATGTGGCCCATGATTGATGGCAATGTCTTTGTGAGACGCGCGACTGAAATTCTCCTTCCTCCATGCTTCCATGGCAATTTGTTTGCACTCCATCAGCCCACTTGTAGTGTCTGCTCTCTGCTGACCTGTGTGAATGTCTGCACCCTCGCTGGCCTGTCAGCTACCTGGGTGGTGGCTGGGTTCACAGCCCTTCAACACCTTCTTTCTGGTCTGGCACAGTGCTTTGCTTGCTACTAGGTAGCAAGCAAAGATACATTTGTGAAATCAAACAGTATTTACCCAGGAGAATGAGAGAAGGCTCTGGGGGTGGGTTCGCACCAGGGAAAGGGGGTGAAAGAGCAGAGGCGCTGACACCTGGTAGGACAGGGAGGAAGCAGCGTGGGCCAGCTGGCCATGGAGAGCACCAAAGACAAACTTTGCCGAGTGCACAATAGACAGAGGCTGGTCCTGGGTACACACAGCATCTTTTACAAATAAAACAGCTTTATTCATGGCAAACCAGAGAGAGGAAGAAACAACAGGTGCCAAAGATGAATAGACTGTTGTTATCCATTTATTGATTGGAAACCAATCCTAGATTTCTCTTCTTCCTGTTTTACCAAGTGGCCTCTGCCCGAGTGTAATTTTTACTTTTTAGTGCCGTCTGCACCTGTGGCCTTTGGACCTAATGTTTATGACAGATGGGCCAGGCCGTGTTTGCACCATTTAGTGGGTACTTTCCTTCTGTAGTGCTCCATGCCACCGTCGCTGTGGCACGGGCCCAGTGGGCATGTGTGTGGGGAGAAGCCCACGTCTGCAGCCATTGTTCAGCTGCTGTCCTCGGAGTCTAGCCCTGTGCAGTTGGGTCCACTTATTGCCCATCATTTCTCTTTCTTGCCAGGTCACCGTCCCTCAAAATACAGTGCTCAATGCAAGCAAATCAAGGGGATGGGGACATTCACCTCAAATGTCGGAATCGGACATATTTCTACAACTTTTCAGTCTCTTTTTTTATAACTATTATTTTAAGAAAATATTTCCTGATTCTGTTGTGGTCCTTCTTGTAAAGAAAGTTTAAATGCATCTTGTCCACTAATATGAGAGGGAAGCCTTGCTTTTTTGTCTTGAGAGACAGAGTGATGTGCGTGTAAATAGTGCACTTTGGACTTTTTTACAGAGATTTACCTGCTGGCTTCATTGCTTTTCATCCTAACAGATTGCCAAGTCAGACTTTAGATCAGCACAAAGTCAATGTTTGCCTAGCAGACAGGGAGATAACGGGAAGGGAGGAAGGGAGGTGTGCCACTCTGAAGCTGTGTCAGCCCGAAGACATTGACTCCACATCAGAGTTCAAACAATCTGCTCCCCACTTTCCCTGCTTCTCTGCAAAGCAGCATGCTCGCATGGGAAACGGCCCTGTCTTAGAGCCATTGGTTTCCTCTTTCTAGAATCACATACTGGCCACCCGGTACCCATCTCTAGCCAACCAGAAGACAGCATTCTATTTGGACAAGAGAGGAAAGTGGTAAAGCATGTCTCTCCAGATATTTAAATGTTTAATTAAACTTTTTGTTGTTGTTGTTGTTGTTGTTGTTGGAGTAAATATACGGAAAAATGCACAATAGCCAGCTGTATCTGTATTTTCCTTGTAAACATTCCCTGTTAATCTGAGCGCCACTACCCGGTCTCTGGTTCCTGGCATCGCTTTCTCTACTGCCCCTCGGCTCCGGCTGGCTCTTCAGAGAGCAGCTTCCTGTGACCCAGGGGACCTGCACGACGCAGGAAGGCCCGTGCAGGGCCAGTTGGGCCTCTCTTCTGCAGTCTCCTTACTCCGCATGTGCACTGGTGGTGTATGCAGAGTGGGAGAGGTGCGGGCTCTCTGGGGCCCAGCAGATTTCCATCCCTGCTCTGCGCTTCCCAGGTGACGATTCAAGGCAGGTTCCTCCCCGCTGCCTCATGCCTAGGGTGGAAGGAGTCGGTGTACCTAGAGCACACAACCAGTGCTTAAGCCTTTAGGGAGGACCCTGGTGTGCTCAGAAGAATGTGCCTTGACCCCACCAAAGACGATGGGGTCGTGCATTCCGGCGTCCCTGGGTTTTCCTCTTTTAATATCATCACATCCCATCATCCAGAAGAGCTCCTCCAGGCAGTCTCTGGAGCACACCATCCCTTGTCCAGGGAAACAGCAGCTTTCCTGCAAACCTCCACTGCTAGCCTCCTCACCGGGCTCCCTGCTTGATTCCCTTTTCCTCTCCACACCTTTTCCGCCTGCCGGGCGCCAACTGGGAGTCTGATGGTGCTGCTCCCTTGCTGGAGCCCTCCGCGCTCGCCTCCAAAGGCGACTTTCGCGCTCTGTGCTGAGGCCTGGGAGCCCCACAGCCAAGCCCCGGGCAGCGCCTGAAGCGCCAGGCTCGCCTCGCCTCCTCTTGGCTGTGTGGCTCTCGGGGCTTCATGCAGCCCGGCCTGCTGCACGCTTCTCGGGCCCTGGTCTGCCCTTCTCTCTCCCTTCTCGCCGACACCAAGTATTGCTTGTTCTTTTTTTTTTTTTTAAATTATTATTATACTTTAAGTTTTAGGGTACATGTGCACAATGTGCAGGTTAGTTACATATGTATACATGTGCCATGCTGGTGTGCTGCACCCATTAACTCATCATTTAGCATTAGGTATATCTCCTAAAGCTATCCCTCCCCCCTCCCCCCACCCCACAACAGTCCCCGGAGTGTGATGTTCCCCTTCCTGTGTCCATGTGTTGCTTGTTCTTTATCCTCCAGGTTTTCAGTGGAGAGACACCTTTTGAGAAAGGCCCTCCCTGACCTCCCATCTGAGTAGACTTCTCTCTCCTTTCCTACGCTATTCCCTTCCATCCCTCCTTTGTGACACTCATTCCTGCTGACCGTTACGCCATCGTGCGCCGTGCGAAATCACTCAACAAGCACCCTGGGGCTGATGGGGAGACTGGGACCAATACTCAACACTTTATTCGTAGCACCTTAAAACACAGATGGAAACCTAGTAAAAACGCTAGCACTTTTATTCATGGTAAATGGCTCAGCCGTGTGCAACGTGCTCCTATAAATATGGCACTTTACCTTGAGAAGGAAGACCTGAGGCTTGTTGTGGAAGTGGGAGTTGGAGGCGGGTGGGAGGAGGTGTCTGAACTCGGAGGAAAGGGGACTCACGTTGGGTGTGGGTGGCTGAGGCTCTGCAGCTCCCGGGAGCTGAGAGCCCGTAGGAATTCAAGGTGTGCTCGGAGCGCGCTGGCGTTTTCCTGGGTCCTGCTCAGCCGGGTGCACATCTCCGTATTCGCCCAGTGTTTCTCACAGATGACATCGCACATAAGCAAAACAAAATTTGCCTTATGCTCCTTATGCTCAAATTGCTCCTAGTATATCAATCACGTTGGAACAAACTCGCATTTTCGAAACAAGCGTTACAGCAAAACTGACTGTATCTATATTGAATCATTTCATCTCTCTCCCCTGCAAACATAGACCCCCCTCAAAGCGGACACCCTGCTAGCTTTTCACCTTCTGTAGAATAGTGCCCGGCGTGGGGCGGGGGGGTGGGGAGGGTGCTGGCAGTGACCTGTCCAGTGGACAAACGTCAGTGTTGGTTAAATGAACTCAAAACAGGAAGTTATGTTTAGTCACTGATCGTGTCACTTTTACTTAAAACTTTATAAGTTACCTGTGTTCACAAACCAGTTCTTTTCTTTTAAAAAAACATTTTGCAAAATATCTTAGGCTGTCAAAGGATCTATCCAGACATTCCTGGCAGGCAAGTCAGTGTAATTATTCGTCTGCTTGGGTCATGGTAACTGTTATGAACGTACACTTTTTGTGACTTTTCTAACACTAGCCCTGAGGAAAGTCAGCATTTTGTATATCCTTCAACAGTGGTGGAATAATGAAGATAATGAAAATGAAATTTCTATTTTGTGAAGAAGCAATCTTCTCCACAAAATAAGCCTGACCTATAAAAAACAGCACTGTCTCTTAGGGAAGGAAACCCAAAGTCAAGCAGAGACAAACAGTTCAAGAGAAGTATGATCTCACATTGCCTTGGCTATTGACAATGATGATTTTGAGTTTGGTTTAACCCTAAACCTAGGGGGACACTCTAGTGGAACAAACATATTGGTAATAGTGACAGTGACTCTTTTTGAAATCCTTTTGCCAAAACAAAGATTCCATCAAAAATGTCACTTGAACTCTCCAAGACAGAGAAGAAAAGATAAAAGAGGCTGAAGATAACTTGGCCAAGAGATTTAGAGATGATAATTTTTCATTATATCTATTATCAGTTGACATTTTAAAATCTCTGGACTTTCTCAGTTTGGAGACAGAAGACAAAAAACCAAAAGGAAGGAAAGGAGGGATAGATGGATGAAGAAAAGAGGAAAGAAAAAAGCTAAGAGAGAGAAAGAGGAAAGGAAAGGAAGGAAGGAAGAAATTATCTGTAAATTTAGTATTCTAACTTCTCATGGAATGACAGTGACAGGCTTTTTTCTTTTGTTTTTATAAAAAGCTGAATGTGTTTTGCAAAGTGCTTCCGTTTAGAAAGCCCGTTTAGAAAGTGTTATTTTAATTATACTAGTTGGATTATTAGAGCATTTATCTCTGATAGCTTTTCGTGGATTTGAGGAACAGAAAACCTACAGGATGGTAAGAAAATGTGTTATGATCTTAGGATAGTGTGACTGTTTTCTGGTCTTCAAATTGATCAGTGTAGTAGGGTGGTTGCTTTGACTGGCACATTTGACATGGCCCTGACACAAACTCCACTAAGGCAATGCTTTGACGTCTCTAGAGTTAGCAGGCTTATAAGGAGAACTCTCCCCTTTTAAAATAAAAGGAAAGATAATATTCAAAAATGAACAAAAATATCTATTCACAAATTTAGGAAGAGATGGCTTGGGTTGCGTAAGACATCAAGAGTAACATTGCTTTATAAAACTAACAATTTTGTTTTAACATTAGCTTTTTTTATAAAGAACCAAAATTTGTCTCCCCAGTTTTTCTCAATTGATTGCATTCTTTTTTTTTTTTAAGAAAAAAAAACAAGACTGCCTTTTCTAATTATCAGAGTGGCAAAAACTCATTTAGAAAGTAGAAAAAACATAGAAATAAAAACAATAATACCATTGCACAGAATCAAAGTGCTAAATATTTTGATATTTCATTGCAATCTTTTTAAGTATTTGTATTTTTGACATAGTTGGATACATTATACATACTAGTGCATTTCTTACTTTAAAATTTTTAAAAATTTACTTTAAAATTGTATAATATAAATTCTACCATGGCATTAAACATGCTTTATAAAGGTAATTTTCAATGACTGTCTGATGTTTTGTCTTATTTTATGTAACCAATCCCTTCTCATTGGATGGACGTTTCTACTATCTATAGTTTTCCTGTGATGAAGGAGACAATCAATGTCTGCGTATATGTGCATCTTTGTTGGCATTTTGGATTTCCTTCTTCATAATCAAGTCCCAGGCATGGAATGACTGGGGTCAGAGGGTGTGATGAAATAGGAGGCCTGTAAGCTATGGAAGAGGTGCTGACATTTGTGAGGGCCCTTCCCTAGGACACAGTAAGAGAGTGAGAGGTTTTCCTTATTCTCAAACCAAGTGCAGAAATCTCCACTGCAACACCCTGACAGGGGTCCCTCAGACTCTACTGCAATTCCATCAGCTGTTCTCTCTTTTACTTTCCTCACTGAAATCCATGCAAATAGTGATTACATGTTGGCTTTATTGCATGCATGAACTGGAAAAGTCTTTTTTTTTTTTTTCTAATTTGTTTTCTGTGAAGTTAAGCGAGGGCTCTGGGGCAGCAGGAGGTATGGCAGAGTGGGCAGCAGGTGGAATGGGAGGCCCAGGAATCCAAGCTGTGATGTCTTTTTTTTTTTTTTTTTGAGTCGGAGTCTTGCTGTCGCCCAGGCTGGAGTGCAGTGGTGTGATCTTGGCTCACTGCAACCTCCGCCTCCCGGGTTCAAGCGATTCTCCTGCCTCAGCCTCTTGAGTAGCTGGGATTACAGGCTCCTGCCATCACGCCCAGCTAATTTTTGTTTTTTTAGTAGAGATGGGGTTTCACCATGTTGGCCAGGCTGGTCTTGAACTTCTGACCTCAGGTGATCCGCCTGCCTTGGCCTCCCAAAGTGCTGGACCAAGCTGTGATCTCTTATGTGTGCTTTGTCGTTTCATCTCTCATGCTTAGCATCCCTTCTTAGGGAGCTGTATAGGATACCATAGGGTGGATTAACAGTTGGGGATGCATGTCTTAGCCATGACAAGAGTTTCCGAGGGAACCAGCTCATCCCTGCCAGCTTCAACATACATTTACATTCTGTATTTCTAGTTCAGTCTCGTCAATCAGAACCTTAGATGTCAATTATTCTAGAAACTGAAAAATTTCTGAGTCTCACGTTTCTGTCTTAAGATGGGCAGAGGGTTATTGGACACATTAAATGAAATAACTTATGTGAAAGTACTTGTCAATGTAAGGTACTATTATTAGTAACATTAGTATGTTTCTCTTGAAATGAATTAACTGACTGTAAGTGCTGCCGATTTCTTTCATATCCTCCAACAGTACCCGGTGTAGGTACTGATGCCATACTGTGCTCACAGCACTGAAGATATCCAAAGTGGCACATGGCATGGTTCCATTTTTAAGGGGCCTAGTGATGGTGATAGATACACACACACACACACACACACACACACCTGTGTACACACATAGGGGAATGAATGTATAAAAGTAAAGTGAAAGCAATTAGAATGACACATGGGAAAAGGCAGCCGAGACATCTCTACCGAAGAAGCAATACTTAAATTAGCCATTGAAGATTTTGGACAGGCTGTTAGGAGGGCGGGGGAGGTGTGGCATTGTAGATTGGTGAGAGAGTTGAATTAAGGTGTGTAGCAATGAAAGAGAATGGTTGAATCAGGGAATATGGAGTAGCCTGGAGTGTGTGCATGACAGAATATGTGTTTGTATGAGTGTGTGTTTGTGTGTGAAAATGGGAGTGTGTGAGAAATTGTGTGTGTGTGTATGGAGAGGATGAGTGAAGTGGGGAAGGAGGAAAGAACGAAGTGGGAGGACTTAGTAGGAGGGAAAGCGGGGAAGAGTTTGGAGCTGGATTGTGGCGCTCCCTGACTGCTTTGTTGCTGAGATTTGCCTATAAATTATCTATTAAAATAGGAGAATAATAGAAGCAACATCCAGCAGGCACTTAGAGATTATGCTGCTAACATCAGGCTTTCCCTTTGCTTTGATTTCCATAAAAAAGTTACCATGATGGGACAGTAATTGCCAGGGGATAGAAATAGGTTGTAATTTTGGCTACACTGCAGTGTTCAACATTACTCTCCCATTTATGTTTCCAAAATCTCAACTCTAATTTAGAGACTTGCTGTATGCCAAGGATGGAATGTATGAAGCATATCCTGAGTATGGTATAGAGGTGCATTTCTTTTGGAAATCATGTTTAAAAGTCCTGTAATCCCAGCACTTTGGAAGGCCTAGCTTGAGCCCAGGAGTTTGAGATCGGCCTGGGCAACATAGACCTCCTCTCCAAAACAAAACAAAACAAAAACTAGCTGGGTGAGGTGGTGCAGGCTCATAGTCCCAGCTACTCAGGAGGCTGAGGCAGGAGGATCCTATGAGCCAGGGGTTTGAGGCTACAGTAAGCCATGATTGTGCCACTGCACTCCAGCCTGGGCAACAAACTGAGATCCTGTCTTTTAAAAATAAATAAAAATGGGGCCCAGTGTGGTGGCTCACGCCTGTAATCCCAGCACTTTGGGAAGCCAAGGCGGGTGGATCACGAGGTCAGGAGTTAGAGACCAGCCTGACCAACACGGTGAAACCCCATCTCTACTAAAAATACAAAAATTAGCCAGGCATGGTGGTGCGTGCCTGTAATCCCAGCTACTCAGGAGGCTGAGGCAGGAGAATTGGTTGAACCCGGGAGGCAGAGGTTGCAGTGAGTTGAGATCACGCCACTGCACTCCAGCCTGGGTGATAGAGCAAGACTCCATCTGAAAAATAAATATATAATAAAAGTAAATAAAAAAATAAAAATGACTAAAAGTCATCAAGGTGAGGGCTACCACCCACGGTTTTTCAGATCATTTTATGTGTTCATTATATATTTATCAGAACTCAGGGCTGACTTTGAAAACATTTCTGTTTATGTATTTTTCTTGGAGAAAGAGCAAGGAAAACAGTTTAGAATGATAGAATTTGTTCTCCTTCTTTAAATGACTAGCAGTAAGGCATACTGAGAACTTGCACTTGCCTGTTTATCTTTCTAATAAAGTTAATTTGAAGGCTGAACCCTGAAATAGAAGTCACCCTTTGAGCTTACTCTTCTCTTTGAGTTTCAGATCATAAAAGGTAAGTGCTTGCTTCAAGTTCAGTAGCAGAGAAGCGAGGAAAAGTAGTAGAGAAGAAGAAGAGAAGAAGAAGAAGGGGAGAAGGGAGAGAAGAGAAGGAGAACCCAGGTTTTACGATAGAAAGGTTTACTGGAAAGCGTGCACCTTGTGTTACCAGACAATCCTCGTGGCACATTTGCTCTGAGCCTCTTCTTCAGAAGCTGGCTACTGTCACAGAATGTCCACTTCCCTAGGGCGTGTCCCCCGAGAGCCATCTCTCCTGGCTGTGCTGTACTTTGTGGCCAGGGTCTGGAAATTTATCAGTTTCTCTTTCATGAGGCACTTTCTTGCCCTATATCTTTATCCAAAAAAAAAAAAAAATTGTAAATGAACTTCCTAGAAGGAGCTTCTCTTCCTTCCTGCTTCTCATTGATTCACAGTGACTGTACTCCTCGGATTCCTCCCCTTTCCTGTGAAAATCTCTTCTGCTTTCCTTTCCTTTCATCTCCGTTCATCCTCTTCTTTTTGTCTTCTGGACACGATGTTTTGTGTCTCAGCGATTCCAAGCAAACAAACTGTTCTGCTATACAAAAAGAATAAGAAAAAAGAGAAAATGCCTTGAAACACTACAAAGTCAATCACTTGCCTTCAAGATTAAGCTAAAAATGTTTCCTTGAGCTTCATGCTTCATGTCTGAACATCTGAACATCCCACCACTTAACCAGATGATAACAGTGTTTTTTATTTTTGCTTCTTATTTTTTTTTCTGCCAGTAAACCATATCTGTACTAAACCAGGGCCACCTTTCAGTGAGAATGAGGCAGGAGGCTGCCCTCTGCCATCCAAACATGCCTCTAGCCCTATTTATTTATGAGAAGCTTTGTACTGGATACAAACTGCCGTAAATGTTATCCAGCTTTATGGGAGACATCACACGGTCCTGGTAATCTGATAGAAGGCTTTAAATGGATAGGCGGCTCTGCCAGGTTTGGGTGCCAGAAGGTTTTGGGCTTTGAGAGAAAGAAATAACAAACAAACCCCAAATCAGGATCCCTAACTACTATTGAATCACATGCCCTAGGAAACATCATAAGTTTTCCTAGAGAGGGTTTTCTGTGGCCTGTGGTAAATCTGTAACTTTGTTTTTTTGTTTTTTTTTGTTTTTTAATGCAGCATATAGCTCTTGAAGCTTACTTAGTAAGTTATTATTGTATTCTTTTAAATTTCATGAATTTGTTCACAAAAAAGCAAGATTAGTGAGCATTGTGCATTGTTTGTAATGTGCTTCAAATACAGTGTTTCCAGTTTGGACGGAAGGCAGGGAGAAATTTGAGAAAATACTCACAGGTTGGCCTCAGATGGGAGAATTCTAGTCCTGATTAACAAGAACACATACTAATAACACTCAGTGCTCAGTATTAATTGATGACATTCCAGGATCTGGTGCAATCTGCCCAGCAGTGTATGATAATTATTAACGCGATGAGTTAACATGTTGTACTTATGAGACGACTCCAAGAATCTTTGCTTTTGGGGGATGGCAAAATATATTGTGGCCAGTTTAGAATATTAATAGTATGTATTAAAATAAGTTGTAAGAGCAGTTGTTTTGATAGAAACCAATTAATTTGTAAATATTTTTAAGTAGTTATGAAGTATTTGTTAGGTCTTGGAGATGGATGGTAAAAATTAAAGTTACTCCCTTCAAGGGTTTCTGTCTATTTGGGAGGCAAAGCTACACAGAAGAAAACAGAGAGAAGCATAAGATGGCATATGAATCTGCTCCATGCTCCATGGTGCCGACTGTCTTTGTTGGGGAATGACGTCTGGAATCATCTGAGAAGACGTTATGGAAGGTGAGATGACCCCCCTCACTGGATAGGAGCTAAGTATAGGGTTCCAAAAGCATGTGGCAGGTACTGGTTTTTAGTCCGCAGGTAGCTGGGACATGCCTCTCCTTTTCCACCCTACAGAACATCCTTCAGTTGCTAAATACAGGGAACTTGTGGAGATATTTAGGCTTCAGCAAGAAGAAAAGTTAGGTAGCAGTGAGTTCCACATTACTTCATCAGGCCACCACAATACTGACCGTATTTATAACCTGCCTCTTCTCTTAACACTTGCTGTATTTGCAGCTGGGAGAAAATACCAGAAGGAGAGATGATTGTTGAGAGGGGCCCTGCCTGTGAGCATTCACAGAACCCTAACGCCCCACCCCTGGGACACAGCCTGCACTTTCCCTCCTGACACTCAGTGCAGCTTACGTTACAAGGATTCATTCATTCATAGTCAATAGGTGTTGATTGAATGCTGATTCTCTCCTGAACTGTCAACCCCCCAAAACCACAACGTTAGGGTCTAAAGATAAAGCAGGGAATAAGATCAATTGCCAGGCCTCTAGGAGGAGATTAATACTTTTTTTTTAATGAATGTTAGGCATCGGCATTTCCATAATTTTTAGATTCTTCTGGATGACACTGGATAGTATATCATATGGGAAGATATTTCTAACTGTGAGATTGGGATTTGCCTCTAATGTTTTACACAAAGATAGAAGAATATATAGGGAGTGCTAGGGAGAGGAGACAGATGTTCTTTCTCTGTGGATCAATGCAACATTGTGCAGTGGGCCCTTGAACAACATGGAGATTAGGGGTGCCCGTCTCCCATGCAGTTGAAAATTCCTCGTATACTTTCCACTCCCCCCAAACTTAACTACTGATAGTAGTAGTTGACTGGAAGCCTTACAGATGACATAAACAATCGATTAACACATATTTTCGTGTGCATTATATACTGTATTCTTACAATAAAGTTAGCTAGAAAAAGAAAATATTAAGAAAAAATAAGGAATGAAAAATGCATTTATAGTTCTGTATTGTATAAATGAATATCATAAATTTATGTCATCTGTTTGCAAGATGATTTGTCTGAAATGGCCGGCAATTGCAGACCTCAATTTACTGTCCATATCAAACAATTCAACTTTTTCTTGTAATGTCATGACTTTTCTCTGCTTCCTGGGAGCTCTTCCAGGATCACTAGTGATAATTTGTATGGGTCCCATGGTGTTACTCAAGGTTTATGGTTTTGTACTAAACATGATGAAAAACATTCAAAAACTATGAGAGATCGCTTTTTACCATGAAATGCAATTTACTGGAGAGAGGAGCTGCTCACGTGGAGATGATGAATGTCACATGGCATTTTAAGCAGATACTAGCAACACTTGGGCTCACCACAATCACAACAGGAGGTGGCTACAAAATTATTACAGTGGTACAGTATGTTCTAAAGTTAATCTTAGGCAGTTATGATTTTAATACTTCATTTTTCTATTTGTTTACATTTCTCTCAACTGTGAATGATGCCATGTATGGTCTGTAAGTATATGTGTGAGTTTTGATAAACTTTAACTTTTGTAATATATTCGTGTATATTTAATGGTAGTAAATGATACAATAGACTAGTATCTACATATATTAATATTTTATGTATTTGTGACATACCTTTTTCTAATTTTTTTTCAATATTTACCGGCTACAAAATCCATCTGCATGTTTTTTTGAAGTGTTGCAAAAGTCCCCAAAATTGTGTAATATATATGTTGAAAAAAATCTGCATATGTGGACCTTTGGAGTTCAAACTGTGTTGTTCAAAGGTCAACTGTACTTCACGGTGCATAGGAAATAGTTACCTATAAGCTTGGATGCGAGTCTTAGAAATAGATTTTATTGGCTGGGCGTGGTGTCTCATGCCTGTAATCCTAGCATTTTGGGAGGCCAAGGCAGGTGGTTCACTTGAGGTCAGGAGTTAGAGACCAGCCTGGCCAACATGGTGAAACCCCGTCTCTACTAAAAATACAAAAATTAGCTGGGCGTAACCGTGCACACCTGTAATCCCAGCTACTCGGGGGGCTGAGGCAGGAGAATCGCTTGAACCTGGGAGGCAGAGGTTGCAGTGGCTGAGATTGAGCCACTGCACTTCAGCCTGGGTGACAGAGCAAGACCCTGTCTCAAAAAAAAAAAAAAGAAAGAAAAGAAATAGATTTTATTCTTAAAGAAAATGTGTAGATAGCATTATTTGATGTGGCAACATTTCATCTGTAGTAAAATTTCTAATGAGGTACAATATATGGAATACAAGAATTATGACAATTGAAAGCATGATGAGGGATGCAGAATCATTGCTTGCAGCAGCTCATAATGACTGTGGTTCTTACTCGTATCACATAGGTCTATTTTGCTTGTCATGACAATGTTTGATGAGATCAAGAAAATGAGGTAGGAATTCTAGCACATTCAATATTTGAGTGATATTCTCTCCTTGAAAAATGAATGGGAAAATAACATTTTAATTCTCCAAATACTCAGTCTTTATTATCTCTAAAAGTATTCAAATTAAGTAGTTAACTAGATAAGTTATGACACAAAGGGAAACCAGTCAGAGGTGAAGTTTCACACTCCCCAATGTTTGAAAAACTTATGCTTGGGTCATATATGTATATAGGATTTATTATATCTTAATTAAATGCACACCTGAAGATCTGCCTCTCTTTTTCATACGACTGCCTGCCCTCCTGGCTAAACTAGGAAAATGACACAACACTTTGAGAACATTAAAACACGTTATTTTCAGTGCACATGCATCTTACTTTGGGGTTCAGCACAGACATTTTAGTAAGAATGGATGCCCTTTTTAGCAGTAAATAGCTCATTGCTCTTTTTTAAAAAAAATTTAATTATTATAGATACCTTATAGTTGTATATATTTGTGGGGTACATGTAATATTTTGATACAGACATAGAGGTAATGGTCAATCAGGGTAACTGGAGTATCCATTACTTTAAACATGTATCATTTCTTTGTATTAGGAACATTCCAATTCACTCTTTTAGTTGTCTTAAAATATATGATAAACTATTGTTGACTCTAGTCACCCTACTTTGCTACTAAATACTAGGTCTTATTTATTCTATTGAGCTGTATTTTGTACTCATTAACCATCCTTTCTCTATTCCCCTCCCTGTCTCTGATAATCACCATTTTATTCTCTATCTCCATGAGTTCCCAAACAAATTTTTATCTCCCACGAATAAGTGAGTACATGTGAAATTTGTCTTTGTGTTTCCAAATTATTGTCTTTCTATTCCTGAATTATAATGCCCTCTAGTTCCATGCATGTTGCTGCAAATGACAGAATCTTATTCTTTTTTATGGCTGAATAATATTCCATTGTGTATATGTACCACATTTTCTTTATCCATGCATCCACTCATAAAGACTTTGCTTCCTAGTCTTTGCTATTGTGAATAGTGCTGCAAAAAACATGGGAGTACAGATATCACTTAGAAATACTGATTTCCTTTCTCTTGGGTATACATCCAGCAGTGGGATTGCTGGATCATATCATAGTTCTATTTGCAGTATTTGAAGAACCTCCACACTGTTCTCCATAGTGGTTGTACTAATTTACATTCCCACCAACAGTGTATAAGGGTTCTCCTTTCTCCTCATCCTTGCCAGCATTTTTTATTTCCTGTCTTTTGAATAAAAGCCATTTTAACTGGGTGAGTTCACATTTCATTGTAGTTTTAATTTGCATTTCTCTGATGATTAGTGATGCTGAGCATTTTTTCATTGCTCTTTCTAAGGCTGAACTACCCTCATGAACCACAACATGAAATGTTATCTTTTCACTATATCTTGGAGCTGTTCCTTCCCATCATTTGGCCCATGTCAACTTATAGAACAGTAACTAAATATCTCGATTTATCAGTCACCACATAGATCTAGGGTTGTGAGGTTGTGTTGTACTAAATCAGTTATAGGTAGAAGCATAAACACCAGAAAAGAACAAAGCTAGTTGTCCTATGGGTTCTTTATTGAATCTTACTTGAATGGGTATGGCCAGCATTTAGGTAATATAATTATTTTTTTTCTAGTTTGAAATATTTTAACCATGTTGTCTACAGCAATACATTGTGGTCTACATCACCAATTTTTTCCATGTACTAATAGAGATTCAAAAATACATTTGGCTATGGTTATGGTGCTCCCTTGATCTACCTTTGAGTGTATGTGGCATCCTTCTTAAGTACATGTATTGTCATAAGAGGGCATCAGTGTTAACCCTAGAGAGACCATTAGTTAAGATATATGGTTTCACATTTAATTAGTTGGGAACAGAGTTTAGCTGCATTTTAAGTACTTAATAAGGATGAAAATCTTGGACCCATCAAAGTCCAAATTGACTGAGCTTAGATTTATGAAGACATTATGAAACAAAAGGCATTCATGTATTACCTTAGAATTCGATCATGTAACCTCAGATTCACCCAGATCAGTGATGGGGCTTCCACCTGGACTTCCCCATCCTGTCCTCCCTAGAGAACAGGTGTGGCTTGAATGCTCACTGTGTACCGGGCTCTGTTCTAGGTGCTTAGGATGCACAATGAGTGAAGGAGACAAAGACGCTTCCCACAAGGGGCTTGGCTTCTAGTGCAGGGAGACAGACCATCAGTAATAGCAGTAATAAATAAGTGAACCACAAGTATTTTAGAAGATGATGAGTACTATAGATGGAAAGAAAGAGTAGGGCAGATAGGGGAATCCAAGAACCCTGGGGGTGAGTGAGAAGCAATTTGCAGTGTTAAGTAGTCATTGTGGGCTACATAGGGAAGGTGAGGTTTGCACAAAGATTTGAAGGAGGCCAGAGAATCAGCTGAGCAGCCTCCTGGGAGAAAAGTGTCATGGGCAAAGGAAAGAGCCAGCACAGAGGCCTCGTGGTGGGTGAGCTGGGTGTGTTCAGAAAAGGATCCCGTTGTGTTGAACTGTGTGTAGGTGGAGTGGAAAGAGAGAAGGTCAGAGAGATGAAACAGCAATGAACTACACGGTCCCTTAGAGGTCACTGTAAGAGTGTTGGCTTGTACTCTGAGTAGTGTGGGGAAACACTGCAGGTTTTGAGCAGATGAATTTTGATTTCTATGCTGATAATCGGTTATAGGGGGCAGGTGAGGGCAGAGGCAAGGAGACCTGTAAGGGGCTGTTGCTATCCAGTTGAGAGATGGTGGTGGCAAAACCTGGGTCATTGTGACAGAGCTAGTCTAGACAGCCAGAATCTGGATGTGCTCTGAAGGTAGAGCCAGTACAATTTCCTGAAAGATTGAAGATGGGATGTGAGCGGAGTAGTAGATGCAAGGCTCCTTCCTAGCTTTTGATTTGAGCAATTAACGGGAGGAAGTGGCCTCTCTTAATATGGAAAAGGCTGTGGGTGGAGCTGGTGAAGAGCTGCGGGGGAGCTGGTGAAGACCTGCGGCTCAGTCCGGGTGTGTTGATTTAATGTGCGTGCAAGACATCCTAGTGGAGATACCAAATAGGCAGTCGATGTGAGTGTGGAGTGCTGGAGAAAGGTCTTGGCTGCAGAAGCACATTTGGAAGTTATTGGCATACGGAGGGTGTTTAAATCTGTGCTATCACCATGGCATTGAGGATAAAGAGGAAAGAGGACCAAGGGGCATTCTGCTGGGGCATTCCACAGTTAGGATGAGGCAAGTAGGAGCAACCAGTGAAGGGAATTGAGAAGAAACCATCAGTGACCAAGAAGAAAAACAACAGAGTGTGTTGTCCTGAAAGCTAAGAGAAGAGAGAGTTAGGAGGAAAAGAGTAATAGCTGGGTCAGATGCTGCTTCTTGGTTCAGTAAAATAAGGCCTGAGAATAGGTCCTTGGATTCAGTAAGTCAAGGTTTTTGGGGGCCCTGCTAAGGGAAGCCTCATGGGAGGCAAAGGCTAAGGCAGTGGTTTTGAGAGAGGATTTGGGGAAGGAGGAGTTTTTCTTGCAAAGGGGAGCAAATAAAAGAGTTGACGGCTGCAGGGAAAGTGGAGTCAAGTGAAGATTTTGTTTTGTTTTGTTTTGTCATTTTGGTTTTAAGATGAGAGAGATAACAGCATGCTTATATGCTGCTGGGAATGATGCTGCCCAAATTAAAAATAGGCAGAGAGAGAGAGAGAGAGATAAAGAGAGAGAGAAAGAGAGAGTAAAAGAGGATATTCCTGAGTCAGGGGAGACAGGATCAAGTTGAAGAGGATTGATTTGGACTAGGAGTCTGGAGGGTTTGTGTTAACACATGAGGAGGAAATATCTGTGACTTCTGCAGCCTTCGGGTAAGTGCACGAGTGGAGTCTGTGAGTTTCTTGTGGCTGCCATAACAAAGTACCACAGATGTGGTACATATACAAGATGGAATACTATGCAGCCATAAAAAGGAATGAGATCATGTCCTTTGCAGGGATATGGATGAAGCTGGAAATCATTATCCTCAGCAAACTATTGCAGGAACAGAAAACCAAACACCACATGCTTATACTAATAAGTGGGAGCTGAACAATGAGAACACATGGACACAGGGAGGGGAATAACACACACTGCAGCCTGTCAGGGGGGTATGGGGGAGTGGAGAGCATTGGGGAAAGAGCTAATGGATGCTGGGCTTAATACCTAGGTGATGGGTTGATCTGTGCAGCAAACCACTGTGGCACACATTTACCTATGTAACAAACCTGTACATCCTGCACATGTACCCTGGAACATAAAAAATAAAATAAAATGAAATGAAATGAAATAAAATAAAATAAAGAAAAAAATGGAAATTGATTTTCTCATAGTTCAGGAGGCCAGAAGTCTGATATCAAGATGCCAGCAGGGCTGCTTCCTTCTGGAGGCTCCGAGGGAGTGTGTTCCTGCCTCTCCCACTGCTGGCGGCTGCCAGTGCTCCTCTGTGTTCCCCGGCTTCTAGATGCATCACCCAGCCTCTGCCTCCATTCCACATGATCCTCCTCCTCATGTGCCTCCTTTATGTCTCTGCATCTTGTTTCCTATTCTAAGGACACCAGTCATACTGGATTTAAGGACACCCTAATGTAGTAGGACCTTATTTCAACTCCATTACATCTGCAAAGACCCTATTTCCAAATAAGGTCATATTTATGGGTTTTTGGTAGACGTGGATTTTGGTGGCACCCTTCAACCCAGTACAGAGCCTCTGGAAGTTATCTTTGGATTGGTTGAATTTTCTCAGTGAAGTAGAAAGCAAGACAGTCCACTGAGAGAGAGGCAGGCAAGGAGGTATTAGAGAATTGAGAAACAGAATGATGGCGAAAACTGTTCGCCCTGGAGTGTGAGGAGTGCACACCCCAGGAGGATGTTGTAGCCTGTGACCTGGAGGCCCCACTTGAGATGCGTGCTCCTGAATTTATAGGAGCCGGGTCAGCATGGTGGTGGGTGCTTCTCCAGCCTTGCTCATGTGTGCAGAGACAGAGCAGGCATAGGGTTGGATGCTTCTGCCAAACAAATACAACATAGCGAGGGAGAGGCAACAGAGTTGGGGGCATATATAAGAAATGTATTATAATGTATTAGAATAACTGACCCTGAAACTTATGTTAGGAAAAGAGGAGAGTGAAGACATGAAGATCATGAAGGTCAGAGAAAAAGGCAAGTTGTCCAGTGGCCTAGGAGGGTTTGGGGTGGGGGTATTGGAGGAGGTGCTAGCAGGTAGTGGGATGCAGGAAATTGGCTTGTGTGGAGTCTGCTGGCTTCGAGTCTGGGAAGGAGCTCCTGAGAAAGGGCGAATAACAAGATCACTGGAGGGGAGGGCTCAGGAAACCAAGAGGCCAGGGGTGGGAAGCATCGCCTGCACATGCACTGACATTACCAAAAATTAATACAGGATGGTGGTGGTCACAGCAATAGAAAGCAGGAGCTAACATCTTCCAGAAATGAGGGGAGATGACTGGGAGTTCATAAGTAACCATAAGTTGGAGGTGGTATGTGATATCACTTGATATCATGAGATTCAACAGTGGGGGCTTTGGGGAGGAGGGAGGGCTTACTCTCTGAAGGGGGAAAATGAGGATGCCACCTTCTGTCTCCCAGGCTGATTGAGCTGTGTGACCCCTTCCCCTCCTTTCCCAGAAACAAACTCTCATATGGATTTCCACTAAGGACAGGAGGTGTAAGCGGAGCAGCTCTGGCTGAAGGTGGGCAGAGACCTAGGAACTCTGTGCTGACCTCATAACTGAGGCTCCTCTGCAGAACTCCTGGGTACCCCCAAAACATGGCATTCTGCTGAAGGGAGTTTTAAGAATAAGCTGTACAAAACTTTTCACGGTGTTTTAAAAAATACTTATAATTTTTTATTTTGAAAAAATTCAGGTATGCTCTGTACAATAAACATTCATACTACCCATTACCCAGCTTCATAACCATAAACATTTTGCTATATAGTTATGTGTCACTTAACAATGGGGATACGATTTGAGAAATGAGTTGTTAGGTGACTTCGTCGTTGTGCAAACATCATAGAGTGTACTTACACAGACCCAGATGGTACAGCCTACTACATACCCAGGCTGTTTTGCTTCTAGGCTACAAACCTGTACATGTACAGCATGCTACTGTAGGCAGTTGGAACCCAATGGTAACTATTTGTATCTAAACATATTTAAACATGGAAAAGGTGCTGTAAAAATACACTCTAAAAGATTAAAAATGGTCCACCTGTACAGGGCACTTACCGTGAATGGAGGTGCAGGATGGAAGTTGCTCTGGGTGAGCCAGTGAGTAAGTGGTGAAGGCCTAGCACATTCCTGTGCACTGCTGTAGACTTTAGAAACACTGGACAATTAGGCTGTAATAAATGTATAAAAATTTTTTCTCTCTTCAGTAATAAATTAACCGTAGTGTACTGTAACTTTTTTACTTTATAAACTTTTAACTTTTTTTCAGCTTTCTGACTCCTGTAATAACACTTAGATTAAAACACACATTGCACAGCTGAATAAAAATAATTTTTCTTTACATCTTTATTCTGCAAGCTTTTTTCTATTTTTAAATTTTTTACTACTTTTAAAAAAATTTTAAAAACTTTTTTGTTAAAAACTAAGACCAAAACCCACACAAAATCCTAGGCCTACAAAGGGTCAGGATCATCAATATCACTATCTTCCACCTCCACATCTTGTCTCACTGGAAGGTGTTCAGGGGCAACAACATACGAGGAGCTGTCATCTCTATGACAACAATACCTTCTTCTGTAATCCCTCCTGAAGGACCTGCCTGAGGCTATTATGTAGTTAACTTTTTTTTAAATAAGCAGAAGGAGTACACTCTAAAATGAAGATAAAATTGTAGTATAGTAAATACATAAAGCAGTAACATATTTATCATTATCAAGTATTATAGACTGTATATAACAGTATGTGCTAGACCTTTATAGACTGGCAGTGCAGTAGGGTTGCTTACTCCAGCATCCCCACGTGAGGCATGCATTGCTCTGTGACATCAGGATGGCTGTGACATCACTAGGCGATGGGAGTTTTCCAACTCCATTATAGTCTTATGGGATCACCGTGTGTATGCAGTCTGTCGTTGACTGGAATGCATGATTGTATTTATTCCACTATTGCCTTTCCTTTGGTGGAATGCTGGAAAAGCGTTGAGCTTATCATGTCATTTTATCCAACACACTTCAGTTCAGTATGCATCTCAAGAAAAAGATATTTTCTTAGATAATCACAATGTCATTGCCACAACTAAAATTAACAGTAATTTTTTTTAACAGCACCTAATATCTTGGTGTCTTTTCAATCATACACAATATGCATGATTTGACACAGTTTTGAGAGCATCATTGTCATATGTGAAAGCCTATATGACTTCAGTGAATGTTTGACAATTGATGTTCAATAGTAATCAAATGATTGGTTTGCAAAAACTAGTATATTTTTAGTTGCCATTTATTGGCCACTTTCTATATGCCAAGAGCTGCTTTCAGAACTTTGATTAGGACTAGCTCATTAAATTCTCTCAATATTATTATGGAGTAGATGTTACATTATTCGCCTTTGTTTTACCTAGAAAGCTAAGAGTCGAGCAGCACACAGCTCATAGAGCCAGGAGGCAGTGGTGGAGCACAGTGTTGGCAGCATAGTGCCCAGTAGTGAATTGCACAGGTTCAAGTCCTGTTAAACAATAGGATACCAGTAAAACCACCGCACAGTATTATTTTGAGGATTCATGAGTTTATATACATAGTAGCAGGCACATAAGTGTTGTCTAGTGTTGTATTAGGATTTTAATCCACTTTTATCTGACTCCAGAGCCCAAGCATTACCCTACTATAAAAGCCACTACATTTTGTAAATTAAAACATAGAAACATATTTCTCCTTTTACATAGACTGGATCAGTTGGCTTATTTCAGTACACACATGCAAAAATTAATTGGTGGGGATCTACATAAGCAGGGAACTAGGTTTTGTGGTCACCTCTTAGCAACTTCAGAGAGGAAGGACAAGAGACAATGAGTAAGAGCCCCTGAAGGCAAGGGGTGATGATAGAAAGGGACCCTCAAACCTACAGAGTCAGAAGTGCAAGGAAAGCCCATCAGTCCCAGATGCAGGCCGTCATGAGGAAGCCTGCTTGATGCTAGCAGTGTGATTATTTCAATAACATTGAGTATTAACTTCAAAATCTGTATACTTGTAGTTATGTTTTGTCTAAGGAATGTCCAGAATGCTTAAACATGCATGTGTGGCTCCTTCAAGACTCCAGAAGGCCTGACCACTGGGTACATCATGGGACTAGAACAGTGTTGTAGCTTCCCCCCTCTAAGCAGTTCCAGCTCTTTGCTCCTGAACATGCACACTCACACACACACACAGTCACACGCATGCACACACACACGCACACATGCATGCATGCACACACACACATGCACACATGTGCCTGCCTGATAAACATCCTTATTAAATATCAAAGAAATTTCCCATTAGGTGTTTGTGTCTCTCATATTAGAGCTTAACCTACTTTGGCCCTTTGTTTACCTTGTCTTGGTCGTCCCAGGAAGTCCCTTATTAGACGCTAGACCCCTCACCTCAACCCTGAATAGCAATGGTCTTTGTCATCTCTTACAACAATCCCCAATGCAAAACCAAAGTGGTGCTTCTATTTTGGTTGGGGTTTTATTTACAATGTAGTTCCTATGGAGCATGAGCTCTCACAGCTAACCTGGTGGGTGTGTGCACATGCATGTCTGTGAGGAGCGGGTGACCACGCTCTGTGAATGGCATCTGAAACCTGCATCGGTCTGACTAGGTGAACATTCTTTGGCAAATACTGCCACATGCTATTCTAGGGAAACACAGAGAACCCCTCCAGAGCATTTTCAGGCAATTGTCTAAATAAACCATGGAGCATTTTTCATGAACATCATAAGGATGAATTTGGCCCTTAAGCAGGGATGGCAATTATTTTTTATTATTATCTCACCTTTGATAGTCACACATTTAATGAAAAAGGCCACTAATATCTAGTTCAATTCATGTTGTATGACTGGAATCAATACGTTTATGTTTTCTGTCTTCAGCCAAGTTTCTTTTTTTCTTTCCCTTTTTATGACATTTTAAATGTTGAATCAGGGATGAACAGAATTCCATATTGTTTGCCATATGTATTAGTTATAGGTTTGGCATCTGTGATGGAGATTTATAAAAAAACAGTGGCTTAAACAAGATAGAAGTGTATTTCTCTCTCATTTAACTGTCTGGGCATAAGTAGGCTGGTATGTTGTCAGAATCTGGGCTTCTTGAATCTTTTTGCTCAATAATACCAAGGGTTTTGCCCTCATCAACACAGTACCAGATGGCTTACCACGTCATCCACAATCCAGTCAGCAGGAAGGAGAGAGTATTTCTCTTTTTCTTAAGGGCATGACTCAGAAATAGTATACTCCACTTCCACGCTTTTCCCTTTGGCCAGCACTTAGTGACAGGACCACAACTAATTACAAGGGAGGCTGGGAAAAGTGTGTTTAGTCTGGGAGACCATTTGCCTGGTTAAAATTTAGGGGCCTTATTACATTAGAAAAAGAAGAAGAATTTGTTTGGAGGTCAATTAGCAGTCTCTACCACATCATAGAAATATAATTTTCATTCAGATTCCAATAGACATTATTAAATAGTGCATATCTTTTGATATCTGGCAGATATGGCTTTCGGTCACTAGAATCTGTTTTTCCTTTTTTTAGCAAACGTGATTGCTAGGATGTGGTTGTCAAGCGAAGGACTGACTTTCTGGCCCTTTTTGCTGTTAGGTATGGTTAGGTGATGGTTTCTCAACAGTGGAACAGGATGTAAGAGGAGGAGAAGAGTGCCCCACCCAGGCTGAGCGTGGTAAGTAGTAGGTACCAAGGACCTTTCTATGTTTATGCCCTTTGATTCCAATTGGTAGTGATTCTAATTTCTTAATATTTATCCTAAGGATATTTTAACTACTCTTTCATCGATCAGTGTATTCATCCTGTTACAGTTGTTGCCCACTATTTTTTTCAGGCATTTTTTTTAGATGTTTGAAGTATGTATGAATCTTCCAGGTTCTTTTCTTTGGTTATCTGAAGACTGTAAGGAATGATGTGGCCGCCACATGCGGAAACCTGGATCCCTGAGTCACTATGTGGCAGTGAGCTCCCCACTGACCAACAACTCTTCCTTGGATTGTTATACAGAAAGAACTAAGCATCCATTATGTTTAAACATGATGTCCTTTAGTTAATATCACTTCAGCCTACCCTAACTAATATATTCTCTCTTTTTAGATCTCCATTTGCTATTGATTCTTTTAATCATTGTGTTGTGGAACTAAATGATCCACAAGAAACACCAGAATTTTGATTTCTAAGCAGCTGGTGAACATTTTTGGGTTGTAACATTTCTCCAAATTTTGTTGTTATTCACAAATTCTCCATTTGTTTGTGAATTTTGTTCTCTGTCAAAACATTTAAGACTATTTTCCTTCTTTTAGAAATTAAACAGCAGTTTTTATGACACTGGTATTTTTTATGACAAATAGGTTTTTTTCCTTCTATTTTTGGGTGTTAGGGATGCTTAATGAAAAAAGAAACACAGCTAAGTGTGTACTGAGAGGCAGGAATTCCACATAAAACTTGTTAGAATTTTTCCCCCAAGAGATTGCCACTGCAATATATTCTTAGAAAGCAAATATCATGTATCTAGGAAATCCGAAGCCTATTAAGCTAGAGAAATAGACAAGACCCTATCTTAACACTAAAATCCCAAGTGAAAATGATGTTATAATCCTGCAGAAATACTAGCTCAGATACCTTGTCCATAAGCTTCACTAGACTACTAATTTTTACAAAGTCAATCAAAATACTTAAAAGGTCAAGAAAACAAGGCAGTCATTTGCTTGCCCCTTCCAGATGTGAGTTCTTAGTTGAGGTTGGAGTCGTAGGTTGAGGAATGGAAGGTGATCAGGGGCTACAGGCTCAAGCACCATATTTTCATGATCATTCTCCCCACTCCCTAATACTACCAGTTTAGTCAGGTTTGCTTAACTTGTTAATTGGTCGCAATAAGGTCCAAGAGATGGGACCAAACCCTAATTGGTGTATGGGTTGAACAGTTTAAACCATTGCCCTCCTTTTGGGGCTATTGTAATTCGTTGCATTCTTTAATGCTTTCAAAGATTAAAAATTAATGTAATATTCATCACACACATTTTCCAGAAAGAAAATTGCAACATACATCAATGACCTTTATATATTTATACACTTTGATCTGGTAGTGATTCCAATTTCTTAGTATTTATCCTAAGGATATTTTTAAATTTTTTAATTTTTAAGTTTTATTTTTTCGAGACAAAGTCTCACTCTATTGCCCAGGCTGGAGTGCAGTGGACCGATATTGGCTCACTGCAACCTCCGCCTCCCGGGTTCAAGCAATTCTCATGCTTCAGCCTCCCGAGTAACAGAGATTCCAGGCATGCGACCTAGAAGGTAAAATCTTTGTGTGTGTGTGTGTGTGTGTGTGTGTGTGTGTGAGACAGGGTCCCGCTCTGTCACCCAGGCTGGAGTGCACTGGCACGATCTCTGCTCACCGCAGCCTCCGCCTCTACCTCCCGGATTCAAGCGATTCTGGTGCCTCAGCCTCCCGAGCTGCTGGGATTACCGGCATGCACCACCACGCCCAGCTAATTTTTGTATTTTTAGTAGAGATGGGCTTCACCATGTTCGTCAGGCTAGTCTCAAACTCCTGGCCTCAAGTGATCTGCACGCCTCAGCCCCCCAAAGTCCTGGGATTACAGGCGTGAGCCACTATGCCAGGCCTATCCTAAGGATATTTTAACTGTTTAATCAATCAGTTCATTCAACCTGTAATTACTGTGGCCCGCTATTTTCTAGGCACTTTTATAGATCTTGGGAACATAGTATAATGAATGACACACAGTCCCTGAACTCATGGGGTTTACATTACAATGGTAAACTGATAAACTAATTAACAAATAAGTACAAACAATAAGACAATATCAGGTAATAAATTGGTGAAGAAAATTAAAGCAGGGTAAGGAAGTGGCTGGTGAGGAGGCTGATGGGGGTGCTTTTCATACAGTTCACATAAGGGAAGGCAGGGGCATCTTTGAGGAGGTGACATGGCAGTTACGCAGATGAAGCGATGGGTCCCGTCCTGTGAACTCTCATTGTGTGACTGTCCCAGGCAGGGGAAATAGCAAGTGCCAAGGTCCTCAGAGAAAACGAGCAAGACTTATTGACAGAATAGCAGGAAGCCCAGCATTATTGGAGTGGGCAGTGAGGCTGGACAGAGGGGCAGTGAGGCTGGAAAGACAGACAGGGGCCAGATCTTGTAGGGCCTCCTGGGGCAAGGGGAAGCCTGTAGGTGTTGTTCTGAGGAGAGCGGGAAACATGGTGGGATTTATGTTTTAGAAAGCTGCCTCTGCTCGCTGTAGAGAGCAGTGTTTTTTGTGAGGGGCAACATTGAAACAGGGAGAGGCCAGAGAAGAGGAAGCTCAGAGGTAGGTAAGCAGAGGTGGGAAGTAGGGGCAGTGGGAACAGGTGGGCTCTGGGCTAGTGTCCTGAGTGCTGAACTGATTGTGACTGAGGTCCTGAGACTGCGTTCCTGGGTTCAAGTCCTACCTCCTCCCCCTCACAGCGGAATGATTCTGGACAAGTTGTGTGTCCTCTCCCAGTGTCATTCACCTCATTTGTAAAGTGGGAGCAATGATGATAATTTCCTCAAAGGCTATTGTGTTGTCTAATGAAGTAATCCATGAGATACACTCAAAACTGTGCCTGGCTTTGGTAGGGCCGAGGCAGGAGAATTGATTGAAGTTAGGAGTTTGAGACCAGCCTGGGCAGCAGAGTGAGACCCCTATCTCTACAAAAAAAAAAAAAAATTAGCTAGGCATGGTAGCATGCACCTGTAGTCCAAGCTACTCAGGAGGCTGAGGTGGGAGGATTGCTTGAGCCTGTGAGGTCGAGGCTGTAGTGAGCTGTGGTTGCAACAACACTCATTCTAGCTTGGGTAACACAGCCAGAACCTGTCTCAGAAACCCCCCACCCCCCAAACCCAAAATTGTGCCTGGCACTTGATTAAGTATAAAATATTTGCAAACTATTATCTTTATTGATGTGTTATAGTATACTCATGGACATAAATAACGTAAGTTTTTTTTTTTAAACTAGTTTCTGGTTGCTCTGAGAAAAGTTACCAGTATATATTATGTATATAACATTTTTTAATCATATAAATTTTTTTAAAGTCTTTTTTTCAGGAACACCTCCATTTCATTTACTTCTGCTTAAAATATATTCCTAACTCTTAACTCAACTCCTCATTTTTATGCTAAGAAGTTGTAAAACATATCCTCCGTTTTCAGGGTGGTCTGCAGTGACTGAGTGTGAGACGATTTAGCCATAGAATCCTGGTTCTTGCTATAGCCTGAGTCAGTCATTTAGCTTTGGCGAAACATTCTTCATCTGAAAAATAATATGACAAAGCTCAATTAGAAGAAATCATTTGACATTCAGATCACAGCATTTTGTAAACATTAGGTTTTATTACTTTGTGTTTGTTTTTCCATCATCATGTTTTTGTGCATGTATGTGAAAAACATGTCTGAAGGAACTTTCTCTTTATTTTTTTTTTAAGACAGAGTCTCGCTCTGTCACCCAGGCTGGAGTGCAGTGGCGCAATCTCAGCTCACTGCAACCTCTGCCTCCGAGGTTCAAGCGATTATCCTGCCTCTGCCTCCCAAGTAGCTGTGATTACAGGCACCCCCCGCAACCATGCCTGGCTAATTTTTGTATTTTTAGTAGAGACGGGGATTTTGCCCTGTTGACCAGGCTGGTCATGAACTCCTGACCTCAGGTGATCTGCCCGCCTCGGCCTCTCAAAGTGCTGGGATTACAGGTGTGAGCCACTGTGCCCAGCCTGAAGGAACTTTCTATAGGAGTAAATTACACTTGAAGACACATATGCTGCAGGTCCCATGGGTGGTGAGTGACACCAATTCTTCACACCTCTTCCAACGGTCACCCTCATCACCTCTGTAGCTGCCAAAATCTTGAGCAAGAAAAGATGATTAAACTTGCTTAATAGCCACAATGTGTGGGTGATACCTCTCCATTTAGTGAAAAATACATGTTGGTGTCAGTAGATTTGGTCATAATGATAATAGAGCATTTGAAATGTCTTCATTGACTCCACATAAATTAATCTGTTATTTCTTTCAAACAGTGTCTGAAGTGTATATGCACAAAATTAGCATTTTCTGGTTTTTATCCTGCAAGTGTGCTGACCGCGTATACCCATCTGAATGCAAACAATTGTAGGCAAGCGAGATATCAAAGATATGGAATGCAGCGAGAAAGACATCATGAACCTCAGGCCTGGCTCCCACTCTCCTATTAACCAGAGTCCTTTTCCTTCCAGAGCTGGTCTTGGGAAGTCTTCTTAGATTTCCTCATTTCAATGTATTTTTTTAATATGGGCCAGTCTACTAGAGGATGAAAAAAAAGCAAAGGTTAGCTATAAAATAAGAAATACATATAGGAGGAAACCCATGCAATGATGAGTCATTATCCAATTTTCAATGAAACTTTGCTGCAGCCTTTGTTTTACAAACTAGTGAAGAGGGTAAATTGTCTGAAGCAAGAGCTTAAAAATGGTTTCATGTGGTTGAATAATCCATACTGTCAGGAAAGTACCCCTAGAACTGGAATAATGTAATCGATACCACAGTCCTTTCAAGTTGTGGGGATCTTGAAAAATACTGTCAAACATTCCCATGCTTTGATTGAGCCATTGACTTTTGCCAATGATTCCTGTACTTCCTTCTTTGTAGAATAATCTTGCCAGAGACATGCCTAAAGCACCTAGAATTAGGACTGGACTTACTTTTATAAAACTGGATCATGGTTATTATAAAAGTTCTGAAGTTATAGAAAAACTCACACACACACACATAATATCCACCACAACAATTGAAGTGAGAAACAATATAACCCTAGGAAAAAAAAACCACTTGAATTCTTCTACATTATTGAGTTAAAACAAAATTGAGGGTCTGAAGAGTTCCTTAGTTGGGCTCCTTATCTTGCTTAGGCCTAGCACATGTAACATGCTTAATATATGTTGAATGCATGAATGAAAAGGCACTGCTAGATAAAAAATTATAAGCCAATTCCAATATTATGATAAAACACAATACTTTGCCAATGTAACGATCCAAGAAAATAATGGCATACTTAAAATATGCAGCATAGAGCTCTCTATGGTGTGTATAATTCACACCGAGCCCATGATAGAAACCAATCATGTGATTGTTTTATTAATTAACAGGCTGAACATGTGAAAGACTAAAAGGAAACAGCTAGGAAGATATTCCTAAATAACCCCCAAATGGGCTGATTCACGAGAAAGATTTAAAAATTCTAAATGTTTACCCACTTAATATTATAGCCTCAAAATATGAAGCAAAAAATGGCAGAATGTACAGGTAAAATAGACAAATCTACAGTCACTGCAGGAGATTTTTTTTTTCTTTTTTGAGATGGAGTCTCGCTCTGTCGCCCAGGCTGGAGTGCAGTGGCTGATCTCGGCTCACTGCAAGCTCTGCCTCCCAGGCTCACGCCATTCTCCTGCCTCAGCCTCCCAAGTAGCTGTGACTACAGGCACCCGCCACCATGCCCGGCTAATTTTTTGTATTTTTTTAGTAGAGACGGGTTTCACCATGTTAGCCAGGATGGTCTCCATCTCCTGACCTCGTGATCCGCCCACCTCAGCCTCCCAAAGTGCTGGGATTACAGGCGTGAGCCACCGCGTCTGGCCTGTGGGAGATTTTTAACACACCTCTCTAGTCACTGACAGGGCTTGTATTTTAGGGAGGGTTTTGAATTCCTGATGCTGAAGTCCAGACGATGTGGACCTTGGGTACCAAAGGCATTAAGTGTAAGAAGGACCCTACAGGGGAGTCTGTGTCCTGCTGGAAGGAATAGCCTGGAGAAATCTACCAAATACTTAAGTTTGAATAACTAAATTTAAATAGTTATGGGTCAAGGATTGCTTGTGTCCTCAGCAATGCATCAGAAAGGGCACTGAAAAATTATATTTGCAGAATTCTATGGGGAAAATGTATTATATAATTATATCTAACAAGAATGCGACTCTTAGTCTGTGTGCCAAACATTGCCCTAAGTGTTAATTAGCTCATTTATTCCCCCAATAATCCTATGTTTGTAGGTTGAGGTTGTACTATGACTGTTTAATCTCATAAATGAGAAAATCTAGGCAAAGAGAAGATAAATTTGCCTAATGTTGCCAGTTGATGAAAACAGCATTTGAATGGAGGGAGCCTGGCAGCCACGGCTACTCACCTAACTGTGCTGCCTAAGACTGCTAGTCACTGATTATTTCTTGGTTTGATTTGATTCCTGGCAAAATTGCTAAATGAGCCTAATTTTATCTACCTTTAAAAATATGGTAGCTTACATTATTTATATTTATGCAATGTACCTTTCATACCAATATAAGGGAATAATTTTAAATGTCTGTGAAATGACATCACATTACAGTATTTGTAAAAGTGACCATTAATGCAACTGTTGGTTAACCTGAATTGACTGGGAAAACATCCCAGGTTCAAATTCACTCAGATAGCATGAAACGAAAGCTGATTTTATAACCCCCTCTTTTGATAAATTAAAAGCCAGGTAGTGTTTTTAAAATTTTGAACTAGAATATAGGTTCAAAGTGTAAAGAATATAGATAAACCAATAATTAACCTACAACTGAAGCAAAACCTGTAGAAAAATTATTTTCAGACATATTGGGTTTCATCCTGAAAGAAAAAAAAATAAAGTGTGAAATCAACAAACGCTTTGAATTGCAGAGATGGAAATAAAGATCTGATCCCTAATCAGTTGAAATGATCACTAATAAACAAAATCTAGAAATAAAACCCTACCTCTCAGCATGATCCCAAACGCATTTTTTAAATAATTAAAACATTTGTTCTTAGAGATGTTAACTCTTTCTTCCTCTTTCAGCCTCCTTAATGTTTCTTAGCATCGTTTAGCTGTGATGCAAAAGATTAAGATTTGAAATTAGGTGAAAAAAAGTTGTTAAAAGGAATAGAAATATGCAAAATAATTCATGCCACTTTATGAATTATAGAGGAGTCTCAAAAACATGAACAAAAGGAATTATTTAAATGTCATCCCATTTAAATGGTAAATTCTCCATGACATATTTTTCAGCTTATTGGCAATGAGTGAACTGATCGACATGGCCCCTTGTTTTGAATGTCCTTTCTCTCCCTTCTCCCACTCTCAGGCATTTTCATGCCTTCCATATGTCTTGATCAATCTGCTGATTTCACTAATACTTTCCCATCCCCCTCAAGACTCTAGTGATTCATCGGAGACTGTGGTGTGATCAGAAATTAGAAAGCCTATTGATTATATATTGTCTTTTTATATAAATATTTCCCTGGTCCACTTCTTGCTTCTTGTTTGATGATTAAAGGTAGATAAATTTCAAGAACATTATAGCCAAAGCTAATCGATTCTATATCTAAATAAAGGAAACTATGTAGGCTTAAAAATGTTGCAAGATAACATTTTGGGGGAAAATATACTACGGTGAAATATTTTGAGACCAGGACCTGATAAAATACATCACAAGCTTATATACAATGCATGGTTTTCAATTCAGAAAGTAGTCAATGGTAAGAGAAAACTCACAATGGAAGGCTTTACAATTTTTTCTTTGAAATCTTCATGCAGTTTAAGAAGATTGGAGAAAACACATTTCAGCAGGCTTGGCAGTCACTCAAATTTGTGTGCTCTAAGTTTAGAACCAAACTCAATCTGCACCTCCCTTTCGAGTTCTGTTCTGTGCTGGCAAAACATCGCTTGCTTGTTCGGAGGGAGAAGGAAGGCTTTGTAAAACTCAAAAAACTTACTGGGCATTAAATAACTCCCCAACAATTACATTGTTCTCAGCTTAAGTGAAATTGAATTAAACACATATGGGTGACATTTTCCTTCTAACACATGGGTATAAAATAAATCGAAAAATACTTAGCAACACCTGTTTGGGTTTAGCAAAACTTAATAATGCCTACAATTTGCCTCAGTTCACTTGATTTTTCCAAGGTGCTACAGGATTTCCTAGATCTTTTTTCTATATTCTCATCATCATGTCCTTCTATATTTTAAGAAAATATTTGTTTAGGTATAATAATTTTTTTTTGCATTATTTGTTGAAGTCCAACTACCACAATATTTTGTTAAGGAGCAAAAGCTGAAATGTGAAAAGATGTACCATAATATATTTATATTTAATTATGTAGCCTGAATGAAGCGTACCTCACAGTATATTTATATTTAATTATGTGACCTAAATAAAGCATTTATTTAAAATAAGATATTTTAAATATACATCTGTATACGCTTATAAAAAGTTCAACCTAAGTATTTAATATAAACATGCATTTTAAATTATTTTTCATGCCAATTCTCTGAAATTTGATAGCCTGATCTATGTAGGTATGAGTACAATATGCTGGAAAGACTGACAGGTTAAGATTTAGGGGATTCAACTATAAACTTTGGCACAAAGTAGCAAGTTATCTAGTGTCTCCAAAATATTTTCCTTAACTATAGAAGAATGAAACTGAACTTGATAATATTTAAATTAGTTTCTCATACTAATTTTATATAAGTCAGTGCTTCCAATAAGAAGTTTGAAAATTACTTGTGATTTCATGGTTCACAATGTGAATTTGGTTTGCTATTTGTTGCTATATCTATTCTTATCTCAAATGGATGCAAGGCAAATGGCACATTCCAAGTTCTTTTAAAATTCTTCAGACTATTCACTGTGTACTTTTATCAATCTTAATGTGTAGCAGCCAAATTTAATTATAGCAATCAAAATGTATGTCAGTAGAGTACTTAGGAATCTCAGCAGTGCCATCTCCAATACCCTGCTTTATTTTTTGCTCCTCAGAGCTGTGACATTATATAGTATAATAGTTATGAACATAGTCTGTGAAGTTAGACTCTTTGGATTAAAATCCTGGCTCTGCCATTTTTTTACTACTTGAATAGGGACAAATCATTTTATCTCTCTGTGCTGCTTTGATTTCTTTATCTGTTAAAAGGAGATCACCTGTTTCATTGGAAAGTTCTGATGAGTTCGTGATTTTGTACTCAAAGTGCTTAGAATAGTGCCTGGCACATAGTAAGTTTTCAACACGTTAGTTATTTCTTTGCTTCTTATGTGTCTACGCCATTCAAATTTAAGCCCTATTAGAGCAGGAAACCCATCAACTTTGTTCATTGTGGTTATGGCAGGTTCGCTTTCTTTGCCTCTTCCTCCTCCTTTTTTAATTGAAGTAAAGTTCACATAATCTAAAGTTAACAGCTTTAAAGTGTAAAATTCAGTGGCATTTAGTAGATTCACAGTGTCGTGTATCTATCACCTCTATTTAGTTGCTTAAATGCCTTTTACCACGTGGAGGCAGTTCCCTTCTCTTTCTATTATAGTTTGTTGAATGTTTTTGTCTTGAAATAGTATTGAATTTTTCTCAAATGCTTTTTTTATATCAATTGAGATATCATGTGTTTTTTTTTCTCCATTCTATTAATGCCATGTCAATGTAGTTGATTGATTGTTCACATATTGAGCCATTTTTTGCATTCCTGGGATAAATCACACTTGATCATAGAGTATAATCCTCTTAATATGATGTTATTAAATAAATTTGGTTCCTAGTATTTTCATGGGGATTTTTGCTTGTATATTCATAAGGGATATTGATCTATAGGTTTTTGTTTTTTTCTTCTGATGTCTTTATCTGGCTTTGGTATAAGGGTAAGGCTGGCCTCATAGAATGAGTTGGGATGCATTCCTTCTTCTTCTATTTTTTTTGGAAGAGTTTTAGAAGAATTTGGGGTTAATTCTTCTTTAAATGTTTGGTAGAATTCACCAGGCCAATTCACTGATATTGGCTTAGTCTTTAGTGGTAGTTGTATGGTTTATTGTTATTATTACTTATTCAATCTCTTTACTTGCTAAACGTATATTCAAGCTTTTCTATTTCTTCTCGAGTCAGTTTTGGTAGTTAGTGTGTTTCTAGAAATGTTTCCATTTCATTGAGGTTATCTAGTTTGTTAGTATACAATTATTCAAACTATTTTCTTGCAATTCTTTTTATTTCTATAAAGTTAGTAGCAATAGTTCCACTTTTATTTGTGGTTTTAGTAATTTGAGTCTTCTCTCATTTCTTATTTGTCAATCTAGCTAAAAGTTTATCAATTTTTTTCCCTTTTTAAAAGAAACTACTTTCAGTTTTGGTGATTGTATGGTTCTTCTACTCCCTATTTCATTTAACTCCACTCTAATTTTTATTCTGTGGTTCCTTCTAGCTTTGGGTTTAGCTTGCTCCTGGTTTTCTAGCTCCTTAATGTGTAAAGGTGGATATTAATTTGGGATCCTTTTTCTTTTTGAGTAGAGGTGTTTATAGCTATAAATTTCCCTCCTAGCATGGCTTTCAGTGGATCCCATAGATGTTGGCATTTTGTGTTTTCATTTTCACTTATCTCAAAGTATTTTCTAACTTTACTTGTAATTTCTTCTTTGGCCCACTGATTGGTTAAAAAGTGTATTGATTAATTTTCATACACATGTAAATTTTTCAGTTTTCATTCTGTTATTAATTTCAACTTTTATTCTATTGTGGTTAGAGAAAATACTTTCTATAATTTTAACCTATTAAAATTGATTGAGACTTATTTTGTGGTTCAACATATGGTCTATGTTAGAGAATAATCTATGTGTGCTTGAGAAAATGTGTATTCTGTAGCTGTGAGGTGGAGCGCTCTAGACATGTCTTTTAGGTCTAGCTGGCTTATGCTATTGTTCATGGCCTCTATTTCCTTATGGATCTATTCATTAACATAAGTGGGGAATTAAAATTTCCAAATATTATTGTGGAACTATTTCTCCCTTTGAGTCTGTTTTATATATATATATATATATATATATATATATATATATATATATATATATATATATTTATAGATTTTGGGGATTTGTTATGTGTAAATATGTTTATAATTGTTATATCTTCATGATGGATTGAACTTTTTGTTGATAAACAATGTCTTTTGTGTCTTTTTTAACAATTTTTGTCTTATATTTTATTTCATCTTACATTTCTATAGTAAAATCATCTCTCTTTCAGTTACTATTTGCTTGGAATATCTTTTCCATTCTTTCACTTTCAATCTGTTTGTGTATTTGGATCTAAAGTGAGTCTTTTATAAGTAGTATATAGTTGGGTCATATTTGTTCATATCCATTCTTTTGATGACTGCATTTTAATTGGATAGTTTGATCCATTTACATTTAAAGTAGTCACTGGTAAGAAACGACTTACTTCTGCCAGTTTTCTATTTCTTTTCTATAAATTTAGAACTTTTGTTTCTCAATTCTTAATGCTTTCTTTTGTGTACAAGAGTGTAATTACATTGCTTGTAACACAAAGGATAAATGCTTGAGGGGATGGAAGCTCGATACTCCGTGATGTGATCATTTCACATTGCAAGCTTGTATCAAAATATCTCATGTGCCCCATAAATATATACACCTACTATGTACCCAGAATATTTTTTCATATTTTTATTTTAAATTCAGGGGTACATGTGGAGGTTTGTTACATAGGTAAATATGTGTCATGGGGGTTTGTTGTACAGATTATTTCATCACCCAGGTATTCAGCCTAATACCCATTAGTTATTTTTCCTGATCTTCCAAACTGAATAATCTCAGAAGACTTATATTGAAATCCATGAATTATTTCTTCTGCCTGCTCAAATCTACTATTGAACCATTCTAGTGAATTTTTCATTTCATTTATTTTGGTTTTCAACTCCAGAATTTCTGTTTCCTTTATTTTGAAAATTTCTCTCTTTTCATTGATATTTTCTATTTGGTGAGGCATTTTTATCTTTGTTTTCTTTAGTTCTTATTCTATGGTTTCCTTCAACTCTTTGAAAATATTTAAATTTTAAAGTTTTTGTCTAGTAAGTCCAATCAATGTTCAGGCTTCCTCAATGACCATAATCTACTGATTTCTCTTTTTCTGTGAATAGGCCATACTTTTTTGTTTCTTTGCATGCCTTATAAATTCTTGTTGAAAACTAGACATTTTGAATATTATAATGTGACAACTCTGTAAATCAGACTCTCCCCTTCACTGAAGTTTGTTGCTACTGCTTGTTGTGAGTTGTTACTGTTTGCTTGTTTAGTGACATTTCTAAACTATTTTTATAAAGTCTGACTTTGTGTGTGTATGTGTGGCCGCTGAAGTCTGTGTGCTGTTAGCTAGAGGTGACCTAGTGTTTTGACAGAGTTTTCTTAAACACTTGGGGCTAAAAAAAGAAAAAGAAAGAACAATAAATATTAATAAATACTCTCCCAGTCTTTTCAAACTGACCCGGTATTGGGACACTCCTTTAATATTTAGCCAGGCTGTTTACAACTCCACTTTAGCCTTCAGTTCCTGCTTGTGTGAAGCTTGAATGTCAGCCAGAGGTGACAGCTTAGGGTTTTCTCAGGCTTTTTCAGAACATACATCCAACTCTAAGCTTGTGCACGTCCTTCTTGATTCCTTGTGTACATGGGAACTTTTTAAATCCTTTATTCTCCCATGTACTTCCTTTTCCAACCTTTTTCTTCCACTACTTTTCAGCCTGAGTGTTGCTTGTCTGGTTGTTATCCCTTGCTCCTGGCTGCTGTGCTCAATACTTGCATCTTTTAACAAAAGCTTTCCAGGAAGCTGCCCTAGCCCTTGTAATGCTTCAAGTCAGATGAAATGAAGGCAAGCCCTGTTCCATTTGTGCAGGGAGCTACTCGACAGATCAAAATAGACAACCACAGTCCCTTGATAATAATGCCTGTATTGCTCCATTTAAAACTAGAAACCTGAACCAGCAGTGTGGGCTGCTTGACCTCACCATCACCACTGACCTAAGGATTGGAGAATGGTAGGCAGTTTAAGATGACACGGTATCTTTTACTGCAAAACAGCAGCTTCTTTTATTACCACACCTATCACTCATTGTCATAAGTTTTTGACCGAATTCCAAAATTCTGTAGAAGTTGATTCTGACAGTTGTTGCCAGCTTATTGCTTTTGTGGATGAATAGAGCCCTAGAGTTCCCACCTCTGTCATTTTGAACCGAGCTTTATGTCTCCTTTTTTAGTAATCTTTATTATCATTATCCACAAATGAGAACATACCAGCCTGTTTGTCCTCATTCTGTCTACATTCTTGCAAACAACTACATTTTGGCTATGCTAGGGGTTGGGGGCATACAGTTGGGAGGATGAAACTAGGAGGAGGCCCACACAGGCCCCGGAGGTAGGTTCACGGCCATTAGATAGACCATTCCATGAGCCCAGTTACCAAAGCATGGTCTATAGATAAGGGCACTGGCTCCAGGTGGGAACATTCCTTTGGCACTGTGAACTTCTTGATAGAGTGGAAGGGAGAGGGTGGTCATTGGCAGATAATAAGGGCCTAAGTCTTGCCCAAGTCTAGGAGTGGGCTGGGATGTTCACACTTGTGTCTGCAGGAACCCTCACAGTGTGGGAGGGAGTTGTGGTGAGAAGAGAAAGGGATGGGCCAATACCCCTGTGCTGCTGAGTTCCCTCTAGAGCTATGAGGAGTCTGAAAAGTCTCCTTTTGAACATGGCCTTCTAGGCTTTTATGAAGGTGTAATTCTCAATGCAGGAGAATGGAATATGTTTTATCTTAACAGTCTTTGAATTTGATTTATAATGTTCAAGTATTTAGACACATGGGGAGCCCATATTTGTGCTCTAGCACCAAGCACTGCCAGCATTAGAGGTGGGCTGTTGAAGGACATCTGTCTTGGCCAGTCTAAAGCTTGAGGCTCTTGATCCCTTCTCTTTCTTGCTCAACTTCTTCATTAGGCATCAGGGACACCACACTCTCTTGAGTTTCCTCCTATCTCACTGGTAACTTCCCTCACTTTCCTTCATGTATTCCTTTCCCCTTTCCTTACAAAATAACATTGGAGGGCTCCAGGGCTCAATCCAGGGTCCTCGTCTCTTTCTATCCATGCTTCTATTATTATATCTCCATCCCAGACTTCTCTTGCGAATTCAAACACTATGTATCCCCTGCCTGCTGAAGCTTTTTACTTGGATGTCTTGACTTTCTCTATCAGACACTTGCTTCATCTTTCATTTACTCAGGCTTCAAATATTATCCTTGACTCATCTACTCTTGCATACCATATCCAGTTATTCAGGAAATTGTCTTGCCCATGCTCTGAAAATATCATATCCTGAATCTGACCACTTCTCAAGACTCCCCCTGACTTTACTCGGTCGAGGCAACCATCATGGCTCATCTGATTGCTGCTAGAGCCTCTAGACTGAATTTCCAGGTTTCACCCTCACTTGCTGCAGATTGTGTGATTCTTGTAAAACTAAAGTTAGATCATGTCTCTCTGCTTCTCAAAATTCTCCAGTCACTCCCCATTTCATTTTCAGTAAAAGCAAAAGACCTTCCAGAGGTCAAGTGGTGAGCACATAACTCGGTCCTGGCTGGGGACAACCAAGTATATGACAGTGATTCAAACTTTTGGAAAGGTTGGTGCTCTTTGGTGCTGGACTTGGGCTGGGAGAGTGAAGGCCTGGATTCGGAAGACGCTGTTCAGCAGGTGGAGTGGGCTAGCCCAAGAGCAAAACACTGAGGAAAGGGGCTGAGAAATAGAGAGGCATCTTCTGGACTTTGTAGCTACACCATGGGCCAATATACATAACCTAGTTTGGCTTAAGGCAGATGGAGCTGTATTCTCTGTTTCCTGCAACCGGGAGTCTTAAGTACAGCAGAGGCGAAGGGAGAGGCAGAAATTGACATTCACTGAACATTTCCTTTTGGTCGGGCACCATGCTAGGTGAGTTACACTAATTATCTTATTATATTCAACCCTTTCTTTTCTTATTTGTTTACAGTTTTAGTTGATTTCCCCTACCTATAATTATCTTTCAGTTCTTCTTTGGCACATGCTTTGAAACACCTGATTAAAACTCTTATTTTCATAATAATACATTCACTTTGCCTCCCATTAATATTTATGTAAATAGTTTCTCTATGTTAATTCCTAGTTGCTCATACATTTTTTCATGTGTGTCTGTGAGAGTGTGTTTTTATTTAGACAAGAAACTTTCTGGCAGCAAAGGCAACACTTTCTATTTCTTCTTTATCTCCTCTCAGCGTCTAGTACCATTATTTGTTGTGCCCAAAGGCCTTTCTACAACATTATTTATAGTGGTTAAAAATATTATTTGCCACAGGGCACTACATTATTTATGGTGGCTTTAAAATAATTTATTTATAGTGAGCCATCTAAGAAAGATTGTGCTTATTTTATACTTCCAGAAATTTAGACAAAAACATGTAAAGTGCTTCGACAGTGTGAGGTACATTATTAAATGTTCAATAAATGGTATTATTATTATTAAGAATTCTCCCACATTAGCATATTCTGTCTTTTAATACATAACTCTATCTTTGGATACTGTCATTTATATCCACATCTTACTCCCTTTGATATACGACAAACCCCTTGATGCTGGATCACTGTGCACTGCCTATTTGTGCAAAAAAGTGTGGAAAAGTGGAAAGAACAGGAGTTCAGAATCAGACTGGACTGGATGAATCCTGAGTCTACCATAGTAGCTGGAAGATCACAGCTTGTTTATTTTATTACATGCTGAACTTCAGTTTGACCCTTCCATAAAATGAATATTGGTCACCTAACTCTTAGAACACTCATGAACAAGAAATGAGGAATTTTAAATACATACTGCCTGGTATATAGGTGGTAACTCAGCAGGTAACATTTCTTCTCCCACGGTTCTCTGCAATGTTTTGCGCAGTCCCGTGATTTTTCCTCTCAATGAAGGCAGATTGAAAACACACTGGGCTTATTTATCCATCCCACTGGAGCAGGGGACAGTGGCTTCTTCATGAGTGTCGCTAGTGCCCAGCACGGGGCCTGGCAGAGAGTAGAGGCTCCCTGACTGTTGCTGATCCAAACCTCTCACACACCTTATGTCTATATTCACCTGGAAAACAGCCCTAGACTTAGCTGATGGGTTCATTCAGGTGCCATTGTGACTTTCACTTAAAATAAAGTCATAAATATGCAGAGAAGAGATGCACACATGGATTCTGGGGAAAATGAGGATTGTGATTCTTTAAATCTCGGAGCACTCTCTGGGTTCCATGACCATGTTTAAGCTAGTTTCAAAAAAGGCACCCAGTTGAGAGTATTGAGTTGTCTTTGTGCTCACTGCGTTGCTTGGATATTGAGGAAATCTTACATTACACAATGTGCAAGTGAGCCTAATGCCTGGAGAAAGCTGGGGCTTGTGGTCTTGTCCGCGCCAAGTGCAATCTAGGCTGACTTTATCTCCATTGTTTCTCCATCGCCTCTCACTCCTCAAGAGTCACTCTTAGCAGACGTGGCAAACTGTGCCAAAGTATATGGGTGTACAAAGAAGTGGGGGGCAGGTGCTCTGTTTGGCATTGGAACATGCCAAATCGACTACACTTTGCATTTCTGGCTCTTTCATCCACCCGGTTTCCAACTCCAGGTGCTCTGCAGGTTTGGGTTTTCATCGATGCCACATGTACATTGTTTTCTGAATTTCCATTGCAGCTACTTGCATATAAATTTTTTTGATCTCTATAAAATTGATTCCAGTGTTTAACACACATTTGTACCAATGATTGAAGTACGCTTCTCAGACTCTGTGACTGCATAACATGAAGTTATTGTTTTTCTACCCAACCTTTAGATTCTAGAGTTTTAACTGATTGTTCATTGTTGTGAACCACCCGAAGGTCATGCCATTTGTCCTCAAAATAAATCAAAGCTAGATCGATGGAGTTTTAATTTCAAGTTTAAAGAAGTTGCCCCAAGTCTTCACTCACAATATAAACATTTGAAGATCACATTTAACTTTTTAAAAGTATTTTTCTCTCTCCCACTTGAGCTGGTATAATTAACATTAGTTCGACTTGACAGGACAATTCATGTGTTTGCTTCCAGAATTACAAAGAAGATGTGTAAAAAATTTGTCAAAGATGGCAAATAGAAAAGATGCTGTTATGTCATGAGAGTTCAGTATATCTCAGAGTTGATTTAATAAGCATTGGGCTCCTATGGGGAAGGAACCATTGTGTGAAAAATATGCAGTGTGCAATTAAGCTTTGTCTTCAAGGAATCTGTAATTAAGTACCTGATAGTGAGGAATAATTGGTGTGTAGAAAAAATTGCTAACAAGACCTGAAAGGCAAGTCAGTGTACTCTGCAGATTCAGTGAAGACAGCACTTTCAATTGTTCATTGGGAGGCTTCCTGGAGGAAGTGTCACTTGAAACAGGAGTTTGTTGTTTTCTCATCTCATCAGATGCTGATAAACTAGAAAGTGGTAGTGAGCTGTTCTGAAATGATCCATTTCATACCAAGTAAGCCTTACGCCAAATAATGTGTTGGAAAATAAATATATTTTGATATTTATTTATTTAACAAACATTAATTGAGCATCTACTAGGAGATACCAAGACAGACTTATTATCTGTTATTAATACGCTAATATTTATTGGGAGTAGCAGTCAAAAAAAGACGGCCAGGCACGGTGGCTCACGCCTGTAATCCCAGCACTTTGGGAGGCCGAGGCAGGCAGATGATGAGGTCAGGAGATAGAGACCATCCTGACTAACACAGTGAAACCCCGTCTCTACTAAAAATACAAAAAATTAGCTGGGCGTGGTGGCACACGCCTGTAGTCCCAGCTACTCAAGAGGCTGAGGCAATCGAATTGCTTGAACCCGGGAGGCAGAGGTTGCAGTGAGCCAAGATTGGGCCACTGCACTTCAGCCTGGGCAACAGAGCGAGACTCCATCTCAAAAAAAAAAAAAAGTATATATATATCAAGTGACACGAGAGGTGAGTATTGTGATGAAAATGGCATAGAAGGATGACAGAAGTCCCGTGATCTTGCCTCCCCCACTTCCTGTCTGGGAACATACAGGGTTTGTTGTAGTCTGTCTCAAAACTTTGAAAACAAGTTTTCAAGAGTTAGAAAAGGATTGTTTGGTTTGCAGTTGCTGCTGTTTCCAAATGAAGGATGACTGTACCTCATTTCACATTAAAATAGGGATGGTACTTGAGTACCCTCTGATGTTTGGGGCCATGACCTACAATTTCCTAGCTGTGGGTGTCTCTGCTGTCTAAATCAGACCTTGCATATTTGTACACAGGAGATCACCAGAATCGTTTGTCTCAAGGTCAAACACGTCACAGAAGTGTATTTCCCCTCAGATTTTTGGGAAACAGTCTCTAGTGCTCTAATCCACTGTGTCCCTCTGTCCGTCATAGAATAGAAGGATTGGGATACCTAATAAGAGCTTCTAATGCAAGGAGTTATTTTTCATGAGCATAATGATTAATTAAGTTAGAACCTCAAAGGATATTTTAACCCACACACTTTGGGTTTTCTGTCTTGGGAGACCTGGATGGCTATTGTCCCTGGTCCCTCCATGCTCATCCCCACACTTCCCACCCTGCTCCCTCCTCAGACTTCAGGCCGGGTTCTGTGATGGGAGGTCCTGCGGGGTGTGGAACAGGAGGAAGGGCGTGGAGTTGCTGTGTTGAATTCCTGATCCCTCTGTTTCTCCCTGCACAGTTGCTGTCGGGACAAGTGTGCCTATCTCAAAAGCTCCAGCCCCTGCTAGGGGCTTTCCAGACAGTCCTCCTCCTTCCCCCTGACCCCCTACTCTCCCTCCTTGCTCTGCCTGGGATATTCCATGATTCCTCACTGATTCCCACATCCTGCTCACACCTTTGCAGTCTCTTTATATAACACTCCTCACATTACCCGGCTTGAGCGTGCCATCTGTTTCCCACCAGGACCCTGACTGATACACAGAAAACCTAGATTTGTGAGTTGAGCTACACATTTGTGCTAGAAATCAGAAATTTGTTTTGCTTTGTACCCTATAAGTCAGATTGGTTTCCACTCAGTATTCTCACACTTTTATATTTGTCCCAGAAAACAAAGTTGAATGACTACTTAGGTATAGGAAAAGATGATCATTTTGTTTCAATTTAAAAAGCATTACCCTATAATATGGAGTGAGGACCTATTTTTAGATGGCTGGGTGGGATGAGCTCAAACTCTATGCAACATCTTTGAGTAAGTTACATTAACAGAACGTCAGAGTAATACATTATCATATTTTATTGGTTAGCAGTAGGTTTAGCTGGGAGAAACAAAAACTTAAAATACAGTGATTAATAAAGGTAAAAAGGCATGTCTTAATCACACGAAGGTTAGAAGGTTGGCAGTTCAGGACAGTTATGGCAGCTTTACCCCACAAAGCCTTCAGGACACAGGCTGTCTACCACGTCTCCACCAGTGGGAAGGATAAAAGGCAAAGAAGAAGGGAAGGGAGAAAGAAGAAGGAGATATTGTCAAGGGCTGCAACATGGATGAACCTGGAGGACTTTGTGATCTCCAGATTTAACAAAAAACGAGCAAGGCATGGAAAGGCAAATACGGTACAGTCTCACTCATATGTGGAATCCAGAAGTGCAGAGGAGCATAGTGGTGACTAGAGAATGGTTGGGGCGTGGGGGTTGGGCATGGGGGAGATGTTGGTCAAAGGGTACAAAACTTCAGCTAGAAGAAATCAGTTTGAGAGATCTATTGTACAATATGGTATTGTAAATACATTGCATCCTTGGAAAATGCTAAGACAGTGGGTGTTGTGTTCCCAGAACACAAATGATAACTATATCTAATAATAATATGTTGATTAGCTAGATTTAGTCATTTCACAATGTATATATACTTCACAACTTCATACTGTACATGATAAATATATACAATTTTTTTTGAGGTGGAGTTTTGCATTTTTTTGCTCAGGCTGAAGTGCAATGGCACGATCTCGGCTCACTGCAACCTCTGCCTCCCGGGTTCAAGCAATTCTTCTACCTCAGCCTCCCGAGTAGCTGGGATTACAGGCGCACACCACCATGCCTAGATAATTTTGTATTTTTAGTAGATAGAGGGTTTCACCATGTTGGCCAGGCTGGTCTCGAACTCAGGTGATATGCCCGCCTCGGCTTCCCGAAGTGCTGGGATTACAGGCGTGAGCCACCGCACCCAGCTGAAATATACACAGTTTTATCTGTCAGATAAACATTTTTTTAAAAAATAGAAGAAGACAGGACAGTGGTGGGGCATGTCTGCTGTTTTGAACCAAGATGTTCAGAAGCTGCCGATGCTTGGGCTTTCTCTTGTTCAAAGCAAAGCCTCATGGTCTTCCTTAGTTCCAATGAGGCTGAAAGATGCAGTCCTTATCTGAGGCATCCACTTGCCTTGCTCTTAACTGTAGAACTGAGAGAACTGGGGTTTGTAAATCATTTCTATAAAGGATCAGATATAAAATATTTTAGGTTTTGTGAGCCACATGTGATACTTATTTCTCCTCTCCTTTTCCTCCCCTTCTTTCATCTCTTCCTTCCCTTTCCTCCACACTTAAAAAATGTGAAAACCAGTTCGTGAGCCACTCAAAACCAGGGTGTAGTCCACATCTGGCTCATGGACCATAGTTTGCCCACCTCAGTTTCTTCATCTGTAAAATGAAAAAAATGGTGGTACACATCTATATTTAAATATATATGGTCTTAATATATGTCTACATTAAGATTAAATCAACTCATCTAAAGAAATTGGATTAGTGCCTGGCACTCTGGAAACAGTCTGTGCTGCTGTGAGAAGGAAGTCTGCACTGATCAAGTGCACATGCTCAAAGCCAGAGGAGGTGGATTTGAATCCAGGCTCCACCATTTCCCCAGATGGGTTTCCCTGGGCAGTTTCTTTAACATCTCTGTGCCTCAGCTTCTTCATTTTTCTCTTTGAGTTGTTGTGGGAATTAATGCATAAAACTTCCTAGAATAGTGCCTGGGATACAGTAAGTAGTCATTAATGGCTAACTATTCATACCATACCCCGTGTTTTTATTTATGAATTTTAGAAAATATCTATTGGCTCACCAACAAGAAAAATGAGGAAAAATCACCTTTATTCTATCCCTCTCTCCTCTCTCTTCATCCCAATGTTTGATATATAAATATTTTTAGTTCTTCTATTGATTACTTTGACATTGCCTATAATGTATTTGAACTGTTCTGGTCCATATCAATAACGCCATTCTCTAGCAACACCCTGCTTTGTAAGACGAGTATAAGCGCCTCTGCTGTTTCCTCTGTTTTTCTGTCTTCCATATCCCACTTCTCATCAATTTATACTTTCAGAATGTTGAGGAATGTCTGCATTCCATCTTGTAGTCACAACCAAGCTTTTCCTGCTTTTACAGTAAAGCTATTTATATTTTATGTCATCATAACCTTACAGATTTACTATTTATATTATTTATTACTTCTTACTTATTATTTCTTACTTACTATTTATGTCACCATAACCTTACAAATAATATTTTGTTCTAGACCAAGAGGCATTGTGCCAGGACTACATAGCTACCTTCCTGTGCCCAATGCTCTGACTGCTGGATCACTCTAGGGAGATTGTTTCCAGCATCAAGGTCAAATGAACTCTTTTCTTACACACCTTTTATTTCTTCAAATGAAACCACAGTTTAAATTGCTTTTTACTTAGACCATGGTTTTGTTTATATTTTTTGGATTTTACAGAATTTCTCTTTGCTTTCCCCTACTCCAGCCGTTTCCTCCTTTCTCCCCCAGAGATTGTTCATCTCCCATTGTTTTTTCCTAAAATCATACCACTCATTCCATTTAGTCCTTCTCCATCTCTCCCCACCCTCGAAACCTTTCTATCCTCTTGAATCCACAGCTATCTGAAAATGTCTTTATTTTGATCTCACACTTGAAGTTTTGCTGGAGCTAACATTCTAGGTTAAAAAAAATATTTTCCTTCAAAGCTTTTAAGGTACTATTCTACTAACTTGTAGCAACAGTGTGGCTAGCGAGAAGGCTGATGCAGTTGTGTTTATCATTGCTTTACAGTTGGCTTTATTTTTCCTACTGGAGCTCGTGATGCTCTGACATGTGATGATAATGCGTGTGGGTCGTCACATTGTTTATTTATTGAGCTGCCCACTAGGGGCCTTGTGGTCTGGAAATTCAACTCTTCTTTCACTATGGGAAATTCTTTTATTGTCATTTCCTCCTTTCTACTTTCTCAGTTTTTCAAGGGATTTTTTCATTGTATATTGGAACTTTTGGACTGGTCTCATCTTTTATCTCATATTCTTGGTCTTTGTGTCTTTTTATTTTACATAATATAAAATTTTCTTTTTTCTTGACTTTGTGTTTTAGGGCTTCTCTTCAAATTTTTATTTTGGCAATTCCATATTTAAATTTTCAGAGAGTCCTCTTATTTTCGTTTAAAACTTTTAACTTAAAGTGTAATAATAATAAATAAATAAAATAAAATAAATTTTACATATGGCCTTTTTCTCATTGTGTGAATATAATATGTCACCTACTGTTTTTAATTTTATTATTTGGGGTTTTTAGTTTTTCATTTTTATTATGTTCCCTGAATTTACTCTAATTCCTCTGGGGTCAGTTTTTCCATTGATATATTTGATCTTTCTCTTTCTAGAGATTATTTTTTCATATAACTAATGATCTGTTTATGATTTCTTGGGTAGAAAGTATAACTTTTCTTTGTTTTTATATATTTAAGATATTTTTGAAATTCTGTATCTCTCCTTTGAGTAGAAATTCTGGCTGAAGATTCTGGGCAGAGTAGAGAAGGGTTTAATCACTAGGAATCTTTGCTTTCTAGTAAGCAGATAAGAAAGGAGTCAAGCCGAGGCCCTACCAAATGTCAGAATACGAAGGCTTTTCCCTGGAGGTAGAAATGCATACATGAGATGTCTTGGAGCTTCCCAGACACTTAATGACAAGTCTTTAGAGGACAGCTGTCATGCTTTGCCTGTGTAGACATTCCAACTTCACATCCTCTATAGGCGTGGTTGGAAGAGCTGGGTTGGAGATGAAGGCAGCTGGGACGGCTGCAGGTTTACTTCTGCTTACACCATCCCCATCACTCTTAGACTCACTGGAGTTTGTCAGATATACTGGTATCATCTCTTCTGCAGCCTCTTAACAGAACCTTCTGGGCCACAGCTTTCTCCCTGCATTTCATGCATCCATCCTCTCTCATCTGCTTTTCATTTTCTTGAAATATGGTGAAGTCATCGTTCATTGCCAAGCCCTCTGCAATTGTTGATGTGAAGTTCTTTCCTTTTTCTTTAATCAGTTTTAACATTCATTTCTGTGGGGTATCAGGAAGGATAAGAGACAAATCTGGATGACTAATTTGTCATCTAGATCCCCAAGTCTAGGTTTATCTTTTAAATTGAAAAGTAAGTGATATTGTTATGATGAGTACGTCCTGGAGATCTAGTGTACAGCATGGTGGGTATAGTAAATAATAATAAATACTTGAAACATTTTTAAAAGAAAAAGAAAAGTGATATTTTTCCTAGTTTTGGTTTGTTTGGAAATTAAAGAATATGTTATAATTATATGTATTGAGAAAGCCTAACGTATCAGCCAAGCACATAAACTTTGGAGTCAAAGTCACTTAAGCTCAAATTCAGTGACTGCCATATTGTAACATCTCAGGTTTCTTCTTTATACAATGGGAATAACAATGATAATAATAATAACAATAATACATACCTTACAATCAAATAATAAAATAAAGTGCTAAACATGGTTATTGGCACATGGTAAAACTTGCAAAGTTATCAGCTTTATTATTATTTATTAAAACTTTATAGTTAAATGTGTATATTAACTACAAAATGTTAATAATCTCAGGTGATGTATCTATTTTGATATGTTACTGATTAAGATCCTCCCTCATTAGAAATGGCAGTTATTGGCTGGGCACGGTGGCTCATGCCTGTAATCCCAACACTTTGGGAGGCTGAGGCAGGCGGATCACCTGAGGTCAGGGGTTCGTGACCAGCCTGGCCAACATGGTGAAACTCTGTCTCTATTAAAAATACAAAAATTAGTGGAGCGAGGTGGTGGGCCCCCGTAATCCCAGCTACTTGGGAGGCTGAGGCAGGAGAATGGCTTGAACCCGGGAGGTGGAGGTTGCAGTGAGCCGAGATCCTGCCATTGCACTCTAGCCTGGGCAACAACAGTGAAACTCCATTTCAAAAAAAAAAAAGGCTATTATTGTAGGGGGCTTTAATCAGATTTACTGCATTTCATCAGGGACATAAGACACTTTCCATGCTCCTGTTTAAACTATTCTAACATTTTTCTACATCTTAAAAAATGGCAAGACTCTAATACACACATTGTATTAGTTTTGAAAAAATAAGGCTTCTTTTATAATATCTTGCTCTTTATTAATTGGCTGAACTACTTAGAATGCTTTGGGGGCACATTAAAATTCTACATAAAAGGAGTCTTAATAACTTTTTGATAATAACAAAAGTTCTGACTAAATTTAAATTGATTTCGTACCTTAGTATTAATAGCTGTACAGCTATTATATAGCTATTAATGATGACACAGCTATTATAATTACAGCTATTATAATAAATGAGGGAATTATTTTATTGGTTAAACATTACATTATCATCTGCATAAAATGGTAATTTTTTGCTGCTTGAAAATACTTTATTAGCATAGCCACACTGTGTGTTTATGTTAGCTGAGAATACCTTCCCAATAGAGTATAATATTTCCTTTAAAATAGCAGGAAATGTTAATACTTTCCAGTGAAAATATAAATAAGTACTTAAAATACCTTTAAAAGTATTTTAGGGATGTGTTGTCTGGGTTTGAAAAGAAATGTTTTGCAAATCTGTAATTAAATAAGGTAATCCCATTATTCTACTTAGCTTCTTAGCTTGCTGAGTGGTATCTGTGTATCAGAAATTGTTGATTCATAGCGACCATTTTAATCCTGTGGTGATACTTTTAATTCACTTACAAGTGACTCTCTGTGTGAAAGGTCATAGCTGCTCTGTCCTTTATGGTCAGCGATGGCTCCACTGCGTGTGAGGGATTTGGTTTTTGGCCACGGGGACTTTGCTCGGAGGACTAATGGAACTTTTATAAAGCCAGCACGGTCCCCACCGTTTGTTCTTAGGGGAGATTTTATAATCAAGCTTTAATGACAGAAACGTCTATGGTTGGTACATTCAAGGACATCGTTTCCAGCTCTGTGAGTAAAAGATATGATCACCTCATATAAAGTAGGAAGGGAGATGAGGAGCGTGAACTTGAACTGCGCATCTGGGAGCAGTTCAGGCACGGTGCTCTGTGAAATACGGTAGTAAAACCCAACTCTCCTGAAGCTTTATTGTCTGGCGGGTTAGTAACGGCCTGGTTTATTTCCATACGCAGGGCATTCACTTGCCCTCCTCACCCCCACCTCTGCCCTGGCTAAAGAGCTTTACTTCCTTGAAAGCTCTTTCTGAGCCCTCCAGTCTCTTGTTTATGATAGGCACCTCTTCCTCATCCTGCTGACAAACGCTGCACCTGCTTGCTTCGTCAGTTCAAGAGCTTTGGAGCTGTTGACATTTTGAGTCATTCTATTTTGATGACTGTAGGCAACGTATTTCCAGATTGATACCTCCCTCATCCATATGTCTCTCCCTCACACAAAAATGAAAATATACCTTGTTCTTTCGTTTTGCCATTCACTTTTGTATGACACTTACAAAGGTCAACATCCAAAAAGATTATTGCCTTGTGTAATATAGTTGTGCAGTGGTGATGGGGAAACATATCTTGTCTCGGGATTTTATAAAATGTTCTCAGGAGAGCAACAGTCAATTGAGGTGGATGAAACAGAGTCCTGGGTTCTAGTGCCCTGCTACTCAAACTGCAGGCCCTGGACCAGCAGTTTCAACGTCTTTTCACAGCCCATTAGAAATGCAGAGTCTCAGGAACCACCCCAGATCTCCTGCATCAGAGTGCTTCTTGCAGGCCCCTGGGAGGTTTGTGTGCACGCTGAAATTTGATATGTGCTGCCCAGCTGGCTGAGGCGCATAAGGTTGTTTCTAGAAATGTCACATCTGATGAAAGACTTTACAACAAAATAAACTAACACTCATGTTCTCATCTCCATCGTGGTCTGGAACATCATAAACCATAATGTTTGTTGAATGAATAAACAAAAGACCTGGACTGCTCTTTAGCAACAGCAGTTGGTCTCCTAGATGGTCTTGTAATATTTGGGGGTGAGAGTTATATGGAGTCATATATAAGATCGTAGAGTCTTTTTCTTTTTTCTTTCTTTTGGCTTCATTTTTGTTCTGGATTCCTCCCATGAATATGATTTCTTTTTGTTTCTTTTTGGCTCTGAATACAACGTATTTTTTAAATTGACAAGTAAAAATTGTACATATTTATGGTGTAAAACATGATGTTTTGATATGTGTATACATTGTGGAAGGGCTAAATCAAGCTATTTAGCATATGCATGACCTCACATATTTATCATTTGTTTTGTGGTGTGAACACTTAAAAGCTACTCTCTTAGGAACACTAAAAAGTAATCAGTATACTGTTATTAACTGCAGTTACTATGATGTGTAATAGATCTTTTGAATGTATTCCTTCTGTCTACTTGAAATTTTGTGTCCTTTGACCAGCATCTCCCCAATCCCTCCAGCAGATTTCTATTTTCCTTAAATACAAGGAGGTGGGTGCTCTTTGGCAGCCCATGAGGGGATCCTCCACACCAGCTGTCCCCTCCCCTGGGCCAGGCAGTGGGGAGCTGGGAGCCTAAGGGGCAGAGGCTGCTCTGTGTCCGACAGTACAGCTCTGAAAGCCACGGATCTTGGATGCAGAGCTGCAGCATTGAGTGGGAAGTGCAAGGAAAATCTCACTATTCTATCAAAGTGAATCTCAGAGAACACACACCAACTCTTACTTATAGCAAAATTCTGACCACAGACTTTTTGGGGATAATTTAAAAATCTGGACATATGTTGGAATATGATATAAATTCTAACATTGGTTGAAGGACCCTTGTGATGACCTTGGGCCCTCCTGGATGCCCCAGGATAATCCCTTCATCTGAAGGTCAGCTGATTAGCAGCCTTGATTGCCCTTTGCCATGCAAGGCAACGCAGTCTTCATTTCCAGGGATTAGGATGCGGACTTCTTTAGGAAGCTGTTACTCTGCTCAACACAAATAGATGTGCAGAAAAGGTCTCCAAGTCTTAGCAAATTTTTAGACATTTTAGATTCTTTCCTTCAGTGTCTTAAGAAGTTGAACCTAATTTGCATGTATTTCAACTCAAAGTCAACCGTATCATCCTGATGGAAGCCAGGTGGAAGACCTGTGTTTTATCCCTTTCCACGTGTTTGATTTTGGGGTCTCCAAAGTGAAAAGCAAAAACAAAAACAAAAACAAAACACAAAACTTTAACTTTTTTAAGGGGAGTGGATGGCAATTTATTTTGTGTGAACTAAGATGCCTGGTAAGCTGCATTTTCTCATGTGAACTACAGGGTGCAGTTTGATTAGGGGGGTTGCAGTTAGAAGAGAATAGACTTTCCTAGTATTTAGCATGATTTAGGGTAACTGCCAATCTCATTCACTCCTGTATTTTCACACTTTTGGCCCCAGAACTCCAGGAAATCTTTTCAGTTGTGCCCATTTTAAACTCAGGAAAGAGGCATAGAAACTCTAAGTTCTTTTGTGAAACGTTTCTTGGAACTAGCCCTTCTCATTGTTGCTAAGGTTCACTGCAGGCACTTCGCGGTTTTTTGTTTCTCACTACACAATTAAGACGAGTTTGGTGACAACAGGGAGGTATATTTGAACTTTGGAAGTAGGTGGAGAACAAACAGCACTCCTTTTCCTTGTGTAGACAGCACTAGAGTGTGTCTTAAGGAAAGTAGCTCGTGTTTTCTAGCAGTTCTGTGGGGTGAGTGGCAAGGGGACAGATAACAAAGTGAGTGGAGAAATTTTTATTTTTTATTTGAGAATGAGTGCGAATCATCTATCTTTTCTGCACTGAGGTACAAATGAAATCATACCCAGGTGATATCACAGGCCACTGACACATGATGAAAACCCCGTGATAGACTTTTTGAAACATTAAAATGTGGCTCTTCTGCACTTTGTCCGTGTGGTCATAGAGCCACGTCTTGTCTCTGAGTTTCCTGCACTGGATCCAGGCCCACAGTAGGGGAGGAGCAGAAGGAAGACTGAGTAGTTCTCTGTTTATTCATATGAGTCAGGAACAAATATAAGCTTCAGGGCACATAAAACGTACACCAGTGAAATGTGCCAGGGCTTAAAGAATTGTTGGTCTGGTATTGATGGGAATAGTTCTGTGCTTTAGCTTTATAAAGGCTTTGAAATAATTTCAGTGTTGGAATAATGTTGTAACTCTTTCTTAGAGTTGAGGCTCAGGGTCTGGCTGAATAGCCACACCCTGGCTGTGTGCCAAAAGATGGCATTGAGCTTCGAAGCAAATTTGCATTATTAACTTGCCTTTGCTTTTAGTCAGTATATATATGAAGAAATAAGACTTTGAATCTAGGAAGCCCTACAATCTTGTGTGTAACATAACCCAACTTCATGCTATTTAACACTTTACAGCAAAATTAATCCAGGGTTAAAGGCAAAGCAATGTAACTTACGGAAAACAGCAGTGGTAAAACATTATTTGGCAAATTATTTAAAATGCTCCTAATGCCAATATCAAAGGGTGAGAAAACTTAATAGGCGTGGGAAGAGAAGAGCAATTAAAGGTGTCAAAAGATCCACAAAAATGAGTAGCATCCAAATAACTAAAATAGAACTCGGAAAGGGGTGACATGGGAAAGGAGAGATGACAGCTCAGAGCAGTGGCCCCTGAGCACCCTTTGTGTGGCCACGAGGAGTGGCCTTGGGCTGGCCCCAAGCCCAGCAGAGGGTGAAGCGATGGTGCGGAAGGAGTGAGCTCAGCCGTCTTTAGACCTCAGACCTCGGACCTCAGCCCAGTGTTTTGCCACTGTACACAGGGCAGAAGCCATCAGGCAAGTCTGTGGAGCTGGGGGCTCCTTAAAATTCAAAACTTGTGTGGAGGCAGGATTCTGAGGTGGCCCCCAAGATCTGCGAACCCTGCTGTACGTGCCCTGCAGGATCTGGAACTGTGAGCAGGACAGAGCTTACCTCCATGGTGAGGTTTTGTCGTGTGGTACAGTCGGTTTAGGAAGGGAGTTTATCCCCAGTGGCCTGACCGAATGTCCTGAGCCCTTGAGATCTGGGTCTAGAGGTTGGGAAGGAACACGTCAGAGAAGCCCAGAGGGAGAGGAGTTTGATGTGAGAGAGTTTTCTGTAGTTGACTTTGAGGATGGGGGTCCACATAGTAAGGACTGAGAATGGCCTCTTGGGGCTCAGAGCAGCCTGGTGCCAGCCAGCAAGAGAACAGGGACTCAGTCCTACAGCTACAGGAGTGAACCCTGCCACAGCCTGGATGGGCTTGGAAGAGGTTTCCAGCCCCAGATGACCTCAGATCCTGCCAAAGCCTTGATTTTGGACTCATGAAACCCTAAGCAGAGAACCCAGCCACTTTGCAAGTGAACTTCTGACTTAAAGAACTGTGAGCTACTTGGGAGGCTGAGGTGGGAGGGTCGCTTGAGGCCCAAGTTTGAGATTAGTCTGGGCAACATACTGAGACCCTGTCTCCCCCAGCACAAAAAAATTTTAAAAATAGCTGGGTTTGGTAGCTTGTGCCTGTAGTCTCAGCTATTCAGGAGACTGAGGTAGGAGGATTGACTGAGCTCAGAAGGTTGAGGCTGTAGTGGGCTGTGATTGGGCACTGCACTCTAGCCTGGGTGACAGAGCAAGACATTATCTTTAAAAAAAAAGAAAGAGAAACAGAAAAAAAAGAGGCCAGGTGTGATGGCTCACACCTGTAATCCCAGCATTTTGGGAGGCCAAGGCGGGCAAATCACTTTAGTCCAGGAGTTTGAGACCAGCCTGGGCAACATGGCAAAACCCTGTCTCTACTAAAAATACAAAAATTAGCTAGGGGTGGTGGCCTGTGCCTGTGGTCCCAGCTACTCTGGAGGCTGAGGTGGGAGGATCACCTGTGCCCAGGAGGTCGAGGCTGCAGTGAACTGAGATGTACCAATCTACCTTGGATACTGAGGGATGACTGTAATTCCTATAATTCATAAAATATTTTATATCAAAATTATAGATTTTAATTTTGTATTAGGAATCCCCAGAAGATATGCCATTAAAAAGGATGTCTGGCCGGGCACGGTGGCTCATGCCTGTAATCCCAGTACTTTGGGAGGCCGAGGTGGGCGGATCATCTGAGGTCAGGAGTTTGAGACCAGCCTGGCCAACATGGTGAAACTCTATCTCTACTAAATATACAAAATTAGCCAGACATGGTGGCACATGCCTGTAATCCCAGCTACTCAGGAGGCTGAGGCAGGATAATTGCTTGTACACAGGAGTTGGAGGTTGCAGTGAGCCGAGAACATGCCATTGCACTCCAGCCTGGGCAACAAAAGTGACACTCTGTCTCAAAAATGAATAAATAAATAAATGAATAAAATTTAAAAGGAAGTCCTTGAAATAGATGTAGCCATATTCCCTACATAAAGATGCCATCTAATTCATCCTGACATTCTTAAACTGGTAGATATTGTCACCAAATATAAAGGGTATGGGCTATAGTTGTAGGTCAGTTTGAACTTAAAACTTGGGAAACAGAAGGAAAACCTCTTAGGCTGTAGCTAGTTACAATTATTCACACAGCCATTCTTCATGACCACTGGCGAGTGAAGAAAGGTTTTGTACACCCACTGCATCTGAGGCTGAGGTGCCCTGCAATGCAGCTTACTGAGGGCTTTGATGTAGATAGAGAAGCTTTGGTATCCCTGAGAAACGCCAACTCTATCAGCAATAAAGGCAGTTGATGGCTTAGCCCGAATAAATTAGTTACAAGACAGCATGTGATATATCTTTCTGGGTTTAGCCCCACACCTTCACACTGCTCATCTGAGGTATTTCCCTGACACACATGGGAGAGACTAAGTAATTGAACCATCAGTGAATGGAGCTATATAGATACATCACCAGTCTGAGTCCTTCGAGCCAATAGTGGAATAGTTTTCTTTTAAACCCCATTCAGAGTGACTTTGGCTCATTTCTTCTTTTCACTCGTCCAGGGTGGAAAGATAGAGAGAGTACTTGCAGTTTCCACTCACTAGTAGACAGGCATAATAATAATCAAAGAACATGAAACTGAAGCCAAAACCTTTGCCAGACGAAGAGAAACAAATTGCACCGAAAAATCATCCCAGACTTCCTGGCGGTTGCAGTGGCAGCTCTTGTTATTGTATTTCTCAGCCCCATCTTTCTGTTTTTCTTATGGCAAATGTCACATTGTTGACTTTCCATCGTGTAATGTCAAAAAGAATGATCATTAAGCAACCTTTTGAAAAAACAAACATCTTTACTTGGTCTATGAAAGATCTGGAATAAAGAAATTTCTGAAAATGTTTTCTGCATATTTCAATGGAGTGGGCACTTAAAAAGGCGATGTTATTCTGAAAGCACTAGTTGATTGTTAGAAACTGGTTGCATTACTTTTTGTCAAAATCATACACAATGAAGGTAGATGGTTTTCCTATTATTTTAAGCATAGAAAAAATATTTTATGAATGACTAAGGATTGTGACAGAAACTACAGAAGGGGCATGGTAGGGGTCACTCTGAGCCTCAGGGCTTACAACCCCCACCTGCGTACACCACGCTGGAGTGTCAGAAAGTGTGGTCTTTTTTAAAAAAATTAATTGATTATATTTCATTAACAGACACAAGCATGGCTCCTTGCCCAATTCCAGTGTTTGTATATTTTCTGTCTTAATAAATATGCATGTATCACTGACAAGCTAGGAAGCAAGACGTCACTAGGTCTACCCGCTTCCCATCTCACCCAACCTCACTTGGGAATAGAGGAAACCTATGGGAAGGCTCTTCCCGAGTTCCTCCTTCTCCAGTTAATACTGGTGCCATTGCTTTTATCCAGCTAGCTATGCTCATCTTTCCTTTCTTCCCGACTATGGGAGAGCAGAAAATGTAGACCTGGCTCCTGAGATGGCTCTGTGAATTTTCTTGTATTTTCACCTAAATAATCCAAGAAGCAGGCTGGTGTGGTGGCTCACACCTGTAATCCCAGCACTTTGAGAGGCCAAGGTGGGCAGATCACTTGATGCCAGGAGTTTGAGACCAGCCTGGTCAACATAGTGAAACCCCATCTCTACTGCAAATAGAAAAAATTAGCTGAGTGTGGTGGTGCGCACCTGTAATTCCACCTACCTGGGAGGCTTGAGGCAGGAGAATCGCTTGAACCCGGAAGGCAGAGGTTGCAGTGAGCCGAGATTGTGGCATTGCCCTCCAGCCTGGGCAACAGAGGGAGACTCTGTCTCAAAAATAATAATTAATAATAATAATAATCCAAGAAGCAGTGGGGACATTGATGAAGAATCCCATCCACTGCATTTCTGTTTACTAGTGCCTCCTGAGATAGGAGTTAACTAGGTGAAGAGGGCTTGAAGGAGTATTCTCTGGGAAGAATAGACAAGATGGGCTGCAGGGAAGGGGAGATAATGGGACAAGAGGGGAGACAGATGGGGGCCACAGAGGCTGAACTTGTAGGCCATGTGGAGATTATTGCTTCTATTCTAACAGCACCGGGAGGCCTCTGAAGTGTGTAATTGGAGGGTGAAGGGAGGTGCTTACGGAGGACACCTTGTTGGCTGCAGTATGGAGAATGAATTAAAGGAGGGAACAGAGAGGATATCCAATCAGGAGGATATTCCAAGGTCCCAAGGTTCCAAGGTTCCAAAGCAAGAGGTGGTATAGGTTGAGCATCCCTAATGCAAAAATCTGAAATCTGAAATCCTCCAAAATCCAAAACTTTTTGAGTGCTGACATGACACCACAGGTAGAAAACTTCAAACATAAGTACTTAATACAAACTTTAATTCATGTGCAAAATTACCAGAAATATTGTGTAAGATCACCTTCAGGCTATGTGAATAAAGCATATATGAAACATATATGAAATCCGTGCTTTGATTTGTGTCTTATCCCCAAGATATCTTATTATGTATATGCAAAATATTCCAAAATACTAAAGTATCTGAAATTTGAAACTTTTCTGGTCCCAACCATTTTGGATAAGGAATAATTCACCTGTATTCCCTTGGGTTTGGGAGGAGGTGGAACAGAGAGGATTGGTGGTGGATCCCTGAGGCAGGCGAGAGGGAGGGAGATGTCAAGGAAGATTCCTGGATCTTGGGGTGGTTATGCTATTCTCAGGAACCTAGAACCTTGGAAAAGAATATTTACTTATTTAAAATTTTACTTTGTTTCAGGTAGAGAGCTTGCATTCCATTTTGGATGTATTAAGTTTAGGGTTCATTTTAGAAAATCAAGAGATGTCTGAAGTCATAAGATAGCTGATTTCTCTATTGCCTGGTGGGAAAAAAATAAGAAAATAAGGTAAAATTCTAGAAATAAAATTCTACAGTGTTAAGGCAAAAATCAGAGAAATTTCCAATTCAATTTTCAAGATACTCTTTCACATACTATAATTTTGTTATTTTTTCAACAAATTGTGGCAACATTTGCATTTTCATGATGACTTTTGAGACAAGAAAAGGGACGGTGGTGACAGAAGGTGGGTGGAGCAAGCTTGGAGTTAGCTCTGCAGGTCGGCATGCGGGAATGGGCAGTTGGTGAAGGGTTCCTTCTGAGTCCTTGGATTTGCTGAGAGAAATGAGCAACGTGGAGCAGGTGAGCTGGTTCGATCCAGTCCTTGGAACCATAACAGCCAATGGAGAGAAAATACAGAGGTAGCTTTAAGGAAAACATTTTTTTTTTCACAGTTCCCTTTGGAAGACATACCATTTAGCTTGATTTTTGGGCAGAGAGACAGAAAAAGCCCCATAGTCCCTCTTAAACCTCAATCCTTGGAAACATAATTTATCAGATCCTTAAAATGAGGCAGATATTTTCCTACAAGAATGTCCTGTATACCACAAAAAGAAAACTAAATAAAAGTTCAGTATCTGTCTAGTTATCCTTGTATACATTTAAATTTTCTAGTGGTATCATTGCATGATCCAGATTTCTACAAGGAAGAGTGATCTTTCTATGGAAATTTCAAAGGTGAGTTACACATGTGGGTGCTTTCCTTTTCAGCCAAAACACATACTAGTAAGAACAATTGTAAATCAGGTGAAATAATTTTCTTCCTTCCCATTTCAAACCATACTATCAAGGGAGAATTAGGAAACAGAATTTGCCAAACGTAACATTTTTTAGTGAAAATTTGTTTATTTATGTCTTTATTAAATTAGAGAATGAAAGCAGCAAATAGAGATAAGCTAAATATTGTTGGCTAAAGTGTAGAAGAAAGATTCAAATTATTTCAACTAAATAGGGATTCTGTGGCATCAAATATCCGGCAGAGAATATAAAACAAAGGTTTAAATGTACAGCATGTGTCTGTTCTCAGGGCCATCAAACTGCATTTTTATCACCTCGTCTGAGAGAGCAAAGGGCCTCTCCTGCGATATCTGAGTGCTGCCCTGTAGCTGACAGGTGTCTCTCCTGGGATAGGGCTGACCCACTCCCCCAGAACAATTCTGTTTCACAGAAGTGGAGCCCATTGGCTTTTCTGAGACTTTGCAGAAACTTGTCTATTTCTTCTGATAAAAGCAATAAACTTGTGCAATTATTAATACTCAATACATGTACAAGTGAGATATTCTATTTGGCGTGGCCCAGTTTCAGTAGCAAGAGAGCCATACTTTCCTGGGACTGAAAGATTCACATATTGTACACAATAGTTTTTAATGAAAGTAGGCACAATTTCAAAGTTTATCAAATATAAAGAAAGTACTAGAAAAGTATGTTCCTCTTTTTCTTTTCTGGAACTTATTTTTCTTATTTTCAGGTTTCCTTTATCTCTTCCCTGGCTTCGCCCCCACCCCAGTTTTCTTTCCCTGACTTTACTTTGGCATTGCCTTTTTCTATCATTTGCTCCTTTCAAGAATCTTATTGTTCTCAGAGTTCTTTCTTCTTCTTCACAACATTTTTTTCTGTTTCCTTTCAACTGAAACTACAACCTATTGGTTCAGCCCACTGGCTTGCTAGGTAAGAAAATGTGTCTGACTCATTGGCTAAATATAGGTGCCCCTGCTGAGCTGGTTGCTTTCTTTAAAGAATTCTCAGTGGTGTTCTCTCAGCTGCTTGTCTTTTCTATTTAACCTTTTTTTTTTTTTTAATAGAAAATGCTATGCAGGTCTTATTTAGTAGAATGATTAGTTATAGAAGAAACTGCAGAAAACTTTCCCTTGAGAAACGTTTAGGATAACCTAGCTGAAGAATTTCCTCTTTAATACCTCAAATATGTATCTCACTTTACATATTTGAGCTCATCAATGGCTCAAAGCAAAGTTGAGTCTCTCCTCTGGCCCAAGAAGGTGGACATCAGCTTGATGGATGAGAACTTGGGCTCTAGAGTCTGACAGACTTGTATCTGAATCCCACCTCAGTTTATGTTGTTCTATGTTTGGGGCAAGTGATTCAGCCTCCCCAAGAGCCAGTATGCTCAGCTGCAAAATGGAGATAATAATTAGGTCCTCCAGGGTTGTTGAAATGATTAGTTCTATGTGCCTTGTGCATAGGCAGGACCCATTGGTCATATATATATATATTTTGTTTGTTTGTTTTTTGACAGAGTCTTGCTCTGTTGCCCAGGCTGGAATGCAGTGGCACAATCTCGGCTCACTGCAACCTCTGCCTCCCAGGTTCAAGCGATTCTCCCGCCTCAGCCTCCTGAGTAGCTGGGATTACAGGCATGCGCCACCACGCCTGGCTAATTTTTGTATTTTTAGTAAAGACAGGATTTCACCATGTTGGTCAGGCTGGTCTCGAATTCCTGACCTCGTGATCCCCCTACCTTGGCCTCCCAAAGTGCTGGGATTACAGGCTTGAGCCACCGTGCCCGGCCTGCATTTTAGTTAAAAAAAAAAAAAAAAAAAAAAAAAAAAGCTACATTAGATGCTCTTGGGAAAGTGGAAGTAGTATCTTTAACATGCCTTCTATAGCAATAAGAATGAATGAATTCTAGGTCCAAGTGAATATGCTTCCATCGTAAGAGAATTCTCTTCTCTTGAATTCAATGTGTAAAGAAACACTGAGCAAGGTTTAGGCACTTGAAGATATTTCTTAGAGAAAATGTTGTGATCATAGTTCTTAGAAATGTTAAAAAAGAAAAACATGCATCAATACAGCATAAGTGGGATGATGCTCAAAAATTAAGATCCATCAATCATATATTTCTACCCCATTACAAATATTATTTATCCAAAATAGTAATTTGATTTTAATTACTGTTTAGGTTGTTTAGTATAATATTTAATATATAACTGGTAACAATGAGTGGTTATACTTATAATGGCAAATGTAACTCATTTGGTTATATTTATTTTATATATTTGTTTTATAAATGTATATATACATACACACATACATATTTGTTTTATATGTATATATACATACACACTTGAATAAATATATATTTACATATACTTTTTCACACAGAATTATTTGACAAAATTGCTTGACTTTTATTAAATAATTCTGTGATGATGGCAGAATGTGAGAAGAGGAGTCCTTCATTCTCTCCTCCAAAACCCCAAAGCATTTACTGAGTGCTTGCTAAATGGGAAGATTTGGCTCCAATTATCAATTATTATAGGTAATTGAAATGACACCTTAAGCCAACCGCTCATCCACTACATAAAATCATGATCCCCAAACTGGTGTTTCCCAGTGGGACTTTGCACTTTGATATGCACACGTGTCCCCCATGAAGGACCAGTTTAAAAAGAGAAAAGTTTTCAGTAATTACAACAATGTGTGATAGTTCACTTATTCATTCATTCAGTCATTACATTTACTCTGTGACTATGATTTTTGAGCCATTTTGCTAGTTTTTACATATGCAGATGTTAATGTCCTACCTAAAGCTGTGTCTTCCCTGCATTTTCTCCCTTTTCGTTTCTCATTGCAGAGACGGGCTGGGTATGTCAAGTCTTGGTTACTTGTGTATGTGTGCATAGGCCTATACAATGCTCTGGAAATGACCTCTTAAAAAATAAATTTTGTATTCACATGGACCTTAACATAATTTAGGAGATATATGTGTGTGCATAGATATATGCATATATTAATATATGTATATATTATATAACAAATATTATTCATAAATACAGATAAACATATTATATGTGAATAAATATATAAAGGATATGAACACATATTTGTTTACATCTATTATCACAGCTTCAAGTGGAGGTGGGTTGACAAGATGTACAGTGTGCTAATTGAAACTACCCCTTCCAGTCGAAGGTGTGGCTCCTTAGATGGCTTGGCAAACAAGAGGTTAAGGGAGGGGGAGAAACAGACAAAGTCAATAAAGTCAGTTAATTGCAGGAAGCAGTTGCACAGCAACTGCAGCCAGGGAAACTGTTCTCTAGGAGCAGCCAATCACACAGGGGACCCAGTTCACCAGGAAGTGCTTGCCTCTGCCTGCCCCTTCCCCTGTGCCTTGGCTCTCCTCTGTCTGTCTGCCTCTCCATCTCTCTGTCTCTGTGGCTCTCTTTTTCTGTGCCTCTTAGGCGCTCCTTCTTGGTCTCTGCTTCTTTGCCTTTTTTGTCTGTGGGCTCGCTAAGATGTACACACACGTGGTTTATAGAGGCAGCAAGGAGCCCGTTTCTAGCTTGTCCTCTTCAGTTCTTAGCCCATTGCCCAGACACAGTGTTCACGTAAGGTAAAGGCAGGCTGTGCACTTCCTGCCCACGCCATCACCTGCCAGGTGAGCACAGGGCATGCCCAGAGCCGGTCATCTCCACATGTTGGATGTGATGTCATAATGCGTGGAAGCTGTACTGTATCAGCATAAACTCCAACCTAGCCATCAAAGTAACTTGACTTACGATAGAGAATGACCTGGATGCCATATATTCTACCAAAAGGTTCCTGGGCCCACCATTTATTTTTCCTTTATCTCCTATAATGAATTTTAGATTAGCTACTCTTTGAAAAGGGACATTTGCTATCGGAGTTCTGGTTAGGCTTTTAATTTTTATGAAAGAGGTGTATTGGCCTACAGCCTAGAAGACTCTTATTATTTTTTGTCTCTCAAAGCTGGGACTGGCAGGGGATTTCCTAGTATTAATTAATTAACGCCAGGCTCTTTTGGCAAAATGCCTCGAAAGGGATGGCCTGTCCTGAGTGACCCTCTCGTGTACTTTATGCCAGTGATCATTAAACTGGCAAAATTGTCTCACCTGGTTCCTCAGGACATTAAATGAAGATAAGAATAATAAACTTCATATTAACATAAAGGAAATATTAATCTACTAGACACATAAAGAAAACGGTGTAAAATTCCTTCTGCATCCTAGGGCAAATGAATATCTTAAGATCATTTTTAATGTTTTTTGCCCATGGTTCAATAAGAGTCCTGAGATATTCTGGGCTCTAGCACACTCAGTCATTTATAAAACATGTAAACATGCAAGACAAAGGGCCCTTGGAGCCCACCGTGGCACTCCATAGCACAACAGAAACATTCACTAGCCAACCCACTATTAGCTACGAAAACAGATGGCTGATCCTTTTGGATACAGAGAAGGGGAGGTAGTGATATTTTGCAACCTTTTTAACCTTCTGGAGAAGCACTAATAGAAATTGGGTTTGGGTTCAACCTTCCCTGGTTTCTTTCTTTTCTTTTTTTGTTTCTTTCTTTTTTTTTAGACAGAGCCTCGCTCTGTGGCCCAGGCTGGAGTGCAGATGCAGTGGTGCAATCTTGGCTCACTGCAACCTCTGCCTCCTGGGTTCAAGCAATTCTTCTGCCTCAGCCTCCTGAGTAGCTAGGATTACAGGCACCCACCACAATGCCTGGATAATTTTTGTATTTTTAGTAGAGACTGGGTTTTGCCATGTTGGCCATGTTGGTCTTGAACTCCTGACTTCAGTTGATCCACCTGCCTCGGTCTCCCAAAGTGCTAGGATTACAAGCATGAGCCACCATGCCTGGCCTCCTGGTTTCTTTAGAGACTTCAGGATTTCACAAACAAGGAACGTGTTCAGAGAGGATCCTGAGCTGTCATGAACATGCTCTTTGGGATCTGCTGGAGGCTGTCTCCATGAAGCCTGCACTCACAGGAAGTAAGAAATCTTCCAACACCTGTAACTCAAAGGGCAGTGCCAGCCTTTTTTTTTTTTTTTACCATTTCTCCACAGATGGAGACACACACACACAGAAACACACACACACACACACACACACACATAAATACATGCATAGGAATACACACCCAGAAACACACATAGAAAAACAGATGCAGAAACACAAACACAAACACACACAAATAGACACACACAGCATTCCTCTAAAAAGATTCTCCTGTTTTTTAGTCATTGGAATATGCTGGGTGAGAGAAAGCAGAATTAATACCAAATTTTAAAATGAACTGAAATAAATGAATCCTCAGGGCACAAAAGGTGATGTTAGAGAACCAAGGAAATATGGCTGGGGAAAGTTGCGTTTTATGAATCAGTCACATTACCAAGTTTTAATGTGAATTATTTGAGGGCTGGGGGAGAGCCAGCACCCCCAATAGATGTGGTACATCCCTCCCCCAGCAGACAGAAACTTCCCGTTTATCAGCAGTGGGCCTGGCACACTTTCATCCACATGCAGTCCACTTACCAAAAAATGCTGGTATTTTTTTTATTGGAAAAATTAAACTGTAAATTATCTCTCAAAAGCTTGCATCTTTATGATAATTTTCTAAATTATTATCATTTTTACAAATATATGAAGTCCTACATGCCTAGGATAATGCTGTATATGGTAGGCTGGAGATCTCAGTGCTAGTGAGCACATAATGTGAAGTGCTGCTTAATCAGACCTGGGTGATGGAGGGAGCTTATGTTGTCATTAAAATGTCTTTAAGAGTTTTGTAAATCCTGGAAGTGTGAACACCATGTGCTAAATTGTGGATGTGAATCATGGTTCACATCCATGTTTTCATTTCTCAATAACAGTCAATAAATGCTAGTTATTATTATTATCACCATCATTATTCACAGATGGAGTAGAAAGGTATATCAGAGAGCAAACCTGTGTTGAGCCACTACTGTGTCTAAGCCTCGTGGCCATATGATAAGGTCTCTTCATCCTACTAATGTCATTTTACATATAGCAAGTTATGGCCAAGACCACCCTGTTAATAAGTTCTCATTCTGGTCCTATTACTCTAGGCTGCTCGTGATTGAATAGCTTAGGAGGCAGGAAAACTATTGAGGCTTAATTAGTACAGGATTTGCACTTCCCTTGTGTGATTCAAACTTAATCACAAACCAAAACTAGGATGAATACTCAGAGATAGCTCTCTTTCCTGGGGCTATTCTCTCACTCTGCTAAGGCTATAGGATGCACTTTAGGCTTTGTTTCTTGAGTTAAGATTATTCTCATGTTCCTGAAAGAAAACATTCCTCCTCCCATTTTCCAGATGGGATATCAGCACAGGTAGCCATCTCAGCTATAAAGACAATTGCAAGAATAAAATCTCTGAACATGAATTAATGATCATAGCTGAGTCTCCTATTGAGTTTTCCTGTGGAAGCATTTCAGGAGCCTGAATTACAGCTAAAATGGAGTGGCTTTGTGTGTGCCCTGTAAGAGGGAGGTATTGCATTGAAGCAAGTGTTGGCTCAACTTCATAATGAGAAACCTGGATACTGATGGGGTTTAGCTTTGATTGGATTCTGGAACTTACTGCACTCAGCTGGGTGTAGTCCAGCAACTGGGTGGCACTGGCAGAGGGAGCCCTGCTTCTGCAACAATTACTGGTCAATTGCAAGTGATTATAATGGCACCGTGTCTAAAACAATATGGAGAAAAAATGCCTGAAAAACATAAAACAGTGGTGCTCTACCACAGAATGAGCAAGTTGCTGAGAATATCAGAGTAACCAGAGATGTTGGAAATTCAAGTTGCTACTCTAGATCACAGGACAATGGTACCCTTTTAACAAATCTCCTTGGTATATTTTCAACTATGTCCTTCATCACAGGTAGTCAGAATAAGATGCAGTGGGTTCTATACAGACTCTCTCTTGGTGAGTTGAGATGGCTGGACAGAATTCAAGAAAGAGCAGGGCTGACCAGTCTTGCCACATGAATCCATCCAATAAATAAGAAGAACTGAGAAAAATACCTTACTGCATCTAACTTCACTTCTACCAAAAGAGACATCCCATTGGTATGGGAGAATGCAGATTCCAAGAGATGACTATATCTGGAAAACGTTCTGGAGATCCTTATGAGTACATGACCAGTAGGTAATTGCTCTGATATTTGCAGACAGCATAGAAGAATTATCACTTTTGCTTTTACATCCTTTATTGGTTGTGAGTGATTTGGCTACAGGAGGTTGCAAGCAACTGTGGACCAAGTAACAACAAAACCAAGCTTAAATGAAGGCTGTGGGGCTCCCTCTCCGGTGGCACTTTGAGAGAGTGGGCAGTCTCCCTTGAACACTGCCTCTCTGGCTCCCCAGAAACACTGCTTGGAGTTGGCCTGGGCTAGTGGACTCTTTGCAGGCTGTCAATTGGCTGCTGCCAGCCCTGTGGTGGTTTCCTCACTCCTGTGAGAAGCTGTGACATATTCATTCTTGGCAGTCACCATCTCAGGCGTTAAATCACTGTCCTCAAATTTCCAGAGTTCTGACACATATAATGGGCTTGGTAGGAGACCTGCAATAATTCTTTTTCAGTATTTATGAAATCATGCACTCCCTATGGCTTCTGGGCCTTTCAGCTGCCTTTCAGATATCCCTCCTATAAATTTTCCATGATTATCACTTTCTAGCTTTGAAATATACATTTTATGCATTGTTATGGTGATACAGGAGGCACCATTGACTTTGCCTTCTGTTGTGGATTTATAATATGCCTATAGCCTCACCTGCCTAAATATATAGCTCACTTGTGGCCATTTTAATATAGAACAAGCTTCATTACTATGCATCTTTCATTTCTGCAAATCTGAGTCCTGTGGTTCTCCCCAATCATGTAAACCTTCACATACTAAACCAAAGGTCACACCAATAAACATTTCCTACATGGTGGCGCCTAAAGTTGCCAGAAAAGTCTTGTTTTTAGCATCCTGTGCCTCTGTCTATGGTAAATTCTCTCATTCCCAGTTCTTGTGAACTCCCTCTGTCCTCCCCTTCCCCACTGCTGCAGGCCAAATCCCACTGTCACCATTGTGGAAATGAGACTCCATGGTAAGATCGAGACTTGCCAATCAAATTTTAGCCTCATTTTTTTGAATTTATACTCCACTGTTAGAAATATAAGCAGCTGAGAATGTGTCTTGTGTTTGGAGGCACAAGGCTTTTCAAATTTTTCTCTATGCTTTGTATTTTTCTACCTATAACTTGTAGTTAACTATGGATGTGGGTCTGAAGTCAGGCTAGGACTCAACCAAAGGTTTTATGACACAATGACTAGGTATTCTCTACAGCATCTCAGAAGCAGCTTACAGCTGATATCCTAATATATTGAAAAGGAACACTTGGGAGAAATGAACAGTTTGTTGGGACTTCCAACAAATGGGTACCATATGGCTAGCTCCCGGTTGTCCACATTTATTTATAAAGTTGAGTGGCTTATGTGATCTTTTTTCTTTAGATCCTCCTAAGTGAGGATGGGTAATAACAGAAAAAGAGTAGCACAGAGTCTGGTTTGGAAAGAGTCTGGGCAAAAATTCCTAGCTGGAAATCGGGAAATTTTAAAAACATAGAATTTTATATTTGAATTTTAAGATACTGAAGATCAGAAAAGTCACTCTAAGTATAAAACATAGAGGAATTATTCTGTTTTCGTTTTACCATTTTTTTAAAATTACATTGTTATTAATTCATTAGTATGGTGTAATAATAATTATAACAATACATAGATACCTTGTTCTAATTAAGCTTTCAGGATGCATAATGATTATAGGGAATATGTCATTCTTAGATATGGTAATACCAGAAATTGACCATTCTTAGATTACCTCCAGTAGAAACATATGAATTTCTGTTCTGTTGTAAGCAATATGGATTCAGGCATTTACAGATTTCTTAGTAGAGAATAATAAACTAATTCCTTTTCAAATGATCTCTTCGGGTCTTACCTATTTGTATAAATGGGGCTATCATTTTCTCAGGTACCCAGACTTGGAGCTACATCAAATTAGTCGTTAAGCATTTCAATGATTTCCTTTTCATGTTTTTCTTTTCCCCCCTCTCTACAGTATATTCACTCCCTCATCAGCAGCTCCACCATTGTGATTACCTTCTCCTTGTTTCCCTCCCTCTCTCCCTGTTTCTTTGACTCATAATTTGCTCAGAACATTGCAAATTGGTTAATTTTCACAAGGTGATGTTTGATTTTGCAGCTATTATCTTTAAAACCTCTATTGGTCCTTCATTGCTGAAAAATTAATTCCTCCATCCTTATAGACTAGTACTAAAACATTTTTCAAATGTCCAACTTATTTTTCCAAACTTATTTCCCAGCGGGGTTTCACAGGAGGTCTTGATTGGCTGTTTGGATCAACATGTCCGGGCATTAAGTCCAGCTTTGTCACATATTGATTTTATTATTTAGAACAAGCTATATAATTGCTATAGTCACTGCCATAAAAATAGAACTTCACTCTGACACAGATTAAATGAGGTAATGAATATCAGGTCATTTTTCTATGCCCAGTATAATCACTAAAAATGTTAATTATTTTTTCCTCTCTTAAAGGACATTGATAATATGTACCTTATAAAGTTGCTGCAAAGAGTAATTGAAATGGTTTTCTGTAAAGCACATAGTATGCTACCCGGCATAGAGTAAGCACTCAGAAATGGTACAATCATAGCTCCTGCAGTCAGTGCTCATCACTAGTTCCCATTGCCGTGCATCTGCCTACATGGTTCCTTCCACCTGGAGAGCCTTGTCTTTTTGCTATAGTCCATCCTTCAAAGTACCTTTCTAGGCCCCTCCTCTGTGAAACCTTACCTGTCCATAGCATTCCTTTAGTCCCCAGAACTCTTATGACCCATGCTACACACTTGAGACCTCTATCTGGTCATTCTCTCTATATGTCTATTCATCCATTTATCCATCCATCCATCCATCCATCCATCCATCCATCCATCCATCATCTATCAACCTGTAATTGACTGCTAGTGAGACTTTTCTTATTGTCTTGCAATTAAGGACAGTAACAAACCTGAGGCCCAGTGGCCCTAAAGATCCAAAAGGGCCTCATGCCACCTCTCCCCAGAGCTTCATGAGAGGAACCAGCTCAGAAGGGACCCAAACACCAACCACCACCATCCTTACTCCCAACTCTCCAGGGACCCATTGTCTGTGACAGAGTCTGGGGAACATTCTCTCGCCATAGCCAAGGAACAAGGGTTGAGCTTCAAGCTGTGAAGCCTGGAGGGCAGATGAAGTTCCCTGTCATGGTTGGACATGTGCCCCAGTGGTAAGGGGCATGAGTCCCCTGACATGTTGGGGCTGCTCTTCAGGTTACCAAAACCTTAGACAACTGGCTGCAGTTAGGGGAACAAAGAGTGCCTTGGATCTTTCCCATTCCAAAGGTCATACTTGCCCAACTCTGTGCTATTCTCTGTTTGGAAAAGTGAGAAGAGCGAGCACTGAAGACAGGCCGGAAGTGGAGTGGTGTGGGAGCAAACCATACACTGCCACCCCACCCAGCCTCCCCCTCGCCCAGAGTCTCTGAGCTATGGATTAATCTAGAAGCTCAGAGACTGATGGGAGGCAGAGGGTTTTGGATTTAAATTTAAACAAGACCAAGTCGGAAATACTCAAAAGAGACCCTGTTGGTACCTGAGCTTGACTGCAGAGTTACTCATTCCTCTCTAGTTCTCACTGTGGCACTAAACACCATCTCCAGCAGGAAAAACAGGACTGCTGTAGCCCAGCAGGAGAAGGGAAGCTTTAAGAAGAGAGGTATTTGAGGTTTACATCCCAGCACGCTGGACACCACAATAAACCAGAAATGCTAGACAGATCTTTCTCCTTTGTGACAATGTTAGCTGCCTCTTTCAAGGAGGATGTAGTGCTTCTTAATTCCTTAAAGTCCCTATATGGTGGCTGTTAAACATATTTTGATGGTGTCACATGTATTTCAAATTAAATCTTTCACTGAACCTCAAATAAAAACAGATCAAATGGAACATCTGTGGTTAAATCACGGGTGGGAGTCAAGAGCTCTAGCCTCTTGGCCTCTCCTGGTTTTATGTGATTTTTAAAAAATTCATAATTCTAGACATGTTGCTTTGGTGTCTAGAGCCCAGCTCTTTCCCTCCATGCACAGAGTTCCTGAACATAGCCATTATGTAGAATGAATCCTGATTTCTTGGCCCAGGACTCCTCCGAGGAGCTAGGTCCAAGGAAACCTGTCTGACTCCTACTGCTCTGGAGCTCTGAGGCCATGCCCAGTGAGAAATCAGTGCTCAGTGAAGAGCTATCACTAGATGGAGGAGGGATAGCAAGTTGCTGATTCCTTTGGTGGTGATAGTGGATGCAATATTTTCAAAGTGTTCAATAACACACCCAATCATCAATGATAGCTATCAGATTCTTTTAAAGTGAACTCTTGAGTGTGGTATTTTCTTTGCCTGGGATTATGACTTCACTTTGGATATTGTTTAGTTTTTAACCAAAATGAGTCAGATGATAAGGGAAGTTCTGTATTCTTTGGATGTTGAAACAATTAGTGCTTTATTTTATCTACTCTACTGGAAAGAAATGCCTTCACGTGAAGGAGCAAGACACAGCTTCATGATCACACTGAGCTCTGTCTCTCTGGACCAGCAGGACAAATAATTCATCCTTAGAGATGAGACAAAGGGTTGAGTGATATTTTATTGAAAAGAGTGTGTCAGGAAATAACCACATTATGTATAACTTATTCTGTATTATATAATTCAAGTAGTTATTTGATTAGAGTTGTTCTGATGTAAACAAGTCGGTCAGATATCATTGTCACAATTTCTATAATTTTATTTTTATTCACTGTACATATGATAAACAACAGCCAGTAATAGTATTCATGAAAACTGCCCTTTGTTGCAAGTTCAGAAATTCAATCTGAACTAGCTTAAGTAGATAAAGGGAAGGAGAGATCTACTAGGAAAGTATTTGACTATCTCACAAGACAGCCAGCCTGTGGTAAAAATGAGAATTGTAGGAAAAACTGAAGAAAGGAACTCATGGGTTGCCAAGACTCCTCTCCCTCCTCCTTGCCTTCCATACCAGCTTCATGCTTTTCTCTCATTACAGAATATTTTTCCAAAAATTTCAAAGAACCCTAACTGACCCAACTTGTTAGAAGCCCACTTCCATTTCAATCAACAGTGCCAAGAAGGCAGCATTGTATTGTACAGAATGGTTGCTCCCACAGTCACCATATGGATGGGAGGGAAGGCAGGATGCTGGGAACAAAAGCAATGGTCTAGTTTAATAACTTAAAAATATGGCTTTGCTCTAATTATTTAGGAGGTGATAGAGATGTTCTGTTTAGTGGGTAAAGACTTAGAAACAAAGCACCTCTAGGCTGTATTTAATGGTAATTCTAATGACATCTTTTGAGTGGCAAGGCATCAGGATGAGGACCTACTTTCACTGTATAGATCTCTGCAAGGAATTTTAAAAAACATACTTAAAATACATTAAATCCTTTTCTGACTTAATTACTTAAAAACTTTATTTGTTTGCCACTGTTTTTGACAGGCATTGTGAAATTCATAAATGACCTAGTTGGTGATTGTATTAGCATCACTCTGTGATACTAGGAATATGAATATAAGCTCAGTGCTTACCAGGAGGCAACGGGCTGTTCTCCTTTCACAGCTGTTTGCAGCTAATTTCCATCCACATCAGCCAAAAGCAACAAAATAAACAAAATAACAAAAACATTGTGTCAGTTGTTTGCACTTGGTGGCCATTGTCTTGATTATTATTTAAATAGTGATTGATTAAAATTGATCCTTTAGAAAATAGATCCTTCAAAAATGCTTCCTGGTCATTGTCAAAGTATTTCACATTGATAGAGAAGTGTAGATGACACTAGAGCTAACAGTTAATAGCACTACCCAGATATAAGAAGTATTATCATGTTGCCAAATTTCTTTAGATCTTATTTCCTTAAGAAATTGAATGGTCATCCTAGGCCCAGCTTCCTCTGTGCTCCTCCCTGGCCACGCCCCCTTGTCCCCTCCAAAAGGTAGCCTCACCCTGAGATTGGAGTGTCTCTTCCCGTCCAGGTGTTTATATTTTCTGCACACATGCATATAGGCATAAACAATACACGGCCCTGCTTTTGTGTGACTGAAAATCTGTGACTTTGGTGACACGCTAAAAGGATCATTCTGCAACTTGACAGTTATTTCTTCACTCCATATTATGTTTACTGAATGTAAACATTTTAAAACATGATGTCAAAGGTAAGTTAGCCAAATATTTTAACTACATTTCATGGTATGAATCTACCCTATTATATCCCTATTGATGAGCATTTCTTAATTTCCACTGACATGAACAATGCAGCGTGAGCATCCTTGTGGATATCCTCATACACAGTCTAAAGTTTCTCTAGGCTGCGTCTCCTGTGGGTGAATGGTTGGGTCATAAGGCAGATGCATCTTTAACTTTTCTAGGTGTTACCAAATTGTTTCAATGTTGTCTTAATTTTCAGCAGTGCCTGAGCTGCTTTGTTCTGCATCCTCACCAGATTGGGTATTGTGATACTTTTTAATGTTTGCCGATCTGATAGTATCTCACGGTAGTTTCAGTTAGCACTTCCCTGATTATTAGTGAAATTGAGAATTTTTGTTTTCAGGATTTGGGTGTCCCAGTAAGTTGACTGTGAATAGACTTGTCTCACCCTTTTCAAAATTAGGTTGTATGTGTGTGTTTATTAATTTACATGAATTCTTTATAAATACTGAAAAAGAATTCCTTGTGAATTACATGTTTTACATGGATCTTCTCCCAATATGCAGCTTAAGTTTCTATTTTTAAATTCAATTTTATTTATTTGTGGTAAAAAAAAAATCAATAGTAGGAACATTTACACAGCCTCCTTTCCATGTCTGCCCTCCAGCCCTGTGGGTTTCCTCCACAGAGGCTACCTAGAAGATCAGTTTATTGAATATCCTCCCTAAAACATTCCTTGGCATACAAAAATATATACACACATATATACATATATGTAATTCTTTCTTGTTTACATAAATTATAGCAAACCACACAAATGTTTCTGTACTTTCTACTTTTACTTAACACTGTATCTTTAAGGAAAATGTTTACATACTACATATATATAGAGACAGATTTTAAAATATAGGCCCAAATTTTCTTGACATTCCTCTCATTGAGAGGTAGAGAGTTTCTGTCTCCTCCTCTTGAATCTGGGATTGCTTGTCTTTGTTTCAACCAGTAAAGTATGGCTGTAGTGATGTGATGTGACTTTCAAGACCTGGTCAGAAAAGGCTGTCCAGCTTCCACCCGTTCGTCTTGGAATACTCACTGTTTGGGGAGGCCAGTTGCCATGGAAGAAGTCTGCCTATTCTGAGACCACCATGTTGGAGAAGGCACATGCAGGCACTCTCCTAAGATCTTCAGAGGATTGCCAGGCATGCAAGTCCAGCCTGATTGAACCTTCAGATGAGGTTGCCCCAGTTCACATCTGACCAGAAGCAAACAAGCAACCTCAACCGAGAATCACCCAGCTGAGCCCTTCCTAAATTCCTGTCTCACAAAATTATGAACCAAATAAAATATTTGTTGTTTTATAATACTAAACTTGTGGGGTACTTTGCCACACAGCACTAGTAACTAAAGAATTACTACAGTGCAAAAAAGGCTTTATGGTAAAAGAAAATTGTTAAAAACTATAAAGGAAGATATTTCATAATGATAAACTAAAAAAGAGAAACATATTATAGATGCATATTTATGCATCGAAAATGAAGGTCTGGAATATGGAAAGAAGAAATGGGAAAAACTGTAAGAAGAAATCAACGAATGCACAATCATAAAAGAACACAACAGACATTTCTCAGATAACAACAGATCTAGTAGACAAAAACCTATAATGATTTAGAGGATTTGAATGGCATGGTTAATTAATATGTACATATATACACAGAGAAATGCTTTGTATTGAGCGAAAGCAAATGCATTTTCTTTCAAACATACCTGAAATCGACAAAAATGGATCATATTCTCCTGAACTGAAAGTTTCCACAAATAAAAAAAATTACAGGCCACTTTCACCAATATTTTTTGTTTGTTTTCTGAATAGTGTCCTTAAAAATAATTTTTTTTAAATTTCCAACTTTTATTTTAAGTTCAGGGGTACATGTACAGAATGTGTAGGCTTGTTACATAAGTAAACATGTGCCATGGTGGTTTGCTGCACAGATCATCCCATCATCCAGGTATTAAGCCCAGCATCCACTAGCTATTCTTCCCGATCCTCTCCCTCTTCCCACCCCCCAACCTCCAACAGGCCCCAGTGTATGTTGTTGTCCCACCCCCCCATGTGTCCATGTGTTCTCATAATTTAGCTCCCACTTATAAGTGAGAATACGCAGTATTTGGTTTTCTGTTCCTGTGTTAGTTTGCTAAGGATAATCCATCCATGTCCCTGCAAAGGATACGATCTTGTTCCTTTTTATGGCAGCATAGTATTCCATGGTGTATATGTACCACATTTTCTTACCCAGTATATGTACCACATTTTCTTATCCTAAATGCCCATCTTATCATTGATGGGCATTTAGGTTGATTCCATGTCTTTGCTATTGTGAATAGTGCTGCAATGAACATACGTGTGCATGTGTCTTTATAATAGAACAATTTATATTCATTTGGGTATATACACAGTAATGGGATTGCTGGGTTGAATGGTATTTCTGCCTCTAGGTCTTTGAGGAATTGCCACTGTCTTCCGCAATGGTTGAACCAATTTACACTCCCACCAACAGTGTAAAAGCGTTCCTTTTTCTCCACAACGTTGCCAGCATCTGCTGTTTTTTGACTTTTTAATAACAGCCATTCTCACTGGTGTAAGATGGTATCTCATTGTGGTTTTGATTTGTATTTCTCTAATGATCGGTGATCTTGGGCTTTTTTTCATGTTTGTTGGGTGCATGTATGTCTTCGTTTGAGAAGTGTCTGTTCACGTCCTTTGCCCACTTTTTAACGGGGTTGTTTGTTTTTTTCTTGTAAGTTTGTTTTTGTTTTTTCTTGTAAATTTAAGTTGCTTATAGATGCTGGATATTAGGCTTTGTTAGATGCATAGATTGCAACAATTTTCTCCCATTCTGTAGGTTGTGCATTTACTCTATTGATAGTTTCTTTTGCTGTGCAGAAGCTCTTTAGTTTAACTAGATCCCATTTATCAATTTTTGCTTTTGCTACAATCACTTTTGGCATCTTCCTTATGAAATCTTTGCCTGTGCCTATGTTCTGAATGGTATTGCCTAGGTTTTCTTCTATTACCAATAATTAATGTGAATTTAGAAATGTACAATAAAAATGTGGCCAAATATTCCACGTAATATTTCTAAGTAAATTTTACCATGAGAAAAGTCAAACGGACATGGTAAACTATTTAAAATGAGAAATAATGAATAATCCCTGTGTTCAGCTTTGTAGAATATCATGAAATTAGAATGCAAAAGGAGAAATTTATAGCCTTAAATGAATATATTAGACAAAAAGTTGAAACACAAACAAACTGCATTTTAAGAACTTTTATTGTACAAATGAAACAGCTAGATAATTCCAGAGAAAGTGGGAGAAATAGTAGATAAACACACCATGACGTATAGGGAGAAACAGTCAGGTCCAGCAATATAATAATTTCCTAGGGCTGATTTAACAAATTACCACAAGCTGAGTGGCTTAAAACAACAGAAATATGTCCTCTTACAGTTCTGGAGACTAGAAATCTGAAATCAAGGTGTTGGCAGGGCCATGCTCCCTCCGAAGGCTCTAGGGTGGATCTTTGTTTCTTCCAGCTTCTGGTGGTTCCAGGTGTCCCTTGACTTGTGGCAGCTTCACTCCAAACTCTGCTTCACCTTCATTCACACGGCCTTCCCCTTTGTGTCTGTGTATTCTATTCTGTCTCTTGTAAGGACATATTATTGGATTTAGGGCCTACCTGGGTAATCCAGGATAATCTCATCAAGATCCCTAAATTAATCACTTCTGTAAAGACTCTTTTCAAATAAGGTCACAGTCACAGGTTCTGGGGATTAGAACATGAATACATCTTTTCTGAGATGACCATTCAAACCACTACAGGTGATAAAGTCAAAAGATGGTTTTGAAAAAAAATCAAAATACTAACAAAGCTCGCTACGTGAGATTAATTGAAGTTTGAATTAGAGAGAATAATAAACATCTATAAAGTTTAAGACTCATGATAAACATTGTTTGTGAATTGGGTAGAGATGAAGGCTTCTTTAAGATAAAGGACATCTTCCCAAATTCCTGATAAGGGTGATACTTTAGAAAAATCCCCTTTGAAGCCAAGCATGGTCATTTTCACCACTACTTTCATGCATGGTTCTGGAGGTCCTTGCTAATACAGTAAAATAAGAAGTTTAAAGATGTAATATATTCAAGAGAAGATATACCATACAGCACATGACCACTGAGCTAGAAAGTCAAATAGAACCAAGTGACAAATGCTGAGAAGCAGACATTAACCATACAAAAAATTATTAGCTTCTCTATACATAGGTGATAGTGACTTAGGAAATGTAATGTGAGGATGGGGAGACTACATTCAAAATAGTAAAAGTAAGTCTAAAATGTCTACAGTAACACCCAACCAAAATAACCATCATCCTTATGGACAAAACTATAACAAAGTAATGAAGTTCATAAAATAAAACTTGAATGTGGAGTTGTCTTGTGTTCATGGGAAGACTCAATATTATAAAAGTGTAAATTCTACACAAATTATAAAAAGTTTTGCAAAAATTATAAAGTTTGCTAATGTCACAGGTAGATGAGGGTCTGTACACAGCACTCTCATTGCTGCTGGGGGAGCCCCTACCAGCACAGGTGCTGGGTGGCATTTTGATGGTAACTATTAAAATTTAAAATATGTAAATCCTATTGCCTGGAAATTCTACTTCGTCATATTTGCTCTCAAGAAATATTTGCTTAAAGGGAGGCACATTCAATGATGTTATGACATTCTCAGTGGCCATGATTATGGGATAACTTAATAAACATTGGTATATTCACACTGTGAGATTCTAATTAGAAATTTTAATTTGACCTGTGTTATCTAATATGTATATGTCACATCAATGAAACATTTAAGTTGTAGGATATGCACAATTGATACCTTTCACCTAAAAATACAAAACACCACAGTAATTTTAATGGGTCCATTTATGTGTATATGAATAAGTAGAGAAGATTCCAGAGGACTGCACATTAGACTTCTCATAGTGATTATGTTTCAGGGTAATGTCAAACGTTAGTATAATCTGTAATAATTTTCATTTTCATAAGGAGGCTTTTTTCTTGTTTGACTTGAGTATTTTAAAAACAGCAGAAGAAAGAGCAAATAATAGGGAGGTATATAACCAAGAAAACATGGGAAAGATGGTTAAGTGAAGTTTCTAATTTAAATTTGCTTGACAGCTATATAGCTAAGTTGCAGTTATTCATAACACACACTTTCTTTAACAAACATTCACCAGCACTACTCTATTCTGAGTTTTAGATATTTGCTATCAGGTATTTGGTATCAGGAACAAAGGAGGTAAAAGGTTAGAAGCTTCCTCCTCTAATGGAACCTAAATTTTTGTGGACGATGGCTGAAAATACAATAATAGTAAGTAAATTAAAGAGAATACAGAAGATAATAAGTACTATAGATGAAAAAACAACAAGCCAACAGGTTAAGGTGGATAAGTGGGGCTACAATTTTCAATAGAAATATACAAGTTGGCCTCCTTGAAGGGACATCTGAGCAAAGCTTTGGTGGGGTGGAATGGGCCATGTGGATCTGCTGCCTTGGTGATGTCACTCACCTCCCAGGTTGATGGGTCAATGAGGGGCTGTTGTATACGCTTAATTAAAAATGCATTCTTTACAATGAAGCCTTTTAATAAATAGCCTCTTCTATTTTATACCACATCAGAAGAGAGGATCACCATGGAAATACGGCAAAGCCTTGTTGAATTTCCTTACTGAATAGAGTCAGTTTTGTTTCTATACAAGGGTGGAAATAGGATATAATTAAATCAACACTACTTTAATTGTTTTAGCTTATTTTACTTCTGGATAAGCAATGTAGAATCAGAGCATTGGCCATATATGAAAGAGGAAATCTGATGTCTCTTCAAGATTGAGCCTCCCTGCCAGCATTTCAGTTTTATGAAGAGTGATTTGAAGCCACACCATCTCCAGTGGGGGCCAGGGTTCATGCCCTTTCTCCTGGCCCTCTCTGTCCACTGTCCTTCAGAAAGTGAGGTCTGAACCTCTTAGGCCCCAGATGCTTTAGAATCGAGGCTGGCTGGCTGTGTCAGGGCAGGAGTCTCTCCATGGAGTGACTAATGGCTGTGCCAATCCCTGCTGCCCCAGGGATCTGGAGGGAGGACCAGGCAGTCTCACAATGGGTGGGTAAGAGGGAAGGTGCCAGTGGGCACAGAGGAGGCTCTGGTTGGGGCCAGGGAGGGTTCTAGGGGAAGATGGGCCTGAAGAATGATGGAGGCCATGGTTGGTTGGGTTGTTGGATAGCTTAAGTTTGCAGGCATTTTCAGTACCCTGGAAAAGGGACCATCAGCAAAACGGAGAGGAGAAAGCTGGGCTATAAGTCATGATTTACACAGAATCAGAACCTGAAGCAGAACCAACTGTCAATCTGGTCTACTCTGGAGTTAGCACTAGTTAAGCAGAGTTTAAGGCAAGTGCCTTTGATGACTCTCAAGGGGACAGGTACAGTAATGTCTTCAGGAAACAGAGGCAGTGAGACACCTCAGCTGTTACATGCCCTATAGTAGGGGCAGATAATTCCTAGCAGATTCAAAGAGTCCATTAAATGGGCCTGTTGGGTCCATTAAAGGATGTCATATTCTCCAGATCTGTATCCTCACCCAACCAGCGGCACACAGTCCTGTGTCCATGGCCTGGAGGCAATGCCACTCCATGACCACTTTCTGGAGCAGGTTCTCAATTAGGAGTGTTGGAGGTTTCCTGGGAGTTAAGGCCAAGGAAAGACAAAAGGGCGAGCAAGTGGGACAGGGCAGGAGAGCCTCAGACCACCATGAAGCTCTCAGGCCCCATTTTGGGCAGGAATGGTGGGCCCTGCTACCCCTGTGGTGCTGTTATCAGCAGAGACTACCAGGGAAGAGTCTGGCCTTGGCTTGAGAGCTGCGCTGGGTCCTGAAGGTAGGCCCAGTGGAGCCATCAGCTGACCGCACTCCCGTGGCCAAATGGAAGCTCTTTCATTGTGGCCACCACTCCCCTGTCAAGGGTCTCCACTTTTCCTTCCATGTTTGGGGAGCAGCACCTCTGGGATCCCAGTGGCCTCTCTCTCTGGGCAGAAGTTGCCAGGACTGAGCTTGTGGGAGGAACCACAGCTCCCATTGCTGCGGGAGGCCTCGGGGCAGCAACGATCCCTTCTAAATTCCTCTGAGCCTCAGCCATTGCCTCTGCTGGTCTCAGTGCTTACCCAATGATGTGACCCAAGCTCTCCATCCTAAGGTGTCTGGGCCCTGGAAACCACACACTTCTCAGGCAAGGGTGGCTGCACTGTATTTGTCTCTTCACAGCCAAGGGGTGCCCAGATAGACAGAATCCTGCACATATTCCTTCTTACCTCAAATATAAAATAATCCTGCCATAATTGAGCTTCTTTTACCTCTTTGGGAGACACTGTCTAGAGGCACTCAGAATGGCCCAGCATTGGACATACTGTCATAAGCTTTCCTATAATACAGCCTCTAACAAAACTAGGCTGTCCCAAACCCTGGTAATAGAGTTGTTTACTTTTATACCAAGACATTTGGGGAAACACCAACATCTGCATGTGGTGTGTACCCAGACACATTTTGAGGGCTTCTTGCTGTGAGACCTGAAGTTCTTATGAGGTTGTCTAGAAGGAAAAAAACATGCTAGCAGGGCTTGTGGTGGTGCCATGTGTGCTGAGTGTGTTTGTGGCAGGATCAAGCATGTGTTCCTTATCAGGGAGCAGAAAATCATGAAAGAGTTCAAGGTACAAGCACAGAGTCAGAATGCTAAATTTAAAAGTGAAGTGTTTCGCACCACACAACCATAGGTGCAAGCTGGGAGAGGGGCCTGGGATCACATGGCTTTGGGCTACCTGCTCATGCAGCTTACCTGTGCCCTCAGGTCTCATTTAGGGTCAATCTTCAAGGACATAGTTCAGGATGGGCTGTTTAGGACACATAGATACTTGGCGTCCTGTGGTACCAAACATGCATAAAGTTCTCAGATGTGGACAGCATGCCCTTGCTCTAGAAACCAAGGGGCTGGCATTGTTTCCTGCCCTGGAGCTTGACACAAATGCTGCACTGTGTCTTTTTTTCATCACTGACCCCTCCAACATCATAGGGTCTATAGCTCAGGTGGCCAAGGCAGCAAAGCCCTGCAGAGCTGTGTTTTTCTCCAGGTCCACTCAAGCTAACTGCTTTCTTGTGGCCAGGCATTTGGGCTGGAGCAGCACTAAATGAATACTGCTGTGCACTCCATTTTCCTGGTCTTTTTTTTCTGATTGGGATAGAGAAGAATGCACTCACTGCATCAATATCATGTGACTTATGCTATATTGATCTGCTCTAGCAAAGATACTATATCTGACCATTCTTCTAGGATCCATCTGGTTTCAGCTGGATCCTTTCTGGTGAATCGAATAGAGATATGATAGGGAACACCATGCTGCATCTTTGAGACCATCAAGAATGGCATTAATCTCTGCCACCTCTCTTCTCCATGTGAGATTGTTTTTTGATTTATCGTAGTTGAGGTAGTAGAGGGGGGTCAGTTATAGAAATTCCTTTGAAAGCATGTGGCATTATGAAGGCATTAACTACTGGAGGCAGCCTGTTAACAGCCCTCCTTGCAACAGAGTAAATGGCAAGTGCTTCCCTGAAGGGTCATGGGTGCCCCCTCTCCACATCTGGACCCTGACCTTGAGAAGTAGATCAATCATTTGAGAACCCTAGTAAATCGGATATAGATAGAATAAGGGCTTGAGGGAGAAAGATGTCCAGGCCTGTTTCAGCAACTGTCTATCTGTCTGATTTGTGTAAGTTATCAAATATCTCTCCACTCATTTCCTGAATAATAAACATGGAATAATAACCCATAACATATCTCGTGAGGTCTTATGAGAGGTTAATGCAAAGGTACATATGAACAGGCTTGTGTTTAAATAGCAATAAGCACATGTACAAGATATTATTTCTGCAAGTTTGTTTTTTACCCACTCAATGCCAACATTGTCCAGTGGTTTCATATTTCTAAAGATTGTGCTAAGTCCTTGATATGGTTTGGCTGTGTCTCCACCCAAATCTCATGTTGAACTGTCATCCCCAAAGTCCCCTAATCCCCACATGTCGAGGGAGGAACCTGGTGGGTGGAGATTGAATCATGGGGGCATTTCCCCCATGGTGTTCTCATGATAGTGAGTGAGTTATCACAAGATCTGATGGTTTTATATATGTTTGACAATTCTTCCTTCAGATGCTCACACTCTCTCTCTCCTGCCACCATATAAGACATGCTTGCTTTCCCTTCTGCCATGATTGTAAGTTTCCTGAGGCTTTTCCAGCCATGCAGAACTGTGAGTCAATTAATCCTCTTTTTTAAAATAAATTATCCAGTCTCTGGTAGTATCGTTATAGCAGTATGAAAACGGACTAATACAATGCCTTCAATGAAGCCTTAGAAATGGGATCATTAGAAGATTTTTTGATGAGACAATAGAACTGTAGAGGGGGAAGTCTCACAGGCAGGAAGTGAGGGTCCAGTATGGAAAATACTCCTTGACAGGGGTCTTAGGAGCTGCTAGGAGCAAAGACAACATTAGGCTTTAGGTTGCAGCAACATTAAAGCCGTAAAGGCTTTTAAAGTTCAGGGGAGATAACATAACAAGATAGACTGTGAAAGATGCCCTTCAATGTCCAGCTCAGCCTGGTCCTCACTGCTGAGCCCCGCAGGAATGTCCAGTTGCCCACAAGGTAGCCCCTGAGGGTTGGGCAAGGATTTCAAACAGAACATGTCCAGGAAAGAATGTTGACAATGGACCCCTTCCCTATCTGCTTCTTCCCCAGCCTTCACTACTCACCTGTTTGCTCTGGAGAGGATCTTGGAGTTTTCTGTCTTTAGTTCGTTTCCATGTGCAATCCATTGAGAGGTGTGATGTGAGCTCTAGAATATATCTTGAAGCTGACCACTTGTCCCTGTGCTCACCACACTACCTCAGTCTGTGGCATTCCTGGTGACTGCTGCCACAGCTTCCCAGTGGCACCCAGCCCACCCGCCCATTCTCCGCAGAGCAGTTGGGGCCTTTGTGAAAGTGTGGCTTGGGTCTCATCAGTCACCTGCTCATGGCTCCCAAGACTCCCTGCTGCACCTTGAATGAAAGTCAAGCTCCTTATCATAGCCTAAGACAACCGCCTCTCTCTGGTTAAACTGAAGGCCGCAAGAAGAAACAGAGAGGAAGAGAAGGTTGGGAACAGTAGACTGCAACCACATTGCAGTAGCCCTGGAATAGGAGCCATTCATGATCACTAGAGTACAAAATGCAAAAAAAATGAGTAGACTTTTAAAAATTCCCTCTATTTTTCCCTTAAATTTCTTTGTTCAGCATTTTTTCTTTCAAAACGAAGCCCAGAATAACACAAACAACTCCTGTCCACCTTGCCTGCATGCAATTTAGATATAATTCTAATTCAAAAACACAATCGAAACTATGTCACAGACACAAGGGCTTATAGTGGAAATATTGAGCAACCTTCAATTAAGGGGAATAAAGGAATAAAAGACACAGTAGTTACACAGTGCTCATTATGTTTATAATGTACATGTGTAGGTGTGCAGAAAAACTTCCTGTGGAACCGTTGCTGTTTTAGTATCAGAAACAGACACTACACAGAGTCCTTTGGATGCTTTACCTATCTGCTGCTAACACTGATGACAGCTGTAGCAACCAAGATTCATAATTGCCGGGCCATCATCACTCCCATTAAACTGCAGGAAAGAAAAATGAGGTCTCTTGTTCTCTTTATAATCCATATTTTAAGCATTGCAGTGCCATGGGTACAGAACATGTCACAAATGTAGGATTGAAAATATATATGGATTAAACATTAAGTGAGGATTTGAATGACTAAACATGGCCTCTGAATTCAGGATGCAGAATGTGCACTTCTTGATTTCTGTCTTTCCCTCTCCCCATGCACAGTATACATGATGCACGTAACATAGAACGTGGGGCAGGTGGAAAAAGAATGGCGTTAACAGCATTGTATTAAATGCTTCTGTTTCTAGTCCTGGGTGGGGAAAGTAAAATAGTTTCATTTATGAGATTGAGCTGCTGACTCTGGAGTCCATAATGCCCTGAATCTGAGTAGGTCATGGTGGTCTGGGCTGCAGGTATTTGCAGGTAAAAGAAGGAAGCAGATGATGTATGGTTTCCCCCACCCACACCCTACATGTTTGCTATTTGGGTACTACTTTCCTACTTATTTTATATTTTTGCATCACTTTATTATTATTTATTCATATTATTGTTTAAATAATCTCACTGCTTAAAGAAACTGTATTTTAGTCTCATCATAAAAAAAAATACTCATATTTCATAGTTTCCATGAGCCACGTGATTTCTTTTTTTTTTTTTTTTTTTTTTTTGAGATGGAGTCTTGCTCTGTTGCCCAGGCTGGAGTGCAATGGTGCAATCTCGGCTCACTGCAAACTCCACTTCCCAGGTTCAATCAATTCTCCTGCCTCAGCCTCCTGAGTAGCTGGGATTACAGGCATGCGCCACCACACCTGGCGGATTTTTGTATTTTTAGTAGAGACGTGGTTTCACCATGTTGGTCAGGCTGGTCTCGAAATCCTGACCTCAGGTGACCCACCCACCTCGGCCACCCAAAGTGCTGGAATTACAGGTGTGAGCTACCATGCCTGGCCTATGCCGCTTGATTTCTAGCATCATTAACAGGAACTCATAATTGACCATTGCACCTTGGGTAGCCACCGCCACCCACCACCCTCACTCCCTCAGCATTTACTTGGCTTTGTTGTTCTTCACTGAGCCTAGCAGTACCGACCCTTATATAAGGTCTCTATTTCAATCTTTATTATTCATCAGAAGGAAGATGAGGTTTTGTTTTTTCCCCTTGGCTTCCCCTGTTTTGTCCACTGCAGTGACTGATACACAGTAGCCACTTAGCTAATGTTTAACACATACTTATAGAAAGAGAATATGCCCATCTGTGTACCATGGCGAACACTAGCTTACTTGCAACACTTAGTTATAGCCTTGGCTTTGGCACTCATTAGACAACTACCCCAGTCCCCCTGAGCCGACACAGGCACCTGGACAGCAAATATGGAGGGCACAGTCCAGACAGTGCTGGTGGCCTCTCCAGTGTCTCCCCAGTTGTTCCCTGTGGGATGGGGGGTTGCCCATTGGTCCTTGGAGGCTTCTGCCCTCCTCCTAGGATAGCTTCAGAACCCTGGCCAAACCCACTCACCTCCCTGGACACAGTTCTCCTTTCAGGAAGGGGGCATGTGACTCATGTACTTCAATGAAATTCAAGGAGAGGTTTCTGGGAAATATTTCTTAGTCTCAAGAACCTCCAATCATCAAACATTTTTTTCCTCTGAAAGAGCAGAATGGAGAGAACACAGGGCAGGAGTGAGTAAAGCTGTCTTTGAGCTGTGGCTCTGCTTATTTCTGGCTGTAGGAGTCTCAAGAAAGATTATCCAGCTTGTCTGAGCCCATATCTATTAAATGTGAAACAATAGAATTGTCTGTACTGCCAAATTCACAGAGTTATTTTGGAAATTAAGTGAGAAAACGTATAGTACAATGTTCTACAAGATACAAAATGCCAATAATATTCTTTGCTTTGGATTTAAAAAATAGTGAGAGTGGCATAGCTCTGTGCAGGCACTTTTGCTCACAGCCGATGTGGTTTTTTCGCCTTGGTTTGATTGTGCTTTGGGACCAGTCTTGGTACAAGAGAGCAGACTAGAGTGAATGTTTAAAAAAGGTCTGAAAATGTAGAGAACAGTTTGATGCATGCTCATTCATTCTCCCTGGGTCTTCCTGGCAGAGCTCCCGTGACCTTCAACACGGTTCCAAAGTATGTCACTGGCAGGAATCAGGGAGATAAGAAAAGGCTCTTCAGGTTTCTTTAAAAAACATTTTGTGCTTCTATTTCAAGATGAAGACATTCATGCTACCCAAGTGTCTATTTGCTTCTCTCTTCACTTCATTGTACACGTGAAAATTTTATTTACCCTTTCCAAGCAAAATATCAGTATATCCAACATTAGAGAGTAGTCAATCAAGTTATACGTGCAAGATATATTATGCAGCCATTAAGTGAGTCATGAAAAGAGTTTCAGCAACAAGGGGTTGCTTAGGCTACTGTAATAACTAAGAAAATACAGACACATGTACACAGCATTAAAAACTGCATGTCTGGGTATTACATCCTCATGTACACATTCATACATAAGAAATAAAAGGGCTATGTCAAAATCTTGACAGGGATTATTTGGTTGCTAAGATAAGAGATGATTTTTCTTACTTTTTCTAAATTTTCACAATTGTCTGCTTATTGCTTTTATAAATCAGAAAAAGTATAGTCATTTAAAGTTATGCAGTGGGTGAGGAAAAATCTAAAAAATAAAAATCTGGAATTCTAATAGTTAATACTCTTATGATATATAATGTGTATATGACTTCCTGAGTTCCCTAGTAACTAAAGATTATTGTTTAACGTGGACTTTGACAGAATACCCAAAAGTATGATGAAGATAATAGAACTCTTCTAACCATTAAAAAGACCGAGTTTTGTTCACTGTCTTCCCCTCTGGATCTTATTCGCATTACCACATTTTGGAGCTTGGAATTTGGGCTAATTCAAAGAACTTTAGGGAGTCATTTTATGGGTACTGGTAATTTCATATAATTTTTGCTCTAGAATTGCCTCTGGTATATTTTCTTCTTAAGTCAAGTTCACATCTTGATTTTTTTTTTCTAGAGGCAGGATCCCACTATGCCGCCCAGGTTGGTCTCGAACTTCTGGACTCAAGTGATCTTCCTGCCTTGACCTCCCAAGTAGCTGGGGTTACAGGCGTGAGCCCAAATGAATTTTTAATTTTTTTATTCTATAGACAAAACCTCAGTTTGAAAGTTGTACCTGAGAACATTCAGACCCTAGTTTATATTTCAAATAAAAGTTGGGCTATTAAATATGTTAAATCTAATGTCTAAATGTGTTACCTATTTATAAACCTGATAATATAATATATTAGGTTGGTGCAAAAGTTACTGTGGTTCTTGCCATTTAATGGGACTTTCCCATCAAAGTTTGGGAAATAGATTTGATTTCTATTTCTTTCTTTCATCTATATTATATCAATAAACCAGGTAAGTCCAAGATCCTCAGGGCCCCTGGTTTCCACTTGCACCACCACTGACCTATTTCAGGCCTTTGCTTCTTTCCTGGGCCACCACATTCCAGCAAGTGTCCTGACTCTTTTTCTGCTATTATACTTTGTTCTTCAAATTGTTACCAGATTAATTCACCTACTATACAGCCCATTATATTTTCTAAAAATCTTTCATGGATTTCCCTTTTGACCTCACACACCAGACTTACTATGTACCCCTTGCCTTGGTACACAATGCCCTTCACAATATTTGTTTTCATGTATTTATTTCTTCATGTATTTGTTTTTTTCAACAAACTCACCGCACGTCTTCTCTATGCCAGCCCTGTTCTGTTCTACTTATCAAGGAACACAATAGACAAACATCCCTGCCCTTAAGGATTCTGCATTGCAGCAAGAGGGGCCAGAAAATCAGTGTAATCAGTGTAATAAACAAGGGAATTGTTGAGCATGCCAGAATGTGATCATTCTAGGGAGGATCCTCAGCTCAGGGTAAAGAGGCACCAAATTAGCCTTTTAGTTAAGATGGCCAGAGCTGGCATCACTGAAAATATGACATTTGAGTAAAGATTTGAAGGAGGTGAGGGAATGAGCAACACGGATGTGGGGAAGAGCATTTTAGCCTAGGGAACAGTCAGCCATGCTGCATGATGTGGAGTGTGGCTGTGTGGCCAGGCCAATGTGGCCGAGTGGGGAGGTATAGGGGAGGACGTCAGGCCACAGAGAGCCACTGGGTCTGCAGCCTCAAGGCCATTGGAAGGATGAGGACTTCCCTCTGAGAGACACAGGGAGGCCCTGAAGGATTTGCAAGGTGCTTTATCTGACAAACACTTTAAAAAGAGCATTCTGGCTTAGTTGAGAGGACATAGTGAAGAGGCAATGGTGCAAGCCAGGAGTCCTGTTAGGAGACACTTGCAGTCATCCAGGCAGCAGATTGAGTGCTTGCACCATGGTGGTAGATGGGCATCCTGGAGGTGGTGAGAAATGGTCTTATCTGGAGATATTGTGAAGGAAGAGCCCAGAGGATTTGCTGATACACCGGATGCGGTGAGTGAAAGACAGAGGTCAGGGAGGCTTCTAGGTTGTCACACTCAGCATCTGGATGGATGGATTGGCATTAGCTGAGATGGGGAAGACTGGACAGCTGTGGTGAAAGAGAAGGTAAGACGTTTTCATGTGAAATTTTTATTTCACATCCTAGAGAAGATGCAAGTAGGCTGTTTAATAGACAAGTGAGTTCAGAAAAGAGGTCCAAGCAGGAGCTACAACTTTGAGAGCTGTAAGCTCAGGAATTGTCTTTAATGCCCTGGGACTGAATGACAGCAAGACAGGAATGAGGGTAAGGAGAAGATCAAGGAGGCTGACAGCTTAGTACTCATGCACTGCACAGACACAAGTGAGACCAAGGAGTGAGAATCAGGCATGGCCACTGAGTTGGGAAGAAAAGCAAAGTTTTCTAGGAAGCCCAAGTGAAAGGCTTTTTCCAAAGGAGGGCATGACCTACTCTATTAAATGCTTCCATTTACTGTGGTATAAACCATTTTCTATCCATATCATATAGACATTACCTGAACTATTTTATTCTTATGCTACATTGGACTAAGGACTGTCCATGAGCCAGACCCTAGAATTTCCTACTACTACTTAAGCTATTATTTATGTTTAAATGATCTTTCAACATTTCAGCACAATGTACTTCCTACATTTTAAATTACATGGATTACCTAAATTTTATAGTCATTAAAGAAAAAAGAGCAAATAGAATTAAAGCATGCTATAGACTGAATGTTTGTGTCCCTCCCAAAATTCATATGTTGAAATCCTAACCCCCAAGGTGATGGAACCCTTATGAATGGGATTAGTGCTCTTGTAAGAGAGACCCAGAGAGCTCTCTTGCCCCTTCCTCCATGTGAGAACACAGCAAGAAGATGGACGTCTAGGAACCAGGGAGTAGGCCCTTCCCAGACGTTGGCTATTCCAGGAGCTTGATCTTGAACTTTACCGTCTTCAGAACTGTGAAAAACAAATTTCTGTTGTCTAAACTACCCAGTTTATGGTAATTTGTAATAGCAGCCCAAGTGGACTAAAACAAAGAGCAAAAAGAAAATCATCCTAAATCCAACAATATGGAAATCATTGTTCATTTAACTTGTTTGTAAGTTTTGATATGATAAACATCATTTTAATGAGCTTCTTTTATGTATGTATCTTTCTTAAGTTATATAAGATAATTTCCTTCCAGTAAGTTTTTAGAATTAATATTTCTGGATCCAAAGGATTTTTAAAAATTCCATCTAACTGCTTAAATTAATATAATCTACACTTTAATTCTCTGATATTGTTTCTCTCTTTACTTTTAACCTTATCAGTACAGATAGGATGGTGTGCGGGTGCACATGTGTGTGTGTGTATGTACTCACACACTGATCTTTTTCAGATTTACTCTATTAAGAAATACTTCCAGTATTTCTACTAGAAGTAAATTCCATATAATTGGAATTTTATATGATAACTTTATTTTAAACATACAGATTGTTCCTATCTAAGAATATAGTCTCTTTCTTCATTTAACTAAGTTTATTTTATATCCTGCAGTTATTTTAATCTTCATTTCTTTTTATGCTATAAATAGTTGTTATTGAGAAGTAGTTTTAGGCTTACAGAAGACATGCATGAATAGTAAAGTGTGCTTTTTCCAAAACTATTTTAGAGTAAGTTGCCAACATGATGCCCCACCACCCCAAATACTTTAGTAATTCCTACAAGCAAGGACGTAATCACAATATAGTAAATTACCATGAAAATCAGGAAATTAACTCCTTGGATTTCCACCATGCAATCCAGAGACCCCATTCAAGTCCTGCCAATTGTACCAATAATGTCTACAAGAAAACGATTCAATCCAGGACAAAGCACTGCATTTAGTGTCTTATTTTTTCATACTCTTTCAATCTAGAATAATTCCTAAGTTTTTCCTTAGCTTGCACGACTTTGATGCTTTTGAACACTATGGATCATTTCATAGAATGTCTGTCCATATGAATTTGAGTTTCTTCATGTTTGCATTGTTTGTGTATCTTTGGCAGGAACATCACAGAAGTGATGTTACCTCCTCTTCATTGAGGCTTATCAAATGTTGTGTAAGTTGTATTGGTCCCATTACTTATGTCCACTGTGATCTCTTGATTAAGGTGTGTTGCCGCTGAATCGCATGCCCCCAAAAGATACATTGAAGTCTTAACCCTGATACCTGTGAGTGTGGTCACACGCACATACCTTTGGAAATAAAGTCTTTGCAGATGTAATCCAGTTAAGATAAGGTCATGCTGGATTAGAGTGATCTTAAATCCAATAACTGGTGTTCTTTCAAGAAAAGAGAGACATGAAAACACAAACATAAAGGGACGAAGGCAACATAACAAAGGAGGCAAAGACTGGAGGGATGCATCTGCAAGGGAGGGGACCCCAAGGACTGCCCATGGCCACTGGAGGCAAGAAATGGCAAGGCAGTGTCCTTCCCCAAGCCTTCAGAGGGTGCATGGTCCTGCTGACACCTTGACTTCACACTTCTGGCCTCCAGGGCTGTGAGAGAATAAATCTGTGTCATTTTAAGCCACCAATTTTGTGGTAATCTGTTATGGCACCCTTCAGAAACTAACACAAGGCAGTATCTGCCAGGTTTCCCTACAATAACGTTACTCTTTTTTTCCTTTTTAATAAATAAGGATTCTTTTTTTGGAATGGGAGGTCCTTTGAGACTAGGTAAGAAAGTTTCCTATGAACCTTCACCCATTAGCTTTTAGCATCCATCGATGCTTCTTGGCTTATTTAATTATTACTATTATGATTGACAAATGGTGATGTTTCTAATGACTTCCTTCTATGTATTTTTTGGTATTCTACTCTAAGGAAGGGGTTGTTTTGCTCTAGTATTTAAAATATATTTTTATATCTGTATAGATTTATTATTCAAGGGGTTATAAGTTCCTATCATTATTTATGTTGATGCTCAAATTGCCCCAGATCTGGCCAACAGGAGAACTCTGTCAAGCTGGCTTCGTGTCCTTTTGATATATTCCCATAATTTTTTCACACTACAAAATGTTCAGGTCCACTTTGTACTGTTCTGCCCTTGCCTCATCCTTGGATTCAGCCATTTCTCTGAGGAGTCCAGTTCCCTGCTAGTGGAGAACAGTACTTAGCAACCAAGACCTGGTGCTTGGTGTGCCCACTGCTGTGGAGGTGTGGCTGCGGACAGACTCTCTCATTGAACAGAGTTAGGGAATAGATTTCTATATAAACAAATAAACATACACACATAAATACAGGCATGCATGTACCATTGAAATCTATATTTATTTCTACATCTATCAATTTATATACTTATTGAAAACCATGTACTTATTGAAAACCATGATTCTATACCTCCAATTCCAGTCCAGCACCTGAAGGTTTAGTTTAATTTTCTCCCTTTCCACATTTGTAGCATTCCTCTCTGATACTGGGAGACGTGGCTTTGAATGTCCCCAACATATTTTCTTACTCATTTATCATCCTTATATTTGACCAGTCTCTGCCACTGCGTCCACTCTCCACCCCATCGCTCCCAAACCTCTCCTGCACCCATGTGGATGCCTTCCTCCAAAACAGACAGGCTGCCACTCTCACCCTGCATAGATGCCCTCTGCAGGCTCGGAGTCCCGCAGCCCCTCTGAGGGAAGCCATCTTCACTCTGCTCTGGCTCTGACATCGCATGCCAGTCTTCCTGTACTCTGTGGACACTGTCCTCACCTGGCCTGCACTCGTGTAGCCTTGTCAGGGAGTGCCCACGCCACCTCCTTACTTGGATGCCTTCCTCAGCTCCCTTGACTCTGACATCTAGTACCATCCTGGAAGGAAGGAAAGAAATGAGGAAAAAAAGGAGGAAGGATGAAAGGCATAATATGTTTCATCATTTTTCAATTGCTTTTCTTAGATTTTTACAAGCAGATCATAATATCTGCAAATAATGATGGATTTTCTACTGACTTTCTAGTATTTCATAGAATTACACTTTCAGGGAAATGTTGAATAATGTGACAATAATTTATCTTTTCTTACTTAATTGGAAATGTTTCCAGTGTTTCAATTTGTGTAAATGTGGGCAGTTGTTTTAAGATACACTTTTTTATATATCATATTAGAAATAAATATCGATTCTTGTTTTACTGAGTTTTTATCAAGAATGTTGAATTTTATCAAATACATTTTTGACATATATTGAGATGATAGTTTGCTTTTCCTCTGTGACTTAGTAACACAACCAGTGCATTAATAAATATCTTAATACTGAATCATTCTTACACTTTTAGAGAAGATAGTACTTGTTTATAGCACATCATTCTTTAACTATATGGCTAGATTTAATTTGACTATTTTTTGGTAATTTGGTATCACTTATGCTATCTTTTTTATATTTTGTTATCAAGATTATACAATTTTAGGAAAATAAATTGAAAAGATTGTTTTTCTAATTTTTTCCTCAAAGGAGTTAAATAGGAATTATTTGATTTGAAGAAACCTGCTCGTAATAGCATTAACATATATGGCCATTTTGAAGGGAAGGAAGTATATCTCTGTGACAACTTTAAACATTTCTTCCATTATTAGAAATCTATTCAGACATTCTACCTTTTCCTGATGACATTTTGGTAATGTCATCATTCCTAGAAAATAATTTGTTTCATTGATATTTACAAATTTACTTTCAAAGAAAGTTGTAATGTTTAAAATCTCTTCTGTATTTGTGGTTATATTCCATTTTAAAATGTGTATTGTGAGTCTCTACTTTCTCTTTCTCTTTCTGTCTCTCACATCTCATTCTGACAGTTCTGCTAGAGGTTTGTTTTTTACCAGGAGTTAGCATGCTTTTCTGTAAAGGGCCAGGAGTAAATATTAGGCTCTGTGGGCCATACGGTCATCATCAGAACTATTCAACTCTGCTCTTCTAGCATGAAAGCAGCCAGTGACAGGACGTAAATGAATGAGTATGGCTGGGTTCCTATAGAATTTATTTTGAACACTGAAATGTAAATTTCATATAATTTTCATGTGTCATGAAATATTATTCTCCATTTCCCCCCAACTATTAAAAAATGTAAAAACCATTTTAAATCGAGGGTCATACAAAAACAGGTGGAGGGCAGGATTGGGCCCATAATTCTGTCTGCCAACTCCTAGTCTATGTCATAGATTTGGGCAAAAAGCAAAAACGAAAACACAGAGTGAACCGCTTAAATATGTTTGTCATAGCTACATATAATTCTCTGTTCTCTAAGTTACTTACCATATTAAGAATTTAGTCATCCTTTAATCTACTTTTATTAAAATTTGTTTTCTAAAATCTTCTTGAACTTAATGCTTGGTTCTTCTTTTATTCTGTTCCATGAGTGTTCGAGTATTCAAGAATCTGTATAGCAATATAACACGCAGCCATCTCCTGACTACCTGGCTTAATAAGTAAGATGTTACAAACAGAGAAAAGCAATTCCGTGTTTGGCAGCATGGTGGAAGAACCAACTTACATACCCTCTCAATGGAAACATTTTAGTAATCAAAAAAGCTGGATTATTTGTGTTTTGAAATATACCACTGAGCTAAATAAGCAGAAGGAATCAACGGAAGGCTGAAAACCATTTACAATCAGGGACCTCAACGAATTTATCAAAAAGTGTCAAAGCAACTTGTGCCCTAAGAGTGTTATCTGCCAACGCTGTGGTCTAGAGCTTCTGTTTTGATGCCACAAGAGGCACAGGAAGGAAGAAATCCATCGTGGGCTCCCCAGAGCAGAGCCAGGACCCAGGGGCTACACCTCAGGAGAGGTAACACACCTTAAAATAGCACGACTTGAACTGAGCTCTGTGGCAGAAAAGTAAACTTCCATGAGTGTTTGTAACCCAGAGGTGAAGCTTACACCCACTTTTGGCCTGAGTTCATACCACTTATGCGGTTGAAAAGCTGAAATTGAGAATTTAATTTAAAGTGGTCTCAGGTTGATACTACTTTCAGGTGATTGACAGAAGAGCAAACAAAAACTGGCTCCAAAACAATGCCACTTCATGTAGGCCTGAAAAACTTTCTGCAAGACACATGGACTTATATTTTAAAACCTCCAAAGGAAATAAGAGAAATAACAGAGCAAAGCACAGGCTGCACATGTTTGAGAGAGGGTAATTATCCAATTTAGAGTAGAAAATAAGTAGGTTTAATATGTTTTAAGATAAAAAGAGAGACTTGAAAATACAAAACTAGAGACTGATATTTTAAAATTGACTTTGAAGATTTGAAAAAGAACACAATGAAACAACTAGTAATAAAAATGTGATTGAAAGTTTTTCAAGATTACAGGAGAACAAACTAGACAAAATTAAAGAGAGAATTGAATTCATGAATGGAAGGTAGACTAAAAACATTACCTAAAATGCTACCCAGAGAGAAACAAAGAAATAAGAACTATGAAAGAGTAGCTAAGAGATCAAATGGCTGAGAAGTTTACACATGTACACATATGTGTGTATAAATATGTGTGTGTGCGTGTGTATGATTTTATATATATGTATATAAATCTGAGCCCTAGAGGGAAAAAAATAGATGAGTGAGCATGAGGCAATATTCCAAAATATAATCACTGGGAATTTTACTGAATTGTTGAAAGATACCAAGGCCCAAATCCAGGAAACCCAACAATTCCAAAGCCAATTAAAATACAAAGAAATCTACACGCAGTAATACAAATTCAGACCAAAGAGAATGACTAGTTAGAAAAGAGAGATCACTTACAAAGACACAGAAATTAGACTGACAGCTGAATTTCTAGCAGTAACAATGGATGCCAGAGAGGGGAGATTATCTTCATTGTGCCAAGAGAAAAACCCAGCAAAACAGTATTTCAAGATTGAAGAGGAAATAAGACAATTATTAGTTCTCTATTTCAGGTAGAAATAGTATGTTGAATGGAAAGTATGAAATGCAAAAAGGAATATGTGTAAAAGTAGTGGTAAATCTATTGATATAATTTCATATAGTTTCGTGGCTCCATGCAGTTGAATGCTAAGCTGAAATCTCCATCTTCAAAGGAAAGTTTCTCACTCTTTTTTAAATTTTAAAATAATTGTAATACATGCTTCTCACACATGGTTTGGAAAAAGGAAAAGTAGAAAAATAAATGTGAGGTATCTGTAATTTATCAATTGTTAATATTTTGATATATAACTTTTAGTCACATCTATTTATGCCTTTTACTTAATTAGGTTGATGCTAATTGTCTGATCCAACATTTTGTTTTGAATCATGACCATAAAATGAGGCTTTTTCCATGTCATCAAATATTCTTCAGAAACATCCCTTTATAGTGCTACTTAATATTCCATGCTTTGAATGTGTCATAATGTAGCTGAAACCAGCTAGATGCCCACCAATCCCAGTTCCTCTTCCTGCGCACACAGATTGTTTCTCTCAGCCTTTCTGGCATTAATTTTGAGCCAATAACTGCACTCTGGCCAGTGAAATATGTGCAGCACTGAAATGTACCATTTCCAGGGTAGGCCCTAAAATGCCTCATAGGGTCCCCCTCTAGCTGAAGGCCGGGGACCAGTGGAGGACTCTGATGAAGCTCTCATGGCCAGCCCTGCATCAGGGTCTGAAATTCCACCTGGAAGTGTCAGTTTAGAAGTAGAGAGCTGGGCCCAAAGGGTGCAAGAATGAGGTTATAGAAGATAACATAAAGGGAATGTCACTGGGGAAAACAACGAGAATTAAAATGTTTTCTTTTGTCAATCAATTTCAGGTGAGAAACCCCAGTTTTAGACAACTTCTGTGAACAGCTCTCATTTACTCATAGTTGTGGTAATGATCACTTTTTTTCCTGGGCATGCATAGTAGACATTTAGAAAAAGTGTCCATTTGGCTTTCTTCGTATGTGACTTGTCGTTTCCCATTCTTTGCCATTTGACTGATTAATTTAAAATATGTTTTTTAATCTGGGAATTAGTTATACATTACATGTTTGTTACAATTATTTCTTATTTCTACTTTATTAATAGCTTTTATAATTTATGATGTTTTGATGTAGGTGCCTTTAACTTTTCAAATCTTATAAAGTCAAACCTATTGTTTTTGTTGTTTTTAATTTCTTCCATTGATTTTACCTTAGTCCTGCCAGAGCAAACATACTATTTTTTCTAGGCTGGCTTTAAGCTCAACATTAAATTTTTATTTTTTAATTTGTCTGGAATTTATTGTGTTATATTTACAAGTTAGGAATTAACATGTAAATTATTGTTTAAAAATTATTTTAAAAAAAGATTGTACCATATATTCTGCGCTTATTGAGCAAGTACTCTGTGCTTTACATGCACTGCTTCTTCCTTGCAGGAATCCAGTGAAGTGATGCAACTATTAGCACCCCGTTTTAGAGATGAGGAAAGGGGGCTGTGGCACTGTCACACACTTCACGTACAATGACAGGGCCTGGAAGCTGGGGAGCTGGGCTCTGAGCCTGTGTGCGGACTGCACCCCCCACAGCCTGCGCTGCACTGCACTGTCAGCATGCAGGGCTGCGGCTGGTCCCTGTGGAATCAAGGTGAAGCTTTCTGCACTACACACAGATTCTTATATGAGTTGGGGTCTGTTCACGGGCTATCAGTTCTGTCCCATTTATTTCTGGGACTCATGCATTATTATCTCATTATTAAGTACTAGTAATTCTTATAAAAACCATATTAGGCCAGATATGGTGGCCTAATATGGTTTTTTAATTATACCTTATTGATATTTTCTTTAGGAATTCATACTTAGAAAATGTATAATCTTGATTCTATTTGTTTAGTACTTAATTGCACACTTGTCTTAGTTCCTGTACTAGACTGCAACCTTTTTAAAGCATGCGAGATTTATCTGTAGCACCAGGCACTGTGATTTCTCATGGTTATTTAATAAATCATTGTCTGATTAATTATTTTAAAAGGAAATATACTGATTCTATTTAGCTTAACAAACATAGTATTATATTGCCTACTGTGTGCCAGACTTTATTCCAGTGCACACAGTAACTTGGAAAGGTAGAATCAATTACTGCCCCATTCTAGAGATAAGGAAGCTGAGTTACAGTAAGTGAGTAAGTAAGCAAGCTGAGTTACTTACATTACCACCAGTAAGTGACGGTCAGAACTCGAACCTGGGCTTCCTGGTGTGCATGCTCGACGTTCACTGTGCTGTGTGCCTCTCTGCTGATGGGAGCATTAGGTGGTTAAAGATGGGTGGCTTTTGACATTCCTGCAGAGGACAGGGGAGTTCCCCCCGTCTAGGAGGGCCGGTAAAATACAGGTAGGCTGTAAAAGCACTTTGGGCCAAAGAACCAGCTTCCCTAATGTGGGAAAAGCAGAAACATGCCATTTGTGGAAATCAGCCAGACGTCAATAAAAGGTGTCTGTTCAGAAATCAAACAACCGTAGGGGAAAATATGTTACCAAGAAGTCATTGTTATTTTTAAAAATAATTTTTGATCACTAGTTTTTCTTTATCAAATCTAAGCAATTGAAAATTCTCCTTCCCCCCAGCATTGCACTATTTCTTTTTTTATATGCATGATGTTAAAACAAAATGACGCCAAGCAGCTGCCGAACTTGCCTGTTAAGTTTGGCTTGCATTTTCCAGGCAGGGGTTGTGTTAAGTTGGGGAAATTATGTTGTCCCATTTTTTTTTTCCAGCAAGACATTGTGGTAGATTATCTGGCTGCCACCACTCATCCCATGCAGCTGCTCCCCTGTTCTGTTTGTCCTAAGCTCCCTCGAACTCTGCGGAAGTCAGATGGGACGCAGAACATACTGGGAGGCAGGCTGGCTTAACAATAATAAGAAGGCAGATTGAGCGTGCAGGGAAGAGGCAGGCAGAACTGGCGCTGCAAGTCCAGTTTCAACAAACTATTTTCTATCTGATATGCTAACACATTGTTGGAGCTTGTCTCCCTTAATTCAAAAAAAAAAAAAAAAAAGGAAAAAAAGAGAAGCTCTTTCATTTGCGCCTCAAAATTGTCCCGAAACCCCTTTACTTTTCAGTGTTTGACCTTACTAAAGAGGTACTAAAACCACTCCATTTTTAAAAGGGGGAAGTCAGAGATATGTCAGAGAGAGAGAAAATGAAATTTTGCATCAGGCAAAATTTCTGTACTGATATTTCAAAAGGCTTCATAATTCTGTGGCTGTATACAAATGATCCATTTTGTTAATCTGAATTTCGAAGGTCATTAAAATTTTTTTCTCTGCTCTGGAGTAGTTTATTACTTAGAGAGAGAGGGAAAAAAAGCCAGTTTAAAACCAGGTAAGGGAAGAAACCTGATAAAAACATAAATTAGAGGAAGAACTTAATTTAAAAAGTGTCAAAAAGGATAGATAGTCTTAGTTCAATAATAAAGCCTGGTTCAAGAGCCTTCTATCTTTAAATAAAGCGTTCAAGCACTCTATTACCTGTATACAACCAATCTTTGATTTCCAATCTAAGTCTATTTTTGCTTCTCGTGATTAGCATACAAATGTGAAAAAAAGAAAAAAGTGGTTACACGTGTGACGATTAGGACATGCCTTTGCTTTAATGTCACTGGTTTGTCAGGCTAGAGGTGATGAAATGAATTGCTGCCTGGCAGGCTCCTTAGAGGTAAATCTTGTCTGAAAATGACTCCTATCCATCTCCTTTTATTTTCATTCTAAGTTCATCTTACAAACGGCAAGCATGTAAGCATATATTTGTTTTAAGAGATAAAGCACAGTAGCATATAACAACTTACAAATATATGTGAGAAGGTGATAAGCATGGCTCCTGCAGCAATACCGTCCCCTCCACAGAGTAGCCATGAGTCCAGAGATTTAGCCTAAATGTGGGGGCTCTACCCTGCCAAGAATCACATGTTCCATATAAGAAGTGAGAGGACGAAGTATAGAGACAAATTTTATGGTGCTCCTGACTCAGTGCCCAGCAAGACCTGAGACTGCAGGAATCTGCTTTGGTTTTCTCTCTGGGCATACATTGAAAAGCACCACCTGTCTTATTGGCTTTTGTATGAGCAAGGTGTAAGCCTGCCAAGGCTAAAATGCAAAACTCTCTAATAATATCGTCAGGGAGGGACAGATGCCAGATCCCTGCCTACCAGTTTCCTCCGAGCCTTCTCCAGAGTCTTCTCCGAAGCCTTGGTCCCTGGTCAGGAGGGGCCCTGACTTGCTGGGGGTGTCCTAGAACAGGAAGTTCCTGGGGGCCTTGGTCCCTATGGGAGGGGCCTCACAGTGAGGGAGGGGAACCCACAGCATCCTGCTGACTGATGGCCCTATTTACATTCAAGGCAGTTATTATGCATGAAACCACTCAAGCATCATTTGTTTCAGGGAGTTCAACCAGTCAATTTTTCAGTTCCTTTCTGGTTCAGGGTCAGAAGCAAATGACGGATCTCAGGTTGGCTTCATTTTGGGCCAGTGATACTTCCCATCTTATTCAGGGCAAATTTGTTTAAAGACTCTTCCACTTATGATATGTGGAAGTGTCCTTTCCTTGTGCCTCACAGAGGCCCTGGGGAAGCTCTGGTTAGGCTGGAGCCCCATTAGCACTGCACTGAAATTCACCTAAACAGATAAACTGTGCCCTGGACTCACTGGTCGCTTTAAGTCATACACCTGTGAGCCTTGTGCAGTGAGGAGGGTGTGTGCAAAAGCATATGGAAAAGCGGGCTATGGGCCACTGCGTGAAACCCTGAGTCAGCTGTGAAAATCACTTGAATCTGAACTTAAATGAAATCATCTTTCTCCACTTTGAGATGAGGCTTCAGATTCAATTCTAGGACAAGAAATTATTGATATAATCTTGGAGCTCCACTCAGAAGTTTACTAACATTGGTGTAGTGTGTTACAGTTCAAAAATGATATATTATTTATAAATATATCCTATTTAGTCTGCATGATAATCATAGGAGGAAAGCATTATCCCCATTTACCAATGAGGAAACTGAATCTCCAACAAGCTCAATCAAATTTCACAGAAAAAAGAGAGAAAATAAAAGCAGCAAATATAACAAAAACATAAAAAAATTATATGTCATATAAAGAACTCTGCAAGAACCATGCTCTGGATGTAAGAAATGAGAGGGCAAAGCATTGTGACAAATGTTATGTTGGCTACTGACCCGAGGGACAGAAACACTGGGGCAAAGCATTTTCCTTTCACTTTTATTTTGGAGTGCAGAGCAGAAGAAAGCTGTTTCAACACTAAGCGGATAGGAAAAAACGCACTTACCACTAAGAACATGCTCCCTAAGTTACCTGTCACAGTGGCACATGTGCTGTGCACATGAAGTCGCCCAGCCTTTCCCTCTTCCCTAGAGATCAGTCATGGTGGCCATCTCTGGTTCATGCAGCAGAGTCAGGGCTTCCCTGTCCTGCACAGCCTGGCCCTGCAAAACAGAGCAGCCAGTGCTTCCTCCTGATGCTCCACTGCATCGTTTCTGCTCTCCCTTACTACCTTTGGTAATTCTCTAACAAAGCAGGAAGTGAGGTGAAAAACTAAAACACTTCCTATGTCATGTTGGAGAATGCTGCCTCACACAAGTGGCAAAACCACATTTTAGGGGTATATATGCGGACACATAAATATCCACACACATAGAATTCAAGGTCCAGAGAGAAAGTACATAATTCTCACGATCGATTAATTTCCAAACCTGTATAGACAAAGCTGAGGCCATCCTAGAATAATATATAATTTGATGAGTTCTGCATGCCTATTTGTTCATAGGAAAGAGGCCAGAATAACTTCTTTGTACAAGATCCCATATCTGAGGTTTCCCTTCTTTATTGGAAGGGAGGAGACCGAATTGATTGACAGGCCAATTTCTAAACACTAGTGTCTCAGTATTACAAAACCAAGGCTTTGTGTGTGTTTGCTTGTGGAATGAGGTTTCATAGATGAGTCCCATCATTTAAAAACACTCAATTGTAAATCTGAATAAAAGTAAAAAACAATTAAACTCAATAGACACACATAGGAGTTAAATGGCTTCCTCGGTATTCCCAGTGATCACTGACAGGAATGCTGAGCCAAGACTGTTCCCCATAGGACAGTGTGTCAGTAGCTTATTTATTTTATGTTAATAACACGTCAGAGTTCAGAATGTAAAGATTCTGTTCGATAGGCACACACCTGAGGCTGCTTAAGGCATTAGGTGCATATACTTGTAAGAAATAATATCTTCTAGTATCATCACATCTCCTAGCAGATAGTTCATGCACACATAATATATTTAATCAAGCATTTCTGTCACTGATACACACACACACACACACATACATGCATGCACAAAATGTAACCAGTTCTGTTTGTCTTCCCACTGTCATATGATGTGGTACCATCTGGCGTCCAAGCAGCAGCACCTCTGACATCAGTGCATTTCTGTGTGTAAGTGAAGAGACACTGCATTATTAAAGCATTTAAATAGGTAGTTCTTAAGCACTGTGCAGAAATAAATGTTTTTTCAATATTAATGCATGGAGCCCCAGAAGTGGTATCAGTGAGCATATGTCTGCTTTGCAAGTTAAATATATTTTCTCAAAGAAGAGTTAATATTTACTTTAGAGATTTTCAGTAAATAAAAGTTGTTTATGGTGGGGTGTGGTCTGTAATCCCAGCACTTTGGGAGGTTGAGGTGGGCAGACAGCTTGAATCCAGGAGTTTGAGACCAGCCTTGGCAACATGGTGAAACCCCGTCTGTACAAAAATATAAAAATTAGCCGGGTGTGATGGCACGCGCCTGTGGTCCCAGCTATCTCGAGAGACTGGGGCGGGAGGATCACTTGAGCCGAGGAGGTCGAGGCTGCAGTGAGCCATGTTCTTGCCACGGCACTCCTGCCTGGGTAACAAAGTGAGACCCTGTCTCCATTAAAAACAAACAAACAAAAAAAACAAAAAAAAACCTTGTTTATTTACATTTTCATCCATCCATTATATGAATATTATGTAAAATAATGGAAATCACATCTATTAATGAAACTGAAAAGTGAGAATTTGAAGGATACAATATAATATTTTTTCTAAATCAAAAGAAGATATAGAAATATATATATTTTAATGAGCAGTTTTAGTTCTTTAAAGTGGATGAATTTATCTGGAGTATAATGTATGTAAAGCACTCATCAAGTGCAACCTTAAATTGGTTCTGCAAAAGAGAAAGACTGCAAGATTCGTTTAATATTCAACTTAACAATTCCCAACAATGTCAAACATTTTTGATAAGTGGTTAAACTAAAGGTGGTGGTAGGTCCATTTTACTTTTTCAAAGTAAATAATAACCCTTAACAAGCAGTCAGCATCTCCACACACTGATAGGGCTTGTCCTGTGTGCCAGTGCCTTGCCAGCCACTGTAGGCATCGTGTGGGCGCAGCTCAGAAACAGCCTGTGTGACATGCCTACAGTGGGGAGGAAAAGGCGTTGGTTGAAAAATGGGAGCTTAACCAGCAGATGTTTGGTGACACCTACTAGGTAGGGATGGGGCAGTGAAAAAGACTGATGGAATCTTTGTTCTTCTGCAGCTCATACTGTGGTGGGAAAAGAGATTCCTCCATAAGCAGAAAGTATCAGGCAGTGATGGATGCTATGCTGAACTCAATGGGGCGCCCTGATGAACAGAGACAGTGACGTGGGGTGACTGCGGGGTGATGTTCTGAACTAGCACTCCACAGGGAGATGCTTTTTAAGCTGGTGATGGACAGACACCAGCAACTGACCACCAGGAGATCTGCAACACGGTGTTCACCGGGGGAACGATTGGTACGAAGCCCTAAGGCGAGAAGAGAACAAGGTGGTGGAGAGCACAAACAAGGTGGTAATGAGGAAGTCAGGGAGGAAAAGCACAAGAGGCCGTGAGGTTCTCTTTCAGGAAAACCAGACCTGACCTCGCTTGATTGGTGAGGAGAGGATGGGAGAGTGGCAGGCAGGGCTGGTGAAGAAAGGCTTCCCTGAGCAGATTCTGTGGGCTAAAAGGAGATAACTGGATGCGCAGGGCTCAGAAGGGTCGTCCACACCTCATGCTTGGTCCTAGAGACACACTGAGAAGGAAGACTCAACATCCCCGCCTCTTTCACAAAACTCTGTGTCAGCCAATCAACGCATTGAGGAAGTTCTACTGATGAACCTCCCTCTTTCTAATATCAAATAGGGCAAGTATGCGTCAACCTTTTTTGGCTTCTCTATTCTTTGTGCTTTAAAGATAATTTTTAAAGCTTTATTTATTGGTATGTAAACATTCCATCATCTCAAGCTCTTACTCATTAAGCATCTTCACCTCTGAGCAGGTCTAAAGTGTAGCATTTCCCTTTGCGGGAACACAATGTGTTCACTGAAAATCCATCAGGAGAGTGAGATGTCTCCAAATCCTGTCAAATGCCCAGCCCACCAAGGAGCTAAGGATACTTATCAAGGAGAGATAAGGTCAGGTGGAGCCTTTAGTGAGCTGGGTGTCAGCAAGATGAAGGGTGGTCACATGAAGGAGGAGTGGATTTGTGGTTGTGGCTGGGCTAAGGGAAAGGCAGTGTGAGATCAAAGCTGCAGGAGATAGATGGTCTCTATGTGAGGAGGGACATGGATCCACCAGAGTTGTACCAGGTGTACCATAAGAGTCGATGCACCTGAAGACGCTGCCTTAAGACCTGTGTTCCAATCCTTGCTGCACCTTTAACTGACTCCATGATCTCAGGCCAGTCACTTTACTTCTCTGAACCATCATTTCCCAGTCTATTAAAAAAAAAAAGGTATAATCAGCCCCATCTCTAACCACAGGTAAAGGGCAAGACTTGTCAAAGAGCCTAGCACCGAGTAGCAACCCTGTAGATATGAGTATCTACCTTTCCAACAATGCAATTTGCTCCATGTGGCTCCTGCTTCCCACCACTGGGATGGACGTCAAAGAGAAGCTGATGAGCCCCTGCAATGTGGAGGGTGAGAGAGTGAATTTGACAGAAGGTGATCATCTGTTACTTCAACATCGTGAGCAGCCCACCCCAATGGCTTATTTTCCTGGAGAAAGAAGTGAATGACATTAGCTGGAGGAGCCCAGAGTAGCAGGCCTGCTAGCAGTGTGATGGTCAACATCAAAATCCTCATGACACTGGGGTATTATGGGCAAAACTTCCCGCTTCCTGAAGTCTTCTTAGTTCATATCATCATTAAGATACAATGGAAAGACCCAGGTGGTTGTTGTTGTTTTTTGTTTTTTGTTTTGAGACAGAGTCCTGATCTGTCCCCGAGGCTGGAGTGCAGTGGCGCAATCACTGAAGCCTCAACTTCCTGGGCTCAGGTGATTCTCCTGCCTCAGCGTCCCAAGTAGCTGGGACATCAGGCATGCATCACCACCCCTGACTAATATTTTGTATTTTTGTAGACACGGGGTTCCACCATGTTTCCTAGGCTGGTCTCCCACTGCCTTGGCCTCTCAAATTGCTGGGATCATAGGCATGACCCACTGTGCCTGGCCTAAGACCCAGGCTTTAATGGAAGCTTTCTTGCAGAATTCAACCCTATTTTTGCCATCCGTAGAGGGGTAGTATCTAAGATGCTTTCTGACCTGCAGGGGCTGGAATTCTTTGATTCAGAGGAAAGGTTGTTTGCTACAGCTCAGTTACCTTTCATTGCAGTACAGGTGCAGATGGAGAGTTCCTGAACTCTGATGGTCATGTAGGAAAATGGAGAAAGGTTCCAGGACCTTGCACACGTGCCATGAATCTCTAGGTGCCCAAGGAGGCAGAGCTAGTGGTGGAGTCAGCAAAGCCCACACTGCCAAGATTTCTCACCTTCACTCTTCTCCTTGACGCTGTTATCAAAATTCCATCCTGTACTCCTCTGAATCTGCTCTAGTCAATATTTTTGATGATTTTTTTGATGTTTGTGGGTCAATAACCACAATCTTTATCCTCCTAAAGTTTTCTGGTGACATTAATACTCTTTTTCTTTTTTCCTTTTATTTTTTTTTTTTTATTTTTTGAGACTGAGTCTTAGTCTACCACCCAGACTGGAGTGCAGTGGTGCGATCTCGGCTCACTGCAACCTCCGCTTTCCAGGTTCAAGCAATTCTCCAGCCTCCCAAGTAGCTGGGATTATAGGTGAGTGCCGCCACGCCCAGCTAATTTTTGTATTTTTAGTAGAGATGGGATTTCACCCTGTTGGCCAAGCTGGTCTTGAACTCCTGACCTCAGGTGATCCACCGGCCTCTGTCTCTCAAAGTGCTGGGATTATACGCATGAGTACTATGCCCAGCCTATTAATACTCTTAATAGGCAATACTGAATGATTACCTGAATTTCTTCTTGTTTTAATGGCATTTTCTCATTACACTTTCTCATCTTGACCTGATCTTATTCCTTTCCTTCCTCATGCCCTTCTTCTGAGTCTGATTTGCAGATTTTCTGAATCTGTGTGAGGATGCAGCATTCCCACCCAGCACATCACAGTGGACGTGAGTGGCTTCTGCTGCTACTCAGGGTAATACCAAGGGATGAACTGGTTGTCCCATGGAAGGGACTTTTGAAACACTTCTAGCAGTACTGAATCAGGCGTAGGGCTGGGTGATGAAGTAGGCATTTAGCTTCGGTTCTGTTTATATTTGCAGTAGATTGCTCTCAGATTAGTTGGAGAAAGAAAGTTTTTCACAGGATGCACATAACATGCTCAGTTTATGGTTGTGACTGATATTTCCCGACCCTCTGAGCTCTTTGCATGGGAAAACTGCTCAGAGCTGCTTCAGTGGATCTTAGAGCTTTCAGCTTGGTCCCTGGGTCTCTTGTTTGAAGCCCTCAGAAGCTGAATTGACTCCGGTAAAATTAGTGTAAATTAAGACGTAATAGGTGGGAATCTCAGCCCACTAGCTCAGATATGTAACTGCATTTTTAAAAATGCCTCTTAGTTTTTAGTTCAGAGCATCCATTATGCTGGGTGAGCGGAAAAACTTAACTTCAGTTCTACCTGGGGTTGCCTGTCTCCCTTTGTATATGCAATGCCAAAGCTTGGGGGTTACTTGGTTGTTGGTACACACAGTTTACACTCTGCATAGCCTTGAGGCCGGGCAGCTCCCTTCTCCTTCATGGCAACCGGTATCTCCCCTTCTCTCTACTTGTTCTGGGAGAATTTCTATTAAGGATTTGTTCTAGATGTTGCTCTGTGTCTGAAAACCCCTTCAACTGGACTAAGCTTTTAAATTCTATATTTCTTTGCTTGTTTCTAGCTCTAAAGGAGCTAGAAAGACTTGGAGGCTTCCCTACCTCCTCTTTGAGACAAAGAACACACAGACATCACCTTCTTGAATGTAATAAAATGCAAAGAGAAAAAGAAACTGGTTAATATAGCAGAAAAATTACCCAGATAATTTTATCATAATCTTAGCATACTATGTAATGCTTTAAAAAATGTTCAGCAACGCTTGCAAAACCTTTGGTATTGTGGATAGGTTCTATGTACATAGAAATTTGGGGATGACCATCATTTTTGAATTTCTTCTAATTTCTCTGGACCTTCATATATCCATCCTGCTGTTAATGTTTAAAAGGCTTACTGAAATTCTAGATTTTTTGGAACAGTCTTTGTATAAAAAAGCCTACTAAAATTCTAGATATTTTGGAACAGTCTTTGTATAAAAAATCTGTAACCTGTTTCAGCCTTGGATATTGTAGATTTTTGCTCAGTTTTTTTTATTTTCTTTAGACCAGTGGTTTTCAAACTTGAGCACACCTGTATCACACATACCAGAATCAAGCCGTGGTGGGTTGGTTAAATCACAGACTTCCAAGCCACAGCCCCAGAGTTTCTGATTCAGGAAGTCTGGGGTGCGGTTTAAGAATCTGTGTTTCTAACAAGTTTCCAGGTGATGCTGGCCCAGAGACCATGCTTTGAGAACCAAAGACTTGATTATCTAGTAGCCAGATACCATTGCTTTGAAGAAGTATGGCTTGGTGCAATGAGCATGAATTGTTGAGTCAGACATAACTGGTTTCAAACGTGAGGAAAACCCCAAATGCCTGACCACACATAATCAGTACAAAATGGAGGTGACCCATATTTCTGTGCCTATTAGTATATCCTAGCTACTGGCCAGCTGTCACAACTTTTACAATTATAGCCTGTTAAGTTAAAAGAACTTGCAATAAAGGAGATGATCATAATGATGGTAAGAATGTTTTTTACTTATGTGAAGATTACAGACAGCTTGAAAAGCATCATGCATGAAGAGGTAATATAGCATAGGACAGTTATGGAATTTGGGTCCAATACCTGCATTTGAAGCTCTGCTCTGCTGTTTCCACACAATGATGTGACTTTAGACAATGCAGTTCATCTCTTCAATGCTATTATTTCTTACATATAAAATGAAAAAAGATATATTGCCAGCTTTGTACTGTGCCCAATGCAAAATACAATGTTATTTCCTTTTAAAGCTCACACTCTTCCATTTTTGAGTGTGGACATTTGCAAACTGACCAAAACTAAACTTCATGTGAAGGAATATTCACTGATATATGATCCTCTAAATTCCTGGAGAATAACTTCTATTTCAATTAATTATTCTAGGCAGCCAAACGAACTTAATAGGAAAGAAAGGCAAAAACAAACTCCTTTTGGCAAGAAAATAGCAGAAAGATTTTTTAAAAATCTTGTCTGGCAAAAAAATAAATGTCTGGAATCATCAAGTAATGGTAGTAGGAGCAGTAGCAGTGGGTGTTGTAGTGAATGAAAGACTAAGAAGCTTGACCACATGGTTTAGGGTGAAGTGTGTAAGTTTAACACTGTGCTGGCTCCAGGAGAAGTGAAGAACTATAAGGCAAAGAGAAGTAACCTCAAAAGTGGCATTTTGATTTGTCAATGCACCTAATTCAGAGGAGACATGCTTCTCCTGGGAAAGAGCCATTGAAGACCACTAGAAAAATGTCGCAGAAATTGGATATATTCCAAGGAAGTTGAAGGCCTTGATAGCATTTCTGGGCATCAGCAGGGTGTCCATCATTTCAGGTCACAGCCTGAGTCCCTCTGGGGGCTCTGTGGTTTCAAATTCTAGCCTTGATCCCCAGGCTCTCAGATTGAAAGCTTTGTGTGTTTCTTGTCATTGGCAGCCACCTTTTTCTTGGACTTAGAAGCACCTTTTGCTCTCCACACAACACTAATCGTGACCAGTCTGGGTCAGAGCCTGGCATCTGACTTCTTGCTTTAGGAGGAGAGGTTGGGCACAAATGACAAAGCAGATAAGGAAAACACAAGGCAATTCTGTTGTTGAGGTATAGACAGTTTTCTCAGCAACAGAAAGTTAACGACAGATGTTGGATATATGGAACAAGAAGTTCCATCGTCATTACATGTAAGGAATAATATTTTTAGCCTTTATTTTTTAAGAGTAAAAATCAGACTGTGTAAGGGGAAAGGACCAAGATCATAGGTTTTAGTTTGGACCAGAATCAAGCGTTATGGCAATGATGAATATGAGGATACATGTTTATTTTTCTCATGTAATGGGTACCAAATCCTGAGAATCTTGGAACTGAAAAGGGTCTTAGAAGCCACCTATCCAGCTTTAGTCCTTGTGGAAAATCTCAGAAGCAACCCACAAACAACTATTCAGCCTCTCCCCACACCTTCCAGTGATAAGTTAGCATGCTCCATTTTGAACAGCTCGTATAGTTAGGAATGTCCTTCCTTATAGTTGTTCAACATTTCCTCCCTCTTTCTTGTGTCTTTTGTCTTAATTGTGCCTTCTGATGTGGACAGAATATAGAAGGGAAATAAATCCTTAAAGGTATGATAACCAATTTTCCCAAAAAATATTTGAGATGAGAATGAGCCAATGCATAATTAAAGCTACATTTGATTTTTTTGGGGGGTGGCGGGGGTTATATTTCTCCTTCACTCCAGTCCCCCTGAGAGTTTTCACATTTCCTAGTCCATTTCAATTTCCCATTCCTTCTCAGTTCTCGAAGCTCTGGCATTGTCTGGGACTCATGGTCCATCATCAGTAATGCTCTCTGTAACCTGGACTTCTTGAACCTGCTGTTCTAACCAAAACCTGGTGTTCCCAGAGGACACTGCCTCCCCTTGAGTGTGATGTTTTTCCTCTCCCAGCTCCACCCTGGTGGGACAGGTATCCTCCTGGCTCCCTGTCACTGCTTCTAGACCATCCTGGTTCTTCCCTGCACAGCCACTCCCTGTGTTCTCTCATAGGGATGGTCACTTGGAGACACATCGGTCATCCCCCTCATTTCCCTGAACTCTGGGCTTACACGCTGGGTAATATTTTCTGGGTGATTTCAACATCCACATAGAAGCTGTGTCAGAGATGATTCTTTCCAAAACCTAGCCCTTCAATTACTTGTATTCCTCCTCATGTTCAAGCGTCTGCCGCTGGCTTCCTTACCTCACTTTAAGAAATCCCTTTTGAGCACACTGCCTTCCCTCATCCAAGCAGTTCCTCTAATATTCTAACTGTAACATCCTTTGCACACAGCAGGGCCTAAAACCCAGAATTCCATAATCAGCCTTTAAAATCACCTCCATGCACACCACTTTGGCTCTGCCTCTCACTTGCGTCATCTCGCTTTCTTGACAAAATTCCAGTCTTGGTTAAATCCTATTTTTGCCTCATTGCATTTGTACCAATGCCGATTAAAGTGCTTGGGGAAAAAATCAACCAAGCTGACTGATCCCATTTTAAAATCAACCCCAATTCCACATGGTCATCACCATGGATTTGCCATGTTCATTCACGACAAAAGTTTCTACTCTTGTAGAAGACTATTTCATATATTTTCTTGTCTTCTTAAACCTCCCGTGCTTCCTCCTCCATATTCACTCTCAGTTGACGAAATTTTACCAAAGAAATTGCAAACTCAGAAGAGAACTTCTGCAAGTTCCCATCTAACCACCTCCCAGGGATGTGACGTACAGTTCACTTTACTGCCAGAACTGTCAGTACTCCTCTCAAAGGCCACTGCTCCATGCAAAGAAACTGCCCCTGTGAAAGCCAACAGTGTCTTTAACACGCGACTTCCAGCAGCTGAGTCTCGATCTCAGTCTTCCCTCTACTTGGCCTCTCAGCAAGATTTGACATGGTGACTCTCCTTTCCCTGAACCTCCACCACTACCATTGACTTCTGGAAGTGTCTTTCTTTTTTTTAACTGGGCTTTCAGTTCACTGCCATCTCCTCATTTTCTTCCTGTCTCACTGGCTCTTCCTTCCTTCTCAATTATCTTTGCTCATTCTTTGTCAGTTCCCAGACTGTGGAGTGACCTAAGTCACACCTGAGTTATCTCATAAGCAGTCTTGCAACTTTGGACACAATCGCTGTGCTGCCAATGCTCACCTTTCCCCAATCTCTAAACTCGTTACCAAACCTTCTCAGCATCTCCATTTCAATGTCTGACAGTCACCTCCATCATGGCGGGTTAGGCACGAGTGCCTTATCTTTGCCTCAGCTGGGGTCTCTCCTAGTTTATTTCCATCCACTGTCAAGCCCAAAACTTTGGAGCCATCTTTGACTTCTCTCTTTCTCACCCATTCCATATCTAATCCACCAACAAGTCATCAGTTCTAACCAAAATACATCCAGAATGCGAACACTTCCCCTGGGCTCAGTCCCCCAGTGCCCTGATCCAACCTTGATCACCTCTAGGCTGGACTGTAGCCCCTTACCTGGTCTTCCTGCTTCCACTCTTGTTTTCTTATGTACCCTTCGTGGCACAGTAGCCAGAGTACCTCTTTAAAAGCGCACATCACATATGCCACTCTTCTGCCCAAACCCTTCCGTTCTCTTGGGTGAGAAAGCCAATTCCTTACCATCCAAGGTCTTGCATCTTCCTCCCCGCTCCCGAAGGCACTGGGCACCATACTTTCTCGGGGCCTCTTCCCTTGCTGTTCCCTAAGTGGCAGGTGTTGTACGAGCCTCACCCTTCCCGATGACTCACCTTCCCGATGACTCACCCCAGCGGCACTGCAGCTCTGGAGGATAGTTCTGGTACTGGCTGAGGGGTTCATACCTCAAGCACCTAAGCTTCTCTGCCTGTGGACTATTTTCTGGCCATGAGATTGTGCTCAGCCTACACAAGGCAGACCAGGGGTGCCAGGGAGGTCCCTACATACAGTGATGGAGGTTGGCACCTGCCCAGCTTCCTCACCCCTGGTGGGGCTATCCTTAGTGCGTTTCTCAAAGGCCCTCAGAGGTCCCCAGTGGCTTGAACCCCCCGTTGCCCACAGTAGTCAGCCACCCATCAGCATACACTTAATTTTTCTATTTAAGCTGTTACATGATTAGAATTTTTAATGTTGAATCAACATTTACTTACTGAAATTAATTAGCCCAATTTTGTCACAGTGGATTATCTTTTTGGTACATTATTAGATGGGTTTAATAATATTTTGTTCAGGATTTTTGTCTATGTTCACAGGTAAGATTATCTTGGAATTTCCTTCTCTTGGGTTTTTTCTTCTTTTTTTCCTCCTGGTTTTGGAATTATTCTACTTTACTTCATAAAGTGAATTGAAGGGTGTCTCTCCCCTCTGTGTCTCCTTTCTGTATGAGTTGCATGTGATTGGAATCATATCTTTGTAATGCTCTGGAAAAAGAAGTTCCAGAGAGCTTAGCTTTTTAATTTTACTTTTATTTCAATAGGTTTATGGGGAACAGGTGGTGTTTGGTTACATGAATAAGTTCTTTAGTGGTGATTTCTGAGATTTTGGTGCACCCGCCATCTAAGCAGTGTACGTTGTACCCAATGTGTAGTCTTATATCCTTCACCCATCTCCCACCATTTCCCCGAGTCCCCAAAGTCCATTGTATCATTCTTATGCCTTTGTGTACACATAGCTTAGCTCCCACTTATGAGGGAAAACATATGATGTTTGGTTTTCCATTCCTGAGTTACTTCACTTAGAATAAAGGTCTCCAAATCCATCCAGATTCCTGCGAATGCCATTATTTCATTCCTTTTATGGCTGAGTTGTATTCCATGGTATACATGTGCCACATTCAGGATGTTTAGCTTTGTTTTGTTTGTTTTTCAGGGGATAATTTAATGTACTATTTCAATTTAATCTGTGATACCATTAGCTATCTAGATCATTCTGAGACAGGCTAGCCTATTATGTTTTTAGAGGGATTTGTGTCTCCAGTCTTCAAATATAAGGTTGTTCAGGTTATTCACATTCCTAATGTTTCCATGAGTTTTCCTTCTTTCGCATTTCTAATATTGTTTATTCATACTATTCTTCTTTCCTTGATCATTCTCATCTTAATTTTTTCTTTAGTCTCTTCGAACAATGCTTGACTTTGTTGATCCTCTTAATTTTATCTTTCTATTCATTTATGTTAAACTTGCTATTTATTACTTTGTTTCTTAACACTTCTTTATGATTATTTTCTTGTTTGTTGTTCTAAATTCTTAAACTGGCTGTTTAACTCATTACTTCTCAAATTTTCTTCTTTTTAATGTAAAATATACATACACTTAAGGCTACACATTATCCCTAAGTAGAGAACATTTCCTATATCTCATGAGTTTTAATGCGTAATATTTTTGTTATTTTTCTGTAAGAGTGTTTTCTAATTACCACGAGCTTTATGAGTTATTTAGAAGCATTTAAACTTTTAGTTTTTTAATGTGTGGTTTTAACTTACTCTTTGTTATTGATTTCTAACTTAATTACTTTTTGCTTACCTAACATGGTCTCTGTGATATTACTAATTTGAAATTTATTTTCTAGTATATCATCATTTTTACAATGTTCTATGTATGTTTATAAAGAATACTGGGGGTATATGTGTCTTTTAGCTCAAGTCTGTGTATTATTTAAATCATCTGCAGCCTCACTGACTTTTGTCTGATTTATCAATCAGTTACTGGAAGGATTTGTTTAAAACTTTTATATTATGATAGATGTGTCCAATTTTATTAGAGTTGTCTTAATTTTTGCTTTACATGTTTTAAGACTGTGGTAATGGATGCTTACAAGTCCCGAATTGTTATATGTTCCTGATAAACGAAAAATTTTGTCATTATAAAATAACTTAAATAAGGTCATTAATAATAAAGCCATTTAATAATGCCTTTGCTTTTGAATCAATTTTGCCTGATATTAATATACTTTCTTTTGATTTGTATTTACTTGATACAACATTTTACAACTTTTTACTTTCGGCTTTTTGTTCTTAAGGTCTAGGTGTATATTATACACATATAAACACAAGTGTATATACATGTCATGCATAATATAAATATGTAATATGTACATGTATATATGTTCATGTGTACATAGATTATAAAGATTTAAGAAGCCATATAGTTGTATTTTTATAAAGTGAGCCATGAAAATGTTGTTTTATGACTAGAAAGATTAGTCCCCTTGCATTTATTGTGATTTTTATATAGTTTAATTTATTTTTGCCATGATATCTGGTAATTTCTCTTTGCTCTGCTTTTTCTTTGTTTCTTTTCCTCTCTTACCTTATTTTAAACTGATTAATATTTTTATTCAATACTTCATTTTTTTAGCGGTTATTCCTACAAATTTTCACATATATGTTTTACTTAAGTTTAAAATTAACCAACACCTTCTCCATTCTCTTAAACAGTGCAACCATGGGCTTCTTCAACTCAAACCCACCCTCCTGTCTCCTGTATTATTTTCAAACTTTAATATTTCCCCCAAAATAAGGTGTGAGTCTTATTCTTTCTAGCATTGGTATCTGTTTAGCCCACTTAGTAACCCTCCTCTCCAATCATCATTGCTTTTTGCATGTCAGATTTTCGTTTTGGGTGATCTCTTTCCTCCTGAAGTACATTCTTTAGGAGACACCTTAGAGGTGTATCTATTTGTAGTAAAATCTTTTAATTTGTGTTTGTTTGAAGATAGTGAAGACAGAATTGTTCACGTTGCATATCCAGCTTGGTGGTTTTTCTCTTAGTTTCTCTCAGCCTTTAGAGATGCTCATCCACCAACATCTGGCTTCTTTTTTGTTGTGGAGAAGATAGCTACCAATTCACTATATTTCCCTTCAAATAATCTCTGTTTTGCAAATATTCTTGTGTCTTTATTAAGTATTCTGTATTTTTACTGTCTTGTATGCAGGTTTAGATTTTTAAAATTTATTCTGGGTAGAGTTTATTGTGACTCAGAAATCTGAGAAAATTTCCACCCAACTTCTCGTTGAATATTGCAGTTCCCCGATTCTTCTTAATATTTTTTTCTGTGATTTCCATTAGATGTAAGTTAAGATTTTTCACTCTGTGTTCCAAATCTTTTCATAACTTTAATATTTTAATCTCCATATCTGTTTGTGCTATAGTCTGAGTAGTTCCTTCAGATGTGTCTCCCAGTTCTTCACATGTGTCTAACCCGCTGTTAGGTACACATACCAAGGTTCTTATTTTATTTGTTATATTTTTTATTCCTAGATGTTATGCTTAATTCTTTTTCAGTCTGCCTGTCACTTTTAACAGTTTCCTCTTCAATAATCATAGATTAGATATGTTCATTGATTGCTTTAACTATGCTAAATATATTTTATATTCTATAACTGTTATTCCCACAATTTTCAGTCTTTATGGGTCCGACACTGCTGTCTTTTTCTTCTGTTTACTGTCCCTCACTCATTTATTTTATTATTTTTTAAAAAATTATTTTCTGATTTATTATTGTCTTTTAAAAGACTGAGCATTCATATGCATTGGAGCTTTACCTTGGGGATTCTTTGAAGATTCATTGCAAATCTCTTCCTTCAGGGGAATTTGTACTTGCCTCCAGCAGGAGGCAACCCAGACCACTTGAAAACTAAATTCTTAACTTGGCCTTTTTAGGGGCCACAACAGTAGGAGAATTCTAGTGCCATGCCTATGTGAGGGCCGGATTCTTGTTACAAGTTATTATTATTGTTTGAAGGTGGGATTTTTACTCTGCATATCTAGGTAGCTGATTTTCCACCTTTTCTCAGAGCCAGATCCGAGGCATGACAGTTTTCTTTCAGTTACTCTTGGTAGGGCAAGTGTGTTTGTTTGTGTGTGTGCTTGTGATTTTTTTCTAGTTCTCTTTTCATAATGAGCATTTCTTTCCAAGGGTCTGGGCTTCCCAAGGAGCAGGGGTTGGGGGTAGATGGAAAAGGGGTGGTATCTCCAAATCTCCTTCCCAAATTGAATAGCTTTAGGCTTTATCTCCATTCTCTTTGCAGAGTGAGCTAAAACCAGAGCTCCAGGGAACCAGAGGTTGGTAGATGTCCCCCAGATATCTGTCAGCTTCCTTTCTTCCTCACATGTATATGTTATTTAATAATTTTGCCTATGCTTAAAAATATTCTGTATATTCATTTATTTTACACAAGAAGGTGTTTTTATTTTTACACCATTGACTCTCCATATTGCCCAGCAAATGGAATCTACATAATGCCTTATCATCCTCTGTGAAGAAAGCTCTTTCCCAGAACGTATGATGTCAGGGGACAATCATTATGATCATTCCTGGCCTAAAATCTGTTACGAGGATGCTGTCAACGTTTAGATTAAAATCCACAGCATCCAGCTCAAGATAAGCAAGGCAAAATGTATAGCTTTCAGAGTCATTAGTAAATGTGGTATTGTTATTATCAGCTAGGAAGTTCTGTCTACTAAAATATATTGTATCTTTATAAAAATAATTAATTTTATAATATTTTGTGCATTTATACAATATTATGCAAAACCTAATGAAGTGTCCTGTTGACTCCAATTACCCATTTTCTATTTTATGGTTGTTATCAATAATGGAATTGCTATCAATTCTGTGTGGTTGTTCTGATAACACAGAAAATAAAAGATTATGAGATAGAATGGTCTCAAAGGATCACTTTTTCTTCATATGAAAATATATTCATCTCAGCAACAAGACCTGGAAAACGTAGAACTTTTAAGTAATCCTTAAGTTAAGAGATGACCTAAAATGCTTTTGTTATTTTATGATTTCTAAGTATTGCTGATGGTGAGATTAAGCATCTACTAAGTTTGTTTCTACTCTTAAAGTTATTCACCTTGATGAATAAACACAGTATTTTATATGTTTAGCATGTTTTTAAGAGCATATTTATTAAATCCTCTTTCCAATGAGGCAAAACATAGATGATCAAAACCACAAACATAGATAAAATGATATTTAATACATTTCTTCTGCGATCTAAGAACACCATGATATGGTACATTCTTTCCTTGGTTAGAAATCTCAACATTGCAGTGGAAGAAAGTGGAGAAAAGTACTACATTCTGCTATTGGGGGGTATCATCATGCTTTAAGATAAAGAAAAGATCCATGATTTCCACGGTTCAGGGGCTGGAAGCAGGAGAGGACTAGAGGTGGTTTATGATGTCACCCAAGAACCAGGGTCGAGATGAGCAGGAGTGGATGTGAGATGAGCAGGAGTGGATGTGAGATGAGCAGGAGTGGATGTGATGGTGACAAGTGTCTTTAGCTGGTCTCTGTTTCTCACATCCAGAGCGCTTCCTGCGGCTCCCGAGGCCTCTCTCAGCACCTCGCCACCCCATGCCTTCTGCAGTCCTTCAGGCAGTCTCTGACCTAAGAGGTCTCCAACACAGCTGAAACATAAGGTTTTATAGCCTTTGACCAGGCACTGTGGCTCATGCCTATAATCCCAGCACTTTGGGAGGCCAAGGTGGGTGAATCACCTGAGGTCAGGAGTTCGTGACCAGCCTGGCCAACATGGCAAAACCCCGTCTCTACTAAAAATACAAAAATTAGCTGGGCGTGGTGGTGGGCACCAGTAATCCCAGCTACTCAGGATGGTGAGGCAGGAGAATCGCTTGAACCCGGGAGGCAGAGGTTGCAGTGAGCCGAGATCGCACCACTGCACTCCAGCCTGGACGATAAGAGCAAAACTCTGTCTCAAAAAAAAAAAAAAAAGATTTTATAGGTTTTATAATTTGGGTAGATAATTCTTTACTTTCCACCTTCAAAATAGTCAGAGTATTTAACTCCCTGTGGAGTTAAAGGCATGGACTTGGTTTTGTTGATGGTAATTGAGCTGATCTGCTGTGGTGGCATTGGGGGTGCATGATCAGAGAGAGAATGGGCAGAGGGGCACTAGGAGGGACTGAGTCCTCACTGAGGCAAGGTGTTTGCCTCCTGCCACACAACATAGGCTCCTGGAATGTCCAGCATAATTTTCCTAAAAGAACTGGGAAAATAACTTTCCTTTTTTTGGTTTCATAGAGGTCATCTTGTGTTTGGTGTGCATGTGTTGTGTGTGGTGTGTGGGTGTGGTGTGTGTATGTGAACGTATGGTGTATGTGTAGTATGTGGCGTGTGTGTGTGGTGTGCATGTATGATGTGTATGTGTGAGGTGCGGTGTGTTTGTGTGAGGTGTGGTATGTGGTTGTGTGGTATGTGTGTATGTGGTACGTGGTGTGTGGTATGTGTATGCATGGTGTGTGTGGTGTGTGTAGTGTGTAATTATGTGGTATATGTGTAGTTTGTGGTGTGTGTGTGTGATGTATGGTATATGGTATGTGTGGTGCGTGGTGTGCATGTGGTGTGTGTGTGGTATGTGATAGGTGCGGTGTGTGTTTCATGTGTGTGGTGTGTGGCTTACATGTGTGATGTGTATGTGTGATGTCTGGTGTGCAGTGTGCATGTGGTGTGTGTGTGGGGGGTATGTGGTACGTATGGTCTGTATGTATGATGTGTAGGATGTGGTATGCATATGGTGTGTGTATGTGTTGTGTGGTGTAGGGTGGTGTGTTTTCCTGGATCCATAAAGAAGTGCTTCTCACATTTGTTTCTTGCTGCTTGCTATACTGATGGGCTCTGACCTCCTAAATTTAGGGGACTTCCAGTTGTTTTCTCTTGTGTCCCTTATGAGGTGTGGGCATGGGAAGCACTGTCTCACAGTGCTATGAAGAATCTCATCTTGGTAACTGCAGATTTACTCATGAACAGGGCTCGCAGGTTTTATCGGCTTCACAAAATGGTATGTGATGCCTTCCTCCTAAAAAATATTAAATGATTTATTCTAACATTTTCATTTTACAGATATGTCTGCTTAGTTTCTAAAAACCATAGCTTATTTTCTATAACTCCTCCAACTTTTTAGTTAGAGGATAATAATTTACCCCAGATACACATCTACTTTCTGTGCACTTGCATTTCATAATGAAGAAATGATTATGGTTTGGACCTTCAGCTGTGATGGATTGAATTTGCAAAGCTTGATGATATGACACACCAAATGCCCTGAGACAAAATCGCTTCAAAGTTGATAAACTGAAACAAATGAATTTAAACTTGAGCTGAACTTTAGCAAAAGTCATCCGTCTCATTTTATTTATAATTTACTTTTTAAAAGGACATAATAGGCAACATCATGATCTAGATAGTAGAAGACAGTGTTGTCACTATTCACAAGGTCACAAGTTTTTATTTACTCACGTAGTTTCCCTATTTCTGGGTTCAATAGTTAAGGTTTATTTTTAGTTTTTGCTTGAAGTAAAAAAAAATATGGAAGCTCTTTCATTAAATTATTTTTAAGTATTTAAATTTAAAATTGATATTGGTGAATGTCTAGGGCTTTTGCTTTTGGTGTATCGTACAGAAACCAAACCTGCCAATGCTGGCAAGTTTTTAATCTGGAGGAATAAGTAACATTCTCAGTTTAAAAAATCAGAATTAAAATGTCACAAAGCTCTGGTGCCTTTTGACTTGGCTTAAGATAAAAATATAAACAATGTTCTGTATATTTCCCACACTTAACAAGTAAAAAGATGAAGTTTAAACAAAATGACACTCTTTCATAAATAAACAGCTTTCTTTGAAACAAAAAATTGGGGAAAAGGGAAAAATACAAGAATTATTAAACTATGAAATTAACCGTTTTTTATAGACTCCAAAACATGACTGGAAATCTGGACAAGTTTTAAAAATTGGGTTGTTACTTATTAACGTGATGGTTCCTTGAAAATTGATTTGTTGCATATCAAAACTATGTGCAACTAGAATGCAATACAATGTGACTATGAAAACAAGTCAGTGCATGCATGAATTAAGGTGTTGAAGAAGACGGAGCAAACAGGACCTACCCTTGTCTCCTTTTCTCCACTTATTACATATTTTTAGGAAATGGCTGATTTTTGACAGAACGAAAAAAAGAAACTTGCCACTGAAACATCATACAACTCTTTTTCCTATTTCTGTTACACTCATTACTGGAATTTTGCTTGAGAAATAACTGATTGCTCAAAGCTAAGTTTGCAGGTAAAGGAAATGTATATTTTACATATATACATATATTTCTAGTATTTAACATATATATGTATATACACGTGTGAATGTCTTATCTACGTAAAACATTTTATCTACATAACATATTTTATGTTAACCTTTTTTGATGTATTTTCTTCTAAAGGAATTCTGTGTAGCACCTAAATATCAATCATTACATTTCAGGAGTGAAAGTGTGGAAATAGGATACTGTTTAGTGATGATTGCATTTGATACATTTCCATCTTTTAGTTTCAATTATTTTCAAGCTTTCTATTAACAGTTGGCCTGTTCTTCTTTAGCTTCTTTTAAAAAGTTTGCCAGGTTATCTGGTTTAAGGCCAGAAGTGTTATTACTATAGAGGCCTTCAGTGTAGAGAGGATACACAGATGTGTCATGATTTAAAAGAAATTCACTTAAGAGAGTAGTGTCAATGGGTTACAGAACTGCTGAACTCATCTGAAGCATTGTGGAATAAAATGTATGAGAAATATAGTATTTGTAATTAAGATTTTAATGAATTGCCTTGTTAATCCATACACTGTATGCATGTTGCAACATTTTCTAGGCTTAATTAGTGTGCTTGATGATTATGTTTATTTTCTGATATACACACTGATTAAGCATTGTCCATACACTGGAGCTTGAAACAAGATCAATCTGTAAAGTAGCACCTAGTCATCTAACTGGGGACTCAAAATGCAAATAGACCAACTTATGGAAAATTAAATTAGTTCTAATAGAACCCATTTTGCCTGAGCAGCCAGTGTCATATTATAAACAGTGTTCTCTTGTTGTAAAAGAAATAAAAGCCTTCTGTTGACAGATCCTTGTATACTTTTAAGCTGGAAAAACTGAGTGCATATGATGTTAGAGTTGACTGTAACTCTTAGATGTGGGGAATTGTGGAATATTCTGAGTTAACCCGTACTATTGTGCTCTAGAAATGCAACTCATTATGCTATTATGGCATTTGGGGGTCTGGGGGCTCTCAGGTTTCAAAACGATTTTTATTAAGATCTCCTATGAATTACAACTTTTGTGAATTTTCTTCTGTTGTGTTGAAATTCTCCAGATAGTTCTTTCTTATTCAAATTTAATTTATTCTACTAAATGTTTATTGACCACACGTGAGTATAATTTGGGCTCAGCCTGTCCTCCCCTCTCCACGATTCCCAGCTTAGACTGCAACTCAGGCTGGTTTCAGATGGATGACAGATAAAGCTGTCCAACTGCTGCTTAACATAGATATGGATGTGATGTTAGTAATTCAGATGGGCTTTTTGGCTCTTTTCAGAACCTTTCCAATCTTTTTTCTTTTAAACATATAGTCTTTAAAATAATTGTTGTGTTGAAAACACTTAACTGAAATCTGCTCTCTTAACAGATTTTTAAGTGCACATTATTGTTGACTCTAGGTACAGTGTTGTATAGCAGATCTCTAGAGCTTATTTCATTTTGCTTGACTGAAATTTTATGCACATTGATGAATAACTCCCCATTTCTTTCCCCTCCCAGATAATTTCCATCTTATTATTTGATTCTACAAATTTGACTATTTTAGACAACCTCACATAAGTGGAATGCAGTGTTTGTCATTTATGAAGGTTGTTTTCACATCTTAACTATGGTGAATAATGCTACAGTGAACATGGGAGTGTTGAGATCCTGATTTTAATTCCTCTGGATATATACCCAGAAGATGGATTGCTGGATCATATGGTAGTTCTATTCTTAATTTTCCTGAGGAACCACCACACTGATTTCCATAATGGCTGAACCTATACTAATTTCCATTCCTACCCGCAGTATACAAGGGTTCCCTTTTCTCCATATCCTTGCAACACTTGTCTTTTTTGTTGTTGTCTATAATCGCCATCCTGACAGGTGTGAGGTGATGTCTCATTATTTTAATTTGCATTTCCCTGATGATTAGTGACGGTGAACATTATATCTATATCTATGTCTATACCTATATACCTGTTGGCCATTTGCATGTCTCCTTTGGAGAAATGTCTATTCAAGTTCTTAGGCTATTTTTAAATTGGGTTATTAGATTTTTTTTTACTATTGAGTTGTAGAAGTTCATTATATATTTTGGAGATTAACCCTTTGTCATATTTTTGGCTTGCAAATATTTTCTCCCACTCTTTTCACTCTGTTGATTGTTCCCTTTCCTGGGCAGAAGCTTTTCAGTTTGACTTAGTCTCATTTGTTTATTTTTGTTTTTTGTTGCCTGTACTTTTGGTGTTATGCCCATGAAATCACTGCCAAGAATAATGCCATGAAACTTTTCCCCTTTGTTTTCTTCTAGGAGTTTTACAGTTTCTGGTCTTACATTTAAGGCTTTAATCCATTTTAAGCTGATTTTTCTGTATGGAGTAAGATAAGAGTCTCCAGATAGTTCTTAGGGAAGAAAGTCATGTATTCAACATTTTATGAACCACTCCTCTGACTTAATCTGCAAATACTTTAGGCATGTCCTCTTGCTCTCTCTTCGATTTGATGGCGAAATATATAAACCTAAGTTTAGCCTTTAAGAAGTGAATAGACCAAAACTTTATTTTGAAGTTACTTGCAGCACCAGTAAGAAAGCATTTGTTCATTTGTCTGTGTAATCCACAAACATTTGTTGAACAGCTTCTTCTCAGTATTAAACACTGTACAAAGCACAGCAGTTGTGTAAAAAATAGCTACTGTCTTCAGGGAGATGATGACTTAAAGGAGAATATGTTAGGAAGGAAGATAAATGACAGAATCGCAGTCTGAATGTCATTTGGAGGTATTAATAACGCATGGGTGGAGAACAGAGAAACTAAAGGAAAACCATTGTTATAAACTACGTGGGTACTCATACTCATGACTTCTGTGCGATCTGTTTCCTGCAAAAACCTTAGATTTCATGATTCCATGCACTTTCAGGGAGGGAAAATTGGGGAAGAGATACAAAGTGGTGGTATTGAGTATATATTGGTAAGCCCCTAGATGTTAAACATGGCAAGGAATAATGCCTTGGTGAGATTTGAAAGCTATTCAACACCACTATGGATTCACTATTGGAAAGAGAATGGAAAAGTCTCTCCTGGATCCATGGTGGCAGTGTGCATTGGTACCACTGTAGTGGAATGCAATCTGGAAGAGAGTATCAAACACTTTAAATACATGGATACACTTTGGTGCAGTATTTTTATTTTTAAAAATCTTTTTCGAGATAATTATAAATAAGGAAAGAGACTTTAAAAATGTATAACCCTATTTGGGAGGCTGAGGTGGGCGGATCACAAGGTCAGAAGATCGAGACCAACCTGGCTAACACAGTGAAACCCCATCTCTACTAAAAATACAAAAAATTAGCTGGGCGTGGCGGCGGGCGCCCGTAGTCCCAGCTACTCGGGAGGCTGAGGCAGGAGAATGGCGTGAACCTGGGAGGTGGAGGAGCTTGCAGTGAGCCGAGATGCCCTCCAGCCTGGGTGACAGAGCGAGACTCCATCTCAAAAAAAAAAACAAAACTTATAACCACTTGATTGAGTCATAATTCACATAATACACACTTCACCCACTTAAAGTGCACAATTCAATCGATTTTAATAAATTTGCAGAGTTGTGTACACTTCACCACTATCAATTTTAGAACATAATCACTACCTCAAAAAAAATGTACCCTTCAGTTATCATCCCTTACCCCTGCACCACCCCCAAACAACCACTTACCTACTTTTTTTTCTTGGAAGATGCGTTTTTCAAAGTTGCGTATATTCAGGGTGTACAACATGATGATTTGTTATATGGATACATTGTATACTAATCACTACAATCAGACTAATTTCATATCCATCATGTCACAGACTTAGTAATTTTTAAGTTTCAATTATGCAAGATGAGTAGGTTTTAAAGATCTAAAGCATGGCATGGGGACTTCAGGTAACAATGCTGTGCTATATACTTAAAATTTGCGAAGAGGGAAGATCGTGAGTGTTCTCACCACACACACACAAAAGGGAAAAAGACATTTTCAAGCAAGGATGCCCATCACAGCATTGTTTATAATGGGGAGCCACTGAAAAGCCCCTGGAGCACAGCGGGGGAATGATTGAGCTTATCACAGAGCAAACATTTGATGAAATTAAGTGTGTTGACGTCATCCACTAAAATGATTTTTACAGAGTTTAGACGATTTAACTCTTATGCTATGAGGTTAAGTGAAGTTAAAAGGTAAAATTTTATATGTAATATATTCACAACAATATAAAAGAAGAAAAACATTTTCCCATGAGAGAAATTCTGTAGGAAAATAAAACAAATTATTGTCATTCTTTTATATTTTATTTTCCAAATTTTCTCTAGAAAAATATTACATGTGTCGGGGATGGGAAACTAACTTATTAAAAATATAGATCAGTTACGGGGGAAAAAATGTGGTTTTGCCATGATTAACACAAGTTGTTTTTTAAACTCAAGGATGACCTTGACATAAGTTTTAAGAGCTTCACAGACTCACTTGGAAGAGTTTCCATCCCTGAACTTGAAAGAGAGAATGTTTCTGCAGAGAGTGCTGGAATAAAAGACATTACATTCTGGGTCAGAGATCCAACATACAGCCTAGTAAACTGGGCCCATGCCAACTTCTATCAACTTCCTCATCTGTAAAATAAGGGCATCTGTAAAATAATTCCCAGTGATTTCTAAGGACCATCTCCCATTTTGACGACATAATCCCACCGTGAAATTGGCAGTGCAGAGAAAAGGGTCACTCTCCTCCTGGCACTCAAACTATACATGGAAGAGTCACTCAGAGGAGAATCCAAACAGCTCATAATGCACTCTAATTTGCCCAAAGACCACTCCAACATGTGGCTTCTGGTTGCATGGAGTCACCCTTATTTGCACTGAACTCACACCTAGCCCAGCTGCTTGGTGGCCTAACAGGCAGCTAGTATTGTCTCAGGAATGTCTGTAGCAGTGACACAGATTTTGCCTTCATGTAGTTCTAACATCCTATTAAGTGACAACCTGCAGATCTTTCTGAAGCCTGGTTTCCCAGAACTACATTAGTCTTACCCCTTGGAATGGGGCATCCGGTTACACCTGTCATCACCATTTTCCTGGAGAAAACCATCGGATTCAGGCTATGTGAGAATGCATTCACCCATTTATCTCTGCAACAAAATTCATCAGAATGGTTTCCTGGGTGTAAACCCTCAGTCCACATCCAGATAGAGGGTGATGGGTCACTTATTCAGGTGTAAAGTCATTGCCGCCCAGCATTGGCCTACATCTTTGATAGAAGTAATATCTAGTGATAGTGTTTGAAGAATATCCTGGGTAGTCTAAAATTTTTTCCTAGATTAAGTTACAGCAGTAGAACTGTTCAGTTTGGACTCCATGCATTGATGTCAGCATTCTATACTGAGGAACAGCATCAAAACGTGCTGTGTGTGCTGTGAAGATGCTGCGGAGGGCACTGCCCGCTGTGTTCTGCAGAGTGAGACAAACATTCAGTCTGACCTCAGTGCCAAGAGTAGCTGCACTTCCCCCAAGCAGCAGGTCTGCTGTGACCTTGTGGGTGCTGTGAGCTGTGTAACAGGTGCCCCTTACATGGTGCTTGTCGAGAAGCTTTACAGCAATGTTGACAGCATGTGCCACCCTCCAGCCCCAAGGATTCAGGGATTTCGGCTCTGCGTTCTTGTATTCTTCAGCTGTATGCCTGGTCTCTTTTATGTCCCCTAGCTTGGCTTTTTCTTCCTTTACCGCTCCTCTAGATTTATTACACATCTGTGCATTTCAAGAGTTCCTATAAGCTGCTGTAAGTTCTTTCTAAGCAAACAATATATTGGTAGATAGAGATAGATAGATGATAGATAGATAAATAGATAGATAGATGATAGATAGTAAGATAGATAGATAAATAGATAGATAGATAGATAGATAGATAGATAGATAGATAGATGATAGATAGATAGACGATAGATAGATAGACAGAAGCTCTTCTCTGCTTCTCTGTCCCCACCCAGCCATCTGTAGAATGAGCCAGGCCTGCTGAATGTTGGGAAGGAGCTCTTCCTTCATGTGTGTCCTTGGTATGCTCGAGCTTTTAAAACCCGTTGAGTCAGGAGCTAGTCTATATATCTTTTGTCAATACTTAGTACAGTAGTTGAAACACACTTAAAACTTGCAGACAACTCTTTGAATAGGAGAAGACCTGGGAAGGCTGTGATTGCTGTCTTCATTACCACTCAGTTGCTGGAGATAAAGAAGGATGAGGATTCATTTTAGGATGTACAGACCCATTCACACTGGACCAAAATGCTCTCTGATATTTCTCAGTATTTGACACATTCCTAATGCATTCTATTCTTCCCAAAGGGAACTTGCTGATGAGGGTAAACAAATAACAATAAGTCACCACGTTCATATTTTGGGGTGAACTATGATCTTTATGTGTATTTTCCTGGCCTGTGTCCTATTAATCTCACTCTGATCTCAGACGTCTGCCCTAGATGAATTAGATGCTGAGATGAAAGTGGAAATGAGACAGCAGTTGAGGAATTCCCAGAAAGAATGTGTCTAAGATCAGCTCAAGACCTGGCAGCCAGAAGTTTCTGCTTTTTGCCACCAAGCCTGGCAGCCATGGGCTCTCCGTGGATTCCCAGGTGAAGTGTGTTGAGAGAATACCCCGCTTAACATTTTTTCTGTGCTTAACATTTTTTCTGTAGCAAAGGAAACGTATAACACTTATCTTAAGTACAGGTTGCATAATAATTATTCCACCGTGCTTTTTTGTTTGGCTAAGAATAGGTATATATTTTCCCCATTCAATGCTAAAGCTCTTGGAGATGTGGAACTTTTAGTGCACTGTCTTCCGAGGACACTGTCAGCACTAAATCTCCAAGGGGAGTGTAGAGGGTTTTGGGTTTTTTTTTTTTTTTTTTTTTAGCTTATCTCTGAGTTTGAAGGAGAGCTGACAGTCTTGCTCCCCATTGCTACTTTCAACTTATATCTTCTCCTGCAAATTTCCAACATTCCAATTTATTGCAAGATCCTGCTCTCTAAAGGCCCCTTGCTGTTCCTTGTTGCTGGTTCCTGCGTACTCCTACATATTCCCGGACGGTTCCAGCCCCAGCCCAGGGTCCTCTTTCTCACCCTCCTAATACCACTCTTGGCACCATGCTTGGCTCCCTAAAGTATGGCCTCTCATTCCCCACCTCCTCACCTCCTAGGGTCTTACCTGCTAAACCCCTCAGGGTTCATCCCCACTGTCATACCTGTGACTTTATTGTCACCAACGAGTGCACCATCGCAGAAGTCATTCCAAGCATCCCCTCCCCTGTGATGACTTCCCCAGCCTTTCCAAGCACAGGTACCCATGACTCATCATTACACCCCTTCAGGGCCACCCCAGCCCTTTGCTGCACCTGCCCTCAATTGTATTCACCAGCTTAAGGCTTAATCTTTCTCCTCTCCAGAGATCCCTCAGCTCTGCACCTGCAGTGACCCAGAGGCACAGGGCTGCAGAGAAAGGGGACTGCTTTATAGCCCCCTCTAATCCCAAGCCACCAACACTTTCTTGCTCCTCTAAGAAATAGTGGAAGAGGCCAGGTGCGGTGGTTCACATCTGTAATCCTAGCACTTTGGGAGGCTGAGGTCAGGAGCTTGAAACCAGCCTGGCCAACATGGTGAAACCCCATCTCTACTAAAAATCCAAAAAAATTAACCAGGCATGGTGGCACATGCCTGTAATCCCAGTTACTCTGGAGGCTGAGGCAGGAGAATCACTTAAACCTGGGAGGTGGAGGCTGCAGTGAGCCGAGATCACGCCACTGCACTCCAGCCTGGGCAACAGAGTGAGACTCTGTCTCAAAAAAAAAAAAAAAAAAAGTGGCAGAAACTCTGCGATCCTTCCCCTGTGAGATCTGCCTGCCATCCTAAATCTATACATTCTCTTCATGTGTGCAATGGATTCCACACCTGTCCACTTCTTCAAGGGTTTGCTCCTGTTACCATACCCTCTCTCTATTTCACTAGCAGTTTGTCCTTCTCTGGTGTCTTGAGCACAAAACAACATCTCCAGTTTAAAGAAGCTTTTCCCTGGTCCCATATCCAACTACACTTACATCCCTATTACTCTGCTCTCTGCCACAGTAACACATCCTGAAAGATCCATCAGACCAGCCTCAATTTCCAGGCATCCTGGCTTTCTCTCAGATCATTGCATTTTATCCTTAAAATAGCATTTTTCCCTTTAATTGTTTTTGACAACCTTACCATTCCCAAAACTGCTCTTGCATAGTTTAAATAGTATCTGACCACATTATTGACCTGAAATTGCCGATTCAATAATCTTTTCTATCCTCAACTAATTTGACTCCTTGCCAGTACTTGATACAGTTAACCACGTGTTCCTTCTTAATCAACGGTTTCCTCTTGACATCTGTGACTTCTGCTCAGCCTCCTCTCCTGGCGTCACCTCCTGTGCTTGTCCCTAAATATGAGCTTGTTCTATGGTGTGGCCCTTAGATTTCTGTTCTTTCCTCACTGTAGGCTCCCTGTGGAATCTTATCCAGTCCCTTTATCTTGAAATACTAGCTACATGGCTATGACACCCAAATTCCAAATGAGACTTTCCACTAAAGTCCAGAATTATTCCCAAATAGTAATTTTATTCTTAATTTTATCATGGCTACAAGATAACTCTATTTTCCTAACCCACCAGGACATTTCTTTCAGTTTCCCTTTGACACTAAATGAACTACCCTCCATGAAGTTGTTCAAATCCCAAAAAAGAAGTATTTCTTATCTCACCACCAGCAAATTCTGTGGATTCTATTCCCAAACTATTTCCTGAATAGACCATACTTCTTCATCTCCATGGCCACCCTTCTAGAACATAAGCTGCCTCTGGCTGCCTGCTTTGTTTCAATGTCATTTCATTGGTCAGCTTGCTTGCCCTCTGTCTCCCTTCAATTTATTCTCCATACTGCTGCTAGAGCGATCTTCTAAAAACAGAAGTCAGATTGTGTTTATCCTCTAGCTGGAGCCCTCCCATAACTTCCCATCACACTTACAGTAAATCCAAACACCTTGGCGCAGCCTTAAACCCCAAATCACAGGATCCTTGCCAGGTCTCTGACCTCATCTCCTCTTCTCCCCATTGTTCACCTGTTGCACTGGAGGCTCTTCCTATTTTCTTTCAAATATACCAGGCTCCTGCTCTATCTCCTTAGGGCTTCGGCAGTTGCCTTGTCCTGTGCTTGTGGCTGTCTGCCCTCAGGTGTTTAGTCTTTCAGGTAACAAACATCATCTTTTCAGTGATACCTTCCATCATTAGTCCCACTCTTACCCAGTCATTCTCAGCTCCATCGTGCAGCTTTATTTCACGCACAGCCATCATCTTGTACTCATTTGTTTTTCTGTTTATTCTGGAATTTAAGCTTCTTGGTAGCAGGTACTTTGTCTCATTCTCCACTAAGAGACTAGAGAGGAGTATTTGGGACCAGGTGGAAGAAACGTTTTCCAGAAAACAAACAATTACAGACAAAAATTTGCAGAAATCACTGGTGTTTGAAGGCCACCTTCTCACTTTTCCCCTAAGCCAGAACTTCTCCTCTAAGCTGTCTCTTAACTCTTTGAGCATCTTTAGATGCAGGTGTCCTGGGCAGTCTAGATTTGTCTTCAGTATACTTATGTTTGTTCTCTCATTTTCAAAACATGCTCTTGAATATTACTCAATTTCTTGCACTTAAAATAAATACAATGTATTTATCAGGACTCTTGTTCACAAGGACAGAATTCTAATCATTCAAACCATGAGGACAAAAGTCAGGTTTCATGGGAAGGGCAGGAATGTATTTGAGTTTCAGAAATGATTAAAACCAGGAACTTTATCCCTTAAGCCTCTTGTGTCTGGATTTCTCTTTTTCTAAATGAGCTTCATTCTCTCCTGCTAGTGTCCGTAGCTTCAGATAAATATCTCAGCCACCCAAGAAAGACTAGAGCTTGGTTTTGCTGAACTGAATTCCAAAAAAATCTTAGAGAAATGTTTTAATTGGCTGATATGGGTAATTTTTAAACCCCAGATGTGTGAAACATGATTTGCAGTGATTTTCACACTAGATTCATTGATAAGAAGAAGGCATCTCTATAATTTCCACATGGGTATCAATTTTCTTAAAATCTTATTACTTAATGTTCAAGAATTAGGACACCATACCCTAAAACACTTGGATGTAAATTCAGTTGAAAAACATCACTGTTTTAAAGAGTGTACAATAACTAAACAGAACTCTGATAGTTTTCACTTATAAAAAATCTATGTGGTATTGCCAGGCGTGGTGGCTCACGCCTGTAATCCCAGAACTTTGGGAGGCCAAGGCGGGCAGGTCACTTGAGGTCAGGAATTCACAACCAGCCTAGCTAACATGGTGAAAACCCGTCTCTACTAAAAATACAAAAATTAGCCAGGCGAGGTGGCACACGCATGTAATCCCAGCTACTCAGGAGGCTGAGGCAGGAGAATAGCTTGAATCCAAGAGGCAGAGGTTGCAGTGAGTGAAGATCGGCAGGAGAATAGCTTGAATCCAGGAGGCAGAGGTTGCAGTGAGTGAAGATCGTGCCACTGCATGCCAGCCTGGGTGACAGAGCAAGACTCTGTCTCAAAAAAAAAAAAAAAAAAAAAGCCAGGCACTGTGACTCACACCTGTAATCCCAGCACTCTGGGAGGCTGAGGTAGGTGGATCACCTAAGGTCAGGAGTTCAAGACTAGCCTGGCCAACATAGTGAAACCCCATCTCTACTAAAAAAAAAAAAAACAAAACAAAAAAACTACATGATATTATGAGAAATTAGTAGTATTAAATATACACAGAAAAATGAGAACACCAAGATATTGATCATAACAATAGTTAAAAATGAGGAACAACACTTGGCACTCAGAGTGCCATGCTAATAGATAGAATTGATGTCCTCCACAGTCACTTGAGTACATCCTTTTCAGAGATGTTCTGTGAAATTCAGGTCTGGGTAAGCACTTGCATTTGATAACTTCAAAATCTTCCAATGTCAATGGTTTATAGATCTATTTTAACATTTTGGGATTATGTAGGTAGCTTGTTTTCTCTGCAAAGCGTGAAGTATCTTGAGCTATCTGTATATCTACCTGGGAGATGGTTTAGATGGAGGAGCCCAGGAGCAACCACACCCTCTCTGTACATGCCAGAAGAATAAAGTCTTCTCAAATTGCAATGTGATAATCACTGATCATTCTCTAATCTGGATGTGAGTGGGAAATGGAAACCAGCACTATATTTAAACTGCTCTTTGTGAGAATTCAAAGTGGGACAACTAAAAGCCAAGCAGACAGTAGAAGCCCTTCACAGAAGCACTGAGGCACAACTTCAGTCGAGGTGGCTCCACAGATGTGGGCTTCAGGAGAAAAACAGCAACCTTTGTAACAGGCTGAGTTGAGCAGTGGAAAAAGTTTTGGCCCCTTTTGATAAGAGTTTTCTGGGAGACAGTCACTTATGCCTTGCAAATGATGTCTAAAGATTAAATAAAGTTTTTCCCAGGCTAGAATGAGCATGATGCCTTCAGTAAATGGAGGGAAGTCAACAATGCAGTCTGTGTGCAGCGAGTAGGAGGTAAGGCAGCTGCAAAGGCAGCCTTGGGCAAAACAGAGAAAGTTCAAATGGTACTTAGAAATTCAGACTTAATCTTACAGGTGAAAAAGACTCTTACATAGGAGATGTATTTATTTGGGTAATATTAGCTTTATTAGAAATCAGCAGAAAAAATGTACAACGACACAAACACAAAAGTAGTTCATTTCTTGGTCATGTAAATAGTCTTAAGCGTTCTTGTTTTGTGAGGAAAGTTGTGTGCTTTGGTACACATAGTCATTCAGGACTCAGATTCACTGGAGCTCTGCCATCTTCAACATGTGGCTTTGGAGGTCGTCCTGTGAAGTCGGTAGAAGGGAATAAAGCTTACAGATTTTGTTTGGGAGGGTTTTACTGCCATACTAGAAGTTCCATATACATATACTGCTGCACTGCCTTGGCACAGACCCACACCTAACTTCAAAGGCGTGTCAGTGCTATGGTTTGAATGCGCACCCCAAAAGTTTATGTGTTGGAAAGTTGGTTGCCACTGTGATGGTGATGATAGTTGAGGCCTTTGAGAGGCAATTGGATCATTAGGGCTCCACCCCCATAAATGGATTAACTCCATTATTGCAAGAGTGGATTAGTTCTCACTGGAGTGGCTTTGTTTTAAAAGCAAGGTCTCTCTTTTGCACACATGCTCTTCCCCTTGCATCCTTTCATCATGTTTTGACACAGCAAGAAGGCCCTCAACATATGCTGAGCAGATGCTGGTGCCACGCTCTTGGACTTCCCAGTCTGCAAAACCATAAGCTTAATAAACTTTGTACCCAATCTGTGGTGTTCTCTTATAGCAACAGAAAATTGAGTAAGACAGTTGGAAACATAGTCTAATTGTTTGTCAGGAAGAAAAGGAAAGCCATCAGGATGGGGATCACTGAATTTCCTTTTTAGAAAAATAATACTGAAGGCTGGGAATAGGATGACCTGGAATGAGACACATTTCTCTGGGGCTTTTAGAAAGACTCGGTCCTGGGATATGTTAAAAGCCCAGATAATGGAGGATGAAATGTTGGGACAAAGCCTTGGAAATAGGGTTGGAAAGGTAGTTACAGACATTTTTAAAGGGATGTGGGGAGCTGTGGGAATGCTTAAAGATTTGTTTGAACCTCAGGGCCCTGAATGGGTAGATGTGTTATAGAAACCAAACTGGAAGCATAGAGAAGTAATTCTCAGCACAGTAACTAGTCAGTGACTCAATAGAACCAGAATCGTAAAATCTGATTATCCTGCTAAGATTGAGAAAGTTTATATTTTGAAGTTAACATAGAACAAGCAAGGAGAATGAAAAAGGGTCTTGAATCCTACAGCAGTGAAATGGTGAGCATTCTCATTAACAAACTGAACATTTCCATAGGATTGAAAGCTCTTAACCATGGTGTAGAGCAGAGATGAATAGTGAATGACAGGAGACTCACCAAATCCAAGACAGTCCCCCAAATCACATCATTTATCATCTTTGCCTCATTTCCTGGGATTAGGGCCAAAATAGCCCCTGGTCATGATGTCTGTTCAGCAAAGTGTAAGAAAAATATTGTGTGAACTCTGGAAACACTTCACCCATTTTAAAAGTCTTTGCAAATGATTTATTTATGTGAGTTTTCTCTTTCTCTTCCCTCTTTAGCCGTCAGTGTCAGCAGCTGAGCATCAGCACGGCATATCATCCTCACCTCCAATCCCAGGACATTCAGAGTGTTGGCCAACAGGCTTGTTGGTTTTGCTTGGGCCATTTTGAAACCATCCTTCCTCTTTTGCTCTGTCTTTTCTTTTTGTTGTGTTAAATGCCAACTATTCAGTCATGAAGACACTTATTTCAAACACATTTACAAAACTAATTGTGGAAGCTGCAGAGAATCCTTTGTTTGAGACATTGTGGTCTACTATGTCAAATCACAGCTAGAAGGCAACTTGGAACTTAAATTATCTGTCCAGGAAATGTGGGGTTTTTTCTAAGCGGAATCATTATAAGCCTTACTTGCCTTTCTGTAAAGAGGGGAATAAACTAGTTTAAGACAAATCAATCTAAATAGAAAAAAATTGCAGTGTGTGTATGTGTATAGAAGAAGGAAGTGTGCATAGAAATGAGAAATTACCGACCTGTGGAGCTAGAATGACTTACACATGCCCAGTGTGTGCCCAGTGCTGGGCTTCCAGCTCTAGTAATGTGATCCAGAGGGAGTAAGAGGGCTGAGGAATGAAGTAGTTGAACACTTCAGGAACCCTTTCAGATCACCTACAGTCCATGATCTAAAGTTTCACTTCATCAGGCATATAAAGTGTGCAAAGGAATCTTCAGCCAGATTTCATGCAGCTGGTGATGCCACATGTCACATGATAAATAAGAACAAGACAGAGTGATTGAGCTGTGTACCAAATGCATGGACCATATATAATTCAGTTGCTTTGTGAAGAACAAGAACTTTATCCATCTGATATGAAAGCCATATTGAAAAGATATAAATATAGACATAATAGACAGACAAATATAGATGCAGCCATAGGTGTAGGCATAGGTATAGGTATAGAGATACATACAGGTATAGAAATATACATAGATACACCACACTCCTCAGCAAATAACTTACTCCTGGCCTTATTGTAAACTATGTTTTAGTGTTCATATTCATTTTAGATTATGTCCATGTTCATTTTAGTGTTCACGTTCATTCTCCTGATGGAGCGAATCACTGGCTAAAAGAAAAATAGGTAAGGTTTCTTACTGATGACATCAATTTGAAGAAAACTTCACTATGTTAGATGATAACAGCTTTGTAAAAGTTTATAAGATGCAACATTAGAAACCTTTTTTACTGGTATAAATTTCTTATAAAAAATGACAAAGGATAAAAGAAAAGAAAAGGGTCACTGAAAAATTCACTGGAGAGTTTCCTCATCACATCCATGTTGGTTTTTACTGGTCTGGTAGGATGTGTAGATATAAGTGAAATTCACAGTATTGCCTTGTGGTTAAGAGCATGGAGTCTGTGACAAACCATCTGAGTCTGAATTCTAGCTCAATGGCTAATGGTTTGGACTGGGAAAAGTTAGTTGGAAGAGTGCCTCTGCTTCCTAATTAACCCATGAAAAGCACTCAGAACAGCGCATGGCATAATATAAGCACTAGAATAAGTCTTAGCTACCATTACTGTTGCTAATATAATCGTTATCATCATCATCATCATCATTATAACAGGGAATCATTTATCATCTTTCATTCATTATCAAAATGTCATTTGATTTTATGGTTTTAATAATACCTGATTTTACTTTGATACATCTTATTGACTATAAATATAACTACTTTTGCAAATAGATCCAGGAATTACCCAGAGTCTACATGTAGAGATTAAATATTGCAAGTATGAAGTGGGCAGGCAATAAACTTATGTCTAGCGGTTGATTGGTTTAATCCCAGGCAACAGATGGAATTTAGGTGTGCTGCCTACACCTGAATCTGACTGAGTATGTTACAAATGCTGGCATGACAGATGGAAGACCCAGAAGTCAAACTTGCAGTTTGGCCTCTCCAGCATCACTGAGCTTGGGGTCCAGTTGACCCTTGCTATGAGAACCTGAAGTATTCAAAGGGAAACTCTGCCACTTAGCCCTGCCAGGCTGTTACTGACTACCTCAAGGATGCTCTGAGTCACCAAGATAGCCCAATCTAGAGAGAATGAATGCCCTGTGTCAGGCTCTTCTAGCTGTGTCTCAGCAGGTTTTAGAGGGACAGCTAGGGATGAGGTCTGGCCAGCACCATGACAGGTCTCACACAAGAGGCTTGTAAATTTTAGAGTAGAGGATTTGTTTTTGGTCTCCCTAGGGGTTACACCAATGTAGGGCAGGTTACTATGCCAGAAAGCAGTTAGCTTTTTAAGTTGAAAATGCTTTTAAGCTGAGCTTTCAAAATTCCAAAATTAGCTAATATCATGCTAAACACCAAAGTATTTCCCCATAAAATCAGGAACAAAACAATGGTGTCTGCTCTTGCCACTTCAACTCTATATTGGGGTTTTTAACCAAGACAGTCCAGCAATAAAAAGAAATATAAGTCATCTGGATTGGAAAGGAAGTAGCAAAAGTATTTCCATTTGCAGATGACATGATCTTTCATACAGATTTGTATTTAGAAAATCCCAAGGAACCCACTAAAAATGCTATGTAGAGCTAAGAACCAAGTTTAGCAAGGCTGCAAGATATAAACATAGGGAACCAATTTTATTTACAATGGCTTAAAAAAGAATAAAACAATTAGGAATAAATTTAACAAGAGAAGTGTAAACCTTAACTCTGAACACCATAAAAAATTGTTGAAAGAAATTTTTAAGAGTCAAAATAAATAAATGGAAAGACATGTTCATGGATTAGAAGTTGTAATCTTGCAAGATGGCAATACTACCCAAAGTGATGCACAGATTTAATACATACCCTATCAAAATCCCAGATGGCTTTTTTTCAGAAACTGACAAGTTGATCCTAAGTTTTATATAGAAATTCACTGGACCCATAATAGTCAAAACAATCCTGGAAAAGAAGAACAAAGTTGGAGAACTCACACTTCCCAATTTCAAAACTCACTACAAAACTACAGTAATCAAGACAGTGTGGTACTGGCATAAAGATAAATATGTACATCAATGAAATAGAATTGAGAGTCTAGAAATAAATTCCCATGTCTACCATCAATGGATTTCCAACAAGGTGTCAAAGCAGTTCAATAGGGAAAGAATATACTTTTCAACAAATGTTGCTGGAACAACTGGATATTCACATGAAAAAGAATGCAGTTGGATCTCTACCTCACAGCATATGCAAATATTAACTCAAAATGAATAAAAAGCCTAAATGTAAGAATTAAAATTCTAAAACTCTTGGAAGAAAACAGATGTAATCTTTGTGACATTGAATTTGGCAATAGTTTCTTAGCTATGACACCAAAGCACAAATAATTAAAGAAACATATAAATTGGACTTCATCAAAATAAAAACCTTTGTGTTTTAAAGGAAAACATCAAAGTGAAAAGACAGCCCACACAATGGGAGAAAAGTTTTGCAAATTCTATATCTGATAAGAAACTTGTATCTAGAATACATATAGAAAGAGCATCTACAACTCAATAATGAAAAGACAAATAACCCAACTTAAAACTGGGTAAAAGCTCTGGATAAACAGTTCTCCAAAAAAGATATACAAATAATCAATAAGCACATGAAAAAAATGCTAGTGTCATTAGTCATTAGGGAAATGCTAATCAAAACCACAGTGCAATGCCACCTCACACCCACCGAAACAACCATAATAGAAAAGATAGACAATAAAAAGTGTTGGTGAGGATAGAGAGAAATTGGAACTCTTATACACTGCTGGGGGAAAGGTATATTGTGCAGGCACATTGAAAAACTATTTAGCAGTTCCTCAAACAATTAAATATAGGGATTACCAAATGATCCAGCAATTCTTCTTCTAAGTAGTTATTCAAGAGAAATAAAAACATATGTCCACACAAACACTTGTACATGAATGTTTATAGTAGCCTTATGTATAAGTGTCCATCAATCAATGAATGGATAAATAAGATATGGTATATCCAAACAATAGAATATTAATCAGTAATACAAAGAAATAAAGTACCGATAGATGCTACAATGTGGATAAACCTTGAAAGTATTGTGGTAAGTGAAAGAGGCCAGTAATAAAGGACAACATATTATATGATTCCATTATTATAAAATGTCCAAAATTGGCAAATTTACAAAGACGGAAATAGATCAGTGGTTGCCTGGGTGAGAGGGAGGGAATTGGTGGGTGGAAGTTTGGTGAATGGGGAATGACTGCTAATGAGTATGGCATTTCTGGCATTGAATGATGAAAATGTTCTAAAATCTTGCTAACAAGTTGCACAACTATGAATATATTAGAAGTTATTTAATTATATATTTTAAATAGGTGAATAGTATGGTATGTCATTTATGTCCCAAAGAGCTATTATTTTTAATTCCTATTATTAGGTGACTTTATTTCTATGATAATGATATTCATTAAAGTCACAAAAATTGACCAGATGACTGAACTGTCAGCTAGAAATCCATGTTGTCACCACACTGTATCTGTGGCAACCACATTTGCCTCATGTATTGGTTCACTAATGCTATTGCTGATAGCTCAGTATAGGGATTCATTTCATGTGGAGATTAAGTTCTCTGTACACTCTTAGTGTGGGAATTTTCAGATTAGATGACGGAGCGCACTGACTCACACCTGTAATCCCAGCACTTTGGGAGACTGAGGCAGGAGGATCGCTTGAGTCCAGGAAGTCGAGGCTGCAGTGCGCTGTGATTGTGCCACTGCATTTCAGCCTGTGTGACAGAGGGAGACCCTTCTCAAAACAAACAAACAAAAAACCAGATTGGACATTTGCTGCTCCAAATTTGTCCTTGCGTTGGAGTATCACCTTTAAATAGCACAATGAAATTTTGCACTAGGCAATTATATTCTTCACAATGCCAAATGTATTGCAAAACATTGATGAACTGATATTAGCCCACATGCTAGGAAGGAAAGTGAATCTGCGTGCATACAGTCCCTCCCATGGGAAAGATAACTATTTTTAAAGTCAGTTGGTAAAGCATGTAGTGTTGCACCCCATTTAAGCAAGTGATGGACTGGCTTTGTTTTGATGGATATAGACTTGGAGGAAGTTAGCCTCACAGGCTAGGAGGCTCCGCTCCCTCTCCTGTGCTTCCTGTTCCTTGGAAGGAATGAACTCCAGGGAAAGAAAGCTGGGGCCAGCCAGAAAGGAGTGGGGGTCAAGGTGCCTCTCAAAAAACCAAAACACTGTGAGGGAGCAATGGGCCAAGGGACCTTGAACAATTTATTTAGATCTTGCTGCAAGAGAAGACTGAGATCTTTTCTCTCACGTTCCTCGTCTGTAGAGAGCCTTGAACAGTGTCTGAGATTTATTGAATGTTGAAAGGACATGAAAATGTTTGAATTCCTTTTTGATTTTCACAGCTATTCTCTTCTAAGGCAATAAATTCTTATTCATGTCTTTTTTCTAATGGACACAGAGTAGAGTTTGCTCTTATAAGATGATACTTCCATGGTGGTTTTCTTAAAAGCAATGAAAAATAAGTAGACTTGAAGTTTTAAAAATGTTAATATGTAGTTCAGCCCTACCAGCAGAAAAAAATTAAATCTTTATATTGGTTAGTATGAAAAGTCTTGTAGAGGGTGTTTTCAAAACAGTTTTCAGGAAAATATTTGGAGACAAGGTTTTTCACTCAATTTTTCTTCCTTGCATGTTTCACAGAAGCTCCCACTGGTTTGGGCCGTTTGACAGTCATTCCTTTAAGACGTAAAAGGGCTTGTGGCAAATTTGGGAGGATAGACTGCCTTTTCCATTACTTAATTTTTAAAAATACTATTAGGAGTGGGAAGGGTATCAAATGTCCACTTGGAGTCAGGGGAAAAAGTAGCCCCATGAAAAAATTCCCTGTGAGAGCAGCATAACCTGCAGAGACCTGCGAGCAAGTGTCCAATCCCGACAGCCAGTCATGGAAATAGAGCACTCCGGGCCGCACAGAGACCATTCTGTGTGCCACTCACATGGAATCTAGTGCAGCATAAAGCTTTACTAAGCTCCACCCAGAAGTGTGGTTGCCTTTGTCATTTTAATTGGTCTGTGTTTGTGAAGTGGGGCCTCTATTTACTTATAGCTTGGGGCTTGTGTTTACCAAGCCTGGTGGAGGCCAAGTGACAGGGCCCCTGCAAGCTCTCCCGCTGTATCTTGAGGCACTTTTCTTTTCAGTATCTGTGCCTGTCTAATTCGTGAGCTTCTGTGAAGCAAGCACAGGAGGGTACAAGGCCTACAGGGAGGAATTACACCTAATTACTCAAATAATTGCTAGGCTGTTGCCTTCTTAGTCACTGAAAATAATTTCCAGGTCCCTGGCTTTTATAGATAGTCTTCTAGAGGCAGGAGGACACAGCCCCCTTTTTAACTCAGCCCATTCACTCACAAAATCAGAACACTCGAGCCTGCAAAATTAATAAGCACCACTTCCATTACATATATTTTAGGTTGTTGTTGCCGTGGCGATAAAGTCAGGGACATTGAATCTCCTCTGTTGAGCCATTGTTATCATCCCTGGCCATCTGCTGCAGAGGAGTGATATTCCATCTCATTTGCATGATGACTGATATATGGGAGGTTTGGAAGGACATATGCCACAGCAATCATGTGATGAAAATTAAAGTGAAAGTTTTGGGCCCAGAGCCGAAAAAAATCTGTGTATGCGCATGAGGCTGTTGATGTGCAAATGTGAATCATATTGAGAAGGTCTGAATAGGGAGGTGTGACGTAAGGAGGGGACACAAACGCAGGTGCTTATCTCTAAGCAGTCAAAGGCACTGGATGTCATATCATGGGAACTACCTTTCAAAGAAACAGCTTTAGTGTTTCCGTTCAGCCCACCAGGGAGGAGAGAAATATAAGTTTTGGAAACAAACAAAAAAGTAAGTTTAAAACTTTTGAACCGCATGCTGCTCACACTGACATTTAAGCCACTCGGAATTTTAGCAAGTTTTTAGGTCTTAAGTCATAACATTCACTTTTGTTTTTTTTGGAGGGGGGGTGGATGTTAGCAAAGGTTGAAGTTTAGAACTGTGTTGATGGTTTTTCTGATGTTTGTTTTGAACTTCTGTTTCTGATGTCTGTTGTGATGTATATTTGAGCATTATTTTAAATGTATTTCTCTCTGTCTCTCTCTCTCTCTCTCTCTCTCTCAATCTCTCACACTTTCACTCTCTTTGGCAAAAACAAAAAAGCGTATTGTATCTGTTTTGAGAAGAATTTCAGAATAAAATGTCATGGTGCAATTACATTTATACTGCACCAGTATCGCCTTTGTTCATATAGATTTTTGAAACGTGCAAATTTGCAAGAGAGACTATTTGATATGAAATGAGACTTAGTACACTTTTTGCTTAGCAAAAAAGTAAAGCAGAAATAATTTATGAGATTGCAAAAATTACCAGTGAGATCCCAAATCTGACATCTCTCTAGAATTGGGGAGATCTTTGTGAGGGATGAGAGGTTAACACAATTGTATATGAATAACCAATATTAAAAAGATGTTTTATGTATGCTTTTTGAAAAGTCAAAATTCTGATAGTAGCTATACATAAGGAAAAGAGTTTGTGGGAGGTCCCCAGGAAATTTAAATTGATAAGTATGGTAGTTATAATTTTGTCTTTAAATATTTAGAGAATTGGATAAGAGTAGCCTATAAAAACGATACTGTTCATTTTTGATAAATGTAGATGTCAGAAGACTCATCAGAAAGTTAAAGAATAAATAATACCAGAAGGGCTGAAGAATGAAAGAGAAAATACTAACCTTGGACAAAATTTTGCAGAAGGATGATTTCAATGAAATATTACTTAGTTATACAGAAAAATTTCAAAACCTTTGATAAACAATACTTTGCCTCATATTCCTTTTGTTTTAATAAAGCTTTTATTATAGGTGCTTACTTTGATACATGTGGAAATAACTGGAGTGTTTTTCAGTTTCAAAGAACAAGGCAGTCAGCAGTCGAAGTATGCACTGTAACTTCTATAATCTTAATTTTCCAAATAAGAAAGTAGCTAATTGTCAGAAAAAAAAGTTCTATCAACTCTCATGCCACAGCTAATACTGCAAAATCCAATACACTAAAAAGAAAAAAAAAAACTGATGAAGAAATGTTGAATATAATTCTGTGCACTATCGTTATGTTAGGGAAATAGTAAATAAGTTCCAGGCAATAATCAAATTCAGAATCCAAAGTAAGACTAAAATTAGGCTTCCCTAACTTTGCTTTTTTATTTTTCTTTGCAAATATCATCTGCTTGGTATCCTACTTGTATGCCTGTAACCCAAGATTACCAGTGTTCTCTTTTCTCCTTCTTCTAAATATTCAATTACTCAGTGGTGATTATTATGTGGCCTTCTTGGCTTACTACAATATTAGATTAATATAGATTTCTCTTGCCAAATTAGCGGAAATCACTGTTGCACATAAAAGCGATTCACTCTTTTTTAGTTGTATTTATGTTATGGTAGGAGCATCATTTTAAGCTTAAAAGCTTTTATATTTTAAATTTGGATATACTGTACCTTGGAGAGCGTAAGGTGGTTGTATTTAAAACGTTTCAAAGTACATTGAAACTTTTATGAGATCCTAATGTGATTATGTTTAAAGGAGTTTTTTTTTTTAGAGTGGCCATTAGTGTTCTACTATAACATGAACCAGTAAGATTTGAAGTTTCCTGGTTTCTCTTAAATTAGACAACTGCAAGTGACCTAGAAAAGACCAGAAATGTTAGGAGCTGTCCATGGTAGCTGCCTCCTTAAAAAGTTAACATACATACTCTGAATAGTTGTCTTTATTTCCATTTTTAAAAGTCAGAATTAAATTCTCATTAGATAAATTAACCTGGTAGATACAGAAATTATTTGCAGATAATTAACAATCTTACTTGCAGTAAGTAACAACCTTACTCCTATAACCAAATTGCAAAACCCAGTATAACTTTAAGCTTTCACAATGTTAATGAATGTTTCCAGTTGCAGCTTTAAACTATGTATGCATAAATAAACAAAATTTATAGCTATTAAATATATAACTCTTTAGGTTGACAACAGTTCATTGCAAATAGTTTCTATGGTAGTAGAGCAATGTGAACAAACATATCAAAAAAATATAACTTGCGTGACTTTATTGCTCTTGAAATTAATTCTTGTCCTTATGTGACCTGCCATGTCTGCTATAGAAATCCAAAAGATCATAATTGTTTGATATGAAATGCAAAAAGAATAGTTAAATTGAAAGTTTAACATCATGAAATTCAAAATCCCAAGCGGTATATAAACATTAAAAGAAACTTTGGACGGCTAATCCTAGGAAATGAGTTTTATGGATTGAATTCAACAAGGCTTCAGAAATGGTTCCATCTGCTGCCTAGCAGCTGGTGAAAGGATAAATTTAATTCATTAATTCATTTGGAAAAAAGGATCCAAGTAGTAAAGACTTCATTGCTCATAATGCATATAGGTGAAAACACAAACTGAAATCTGGACCAATTGATCATTCTAGATAATGAGCTGCATTGTCTTTCCTTTTACTGGTAAAGATCTTAGTGATTGAGTCAATGCGGTGTTGATTTTTATGACAATAACCAATCATTCCCAATCACTTCAATGATTTAAAAAACTCAGGGAAATTTAAAGTAAATCTCAGTTTTTAATCTGAGAAACTCCAGGCATTAGAAATTATGCACTTCTCATTTTGTGTATGTGTATATGGGAGGCAGTGTGTATACCTATGCTTATAATATATTCATATATATACATCTATACATACACATATATATTATATACAAATTCTGAATCACTTCAAAGAAATGTTTATATTAAGCAAGGCTTTTCCCATTTGTTGAAATATTGAGGTAAGTATTTAGCACTTAACATTAATGTAAGTAAAGTTTTCAAGATTCATATTTCCCCAAAGGTTTCAAGGTTCAAAAAACACTTATTTTATTTTCTCCTCTTTCCACACTTCAAACTAGTTGCTCCAATCTCCGTTTTTGATCACACCCTGCAGAGTGCTTCAAAATATTAAAAAGTTGTCCAGGAAGTAGTCTTCTCCCAACTTCTCTGCCACGTTAATCATTTTGACATAAGGAGGTAAAATCCACAAGACATGAAGAAAAGATTTCATTGGCTGGATTGTACAGGACTTTTTAGTATCTTTACATAAAAATAATGGGGGTTTAATACCAAGAGTCTTGAACTGTTTAAACTCAATCAATGTGATAAGGTGTTGGAAAAGTTGGTGTTTCTTCCTCCTCTTTAGCTTATAATCATATTGGAGGATTTTTTTTTAACTGCTGGCATTTTAATGAGAGCCAGGCCTCCCTTAGAAATGTATAGCTCACCTTTCCCAGCAAAGTAAATATCTCTTGGTGGCCAGTTAATTGATCTATGATAAAGATAAGAATATCCCTGAAAGTAAGGCTGCTTCAGTAGCCAGTGTACATTTTAGCAATTTTTTTTTTTTTGGATGGTGATTTCATGAATGGTGTTTTGACTTTTCTTTCTCTGCGGCCCACAGCTCACTGTGGTGGGTTTGTTGGATTTACTATAAAGGTTCTGTTTGCACCCTGTGGGTTGGGTTAAGAATCAGGGTTTATGCATTTACTTGTACTGTGGCATTGTTTATACAGCTTTGGTTTAGTTTTGATCTTTTTTTTTTTTTTTTTTTTTTTTTTTTTTTTGCCTTTGAGGCTCTTCCACAGTGTCAGCTGCTGACTGATAGTAGGAAAACGGCCTCGTGGTGTGAATGAAAGGGACCTAGCGGTTGGTAAACAGAGATAAGGAATAAATAGAGCACAGGCAAAAGGAGATAGTTCTGTGGGGGCCCAGATTGCTGCCAGTCTGTTCAAGGGAGATGCAGAGCCTGTCCTTTTCCCAGATTAAATTAGTGTGCGAAATCTCCAGTGACCTCCTCCCCTTCTCCCCACACTCTTTAGCCAAGCTGAACAGCCTCTGCTGTAAAGTATTCATTTTATCCAGGGACAAGCTGGACAATAGAACTCTCTCTGATACTTATGGACAGCTGTCGTCATTCATAGTGCTCTCAGCATTTCATTTTTCATAGGAGTTAAAAGGGTTTTTACCTTGTAACTGAAAGAGGGCATAAATGCAACTTTGCCAGGTCTGAGGCTGCTTGGGTAGGGGGTAGGGCTGGGGTCGGGGGGAGGAAGGAGGAAGGAGAAACTGCTCAAGAAAGCAATTCTTTTTTGTTGTGCTAATATGATTAAACTAAGACAGAAATTAAATTTCAAATCTGGGCTCCTTGCTAAGAGAAAATATCTTTGATCTGAAAGTTTCCTAAAATTAAGGTCACCAGTGCAAACCAGACAATTCATCTCCACCTGCTCTATCGTTGTTTGGGCTAAATATGCATGTATTTTATTACCTGCAAATAACCACCAGGAAATATTAAGCCCGTAAGATACCTCAGTATTCTAATTTTTTTTATTTTTTTAGTGATTTACTGCAAATATATTCAGCATTTGTCTGATTAAATAGACCTTCGGCAACCTTGAGGGTCACTGTGTGGAGTATGTACATAGAAAATGCATCAGCCCATTGTACCCTGGCAGCTAATGAGATTGGTCGTTAAGTAAATGACACAAAGCCTACAAAAAAAGCTTAGCAGCTCACTAGAGTATCACAGAGTGTCCCTGCACACCACACAACGACACAAACACTGGACTAACCTAGCCCACCCCTGCTTTATTCTACATCACTGCTTCCCTGATGTCAGCGTGAGAGGCAGAACAAAGGCTAGGAGGCACCGGTAAGTCAGTCTGGCAATTAAGCCCTAGGGAGAAAGTAGAACAGATCTTAGCCTAACCGTGGGGCTGAAAGTCCGTTTCTCCACAAGTAGGTCAGAATGAAGGGATTTTGCTATCACCTCTGGAAATACCGCTTCAGTGATCAGTGTTCTTATTTTGTTGTTATTGTTGTTTTGTTTTGCTGTTTCAAAAAAGTTTGTAAATTTAAAAAGTGAGTAAACCCCAAAATGCGAGTGAACTTGAATTTGAGAGGTAGGCTATTTGTTGGAGAAATGGTGCTTTTGCCAATAACTACCATTCAGGTTATTGGTTCAGGTTTGAAAACTTTCAAATGTATGAGGCAACTTTAAATTTAGTTAGTCTTACTGCTTCTGAAAGATAATGGAAACCTGGGGCATGCATGTGAGCAGTGAAGTTCATTCTTGACAATGTAAAATTGCCCCAGCCCCTAATATATATTTAATAACATAGATGGAATAACTATTTCCTTCAGCAGTGTCTTAAAAACCAACCAATCAAGCACAACAAAACAAGAAAACAAAAGCTCCTCTTTTCCTCTTGTATTTAATTTCTCTTGAATCTGGAAATAGAATCATTACTGTGAATCTGTAATATTGAATAGGATTAGTGGTTATTTGCTTGCTGTACTTGGGAAAAAATCAAAGCTTCTGACACTGGAGCAGCATTGGCTTGCTGTGTCCCTTGGAAAAATGCGTTTGCAGGATTGAAGTGTAACATTGCAGGATCCTTTGAGAGAAATATGGCAACAGGAAGTTGCCAGAAAGTCTTATTTGCCTTGCTGAAATGTCTGTCTGCCTTAGATTTGTGTATTCAGAGGATGTTTAGTTCAAGAGAGGATGATATTGTTACAAGACATTCAGGTAAATTAAATATTTTATTCTCAGAACTGTCCGCTAAGTGGGTTGTCAGTGGTTTAATAAACTCTGAAGGTCTCATCGAAAACATTTAAAAAGTATTGTTAATGTAAGTGTGGTGTTTTAAAATAGATGTGTTCATAATATCAGTATCAGTATTCAATTTTAAAGCCACTGTCATTTAATGTTAGAATGGCATGACATAATCATCAGTTCATGAATTAAAACTCTGTGTAGAAATCAGTTTGCTAACTTTCATTACTTATACTGAAAAATATTTATTTATGTAAGGATATAGCAATATTGTGATACTGAATAAATAGCTTAGTAGTAGTATTCGTGAAAGATTCATAATATAGGTAAATAATATGGTCTGGATGATCAGAGGTCACATACTTCTTTACCATTTTTTTTCATGAAGTACTTTTCCTCTGTTAAATGTGCCCCTAACATTTATTTTGTTTATATAATTTGTTTAGAACTATATGTGTGTCTGTAGAGAATGTAATGTATGTTGTATATTACCAACTCTAAGTATTGTTTTAACAATAGCCAGAAATTAGGAGGCAATAAATTTTGTGAAGAAAGTGGTATAATAGTGTCTTTTTAATTTCAAGTAAAATGTATGTGGGGAAAATAGAGTTTGATTTTACTAAGTTGAGATTTTTCTAATATGTCATCTCATCATTATGCCTTTCATGTGATAGAAATCGTGGAAAAAGCAAGCCATCTAAAAATGGCTACAGTTGCTGCCTAACAAATTTAGTTTAAGGCAGTTGTGCAACTAGTTCACTCTTTCAGGCATTATAAATGTATTAGGCTATCTTTCTGTGATGAATGTTTTATTTTTGAATCTCATGTATTACAATTTATTTTTCTATAGCTGCTAATGTTCCTCCTGTTAATACAAGAATGAATGTTTCAGAAAACATAACTGTTTTGGCTGGCTGTAAATATTTTGCCCCCATCCTTACGGGTACAGCAAAGGGTGTGCAAACTTGACTGAAGTTCGTTTAGTTGCATCGCTGTGGATGAAAAGGAGTGGAGTTACTTTTACAGAAATGTAATTGTCATTCTTCAAAACAGAATAGGTCTGTATTGTCATTAAGATGAGAAGGCCCAGATCATTACTTTTGGTTTATGCAAACTTGTTTCCACCTATATGGGTCTTGCATCTGAAATATATATTTTTTTATTTAAAGAAAATATGCATGGCTTTATCTACTTGACAGCTTTCTTCTTTAAAGAAATTTGAGAAACTTAATTTGTGTTGTCAGAAGGAAACTTTGTATTACTGGACTTTTATTCTGATTCACTCATTTAACAAATAAATATTAAAATACTTAGTTCAGAGGACTGTAGTAGATGCTGTTAGTAATACCTCTTTTCCACCCCTAAGGATCCCCATCTAAGAGGAGCTATAAAATGCTTCCTAGAGAATAAGGCAGTCATCCTAAGTGCATATGAGTGACAAAGTGACAAGAGAATCTACAGTACTCCCTTTTTGAGTTCACATATCTGAAACCTGGTTCTTCCACTGACTCAGTCTGTGCCCTGGATAAGTTCTCTAACTTTTCTGCGCCTCGGTTTCCTGGTCTGTTAGATGGGGGCAAGAGTGATGGGAGATAAATGTTGCCTTATAACTTATGTGAAAAATTAAGTAAGATCATATACCTAATGCCCCTGGCATATTGTGTTTGGTGTTTTTAACTTTCACTTGCAGTTTGAGACAGCGAGGGGATGTGCCAATGTCATGTCACACACCGCCTGTGCATTCGCTTGTACCAGTACAGAACTCTTTCTCGTATTTTCGCTTCCAGAGCCCCCAATTTTGTGAGTGTCCCTGAAGCATTGTGACAATTCCATTTTATGTGTCTGCGTGCTCATATCAAGACTAAGGTAACATGTTAAAAATTCTAAACATACCTTAAGTATATGTGATTAAATTGGCTTATTATGCAGAGTTTTATTAGTAGCTATCAAAAGCATACCTAAAAATTTTATTACACTTCAACTTAAACTCTCTGTAAGCAGAAGTATTTAATTTCATTTAATTTAGAAAGGCAACATCTATAAATTAAGTATTTACAGCATAGGTCTTTAACTCTTAAGATTATGCAGTTTTCTTCTTTCTGTTTTTTAAAAATTTTTTTGCCCTTTTGGGATTTATTTCATAAGTTTTTTGGCTTAGATTGTTTCTTTTAATTGATACATTGAATTTGGTTTAAGTTTTCCCTTTTTAAGGACATTATAATTGAAAAATATTTAATTTATTTATTTTTATCACCTATGTAAAGAATCTTGAACCCAGTTAATTGCTGAATATTTTATCTTAAGAGATAAAATTCCATTCCAGTGAACTCAAGAGATATCTGAATTTCTTTACGAGTATTTGAATATAGTGTTGTCAAATGTTACATCAAATTTATAAATTTTTAGGCAAAAATGTATTACTCTTTTAGTTTAACTTTTCAGAACATTTGTTCTGTTAGGGTTTGATCTATACATTTAAGTTGTAACTTGAAAGAATTTTGTTGCTGAGAATTTCCGATCTCATATATCTTGTGGCCATAGGTAAATTGCAATGACCTGCAAAAATGTCAATGCCTTTAAAGTTTTATTAGTAACTTATTTACACTATTAAGTGGAGTTAACTACAACACTATAAGAGCATTTTAGATCAGACTATTTTAATTTCTTTGATTTATACAGTGCAACTAACTTTGAAGGTGCTAGAGATATCTGCACTAAATATAGGTTCTCCAAATATTCTTAAATATTATATTTGTTGGTCTGCTGGGTGAAATGTATATTAATTGATACTATTCTAATAAAGAGTTACACTTGGTAATTCTATGAAAATATTTACATTACTATTTTATAAAAAAATTAGAATGAAAATTTTTGTGGTACATTTTCTCTACTCCTTCCAAGATTTAAAGGTAAACAAAGCTAGCTTAACTTAATTCCCTAAATTTTGAGGTTCCTTCATGAAGAAAACATGGCAGAAGGCCAGTGTGTAAACCTCACCACATCCTTTTTTTCAGATGTGTCATATATATATCCAATTTCAATATGAGTGAATTCATGTTTGGCATGAGATAAAACTTAGTTACCCTTACTTATAATGACAGGCAGAAGCAAACTGAAAGGAAATGGTTAATTTTTTAAATAGAATAAACAGTATTTTCATTCCTGGAATGTAGATTAAAGAGAATATGAAAACAAAAAAAAATTTATTGAAAATCTAATTTGTAAAAGAATACCATAATATAGAAAGATGTGTCCACTGTTTGCTCTTTTGTTTCTATAGTATACTTGGTATGAATTAGAATGAAGGTATTTACCTCTTTTACATTTTCTTTCAAATATCAAACAATGGTGGAGAATTAGTCTTAACATTGCTATTCTGAAGGGTGAAAATGAGGTGAGATTGAAATATGTTCATTCATGAAGTAAATGAAATCAGGAAAAGATTGAGGCTGACAATATGACTACTCTAGAAAGGGGCAAAAATTAGAGTATACAACCTATTATCTACGGAGTCCTGGATCTTTTTTTGTGTGAAAGACACCAGTGTATACCAAAAGGGTTAAAGAAAATGCATTCTGTTGCATCTGCTTACTAAATCCCTTACTTTAGTAGAAATTCAAATTTTGTAAAGATTATTCGTTTTATTGATGCATATAATTATAATCACAAGCCATCTGCTGGTTTGGCAGGCATGGTTAAAATTCTCTAACTCTCATAACCTTTCAAGTACAGTGCCCTTGGGACTCTATTTCACTTTTATATTTTGGAAAACATGTAGGGACAAATAAGGGCGGTCATCTGCAGAATGTCAGACCTGGGGAAATGGAAGAACAGGGATAGGAGTGGATGCTGTGGTTATTTTAATGGTAGAGGAAGTTATTTTCTGTTTTCTTTTTTTGCTTCTGACTTCATGAAGGATTATCCTAGTTTCTGTGATGTATTTGGGAATTTTTTTCCTAGGGATTATAGCTCTGTCATTTCATTCCTGAAAGGCAGGTTCCAACTCTAAACAAAATGAGCAAACAAGAAAACTCTTCCAGAAATTGCTTACATTGGTTTTCACAGGTAAATTAGGTACATTTCACTTAGACTTTCAGAACTAATAGAATATCCCACTGATATTTATTTTTCTGAAATACTCACATTCAATTGAAGACCCTTCCAGCCTTAGATTTCAGATTATAGAACAGCGTGCGGGTTTCGATAGAGACCTTTTGGTTTAAAGGTCAAATTTCCAAGCATTTTTATTTTGGTATAAATCGTGTACTGACCAGGTTTCCCATTCAGTCTCACCATGGCCCGTCTTTGCCACTGTAAACATTTGAAGTTTGGTGAAGTTCCATACCCAATGCCCTACTTCCTTGGGAATGTTTCTTCCATAATCAAGTCTTATCAACTGGAGGATCCAAGGGTCAGGTTTTGCATATTAGCGTTAGCACACAGGCCATTATCACAGGGACTGCAAGTAAGCTGAGGGGAATTGAAGAAGCCATAGGATCCAGGGCTACCTGACTTTGTCAAATAATGGAAACATGCACGTGCACAGCTCTCTCTCTCTCCCTCTCTCTCCCTCTCTCTTTCTCTCTTTCACACACACTCCCCATCACCCTGCGGAAAATCATTGACAAGAAATATGTCAGGGTTTGGCAAATGAGAAAAAGAACTTGTGGTACCAACATTGTACATATAATTTGTTCAGAACAATGATGATATATGTGGCAATAATTATAATAATGGTCCTTAACATTTGCGAAGTGCTTACACTGTGCCAGGCATGGTGTCAAGTTCTTTACATGCATTATATAATTTAATGCTCATAATAATTCCATTTGTATCCTATTTTTACAAATGAAGCCACTGACTAGAGATGTGAAGATGCCCTTCCTTATGTCACCAGCCTTGAACCCAGATTGAGCCCAAATCTGACTGCTCCCCAAACCCTTTCCCTTAATCTCTCCTTAAGATATAGGTCTCTGGGAACAGAATAGAGAGGAAAAACCTGTGTCAGCAATATAGTGTCAAATGACACTGAGTCCCAAGTACTCCTGGGTTCCAGTCATAGTTAAATATCATTAAGTAGTTGAAAGATCCTGATGAAGTGACTTGACAAGTTGTTTTATTTTTCTTATTAATAGCATCTGTCACATTAAGGATCATGCTAGGGGACCCCTGGAGACATTTTCATCCCCCAAATTCTATAACTCCATGAACTTTTTAAAATTAAAACATCCTATGAATTTGAAAAATAATTCAAAGACTGGAGAAGCACTCATTATACCTCTGTAAGACATGTATATTTAGCACACCAATTAACCTTGATATCAGAAGTAGACTGTTCTGAGAATCACAGGAGCTTCAGCTCTGATGCTACATATTAGATCGAAGGTTCAACATTTGGCCAAATAGCTAGAAATCTTAGCTCTGTGAGCATAAACATAGATACATAGAAACATAAGGTAATTGAATTCTTCCTCTGAGTATTTTAGACTCAAGCAGAAAACATTTTTGTCCAATAATAAGAATAATAAAAGCACTGACATAGAGCCAACCACTCTTCTAAGTACATTTTTTTTTTTTTTGAGGCAGAGTCTCACTCTTGTCACCCTGGCTGGAGTGCAATGGCATGATCTTGGCTCACTGCAACGTCTGCCTCCAGGGTTCAAGTGAATCTTCTGCCTCAGTCTCCCTCCCAAGTAGCTAGGATTACAGGTGCCTGCCACCACCCCCAGCTAATTTTTGTATTTTTAGTAGAGGTTTCTACTAAACCTCTACTAAACCATGGGTTTTCGCCATGTTGGCCAGGCAGGCTGGTCTTGAACTCCTGACCTCAAGTGATCAATCTGCCTCGGCTTCCCAAACTGCTGGGATTACAGGCATGGGCCACAGTGCCTGGCTACCTAAGTACTTTATATCTATTAATTCTTTTCATTCTCACAATGTCACCAAGGCGACAGTCTATAAGGTAAGGTCAGCTAGCATTCCCTGTTTATCATGGAGAAAACTGCACCATGGAGAGCCATGCCATTTGCCTGTGATGCGCCGGGGCTGCTTGGTCAGAGCCTGGATTCAACCTCAGGCACCATAGCCCCCAGAGGGGGTGTGCAGCCACCCAACAGTCTGCCTCTGTGCTTTTACTCTATGGGCTTGTCACTAAGATTGCACTTGAAAGAAGGCTCAGTTGCTTTAAAATATATTTGAAAAGATAGATTACAGGTTGCTAATATGTTTAGACACACTGTAATATTTATTTTGTATTTTAGATCTTCATTAGGCAGTTACTGTTATAATGCTTGTATAGTTTCCTCAAATTATTATAGATTAATCTGCAAGCATTTTTTATTCTTTTGAAAATGCCATGTTGAAAGTGTACTAATAAATAAAAAGAGTCAAGTTATTGAGGGTTGACAAAAATCACTTAGAAGAGAAACTGTATTTAAAATCATTTTATTCTCCTCAGTACCTAGCAGAGAAACTTTAACATATTGAGAAATGTATACATGTTTGTCTATGTAAAAGAAAGCATGTAGAAATGAAGAATTTCCCCAGTTTTGTGCCTCTAATGGAAAAAAAAAAGGAAGGAAGAGTTTCAATTACATTATTATAGCTCCTCCTAGGTAGATGCCACATCATGTTCACAAGAGATTAAAATATTTTATTTCAGCTGAATATGATTTAAAATGATTTTGTATTTTTCATGTACTAAAGTTTTTAAGACAGTGAAGTCAAAAACGTAACTATCAGAGCTAGAACATTGTGAGCAAGTTATTTAGGTTCTGTGCAATCAGTTGACTAAGAAATATTTACAAGCCTAAAAGTATCAGAAGTATAGACAATGAATATTAGCCACACCATCTGCCCCTAACAACTTTATGAGCCACAGTAGAAGAAAGTGATATGTAGGCAAAGCTGCCAACCTTGTCTGGGTTGTTGTTCACATGCTAGGGCAGGTTTGCACAGCACCCTCTACAAAGACAGAATAGGCTGTGGCCACATGCAGTTTCACTATACTACTCAGCCTTCTTAATGTATGTGGGGCCAGAGCATCTCACCAGGCATAGCCAATTCTATTTTTCCTCTAAAAAATAAAGTTCTGGCTTAAAGAATAGAATGACCACCTTTGTTTAGAGGAAACATCAGGGAAGATTTTATAGAAGAGGCATTTAAGGAGTCTTGAATCCATCCATTCAACAAACATATTGAGCATTGACCAGGTTCCAGCAACTGAATCAAGAAGTGAGGATGCAGACATAAGTACACAAGGAGCTTATTCCAATGCAGGTGACAGGAGCAAATGACAATCACAGTACAGTAGGACCTATGCGAGAGGCAAGCCCAGGACATACATTTGAAAACTGGTAAAGAGTCATAAATGACAGGCTTCTGGTTTGGATTACCAGATGAATGGTTAGCCAAGATAGGAGATTCAGAAGGAAGAGGTTGTTTAGAGGAAAAAATAATGGGTCCTTTCTTGTACATATTGAATGAGAGACAACCGGGTGGTGATGTTGAGTGTACAGCTGATCAGTGGATCTGAAATTCAGGAGTGAGACCTGGGATGAAGAAATACACCTTTGGGTGTGGTTTCCAAGGAGAATATATAGAGTGAGACATAAACCAGAGACATAAGCAGCTTCTTCAGGAAAAGACTGAGCAATCATGTGAGTTGCTCTGAAAATCCTGCACCATTAGATGTGCCAGATAGCAGGCCATGAGTTGTGTAGTGAAAGCAAGGTAAGAAAAGAAAGGAAATCTCTGGGAATATTAAGAAGTTTGACCCTGAAAAACAGAGATAGTAATATATAAAGAAGAAATGTGTTTCTATGCTGAGGAGAAAGAACCAGGAGAGATAAGAAGACAGAAAAGTTTTAAGATATGGAAGAAAGAAAAAGTAGATGAAATAGGAAACAAATGTAAAGTGAGCCCAGTGGAGAACCCATCCTTAGAAAGGAGAGGATCTCTTTCTTCCTGTTAAACCAGAAGAAAGAAGGAAAGCACGCAGATTGAGACACCTTTATAAGCCTACGGATGAGATGTTAAGACTATTCAGAATTAATAGTCTCAAAATTTTCTGTATAATAAGGTAGCAAAATTCCATAGACTCAGTGTGAAATGGTTTTAAACTGCAAGTTCCTTTAACATGTTAGTTTTTATTAATTATTATATTTACATGGTATAATTAAAAAGATATTCTAACACAAATTTTATATTATCATACATCAATTATATATAATTGATGTTGGCATAGAAACTCAGAAAACTAAAAGACTAATGAGAACCAGAAAAGCTAGCAATTTTTCTCTTGGATTTGAAACAGTCTTAAACAATTTATGCAATTAGAAAGGCTAAAGGGAAAATGGAGGCTGGGCTTGGTGGCTCATGCCTGTAATTATAGCACTTTGGGAGGCCGAGGTGGGTGGATCTCTTGAGCCCAGCAGTTCGAGACTAGCCTGGACAATATGACAAAACTCTGTCTCTACAAAATATACAAAAATAAGCCAGGTGTGTTGGCATCTGCTTGTGGTCCCAGCTACTCAGGAGGCTGAGGTGGGAGGATTGCTTGAGCCAGGGAGGTAGAGGCTGCAGTGAGCCATGATCATGCCTCTGCACTCCAGTCTGGGTGACAGAGTGAGACCTGTCTCAAAAAAGGGGTTTGGGGTTGGGAAATGGAAACCGTTCTCCCATCTGGGGTCCTATAAGAAAGAATAGGAGGCGTGAGAGAGGGAAGACTTTGGCTTCTCTAATAGAGACCACACGTTGGGGAGTTAAAAGTCATGCGTTTGGATCATAGCAAGCAGCTGATACATGTCTGTTCTTAATTTCTGGTGTGGCTTTTTGTTTTTTTGGTATTTTTCTTTTTTATAATGGGGTTAGAACTTCAACTGCTTGCATTCTCTTCACCTTTACCACCTCCACCTTATCTAGGCTCATCTTCTCATACCCAATTGACTGCCATGGTCCAAAAACTGATTTCCCTGTGTGATGCCAGCACTCAAAGCTGTCCAAGAGCAGCCTATCATTCTTAAAACAGCATGCAGGCACCTTACTGTGATCTGTATGGTTTCACCTGTTTTCTTAACAGCTTTCTTGAGATATAATTCACATACCATACAATTTGCCCATTTCAAGTGTACAGTTTAATGGTTTTTAGTATATTCAGAGTTTTGCATTCATCACCATGGTCAACTTTAGAACATTTTTTATTTCACAAAAAAGAAACTCTGCACCCCTTCTCTATCACCTTCCAAAGGGAAGATGCACCATCTTCCTCCTAACCCTGGGCAACAACTCATCTACTTTATGTCTCTATAGATTTGCTTATTCTGGGCATTTCATATAAATAGAGTTACATAATATGTGATCTTTTTTGCCTGGCTTCTTTCACTTAGCATATTTTCAAGGCTCATCCATGTTTCGGCATACATAAGTACTTCATTCCTTTTATTGGTATAGATATAGGGGGTACAAGTGCAGTTTTGTTACATGGATATATTGCACAGTGGTGAAGTCTGAGTTTTTAGTGTCACCATCATCCAAATAGGGTATCTTATACCCATTAAGTAATTTCTCATCCCTCACCCTCCTCCCACCCCCCACCCTTCCGAGTCTCCCATGTCTATTATTAAACTTTCCATGTCCATGTGCATACATCATTCCCATTTATTAGTGAGAACATGTGGTATTTGACTTTCTGTTTCCAACTTATTTCCCTTAAGATAATGGCATCTAGTTCCATTCATCTTGCTACAGAGGAGATGGTTTCATTCTTTTCTATGGTTGAGTAGTATTCCATGTTGTATATATGTATGTGCACATGTGTGTGTATACCACATTTTCTTCATCCAGTAATCCGTTGATGGACAATTAGGTGGATTTCATGTCTTTGCTATTGTGACTAATGTGCTACAAAAAACATACATGTGCAGGTATCTTTTTGGTGTAATAATTTTTTCCTTTGGGTAGATACCAGTGGTGGTATTCCTGGATTGAATGGTAGTTCTGTTTTTAGTTCTTTGAGAAATGTCTTTACTGTTTTCTATAGAGGTTGCACTAATTTAATACTTCATTCCTTTTTATGGCTGAATAATATTCCACAGATTGGATATACTACCTTTTTTTTCCTTTGATTGGTTGATAGACATTTGGGTTGTTTCCAATTTTTGGCTACTGTGAGTAATGCTGTTACGAATATTTGTGTACAATTTCTCAAGTAGACGCATGTTTTCATTCTTCTTGGGTATGTACCTAGAAGTCAAATTGTTGGATTATATAGAAACTCTATGTTTAACCATTTGAGAAATTGCCAGCTATTTTTCAATGTTGCTGAACATTTTACATTTCTACTAGCAACATGTGAAGGTTGGATTTCTTCACATCCTCATCGACACTTGCTATTGTCAGTCTTTTTTATTTTAGCCATCTTAATGGGTTCACAGTGGCATCTCATTGTGATTTTAACTTGCATTTCCCTAATGACTAATGATGTTGAACATCTTCTCATGTGCTTATTGCTCATTTGTATAACTTCTTTGTAGAAATGTGTATTCAAGTCCTTTGCCCACTTTTGATTGGGTTGTCTTTTTATTATTGAGCTGTAATTGTGTTTTATTTATTCTAGATACAAGGGCTTTAACTGTTTACACTATGGCATATGGTTTTGCATCCTTTCTTCAATCAGCAAAGGTCATTCCTGCCTCAATCTAAAATAGCCCATCCTCTAGCCTACATTATTGTCCCATTGCATTTATCACTGCTTTCAACTGCATTGCATATTTATTATTTCCTTGTTTTTGAGTTTGGCTCCCACACTGAAATATAATATCTGTGTTATCCACCCTTTCATCTCCATCACCCATCTTGTGATGATGATAGATTGTTTTAATTGAACAAATGGGCTTTAGTGCAAGAGTCCAATCCCAGTGCTACTCCTCAGGAGCTGTGTGACCCCAGGCAAGCACTGAGGTGCTCTGCATTTCAATCTCCTCACTTGAAAGATGGAAATAATTAATAGTTCCTGATTCATATATTTGTTATGCAGATTGAGTTAATATACATAAAGCATTTATAATAGTATCTAGTGTGAAGAAATAATAGAATAATAAAAAAGAATATTTTTTAATGAATGCTTAACAAATTATCCTACTAACTCCATGTTCTCTTGAAGAAAATGAGCTGCTAAATCCTCAGAGATTTAATTACTCTCATTAACACAAGTCCTCACCACGCCCACACTGGGGCATTCATTGTGGACCACATACCTCTGGGCTTTGTCTAGGGACTGATCTCTTTTTGGATTATGGCATTTTACTGAATGTCTACTATGTACTATGCCTTTTATCCATGGCATCTCATGTGATCCTTGGAGCTCTAGAGGGAGGATCTGTTATATCCCTTTTAACAGATGAGGAACCTGAAGGTGAGGGAGGTAACTGCAGTTCTGAGATCACAGAAGAGCAGAGTTAGGATTCAAACGTAGGTTGGTGTTACTTGAGAGACAGAGTGTGTCACCATTCTAACTCTGCTGAATTAGACAGTGCTCACAGTCTCCAATCATCCATAAAGTATTTCCCAGGTCATTTATTGCTGTCCTCCCCAACATACCAGTTTTATGATTTTTACCTTATTTCAGTGTTCCCATTATCTTAGCTCTTATGACTGGTGTTCCAATGGTCTATCCAGTCTATCTCCTGTCTAATTCAGCACAAAAGCTCCCATTCCCTAAGAGACCACGCTATCATTGTGGATCTTTCTATGATTTTTCTCAAAGAAAGATGCCATCTTAGCTAGAGCTACACAGCAGAAGGAATGTTGGCATCAGATATAGTTTTTTTTTTTTTTTTTTTGAGGTGGAATTTTGCTCTTGTTGCCCAGGCTGGAGTGCAGTGGCACCATCTTGGCTCACTGCAACCTCCGCCTCCTGGGTTCAAGGGATTCTCCTGCCTCAGCCTCCCCAAGTAGCTGGGATTACAGGCACCCGCCACCATGCCCAGCTAATTTTTGTATTTTTAGTAGAGACAGGGTTTCACCATGTTGGCTAGGTTGGTCTTGAACTCCTGAACTCAAGTGATCCACCCGCTTTGGCCTCCCAAAGTGCTAGGATTACAGGAGTCAGCCACCGTGTTCAGTTCAGATATAGTTCTGAATACTAGCTTGTACTGAAAGAGTGACTTAAGTTTGCTCACCTTAAGTTGGGAATAATAATGTGAACTTCCTTAGATTGTGGTGAGATTTAAATGCTGTAACTATGCAATGTCTAGTCCGATGCCTTCATCAGTGTCAATGTACAGAGACTGCAGCAATTGCTGGAAGCCTCCTCTGATTCATGCTTACCTGTTGCCTCCTTTAGACCATTTTAAAGCATCATCTGCTATTTTCTACTTCCCACCACTGCCACTATTTAATCCAAGATCAGTATGTTGCTTAGCATATTCATGTAGATTGTCATGATAAATAATATTTTATTTCTTCTATTATCTTTTTATTTATTTCCTGGTATTTTCAGAACTACCCAGTTTAGTTTAGTATTTTCTTTTGACATTTTTAATATGCCAGTCATTCCTCTAATTGTAGCATATGATTGATCTGGCAGTGGCGGTCCTTCAATGTTAATATCCCCTCCCCCTGCACCAAAGTTGACAGTTGTGCATGTGTCAAAGATATAGTAATGCTACACAGGCTTTTTACCCATTTGTATTTTCTTAATTTGTAAAACTAATCTCAACTTATGAGTAAACTGTTCATAAGATTATTTCCTACTTCACTAGTTTTCAGATATTACCTGTTTTAAGCTTCACATGTATGAGTCTTACAAATGAATCTGAACTGCATGTTTTCACCAGCATCACTTTTTGCTACAGGCTGTGGATATTTACTGTTTTATCTCTAAATATTTGGTCCATTGTTCTCCTAAAATTCAAATCACAGGGTCAGGGGCATCATCATAGTTCCCTTTTTCGTTAATATAACAATTAGTCAGCTGGTTCCCATGTGAAGATGCCATGCCCTCAAGAGCACCTTGCTTATGAAAGAGAAGCAGAGAGAAGAGCACCCTTGCCCTTCCTGTAGGTGCTTCCAGTCTGGAGCTGACCGTGAGCTCTGAACTAGGACTCCTCAGTGGGCCAGGGGCTACCATAGGAGCAGGCGTGGTTTCCTGTGGGAACTCGGAGACCAGGTGTGGGGCAGGAGGAGTTCAGGAGATGAACTCTAGTTCATCTAGCTTACCACGAGGCAAGAATTTCCTTTAAGGAGCATTCTTTTTTTTATTTTTTATTTTTATTCATTTTTAAGTGGCATTCATCGTGTAATTTTTATTAATGCTTATTGCTTTTAAAACTTTTGATTTCCATAGGTTTTTGGGGAACAGGTGGTATTTGGTTACACAAGTAAATTTTTTAGTGGTGATTTGTGAGATTTTGGTGCACCCATCACCCAAGCAGTATGCACTGAACCCAATTTGTAGTCTTTTATTCCTTACCCTCTTCCCACCCTTTCCCCTGAGTCCCTAAAGTCCATTATATCATTCTTACGCCTTTGCATCCTTGTACCTTAGCTCCCACTTACATGTGAGAACATATAATGTTTGGTTTTCCATTCCTGAGTTACTTCACTTAGACTAATGGTCTCCAACCCCATCCAGGTTGCTGAGAATGCCATTAATTCATTCCTTTTTATGGCTGTGTAGTATTCTGTCACACACACACACACACACACACACACACACACACACCATAGTTTCTTTATCCACTTGTTGATTGATGGACATTTGGGTTGGTTCCGCATTTTTTACAATTGCAAATTGTGCTGCTGTAAACATGTGTGTGCAAGTATCTTTTTCATATAATGACTTCTTTTCCTCTGGGTAGATACCCAGTAGTGGGGTTGCTGTATCAAATGGTAGTTCTGGCAGGGCGTGGTGGGTCATGCCAGCACTTTGGGAGGCCAAGGCGGATGGATTATGAGGTCAGGAGTTCAAGACCAGCCTGGTCAAGATAGTGAAACCCCATATCTACTAAAAATACAAAAAATAGCCGGGTGCGGTGGCAGGCATCTGTCATCCCAGCTACCCAGGAGGCTGAGGCAGGAGAATCACTTGAATCCGGGGGGCGGAGGTTGCAGTGAGCCGAGATTGAGCCACTGCACTCCAGCCTGGGTGACAGAGTGAGACTCTGTCTCAAAAAAAAATGGTAGTTCTACTTTTAGTTCTTTAAGAAATCACTGCACTGTTTTCCATAGTGGTTGTCATTCACTTTGAAAGCACCTGGTATAAATTAGATCTTTAAAGGCTGGGATTCTGTAGTTCTTCTAAGGCATTTTTTGGAAATGCCTGCACATGCTTTTTTTGGAAAAAAGTTAACATAGCCAAAAAATACATAATCTGTTACCTTGGACAGAAAACCAAGAAGGATTGGACATAGAGTCAGAACAGAATGGTGGTTACCAGAGGCTGGGGTTGTGGGGACTGGGGAGATGTTAGTCAAAGTGCAATGTTTCAGTTAGGCAAGAGGAATCGATGATAAATATTTGAGGTGATGGATGTACAAATTAGCTTGATTCAATATTGTATACACACATCACTTTGTATTCCATAAATATATAGTTATAATGTGTCAATATCCAATAACAAATTCGATTAAATTTAATTTACTTTAAAAAGAAACCAAAAAAGTCAGATTCCCTCAGTAATTTGCCACAGCTAATGAGACACTGTTATCTAGAGAGAAGCCAATTGGCTGGTGAAAGCCAATGAAAATAATAGACTTAAATTGGATAAGCATTGGACGAAACGCCTGATATAAACTGTACGGACCTCTCATTGGTCGTGGGAGACAACTATCAATCAGATGTTCAAATAACCAGAGACGCTTACTTAGTCTGAATCACTGTAACTCTTGAAAGCCATCCAAGGAGAGAGGGATCAATTAGGATCTTGACTTTCACAGCCAGGCTTACACCATGACAACAGAGTGTATGTCCATCCTAGATCTGTAGGATTAGGAATTCTTCTTCACTCAAACTACACACCCTGGTGTTTGTACTCCTAGGGTGGAGTTTTTGTCAAGCTCATCAGATTGTTCTCCCATGTTACCGAGAAATAAATTTGGCCTCCACATCTTCAGGGAGATTTTTATTTTATTACCTCTTTGATTTATGCAACAGAAATAGATTCACTATTGGAGTGGCATTCACCATACACCCCTCTCCACTCACGGAGGACTCCACTGATTTATATAAACATTCTCCAGAAGAATAGGTGCTTAATGAAGATTTGAGTACATAAATTAATGAATTAATTAAATAATAGTGTTCTGTACCAAGAAGGTTAGTTACACTGGTATTAATCAAATTTTTTTATTTGTGATATTATTATCCTCTTGTATTTAGATGAGACTGATATTTTAAAGTAGCTTTTTAAAATAAATATCTGTGGAACAGCAAAAACAATAGGTGGCAGTGAGAATTCAGAAGGGGCACTGATTCTTTTAAAATCTTTCTCATGTGCTTACATTCTCCCAGCTTTACTGGAGAACTAGTTGATAAGTTCATGTTTAGAACACTAACTAGTCCTTCCTGAACTGAGCAGATCACTGCTAAAGACCTAACTTCTGCTTGGTAAATGACTTGCTGTTTAGAGACGCACCCTCCATCTCTTTACTGAAAGATATTCAGCAGATGTTTTATTCTATAATTTATCTTATTATTTCCTTCTTCCTAAAATATGTATTCCTGTGAACAGTATTGCAAAATACCCTTGTAAAAGCTTTATCACAGAGATATTTACATAAGCAGCAATGCAAATATATTTTTAGTATTAGACTAAAATGTTTCCATCCTCCAAGAAGTTTTCAGGATAATACGTTCTTCAAAATAGCAATGATCAACAAAGAACACCTCATATACCACTGTATTTAAGAAACACGTTGCACCATTTGGAAAGTAAGTCAGAATTTACTAGGGCTGATAAAAATATTGAATGTCTCAAGGAAATTTGCATATTTATTTGACGTTTAAATTTGTTTTTATGATATAATTTGTAATTAATTCATTCCCATATTTTATTTGCTTTTGGCAAGTTTAAATATTGTGCAAACTCTTAGATTTGTAATTTGTGAGCTTATATTTGATAATGGCACCTTGAATGAAGAAGTACATAATTGCTGTTTCTTTCTTGACACGAATGGCTTCATCTGAAGGGAAGATCAAGTTCAATAAGCTATAAAGTGGTTCTGAGAATGTACTTCAATGAGGGGCCAGAACATTCACTTTTTATCTGTTCCTTTCTATCATAAAGTATTAAAACCAGAGCAAATAAATAGCTCAAAAATAAAGTGGAAGTGCTTCTGCTCTATGTGGGTATATTTAGCTTTTGGGGTTGGGATTCTTCAACACATTTAATAGTGAATACCTAAAGCAGTAGTTTTCCAAGTATGGTCCACAAACTTATCAGCACCAACATCATCTGGGAACTTAGAAATGCACATTCTCGGGTCCCACCATAGATCTACGGAACGCATAGCCTGGGCTTTCACAAGACCTCCAGGAGATTCTGATGTCACTGATGTTCCAGAGCCACTGCTCTGACACTTTGCTGTTCAGTGCAGTCCATGGAGCAGCAGGAGAACCTGGACCCTTGTGAGAACCTCAGAGTTTTGGCACCAGAATGTGCCACTTAAGAAGCCACCCGGCCGGGCACTGCAGCTCACACCTGTAATCCCAGCACCTTGGGAGGCCGCGGCTGGCGGATCACGAGGTCAAGAGATCAAGACCATCCTGGCCAACATGGTGAAACCCCATTTTTACTAAAAATACAAAAATTCACTGGGCTTGGTGGCCTGTGCCTGTAGTCCCAGCTACTCATGTGGCTGAGGCAGAAGAATCACTTGAACCCGGAGGCGGAGGTTGTGGTGAGCCAAGATCGTGCCACTGCACTCCAGCCTGGTGACAGAGCAAGACTCCGTCAAAAAAAAAAAAAGCCACCCAGGTGGTCCTGATGCATATTAATGTCTGAGAGCCACTGTTACAACATATTAAGATTTAGAGTCAGGAACTTACCAGTGAGAGGATATCCTTTACTCAGAGGCATTCTGGAAGCTAGGAAAGTGGAACTCAGTGGATGCTTACTGTTTGGACATCCGTCTCAGTTACCTCTGGAATTAAAAGGAGGGAAGAGATGCTTAAACTTCTGTTGGAAGGATGGAAAATATATAAGGGCACACTGTGTCTGCATTATGGGATGGAAAGCAGAGCCATTATATAGATAAAAGAGCTATTATCTGGGTAATAAATTGTATATATATGCATACATACACATACATATATATAATTTCCCACAATGATCTAGACATATTAGGTCAAAACACAACTTTCAAGTCCAACTTTTTTTGTGTGTGAAACTCGCAATTTTCTAATTCACTTTTCATGTACGAGCAATGCTAAGATATTTTGGGGGTCTGTTTCTCTTAGGTTGTTTTTTACCTTGAATCTAATTTTTCTGTAGTATGAGTTTTTCAGGAAGTCTTTTTACCAGTGACAGAAGTTGCAAACTTTTGAGGCTATCCTTCCACCCTATAGGGTGATTGTTCTGTCGTCAGGGCATCAGTGAGACAAAGCTTTCTGTGGAGTTGGTGAAGTTGGTGAAGTTCGCCTCTTTCCAAGGGTTCGGCAGTATTTTATATCTACTAGTGGTGAACCCAGGGACCTGGGAGGAAAAACAGTAGCTGACCAAGTAAAACCTTCTTTGTAAAAATATTTTTAGCGTGGAAACACATGAGAATTAAAGGATTTTTTAAAAAAAATCCTTTTGAAATCTGTACACAACATGCCCCCACCCCGTATGTAAATGGGACTGTCACTCCTGTGTTTGTCCACAGCTAGAGTTCCAGATGAACCAGTGTAGTGTGCAATGACAGGAACAGCTGACTCATTAGTAGAGAGCAGTGAAAGGTAATTAACCCTGGGAAAAGTACAGCTGCCGTGCGGGCTGTTCCTTTCTGTAGGATCTGATTAGAAATTAGTGTTAAACCACTGATTCTTTTTTTTTTTTTCTTCAGAAAAGACTGTCATTGATAATTCACTTTCACTCTCAGGTGTGTCCCTAGAAAAGGTTCTCAAATATACTTATAAACAAAAGGGTTCGAATCTAAAAAGCATTTTCTGATAACAGTAGACACCTGTTTTTCTTGTTAAGACAGAGTTCTTTCAAATGAATATTGTTTGACTATTGAAGATTGGTAATACTTCAACCCATATTCCAATAGTCAGCATGGAAATTACTTGAAAGGATGGTTTTATATAGTTAATAAGCTGTAGATAAATACCATTTAATTATGTTTTCTTTTTGTTTTTCTTTCCATTTTTCCTCCTCCGATGCTTTTCCTCAGGAGTGATGGAAACTCTCCAGTTCAGATCCAGTAGCTTTTAGGGAAGGTAAGTAAAAGCTATTTAAAAATAAACTTTTCCCCCAAAGAAAAAGAATCTCCAACTTTTCAACATCCATCAAAAACCTGAGAAGTTAAGGAACTTCATTTTAGAGGACCAGAAAAGATGCTTGCTTTGGTTATTGTTGGCATCCTCATGGTAATTTGGGTTATGTTCATATAGATTTTTGAGGAGTGTTTACACCTGTTCATCCTGATTCATGACTTCATATGTTTGATATTAGGGGCATTAATATGTAAGACATTCAGAATTAACATGTATGATTTTAAAATGTGGTAGACAGGATAAAGTACCCCTCCCCAAAATATCCATGAAATCTCTGAAATCTGTGATTATGTTATCTTGCATGACAAAAGGGATGTGATTTAATGAAGACCTTTGAGATTATCCTATTTTTCTAAAAAAGGCCAACTAATCACATGGTCCTTCAGAAAAAGGCCAAAGAATGAGTTAGGGAGATGAGATGTGAGCAGGACTCAACATTACCCGCCATTGCTGGTGTTGAAAATGGAGGAAGCAGGCCATTCACCGAAAAAGGAGTGGGCTGTGGAAGCTGGGAATGGCTCTCAGTTTACAACCTGCAAGAAAACAGGGACCTCAGTCCTATGACAGCAAGGAACTGGATTCCACCAACAGCCCAATGAGTGAGGAAATGCATTCTCCCTTGGAGCCTCCAGAATGGAATGTAGCTTAACTTGGTTTTAGTCTGGTGAGACCGTATCAGACTTTGGACCTCCAAAACTGTAAGACCTTTGTGCCTTTTTAAGCCATCAAATTTGTAAAAATTTGTTATGGCAGCAATAGAAAACTAATACATAGAATAAGCCCACCAATAGATGGGACATATTTTGCAGCTGGCAGTCTGAATCCTATGAGTAAATTCCTGTATTTGAATGAAGAGAAAATGTTCTTGAGAGGCTAAGACTGATAGTCTGTAAGAATTGGAATATTGATTTTGTTGATCCAAATGATAGTTATTGCCAACTCAGAGAGTTCTGTTTTCTACTTTGTGACACCCCTTCTTCATCAGAAATTCTTTATATGATATATTTGTAAATGCAATACCTGTGTCACTCAAGGTACAAATGAGTACATGCTTTATTGGACTTTTTAGTGAGTCCATGTTTACCTAAGCATTGCTGAGTGGAATGGAACATCGAGGGGTAGAAGGCCAGGTCTCTGCTGCAGAGACCTGACAGTCAAAGAATGCCGAGTCTAGTGTTTGAAAGCAGATGGTGGCCATGTGAATCCTGGTTCTACCTCTTTCTACCTGTGTGAACCCCGGGTAAGGTGGTGAGCTCAATTTCCTTCCTTTTCTCATATGTAACATCAATAATACTTCCCCACAGGCATGGTAAGATGACTAAGTAAGATAGTACATACAAATTCTCACAAGAGTGCCTGCCACTCTGTGAGTTTGGCAAAGGTGAGGTGTATTTATTTAGAAACTACTGTGCCGCCTCACCATTTTGATTAAAAAAATAAATTGGTTTTGTCTTTACTTATGGTGAGTGCCATTTTCTCTCCCACACAAAAGTCATCAGTATGAATATATGAACACACGTTGCTTAAAATAAATGTAGATGCACAACAGTCAGGACATTCTGGAAAATGTAAGTGAGAAAAGTGAAGTCTAAGAACTAGGGACTGTGTTATAGTTTAAATGAGTTGAAGATCTTCCTATATAGTTTTCTTTCCATATTTGGAAAAATATGACTATTATTTCTATTTTACATTTGACTTTTATTCCTGCAAAAGGACCCATTTAAATCATAAGCCATAACTTTTCATGTAAATGAGACAAAAGTAGACATTTGAAAAAATCTAACCATAAAATCTATTACACTTCACACTTGCTCTCCTTTGCATGTTGGGAGCTGATGTTTTCAACATAAGAGAAGACAAAATTGTAAATTCTCCTTAACTGGCATAGCAATCAAACAGACAAAATCTATAGTATTCCAGATGCTAAAATGTCTGGGTTGTTTTGTATTGAAATCCAATTAACAATTATCTCAAGCATCTGAAAAGTGTTATTTTTTGCTTATTTCAATTCAATTCAATAATAATGTATTGAGCACCTATTATGACCACAAAATTATGTTGCATCAAAAGGTCAACAATATAGCCATTTGCTTCCATGAGCCTACATCAGCCCAGGGAAGAGAAACTGGACCTGGACAAGCTAATATCAGGCAGAACATAGTCATCAAGATGAGAGTGCCATCAAAACGCTATTGGAATACAGAATTCTGGGCGATGCTGTCAACCACAATATGAATGACAAATCACATTTCAGCAGACAGATCTTGCAGTTCTGACACTAAAGGAAAAAGTTCCTTTGAAACGTACAAATGAAATCATCAAATTCAAAGCATTTAATTTTAGGTATCTAATTTGACCATCAAGTCTTTGACCCTCTTGTAACTATATAAAAATATGGCTTTAATGCATTGTTTAACCAAGCCAAGAACAATTTTGACCATTGGTGTCCTTTCAATTGGTCTTTGGGGACATTGCTTTATTCTAGTCATAGTTCTCTGAATCTCTCTAGGGATGAATTTTTCAGGAATCATCGTCTTCTGGAAGCTTCTCCAGTCTGGTCTAAGTCTGTGCTCCCATTGTTCCTTTTGCCTCCCTCTGTAATAATACCTTCCACATAATATTGTAATATTCAACTTCCTGGTTTGAGCTCTTGAGAACAAGAGTTGTGCTTTATGTATCCTTTTATGCCCACTGTCTAGCATGGCAATCCATAGATTTCTTCTCAATAAGTGTGTACTGAACGAATAATGGGTACATTCTTAGGAGAAAAATACGTGTATTTTTTAAAAATCTTTATTAAATTAAACACTGTAGTGAGAATAAAATCCAAGGATCATTCTGCAAAAATCCAGTGCCCCATTGGCCTCCACAATTGAGTCATGTCATTTGCTTTTCAAGTTTCAATATATTCTCCCATTCCATATCTCATAATCAGATAATAAAGTTAAATAACTACATTTTATCTTAATTCAAATGTACAAAATATGAGGAAGATTTTATGAAAAACAAATAGTCACTGTTGGGAAAAATAGCAGACTTTTTGAAAAAATTCCAAAGAACCTATTAAAGATGGATAAGGAAAATGGAAAATGTCTAAAGCTATCAAGTACATTGTGTAATAATCTACATAATGAAATAGCTTAAATAGAGAAAATTCTCTTTACATAATAAAAAGCTTTATTTGTGAATCAACAAGTGCTCTTTGAACTTTATTAAAAATGTTTTGACATTATCAGGTTGTTTAGTATAGATTTACTGAAAATAGCACATTTAGTTGCAACACAAGCCTTGAAGTTAAGTGGTTAGTTTAATAAAACAGTTTCCATAGTTACCACAGGAAAACTGAGAATAACTTTTATTTCTTTCGAAGCCAGGAAGGGGCTTTAGAGAAAAGATTAAGCAAACAGACCCAGGCAGGTTCATTATGTGGGGCTTCATACCTGATTGGTTTTTTAAAAGAGGAAACTTAATATTACAGAAAATTAAAGTTTTCCCACTAAAATCTATGGAAGCACATTAAGAAGTCTGAACATTTCCTTTCTGTAGGTGTTTACAAGTAGATTCTGAGTTAGAGGGAAAGCTAGTTTAATCCAGCATCTCCATGAGATGCGTTTTTTGCTCATAGTATTTTGTTAATAAACCACATCATAAACAAGTGGTTAAAAATGCCACCCCAAAGACAGCAATGCATTGCTCTGTGTGACGAGTCATGCAATCTTAGATATAACTTTACTATTCATGGTCAACGCTTTGTTGAAAGGCCTGAAGGAAGGGAAATTGAAATCCATGCTAGTGAAGATGTCTCCTTGTGCCAGATTCATTGTTTTCTCAGTTTAGCATGGAGATTTGCTCTCTCTGAGTGTTAATGGAGGTCACTGTTGCTCTGTCCTTTGCTGCATCTAACCCAAGGAGTTCTTCACAGTTGACTGTTGAGAAACAAGACGATGTGTTTTCTAGTATCTCACCTTCAGCTCACCAGCCTTTAAAGCAGCAGTGATTAACAGGACTTTTACGAAGTTTCTATGTAGTTACAAGGACAGTTTCAATCTTCTGTCATTTTTTTGCATTAGCTATGATTATGCTTTTACCACAAAAATGCATTTGTTTTAAAGGTAACAATACAGACTGGGAGAATAGCTTATGTTTCATCTATATTTATCAGCACTCACTGTACATTTGTGTCTTCATTACCAGGAAATATTAAGGGACATTGTGCCATCTATTCCTGTTTACAGTTTATTATGCAGAGATAGGAAACACTTAGCATGTAAAATGAATGTAGAAATTATTCCTGGATAGAAACACGGACATTTCCCACTCGTTGGCTCTTTCTCCTCCATCACCGGATCAGAGTGTAATTGTCAGTAATCAGGCCTGCTTGCTGCTGATAAAACCACTCTGAATGCTAGCAGCCTTCTTTGTGTGATGACTCAATTATTCCAGAAGTGCCTCATCAAATCTGCCCCATCAGCTGGGCTAATAAATAAGGAGAAGAAACTGGCCCCCCAAAGCAAATTATAAATCCATTTGCATTAACCATTTCGCTGGTCCATGATCTAGGCAGAAATAAGCATGGCAGATTGTGTTAAGCTTATTTGAATATGTTTATAATGTTTACAGCATGCAACTTTTTTTTCCCACAAGGTGTTAGAATTATCAGTCATGAATGGCATCTAAATGCAGTTATGTTAATTACAGCAAGGCTTTAAGTATCTTTGAGGGCTATTTTGTTACTTAAATCAGGTAAAAGTTAAATCATCTTGCAGAGAGAAATATAGGTCTTGCATAAGTTATTGCAATTGCTTCAGAGCTTAAGGAGAAGAGATCTATGTTTTATTTTTACAGGGACTGGAAGGACAAATACAAATACTGTTATGCCTACTAGTGTAAGTACAATTACTTCATATCTATCACAGTGAAAACCGGAAGTTATTGTGATGCTCTGGATGACTTCAGCAATCTGCAAAAGCAAAAATTGCATTTTTCTGGGAGCCTATGAGAGTTGCCATAGCATTCCCTGTACTGAAAATTCTTTGAAAGGTTCTATAAGGCAGAGATTTCAAAAAGCTGGGCAAACTAATAAAAATCATTTAAATTCGTCCATGGAAATTGTGTGCATTGACAAATTTTATTCTTTCAAAATGACAAGCTATACGAATAACAAGAAGTTTTGTGTGTATATTTACAACAATCACTCGGGGAAGCGAAAAATGTTAAAAGGTGATAAAGAAAAGTAGTCTGTTTGCTAATATCAAAGAATTCATCTTGTTGAATATGCAACGATTTAAAATCTGAAACATCTTCCCTAAAAGTAAGCGAGATACCATTGACCCACTTTGCCATGGGAGCTGTTTTTCCTGCAGAGTGGTTCCAGTTTTGCTGAAGCTCTTGTTTCTACTCCTGCTGTGATCAGAGGCCTAATTATGGGCTGGTGGTAAAAGTGAAGTTTATAGCCAATGAAGAGTGTTTGTCTTTGCCTAAACATCTTAAATGAAATTCAGTGCTTATCTTCATTTGCTCCAGCCAACAAAGTATATGCCCTAATATTAACCTGGAAAGCTAGGCAGAAGAAAGTCATTTTTGATAGCATAAATATAAAGTGGCAAAAGGCTTACATAATTTTTGTTCATCAACTTCTAAATATATAATCTCTTGCTATGTTGAAAATACCAATTCTACAGCTGATTGATTAGGAACTCCAAAATAAAGGGTTTAAGTTTTCATTAGAAATTTAATGGAGCAAAAGTGGTTATGCAAACTTGACTATAACTTAAAGTATCATACTGACTAATATAAAAATAAAACTAGAAACTTGGGAGTGTAAAGAACTTTTCTTATCATTCAAAAAACTGAGTCAGGCAAGGATAATCTGCTCTTTTTCATCATTCCAACTAACAAATAATTGGTGAAGATATTAGCATTAGAAGAGCGATTAAGAGCTCAATCTGTTGTAAATTGTGGAGATAGGTTCTCAAGGGATAGCAATACTAAGGTAAATGTGCTAAAATTTTTATGTTTACTTATTAAAAAAAGCAAATCTCAGAGTGGTCTTTGGAGTCTGTATCAATATTCTGAACTTCTGAGAGGATGCTATGGTTTATATCAGAACCACAGAATGGTCTGGTTCCCTTGGTATGCAAGTTCCAAAATGAAATTGGTGATGGTGATGACCTCATATTAGTTACTATAGCACAGGGTTATGAGTGCTACATCCATTTCATGTTAAACTTACTTGCCCTTTCAATAAATTTTTCACTTTGAGTTTAGTTTTGAGGACTTAAAAAAAAAATCACATCCTTTGGAACCATAAGTAAATTTTTTTTTTTTTTTTGAGACAGAGTCTCACTCTGTTGCTCAGGCTGGAGTGTAGCAGTGTGATCTTGGCTCACTGCAACCTCTGCCTCCTGGGCTCAAGTGATTCTTGTGCCTCAGCCTCCCAAGTAGCTGGGATTACAGGCACATACCACCACACTTGGCTAATTTTTGTATTTTTAGTAGAGACAGGGTTTCACCATGTTGGCCAGGCTGGTCTCAAACTCCTGGCCTCATGTGATCCACCCGCCTCGGCCTCCCAAAGTGCTGGGATTACAGGCGTGAGCCACCACACCTGGCCAAGGACCCATAAATAAATCTATGATTCTCTACTTTGGGGATACAATTAACATGTATATCATTATCAGTTTAGGTCATTCATTCTAACTGATAAAATATAATCTGATATACTCTATTTTTGAAAAAAATAACATACCAGACTCATTACCTTGTAGCACAGGTTTAAAGAACTGTCTTTCTCAGGCGCAGTACTCATCCATGAAGCAGCCATAAAGGACTGAGAGTCCCTAATTATTGGCAGATAGTAAAGTGGACAAACGTAGTCCTTCGTGATGACTTTATTTAACAAGCGAAGCCATGTCATCATCAGAGAGCACACTTTAGAATTGGGTAGCCCGTTAGGTTACTAACACCTCACTTGTCACATCATTTCCTTTTTTTAAGATTCCTTTTTCATTAAAAAATGAGTTTCAATGCAAAAGTATTCATCTAAGTAGGTGGGGGCTAAAACTAACTCTGTTACAAGTTCTGGGAGCTTGATCAAGATTCTAAGTCTTAGGTTAACTGCCTTCAAAAATGTGTATACTGCATGAATATTTTGGTAAGTCCTTAGCCCTCATAACATATTTAAGATCAAACTCAAAAAAGTATGGCAGTTAAGAAAAATGGTTTTTTAAAGGTATCTCCTTGATCTGATAGTGCACATGCAGGGACTAGAGTGATCCGATGTCAGTCGCAGATTCCTTTTGGTGTCTGCCAAGGGTGTGGAGTTATTAATGATAGACACATGGATGGAGAGCCTCTGCAGGGCTCCTCGTTCCCATTTGTATGTTGGTGTGCTTAGACTTCATGAACTCTATTGTGTCAAATCATATTTCTAAAGTTATATTTTGTCAGTGCCCTCTGTGCACTTCTCCAAGCCGATCTCAGCTGTGCTGCCTTCACTCTCTTCCCCAGGGAGGGGAGCCACGGCAGATGGGGTTAGGGCAGAGGGCTGATGCATCTGACAGCAAACGGCCGGGCTGTTGAGTGGAAGCTGTGAGCGTCAGGAAGCTACTTTTCCCCTGAGAACCAACTAACCACTGAAGAAAGTTGAAAATGAGCCCTTTGAGAAATGCTATTAAAAGTAGTAAAAAATTGCAATTGTGCAGATGATGTGCTGCTGTGTGCTTATTCGAATGCTAATGAGTTTGACATTAGGGAACTCAGAGGCTTTACAGCTACTCCCTTATGTGATTCAGTTCTTTATTGGCAATCTTTGAGAAAATAAATGGAAAATGTATTGCTAATAAATACATAACACGATAGGGTATTAGACAAAAAGCCATTACTTTCAGGATTTAGAAAGAGCTTTGTTTGCCAGTGTGACTGTTTTCCAGGATCTTTTGTTTTAGGTTAGTGTATGGCAAACAAAGGGGAATAGGCAGGTGGAAAGCTTCAGAACTCTTTCTGAACTGAGGGCGCAATAGAATAGGCCAAAAACATTTGGAGAGAAAGCCGTTTTTTTTTTTTTAGTTGCAATCAAACGCAAACTAAGAATTCCCAAGCTCCTGTGCTACTTTTCAATTCTTACATCATGTGCAGTAATCTGCTCTATCACTTGAGAGTTTTATCTCCATTTTTCCCCAGGAACTACAGTTGCTGACTTAAGTTGAAGAAGCATCTATTTAATGTCTGGTCAAATCCTACAAGAAACACAGAAATCTATGATTAAAAAGCTGAGCACTTTGATATACTGCAAAGGGTAGAGAAGGCAGGACGGTAGAAATTTTCTGCAAGAAAGGTTGGTGGCTTGTGTTTTAAAACATCAGAACTGCCAGACATAAACATTTTAAATGTGCATGGATACACGTGATGTTTGTATAAATTGGTTCCTCTAGTATGTTGAGTGCACGACACTGAATTTCAAAGTTTTCTCTCAAGGGCCAAATAGCCTGATGAAAACTGATTCTGTGCTCATCCCTGGGACCACATAGAGGTGAGGCACCTCTGTGTATGATGACTGAACACACAGTAAACCAAGGGCAAAGCATTTCATTGGACGACAACTTAAAACATTAGCAAAAGGATTGGTATCATGTTATGATGGTCTCGTTAAAAAGAACCCTAAGTAACAAAAGAATACATTTTGGATCTGCCTTTTGTGACCGCTTGAGTATAGTACATTCCAAATCTTGCCTCAACTTTTTATTTTGGTGGTTAAAAGTAAAAATAATAGTAATGATCATTAAGAGTCCCTCTTATCTAATTTCCCAACTAAATTGAAGAAGTAATAGAGTGGTAGGTAGATAGATAGATAGATAGATAGATAGATAGATAGATAGATAGATAGATAGAGATAGGTAGTTTGGTAATAAAGACAAAAATAAATTTGGCTTACCTTAAAAAATAAAAAACTATTTTTCCCCATTGATACATAGTATAAAAATTGTCATTCTATTTCTACTGTAGTACAATCAAACTATAGATAAGTGTCAACACTTTGTTGATTGTTCATTTAAGTGTTTATTGCTGCTCTTCTATTTATTTGTCCAGCCTGATATGCTTTTCTTGTTTGATTTCTTATCTCAATAGAATGAATTTCAGGATTTATCACTAAATAAGACAAAGTCATTTATTTAGTCCCCCTGACACAGCAGGGCAAACTGAGTTGACATACAAGTTACCTGGAGAAAAAGAGAGGTAAGGCGACATTTTTATTTATTAAAAAGTAGAACATGTTGAAAGAAAATGAATTCAATCAAAGAATTTATACGAAAGCTCTCCTCTACAACAGCTCTTTCTCTGTGGATTCGCTTACAAATTTATTGTTAGTGTTGAATTTAGAATTGCAATTTTTGTCAGAAATACAGCCATTTAATATTTTAAAATATTAAATAGGCAAAGTCCTCTGAGCCTACAAACCGTTTTGCATATTGATTGGTATGTATTATTTGTTCACACGTTTGCCTTTAAGGAAAGTTTGATTGTTAAAATGGTTTTCAAAATCCAGTTTACATTCGTGTTAGAAATTAGTTTGTTTATGGATTAAGAGTAAATAAGCAAGATTTTAAAAGCACAATGTTTTAAAAAGTACTGTGGATGACTTCTGGAGTGAATTTATGCAAACACTAAAAAGTAATAATTGGATTATTCTTGAGAGAAATCTATTTCAAATGATCTATCCCTATATGAAGGAGCTTGATTTCTAACATTGACATATTTTGCAACAGATGCATCTCAAAATAACAGCAAGAAAAAAATTGTAAAGGCCCTTTTAGTGTGTTACTTGCCCTGAGTTTTCTTTAATCTGGGGATATTAAAAATATACATCAAAAAACAAACTGTCTTCTAAAACGTAAAGCTGGAGATTGCCCCCTAATGTCACAAAGCTGTGACTCTGAGGCCGTGGTACAGTGACTAATAGAAATCCCTGGCACAAATTGGTTACCTAAGGGAATAATAGGACTATTTGCTGGAGTCGTTTGGCAAAAAGACACCAACACATGGCTTTGGTTTATATTCAGCATTGCCAGTTGCACAAAGTTGCAGGATGAAGTCTACACCAGCAGTGACAACTCAGAAATCAGAGAGAATCAAAACCAACCATTCACCTTATAATGCTACCCAAGCTTGTTTCAGGTCTCAGGTTTCCTTTATGGCAGTGCATTTCTAAGAAGCTCTAGGAAATTTCCTTTGAAAATCATCTCTTCTGGGGGGAATGTGCCTACACATGGCCCTCAGGAAGATCTGCTTCCCAGAAAACTCTACTTAAAATGACAGTGGACTGAATCTATTTTTTCCTTTGAGTTTGGTATTTACAGGTGTAGGAGGGATTAGGGGAGACAAGGAGAAGGATCATAAACCCAAAGTGCACACATCCTTCGATTCTTCAGTTCTCTGTATAGAGCCAAAGACAGTAAAATAAGAGGCATACAAGAACAGAGCATTGAAATCAAGAATAGTGTGCAAATAAAAGATGAAAAGTTTTGAAAATTATAAATATGTTGTCACAGATGGTGTAAAAAAGACATGGTTTTGTTAGAGTTTAGTTTTTTTTAAGTTTACTTTCTGAATTCGCTCCTATTCTTCCTGAGTTATTAATAAATGCATGAAAACAAAACTAGAAAAATAAGAGGAAAGGAAGAACAGAGAAAAAACATACTTAAACATTCTTAGTACTCCTCTCCACAAGTCAACTAGCATCCTTTTAGTACTGCAGCTCATTTTTCCCATGATTTTTCCTTGTGTGACAGGTAAACATCTTTGCTCCCATTGTGAGCTGCCCCAAAGCTATGTTTAAAACAAAATGATGCCAGAATCATCAAAAGAAAGGGCACTCAATGTAAGATTCTTTGTTCTTCAATCTGGCCAAATTTCAGTCCAAGATGCTGGCATCATCTAGTTGTTTGGTGGTCTGGGCCTAGCCATTTCCAACTTCTTGAGTTTTTCTTCATCATTTTTTTTAAAAAACGTGATTTTTGAAAAGGAAGCATCCACTGTAGATAAAGCGTTCCTCATGGAGAGGACCCCAGCAGCTCTTCTCAGCAGCCACAGATCTTCCTCCCACCATTGCTGTGAGTCCCCAGGACTGAAACGACATCTCACAAGAGCAATGTAACACAGCGACAGAACCACACTGCCAGGTCAAAAATCTCAGGCGATGAGCACAGCAAAATCTTGTTCAAAAGGGTGCTTACTGCAAGTTGAATGTGTGTGATGGACTTCTCAAATTAAGAGCGGCAGCCGGGTGCAGTGGCTCATGCCTGTAATCCCAGCACTTTGGGAGGCCAAGGCGGGTGGATCACCTGAGGTCAGGAGTTCAAGACCAGCCTGACCAACATGGTGAAACCCAGTCTCTACTAAAAAAAAAAAAAAAAAAAAAAAAATTAGCCAGGCATGGTGACACATACCTGTAATCCCAGCTACTCGGGAAGCTGAGGCAGGAGAACCGCTTGAACCCGGGAGGCAGAGGTGAGGTTGCAGTGAGCCGAGATCATGCCATTGCACTCCAGCCTGGGCAACAAGAGCAAAACCTCATCTCAAAAAAAAAAAGAAAAAAAAAGAGTAGCTACCTGCATGATATATCTATCTAACTAGACAATTTTACGATTAATTTTATAAGGGTTTTCAGAAAGCGCCCTCAAAACATTGTGGTCACCATGACATTTTCTGCAATTATTAAGAAGCTCAAGACTACTTATAAATGTATATTATATATAGAGAGAGAGGTATATTATAAATATATATTAATGTGTAGAGCCCTGTTGATAGAAACAAAACCTCAACATAGCCAAGGGATTTCTTATGTTCAGCTTTTTAATAAGTAATTAAATTTTTACTTGGACAGCTGGGTTTTGTTTTGTGTTTTTGTTTTTGTTTTATTTGCCATTAGGTTAAAATAGAATTTTAAGTGAAAAATAAAATCTAAGGGAAATAAAACCTCCCCACATGTCAGTAATTGGCTTGTGTGAATGAAAGCAAAACTGAGTTTATGAATTCTATGTCCTGCTCCTTGAATCTCTTCCCTCCCACAAAACAGCAATTCCAGGACTTCCTCTTCAGCCTAAAAGAAGGTACCAGATCTGTGCACTGGGGCGATGTGGAAGAGACCTGCTTATTGCCCCTGATGTAAGCTCCAGTAAGAAAAGACGTCAAGTACAAGTACTAGGAAATCACTTTATACATCTGTTTATAGGTTTGTAAGTACATAAAGATATTAAATGAGAGCTTTCCAAATTCAACCCAAGAGTTCAATTTCATTTTCTGGTCATTTTTCTTCCTCATTGTGTATCTGCTTATTTCCATCATTAGCTCTTGCATGTTTTCCTCCAAGTTTTGCTTTTTTGGCCTTCTTTATTTTGTACATGTCTTTTCCTCTTGCCATTTCACCTTGCATTCACCCCTCTCCCCAGAAAACTGGGACATTAAGCCCTTTTCGAAGTTTTTTTCATGGCATTATTAAGAATTAGAGACTGAGCAAGAACCACATTTTTCTCCTTTTTATATAAATATTATACATAATAAGTTGATACTTATCATTTAAACTGAACTTTTTTCTTAAAGTAGTTTCAAGTTAGGGAAAATAAGAGTGGCAGAGTTTACCCTTACTGTTCTTACTCCTATCGAGAAGTACATTCTCAAAGCCAGGAGGAACCCATTTTAGGAATTTCAGAATATATCTTCTGTCAGTTTTCATCTATAATGAGGTATATGAGAATGAAGTATATAAATGCCCTAAGAAATCTGGAAAGGAACAGCTTTTTAAAAAATAAAACCTCTGTTTTGAGAAAACAAAGGACTCATTAGGTTTTACAGACATAATTGCAAGCTTATCAATAGTATTCGGGGCTTAGGCAGTAAAGACGATCAAGTCTTCTTTTCCAGGGGGAAGAAAACAAAGTTCCCAATAAGAAGTGTAATTTTCAAGACTTCAGAACAAGTTAGGTTGATTTCTTGAATCATACCATAATCATGTGCCTCATCTCTAATTCCGGAAGACTTTGAAAGAATGATAATCTACCTCCACCCCACCCCAGGGGCCTGAACACACACACTGACGTGGAAATCTTTTTCCACTTCTAATGATCCATTACTTGGACAAGGTACTCATTGAATATGAGGCCTGATTTTACAAAAATTAAACCTACCCATTGGCAATTTATTGAGGTCCGTGAGAATAATCCAAATGAAGAATACTTAAAATATCTACTCCCATAGACAAGGTTCTAGAAACCAAAACCTATTTTTGAATTGAGATCTATGAGAAGAAAGAACCATCTCACGAGCGATAAACTCTCCACACCGAAAAACACATATGCCTTCAGTTTCTTATGTTCTTATTCCCCAATGAGCCCCAGACTTGAGTAGACACAATGTAGTAACTTTTGTTTTCTATGTGTAAAGAAGAGAAAGCAAGTGAAACAGTTGAGTTTTATATTATGGCCTTGATCCATTTCACTCCTGCAACTTGACCCACAAGTTAAATTTGAAAACTTAATTCTATGAATGAGTTCTCAGTTTTTAAATATGTTTGTATAGGATATCTATATCCTATACCAACAAGAGACAATAGCTCAAACAGAACACAATTATGAGACCAGCATTCCAAGCACAGTCAAAGGGAGGTCCATGAATATTTATGTATCCCTTCCAATGACTTTAGTAGGGAGCGGCTGCCTGGAGTGGTGACAAGGCAACCAGGCCCTTGGTTAGCTGAATTGCAAAATAGAATTCAGCTTAAAGCCGGTGTAAAGAAGATTGCACTTAAGTATGCTTCTGAAATTTTGATTTGTGTCCACTGGCACTCTTTGCAGGTTGTGTTTCAGTTTTGCTAAAGAAACTCACGGAGTTCATCCTTGCCTTTTGGGCAATTCTTCAGAGTGGTTAGGGTGAATTAATACCATCCATGTGGCAAGATAACAATAGGTTGGTGTTGCTTTGTGGAGGCTCACACATAGAAGTGGCTTCCTCAGAAATATGTGTTGGTTTTCATCATTTTCACCCTCACATGCTACTGATCTCTCATAATCTAGTTATTCATTTAGCACATGGAGGGGCATTCGCTAGAGTTGAGCCACTTTGTATGCAACAGAGATACTCACGGGAGGAGGGGGATTTCACAACACAGTGCTTACTATCCTGAGTAAACCAAGCCATTTTCATCTTAGGCAGTGTCACATCTGTCATAAACTCATGTGGTCTGAAAAGAAGGAAAATTGACAGGAAAAAAATCACCCCGGTTTTATTGTTGTTTTCTCTTATTGTGTAGTTTTAAAGTATTCATAACAATGGACCATTTTATTTAGACTATAGCAACTGCTGTTCAGCAAAGGCAGTGAACACTTTTTGTTTGCTAGTTTAAAAAGCAGTTCAACGATTGGTGTGGTGTTTATTATGAAATGATGACAAAAGAGTTCTGGTGGTTTTAATAGTTTTAGCTTACGAGAGCTGTCGTTAATTTTGTCTGTAGTGTTGCAGGTGAAAAAATGCACAATGGATAAATAGTCTATATTGGTTTAACTGAACATAATATATAGTGTGTTCTGGAGTTGTTTGTCTCAATAGACTATAGTAATCAAAAGTAATGAAACTATTATGTGCAGGACCTTGGAGAGCGTCGAATGGCAGTAAAAGTGTGGCACATAAAAGGTTTATTAAAGGAAATTAAAGTCCATCATTGCCACACCTGCTCCCCTATTATAAGTCTATGGCAGGTCAGTGCCTTCAATCACAACTCAGCCTCTGAGAGCAGAAATGCAGCTCCCATTACCATTGCAGTCACACCACATCAGAGCTAGTGTCAGGATTTAAGGATGGGAGCCACTGAGCGCACCTTCTGCCTGCCTCTGATTTTCAACAAGCAAAGCAACTTATTTATATTTAAGAATTCCTCCTGATAATGTGCAGAAGTGAATTAAACTAAGAGATGATTCGCGGATTCTAGTGAAATGGATGGGTGTATCAAGGTCAGAGTCTGAAAACAACAGGCTTTTAAAGTCTTTGCATCCCTTTGATAATTGATTTGATGACATTTAAAATATTTAATAATGATGTTTTGGAGAATTTGACACTGGCACATATATCACTCAAATTTCACTTTCCTTATACATTTGAATGATTATAACTGGTATTTATTCTGAAATTCTGAGAGTAAACATATGTCATTGTTGATAATCAAAATTTCTAATGGTATTTTCTGGGGGCATTTGAGGGGTTTGTCTTCATGGTGCTTTTTTACACGAGGAATCATTTTTTTCCAAGCTTAGAAAGAGATATGTATCAGGAAGAGTCTGGAAATGTAAAAGGACTTAGGTTTTAGTAAATTGGTTTGAAATCTTTTGGTTTGACATATGAGGTTTCATCTCCTTCACAGCCACTGTTAATGAGATGAGCCTTTTTCTATCTTTGTAATGCCAGAAGTGTTTGAGTCACTTCAAACACTTGTGGACAAGGACATCTGCCCTCTTGTCGCTGTTCTCTCTGGTTTCCAGCAACTGTAGATGTATTTCCAAAGCTGGTGGTATGTGGGGGGAGTCACAGTTATGTACTATAGAGCCGGGCTGTGAGTCAAGAGCATGGAAGGCTACTGTTTTTCATAATGACCTTCAGAACTTCTAATTACATGTTTTCATATTTTGGTCAATGTCAAAGGAATGACCTCAGGACTTTGTGTTCATGTTATAGATGGATGCAGAGGCTGAAGATAAAACGCTGCGTACTCGCTCTAAAGGAACCGAGGGTGAGTTAGCAAGCAGGTTCTATGACACTATGCCCACCACACCATGAAATATGAGCGTTCCAGTGCTCAGTCCCTCGTGTGCAGTCAGAATGATTACAACTTCCTCAGGGCTTCTTTTTTCAAATCAAGCCAGGACACTGGCTCTTGGCACGGAGAGGCAAAATATTATGAACGAGGAGTTAAAGAACTCAGAAAAGTCCAAATGATCTATGATGCTAATTTTTACAAAATGCAATCATGAGTGGATTTGAACATCACGCAAAACAGCATAAGGTTCAGCAAGTGAGGGATGTTTCATGGAAACTTTCAAATTATGGAAGTGACCTTTAATGGCCAAGGGAAAAGACAGAATTGTTAGTTTATTGTCAAAGCAGGTTTTGATTTTTATGTTATCTGGTTTAGTGGCTCCCAACCTAAACTTAGTTCAAGTAAAATGATGGTGTTTGTTTTTTGACTGTCTCAGCTGGGAATTTCCAGCAGCTCTGATGTCTGGAAGGTTTAACTTGCTGGTTATCTCTCTCTTTTTGTAACCAACAGATGGTAATGTAATATTGAAATATAAACAGGCCCTTGATGATCTAAACATCTGGAAAACAGGATTGACTGGCAATAATACCCCTTAAGGAAAATAAATTTTATTATAATTGGCTATATTTTTGTGACCCTTAATTCTAAGTGGAAAACTCTAGGTTCGCCACAGCCTCTGAAAACACTCTGGATAGCTGTTCCCCACCCACCCCAACCCACCCTCCTCAGAGTCCACCTCACAGAGGAAAAGCTGTGGCAAAGCCGTGACCCTGCAGCCCTTTAGGAGGGTGTTGAGATGTACAACTGACAGCGGCTGATCAAATGGAATGCTTTCGTTATCTATATTTGTGTATGTAGTCAAGATAGTTAATGCCTGTTTGAGCAAAGTCCAGAATCCCAACATTTTTAATAAATTCAAGGAAAATTTTTTTCAGTTACAATATAACCATGGTTATCATTAACCATGGTAATCAAAATGCAGAATAATGCTGTGCTCATATTAGATTTTTTCTACCTAAACAGAAATTTTATACTGTATTATTTTCCAGTCTTACTTTATATTACTTTTAAAGTAACCATGTTATATATCCTAATATTTGGAATGTAGTATTTCTAAACAATAGCTTTTTTACGGAGCAAACTTCTCAATAGGATACCAGCTTAAGAAAAGCAGTTTGTCTCACTATTTGGAATAAGCTTATGCCTGCCATAAATATCAGCATGCTAGAGTGTGTATTTCGATTATTTGAATTTCTTATTTTGACTTCTAAAAGCACACTACTCTGTCATACTTTTAAAATGTGGGTTTTTTTAAATTTGCAATTCCTTTTGGACTTTAAATTCCTCTGGCACAGGCATGAACACCCTTAGTAGAGCCAAAATGTTCTTCTAGAAATGAAACAACTGTTTCTCGTGAGGCATGAGTAATCTTTAAAACCACCTGTTGTCTCTCTCAATATGCTGCTTATCCTTGTGTAGGCAGGTATTTATAAACATGAACTTCTTTAGTTCCCATCATTTCAGTCAGAAAAATCAAAGCTGTTTTTCCTGTAAGTTCTTCATTTTTAAAAGGTTGGTGATATTAACATGGCTGAAGCTCATCCTCCCCTTTCTATATGGAGGAAGTTTATGAGTAAAAGCATGGGACATATTTATTTAGCAAAGCTTTACCAGTTTTATTTGAATGTGTGTTTAATATTAATAAAGATATAATCTTGGGATTCCTTTTGAATAATTTTGTACTAAAAATAAAATGTATTTAAAAAATAATCTGAATCATTTGTGCTCCTGTGAATTTTCAATGAATCTCTAAGGACAGGTACCTGGAAAGTCCAATCTACGATTATCAGGCCCCAGTTCACCCAAGGTACTAAACCCACAGCCGGTCTGTTCTGGGCCATATCCATCTGTCCTCTCATCTCCAAAGAACTAGAACAAGAAAAGATGAACCCACCCAGTGAGAAACTTATTGGTCGTTACCTCTAGGTGGGGGAAAAGTTTCCATTATACAGTTTTGAAAATTATCAACTGATTAAGTCTTCTTTTTTTTCTTCTTTTGTCAACAGTGCCAATGGATTCACTAATCCAGGAGCTCAGGTAAGATTTACCCTATATTACTTTTTTTTCACATTAATGGGCCTTGATTATTCGAATGATTTGTACTTTTCAAGCCTCAGAATACTTTTTTTAGCAGAAGGAATTGGCTAAAGGGCTTTTTCCATCCAGACGTTGTGTATGCACCAAGAAGGCGGAGGAGAATGATTGTACTGATACTCGATCCTGAACAACTCAATCTATTGTATTAATGAAATAACAAAACAATTTTTGCTGTGATGTGAGTGGTAGCCCACTTTTCTTCATCAAGCATGTGATCCCTTTGTGCACACCTTGCATGCGGTTGGATTTCACACTGATGGTCAGGGAAGAGCTGAGCTGTTATCCATGAACCTGACTGATGGATAACCCAGATCCTAAGTTATCCACTTCTTGCATTAAATAATTAGATGATTCCAGGCTGAGGTGAGCAGATTTTCTGAGCTCAGGAGTTCAAGACCAGCCTGGGCAACATGGCGAAACCCCGACTCTACTAAAATATAAAAAATTAGCCAGGCATGGTGGCGTGTGCCTATAGTTTCAGCTACTCAGGAGGCTGTGGCAGGAGAATTGCTTGAACCCGGGAAGCGGAGGTTGCAGTGAGCTGAGATCACACAACTGCACTCCAGCCTGGGTGACAGAGTGAGACTCCATCTCAAAATAATAATAATAATAATAATAATAATAATAATAATAATAATAATTAGATGATTCCATCAGGTAACTAATTTTTTAACCTAAACATGGGAACATAATGTGACCAATAGTTTTTTTGAGTGGATTCAAGCATTTTCGTCACAGATATTGCTGCTACTACACCTCAGGCAATATTGTGAAAATTCCACCTTAACAGGTTTTCCAGGATAAATTCTAATTAGATTTTCTTTCAGAGTCTTTGTCAGGGTATAGTTAAAGAAAGTACATTTTTTAAAGAAGAAACACATGCAGACGACACATTTTCTGTCAGGAACAAGATAATTGCTCTGTACATTTCTCTGCATGTGCTATTGACAACCTAGGAAGTCCCAAATCCACTGTTTAGTTCACCTTTCCAGAAACAGCCATGGTCTGTATTTGTTCCTCAGGGAAGTGTTTGAAAAATGAAGGATGTGTAACAGTGTCTAATACACTTGAACTTTGTAAGGTATGCAATTTACACAGTTCTTTCTCCAGGCAACTGAGCTTGTGATTCCTCTAAAACACAGGCTGTCACCGTTGCTTCCATGTGGCTTATGATCTCCGTCATAGCCTTGGTTCATTTATGTAGCGAAACACTTATCTGTTAGAATTCATGCAGATACTCTTCTCTGTGGAATTTGTCAGTAGGGAATCCATGGCCCTACCTGTGTAATCAATTTTGTCTTAAGAATTTTGTTTTAATTTTATTTTTATTTTTATTTATTTATTTTTTTGAGACATGGTCTCAAAAAGGGTCTCACTCTGTCTCCCAGGCTGGAGTGCAGTGGTGCAATCATGGTTTGCTGCAGCCTAAAACTCCTGGGCTCAGGAAATCCTCCTGCCTCAGCCTCTCGAGTAGCTGGGAGTACAGGTGTGTGCCACCACACCCGGCTAATTTTTATATTTTTAGTAGAGACAGAGTCTTGCTATGTTGCCTAGGCTGGTCTCAAACTCCTGGGCTCAAGTGTTTCTCCCACCTCGGCCAGAGCTTTGGGATTAACAGGAGTGAGCCACTGCACCTGGCTTAAGAATCTTAATTTTGAAAGTATTTTGATAAGAACAGGACATATAGTATACCCCTACATTTGGACAGGATTAAATTGTTGAATAACCTTGCTCATTTAAATTATTGCCTTTAAAATTTGCTCTTATTTAAAGTTCTTATATTTCTGGAGGCTTTATTTATGTCCCCTGTAGAATAGTCAAGAGAAGTTTAAAATGACCCAGTGCTCCAAGTGGGGGACATGTTTGCAGTCCCTGGAGTGGTTTCTTGGTTCTTGTTGCAGAATCAGTGTGCCCGTGGACATGAGGCCACTTACCTGGTGAGGGACACCAGAGTCCTTTAAAGGAACCAAGTCATTCAGAGAAAAAAAGGTAGTGACGTTTCTTGAAAACAACTTTTACTCAAGAGAATCTTTAAGGAATTAATGTGTGTACATTGGCCTAGAAGAGAAATATAATTCATAGAGAAAAAGTTAGGTATTAGCAGAGAGAAGCAAATTTGTGGGAAGAAATGTTTACTGTGCTCTATGTGGAGAAATAGAAATTACTATTTGAGCATGTCAGAAGCATTAATAATTATAATAAGCATGTATATATATATATATATATATATTTTTTTTTTTTTTTTTTTGAGATGGAGTTTCGCTCTTGTTGCCCAAGCTGGAGTGCAATGGCACGATCTCGGTTCACTGCAACCTCCGCCTCCTGGGTTCAAGTGATTCTCTTGCCTCAGCCTGTCGAGTAGCTGGGATTACAGGCATGAGCCACCATGCCGGGCTAATTTTGTATTTTTAGTAGAGACGGGTTTCTCCATGTTGGTCCGGCTGGTCTCGAACTCCTGATCTCAGGTGATCCACCCACCTCGGCCTCCCAAAGTGCTGGGATTACAGGCGTGAGCCACTGCACCCAGTCAATAAACTAATATTTATTGGGGTCCTATGTGCCAGACACTCTTGAGCTTTCTTAACCTCTATTATCTCACTTAATCCTCCCGATAGCCTTATTAGGCAGAAACTATGATATTTCAGTTTTCAGATGAATAAAGTGAAAATAAATAATTTATGGAAATAGCCCAAGGCTACACAGCTGGTAGGCAATCCAGACTTCTGACTCAAAGGCCAGCTTCTCACCCACCAGACTAGTCTTTATCTCACACACAATTAATACTGTTTAGAGTAGAAACCAAAAAGTGATTTAAGCAACAGATTTCTCACAGTCTATATTTTTAACCCTTATGGTTTATCTTTCAAACAGCCTAGTTTTTTTAAATTTGGACAAATAATATACTTTAAGATAATAATGTTTTCTATTTTCCTAATTCTCTAACGATTATCTTTTGTCACATATTTCATTTTAACTAATTTGTTATTAGAGTAACTCAGAAAGCTAATGATACTTGCTGGGAAAATTTATAAACATCATTAATTCACCTATTTTTATTTAATGAGACCCAGCTTATAAAAATCACTAAGTGATCATTTGAAATTTTATAATCATTTCTGTTCAACAGAATGACCATGCTTAGACAGGCAAGGTCCCAAGTTGTTTTATTTATCTATTTATTTATTTATTTATTTATTTATTTTGGCGAAGCCTCACTGTGTCGCCCAGGCTAGAGTGCAGTGGCGCGATCTGGGCTCACTGCAAGCTCCGCCTCCCGGGCTCACGCCATTCTCCTGCCTCAGCCTCCCTAGCAGCTGGGACTGCACCACCACGCCCGGCTAATTTTTTGTATTTTTAGTAGAGACGGGGTTTCACCGTGTTAGCCAGGATGGTCTCAATCTCCTGACCTCGTGATCCTCCCGCCTCGGCCTCCCAAAGTGCTGGGATTACAGGCGTGAGCCACCGCGCCCAGCCCCAAGTTGCTTCTTAAGTAGTTTAAGCTGACCTAGACATAGATCTTAATTATTATTCTATCTAAATCTTGGGAGAAAAGTACTGATTCATATGGAAGCTTATATTTTTAGCATCTTTTAAATTTTTGTCCATTTCTTGCAATTCCTCTTCCAATTTTTTCCACAGGTTTGTTGTGATCCAGCACAACTGTGTGCCTAAATTCTGAGTATCTTAGGAAATGTGGCATGTTTTCCCCAGTGTAAAAGTTATGGCTATTTTGTAGAGAACACTGGCAACTTTATTTGGTTCTTCTTTTTAGAATGCATTGGACGTGTTATTGCTTCTAGAGCGACTACTTACGAAAATACTAATACAAATGAAACTAATTTAAATATACTGTATATTCTTCATGGCACTAATAAAATTGATACTGACATTCTCATCTTCTTATTATACTCGATGTCAGCTACTATCATCACCATTAAAAAAGCAATTTATAACCACAGGCCCACCTTTAATCATATTTCTTATTAGCATTTCCAGTCTTTCCTCCAACACAATTCAAGTTACAGGTGGTGTCGAGAAGACTCACCTGTGTCTTTCTAAATCATGACCATTGCATTATCTCTGCTCTTTTCTTTTATTACTATTATCCTTAGTCTGAACCTCATGCTATTGCATCTACTAATATTGGTAATTGTCTCTTGCATTGGCAAAGTGTTTTTACACCAGTCCAGCCCCCTTCCTCTAATTAGGAAAATATATTCTAGCCCCTGAAATGACTTTCCTATGTGACTACTTAGAGAGACAAATGAATTCAGGCCTCTTAAGTATATTAGAGTCAAATCTCTCTGTCCGTTCATAGTCTTTTTGCTGTGTACCAATTTGTCAGCTTAAGTTTGGTAATGAAAGTTTTAATTTAAGTTTCTCTCTTTGTTTTATTTTACATAATTTCTTACTTTATATAAAATCCTATCATTTGGCATTTTCCTGTAAGTTTTAAAATGTTAAATATTTTATGAGCTCTCTAATCAATTATAGATTTATTTAATTTAGTTAATTAATTTATTTTTTGAGACAGGGTCTCACTCTGTCACCCAGGCTGGAGTACAGTAGTGTGACCTTGGCTCACTGGAGCCTCAACCTCCTGGGCTCAGGCAATCCTCCGACCTCAGCCTTTGGAATAGCTGGAACTACAGGCACGCGCCACCACACTCAGCTAATTTTGTTTATTTTCTGTACAGATGAGGTTCTCACTATGTTGCTCTGACTGGTCTCCATCAAACTCTTGAGCTCAAGCAATCTTCTTGCCTTGGCCTCCCAAAGTGCTGGGATTATAGGTGTGAGCCACCATGCCTGGCCTAGTTATAGATTTAACAATAACATTTCATGAGTATGTGAAAATTGTTATGAATTACAGATCTAGATGGCTTTCTTGTTTTTCTTTTATATTATTTCATTCATTATAGTCTTTATATCAGTAATAGATACTTTAATATTTTGGAATTTTTTTAGAATTCAGTTTCCTTTAGTGGTCATGAGTTTATTGGAACTTATTACATAAAGATTCCTGGAGGTGATAACTAAAGAAAAAAGTGAACTGATACTGATTTCTAATAGTAAGTCTTCCGTAAGTCCATCAGCCAGGTAAAAGGAAATTAATCATTTTAATCATGAAGTTAGAGAAAAGAAGGGAGAAACTCTCTTCTTTCCTTTTGTTGTTATCATTTCCAAATGTGGGGCTCAAAGCATGTTTTAGAGATTTAATAGCATAACTACTATATCATGTTGGCAATGTATCTTTTTCAATACTAGGCCAGACCTGAACATTAGAATCCAAGAAACTGACACCTTCAAGAAAACCCTTTTTACCTATAAGCCACTTTGAGAGGGACTCAAGACTGATCACCCAAGAAGCTGATGATAAAAATTAATTTAGAAGAGAAGTGTCCCTCCAGGGTGTGGCAGAGGCATCTGTAGGGTTCAGCCACCCCGGCATCGGCCTTGTCCATGCCTCTGTGTGATGGAGGGGCTCCGTGTGGAACATGAGGCTGGAGGCCTCACACCAACAGAAGCATTCCAGAGATTATTTTATGTTTACTGTACTGTTCTTACTAGGGCAGAAAAGTGTCTTAAAATATATTGGGGAAGCTTTCAATAAGAATAAAAACAAAAAAAGACTTTGTAATTTAACAAGTAAAGCCGATGAACTCTAATGCTCTTGTATGTTTATGTATTTGCATAGCCTATTCTAGCATTTAGCACTGAAGGTGTATTGAGTGGGCCTCAACAGGTGCGCACTGAGTGATTTGTGGGAACAATGTGCACAGCGTCTGGTTGGAGCCATACAGCAAGCCCATAAGGTTGTCAGGACAAATGACATTACCTGCATTTACTCATGTGCTAAGTTCATGGAAGTTAAGTGCTTTATACCTGGCCTGTGACAGGGAAGCGACTGAATCAGAGACAGGACTCAGGTCCCGTCTCCAGTCCAGACCCCGCACCTCCTGCAGCCGTGCCATATTGTCTGCTGCAACTGCAGGCTGCTGCATGCCACTTTACTATCCACACTTTGGGGAAATATTAATTTAAATTTTATCAATAAATTAATAAATCAAGCTGAAAAGTATCCTAACCTTCAGACAAACCCTACCACATCTTCATAATTCTCTGCACTGCCAATTATAAAGAGACCACTGGCCGGGCGTAGTGGCTCATCCCTGTAATCCCAGCACTTTGGGAGGCTAAGGCAGGTGGAACGCTTGAGGTTAGGAGTTTGAGACCAGCTTGGCCAACATGGTGAAACCCTTTCTCTACTAAAAATATGAAAATTAGCCAGGGGTGGTGGCACGCACCTGTAATCCCATCTACTCAGGTGGCTGAAGCAGGAGAATTGCTTGAACCCAGGAGGCGGAGGTTGCAGTGAGCCTAGATTACACCACTGCACTCCAGCAGCCTGGGCAACAGAGTGAGACTCCATCAAAAATAAAATACAAATAAAATTAAAATTAAAAAAATTTTTTTAAAAAAACAGACTACTACCATTTCCTTCTAAATTGTTTCCTAGGAGCTAATCATGTGATTTTAAGTAGATGTTAAAATATCTAGGAAAGACTCAAATATACATCCATTTTATTTGTTTTTTCTTTTGAAATGCCATCTCCCAAGTGATGACCTATCAAGGGCCTTGTATTCCCAAGGCTGATTTTGCAGTATGGGAGGTGTGAGTCATTTAACCTACACCTGAGGCCTGTAATAGTCATTTACAAATGGACTAAAAGTGGAATCCTCTTCCTTCATAGTAGCCTAACCACAAAGGACTAAATAGTTATGTTTTTCCAGTTTTTATTACATGTATGTAATAAAATATATATATTATTATATAAATTACATAGTACATAATATATATAACTGTGATTATACCAACCAACACAGTGTAATAAAGCATAGTGTGTGTGTGTGTGTGTATATATATATGTATATATAAAATGGTGATTGCAAAGGACAGAGTACTCTCCAGCTTGTCTAAGGTCTACTTTAAATCTTAATATCTGTATTTTAGAAAAATACTACGGAGCTAATGAATAAATGTCCGTAGAGTTAAGAGACTCAGAAACAAAATAAGAGCAGGAAAACATGCTTTATTTTCTTTGCCTGTTTTTCTCTTCATTCAAATATTATCACAAGGATATTGGTGGCCTCTGTCAACCAATAGATTACAGGAGCTGAGAGTCTAAGGCACTAACATCTCTAAAAATCAGACATCTTCTAAAACTGTGGCAAAATATCACCACTGCAGGCTGCATGTGAGGATTGACTTGCATTGTCAGAGATAATTTTTTCATCCATTTAGCTTTTCTTTTCTTGTAATATAAATATTTTTACACGCAGAATTTGCCACTCTTGACTGAGGGATGAATATTTCCTTTGATATTTTTTCTTGTGCCCTAGCATAGTATTAGATGTTTCAGTGGATACGCAATTCACAGCATCGGTAACAAACCCAGGGTATGATGTAACAGCATTGTTGTGGGTGAGAATAGATCACGTCCAGCTTGGGACTCAGAGGTGCCCCTGGAGCCTGCCGGCTCAGAACCACGGCATCCCCTGGGGGCTTACTAGAAACGCAGCCTCCAAGGCTCCCTCTCGCCTTTTAACAAGATTTATAAGAAATTAACGGGCGTTTGGAAGTTTGAGAGGCACACATCACAGAGACCATAGGTTGGACTTTACTAATTACTTAGAAAAACTCTTCTCACCATTGCTAATTTTCAGTGGTAGAAGGTTGGCTGAAAAGTCAAGAATCTGGGTTTCTTTGGTATTTTCTTGATCTATGAATTCTTGGGGAATGTTAATCATTGTTTGCATTTCTACTTGAAGACAAGCAGCAGAATACAGAACAAATGTCCAAATCTTGACAGTAGTGTGGCAAAATGCACAACCCTTGGTCTGTAAGTCTTTGTTTTTACCTCTTAGAAGTGTTTGAAATCAACCAGCTCTTCCTTAAACATTCATCATGTATCAGAAATGAGAGTTTAAGGAAGGAGACTTTTAAGATGCTATTTTATATGCTTCCAGAGATGACTCTATAACCACCTAAATTGTGTTCTGAGAGTATTTAATTACATGTCTCTGACAAAATCTGAAGTCTCCGTCAAATTCCATATGCCTGTCACACAGCTCCCTTGCAGCTTTGGTAATTTGGGAACTAAATTGCTAAGGCTCTTTTGGACTTGCTCAAGCACTGCACGGGTCGTTGGCTCCCTTTGGTCCAAATCTTCTCACCCTGATGCACTCTTCAGCACCTCCAATGCAAACAAAATTATTTGACTGCCTATCTCTTTTCTCCCCAGTCCTACTTGAAGAAATGCATGAACTTTAATCATCAGGCAGAATACTTCCTTTCTTGCTATCTTTTAAGTAAACTATACCTATTTGAGGTCTCATTTTAATTATATTATATGCTTGCAAACATAATGTTTCTGACACCTCATAAATTTTTTTCCTGCTTAAAATGTGAACTGAAATAAAATGTGTCCCATAATGTTGACAAATGGACGCCCTACAATCCAAATATCATGTGCTCTGGTTTCCAATATTTCCTCACAATGGTAAATTCTCAAAACTCTACTACAAACCCTCGCCTAGAATTTGACTGGTTTGTCAAATTCTATGGTACAAAGGTTGGCAGAAAAGCCAAGAGTTTGTGTGGTGGAAAGAACACTGGGTTAATAGCAGCCCTGTGTTCCGGGGCTGTTTCCCTGATTAGCTGTGTGACCTTGGAAAAGTGTTCAAAGATCAAGCCTTGCTGCCTTCTTGACTAATGAAACTTTTTGCATATAGCACTTTGAGCCCTGGTGTCATGGTTCCCCCTACCCCCTCCATGTCAAAACCTACCTTAAAACAATTTTTAATTTATCATACATAATTCTGACTTTTTAATATACTGCCTACTTTTTGAAGACAAGGAATCTATTTTATTTACCAGTGTAGGCCTCGTACATGATGTTGCTTGAGAAATATTTTATTTTACATTATCTACCCCTGTATGTTTAACCTCTTGAAGTATTCAGCTATATCTTGTGAGTTCATCTTTATCTTTGATACTCTCCTTTGCTACCTTTTCATTTGGGTTTTTTGCTTGCGTAATTTTTCTTCTTGTTTAGTTTCTTCTCCTTGTAGGAGAAAATCACTTTTATCCCCCTTCCCACCAACAAATTCTGTTTTTTCAATATCATCGCCATCCTATTTTCTGAGAAAATCCTACACCTAATGCTACTTCTGATTTTTCATGATATAAAACATTCTTTCCATCTCAACTCTGTTCTAGGCCATGCCTGGCATAATTCTTTCCTTTGTCTTTTGACATATGGAATTTGTACTCATTCTTTCAGGCTCAGGACTGATACCACCTCCTCCATGAAGTGTCCCCATGACCTCCCAGACTAAGATTTTTTCCCATTGTGTTCCCCAAGCACTTCTTTACTTGTCTGTTTCAAAACACTTATTACTTTGAATTGTAGCTGTTTTGTCATTCACTCATCCATCTGTCCACCCATTCAGAAGAAGAAAGCAGATTCTCTGCCTTCGGCTTTACAATTTCGTTGGGGAGACAATAAAAAAAGGAAAAACCTATATTTAAAAAAAAAACTTTATCATATATAATTCTGCCTTTTTAATATGCTGACTACTTTTTGAAGACAAAAAATTTATTTTATTTACCAGTGTAGGCCTCGTACATGATGTTACTAGAGAAATATTTTATTTTACATTATCTACCCCTGTTTGTTTTGAGAATAATGTAGCTTGTAATGCATGATAAAGGCATTTCTATTTAACATGTTGATTCTCTACAACTGTCTTTAAACTGCCTGTGACTTCTTTCCTTCCAAGTTCTTAAGTTCTTTCCCTAATTCTATCCCTTTACTTGTATTTTTAAGAAAATTTTATTTTATTGTGATAAGAACACCTGAGCCCTACCCGCATAACAATCTAGTTCTGGCCCCTTTAAAACCAAGGCTGTTTAGCCAGCAGTTTCCATTGGCCCCTCAACTACGAATCAGCCTACTCTGTTTAATCGTTTCTAATTCATTTTTCTGCAATCAATAAGGGTCTTCCTTTATAAGTATATTTTATCAAAGTATCAGACATACAAGGGAGATGCCCTTAATTCTGCCAGTGTCTCACTTGGTCTCATTTGGTCATTTTCAAATGGGAAGAGAAAACAAAACTGGAATCAATGAGCCCACCGCCCATCCCTGAGCTGCTTGTAGGAAGGGGTCAGCCCAGGGAGTCTGAGGACGGGCGTGGTCTCAGACTGCAGGGTCAGGAAGCAAAGTGACTGCCAGGACCCAGGAACTCTTAGACGAAACTGAAGGCTGGGCAGCCAGGCACGGATGGTGTAGATTGGGACGAAGAGCCACATCTGAACAGCAGTTTTTTTGTTTTTTTGTTTTTTGTTTCTAAGGATTCTCACTGTGGTTCTCTGCCTGAGTTACAGGAACTACTCCGGGAGGCTCACCTGGGAGTGGTTCTCAAAGCTGGGGTGGGGAATGTTCTTCTAGGGACTCCTGCCAAATCAGGGCAGGGGAGTGAACCCTGCATAGGGAAATGTTGGAACATGCCCCTAGGGGCATTCTGTTTGCCTTTGCCCCAGTGTCGAGGCTCAGGGTAAATTCTGTTCTTCCAGATTGCCCCTGTGAGAATAGAGAGAAGTAGACTCCTAGACTCACAAAGTGCTCAAGGTAATTCTCTCGAGCCCCTAAGGACCATCCTCCTGGTCTTTGGAAGCTGACCCAGAGCCTACAGTCTGTCCTGGAAGATCAGCAAGCTCTGCGTTCTTGAAGGAAAAGCTGGAAGGCTCACACAACCCTGGCCATTGTCAAAGAAACTTGGCTTCCCAACATTGCAACCTCCCTGGTTTCCTCTACCTCTCAGACTGCATCTTCTCAGGTCTCCTTGCTGGTTTCTCAACACCCCAGTCTCTGACACTGGATTCCCCAAGGTGCGTCCTTGATCCTCTTTGGTGGTGATCTTTTGGTGATCTCATTGGGGCTTTCAGTACATTTGTATGTCCATAATTTTACATCCCCAGCACTCCTCTCTTTCCTGAATTTCAGACTCATATAACCAACTGTGTGGACAGTATCTGCAAATGGATCCCTGAGGAGTATTCAAAATTAAAATCATTATCTTCTGCCATGAATTGATATACCCACCTGCTTCCCGTGTCAGTAAATGGGGACATTCAAAAGTCTTGGAGGCATCCTTGACTCTTCTCTTCAGACTCTATGTCTGATCTGTCCAAATATCCTGATGGCTCTAACTTCAAAATAAATCTACCATCTGACCATTTCTCACCACCTCTGCTGCTGTCACTAGGCCCCTAAGCCATCGCGGCTCACTCCAATCACTGTCAGCACCTTCTTACAGGCTTTCCTGCCTCTGTTCTTCCTCATGTAAGATTCACTCCACGAGACAGTCAGAAGCCCTTCGATGAGTTTCCCCTTTCTTAAAGGAAAAGACCACATCTTTACTCTGGCCTGGTCTCCCTTCCCTGTTCATTGCCCCCTACCCAACTAGAATCCGCGCTGGGTCCCCCAGACCTGCCGAAGCCTCAGGCCTTGGCATGCTGTTCCTGCTGTCTGGAATGTTGTTCCCCGCACAGCTGCGAGTCTCACATGCTCACTTGCACCAGGTTTTTGCTCAATGCCTCCTTGTCAGCAAGACCTTCCTTGACCTTAGCCTTTGCAATTACAAGCACTTATTCCAGCCTTCTTTATTATTCTCCTTCTGCTTTATTTTTTATGAAAAAAATTTGTCACCTTTTGACACACAATCCAACTACTTATTTACTTTGTTCCTAATCTGTCTTTTTTTCATAAGAATATAAGTTTTGTGGAGCAGGAATCTCTTAACTCATTGATAATATCCACAACATCTAGAATAGTGCCTGCCACATTATAGGAGCTAATAAAAAAAAACTGAATAAATGTGTTCTGAGTGCTATAGAAGGCACTGGAATGAGACACAGGAACTCATAGTTTTTGAAAGCTAACAGCCTACAAGTCATGAAAACACATTGCGGTAATTCCTATACGACATTTACATAAGGGAGCACAGTGGAATGAGCAGCTCCTTCTGGCTGGGGGTTTGACCTGAGTTTGAAGGAAGAGAAATTGCCCAGGGAACTTCTGCTGTCACAGAGCAGGCACTCCTTGCAAATGAGCTAAACAACAGTGTGAGGCAAACTCTTCCAGAAGCCTGGTTCTTGGCTTGCTATGGGTTTAGGTGGCCATGGGTCAAAGGAGCAAGGATATATAGGACTAGAGATTGCTCCTTGAGTACATATGAAGCATAGTTCTCTCCATTACTTTGAACTTACTTCTACTTGCCTATGTTTAACAAGATATCCCCATCTTTTAAAAGCAACAGAAAATCATATATCAAAATTAAGCTTATAGTTCACGATCCAAATGCCCTCAATTTTTATAATTTTGTGCCTTCATGAATAAAGGTTTGATGTTCTGTTTATTTCTATATTTATAACAGATGCAGGGCAATTTCTTGGCAACACAATAGACCAAGGCTGCAGACAGGTTTTTAACCCCACGATCCCTGTGTACCACGGGAACAGCCCTATAAGTAATGATTTACATTTGCAGGATAGCTCCCAGAAGTCCAGCCAGCCAGCATGAGGGCCAAATGGTAAACACAGCATCCTGAACCCTTCCATGCCCTGAAGCATTGCCTGTGTCTCAGAAACTGTGCAGACCCCTTTGAATGCCTTGTCTTGCTTGATCTGTAGTACCAGGAGGTGGGTGCTACTGTCCATGTTGTCTAGATGAACAGATTCTGGCTCAGAACCGTGTCACGGATGGCTTTGGCATTCTCCAGAAAGAGCAGTTGTATAATAACCTGAATGAGAATATGAAATGTTAAAAAAAAAAAAAAAGGTTATGTAATGGAAGCTTAAACTAGGATGTAAGCACTGGCAAAATGGCAACTTCCACCTCCACTGGTGAATGGAAACATCAGGGCACCCCATGAGTACCAATGAGGCCATGGCAGAAGCAGTGTTGGGGCTAAGCCTATCTGACTTCCAGGTGCCCACAGCTCCGTGGTGGGGCTGGAAGGAGGTGGGCCTGGGGAAGTGTCATTTGTCAGTAGTTCTGGTGTTGCATGTGGAGGAAGGCACAGGTACATGTGGAAGGGGTTAGGGCTACAGAAAGTGATATGTGGAGCTTGCAGGCTTCATTGTCAGTTGAGTGCTTCTCTATCAGGTTATTTCTGTTTCAAGTTATTTGTAATTCAATAGGACACTTGGCTGCGGAAACATTTCACAGATTTGTGTGTGTACATATATATACATATACACACTCACACATAGAGATATTACACATACATTTATATACACATAATTATAATAATATACCAAAGTAGGTGATCCCTGCTAACTCAGTATGCACATGACTACTGTAACACATGGTCCTCCTTTTAAATATTACTCCAGTATGTTAGCGAGTTCTGTTAAATGATTCATGCAATGTTCCAGTGAAGTGGAGATGGATAAACGGAAGCATTCCAAGTATCAAACAAGTCTTATTCATATTTAGCAAAACCTGTGTATATCTATAGGTTTTTAGTTTTTTGTGTGCAGAAAACTAAAAAAGGAGCCTATATTTATGAGCCAAACATCTGTGTTTGGGTAAATGTCAAGAAGTGAAATTGACATGTATGATAGTAGTTATAAAACAGCCACGGCCGGGCGCAGTGGCTCATGCCTGTAATCCCAGTACTTTGGGAGGTTGAGGCAGGCAGATCACAAGGTCAGGAGTTCGAGACCAGCCTGGTCAGTATGGTGAAACCCCATCTCTACTGAAAATACAAAAATTAGCCAGGCGTGGTGGTGGGTGCCTGTAGTCCCAGCTACTCAGGAGGCTGAGGCAGGAGAATCACGAAGGTTGCAGTGAGCCGAGATCGCGCCACTGCACATTGCACTCCAGCCTGGGTGACAGAGCAAGACTCCGTCTCAAAAACAAACAAACAAACAAATAAAACAGCCACATGGTCTTTAAAACGCCTTTTGTCTTAGTAACTTAAAAAGCCAGAAAATTACTATATTGCTCATATTACTGAAGAAGTTCTGTATTTGTGTGTGTGTGTGTGTGTGTGTGCTCATTTTGTTTTGCTGTTTTCCCTCTGTGGGTCTCTATCTTCTATTCTCGTGTCTGCCCTCTAGGCTGTTTCTCTGAGGGTTGTGCTGTGTCTGTATTTCTGCTAGCTTTTGACTATGTAACTGTGACATGTGCACACTTCTTTCCCTTCCTTCTTTTTGGCCTCCCTGCCCTCATTCTTTCTGTTTTCTTCCATCTTACCCACTCTTTCTCACTGTTCCTTCTTTTTATTTTATCTTTCCTTCTTCAGATTTCTACTCTAAGTGTTCATGCTAGAGAACAGAAGGACATCTGTACTTTATTCATTACCGTACTAATTAGACCTTTATGTTTCCTGGTCTTCACTTAAAGCCCTCCTAAATTAACTCAATTTTACATATGTGGCCCTGGTTTGAGTGCTTCTGGGGGTGACTGACCCAGAGTAACAAAGAAGCTCCAAACCCTGTCATCAGCTAATGATGTTTACTTTGTGAATAAATGAGATCGTTTTCATTAGTAAGGCTGTGCCTGCTTCACAAACGTAAATAGGAACTTAGTATTTGATGGATTTGGACATGATGTGTTACAGAGATAATTTTTTTAGGTTGTCCACAATAACCTCCCCAACACACCCAGAGTTGTCTGGATAATTCACATAAACTTAAGTTTAGGTACATGAATAAAATATTCATTGCCTTTGTTATTTTTGTTTAAGAGTAACTTTGCAGCAGATATTTTTCTAAGTATTTTACAATCACTGTCACTTACTATGTTCCAATGTCCCCATTCAACACTGAGAGCCGAAGTAGAATTTTGAAATGGACTTTGCTAGGACCTGGCTTTTGGTTCTGCATTCTATTCAACAACCTCCATTAAAATGTAAAATTCTTATTTTGTTTATAAAATAACTGCAATTTACTTTGAACTCCAACTTTTATGACAAAGTTAACTGTTTCTCCTTTTCTTGGAAGTATGTATGCAAGGGTTCCATTTCTCCTCAAACTGCAAAAAGTGTTTCCACAGTGCCTAGAAGACGTAGCAAATAGCCCTTACCTCCAGGAGGCCCTGGGACCTGTGCTATGCATGAGTGACAGTTGGCTTCCTTCTCCTAAAGGGTTAATTCCAAGACCCCAGTGGCTGCCTGAAACCTCAGCTAGTACCAAACCCTATATACACTATGTTTTTTCCTATACATACATACCTATGATAAAGTTTAATTTATAACGTAGGCACATAAAGACATTAACAACATAACTAATAATAAAATAGAACAGTTATAAAAATACGCTGCAATAAAAGTTATATGAATGAGGTCTCTCTCTCAAAATACCTATTGTCCTATACTCACCTATTTTCAGACCTCGGTTGACTACAGTCAACTGAAACCATGGAAAATGAAAGCACGGACAAGGGGGGACTACAGTATGAAATCAGGGAGAAGAGACACGGGACATCAGTCCTCACAGGACGAATGCAGGCATTCGCCAAATAAAAACAGAGGATGTGAATTACGTGGTGGGGTGAATGAAGCTTCTGCATCATTCATGGGAGTGATTTGAAAAGAATATGAAGATACTTGTATTTAAGGTTTCTTTTTCTTTTAAGTGTGAGGTTTAGGGCTTACCAAACTTTCTCTCAGGGAAAAACTGAGCTGGCATGGTTGGTTCCTCCACTGACCCAGGAGCAACCTTGTAGACCCAGCCTAGGCAGGTGGGAGAAAAGAAGGGGAGAGACAAGGGCACCTCCCAATCCTATCCTCTGCCCCCAAACCTCTACTTCTGTGCTTAAGCAGCACCCAAGTCATTTTTGCTTTTAATTAACCATTTTTTTGCAAGCATATTCTGCTAATAAAATTTCTGCTTGGTAACGTGATTGCTATTTCAAATTAGATGAAATACTAAATGAGGGAACATTTTATTTTCTTCTAAAACTAGATGTTTGTGAATTTACAAAAAGTGGAATCTATGTGGTCTGATCACATGCTGAGATGATATATACAAATAAAGTACAATACTTGTATCCCCCATTATTGTGGCATTTCACAGCTCTTATTGTTTTACTTTATTTTTTGGTTAGAAATACAAACTTCAAGCAAAAAAAAGAGAATTTAGATTATTCACCAAGTTAGTTAAGGTAAAATTGAGGCACTTTAAACTCAATTCTATACATTTATTTAACTGGCATATGATTACCTTAGATGATTAAGGTGCTTCTGTTACTCAACCACATTTAATATTTTTTAGCAGATACAATCTATAATAAAACCCAGTACTTATCCAAGATCAATTAAGATGTTGCAATAATCTTCTTTAAAAGTTTTTTTAAGATTATTTTAAATATTCCTTCCTCAAATATAGTTATGATTTTGGTAAGGCAAATATTCATAAACTAAGTGAATTTTATTTTTATCTTTCTTTATGATCAAAATAAGATAATTTATGTTTAATTTTTCCTAATAGTTTTTAAGTTTTATAACACTGTTTGAAAAATAAATATAAAGTCACATATATTTTATTATATTATATACTCAAAAGAAAGTATTTTGAAGTATTACTCAAATTAAAATAACAGTGTGGGCTTTATTGAAGCCAAATTTACTAGCAAACAAAAATAGTAATAAATGTCTGTATCTGAATTCTTTCAGTATCTTGATTCTAAAATCCACATAATGTTCATCTCTTAGTATCTTCAATTTTCTAATTTTATCTTATTATATTCAACTTCTGCTCTTCCGGGTACATCCCTATGATCCATCATATTACGTTTTTGAAGAAGCCAGATCCTGTTTCTATATTGTATAGCTAATCCATGGCTATGCAGTAGCTGAACTGCTCTGTCAATCTCTGGGCACTTAAAAGGAGTTTGGGAGTGCCCAAATGATTTAACTAAAACATATTGTCTTTGAGTATAAATTGAAAGACATTTATTTATATTTTATATTGAATGGTATTTCAAATGTTGGTGTATAATTTTGTGTTTTAGCCGATGATTGAATAGTTGTTTCTTTAAAAACTTTGGTCCATGTGAGGATTAAATTATCTTTAAAATGATATGATTGTTCATGTTCTTGAAGAGTAGACTTTGGAACTGATCAGTTCATGATGTTGGAGTCATTCAGTCAATCTTTGTGTGGACCAGTTAGGGTTACTTGGCTCACCGGCTTCTGCTGGCTTACTTCTTGTCTCTTCTTTGACTGTCTTGCAAAAACACATCCTCAGTGGCGGGGAGCTGGGCAGAGAAGCCCACATGGATAAGGGAAGTTAGTCCCATCATCTGCACAGTAATGGGTGGTTGTTGATGGCTCTCCCGGAGGAAGGCAGTTCTCCAGATGCAAGACGCATGCTTTCACCAACATTCATCTTCATATGCTCACATCTGGGTGGGGCTCAACTTCAGTGGTCTTTCACTGAGCATGCTCCTAACACACAGACCTCATATTATGCACCAGAGATATAAAAAGGAGCAAGAAACAGTTTCTGTTCTCTTGTAGGTGTTTCCAGGTTACTGGGAAGATGATTATAGTGTAGAGAGATAAGGTTTATAATCAAGGTGAATGCCAAATGCCTTGCTGGCATAGAAGCAGTGTATTGTGACGCTGTCACTGGAATTACATCACAAAGGAAGGTCTATTCACCCAGTGTGAAGTGGCAGCTGGGGAACCCCACTTACCTACTATTACCTCACGATTCAGAGGAAATTTCCTGTTACTCCTCTCGTTGTTATTAAATTGTATCTTTTAATGGCTTGGTTATTTTATGAAAAAAATTCTGTGGTAGACGATATGCAATTAATTTATTATTTATAAAACTTAGTCCCAACTAAATGAGAAAAAAAAGCATTTATTAGCTTTGGCCTTACGGGAAAAAAAATTCTCCCCTTTTATAAACCTGACGTTATCAGATAACCTTGTCAATGGAATCAGTGTTCCATGACAGCAAACCAACCATCAATAAATAGCAACAACTTATTAGTCGCTGAATTTATGACATGAGTAATAGGAGAAGGCTTCAATTATAGGTTTAACTGTTGGACACACTGTAGCTCGGTAAACATGAGTGTGGTCACAAAGTTTCTAAGACATAGGTGAGAGAGTTGGCTCATGAAGTTCAGGGATTATCCTTACAGAATGAGCAATAGCTTCACAGTCCTCACTGGGTAAAAGTGAATTTGTCATTTACAGTGGCCCGTTAACTCTCTTAGGAATCACAAGGCCTATTTCAGATGAATGCACAAGACTGTAACTTTTCCCCAGGGTCCTGTCTCCTGATTTCCTAAAAATACAGTCCAGTTAGCCATGTACAGATTGTGTATCACGCAGCACAGCCTGCCAGGGAGCAGTACCTGTCAGATGTGAGGGAAGCGGGACTGGGCAGAGAGAAGTTGAATTGCAGTGCAGGTTCTATGGAAGGCTTAGCCAACTCTGCCAAGAGCTTTGGTGATAGATTCCTCTTCAGAGTCGGTCCTGCCTTGAGGCAAGTGTGAATATGGGCTGTCCCAGGGAGATGGGACTTTGGGTTAAATGGCTCTCAGGTTGAGGGCAATTTTCAGAAGTGAATTCAGCTAACGCCCATCAGCTCCCCACACTTTCAGCCAGTAGGGAAGATGTGTACCTTAGTCCTGAAGGGAGGAGGAGGTGCATACCATGGTATACACAGACATCTACACCTTTCCAGCTTGAATCCTTTTATACTTGCTTTGTATATTAACTTCATTATCTACCTATACTTCTACCCATTCCCTTCATCCTTGCCAAGTTCCTCTGCTGATCTAGACAGTTTACTTGGTTGCACGACTCAGATCCTTTGAGCCCTTGGTCACCATGACCTTCAGATTCTCTGCCTGCTAACCTGTTGATTTGCTGACAAGTTTGGGCCAGAAACAGTAAAGAGATACCCCAGTGGATCACTTGGGTGCTATATATATCCTGTCCCAATATGTAATAAGCCCCCAGCCCTACAACTTCCAGTGACCAGGGTCAGTGACTCCTGCCAGGACGGTATCTATTTTCCTTGCCTGTTATCTCTCAGCAACAAGAACCCAGGTGACAGAAAAGGAGTCTGAGCTCAAAGTTGAATAGGACTCTTTCTGTGTACCCTAGTGAAAGCATTCTCCCCTTGGGAACCAAGATCCTCAGACCTACAGGACCTAGATTTGGAGTAATGAATGTACAAATCCTTTAAGTAGTCACTGGAAATTATGGTAAACCAAGCTCCTCCTAACTGTACCTTTTTTGTTCTTGGATCCTTGTATTTAAACTGCCGAAGACATCACATTCTGTAATGATTTTTTATTTGGCATGATGCCTCTCAGGAAGACACTCATCCTGGTAGGTGTCACGTCCAAGCTAGCCTCTCAGCTATGCCTCCATGAGGCCATTTTCCTGCTCCATCAGGCTAGCAATTTCTGGGCTCTGTGGTGTGTGATAGTATCAGTGAATCTTATGATTGTATTTCCATGGTTATTTTCCTAAGTGGGTTCCTTGGTCCAGGGAGATGCATGAGGATTTCCTGTTGGTAGAGCAGACACTCTGCATGACCTCAGGTAGATATGGTCCTGGCTGAGGCTCTGAAGGCAGAGAAGGCAAATCCATGCCCAGAATTTGTGTCAGTTCCAATCAAGTTCAGTTACTGCCCCTTCTACAGTGGAAAGGTCCAGTGGTTGGTTGGTTTCTTCCAGGAATGGTGCCATGTTGGGAGGATTCATTGTCAGCATTGATTTCTTTTGGAGGCAGATTGGACATTGGGCTGTGGGCATAGCTACATCAGTCTTAGTGAGAGCCTATGCTGTTGGGCCTGTTCAATGCCCCAATCCCTGCCACTAATGCTACTCCATCAATGACCCCTCTGTGCCAGCCCTGGGAAGCTTGAAAACAGACTAGACAACTCCACCTGGCCAGGTTGTTCTGTCTGTGGGTGGATTAATGCCTCCTCTGGTAAATGCCCTTCAGTGCCTGTTGTCATGCAAAATTAAGACCTTCCCATTTCACCCCCAGTCTCCTAAGTTCACCCACATGCCTCTTCCTCAGACCTCCTGTTCCCTGATATTCCAGTTAAACCATTCATCTCCTTGTCCCTGCCTGACTAGCTAAGCTCTTCGCTTTGCCCATGGGCCCGCATATTTTCTTACCTCAGGCACTTTTCTCTCCATGCAAAGTGGAGAACCAGCTGCACCTGAGCCCTTCCCTATATCTCTGCCCATTGGGAAGATTTCTTCTCTCTGCTCCTCTCAGACTCACCCTTAAGTTGTGACCTGCTGACCAACTTCACACTGAACTCAGATGCTGAGGTGAACCATGTACGAACTAACTCTTCCTTTTCTTTTCTTCATAGCTGTTATTCAGAAGCCTGCACATGCCCTGCATGTGGTAGTTGAGGGTGAGGTACTCCCGCCACTGTGGTGGATGTCACAGGTCTGGGCTGCCTGCTCATATGGCTTGCTTGTTCCCACTAGACTTGTTTCAGCCGAATTTTGGACCTTCCATCTCATGATGGATTGTTTCTGGGCCTGCTTGACATTATGACTTGGTGAGTCTAACGGAATCCAGTTCATGATGGTTGGCTCTGACATCATGGTCAGGGATTTTGTCTCTACTAGGGCTGTTTTTCTAGCAGTGCATAATTCTTTGCTGCACATGACATGGCCTTGCTCCAGTCCCCTGTGGGTCTGCATTTTGATTTGTCTATTAGACCTTGCCATGAATTCCATCGGCATCTTTTCTGAGCACAGATACCTCTAAACAAACCATTGGCTTTACCAGGTTGTATGGCCCAAGCAACAGGGCTTCCCACACTGCAGCCTGGACTTGCTATGCAGCCAAAACTGGCCTTGTCTCTCAATGTGTGATTCAGAGCAGTAGTCCCAAGTGTGGAATATGCTATCCCCAGAACCTAAAATAGCCAATATGATATTATGCTTCCTTCCCAGTGGTGGGAAGTGTGAGATGCAATAATTTGTCCTTTGTTATAAGTGGGCATATGCCAGAATGCCCCAGACCACTGAGCCCCTAAGCACTTCACCGATATGGTGTGCCCCGAATCTTCGTTCGACTTATCTTCCATCTCTCAAACACAGATGTCTTGTCAAAGCCTCCAAAATACTTGCCACCTCCTGCTTCTCTGTTCTCCTTAGCATGGTATCATCAACAACATTTACAATGGGATGGTCTGTGGGTTATCCAGATTCTCCGGGTCCCTTCAAACTATATCCTGACAAAGGATAGCAGTTAGCACAGCCCTCAGCAAGATCACAGCTCTGCATGATCTCATCATTAGAATGCTAACTACTCTTGGTTCTGCTTCCGATAGAGATGGAAAAGAACACATTTACCATGTCAGGGACTGCAAAACATGCATTTGAGTGTATGTTAATCCACTAAAGCAAAGATCTCATATTTTGGCATAGCAGCTGCAGTTGGGATCAGTACTTGTTTGACGTGATGGCAGTCCACTGTCGGCCCCCAGGATCAGTCTTGTAGGGTCCACACTGGTTAATTAAATGGAAAAAAAATGATAGGGACCATCAGCCATGCATCCTATAAGTTTAAGGGTGGTACAGCTTGAATCTCCCTTATCTGAAACGCTTGGGACATAGAAGTGTATTGGATTTTGGATTTTTCAGAATTTGGAATATTTGCATATACATAATGAGGTATCTTGGGAATGGGACCCAAGTCTACACATGAAATTCATTTCTGTTTTATATACATGTTTTACACATGGGTTAAAGTTAATTCCATACAATATTTTTTAAAATTTTGTGCATGAAACAAAGTTTTGAATGCACCTGTCACATGAGGTCAGGTGTGGAATTTTCCATGTGTGACATCATGTCAGTGCCCCCAAAATTCAAATTTTGGAGCATTTTGAATCTTTGGATTTGAGATACCCAACCTGTACTAATGTTTGCCATTCCATCTAGAATATAATGTTTAAATCTACTATCTGGTAACAGAATGGGAGAAGTTTTAGAGGATTTCATTTGTGGGTCTCACTTTATTAGCTCCTACCGCACTAGCCAAGAAGCCAATATGTATCTGCACCAATTATACATGCAGAGACCAGTAGTACACCCATGAGAAAGATTTGTGAAGCCAGGACACCCCCTGGGACAGGTTTTCATTTGTGATCTGCCCCCATATTCTCCCACTCTATCAAAGGGCCATGATGAAGCTTCAGTCCCTAGGTATCAACTCGGACAATAAGTGCAATAGTCCGTGAATGCTTGTGCAGTCTTTTTTCCCCAGGGTAATTGTTCTCCAAGTAAACGACCATAGGTCCTTAAGAAAAGAGACTAGGGAGACCTTCACCATTGGGAACTTCCTTGAAAGGACATGGCTCTTCTCTTTCAATCACTGGGTTCTGAGTTTAAGAACTGCTTCAGGCCCAGAGACAAAAAGCCAAGAATCATCGATTTTCATTGGGATGGGTTTCCTGGCCTATGGAAGGTATCTATCCTAGAATGTCCACTTCTCTGAATCTTTTGATCCCTTCTTTATCCTTTGTAATGGCAGTTCTGGAATCACTGATTAGTGTGGGCCATTGTTTTTCTAGGCTTTCAAATGCCAATCCAGCATGGGAGTTGGCTTGCCATCAACTTTCCCTTATCCAAGTTGATATTCCATACCTTTGATCCAGCACCTTCAGGATCCAGCTTGTCTGTACACCTCTAGCTCCTGCCATACATATGAGCTAGATCCTGCAGCTCCTTTTGGCCTGTGCACCCTTTCTACTCTTAGAAAGCCAGATGCTGTGGTGTGATGATGTTGGTTATTGTTTGGGGGCAAGGAGGGGAGATGGAAGCATGTATTCATCATCTCCAGTGTGATGCAGGGAGAAGGGGACTAATTTTATGGCTCAGAGGATCCAGGGCACTCTTAGGATTTTATATTTCTTAGTGTGTCAATCAAAAGGTCCAGATTCTGTCACCATATGCAGTAGGCATTGCAAGTTTAACGTGCTCCAGTTTGAACTCCCAATCTCCAACCCTTGTGAATCCTGCTTCTGCAAGTCCTACCCATCTCAGAAATGGTAACTACATGATTCCAGTTCTTAAGAGAAAAACCTTGTAGGCATTCTTGACCCTTTACTCTCTTTTACATCCATCATCTAATCTCTCATAATTCCATTTGCTTTCTCTTGCAAATGTATTCAGAATCTCACCAGTTCTCATCACCACTGCTAGTACAGCCACAATCCAAATCACTCACATCTCTCATCTGGTTTATTGCCATAATCCCTGACCATGCTCCTTGTTTCTAACCTTCTATCTACAACTGTTCTTAACATGGAAGCCAGAATAGTCCTCCTAAAATACAAATCAGCCCGTCACTCTATCAAAACACTACAACGTATTCAAATCTCACTGAGTCAAAGTTCCTAAAATGGTCTGTAGTTCTCAGCATAATCTGAATCCATTATTTCTCTGACCTCATCTCCTATTATTCCTCCTCCTTCACTGTGCCTGAGCCTTTGTGTTCGCCTTCAGATGTGCCTTGCACGGTGCTATCTCAGGGCCCTTGCACCTGCTGTTTCTGCTGCCTGCAATCCTGTGCCCCACTGTTTCTGCATTTTCTCCCTTATCTAACCTCCTTGAGATCTTTACTAAAATTCAGTCTTCTTAATGGGGCTTTTCCTGACCACATGATCTCAAACTCTGATCCTTTGCTAGCATATATTTCCTGTTTCGCTTCTCTGCTGTATTTTTTCCAAAGCAAACATCTTCAAACATATTATGTATTTTACTCAATTTAAGGATTTTCTATCTCTTTTCTCCATAATAAAACTCTAGGAAGAGAGACACTTTTTCAATTTTATTCCATGCTATATCCTTAAAACTTACGACATTGATAAATAAATGTTTATTTAGCACTTATTACGTATTTATTGAATAAGTGAATATTTCCAAAGTAATATAAGCTGGAAAAATAGTACTGTCCATATACATTGATTTTGCTGAATAATTGTTGAGTTTTGTTTTAACTAGAAGTATGCAAAAGGAATTAAAGATCAATTGCATTAATTAATAATCATTATTTTAAGTATAGATTGCAATTGTTTTAGAAATGTGGTATAGAAATGCAAATTAACTCAGACATGGTTCTTTAATTTATGTATTGGGTAATTAGGCCAAATGTACATACGGATACCATTGAGAACATCTGCAAGACAAACTCTCAACCAAAAAGCAAAAAGGATCACCTCTCTTTAATCACAGCTCATCTTAGATTTAGTAAATGAAAAATGCCTTTCCTTTCCTAGGTCAAGGAAAATTTTCCCCATCAGTATCTCAAAAAAGTGATCTATTATCCTTTAAGAAAAAGTTGAGGACTGTAATTCTAAACCAAATAAAGTTCAACAATTGGCCTCTACAAAGTAAGACTGTTAATTTGGAAAGCTTTTTATATTCTTCCATCATTGGCTGTGTTCACTCACTGGAGCAAGTCTGCTCATTAAATCATTGAATAGTATGATATGGATAGTTTCAAGGACAGTATTAAATAATTGTAGGTATGATTTAGGTCCAGACTGCCTGAGTTCAAATCTGGACTCTTTCATTAATGGCTGTTTTATATTTGACAAATCAACCTCTCTGAGCTTTAGAGATATAATAGTACCAACCTCAGGATATTATTACAAGAATCCAGTGGGCTGATACATGTAAATAATTTAGAGCACTCCCTGGCACATTGCAAGTACTCACTAAATCTTACCTGTTATCATTGGCTCTATTGGGTTTAGAACCTACAATTAAAGTCAGGACCTTTGACTTTAGTCTATAAATACTTTCGGTAATCAAAGAAATTTGCAGCTCACATTGGCTGAACATTATACCAGGCTGCAAATGGACCTGCTAAGACTCTTTTTTTTTTAAGTAAACTTATTGAAGTATAAAACATATCCAAAAAATTCACAACTTATGTATGTATAGCCTTGTGAGTTTCCACTAGATGAACATACCCATGAAACCACCACCAGAACAAGGAACAGGACTTTATCAGCATCCCAGCCATTTCCTTCATACCTCCCACAGCTGTGACCCTCACAAAAGTCATCATCCCTGACTCCGCCTTCATCGACTAATTGTGCTGGTTTTGGACATTATGTATGCACTTTCATTGCCTAGATTCTTTGACTCAACCATATGTGTATCGGATTCATCCGTGTTATTTGTAGCAACAATTGCCTTTTCCTCACGGCTAGCGTATTCAGAGCCATGAATATTCTACCGTCTTTTATTCATTCTGCAGTCAAAGGACTATGCGATGTTTCCGGTATGGGAGAGACTACTGCTGTGAATATTATTGAACATACCTTTTGTGCATATATGGACATGGCTCTTTCAGGTGTGTACTTAGGAATGGAATTTCTGGGCCATGGGTAGACATCTGTTCACCTTTAGTAGATACTGTTGAGCAGTTTCCAAAGCAGCCATACCGATTTACCTGTGCTAGCAGTGTATGAGCGTTCCAGTTGCCTGAGATCCTCACCGACATTTGGGGTTTGTCGGTCTTTTCATTTTAGCCATCCCAGTTGGCATGAGCAGTACCTAAGTGTAGGTGTTTGCATTTCCCTGGAGACGAAAGAATCTGAGCACGTTTGCATTTGTGTATCAGCCAAAAGTTCTTTTGTGAAGTGACTGCCCGTGTACTTTGCCTAGGTTTAAAATTGGCAGTCTGTCTTTTCTTGTTTATTTGGAAGAATTCTTTATATATTCTGTATAGAAGTTATTTTTTGATGTAGGTACTGCAAATACCTTCTCCCACTCTTTGGCTTGCTTCTTCTCTCTTAATGGTCTTTGGAAAACCATACAGCATGACATACATATAGAAGAGTATGCATATCAAGAAGCGGGGCTCATGGCTCTTCACAACCTCACAGTGCTTGTGTAAATGGATGGAGAAATGGAATGTTAATAGGAGGCTCCCCTTACTGGTTGGCAACTTCTGATAAATGAAAGTTTTTCATTTTAATGTGCTCTGATTTGTCAGTGTTTTCCTTTAAATTAGTGTTGTTTATAAACTGCTTGAGAAAATTTTGCCTACCCCAAGGTCGTGAAGATATTATCTCACATTTTGAAGGTAATATCTCACATTTTCTTCTAGAAGTTTTATTATTTTACAGTGCAAATTCGCCATCCTTCTGGAGTTTATTGTGTACACTGTGAGGTACAAGTAGAGGGATCTCTTTTTCAGATAGATATCCAATTAATCGAGCACTGTTCACTGAAGAAACAACCCTTTGCCCAATGATGCCTTTGTCATCAGTTGACCGTGTATGTGTGGGTCTATTTCTGGACCCAATAAATGGAACATCTATGCTGTTCCATTGGTCTGTTTTTTTTAATATTTGCACCAATAATACCTCATCTCAGCTACTACAGTTTTATGACAAGTTTTGACATTCAACATTGTAAGGCTTCCAACTTTGTTGTTCTTTTCCAACATTGTCTTTGCTCTTCTTGGTTCTTTTCATTTCCACAGAAATTGTAGAATTAACTTGTAAACTTCTAAGAAATATCCTCTGGAGGTATTGGTAGGAATTGCATTGAATCTAATAGATAAAGAAGGGGAGAGTTGAAATTGCTATACTGAGTCTTTTCATCCATGAACACTTTGCATCTCTCTATTTATTTAGGCCTTCACTAGCTTTCTCACTATGTTCTTTACTGTGTATAGGTTTGTACATCTGTTAGATTTATTCCTAGGTATTTCATATTTCTATGCTATTGTAAATGTTTTTTAATTTTTATTTTCTAATTGTTTGTGGCTGGTTTATAGAAGTAAAATGAATTTTTGAATAGTGAACTCACTAAATTTACTTGTTTTTAAATTGTATCTGTAGATTCCTTTGGATTTTCCTCAAACATAATCATACCTCTACAAATAATAATAGTTTAATTTTTTCTTTTTCAATCATCATACCTTTGTTACTTTGTTTCTTTTCTGTCAATCTTCTTAGTCTTAATTCAGATTCATACTTCTTGGCCCCTTTCAATGAATCTGTGGTATTCTGTCTCATTAGAAGAAATCAGTAGGAATACCTGCTATGAATTTTCCATGAAAATTTTGAAGCATGTAAGTGTTTTCCTTGGACTCAGAGGTTCACAATCTCTGTTTATTTTTGCATTTTATTCTTTTGGGGATGTGTGCCCAGAATGTATCTATTGCTGAACCTACATTTTAAAACTATGTTACATAACTTCTGAAAACTTCATTGAGAATTTATTACTATAGTAGGTAAGTTGAAAACTCTAGATGTGGAGGATTCACAGTTTCCTAATGTATCTTTTCTGAAACCTGAAAGGTCAACACATTTGACTTCTAAACATACTTCCAGTGCAGAATTGATCACTAGTGTTATCTAATTATGGTTTGCTTCAATGATTTTTCAAAAAAATTTTCATTCAACTATTGTGTCAAAGGGAATATCATTTCAAATGAGAATTCAAGTTTCTAAGTAAAAGGTATATTTCTCAAATATATAATCAAAAAGTTTCAGGTAAAAAATACAGATCTTTTAAATAGATTTTAATACAGTCAAAACTTGAAAAGTATGGAGTTGAAAGATATTTGCTGCATTGATAAAGTTTCCTGGGGGACGCTGGATGTTTAAAGCAACAGTTTGATTGAATAGAACAATAAATGCAGGGCTGAGTGTATTTTTTCTCTTCTTTTTCATCTACTAGAAAAATATAGATAATAGAGCTCATTTATTTCCTTAACATTTCAGAGCTCCGCAGATGGGAAAACACAACCCAGTGGAAATGATTTCTGGCAACCTTGAGAAGATATGTTAGCATTTTGTGGCATTTCTCTCAGTGACATGTAAAGCATGGCTTTCCCTCATTGCAGTGTCACAGTGAAGTGTCACAATAAAGCCAAAATAGTGTGCCCTCAGGGAAAACTAGGAAAAGGGACCATTTTCCATGCACACACAAAGAGTAATATTTATTATAAAGCCTTTCATTTCAGCTCCAAATGCTGCCTGGGCCGTGGGTATTTTCCAGTGGAGAAATGCACAGAATGTGAGATTTAAAGCAAATGTTATGTGTAAATCTAATGCAATTTATGTAAATATAAATAATATGTTAAAAAGTAGAATGCCTTTATGGACATACATGCATTGCGTAAATCTCTGTAGCGTGCCAGGGAGAAAGCTTGCGATGCTGCATTAGCCAGTGTTGATGGAGTCCAGAGAGCCCTGAGCTGGGAGCCAAGACAGTTCCATCTTTACCTATTTTTGTCACTACTAGCACAGATGTTATCTCTTTTATCCACAAAACCTGTGATATAGAAGTTATTATTTCCATTTGGTAGATGAAGAATTTGATATTCCAAAAATTTAACTATCTGTTGCAGATTACACAGCTAGTATTACTTAAGTGATTTCACATACTCTTATTATCAAATACAATAGCTTATTATAAGCTAAACTTTTAGTTCTGATAAAAACCTTACATATCCTCTTCATCCTACACTCACACAGTTATTATTTGGACCCAAATCTTGAACTTTATTTTTATAGTCTTCAACTGCCATCTCATTAGGTTCATTCTCCTGCCCCAGGCTATGGACATTTTGGGAGTGTCTTAGTTTATTACTTTGCAAGGTGTTTCTCATTGCTGCAACTCAGTATCTTCTTCAGGCTGAATGACTGTTGTGTATATCCTCACTCAAATCAGTGGGCAAGGTCCTGTGGCAGGCATCTTTCTTCTAGTTAGAGAGGTTGCTGTTTCATCCAGGTTCTACTCTAACCAACTGTCAAATGCATACAGAAATCACCCACATCTATGTCCTTATGTAGTAAAATGGAGGAGAGGACGTGAGCTTTGGAGCCCTATAGACTTGGATTCAAATATTGGCCCCACTACTAGCAGTTAATGTGATTCGTTTTTATAAGTAAATTTGGATGATGATATTAACAAGATACAGTTTGTAAGGATCTTAAAGTCAGTATGAGTTCAGGCCCATTCATCACCGCAGTCGTCAAAGTCAGAAATGACTTTTTTTAATGACCAATTTTTTTATTAACCATCCCTGCCACCTGAGGTCTCATTGATCAATGCTTCCTGATGCCAAAAAATAAATCTCCTCTTTCTCCTTCTCCTCCTTCTTCAGTCCTGTTATGGAACATGCAGCATGAGAGCTCATTTTCAAGTGTGAAGTACACTATTGTTGACTCTAGGTACAGTGTTGAACAGCATATCTCTAGAGCTAATTCATCTTGCTTGACTGAAACTTTATGCCTGTTTGATTAGTAACTCTCATTTCCCCCTCCCTCATCCCCCGGCAACCACCATCCCACTCTGATTTTACAATTTTGACTATTGTAGATACTTATAGTGTAGTCACACAGCATTTGTCTTTCATTTGTCTGGCTTATTTCACTGAGAATAACGTCCTCAAGCTTCATCTATGTAGTTGCATATTACAATATTTCCTTCTCTTTAAAGAATGGAGAGTATTTCATTGTATGTATGCACCACATATCAATTTGTCAATTATTCATGGACATTTAGGTGGTTTCCACATCTTGGCTATTGGGGATAGTTGCAATGAACATAGAAATTCAATGAACATAGAAAACTGGGCAAATGTTCCTCAAAAATACAACTACCATATGATCCAGCAGCCCCACTTCTGGGTATTTATGTAAAAGAATTGAAATCGGGATCCTGAAACATCTTCACTTTAATATCCTTTGTTAGCTGTTTTCCCAATACCAATGTTATGCTTCAATTACTATGATTTTTAGAATCCACTTCCTTTCCCTGCTTTAATATCTGAATGACGTAGGAGCCTCTCCCATTTGCTACAAATCTTGGCTCATGATAATGGCTTAATGATCTTAGTTTTATATTTTGCAAGGATTTTTTTTGGTGGAAATTCATTTGACTCAGGATACTTTAACTATCCTTTTCATCCTACACTGACACAGTTATTATACTCTCTTCAGGAGGTTCAAGAGGTTCCTAGAGTTTCTCTAGGAACTCTATGCCCCTTTGATCTGTTTCTTCTGCCTCCCTGTTCAGCCCCTCAAAGCCAGTCTCCTTTGACAAAGAAGGCAAGCGTAAAGGTGTTTCCGCTTCTTTGTGCTGGCTCTCATTACATCATAATCTACGGTGTGGACTTGTATTTTCCTTGACAAATGAGCAGAGCAGTCCATGTTGGTCCTCACTTCCTGCCCCATCTTCTTATCATGGTGGTGTTTGCTCCCACAGTCATCTGGTTATATTCCATTTTGCTCCATATTCTGTACTTGGTTACTTTACATTTAGGTTCATCAGAGAAGTTTTGTGAAAGCACATTGCTTGATTTAGAAACTTCACTCTTCTTTTACCTATTACCTATCAGGGTGATTTTTAATTCTATACTTTTTAATCTTCTTAAAGACATTTCCAGCTGTCTAATTATTGCTTCTTCCAGGATCTTTTTTCTTCTTTCTTAGAAGAAATGACACTTTTACCCCCATTGGAAGTTTTTGAACCTACTCTTCTAAAGCCAAGAGTTCCTGTGTGACTATAACCGAATCATTTTCACGAATAGGCACCATCTTTTGCGTTGATGTTTGTAAAATAATGGTTTAAGGCCTTTCTTTATTTAGTAATATTCCTGAGGATTTAGTCATCTTTTAGAGATGGAGTAAGTCATATCCTTTTACTCTGAGTCTAGGATTCTCTTCTCTGGATCTTTTCATCTAAAGCTCCACATTTTTCTTCAAAGTACATTTAATAAATATCTCTTATAGACTCGCAGTTGGCCAAACCCTCTGATTTTCATGGATCTTGCCAAGAGAATGTTTGTCTTAACTTCACACATAGAGTGATCTGCATTAATTCTGAGTGAGCTATATGTAGGAAATCTATTTTGAAAGGGCCACCCTCAGGAACATTTCCAAATAAAACCATATGAGAACAGGAGTGAGGATAAACTGTTGTCCATTTTTGTGAAATCCAATCTTATTTCTCCTCCTTTTATTTGTTCTGTGTGCCAAGTGAGTGAGAATCAGAAGGCAGAATGCCATGTAGCATCTTTCCACTTTTTTTGTGTTTGATGACTGGAGATGGGGAGACAGGATGTTCATAGCTAGCCCCCTTGCTCTGTACTCCTTTCTTTTAAGTGAAAGTCCAAGATATGTGACATTTCAAGTTTGAGCCACAACTGTGGCAGAGATAAGCAGTTTCAGTAGCAAACAATTATTTGAAAAATCTTGTGATTTATCCATACTGGGCACATTTTTTTTTTGTATCTGGTGGTATATTTTTCACATTAGCTGTTTCTTAGGATTAGCAAACCAGTGCAAATCTTGTTTCATCCCTCCCTGGGTATTTAGTGTAGTGCCAAGCAAAGCACAGATTAACATATGCTTACTCAGGATTAAGGATGATTTAAAAAAAAAAATTCTTCTGATAAGCAGTAAAATAGAATCCACACAGTTCAGTGGAGTCCACAGATGGGATGTTTTTGTTAGTGCCAGTAACCAACCCTAAACCTCTAGTCCCAAGTTTCCAAAGGCTTTAGGTTAGACTTCATGAAAGTTAAATGCCAAACAGCAGTAAATGCTAATTTACCATATTCTTAATTTTCCTCAATCACTACAGTGTTGCCTATGATTGCTCCATGGCAAAGAAGAGAACAGCTGAAGATCAGGCTTTGGGGGTTCCAGTCAACAAAAGGAAATCCCTGCTAATGAAGCCCCGACACTACAGCCCAAAAGCAGACTGCCAAGAAGACCGCAGTGACAGGACAGAGGACGATGGCCCCTTGGAAACACATGGTCACTCTACCGCAGGTAGCAAGGAGGAGAGCCCAAACTTTACCTGCTCCCTGGCTCCAAGGACTCTGTGCTAATTCATGTAGAGTGTGTGGTTTGTATGGTTTGTATGGTTGTAAAAGTACATTAAGATTTGGAAGCAAAATGAAACATTTATTTTACTTGACATTCATTTATTGAGGACCCAGTTTTTAATCAGTAACTGTGGAGGGTCCATAAATAAGCAACAGAGAGTCTTGCCCTATCCGTTTTCAAAAGCAGACGATTGAACTATGCCTCTTTTTGAAGAAAATACAAGATACTAAGTCTTAGAGTTGAAGAGTACTTTTTCTTCCTAATAGGAAGGATTCCTGAAAGAATCCTTTAAATTCAAGGGCATATTTAAACTTTAAGACACCTTTGCAATGATCAAGTTATATATAATGTTCATTAGTGATGATGATATATATATGTATATATTACAGTTAAAAATTTTTTTTAATTTTTTTTATCAACATGTATGGTTTCTACTCCAAAATATAATTGGTAATAACAACATGAACCAATGCAAGTGGTCTGTGGCCTTAATATTTTTAATATTTTTGAATAAATGCTTATAGCAATCAAGTATAGAAGCAACCTCAAGTTGGCAGACTAGTCTTCTTCAGAAGGAGACTGAAGGAAAATGATGTATTGTAGAAAAGTTATCACTGTGCCCATTATTTCAAAAATAAGTTATTTAAGTTTCTCTTTAGGTGCACATTTTAGTTAATTGATTCGCTTCTTCACTTACTCATCAAACACCTTTTGTGTGCTAAGTGAAAAGTAGTTACGTTTCAAAACTTTAGGATTTCTTTTTTCCCCATTGAATGTTATTCACATTAGTTCCTGGTAGTCACATGCCTCTAGGAGTTTGAATATCACTGATCACTTTGTGCATAAGGCGAAGCTGAGGGACATGCAAAAACTCTCAAAAATTATAGAAAACAATTAAGATCTAAAAATTGACTTAGAAAATGAAACTAGATGTATATTCTACTAAACATGATTTTTTTCTGAATGTGAATTTTAAAGGAATCAAAATATACTAAATAACTTGTTATTTAAAAATAAGTACTAATTATGCAAACAAAAGGCAATGAGATTCTTATGTAATAAATTTTTATGGCATGTAGAATCATAGTTAGCAATAAGAATTAATAGAAAAGATTTAAGGGCTTACTTATGAGTGAGCACAAATCTCAGTTCAGAATCATCCTAGATCCAGTAATACTGGCTTGAAAATAGAGTTTGCAATTCTGCGCTTAAAACAAAGTTGTATTCTGATTTGAAGGTATTTAAGTAAATTCTTTGGCTTTTCTGTATTTAGCATGTGATTTAAAGCCTCATAGCTCATCTGTAAATTATAATCACCCTTGACTTTTTTTTGTTTCCTTGAACTGATCAACTTTATTTGTTTTGTTGTTGTTGTTGTTTTGGTGGGTTTTTTTTGTTTGTTTTATTTTGGTTTTTGGTGGTTTTTTTTTTTTTTTTTTTTTTTTTTTTTGATGGAGTCTCACTTTGTCGCCCAGGCTGGAGTGCAATGGTGGGATCTCAGCTCACTGCAACCTCCACCTCCCAGGTTCAAGCAATTCTCCTGCCTCAGCCTCCTGAGTAGCTGGGATTACAGCCACACCCAGCTAATTTTTGTATTTTTGGTAGAGACAGGGTTTCACTATGTTGGCTAAGCTGGTCTCAAACTCCTGACCTGAAGTGATCGCCTGCCTCAGCCTCCCAAAGTGCTGGGATTACAGGTGTGAGCCACCATGCCTGGCTCCGTTTTATTTGTTGATTCATGAAAATTTGCAAGTTGAATCTAGTATTAGGGAAAGTCTTTGAATCATTTGTGGTTAGACTTGCAGTATAATCCATCTAGCTAACATTAATTTGCCAAGTGTTTAAGAAAATGTGTGTGCGTTTGCATCAGCACATTCTTTTAAGTGTTGTGAAGACAGACTATATCTGGCTCACTGACTTGTCACCTTCTATTGTAGTTTGTTGACCACTGTACATGTTTGATATGAACCAAGTGAATATATTGTCCAGATGTCCTCCAGTTAAACACACAGTTACAAGCACTGATGGACATCTATTTGCAGGTTCACAAAAATAGGCTAACTATGTTTATATTTCATATTAGAACCACTAATAATAATAATGAATATGCTAAAATTACAGCAGTGGTGACCATTGTTTTTGAGTTCTTAATATATTCCAGACACGTAAATGATATCGATTAATCCACATAATGCCACGAGTGTGTGTGATTATGGGCACAGTTTTACAGATGAAATCATTGGGGACCAAAGAGATTTGACGCTGAAGGTAATGGATCTTATAGGTGTTAGAAGGAAGATAATTAGGAAACAATTGGAAGGACAAGCAAAATAATTATTTCCCAACTAACTATGCTCTGTAATTCAGTTGTCCTCACACACTGACTACCTTCAGAATGCAGAATGGTCAAAGTTCCTACAATGTCAAATCATGAAGTCACAGTTTCCAGTAATGGCAGGCCCCATGCCTGGTCAAAAGAACAAAGATTCTAAGTTGCCTTCAGCCCTCTGAACAAGTTACCCCCCACCCCCTAGGAGGAAAGAGCACTGAGTTAGTGCCCAAGTCAGCATAGGGCTTTTCATCTAGCCTCTCATGTACTCTGGTTACCCCAGGGTATTTACCTGGCCAGGTGTGTGCCCAATTATATCATCTGCAGCTGGGAAGCTCAGATGATGAGAGAAGGGATAGTGCTCAGGAAGAGACTGAGGTCAGGAGCTTGAATGCTAAAGTTTTATTCCGCTTTATGGCACAGACTTCATCCATATCCTCAACCTGCTGTCTTTCAAAAAGATACAGGTTGCCGTTAAGGGGATAGAAGAGAACATGGACAAACCATGCAGTTACCTCTTCCTTCCTGAGGAGACGAGCTTGCAAAGTACTACCAGAAGGGAGGAAGAGTGATAAGCACAGGCTTTCCTGACACAGGCAGGGAGAATGAAAGTCTCCGGAAGGAAGATTAACCAAGCCCAGGTGTGGGGTCCCCAGCAGCGTAACCACAAGCTCATGGGGAAATATGTCACAGTCATAGAAGTTCTAGGGGCTGGGAGGACACTTTTAACACATTATCTTTCAACTAATAGCAAATAAGGGATAAACCACTCTGCTTTCGGAACTTTGAAAGATGAATTCATTTTTCCAAGGCTTTTATTCCCAGCAAAATGTACATATTCAAGAGGCCTGGAAAACCAATTTACCTATAAAAGTAACCTAGCTAGTTACAGAAACAGAACTGAAATCCAATTATAATAACATCCAGTGTTACTAAAGGAGACAAACTCAAAATATGTTGTGACTTTCAGAGGATGTTTTAAAGTTGTATCTTTGCAGAACAGCCAACATCTATGCCGGGATTCATTAGTATGTATCTGTAGGATTACCAGAAAACTCTGAGTAGAGGTCTTGGTTTAACGTAAATAAATAACTGTGAACTTGTATGTATCAGGCAGAAACATTTACTTTTTACTCTAGAAATCATCCCAGCTCCAGCCGCTGCTCCCTCCCCACACTGTGAATGTGCTCCGGATGGAGAAAGGCCTGGACCAGCGAACAGTCTGCTCACTGGCTGGCTGTAACCCTCTGGTTATGCCCTCCCAAGAGCTGACCCTAGACATTTTTTGACCTATTAGAGTTTTGTTGTTAAGAAAGTTGAGGTTGGAACACTTTTAGTTTTTGTTTGGTCATGTTGTTTATTTTATTTATAATTGATCATCACCTTTCTTCTCATTGAAAGTTACCTGACAATTGGCCAGGCGCGGTGGCTCACGCCTGTAACCCAGCACTTTGGGAGGCCGAGGCGGGCGGATCACGAGGTCAGGAGTTCGAGACCAGCCTGACCTACATGCTGAAACCCCATCTCTACTAAAAATACAAAAAATATTAGCCGGATGCGGTGGTGTTTGCTTGTAATCCCAGCTACTCAGGATGCTGAGGCAAGAGAATCACTTGTACCTGGGAGGCGGAGGTTGCAGTGAGCAGAGATTGAGCCACTGCACTCCAGCCTGGGCGACAGAGGGAGACTCCGTCTAAAAAAAAAAAAAGAGTTAGCTGACAATTGCATTCTAGTAACTTCATATAAATTCACTCTTGAAAATATCCGAACTTGAGAAAATAATGAGCTACTAGTGTTCTTAGCTGTTTCTCCTAAGGGTCGCTGTGTTTCCAAAACACCAGCCAGGACATACAGCCTTCCATGGCTGTGGGACCTGGAGTAGTATGTTTCAGAGGGCAGAGCATGGAGTGGGAGCCACGCAGCCCTGGTCCTGTGTCTCAGTCTTGCACTGGCTGGGCATGTGGTCTCGAGCAAGCCTGGCCCTCTGTAGAATTGTAGTTTCCCTTCTGTGAACTGGAGTAGAAAATGCCTTTCTTGTGCTTATTGTGACAATTAAATGAAATAAACAGCTGAACACCATGCCAGGAACAAACAGTTTGTTGTCCTAGGAGGGATCCTTGAACTATCCATCCAGTCATCACATCATTGGATCTTCCTTGTTTTGAAGATGAGGACCCAGTCTCAGGCAACCAAGGGCCTGTCCAAGGTCACACAGCAGGTAGTGCCAGGCCAGCCACACCACCTTATACCCCTAGAGGTTTCTTCCTCCACATCGCATATCGTGCACTCACTCATAGTTTCCAAAGGCAGTTGGTGAACATGGCATAGTGTGCTGGGAGTGGGGATGAACTGAGTTGAGCCTTCTCAATAGTGGGACCCTGCCCGTCCTTGGGGGTCAATGTTAGTAATTATCCTAGGTAAAAAACTAAGCCCATCTTATTTATGATAAAGGTTGCATAGAATCCCTGCCACGACTACCTTCTAAAATAGTAGCTGGGGCAGGGGCAAGAGAGCCACCCTTGACTGGATACCTATTGGGTATTCCCGTGTGGCCTCCACAGGGTACACAGGGTGATAACTATTGTCCTCAATGTGCCTACGGTGGTGCCAAGCTCAGGCAGGTGACGCAGCCCCACCGAGCTTGCAAGAGAGGCCGCCAGGATCAGAACTCAAGCTTAGGTCCACCTGATGCTAACAACAGGGCTTTTTAGGTCAGTTCAGTGGCAGAGGCACAAAATAAACCACCAGGCCCCCAGAGAAAATAAACACACACAGCCTGAGAAAATGAAGGCAACCCATTGCAAAGCTGGGAGAAACAAGCACCCCATCACAGATCTCTCAGCTTCCAAAGCAAACCCAACTTTTTTTCTTATGACTCCAGTGAAAGCCTGGGAGGGGGGTGGAATGTGGAAAGTTGGTTTGCAGATTTGCAGAACATCCCTAGAAACCCGCGTGTGCTGTGCAGGCACCTCTGTCAGTGGGGCTCCTCTTTTTCTGAGGAATAATTAATAAATATTTTCTTTTAGCATATAACAAACAGTTGAACCAAACAATTATGTAAACTGGAAATGACCCAAAATGCGAGCAGTTGGCAGCAGCACAGTGAAATGCATTGTCGTGCACATGTGCATTTTTGTCACTCCCGCCTCTCTGGTGATCTGCACTTAATAGGAATATTTTAAACTATGTAGCTAAGCAACAGAGGTAATTGTTGCTTTCTAGAGCTTTTGTTAGCACTCTAACACAGCCCAAATATGCATAATTAGGTATAATGTCTATAAATCATTATCGTACACATGTGGGTAGTTAAGTGGAGTGAGAGAATAGTTCAATGAATTGAGCATATTCACTGAAAATGCTTTTTATTTGTTTTCTGTAGTTCATAATACTTTAAAATTATCATAACCCTTTACACTTTCTCTTAATAGCCAACTGTGATATTGAGAAAAACTTCATTTGCATTTTAGACTATGTTTAATATATTATTTAAACCTGGAGTTCCTCTGATATGAATTCAGGAGAGGATAGGCTATCCTATCAAATATTATGTGCCTGTTTATCCAGCCTCTTTTCTAGGAACTAAAATGTTAAATTTTTCAGTTTATGTTGAATAGATCCCAACAAAAGACTGCACCCTATAATCAGCATTATTTACAGGGGCTAGTGTTGTGACTGAATTCTTCCCTTCATCCAAAAATGCTTTTAGTTACTATGGCAATATTTACTTGATCCTGGCAGTCCACTGTTGATTTAGGGAGATAATTACCAGAAAGGAAGATGATGGAGATGTATTTTTGAGTGTCCTTGTCAGAGACAATGTTTATAAAAAATTAAATGAGACCAAAAAGACACATTGTCTTCCGCACAGACACTCTCTCCCTCAGTGCTCACACCGGATGGCTGTGCTTTTCTTCCCTCCAAAGATGTTTATTAGCACAGAATGCACTGCTCTTGGTGTCTTTAACAGTCTTGAATGGGGCATATTACTGGGTGCTTCCCATCCCCCCACCCTGCTTTTGAGACACAGAAACAGTCCTCCTATTTTTTGGATGTCTGGGCACTGTTGCAGGCACTTCACAGCCTGGTGTGAGCTGGGCACACCCCACGTGCCTGGGCCTGGGCTGGAGTCACCTGTGAATCCACCCTCACTTGCTGTGTCTTGCACTGGGACAGGCTTGGGTAGGCTCATTGTTGTCTATACACTCTGTCACCCCAACCTGGCCACTCCCAGAGCAAGAGGGGGTGACACTGACAACAATGGCTGCCTGGGACAACAGCCACCCCATAGACTGTCCTGGACCCTGGACAGACAGGCACTGGGGGCTCCTCACGGGGTGCCTTCACGTTCAGGACCCAAAGTAGCCTTGTACTGAAAACAGCTAGTTGCCATTCAGCACCCTCCAATGCCCCACCTTGTCTCATTTCCTTGTTACACAAGTGCATGCAAGTAATGGACCAGAAAATGTGTTACTATTCAAGATATGATTTGATCATGCTAATTTCCCTGTTTGTGTTTCCTTCAATATGGAATTTTAGGGTGACAATTACAAAGGTAAACAGGAAGTCTTGAAAGCCTCAGAAAGATGTATTTTGTATCTTAGCTAACATTCCATAAAATCTGAAAGTATGGAAAGCTAACATTCCATAAAATCTGAAACCAAATGGCTTTGAAAATACATTGCCATGCTAACAGAGAAACTCATTAATATCTCCTTTACAATGTATACTATTATATATATTTGATTTTCTTCTGGTTGGCTAAGAGTTAGGAACCTAAGAAGTACAGTAACAATAATTTCACATTCAGCAAATACTATTATTGTTAAGTATCTACTTCTTGTCTTGGTCAATACCCCAGAAGTACTTACCTCTTAACATGTTGGAAATTATAATAGCTCATTTCTTTTAACACAGTTCTTAGACTATTAAGGTCTAAGTTTTCTCTTAAGAGGATATATGTTTTTCTCACCAATGTTTATAAAATTAATAGAGATGATATATTACACATATTATGTATGTATATGTGTACATATATGTATGTGTATGTACCTATGTATGTGAATGCATATGTTTATATACATATAACTTGTTGCAATTTTCCTAAAATATTTTTTGTTCTTGCTCTTCAAATATTGGTTTTCTTTTTCCATAGAGGAAATCATGATAAAACCTATGGATGAAAGTCTTCTTTCAACTGCACAAGAAAACTCCAGTAGGAAGGAAGACAGATACTCTTGTTATCAAGAGCTCATGGTCAAGTCTTTAATGCACTTGGGGAAATTTGAAAAAAATGTATCTGTTCAGACTGTAAGTGAAAATTTAAATGACAGTGGCATCCAGTCTTTAAAAGCAGAGAGCGATGAAGCAGACGAGTGCTTTCTGATTCATTCTGATGATGGAAGAGACAAGATTGATGATTCTCAGCCACCCTTCTGCTCCTCTGATGACAATGAAAGTAACTCTGAAAGTGCAGAAAATGGCTGGGACAGTGGCTCCAACTTCTCAGAAGAAACCAAACCACCTAGAGTCCCAAAGTATGTTTTAACAGATCATAAAAAAGACCTATTGGAAGTTCCTGAAATAAAAACTGAAGGTGACAAATTTATCCCTTGTGAGAACAGGTGTGATTCTGAAACAGAAAGGAAAGACCCGCAGAATGCTCTCGCAGAACCCCTGGATGGCAATGCCCAGCCCTCATTCCCTGACGTTGAGGAGGAAGATAGCGAGAGCCTGGCAGTAATGACGGAAGAGGGTAGTGACCTGGAAAAGGCCAAGGGGAATTTAAGTTTGCTGGAGCAGGCAATTGCTCTGCAGGCTGAGCGAGGTTGTGTTTTCCATAACACCTACAAAGAGCTGGATAGGTTCCTGCTGGAGCACCTAGCAGGGGAAAGGAGGCAAACCAAAGTTATCGACATGGGTGGAAGACAAATCTTTAACAATAAACGTAAGACACATTTTTGCATTTATTTTAGGAATAAAAGTGCATTAGGGTTTGAAAAAAAAGTCAGATTTGATTATTTTTTTCAGGTAGCTTTTTAACAGTTTAATGCAACTTAAAAATCAATTTATAATTATAAAATAAACAATTTCTTTCTTTTCCCCCACTCTCTAGATTATCCTCCAATCAAGCTGTGTTAATTTTGGACTATTTTCACACATGAAAAAAGGTTCATTGAATCTATTTCTCTTAATTTAACTGTTTTTTATAAATGCATCATACCTTTAGAAATAACTTTATTTGACATTATTGGAAGTACATCAGTATTTACTGGATCTTAAATCTTCCAGAAACTTAATTTTTCTTTCCCACCCTCATTCTTGGATTATCTAACTTGCTAGCCAGGCAGGATGCTCTGGTCCTTTTTGGGATAAACCTAGATGTTAATGCGTTTATGAGCCTACGCTTTCACTGGCTTTCTAACTCGGGGCTCATACATCTCTGGGACAAATTTGAATGAGAGAGTAGGTGTGCTTTGAGGAGGCTTTAGAATTGTTCTTCAGACCTTGAGAAAAGTGTGTTCCTGCTTCCCTGGAGCATTCCCCCTGCTCTTTCTCCCCGGAGTCTTGCACCAGATGAGCCTCATGCTATTTCTAGCAGTTTTATGGAGCTTCCCAAGAGCAGTCCTTAGTGCCTAGAATGCTTGTTTAAGATGAGTATTTTCAGATCCCATCATCATCAGTTCTCCAGCATTTGCATTTTTTTCTCTAAGTTTCCAGGTGATTCTTGGTATCTCTGAAACCCGAGAGCCACAAAATTAGGGAGAGGAGTACCTTAGAAAAAATCAGGGCAGTGGACCCAAGGAGCTTACAAGAATAACATGTTAGTGTGGTTGAGAAGTTCTGATTGCTGAGAGTTATCCAGAAACAAATTATATATTTTGTCATTTTAAATCCATTTTAGCACTCACCTGCAATCTTGACAAATAATGTCTTGCATCTCAGAGCTGAGAAAACAAAAAAGGATAAAACGGTGTCATGTAGTGAGGAGCAAGATAATGCCATGCAAACATCCTGCAAGGGTTGGAGTGGGAACAGAATATTAATGACTAGCCTGTGGTTCAGGGCAGGACACTGTATCTAGCTCTGTGCACTCCCACTAATGTGCAACTTATTGTATTTAACTTTTTAAGTAAACTACAAAATCAGAAAAAAAAATGAAATTTACTCAAAATTCCCGAAATCCACAATTTCTGATATACTATATATTATTGATCTTAAGAGATATCATTTCTCCATTTTTATTTATTTATTTATTTATTTATTTATTTATTTATTTATTTATTGATTTTTGAGTTTTGCTCTGTTGCCCAGGCTGGAGTGCAGTGGCGCCGTGTCGGCTCACTGCAAGCTCTGCCTCCCAGGTTCCATTCTCCTGCCTCAGCCTCCCGAGTAGCTAGGATTACAGGTGCTCACCACCACAACCAGCTAATTTTTGTATTTTCAGTAGAGACGGGGTTTCCCCGTGTTGGCCGGGCTGGTCTGGAACATGATCCATCCGCCTCGGCCTCCCAAAGTGCTGGGATTACAGGTGTGATCATTTTTCCATTTTATCATCTCTGAACTCAGAAGAGTATGCGATAGTTTAATTACCAATCATTTTTTTCTTTCTAAGTAGCACACAAAATGATGATTTCTTTTGTTTTGTTAAACAATTGATGATACCTTACAGGCAATGAAACCTAGTATTTACAGAAACTTAATTATTTGAGCCACATCTTAAAGTATTTGATGATCCTTAGAATAATTTTATAGAGCTTTTGAAACTTCTTTTTTTTTGTTTTCAAAAATTCAGGACATATAATCTGTGTTTGTAAACATTTGGGCCAATTGGAGGCTTACCGAATTCCTACTAGGGCTGGATGACTCAGCGGTATATCCTAGTGCCTGAGGCATGGGGGCAGCCTCTGCAAGATCAAGACCAGGCAGGCTAGTCAGCAAAACAGGTGAAGAAGGTGAAGCCCACATTGAAGAAGAGCCACAGGCTTAGTCTAGAGGAGGCCTGCAAACTGAGTATTCCCTTTCCTATTCCTTGTTCCCGATGTGGGATCCAATGGCACAAGAAGGATGTTTTTTCTCTCTGACATGCACTCCATGCTGTTAAGTCAATGCTTATCCCAACTGACAGCCATATTCTCCAAAATACCAACCTAACCTCCCAGACAACACCTTGACCATGCAACTTCACTGTTAAGGAGAAAACTCAAGAGTTTTAAAATCTCATTTTACCCCAGCTTTCAGATGAGTCAGCAATTCTAAAATTAGTTTGGTTAGACTCTTGCCACTAAGCATTTAGTGAGATTTAGGTTGCAATGTAAGTACAGTCGCCCTGTCATTGACTGTCCTGCCTATGAAAAGGGGAACACTATGAACCATTACATGAGTACATCAGGTGTGGATGAGGACAGTCCCAGGAAAACCAAGGTGTAACATCACCAGAGTATAAGGTCACCCTCATTATGCAACATTGTACAAAGAAAACAGAGGAAGAGCCAAGCCTGAGAGTCGCCCCAGGCTCAAGCTCTGGCTTCTTATCATGCAAACAGGTTCTGCTCTCCAGAGCATTTCCCTGCATCTTTGTTTCACCCAGCAGAGGAGGGACTTACAGACAAAGGGGCACGGTGGACTGTCAGTGGGCTGCACTTGGGCAGGAGCCAGGCTGCCTTATCTCTAGCACCCTCTCGGGCTTCCTGCAGACAAACAGTGTGGCGAGGAGGGGAAGTGTGCGACGCCAATCCTTTCAATGTGGTTTAGAAACGTGACCTTACCTGGGCAAGGTCCAAGAGAGGAAGGGCATCGAAATACACATTATTGCTCTTCTCCTTTTTTTCTAACTTACTCTCCTATGGTGTCAGCTCCCCTCAGTTCCCCTAATCAGACTTTAAGAATTTGGACCTAGTGGTCTACAGATTTCACATCAACTTGAAATTTGGCACTATTTTTGGATTAAATAAAACATATATCCACAAATCATGGAGCATCACAAAACTCTTAATTTGTCTATTACGAAATGCAGAGAGAATAGTATCGACACGGGCACATTTAGGTCCTATCTTTCCTAATGTAAATGCCTGCTGCTGGCCGCAGCCCCATCATCTGGCCGTTCGTTGCTCATTTAAGACTTCCTGCCTTGTCTCCTGACCTCCCTGACCCTCAGCGCAGAACGACTCGAAGGATCCTTGGCTCTTCCGCTTCTGCTGAATCCATGCCCCCATATAATTGCATTACATACAACCTGCTGTGCCCCATCTGCCTAGGACTGTTTATCATCCAGCAACTGGGGTGCCATGGTATGGCAGAGGCACGTCTGCTCTCACAATACAGCACCCCGGAAATGTCTGTCGCATCCCGTGACAGTGGCCAGACTTCGTGCCCCGTTGCACAGGAGCACACGAGGCTCCGCACCCTCGCACGCAGGCCCCATGTTCCAACGTCAGCATCTTCTCGGGCAGGACCACACTGCCTGTTTCCACTATCAGCATCTAGTGTGCTCATTATTCCTGAGGCCTCATGTTGCAGACCCCGATAGCCTCCTGTCCTCCTGCATTGCCCCTCTCTGAGGGCTCCTGTGCATCTTCTCATGCTCTTTCTTCTCCGTGCCCCAAGTGCCGTGGGACAGGCTCTCCCCATGGTTGGTGTTATTCCCAGCACAAGTTAGGGGGCAATTTGGGCTTTAAGAGTGCATCTTTGTTTCACCTTTATCTGCCATCTCAGTCATGAATGTGAACATTTCTGAATAAGGCCTCATCTGTGTTAGTTCTAAGCTCACCAGTATTCATGTTTGGTCCTCATTTATTGTATATATTTATATAACTTTTTAAGTTGTGGCAAAGTGTGTGCCAGAAAATCAAACCCCAAGCTTGTCTGGAGCCTCACCCTCCCCAGGCACCCAGAAAATGCATGAGCAGGTGCCCCTTACCATGACCGGCTGCTCCCGTGGGCCCCACCCACACTGGTGTTCCTGGGGGTGCTCTCTGGACCGCTGCTCGGTGGCCTGCACTCTTTGCACTTCTATTTTCTGGAAGTCTCCTGCAAGAACATTTCCCTTCCAAGTCTTCCTGCTGCCTCAGTTTTCAGATTCTGCATTTAGAGTGAGATCAGCAGCTTCTTCCCCGTGCTCACTGCATGCTGAACCCAAGTGGCAACCCGTGGGGGTGTTGGAATCTCGAGACCGTGAATCACTAGCACTGGACAGACAGGACACAAGCCAGTGTCCTTGCCCTGTCCTAACTCCGCCAGCTGCTCTGCAGGGAGCAGGCTCTGCTCTTCACTACCAAGCCCAAGGACCTGCAGGGCCAAGGCCAGACAGGTCTTTCTCAGATATGGTGGTTTCTTTGTTTTTGTCATTTTGAGTCTGGCTTTTTCTAGACTTTCAATAAGAAATGGTTTTGGTTTAAATAAATTCTGTCTCACTATTTTTTCTTTTCGGGAGCCTGTTCATCCCCTAGCACAGGGTTGATTTTTCATAATGAGGCTCTAACTACAATATGTGACTTGACGACTTAAAACCATCTCTGTATTTTAACACTCTCTTGCCCTGTGTCAGCCTTTACTTAGGAAACCAAGAAAATTGAAAACATGTTTTCCGTTTCCACAGGTCTTAGTTGAGGGTCTTGTTCAAGGCGATGTGAGAAGAATGTTTATAACGGTAAAACTGAATAAAGTGAGAATGTCACCCTGCAAGGCCATTCTATTGAATGGGAAGAAAAGCAAGAATAACCAAATGCATTTCTCAATTGAATTTCTCCATAGATTCACCAAGGCCTGAAAAGAGGGAGACCAAGTGCCCGATCCCTGGATGTGATGGCACGGGACACGTGACAGGGCTCTACCCGCACCACCGCAGCCTTTCGGGGTGCCCCCACAAAGTGCGGGTTCCCCTGGAAAGTGAGTACCACTTGTCCCTCAAAGCTTCTGCTTATGCACGCCAGATCATCAAGATGTTATCCTCTTTGTCTCCCAATTTGGAATTAGGAATGGAAACAAACTTTTTTAAACTATGTCAAGCCAATTCCATCTAGCTGTGGGTTTTAAAATATAGTGTATTTATAGAAAATTCAAGGTGCAAGAAAGCCAACAGATCAAGAGACAATTGCCATAGGAAAGACAGCTAGTTCCTCACAGTGTCCAGAGGAAGGGCCAGGCCACAGCACAGAGGGCCACACAGGAAAGCACCAGGGAGTTCAGGGGTAGAGGGAGTGCGGACAGTGGGCCAGAGTCTTTATGGTGGTTTCTGATGGGATGGGGTAAGCAGCCTTAGGACTGGCCAGTTTGACTGATTTCAGCAGGCTCGAGGGCATAGGGGCTGTCCCTAGTTGTCTGGTACCTGCCTCTGGAGCAATCAGGGCAGAAGAACAGTGCCCCAGAGGGTGAGCGCCCAGTAAAGGAGGTAGTTGGGCTGTGGGTTCCAGATTGGCTGGATTGCATTTTTAAAGTGTGCTTGTGGGAAAGTTGTTCATTCTCTCTGGGAATTGGCTAGCCTGGGAGGGGCAGTCCCTCCAGAGTTAGCAAGGCCCCAGATGTTAAATCACCAGAATATAAAAATAAGTCATGGTTATTAAACTGTGTGACTACACAGTTCTGTTTCACCTGGAGGTATGGATTCCTTAAGCTCAGGACCAGTCAGCCTTGACGCATCACAGAGCAGTCACCATGGTCCTCCTGGCCTCCTCTCGCAATGGGAATATACTCCTTGGTGTTGTCTCAGGACATCCTGCAGCAGTGGAGGGCCCTGAGTAGGAGCAAGCCTTGGCCCCCTCTCCACCCTCAGCCCCGCTGTGAGCTATCTACTGGCAGTGAAGCAGAGGGCTGCCACCTTCTACATTGTACAATATCGACCTGTTACATCTTCCACTTTGTGAACCTACCTATTGACACATCTTTTGGGCCAAAACAAATTGCAAAAATGGAAGTGCTTAACATCATTCTTCTCAAAAGTGAGATTTTGCAAGTCACTAAGTCTAATCAGCTCAGTGCTGTCCTGCCAGTTTAGCAGTTCCTCAGACTGGTTCTCTGGCTCTTCGCTCAACCATACTTTTCTCCCAGTAACCAAATGGCAGTGGGGTGTGGGGAGTAGCGGGTGGATGGACAAAGAATCAAAATGATATCACTTAGAAAATAAAGAAGACCATACGCAGAACTTCAAACTGCAGGGAAAAGATAGAAAGAACTATATGACAAACGGCATGCTCCATCCATCCCCCAGGGAAAATCACATTCAGGTGATGGGAAGGTTACAAGTTTTCAGTTTACGTTAACTATAAGCAGAATCATCTCACTGAAGTCTAGTGTAAACACAACGTGGAGTTTAGAGAAATTACAACTTGATCAAGCTTGCTGGATTTAATTTCTGAAGTTCTTCCATGCTCACTTGTTTGTGTCTGAATAGAGAGAGAGAGCATGGTGGATGATGGAACTGAAGTCATTTAAATGCAAAGTTGAGAGATACACGTGTTAGTGTGCTTTGTATTTATGGTAAAGTATTCTTTCCTTTATGTGTTGTTTTGTGCTTAGTTCTTGCCATGCATGAAAATGTGCTCAAGTGTCCCACGCCGGGATGCACAGGAAGGGGTCATGTGAACAGCAACCGCAACACCCACAGGAGGTAATTCTCATTAGATGATAATCATTTTGCATTTAAAAAATGTGGTAGAAACGTTCCACCAATAAAATAATGGGTTACCAATGTGTGATGAAAATTGCTGCATCACTGTCCAATATGTGACACTTGAAATAGAGAAGAAATATTCTCAGCATGTGCATTGTCAAAAAGAAAGGACCTCATCATTTCCTTTCTTAGAAATTTGTATATTAGCAACCAGTTATGATAATGAAAAAATATTATATTTGAAGTTGCTGTGGTTACCTATTCATATAATCATACAAATAGAATGTGCTGTCTTTTGCTCCAGAACCTCACCATTGCTGTTTTGACATTGCAAAGAGTTGCTTCTAGGTTATCCTGGATCCTGTCCAATAGACATTAAAAAGGTACCAACAGGGCTTCAATGGTTGTAACTATAAATCAGGTGTAGGGTAAACATCACTTCACTGAAATTGCAACTAGCATAAGACATACATATGTGCATTTACATGAAAATGTATTGTGTGTCTATAAATATTTGGGGTGAAAATGCTGATTGTTTGATATTCACATTTTATATTACAAGTCGATTATGTGGCGATGAGGTACTATTTGACTTATAAGCACTATGCCAGCAAACTTCACATTCTGCACTTTGAATTTCAACTAAGGTGAAAAACTGAGTTCCTAAAATTTTTCTAAAGATGCTAAGATAAGTCAAGGAGTTATGCTAACTTCTCGAGTTGGATACATTGCAATTGGAATGAGCACATTCACTTAGAATATTAAAAAGTTTCCAAATGCTTTAGTTATTTATCCCTTACATAATGTTTTGATGTTTAAAAATGAGTTTGTTACCTTTCACCTCTGAGATGGGGATGGGAGCAAGTGTTGACACTGTAGTTTGCAAAACCCTTTGGGATCTTTCAGTGTGTGCGTGGTGCTAAGTGAACTATTAATATGACTTAACATTTAGTGTGTGCCAAGTGTGCTGTGAGGCACATGCCAAAACAAATCATATTATCATTTTAACTAAAATCCTCCTGTGTTTCTTTTTTTAAACAGTCTTTCTGGTTGTCCAATTGCTGCAGCTGAAAAATTGGCAATGTCCCAGGATAAAAATCAGCTTGATTCTCCCCAAACTGGGCAGTGTCCTGACCAGGCCCACAGGTATGAACCCCTAACGATGTTCTCAGTGCTCTCTTCATCCAGGCTCCTGCACAGCGGGGCCTCTGGTCCTTCATGAGTCAGTTCTCTGTGGCTTGACCTCCCCTCTCAGCCCCAGTAGACCTGGGTGTGCAGCCCACTCCACTAGACCAGAGGCTGGTCTAGTTAATGACATCGTTGCTGAAATGAACTACTAAACTCTCCAGAAGTTTAACTTGAAAGTCATCTCTTTGCAAAGGTAACATAATAGGGGTGAATCTAAAAGAATTAATATACCATAGCCTACATTAATCAGAATTGTGGGTTACTAAGTATACCCACAAGTCAGATGAGCACTCCTTCATCACCTTTCTGCCTGGAGAAAATGCCATCAGAAGTCACTCCTGCCTTTCCTAAATATGTACTGTTATATATTCATCCTTCAGTTCCACAAACACATATAATGTATTTAAAACAAAAATTCATTCCATGATTGACAGCTATTAATAAAGTATCTCCTATTGGTCCTGGTAGCTCCCAGCCTCTTGGTGATATCTAGAAATTTGGAAGATTTTATATCTAAATACTAAAGTATATATGATGATATTTAATGTAAAGTTATATGTTTATTGCCATAAAATCATTTTTGTAGGGAAAATGATTTCAGGATTAAGCTAGATGATCAGATAACTATTGTTACTGAGTCACTGAAATATAAAACCAGTTATTAGACATTTCAACGTTTTCAAGATACGGCTTCCCTTAATATTTTGCTTCTATAGATTTGATGAAGAGTCAAAATTGGCATTTAAATCACATGCGTGAAGAACATATGTCAAGTGAAAATTATGAATTACTGAATAAGTAGCAATTAAAAGTCTTAAAGTAAGATTCTTGGTTGGTATGACTGTACACTCTAGTTTCTCCCCAAGTAAGTTAGTTAGCAAATATAGAAAGAATATTGAATTTCATTTTGCTCATTTCTTAAAAGATTAATATTGTTTTAGATTAGAATATATATGCAGATTTAAGGCTCTAAACCAAGTTATAAAGGCAATAAGATCAACTAGTTGCTCAGATATTTTTATATAGCAGCTAAAAAGTTTTTGTAAAATCTAATCCAAAAAAAACTCATTGGAAACTTTGGCATTCTGATGAGTTTGACAGTTTTTGGTGGAAAAAAGAGAAAAATATATTTTTTAATATTGTTAAATTTTGAAAGGTATATTTGTTTATGTTCTCTTACCATTACACCACAGCAGAAAATCATTTGTGTTTTATTTGGCTGGAATCAGTGCTACACAAATCTGATGCCCTTGTTTAATCCAAATAACAACCATTCTAAAAGAATATATAATTCACATTTAGCTTAGATTGTGATAATTATGTTGAAAATGTGATAGATATTATAATACAGTAATTTTGATTCATATTGAGATGATGGCAATTCAATCGATAAAATATTGAAGTGCCATTTAAAGTATTACTTAAATCAGCAAAAACATTCTGACTGAAGGCAGGGAAAAAAGGTGAAAAGCCCAGGAAGAAACTCCCAATTCAGGAATCAAATCTCTGGTGTCTGTACTGCCCCTCTTAGGCATCAGATTTCTGCCAGCTCTGCAGGACTGAGCAGAGCCTAGCATCACTTCTGAACAGAATATAATGACACTTGCTCACTGGTCACAATTGTGACTATTCATTGCCAATCTAATGAACAATTCTAACAAGCAGAATGTGCACACCTTGTCAGCACCTTAACCAGTATTTACTGATGGTAACATGGCTTTTTTGTTTTTTTTGAGATGGAGTCTTGCTCTGTCTCCCAGGCTGGAATGCAGTGACATGATCTCAGTTCACTGCAACCTCCGCCTCTTAGGTTCAAGTGATTCTCCTGCCTCAGCCTCCTGAGTAGCTGGGATTACAGATGTGTGCCACCACACCTGGCTAATTTTGGTATTTTTAGTAGAGACAGGGGTTTCACCATGTTGGCCAGGCTGGTCTCGAACTCCTGAGCTCAGATGATCCACCCACCTTGGCCTCCCAAACGGCTGGGATTATAGGCGTAAGCCACCGCACCCACCTGACATGGATTTCCTTTAAGAACTTTAAAAACTCAAAATGCTAATAAGCATCAAATATCTGCTCATGATATCTTCATAAGATGAATGGAGGATTGCATATTCTTAATTTGCTGATGGGAGGACTAGGACCCAGAGTACGCAGCATCATGTAGTGATGTAGAGCCCAGAGCATCTTTCCATCTCGCCCTATGGGTCCGGAGCATGCTGCTCTGTCCTGCCATGGCCCCGTCTCTCTTATTGTTCAGTGTCTCTGTGGATACCTTCAGGAGTGACACATGTATCTACTGTAAATTCTGACACTAATGTGCTCACCAGTAGTTTCATTGTATTTCTTTTGAACTGCTTCACCCCCCTCTCCAGGACAAGTTTGGTGAAGCAAATTGAATTCAATTTCCCGTCACAAGCCATCACCTCTCCCAGAGCCACAGTGTCAAAAGAACAAGAGAAGTTTGGAAAAGTACCATTTGATTATGCCAGTTTTGATGCCCAAGTTTTCGGTAAACGCCCTCTCATACAAACAGTGCAAGGACGAAAAACACCACCATTTCCTGAATGTAAGCTTTGAGCTCTAATGCCGTTTCCCCAAAATGCTTCTTGTGTATGGGTGTATGTGTGTACTGGGGGCCAGGGGGCTGTACTTAAATATATGATATACTACATACAGCTGGCAGGAGAGAAAATATATTCAAGTGAAATACCATAAAGAAAACGATAATAAGTTGATCAATGTTATTGATTTTATGCTGAAGTTACACATAATATAGTGAATAGTTAATGAATTAATTATTCTACAAATATGATGCTATTGTTGAATCTAAGTACAATAATTCTAAAGAAATATTTAACTCACAGTTAGCTGGAGCTTGGATTACTATATTGAAAAATGTGATGACTGTTGTAATGCAGTAATATTTATTTGTATTGAAATTATGGAAATCTAATAGGTAAAATGTTGAAATGCTGTTTAAAATATTATTTAACTCAGCAAAAGCATTCAAACTAAAGGTGGAAGGGAAGGTGAGAAGTCTAAGAAACAATTTGAAAGTCAGGATTTTACTATAATAGAAAAAATTGTGTGGCTGTGGAAATCTTTACTCCCAAACTGAAGCATGAATATGGAAACACTTAAAATACATTAATATTCTTTAATGCTAACACATCCATATAGAAGACCATAACTCAAATATGGTATAGTGTATGAAACCTGGTGTTTTTTCTTCTTACACATTTCTTCAGGTTGTTGGGGTCCTTAAACATTCTAATGAAAAGGTGTGAAAGTAAATATTGGGAACCAATAGAGGTCATGATTTCTTCATTATGGTCACTTAACTTCCACAAAGGAAAGAGCTAAATAATGTGCACATTGAGTTCTCCTAGACAATGAATTTTTTACAACATTCTGCATAGCCATAGAATCCCTTTGAACTTGCACCAGGCTATGGAAACTGAGTGGTCTTAAGAGCACAGAATGTTTACCTCATTATGTGATGCTGATGAATTCTTTCAGAGAACTAGAATTTCGTGTAAAACCCAGTAGTAAACAGACTTGAAAGGAATTTGCCTATCAGGGAGAGGTACATTACATTCTAAAAGATATTTTACCTAATCTTACCAAAAATAGCTTCCAACTAACATAAATAACCACTAACAACCTGTTAGATTTAAGGGAAAAGTTGTACACACACAGTTTTATATCTATCTATCCATGCAATTTTGTGTGTGCCTATACAGATATACAATTTTATTATATATACACACAATATACGTACATACATATATGTTTAATTCCAGCGAAGCTAGTTAATAAGAGCATTCAATGTACTCATATAGTACGGACATTGATTTTTAAAAGTGCAAAACATTCAGTGACATTTTCATATTCTTGTAATTATAGAAATATAACATTTGCCAGTGTTTTAAGTTTTGTTTTATGAAAAGAATCAAATATTTAAAATAAAAAAATTTAATATAAAATAAAAAGCTAAATGCTTTTATATTAGCTCACATTAAATCTTGAGTGTTTCTCCTGTAACCTGGAGTGATGTTTACAAATACTCAAGAATGAAGAGAAATATGTTTAATTCTATCTCTCAGTAATGCCTTGGTACCCACAACAGAAACATAAAATGGAAACTCAGCCTTGATAACTAAATTGCCTTTCTGTTCACCTTGAGAACATTTCCTGCCTGCCCTTTATTTATCTCTCTCTCCCTAAATATGCCAAAATGCCAGCTCATTAAAGACTCCACCATCTATTTAGTTCCATCTAGTTGGATGAAGAACAACTTCTACTGGTTTAAGGACAAAACAAGCCTGCATATCAAATAATAAAAATACAATTCCATGTCTAAGTAGAAATTGTTATTGTGAAAACAAATATTGAAAGGACACATTTTTTTTTCCGCCACTGGAATCACCGGTCCTCACATATATGCAGTTTTCCAATGGGCATGCCTTAAACTCTCTGTAGTCCCTGGGAGGTTTTGCTAGTGTGTTTTTTTATCTACAATTTTTGCCACAAATGTTGCCAGTGCACCTGCCCCATAACATTAGTTATGGAGTTTTTGTCATAAGAAGCGTAAATACAAAAATATTAAGAGAATAGGTATTCTCTCCCAGCAATTATGTCATTTGTTCTGTGAATCTCTGTGAAAACCGGTCTGGATAACCTTCATTTAATGTTCCCATGGATAATGGAACGTGTTTTAATTTATTCTTCACATATTTTAATGCAAGAAGTTACATTTTTAAAAAAAACAAATCTGTTTAATGACTAAAACCATGTACATGCAATTGCTAATCAAATCTCTCTTCAACAGCAAAGCATTTTCCAAATCCAGTGAAATTTCCTAATCGACTGCCTAGTGCAGGCGCCCACACCCAGAGCCCTGGCCGTGCCAGCTCTTATAGCTACGGTCAATGTAGTGAAGACACCCACATAGCAGCAGCTGCTGCCATCCTGAACCTTTCCACCCGCTGCAGGGAAGCCACAGACATCCTCTCCAACAAGCCACAGAGTCTGCATGCCAAGGTAGGCCAGTCCAAGAGCCCGGAGGGTGGGCCAGCGACTGAACTGTGAGAATAAACTGCCTTTCATGTTCCTAACTACATTCACTACCACTCTGCTCCCCAACCTCTGAAGCGATCCCCTCCCTGTCTCAGGAAGAGGCTCAGAGGAACGCAGGCAGGGATGAGCTTGGTGGGGTCAAAGAAGGATGAAAGTGTGCACATCCTGCTCTGTGGCTCCTCTTGAAGTTGGGGTACCAAAGTTTGGGGAGAAGTGAGTTACAGAGATGGGTTGGGGAGAATTTACACATTTCAAAGCTGTTTTTGCTATGGGGAATTTGGCACACAAGAAAAGAGGATTGCTATTAAAATAAATCTCAACAATGGAAGCTTTTCAGTGTCTGCAAATCAAAGAAGGTAAGAAATGTGTGATCAAATGGTGACTTGTGAAACATTTGCAAAATTGACCCATGAAATTTTATCATTGCATTTGTTACTATTGTGTAACATAAGATAGTCTAAGTTGCCACAGTATTCTCCAGAGACACATGGTAGAACATGAATACATTAAATCAACAGGAGATGATTCAGGGAGGGTTGAGACCTCAGGGCATTCAAATACAAAATCACATTCTGTGAAGTTTTAAAAACACCACACTTCTGAAGCCCATGAAATTAATCACATTTCTCCAATACCCTCTCCTTTCCTCCCCAATTGACAATAAGAAGTAATTTTATGAAAACCAAAAAACAAAGATCCTTCATGCCCTTTGACAGCAAAGGGCTTCTGATGCCACAGTCACAGCGATCCACAGAGCTTGTAAAAGTGGCTCAGCCATTTGCACCTGCTGTCAGCTGGAGCAGGAACTCCTATTTACAGAAAGTGCTTCAGTTCAAAGAAATGATTTCCCTACCTAGATGGCTGAAGCCACTGAAATAAGTTGCCTAGACTTACTTGAGAATAAATGTTACCCTGCTTTATGTGGAAGATTTTCTGCATCAAATGCTAACCCTGAAACCTGGGCACTTGAAGACCATGGCTCCTCTTTTCCCCTTTAAGTGTGCCGGTCCCCGGCATGGTCAGCTGCTGCCTGTGCTGTGCCAGGCCTTCAGGAGAGCAGGTAACACGGTGCCACTGAGCATTTGACAGAAGAATCAGAATTAGCTTCTGGACAAAGCTGAGCCAAGTAAACCCCAGGAAGAGTTGGTGGCCAAAAACCACTCAAAAACAATTTTTAAACAAATGAGGTTCTTAAACAAAGAGAAATACATCCTCTAAAAATAAAAAATACATGCATATGTATACCAGGCGATCCAAATTCAAAAGATTCCTAGTCACAAATTATTTACATAGGTGATTTAGGGAATTTTTAAATGCAACTTTATTTTTAAATTCATTTTTTTAATCTGAATAAATTCCTTCTTTTAAAAGGTATCTATTCTAGTAGCCATCTGCTTGGAGAAATACTAAAATCGCTTCCTTCTTAGTGCCTTATCATTTGGTTATTCAGGCTGTCCTATGAGAATACAGGAACCAATATTATAATTATTGGTGTTACTGAAATGACTACGGTAAGTGGTTCTAGAATGAATGCTGTCCATCTGTGCCTGTAGATGTGTTCCTGTTCCTCAGAATTCTGCCTCTCACCTTCAGATTCTCCATCTTCTATGACAATGACACCAAGCAACATATCAAACAAAGATGACTAAAATTACAGGGCTTTTCCCCTTATCAATATGTGTTCTATTTTAAAAACATATTTTTGGTTAGAAAAGCAATTGTTAAATGGACACGTTTCAAAAAATCAAACAGTAGATTTTCAGTGTTGTGTTCTTGGGCTCCTGGCGGGAGCACTCTGTGCCAGACTGCTCCACGGAGCTCATCCTGCATGCCCAGGTGACAGGAGCTCGCCGCACGCCTCAGCCTTTCAGTGCCAACCAAGTCTTAACCGCAGAAGCCAAACAATTGATGTGGTGACGAGGGTGGAAGAGACAGAGAGCACACAGATTGACTTCCCAAAGGAGTTTGTTATGCTGGGAGTTCTAAAAACCATTTTCCCATGAAAATTGTCTCCTTTGCATAGTAGTTGCTAAAATGGGAGAAACATCGTGCCCTAGATTGTCACTTTGTGCAGAATCCTTCTGCCAGTGCATGCACACACACACACATGCACACACGCACGTGCACACATTTGCACACAACTGTAACAATGTCTAGAATTCTGTCCTGGTTGGACCTTATTTTCTTAATGTTGAAGAGAATCTCATTTATTCCTGAATTAACAAGATAATTATTTTAGCAAAAGTGAGAGAAAGCCAAGGTAATTCACCCTGAAACTGAGCCTCTGATGAAACCATGTCTGATGTAGGCCTTTTCTGTTATCAGTGCTGCCTTTTACTTAATGTAGGATTAAGCAGAGACAGACTTCACCTCCACATTGAATGCTAGCCTGATTATCTCTCTGCTATTATTTGATTCTTCCACCATGGCAGGCTATTAGTACGCTTATTTCTCATAGCTCAAATCCAAGGATCTCTTGAGTTTCATGTGTAGAAATAAGCGTCTTGAAATGTACAGCTTCTCCTTACTCCAAACTTTCACAGCTGAGCACTTTTGGTATATTAGCAAGACATCCTGGTGATGGACTCATAGCTGAACCAACCAAAGGTCTCTAAGTGCTGGACTGCCCCGGCCACAGGTTAGGGTCAGTCATAGACTTTGCCCTTGAGGAGCTTACCAACAAAGCAAGAGAAAAGAAGTGACCCTCTGGGAGCTGTCCCTGCCTTGCATGGCTCTGGGTAAAGAGCTAAGCTTGAAGAGGTGAGCTTCCTTTCATCCAGGGCAGGCATGGTGGCTTTGCAGGGAATTTGACCAGAACTTGGGTGAGGGCTGATTTCTCAATTCTCCTCTGCTTGCATCCAGTTCTTTCCTTTACACAATGAGCATCTCTCATTTGCATAAAGCACCCCATAGGAGTATGAATTACAGATCTTACTGTCACCCATGGGCACAATCTTTTTGACATCAAGCCAAAGAACACTAACTTTGAAATTGCCTTCATGCCCATATATTGGGGCTAATACATGTTAACTGGCTGTATGCAATCTCACAACAGACTCCAAGCTTAATGGGCAATCTGAATTGGTGCTTTGTAAAATTGCAAATGATCTTGTAGAAGATCATAGGAGCAGAGGTTGTTTTCAGAGGGGCAAAAAAACTTTGATTTCCTACACACTCTAAAAATATAACGAAGGATGATATGGACATTCCAAAATGCTATCCTCCTTGCAAAGTCTCTTGGCCTCCAAAACTGGAAGACGTCACTGATCCACCCCTTCCCAACACAGAAGGCTCATGCTGCTGTTCACATGGTCATCCATTCACTCAACCAGCATCCCTCAAGTGCCGGCTCCCATCACACCCCAGCCTGAAGGCACCAGTGCTTGTGACATTGCCAATCACTGCCCAAACCAGAGCCCATTATGTCCCAGAGGCAGAAGATTTTCAAAGGAATTATTTATTTGTTAAAATACAATCCAACATATATATAACATATTTGTACCACCAATATTGCCTACATATGTTTTAAGTATCTCTTTGAGGAATTAAATCAGGGAAAAACAATTAACACTATCAGTGCTTAGTGGATGACATAATGGTTAAAGGTAAATTTGTCTGAAGTATTAGCTTTATTTATTTAATTTAATTTTTTTTTTTTTTGAGACAGAGTCTCACTCTGTCACCCAGGCTGGAGTGCATTGGTGTTATCTTCACTCACTGCAACCTCTGCTTTCTGGGTTCAAGTGATTCTCCTGCCTCAGCCTCCCAAGCAGCTGGGACTACCGGCGTGCGCCAGCACACCCGGCTAATTTTTGTATTTTTAGTAGAGACAGGGTTTCACCATGTTGGCCAGGCTGGTCTCGATCTCCTGACCTCAGGTGATCCGCCCGTCTCGGCCTCCCAAAGTGCTGGGATTACAGGTGTGAGCCACAATACCAGCTTTATTTTGATTCTAAAACTTTTTTTTCTTTTTTTTTTTTTTCTGAGAGGATCTGCTCTGTCACCTAGGCTGGAGTGCAGTGATGTGATCATAGCTCATTGCAGCCTTCAACTCCTGGGCTCATGTGAGATTCTCCTGCCTCAGCCTCCCAAAATTCTAGGATTACAGGCATGAACCACTGTACTCGGCCTGATTCTAGAACTTGGTTGTAAGATGCATATAATGTCCTTCATTTTAATTTGGAATTAATATGATTTGGAAGACACAAAGGGGCCACAGCTCCAAAGAGCTCCCCTTTGGTCTTGCCACGGGGCCACAGGTGGGAGAGAGTCCTGGGTCTGCTGGGCCTCCTGAGCATCTTCCTCCGGTACAGGCCCCAGGCAGATGCACTCCCGTTTTCTTCCCTCCTCCCACCCTGATCACCAGAGGTAGGAACAGGCCTTGCAGTCTATCTTTATCCTCATCGCTGCTGCTTGCCAGGCATTCTGTTGTTTGTTTTGGTGTTTTCCCCACCTGTTTAGACAAAATGGCATATGCAGAGTGTGCCTTAAAAGAAAACAAAAAATTGACACTTGCTTGAAATGTTTAAAGTTCAAAGTCTGTTTTGTGCTTGAACAAGGCCTAGAAATAACATGATGTGGCACCGCCATTCTTGCCGCCTGGTATCAGGAAGTCTGGCGGCCCTCTGGGCGGTGAGAACCCTGATGCCGCCTTTTCTGGTAACTTTAAGAGCAGGGCAGATTTGCCACACATTCTGAGTGAAATGTTATGACGGTCTTGGGTCAGGGATCACAAGGCACTGGTTGATACAGGTGCAAGGAAACAGCTATTTAATAATTGGCTTTTTAGCCCTGTGCACAGTAACCTAAGAACATGTCTCTTTTCGTATTCAAAAACCTAGTCCAATCCCCTGAATCTAAAGTAGAAGTTGGAAAAACAAACTCAGTCAAATTATTATGATTATCAGCTGTCATTTATGGAAGACGTATTATGTGCCAGGTACTATAAGCAAGCATGTGGCTCACATTAATCCCTTTTAATCCCTCTAGAATTTCTGTAAAGCAGATATTATTATCCCATTTTGCAGATAAAGAAACAGTAGTACAGAGATACTAAATTACTTTCTCTGAGTGGCACAACTATAACTGTTGAAACAGAAATTTGAACTCATGCCTGTCTAACTTCTCTTCTTAAGATCTTAGAGTAGCTAAGCTGCTGGCCAAGCAGCGTGGACCATGATTCCAAGTCCCAAAGATCTTGGGGAAGCTGTTTTAAATTTCACTTAAATTTTATACCTTACATTAGTTATTTCTCCTCTGATCATTTCTCCTCTATTTATTTTGAGTATATTTCACAAATTTATAATCTAAACAGCTTTAATAATTACCGTTTAGTAAGAGTAAGATATTTTCATTTCATCTGTTTACTGTTAATACCCTGCCTACTTTGAAAACATATTTAACATAGCTTTCAGTATGGAAAAGATACTCCCAAAACAAAAACCTTGAAGCAAGAATAAAAAACATCAGCTGCTAGATGAAAGCCAGGGGCTAATTATGGCAGAAACCTAATCAGAAGGACACTTAGTTTTGCACTTCCTCTCAGCCAAGTCAACAGGGAAAAAATGGCAGGTGACCCATCCTGTATTCATAAGACAGCTTGCCAAGTCAGGAAAACAGTGCTTTCTTGTTTTATCAATGTTTGGAAAATTAATAATTTTCACAAGATAACATTTAAGTTAAAATTCCAATTTTATTTTTACTTCATCACAAACTTTGAATGTGTGACCACTTAAAATTGCTAAAACAATATAATGTTGTCATTTGCCTGAAAAATAATGGAAGAAAATAGCCACAAGCCTACCTTCTACATACAAGGATCTACAATCACTTTTGTGTTTTCCTTTTTGTTCTTTTTCAGAAAACACATTTCTCTCTTTTTTCCCTAGTTGTAAACATAGTAGGAATGCCACATTGTTCTCTGCTGTCAGTGATACAAGTATTTTCCATGTAGAAACAGTGTTCATAATTATCACTTTCCTGACCACATAATGTGCCATTAAATAGGGGTGGCATATTTTCATTAAGTATTTCTCTGTTGGCGGCCATCTAGGTCACTTCTTATTTTATAGTAAAGGTAAGGATTACAATGAGTAATTAGTTCAACCTTCAGTTTAATTATAATTTACATTAAATTTATAAAATTACCTTCACTAAAAATCTATATGCATAAAAAAGAAATTTGTTGAAGGCAGAAACAACCTGTTTTCCAATTTTACTTTCCCTAGAATATAGTGTCTTAAAAATATGAAGTACTTTCTCAATAACTTAATGAATAAATAAAATGTAGGTAGCATCAGGTAGCTCAAAAGTGGCTGAAATCGATGGCCTGGGATGTCCCCTCTAAGTCGGAAAGAACATGAATAGTAGTAATCCTATACCTACCCCCAAGAGAACTTTACATTGAAATACTTAAACTAAAGATCCAGAATAGCACTTGAAGAAATCAGAATATTAGAAGATTGAGGGGGTGGGGGATGCATATCTGCCACAGCTTCCCCAGCCCCTCCCTCCTTTTTGTGCTGCCATTTGGAGTTTCAAGCACAGAGAGAAGTGATGCCCATTGATACTGCTCTGAATAAAAGCCCATGCTGTAAACGTGTGATCGCCTATCTATGGGCAGAAAGGGACCCTTCTCTGGTACTGCATGTAATTGTTGAAGGCATCTGTGCGCTCACTTAAGGCCCATCTGTACCCTGCTCCCCAGTGAGCCGCCCGCTCTCTCCCAGTGAAGTCAGGTGCTCAGAGCAGCAGGCTGGGCGCAGGATGCAGGAAAGCGCCTCTTTTAAACATTAGGAGTAATTGACTCGAAATGTATAATCGTAACAACTCCTAGAATCTATCATTGTCTTAATGGACTATTTAGAATTTTTGCCTGTAAAAACTAAAATATATATTAGTCTTGTCTTGGAAGAGTTGATATTTTTCAGAGAAATCGAATCTGCACTATTTATGGGTTTTGCACTATAAAACTCTGCAGCCCAGTCACATGGCTTCTTTTTCCTAAGCCATCTGTCACAGAGGTCTGGAATTTTATGTGAATGTTGGTTGTGCAGTCTTAACCCAAGTTTTTTTTTATTTTTTTATGAAAAATGTCAGCAACTACAATATTTAGCATTTTACTTTACGTTGGCCATTAAACTTGATTACTATAGCTCTGTTTCATTGCTATTTACATATCAGCTACGAAGCCAAAAATTGTTTTGATGCGCTCCTGGCAGAATACATTGTGAGATCATGGAGAGAGAGCACACGTGGCACTGATATGGTTAATATCTTGGATTTTTGTAACTAAGGTTTATTAATGCTGGTATAAAAATGTATTTGATATTATACAGATGGCATAAGATGTTGTGGTTACTAAGTTATTATCCCGGATAAGCTGTACTGCCAAATTCCGGGCTTAAAACTATCACGAGAGATTAAACTATTTACTAAAAAGGGACAGAAAGATACGGCCAAAGCATCTTAGTACAACATATTAGAAGCGTATTTACCTCCCACAAATATAGTAAAGCATATCTATCTCATAGGCTGAGAGATTGAAAATACAAACTTTGCAGGTAAAATAAGCAAATAAAAGAAGGGCTTTTATTTTCTAAGTCGGGCACAAGCAGCAAGCCCAGCTGATGCAGCCCAGTGGCGCCTGTTTGGGGGTTGGGAGTGGGGGGTTGTTTAAAGGGAAGAGTTAAAACAAATCCCCTGGGAAGTAGCTGGTTACCACAAGAGTTAAGGATCTTGCTAAATATTCAAAGAAGAGTGGCCAGCCAAGAGAAAAAAAGAGAGTAGCCAAATTGTCAAGAAGTTAATTTTAAATTGATGGATGATGGCGAAAATACCAGAAAGGTGTTATTCGACCCATTTAGAAAAATGACAGGCAGCTTCCTCCTACCTTCTGAGAATGACTGCACAGTAATGTTCACAATTCATGACACCACATGAGCCATCCCAGTGTGCGAATCTTGTAGAACATACGAGGCACGTGAGCAGTTTGCTGGAGCTTGAACCAAATACAGAATGGGGTACTGTTCCTCCCGACACAGAAAAAACAAAACCAAGAAATAACACATGGCAAAAGGTAGAAGGTATCTCAAGAAGAAATATTGTGCGGTGGATTTAGTTTTAAGTCTCACACTAAGTGTGGAGAAAATAAGCTGTTTTATAGTATTCTTAAGTTTGCACTATAGGGCTTCAACCTCAGTCAGGCTGTCAGCTGCTACCCAAAGCACCGCCCCCACCACCACCGGTTTGAAGCATGGTTTGCACTCCCTGCCTCCCTCTCCCTGCCCGCCACAATTTAGCAAAGCATTTCCGGCTCACATAGCCTAGGGTAAAATGTTGCTTTTATATTAGTTTAATATTCCAATAAAAATTCTCTTCCAGTGGGTTGTTTTGCATATTTCTCATGTGAGATTAATATTATGATTTGAAGGGTTGGAAAGTTATACATGCCTTTTGATAAACACAAATGTGAATGCTTTAAATGATGAATTGGGAGTGATAATTCTGTAAACTAGAAAAGAAGATTTAAAGCTAAACTTGTAAATGTGTGTGTATGTGTATATATATACACATATATATACACACACACACACACACACACATTTTCATAAAACTGTTTTAGCCAATATATTTAGTATTTGGAGCATCTTATTTACATTAAGCTTACTTTGTTTAAACCCAGAAACACAAAGCTCACTAATGGGGCTGTTCTTAAAGTCTGCCTAAGAATTGAACATTACCCAACGCAAATCAGAAAGCTAGATTTAAAAGCAGATATACTTACATAAAAGCTTACATTTAAAATGATCCCTTAAAAGCCCCACATGGCTAGGCTGTAACTGCAAACTGCTTAAATGTTTTTCTGTTTCCTATTGTATACCAGGGAGCCGAAATAGAAGTGGATGAAAATGGCACATTGGACTTAAGCATGAAAAAAAATCGAATCCTGGACAAGTCTGCACCCCTAACTTCCTCTAACACTTCTATTCCAACTCCTTCCTCTTCCCCATTCAAAACAAGCAGCATTCTGGTCAATGCAGCATTCTATCAGGCTCTTTGTGACCAAGAGGGCTGGGACACTCCTATCAACTATAGCAAAACTCACGGGAAGACAGAGGAGGAGAAAGAGGTATTGTTTCCATATGTCAATCAATAAGTTGAAGACAGCATGATTGCAGGGTATCACTAGCTTTTCCCTCCTAAATTATATTTCACATTCCTGTTTAGATAATACATAATTCTGTACCTTGCTTTAGATTTTGATAAAGTGGTGATTTTTAATGTCAGAGGAAATTCATTAACAAATCCAACTTTTATTATCACTTGCCTAAAATAATGTCACTATAGTAGATTTTATTCCTATTAAGGCTGAAATTTTGTGCCCTGCACAAGAGATTATATTATCTATCCCTTCATATAGCAGCTGTAAGGGGCAATGTATTGCTCAACATTGAAATGCCAGCTTACTAATTCTTTCTGAACCAGAGGGTTGAAGATGAAATCAAATCAGGGTCAAGTAAGAATCTTTGAGTCATGTCAAATTTCTTTCCATGGTTTTGTGAAGGGACTGTGTTAGCATACCTATGTATAGACTCATTGTTTAAGGCATTGGATCGAAATGTTGGATGTCTAAATTGAATTAATCTTGAAGTCAAGGAGACCTATTTGTGTATTTGATTATCTTGGAGGTGGTTTTGGCCCTGAAAGCCAGATGGTGCGACAGTGCAGGAATTCATCTAACCTTCGCCTTATGGCTTGAGCCACCTGACTAGGCCTGATTAGCCATGGACTACTCAGTGTCATTCGAAAGAACTGACAGCCAGAACCCTCGGTTGTTTAGACTCTGTGTAATTGCAGATGTGGCCTTAATTATTACAGTAAGTCAGTCCTATTTTGCTCTTTGTCAGGGAAGTTGTTGATGGGCTTGCCAGTTGATATGTGTAAAGAACTGAAATAGCCATTCTCTGCAGAAGTGTGCAGCGCCTTTTACAGCTTTTTGAAGTTTAGAGACTTTGGGTGATGAGATCTAATTTGATTTTTGCACATGCTTAACATCTCAAAGTATAAGTCAACGTACACAGTTTTGATCACAAGATTGGGCTGTTTTTCTTTCCCCCTTCCCTTCCCTTCCCATCGCTCCCCTCCCCTCCCCTCCCCTCCTCCCCTCCTTCCCTCTCTCCCTTCCTTCCTTCCTTTCTTCCTTCTTTCCTTCAGCACAGTTTTGCCAACATCTCCAAGTCCAGTCAGTGACATGGGACCTGGAGATACAGCAATGAATAGGACACACTTCCACCATGCTTGTGTGCCACAGTCATGCATGTGCTCAGAAGACTGACCTGTAGCCAAATACACTGATAAACAGAGTAGCACGCACAGGCACACAATGTGGAGAGGGAGGAATGGCTAACTGCATCAGGTGGCTGGGTGTGGACCCCTGGGAGACATCCTCAGCATCTGAGGCAGCCTGTGTGTCTCCACCACTCAAGCCATCACATGGAAGGATGAGGGGATTCACACACTGCAGCTTTTGATTAGATTCTGTCATACTGGCCTTAGTCATTTTATTCTGCTTGGCTTTTCAAAATTCACCCAAAGCGTCCAAGGATGGCCTTAATCAATCTATCATAGTACTATTTTAGAAGAATCATTTATTAAAATAATACATATTTGATGATAACGAATGTGAAACTGATGCCAGCAAAGTTTAAGAAGCTCATTTGCCTCAAATGACGACCACAAACTGGCAAGTGTGCATCTTTCCCCAACCACTGTGCCCACTGCCACCTCAGGCTTGTGCCAAAAAACAGAGGTTACACCTAATTATGTCTACGTGTATCATCTAAAAGTCTGTCAGTGTTCACATCCCTCGAGTATCCTGCACATCTTGTCTGAAATGGAAGTAAGCAGCAAGCCAGGAAGTGGACAGGTTAAGAGGCACAATTGTGATGAGATCAAAATTGTTGGCGCAGTCCTACTACATACGAGTTAGCTTTGGGTAAGGGAATGCGCTTCAATTCACATGACTGCTTAATCTCCAGCCAGGCCACTGCTGCTCAGATCATGGCACATTGCATCTACAGACCTAAAGGGAAACCTGACCCTTGACCCAGGATGTGTGGATGTGGGTCCAGTAGAAGTCCTTATGCTACAGGAAGGACAGTGTCTCATGAATTAAGTATAACTGCTTCATGCAGGTTCAAAATCCCAACATGTTCTCATTTCTGGGAATATCTCGATGCCGTATGCAGAGTGGCACTTGGGCTTTCTGCACTCATCCTTATGATTATGGCGAATGTATTCACCAGAAATTGTCAGGCATAAGCCTCCAATCCTGGGTAGTAACAAAACACATTTGCTTCAAATAGGTTCTCATCTTCATCTAGGGTGTCTTGCGTTGTTTGACACTGATTATACTTTTGTGCCCTCAGCAAGGATGTCAACATTGCACTCTTCAGATTCTCAGAAACCCATTCCTATCACTTCCTTAGCCACAGTTCTTATCACCCAGAAAGCCAGAAAATGAGATTTCATAAGAAATATTTTATGTTACTTTTTAATCTTGTTTTTTGCTTAATTTCAAAAAATCATCTGGATTCATCTTGGTAGACTTGAGTCTGTTTTTTTCTCATGCATATATATCTGGGACAGTGTTTCATTTCCCAGCAAATTCACACACACAAGATGGGATTCTTTAGAGTGGATTGATGCTCTTTACAGAATGGCTTACTTACTCCAGGTCTGACAACACAGGCTTGGACTGCTACAATTTTCAACCTAAGTATTGTGACATCTGGAATTTAGAAGCTATGTGGGAATTCAGTGTCACTAAGAGTATCAGAGAGGACTTTGGAGATGCTAAGTGAGGTCTTGGACTCAGTGTGCTTGCCCTAGGTTTGAGCTGACAGAATATTTGTTTAAGCTAAATGCTTATTGTCCCAGTTATCTGAACAGGGTGATTCATTGGTTGGGAAAGCTGAGGCTGGTGGAGACACACACATAAAAGTACTTCTGAATCACTCTAACTCCTGATATGGTTTCTCACTCTTGTTCTCTGTTCCTTCATCCGTGCCAAGGTAATCTACTAACAGTATTTTTCACATCCTGTTCTGAATCTTGAAAATGAAAAATGTAATGTTTGGTAGGCATTATTTTGAAAAATTAGATTGTATTAAATGCGCTCATTGACAAGCTATCAGAGGGATACCACGTGCAATAAAATACAGATAAGGAACCTTTATACGCAATGTCTCATTATCCCAACAATCTTGAAAAGCAGGATTATTATCAGATTTTTTAGAGGAGAAATGTGAGGGGGGTAAAGTTGTTGCTCCTGGTCATATGAAATTAAGTAATAGGCCTGGAATTCCCTACAACAAAGAAAAAAAAGAGAAGAAGGTAAATGAGGAAAAGGAAAAGAAAAAAAAATCACCAAAAACTGGAGACTGCTTAGGGGTTATTGAGAAAAATTTAATAGGAAAGAAAAAAGAGAAGAATGAAGAAATGGCAGGTGGCAAGGTGTGTTGGCGGCAACAGTTGTCTAAAGTGTTTCTGCGGGTACAGGACTGGAGCTCCTGTGATCCAGGCAAGTCCATGCAATGTGACCACAAAAAACAGTTCCAGGACTGATCCTTTCTTGTGACTTTCCAGTGAGCTTCCCTGGAATAGCTATGTGCGTTCCAGACAATCTATTGTTCACATTTGGAGACTGGAATATGGTTATGTCCCTGCTCCCACCCACGTCTTTCCCTTTGCCACTTCCCTCTCCCCCGACCACATAAGACACATACACAACCAGAAATTGAGTGATTATTTCTAATTCATTGTTATCTAGTTCATATGCACAACAGTTGCTTAATTTTGGTGGTAATTTTCAGAAAATATTGTCTGTCTCTCTCAGTGAAATAGCCTGTCCAGATGCCCCCTAAAAAAAATTCCTGAATCTGGAAAAAACTCAAAATATCTCGAAAGGAAAGTGTTGAGAAATAACTAGGGCTGTCAGTTTCATTCAACTGTCAGTTCTCCAAAGATTTCAGGGCTTAAAATGTTAAGAGTGCCAGATGCTATTATCTGTTATTCATGTTACCATTATGTCCTGGTCTTTACTGAAATCAATATAAACTTCCATCTGTACGTTAAAGGAATTTCATTGCATGCATGTACTCTCTAAACACACACATATATACCACATCCTCTTTTACACAACCACAAAATAAAATTATTATTTTCAAAATTATACTTTAAATTTTGGAAAAAGATTTTTACAAATGCTATTGATTTACACTGGCTGCTGTTTAGGTATTCATTTAATATAAAATGCCTCCATAACAAAACTAATTATTTAGTGACAGCCACCTGGATTTTAATACATACACTCTCTGAAGGTTTCTAAGGGTAGAATGTTGAGCAAAGAAAAGGGGAAAAGACAATTATTTCATAAAACTATTGTATGCATATGAGTCTATGTGTTAAAGTTACAAAATATTTAAAAGGTCGTATGCAATAAAATTATCCTGTTGAAACATTACCACATATTACTATACCAAAATAAATAACATATATCCTGCAAGCTTTATGTTTATATTATTTAGTAAAATAACTTAAACTTTCATAATTGATTATTTCTTTCAAAATTCCCCATTCTCTTGCCTTCCATAATTATAGATTCAGCCCTAAAACAACAGCTAGAAACTTGTGGTAATCTGTAAATATACATGTCTTCTTAGAGAGACTTTGTTCATAACTTTGCCATAAATAATAAAATGGCTCTTTTTACTTTATGCCGTTTTCGTTAAAAAAAAAAAAAAATCAGCATCTAAACAGAAAAACAAAGGCTGTTCCACATTGAGACAATATCAGATTTAGCAATTGTATCTACTTTCAAAAAGCCAAGACATTTCTAAATTATAGTGGAAAATACTACTCAGGCCAAATCCAGATAGGACTAAATAAAGTAGATGGCGGAATTATCAGGTTTAAGGCCTTAAAATTTGGAATTTTTTCATTTTAGCCATTTACAGCATAAAACTTTGAAAGGTAAGTGTTAATCATCTATTTTGCTGTGGATCCCATGGAGGCAGCATTAAACTAGCACTTCTCTTTGCATCCTAGTGTGGAATTATTATCAAGCATACATTTCTCTTTATTTTAAAATCCTGTCTTTTTATCGGCTTCTGTTTTCAAACATTTACCAGTAAAACAAAATGAAACACTTAATACCATCAATAATATGGATAAATTGTACTAAATCAGGTTTCATTAATGTAATCTGAAGACAATGTCACTTGAGACAGTGTACCAATGTATTTACTACAGTATGCTCTTGTGTGAAATAATTGATTGAATTGTTAGCCAAGTAATTAATGAAAAAAATTACATTTGCCTTGATGACTGAGATCGGCATTTAGAATTTTTCTTTGGCTGGGAAAATCCAGGAATTTTGTTTTTTTCATATTGCTTTTGAATATAGACTCAGAATTACTAAAATTATATTTTGCTATAGTATTTTTATATTCATTTAATTTAAAAAAATTATTTTGAACGATTCAAAATAGTTTACTTACCTTAAGTACATCAGTACTTTTGAGATTTAGAAGACAGTTTTTTTTATTAGTTCATCTGATTTTAATATTAAAACCAGAAAGTATTATATTTACCAGATACAAGATCAATGATGAAAGTAAGCTAATTATGTGATTGAGAAAAACCATCATTTGTTATCTGTGAAATAATACATCACTTGGTAAATAAATTGTTTGATAGGATTAGTGAATCTTCTTTATGAAATCAAGGTCAGTATTAAACTTAAGAGAAGGGCATGAAAATTAGGAATATCCAACAAGAAATTCCATCCAGGAGTGAAAGTGCTACAAGATACCCATTTAGCAAAAGAAGTAATTTCAGAAAAACAGGAAGTAATATAAAAATAAAAGCAATTATCCAGAAAGATCAAATTAAATGCCTAAATTTAATTTAGCCTCAGTTATTACATATTTAAACAAATAATTTAGATCTTAATTACCTGTACATTAGAAAGGGCATTCCGTTAACCAAAAATTCCCCCTTTTCTGTCTAAAAGTTTGTGTGATTCATTTTTGCAATATTTCTTTGGTTTTACTGCTGTTATGACTGCTGGACATATAAACAATTCCTGTGCTCTCTAGGGAGCATTCCTAATACAAGAAACCTTGAAATATACTAAAATATTAATTACATGGGTCAAGAAATACCTACCTCTGTAATCATATTTGCCAAAATGTGAACTTTTGAAAGGTGTTCCATATCAATTACACTTTTTCATTCTTCACTTAGGATAAAGATCTGTAACAACCAGGACATATTCTTATTATCTCATTTATTTCTTTTCTTTTCTTTTTTTTTGAGACGGAGTCTTGCTCTGTCGCCAGGCTGGAGTGCAGTGGAGCCATCTCGGCTCACTGTAACCCCCGCTTCCCGGGTTCACGCAATTCTCCTGCCTCAACCTCCTGAGTAACTGGGACTACAGGCACGCACCACAGCGTCCAGCAAATTTTTGTATTTTTGGTAGAGACGGGATTTCACCATGTTGGCCAGGATGGTCTCAATCTCTTGACCTCGTGATCCGCCTGCCTCGGCTTCCCAAAGGCCAAGGATTACAGGCATCAGCCACCTCGCCTGGCCTATATTATTTATTTCTTATGCAAATCCTCTAAGGTATTTCAGCCAAGTCCAAGTCCAAAGCCAAAACTCAAACCTGGCTTCAATGATTTTAAATCTAGTTGTCTTTCCAGGGTTCCCTAATGGCTTCTGTGTTTTGTTTGTTTTTTGTTTGTTTTCCAGAAAGACCCAGTGAGCTCTCTAGAAAATTTAGAGGAAAAAAAGTTTCCTGGAGAGGCCTCTATACCAAGCCCTAAACCCAAGCTTCATGCAAGAGATCTCAAAAAGGAACTAATCACGTAAGTGGTGCCCAATGCCATGCCCTCTAAGATTCTGGAATGAAGATTCAAGTTCATGACTTAAAGTTACAATATCCTGGCTTATACAGTTGATGTTAGGGTGATTTCTACCAGTCAGCAGTTAAACGTTAAACACGCATCTAACCTGAGCTAAGAGGGTGTACATGATCTTATGCTAACAGAATTAAAAGCCTGTTGATTAAAAAACAAAATAAGATAACACAATTAGAAATGCTTCTTAAACTGATAACCATTTACCTCCAGATCTAAGGGTTGTCTTCTGGGACTCTACTAACCTTCTAACACTTGATGCAAATTGTTATTTGGGCAAGGGAGTTATTGGTTTTCATCACATTTTCAAAGGGGTTCTGAGGCCCAGAAGAGGTTAAAGAGCAGGGTACCCGAAGGCAGTAAGTACGAGTTATGTACTAGCGGGTGAATGAGTGAATCAAATGCAGGAAACTGTTTCCCATGTGTAAGTGATTAAATATTAATCAAGTCTACTCATATATAAATCTATTTAAAGCTGCCAGTTAATGAGAGTTTACAGCAAGGAGTAACGCGTCCACTTAGGAATCAGGACTGTACCCTCTCTTCTGTATCCCTCATCAAAAAATATGTTTAAACTTTTCCAAAAAAAAACTGTAAAAACCTCTCCTGACCCAGCTTCCACCTGGATTCTCTGTCTCCCCTTCCTTTTCCAGCTGAACGTATCAAGAAAGTTGTTGCTACTGTGTGATGCAGTTTCCCTCCTGAATCTTTCCCAGACCGATCTCCAGGGACCTCCCTTCCCTCGGCATCCCCTTCCCCTGTCAGAAACTTGGTCCTGGAGCCTCCTGTTCCTACTTGACAGGCAGCAGGATGCCACAGAGCTGATCTCCCTCCTCCACAATCCATTGTCTACACTTGGCCTCTAGGATGCCTCACCTCTGGACTCTTCCCTCATCTCACTGCTAGCCCTTCTAGACTCATGTGTAGCCTTCTAAAGAGCGCGGTGCCTCTGATCTCCGTCCTGGGACCCTTTCTTCCTGCTATCTGCACTTACTCCTGCTGTGGACTCCTTGGCTGCCACCCCGCTGTGACCTCCAGATGCCCACCCACCACCCCACAGGGGCAGTGAGTGCTCCCATCCCCCAGCCTCCCACTCTGGGCTTCTTGCTTCTCCTAAGCTCTCTAGGAATTAGGCAGGGCCTTAGGGTTGCTGTTCCCTCTGCCCAGAATGCTGTCCCCAAGGCTTCTGCAGGGCCCACATCCTCTCCTCCCTCAGCGCAGCTCTTCTCTCAATCACTTATGTGAGAGGCCTTCAGGCTACTGTGCTTCCCCACCCTCAGCCCTGATGCTCCCATTCCCAGATCTTTTCTTCACTTCCCTCCACTCTCTATTTTCTGCCTCCTTTACCAAGAACAAAGCCTCAGAGGGCACAAAGTGGGGACGGGAGGTCTTCTCTCCTCCGTCTTTGCTCTCTACCTTGTCCGCGTCATTGATGCATAATATTTACTATGCAACCTCTTATTTCCCCTTATTTCCTCTTCTGTACCTTGTCCACACCATTGGTGCATAATATGCACTGTGCTGCCTCTTATTTCCCCACCTACATGGACAGTGACTTGGGAGCAGGGAATGCATTTCAAATGCTGGTGCCAAGAACAGGGCCTTGCACATAGTAGGTGTTCAGTAAAAATTATTCCGAGTCCGTCATCAGTTTGCCCTACTGGTATGTGAGCGACTTTAAAATAAGCTTAGACTTTGCATTCTCAAAGGATTTTGTAGGCAAACATTACTGGCTGAAATAGCATTCTCCCTTGTAAACTTGATGTCCACCTGAGGCTTGGTGGTTGACGGATACAACGGATGGTTCCAAACATGCTGGAACTTAAATCGGCTTGAACACTGTTTCAGGTTCAGTGACTTGAGACCTTAGAAGTCACTTCTAACTTCTTAGAAACTTCTTAGAAGCCACTTAGGCCAGCCAGACACCTTTTCCCACATGGACCTGCTGTTTGAAACTTTTCATCTTTGTATGTATTTTTTTCATGTGTTATTTTTAATATCTTCAAAAATGGCAAAATTTTATCCTTTGAAGGTAGATTGTTGGAAATTGCTAAAAGTCATCCCAAACTAAATGTAGTGTAAATGATTGAAAATTAACCTGCAATACCATTTTGGATCAGAAAAATGAAGCATGATTATTTTGCAAAGGGCACTTCTCCATGGTATGAGGGTAAATTTAAAAGAGGAAGGATTTCAAAAAGATATTGAATGATTTTTGGAATATAATCATTCCAAAAATTCTTAAGAAATTACTCTCTCAGAGGCCTCTTAGTTCATCCATTTTATCTATCTATCTATCTATCTATCTATCTATCTATCTATCTATCTATCATCTATCATCTATCTATTTATTTTGAGATGGGGTCCCGCTCTGTTGCCCAGGCTGGAGTTCAGTGGTGCGTTCTCGGCTCACTGCAAGCTCCACCTCCCAGTTCAATCTCCCACCTCAACCTCCCAGGCAGCTGGGATTACAGGCGCCCACCACCACACCCGGCTAATTTTTGTATTTTTAGTAGAGACAGGGTTTCGCCATGTTGGCCAGGCTGGTCTCAAACTCCTGACCTCAGGTGATCCACCCATCTCAGCCTCCCAAAGTGCTGGAATTACAGGCGTGAGCCACCACGCCCAGTCTAATTCATGCATATTAGACAGGGTGAGTGCTTTGATGGATATCACTTATTTGCATGTGTCTGAGTTGGTATATTTGTCTTGTAAAAGTCATACTACATTCCATGTCACCCTGTCCTTATTATATTTTGCTTTGTGTTTCTAACAGTACCTTGATTGCTTACCAAAAACTTTGTCTAGATTAGGACTTTTTGGATGTCACTAATTATCTTAGAATTTCCTTACGGTTTCAGTGCCACTTACTGAGAAAACTAGCTAGTTTCTTTCTTCCAGTTTTTGTATTTTCATCTGAAAACAAATGTATCACCCAACTAATATTGGCACATGTCATTATGTAAAATTTTTCACTGTAGATTCGGAATTTAGTCTAGCTATCAAAATTCCAAACTGCAACTTTCCCCCGTATAATGTTGTCTCCAGTTCTTTATTTCTTGACCTTTTAATACAACCAAACTTAAAAATAAATTATCAGCTAATTGAATGCATATTTCATTATCATATTTTATAGGTAATTTATAGCTGATGTTTAAAAACCTCTGGCACTTCTTGGCTTCTCCTGGCAATATTAATCGGAGTAATTTAAAAATATAAAATAGGCCGGGCGCGGTGGCTCATGCCTGTAATCCCAGCACTTTGGGAGGCCGAAGCAGGCAGATCACCTGAGGTCAGGAGTTCGAAACCAGCCTGACCAAAATGGTGAAACCCCGTCTCTACTAAAAACACAAAAATTAGTCGGGCATGGTGGTACACGCCTGTAATCCAAGCTATTCGGGAGGCTGAGGCAGGAGAATCGCTTGAGCCCAGGAGGCGAAGTTTGCAGTGAGCCGAGATTGCGCCACTGTACTCCAGCCTGAGCGACAAAGCGAGACTCTGTCTCAAAAAAAATAAAAAATAAAAAATTGTGTGTATATATATATATATATATATAATGCAATGCTGTTTGTAACACTAAATGGCGATGTATTTCTAAAGTGGGAATTCCCAGGCAATTGAAACACCTCTCACTCTGAATACTCCAGTTGTATAATGTTCAGAAAAGATTTTTTTACATTTAGTGAGTGAATGGCACTTGCAAGATAACTCAGCCGAAATGTTAATAACTGGTTTTTGTCTTTACTTTTTAACATATATTTATAGCTTTTATAGTTTTTTTTCTGTTATCTTATCCAGGAAAAGGGATGGGGAAAGGAGATAGATGACTTAGCTTGGATCAGACCCTGAAAATCAAACATTCCTTTGAAAGATGGGAATGCTCTAACTCTTATAGTTTCTTTAGATACCTGAAAATGATTGGAAAGTGGATCACAGGAAGAAAAATACTTAGAAAGTGATAACTCAGAAAATATAGGAATAGCGTTAGTTTATCCCAAAATGTCCCTTCAAAAGGCTAAAACATGTATTCTGTATATCTGGATAAGTCCTCGCTTTAGGCAGGATGTCAAAAAAAGATCAGATGCGTGACTGGTGTAGTTGATGTTCCCCTCTAATAACTGACACCACCGCAAATAACACTGAGTAGGCTGGGGTCCACCTGCTTATTACAAATGAGTGACTTTCAAACACCATCAGAGGAAACTAAATGACTGAGAAACCAAGGAATCTATTAATTGTGGAAGAAAACTGCTAAGGATAACTAACTACCTTCTTACATGATTATTATTATTTTAGAGATGGGGTCTCACTTTGTCACCAAGGCTGGAGTGCAGTAGCACAATCATAGCTCACTGCAGGCTCGAACTCCTAGGCTCAAGCAATCCTCCTGCCTCAGTTTCCTGAGTAGCTGATTATATTATTTTTACAACACACATAAGGTGGACAGGACATGACCAGGTTCAGAGATAAAATGAAATGCAGGGGCACACATCTTAATGGAGTGAGATTCTTGGCAGATGGCCTGAGAGCCTATTCTTAGGCTAATGGTGAATTAGCAATTGTCTTCGCTAATTAGTCAAAGATTTTCAGTGGTTTCTAAAATGTTTATAAAGTTACTAGGTTGCCTTGCTCTTAAAAACTCACAAAAATTTCTTTCTGGAATATGTCATATAATGGGTGCTGGTGTTCCTAAGATCTGCTATCATAGTAAAGCATGGGTTTCTAATATTTATTTTTTATAACATATGTATTTTTCTTTTTCTTTTCTTTTTTTTTTTTTTTTTTGAGACAGAGTTTTACTCTTGTTGCCCAGTGCAATGGTGCAATCTCGGCTCACCACAATGTCCGCCTCCTGAGTTCAGCCGATTCTCCTGCCTCAGCCTCCGAGTAGCTGGGATTACAGGCATGCACCACCATGCCTGGCTAATTTTGTATTTTTAGAAGAGATGGGGTTTCTCCATGTTGGTCAGGCTGGTCTCGAACTCCCAACCTCAGGTGATCCACCTGCCTTGGCCTCCCAAGTGCTGGGATTACAGGCGTGAGCCACCATGCCCGGCAACATATACATTTTTCAAATGAATTAAAACATCTTTGATTGCTAACTGACAACATCACAAGGACATCACTTTCCCACATCAATGGAATCAAATAATCGAATGTGATGTTGAAACAGGTACCTAAGGAAGTAACTCATCATGCTATGATTTTTAGTTTTCTTTCAGGTAGTCCACTGGTTCTTATATAATATAAATCCTTGGTACACTAGCTTCTGCATGTCCTATACTGTGTTAACTTATCTCGCACAGAGAAGCTACCTCCTCCGTAATCTACTGGGCAGAGGAAATGAACCTGGGAAATGCGCTTGACTCTAATGATGTATTTTCTATTGACTCAGCTGTCCAACACCAGGATGTGATGGAAGTGGCCACGTGACAGGAAACTATGCATCTCATCGCAGGTACCCAATGACCTCATGTGCAGTCAGATTTTCATGGTCTTGTTCTATTTTAAATACTTATTCTCACCCTTTCTATCCATGTATTATCTGAAGCAGGAAATGAGTTGGTTGGGTTTTTGGTTTATTTTCTTTTTCAGAAATAAAATTATGTGATATAAAAATCATGATTCTTGGTCAAAATGGTTTTCTGATCCTGTAGTCCAGGTTATAAGTGAAAAGTTGAGCTCATGTCAGGCTTCGGTTCTGTGTGGCTTGAGGACTCATGTGGAATGAGGAATAAATACAACAGTGACTCAAATCGACCATTTGCCCGAGGAAAAGTAATACCCTCAATCCTGGGCAAATAACAAATTGAAGCATTTGAGAGATTAAACAGTGCAAAGGAGTTGCTTTAATCTTTCTACTCACCATCTCCATTGATGGGATTTGTCTTCTCTTGGAAAAGCACCATCACCTGGCTGTGCAGCAGGAATGGACTCTGTGTGTGGGTGATCATTGCATCCCTGAGCTTTAGAGTTGGGGGGTCTCATTGGGCTAAAGTCATTCATTTGATAAACAGAAAATCTGAGTCTATGAGAAATAGTTGAAGTGCCACCAGCCCAGACTGGCGAGAAGAGCAAAGCCAGATTCAAAGCCAGTTATTTTTTTTTCCCAATCCCCAGTCACCAATAATTTAACGTATGTTCACGACTCAGGATGCCATTTGACTCAGATTTGTATATGTCAGTGTTGTGTTGTGTTTTTTTCCTCATCCCTCTCTAGTGTTTCTGGATGTCCTTTAGCAGATAAGACTCTAAAATCCCTCATGGCTGCCAACTCTCAGGAGCTTAAGTAAGTGCGGGAAGCGTGGCCGGCTTGCCCTTCATCCACACGGTAGGACCCTCTCGTTCAGTGCCCATTCATTGCCCAAGTGATCAGCAACAAGCAGTATGTCCTGCCTGCCAGGATCACAGCAAAGGCACTTTCTGACTAAAGCGCTGGGATGACTGAAACAAAATCACTGTAATTTAATTTAGTTAATTTGCTTGCTTCCGGGGCTTTGTATTTTATAATAATTTTTAAAAGTGTGATGTAATAGTTAACACAATACTTTTTTCTGTAAATTTCACAGTCTATGTATTAAATCAGACCTGTGAAGGAGTCTCAAAGCATACCTGCCATTTAATTTTAAAGAAATTGCATAATCCTTAACCTGCTGGGTATTTTGATTCGTACAACTGCCTTTCACTCTTGGGTGCCAAAAACACCCAAACCAAGAGTTTGGGCTCATTCCTGCCTCACCTACAAGATCTCAAAGTCACATGTGTATTAACTTTTACTTTGTGATTTCATTTTTCCTGCTCATCTTCTTTTAATACAAAGTTCTCATTTGTTTATTTTCATATCTTATTATATTACGTATAGAACAATAAACATTTATAGTCTACCTTTTAGTCCTTAAAAATATGATAGGGCATAAATTTTAAAAGATAAAGAAATAGGATTAAACAAAACTAATTACATCTTTTTACAAATAATAAAGCTTTAGAAAAAATGAGTATTACTACATCTACTGGTAAAACAATATGCGTAGACAGCAGCATCAGCGTTTGGTGTCTAAAACACATGTAACATTTCACGTATTATATTTTCTTAGTATTTTGTTAGTCCTTCACTTTTTTAAGCTGTTTAAAATTTTTTTATCTAAAAATTTTAAAAACTAAGTTTATGAAAGAAGATGTGATAATGGACAGATATGAAAATTTGGAATCTTAGTACCAAAAGTAGTAAAATAAACTGTGAAATATACTTTTCTCATTTTCTGTCTTTTTTCCTTTTTTCTTTCTTTCTTTTTTTTTTTTTTTTTTTTTTTGAGATGGAGTTTCGGTCTTGTTGCCCAGGTGCCCAGGCTGGAGTGCAACGGCACAGTCTCGGCTCACTGCAACCTCCGCCTCCCAGGTTCAAGCGATTGCCTGTCTCAGCCTCCTGAGTAGCTGGGATTACAGGCATGCACAACCATGCCTGAGTGCTTTTTGTATTTTTAGTAGAGACACTGTTTCACCATGTTGGCCAGGCTGGTCTCAAACTCCTGACCCCAGGTGATCTGCCCGCCTCGGCCTCCTAAAGTGCTGGGATTATATGAGCCACCGTGCCTGGCCACTTTTCTCATTTTCAGTGTAAGGTGCAATTTACTTTGTCAGTGTGGATTTTAGAAGTCATTTTATTGACTGGCATTTTTCTAGACTAAAATATAAGTAGTAAGTAGAGACTAATAATTAACAGAGTGAAAAGTGAGATGTACCAAAACATCTTACTGAATTGCTCTAAACTTCTACATTGCCACATCTTAATTATAGCTATTGGGTCTCTTAAATATTTTCTCTAAAACTTGCTTCTAGAAAAATGTTGGTAATACACTGAAAACATGTAAATTGAGAGATCCTATAGGAATATTCATTATTTAATATTTTTATACAGCTATCTAATAAGTAATGTCTTTGGTTTTTTCCATAGATATGTTTTTTCCATACAAGAAAATTTCTTCCATGCAAGAAAAATCAAAGAGACATTTTATTGACCTCTTGTTTAGATATTCATGGAGAATGCCCCAAAACGAACGGTTACTCAGCACAGATATTTCCAATCAATATGCTATAAAACCACTTTTTTACTAAAAAATGTTAATAGAAAAAGACCAGCATGTAAAACTTTCTTATAATGGAAGATACATATTATGTCTTTAAATGGTTGATAAAAGACTCAATGCAGGTTGCTCTGGTTAGCCAGAAGAGATGCATGCTCATTTTATATTACATTTGAAAAAAGAAAAAAAAAAGGCAATTTGTTCCCTATTTTCTGACTCAGGCTTGAATATAAATGCATTCTGTGAAAGTTCAGGGGAATGGAATGTAAGGAAAGGGATAGTAAACACATTTTTCTTTGGATTATTGTTTTTCTCAAATGGAAATTTGATGTGAACCACAGTGTGCATTCAGAAAAGCAAGTATTTTGTGATGGCCTCTAGTTTTTGTTTGTATTGGGGATTTTCTAAAAAGACAGCAAAAAGGTGAAAGTCTGCGTAAAATTTTATATTTAAGAATATTTTGAAACCTATTCCTAATCAGCATTCCTAGTAGAAATTGGATTCCCTGTCATCTTTCACTTTTCTCATTCCAAATTTAATGGTTGATTGTTGGTGTAGTTATTGATGGATTTTCCCCCAAAGACTGTTTGACTTGGGCCATGAAGCAGGACAGACCAGGTGCAAATTATTGAGGTTCTTTGATAATCCCATAAATGTTCCAAGTCTCTGCAGTTCACGTGTATCACTGTTGTTCATCTGAAATCTATGGATTATCATAGTCGCACAGCATATCAGAGAAAATAAATTATTCATAAAAATCATTTGGAGGCGGGGCACAGTGGCTCACGCCTGTAATCCCAGAGCTTTGGGAGGCCGAGACGGGCAGATCACCTGAGGTCAGGAGTTTGAGATCAGCCTGGCCAACATGGTGAAACCCTGTCTCTACTAAAAATACAAAAATTAGGTGGGCATGGAGGCATGTGCCTATAATCCCAGCTACTCGGGAGGCTGAGGCAGGAGAATCACTTGAACCTGGGAGTTGGAGGTTGCAGTAAGCCAAGATCGCAGCATTGCACTCCAGCCTGGCCACAGAGCGAGACTTTGTCTCAATAATAACAATAATAATAATAATAATAATAATAATAATTTGGAAAACTTTTCTTTTTACATAAAAGGTAAGAACTTTGCATGATGTAGACAGAAGCCCAGCAATAAGTTGTGGACTGATTTTCAAGTCCCTTCTATATGAGGTTAAAAAAAAAAGAATGTACAATAAACAACAACTAATCCATTGTCACTCAGTAGTCATATATCCTTAAAAATATTTAAATTGATTATTAACCAAAAGATAATTATATTTAAGCAAAAACAGTCTCACACAGAAAGCAGCTCTTTGTTTTTAGTTACATTTGGCTGTGTGACCCCGCCTCCCTCCACGTGAACTACAGAGACTTGGAACATTAATGTGATTACTGAAGAACCTAAATAACTTGAGTGTGACCCCCACTCCCCCAACTACAACTTCTCAGCCCATGCTCTCTTCCTGTGCCTTCCAGGTGTCCAACCCCAGGCTGCGATGGCTCGGGGCACGTGACTGGAAACTATGCTTCCCACAGAAGGTAGGATTGATCTTATTTCTGAGATGTGGAAATGAGCTTGTCGGCAGCAGTCAGAGAGATCACATAATTTTGCTTTGTTCTTTGTCGGGTCCCTATTTCAGCTTGTCCGGATGCCCTCGTGCAAGGAAAGGTGGTGTCAAAATGACCCCTACCAAGGAAGAAAAAGAAGACCCTGAACTGAAGTAAGTGCAACAGTTGAGACATGGGGGTCAGCTGTCTCTTGTTGGTAAAATGGGAGGGAACTTGGTTGGGATGCAATTGAACACGGATTGAGTTTCAGGGAAGGTGTACCCTATTAAATATAAGCAAGAGTCAAACTATTTGGTGGTTTGAGAAAAGTTTCCAATTTATATCTACACTTCCACAGCTCTTTGATAATGCAAAAGATTGTTTTAAAAAGTAACAGTTTCATACATTTCTCAATTGTTTTAAAGGAAAGTATTATTGTGGAAGTACTATACAATGATAAATATGGCAGCATTTTCCCCCGAAACTTTAATTTTGCTTAAGGTGAAATTATATCTAAATTGAATTCCTTCCTCTAAGAAAGGTCATGGATGATATATGCAGATATAGATTAAGTTGTTTTCTCAACAACAGTTCTAAATGCAATATTTAAACATTTAGAAACTCAAATTCCAGTTCTATGAGTAATGTGCTATGCAGCGTCTGTTAAGGCAGTTAACATGTTATACCTTTGGTCTTCGGAAGCAACATAACATAGTCCTTATGTGGTTGGCTCTAGACCTAAAAAGTGTGGGCATGAACTTGGCTCCACTTCTTATAAAATGGGCGGCAGGTTACCTGAGCTCTCTAAGCTTCATTATTCCTCATCTACAAAATGGGATAATAATACTCTCTACCCAGTAGATTGTAGTGAATATTAAGTGAGATAATGCATGAAAATCGCGTAGCTCTGAGCCTGTTTATGCAATGCTGTTTTGCTAGTTATGGTGGCATCTTTTATTAAAACTCTATAATTGCATGGTTTGTTCTCTGGAGAGCATAGGACTATCACTGCCTTCTTCCTGGCTGGTAATGTCTCTGCTTTCTCTCTAGATGTCCTGTGATAGGGTGTGATGGCCAAGGTCACATATCAGGTAAATACACATCACACCGCACAGCTTCTGGCTGTCCTCTGGCTGCCAAGAGACAGAAGGAGAATCCTCTCAATGGAGCCTCCCTCTCCTGGAAACTGAACAAACAAGAGCTACCACATTGTCCCTTGCCAGGCTGCAATGGGCTGGGCCATGTAAATAATGTTTTTGTCACCCACCGAAGGTAACATGAGTTTTCTGTCTTTTTGTTGTAGTGTTGTGATCGGTTGTCGCCTAGGCTGCCTTGGGGAGAGGGTTGTGAACAACCCCCTAAAGGTTGTTCACTGTAGCAGTTGAGATGTCATAACATGAAGTCTTGCTGTATAGATACTGGATGAGCATGAAGAATGAAAAATGTTATTCTCTCTATTTCTTAAAATTACTACACAGTTTTCAAGTGCTCTAGAAAATGTACAGTTGGTTTTATTTGTATTCTAAAATATTGCTTAGGCTGCTATTTCTTAACGGTTCAGTCATTTAATGGTTTACTTCAGTTCCAAGTGGTGATATCTATTCTATTATGTTATGTAATTGCAAACTTTTACTTTACATATTTATAGCATTCCCTCTGTCTTATGGACTGGCTCAATTTGGGGGCAAAATTGTAGTTATTTTGCTACTGGGAGGATGTGACTCATCCGCAGCAGCCAGAAAGAAAATGACACAGTGACTGCAAAGTGTGCAGCAGGATACAGGAGATCTAGAAACCCTTTTATAGCTTCCCAGTGACTGAATTCCTTTACCACCGAGTGTCATGCATTCAACCAAGCCCTTTCTTGGGCAACAGTGATCTTTGTCCAGCTTTTTGGTTCACATTCCACCTAAAGGGAAAGATTAGAAGCTTCCCTACATATTTCTCCCTACAGGGGGTCCTGTCTTGTCTTTTGGGCCACTGTACATGATGCTGGTTTAAAATCCAATGAAGCTTTAGGAAACCGTTAATGTTTTGTATATAAGCAGTGTAAACATTGAGCAAAATTGGGGCTTTTTGAGATTTTGCTCAGTTCTAAAGTTATATACGGATGATATCAGAAAATAAAGCCTTCCAGGAATTGCTTGTTTAAAGATATTTAAATATTCAGTAAAACCTGTTTATGGAGAAAACTTGACTTTTTCCAGTGGTTTATTTTTTGATGGTTTTCAAATGTAGACTTATGTCCACAATAGCACACATTATTTTATTCTGAATTTGAATTATTATTTCATATTCAGGAACTTCAGTCACAAATCAAGTATGCCTAATGGCACATTTACTGTACAATAGCTTGAATTCCTTGTAATGACCTCAGTAATATCCATGTTGATACTGCTAATGAAATATTAATGCTGTACTGTGGTGAGCACATCCCTCAGTTAGCAATAATGAAGTTATCTTTAAAACTTGTGAAGAAGTTTTAAATGATGATGCCAAGGCTTGGTGAGGATATGGAGCAACAGATACTCCCATACTCTGTAGGTGGCAAAGCAACTGATAGTGCCACTTTAAGAAGCAAATTATCTTTAAAGAGTCAATTTGAAAACAACAAATGCACTTGCCCCAGCACACACTCAGACTTATGCCCGGAGGATCTCTGCATATGAGAACCCGGAGATCTGTCTGACCACATCTGAGCAGTGTTGCTCTACTAACTCCAGACTGGAAACAACCTTGGTGCCCACTAACAGTGGAGTGGGTAAATAAGTAGTGCTTATTGATGGTGGTACATGCCTGTGGTCCCAGCTACTCAGGAGGCTGAGGCAGGACGATTGCTTAAGCCTGGGAGTTTGAGGCTGCAGTGAGCTGTGATTGCTCCACTGCACTCAAGCCTGGTGACAGAACAAGACCCCATCTCTAAAAATAGAATATTCTTTTAACTGCAAATACACATCATAGGTTCCTGTTTACATATTATGTATTTCATAATAACAAAAAGAAAATTCTGATTTCAAAAATATAGGCTGCAATATTAATGCCAAGGTACTATTTTCTTTTCTTTTTCTTTCTTTCTTTCTTTCTTTCTTTCTTTCTTTCTTTCTTTCTTTTCTTTCTTTCTTTCTTTCTTTCTTTTTCTTTCTTTCTCTCTCTCTCTCTCTCTCTCTTTCTTTCTTTCTTTTTTGAAACAGAGTCTCACTCTGTCGCCCATGCTGGAGTGCAGTGGGCTCGACCTCGGCTCACTGCAACCTCTGCCTCCCCAGTTCAAATGATTCTTCTGCCTCAGCCTCCTGAGTGGCTGGGACTACAGGTGCATGCCACCACACCAGGCTAATTTTTGTATTTTTAGTAGAGACAGGGTTTTGCCATGTTGGTCAGGCTGGTCTCGAACTCCTGACCTCAGGTGATCTGCCCACCTTGGCCTCCCAAAGTGCTGGAATTACAGGCATGGGCCACCACACCCAGCCTCCAAGTTATTATTTTCTAGGAGATGGGAAGCAGTGAAGAATTTAGACAAAGGTAATTCAGATTTCAGCATTCTTGACTCGAAAGTTCTCTTGCAATTTAAAATATTTAAGAAATTGGATTTAATTTGGGGTATCCTCTTTAAGGTGGAATACTCTTTCTTTTCTATGTGTAGAATTTAATGGAATTGAATTTCTCTTGTGATTTCAAATACTTAAGAGACTGTAGTTAATGTGGGGTATTCTCTTTAAGGTGGAATGCTCTCTCCTTTCTGTGTGTGGAATTTCTTTCTTTTTTTTTTTTTTTTTTTTTTGATGGAGTCTCACTCTGTCACCCAGACTGGAGTGCAGTGGTGTGATCTCAGCTCACTGCAACCTCCGCCTCCCAGGTTCAAGCGATTTTTCTGCCTCAGCCTCCCAAGTAGCTGGGACCACTATACCCAGCTAATTTGTTGTATTTTTGGTAGAGACGGGGTTTCACCATGTTGGTCAGGCTGTTCTCAAACTCCTGAACTCAAATGATCTGCCTGCCTCAGCCTCCCAAAGTGCTGAGATTACAGGTATGAGCCACCGTGCCTGGCCTATGTAGAATTTAATGGAATAATATGGCAAAACGCCTCGCTTATGCCTGGCACGCAGTAGGGGTTCAACACAGATGATCTTCTTTCCTGTTTGTGAAGATAATATTAAGCCTATATGTATATATATGCAGGATGACTTACATGACTTGGAATATAACTCACAACTGGCTTTTATATGTTACATATTTTGAATCTGAAATCTCTGAGATTGTTCAATTTCTTTCCCATCACTTGTTACCTAGTAATAGCTGACATGTATTCAGGGTTCTTGCCCACAGACAGCACCCTTATAAGTAACTTGTACAGTTTATTCCTTTAAAACTTTGCAAAACCCTGTGAGCTATAGTTATTATAATTATCCTCAGTTGACAGAAGATGAAACAAGCACAGGAAAGTTATGGAATTGCTTTGAATACAGGTTGGCACGTGAAAGCCAGTGTCACCCCACTTCCCCTAAGGTTTAATGATGGGTCCTCACCATGGGCCAGGCACCAAGCTGAGGTGTCACAGGCACTAGTGCATAGACTTTTCTCAACCAAAATGGGAATCATTACAAAACACACTTTGTAGGACGTTTAAGAACAATTTGACCCACACACTATATCCATATTATATTTATATAATAACTACCTTCAAACCTTGCTTTAAATCTCTATGTGACAAAATTTTCCCTTTGAAAAAAATAGCAATCTGAGAAGACAAGTGATATATTAAAACACACACACAATTATGGATGTTTGTAGCTTTAAAATCAGAAGTCCTGTGATTGACAGAACTCATTTAGTGCTATGCCATATCTTTGTGATTTTATTGAAACTTAGTAATAATATATTGTAAGCAATTATGTTCACGAGATACATTGTATCACCTGCCATTTTGCTTTAAGAAGGCAGATGAAGATATAATTTAAAATTGCAGCTGGGCACCGTGGATCACGCCTGTAATCCCAGCACTTTGGGAGGCCAAGGCGGGCAGATCACTTGCTGTCAGGAGTTCGAGTCCAGCCTGGCCAATATGGTGAAACCCCGTCTCTACTAAAAATACAAAAATTAGCCAGGTGTGGTGGTGTGCACCTATAATCCCAGCTACTTGGGAGGCTGAGGCAGGAGAATTTCTTGAGCCCAGGAGGTGGAGGTTGCAGTGAGCCAAATTGTGCCAGCGCACTTCAGCCTGGGTGGCTTGGTGAGACCCCGCCTCAAAAAAAAAAAATCCCTTAATATGTCATAATAGAATGGTAATTTTGGTCAAAACCATATAAGGCACGTTTTTTTCTGCCTTTCCAGTATGGAGCCAAATACCTCAGCCTCTTAAAATCTGCCTTCAAAAGGAAAAAGGACTTCTAAAATATTTTTCCTGCCCTTTTTTTTTTTTTAATTTAAGATTCATTTTACATCCTGGAAGATATTAAATCTCTACATTGGAAGACACAAAATCAAGTGGCATTTTGGAAGCAAAGCCTCTCTTTCATAACTATATTCTTTGCTTCTAAGTCATGTAATTATGGATGGACGCTTCATTAACTTTTCCACAACACTGTGTCACCCTGAAAGTTCTCTGGCATGTTGTCTGCACAGAGTAGATCCTTTAAGGGTGAGGATGAGAGAAGTTCTAATGAGGTATTAATATCCATTATGTTACAAATGGACTCACTGAAGGTCACCTTTAAATATCCAGTTTACCAAATAAATATTCATGATTATTTTCTCAGAATACAATATGTGACATAAAACAAGACAGACATGCAAACTTCCCATAAAACAGATAATGAAACTTTTATAGGCCACAGTTGACAGTGAGAAGCTTCTGAAAATAGAAGACACAGTTTCCAAGTTGAGTTTGTGCTTTTCATTATTTTCTTTTTCTGTGTAGAAAAATCTATAGCTTATCAAATTAGGCAAACTGCATAGCCTTTTCTATATATGTAATAGTATATGTCTATTATTTTCTATATTTCATAGACTCTTAGTGTAGAATAATTAGCATTCTTGAAAAAATACAGTAATTAAGCACACATTTATTAAGGGCTTTTCTTCAGAAATATTTTCTTTCACCCTGCCAAATGTCCCAAGCTTCAGAGTGAAATGATTTCTTTACAGATGAGTTGTAACTAACTTTCTGCAGAAAAAAAGACTTTAAATGACTGATTATGATCATCACTATTTTGATCTAAAAATTGTTTCTACGAAAACACAGCAAGATTGCAAAAGAATTAATGGCTGGATAGAACAACAAAATTATCTGATCATAAACGTTGAAAAACAAGTTTTCTTCAATGTTGTCATTTATCATGCTGGTGCAATTTAAATAAAACAGATGACATTAAGGGAAAGAAACCCTGCTGAAGAGTGCCACTACTAAATGGAAGGGTTATAAACACCACTGCAATGTAATAGACTGCCTCTGCAGTGATTGCATCTGAATACACTTGTGGCAGCTCCTCTTATTCTCCTTCCAGGGTAGAGAATTTTTTAATGAAAAATGTTGTAAAAGTTAAAGAAAAAAATTAAAAACATTCCCATAACCAAACTGAATTTGCCATGGGGGCGTGGGGTAGGGCTTTATTTTGACTTGTATTAATTTGAGTCATTCTATAAAGGTCAAGGAACACTTTATATAAAGGAAGGAAGAACTAGATTCTGCTTTATTACTCATGGAATTTTGACTAATTGGGAACAATTCTTATTCATAATATATATGTACAATTTCACATTTACAGAAAATAAAGTAACCACTACTAAACAAAAGAACTTACTTGAATGGAGATGAATAGCAATTTAACAAAATAAATTAAATAATAATTGTGTATCAGCAGTAACTATTTGTACCTTGATTTAAGGAAAGAAAGCAAAACATTTTACATTATTTGAGGGCCTTTGGCCTTTGCTTTAATGGGTATGTATTCATTACTCTCTACAAAGAGACTGTGGGTTATAATGTAATTAATCGGCAGCAAAAACACAAATAGTAGGTTGTGAATAAAACATTTTAATTTTTATAAGAAATCATATACATTTCATACATTAGTACAATTTCTATTTTCACAGCTTATCTGGATGTCCTCTCAATGCACAAGTTATCAAAAAGGGCAAGGTTTCTGAAGAACTCATGACCATCAAGCTCAAAGCAACTGGGGGTAAGAGCACAGGGCTGGCTGTCACCACCTCCTGCAGGGTGTAGACCCTGGCTCCCCAAAGCGTTCCGTGTGTCAAAGTATTCTCTAGGTGGGAAGCATAATTTTAATGTACAAGAAGAAAGGTTTCCTCAGATTTGAACTAAAATTATAACTTTGTTTAAAAACCAATTTTTTGGTGTTTTCCTTATTTTTAAATAAGGAGTGATCTCCAACAGAGAAAGTCAGGCAGTGGGGTATGATGGATTAAGATACACTTGTGGTTGGCAGGGCATGCTGGCTCACGCCTGTAATCCCAGCACTTTGGGAGACCAAGGATAGAGGATTGCTTGAGGTCAGGAGTTTGTGACCAGCCTGGGCAACATAGCCAGACCCCATCTCTAAAAAAAAAAAATATTAGCCCAGTGTGGTGGGGCACACCTGTAGTCCCAGTTACTCTGGAAGCTGAGATAGGAGGATTGTAGAGACCAGGAGCCCAGGATCGAGGCTGATGTAGTGAGATATGATAGGGCCACTGCACTCCAGCCTGGACAACTGCGAGAGGCCCTATCTCTAAACAAAACAACAACAACAAAGATACACTAGTGGAAGTTGTGTCCTTCAGTCTCTCTCACGTGTGTGTGTTCTCTTTCTCTCTCGTGTGTGTGTATGTGTGTGTGTGTGTGTACGTGCGCGTTTTTCTGGTATAAATCTGCTATAAAATTTCAGGAAGCAGTTTCTGGCATCTGTATGTGAATCCTTCAATTGTGTTCTTCTGTGCCCAACATGATATTTTTATAGAGATTCTGGAAGGTTTGGACTTAGCATCCAGATCTTTACCTACATCTACATTTCCCTAGATATTTCCTTAGTGTCAATCCCCTCTCCAAGTTCAGAGACACAGTTTCTGAGTTCTCTGTTTGGATCCTCCAATTTTCCTTTGATACTTGAATGCATTTTCTGGAGATTTCTAATGAGCATTATCTGGGGCCTGTGTTGTTTTCCATCAAAGATCGTTCCAAAGCATTTGAGAAACAATGACAGAGCAATTATTTTGCTCTGGAGACTTTATTTGATGGCATCTTTGGCACATGACTAGAATTGAGCTGGGGACTTTCACTGTTGCTACTTTCCCTGAAAGCATTGCTCAATCTTTTTAATTTGTGTGTGTGATTTTTAAAAAGAAGACATGCAGTATCCAAGGGAGGGAAAGCTTCCTACTGTTTCCTTCCAAGGCCTTCATCTGCTGTATTTAAAGCGGTCCTTGTTGGGGATTCTCTCCCTCCATGGGTCCTCACCTCTAAGCGCCAAAGGAGGGGAGTGTACATGCAGAGGAGAAATAAAGCCCTGGCTGCTGGGGACAGGCCTGCCTCTTCCAGTCTTTCCAGCATTCACATGCTCAGTAAAAGAGCTTTTCACTAGATGTTCTGACTGCTCCTTGGAAATACTGCCCATTCCCTAAATACCTCTCAGTACATATGCAGTGAAATTGGGACAATTTAATGTGTATTTATTTATCTCCTTATTTCAAATAGTATTTAAAGGATAAGGACTGCAAAGCTACATGAAATTTTTCTAAAATGCTGGTTAAAAATTTAATTCAGCCAGAAACAGTGGCTCACATCTGTAATCCCAGCACTTTGGGAGGCCGAGGCGGGCAGATCACGAGATCAGGAGATCAAGACCATACTGGCCAACATGGTGAAACCCCATTTCTACTAAAAATACAAAAAAATTAGCCAGTGTGGTGGCACACACCTGTAGTCCGAGCTACTCAGGAGGCTGAGGGAGGGAATTGCTTGAACCCTGGAGGCAGAGGTTGCAGTGAGCCAAAAAAGCACCACCGCACTCCAGCCTGGGCAACAGAGTGAGACTCTGTCTCAAAAAAAAAAAAATTAATTCAAAAATGAGACAAAGGAAAGTCGAAGATAAGAATGCAAGATGGAGCAACCCTGAGGACACTAAGACGTGTGCGAAGAGTCATTTCTTGCTGGGTAAATAAGGATTGCAAATTTGACCTTGCCTTTTAGAAGCCAACACAAAAGAAAGCTATAATCACCGTGTGAATCACGTGGTAGTAAGTAAACTCAGAGCAAAACTCCTTCTGGAACCCAGTGCATGAAGAAAATATTTCTTATGAGTTCTCATTATGAAAACACCACTACCATCCATACTGTAAACAGAATATAAATTACAAGGCCACTCCTAAGAAAGATAAATACAGAACAGTCATCTGGCATTACATCAAATTATGATAGAGCTTTGCAGGGGGCCAGCAGCAGGTGGTCTGTCTGAACCCACAATAGACTTGCACAGAGACCCAGGAACAGCAGGGCTGAGCACATACACTTCAAAGGGTCCCTATATGTCTAGCATCTTCAGCTGAGCTTTCAAAGAATATAGAGCAGCAGCGAGCTGGGTTGAACCCATTGACAAGTGTCAGGGTGCAGTCATTCTATGTGGACAGGTAACTAACTGGAAAAGTACACGTTTTACAATCCAAGAAAGTAGAGGCTGATGCTGTGTAAAGCTTAAGAACCTACAATGACTTTGCATGAGAAAAAGGCCACCTGGATTCAGGTCAGAAGGACCTAAAGTGGTTTGGGGGTCTGCTCTAACAATGCTGTGTTTCATGATCCCTTACCTTAAAGTGTGGCCACAATAATTGTTCTCTGGATGATCTTTAAAGTAGATGTAAACCAACACACCTTCAGACATTAAAAATGTTAAATCAAATTGCAATGAAATACAAAGTGCATATGGCTTTACCTTTAGCATACTATGTTAATTTAAACTACGTACAAATCATTCATGTAATTAGCTGAATTAGATAATATTTTAGGGGAATATTATGTACAAACCATTTCAAACATGGAAGGTCTATATCAAAAAATGTGTACATTAATTTTAGAATAATTGATCTTTAGTTCTCCATCCTTGCCATAATTAAATTGCCACATTAATTTTTAAAGACCTTTACTAGTCCTTGATAATAAAATTAGGCCATCTGTATAAGAAAGAATGCCAGTCCTTCTGTGCTTTGTAGAAACAAGCAGAAGTTATGATAATTGATCTATGTATATGGTCTTGCATTTAGGAGCTCCTTCTAGCTCTTCTCATGTGACAAAATAGTGTGTCCTAAATATAGTTATATATAATTTATTTCTAGATATTAACTCTCCTCACTCCTTTAGTAACTAAATAGCCAAATTTACATTAACTCATTTTCCCCTAAATAAAAAAAAATAGTACAATTTTGGTACGTAAACTCAATTTAAAAATAAAAGTTCGGCCGGGCACGGTGGCTCATGCCTTAATCCCAGAACTTTGGGAGGCCGAGAAGGGTGGATCACGAGGTCAGGAGTTCAAGACTAGCCTGGCCAACATGTTGAAACCCCATCTCTAATAAAAATACAAAAAAAAACATTAGCTGAGTGTGGTGGCAGGCTCCTGTAATCCCAGCTACTCAGGAGGCTGAGGCAGGAGAATCGCTTGAACTCAGAGGGCACAGGTTGCAGTGAGCCAAGATCGTGCCACTGCACTCCAGCCTGGGTGACAGAGTGAGACTCCATCTAAAAAATAAATAAATAAATAAATAAATAATAGAAGTTCACTCAAGAAATATAATAGAATTTGTTTGAAATATAATAGAATTGCTTCATTTGTATAATATGAAAAAACATAACTATAGTACTTAAAGCCTCATAAGTTGAGAATACTTGCTCTATACAAGTATATACATAGCTTGCATAATTATACAGAATACAAAGAAAATATAATATATAATCCCCAAATATGCAAATTAGGCACAGATTAGTACCAAATAAATATTAGAATTATTAAATGAAAAGAAAGCATAATCTATTGCTTTTACATAAATGGATTATATAAAGAATCAAAGTCACTGAACAGTTAAGTAAAATATTTAGTGGAGGCTAGGCGCAGTGTCTCATGCTTATAATCCCAGCACTTTGGGAGGCAAGGAAGGCGGATCAGCAGGTCAAGAGATTGAGACCATCCTGACCAACATGGTGAAACTCTGTCTTTACTAAAAATAAAAAAATTAGCTGGGCATGGTGGCGTACGCCTGTAGTCTCAGCTACTCAGGAGGCTGAGGCAGGAGAATCGCTTGAACCTGGGAGGCAGAGGTTGCAGTGAGCAGAGATTGCACTCCTGTACTGCAGCCTGGTGACAGAGTGAGACTCTGACTCAAAAAATAATAATAATAATAATTTAGTGGATAGTTTATACGGTTTCCTTGATAATCAGCAATACCTAGCTAGTCCAACACTCTACTAGAAGTATGTCTGTAAACATCAGGGCACACCTTTTACTGATACTTCCAAAACAGATGAAACATCTATGAATAAAGATAGTATTTTCATGGTTAAAAGAACATATTCTGGAACCAGAGAGCTTATATTTGAATTCCCGCTGTACCACTTACTTTGTAACTTGGCTTCCCATCCATACTTTGAGGTAATAAATGTTTCTACCTCATGGTTTTTAAATGAGGATCATACGAGTTAATATTTGGAAGTGCAGAGTGAAATCCAAAGGTTCTTAGAGACTGTGTGCATGGAAAGAAGTTTGGCAGATGAGCGACTCTGTGGAAACAGATAAAGTGATATGTTAACAGGAAACATTACAAAGAAATTAGTTGAATTTGATCCTGTGGCTAAAATAGCACCCCAGATCCCAGAAATTATAATAAAAACATTAGTTCCTTCACTGATTAATTCTCTGAGCATGTAAAGGGAGCCTGTTACGTATTAGATCCCATGACAATGTTTCCTTTTTGAGATCTCATCTTATGATCTTCCCTCACAAGCTCCAGCCATCTTTTGTTATTAGGCATCTTCCAAACAGCCCCATCTTGATTAAGAGGCTGGGGTGTCTTCAGGAACATTGGCCCTCAGCGAAACATAATCCTAACGAAATCCCAGAACCAAGAACTCAGGCTGTCACTTAAACAGTCTTCTCACAAGCACTCATAACTTAGCCAAAATTGAACTTTTACTTATCCTACTACAAGTTTCAGCCTCCCAGTCTGCCTCATCACAGAGACAGCTCTACAGTTACCCACCTGCTCTGGCAGAAACAAGCAGTCAGGGTTGATTCCTCTCTTCTCCGTCGATTCCTCTCTTCTCTCACCCCCTACCTCTAGCCCTCACAAGTCCTGCAAATTCTGCCTGCAGATTAGATCCTGAGTCTGTCTCCTTCTCTTGACCTCACTTCCCTACACCCAGCCAGGACTCCAGCAATCATCTCCTCATGGGTCTCCTCGCTTCTGCTCTGTCTCTTCTCCAATCTATCCGCTACTCAAAACTCCAAATTATGTTTGTGAAAATTCAGCTCAATCACCCCAGCTCTCCTACCTACAGCCCTTCCCTGGCTCCTGTTGCACTTGGAATAAACCTAAGCTCCCAGGATGTCCCCATGGCCTGCTCCCATCATTCACTTTCTTGCTGTCCATGGGGCACTCACTCCCTTCCCAGCCTGGGCTCTGGGCTTCCTTCCTCCTCTTGGATGCTCAGCTGCTGGCTGGTTTTTCACAGGCCTGCCTCCTTCTGATCTTGAAAGTCTTGAAAGGAGTGCATCTTCTCCAGTGAAGGGCCTCCCAGAACCCTTTGTGCTTCCTTCAGAACACTTCATGTTTTACAAGCATCTCCTTGGTTTTTGTCTGCCTCACCAGATATTATGTAAGAAAATAACATTCTTTGAGGTGGAATTTTACTATAAAAAGACAGAAAAGAAAAACAATATGTCAAAGAAATTTATAACAATAGAAGTTTTCGATAGCTCAAATCAGAAAAATTTCAAGTGCTGATAGCACTCCAAATACCTGTTTCATTGAGAATCCAGGTATTTCAGTCCTTTCTTCCCCAGCTCTTACCCATCAGTTGTCTGAGAGGAGATCCCTGTACCTGCACACCAACCAGTAAAATACGGGGCTCCAAGATGCAGTACAATTCTCCAGACACAGCTGGCCAGTGCAGAATGAATCCTGAGTCCCAGATACTATAGTTCCATGAGTATGGTCCTGGGTAACTGTTGGTTGTTTTCTTAGTAGCCATGTCATACTGATGACTCATATTTAAACTGGTCTAACTACTAAGGTACCTAAGTCTTATATGTTGGTTTGTTTTCCTTTTTTCATTAAATCTTAGAGCCCAGAGTTATATCAATCTTATGACACACTCTCTTCATTGGTCCATGCATGGCTCACTTTATTCAGTAGTTACTTTTAATAAAGCAGTAAGTACCCACAGAATAGCCATCTGTTTTATCATGCTGTATGTGATGTAACTTTCGGCTTACTTTTTTTCTCTTCGCACTAAATTACTAAGAATCTCCCGTGTTGTTTTTGGTGGGCATGTGGTTTCCTTTCAAGTTGTGCTTTTGGCGAGCAACACTGCTGTGTACACCTTATGCATGCTTCCTGTGTGCAACCATTTGTTTTGGGTGTGTACCTAAGGAAGAAATTGTAGGGTCATAGAGAATGTGAGCATCCACCTTCAGGAGGTAATGGATTATTTCCCAAAGTAGTCACCCTAGGAAAGTATAAGAGCCCAGATCTCTTTCAAACCAATTGTCAAGCCAAGTACCCTTTATCCTTCTCTCATGAAATTGCTCCTATGAAGTCTCTACGTGGAAGTTCACATGTCCTTCTTCATTGTCACCCTGGTTCAGATTCATTCTTCTAGGAGGTAAATTACCTCCAATCCTGCTTCCCGCACCCTTAATATTAACTACCTTCCCCAGGTCCTTGAAACCTTTCAAATGTAGTCATACTCCTTCTACAAAGTAATCATGGGAAATAACCCCCATTCACTGAGAGCCTGTGGCATGTTTAGCGCTCTACATTTTATTGCATTCATTCTCACAGTGTAGATAACATGCCTATTTTACAGAAGAGGATACTGAAGCACAAAGAAGATAAGTAAGTTGCCCAAGTTGCAGAACAGGAGTCAAACTCCCAAGCTGATGTCCTTCCCCCTAAATTACATTTTCCTCATCCATGTCCACGTGGAAGACTATGCCAATGTGTTTCTGGACACTAATTCACCTGCCAGCAGCCCCGCAGCTCTGCCTCCCATCATGGGTCCTAAGGTCTAATTCAACTAAACAGATATTTAATTACTCAGCATAAAACTGTCCTTGGAGCATTTTGAATAAGAGAATGCAAGGGCTTTGAGGTTTAATCCCAGCTCTGCCTCTTAATTTGAACTTGGGCAGGTTATTTAACTTCTGTCAGTGATTCTTGGGGTCTCATTTAACCTCTCTGGGCTCGGTGTCTTCATATGTGAGGAGGGTATAATGGAGCGTGTCCCACTGTAGGGTGTGGTAAGATGTAATTGAAGGCATATTTACAAATGGGTCTGGCAGCACCCCTGGGACATAACTGAGCTACATGCAAGGGTGGCACTTTTCTACTCCCTCTTTTCTTTCTTACCAATAAATTAAATCTGTAACTTCTCTTATCCACTTTTTCAGAATCCTAGATATGCATTGTTTTGGTAAAAACACTAAATGAAAGTCTCATTTTCAAGTAGCAAATCACAAATTAAACATATAATGACTCATTTGTTAACAGTTTTCAGTTTGAACTAAGGTAGTCTTACTCTTTACAGGAATAGAGAGTGATGAAGAAATTAGGCATTTGGATGAAGAAATAAAGGAACTGAATGAATCCAACCTTAAAATTGAAGCAGATATGATGAAACTTCAGACCCAGGTAAAAAAAAGAAGTAATTCATGATCCTTAATGTAATCATAATCTTTGGTGGAAACAAAACATTGAAATTTTAAAACTTGTGTGAAAATATATGGTAACTTAGAGTCAATATGCTGAGTGTTTCTAGATTCCATAATTATTGTAAAATTCTGAATAGGTGGATCATCCCAGGTTACCATTTATTCAGTAGCTCTGGGCAAGCTTTCTCATGTTTTTGCCCTGGTGGCATCGAAGTTTTTATAAGCAAACAAGGCAGATCATCCTATAACCCAAGAGTCTCTGGTGCATTAGAAAAAAAATGTGATGGAAAGGTAAGAATCCTTGGTTTTATTCAAAATTCAAGTAAAATATAGCAACTTTTTGTTTAATGTTTTTGGAACACCTCTGAATGTGTAAGTATTTATTAGAAACAGATCTTACTGAATATTTTCTTGAGCAAATTCTTTACCTAAAAGCCCAAGCAATTTCTCAATTCTGCATTCTTCTTTGTGATGTCTGCCTCATCTCCTGGAAATCAACAGTTCAGTCCAAGATTTTTAAAACATGAATCATAACTCTCTTGCAACAAGTTAGCAGCAAAAGAATGAGACAGAGCATACGACTGTCTTTCTCCCCTTCCCTTCTCTCCTCTTCTGAAATGCAGGATTTTTATGCCACCATGGTTACTGGATCTCTTGGAAGTCCTCACACAACAGCTTAAGACAAAGGGTTTTAATCCATCTGAAATTTAGGTTTCCTTACCCAGAGTGACCATTGTTGCCATCATCAATTTAATGGCCATCTGGTCCACAGATTGATACTTTTGTCTAGAAATCATGGGAATTCCTCTAGAAAACCATTAGCAAAGAACACAAAGCCCTCTGCCCTCCTGAGACTTATAGTCTAGAAGGAGGAAGCAGACAATAAACAAAAAAGTCATAAATGATCAATGGTGTTGTATGCTAGAATGGCAGGGGGCTGGGCGAGTGGCTGTATTTCAATACTAAATAGGACCACCAGCCCCCAGGAAGAAGAAAGCCATCCACAAAGACTTGAGGAATGAGGGAGTTAGCCAAACAAGTATGGAGAAAGAGTGTTTCAGACAGAAGAAACCCTGCAAGCGCAAAAGTGCTCATCATGAGAAGGCCTGGGGATTTCAGAAATAGCAAAGGGAAGTGTGGCCGCAGGTGAGTGAGCTGGGTGGGGCAGGTCACAGGAGAACAGTCTCAGAGACAACAAGGCAGCTCACACGGGGCATCTTAGGCCATTTTAAAGACCTTGGTTTTTATTCTGAATGTGTGCAGAACTGTAGCACAGTTTTGAGCTAACGAGTAACATAATCCCATCTGATTGACATGCTGACTTGCATTTTAACAGGCTCATCTTGGTGGCTGTGTTGAGGAAAGGCCAAAAAGAGATTAGATGGGGTAATGGCAAACACAAGGCCACCCACGAGAAGGTAGCACAGTCACACTGGTGGCTGGGCCCAGGGGGCAGCAGAGTGGAGGGGACAGTGGTCCCATCCTGGATATTTTGAAGGAGGAGCCAGTGGAGGTGAGGTATGAAAGAAAGAGCCATGGGGGGTCTGCACTACAGTTGAGTTGCTGCTGACTGGAAAAGGGAGACAGCGGATGGAGCAAGTTTGGGGAAAATAGCAAAGTTTACTTTAAACATGTTGAGTTTGAGATATCCATCATACAGCCATGTGGAGAAGTTCTACAATTCATGAGGAAGTCTGGGCTGAAGATGAAAATTTGGGGATTTGATTCCAGCACTTCAAACAATCCAGTGGGGCTGCAGCTTCATGCTGAGAAGTTACACGCATGCATCTCTGCATCTCTTAGTATTCAGATGCACTTGGTGCATTTTCCTTCAGGGAGAAACCTTTTACACTCCTTCCAAACTCCACTACTCACATTCCCAAGTTATTTCTGTTGTAGATCACATCTATGGAGAGCAACTTAAAGACGATAGAGGAGGAGAACAAACTCATAGAACAGAACAATGAAAGTCTGCTGAAAGAGCTGGCAGGTCTAAGCCAAGCTCTCATTTCAAGCCTTGCTGACATCCAGCTTCCACAGATGGTAAGTTCAAGGCCAGAACCTTGCCATTCCATTACAAGCATTTGCAGTGTCATCATGCATCTACCCACGGGGTTGCCACGACTGAGCTTTGAGGAGACCTGTGAGCAGTCACAGAGTGACCACACTTCATCACAGTCTGGCTTGGAGTAATCTCCCTCTCTGGGAACATGGTAGATACATTTATTTAAATTATATGAAGGCCAAGAATTTTTTAGAGGCCAAAGTCATTTAAAAACAAAGGATTTTTTAAAGCTCGGTTCACAATGTCATGTGAAAGTTGAAGGGCAAAACTCCCTCAGTGAAAATGTATTTCCAAGTAGAAGATTCCATGTCTTACAAAATTTGAGACCATTATTTGCATCATCCGCCCAAATCAGGAACTGTAACCAAAAATGTTCAATTCCCAATGGACTAGGTGCTTTCTTCATATGGAAGTATGAAGAACGTACTTCAGTTCTCCTCATATAAAATAAAAAGCAAAAAAAAATGAACAAGGAATCCTCATTTTCAAAATCTAAGCATGTATTTTAGGTATGCAACTATAGTCCTCTATCACCTAGTAATGGGCACACGTTCTAAGAAATGTGTCCTTAGGCAATTTTGATGTTGTGTGAACATCATACAGTGAACTTTCGCAAACCCAGATGACAGACCCTACTTTACTTACTTTGCACCCAGGCTATATGGTACAGCCTACTGCTCTGAGGTTACCCACCTGTGCAGCATGTTAGTGTACTGAATACTTTAGGCAATTATTAGTATTTGTGTATCTAAACATGGAAAAACATATCTAAACCATAAAAACATGCTATTGTTATCTTATGGGACTATCATCATATATTCAGTCTATCATTGACTGAGATGTTGTTATGCATTGCATGACTGTATTTGGAATTCATAGAAAATTAACTTCTTTTACATATTCTTAAATACAGACAAATCTTTGGAGGAGAGACTACATTGCTAAATGCTTTTAATTTCCTCAGAACCTAAATTTTTAGAATAATTTTTCCAAAGATGCCTATTTTATATATGAAATTATTTATAGAAGCAGCAATGTGATAAAGAAATGTAATTGGTTTTGGTTAAAACATTAAGCCCCTCCATTTTACCCAAGTTCCTAGCATGGAGTTCTTATCTTAACCGATTCCAAATATGTTTCTTGACTCCCACCAGCCAAAAAATCAATAATGTAATAATGAACACAAAGCAAAATAAATGATACCACTATGGTAAGGATTAAGGTAATTATTAAAAATCATTGCAATGTTATTTATGAATGTTGCGTAAATCATACTTTGAATATGCATTCCTTAGTATTTTCTTCTTCACCACTGCCATAAAAAACAGGTACCACACAAGTTAACCTGTGCCTTGTATACTCACCACACAGGGCACTCTAGTGGTGATTTTTAGTGCTGATCACACAAAATGTTACGAAAGCACCAAAGAGCGAGCATTAGTATTCCCATTCCATAGTTGAGGAAATCAGGGCTCGGAGAGCTTACTTAATTTGATCAAGTTTCCAGAGCTAACACAAGGCAAGTGGGCCCGGCCCTGCAGAGTGGCCTTTACCCACTGTGCTACCTGGGTTCCCATCCAATCCCCTGACTCTCCAAGAAACACAAGGCACAACAAAGGCAGGAAAGAGAAGGGGACAGAGAATCATGATTGGACAATACTAATAATTTAGATCAGCGCTTTGCCGAGCAGAGCACAACAAATAGCTTCAAATTTAGAAAGCTTATTTCCTTAAATAGCAACAATAACAGTACTTTGACATTTAAATGTCCTTTCTTCCAAGCACCTTTGCGAAGTAAGTCTCACGTCATGTGTTTTTAAAAAGGAGGGAAAATGGTGGCAACAGAAATGACTGAGTAGCATTCCCCTTGTGACATTCATTCCGTTTCACATTTGTGTGAAATTTACATGTATCCAGCATGTGCTCTCCTTGAAGCATCACACTGGGTAAAGGAGAGACCAAAACATACAAAAAGAACAGGGAGGCCAAGCATGGTGGCTCACACCTGTAATCCCAGCACTTTGGGAGGCCGAAGCGGGTGGGTCACCTGAGGTCAAGTGTTTGAGACCAGCCTGGCCAACATGGTGAAATTCCATCTCTAATAAAAATACAAAAATTAGCTGGGAGTGGTGGTGCACTCCTGTAATCCCAGCTACTTGGGGGGCTGAGGCAGGAGAATCGCTTGAACCTGGGAGGCAGAGGTTGCAGTGAGGTGAGATCACATCACTGCACTCCAGCCAGGACAATAGAGCGAGACTCTGACTCCAAAAAAAAAAAAAAAAAAAAAAAAAAAAAAAACACGGTATGAATAAATTTAAACTTTGTGAAACTGATATTCTGCTTACAGAGACTGAGAAATTTTTAAAAGTATATTGCAATGATGCCACAGGAGAGAAACAGGCTAAAAGGATCTGAGGATGGAGGAGGAAAATTTTCCATCACAACTGTTACTGAGCAACTCGCTCAAATCTTAAATTCTTTAAGTTTCTGCCCAGTGCTGTTAAGGGCACCACTTAGTACAAGCAACCCTTCCTTCCCAGCCTCACAAATATTCACCTTCCACAAACAGGAGGCATATGTAGTGCAAGGCATGTGCAGTCAAGGCTGAGGCTGCCTCCCAAGAGAAGTAGAAAAGTTTTGTGGAGTCCGAGTCCATAGCCAGACATATACTTTATGTGCTCCAAATCAACCCCAAATACTGTACAAGCCAGTCATATTCGTCTCCTGAATTAAGAGTGAACAGATGAATCCCACACACACTCCGTCTCTCTCCATCCCCTGCAACCCCAGCAGTCATATGCACCCTTGCCTTCCCTCCCGACTCCCGGATCACTGATCTTCGATGTCACTGGGTCCTTCTTTTCCCTCAGCCTGAACCACTGTGATTGGGTCAATGTGTTTTGTCTCCATTTAGGGACCTATCAGTGAGCAGAATTTTGAAGCATATGTAAATACACTCACAGATATGTACAGCAATCTGGAACGGGACTATTCCCCGGAATGCAAAGCTCTACTGGAAAGTATCAAACAGGCAGTGAAGGGTATCCATGTGTAGGATCACAGCGCTGCCGGGCAACAGAAGTTACCAACAGCAGTAAACTCCAGATGGATCTGTTAGAGGTTCATGTACTGCTAAGGCGTGGAGGTTGCCGTACTGCATTTACAATTTGCAACATTGCACTAATTTTATTTTCCCCAGCTGATATAAAAAGGAAAGAAAAACTATGATAGACTTCTTGGATTAAAAGCAATGCAGTCAATTATTAGATCTTATTTATTTTCATATGTTTTTCTTTTATTTCTTCATTGTACTCTTTTTTTTTTTGTAAAGTATATGTAAAATAAATGTGACATTTTTATAATTTATTTATTACTAATCAAAGAGTTTTTTATCTTTTAACTGCATTTTGAAGTCTGCCGTATTTTTACAAGTGTGTTTATTAATTTATTTTCCAATAGGATTTAAATAGAAATGCTATTCTCAAGTCATCTTTCTTGCTGGGTTTTAATGAGGAAACAGGAAAGGGTGAAGGAAATCCTTGTCTAAGGACTGCACTATAGTTGAGTTTGATTTTTATTGCACACTTCTTCCCCCACCTTTCACTGATTTTTGTATTTATAAATGAATTTGCGGTAAGGTGAGCTGCACGGAAGGAATAAGAAGACAAATGGCGCCCACTAGTGGGGAATCCGCACTCACAAAAGCACAGGATGCTGGAAAACAGCCTGCTCAGAATTTGTTAGCAATAATTAAATATAGCAATCAGCAAAGTATTCGACTTGGCTGGACGGTTTTCGTTAATATGAATTATTTATTTGAAATGTTTTAAAGAAACATAAGCCTTTTTAGTGATGCAGATTTGTCTGTTTGTTTTTCAAGTCATATCAGATCGTTGGCAACTCGTATCCCAAGATGAAAAATAAGACTTGGTGTGACCAGCCAGGCTTTCCTGCCATATGTTGGTACAATATACAAGTGACAATATTGGTGTAGATTTGTACTTAGCAAATACAAACACATCCAAATGAAAAATTTTGTAGATACCATATCCCCTGAAATAGCATTTATCTTACTGGGTTGACTGGAAAGGAATGGAAAATATAGTAACACATGAAAAAATGCTACTCCAATCTGAATGATTACTTCAAACACTGGCACCTTGGGTCTCACCCACCATAGGAAACAAGACAACATTCAATTTGATAGAAATCTTGCCACAAAACTTCAAATGCTACAAAATATACACACACACTCACACACACAGGCATACTCACACACAGACACACACACACACACACACACAGACTCATCCACACTTCAAATTGAGCCCACAATCTTGAATTTCTGAACGGATCAGAGTTTCATAGTTTCTATAGTAAAGGCAATGTCTATTTCAGGGATTGTAAAGTAGTTAAGCATTGTTTCAAAAGTTTTTTTATATTTATTTTTTTTAAGGAAAAGGTATAGACAACCAGCTAAACTGCCTTTTTGGTGTGCACACACATTTCATGTGCAGACGTGCCTCTGTGTAAATGTACACATGAACTTCATGTGGGCTTAATTTTCTGTGCTATAAACAAAAGTGTTTATTTTTTATTAACCTCATGGATATTTAGATGGAAAGTGATGGCATTCACAGGCTTGATGTATTCCACTGTTATTACTGTTACCTGCACAAATGAAAAACAATACTCAACAGTAATTCCACTCCCATGAAACTTTGGTCATTGTTATGCATTAAGTGGGGCTTATCTTTGGTTTGGAGTTCATTTGAACTCTTGAACCTTAGTTTAGTGAAGATGAACTGTCTGTTCTTAGGTAGAAACGGTGTTTATTTAAAAATCAGTTTTAAAAAATGAGCTACCATATGTGCTGTCTATTATAAATGGGACACCAAACAAAATTTTCTATTACAGTTGTGTACTTGCAAACATTTTGCTATACAGTACTTCATAGATGCATACAAATGAGCTCACTTATTACAAAGACAAACGTTTAATTTGCTAAATATTTTAACAAGTTTGTTATATATTTTATTTAATTTAAAAGAAATCTCTTACCAACCTACATATTTATTACTATAATTTGCTATGACTTCAGGTTAATTTATTTGTGTTTGCATAGTTTGAGCAGGATGTTTTGTGAAGTATGTTTGTATTTATTTGCCTACTTTGTACTTGATGTGTTTTGTAATGTGCACTGAATTTGTTTTCTTTTCAACTATGTTAATGATCAATACTGTAAATTGGGTCTTTTGTAAACAAAAAGGCAATGATGTATGCATTTTTTTTAATTTGAGGTAGTTTGTTTGTATACTGTTTCTCCAAACACTTAATATTTCTTACATCAAAGCAACAAAATTGTGTTCAGTGCTGTACATTTGGTGTATGGTAGGAAATAAAAATTGATAACGAGTTTTGATGTGATCTTTCTCAGGCTGTTATCTGGAGACTAGTATCCCCTTCCCATGGAATCCACTGTCCAGAACGAGCCCTGGTGAGGTCCCCAGAGTGCACTTGAGCCTGCCAGTCATTCGGAGACATTTCTGTTCTGACAGCCGGTTTGCTTGCCTTAAAGTGGACAGGACTTTTGGCCAGTTGACAAGCTGTCACTGCCTTTGATGTGGCATTCACCTCCAGAACAGGGAATGCTTTGACATAAGGAACACCTTTGCTAGCAGTAGCAGCAAATTCACTCAGATCTAATAAGTGGCAAGATAGAGGGCCCACCCTCCTGATTCCAAAATTACTTTGGATACGGAGTATATCTCTAGATTCATATAAGCTAAAATTAAAGAAACTTGAATTAAAGAAAAACAATAATAAATTACTGATAGCACCTCTTCTGCTTATGTGTTCTTTCTATCTAATGTCAAATAGTCAGCCTAATTTAATTTTTCAGTTTCTGTCCAGATTCATACATCTCTAGAATAAGTTTCCACTTACATTTGATCTGGTTAAAAAAAAATCTATTTAACCCATGTAATGAAGCCAAATTGACCGAAGGGAAGTCTGGGTCCAAAGAGGAAAGCCAGAGTTGTACTTGGGAGACCTTCATTTACCAGGAGCCAAAACATAACCATTAATGCACAATATAGCTTTCATTTAGTCACCACACTCACGTGTTGAAGATGCGCATAAAATGGATCACAAAATGCAAATCTGCTCAGTCAGGCTCTTAGCTTACCCTTAGCCAAGGATGTGCATCTTGCCCTGATTGGGACTTTTTTTTTTTTTTTTTTTTTTTTGAGGTAGAGTTTCGCTCTTGTTGCCCGGGATGGAGTGTGGTGGAGCAATCTCGGCTCACTGCAAACTCCGCCTCCCGGGTTCAAGCAATTCTCCTGCCTCAGGCTCCCAAGTAGCTGGGATTACAGGCATGCACCACCACACCAGGCTAATTTTTTGTATTTAGTATAGATGGGGTTTCACCATCTTGGTCAGGCTGGTCTCGAACTCCTGACCTCAGATGATCCACCCACCTCAGCCTCCCAAAGTGCTGGGATTACAGGCGTGAGCCACCACGCCCGGCCTCTGATTGGGATTTTATACCAACGAGTAGTGTCTACAACTCTGTCAACAAGGCGTCATAAGAAGAGCACCAGTCTTACCGGAAATGGTGAGTAAGAGTCATCCATTCATCAAAAAGATGTTTACTTGGAACACGATTATGCCGGGCCCACTTCCTTACTCCCATGGGAGTTCAGCCTCGTGGGAGACAATGAAATAAGTGATAGGTATTTCAGTTTGGGTACACACAGGCTCCTGTGGAAACCATGTGAGGGTTACCTAACAAACCTGGATTTCCAGGAAGAATCCTGCTTCTGATTCAGCAGGGAAAGTTTGAGAAAAGGTGCTGCAGGCAGTGACAACAGCATGTGCAAAAGTATGGCAATCATCAAGGCAGCAGCTTCACGTATTTAAAACATTGAAAAATTGGTGAGAAGTGAGAAGATGAGAGGCCAAAGCCCAGATGAGTGGGAAGAAGAGGAGGTCATATCGTAGACTGGCATGCTAAAGAGTTCTAATTTCCACAGACTTCAGCATGTGAAAGAAAAATTTTAAATCAGAGAATGACAAGATCAGATTTCACTTCAGATAATTTGTTCCAGCAATTCAGATGATTAACATTTCATACATCAGGGCAAGAAAATTGTGTTCAGTGCTGTGTATGTGGGGTATGGTACAAATAAAAACTGGTAACGAGTGTTCCCGAGATCATTTTCAGGCCAGTGTATAGAGACTATCGTTACCATCCCAAGAAAAGTCCTGGGGCCTTCAGACACAGGACTAAAACCCTTCTACTGGAACCAAGGACCTGAATAAAAAGAAGGGGGTGAATAATTATTTGATTTTCCCCATTAGAAAAAGTTTTAAAAATTAACTTGTTATGGTACATAAATATTTTATTAATATTTGTAAAAACTAATGTTTTCTACATCTCTTTCCACACATTACATTCATTTTATTGTGGTCTGGGAAAAGTGCCCTGCTATTTCCTCTCATTATTCAGCAGATAATTATAAAGTAAGCAGATTTAATTGGCTAATAACTATCCACGCTGTCAGACACAATCAATGATGTTTTGTATACTTCATCTGACAAAATGTATCAAGCAAATATCGCCATGCACAATTAAACTGATGAGGAAACTGGTGTTTAGCAAAGTTAGTAACTTGCTCAAGACCGTAAAACTAGGAAACAGTGCAGCCAGGATTCCACCCCAGATGTGCTTGATTAAAGCAAGGCAAGCCCCTTCTCACTATTTTTACAAAAACAATTCTATTGTGGATAGTCCTTCTCTAATGAGGACAATAGCAGGACTAACTGACTCACCCATTTAGAAACAATTGAGCCTCGTGTGGACCTCTCAACCTAGGTGCTCCAACCAACATGATCTATCTCATCACCTGTCAGATGTAGTCTCATCTGGAGGAAAAAAATAAGAATGAGGTAAGATTAAGATACATGCCAGGATCCAGACATATTCCAATATTCCTCAATCTTAACACTACGATAATGAGTACATCCCTGAATTCCCTCTTGTAAGCTTCATGGCCACACTGCAACAGAATTATTATGATCAGCATTATACTAAGAGACAACCAAGGGTTAGAGAGAGTGAACTCTAATCATTGTTTGATGCCCCAGAGATAAGTAGCAGGGTCAGTATTCAACTCAACTCTGACCCAGAGGCAAGCTCCTGTCCCTTCTGCAGGCCGCCACGACTGCATTTAGCCATACTTGCTGTGCTGGCCAGCACCTTACCAGCCTCTGTGCACAGTCATTCAGCAAGAAACAGTTAAGACACATGCCAGGGCCCATTCCAGGAAAAGTTGTTCAAAGAAGCATCATTTTCACATTTACACCACACTTTATGATGTATTTTTCTTGCAAAAGCATATCATAAAAATGTGACATCCTAATAATGTATTTGATGAATTGGGATTGAAAAATCTTAATATTGGTTATAATAAATAGCCAAAAATAAGAAAAATGCAAATCCCTCTTTTTTTACTGTTTTTAGAGCAAAACAATATAATTATTTTGTTCTGTCACTGGCCGCTTTGTGCATGCCTGACAGTTTTGAATTGGCCTCCGACAAATAAAAAGACAGTTTGTCCTGACCTTTACCAGCTATTAAATATTTAAAACATAAAGAGAATGTAAAGTTCCCTGCTCTTCAGAAACAGCTGCCGTTTTAGTAGAGTTTTCCACTCAGATGTATATTCTCATATATAAATGTAGTCATTTTCCTTCTGTAACTGATGGCCTTGTTCAGTTTTAAATGAAATCCAGGGTTAGATTTATGGGTTAGATATTTGAAAGTGTGAGTGGCACTTTGGGGATATGTCATGCTGCTCTGGTTTGAATATTTGACTCCCAAAACCTCATGGGGAAATGTAATCCCCAGTGTTGGAGGTGGGGCCTAATGGGAGCTATTTGGGTCATGCAGATGAATTTCCCATGAATAGATTAATGCCCCTATGTGGGTGGGGAGTGAGTGAGTTATCATTCCATTCATTGAGAGAGCTAGTTGTTAAGGAGAGCTGGGCACCTCACTCTGCCCTGCTTCCTCTGTCGCCATGTGACTTCTGCACAGTCCAGGCCCCCTTCAACTTTCTCCATGAAGGGAAGCTTCCTGAGACCCTCACCAGAGTGGATGCCGGCACGGGGCTCCATGTACAGCCTGCAGAGCTGTGAGCCAAATAAACCTCTTGTCTTTATAAATTATCCAGCCTCCAGTATTCCTTTATAGCAACACAAAATGTATGAAGACGCACTTTAACAATGCTCTTAAAGGATCAAAATTTTAACCATCAGAAATCTTTGTAAATATTGATCCCTGAGACTAGTATACTTGAATTTCAAAAATATGAGAGAGAACGCTCAAGTTCTGTGTCTCATCAAAGACCCAAGGACCAAAAACATCGACACCCACGCAGCTGGCTGTTGCCTGGGCCACGGGTCAATGTCTGCATGGACAAGCCTCTACTATGGGATTGACTCTATTAACATGAATTTACTATTCCAGGAAATTCTTGCCCAGGATAAAAAATGGAAAACATCTTCATTATCTTTTCCAAGAACTTCCTAACAATCCATTTACCCGAACCAGATAAAACCAGAACTACTCAATGTACTCTCATAATAAATACCCCTTCTCAGGACACTCATTCATGTCAAGTGATTGTTTACTCTTTGAGACTCACTTTGAAATCTTGGCTTTGCTGTGTGTCTTTCTCCTGAATTGTTAAGTTGTGAACTTGCCCAATTCTAATCATGCCCTCATTTTCAAGGGCCCTCCTTAAGCCAGACCCCTCAAATCACATAAATACCCTATGCTTGCTAGCCCCCTTTCCTCACATGCTGTTAAGATTCTGTCAAGGTAAACTCAGTTTTGTTTTATCAATAGATTATTTTGGTTGTATTTTGTGGCAGCCAGCATTTGACAGACCCAGGTAATGTCTACACACACCCACCAATGTATCTTCCATCCATATCCCCAATTTTTTGGTAATTAGGTACATAAATGCTTCAATTTTGAATCATCAAAAAGCTATAAGTGTAACTGTAAATGCTTTCAACAACTTTCTTGGATATTTCTGTGAACAAAAAAAAGGGAATGTTTTTATCTCTCCCATGTACCCTTTTCATCGCCAGAGATTCATCTAGATCAGCAGGAAAACTGTACGTAATCTACAAAATCAGGAAAGGAAGAATGGAGGAAAGGAGAAGAAACAAAAATAAGAAAATTTATTCATACTGATAACATGAGGTTTTTAAAAGTAAGTCAAATGTCAGTACAAATTCCTCAAGGGCAGCAGCAGAAGCTAACAGGTGGGCTTGGAAATGTTCAAAGTCCCCACAGGCACAGCAAGGCACCCTGAAGTTTTTTATAAAGGTGTGTCTGTGTGTTTTAACATTAATCGGGCATTTAATATTCACCAAAAATTTCCCAAGTGCTTTACACATATTATTTAGTTCCCACAACAACTCTGTAAATTATGAAATATGATAATCAGGAGATTTTTTTAAAGCATTCGTAAAGTGGCTCAGTAGCGTGGGCACAGCTGTATGCATCTTCTTCTCAGCACTGAGTGGAGCCTTCTCCCCATCACATGGAGGGAGTTCTGCCCTCCATCCCTCCAATCTCTCCTCTTAGCCTCTTGCCCCACTGGCTTCTCCTCCATCACAGCCTGGCTGCACTTCTTAAATCAGTAGCTGTGGAGCACTGAATTATGGCTCAAGACCACAAGCTGAAATAAAAATGTGTTGAATATATTGAGTTAAATAAAGTCTAGTTTTAAAATGAATTTTCCCTTTTCTTTTTATTCATTTTCAGTGGGAATGCTAGGGAATGCTAGAAAATATATAATTACATGTGTCGCTCTCACCAAATTTCTAGTAAACAGTGCTGTTTTACCATTTTTTCTGCAAGAAACAGAAAAGGTGTTCAAAAAGAAAAGCCAAGGAAATAACTTAGTTTTTATCTTTTCTACAGCTCAGAAATCACAATGTTTTTTTCTCTTTTTGTGAGGGAGAAACACCCCAAAACAGAAAATATCTAAAAAGAATGACAATTTTTACATGATCAGACAAAGTAAGTGGCTAAATCACACTCTAAAATCCACAAATGTATCAAATGTGCCTGATTTGATACAACCCGAAAACCTACTCATTTTAGCTTTTTTTTTTTTTTTTTAACAATTACCCATCTACATAACCAAATTCTGGCTCACAAGATGACCGTAATAGTTGGAATAGGATGGGCATGGTGGCTCTTACCTGTAATCCCAGCACTTTGGGAGGCCAAGGCAGGCGGATCACTTGAGCCCAGGAATTCAAGACCAGCCTGGGCAATGTGGTGAAACCTCATCTCTACTAAAAATATAAAAATTAGCTGGATATGGTGGCATGTACCTGTGGTCCCAGCTACTCAGGAGAATTTAATTACCATTTTCACAGAAATTCCATTTATCATTAGGGTCTTAAGAATCACAGAAGAGCTATAGGATGGCTTGGGTTGGCTTATGCAGGCTACCTACCATTCAGTGAATGGGGTACAGTTCATCTCAGTGGGTGTATTTTCATATTCTTTGTGCTGTATTGCTTAAGTTGATTATGTTTTCATTGTCTTGTTTTGTTGTATTATATTTCTGATGCACACAAATGAATCAAGCACACAAAACACTTATTGAAGTGAAATGGAGTGGTGGGAATTCCAATATAAAAATTTAAACTTAAAGAAGCATATTCCCATGAGGCAGATACTAACACTCTCACCAATGATAGATGGGGAAACTGAGGCATGGTTTTATTTCATGTCAGCTGCTATAACAAACTGCCATAGGCTGGGTGGCTTGTAAATGACAGAAATTTATTTCTCATGGTTCTGAGTCTGGGGAGACCAAGATCAAGGCAAGGTGAGGGCCTGCTTCCTAGCTCATAGATGGCTGTCTTTTTTGCTGCATCCTCAAAAAGCAGAAGAAATCAAGGTAACTTTCGGGGGTGTCTTTTGTAAGGGCACTAATCCTATTCTTGAGGGCTCAACCCTCATGACCTAATCACCTCCCACAGGCCCCACCTCCTAATATCATCACCTTGGGGGTTAGGTTTTCCACACATACATTTTAGTGGCACACAGAGATTCCTTAAGATAGGATTACAAAGCTCCTAAGTGGCAGAGCTTGGATTTTAACTCTACCATAGTGGGTCTGGAGCCCACACTTGCACACACTATAAAATGCTGCCACAAAATGAGTGAAGGAGACCTGTGCTGTTATTACCCAAAGCCTGTGAGATTTCTTGCTAAATTAATGACTACTTTTGATCCATTATTTACACTTAGTTAGTACTAATTTGGAGCACCTGCTAAGTTTGAAAAAAAGAAGGGCATTAATATTGGAATAAAACTGGCTAAACTTGAATGCCCATCCAGAAACTGTTTCATTCACAGACAGCAGCTGGCACTGCAATACGTCTCTTGATCTTAATGCTGTGTTGGAGGAAATAGGGGACACTGAAAATTTATCTATCAAGAAAGGGAGCGCATGCTTGGTGAAGAACTAGAAAGTGAGTTTATTTTTTCACATATTAGTATGCTCTCTAATAAAGGAGAAGGTGTAGGTGAAATTCAAGATTTTTTGTTATTTATTTACTTGTAGAGACAGGGTCTCACTCTGTTGACCAGGTTGGTCTTGAATTCCTGATCTCAAGAGATCTTCCCTCCTTGGCCTCCCAAAGTGCTGGAATAACAGATGTGAGGCACCGTGCCTGGCCCCAACATTTTTTTGAATAAAGAATGAGATAAAAATATTTTCTCATTACCCTGATAATGCTACTTAAAGCCATCTCTAAGATTTCATTGAGCTTTGTCAGTTTGGGATCTCAAACACATTCAGCGTCTTACCTACACTGAACCTGAACTTTAAAGCCAAAATGTTACAATTTTTAATGTTGAGAAACAAGATGGTAGGGTGTCCTGAATAAAGCAAACTATGAATCAAACAGTCCAATCACCTGAAGTTCAATGTTTCACAGTACTTGGTTACTCAATTATTTCTTTACTCACTGAAGAAAGAAATCAATGGCTCATTATTAGATTATTTATTTATAAATGACACTAAGACCAAATAGTTTCCAAAATGCTTCCAGCCCTACAGGTACAACCAAGGAATGAATTAGGACTCCACTTAGAGCTATTGTTCAAGTTCACACTTAATCTCCCAGTGTTTGAATGTGAGGTGTTTGTCACCTTAATACCTTTGAAGAATTGAAATTAGTAAGGAGAGAGAAATCGCAGCATTATTTCTGGGTCCAGTTTCAATTCAAATATCCAGAACTTCCTGTCAGAACCACTAAACAATTGCTATCATCTTAATGACTTATAATTATGTTAGGGTTTCCCAATTTAATAGAAATAAAGAGTAATACACTTAATTGTATTAGATTTGGTTTATCTGGACAACATTGAAGCCCCAGAAAGAGTAATTTTAAAAAAATAGGAAATTCTCTCTCTCTCTCTCTCTCTCTCTCTGACAAGAAGTCAGCTGGTAAGCAATACAATGAAGCTTTAGTTTCATCTACCTTTCTAATCAATCAACCTGTCATCCTCAAAGTTATCACATCATCTAAGATGGCTGCTGGAACTCCAGCCACTTCTCCTGTGTCCTACACTATGGAAGGAGGAAAGACCAAAGAGAAAATGGAACCCCCAGAGGTCAGCCAGATCCCTTTAATCAGCCACCCTAGACATCACCTATTCCACTTGTACTTACATTTCAGTGGCTGGAACTAGTCACATGGCCTTACCTAACTCGAGGGAAGTCTTGTCTTCTGGGTAAATAATGTGCATAGCTAAGAACTGGTGTTGGGAGTTCCGTTAGGAAGAGAGAATGGATGTGGGGGCGGACATCTCACTTTCTCCACCAGGAGATGTGAGCCAAGTGCATGTGGAGCTTGAACCTGTGGCTTACTTATCCTGGGTAGAATTGGATGAAAGTTTTTCAAATCATGGTATCACTTTTACTGCAATTTTAAAATTCATTATTTTTATAAGTATTATTTTTGTTTTATTATTTTTAAAATTGTGAACAGTCTTTTTTCTTCCTAAAAATGGACACTTGAAATTGTTGGACACTCATTAACGGATTAAATATGCCCAAAGTTTGATATGCACTTACCCATATGTTTCAACTAGAAGGGGCTAAAAGGCCCAGTTTTCCTGGACACCCATCCCAGTGGGTTCCACTGCCACTGAGCCTAACATCCCCACCGACAGGATGGGCATGTATTTGGGATTTCAGATACACCAAACACTTCACAATTTGCATATGACTGTGGAGCTGAAACACGAGCTACAGGAGGACCAGATCTCTACCCTGGTCCTCACTGTTCTCAGGAATGGGGAGAGGCCCCGGCACAGAGTTGGAACAACTGAGTGAATGAGTCAGTGAAGAAAGGACTTAGCGAGTGACATTGAAAAGGCCACCAGATACTCCCTATTCCTGTTTTCCCAAATGTAAAATAATATATGACCTAGTTCTGCTCAAGGTTCTTGAATAATAACAGGTGTGAGAACACAGGGTTAACTTTTAAAGAGTAGAGTTGTGTCGTATTTATCTCATTTATATACTCTATATCAACTGCGATCACTATTAATCTTCAGTGCGGTACTGCTTTTCAGTTTTAGAAATACTTGAGGTGCCCTGAAAAATTACCCAATAACTCATGTGACATAATCCCTAGTTCTGGAGTTTCTTTCCATTTCCACCATTCTTAATACCGTATGACCTTTCAGGAAAAAAAAAAAAAAAAAGCACTGAACTTGTCTAGACCCCAATTCCTTCTCCTATGAAATGCAGAAATATATAAAGTTCTAGAAAATGTGGAGAACTCAGTTATTAGGCAGGGTATGCTGAAAAGGATAGGGTTTGAGCCCCAGCCCTCCGCTGGCCAACGGTGCCTGCAGAAAGGTATTTAACCTCTCGCAGGGTGGGGCCGGGAGAGGCCTCGCAGCGTTCCCAGCCCCATCTCTGCCTGGAGCACACAGCGCACAGGTGGCACGCCAGAGCAGCCCCGCCGCCGTCACCCGGCCTGCAGCGCTCCCCGGAAGCCGGCTGCAGCCTCCCCACGGCCCGGGAACCTCCCGGAACCGCACTCAGCCCCAGCCTCTTCCACCTGCCCCTTTATCTCTGTTAGACTCGCCCCAGGTTGAAGTCTGGGCCCACCTCTCTTCCCCTCTGCGCCCTGGCAGGCACTCCCCCCACCCCGTCCGGTCCGGTCTGGGCGGATACTTCCCAGCAGCCCTGAGCTAAGAAGTAGCCTCAGCGGAGCTTGCAGTGAGCCGAGATTGCGCCACTGCAGTCCGCAGTCCGGCCTGGGCGACAGAGCGAGACTCCGTCTCAAAAAAAAAAAAAAAAAAAAAAAAAAAAAAAAAAAAGAAGTAGCCTCAGCTTCTACCATAAAGTGGAGATAATCCAGGATAGTTTCCAACATAAGTTCAGGCTTGAAATGTGACACATGCTTCGCCTGGCACACTGAGGGGCACGTCGGAGTCTCCCCCCCCCCACCCCGCCCTCCCACCTATTTGCAGTAACCACGGCTAAACTCCCCCCCACCCCCCCGATCGTGTGAAAGTCTACATGTGTGGACAGGAAAGGAAGCTAGAGAGGATGGAGACTTGGGAGCTCAAGTGTATCATCAGGGATAAGAAGAGCGAAGTGGAGAGGAGGTCCTGAGGTCTGGGCCGGTCCTGAAGTCTGAGCAAGAAGCTGCAGTCCCAGCAGAGGCGGCTCCGGGAAGGGGACGGGAGGGTCCTCACAGCCCTGCCTGGGGGTTTGAGGTCTCAGCGCCCTGGATTCCTTTAACAGTGGTGTGCCCCCTGCCTGGGGTGCACACCACTGATGCACCCACTGATGCACGCACCCGTCAGGCTGCCGTGGTGTCGCCAGGGTAGCAGGGCCCGGGGGTTTGCACCCGCTCCCCGAACAATGCCCTTCTCTACCCAAGCTCCCTCTCCCTGACCTACAAGGCTTGGAAGCGGGAGCTACAAGGCCCCCAGAGCTCCCCTGTCGGGTGAGCCCCTAGCCTGGCCCTCTGCCCTTCCATATTCCCATTCCCTCACCATTCTTCCCAGACCAGTTTTCCTTAAGAACACCTCCTACTCTCACATTCGCAAGAATCTTGGTCTCAGAAACTTCTGGTGGATCCGGGCGTGGCCAAACACTTGGCGGATCCGCCTCCCGGTAACCCCTTGAGTCCGTTGTCTTGATTGAGGCTGCCTGTCCGCGCCTGGACGATTTCAGAAGGGCCAGGCGCGGACAGGCAGCCTCACAAAATCCTACTGAGCAAGCTAATCGTTGTTGTTGTTGTTCCCACCCGAAACTTCTGAAAAACTACAATTCATATTAGCAAAAACTGTACGGTGCTTCGGCGAAATATGTGTCTTAGAGCCAAAAGCATCTGCATCTATATGAATACAGTTTTCACTTCTCATCTAAAGGTTTTTGGCACTAAGTAGGCAGAGCCTGAAAAATATTACAGCCTGACTCACGTTAGCTAATGTTATATTGATTTAGAAAAACAAATTGGCCAAGACGCAGTTTTTCAAAACTGCTATGCAATAATCTAGCGCTAATTTTTCCACTGCAATTACATTTGGATCTGGCACCAAACAATGAGTAAATCAACTGTTCAATAGCCTTTTTTAGCCTGTTCCTATGACTGAATTACACATTTCCCACGATGCTCTTAATTTCAAAACTCATTTCCTACCAGATTGGATAACATTTTTCTGAATGTCCTTCCATGATTTTGAGGCTGTTTCTGTAACTAATTCCTCAAACACCTGATTTGGTTAGGACACAGAGTGCGAGGAAAGCTTATGTCACATATAAATAAACTTTTCACTCTTTAGTGAAAGGATTGGTTTACATGATGTGTGGATTGTAATTCATTAAAATGGGAAGGGGGGATTTACATGCATTGCATAGACAGTAACAACAACGACCTTGTTTCATCAGCTTTTAGCACCTCATTGTAATTCTTCTTCCATCTCTTTTGCTCTAACAATTCTCTTTCAGTCAACCCTATGCAGTTTTCTGTTTGAAAATTAGTCTGACATATTCTCTGATTTAATTTGTCAAAAGCCCTGGTTAATAGATATATAGTCTATTGATTTCCACTCTTTCATTTTGTAGATCTTAATACAAATTTCTCTTTATAATGTCCTTTAATTGTCTCTAGAATGTTTGGGCTTCTTCTAAAAATTCCCATACTAAGTTTACTTTTATTACCTTTATGGAATGCAAAGATGTGATAAGGCAAAAGCATAACGTATAGCTATAGTGTGGCATGTCCTGTTTCTCCCAAGGATTACCAAGCAGACATCACTGCACTGTGTGCAATTTCTTCAGGGGTCATCTGCAGAGCAGCCCCCCAAGCAAGAAGGAAAGATTATCTTCCCTCAGTAATTTCCCACCTAGAACCACAGAGAGAATTCATCTCATACAGCTGGGCCATGAAGCTGTCAAGTGGATGTAACCTCCTCCCTTCAGGACACGTGGTCCTGCCTTATCAGAGAAGAAAATGGAAATGATGAGTTCCAGGAAGCTACTTCCTTGGCATACACCTAACGCTAACCCACTGTATGACAGCTGGGGCTGTCATAACAAATACCACATGCTGGGTGACTTAAATAACAAAAATTTATTTATTTTTTTTCACAGTCTGGAGGCTGGAAGTGCAAGATCAAGATGTCAACAGGTTGGGTTTACTCTGAGGTCTCTCTCCGTGGCTTGTAGATTTGTGGACGGTTGTCTTTTCCCCATGTCTTCACATGGTCTTCCTTCTTGTGTGTCTACATCCTAATCTTTTCTTCTTATAAGGACACCAGTCCTATGGGATTAGGGCCCACCCTCATTACCTCAATTTACCTTAATTACCTCTTTAAAGACCCTATCTCTAAACACAGTCACATTCTGAGATACTGTGGGTTAGGGCTCCAACATATGAATGGGGAGGGACACAATTTAGCCCATAACCCCCACTTTGGGTGTGTTGCAGCCATTTACTCTACTGGCTTTGGCAGGTCCATCAGGAATTCAAACCATAGATTTGTGGTAGGCTACGGTTTGAATGTGTCCCTTCCAAAATTCAGGTGTTGCCAATATGATAGTATTAAGAGGTGAGGCCTTTAAGGGGTGATTAGACGGTGAGGACTCCTACCAAGTTAATGGGAGTAAGGTCCTTTTAAAAAAAGCTTCACATAGCATTTAACTAGCTGGCTAGCTTTGTTTTCTGTTTTTCTGCTGTGTGAGGACTTTAGCAGCTGTCACTGACAACTGAATCTGTCAGCACCTTACCTTGGACTTTCCAGCCTCTGGAACTGTGAGAAAATATGTTTCTGTTCTTTTTAAATATCCCCATCTCAGGTATTCTGTTATAGCAACACAAATGAACTAAGACAGGATACAATGCTGGAGACAGAAGCCTGAGCCCTATTCAGTTCACTCTCCAGTTTTGCCAACATCTCATAGCTCCTTACCACAGCACTGCACTGCTGGACACGGAAACCCCAAGGGGTGCCCAAGACAGTTGATGCCTAGCAGGGCAGAGGGTGCACATTCCTGCTGGAGACCTGGGGGCTCTTAATCCAAAGCTACTGTGGACGCACATACAGAATTACTCATGACTCTGTGTCCAAGTTGACTCTCCCAACTATTGCTAGAGAACACCCAGAAAAGAGCCCAGGCTTCGGAGAGACAAGGAATGCCTGGGTTTTAGTTCAGCAACAAAGTTGGGCCTGAAACATGAAGACCAATGTAGAGCTAAACTCCTTTTTATTCTTTTCTTTTTTTAATTTCTATAACGATTCAGTTGAAACAAAGACTATCACAGACTGTAAGTCATAGACTCTATATGGATGGGAAGATGTCCTTACTGTGGAAAGGACCAAGTTGCAGATCTAGTTCTTTTATGTGTGATCTCGGATGAGTTTCTTACCTTTCTTTAACTGTTTCTCCCACTGTAGGAAACAGATTTAACTTAATTCAATATTTGTTGCACTTTCATCTAAGAATAAAAGACCCAGTCTCCTAGGTAAGTCCTTTAAACAACTCAAAGACGTCATGAGAGCAAGAGCTAGACTGGATACATTTTTGATATTGGGCTTTGCTTAAAAGGTAGGACCAGGAACCTCTCTTCTGCTGAATCAACACAGTGTCATTACCTCCGTAGACACGGGCCAAGTGCTGCCAATGAGGAAAAGGTGGGATCCCAGGAAAGAGATGCTGAGGTGAAATTTGCATGGAGAAAACTTAATGGGGAATGCCCTTGGGATCAAGTCCTAAGGAGTGAGAAGAAAGCAGGATAGGACAGAAGGAAGAGTTGAACCGTGATGTAGTCACCACCAAGATCTTGGCTGAGTCAAGGGAAGCTCTGGAACTGAGACAGCCTTGTAGAGCTCTTTCACTTTGAGGCAAGGGGACTTGCCCTTTGTAAACCCAGCCATCCCAGATAGATGAGTCCTTAGACTAGCAGCCCAGGAAAGGTTATACTACCTGGTCAAGTCAGCTCGGTTCTAGAAAGGGACTCAGCTGCCAGGGGCCAGTCACCCATACTCCCAGCAGCTGGGAGCTCAGTGCTTCGCCCTGGCCGTTAGAGACCTGGGTGGTGCACACAGCATGCACCTCAACTGCATTCCATTCACCAAGAAGCCTTCTTTCTCATCACTACATCGCAAAGCAGAATGTAGCAAGCAGTGTGATAGAGGGAAAAAATATCCTCAAAATAATGCTCTGAGAGCACACAAGAATAACTCTGATGAGATCAAAGAAAGCCCAGTGGAAGCAATAGCATTTGAGCTGGAATTTGAAGAATAAATGGAATTTTGGAAAACAGGATAAAAGATGGGCATTCTAAGTGAAGGAAACAGCATGAAAAGAGGAAAGATGTAACATGCAGGATGGAGTTTTTAGGTAAATATTGAGTGGTACAAACTGACTAGAGTAAAGGCAATAAAGGAAAAGAAACCAGGTGTCACAAAAGAATGGTGAGAGAAGACAGGAGGAAGCCTGGGGCCTACAATAAGGAATTGTGACATATCAGTGACACTCAGCAATGAGGTACAGTGAGCTAATAAGATGGACATTTAACCTGTAAAGTCTGTTTTAGTGCACAGTCTGTCACAAGATAAAACAATAGCTCTGGGCAGCATTATTTATAAGTATTAGGAACATCCTCAAGTTCTAGCTTCTGAATCATTTGGCTATTGAAGGAAACTGTGATTTAACTCAAGTCTCTACCACATATCCTATGGGCATTCCAGCACCTTCTCCAATACATATTAGGGTTCTCAGAAAGAGTACGTTCTTCTGGTCGCCACTCACTCTAAATTCCTGCCCCACAAAATTTCTGGTCACTGCTCAAAGCAGTCACAGCTGCTGGCCTTGTTCCACAAGACCTCTTCCATCATGAACCCAAGCAGTGCCCTCCAGGGAGGTTGATGACTAGCCTAAGATCACAGGGCCACCAAGATGCTGGCCCAGAATTAAGACCAGGTTTCCCTGACCCCAAGCCCAGCTTTTCAATCTTTCAACATTAGTGGTTGCAAAGGGGGAAAAATAAAACTCCCAGTACCATGTACAGATTTTACTGTTTTAATGTTTAATGTAACTTTTAAAGAAGACATATTATAATGTCTAATATATATTCACTACAAAGATGTGTGTGGCCATCTACTTATTATAATAGAATTATGAATTCTTTTCTCTGATTCACATTGTTTGCCTTTAATAAAAGATAAGGAATTTCATATATCCTTAGGAGAGTCACTTTAGCAACAGTTGGATAAATAATATAACATTATAAAAGCCTACAATTTTGTTACTAGTTCATAAACTATTCATTTTGTTTAAAAAATCAGAGTAATAAATGGCTACAATTTCAACAATATAATTTACAGTAATAGACTCATTCTCTTTTCCCTCAATAGAAAAGCTGAAAGAAGTGCAAAGTCTGTGACTGTGTTTAATATATATTGCAAGCAGCTCTTCTTTACTGTATTTCAGGAAGGATTCAGGAAAAAAAAAGTCTCCATATGTTTCTCTTGTCTGACTTCTAGTGGAAATAACAATAATCTTTTTCATTGTTATTTAATATCTGTTTGCATTTTTTTCTTGCAAATTCTTCTTTGACATGCAAGTGCGTTAGCAAGTAAATATAGAAAAGAAATTACACAAAGAAACACTACAAACAGGTTTTTAAAAATGTTAATCATTAAATATACACATTCTTTATCAGCAGCCATTTCTTTACATAGCAAATTGTTTATCCTGCCTTCCTCCAATAGTTCCCGAAGAATTTTCCTAACACCTATATATTTTTATAAAATTTTTATCATTAAACAGAGGAGTTGAAAAACCTGATCAGTAAAAACCTTCTTGAAAAACTAGTCTGAAGAAAAAAAATCTGTAATTTTATCCAGAAAAAACATATTACCAGGTGCTTTTGTGTGTCCTACTGTTCTCAGAAAACATGAAAGTTGGATGTGAATCTTGTTTTGATTATACATGCCAATCTGATTTATCAGAGTGCAATGACGAGGTGGTGTGTTAAAGTAGGACAGCTCTGGTGCAGCTAGACATTTTTACACCTACCCTCCCCCCGCCCCCCATTTTTAAAATTGCATTTCCCAAAACAACAAAAACAGCAAGGATTAAAAGAACCCAAAAAAACAAAAAACAAACAACAAACAAAAAACCACGAGCATGAAGAATACTACCCAGTGAGAGAGATCTCTGTACAACTGCATAGGTTTTGCTCTGGCTCAATGGTACCTGCAAGACATGAATGAGGGTAAAATCTAGTCCTAACCAAACTTACGTCCTGGTCTAGGCTGTGGCACAAGAGGAAATGGCTCTGCCTTCTTCTAATTCATCTACTTAAAAGGGGCTCCCTACTTGGGAGGCTGAGGCAGGAGTAACCCTGGAGCTCAGGAGTTGGAGTCCAACCTGGGCAAGAGAGAAAGACCCATCTCTACAAAAGCAAGGGGGACCACTGTGTGTAATTCACTCAAAGGAAGTCTTTGTCCTCTCAGTGGCCTTAAAACAAGAGTAAACAAAAGAGAAGAGCGGTGAGGAGTGTGATGTTTACAGTGGGTGAGAGAGACCTGCCAAAAAAAAAGACCAAGAAGTACCAGTCAGAAATGTAGAAGGCCTAGGCCAGGTGCGGTGGCTCATGCCTGTAATCCCAGCACTTTGGGAGGCTGAGGTGGGCATATCACAATGTCAGGAGTTCAAGACCAGCTTGGCCAACATAGTGAAATGCCATCTCTACTAAAAATACAAAAATTAGCCAGGCATGGTGGCACGTTCCTGTAATCCCAGCTACTTGGGAGGCTGAGGCAAAAGAATCGCTTGAACCTGGGAGGTAGAGGTTGCAGTGAGCCGAGATCACACCACTGCACTCCAGCCCTAGCAACAGAGTGAGACTCTGTCAAAAAAAGAATAAAAAGAAAAAAGAAAAGAAAAGAAAAAAGAAATGGAGAAGCCCTGGGAAAAAGACAGTATCATGGAATTCAGAGAAGCAGAAGCTCTGAAGTAGGAAGAAAGTTAATATCAAATGATCAAATGTAGCAAAGAGGTCCAATAAGATAATAACGGAAATGTGTTTTTGGATAAAGCCTCTGAAGATCATTAGGACCTTCCTCGAGCATTAACATTGGCAGTGGAGGCAGCAGGGGCTGTGGCAGAAGACGAAGAAGGAAAAGAGACAAAGGCTGGTGGGGCCAGGCAGTTGAATTTGTGATTGTCTTCAGCTGATTGCAGTAGAGAAAATGTGTGTTTGAGTTGGTTTCGGTAAGAATAAAATTTTTTAGAACACTGTAAATAGTGGAAGTTAAATTTCCTTAATTTCTGGGAATTTTAGGAATATCCAATGATATAAATGCTTATTTATCTGCAAGCCAATCAGAGTAGTGTCCCTTTAAGATATTTTTATAATTTAAGTTACTAATACCATCTGGAGGAAGGAAAATATTACACACTCACGCAATGAGAGATAAATGTCTTTCTAAATTACAGACATAGAAACATAAACAATATGACATAGAGAGAAAGCTTATAGCTTCAGTTCAGAATTTCAGCCATGGGTCAAAGTAACACAGAATTACAAAACTCACCAGGCCATATCGACAAGCTGTTCTCTTCCCAGAGAGTATGAATCCTTAATTGATTTGAGCTCAAAATAGACAATTAGAAAAGATGAACAGGCTAGGTGAAGTGGCTCACATCTGTAATCCCAGCATTTTGGGAGGTTGTGGCATTCAGATTACTTGAGCCTGGGAGTTCAAGACCAGCCTGGTCAATATAGAAAAATCCTATCTCGGCCAGGCATGGTGGCTTACACCTGTAATCCCAGCACTTTGGGAGGCCGAGACAGGTGGATCACCTGAGGTCAGGAGTTTGAGGCCAGCCTGGCCAACATGGCGAAACCCTGTCTCTACTAAAAATACAAAAATTAGTTGAGTGTGGTGGCAAGCACCTGTAATCCCAGCTACTTGGGAGGCTGAGGCAGGAGAATCGCTTGAACCCAGGAGGTGGAGGTTGCAGTGAGCCGAGATCGTGCCATTGCACTCCAGCCTGGAGGACAAGAGCAAGACTTCATCTCAAAAAAAAAAAAAAAACGAAAAAAGAAAAATCCTGTCTCTACAAAAAATACAAAAATTAGCCGAGTGTGGTGGTGCCCACCTGTAGTCCTAGCTACTCAGGAGGCTGAGGCAGGAGGTGTGTTTGAGTTTGGGAGGTTGCTGTGAGCTATGATGGTGCAACTGCACTCCAACCTAGGTGACACAGCAAGACCCTGTCTCAAATTTTAAAAAAAGAAAAACAAAGCAGGTTCTCTGTCATTTTTCACGTAGCAGACATAAGATTTCTATAAATCATCATTTCATTTACAGAGAAACCCAAATGGTTAGACAATAAAGTCAAAAGAAGCTGGCACCAGATATCAAGTGAATACTCAAAAAGAAGCATAATCAAAATATTACAAGGGGAGGATTTGGACAAGAGGCAGAGCACAGGACCAAATGTTGGACATACCCTTGGTCCACAGATGGTGGGTCAGGAAAGAGCCCTGTGAAGAAGGCCTCCTTACTGGGCAGAGTGAACAGGGCTTCACAGATGAGGTCCAATCCTGTGGAGTCACAGCACAAACCAAGTCACAGTGACAAACCAAAGGAGTCACAGTGACAAACCAAAAGCACAGGACAATTCCAGAGATGATTTTATTCAGGTTATTGAGATAGGGAGAGTGTTCATTTATAAGGAACATCTCCGAGAAAAGGAAGCAGCTAAACAAGAGATTCATTGAGTCTTCAAATGGGAGTCATGAGGAAAGATGGAGAAGGATCTTATCTCAGAATATTTGGGTTTATGGTTAGCTCTTTCTTTGGGAAATGATGAGAAGATTTTTGAAAACAAAAGGTTGTAGGGGGGCTTCTTCACCATTACTGTTTTTCAGGAGCACAGGGCTCAGGTCAAGTTCAATGTTGTCAAGCGTTTGGCTGGGTTTGGAGTATAGGGTCGAGGAGAGGCAAGAGGAAGGATTACCAAGGAGGACCAGGAAATTTAGGGTGCAATGTTCACCCTCTTATCTTGATAGAGATGATGGTTTCACCCATTATAGAAATGTGAAAGAATGCACATTTTAAATATGTACAGTTTATTGTACATCAGTGAAGCCTCAAGAAAGATGTTAAAAAACCTGCTTGATAGATTTGCCTCACTGGCATAATATTTCTTCTGAGGAAATATGCTAATTTTGTAAATTACTATATAACGTTCAAAATTTTGGAAGTCTGACTACTATTCAAGAGACATTTCATGTGTTCAAAAAAAAAATGAGCCTTTGTACCAAACTGTATCCCTATTTCAAAACTAATAATCATTTGAGAGATATAATTATCTTAGATGTCATAAATTGCTACCATTGTTAGAAACACTTAAAATTCAATTATTTGACTTAGGTTTATTTCCTCAAGTCAGCAATTATCATTATAAAAGAACAACTTTTCTGTCTTGTTCAATTCTACTCTGCTTTAATATATTAGAAAACCACCCTTGCAGCTGGGCGCAGTGGCTCATGCTTGTAATCCCAACACTTTCGGAGGCCGAGTCGGGTGGATCACCTGAGACCAGCAGTTCGAGACCAGCCTGGCCAATATGGTGAAACCCCATCTCTACTAAAAATACAAAAATTAGCTGGGTGTGGTGGCACACACCTGTAATCCCCATTACTCGGGAGGCTGAGGTGAGAGAATCACTTGAACCCGGGAGGCAGAGGTTGCAGTGAGCCTCTGTGCCACTGCAGCCTGGGCAACAAGAGCGAAACTCCATCTCAAAGAAAAAAAGAGAAAGAAAGAAAACTACCTTTACACACCTCAAGTGGAAACATATTGTGGCATTTAATTTTGCTGTATTGAATTATGTAAGAAACTGCTACAGTCATCAGTTACTTAGCATTAAGTTCTTAATCATTGAAATATATCCTGATCGTATATGGCCATACCACTCTGAATGTGCCTGATCTTGTCTGAAATATATCCAGATTATTTCAGCAGTATTTTTTAAATGAAATCTAAGTTCATTTATATCTACAAAATTGGGCCTAGGTATTGCCCACATATTGTGATTCTGTTCACATTGTTTTTGCTCTTCTGTATACAAATTACTTATAACAAAAATACTTTATTCCTGTTATGGGTTGAATTGTGTGCCCCAAAATTCATATGTTGAAGTCCTAACCCCTAGCACCTCAGAATGTGACTACAGCATTTGGAGATAGGATCTTTAAAGCAGTAATTAAATTAAAATGCGGTCATTAGGGTGGGTCCTAATCCAGTATGACTGGTGTCCTTATAAGAAAATGAGGCCTGCACAGTGGCTCACACCTGTAATCTCAGTACTTTGGAAGGCCAAGGTGGACAGATAGCCTGAGTTCAGGAGTTCGAGACCGCCCTGGGCAACACGGTGAAACCCCGTCTCTACTAAAATACAAAAATATATATATATATACCTGGGCTTGGTGGCGCATGCCTGTAGTCCCAGCTATTCGGGAGGCTGAGGCAGAAGAATCGCTTAAGCCCCAGACGCGGAGGTTGCAGTGAGCAGAGATCACACCACTTTACTCCAGCTTGGGCTACAGAGTGAGACTCCGTCTCAAAAAAAAAAAAAAAAAAAAAAGGAAAAAAAGAAAATGAGATAAGGCCACTGACTATACAGGAAGAATGCCCTATAAACATGAAGACAGCCACCTACAAGCCAAGGAAATCCTTCCCTCAGGACCCGCAGAAGGAACCAAACCTGCCCATGCCTTGATCTCAAACTTCTTGCCCACAAAACTGTGAGACGATAAATATTTCCTGTTTAAGCTATGCAGTTTTTGGTACTTTAACATGGCAGCTCTAGCAAACTACAACAATCCCCAACGAACTTTTATTTATTTTTCTTTTTTTCTCATATACTTTTGTTTGTTTGTCTGTTTTTGAGACGAAGTCTTGCTCTGTAGCCCAGGCTGGAATGCAGTGGCACCGAAACCTCCGCCTCTTGGGTTCAAGCAATTCTGCCTCAGCCTCCCGAGTAGCTGGGACTACAGGCGCCTGCCACCATGACCGGCTAATTTTTGTATTTTTAGTAGAGACGGGGTTTCACCATATTGGCCAGGCTGGTCTTGAACTCCCGACTTCGTGATCCGCCTGCCTCGGCCTCCCAAAGTGCTGGGATTACAGGCATGAGCCACCGTGCCCAGCCTCTCATATGCTTTTAAAATGTATCACTTACTCTGTTTATACCATATTAGATTTTTAAAAATTTTAAACTTTCAGCCAGTCTTAAAGACTGTCATGTGAAGTCCGCCCTGACTGAGATATAAGCAGCAGGCTGACAAACTAATTATCTTGTTACTTCTTCTATCTTGTTTAAAACAAACAAAGAAAATATAAGTGTGGAAGAGAGGAACTGCTCACACTAGGTAGCTGCAGTTTCTCCCTGGGCAGCTGAGGGGCGCTCAAACAAACGTCCCCACTGGGGCCCCTGCGTAGGTTGTTTCAGCCACAAAAGCAGTCAGTCAGCGTGTGCTGTTTACCTTCCCTGCACCAGCGCTGGTGTGCAGGTCTGAAACTCAGAGACAAAAACGAAGTGTTTCTTATCCAAGGTAAAGGAGCATTTGACCTGCTCTGAGTAAATCCGGGAAACTTGCCTGATAAAAAAACACAGTTTTTGGTAGAAAAAAAAATATGTAGTTGATAAACTTGTTAAAAATTAGTGGGAAACATAAGTCTCAGCTTTCAAAAGTCCATCCTAGCATTAAAAATTGTTGTTAGCTAAAAATGTGAAATAACAGTTCTGTCATTTTACAACTCATGGTATTCTCTCTCACGTGCTCCATATGATAAATTTCAGTAAATACTCAAACACATTACGGAGCTGGAGTTTTGTGATTTTCCAAATTCCATTTTTATGAAGGCTGGTTGCTGGTGGGAGAGGGATTCGTGCTGTAGGTGGATAAATTGGCAATACTGCTGTGAGAATGTGGAAGTACATTTTCAAATGATTAAAATAATAATACTAAATGTGGGTGATCACATTTCCTTACTATTAAAAGTATACGATTCTTCATGTTGAATGGATTTTTTAATTAAGTAAATTACTAATTGATGCCATATGTAAGAGTTTTTTTGAGATTAGAGGCCAGGCGCACTGACTGACGCCTGTAATCCCAGCACTTTGGGAGGCCAAGGTGGGCAGATCACTTGAGGTCAGGAGTTCGCGACCAGCCTGGCCAACGTGGTGAAACCCCGTCTCTACTAAAATACAAAAATTAGACGGGTGTGGTCGCAAGTGCCTGTGGTCCCAGCTACTCGGGAGGTCGAGGCAGGAGAATCACTTGAACCTGGAAGGTGGAGGTTGCAGTGAGCCGAGATCACACCACTGCACTCCCACCTGGGCAACAGGTGAGACTCTATCTCAAAAAAAAAAAAAAAAAAAAAAAAAAGATTAGAACATCCCTGGTAATTCAAGGAGTAATTTAACTCCTTGTCTTTGGTGAATTGTCAGATTCCTGCAACTTTGGAGTCTAGTGTTAGGAGCTTTGGGGCTGGTTGGCTCATTGGCTCAGTGAGTTCAGCCAGACTCCAGGGTCTTCCCATTTCTGTGCTCTACTCTCTTGAGCAGTACCTGTACTCCCCACAGCTCAGGCTGATGTAGACAGAGGATGAAGATGGTCCCCTTCTTCCTATGGCACTCCCTTAGGAACAAGGATTCATTTCCTGGAATATCTGATACAGACATCTCACCCCTCTTCAGCCTTTCCTTGAACCAATTGCTCATTAGGGAATGGGAGACAAATTGGACTCCTGCTGTCTCTTTCCCCTCCACTCTTGCTATGGACTTTCAGTGCAAAGTAGACTGACACTATCCTCCTGGTCCTCGCCATGCCCAAGCTTCTTGCTTTCCAGCGTCCCTGTATTTGCCTAGCCTCAAAGATCCAGCCAGTCATGACCCATCACACAGGACTGATGTTCTCCCCCTGGGTTCCACAGATCCCTTACCTTCAAGATTGCCCTAGCGTCTTCAGCCCTTCAGTCGCTATCACTAAGCTGCCTGTGAGCTAATTGCCTGGCCTATCACCATAGAACAAAGTGCCCAGGGACATTCAGCAGAACCTGAGATCTCTCCCAAACCCAGAGCTTTGCAGGTGATAGTGGCCACAGATCTAAGGAGATGCATGATTCAGTGATAAATGGAGAGGAAAGGAAATGTCAGGGCACAGTGTTTCCAGAACCTTCTTCTCAACAATTAATTGCCATTCTTATGGGAGCTCATTTGATTTGGGATTCTCTCACTTCAACCAAAAGAATCCTGTCTTGTCAACCACCCACTAGGTGGGCCTTCCCAAGGCTTGGAGGCCTTTGCTGGAATTAACATCCTGGTCAGAGGAATCACACAGAACTGACATGCCCAGTTTCCCACAGAAAAAAATAAAGCAAAAGCCTTAAGGAGCTTCAAGGACAGCTAGGAAGACCAAATGCTAAGTACAAAGGAATAAGAGTGGGGTTATAAAAAGGAAACAGAGATAAGAACCAGGAGGGTATGAGACTGAAAGAGGGAGGTGCAGACAGAACAAGCTGGGCGGGTTTGCAGATGGGTATAGGAGAGTGACATATTGGCTAACAGGGACAGACTTTGGGTGATGTCCATCTTCTTAAAATAGGATACAATTCTATTTACTCTCAAGGTTGATGTGAGGTAACTTTCATAAAGTGCTAAGCACATTCTCTGGGCAAATGGTAGAAATTTTTCGTCCTCAGTTTTTGTCAAAATGAAGAAAATAATGCATAGATGAGTAGTGGAGAAATGTCATATTCTACTTCTTTAATTAATACATGTTTCTTGTTCCTCCTGCCCTTGTACACTGAGGAAACAGATGTTCTGCATTATTAGGGATCTGAATTCTCCCAGGTAACCACTTCCTCCATCAGTCTCTCCTCACCTTTGTTAATGTCTTGGCTCTGAGTCAGAATCTTAGAGGTAACGTAGGTTCTCTTATCTCTAAAATAATTGATTGTGTAATTAAAAAGTGCTTGGCACATTGGCTGTTAACATTTTATTATTATTAGTGTCATTAGGAACTAAATCTGAGAAGTAAATTTCTGATCTACAACATCTAAAGCAAAAATATATTAATGAAGTTTTACTTAGGTCAGGAGAAACACATGGGCCAAGCAGAGATTTATTGATCTATCTTTTTTTATTGTAATCCAAATATTTTTGTGTATCTTCCTTCTGAAGCATTTTTCCCACAAGTAGTATATTCGTCGAGCTTTGCTACCACAACCTCATTTCTTTGGCAGGTTAGGTGACTTTGCAACAATATATTAAATTAGTAATAAATTAATTATGATGTATAGAGGTGATAAAAATATGTTAATGTGAGTAATATGTAATTTAAATCCCCAATTCAGAATTAGTCAATTAAATTCTTTAGTAAGCCATGTTTATATTATTTCATATTCTGAGTTTCCTTCAAGAATCAAGGTCACATAGTCCGGAGGAAATTGTTCTAGACTTTCTTTCAAATTTAAATACTTTCTGAGAACAAAATACTTCAAAAAATTGTACCCCAAAATACTACACACACACACACACACACACACACACACACACACACACACACACACACACAGAAAGAGAGTCATGATTACATAGATACTGGCATAGAGATCAATAGATGGTTGGGTGGGTGGGTGGATGGATGGATGGATGGACAGATGAATAGAGACATCAAGGTAGAAAGAACATTAAATTAAACTCAGTTGACACATATTCTAGCTTTCTACCTGCCTCTAACCTTGGTTGAGCCATTTATGTCCTCTAGCTCAATGTTCCACAATAATACAATAAGAAGTTGGATTAGATGATCTTTTAGGTATTTTTTCTTCAAAGGACATATTATTAAAATCCTCCTAGTGAAGCAATTTCAACTCCTGCAGTCATTTTGTCACCTCTCTATTGCTCCTTGTATCTCCCTCTGAGTCTCCTTTTTAACACAAGCACTGATAATAGAAGCTAATACTCTTAGAACAAAAGTCATCTGGTCAAGGCTGCAGTTTACAGTGGATGTTAGATCAAAGCAAAATTAAGAAGGTTAGAGTTTGCTTAAAAAACATGTTGGAACAAACAAAAGAAATTCTATGCCCATCAAGAGAATTGTTCGGGAACGAGTAATCTCATTTAATCGAATATTTCCACATTAATATAATTTTCTGTTTGGGGCTGAGTCACATGCAAGCTTATTTATGCATGAACAGATCAAATCAACATCTTTCTTCTAGATTTTACAGCCACTTCCCTAAGAGGACCTAAGGGAAAGGATTCTAGTGATGACAGATTATACTAGAATATCAAATTCACAGTAGAAAAAAATTACAATATGCGTTGAAATTCCTAAAAGGTGGGTACTTTCTAACTTTAGAATGGAGAACCATTAACACATGGTAAATTTCTTCTGATGTATACCATGAGTAAAAAATTTGTTTCGTGACATTATTTGTGGAAAGAAAAAGTAATATTTATGTTTTAATTCAACTATCACAAGCTTGGTTTTGAAATAAATGCTATAACTGGAAACCTTTGGTCAAAATTAATGACGTCCCAAATATTTCAGCTAAACTAAATATTGATTCTTTGAAAACAAACAAGGTGTTCATTATGTAGGAATAAGAGACTGAGGCTAGCCAAAGTTTTCTATCATCCATTTATCCTCTACTTTAAAAAGTATTAAACATTTAGATATGATTTACATTAGCTTCAGCCTTCTACTGGAGTTATCCAAGCCATCTGCTAGGGAGATTTCTTCTTTTTTTTTCAGAGGTTCAAACCAGTTCTGACCCCTACCTTCTTTTGAAGGGCAGATAGAGAGTTTAATGTGTAACCACAGGACAGTTTAAGGTCCCCAGCACCCCATATTACTTTTCCTGGGGTAACAGAGCTGATGAGCCATTGTGCACGGAATCATTCTGTATTTGAGGAAAGTTCAATAGGCTGGTCCCTCTTTTCATTTAATAAGAACGTTAAAAGTGCCACAAGAATTAAAAACAGTCATAGCTTGCTGCCTTCACAGGACTATTTCCATGAGGAAGGGACAGCAATCGTGCCTATAAAGAGTCTCTAGAAATGCTTGGTCATATACATTATACTGATATATATGTGTGTGTGCATGCGTGTATGTGTGTGTGTTTGAGACAAGGTCTTGCTCTGTTACCCAGGCTGGAGTACAGTTTCACAATCATAGCTCACTGCAGCCTCAAACTCCTCCATTCAAGCTATCTTCCCACCTCAGCTTCCTGGGTAGCTGGGACAACAAGCACATGCCAACACACTTGGCTATCTTTTCTTTTCTTTCTTTTCTCCTTTCTTTCTCTTTCTTTCTTTCTTTCCCCTCCCTCCCTTCTTTCCTTCTTTCCTTCCTTCCTTCCTTCATTCTTTCTCTTTCTCTCTCTTTTTCCTTTTTTCTTTTTTTTCTGTAGAGATGGGGTCTCACTATATTGCCCAAGCTGGTTTCAAAATCCTTGGCTCATGATCCTTCTGCCTTGGCCTCCCAAAGCACTGGGATTGCAGGCATGAGCCGCCATGCCCACTACTGGTGTTCTCAGTGGTAGAGATTATGAAGAAGAATTGGGACACATAAGAGAAGCTATTTTTACTCTGGACCAGAGTTTCTCTGCATTTCCCACCTGCAAATCTGTGAGCAGCCACAATTGTCTCTTTGTTGCTGTTGCTTTATCAGTTGGATGGGCAGTTGGAAGTCTCCAGAAGGAAGTTAGGTTTTTCTGTCCAGGATGGAGGCTGGTATAAGACTCTTCAGAGGCTGCACCCTGTCATGCTCCCTCTGCACACTCCAGACTGCCTGTATGGATGTAGCAGGTGCTCATTTAACTCCTTTATTTATGTCCTTGGGAGTGCTGGTGAAGGCACACTGTTGTCCTCCCTCATTAGCCAGCTCCTTGGCAATCCTATTTCAGAAGGGGCAGACACTTTGTGTGTCTTCCCCATCATCCCTCCCTACCAACTTCCCTGGAGACTATCTCAACATGTTCACCTGAGATGCATCATGTGTTAATGCAAAGTAAAGACACCTGTATAATAACATTTTTAAATAATCAAAAAAAAAATAGCAAGGTATCAGTGATGACTGTCCTTCACGGATCTCCGTGACTGAGGTCTATGAAGGAGACAGGAAGGCAATGGTTACAGCTGGGAAAAGACAAAGCCTTAGACTCCGGTGCACTGTTCTCTTTCAACTTCAGATGGTTATCATGGCATTTTAATTACTCTCCTATAATAATTTCCAACTGGGTTCCTGTCCCAGGGTTACTTATCCTCTCACTTTCATTCTCTTTCCCCAGGCATCTCCAGACAATTCATACGCGGGTTTACCAAAGCTTGAGCTAGTCTCAAATTTCCTCGTGAAGCGGGCCCAAGGCTGATAACAGCCATGACTGAAGGTCCCTTCTCCTGCCTTTATTCTTCCTTGCTGGGCCTAATCCTTAGCGCTTCTCAGTTCCTACCTGGTGTGAAATCCAAAAGAGGTTTTCTTCAAGTCGTTCATTAAACTTGGTGTGCTCAGTGCTTAAAGTGGGTGTTTAATTCTTCCTATTTTATGCTCATCTGCATACAACTTTTTAAAAATCAAAAGGTTATACTTTTAAATGTTAATGTATTAGATTTTACATTATTAATTAAAATGAACTATCTTTATTCATCAAATTAGCAATGATGGGGGTTTTGGAAAATAAGCTTTCTACTAGACTGCTGTCAGAAGCATTGATTGCTTCATTTCTGGAGGAAGATTTGGCAATATGTATCAAAAGCCTTAAACATGTTAGTACTGTTGACCTAGCAGTTTTATTTCTAAATATGAGACCTAATAAAACAAATATATGTTCAAAGATGCTCATAGAAGCCTTGTTTATAAGGAATATATAGAAATATGTTGTTAAGCAAGTGGATAGTTTAGTCATTTATGGCACATTTTTACGGTAGAATGCTATATGACCATTGAAAGGTGATGAAGAGTTAGTCTTCCTCAGTATCTGGGGATTGGTTCCAGGACACCTTCTTCCCCACCTCTCACTGTGGGTATCAAAAGCCAACAAAACTCAAGTCCCTGATATATAATGGCGTAGTATTTGCATATAACCTACACACATCCACCTGTATACTTCTGTTGTTATTATTTATTTATTTATTTATTTATTTATTTATTTTTGAGACAGGGTCTCCCTCTGTCACCCAGGCTGGAGTGCAGTGGCGTGATCACAGCTCACTGCAGACTTGACTTCCAGGGCTCAAGCGATTCTCCCACCTCAGCCTCCCCAGTAGGTGGGACCACAGGTGTGCACCACCATGCCCAGCTAATTTTTGTAGTATTAGTAGAGACGGGGTTTCACTGTATTGGCCAGGCTGGTCTCGGACTCCTGAGCTCAGGCAATCTTCCTGCCTTGGCCTTCCAAAGTGCTGGGATTACAGGCATGAGCCACTGCACCCGGCCCTCCTGTATACTTTAAATCATCTTTAGGTTATTTATATTACCTAATACAATATAAATGTTATCTAAATAGTACTTGTACTGTAATGTGTAGGGAATAATGACAAGAAAAACGTTTGTACATGTTCAGTACAGACGCAATTTTTTTTTGAATATTTTCAATCCTCAGTTGAATCTACAGATGTGGAACTCACAAATACGGAAGGCCAAATGCATATGCACTAATACAGAAAAAAGTCTTACATACTTTCAAGAAAAAAAGTAAGCTCCAGAACAATGTAAAATTGTACAAAATATTATCAGTGGTTATCTTGGGTTAATAAAATTATAGTTGAAATATTTTTAAATCTCCTTTTCATGTGAACTTTTAAATTTTATCACCATAAACTTATTATATCTTTCAAGATTAATTTTTTAAATTTTCATGTTGATTCAATTTTTTAAGATATTAACTTAATGTACCTACTTCTTAATAATATTGAGACAAATTATTAGAAAGGCAGATAAACATTTTTGTAAATGAAAAGAGAAGCCAATGAAGGCATGAATAATTGAAATCCACAGGTAGTTTAAAAATTTATCTTTGATCCTCTGTTTTTTACCAAATATGCAAATAAGATATACAGTTACTGAGTTTTGTTTCCGCAATTCCTGTGTTCCCTGAAAATTTTGAGGAAATATGTAATAATGAAAATTGTGGGATAATGGAGAGTGACTAGAGCAGGAAGAATCATATATAACCTGCAAATAATCAACCAGTTATGCATATATAGAGCTATTAATTTGCTCAAGTTTGATTATAAGCCCTTGATAATCACTATCCATATTGATCAAAAGAGATTGAGGGGGCCCAGGAATTCTGTGGGGGCTAATTACCAGAATAAGTTGTTAAGGAGTGAAGTGTAAACACTCATAGTATTTCTTATCAGAGTATTTTCCACATTGCATTTTTCTCATAATTACTGTATCAACCTCCTGTTAGGTTGTAAACTGTTAAGAGAAAGGACACATCTCTTCTCATGATTGTAATTTCTTTTCCCTTCATATGCCTGGTATGGCTACACTGGCAATATATTGCATGTCTTTAATGAATGGATAATGAACTCTTTGTTATTGATGCTCTTCTACCCGTAAAGCATATCTTGAACCTTCAGTTTCCACTGCTCCCTGCAGCCAAGTTGGGCCAGATTCCCTGCCCGCCACACCAGGGGAGACCTTGGGCAGGTTCCCTTCATCCTCTCACTCCCTCCTCCTCAGCCTCAGTGTCCTCATCCAACAGGAGCAATTTTACTTGTCACAGGGAACTGCTGTGAGATCAAGTAGCCACATGAGCACCTTGAAGGCAGCAACAGGGTCTTAACTCCCCTTGAAACCTTATGGACTAACTGCGGACCTCACCCCACTGGCCTCCATAAATGTTAGGTACTTTTCTCCCCTCCCCTTGGCTATGAGGTTCAACCAGAATGCTAGAGAGGCTTATTTGTAACAGAGAAGAGAAAACAAGTTGTTTTACCAGTGCTTAATTCAATTCCACACATTTCTGAGTCTCAGAATGTCTCAAATAGGAGAATTGGTCTGAAAATCTTCCCTCAGTAATTCTCCAAACTACCATTTGGCGCCTGAATAATTATTAACACCAATCTAATAATGGGAGGACAATCTATTTATAGATATTTTCCTGCAAGTGGTTGTGATGGTTTTAGTCCACTTTGTATTATTTGTTTTAAGAGTTTCATCCTTTTATGTCATCAAGCTGTTAAATTTTATAGTTGAAAACTTTCAATTCCAAAAAGGCAAATACTTTGGGACATTCTCCTCCTACCTTTTTTCATTATTCCAAGTGAATCAAAACTTTTCTTCAATAACGAAAAATCATATATTTATCCATAGATTTTGCATATGCTTCTGTTCCCTTATATATTAAGGTTTTCCCTCAATCCTTTTGCACTGTGCTTTTCAGGTAAGGAGCACAAACCCCAAATACAGTTCTTATGTAGAAACTCCTAAACGTGATACCCTACCAGGCTTTCCACTGAAACTCCTAGCAGTGCCTTCCACTCAATTGCTAACACTAAGTCCAAGGAATATCATAAACTCCTCCCCATTACTCATTTCACTTCTCTTCTTGGCTTCTAATTTTGACCACTATGTTCCATTCTATTCTAAGCAGTAAAAATTATCTTTATAGAGCATAAATCAGATCATTTCAACCCAAACTACTACTTAAAACCCTTCAAAATCTTCCCATTGCAGTTTGAAAAAAGTACATAAGTTGTATGATATTTTTTTTGTTTCTTTTTCCCATGGGCTGACTAAATACTATTTCTGTATCCTACCAGACACAGGAGCCAGGCATATAGAGGTCGAAGCATAACCTTTACTTGGGACAACACTGGGGAATGCAGCCTCTGAGTGTGGGCCTGTGAGCTGCTGGCACAGAGGCCTGGGCTAGACAGTGGTATTGCTGGACAACTGTGGGTCCCAGCACAGGAGAGGGCGAGTTCATCCTATGGTGGAGCACGAACCTGACACGTGCCCTCTGCAGGCAGGTGGATCCCCAACAAAGGGAGAACACAGAAGGGTTGCTCTGCCACTCTCCATGTCTCACCATCTGGTGAACTCACTGGTTTCTCTCAGACAGAAAGAAGCCAAGACCCTTCTCCTAATGGAAAGCCCTCTCCAGGGGGACATAGGACTCCTTCAACATTCACCACAGCTACAAGCCCCTCCACCATGGGGGTCCCTGCAGCTACTCCACCCCGCAGGACTCTTTCACTACACCTCAGCCACAATGGCCTCCTCCTAGTCCTCGACTCTGTTAAGTGCTTTTCTGCCTCCTCTCTTTGCATTTGTTCTTTTCTCTGCCTCCAAAGGGCACGTCCCAAGGCTGGATGCTTTTCATCCCTAAGGTCTCAGATCAAATGGCCTGGCCTCAGAAATGGCAAACAGAACACAAAATAAGATGGTAGAATCATGTCTAAATGCATCTGTAACCATTATTACTGGAAGGAGTTTTTTTTAATCCAGCAATATGGCGCCTATGTAAGACAGAAGTAAAGCAAAGAAGCTCAGAACGTTGAAAATAAAGAATTAGAAAAGGGTATGACTGGCAAACAAAAGATAGGGCAGAGATATTAATACCAAACAAAAGAGACTTTGAGGATAAAGCATTAAGACAGATGAAATGAGATGATAGGTAATAATTATAAGGAACAATTAAGCTAATAGATATAAGGAAATTATGAACTTGTATGCACCTTAAAAAGTGGCTCTGTGATTCCTGTTGATATAGCAAAACCTGATGGAATTTTAAGGGAAATTGCCAAAACGATCATCATGGTAGAAGACTTTACCACCAGGCTGTGCCACATTAGCTTTGAGGCCAGGCAGTGAGGCAAGCCTGAAGATGCCTCGCCAAGAGGGAAGACCAGAAGCTCCATAAGAAAATGGGGGCAGAAGAATACACAGAACTGTTGCCTTCGTAAATGGACAGGAGAAAGAGCTCCTAATAAAATGATGGATCTGCCTAAGGAGCTTCTTTCAGCTGCCTATAATAAAACCCTGGAGCAATAAAATAAGATAGAAAAAAGTTTTGTTTTCAAGCAGAATTTAGGGTAAATATAAAGAAAAACCACGACTGTAGGATTCCAACATAAAACTGTTTCTCATCCCATCTCTCATAACAAAAGATTCTCAGAGTGAATTAGTAATTTCCTCAGAATAAAGATCAAATCCAGGGCCTTCTCAGTAAAAGAGTTATCACAGGAACAAAAATATGTGAAACACTTTGTTAAGACTTCAGAAAGACTTAAGACATTATGGAACAATTCAGATAGACAGTGGGGCTTTTAAGAATCTTAATTCATCCCCTATCACTCTGATTTTGAGGTCCAAGTGGAAAGAGATCTGTCTTGAAGATATTTATGGGTACAGCTTTTATTGAATAAAGTGAATTTATAATTTGATACATAGAAAATGTATTAACTTTCTAAAGAAATTATACTATATTGAACTCAAAAGACCAGAGAGAGTTTCAAATGAAAAACGAATTTTAAATTGTGCAAGAAAGGGTTAACTCAGTAGACCCACGTTACTCAAACCCTGCACATTCTGAGGGAAAGTCTGTGTTCAGGACTAGTCTTTTGCTGATTCCTGGGATATGAGCTCTATGACCCTGGAATATGCTGCCTGATGAGTGTTTTGGTATGCCTGAGGTCTTGGGACATGCAGTAACAGTTTGACAATTAGTTTATACTGACAATGTGACTTACAGTGAATGCCTATTTTGCTGAGGGGAAAAGGATTCTGAGTGACTTCCCAACAAAAGCACTGGACACCAAGGTTCGGGGAGCTTCTCTGGTTGTCATACATCCTTGATGAGAGAATTAAGTACCTTCCACAGGAATGGGACACCTGGAAGCTTGCACCAGGTTACTCCTGGAAGTCACACCATTTGCATCTTTCCTTTGCTGATTTTAATCTATATCTTTTCACTGTAATCAACCATAAGTGTGTGAATAAAGCTTCCAAGACCAGTGTGTCTTTCTAGTAAATCATTGGGCCTGAGGTGGTCTTGGGAACCCCAACATACAGACTGTGAAAACCACTCAACTCCAAATAAAAGCCATTTCTCATAGGAAAAAAATTGCTTCTGAGGGTGGAACCAAGGGCCGTGAAGAAACACTCCCAGAGGGCAGAACTGGGACCTAGTCAAGGAATGAAAAATTTATGCCTTGCAGGATTTCAAAATTTCTATGAATCAGTGGCTACTGTGGGCCTTCTGTTTTCACCCTTTGTAAATAGGAATTTCTTTTTGGTTTTCCTGGCACAGCCTTACCTATGTGTGTTAGGGATATGGAAGACAACTTGAATTTTGATTTCATTAGAGAGCCCACTTCTGAAGAGCATCATCTGCACATGGACCTAAATTAGATAAGGAGACCCTGGACCTCAAGCCTGAGCCCTATGTCATAATAGAATGACATCTTTGGAAGGCATTCTAGAGAGTGAATATATAATGTATATGGTAGAAATGTGAATCATTAGGGGTCAGGATTATGGTAATTCATTAAATTAATACCTCCATTTACCCATACTTCTCATTATTCATGCCTATCCTTGAATCTAGGCTGAGCCTGTGACTTAATTTTTAAAATATGTCAGGAAAGATGTTGTGCCCATTCTGACTAATCTTGAGAAGTTCTGTAAGCTTCTACTTTTGCACTCTTGGGAGCCCTGAGCTTTCAAGCAAGAGGTCTGTCTAGGCTGCTGGAAAGATCATTTGAAGAAACCATGTAGTAACACCATGTAAACAGGATACCAGGGGAGGGGGAGAGGGGGAGAGACAGAGAGAGACTCCTGAGACTACAACAGTGAGAACCAAGGAACACAGCCAACAAAGAAATCCAAAAATCCTAGGCATAGGTATATCGTCCCCATTAAGCAGCCCCAACCAGCCCTCAGTTACTGAAGTCAACTTAGCTGAGAAGCCAGAAATGAGTGAAGTGAACATCTTGTACCTTCCAGTCTCAGAAGACATCACTTAGCGTGTGACGAACCATCCTGCTGAGCCTTCTCTGAATGCCTAACCTACAATGATTGTGGTGTTAAGCTACAAAGTTTTAAGTAGTTTGTTTTGCAGCAACAAATATAAAGTTTTAAGTTTGTTTTGCAGCAACAAATATATTCTAGTCAACTTTCTTCTAAGAGTCCACTCACTTTTTGTTTCACCAACCAGTTCTTTCTTCTTGTTCAGAGTTAATTATTAAATATTCATTCATTTAGTGGGTAGAAAGAGTATGGGATACTGAGTCTGAGGACCTGAGTCAGAGTCCAATTCTACCACATTGGCTCTGTGACTGAATCCCTTACCTTTAAGTTTTGTCTTCTCACATAGAAATGGGAATAATATTCCTCACTGCCTCATGATGATGATTAAGTGAAATGACAATAGTGAGATGTCTTTGAAACAACTAAGCTTATTCTTCCTTCCTTTTTCCCCATAACTGAGACTCTAATTTCTAGACATGGGAACTTCCTTCTCCTTGTGTGCCCACTGCAGGACCATGGGTGTGGTGACTGCATGGGGCCGGCTCAGTAGGTGTCTTGGTTACTATAAGATATTAGCTATGCCTGTCATAGAAGGAGAAGCCACAGCCATCCTAGGGACACATTCCATACTTATTTATACAAATATATATATATATATATATATATATATATATATATATATATATATATTTTAAAGTGACTATTTTGATAACCACTGAGATTATAGATCCTTTGAGCAGCTGCTTTTCCACTTGGCATTAGCATGAACTTTAAAATTAAACAAACATTGTTTCCTCGTGAATGAGAAAAAAATAAAATTAGACAAACAGACTTGAAATACTGGCTTTGTTGGTTACTCTGTGTATGATTTTGGATGTGACTTAACTTCTTTAAACTACCTCCTTTTTCCATAAAATGGAAATAGTATACACATCACATTTAGTATTATATTTTTGATGGTTGGATATAATATTTTGATATTTATCAAGTTATTTTTCCATTCTTCTTCAGCTTCGGCCACAATGCCATAAAAACAAAATAGGTCTAATAAAAATAATTATACTTAAGTACTGGCACTAGAATTTATATTTAAAGCTCCATCATAGAGAATTTTTTTGAAAATTTTACATAATTCTACAAAGAATGTACATATTTTCTATTCCATAAATAGACTTTCCATGGTGGTTGTTTTTAACTAATGTTAGAATAAATTTTTATTGTGTGAATTAACCAATAGATGGCCGAACTTCAGAGAAAACTGAGGTTCTGCTGTCTCATTGCAAAATACTATCTGCATAATCCAAAAGATAATTAACAAAGATACAAAAGCTCCAATTCGGAGTCTTTCATGCAAGCTCTGCTTAAATGTTGTGTTGTCCTCTTTCAGTCTAATCATAATTTGCAATTGTGCATAATTTCAATACAAAAATATTCTATTAAACATGAAAATATGATAATGTGATATAGTGCTAAGGGAGAAAATGCTTTGTAAAATACTAAAAAAGATACATAATTCATTTTAAAATAGATGGCTCTTAGCTTATGAAAATATATTTTCCAGGGAAAAATAAGGTTTTTAGGGTGTTATCTGGAAGGAGATGGAGAGGAAAAGAAAGCTGATTTTTGCAGCTTAATAAAATGATAGACTAGGAGAGAGAAATTGGGAATTATCGGAACAAAGAGAAAAGGCGAGGTGAAAAAGACCCCATAAGAGAGAGCTATCTAAGCTACATGCCTCCCTCCTGTTCTTATAACCACATTTGAACTCTCCTGCAAGGTCTGCAGACTCCTGAAGCACCTTGTCCTTTTGAATATTCTTTAATAGCTCCTCTTGGGTCTTGTGACCTCAGGTACTTTAACGGGCTATAAACCTAGGGCTTCGTTCTGATGTCTATTTGCATACTTTTGCAAATGTTCTACTTTTTTTTTTTGCAGAATCTGCCCTCAAATTCAAATCTACAAACAGCAGCTTGAGTAGGTTTTTGTAAATTAAAATAATTTTCAGGCACATTGGGACATTCACAGCCTATGTTCTGCTGGCACTCTTGGCAGGAGCCCAAGAGTAATTGTACACTACATTAATATTAAATACGCCCTTTGAAAATTTTTCCGAAGGTGGTGATGCAATTTCAGTAACTTTTTCTCCCCCTAGGCATTTATAAATACCAAATTGGTTTAGTAAAGAGGCACTATTAGGGGACTTCATCATAAATTCGCCTCTTAAAATAATCCTTCAATGTACTATGTGGAAATCCCCCAAACTGTGGTGTTGAAACAGATGGCACAATTGTGCTATTGAACATCAATGCCATCCATGGACTGTTAATTTCAATTATAAAATGTAAGTCACGGAGGGGTGGATTATGTCACTGGTGATGGTCACAGTATGTTTTCATAAGGTCACACATTTCTTGATGTTAAGTTACAAAGTGGGAGAGAGGTATCTTATGACACTTGTACCCAGACCACACCAGACATATAGAAGCTTAGTTTTTGGACATTCTTGGTTTGCCTCAAGATAGATGTAAAGTCTTTTCAGATAGGTCTCAAGAAGGAGGCTGATGAAACTGCAAATTTCCACCATCTTTCTTCTATTTGAGAGGCTCCTCTGAAGCAAGATGGCAGAATGAAATAATAAAATAATGGCACAATGAAGCCATAAGATAACATTTTGTTTTCTGAACTGAACAAAATAAATATTAACAAAGCTTTAAAATTATTAAAACCATACACTAAGGAAGTGGAATAACCTCATGAGAAAATCTTGAAATCAGTGAGAGAAAAATAAGTGATTATCTAGATGGTGTCCCAAGTAAGATTATAGTTGACGTATCAGAAATTATGGAGTCCAAGAAAATGCAGTATATACAGAATGGGATACTTTTCAGCCTTTAAAAATGAAGAAAATCCTGTCATTTGCAAAAACATGGATGAACCTGGAGAACACTGTGTTAAGTAAAATAACCCAGGCACAGAAAGACAAATACCGTATGATCTCACTTATATGTGGAATTTAAAAAAGGAATTCATGGAAGTACAGAGGAGAATGATGGTTAACTGGGGTCTGGGAAAAGAAAGTGTGTTTGGGGAGATGTTGGTTAAAGGATACAAAACTTTAGCTAGGATGAATCAGTGCAAGAGATCTATTGCACAACATAATGACTATAGTTAATAACAATGTATTTTATTCTTGAAAAATGCTAAGAGAGTAGATTTTAAGTGTTCTCACCATAAAAAGTGAGGTAATGCATGTGTCAGTTAGCTCAATTTACCCATTCCACAATGTATACATACTTTAAAACAACATTTTGTACACCATAAATATATACAATTTGTACTTGTCAGTTAAAAACTAAGTTAAAGAAAAGTAATGAAGGAGGTCAGAAGAAATGGAAAAAAACTATCAATGAAGAATCTTATATTCAGCAAAGTTATTCTATAGAAATGAAGGCAAAATATAGACACCCCTATGCAAACAAACACTAAGAGAATTTGTTGCTAGCGGACTTACCTTATAAGAAATACTAAAGAACTTTATTTAATATGAAAGCAAGTGATAATAATTATAATCCACATGGAAAAAATAAGAGCTAAAAATTAATCATTAAAGGTATTCATGTATTTACAAAAGACAGCATAAATGCGTATTTCTCTCCTTCCTTCTCCTAACTGGTTTAAAAATTAATGATAAAAAACAAAAATACATATAATTTTATTGTTGGACCTATAACATATAAAAATGCAATATATTTGCCAATAGCATTACAAAGGAGGTGAGTTGGAATAAAGCTATACTGGACTATGGAAAGGGCTTCAGATGGCAACTCAAAGCCACAGAGCAAATGAAGAGAACCTGCACTAATTTTAAAAAACAGGGTTAATATAACAAAGACTATAAATATTTACTTGCTTTTCTTTTCTCTCTCAGCTTCTTTAAAACACTTATAAGATTGTATAACATAATCATTTATAACAATATATTGTTGAGGACGGGCATGGTGGCTCATGCCTGTAATCCCAGCACTTTGGGAGGCCGAGGCGGGCGGATCACAAGATCAGGAGGAGTTCAAGGCCAGCCTGGACAACATGGTGAAATCCCGTCTCTACTAAAAGTACAAAAAGTAGCCGGGGGTGGTGGCACATGCCTGTAATCCCAGCAACTTGGGAGGCTGAGGGAGAAGAATCACTTGAACTCGGGAAGAGGAGGTGAACCGAGATTGTACCATTGCACTCCAGCCTGGGTGACAAAGCGAGATTCTGTCTCAAAATAATAAAAAAGTATTGTTGAATTTGTAACATTTATAGATGTAATATGTATAACAATGATGCCACAAAAAGTAAAAAAGAATAGAGCTTCATATAAGTAACATTTGTATATTTCATTGGAATTAAATTAAGACAAATCTGAAACTGATTTTCATAAGTTAAGGTGCATATTGTAAGCCCTAGAGCAACTACTAAGAAAACAACTTAAAAAATGGCAAAACTTTATTGAAGAAATAAAAATAGTACTTTAGAAAATATCCACTAAATGCAAACGAAAGCAAAAAAGGGGTAATAAGGGAACAGAAAAAACATGACACATTAACAAAAACAAAAAAGCAAAATGGCATGTAATCATTTAATGTTATTATTGATAGAGTTGGTTACAAATCCAATATATGGAATTCCAGTTCCATAAATTGGATGTTATAGTTAGATGTAAATCCAACTATAGCAATAATAACATTAAATGTTATCAAATTAAATAACCCAATCAAAAAGCAACTTGTCAGATAAGATTTAAGAAAAACGAGATAGAAATACATGCTGTCAACAGAAGACGTACTTTATATTCAAAGACAAAGAAAAACTAAGGCCGGGCGCGATGGCTCACGCCTGTAATCCCAGCACTTTGGGAGGCCGAGGCAGGCGGATCACGAGGTCAGGAGGTCGAGACCATCCTGGCTAACACGGTGAAACCCCGCCTCTACTAAAAATACAAAAAAAATTAGCCAGGTGCGGTGACAGGCGCCTGTAGTCCCAGCTACTCGGGAGGCTGAGGCAGGAGAATGGCGTGAACCCGGGAGGCAGAGCTTGCAGTGAGCAGAGAGAGCGTCACTGCAGTCCGGCCTGGGCGAAAGAGCGAGACTCTGTCTCAAAAAAAAAAAAAAAAAGAAAAGAAAGAAAGAAAGAAAAACTAAATCAGAAATGAAAGAGAAGACTTTATTTCCAGTCTTGGTAAAAGAAAAAGGATTATAAAGAAATAGTACAAGCAATTCTGTCAATAAATTAGAAAATTTAGGTGAAATGGACAAATTCCTAGAGAACACAAATTACTGAAACAGACTTAAGAAGGAATAGAAAATCTGAATAGGGAGAGTGAAGGAAGAGGGCGGATAGGAGACAGGGCTAACATGCAGCTCCCACTTGGACAGACAGAACATGTGGAGGCTCACACCATGAACTTTTGCTCCAAGAAACGCTGCAGGAACATATCAAGAAAACCAAAAGAATTCACAAATCCTTTAAAAGGAGTGGCCTGTCGCTGTAAATTCCATGAGACAGGTGAAAAACTGTGAGTTCCCAAAGTGTGAGGGGGGAAACCTACCTCTGAAAACACATCCCCACTGGAGAACCTGAAAATCCAGATCCCAGGAGAAGGATTTAACTTTACCTGGAGCTGAAACGGATTTAGGGAGCCATGCAAAACATAAAAGTAGAAGCAGCAGCAGGAAGAGCCTTGTAGGCACTCCCAGTATCCAGCCTGGGCCCAGGGAAGACAACCCTGACTATATCTCACAGGGGCCTTGGGGAAGGCAGCCAGTGGAATTAGGGAGGGGTCACAGGGTGAACGGGGTAAAAGAAGTTTCCAGCTGAATTTTGTAATAATTTTGACTGAGCACAAATTTCCTTGAGCAGAATCTGGGGATTGAATGGGAACTGTTGCAGATATGAGCACAGGAGCCACTGCTGGTATTGTGGGCAGATGAGGAGGGATGAGGCCTGAAAGCTGCACTTGCTTTCTCAGGAACGAAGCTTATGGCCTAGGGCAAGGTCTGAGTCCCATGCACTGGCTGCCTGGTTCTAAACTCGTCACTGCTGGCAGAGCACTGCAGGAGGAAGACCGGCCTCGCCAACTGCATGGGAGCTGAGTGGGGCCAATCACTACTGGCTTTCCCCCATTTCCCTGGCAAGCTAGATGGCACAGCAGAGGCAGCCATAATCCCCTCTGGAACATAACCTCATTGGCCTGAGAACAATCTTTCATCCCCCATAGTGGCTGTGGCAAGCCCTGCCCAAGGAGAGTCTGAGCTCGGACCTGCCTAACCCTGTTCCCACCTGATGGCTTTTCTTTACCCACCCTTGCAGCTGAACATAAAAGACATAAACCCTGGGGAACTTTATGGCCCTGCCCACTGCCTACCCTGGCCTTACTCATCCTGGCCAACTTAGGGCAAGCTTATATCTCCCTTCTACGACTGCAGCTGGTGCTCTCTTGAAAGTGCCACTTCCTGGCTGGAGGCCACCAACTCAGGCCGTTACAGCAAATCATGACAGAATAACTCTACTCCCAAGAAATAGGGTTAACAATAGCTAATTCCAATGCCTGCAACCAGAGGTCCTGAGCCTACCCATGTATCAACTTCACTACTAGAATACCCAGCATCTGAGAAAGCCAGCACACTAAACACATCTACAACCAATGACTGTCACACAGTCTACTTCACTCTCCTGCCACCTCCATCAAAGCAGGTGCTGGTACCCATGGCTGGAAGACCTGAAGACAGATAACATCACAGGACTCTTTGCAGACATTCCCCAGCACCAGCACAGGATAAGGTAGCCCCACTGGGTGGCTAGACCCAGAAGAGCAATAACAATCACTGCAGCTCTCAGGAAGCCCCATCCCTAGGAAAAGGGTGAGAGCACCACATCAAGGGATCACCCCATGGGACAAAAGAATCTGAACAGCAGCTTTTGAGTTCCAGATCTTTCCACTGAAATAGTCTACCAAAATGAGAAGGAACCAGAAAAGTAATTCTGGTAATACAACAAAAGAAGGTTCTATAACACCCCCAAAAAATCACATGAGCTCCCCAGCAATGAATCCAAACCAAGAAGAAACCTCTGAATTGCCAGAAACAATACAGGATATGAATGAAACAATACAGGATATGATATGAATGAAAAATTCTCTAGATAAATAGATAACATGAAAGAAAAAACAACCATAACTTCTTGAAATGAAAGCCACACTTAGAGAAATACAAAATGCACTGGAAAGTCTCATGAATAGAATCAAACAAGTATAATAAAGAAGTTCAGAGCTCAAAGACAAGGTTTTTGAATTAACCCAATCCAACGAAGACAAAGAAAAAAGAATTTTTTAAAAATGAGCAAAGCCTTCAAGAAATTTGGGATTATGTTAAATGGCCAAAACTAAGCATAATTGGTGTTCATGAGGAAGAAGAGAAATCTAAAAGTCTGGAAAACTTACTTGAGGATATAATTGGGGAAAACTTCCCTGTCCTTGCTAGAGATTTGTACATCCAAACACAAGAAGCTCAAAGAACACCTGGGAAATTCATTGCAAAAAGATTGTCACCTAGGCACACAGTTATCAGGTTAACTAAAGTCAAGACAAAGGAAAGAATTTTAGGAGCTGTGAGAGAAAAGTATCAGGTAACCTATAAAGGAAATTAGGGTCTGGGGTTCTATCTTTAGCCTCCTCAAACAAAATAATTGTCAGCTGAGAATTTTATATCCAGCAAAACTAAGCTTCATAAATGAAGGAAAGATAAAGTCTTTTTCAGACAAACAAATGCTGCAGAATTGGCCACTACCAAGCCAGCACTATAAGAAATGCTAAAAGGAGTTCCAAATCTTGAAACAAAACCTCAAAATACACCAAAATAAACCTCCTTAAGGCAAAATTCTCATAGGGTCTATAAAACAATAACAGGATTAAAAAAACACAAGGTATTAAGGCAACAACTAGCATGATGAATAGAATCATACCTCACATCTCAATACCAACACTGAATATAAATGGCCTAAATCCTCCATATAAAAGATACAGAATGGCAGAATGAATTGAAAAGTCCATCAACCAAGTATCTACTATCTTCAAGAGACTCACCTAACACATAAGGACTTACATAAACTTAAGGTAAAGGGGTGGAAAAAGATGTTCCATGTAAATATAAACTAAAAGCAAGCAGGAGTAGCTATTCTTATATCAGACAAAACAAATGTTAATGCAACAACAGTTTAAAAAGACAAAGAGAACATTATATAATGATAAAAGTCTTACTCCAACAGGAAAGTGTCATGATTCTAAATATATAGGGACCTAACACCAGAGCTCCCAAATTTATTAAATAATTACTAGCAGACCTAAGAAATGAGATAGACAGTAGCACAATAATAGTGGGAGACTTCAATACTCCACTGACAGCACTAGACAGGTCATCAAGACAGAAAGTCAACAAAGAAACAATGGACTTAAACTATACCCTAGAACAAATGGACTTATCAGATATTTACAGAACATTCTATCCAACAACATGCATTCTATTCATCAGCACATGGAACATTCCCTAAGATAGACCATATGATAGGCCACAAAACAAGTCTCAATAAATTTAAGAAAATCAAAATTGTATCAAGTACTCTCTCAGACCACAATGGAATAAAACTGGAAATTAACTAGAAAAGGCACTCTCGATACTATATAAATACATGTAAATTAAATAATCTGCTCTTGGATGATATTTGGGTCAACAATGAAATCAAGATAGAAATTTAAAAATTCTTTGAACTGAGTGATAACAATGACACAATTTATCACAACCTCTGGGATATAGCAAAAGCAGTGCTAAGAGGAAAGTTCATAGCATTAAATGCCTACATCAAAAAGTCTGAAAGAGCACAAATAGACAATTGAAGATCACATCTCAAGGAACTAGGGAAACAAGAACAAACCAAACCCAAACCCAGCCGAAGAAAAGAAATAACAAAGCTCAGAGCATAACTAAATTAAATTAAAACAAACAAACAAAAATAATACAAAAGATAAATGAAACAAAAAGCTGGGTTTTTGAAAAGATAAACAAAATTGATATACAATTAGTGAGATTAACCAAGAAAAGAAGAGAGAAGATCCAAATAAGCTCAAGTAGAAGTGAAATAGGAGATATTACAATTGATACCACAGAAATACAAAAGATCATTCAAGGCTACTATGAACACCTTTACACACACAAATGAGAAAATCTAGAGGAGATGAAAAAATTCCTGAAAATATACAACTTTCCTAAATTAAATCAGGAAGAAATATAAACTCCAAACAGACCAGTAACAAGTAGCAAGATAGAAATAGTAATACAAAAATTGCCAAAAAAAAAAAAAGTCCAGAACCAGATGGACTCACAGTTGAATTCTATCAGATATTCAAAGAATTGGTACCAATCTTACTGAAACTATTCCAAAAGATAGAGAAAGAGGAAATCCTCCCTAAAGCATCCTATGAAGCCAGTATCACCATAATACCAAAACCAGGAAAAAACATAACAAAAAAAGAAAACTACAGACCAATATCCCTGGTGAACATAGGTGCAAAAATCCTCAACAAAATACTAGCTAACTGTATCCAAGAAACAGCTAACTGTTTCATACCAGGGATGCAAGGATGGTTTAACATACACAAATCAATAAATGTGATACATCACATAGACAGAATTAAAAAGAAAAAACTTATGATCATCCCAACAAACATAGATAAAGCATTTGACAAAATCCAGTATTCCTTGATGATTAAAACCCTCAGGAAAATCTGCATAGAAGGAACATAACTCAAAGTAATAAAAGCCATCTATGCCACATCCACAGCCAACAGTATATTGAATGGGGAAAAGTTGAAAGCATTCCCCCTGAGAACTGGAACAAGACAAGGACGCCCACTCTCACCACTTCTCTTCAATGTAGTACTGGAAGTCCTAGCCAGAGCAATCAGACAAGAGAAAGAAATAAGGGGCATCCAAATCAGCAAAGAGGAAGTTAAACTATCGCTGTTGCTGATGACCTAGAAAACCTTAATGACTCATCCAAAAAGCTCCTAGATATGCCAAATGAATCCAGCAAAGTTTCAGGATACCAAATCAATATACAAAAGTCAGTAGCACTGCTATACACCAACAACAACCAAGTCAAGAAACAAATCAAGAACTCAATCCCATTTACAACAGCCAGAAAAAATAGTACTTAGGAATAAACCTAACTAAGGAGGTGAAAGATCTCTAAAAGAAAAACTCAAAACACTGCTGAAAGAAATCATAGAAGATAAATGAAACAAAAAATTGACACAAACAAATGGAAACACATCTCCTGCTCATGGATGGGTAGAATCAATATTGTGAAAATGACCATATTGCCAAAAGCAATATAAAGAATCTTGGTGGGACTGTAAACTAGTTCAACCATTGTGGAAGTCAGTGTGGCGATTCCTCAGGGATCTAGAACTAGAAATACCATTTGACCCAGCCATCCCATTACTGGATATATACCCAAAGGACTATAAATCATGCTGCTATAAAGACACATGCACATGTATGCTTATTGTGGCACTATTCACAATAGCAAAGACTTGGAATCAACCCAAATGTCCAACAATGATAGACTGGATTAAGAAAATGTGGCACATATACACCATGGAATACTATGCAGCCATAAAAAATGATGAGTTCATGTCCTTTGTAGGGACATGGATGAAACTGGAAACCATCATTCTCAGCAAACTATCGCAAGGACAAAAAACCGAACACCGCATGTTCTCACTCATAGGTGGGAATTGAACAATGACAACACATGGACACAGGAAGGGGAACATCACACTCCGGGGACTGTTGTGGGGTGGGCGGAGGGGGGAGGGATAGCATTAGGAGATATACCTAATGCTAAAGGATGAGTTAATGGGTGCAGCACACCAACATGGCACATATATACATATGTAACAAACCTGCACATTGTGCACATGTACCCTAAAACTTAAAGTATAATAATAATAAAATTTAAAAAAAAAGAATCAGTGCTATTCCCATCAAAGTACCATCATCATTCTTCACAGAACTAGAAAAAAAATCCTTAAATCCATATGGAACCAAAAAAGAGCCTCCATAGCCAAAGCAAGACTAAGCAAAAAGAACAAATCTGGAGGCATCACATTACCTGACTTCAAACTATACTACAAGGCTAGAGTTACCAAAACAGCATGGTACTGGTATAAAAATAGGCACATAGACAAATGGAACAGAATAGAGAACCAAAATAAAGTCAAATACTTACAGCCAACTGATCCTCAACAAAGCAAACAAAACATAAAGTGAAGAAAAGACACCCTATTCAACATAGTGGTGCTGTGATAATTGGCAAGCCACATGTATAAGATTGAAACTGGATCCTCACCTTTCACCTTATACAAAAACCAACTCAAGATGGATCAAAGACTTAAATCTAAGATCTGAAACCATAAAAATTTTAGAAGATAACATCAGAAAAACTCTGCTAGACATAGGCTTAGGCAAAGAGTTCATGACAAAGAACCCAAAAGCAACTGCAACAAAAACAAAAATAAGTAGATGTGACCTAATTAAACTAAAAAGCTTCTGCATAGCAAAAGAAATAATCAGCAGAGTAAACAAACAACCCACAGTGTAGGAGAAAATATTCACAAATTATGCATCTGACAAAAGACTAATGTCCAGAACCTACAAGAAACTCAAACAAGCCAGCAAAATAAAAAATAAAAAAATAATAATCCCATCAAAAAGTGGGCAAAAAATAGTTCTCAAAAGAAGATATACAAATGGCCAAGAAACATGAAAAAATGCTCAACATCACTAATGATCAGGGAAATACAAATCAAAACCACAATGTGATACCACCTTACTCCAGCAAGAATGGCCATAATTTAAAAATCAAAAGATAACAGATATTGGTATGGATGTGGTAAAAAGGAAGTATTTTTACACTGCAGGTGGGAATGCAAACTAGTACAACTGCTATGGAAAACATTATGGAGAGTCCCTAAAGTAGTAAAAGTACAGCAACCGTTTGAGTCAGCAATCCCACTACAGGTTATCTAAGAGAAAAAGAAGTCATTATATGAAAAAACACGGCATACACATGTTTATAGCAGCACAACTTGCAATTGCAAAAATATGGAACCAGCCTAAATGCCCATTAACCAATGAGTGGATAAACAAAATGTTATATATGTGTGTGTGTGTATATATATATATATAGTAGTATTCCATGGTGTGTGTGTGTGTATATATACATATATACGTATACGTATACACATATTTGTATATATGTATACGTATATATGTATACGTATACATATATATGTGTATACATATGCACACATACACACACACACACCATGGAATACTACTCAGTCATAAAAAGTAACAAAATAATGGCATTCACAGCAACCTGGATGGAGTTGGAGACCATTATTCTAAGTGAAGTAACTCAGGAATGGAAAACCAAACATTGTATGTTCTCACTTGTAAGTGGGGGCTAAAGCTATGAGGACGCAAAGGCATAAGAATTATACAATGAACTTTGGGGACTCGAAGGGAAGGGTGGGAGGGGGTTGAGGGATAAAAGGCTACACATTGGGTACAGTGTACACTGCTCTTGTGATGGGTGCACCAAAATCTCAGAAAGCAGCACTAAAGAACTGATCCATGTGACCAAAAACCACCGGTTCCCCAAAAACTATTGAACTAAAAAATTAATAAATAATAAAACATTTTTTAAAATTAACAAATTAGATGGGCATGGTGGTGCATGTCTATAGTCCCAGCTAGTTGGGAGACTGAGGTGGGAAGACAGCTTGAGCCCAGGAGGTCAAGTCTGTAGTGAGCCATGATTGTGTTACTGCACTACAGCCTGGGCAACAGAGCAAGACCCTGTCTCAAAGCAAACAAACAAACAAAAAATTAAAGTTCAAATAAAATAAAATAAAATAAAATCTGAATAGGCCTATCACAAATAAAGAGATTAAATTAGTAATCAAAAAATTACCCTCCGTGAAACACCTAGGCCAAGATGGTTTCACTAATAAATTCTAAAAATATTAGAGATGAATTAATACCAGTTCTTCATAAACAAATTCCCCTTCATAAAAAGAAGAGAAAACACTTCTCAACTAATTATATGAGACTAGTTATTAACCTGACACCAAAGCCAGCCAAAGATTTTTTAAACTACAAATATATGTTATGAATATACATGCAAAAATTCTCAACAAAATACTAGCAAGCTAAAACTTGAAACATGAAAAAATAAAAATTATACACTATGACCAAATTCGAATTTATACCAGTAATGCGAGGTTTAACATGTAAAAATTAATTGATGTAATATACTATATCAAGTGAATAATAAACAAAAACCACGTTGATCTCAATTAATGCAGAAAAAGCATTTGACAAAATTCAATGCCCTTGCATGAAAAAAACACTTAGCAAACTAAAAATAGAAGGAAATTTCTTTAACCTGACAAAGGAAATTTGTAAAAATCCCATAGCTAACATCATACTCAATATGAAAAACTGGTTACTTTCTCCTAAGGTCATAAATAAAAGAGGAATATCTGTTCCTACCATTTATATTCAGCATTATACTAGAGGATCTAGCCAGGGAAATTTGGCAAGGAAAAGAAATAAAAGGCACCAGATTGGAAGGGAAGACTTAATAGAATTTCTATTCACAGATAATATGACCTTGAAATTTTAAAAATCCAAGCTAATCTATTTTAAAATTATTAGAATGTATTCAGCAAAGTTGCAGGATATAAGACCAATATACAAAAATCAATGGTATTTCTAAATATTGATAACAATCTTTAAATATAATTATGAAAACAACTTTATATATAACATCAAAAAATGCTTAGCTTTAAATTTAGCAAAAGGAGTGTAAAACTTATGCTGCAAAAATTACAACTCCTTAGTAAAAGAAATTAAAGAATATCTAAATAAATGTAAAGCCATCCCATGTTCATACCCCCCAAACCAATCAATATATCCAATGCAATCCACATCAGAATACCAGCTGACCTTTTTGTATAAATTGACAAGTTTATCCTCAAATTCGTATGGAAACTCAAGTGGCTCAGAAGTGCCAAAACAATCTTGAAATAAAAAATTCAAGGACTTAGTATTCTTGACTTCACATCTTACTATAAAGCAACAATAGTCAAGACAAATTAATACTAGCATAAGTATAGACATATGATCAGTGGAATCAAATGGAAATAAACCCATGTATTTATGATCAATTGAGTTTCTACAAGAATGCCAAGACTATTCAATTAAAAAAGAATAATGCATTCAACAAATGGTCCTAGGACAACCAGATACCCACATGCAAAAAAAAAAAAAAGAAAAAGAAAAAATGAATTTGAATTCTTAACTTTATACTATATACAAAAATTAATTCAAAATGGATTAAAGACCTAAACTGAAACCTAAAGCTACAAAACTCTTAGAAGGAAACACAGGAATAAATATTCATGAGATTAAATTTGGCAATGGATTCTTAGATATGACACCAAAAGCACGAGCAAAAAAAGAAAAATAAAAAAATTGGACTTAAAATATAAATGTTTTGTGCATCTAAGGACACTATCAAGAAAGTAAAAAAGACAACCCACAAACTGAAAAAAATTGTAAATCATGTATCTGATAAAGAACTCATATCTAAAATATATAAAGAATACTTACAACACAATAATAAAAAGACAAATAACACACTAAGATACGGCCAAAGGTAAATTAGTACAGTCACTATGGAGAACAGTTGTGAGGCTCCTCGAAATACTAAAAATTGTATGTGTGTACCCAAAACAAAGGAAATTAGTATATCAAAGAGATATCTGCACTCCTATATTTGTTGCATCTCTGTTCACAATAGCTAGGATTTGGAAGCAACCTAAGTGTCCATCAACAGATGAATGGATAAAGAAAATGTGGTACATATACAAATGGAGTACTATTCAGCCATAAAAAAGAATGAGATACAATCATTTGCAACAACATGGATGGAACTGGAGATCATTATGTTAAGTGAAATAAGCCAGGCACAGAAAGACAAACATCACATATTCTCACTTATTTGTGGGATCTAACAATCAAAACAATTGAACTCATGGACATGGAGAGTAGAAGGATGGTTATCAGAGGCTGGGAAGGGTAGTGGGACTGTTGAGAGAAGGTGGGGATGGTGAATGGGTATAAAAAACATAGAATGAATAAGACCTACTGTTTGATAGCATGACAGGGTGACTATAGTCAATAAAAACTTAATTGTATATTTAAAAATAACTAAAAGAGTGTAATTGGATTGTTTATAACACAAAGAATAAATGAAATGCTTGAGGGAATGGATACCTCATTCTCCATGGTATGTTTATTATGCATTGCATGCATATATCAAAACATCTCATGTATCCCATAAATATATACACCTACTATGTACCCACAAAAATTTTTTTAAAAATTTTTAAAGAATGCCATCATGAAAAAATAGAAAAGATATGAGCAAAGGATATAAATAGACATTTCTCCAAAGAAGATATACAAATATCCAAAAAGTGCCTGCATGAGGTAAACACAGGTCAAAAACCGCAGTGAGATTTCATTTACCACCCAAAAGGATGTCTATAATTTTAAAAAATTGAAAATAACAAACATTGGTGGGCATTTGGAGACATTGGAACATTCACACATAGCTGGTGAGACTACAAAATTATTCAACCACTGTGAAAAAGTAGTTTGACATTTCCTCAAAAAGTTAAACACAGGATTTCCAGATTATCCAGGAATTCCACTCCTAGGTATATATCCAAATAATTGAAAACAGGTAATAAAATACATACTTGTAAAGGAACGTTAATACCAGCACCATTCACAAGAGCCAAAATATAAAATCAGCCCAATGTTCACCGACAGATGAATGGATGAACAAATTACACTATATACACACAATGAAATATTATTCAACCATAAAGAGGAATGAAGTACTGATACATGCTGCAATATGGATGAACCTTGAGAACATCAGGCTAAATGAAAGTAGTCTGCCACTAAAGACCACATATTGTGTGATTCCGTTTATGTGAAATAGCCATAGTAGGCAGAAGTAGATTGGCGGTCTCAGACTTTGAGCCATTGCCCATAGACTAGGTGAATCTCCCTAGCTATGCTCAGCGTGCAATAATACACAGCCCTCAACTAAATCCAAAGTGAAGAAGTGCAGGTCTCAGAGAAGGGATGGAATAATAAATCATCGACATGATGTAAAAGTAATGACAGGATGTCAAAAAACAGTTGCCTACTTTAAACATGGGTGGGGAATGGGGAAAGGAAACAATATTTAAAAAATCTAAGAAAGCATAGTAGGAAACCAGGTTGGTTATTTGTTTGAATAATTAGCCGTGCTTGACTGTACTGAACAAAATCATGTCAAAAGAGCATGGGCTTTGGAGACCTAATTCTTATTTCTGGGCATATTCCTCACTCTTCTAGAATCTTGAGCAAGTCACTTAATGTCTCTGTCCCTAGTTGTAAATCTGCAAAATGAAGTTAATGCCATGTACTTTGCAGAAATTGTCAAGGGGATTAAATGAGGTAATTTATTGAAAGAACCTGTATGACACTCAATCAATGATCACTATTTGTCCAGATTCCAGGGCAAAAATCACAAAAACATGTAGGTGAAATGCGAACTTTAGGTTGATTTGTTGTGAGGACAGAGGGAACACAGAAAATAAACAAGCAGGGACATAGGCATGAATGAGACCCACAGATGACTCCTGACATTGCATGAAATAAAAATAACCATGGTCACTTCTAAGATCTTACCCAACACTACTAGGCATGTTATGTCTGATAGTTCATTTAATTCCCCTAGCCATATGAAGTAGACAATATGATTAATCTCATGTTATAAATGAGGAAACCAAGGCTTAAAGTAGTTAAACAACTTGCCCAAAGTCATGCAACTAGGAGTAATAACATTAGCCAACTCTTAATAGTGCTCTCACTCTGTTGCCCAGGCTGGAGTGCAGTGGTGGGAACATGACTCACTGCTGTCTCGACTTCCTGGGCTCAAGTGATCCTCCTGCCTCAGCCTCCCTAGTACCTGGGACGATAGGCATGTGCCACCATGCCTGGCTAATTTTTTTTATTTCTTGCAGAGGTGAGAGTCTCACCATGTTGCCCCGGCTAGTCTCCAACTCCTGGGCTCAAGTGTTCATCCTGCCTCTGCCACCCGAAGTGCTGGGATTACAGGCATGAGCAACCATGCCTGACCTAAAGCACTTTGCATAAGCTCTTATAAGTCTGTATTATCCTCTCCTCTCTAGGATACAGTATGTGAAGATTTAGGTCAATTCCTATAGTGTCGTATTTCCTCAAATCTAAAGTGCATGATTTTTCACATTTTAACACTTCTGCAATTAGTACGTGCTTTACAAATAATATGGTTTTTTTGTTTGTTTGTTTTGTCTTTGAGACAGAGTCTCACTCTGTCACCAGGCTGGAGTGCAGTGGCACGATCTTGGCTTACTGCAACCTCCACCTCCCGGGTTCAAGTGATTCTCCTGCCTCAGCCTCCTGAGTAGCTGGGACTACAGGCATGCACCACCACGCCCGGCTACTTTTTTTATTTTTAGTAGAGACAGGTTTTCACCATGTTGGCCAGGTTTTCACCATGTTGACCAGGATCGTCTCAATCTCTTGACCTCGTGATCCACCCACCTCAGCCTCCCAAAGTGCTGGGATTACAGGTGTGAGCCACCACGCCCGGCCGATAATACGTATTTTTAATGAAATCATACTTTCTTTTTTTCTAAACCATTACTATTAAATCAGTGGTACTTTTGTAAACTTTCTGAATTTGGGCTGTATATCATACCAATGTATTATTCGTAGTTTTTACAATATAATAGTTCCTTGATAATTACTTGTGAAATAACAAATTTTCAATATTTTTGCATAGGTAGGTCAGGGCTTTAAATGTAGAGCTCCTTTACCCAAATGCTTCTTACACTCCTTATTTAATAAGCAGCTACTTTGCTTCCAACATTCTTTTATTTTCAACACTTAAAAAAATAATCTGCCTTCCCCAGTGACTGGTGATGGGTACCTCCTGACAGGGGCTTTTCTGCTTTTCCCACCCCGGTATCAAAGGAATCCTTCTTTTAAATCTCTAACAATCCCACATGAGCTTCCTGAAACACTATGATATTCCCAATCATCAAAAATCCATTTTCATCCCCTACTATGTGCTTTTCAATGCAAGAATCCATCCAAGTATCTTTTTTAAATGATGGCACAAACAGACTAAAAGCCAAGGTACATTATGCCAAAGCTAGTCCTGAGACCTGCGATGCCACAGCCCATGTACCCCTAGGACCCACCCTGCACAGAAGGGTGGAGCCAAGAGTTGTCAGAAGACTCACAAAAGAGGGAAATAAATAAATGCTGGGAACAGATCTTTTTTTCTTCATTTTTCTTATCATGAGATATTTCAGACATATCAAAAAGCACTGAGGCTAATATAACAAACACTCATGTACCATGAATCCAGTTTAAGAAATCAGACAATATGGACACGTTTTTGTCCGCTCATGTTTTAACATTCATTTCACTTTTTCAGTGGCCTTTTTTCTAATTACACAACAAGAAGTCTGAAATAACATGTGAGCAAGAATCAGAATCAGAAGTTCAGCTCACATCCTTTGGCCGAAATGCAGATTGGCTGAAATTTTTTTTCTACAGTTGCTATCAGCTACAATAGGTTTTTATTTTTACTTATTCAAAAGCAAGTAGACAAAACATCACACAAAAAAGACTGCTTTAATATCAATATATACAAAACCTTTTAAAAGTCTCTGACACTTGCAGATGAATGCACATTAAAGAAAGCTTTTAGAGCATCATTGTTAATCGCTTTTAAATTTTTTTAGGCTTTTTGTCATTGATTAGAGGTATTCAGATAATTAATGACGGTAACATCTGGTCGTTTTTATGAATGCATACAACACAAATGTGGACAATAGTCACTTCTTCTTTTTGAAAGTTTTCAGGCTTTTTGAATCAAGAAGTTCCCTGAAAGGATTGACAATGGCACGCAGACACGGATGTGTCAACTAGCGGCAGAGATCATGTTATTTTATAATCCAGGAACTTCCCAACATTCCACCAGGAAGAATGGATTTTGAAGTGTAGCTAGTTCCGATTGCAATCAAGTCTGGGAAGCTAGAATAATCATTCAAGCATATACTTAAAAGTCTTGTAAAATTATCTTTGTTAGAAGCAGTTGCGGAAGTCTGAGCAAGGCAAATTTACATTCCAATTTATGAATACTGGTTGGTTTTATATTGGAAAATATTTCACTAAGACCCTTAAAATCCTGACTTCATTGAATAGTGTTTTGCTTCAATAAGTCAGGTGCTGTCCTCCCAACTGTAAAATGGTTTCATTCCCTAATTTAATGGAATGTATATGTCATGTTTATTTTTAGAAGAATTTGGATTAATCATAGTGTATTTTTTAACTTTGGAATTGACTCAAAATTATAATCTATCTGTTATTATTCTCACAAAACATACCACTTGGTAGGAGATAAGGATTTGAAGATAGAGCTCACACATGTTCTCCTTGCTTTCTTGGAAAAAGGGAGATTGTGGGGCTAAATCAGGGTAAATGCTTCATTCCCTATTGTTCATTCAGACCAAAAGTGAAAAATGAAATGAATGTGTTACTGATTAGTTTTCTAGTATGCCATAACAATGTACCACAAACTGGGTGCCTTAAACAACAGAAATGTATTTTTTCACAATTTTGGAGACAGGAAGTTTAAGATCAAGATGTCATCAAGGTTGGTTTCTTTGAGGCCTCTCTCCTTGCCTCACAGGTGGCTGCCTTTCCCCAGATGTTGCAGGGGTGTCTCTCCATGTATGCACTTGTCTGGCATCTCTGTCTGTGTCCTAATCTCCTCTTTGTATAAAAACACCACCAGTCATATTGGATGAGGGTCCACCCTAATGACCTCAATGTACCTTAACTACCTCTTTAGAGACCCTGTCTCCAAATACAGCCACATTGTTAGGTACTGGGATTAGGATGTCAGCAGGTGGATATGAGGCACATGATTCAGTCCACACAGTTACATAGACGAAAACACTCCAGGAGCCCCAGCTTGAGCTCCAGGTGCTCACCACACTCTGCAAAGCCTGCCCTCTCACCAGCAGGAGCAAGGCTGGGCTCACACACGGTGCCACTTTCTGAAAGAAGCTCTTTGCTTTAATAAAATGAGATGATTTTTATACTCATTTTCAATTCTAATGAAATGTTCACTACTACAGCTGAGTCAAAGAATCTCCTAAGTATCTTCAGAAAGAAAAATAAATTTTTGGACATTCAGCTAAAGAGAAAATGTTCGCCTTAATTTCCTAAGACTAACAAGGTTAGGCTCCCACAGTCCTTCTGCATTTCTGGTGGCTCTGGCATCAGCTAACTACAGAAAAGCTGCTCTGCCCACAGCAAATAGGTCCAGTGATGCCGACAGGAGGAGAAATATTACGTTTCTCAGCTGCAAGTGTGATCAGCAAGGCACTGGGGCCCCTGACATCCAGGCTGTCTGTACTTCCCTCTCCAGGAACAAGCTGAGTCCTGCTCCAGGGGGGTGAGGTGCCAGGTGCCTGCCTTTTGCCCTGACAATGTTTTCTCCAGGAGTGCTCAAACTTAAGCTAAATACTTTCAATACAGGGTACCTTTGTATGCACGTAAGAAACACATTTTGCCATTTTTATTTTTATATACGCAAAATATGGAATTTTACACAGAAAGTATTTTTATAAATCACTTTATATTCTGGGCACCTAACATTTCTAATCGCTATGACTTGAGGACTTATTACCATAAAACCTTCATGGTTTCAGGATGCTTGAGTAATCCTTGGTCTTACAACCTCTGGAGTTCAGGGGTCAATTCTAGGTTCAGTGGAGAAGCCCCAGGACAGGACATTGCTCTTGGGAGCAATGCCCTATGGCCAGGGGAGCTATGAGGGCCATGGGATCCACAGGAGGAAAAAAAACCAAGGAGCCAAGCAGGCGAGGAACCACAGAGCTACTGGAGCTGCCTGGCCTCTGGCTGAAAGGAGAAAGTATTCAGGCTGAGCACCTTCTTGTGAGGCTCATGCTAGATTTCTCCAGCTCATCTGCTCACTTCATATTCACAAGCCTGGGAGGGATATATTAATTCCTCTCCTTCTTTTCTCTTCCCCTCCCTCTTTTCCTCCCTCCCTCCCTTCCTCCCTCCCTCCTTTCCTTCCTTTCTTCCTTCCTTCCTTCCTTCCCTCTTTTCCTTCCTTCCCTCCCTCCCTGCTTCCTTCCTCCCTCCCTTCCTTCCTTCCTTCTTTCCTTCTTTCCTTCTTGAACCTGAGGTTCAGGGCAGTTCCTTTCCTTTTGGCAAACAGGTTCCAAGTACCAAAACCCATGCTCTTTTGGTAGCACATGCCTTCAGTTGTGTGTAGGGGGGAAATGCATGGCCCTGATTGGCCATCAATGTGTGGCAACCTGATATGTGGCATCTTTTGTGAAATGTTTTCTCAATAGCTTCTTGGAGAAAGCTAATCCACAGGAAAGAAACCATGTAGGCTTTTCACATGTTTGAGGATATGATTTCAAACAAGTATGTTATATGAGTTATTTTTATAAGAACTAACGAGGCTCAGAAGACTGGTTTATGTGAAGGAGGTCTCTGAGTGCTTGAGTATTTGTGAGTGACGGAATAGAGGTGCTTCAGACCCGGTCAGCTGAGGACAGTGGGTTTCTTTGGCAATGAGCATGGCTGCTGATCATGGGGCCTCGGTCCCAGCCCTGCCCCTGCCTCCCATTGTGTATGTGGGGTTGGGTAAGTTGTTAACCCAAAGTGCCTCAGCTTTCTTGTCAGTAAAATGAATATAAAACTAGTAGATGCATATATAAACAAACTTTGGTACATCCAGAAAGTGGAATGTTATTCAGAGTTATAAAGACATTAGTTCTCAAGCCATGAAAAGACGTGGAAATCTTAAATGCATATTACTAAGTGAAGGAAGCCAACCTGAAAAGGCTACACAATGTATGATTCCAACTCTATGACATTCTGGAAAAAGGAAGAGTATAGAGACAGTAAAAGAATCACTGGTTGCCCACAGTTAGGGGAGAGGGAGGGATAAAAAAATGAGTATAAACTGAGAACCTATCTCATTAAGGCTGTCATGAAGACTATTGAGTTGCTCTTTGTGAACCACTGGAGCTGGCTGGAGCACAGGCAGTGTGGGGGGCTCTCACTACAGTGCTGCGATGACCTCTGCTATACTAACTGTCTAAAGAAGGTGAGCTGCCACATCCATGAACCCTGCAGAACTCTCCAGTGGGCCAGGGAATAAAGGAAGGCCTTCCTCCTAACCCCACGTGGCTGAGCTAGTCAGAGCCTAGATATTGTTTAAGGCAATGGCTCACAAACTTGAGTGCTATGGGCTGAATGTCTGTGGGCCCCTAACATTCCTATGTTGAAATCCTAACCCCCCGGTGTGATGGTATTTGGAGGTGGGACCTTTGAGAGGTAATTAGGTCATGAGGGTGGAGCCCTCATGAATGAAATTAGTGCCCTTATGAGAGGATTAAAAAGAGACATGAAAGAGATGACCTCTCTTTTTCTCTCTCTGCCAGGTGAAGACATAGTGAGAAGGTAGCTGTCTGCAAAGCAGGAAAACAACCCTTACCAGGAATCCAACTGGCCCCTACTTGGATCTTGGACGGCCCAGCCTTTAGGACTGTGAGGAATAGATTTCTGTTGTTTCAGCCACCTGGTCTATGGAGTTTTTGCTGAAGAAGCCTGAGCTAACGCATTGACTGAGCTTCAGCAGTTTAAACACAGATGCTGGCCCCACACCCAGAGTTACCAATTCAGCAGGTATAAGGTGGGACCCAATAATTTACATTCTAACAAGTTTTCAGGGGATGATGATGGTATTGGCCTGGGAACCACAGACCTAGAGTCACTGGTTTGCTGAAATGCCCGGTTCTTGGTTAAAGCTGTGTATAATGTCAAATCACCCAGGTAACCTTCCCTACATAGTGGGGAGGCAAGAGGATGGATGCTGCCAGCTGACCCAGAACTCCTTGACTGAATATCTTTTTCTGTGAGGTAGACTCTAAGAACATCTGGAAATATATAGGTCTAAAACAATGGAAATAAATAAAGCACTCGGTTTCAGCAAATTGCAAAGGGAGGGATCAAATGTTTCTTTAAAAAGTTAAACTTGTAAAAATTCATCTGATTATTTTAGAAGAGATCAAGGGAATGGCAGAGAAAATAGAATACTAGAGGGATATTACACTACTTTAGAAAATCACATGGCAGAAAGAAGCATCTATGTTGTTATTAAAGAATCACAGGATATCCATTGCCTGAGAAATGCGAAGTGAGGAGAGGAAGGGTGTGGAGGAGGAACACTGGCAGGGCTGATCCTCTACAGAAGCCGCAGGGCTCTGGCTTCCACAGCATCAGTTGTGTTTCTTCATCTGCCAACAGTGACTCTCCAGGGGAGAACTCCTGCAGGGGAGGCAGACAGCACAGTCCCTGCGACTCAACAGCCAGAGGCAGTGGTGGCAGCCACTGCAGCACTGACGAAGCTCAGGAGAAGGCGCAGGAGCTGTGGCATTAATCAGAGCCCTGTCCTCAGCTCAGTCCTGAAAGGTCAGGGCCACCAGAAAAAGGGGGCATTAGAAATAGAGGTTTGATTATGCTGGATGGGAAAGAAATACACCTCAACATATCAAGGGTCTACAGCAAGCCCACTACTGGGTATATACCCAGTGGAAAATAAATCATTCTACCAAAAACACGCATGCATCCGTACATTCATTGCAGCACTATTCACAATAGCAAAGACATGGAATCAAGCTAGGTGCCCATCAATGGTGGACTGAATAAAGAAAATGTGGTATATATACACCATGGAATACTATGCAGCCATAAAAAAGAATGAGATTTTTCTTTTTTATGAAATTCCTTTGCAGGAAAATGGATGCAGCTGGAGATCATTATCCTAAGCAAATTAACACAGGAACAGAAAAACAAATATCCCATGTTCTCATAAGTGGGGGCTAACCATTGGGTACACATGGAAATAAAGATGGCAACAATAGACACTGGGGACTACCAGGGTGGGGAGGGAAGGAAGGGGGCATGGGTTGAAAAACTGCCTATTGGGTACTATGTAACTATGTGATTGGACCAGTAGAAGCCCAAATCTCAGCATCATACAATACACCCGTGAAACAAACCTGCACATGTACACCCTCACTGAATCTAAAATTTTTTTAAAAACTAATTTAATTAAATGCAAAAATAAAAGTTAAAGAAATCTAGGGTCTACAGCTGTGAGCAGTGCAAATGTCTAAATTTTGCAAGAAAATTTTCAAAGCACTGAGGAGAAACAGCCTGCGGAGATGAGCTTTTACCCCAACTATGATGAGCCTGATGAATGAGTCCTGCCATTAAACCCAAGTCTATATAATGGTCTCGTGGCTGACATCAATTTTCTTTCTTCTGTCAGATGTCACCTTGTCTTTCCCCGGTTGGTCTCAGGTTGGTGCCAACCATGTGGTTCTAGATGATATTAACCGCTGGGTTCTTTGCTTGGGTTAACTGTGATACCAACAGTGATTTGCTTATGCATGTGTGTATTTGTGTGTGTGTCTGTGCCCGCGCGCGTGTGTGATGGAGTCTCGCTCTGTCGCCCAGGCTGGAGTGCAGTGGTGCGATCTCGGCTTACTGCAAGCTCCGCCTCCTGGGTTCATGCCGTTCTCCTGCCTCAGCCTCTGGAGTAGCTGGAACTACAGGCGCCCCTGCATCACGCCCGGCTAATTTTTTGTATTTTTAGTAGAGATGGGATTTCACCGTGTTAGCCAGGATGGTCTCGATCTCCTGACCTCATGATCCACCTGCCTTGGCCTCCCAAAATGCTGGGATTACAGGCGTGAGCCACCATACCACGTGTGTATTATATATGTACATGTATACATACATGAGCATATGTATGCATATAAATGTACATACCAAGGGCTGAAGAGTAGAATAGGAAGTGACTGCCAGCCTTGGGACAACAATGTTCTGGAGCAAAATGGGAATAATTAAACTGGTTCAACAGAGCAATGCTGCAGGCAAACCTGAATGTCAGGGCACCCACCTCAAATAAACTGGAGCACAGCTGATGAAGAAAACTGCTCATTTCCTGCATTTGGGGATGAACCACAGCCTGTTTAAGGAAACTAAGTGGCAGGGTGTGGTGGTACATTCCTGTGGCCCCAGCTACTCAGGAGGTTGAGGTGGGAGGATTGCTTGAGCCTAGGAGTTCGAGGCTGCAGTAAGCCATGATTGTGCCACTGTGCTCTGGTCTGGGTTACAGAGCAAGACCCTGTTTCAAAAAAAAAGTAAAAATTGTGGCCAGGTGTGGTGGCTCAAGCCTGTAATCCTAGCACTTTGGGAGGCCAAGGCAGACAGATTGCCTGAGGTCAAAAGTTTGAGACCAGCCTGGCTAACATGGTGAAACCCTGTCTCCACTAAAAATACAAAAATTAGCTGGGCGCGGTGGCAGGCGCCTGTAATTCCAGCTACTTGGGAGGCTGAAGCAGGAGAATCGCTTGAACCAGGGAGACAGAGGTTGCAGTGAGCTACGATCGCACCACTGTACTCCCGCCTGCGTGACAGAGTGAGACTCCATCTCAAAAAATAAATAAATAAAAATAAAAATAGAAAAACAGGCCCTCAGGAATGTTCACATGCCTTGGCTATTACTGTGGGAGGCTCCTGCTAGAGAAGCACACCTGGCCTCTGGCCACCGCCTCTGCCTGACACTTGCTATCCCCAAAGGAGGCGTGGCTTCCCAGTTGTCCCCAGAGAAGATGTGGCTCTTCAGATTGGTCAGTTCCAAGAGGGAACCGCGTCTGTATGCATAGCTGTCCTTTCTTCTGTGGCTAGCTGCTTGTCCTCAGGACCTGCAAGCTATGTTTGTTCTTCAGTCACCCTTCCCCTGCAGGGAGGCCTGTGGCTTGGGAGGTCAAGTCAACACAGATAGCAGGAAGTGGGCCTGGGGTTGCTGCAGAGCCCAGTCGTGTCCAGACCCCTCTGCACTCCCCACCTTAGACTCTTCAGGAATACAGTGAATATGACTTGGACCACCTGTCTGATTTCTGCATCTATTTTTCTGCTGCTCCCAGGCTTGGAGAAGGAACCAAAGTATGCAGGATTATAGCCACTAAAACCTCAATCATGGTAACAAGGGTTTTACTGGATAAGGCTAGGCTGGTTGAGACTTACAAACAGTGGTAGCTCCAGCTCTCTGGTTCCTGCCTGAAATTCTGCCTCTCCAGCTATCCCACCACTCAAATGCCTGGACGTGTGCTCCAGGGAGGCATGACATATGTCCCTTCACAGGATTTTTTAATCTCTGAGAATCAGTTGACAATTATGCTAGGTGGGGAGGTGAGGGAAAATAAATCCACTTCACTGTATACATAATTCTAAACTACAGTTCCAACTTCCTTCTTAATAGCCTCTTTAACTGCTACTAGTAACAATGACAAAGCCAGGCAACGTTAATTCCACTTTCTTTATGAATCTTTCCTTCCTTTTCCCAGTCACAAGTGCTTGTGTCCCTTCTATGAATTCTCAGAGCTCTTAATGCTTCTCTAGTGACATTTTCCATGTTCTGACACAGTGTAGTCATGGCTTATCTGCTACTGGACTCTAATCTGCCTGAGGGCAGGGGCGTCATCCTATTCATTCCTTGTCTTTAGGATGATGCCCTGCAAAGAGTACTTGAAGCAAGTGTGTTCCAGACTTTTACCTCCTGTCAAAGGCATTTAAAGAGCTTAGCGTTACAGCTTTGTACTGTCATCCTGTGGGGATTCATTCTTTACCACCCAGAAATTGTGAATTGCATTTCAGATGAAAGCTTTTGATTAAAACAGGCCTTGCTGGCAGAGGCACCTCATGTCACTGGCTGCAAAGTGGTGCCAGGATGTGAGAATGAGCCAGGTCTCACCCAGCTTTGGGATTTCAATAAACATCAATACTCATATGTTTAAAACTGAAGCAAAATCCCTCAAAAGATCTTAAACTGCATTGAAGTGGGGATGAAAGATACTGCTGATCTTAGAGTTGGCATGGCAAAGAGAACTTTGGAACTCTTTGATCAATGCTGAAATAGGCTATGAGTCTCACAATGGAAAATAATGACATAGGTTATGCAGTCAAGACCTTACTTTTATGGGTGAGGAAACTGAGACCCGGGGAGGATCAATGATGGGATCACAGCTGGTCACCTGTTGAGACCGGTCAGAACACTCACTCCCCTGGCTACAACTGAAGTTGGGCTGTGAGGGGCTAGGGATGTCACAGCGGGGAACTCAGAGTTCATTCAAGTCTGGCTGCTGAAAGCCATTAACAGGTTCTGAGCACAAGATACCATGGTCGGCATTTAGGAAGAACAGTCTGGAGGTCCATGCTAGGGGGAGGAGGGAAAGGCAGAGGACAGGGAGGGTTCTGCAGAGACCTGGGCCAGCAGGAGCCATGTGAGGACGTGATGACAATGCAGCCATACCAGGGGATATTTTGGATGGACCAGCAATGGCAGCATGCCATTGTATAGGAATAATTTCTCGATAAATTGCTTTCCAAATAAATTGTTGATTATTAACCCTTCACATGCTTTGTCACACTTATTTTCCAATGTCTCCTACCAGATGTTCCTTCTGAGAAAGACATAAGGAAATGGTGAAGTCAGAAATTTTGTCCACAGAAAGGAAGATGTATCCCCTTTCATCTGCCTCAGAGAAGGAAACAAAAAGCTATGATGCACAAAATGGAATGCACCCTTACTTTTGAATACCATGCGGCCATTAAAAGCCTGAGGTATCGTGTGTGCAGTGATGTGGCACATGCACGTTGTTCTGTGACTAATACAAGTCAGGGAACCATCATCATGGCATCACCTTAATGATTTCAAAACAAATCAGGCCATACCAGCATATTCATACCCCTGCTTTCATAAGTACACAGCCAAATACCTCATTGCTCAAGAGAGGAAAAGGGAGCATGCCCTCATTAGTCTATATCTATCCCCACTGTTCACATTTTTGCCAACAAGAGCGTATTTATGTAATTTTTTTAATTTTTACTTTAAGTTCTGGGATACATGTGCAGAATGTGCAGGTTTGTTACATAGGTATACGTGTGCCATGGTGGTTTGCTGCACCCATCAACCCATCATCCAGGTTTTAAGCCCCACATGCATTAGGTATTTGTCCTAATGCTCTCCTTCCCCTTGCTCCCCACCCCCTGACAGACCCTGGTGTATGATGTTCCCCTCTCTGTGTCAATGTATTTATGTAATATTTAAAAATACATTTAAAAACAGTTGCTGATGTTTGTATTGCCATCAGAAAAGAAATCTCTACCTGATTTTCTTAGCATGTGGAGAGGAGCAAAAACTAGAATGACAAAGCTTTGAGAGAATGTGGCTCTAAAAAGATGGAGCTGAGCTGGTCCAGAAGCCTGTAACTGGGTAGGTCCTGGGGGTTCCAGGAGGGTGAAGTATGCACCTGTCCCAGGAGCCTTCAGCTGTCAGCATGATGAGGTGGCATGCCATGGCCGGCCAGCTTTTGGAAGGCCACAGACATCCCTGAACCTGTGCTCTGGGGACAGCAATTCTACGTTGTGGGCTATAAGACTTTATTGTATAAGCTACCATAGAGTTTAAGAAAGTGTCTGTGTTTCTGTTTCCCTTCTTGATTTTCTATTATGAAAATCTTTCCTTTTTACTCAGTTGACCTTAGAAGATCAATTAAGATCAGCTTTCCATAGTAAGCAGATTTCTTCAACTCAGAGAGCAGCTAATATGACATTAAAATCTTTTGTCCATTCTCTTTTCTCTTCATTTTTTCTTTTTTTCTTTCTTCTTTTTTTTTCTTTTTTTTTTACTTATCAAGATGATTTGGGAGGCCAAGATGGCCGAATAGGAACAGCTCCGGTCTACATCTCCCAGAGTGAGCGACGCAGAAGACGGGTGATTTCTGCATTTCCAACTGAGGTACCGGGTTCATCTCAATGGGGAGTGCCTGACAGTAGGTGCAGAACGGTGGGTGCAGCGCACCATGCATGAGCCGAAGCAGGGTGAGGCATTGCCTCACCCAGGAAGTGCAAGGGGTCAGGGAATTCCCTTTCCTAGTCAAAGAAAGGGGTGACAGATGGCACCTGGAAAATCAGGTCACTCCCACCCTAATACTACGCTTTTCCAACAGGCTTAAAAAACGGCACACCAGGAGATTATATCCGCACCTGGCTTGGAGGGTCCTATGCCCATGGAGTCTCTCTCATCGCTAACACAGCAGTCCAAGATCAAACTGCAAAGTGGCAGCGAGGCTGGGGGAGGGGCGCCCACCATTGCTGAGTTAGTTGTTTGATTAGATAAACAAAGCAGCCAGAAGCTCAAACTGGGTGGAGCCCACCACAGCTCAAGGAGGCCTGCCTGCCTCTGTAGGCTCCACCTCTGGGGGCAGGGCACAGACAAACAAAAAGACAGCAGTAACCTCTGCAAACTTAAATGTCCCTCTCTGACAGCTTTGAAGAGAGCAGTGGTTCTCCCAGCACACAGCTGGAGATCTGAGAATGGGCAGACTGCCTCCTCAAGTGGGTCCCTGACCCCCGAGTAGCCTAACTGGGAGGCACCCCCCAGTAGGGGCGGACTGACACCTCACACGGCCAGGTACTCCTCTGAGACAAAACTTCCAGAGGAACGATCAGGCAGCAGCATTTGCGGGTCACCAATATACGCTGTTCTGCAGCCACCACTGCTGATACCCAGGCAAATAGGGTCTGGAGTGGACCTCTAGCAAACTCCAACAGACCTGCAGCTGAGGGTCCTGTCTGTTAAAAGGAAAACTAACAAACAGAAAGGACATCCACACCAAAAACCCATCTGTATGTCACCATCATCAAAGACCAAAGGTAGATAAAACCACAAAGATGGGAAAAAAACAGAGCAGAAAAACTGGAAACACTAAATATCAGAGTGCCTCTCCTCCTCAAAAGGAATGCACCTCCTCACCAGCAATGGAACAAAGCTAATGGAGAATGACTTTGACAAGCTGAGAGAAGAAGGCTTCAGACGATCAAACTACTCCGAGCCACATGAGGAAATTCGAACCAATGGCAAAGAAGTTAAAAGCTTTGAAAAAAAATTAGACGAATGGATAACTAGAATAACCAATGCAGAGAAGTCCTTAAAGGACCTGATGGAGCTGAAAACCAAGGCATGAGAGCTACGTGATGAATGCGCAAGACTCAGTAGCTGATTAGATCAACTGGAAGGAAGGGTATCAGTGATGGAAGACGAAATGAATGAAATGAAGCGAGAAGAGAAGTTTAGAGAAAAAGAATAAAAAGAAACGAGCAAAGCCTCCAAGAAATATGGGACTATGTGAAAAGACCGAATCTACATCTGATTGGTGTACCTGAAAGTGACGGGGAGAATGGAACCAAGTTGGAAAACACTCTGCAGGATATTATCCAGGAGAACTTCCCCAATCTAGCAAGGTAGGCCAACATTCAAATTCAGGAAATACAGAGAACGCCACAAAGATACTCCTCCAGAAGAGCAACTCCAAGACACACAATTGTCAGATTCACCAAAGTTGAAACGAAGCAAAAAATGTTAAGGGCAGCCAGAGGGAAAGCTCGGGTTACCCACAAAGGGAAGCCCATCAGACTAACAGCTGATCTCTCGGCAGAAACTCTATATGCCAGAAGAGAGTGGGGACCAATATTCAACATTCTTAAAGGAAATAATTTTCAACCCAGAATTTCGTATCCAGCCAAACTAAGCTTCATAAGTGAAGGAGAAATAAAATACTTTACAGACAAGCAAATGCTGAGAGATTTTGTCACCACCAGGCCTGCCCTACAAGAGCTCCTACAGGAAGCACTAAACATGGAAAGGAATGACCGGTACCAGCCACTGCAAAAACATGCCAAATTGTAAAGACCATTGAGGCTAGGAAGAAACTGCATCAACTAATGAGCAAAATAACCAGCTAACATCATAATGACAGGATCAAATTCACACATAACAATATTAACTTTAAATGTAAATGCTCCAATTAAAAGACATAGACTGGCAAATTGGATAAAGAGTCAAGACCCATCAGTGTGCTGTATTCAGGAGACCCATCTCACGTGCAGAGACACACATAGGCTCAAAATAAAGGGATCGAGGAAGATCTACCAAGCAAATAGGAAACAAAAAAAAGGCAGGCATTGCAATCCTAGTCTCTGATAAAACAGACTTTAAACCAACAAAGATCAAAAGAGACAAAGAAGGCCATTACATAATGGAAAAGGGATCAATTCAACAAGAAGAGCGAACTATCCTAAATATATATGCACCCAATACAGGAGCACCCAGATTCATAAAGCAAGTCCTTAGTGATGTGCAAAGAGATTTAGACTCCCACACAATAATAATGGGAGACTTTAACACCCCACTGTTAACATTAGACAGATCAATGAGACAGAAAGTTAACAAGGATATCCAGGAATTGAACTCAGCTCTGCAACAAGCAGACCTAATAGACATCTACAGAACTTTCCACCCCAAATCAACAGAATATACATTCTTTTCAGCACCACACCACACCTACTCCAAAATTGACCACATAGTTGGAAGTAAAGCACTCCTCAGCAAATGTAAAAGAACAGAAATTATAACAAACTGTCTCTCAGACCACAGTGCAATCAAACTAGAACTCACGATTAAGAAACTCACTCAAAACCGCTCTACTACATGGAAACTGAACAACCTGCTCCTGAATGACTACTGGGTAAATAATGAAATGAAGGCAGAAATAAACATGCTCTTTGAAACCAATGAGAACAAAGACACAACATACCAGAATCTCTGGGACACATTCAAAGCAGTGTGTAGAGGGAAATGTATAGCACTAAATGCCCACAAGAGAAAGCACAAAAGATCTAAAATTGACAACCTAACATCACAATTAAAAGAACTAGAGAAGCAAGAGCAAACACATTCAAAAGATAGCAGAAAGCAAGAAATAACTAAGATCAGAGAAGAACTGAAGGAAATAGAGACACAAAAAACCCTTCAAAAAATTAATGAATCCAGGAGCTGGTTTTTTGAAAAGATCAACAAAATTGATAGACTGCTAGCAAGACTAATAAAGAAGAAAAGAGAGAAGAATCAAATAGATGCAATAAAAAATGATAAAGGAGATATCACCACTGATCCCACAGAAATACAAACTACCATCAGAGAATACTATAAACACCTCTATGCAAATAAACTAGAAAATCTAGAAGAAATAGATAAATTCCTCGACACATACATCCTCCCAAGACTAAACCAGGAAGAAGTTGAATCTCTCAATAGACCAATAACAGGCTCTGAAATTGAGGCAATAATCAATAGCTTACCAACCAAAAAAAGTCCAGGACCAGATGGATTCACAGCCAAATTCTACCAGAGGTACAAAGAGGAGCTGGTACCATTCCTTCTGAAACTATTCCAATCAATAGAAAAAGAGGGAATCCTCCCTAACTCATTTTATGAGGCCAGCATCATCCTGATACCAAAGCCTGGCAGAGACACAACAAAAAAAGAGAATTTTAGACCAATATCCTTGATGAACATCGATGCAAAAATCCTCAATAAAATACTGGCAAACCAAATCCAGCAGCACATCAAAAAGCTTATCCACCATGATCAAGTGGGTTTCATCCCTGGGATGCAAGGCTGCTTCAATATGCGCAAATCAATAAATGTAATCCAGCATATAAACGGAACCAAAGACAAAAACTACATGATTATCTCAATAGATGCAGAAAAGGCCTTTAACAAAATTCAACAACCTTCATGCTAAAAACTCTCAATAAATTAGGTATTGATGGGACGTGTCTCAAAATAATAAGAGCTATCTATGACAAACCCACAGCCAATATCTTACTGAATGGGCAAAAACTGGAAGCATTCCCTTTGAAAACTGGTACAAGACAGGGATGCCCTCTCTCACCACTCCTATTCAACATAGTGTTGGAAGTTCTGGCCAGGGCAATCAGGCAGGAGAAGGAAATAAAGGGTATTCAATTAGGAAAAGAGGAAGTCAAATTGTCCCTGTTTGCAGATGACATGATTGTATGTATAGAAAACCCAATCCTCTCAGCCCAAAATCTCCTCAAGCTGATAAGCAAATTCAGCAAAGTCTCAGGATACAAAATCAATGTACAAAAATCACAAGCAGTCTTATACACCAATAACAGACAAACAGAGAGACAAATCATGAGTGAACTCCCATTCACAATTGTTTCAAAGAGAATAAAATACCTAGGAATCCAACTTACAAGGGATGTGAAGGACCTCTTCAGGGAGAACTGCAAACCACTGCTCAATGAAATAAAAGAGGATACAAACAAATGGAAGAACATTCCATGCTCATGGGTAGGAAGAATCAATATCGTCAAAATGACCATAATGCCCAAGGTAATTTATAGATTCAATGACATCCCCATCAAGCTACCAATGACTTTCTTTACAGAATTGGAAAAAAACTACTTTAAAGTTCATATGGAACCAAAAAATAGCCTGCATCGCCAAGTCAATCCTAAGCCAAAAGAACAAAGCTGGAGGCATCACCCTACCTGACTTCAAACTATACCACAAGGCTACAGTAACCAAAACAGCATGGTACTGGTAACAAAACAGAGACATAGACCAATGGAACAGAACAGAGCCCTCAGAAATAATGCCACATATCTATAACTATCTGATCCTTGACAAACCTGACAGAAACAAGTAATGGGGAAAGGATTCCCTATTTAATAAATGGTGCTGGGAAAACTGGCTCGCCATATGTAGAAAGCTGAAACTGAAACCCTTCCTTACACCTTATACAAAAATTAATTCAAGATGGATTAAAGACTTAAATGTTAGACCTAAAACCATAAAAACCCTAGAAGAAAACCTAGGCAATACCATTCAGGACATAGGCATGGGCAAGGACTTCATGTCTAAAACACAAAAAGCAATAGCAACAAAAGCCAAAATTGACAAATGGGATCTAATTAAACTAAAGAGCTTCTGCACAGCAAAAGAAACTACCATCAGAGTGAACAGGCAACCTACAGAATGGGAGAAAATTTTTGCAATCTACTCATCTGACAAAGGGCTAATATCCACAATCTACAATGAACTCAAACAAATTTACAAGAAAAAAACAAACAACCCGATCAAAAAGTGGGTGAAGGACATGAACAGACACTTCTCAAAAGAAGACATTTATGCAGCCAAAAAACACATGAAAAAATGCTCATCATCACTGGCCATCAGAGAAATGCAAATCAAAACCACAATGAGATACCATCTCACACCAGTTAGAATGGTGATCATTAAAAAGTCAGGAAACAGCAGATGCTGGAGAGGATGTGGAGACATAGGAACACTTTTACACTGTTGGTGGAACTGTAAACTAGTTCAACCACTGTAGAAGTCAGTGTGGCGATTCCTTAGGGATGTAGAACTAGAAATACCATTTGACCCAGCCATCCCATTACCGGGTATATACCCAAAGGATTATAAATCATGCTGCTCTAAAGACACATGTACACGTATGTTTATTGCGGCACTGTTCACAATAGCAAAGACTTGGAACCAACCTAAATGTCCAACAACAATAGACTGGATTAAGAAAATGTGGCACATATACACTATGGAATACTATGCAGCCATAAAAAGTGATGAGTTCATGTCCTTTGTAGGGACATGGATGAAACTGGAAACCATCATTCTCAGCAAACTATCGCAAGGACAAAAAACGGAACACTGCATGTTCTCACTCATAGGTGGGAATTGAACAATGAGAACACATGGACACAGGAAGGGGAACATCACACACCAGGGACTGTTGTGGGGTGGGGGGAGGGGGGAGGGATAGCATTAGGAGATATATCTAATGCTAAATGACGAGTTAATGGGTGCAGCACACCAACATGGCACATGTATACATATGTAACAAACCTGCACGTTGTGCACATGTACCCTAAAACTTAAAGTATAATAATAATAAAATTTTTTAAAAAAAGATCATTTGAGGTTTTCCTGGTCTAATTTATTTTAGTTTTGTTTGGAAAATTACTTTGGCTCCAAAAAAAAGTGATCCATAAGTTAAGTAATTGATTATTTTTAAGATTAATTGAGGATTGCCTAAGCAACTATAATTTTATTACAAATGTATTTTCCTTAAACTACAAAAAAAATCACCGACTTTCTTGAAGCTGGGGGAGCATTATTTATGTAGATTGAAACAAATGCTGAATGTGCTCCCTTTTAAAATGAGAAAATAACCTTCAGCTCCTCTAAAATGTAGAGTTTGGCATTTTACTAAATTTCATAGGGAGAAAATGTAATGAGTCAATAAACCCAATTTGGAGGCTGGTTATTGTCACATAAATTAATTTGCCTGCTAAATGATCATATTCACATCCACCTTTTTCCCCACCATCTGCCTCACAACAAAGTTGGCATTGTACTCCTTTGAGGACGGACTGTAAAAATGTCATTATTTAAAGGCTTATTATCCACCAAGTCATGTTAAATTCCAATTTCCTTGTGCTTGCAGGCTGACCAGGTAAACAACATAGTTTGGAATTTTCAAAAGAATTACATGTACCGGTGGTGTACCTTGAGGTATCTCTGCATTGGGCCTTTGTCCAAAGGCGAGGTGACTCCCATGACCTTGGACTCCTGCTGGCAGGCCACTCCCACTCAGTGCGACGCAGACACGTTTCCATGGCTCAGCTCTGACTTGCCTCTCCAAACACTTGTGATCTGTGAAATCTCTCCTGACTGTCACACTGAGTGATCCTATCCCATTTCTCTGCACAATCAGGCACCTGGCAGGCTTTGCCAAACAGAATGCTGGTTAGAGAGGGGTAAGCGGCTGCCAAATCCCCTCTCCAGCCAAGTCCTAAATGTGACCCCAATGGAATCCAAAGACCAAGATCATCCTGACCATGATCTTACCACAAGCCCTGTTTGACAGGGGAAGGGGAAATGTGTTCAACAGAAAAAACATGATAGCTATAAGAGAATAGCTTAATAGTTAAAGATTTTTAAAAGTCAGAAACTAAATTCAGAGTCACAATTAACAACCTTTAAAAAAAAATGCTATTGACAGGTAGTTTTGTGTGTGTTTTGTTTTTCCTTTTTCGTTTGTTCTCCCCCAGCAGTCTAGATGGCTTTATACACACTGATTCATTCTGCATTGGGTAACTCCTGCCATTTAGCCTCACTATATTAACATGCTATAAGCTTGTTAGATAACTCAGTTTGTTGGAAATATGTGAAGTGTAAATAATGACAATTACTCAAGAAATTATTGATAATTATATAACTTTTTTAAAAGTTACTAGGAATATAGTCCGGCCTCAGATTTTTATAAATATGTATTAATCCAACTGTAAGTTCTGAGGACTTACTCTATGTTAAATATGCAAAGACAAATACAATCTAAAGGGAGAAGTCTGTGCTCATTGAGGCTCCTTGTCTAGACTCTGGAAGGAAAATCAGACAAGTAAAAAATAATCGACTACAGTGTATGAAATAAGCAAGTGTCATATTAGGTCAATTAGAAGGGCAGACTGAGGTCATGGAAGGCTTCCCAGTGACAGGGCCAGGGGTCAGCACAGCCTAGCATGGATGTGACTGGGAAACATGCAAGAAATAGGGACAATTTCTATTCTCAAGGGTTTCAAATGTCATGAAAACGATTTTAGAATTTGTTTAGTTGGAAACCTTTGAAGAATTTTAAGCAGGAGTATCATCCCATTGGGTATGAGTTTTAGAAAATTCCTTTATTCCACCAGCATTGTAGCAAATGTGTTGAGGCGAGGGTGATATTTGAGGTGTGGCAACCAGACTGGAGGCTTTTATGGCTTAATCCAGGCAGGAGATTATGCAGGTGGGAACTGGGCAGTGACAGCGGGAATGAAAAGAAGGTGTGTGTTGAAGATGGGGGTAGGAGCCATCCATAGCAACTGGTGAAAACTACATGAATGGAGAGGGAAGGCAGATGTCACAGATGACTCTCAGATGACTGTAGAGGAAAATTCACCACAACAATAGAGTGAATTTCCATTTCCAATTCAAGTTGTGAAAATTAAAAGCAACGAGAGATATTAATGACCAATTTACTTAAAGGACAGACAGTTAACTTTGCAGATGAGAAGTAATGAGATCATGCTAAACCAACAGCATGGAGGTGAAGCAGAAGGAAAATGACAGAAATGAATCACCAAGTATTGTCTATTGCTCAACCATCTAGAGAAGGATTTGGGGAAAGTAGAACAAAAAGTGTCCAGAGAGAGAGGGAGATGTAGAGCAAGTGGGTTTGTGTTTTAATTTCTCGATTTGGGTTGGAAAGTAATGAAAAGGCAAATAAAACATTGGAACATGCTAAGTATGTCTCTCATGGATGGCAGTGGGAGGGATCTTAAGGTTATTAGGAAAAGAAGATTTTGACAAAAGCACAGAGGTCCAGGGCTACCCACCTGCATGTGAACCACCCAAGCACAGAGAGAGAAGCATTGGGTCTTAGAGGAAGGAAACCCCGAAAGCAGGCGAGGGTGCCAGCCCCCATCTGGAGCCCCAAGTTGTTTTTTCAGAGCTTGCCATGTGCAGTCCCTGAGTCAGTGAAGGGGTCCTGCCTCTGTAAAATATCTGTCACTCTTTGAGTTTCCTCTCCAAGATACTGAAACATCTGGTTCCTCTGAATGTTGGGACTCTAAAGAGGAAATGAGAACATTTTAAACAACGGAAGAATACCAAGGCAAGTTCCAAATGTTGAGAGTTCTAGGCTGACACAAAATTTGTCGGGTTAATTTAAGTTGTAAAAGCTAAATATTGTGGGCTGATTTCTGTCCTTTCAAAATGCATATGTTGAGGTCCTAACCTCCAGTACCTTGTAAGGGACTGTATTTCCAGATAGGGCCTTTAAAGAGGTGATTAAGTTAAAATGAGGTTATTAGGGTGGGCCCTAATCCAGTATGGCGGGTGTCCTTTTAAGAAGAGATTAGGGGGCCGGGCGAGGTGGCTCACGCCTGTAATCCCAGCACTTTGGGAGGCCGAGGCGGGCGGATCACGAGGTCAGGAGATCGAGACCATCCTGGCTAACACGGTGAAACCCCGTCTCTACTAAAAATACAAAAAATTAGCGGAGCATGGTGGCAGGCACATGTAGTCCCAGCTATTCGGAAGGCTGAGGCAGGAGAATGGCGTGAAACCGGGAAGCAGAGCTTGCAGTGAGCCGAGATATCGCCACTGCACTCCAGCCTGGGTAACAGAGAGAGACTCCATCTCAAAAAAAAAAAAAAAAAAAAAGAGATTAGGATACAGAGAGACACAGAGGGAAGCCCATTTGAAGACACAGGAAGATTACATCCTCTACAAGCCGAGGAGAGAGCCCTCAGGAGAACCAACCCTGCTGACACCTTGATCTCAGACTTCCAGCCTCTAGAACAGTGAGACAACAAATTTCTGTTGCTTAAGTCATCCAGTCTGTGCTACTTCGTTATGGTAGCCCTAGCAAACTAATTAACTAAACAAGTCATTCTCCAAGTATTTACCTTGAGATTTACTCATCTGAACTTGGTACGGTTATTCACTCCAAATTAGATAATTTCCACAAAGTCGTTTCAATTACAGTTATGTGTTGCTTAATGATAGCAATACCTTCTGAGAAACGCACTGTTAGGCAATTCCGACACTGCGAACATCATAAAGTACACTTACACAAACCCAGATGGTAGAGCCCACCCCACACCCAGGCTATATGGTACAGCCCATTGCTCCTAGGCGCAAACCTGTACAGCATGGACTGTACTGGATACTGCAGGCAATTGGAACACAACGGTATTTGTGTATCTAAACATATCTAAACCTAGAAAAAGTACAGTAAAAATATAGTATTAGACAGAATAGGACCATCATTACATATGCAGCCCACCATTGACTGAAATGTCGCTATGTGGCTCATGAATATAATACTGCATAGACTCAGCTTGAGGGATTCATTTCAAAAAAATTTAAACATCCGGGCCGGGCGCAGTGGCTCACGCCTGTAATCCCAGCACTTTGGGAGGCCGAGGCGGGAGGATCACGAGGTCAGGAGATCGAGACCATTCTGGCTAACACGGTGAAACCCAGTCTCTACTAAGAAACACAAAAAATTAGGCAGGCGTGGTGGCCGGCGCCTGTCCAACCAGATACTCGGGAGGCTGAGGCGGGAGGCTGAGGCAGGGCAGTGGCGTGAACCCGGGAGACGAAGCTTGCAGTGAGCCGAGATCACCCCACTGCACTCCAGCCTGGGCAAAAGAACGAGACTCAGTCTCAAAAAAAAAATAATAATAATTAAACATCCAATCATGCCTTCACTGTAGTAGGCTTCAAGAGGGTCCCTCGCAAATTTAATACAAAAGAAAGCCTGAAGTTCGTTCTACATTGTGTCTTTATGAAAATAATTTCAACCTTCCAAATATAGCTTGAGTATCTGGGGTACTATTAGAAATGAAAAAGTATTCTAGTAAGCAGAGGAACTACATTTACAAATTGTCATGTTTGTATTTTTTAAAATAACATCTATTGTAAAGGTACTTTGTGAATTAGTTACATGATTTCAGCCTACTTACCTGAACAAATGATTCCATTACTAACTCTAGCACCACATACCAATATTTAAAACTCTATCCTACACTTCATAAAAACATCATTTTTGGTCATTTGTATGTCATAAATGTTAGTGACAAGGGCAAAAATACATCTGAATTAATACCTATCTGGTCTTTATTTTATTTATATGTACTCTAAATTTTCAAGTTTAAAAAAGATTTTTAAAAATCAGCAAACTTTTCCAAAAATTAGCACTAAGTTCTACATTGGCTTCCTTTAAAAGTTTATTCTATTTTAAATGTATTGAAATAAAAGAATTTTTTTCCTCTAGAAAAGAGCTCTCAATGTCAAAACAACTTTTAGGAATGTTGACTCACTTTAAATTTTGGAACAAGTTTAATTATGACTACTTGAGTATAACATAGAAAATAAATTTTATTATTAAGAGCTTTTCTAGATCAAATCTTTTATGGCTCTGTAAGTTGCATGTCTGATTGTGATTTTTGAATTCCTGTAAGATGTATTGTTCTGCCCTTTTTCAGCTTTATTTTTATTTCAATTCATTTTGACTTATGAATTTTTATTCTCTCCTGCTTTTTCTATAGAGTGAAAAACTGCATATCTAACGTGTCCTTGAATATTACACTATTATTCAACAATAATAAAACACAAGTTTACTACAAACATGTTGGTGTGGAATCAGCTCAAGTCTATGAATGTCTGCATTTCCTTTTTCTTCCTGAAAATTGTGACGGATCTGAATGCTAGTCAAGGAAAAAAGCTTGCTATTGGAATAGGATTTGCATTCTTTCAATGAAGATGGAAGAAGTAAAAGCTAGTCAAATTTCAGGGATGTATTTATTGCTGACACACACTCATATACACACACCACACACAGTCACACACACACTACACACATATCACACACACGCCCTCACATATACCCCCCACACACAGAGGTCTTCAGTTTATCAGAAGCATGTTAGAAAGTTTGAAACAAACAGGTATTCATCTCAGGTCAGACGCCAGAAGATCTACAGTATATGCTCATTATTCAGATCTGTATAAACAAATCTGAATTGGTATTTAAATCGGATTCTGTTAACTCACTTTGATAATAGGATTAAATTGCAGAATACTATTTGCTCACCCAGAAGCAAGTACAATTCACCATTCACACTGTTCTAACTTGAAAAATATGTCATGTTTTCAGTACTCCATGGCTCTAAGTATTTCTTAAAGTCTGTGAAAATACCAGGTCTGCTATTCAACATAACAAGCATATTTTAACATATTGATTACATTGAAAAATCCGATGAAGAAGAACAACTTTGATTTTTAAGACTCCAGATATTATTCTGAAAAACTCAAAAAGTCATCACTGATAACCATCCCAATGCAGCATTTCTGTCTCTATCTTCTTATCACCACTTGTGATAAACATAAATATTTTTAATTAAGAAAACATTTTCTTAGCTTGCCCTCACAAAATTACTATGGACTCCTATATAGCAACCCCAGCAGATTTTTAAGGAAATAAACCAGCTGGGAAAGGCACTGTCCACTCTCTTGGCCTTGTCCAAGGAGACTTTTCAGATCAAATCCTGGTAGTTCAAAGGCTGTCATCTTTTACCTTAGGATGAACATATATGCAAAATCTCAAATACATTTTATAAATATGACAGTAGGCCCATGAAGATGAGGTGTCTCTCTCTCTCTCTCTTTTTTTTTTTTTTTTTTTTTTTGAGGTAAGGTCTTGCTCTGTTGCCCGGGCTGGAGTGCAGTGGTGCAATCCTAGATCACTGCAAAATTCTGGGCTCAAATGATCCTCCTGCCTCAGCCTCCCAAGTAGCTGGGACTACATGCACGTGCCCCCATGCTCTGCTATTTTTAATCATTTTTTCTTTTGTAGAGATGGGGTATCACTATGTTGCCCAGGCTGGTCTTGAACCCCTGGCTTCAAGTGATCCTCCCGCATTGGCCTACCATAGTGCTGGGATTACAGGTGTGAGCCACCATGCCTAGCTATTTCTATCTATAACTTCTCTATCTTCAGCCTTACAGTATCTGGTATGTAATGGATATTTAACGAACATTTGCTGAATGGACAAAAAGTCCCTAATACTAATATAATAACTCAATGACAAGAAAAGCTTCAGACAGAAGATGAACATTTCGTATTTATCTCATATTATGCTGAATTCTGCTTTGCAATGATGGGCAAAGCTCAATATATAGTGAACATATTGATTGACATTACCAGAGAGTACTCCTCATTACAGCTGGCAGTACACATTGCTCAGAAGGAGCAAAGAGATCCAGGCACAAAGATAAATGCAAACACATCAGCACAAAAGCCTGGGGATGGTGAAAGCATGCTTGAAGCATGACTTCATGGAGAAGGCACCAGCAGTGCCTGGCTTGTATGGCTGAAGACATGTTCCCAAGCACACCAGAGAATGCTGTGTGGAAGCATAACCCCCAGAACTGGACGTAGAAGAACTCTGGAAATGCACAATACAATTGGGTGCCAACGGGAGCCTGCAGATGGGCAGGGATATTTTGGAGTCAGAAAATCATACCTGTGCCTCCTGACAGCTGGGTCCCCTAAAGCAACTGGATCCTCTAAAAATTGAGCTCGCTTTCTTTCTTTCTGCGTATTGCACTTCTCATAGAACACTCTATTCCTTTCTCTAAAGATTGGCTGTAGGGTTGTTCTTATTGCTCCAGTTCCCTTTCTCTTTGTTGTTTCAGAGTAAAGAATCACATTCTTGTTATATGTTGGCTTTTATTCTACCAAAAGGCAACAAGAAATTTGGATAGTGGCGAGCATGGGACAAGTTTCAAAGGCTCAAGAAACCACCTGAAACTAACCGGCATGAGTCCCTCTGTGAGCTTGATGTTGTTCTAAGCACTAGCTGTGCATTACCATAGCAGAGAAGGACAATCATGATTCACCCTATTTTTAAAGTGAAGACACCAAATTTTACATAATAGTTAGTCCATTACCTGTGTTGTAACGTAGAAGAAAGCAGGCCTTATTTTCACAGCATTTTCTTTGACTTGCTTCTAAAACGTCTAGGGGTTTCTCTCCTATGAAACTATTTCTCCCTTGATTCCTGGAATTCATCAAGTCTACTCTCACAACCCCCTTTTGACATTCTCTGAATGTCTTATGCCCTCTCTGTCTGGAATAAAGGAAAGAGATGGCACTTACTGGGCATTGTACTAGTTGCTTCATATACATTATCTTATTTAGTTCTCACAGAAAACTTAGGAAGTATTTTCCCCAATGCTCTGAAGAAGAAAATGAGACTCAAAGAGATGAAATGATTTCCCGAGTCGTGGAGCTGGCACGTAGCCGTAGGGATTTGATCCCATGCACTTACATCCCTCTGTGCTGCCTGCCTTTCGGGCAAGTAGTGCATGATAAATGACGCTGCTCACAACAAAAGATTAGTGGAGGTGAAGAAGGCAAACAGCTTGTAGATTCAGAAAATGAAGTCAGTTGCACAGGGGCCAAAGTCTAGAAGTCTGGACTGAACAGGAAGAGAAAATAGGGCCCAGGTGTTTACACAGATGTCAGAGTCCCAGTTTCCGCTGGGCACAGAGCAGGAGACTTGCCAGATACGGGGGCTGAGCTAGGCGCATTTCACCTGTGTTGTGCCTGAAGTAAGTCGGCGGGAGCGCATGCCTCGCTTTGCTCTCATACCTGTCTTGCAGGTAATTTCAATGTGCCTCTTGCAGATGCAGCCTTCATCCTTTTTCCCTCAGCCCTGCACTGCCTCCAGGAGCTCCTGAGCCTGGGCAAGGCAACTGAGGGAGGAAGGAGAAGCTATGCTTTTATCCTGTGGCCCGCCCCAGCCTAGCCAGTGAGTCCCTCCACCTAGGCCCCAGCTCTGCTAATGCAGTGGCTGCAAACGACTTTCCTTTGCATTCTGGGCACAGCCCTGGTGGTTTCTTACACTCGGTCCACTCCTTGTATGTAGCCTTTTATTAAATCTTCCTAAAATGATCCTCATTAAAGAGTGGCTTCTTATCGCCACAGGTCCCCTGTCTGGTACACACATATAGTTACAAAACCAGTTCCAGGAATATTTTCATCATAGATTCTTAGGAAAGTATAGAAAATAATGGAAAATATAGAAATAGTATAGGGAAAGTATCAAAAAGAAATTATACTTTTCCTGAAAAGCATAATTTATCATACTTATTATCTAAAATTTATTTAAATACATCTATTAAAATTTTTATATTATGTATTTATTTAAAATTAATGTTTGAACCATTGCAGTGATACATTTCCATGCCATTAAAGTCTCATAGTCCGCCTCTGTCCTGCCCCTTCACCCCTCCTGGGCATCCTCCTCAGAGCCTGCCACATTCAATTCATTTAGCTGTTTCCTCAGCATTGACCTTCCTGTTTCCAGTTTTAGGTAGAAACTGTCTCAAATATGTTTGTTGATTTGTTTAGAGAGATTCTCCTGACACCAATGTGAAGGACAGGGATTTAGGTCCTGGTTGCCCCCACTTTTCTCCAGCCCTAAAACACAGTTCTGTAGAAAAGAGGGTGTGTTCCCTGACACCAAGCACGCAACAGAATAGAATAAGAGGCAGGTTCCAGAGAACAGGCCATGAGACACAGAAAAGAGGGAAGCGGGGCCCAGGTGGACAGCCGTGCAGCACAGCTTGGGAGCACCCAGTGCCAACGGGAGCCTGAGCATGAGGGATTCTAGGGAAGAAGGAAAATGGGACCTGATAAACTGCAGGAGATGTGGGCTCTGCAGAGGACCAGGTCCAAAGGCGTTCAGAGAGCACTGGTGGGAAATTAAAGAATTTATTCTATTGGGAGGAAAATAGAAGCAGATCACAGTTTCCTGATTAATACTGAGTGTAAACACTATTGACAATTTTTTTTTAACTCCAGAGCCAATCAGGGTATATAAACACATTTTCTTTTTTTGATTGTTTGTTTGTTTAATTATACTTTAAGTTTTAGGGTATGTGTGCACAACGTGCAGGTTTGTTACATACGTATACATGTGCTATGTTGGTGTGCTGTACCCATTAACTCGTCATTTAACATTAGGTATATCTCCTAATGCTATCCCTCCCCCCTCCCCCCACCCCACAACAGGCCCCAGTGTGTGATGTTCCCCTTCCTATGTCCACGTGTTCTCATTGTTCAATTCCCAAATATGAATGAGAACATGCGGTGTTTAGTTTTTTGTCCTTGCGATAGTTTGCTGAGAATGATGGTTTCCAATTTCATCCATGTCCTTACAAAGGACATGAACTCATCATTTTTTATGACTGCATAGTATTCCATGGTGTATATGTGCCACATTTTCTTAATCCAGTCTATCAGTGTTGGACATTTGGGTTGGTTCCAAGTCTTTGCTATTGTGAAGAGTGCCACAATAAACATATGTGTGCACGCGTCTTTATAGCAGAATGATTTATAATCCTTTGGGTATATACCCAGTAATGGGATGGCTGGGTCAAATGGTATTTCTAGCTCTAGATCCCTGAGGAATCGCCACACTGACTTCTACAATGGTTGAACTAGTTTACAGTCCCACCAACAGTGTAAAAGTGTTCCTATTTCTCCACATCCTCTCCAGCACCTGCTGTTTCCTGATTTTTTAATGATCGCCATTCTAACTGGTGTGAGATGGTATCTCACTGTGGTTTTGATTTGCGTTTCTCTGATGGCCAGTGATGATGAGCATTTTTTCATGTCTTTTGTCTGCATAAATGTCTTCTTGTGAGAAATGTCTGTTCATATCCTTTGCCCGCTTTTTGATGGGGTTGTTTGTTTTTTTCTTGTAAATTTGTTTGAGTTCATTGTAGATTGTGGATATTAGCCCTTTGTCAGATGAGTAGATTGCAAAAATTTTCTCCCATTCTGTAGGTTGCCTGTTCACTCTGATGGTAGTTTCTTTTGCTATGCAGAAGCTGTTAGTTTAATTAGATCCCATTTGTCAATTTTGGCTTTTGTTGCTATTGCTTTTTGTGTTTTAGACATGAAGTCCTTGCCCATGCCTATGTCCTGAATGGTATTGCCTAGGTTTTCTTCTAGGGTTTTTATGGTTTTAGGTCTAACGTTTAAGTCTTTAATCCATCTTGAATTAATTTTTGTATAAGGTGTAAGGAAGGGATCCAGTTTCAGCTTTCTACATATGGCTAGCCAGTTTTCCCAGCACCATTTATTAAATAGGGAATCCTTTCCCCATTTCTTGTTTTTGTCAGGTTTGTCAAAGATCAGATAGTTGTAGATATGTGGCATTATTTCTGAGGGCTCTGTTCTGTCCCATTGGTCTACATCTCTGTTTTGTTACCAGTACCATGCTGTTTTGGTTACTGTAGCCTTGTAGTATCATTTGAAGTCAGGTAGCGTGATGCCTCCAGCTTTGTTCTTTTGGCTTAGGATTGATTTGGCAACGTGGGCTATTTTTTGGTTCCATATGAACTTTAAAGTAGTTTTTTCCAATTCTGTGAAGAATTGGTAGCTTGATGGGGATGTCATTGAATCTATAAATTACCTTGGGCAGTATGGCCATTTTCACGATATTGATTCCTCCTACCCATGAGCATGGAATGTTCTTCCATTTGTTTGTATCCTCTTTTATTTCGTTGAGCAGTGGTTTGTAGTTCTCCTTGAAGAGGTCCTTCACATCCCTTGAAAGTTGGATTCCTAGGTATTTTATTCTCTTTGAAGCAATTGTGAATGGGGTTCACTCATGATTTGGCTCTCTGTTTGTCTCTTATTGGTGTATAGGAATGCTTGTGATTTTTGCACATTGATTTTGTATCCTGAGACTTTGCTGAAGTTGCTTAGCAGCTTAAGGAGATTTGGGGCTGAGACGATGGGTTTTCTAGATATACAATCATGTCATCTGCAAACAGGGACAGTTTGACTTCCTCTTTTCCTAATTGAATACCCTTTATTTCCTTCTCCTGCCTGATTTGCCCTGGCCAGAACTTCCAACACTATGTTGAATAAGACTGGTGGGAGAGGGCATCCCTGTCTTGTACCAGTTTTCAAAGGGAATGCTTCCAGTTTTTGCCCATTCAGTATGATATTGGCTGTGGGTTTGTCATAGATAGCTCTTATTATTTTGAGATATATCCCATCAATACCTAATTTATTGAGAGTTTTTAGCATGAAGGTTGTTGAATTTTGTTAAAGGCCTTTTCTGCATCTATTGAGATAATCATGTGGTTTTTGTCTTTGGTTCTGTTTATATGCTGGATTACGTTTATTGATTTGCGTATATTGAACCAGCCTTGCATCCCAGGGATGAAGCCCACTTAACCATGGTGGATAAGCTTTTTGATGTGCTGCTGGATTTGGTTTGCCAGTATTTTATTGAGGATTTTTGCATCGATGTTCATCAAGGATATTGGTCTAAAATAATCTTTTTTTTGCTGTGTCTCTGCCAGGCTTTGGTATCAGGATGATGCTGGCCTCATAAAATGAGTTAGGGAGGATTCCCACTTTTTCTATTGATTGGAATAGTTTCGGAAGGAGTGGTACCAGCTCTTCCTTTTACCTCGGGTAGAATTTGTCTGTGAATCCATCTGGTCCTGGACTTTTTTTGATTGATAAGCTATTAATTATTGCCTCAATTTCAGAGCCTGTTATTGGTCTATTGAGAGATTCAACTTCTTCCTGGTTTAGTCTTGGGAGGGTGTATGTGTCAAGGAATTTATCCATTTCTTCTAGATTTTCAATTTTATTTGCATAGAGTTCTTTATAGTATTCTCTGACGGTAGTTTATATTTCTGTGGGTTCGGTGGTGATATCCCCTTTATCATTTTTTATTGCATCTGTTTGATTCTTCTCTCTTTTCTTCTTTATGAGTCTTGCTAGCAGTCTATCAATTTTGTTGATCTTTTCAAAAAACCAGCTCCTGGATTCACTGATTTTTTGAAGGTTTTTTTGTGTCTCTATTTCCTTCAGCTCTGCTCTGATCTTAGTTATTTCTTGACTTCTGCTATCTTTTGAATGTGTTTTCTCTTGCTTCTCTAGTTCTTTTAATTGTGATGTTAGGGTGTCAATTTTAGATCTTTCGTGCTTTCTCTTGTGGACATTTAGTGCTACAAATTTCCCTCTACACACTGCTTTGAATGTGTCCCAGAGATTCTGGTATGTTGTGTCTTTGTTCTCATTGGTTTCAAAGAACATCTTTATTTCTGCCTTCATTTGGTTATGAACCCAGTAGTCATTCAGGAGCAGATTGTTCAGTTTCCATATAGTTGATTGGTTTTGAGTGAGTTTCTTAATCCTGATTTCTAGTTTGATTGCACTGTGGTCTGAGAGACAGTTTGTTATAATTTCTGTTCTTTTACATTTGCTGAGGAGTGCTTTACTTCCAACTATGTGGTCAATTTTGGAATAGGTGTGGTGTGGTGCTGAAAAGAATGTATATTCTGTTGACTTGGGGTGGAGAGTTCTGTAGATGTCTATTAGGTCCGCTTGGTGCAGAGCTGAGTTCAATTCCTGGATATCCTTGTTGATTTCTGTCTCGTTGATCTGTCTAATGTTGACAGAGGGCCTCTCCTCCTCCAAAGGAACGCAGCTCCTCACCAGCAATGGAACAAAGCTGGACAGGGAATGACTTTGACGAGTTGAGAGAAGAAGGCTTCAGACGATCAAACTACTCCAAGCTAAAGGAGGAAGTTTGAACCCATGGCAAAGAAGTTAAAAACCTTGGAAAAAGATTAGATGAATGGCTAACTAGAGTAACCAATGCAGAGAAGTCCTTAAAGGATCTGATGGAGCTGAAAACCACGGCACGAGAACTACATGGCGAATGCACAAGCCTCAATAGCCGATTTGATCAACTGGAAGAAAGGGTATCAGTGATGGAAGATCAAACGAGTGAAACGAAGCGAGAAGAGAAGTTTAGAGAATAAAGAATAAAAAGAAATGAACAAAGCCTCCAAGAAATACGGGACTATGTGAAGAGACCAAATCTACGTCTGATTGGTGTACCTGAAAGTGACGGGGAGAATGGAACCAAGTTGGAAAACACTCTGCAGGATATTATCCAGGAGAACTTCCCCAGTCTAGCAAGACAGGCCAACATTCAAATTCAGGAAATACAGAGAACGCCACAAAGATACTCCTTGAGAAGAGCAACTCCAAGACACATAATTGTCAGATTCACCAAAGTTGATATGAAGGAAAAAATGTTAAGGGCAGCCAGAGAGAAAGGTCGGGTTACCCACAAGGGAAGCCCATCAGACTAACAGGTGATCTCTCTGCAGAAACTCTGCAAGCCAGAAGAGAGTGGAGGCCAATATTCAACATTCTTAAAGAAAAGAATTTTCAACCCAGAATTTCATATCCAGCCAAACTGAGCTTCACAAGTGAAGGAGAAATAAAATCCTTTACAGACAAGCAAATGCTGAGAGATTTTGTCACCACCAGGCCTGCACTAAAAGAGCTCCTGAAGGAAGCACTAAACATGGAAAGGAACAACCAGTACCAGCCACTGCAAAAACATGCCAAATTGTAAAGACCATAGAGGCTAGGAACAGACTGCATCAACTAACGAGCAAAATAACCAGCTAACATCATAATGACAGGATCAAATTCACACATAACAATATTAACCTTAAATGTAAATGGGCTAAATGCTCCAGTTAAAAGGCACAGACTGGAAAATTGGATAAAGAGTCAAGACCCATCAGTGTGCTGTATTCAGGAGACCCATCTCACGTGCAAAGACACACATAAGCTCAAAATGAAGGGATGGAGAAAGATCTACCAAGGAAATAGAAAACAAAAAAAGGCAGGGGTTGCAATCCTAGTCTCTGATAAAACAGACTTTAAACCAACAAAGATCAAAAGAGACAAAGAAGGCCATTACATAATGGTAAAGAGATCAATTCAACAAGAAGAGCTAACTATCCTAAATATATATGCATCCATACATACAGGAGCACTCAGATTCATAAAGCAAGTCATTAAAGACCTACAAAGAGACTTAGACTCCCACGCAATAATAATGGGAGACTTTAACACATTTTCTTTTCTGTACAGTTTTATTCATTAAATCATTTATATTAGCTTGATTTTCTATGTCCCTATCATTAATTCTTCTTAAATTTCCCAGAAACTAGTGTCCTTCAGATTTTTTGTTATTCTTAAAAAAATTTTTTAAATTTATTTTTTCATATAGAGATGGGAGTCTCACTTTGTTGCCCAGACAAACTCCTGGACTCAAGGGATCCTCCCATCTCAGCCTCCCAAAGGGCTGGGATTACAGCTGTGAGCTACCGTGTCTCTCCATGTCCTTCAAATTTAAAAAAACAAACAAAAAAACCCTGCATTTTAAGAAATATTTTCTTCTTTTCCATTTTTTTCTCTTCTTTTAATGAAATTCTTAAAGAGACTTTAAAACTCACAGACTTTTAAAAAAATTATTATCTTTCCTCTCCTGTTTTTCTCTTTATACCTTTTTAATTGCTTCTGGAAGGCTTTCTCCACTCTATCTTCTGAATCTTCAACTGAGTTTTTCTTTCAGTTCTTATATATTTTTCAGAGTTCTTTGTTCTTCCCTTTTACTGCCCTTTTCTTACCTTTCTGATATGTTTTCTTGAATAAAATGTCATCTCTTATTTTTCCAGGGTCTTAAATGTAATTTTTATTGTTTTATTCTAACATATTTATCATTTTTCCCCATTGAGTTCCTTTTTTTTTTTCCTATTTTGGTTCATTCATTCTTTCTCCTTTTCTTCCTTCCTCTCCTTACCTCCTTTTTCTTTTTCTTTTTTTCTTTCTTTCTTAGTTTCTTTCTTCATTGGCTTTCCTCAAATGGCTACTGATTGTTGTCTATTATTTCATAATTAAGAATGAGACACTAGGCCAGGCACAATGGCTCATGCCTATAATCCTAGCCCTTCGGGGGGCTGAGGCAGATGGATCACTTGAAACAAGGAGTTAAAGACCAGCCTGGGCAACATGGGGAGACCCCATCACTACAAATAAATGCAAAAATTAGCCAGGCATAGTGACACATGCTTGTAGTCCCAACTACTCAGGAGGCTCAAGTGGGAGGATTGCTTGAGCCTGGAAGAGTTTGAGGCTATACCAAAATTGTGCCACTGCACTCCAGCCTGTGTGACAGAATAAGACCCTATCACAAAAAAAAAGAAAGAAAGAAAGAAAAAAGAAAACAAAAAACTTTTCTCATGGTTAAATTATTACTTTTCTTTTTCGTTTCATAGAATATTTTGCATTGAACTATTCTTCAAGATAGTGGAGGAAAAACATCCAGATAGGAAGCTGTGCTTAGTCAAAGTGTAGTACTCAATATTTTGGACATATAAGGACTCTGTTGAGCTGTCAGAAAGGAGAGCCAAAAGCTGGCAGTCTTAGTAAATAAAACGTTTGCATTTATATCTGTATTTGTTCATTCTTGAATTGCTATAAAGAAATACCTGAGACTGAGTAATTTATAAGAAAGGAAGTTTAACTGGTTCACAGTTCTTCAGGCCATACAGGAAGCATAGAGGCTTCTGCTCCTTGGAAAGCCTCAGTAAACTTCCAATGATGGTAGAAGGTAAAGGGGAAACATCTTACATGGCAAGAGCAGTAGTAAGCAAGAGAATGGGGAAGGGGAGATGCCACACACTTTAAACAACCAGATCTCAGGAGAACATACTCACTATTTCGAGAACAGTACCAAGTGGATGGTACTAAACCATTCATAAGAAATCCACCCCCATGATCCAGTCACCTCCTACCAGGTCCCACCTTCAACACTGGGGATTGCAATTTGACATGAGATTTGTGTGGAGACACAGATCCAAATCATATCATTCCACCCTGACCCCTCCCAAATCTCATGTCCTTCTCACATTGCCAAATACAATCATGTCTTCCTAATAATCCCCAAAGTCTGAATTCATTCCAGCATTAACTCAAATGCACAAAGTCCAAATCTCATCTCAGACAAGGCTAGTCCCTTCCACCTATGAGCCTACACAATCAAAAGCAAGTTAGTTACACACAAGATACAATGGAGGTACAAACATTGGGTAAATGCTCCCATTCCAAATGGGGAGAAATGCTCAAAACAAAGGGGCCACAGGTCCCATGCAAGTCTGAAACATGACCAAGCAGTCATTAAATCTTAAGACTCCAAAATCTCCTTTGACTTCATATATCACATCCAGAGATGAGCTCCCAAGGCCTTGGGCAGCTCTGCCCCCACAGCTGCTGTCACGTGCTGGTGTTGAGTGCCTGCAGCTTCTCCAAGGACATGGTGCAAGCTGTCAGTGGATCTACCATTGTGGGGTCTGGAGGACAGTGTCCCTCTTCTCACAGCTCCACTAGGCAGTGCCCCAGTGGGGATTATGTGTGGGGGCTCCAACCCCACATTTCCCTTCTACACTGCTCTAGCCGAGGTTCTCCATGAGAGGTCTGCCTCTGCAGCAGACTTCTGCCTGGACATCCAGGCTTTTCCATACATTCTCTGAAATCTAGGTGGAGGCTCCCAAACCTCAATTTTTGTCTTCTGTGCACCCACAGGCCCAACACCATGTGGAAGCTGCCATGGCTTGGGGCTTGCACCCTCTGAAGCAATGGCCCAAGCTGTACCTTGGCCTCTTTTAGCCAGTACTGGAGCTGAGTGGCTAGAACACAGGGCACCAAGTACCAAGGATGCACAGAGAAGTTGGGCCTTAGGCCTGGCCCACGAAACCATTTTTTCTTCCTAGGTCTCTGGGCCTGTGATGAGAGGGGCTGCTGCTAAGATCTCTGACATGCCCTAGAGAATTTTCTCCATTGTCTTGGCTAATAAGATTCGGCTCCTCATTACTTATGCAAATTTCAGCAGCTGGCTTGAATTTCTCCCCAGAAAATGAGTTTTTCTTTTCTACCATATGGTCAAGCTGCAAATTTTCCAAACTTTTATACTTTGTTTCCCTTTTAAACATAAGTTCCAATTTCAAACCATCTCTTTGTGAACACATTTAACTGTACACTTTCAGGAAAATCCAGGTCACTTCTTGAATGCTTTGCCGCTTAGAAATTTCTTCCACCACATACCCTAAATCATCTCTCTCAAGTTCAAAGTTCCATAGATCTCTAGGGAAGGGCAAAATGCCACCAGTCTTTTTGCTAAAGCATAGCAAAAGTGCCTTTGCTCCAGTTTCCAATAAGTTTCTCATCTCCATCTGAGACCACCTCAGTATGGACTTCATTGTCCATGTCACTATGAGCATTTTGGTCAAAACCATTCAATAAGTTCTAGGAAGTTCCAAACTTTCCCACATCTTCCTGTCTTCTTCTGAGCCCTCCAAACTGTTCCAGCCTCTGTCAGTTACCCAGTTCCAAAGTGGCTTCCACATTCTCAGGTATCTTATAGCAATGCCCTACTACCTTGGTACCAATTATCTGCATTAGTCCATTTTAACTTATAAAGAATACCTGAGACTGGGTAATTTAAAAAGAAAAGAGGCTTAGTTGACTCAGAGTTCCACATAGCTGGGAAGGCCTCAGGAAACTTACAATCATGGTGAAAGGCAAAGGGGAAGCAAGACATATCTTATATGGCAGCAGGAGAGAGAGAGAACAGGGGAAACTGACATTTTTAAATCATTAGATATTGTGAGAAATCCCTCACTATCATGAGAACAGCATGGGGGAGACTGCCCCTGTGATCCAGTCACTTCCCACCAGGTCCTTCCTGGATACATGGGGATTACAACTGGAGATGAGATTTGGGTGGAGACACAGAGCCAAACCACATCAGTGCTTGAAACACAGTCAGTACTTTATTCCATCATTTAAGAAAAGTGTGTCAGTTTCCTCCTGTGTGGCTGTCCTGTCCTGGGTTCTGGGGAATCACATCTACCTAAGGACAGAGGCCCTTCTCTCATGGGGCTCACAAGGGGATGGGGGTAGGGGAGGGGGAGGGCAAGCATGTCAGATGGGGCCTGTGAGAGGAATGGAGGAGGGAGGTCAAGGAAGGCCTCTCTCATGAGGTGCACCTCGTCCGAATTCAAAAGAAATAAGAACCAGCCAGGCATAGACCAGGAGAGAAGCAGATGAACTGCAAGCACCAAGGCCTTGAGGTGGGAATGTGCTTGGGATGCTCAGGAACCATGCAGACGCCGCAGTGGCAGAAATGGAGGCCTTGAACGGGAGGCTGGTGGAGAAGCCGTCCCGCAGCAGGCCAGCCCGGGGAGCTGGTAACCACAGTCAGCACTTTGGATTTTACTTCAAGTGAGCACAGGAAGCCTCTGGAAGGTTTTGGTGGACAGAAGAGTGTCATCTTTTTGGGGTCACTCAGGCTACAGATGAATATTAACCTAAAGGAAGGAGGGGACAAAATGGTTATTATAATTATTATTATACTATCACTATGACTGTACTATCATTAATGTTATAGTTATTATGACTAAAATGAAAAATTACATTTGGTGTAGAAATGAGTAGCTGGAATGGAAAGGCCTGAGCCAGTGCTTCTCTACCTAAGTGGACATCAGAATTCCCTGAAGGCCCTGCTCAAACACCTGCTCAAACATCTATTCAACCACTTGCTCAAGCACCTGCTCAGACACCTACTCAAATACTCAAACATGGATTCCTGGGCTCCGCTGTAGGGCTCTGCCTCAGCCTGTCTGGAGTGGAACCAGGAATGCAGGCCTCTAACAAGCTCCAAGAGGATAGCAGTGCTGCTTGTCCCTGTTCACACAGAGCAGCCTCGTCTAAATGACATTGATTCACACATTGTACTTTCTTAATATCAATCATAGAATGCCCTAGTGGAAAAAAAAAAGGCAAGAATGCCTGTTTGGCCAAAAGTAATCATAAGATGGTTGAAATGTGAGTAGTATAAGTAACTATTTGATTGGAGGCAAATAATAACTCCTGATGGATAAACATTGACTTACATTTTGTTAGTGTTTTGCACTTCAGAAAGAATTCATGATCTAATTGAATTCTTACAACTTAGGACAGATTAGATTTATTTGGCAGATAAGGAAAGGGTGTAGAATAGAAAACCAATCTCCTAAAGACACAAAGGTAATAAATGAGGAGCCTGGCCTTGGACCCCAATGCTCCTGTTGACATTAAGTGTGTTTTTCCACTATACATCGCTGCCCCTCAAGAAGGACGATGAGGACTGATGTTACTTTTTTTTTTTTTTTTTTGAGATGGAGTTTCACCCTGTCTCACAGGCTGCAGTGCAGTGGCATGATCTCAGCTCACTGCAATCTCTGCCTCCTGGGTTCAAGAGATTCTCCTGCCTCAGCCTCCCGAGTAGCTGGGATTACAGGCATGCACTACCACATCAGCTAATTTTTTATATTTTTGATAGAGACAGGGTTTTGACATGTTGGCCAAGCTGGTCTTGAATTCTTGACCTCAAGTGATCTGCCTGCCTCGGCCTCCCAAAGTGCTGGGATTGCAGGCGTAAGCCCCTGCAGCCAGCCTGATGTTACATTTTGACATAGAAAAAGGCCAACTGAAATTGTTGATTAGATACCATGATATTCTCCCTCAAAACTCTCTCAAAATATCTAAGTATACACTCTTTACTATGCATACTCATTAAACACAAAACAAAGCAATGGCCATCTGGAGATTGTTGCAAACCAAAGCAAAACAAGGAGCCATCACACCTGCTGGGCATTGTCAGCGTTCAGATATGTGGATTTCACACTTTTGGATAGAGTTGACTACTTCTTTGAAATACTCACTATGAACACAAAAATATCCTCATGGTAATTTTTTTGTAGGAACAGTTCGTGTTATAGGAAATGTTTGTTAAAAGAATAAATGTAAGCTAAATACCTTACGTTACAGAGTGCTTTGTGATTCGAAAAACACTTTCATTCCTTTTTTAAAAAATTTCCTGTCACAGCAAGCCTAGTAAAAAAAGAGTATCTAGTAGTTTTATGATCATCATTTTACAGATGAGAAAGCCGAGCTCTGGAGGGCTGGCAGCCCGCTCCCAGTCACTGGAGCCATCTGTTGTCAGACATTGATCATTCTACAGTAGATTGATTGGGTATAACTACTTGACATTGCATAACATAATGCTGGGATTAAAATATCTTTCCCTGTAAAATAAATTTTCCTGTATGTATTAGTTAGGATTCCCTGGTTATAAGTAACAGGAACCCACCCTTTGTAAGTGAAAAGGGATTTATTGTAAGGACCTCAAGTGGTTCCCAGAATTGAAGGGAAGCTGCAGAACTGGCCTTTGGGCAGACTGGAACGAAGGGCAGCTCTGGAGACCTGGGAAGCAGGAATGAGTAGACACCTTGACATCTGAGTGTGGTGTCCAAGATGGGTAGAGAGCATCTGGTTGGCCTAGATAGGTCACCATTGGTGGCAAGGGACAGGAAAGTACGCCTTGGTTTACAGTGCTGGCAAGACTGAGGCAGTGCAGGGGGTTAAATCCCTAATGCAAAATGAGGGTGCTATGACCAGAAGGAGGAACAAACACGGGGCTGGCAAAATGACATCTGTCCACTCTTCCTGCTTCACAGCCGTGGCTTACTCTTAGTGATGCTGAATGCAAAGTAGCTGAAGCTAATTTGTGCAATTTCCCCATGCACCTTACTCCTAACAAGAGGGAAAAATATGTGAATAAATGTAGAGTTGGGTAAAATCCCAAAGAACTTGAAATTTCCTAGCCAACAGAAATAACTGTTTTACAATTGTTGCTGTTTTCTTCTAGAGAATATAGCTATCAAAGCTGAATAGAACATTAGGAGCTCTGTAATTAATGGCCTGAATTAGGTTTGATTTTGTATTTAACCAAATTTCAAATGATTGAGGACCTGTGAGTTATAAATTCTGAGTTTAAAGGATAGAAGCCAGTTGTTTCATTCTGAAAATAATTTTCTACAAGTAAATCAAGGAAGTAGAATTTGGGTTTCTGGTTTGCCTACCTAATCAGAAGTCAAATTGAAAATACTTTATTATAAGATGACAAGATACAATTTTCTCTCCATGTTAACTATACCTCAAGTCCAGCTAGAGTTGATATTAATAGAGTATATCATATATATTTCAGTTGCATTCTCTGCCAATGCCTATAGTTAATCTCTGCTTACATATGCTATCATTCATTCAATAAATATTTGAGAGTTTACCTCATGCTAGACTCTATGCTAGGTACTGGATACAAAAATAGAAGGAAGAATAGAACCATAAAGATATCATAATCTGGACAGCATGTACGGATAACAAACAATACATCTATTGATTGCTTCATACATAATAGCACCCCAAGATAGACATTATTCTCTTTGCATAGAAAAGGTTGTATCTAAAGTCTTCAGAACTGCAGGTGGCAGTGCTGGAATTTAAATTCTGTGCTCCAAAGCTTGTGTTATTTTAATAAAAGACTTGGCTTTCTCAAAGGAGTTAGATTTGTACCAATTGCATATACTTTGAACAATGCTCTAAGAGTGGACACACAGCAATGGGGCCGCAGAAGAGTGCATGATTCTTTCTTCCTGGAGAGACAGTGACAATTGACTTAGGCCTTGAAGATTATGCCATGTTGTGCCAAGCAAAGAGGGGAAGAAAAGACATTGCATCTAGAAAAAACAATTTGCCAAAAAGAGCACAGAGACATAAAACACACAGTTTTCATGGAAGGACTAATTGCTACGTGGTAGGCTATATGCTGTAATGAGTACCTGAGGATGATGCTGAAAAGACAGGCCAGAGCAGGTTCATGAAGGTCATGAAAGACATCCAAATTAGTTTTGTATTCCTTGCATGCTAGCTTGGTTTTTAAGCAGAACATGGTCAGATTAGTGCTGTATAAGATATAAAGTATCACTGGCTATGTGGAAAATGGGTAGAAAGGGGAGATGCCAGAGTGAAGAGGAGCAGAGTGAGAATAGTACAAAGTCTTATTGAGATGGAAAGTCAAGAACAGATTGGAGATGCTGATTAGGTGGCGTACGTTTGATCAAAAGGGGCCTGAGGAAGGTGAGTGGGTGCTAAAGCCATCCATTCTTGGCCAGTCAGGAATATTGCCTAAGCAAGGAGCAAGTGCATATTCCAATGTTGCTTGCTCGATTTATTCTTGTACTCTCAAAATACTGACTGTGGCTGAATGTGGTCATTTGGCAGGAATTATAAACTGAAACTTTCATTTTCTCAATGTAAAAGATATAGATTATAAGCCTAGGGGCCAGAGAAAGAGAGGAGAGAGAGAGAGAGAGACAGAGAGAGAGAGAGAGGGAAATACATAGATATATATATATATATTAGAATTAGTTTTCTTTTAATTTGGAATATACATGAATACATTCTCAATATTGACAGTGAAAAATAATCAAGTACTAAATTCTATGTATTAGTAACACAATTATAATCAAAACAGTGGTTATCAAAAATAATGCACCTAATTTTACAACTCTGGTTTTTTTAATTCCAGTTTTACAACTTTGGCTTTTTAAATTCTAATTTTCTAAAAACTATGAGATATAATCTTACAGATGTAATTATATCTCATAGTTTTTAGAAAATATATACATTACAGAATGATATGTAGGTATCTAGGTACATATGTTTTTTCTTTTAGAACCATATCTAATTCAGAGAAAATATATTACAACCTAATATCTTACCCAAACTCTTAGGGTAGACATAACTAAGAAAGAGAATACGAAGGGAAGATGGAATTGTTTTCAACTGAGATCTTCCAGGACTGTTTGAGGGTAGAAAAAGAAGATTAAGAACAAAAGAAAGTAGATGCCAAGAATAAAAGGAAAGGGTGGCAAATATAAAAAACATGATTTGAAAAATATTTATTTAGGCATCCTCGCTTTCAGAACTATTTTCAAAGACATTTTTTTCACTTTGTAAAACACACTTTATAAAATTGTTCATAGTCTAGACATCCTAAATCCTAAGTAGCATTTCACAAGGAATGTGTCAATAGCAGAGGGAAAATAGACAACCTAAAATCACAAAGATGTGGTGAAAATATCATAGAAATATTTAAATAGCATCAACAGTGTTTAAATTAGATGGATATATCGCATCCATTTGACATCAAATAGAATCATTCCCTTCCCACTGCCTGTCAACAAAATCACAACATTAAGTCTGTTAATGTCTACGAAAATATCTAAGGCTATTTTTTTCTCATGGAAGTATGCTGACATCTGTGAAATCCAGGTGGTAGGTTCTTGTTACATTTTTCACTGTGTTTTTTGAACATTTTAAATATTTAATAATTAGATATTTAAATGATTGATAGTAAAAAGGAATATTTGTCGGTGCAGAATGATATGAAATTTTAAAGAAAGAAGTTATCTGAAGAGGATCTTCACATTGGTTTGTTCAAGCTTGGCATGACAGGCTCAGAGACGTTCTGTGATCAGGCAGCCTGGCACAAACCACATTTCTCTAAATGCTCATTTAATTCCAGAAAGGAGGACAAGCTTTATTACGCTTTGACACAACCTCTGAGATGTTTTTCTATGTGTTTGCTTGAGTGTGTATCACTGCATGTGCTGACCGATAAGCTTCAACTTTTATGAAAATAAAAGGATGACTAAGCAAAATACAAAGTTCTCCTTTACTTCTACAGTATAATATAATGTGCCTAGTATTTTCCTTCTTTTTTTACTGTTTAAACTAATGTAATTAAGTGCAGTGAAGATGTCAGAGAGACCCAAGTAAAATTTTTACAGATTTTTTTTAATATTCAAAACTTTGGTTGAATTTTTGATAAAAGATAAATAACAACTAATTTTATATTAGTTTATTAAATAAACTAATTAATGGTTTAATTATGAGGTATTATAGTGGAGTGTGCCACTGCACTCCGGCCTGGATAACAAAGCAAGACACTGCCTCAAAAAAAAAAAATCAAGGTTGTTATTTTTCAGGTCGTATTCTGCCATTTTCAGTAAGATATAATGCAAGACGCCTTGACAAAATCTGATCACCAGAAAGGAGTATTTGAAGCCACTTTATGAAAGATTAGTACATAACTTTAAGTCTTCCTAAATATATAAAAGTACCATATTGTAAAATAAATTCTCCACCTAGCATCTCAGGTGGTCCTGCTTAAACACAAGGCGAAAATGGTATTCTTCTGTTCAAATACTGACGTGGCTTCCTGGTTCCTCAGAATAGATGCCAAAGTTCTTGAAAAGATCAACATGCCGCTGACATCCTGGTGCTAGACTGGCTTTCACAGCTAAGCCTGGGTGTTCTATAGTGTTGAACACAAACTGTTTCACAGAACACAAAAATCAGACAAGGTCATTCTGTGGTCTTGACTGATTAAGACAACCATGATTGATCAAGACAACCATGATTGATCAAGACAATTTCCCTTTGTAAGAAATTCAGAGGTCGGGTGTGGTGGCTCACGCCTGTAATCCCAGGCACTCACTTTGGGAGGCAGAAGCGGGTGGATCACGAGGTCAGGAGATCAAGACCATCCTGGCTAACACAGTGAAACCCTGTGTCTACCAAAAATACAAAAAAAATTAACCAGGTGTTGTGGTGAGCAGCTATAGTCCCAGCTACTCAGGAGGCTGAGGCAGGAGAATGGCGTGAACCTGGGAGGTGGAGCTTTCAGTGACCCGAGATCACACCACTGCACTCCAGCCTGGGTGACAGAGCGAGACTCCATCTCAAAAAAAAAAAAAAAAAAAAAGAAAAGAAAAGAAAAGAAAAAGAAATTCAGAAAGTAAGTGACAAGCTCCAAGCTCCTGCAATCCATGAAACCTGACTCACCAAAGCTGGTAGGGAAATTTGAGACACCCACTCACTGGGGTCCCTGTCCCTAGTGCAGTGCCATATAATCAGAAAGAGACCTCTTAGCTCCTGGTTTCTCCCAAGTGGGGAAGGGGTTGTTTCCCATATCCAGCACCCCAAGTTTCCCAAGAGGGCTCCCCAGAATATCGACCACTGTCCTGCTATACTTGAAGTGACTCAGATAGGTCTACCACAGCTTACCATCCTGGAGGGGAGTGGAAACAGCAGCCCGGGCTGGCAACGACCATAGCTCCCCATCCCACTCCCCACAGAGTAGCTGAACAAAATTCATAGCTGCTTGCCTCTTCCTGGAAAGGTAAAGATTTGGTAGAGGCCCCCAGAATCTCTGCCCAGTCTGATTGATGGGGGTCATCTTCTGTATGAGCCCAGTCCATGAAGACCAGCAGAGGTGGCTGCTTTGTCTAACGGGCAGACATCAACACAAAGAGTATAAGAAAAACAAAACACAAATAAAGACAGCAGAGGAGGAAAAGAAATTCTCATCATCTCTAAGTATTAGGGAAATGCAAATCCAAACCACAATTAAGTGTCATCTCATTGACACCTGCCAGGACTGCTATTATCAAAAAACAAAGGACACCTGTTAGCAAGCATGTGGAAACTGCACACCGTGGGTAGGAATGCAAAATGGTGCAGCCACTGTGGAAAACAGTACGGAGGTTCTTCAAAAAATTAAAATGCGAACTACCATATGATCCAACCATCCCACTCCTAGGTATTCAAATGAATTGAAATCAGGATCTTGCAGAGATGTCTGCCCTCCCATACTCATTTGCAGCATTATTCACAACAGCCAAGAAGTGGAAACAATCTAAGTGTTGTTTAATCATCAGTGGATGAATGGATAAAGAAAATGTGGCATATCGGGCACAGTGGTGCATGCCTATAGTTCCAGCTATTCAGGAGGCTGAGGCAGGAGGACTGCTTAAGCCCAGGAGTCCAAGACCAGCCTGGGCAAAATAGCGAGACCGCATCTCTAAAAACAAAAAGGAAAAAAAAAGTACATACATAAACACACGTGTGTGTAATGAAATACTATTCAGCCTTTAAAAAGAAGAAAATTCTGCAATATGACACCATGAAAGACCTTGAGAATGTGATGGTAAGTGAAATAAGCCGGATATTTAAAGCCAAGTACTGCATGATTGCATTTATATGAGGTATCTAAAATAGTCAAATTCATAAAATTAAAGAATGAAATGGTGGTGACTAGGGCTTGGTAATGGGGAAATGCGGAATTATTAATCAACAGACATAAAGTTTCAGTTAAGCAAGGTGAATATGCTGTAGAGATCTGCTGTATAACACTGTACCTAGAGTCAACAATAATGTATTGTACACTTAAAATTCATTAAAAAATAGATCTCATGTTAAGTGTTCTTACCACAATAAAATGAAAAATTCTTGAGAAAACATTTTTCAAACCACAAAATGACCAAACATCTCCCTCTCCTGGCTAGTATAGGTAACTGCTGCTTCTTTATAAATCACAGCTTCAGCCTTGTTTCTCATCTTGTAAGAAAAGATTCAGCCATCCAACTGTAAAATTGCCCCTGCCTCCTGACAGTATTGATTCTTACCAAAGCCCCATTCCCTGAAACCCTCTTTCAAAATCACCTACTCCAAACCCAAATCCTATAATAGTTTCTTTTCAACACTCTCTTCCTGAGACATCCACGGTTTTCCATGGTGTTTGTTTTCTCTTGCTGCAACAAGCACGATCCACCTTCCTCAACCACAGTTGTGTTCCTGAGGGTCTTTGGTAGTTCTCCAATATGATGTAGCTTTTTGCCTTTTGCTATGAGTACAAAAACTGAAAAAAATAGACATAAAAAGAGGCTTTTGTGCTGAGATTTAACTTTTTTCCTAGCAACCAATACACAGCACTGGGTGGTTACCAGGCACCTTCTATCTTAATTAACATGTCTACAAAAATGTAGAGATCTGTCTTTTTTGTTCCAGATGCCTGCTTTGCAGGTATTTGGCTATCTATGGTTGCTTTTTGCTAGTATTCACATATCTATCAAAACACTAGGGTGAGGCTTATTATTACTGGTATAAATGTATTTTTCAAATTTTTCTTACTGATAATTTCAATTTTTGTGTGATTTATTGTTAGGTCTGATTTTTTTTCCTGCCTTATATGTGACTGATAATGAGCTTGGTTTGTTGTTGTTGTTGTTGTTGTTGTTGTTGTTGTTTGGAGACAGAGTCACTCTGTCGCCCAGACCTGGAGTGCAGTGGCGAGATCTCAGCTCACTGCAACCTCTGCCTCCTGGGTTCAGGCAATTCTCCTGCCTTAGCCTCTGGAGCAGCTGGGATTACAGGCACGCACCACCATGCTCAGCTAATTTTTTGTATTTTTAATTTTAATTAAAATTTAATAGAGACGGGGTTTCGCTATGTTGGCCAGGATGGTCTCGAACTCCTGGCCTCAAGTGATCCGCCTGCCTCGGCCTTCCAAAGTGCTGGGATTACAGGTGCGAGCCACTGCACCCGGCCACAAGCTTGTTTTAGGTGTTAGAGTGAGAACTCTACCATTTCTTATTTTTAGCTTGTGTTTTTATTGTTGCCATTATCTTCATGATTTCCTCACATGAATCTGTTTAGTCTCCTGTTCATTTTGTACTGTTGGTTTAATTAGTATCAGATAATGTAATCTGCAAATACATTTAACTAGGCTCAGCCAAACTATTGTAATAAACTATTACAATATGTGGAAAGCAAACAGAGAGAAGGTGATGCTCTTGATCCCAGGTATAGTGGATTCACACTGTTCTCTGGGAAGGCCTGGCAACTGTTCTTGAAAAGTGGCCACACAGGCCTCATTTTGACACAGAGTCAACCCAAACTGAACACTCTTCAAGTTCATTTGCCTTTCTAATACATGAATACATGCAAAAAAGTTCTAGTATTTTCCTCATGCACCCAAATCAAGCAGAATATTGCTTTTCATTATATCTTTAGTGAAGGGCTAATTTTTCTCCTGGACAGATACTTTTGTAAGAATACAATAAAAATAAATTACTAGGAAAGTGATTGTTTTAAACATACAAAATACAAATAAATTTTTGTTATTATGAGATGCATAAAATGTAAAACTACTCTGTTATGTCGTCGCTGCACGTGTTTCTGAATGCTCACTCTGATTTCCATTCTGATCTCATTGCAGGCCAAGAATCTGCCGGCCAGCACCAGCTCTGCACCTCCCTCTCAGGAGCTCGGCCGAGAACCCTAAAGGAGACGACTGGCTCCATGAAGGTAGGAATGGCAGCAATACCATTTCCCCCTGTGTATCCAATACCTGCCATGAAGTCTGGAATGGAGAGTGTCCTCAACAAATATTTGTCCAGCAAATGAATGAATATTAGCAGGAACAATATAAAAGGAGTACCATTCATTCATTTACATTTATTTAGCATTATTATGTATTAGACATTGGTGGAACTATTGGAGATAAAGCATTGAACACAATAGACTAAATCCCTGGTCTCATGTTGCTTGTTGGAATAGAGTATTCATTAACACTAAATGTTTATCCTAAATGTTAAAAATCAGGAATATGTATCAGGTAAATATCTTTAAAAAGTTCATACCCTTTGGTCTTATTAATTTAGGGAAAAAATTCTAAACATATAGAAATATATATATGTTATATAAATATATATACAGAAACATATACTATGTATACAGAAAACAATTTATGCTCAATAGTAAAAAGTCTAAAATCTGCCACCTAAAAATCTGGCAGGCTACAAAGGAATGTTTAAATACACGTTTAAAAGGTCCACTTGGTAAAGTATGATGCAACTGTTAAATTAGATTTCAATCATACTGAAATACTTGTGGATGAAATGGTATGTCTTGGGTTTGCTTCAAACCACTTCAGGAAGGAAGAAGGAAGAGGGTAAGTAAGTGAAGGTTTAGATGCATAGTGGCCTCTAGCCCAAACAGTGAACCTGTGCCTTTGCATTCTGACAGCAAATAACAGCATAGCAGATACTTACATGGTGCCCACCACATGCCTTGCACTGTGCTAAGTGCTGTAGTTATTTAATTTTAATCTCACAAAAGCATGTTGAGGTTGGTACTAATGTTAGCACCAATCTTCCGGGTAGGGAAATGAGGCACAGAGTGATGAAGTAACCAGCCCCAAATCACACACTTGCTGAGTGACAGAGAGAGGCTTCACACTGGGCCCTCGAGTACGTCCTGTAAACTTCCACACACTACAGGTGTAACTACAAAACCCATGCCAATGGATTTCCAGAAGAGACTTCGCTTCACCCCAAAGGTGAATAACAGCCTAATTCCTGTCAAAAGAGTACACAAGAGGAGGCTCTGAAATGACATCTTCATCTGCTTTTACCTTCCCATCAAATGTTTATTTCAAACCTCGCAAGGTCAACTGTTGTTCATGTCTCAAAATACTGGTACCTCCCAAATCCCTGTCGAGCAGTCTCTGCTGGAAAGAAGTGTCTACCAAGTCCTTGCCCTAGGAAAGGAACATAGCCCAGTGTTGATGACAATGAAAGTCTTTTCTCTTTGACGTTTAGCTTCATGGATTGTGACACATCCTTTTTCCATGTGCCACATTCACAGAAACGAAGGCGTCACTGTTAACAGAAGCATGCCATGTTCAAGAGTTTCAGGTGGCTTGGCTTGACCTAAGCATAGTTTATGATGCTTCACAGGTACTGATATGCTATGTGCTCTCATCTCCAGGCTTGTACATATGCTATTCCCTCTGCTAAGACCCTCTTCTCTGTCTTCACCTGGCTAATTGCTAACTCATCATTCAGGTCTCAGCTGAGATGCACTTCTTTTGATTCCCAAGTATCAGTCAAAAACTCCTTTAAATTACTCTGGGCTTTCCCTAACACACCTGGATTGTAGTCGCCTATTTACCTGTATCACCCCCAGGGTGTGTGCTCCAAGAGATCAGGAGCCATGTCAGAAATGTTCACCATTGTAATCTGAGCACTGGCACAGTTACTAGCCTGTAATATCCATCAAAAGACTGGATTAAAAAATGCTATAAGGGTATCTCATTATGAATAGGATCCAGCATATCATTGGTATTCAAATGCTGCTAATAGCACATACACTTTCGCAGCAGCAACGCCCAACAAGATGTTCTTGATGTTACGTAGTTTATTCCATTTATAGACTGGGTAAAAATGAAGTTTGGGAAAACTAAAGGATTTATGAATGAATGTTTGTTAAATGGGAAAGGTTAAAAGATAGCAGGCAAACCAAATTAGGTTGTCTAGCAATACGAGATTATTATGTATTTATACAAATCCATTTTAGGGAAGTATACGTATGTTACCTCAGAGTTACTCTAAGCACAGAGTTCATAGGAGAAAGTGATGGCAAGAGCTCAGATTTTGAGCACCCTTCTATTCATACCACACCAAAGACTTTCCATTTTTTTACAGCCAGTGGCAAAAGGCATTCTGCAGGCACTCAGTGATCAAGGGACAAGGAAGTAACTTCAGCAGATTCATGTTTTTGTGTGAGGAAATATCTGTACAGTGTGCAGGCAAACAAAGGCAGGGAGAACACCTTGGAAGCTCTTACAACAGTCTAGGAGAATTGATAAAGGCTGAATTAGGGCTGTTTCCTAAACTCGAATGATAACCTCGCATTTTTACTGTTTTTATATGTACAGTAAATATTAGTATCATTTTTTTTCTTTTCAGTGACTCGTTGTAAAAGGAAAACTTACATTCTTACTACCACCATAAGTGGCATGACAGTACTACTTGTCATAAACAGAAAGTAGAAAGAAAAAATAAACTCAGGAAAACAAAACCAAGCTCTTGAATCCTACCTCAGCCAGAGGCCAAATTAGAAAGGCTGCTAGGCTGCTAATCTCTCACACCACCAAGCTCCACTCCCTTGCTAGATGTTGGGGTCAGCCCAGTTAAAGAAAATGTTAAGTAATTTCAGGCAAACAGTATAAAAAATGAAAGATATGAAAGAGAAAAGTATACATATATATGGCAGAAATCACGGAAGTCACAGAAATGGCAGAAAAAAAAAGTTATTTTAAATAAATACATGGCAATGGTTAAGAATCTGTAAGACTATGGGCCCCAGATTCTTTGACTCAAACTTGATTTAGATCATAGTTGAAACTAAGAATCCTAAGTTTTTCACTAAGAAAACCTTGACAAATTCGTTTTAACAATACGAAATAGCAGCTTATCCATTACTTTGTGTTTAGAAAGAAAGACAAGAGCTGGGCCAGCAGCCGGAGCCTATAATCCAGGACTGACCATTTGAGGCTGCCAGGAATTTGAGGCTGCAGTGAGCTATGATCCTTCCAAGAAAAATATGAGGAAAATTACATCTCTAGTCACTCTATGTTTGTGTATCTCTTTCCTTCTGTCGGTTTCTTAACAACAACAAAAGACACTTTTCTATACAAATGGAAGGTTCACCTTAGTAATTCCAAGGATTTGTAACCTTAAGATTTTGAAACTATATTTTAAGCATATTGATTGTAGAAAACTGTTTGTTTCCTTAAAGTTCTAGACAATTTTTCTCATAGGAGATTGATTTTAGTCAACTGTCACATCATAGTGAACTACTAAGACCTCATAGATTTTATTACAATTAAGTAGGCTATTATTTATGAACAGGTCTTTTTTTTTTACTAAGTTAGAAACATCTAAAAGTATTCACTTCTCCTTGCACAAGGTACTATTTAAGTAAAATATGTAAGTACTTTTGACAACTTTGCTTTAATACATAATGAAAACAATCCTAGTTTTTCACAAACTAAAAGATAACACAATGGAAAGGAGAATACAATCTCAGTCATCTAAATCTAAAGTAATTCAATCTTGTGTTAGTCAGTTTCCGCTGCTGTAACATAAACTTATTTCTCACACTCCTGGAGGCTGGAAGTCCAAGATCAAGGCACCAGGAGATGCCAGGTCTGGTGAGGGCCTGTTTCCTGGTTCATAGGGGGCTGACTTTTTGCTGTGTCCTTACATGGTGGAGTGGGGAGGCAGCTCTTTGGGGTCTCTTTCACAAGGGTACCAACCCCATTCATGAGGGCTCCACCCTCATGACCCAATCACCTCCAAGGGCCCCAACTCCCAATACCCTCACAGCAGGGATTAGGTTTCAACATATGAATTTTTAGAGAACACAAATATTCAGACCATAGTAAACCCACTTTTCCTTCCTAACAAGTGAGTAAAAGTACACTGCAGGAGGGCCTGGATTTCAGTCAGTTGGAGAAGGGAGAAGTGCGTGCGCCCGTGCCCAGGCGTCCAGCAGAGGGCAGGGCAGCTGCATCTGAGCGCCGCTGGAGGGCAGGGCTGGAACAGGATGTGGCTGAGCCCCGAGCGGGGAAGAGCAGGTGCTGCTCCCCTGCAGAGGGGAAATCTCCTTCCTTACCATAAGCAGATAGGCAGTGCCTGGGGCTGTGCAATTGCAGGGTTTATACTTGCTAGAAAAGAGAACAGAATGTTGCTACAACGATGGAATTGAACCAATTATGGTGAATAGAACTCAAGTCAGTCTGGGGAATTGCTGGAATAATAAGCGAATGGCTAAAGGAGAGCTAAGTCCCTGTCAGTTTACTTGTAAAGAAAACTAAAATGAAGCTCAGCGCTTTCCTTACATGCAGGAAAGATGGGTCCAGGCCATGGCCCTTGCCCCTTAAGTCGTCCTAGGGTGTCCCCTCCACACCCTCCAGCTACGAGGGACTCACAATTCCTTTCCCAAGCTGCCCATGCGCATCCCCAGGGCCCTTTGCTCCTCTTCCTGGGCCTATGCCCCAGAGGCTGGGCTTGGCCCCCATTTGTATCCTTAGTCCGAGGAGGACTGGCCCAGCGGTAGCTTTTGAGAGTCACAGGCTGCAATGGTGCGGGAGGGAGCCGCGGCTAGCGGAAAGCGAGACCACCCGGTCCACCACCGCATCCTAGAGGGGCACTCAGAAAGGCCCAGAGCTGGAACGTCATGCCTGGACTCCCTCACTATTTGGAAAGGTATGAGGCTAGAACAGGCATTTTAAAACAGTTTTTAGCTTGACTTATACCTTCTAATTTGTACTATTGCCCCTTGACCTCACAAAAGTCATGGAAATCGTGACAGAATCTGTCTCGTAGGTTGGGTGTAATAATGAAAGTCTAAAAGGAGTTCAGAGAAGGGAAATATAAATAGTGAAAATGTGCCAGCAGGTCAGACCTACCCGGGAAGCAGGGCGTCTGAGATGAACAGCCCTAAAAGCAGAGCGCGGTCCGGAAACAGATGGAGCAGTTCAGCCTGTGCCACATGCACTTGCTGGCTAAGGCTGCCGGAAAAAAAGTATCAAGGACTGGGGGACTAAGCCAACAGATACTTATTTCTTCATAATTCTGGAGGCTAGAAGGTCAAAACCAAGGTGAGGGCAGGGGAGGTTTCTCTCGAAGCCTGTCTCTATGGCCGGTAAAGAGCATCTCCCCGTGTCCTCACACAGCCTTCCCTGTGTGTGTCTGTGTCCTAATCTCTTCCTCTGATAAGGACACCAGTCATACTGGATTATACTGGATTAGGTCCCACCCATAGGACCTCATCTGAACTTCATCCGTTCTTTGTTTTTCTTTTTTCTTTTTTTCTTTCTTTTTTTTTTTTTTTTTGAGATGGAGTCTCGCTCTGTCGCCCAGGCTGGAGTGCAGTGGTGCGATCTCGGCTCACTACAACCTCCACCTCCCAGGTTCAAGCTATTCTCCTGCCTCAGCCTCTGAGTAGTTGGGATTACAGGCGTGCACCACCACGCCCGGCTAATTTTTGTATTTTTAGTAGAGAGGGGGTTTCGCCATGTTGGCCAGGCTGGTCTCGAACTCCTGACCTCAGGTGATCTGCCTGCCTCGGCCTCCCAAAGTGCTGGGATTACAGGCGTGAGACACCAGCCTTGGCGTCATCAGACCTGGGCTCAAAAACGACTCTGCTTCTTACGAGCTGTACAATTTCAGGTGCTGTGGTGAACATGCACGATACACGTTTCTCATCTGTAACTTCGCTGCCCCGTGCAGTGGCTACTGACCGCAGGTGGTCATTGAGGCTTGAAATGTGGCTCTCCAAACAGAGGATCTATAACTGTAAAATTCACAAAAGATTTGAAGAACTTGGCACAAAAAGGAAGAATGTGAAATATCTCATTAACTATTTTTATGTTGATTACATTAGAAATAACATTTTGGATATATTGGGAAAATACTGAAATTAATTCTACCGGTTTATTTTACTTGTTAATGTGGTTACCTGAAAATGTAATAATACCACATATCCAGCTCACATTTTCTTTCTACTTAAGAGCACTGATCTAGAGCACGAGAGGGATGGCCATCTGTCCTGCGGCAGCCAGAACAGTCTAGAATGATGCCCAGTGCCCTTAAGAAATCACCCAGTTTCACACTTTTACTGGGTTTAAAAAAAAAAAAAAATTAAAGCAGTACTAATAGGTGCATTAAAAGAAGTTGGAATGGGTTTGTGGACCTGCACTCCATACTTCCTGCTCAGTCAGCTACTAGTGTGTGAGACACGTGTGACAACAGAGGCTAACTGAGGTATGCTTGGTTCTGCCAGCACCTGCCTCTCCCTGACCCTGGCCAGAAGCGGTAGTACTCACACCTCCCTTTTACAGACACCTGCAGGCACTTGCAAATTAAAGAAAATTGCGCTCAGAAACTGCTGTATTTACAAATAAGTGTGCATTCTGACAGCTGCAGCTTTTCTGTAGATTGAAACAGCACTGCAGCTGGTGTGGACACAACTGTGAATTATGTCTGCACCACAGCCAAATCCAAGTCTTTTCTATGTCACAGCTTTCTCGACTTAGTAAGATTCCTGTTTTTACCATGCCTCCGACAAAAATGTTTTGTATTATCATCCCCAAACACATTATCTTCTACTTGTCAGAATTTACCCTAGGCTAAGTGCTTCAAAATCTGTAGAGAATTTTCTCAACTAAAAGTTATTATGGTCCATAGACTGAAGTCAGGGGAAAGTACCAGTAATTTCAAGTTTATTAGCTCTAAATGCAACTTTGAAAAAGACTGCAGGCAATTTTATTTTTAAAAACTTAAAATAAAAGCTACATTAAAAAATAATTTCACCCAGGCCTGATGGCTCACACCTGTAATCCCAGCACTTTGGGAGGCCGAGCTTGGCAGATCACTTGAGGTCAGAAGTTCAAGACCAGCCTGGTCAACATGGTGAAACCCTGTCTCTACTAAAAATACAAAAATTAGCTGGCATAGTGGCACGTACTTGTAATCCCAGCTACTCGGAAGGCTGAGACAGGAGAATCGCTTGAACCGGGGAGGTAGAGAGGTTGCAGTGAGCTGAGATCACACCACTGCGCTCCAGCTTGGGCCACAGAGTGAAAAAAAAAGTTTCAGAAAAATACCAGTGCCATAGTGTTTTTTAAATGTCTAAAACATTAATTTAAACATTTGAATATATACCAAGAATAATGATTCTGCTTGTATTATTTTAATGATATCATCAATATAAGGTAGTTTTAAATATTTTAACATACATACATATGTACTATTTTTAGAATTCATATTTGAAGATAGTTGTTAATGTAATAGTTGTTAATGTAAAGTAATGTTATGAGCCCGTCCCTATAATAATACCAATTTGTTGGTTAATCAATTGGTATTTCAAAAATTATAAAATTTTTAGAATTTAGGGGCCCCTTTTCATTCTCAAAAGTGTCCCAGGTTAGGTGGTCTACCATATGGTTACCAAAGCCCAGGGACAATCATGCTGCCTGGACAAACCTCAGGGAGATCATCAACCCTCCAGGGCTGGATGGTGACTCCATGATGACATCATTAGGAACACTTTACATGCACAGCCTTCCGGCTGCATCAGTCCCCTTGTGGCTTCCCAGCCTCCTATGGCTTTTCCCCTCATTTCCACATGCTTCACCTTGAAATGCCTCTACAGTTAGTCTCAAAGTTATTATACCTTATTACTATGTTAAAGTAGTCAATAAGAACTGAATGGTTAGCATACAAAATCTCTCACTCAGTTTGTCTTTTCTGAACAGCAAATCTTCTTTTAGGGACTTCATAATATCATATGGGACCAAGGGAAGTGTCTTTTTCTTTGAAATCATTAAGTGATTTATAATGACAATTTATAATGAAATGACAAAATGTCTAATTTTTATCACCTAGCAACTGTACCTGTCAAGAGAATACTAATTAAATCAGGGCCCTAGTGGTGTAATTGTTAATCATTATCTAACTCACCAATATATGTTTAAGTGTTAAACAAAATACAAAGTTTAATTTGTTAGGTTATAATTATTTTAATTAGACTAATTTACTGTATTAATTATTAAAACATCATCAAATACCTAAGATGGCTTAAAGTGAATGTGTAAATGAAAAAGATGACAATGGTCTCAGAGAGGTTGAAACCAAACTTCTTTTATCATTTTGGGTGAGATTTATGTTTTCTAACAAGTGGTCCTTCCACATTATTTATTTAGACTTTATTGTTTAAAATATAAAATCAAGGCTAGTGAATCAGTAAAAATTTATTCTGCTTTAAACTCTAAAGAACATGGGGATCATGAATTCAGAGAAAAGACGCCAGTTTTCTTTAGCTCCTTTAGGGTTACTTTCTCAGCATGTGCCATGAAGCCACCGTGCACTTCAACAGCAGCTTCTCCCAGAAGAGAGCAGCACCCAGGCCAGCAGAGCGAGCGTGGCCTCAGCCACGTGGGCACAGAGCTTCCCCAACAGTTTGGGACTGGATCAGCAGTAGCCTGAAAAAGCTCCCCATTTCTAGAGATTTCTACAGCTGTATTCTTTCAGAAACTGCAACTATAGGAAGCTTGCTGCCGATAAAGCTCACTGCTGAGATTAAAACAGATTTTAATCAATCTGTGATCTGGATGATGGATTGTTTGAACTTTGAAAAAATTGTCTTGTCCTGCCTTGATGCTCACATAAAGTAACATAGTTTTTTGCTAGTTTATTTAGGTACCATAAACTTTGCCAGTGGAGTTGTTAGAGTGTGCTGAATCAATGAAGTGGTATGAATTGGTATGAATATATTATGTGTTATTATTCATTGCTGCATTATTTTTATGAGATGCACAGGAAGACTGTATCTTAGGCTTGAATCCTGGATCTGCTGCTCACAAACTGCATTACCTAAGGCAATGTATTTAATTTTTCTGGAATTCTGTATCAGGATTATGTTTGGTTATATAAAGGAAAATCCAAAATGGCAGTGACAAATAACATAGACATGTATTTCTATTACATATAAGCTCCACAGTTATCTGCCCTCCTGAGACTTTCCATCTTTCTGCCCTTTCACCCTTAAATCCTGAGTTCAGTGACTTCCATCTTTAAAATTACTTCATGGTCCAGTATGGCACCTGGAGCTCGAGCTACCACTTTCATAGTCCAGAAGGCAGGAAGAATAAAAAGGAGACAGTCAGAAGCCCAGTTAAGTTCCTTCAATAGACTCCCAGAAATCTCAAACAATACATTCACTTACATCTCAGTGAACAGAATGTGGTCACATGACCTCACCTAGCTAAATAAGAGAGGGTAGAGATTTAGGCTTTTAACTAGGTACATTGTCAGTTACAAATATAATCAGAATTATGCTGCTAAAGAAGAAGAAAATGGATGTTGGGCAGCAATCATCTCTAACACTGTATTTATATGTAAAATTGTATAAATAATGCCTACTGAATTGTTTTGAGAATGCAAATAGTATATGTGCAGCACCCAGTTTAGTACCTGACCAATGCCTATAATTATTATATTATATTTTGGAAAGCGACAGTGTCATTTAGTATGTACCACTTCAGGTAGATAGTTTTGATATACTGGGAGTCATTGCTACCATTGAATGTATACAACATTATTGATTTTGTATTCTTCCCCTACATATTTAATCCAAAGTTAATCGTGAGAAAACTATCAGACAAATCCAGAAACTGGGACATTCAATGAAAACCGTGGTCTGGACCTTTCAAAAAGTCTATGTCATAAAAAACAAAGGGAAGATGGGAGGAAGAGAGGGAGGGATGGAGGGAAAGAAAGAAAGGAAAAAAAAGAAAGGGAAAAGAAAAGCTGGTCTAGAGGAGACAGGGCAACCAATTATAAGAAGGGAAACTTTATTGAGTCCTGAATTTTAAAAAACAAAAAGAACTTTGAAGGATTTTCATGAACCATTGGATAACTTTGAATATGGACTGGATATTAAATATTATTGAATAAATACAAAATTTGGGGTAGATGGGAATAATAATGTAAAAGGAGAATAGGAGAGATGTATTTAGGCATAAATATCATGATGTCTGATATTTATTTTGAAATGATTCCAAAAAAGTATCTATTGTATAAATATATATACACATACACATATTTTATATACACATATATAAAATACAACAACATCAGCCACCAGGCAGTCCCTCCTTAGAAGCCAAGGTCCCAGCCCCACAGTGTCTACATCAGCATCAGCCAAAGGGCATCCTAGTCCCAGAGATCTGTGTCTCTGGGGTCCGTGGGTCTCCAAGCTTCTAAATTTCAAATATTCCAACTTCTTGTTCCACCAGCCCTAGGGATAGTATCTGCTTCCTGAGGTTGCTACCTCGGTGATGTCTGGGTTTTTGAGTTGTCTGTCCTTCAATACTTGGTTAGCAATTCTTTGTATTAAATTATCTGCTAAAATAACTTGTGTGGTTCTGTCTCTTGATTTGACTCTAAAGAAAATATAGAAATTTGTGCTGTAAGTGGTCCCAGTAAGTATACCCCAAAAAGGCATGGTTTGGATTGTGACTAGGGCCCAAGCATGGTGCTGACCTCCCTGCTGGGAGGAGGAGCTAGTCCTCCCAGGCCCATAGGAGCATCCTGATTAGGCATAACTAGTTACCTGTGCTTGAGAGTAATTAATGACCACAGGATCAAGTGGCTGCTGCCATTGGCATTTTGCAGGAATGAATTCTACAAAGACCATGATTTGGAATATCTTCCTCTAAGTGCCCTGGATTGCTCACAGAAAGAAAATGACTGGGCAGGACATGGCTGCACACCTGGAGTCCCAACTGCTCCAGAGGCTATGGTGGGTGGATCACTTGAGCCCAGGAGTTTGAGACTAGCCTGGGCAATATAGCAAGACCCCCTCTCAAAGATAAAAATATGGAAAAGAAAAGACGCACAACTCAGGTGTTTAAACCCTCAAAATCACAGAACAAAAAAAGCTTCTACAGAAGCCCTAAAAGTTTATTTTCCTGCTTTTGCTAAATCTGTCATTGGAATAAACACACTCAACAACCGGCAGAATACCCACATTGACCTTCTGACCCTTGGAGCAAGGTCCATTATGATAGGAAAGGCCTAGTGGAAGCCTTTGAAACATTCTCTATCAGGATAAGAAAACCAATGACAACACCTAATAACCCTCTCACAAAATTTCACTTCCCATTACTGAAACTTTGAGTTCTGCTAGTCTAGAGGTTTTGGTTCACATGTCAGAAATTCTTTCACCAGGGGCCTTTTGATAGCCCCATTGAACTGGAAGTAGAGAACACCATTTGGCCTTTTGGAATCCTCATGCTACTGAAGCAATAGGCAAAGAAGGAGGCTACTTCTCTGGTTATTCGATCCTGATTATCAAGAAGAAATTGGGTTTCTCCTACACCATAGGGGCAAAATGGATTAATGTCTGAAAGACAAGGGGCTTTTATGAGTGCTTCTTAGTATATCCATGCGCAGTTTAAAAATTTCCAGGAAAATTGTAGCAACAAAAACAACTACTACAAAAATGCAGAACCACTGATAATTCAAAAACTTTGGCAAAGAAGGTTTGGGTCGTTCTGTCAGGTAAAATATCACAATCAGTTCATTTCCTGTAAGAGGGCAAAGGAAACATACAGTAAGTAGTAGAAAAAGAAAGTCAGAGGACTAGAGCAGCATTAACTCATTTTCTCTTCTCCTTCCCTTTATTTTTTATTCAAAATCTGTGGTGATAGTTAGCATGATAGTTTTCTGCTTAGGTAACAGAATATTCACATAGGTTTGGGACTGAATTTGAATAGGATTAACAGTGTCTAGAAATACAGACTATAACTATTGGGACTTTGTGTGTCCTTGTTTGGAGGAGAGATTGGGAAAGTCGTTGTACTAAGGATAATTGCAGCTAATTAGGAAGATGTAGGGAATTGTTTTGGATATTGTATGAAAATCCAAAAATGTGTGGAAAGGAGTGTGCATTGACTATGTCAATTACCAATGTACTGTCAGCCTTGAACCCATCCTTCTAACTGTGCTAGGATCCTGCAGAGCACATTTATATTCTGGCCACTGGCTCCACGTCAGTTTTCAGCAACCTAAGCATGCAAGAGGGTGACCCACCGGGAGGTTGAAGGAAGAAGAACGGAGACACCACTTCCTGTTTCTTGCCTATCCTGCCTCTGCCTCCTCTTCCTGGCAGCCAGTAATGTTCCCTCACACTGGCTGTGGTAGTTTGTTTCAACAGCATTAGTGGACTTACAGGCCCAGCCTGTTCACGTGCCCTCAGACGGAGGCCTAACTCTGCAGAGGCCCTTCTCCAACTATCTAAGTTCTGTTGATTCAAACCACTTCCCTTTGTTCTCCTCAGCCCAAAAGGTAGTAGCTGCTTTCTGAAGTTGTTGCCACTATGAAAAATTAGTGTCCACCTCACCAGTTGTTCGTATTAGTTAACAGTTGTTACATAGATTCTCTCTCCTAAAGTAATGGTGTGGTTTCTACTTCCTAACAGTCCCCTGACTGATCCAGTGGGCAAAATAACTTTGGACTCTGGGGATCTGAACACAAAACCTGGGTGCATCACTTACTAGCTATATAACTTTGAGTCAATTCATCAATCTAAGCCTTAGTTTTCTCATCTGTAAAAATGAAATAATAGTATTGCCTAGGCTGGGCGTGGTGGCTCACACCTGTAATCCCAGCACTTTGGGAGGCCAAGGCGGGTGGATCACGAGGTCAGGAGATCGAGACAATCCTGGCTAACACGGTGAAACCCCGTCTCTACCAAAAATACAAAAAAGTAGCCGGACGCGGTGGCGGGCGCCTGTAGTCCCAGCTACTCAGGAGGCTAAGGCAGGAGAATGGCGTGAACCCAGGAGGTGGAGCTTGCAGTGAGCGGAGATCGCGCCACTGCACTCCAGCCTGGGCAACAGAGCGAGACTCCGTCTCAAAAAAAAAAAAAAATTGTATTGCCTAAAGCTGTAAGGATTGAGTAATAAAATTCAAGTAGAACAAGGTTATTAATGAAAGTCATAACTCAAATATAAAGAACTAAAACAATGTTTTTGTATTACAGAAGTTAACTTAGGCTGGGAACGGTGGCTCACACCTATAATCCCAGCACTTTGGGAGGCCGAGGCGGGCAGATCACCTGAAGTCAGGAGTTCAAGACAAGCCTGGCCAACATGGCAAAACCCCGTCTCTACTAAAAATACAAAAGTTGTCTGAGCATAGTGGTACACGCCTATTAATTCCAGCTGCTTGGGAGGCTGAGGCAGGAGAATTGCTTGAACCTGGGAGGCAGAGGTTGCAGTGAGCAAGGATTGTGCCACCGCACTCCAGCCTGGGTGATAGAACAAGACTCTGTCTCAAAAAAAAAAAAAGAAGTTAACTTAGCTCTGAAACACACATTTCTACTGATGGTGGAAATAATTTAATCTTGCCTGCCAATGTGATTGCTTCTGTTTAACCCCATCGCTCTCAAGTTAACTCCAGTTACAGTCCCTTCTCAGGGTTTCTCTCCTGTCTTTTTTCCTGGCCTCATTGGCTTTGAGATTCATAGGAAGCCTACCACCAGGTCAACATATTGCATCCTGTCCTCATGGTTTTCTCTGAGGCCTTTCATCCACTGTGTCTCTAGGTGTGTGATTCCAGCCTTGGTCCCTACTTCAGGGTTCATACCACACCAGTCTGTTCTGATGACTCTCAATGTATTGAGTCACCTTCTCCCTCCAGCCACCCCTCCACATGCTTGCACCACCCAACACCCTAAGTCAGACCCTTCCTCAGTCTTTGCTCTGTTCCCAAGGCCTCTGCATCCCACACCCAGAGCTTAGGGAGGTAAAAAAAAAAAGCTTGAGCCCATTGCCTCCCTGCCTCCAGCATCCCAGGGGCATCATCCTTTCACCCTGCTAGAAAGACACAAAAAATGTCCTCGAACGACCTCAAGGCACTGGCTTTGTAGAAAGAATGAGGTGAAAAGAAATGCAAAGGATTTACTTTTCACTACAAATTATTTTGTACACTTTTTGAATTTTCTACCATTCATGTATTTCCCGTGTTTTTTTGTTTGGTTGTTTTTTGTTTTTGAGAGATGGAGTCTCGCTCTGTCACCCAGGCTAGAGTGCAGTCGCGCGATCTCTGCTCACTGCAACCTCCGCCTCCCGGGTTTAAGCAATTCTCCCACCTCAGCCTCCCGAATAGCTGGATTACAGGCATCCACTATCATGCCTGGCTAATTTTTGTATTTTTGTAGAGACAGGGTTCCACCATGTTGGCCAGGCTGGTCTTAAACTGCTGAACTCAGGTGATCTGCCTGCCTCAGCCTCCCAAACTGTTGAGATTATAGGCATGAGCCACCATGCCTGGCCCCATGTTTTATTTTTTAAATGGCACAGAGATTATCTGGGCAGTGGGACTGTGAATAATTTTCTGCCTTCTTGTAATTTTTTCTACTAAAAATGAGTCCATGCTTGACTAACGGAGAGAGGGGTACACTGAAAACTTGCAACAGTGTTTGCAGATTCTAAAAGGTCTTGTGACTTGTCCTGTGACCCCCTTCTACAAGGACTCATTCCAACCACTTGCCCACTTGAGACCAAACGGCCTCAGCACCGTGAAGGAAAGGCACACAATTTGAGAGGAGCAGGGCAATTCTCTGCTCCAGTAATTGTGGATTTTAGTCACACAAAGAATATTGCAGGTTTATGCTAAATGAAGCTTGCTTCCAGTTTATTATATATTATTCTATGAAGCATTATTCATTATTCCACATTTGTGTGAAAGATGATGTCTTTAGTAGGCAAGAAGCAGAACGTGGCTAGGGAGTTTACCAAAAAGAATTGATCCAAAACCATGCTCACTGGTTATTATCCTCATTGGAGCAGGGACAGAAAAAGAACTGGTTATGTATTAGCAAAAATCAAATTGTGATTTAAAGGTATTAATTTAGTTAACCACATGTATGCATGTGATTAAAATGCAATATTGCTGTGATTATAATGCAATCAGCAAATTATTAAACTGCAATCAAAATGTAAACAAGTCCTGTGTGTCTGCCAGAAGTCTCCTCATCTCATTATTTTAACTCAATCTGTAAACTAGTTTATAGTAAATAGACTCTTTCATATTTCTCAGTTGTCACATTTCATTTTTTCTCTTAATTTGAAAACTGAAAAAAAAAATATCAGCGAGATATTGTTAAGGAATGTAATGTATCTTTCCAAATGTTATTTTAAAAGTTATACAAATCAGGGTTTATCCATATTACTATACTAAGTTTGATGTGCTAAAAGAAAAATAATTAATGTAAACACCTTGTTTATATATTTAAAACACAAAGATTAAGCAACATATTAATGACAATAAGCTTAACACTATTTTCACGATTTGTAGATTAGTTTACAAATTAATTTTTAAAAGATAGTAGTATGTGCTGAAGAAGACACTAGCTAAAAACAAAGATAGTTGTATATAAATGTGTTTTGTTCCCGCAATACTAGCACTGAATATGATTGCACTTTTAAAAATATTTTAATGCAGATAATTTTTAGATGTCAAAATTGGAGAAATGGTGTATTTTACTTAAATCCCATGTTAACCAAATCCCTAGTTCTCTATGTTCTGCCCACATTTAAAAAAAAAATACCTTGCTAGGCCGGGCACTGTGGCTCACGCCTGTAATCCCAGCACTTTGGGAGGCCGAGGCAAGCGGATCAAGAGGTCAGGAGATCAAGACCATCCTGGCTAACACAGTGAAACCCTGTCTCTACTAAAAATACAAAAAATTAGCCAGGCATGGTGGCAGACACCTGTAGTCCCAGCTACTCAGGAGGCTGAGGCAGGAGAATGGCATGAACCCGGGAGGCAGAGCTTGCAGTGAGCCAAGATCATGCCACTGCACTCCAGCCTGGGCGACAGAGTGAGACTCCGTCTCAAAAAAAAAAAAAAAAAATTAGCTGGATGTGGTGGCTCATGCCTGTAATCCAAAGTACTTGGGAGGCTGTGGCAGGAGAATCACCTGAACCCAGGTGGTGGAAGTTGCAATGAACCAAGACCGTGCCACTGTACTCCAGCCTGGGCAACAGAGTGACTCCATCTCAAAAAAATATAGATATAGATATAGATATAGATATAGATATAGATATAGAGATAGAGATAGAGATATAGAGATAGAGATATATATAGATATAGATATATAGATATAGATATAGATATCTTGCTGGTTTTCTGATCCTAAATTATACCAGAAGGAAATAAACACTCTCTAAAATATTTCACCCATCCTATCCTAGTACATGCCCTAAACGAAAACGTAAAATATTTTTCATCAATGGTATCCTAATTTCTATTTTAACTTACATTATACTGCCTATTGTTTAATATGAGCTTTTTTTTCCTCTTTTCCAGACTTCTTTGGAGTCCTGTCATCTAAGCTACAATAAAGCTTTGTTCTTCATTGGAAAAATCTTGCTGGAAAATCTGAATCTAGCTGTGGTGTTGTAATATAGGTGGGTTGGGCTGCCTTCAAAAGGTTGAGACACAAAGGGCTATTTCATTTAAGAAAAATAGAGTGTCTTGGAATCATTTCCTTAGACTAGGGTGGGTCCCAGTGGCAATTATGGTGGTGGAGCCTTTGCTTCCAGACAGCCTCGGTGAAAGCAGGCATTGTCTATGCCCATGACTGGAAGAGCTTAGAGGTACCTGAAAATTGGCATGGTTGTTAAATAAATCACAGTGTCTCTTCTCTTTACCTTTGCCTTTAAAATAATAATCCACCATGTTAAAAATGGTAAAGTACAACTTTTCTGATTCCATTCTTTAAGAACTCAGTTATATATAAAATCAATGGAAAAATAACATTATTCTATTTTTTCTTGTCTTTTTTAATACAAAAATTTTCATGAATCTATTTTTCCATGTCTGCCTTTTAATTTATAATATATTCTGTGGTTTACTTATTAATTCTATAATTGTTATATATTTGAGTTGTTAGTAGTTGTTGATATATTGTGCAACTATTTCATACAAATAATGTTGCTCTACCTTAAGAATAAGTAAATAAAATGAATTGTTGGCGCAATCTATAAAACCAAACATTAAAAAAACATATTAAAGAGATAACTCATTGAATTTTAAGAACATATTACATAAAACAATAATAATATGTGTGCCAGGCAATGTTCTAAGTGACTTACATATATTCACTTTTAATCCTTAGAACAGTCTCATAGAAGACTATTCTATGGGACTAAATGGGATAAAAATGGAAACTATTTTTTATCCCATTTTACAGATAAAACTGAAGCACAGAAAAATAAAGCAACTTGTCCAAGGTCACACAGATATTATGCAAAAGAGCTGATATTCTAACTCAGGCTCTCTGGTATCAGAGTACACCCTCTCAACCATTATACTACCTTGCCTCTGTAATGAGTATACAAATTGCGAAAGTTTTTCATACAAAGTGGGTCATTCTTCTTTATCATACAAATTGAATGAAGAGGCCAAGGGTAAAAGTACTCAGGGCACAAAATATTGCTCCAAAAATGTAATTTTCTGCAAGCCTGGCAGCTGAAGCTGCCTGCTGTAACTTGAAAACAGTTTCATCTAATGACTACCGAAACAACCTGTTACAATTCTAAGACTAGTTTTGCCCACTGCCATCGCTCACCAATCAGAACTTGCCAGCTCCTCAGAACCTGCCAGTGAAATTTCTCAAACAGCAATATGCAATATTTCTCCTTCCTATAAAACCTCTAACCTCTTTTTCCTTGGGACTCACTAAAGACCTTCCAGTCTGCGTGTATGCCCTGAACTGTGATTCTTTTCTCCCAAATAAAGCATTTTCATTTTAGGGATTTGTCTCTTTATTTTATTTGACTTTGACAAAATAAAGTGTCAAATAAACGATAAAGATTGGATTAAGATAGTAGACTGAGAACAGAGTCCAATTTCTTTCCAAACACAAATCCCTTAAAAATGACACAACACACAAGAAGAAGGAACTGAGGAAAGAAGGGAGAGAGGCAGAGAGGGAAGAAGGGAAGCACAGAGAGAGGCCGAAAGAAAAGAAGGAAGGATAGAAACAAGAAATCCACAACAGTGGTGGGAAACAGGGAATAGGTATGAATGGAAGAGAACTTTTGAGCAATTCCTGGACAGATTGAGGTGTGTAAAGGAAACCATAGTGCAAGCCACGGGGCAGAAGAAAAGATGAAAAGGTGCACACTACAGGGAACCTTAAGCCCCGAGGCGAGGCCAAGGGATCTGGGCCATGATAATGAGCACCTCCTGTGGAGCAGGTGGACCGGTTGCCCCCAGATCCACCCCCACAACACACACACAGAGACTACGGTAGCAATCAGCAGTGGGTCTCAACAAGTGCTTTCCAGCTGAAACATGCCATCAGAAGAAAGAGAACTACTGTCTCAGGAAGGTTTCTAATGGGGAGTAGATACCTGAGAGAGGGAACGTGTGTCTCAAGAACCTCTGGCCCTTCATGACAAGCATAAAAGAATAAAGAAAGGAACTTTCACCCAGAGTGGAAGTCCACAGCCAAGGTGAAGGCGGCTTTCCTTTGCTACCTTTGGGAACTTCAGTCCATCTGACTGCATCGTGCCCACTGGCCCTAAAGTAAAGCCTGCCGTGCACACAGCCTGCTCCTCTTACGGGTGGCACACGCCTCCACAGATCCTGCATGCATGCAGCTCTCACTCAAGCGAGAGACTTGCTGGAGAGAGAAAGGGACCTGTGATGAATTGCCGAGAAATCCTCATCAGCAATCTGTGGGGGAGGGCGGAGAACCACCAGACAGAGCAATTGATTCTGAAAAGTCTAAAATAATTCAGGAAACAGAAAATATTTTAGAACAAAATTAATTTGCTCTAAAAAAAAAAGCTTTCTTTTTTTAACTTTTTTTTCTTCAAGTTTCATTTTAAGTTCCAGGGTACACTTGCAGCATGTGCAGGATGTGCAGGATGTGCAGGTTTGTTACATACATAAATGTATGCCATGGTGGCTTGCTGCACAGATCAACCCATCACCTAGCTATTAAGCCCAGCATCCATTAGCTATTCTTCCTGATGCTCTCCCTCCCCCGGACCCCCAACAAGTCCCAGTGTCTGTTGTTCCTCCCCATGTGTCCACGTGTTCTCATCGTTCAGCTCCCACTTATAGGTGAGAACATGTGGTGTTTGGTTTTCTGTTCCTGCATTTGTTTGCTGAGAATAAGAGCTTCCAGCTCCATCCATGTCCCTGCAAAGAACAAGATCTTGTTCCTTTTTATGGCTTCATAGTATTCCGTGGTGTATATATACTGCATTTTCTTTATCTAGCCTATCATTGATGGACATTTGGGTTGATTCCATGTCTTTACTATTGTGAATAGTGCTGTAGTGAACATATGTGTGCATGTATCTTTATATTAGAATGATTTATATTCCTTTGGGTATATAGCCATAATGGGATTGCTGGGTCAAATGCTGCTTCTAGATCTTTGAGGAATTGCCACATGGTCTTCCACAATGGTTGAACTAATTTACACTCCCACCGACAGTGTAAAAGCATTACCTTTTCTTTGCAACCTCACCAACATCCGTTGATCCTTGACTTTTTAATAATAGTCATTATGATTAGCATGAGATTGTTTCTAATTGTAGTTTTGATTTGCACTTCTGTAATCATCAGTGATGTTGAGCTTGTTTTCATATGTTTGTTGGCTGCATTTATGTCTTCTTTTGTGAAATACCTGTTCATGTCCTTTCCCCACTTTTTAATGGGGTTGTATTTTTCTTTAAATTTGTTTAAGTTCCTTGTACACTCCAGATATTAGACCCTTGTCAGATGGATAGATGGCAAAAATTTCCTCCCATTCTGTAGATTGTCTGTTCACTCTGATGATAGTTCCTTTTGCTGTGCAGAAGCTCGTTAGTTCAATTAGAGCCCATTTGTCAATTTTTGCTTTTGTCACAATTGCTTTTGGTGTTTTTGTCATGAAATATTTGCCCATGCTTATGTCCTGAATGGTACTGCCGAGATTTTCTTCTAGGGTTTTTATAGTTTTAGGTTTTACATTAAGTCTTTAATCCACCTTGAGTTAAGTCTTTAATCCACCTTGAGTTAATTTTTATATGCGTATTGAAGGGGTCCAGTTTCAATTTCCTGCATATGGATAGCCAGTTCTCCCAGCACCATTTATTAAATAGGAATCCTTTCCCCCATTGTTCGTTTTTTCAGGTCAGGTTTGTCAAAGATCAGATGGTTGTAGATGTGCAGTCTTATTTCTGAGTTCTTTACTCTGTTCCATTGGTCTATGTGTCTTTTTTTGTACCAGTTCCATGCTATTTTGGTTACTGTAGCCTTGTAGTACAGTTTGAAGTTGGGCGGTAAGATGCCTCCCGCTTTGCTAAAAGAACAACTTTGCATAGAAAAAGGAACCAAAACAATAATTTAAAAGGTGATTGTAATTTAGGGTAATGGAATTATTCCATATCTTAATTGTGGTCATGGTTCCACGAGTCTATGCCTTTGTCAAAATTCATAGAACTATACCCTAAGAAGGGTAAATTTTATTCTGTGTAAGTTTCACTTAATAAACATGACTTTTTAAATGGTTTTAAATGCAACTGCAAAAATTTTTTTAAAATTAGAACAGCCATGCTTTAAAAAATAGACACGATTAAAGTAAATTAATAATCTAAAATACAGAGTCAAAAGACAAAGTCAAAACTTCTCCAAGAACATAAAAGAGAAAGACAAAGAGATGGACAATATTAGAAAACATTTTACAAGGCAGGAAAGATAAATCCACAAACTCTAACATGCTTTTAGCAGGAGTTCTAGAAGGATGAAACAAATGAAATAATAGAGGGAAAGAAATCAAGAATAATATTTCCCACACACAAGTCCTTTTTTTTTTTTTTTTTTTTTTGGTCTTGCTCTGTCCCCCAGGCTGCAGTGTAATGGTGGGATTACAGCTCACCACATCCTCACCACATCTTCAACTTCCCAGGTTCAAGTGATCTGCTTGCCTCAACCCCCTAAGTAGCTGAGGCTACAGGTATGCACACCACACTCAGCAAATTTTTTTGAATTTTAGTAGAGATGAGAACTTGCTATGTCACCCAGGCTAGTCTTGAACTCGTGGGCTCAAGCAATCCTCACATCTCAGCCTCCCAAAATGCTGGGGTTACAGGTGTGAGCCACCGCACTGGGCTGAAACATACATCTTTAAATTCAAATTGCTAATTGTATTGATCAATTTTGTGCTGCTATAAAGGAACACCTGAGGCTGGTAATTAATAAAGAGGTTTATTTGGCTCATGGCTCTGCAGGTTGGACAAGGAGCATGGCTTCAGCTTCTGCTTCTGGTGAGGGTTTCAGGAAGCTTCCACCCATGGCAGAAGGAGAAGGGGACCTGGCATGTCACATGGCAAGACAGAGGGGAAGGTGCCACGTTCTTTTAAACAACTAGCTCTCACATGAACTAATAGAGAGAGAATTCACTCCTTGCTGCAGGGACAGGACCAAGCCATTCAAGGGGGAATCTCCCCCCATGACTCAACCACCTTCCATTCAGCCCAACCTCCAATACTGGGCATCAAATTTCAACAAGAAATTTGGAGGGGAAAAACGTCCAAACTAATATCACTAATCAGATACCACTTGGGATAAGTAGTCCCAGACCAACACCTGTGCACATCCTGATAAAATAAAAGAACCCAAAGGACAAATAAAACTGTTAACAGCATTCAGATAGAAGCTGGGGGAATGAGAACCAAATTGGCAGCAGAATCCTTACTGCCCATTAAGTTGCTATTAAGCGATGAACATTATCTTCCAAGTCCTGAGGGAAATGGCAGTTTTCTCCACTGTGAAGATGCTCTTTTTCCCTTTCTGTGCCCCATTTGTTAGAAGCCAGCCTGCAGTCAAGGGGAGGAGAGTCAAGCTCCACCCCTGGAGGGAGAAGTATCAAATTCTGTATGGATCTATATTAAAAGTACCATAGTGAGGAGAAAATATTTTGGAAGCTGTGCAAACATACTGTTTCTCTTTAAAGTTTCATGCTCAGCCTTTTGCTCCTCCTCAAGTATATCTACCATGTCCCTGCTCCCAGGTGCCTGCCTGGGTGCTCTCCCCCAGAAGGGGAGCATGTGCTCGCCCCACTTCTTCCTGCCTGCACTCAGATGCCTCCTTTACAGCCCTGTCTTAACAGCACCTGCCACCCTTAATCCTTTGACCATCTTTCCTTTCTCTTGGTAGCATTAACTGAGCTCACATCACACAATTACCTACTGCTGAAAGCTCACCATCACACCCCGCCTCACTAGGAGCATAAGCTCCAGGAGACAGGGATTTGCCTCTGTCCTTCTCTCTTCTACAGAGGGCCTACAATAGAGCCTGTTTGCTAAATGAAAAATTGAAAATTAGGACTATTTGGAGTCAAATGATCCTAAGATCGTAATTTATACTCATGCTAACTAGTGTTTCTTGTCATTTTAAAGCCTTAGCCTATTATTCAGCCAACGTTGGAGTTCCTACTGCATGTGGTCAGTGGGTGGAGGGAGAAGGGAAAAGATAATGATAAATAAAACCTTGCCTGGACTCTTGTTTATTCTTGTGTATAAATGCACAGGTCTTCACAGTGTTGTAAGTGATGAAGGTGATCATTGGCAAACAGTCTAAATGCTATTGGAACAAAGGAGAAATAACTAGTAAGTCTACCTGCATGAATCAAGAATGATCTCTTGGGTACAGTTGCCAGTTTAGAATGAATTAGCCACTTAGAGAAGAGAGCAGAGGGTATTCTAAACAGAAGAGGAAACCAGTGAACAGTTGTAATCAGTCATGCAGTCTTGAGGACGCAGTGAACAATTGGTGCAATGGGAGCTAGCACCGGCTTACTGCACAACCTTTGCAGTCACGTGTGGCTTGGCTTTCAGAAGCACCCATGGTTGGCTGAATTTTCTGCTGTCGCTGGTTTAAAATTCTTAATAATTTTATCTCTGAACTTGTGCTTTGTCAGTGAGGTACAATGGGACAACGGAGCCTGTGCATGAGCACAGGAGATCAGGTCTGCTCCTTGTAGCCTCATTGATATATAGAGCCCACTGACGCCCCATGACAACAGAATTCCAGTGGACCCGGGCCACACTGGAGTTCAGAGAGATTCAAAGTGAGGACCAGGTGAGTGCCTAAAGTCTATCAGCCAGGCGCAGTGGCTCACGCCTGTAATCCCACACTTTCGGAGGCCGAGGAGGGCAGATTATTCAAGGTCAAGAGTTTGAGACCAGCATGGCCAACACAGTGAAACCCTGTCTCTACTAAATACAGAAAAATTAGCTGGGCATGGTGTCATGTCCCTGTAGTCCCAGCTACCCAGGAGGCTCAGGCAGAAGAATCCCTTGAACTCAGGAGGCACAGGTTGCAGTGAGCCATGATCACGCCACTGCACTCCAGCATGGGTGACAGCAAGACTCTGTCTCAAAAAAATAAAATAAAATAAAAATAAAGTCTATGGCAGACAGCCAAGAGAGGACAGGCTTTCCCTGCAAGCCAGAACTTGCCAGTAGAAGGCAGAAAGTGTGCTAAGAAATACGAACCACCAAGGAGTCCTCTCATACTCATTCCTGCTTACATTCTTCCCTACATTTGCTGAAGATAATGATGGGAAGAAAAGGGAAAAGGGGCAACACAAAGTACTTTTACCTTTCAGTTCTCTCTTACTTGTTGCTAAGCCAAAGGCAGAGAGCATTGGTAGAATGTGCACATATCAAGAACCAAAACAGAAAGTTACTTTGTGCAATGTGTCCTCCAAAAGACCACCAGAATTGCTAAACAGTAGAAAGGAGAGCTTTTTTGGTGCTATGAGTTTGCAAATCAGGAAAAGACAGTTTGTAGCAAGGATCGAAGGTGCTCTCTTTGAAGAGGGAAAGGGCAGCTTGGGTTTTATGCCCTGCAAGTCTGTGTTACATCATAGAGTCCTACGGATTCAGCATGTTGAGGGGGGAAAGCTAGACATACTTATTAGGGGAGCCAAGCACATATGCAATGGGTAAACATGTATGTAACGTACATCCCATGTTTACTTTGGAGTGGGGTTTTAGCATCAAAAAGAGGTGGGACCAGGTGCAGTTGCTCACACCTGTAATCCCAGCACTTTAGGAGGCCAAAGCGGGTGGATCACTTGAGGTCAGGAGTTTGAGGCCAGCGTGACCAATGTGGTGAAACCCTGTCTCTACTAAAAATACAAAAGAATTGCTGGGCATGGTGGCGGGTGCCTGTAAGCCCAGCTACTCGGGAGGCTGAGGCAGGAGAATCACTTGAACCCAAGAGGCAGAGGTTGCAGTGAGCCAAGATCCTGATACTGCACTCCAGCCTGGGTGACAGAGCAAGGCTCCATCTCAAAAACAGACAAACAAACGAGATGGAATTTGGTTCTTTACATCAAAAGGTGAACTACAAGACACAGGGACAGTTTGTGTGCACTTTCTATAAGCTGCTGAAACTAGCTTAAGGTCTGCAGTTGCTTGTCAGAAAAGAGTATTTGTAAGGTCAGTACTCTGTCCAGAGTTGCAGTGATCTGAGTTATAAATCAAAGTTAGGAGGAATGTGATAATTTGTGTAATAGCTCCTATTCTTAGCAAATTTAGCAAGACCGTGGTTTTTCTTGTAGCTGTAGAAATTTAGGGAGTTGCCATGCCAGCTGCCCTGAACCCTGGACCCATAGGTAACTTCCTTAACTTTAGAGTTCATCTTAGTTGATAATGGGGCATCTATTTTGGTCTCTCAGATCACAAGTATTTTCACTATTCTCTTAAAAATGAAATGCATAGACATGTACAAGTATAACTTGTGTAATTTCTGTGATAAGAGTTAAATGCTTTACACCTACATTTAAAAATGGCATTGCACAGTATAAAGATGAATGATAAACTTCATCTAATATTTAAAATTTTAAACCTTCTTTACTTAATACTAAACAACAAAATGAAAACCGAAACAAAAACCAGTTCAGAAATAGATGTTAGATGAAAAGAAAAAAACTTTATATTTTAGTACCTGTAATAACACTTTTTCATGCTTTTTGAACATGAGACCTGTGTTTTCATTTTGCACTGGGCCTTGTCAAGAGATAACCAAGCAGGAGGACACTAGTTCAAGTGGTAAGGACAGCGTTTAACCAGGAATAACTGTTGCAATAGGGAAAAGAGTCCAGAATGAACTGAACTCAACTCAGATTTGTGCAGAGGTGACTTTGTGCTATAAAAGGAGAATGAGGGAGTAGGAAGAGGGCCAGTGGGGGCTCAGTAGAGTCAGAGAAGTGAAAAAATACAAAAATCAGTCAGGGGCTGGTCCAAGTGCCTAGGCCATCCGGGTTTGCTAACTGGTGCTCATGGAAGACAGGGTCTTACCCTCCCACAGAGCCTAGAAGACGAGCAGGTTTTAGCTGGAACACACCGTGAATTGTTTTGGAAGCCTTGAGCTTTTCCAGGCAAAAACTTACCGGGTTTGGAGTCATCATTCCAGGGGCATGGCCTTGAGCTATTAGAAACTATGTGACTGTTTATTCAATCTCTTAGTGCAGAAGGTGAGCAAACTCATCTGTGCTGAGAGTCTACAGTTTTCAAGTTTTCACAGGCAAAGGTTGAGGTTGAGGCCTAGTCAAGAAAAGGGTTCAGAGGAGCCTGACTACAGTTTGGTCAAGAAGCGAGTCGTTGTCAGCCTAGAAAATTATGTAGGCTTTGTGGGGGTGCCTACTGTTCATGACAGAAATGACTGAGGTGTGATAGAAATGAGAAGGGCTTACATTCCAAAATGGAATTTTAATTCTAAATAAACATAATTTTGTAGTACGGACTTTCTCCAAAGGAACCACAGCATATAGTTAGTAAATTCCTTCTAAAAGTGATCCATAAATTTAGTAGAAACCTATCCTCATAGTATCTCAAAAGAATTTAGAAACCATTCCAAACCTTTATGTTAGGTAGGAGAAAACTAGGAACCTGAGAAGTTGACCAGTGGAAATTAAAGGGAAAAATTTGTGTCTGTTGATTTGACATCCAATCAATACAATAAGGTGGGTATTCACTTATCTCTCTTCTTCCTTCCCCTTACACCTAAAATATTTCATTGTCTCTCCCTCCATAAAATAGAAATGGCAGACATAAATCTTAGAATAAACAAAACCTTTACTCATGTATGAGTTTTTACAGATTTTAAGGCATTTTTCATATCAGTGTTTCATCTCATCCTCACACTATTTCAGAGAGTGTGAAGGGCAGACCGTACCATTTCTCTATGAGTTGGAAATTCTTAGGCCCAGAAAAGTGACCCGACCAGTGTCACTCACCAAATGCTGGATTGTCAGGGACAAGATGGTCTTCTGAGAACCAACCCCCATCCCCACCGCCAAATCCTCCTGAGCCCTCCTCTGAGCCTCATGTGAAAGTTCACTCTTGGAAACCTGCTATTCAACTGAGGCTGCTATTTTAAAAAATACCACAGACTTGGTAGGTTAAACAACAAATATTTATTTCTCAAAGTTCTGGAGGCAGGAAAGTCCAAGACCTAGGTGCTGGCCTATTTAGTTGCTGGCTCGGGCTCTCCTTCTGGTTTGCAGATGGCCACCTTCTCACTGTGTCCTCAGTCTCTTATATAAAGAAACTAATCCCATTCATAAGGGCTCCACCATCATGATCTAATTACCTCCCCAAATCCTCACCTCCAAATACTGTCACATTTGGTATTGAGCCAGCTTCAATATATGAATTTTGGAGAGACACAAATATTCCACCTATAGCAAAACCCTAGCAGCACATGAATGTGAGTTAAAAAGTAAGAAGTGTGCTATCCCTGAAGCTGTGTTCACATGCAGTGATAGAGAAAGGACAAACAACATTTGCTTTGGATGCCACCAAATTATAATGCCTTCCAGCTATGCATGTGATATGAAAGGTATCAACCATCTTTGGCTGAATATGTATATATATATATATTTTTTTAATATCTTAAACCTGATTCCTGACAACTTAAAAATAACACTTATTCCTTTCAGTTTCTGTATATTGATTCTTTAAAATATCAATTTAAATATCCTCCATAATATAGAAAATATGTTATTTTAATATTTACTTATATGTTTAAGACCACATATCTTACATAATGTCTGGCTCCAAATTAAGAGGATTTCCTCTAAATTCAGTGGTGGAGAAAATTAGCTTAATAAAAGTGATTTAGGATGAGATGAAAATGTTTTGGTTCTGTATTTCAAGAAAGCAAAGTAATGAGTCTCTAGGATCATTAAACTCTAAATTAAAAATTCCTCTGCTGAAACATTATTATTATTATTAAATAGTGAAAATATATTTAAAGCCAATAATATGCTATGTAAGTTTGGAAAAAACAACTCATTAAGGGAGTGTGAATGTCACTAAAATATTTAATGAGCCTATTCACTACTTAAGATGAGCCAGTTCATGATGAGTGGATGTGTTTGCTGAAATAGAGAAGCAATAGGGAATCTAACTTGTTGAATTTTAGAAATCCCTTGTATTACCTTATGGCTCCTATGGGACATCTTTCATTCATCCATACATTTATTCATTTCACAAAGAATCTGTTAAGAGTCAGATCAATAATATAAGGCATTTGCCACCCATCTGGCAGGAAAGGAAGGCACATGCGGATCCTGACCCTAGTGAGGTCAGTCCGGGCATAGTGCATGCAACCTTAAGTAATTTTGAAATGAGTTGAGCCCTTTCTTAGGTTCTCCCAGGACCAGACTCTGAAAAAAGGAGTAGGTAAGTCAATGATTTGGGAGTTGATTCCAAGAAACTCTACCGGTAGAGGGTGGAGAAATGAAACAGGAAGGGAAAGAAGCCACTAAGGTGTGTGATAACAAGCGGGTTCCCCTTGGGGCTCCTGGAGCTGAGTCTCATGAGGACACCAGATGCTGGCTCAGAAGTCAGGCCTACTGGCCCATAGTGACTGCTGGGGACATCGGGAGGGAAGGCACCAGCCATGCATCCCATGGACTTAAGACATGTTTCTCAAACTCTTTACATGAGCATAGAGACCCTAGGAATACTGCTTGCATTTCCCTCAGTCTTCCTAGAAAAAATAAATAAATAAATAAAATAAGGCTAGTTTTTCTACTTCTACTCCCTTCAGCTTTTAGTCTTGTCCCTTCCACTTCTGGTTTGGAAAAACATGACAGGATGAAAACACTCTTAAATGATCCATTTTGCCGCTAATCTTCTTTAACCCAATAATGGCTGCAGCAGAGGTACTAGGATGGTGTCATGGGAATGCAGCAAGGGAGTGGCAGCCTCTGCTTGGCGAGGAGGGGAAGGCTTCTGAAGAGGTGAGGCTTGAAGGGGTGAGGGGTCTGCAAGGTGCAGAGGCAGGTGCAGCTGGCCCTGGGTGAGGAAAGTATTTGAGGCCCCGGGGTGCACTCAGAAGGGTAAACTGCCCTTTGTGCCTGGAGCACAGGGTACCAGGGATACTAGAAAAGAGGCCTAGAGTTAGATAGGGCCAGATAGCATGCTGGAGGATTAGGGAGGGTGGTTGCCAAAAAGCATGCTTTCCTCTGAACTTGCTAATCATGCTGAATGCAAAGTCCCATAAAACCATATAATAGCAAGCTGGAGAGAAAGGAAGTTGTGGGTGGATAACATGGCTTAATCTTCATTTTCCATAATAGAAAGTAAAAAATCATGAGTAATAAAGACAAATTTTAAATGACAACAAGGACGGGCGTGGTGGCTTACGCCCGTAATCCCAGCACTTTGGGAGGCTAAGGAGGGTGGATCACCTGAGGTCAGGGGTTTGAGACCAGCCTGGCCAACATGGTGAAACCCCATGTCTACCAAAAATACAAAAATTAGCCAGGTGTGGCGGCAGGCACCTGTAATTCTAGCTACTCAGGAGGCTGAGGCAGGAGAATCGCTTGAACCTGGGAGGTGGAGGTTGCAGTGAGCCAAGATCGCACCATTGCACTCCAGCCTGGGCAACAGAGTGAGACTCCATCTCAAAAAAACAAAAAATGACAACAAAATATGATATTTAAAAGTAAGACCATTGGACATTGCTAAATAAGCTAAAAGTGATTGTAACTAGGAGCAAGATTTGGGATAGGGAGGTGAAGACAGGAAATTGATGAAGGACAATTTGACTTTTAAAACTATGTGAACGGCTCACACCTGTAATCCCAGGGCTTTGGGATGCTGAGGTAGGAGGATCACTTGAGGCCCAGGAGTTGGATATCAGCCTAGACAACACACTAAGATCTCATCTCTACTTAAAAAAAAAAAAAGAATTAGTCAAGCAAAGTGGCTCACACCTATAGTATCAGCTACATGGGAGGATGAGCCAGGAGGACTGCTTGAGCCCAGGAATTCGAAGCTGTAGTGAGAACTATATCATGCCACTCCACCACTCCACTCCAGCCTGGGTGACAGAGCGAGATCTGATCTCAAACAAAATAAACAAAAACTACAAATAAGTCAAAGTCATATAAAATATAGAGATAAATCTCTAAATTTAAAACATTTTATTTGGGAAGCAAGAATTGCAACTCGGGGCATACATACAGATGAGATGCTCTTCAGTGTGTCTGAAGAACAAAGAGAAGTTTGGGCATTTTACAAAAAGGAGCAATGTTACATATTGTTTTGAAAGAAAATTTATTGGCACTAGTAAAGTTTTGGCAAGCTGGCAAGCTCTGATTTGTGCATGACTGGTGGAGTTGCAACAAGTTATTTCAGTAGCTATTAGGTAAACCTGGTTTCAGGCTACAGTAGCCAGCTTTAATAGCCAGCTTGCAGTGGATTACAGTTTTGGAGCAATGTTTTGTGCCCTAAGTGCTTTCTCCCCCGGCTCTTGACTCTGTTTCAGTTGAGTGTGACAAGAATGACCCCATCTATATGACCAACTTTCAAATATACAAGCATGTGTGTTACTTCAAATAAAAGTAGAGATAATTACGTTACAACCTCACAGTTGAATACCTAAATTAATGTAGGTCATCAAAAAATGTTATTTACATGATGCTCTGCAAAGTGTGTCCTATTATCACCCATGCTTCCCTCTAAGAGAGCCATTGCATATTCTGACTGATTGGGAAAGCTCTGAAAAGTATTCTTGCTTCCTTGACATTTATTAGAGTTATGGTCAACAAATGATCATAGCTGTTTAGTGTGTTAAAAGTTTGCTTTGGCTGGGCACAGTGGCTCACACCTGTAATCCCAGCACTTTGGGAGGCCGAGCCGGGCGGATCACAAGGTCGGGAGTTCGAGACTAGCCTGACCAACATGGTGAAACCCCGTCTCTACTAAAAACACAAAAATTAGCCAGGTGTGATGGCACACCTGTAGTCCCAGCTACCCAAGAGGCTGAGACAGGAGAATCGCTTGAACCCGGGAGGCGGAGTTTGCAGTGAGCTGAGATTGCGCCACTGCACTCCAGCCTGGGTAACAGAGTGAGACTCCATGTCAAAAAAAAAAAAAAAAGTTTGCTCTGGCTGGGCACAGTGGCTCATACCTGTAATCCCAGCACTTTGGGAGGCCTAGGTGGGTGGATCACCTGAGGTCAGGAGTTCGAGACCAGCCTGGCCAACATGGTGAAACCACATCTCCACTAAAAATACAAAAAATTAGCTAAGCGTGGTGGCAGACACCTGTAATCCCAGCTACTCGGGAGGCTGAGGCAGGAGAATCGCTTGAACCCGGGAGGGCAGAGGTTGCAGGGAGCCGAGATTGCACCGTTGCACTCCAGCCTGGGTGACAGAGCGACACTGTCTCAGAAAAAAAAAAGGTTTGCTCTATTGTCTGCTTAAATAATTTCTATAAACACAGTCACTTTGAAAATCACTAAAGGCTGCATTAGGAGAACAAAATTAACAGTTCATCATTCCCTCCTTAGAACTCAGCAACCCCTTTGAAGTATTGAACTTTTTAATCTAATTGTAATTTGCAAGTTTGAATGCTAAGACCTTAAGGGAGAGAAGCCACTACCAGTGTACGCTTGGTTTTGGGTTTTCACAATGGAAAGAACTAAACATTAAAATGTTTTCTGAGAAAAAATATCAATAGCCAACCACTATTGTGTAAAACTAATTTTCTAATTAATTTTTTTGGCTTTTTTTGCCCATAGGTAAATGTTATTAACTCTTTACCTAGCCCTGCCTCCACTCCCACAACACAAACCTTGACTGTCGGGTGAGAAAAAACAACTGAGAGAGGCATTCTTATTTCTAACAGAAAGACAGAGCATTCTTTACTATTATTATATTAAATTTTTTGTTTCCATAGGTTTTTGGGGAGCAGGTGGTATTTGGTTACATAAGTAAGTTCTTTAGTGTGATTTGTGAGATTTTGGTGCACCGTCACCCGAGCAGTTTACACTGAGACAGAGCATTCTTACGCAGCTCAGCTCCATGGTTTTGTCAAGCACGTCTATGTGCTCATGTGGGTGAGGCTTTCATATAACATGCACATGTGTATGAGGCTTTCCTATAATGACTGGAAAAGGATTGGTGCTTTAAAGTCCTTTTGTAATGTCAAATACAAATAAAATAAATAATTTTCTTAAAAGGTTTCTATCTGTGACAGTGTATCTGTCACTGGACATCAGTCATTTGAAACGCAAAGATATCTGTTCATCTGGACTGTCATGAATAATAAATAATCCGTCAATAATTTGTTACATAGTGTTTATTACCTCAGATTTAGGATAACAATGACAGCCAGTTACCAAGGAGGATAGTTGCCTGAAGCTGGTTTTCTGTGGTGTTGGTGGATTTCTACCTTGTTATCGCCTCTCACCCAATCCGCTGGATAACTTTCGGTGCATATTTTCACAATGGCTGACCACAGTTAGTTAAAGCCACATTCTATGGCCATGAGATACCACAAAGCTAAGTGACCCATATAGAAACTAATGGAGTTTTACATTTCAACATTGACTACATTTGCTCTGTTAGCAAAACACATGAATTGTCTCATCTATGCTACTAGGTAAAAAGAAATAAGAATCATGTTACAAACTCTGGTAGATTAAGAACTTTAAGAACCCTGAGTAATACATTCTTCTGCTACTCTTCATTACTGCCACAAAGAGAAAATGAAAGAATGAACAAAAAGGAAGAGATTAAGTGACATTTTCTTTGCAATAATATTAATTAACAATTTTGGCAAGGAATGGACTTACCAACAACTTCACATAAATATTTGTATTGTAAGAGTTAAGTCTGTAACTCTTTTAGGATTACTGTAACCACCCAATGGGTTCACCTTGTCTGCTGCCTAGACAGAGCCAATTAATTTATCAAGACAAAGGACTTGCAACGGAGAAAAAGTAATTCACCCAGAGCCAGCTGTGTGGGAGACCAGAATTTTACTATTACTCAAATCAGTCTCCCGGAACATTCAGGGATCAGAGTTTTTAAAGAAAATTTGGCGGGTAGGAGCTTGGAAAGTGGGGAGTGCGGCCAGGTTGGAGGTGGAATCTTAGTGAGTTTTTCTTGCTGCTTTCTGTTCTGGGTGGGATGGCAGAACTGGTTGAGCCAGATTACTGGTCTAGATAGTGTCAGCTGATCCACTGAGTGCAGCTATGAGATATTGCATGAGATATTGCAAAATATCTCAAGAACTGATCTTAAGTTTTACAATAGTGATGTTATCACCAGGACCAGTTTGGGAAGGTTCAGACTCTTGGAGCCAGATGCTGAATGACCCCTAAACTGTCATTTCTAATCTTGTAGCTAATTTGTTAGTCCAGCAAAGGTAGACTGGTCCCCAGGCAAGAAGGGAGTCTTTTTGGGAAAGGGCTATTATCAGTTTTGCTTCAGAGTCAAACCATGAACTGAATTTCTTCCCAAAGTTGGTTTGGCCTACCCCCAAGAATGAACAAGGACAGTTTAAAGGTTAGAAGCAAGATGGAGTGGGTTAGGTCTGATTTCTTTCACTGTCATAATCTCCTCAGTTATAATTTTGCAAAGGCAGTTTCACTACTCCTTGGGCAGTGCTTTGAAATCCACTACAAAAATATTTTGGACTGGAAATTTTGTAAGTAAGAGTTACTCTTCACTTAATTTTTTTTGGTGTCAGTTGTCTTATTAAAAAAAATAGACAACTTTTTTGACACAAATGTGATCTAGAAGTATCACAACATGGTCCTATAATGCAAGGTTTATAAGATTAACAAATGACCTTATTTCCTTTAGGACAGGGGTCCCCAACCCCTGGGCCGTGGACTGGTACCGCTCTGTGGCCTGTTAGGAACCGGGCCACACAGCAGGGGGTGAGCGGCGGGCGAGCAACCAAAGCTTTAGTATTTACAACCACTACCCATCACTGGCATTACTGCCTGAGCTCTGCCTCCTGTCAGATCAGCAGTGGCATTGGATTCTCATAGGAATGGCCGGGCACGGTGGCTCACGCCTGTAATCCCAGCACTTTGAAAGGCCAAGGCGAGTGGATCACCTGAGGTCAGGAGTTCAAGACTAGCCTGCTCAACATGGAGAAACCCCGTCTCTACTAAAAATACAAAAAAAAAAGTTAGCTGGCCGTGGTGGCAGGCACCTGTAATCCCAGCTACTTAGGAGGCTGAGGCAGGAGAATCACTGGAACCCGGGAGGTGGAGGTTGCAGTAAGCCGAGATAGAGCCATTGCACTCCAGCCTGGGCAACAAGGGTGAAACTGCATCTCAAAAAAATAAGAAAAATAAAAAATAAATTAAAAAAAAGATTCTTATGGGAACACAAACCACACTATTGTGAACTGTGCATTCAAGGGATCTAGGTTGCATGTTCCTTATGAGAATCTAATGTCTTATGATCTGTCACTGTCTCCCATCACCCCCAGATGGGACCTTGTTGCAGGAAAACAAGCTCAGGGCTCCCACTTATTCTACATTATGATGAGTTGTATAATTATTTAATTATATATTGCAATGTAATAATAATAGAAATAAATTGCACAATTGCACTTGAGTCATCCCAACACCATCCCTCCCACCCTAGTTCATGGCAAAATTGTATTCCACAAAACCAATCCCTTGTGCCAAAAAGATTAGGGACCACTGCTTTAGGCAGTATCCCTAAAATTTGCGGCGTGTGTCACCAGGTGGCAGAGGTATACTGCTTCAAGTAATCTAGTACTGTAGTTTCTTGAGATCCAATTTTAATCAGGAATTTTCCAGAAATATGTAAATCCATATTTACCCCATGGTGCGTATGCTCATTGAAATGGCTAGACATAAGAGGCATGAAGAGCACATAAGGCACTCTTAAGAGCACATGCCTGGAAGGAGGTTTGTGTCTGTCTGTTCCCTGCTGTGCCCGGATCCTATGGATGATCTGACACTAATTAGCTGCTCAACAAACATTTGTGGAGTGGATGGAGAATGAATAGAAGGAGTCTTCCTGAAGTGGGTATAATTTGGTATTCTCAATAATCACAACTTTATCATTCTCAACAATAAATTACTATATTCTATTTACAGAACTTTTGCCTTGGAGTAAAATCTCTCAACAGACTTGTTTTATTCAATGAACATTCAGTCTGACCTGCGTTCCAGAGTCCCTCTGGGGAAATTTAATTGGCCATGTTTGGAATATTTACTCCTTCAAGGGTATCAATGTGGATTAAAGTAAAAATGTTAATTTGTATTTCCAGCAGTCTTCAATATATCAGGGAGAGGAGCAGATAGGAAAGGATAGGAATGGCTCTGCGGCAAGAATAATATTGTTACACTCAATAGGTGTTGAAATGAGCAGTTTCTAGTTTTCTTTGCCAGCATATGCTAAGTACTGACTGCACGTTTCCTTGTTATCCTGTTGCGTAGTCTCACCTTTCTTACCTTTAAAATGAGAACAATATTACCTGCCTCCTAGGGTCATTAGATCAATGAACTGCTACACGTAAACTGTCAAGCACAGTACTTAGCAACTCTCACCCAGCTGTAATCAACATTCTAGACTTGGACTATATAGACAATACACTGTAGGAGTGTCTTAGTCAATTTCAGCGCTGTGACAGAATATCTTAGACTGCATTGATGAATAAACAACAGAAATTGCTCATTGTTCTGGAGCCTGGGAAGTCTGAGATCAAGGCACCAGCAGATTTGGTGTCTGCTTCATAGATGGTGACTTCTTGCTGTGTCCTTACATGGCAGAAGTGGGCAAACTCCTTCTGGCCTCTTTTATGTGGGCACTAATCCCATCCCTGAGGGCTCTGCCCTCAGGACTTAATCACTTCCTCAAAGGCCCCACCTCTTACAACTATCACATTGGAGATTAAATTTCATCATACAACTTCGGGCGGGGAACACAAATACTCAAACCATAGCAGGGATGCTGAATAACTTTGCTCATATGACAATTCTAGTTAAGTGATGGAACTGGACTTTGACCCCAGATCCACCAATTTCAAAACCCATACCTTTTAAACTGTCCTGCAATACTAGCTCTTTTTGGGTTAAGAAAACCTTTGGCCGGGCGCGGTGGCTCGCCCCTATAATACCAGCAGTTTGGGAGGCCCAGGCGGGCGGATCACGAGGTTAGGAGATCGAGACCATCCTGGCTAAGACGGTGAAACCCCTTCTCTACGAAAAATACAAAAAAAAATTAGCCGGGCGTAGTGGCAGGGCGCCTATAGTCCTAGCTACTCGGGAGGCTGAGACGGGAGAATGGCGTGAACCCGGGAGGCGGAGCTTGCAGTGAGCTTAGATGGTTCCACTGCACTCCAGCCTGGGCAACAGAGCGAGACAACGTCCCAAAAAAAAAAAAGAAAGAAAGAAAACCCTTTATGACTTGTTTTCCCCATCAAAATATTACTCTTCCTTCTTCTTTTTACAGTTTCACCTGTTGTGTTCCTTTTGTAAATTTTCTCTGAGCGGTTCTTAACTTTTTTGAGTTTGCATATTCTTTGAATATCTGATAGAAGTCCTACCCCCGCAAAAAATGCCTAGACAAGAAAGTCAATCCCAAAAATCTTGCATAGAATGTGGTCAACAAAAGTCTATTCTAAATCCTGTTTTTCTAAATAGCTTGTGTCTTTAAAAATCACTTTTCAATGTTCAATTGGTACCTCAATAAGAAATATGTCAAACCCAGAACTACTTAATGTCTGTTTCAAATCTTAATTTTAATTTTTTTTTTTTTGAGACAGAGTCTCACTCTGTTGCCCAGGCTGGAGTGCAGTGGCATGATCTTGGCTCACTGCAACCTCCACCTCCTGATGCAAGCGATTCTCCTGCCTCTACCTCCATTTTCAAGTGATTCTCCTGCCTCGGCCTCCCAAGTAGGTGGGATTACAGACATATGCCACAATACCCAGCTAATTTTTTTTGTATTTTTAGTAGAAATGAGGTTTCGCCACATTGGCCAGGCTGGTCTCAAACTCCTGACCTCAAGTGATCCACCCATCTTAGCCTCCCAAAGTGCTGGGATTACAGGCGTGAACCACCATGCCCAGCCTAAATTTTAATTTTTTTAAGAACTCCAGCTTATAGAAAAATTGAAATACATAGCAAAGCAAAATGAGTTAGCAATTTACTTTTTTTCTAGGAATTAAAGATAACTACTACACAAAATTTAGTATGCCTTCTGAAATATAAGTTGAATCATGTTACACATATAATTTTACATACATTTTCAGGTAACATTATGTAAAAACATTTCTCAATTTTATGCATGAAAATAACTGCATTAAACTCCCTCAAATGTGAACATTTTCCAGTTTAAGTTATTTTTCATTTTTTTGACATAAATTTTTGAACATTTGATGTTACTCTTTGAATTAGTCACAGTATGAGATCACTGAATCTAATGTATGCTTTTTTAAAGGCTTGTTGGTACATTCTGACAAACCGTTTTCCTAAATAAAAAATTGCTTTTTATTTTCTGTAGGCAATTCATGCATGTGTAAATATATGCACAATTTTCATATTTACAAATTTCAATTTTTATGATTTTGTTAAATAACACCAGCCTAACAGCTTAAATCTTAGTTTCCATGTATGTGTAAGAAAGAATTTGACCTTGTCCTGAGAGATACTCTCTAAAACCTTGGAATTTTGGAATGATAGGAGCACCTTTTTTTTCATGTTCATCCTCCTGCAGACCAGAGCTAATGGTTCATGTTAGCAAGTCGACTCATGGTAGGTCCATTTGGCCATGTGATATCAGCCCAACCTTTGGTGGGAAGACCGAGTTCAACCACGGGGTAATCAATCAACAGTCAATCATGCCTACAAAATGAAGCCCCAATAAAAACTCTGGACATTGAAGCTAGGGATGCTTTTCTGGTTGGCAATACTGAGCATACTGTCATACGTCAATGCCAAGAGGGTAGCATGTCCTGGCGTCAATAGAAGCTTTGCATTTGGAACCTTTCCATAAATATCCAATATATGATAATATATCAGAATTAACCAGTTCCTACAGATGGACATATATGTACATATATGGTTCTTAGAATAGTTTTGAAACACAATAAAACTATTTATTTGTATTGTGATTTTCAGTTTTCAGTACTTTTACATCGCTTGTGTTATTCACCACTGAAGACACTCCTGAGGCTGACCTACCTCTGGTGGCAATCACTGTCCATTGCTTTTTCTAGAGCTCATTCCTCCTTCTTTGTCTGAATACTCAAAAAGTAGGTCAAATCAATTAGTGCCAGACAACGCTGTGGGATTGTCAACCTTCAACCCTCTCTGAGAATAAGAATAAGCTGAGGAGCTTAAAAATAATATTGCAGAGGCTTGGGTCCCACCCACAGAGATTCCAGTTCAATTTGCCTGAGGTACAGCCTCAGCATCAGTATTTTTAGAGTTCCTTAGGTGATTCTAAAGTACAGTCAGGAGCAAGAGTCAGGGTTCTCATGCATGATAAATTCGAGAATTAAAATCTGAGGCCTTAAGTGAAGTAAAATAAGTTAGCAGCTACTTTTTAAAAATAACCACACCTCATATATTTAAAATAATTACTTAATATTTAATGTAAATGTTTCAGTGATTAGATTAACTAAATAAGGTTTACCTATGTAACCCCTGGCACTTGTATGGAGCAAAGCTGATGTAAAAAGTAAGGCTGGGAGGCGGGGCATGGTGGCTCATGCCTGTAATCCCAGCACTTTTGGAGGCTGAGGTGGGAGGATAACTTGAGGCCAGGAGTTCAAGACTGGCCTGGCCAACATGGTGAAACCTTGTCTCTACTAAAAATACAAAACTTAGCCAGGTACAGTGGCATGCACCTGTAGTCTTAGCTACTTGGGGAGGCTGAGGCAGGAGAATCGCTTGAACCCAGGAAGCGGAGATTGCAGTGAGCTGAGATCACGGCACTGCACTCCGGCCTGGGTGACAGAGTGAGACTCTGTCTCAAAAAAAAAAAAAAAAAAAGAAAGAAAAGAAAAGAAAAGAAGGCTGGGAGAAACACTTCCAAATTGGTGGGATAAGGACCTCTGAAAATCTGTTCCTCCAAAAAGCAACGTGAACACTGTCAACATGGTCAGAATAAACATCTTCACAACTCTGAAAATTAGCCAAAGGCTCACAACAATCTGAGAAATATTTATTCAAGAGCATGGCAGAAACAGTGAGCTTCACGATGTTGTAAACAGCCTCTTCCACCCCTCTGCACCTATCCCCATGGCAGCCTTGAAAGGCAGCAGCCTGGCAGCTGTTCCTGCTATGAAAGTCAGCAGCCACCGGAAGGAGCAGGAAAATGACGGAGCTCCCGGCAAGCCTGATCCCAAGATACAGCTGGGGAAAGCAAGAGCCTGGCCACAAATATTAAAACGAAAATTCAGGGAATGAGATATCAATAGGAGACTTTGAATACGTCCAAGATATCATAGGAAAAATAAAGACCCACACATGTACAAGGCTGTGTACATAACCAGTAAAGACTTGAAAAGTCCCAAATCTCTCACCTGGAGGTGACCTTAAGGCCTTATGCAAACAGGAAGTCAAGGTTAAGGCAGAGTGGCAAACTTCCAGAGCATTGCAGATGTGCCCCACTATGTACTCAGAGCCCCTTGTAAGAGTGGGAGACATTGGCTCAAGGCCTTCAGGGAAGTTTCTGTCTAATCATTAACTGACCCCTAAGCTAATCAGGCACATACTTCAGAGGCTACACAGAACAAAGAATAGAGGCTTTACTTGTAAACTTTAAACAAACAAAGAGCAACATAAACAACAACAGACCCTGGGGATTGAGGGGAAACTGGTTTTAAGAGTTGCCACATTATAATAGTGTTTTCATTAATAGATTTCCTTTTGTAGAGCCATTTTAGGTTTAATAAAAAATTAAGCAGCTAGTGCAGAGTTCACACGGCTCCTCTGTTTCTTTCTTTTTTTTTTTTTTTTTTTCTTTTTTTTTTTGAGAGGGAGCTTCGCTCTGTTGCCCAGGCTGGAATACAATGTTGCGATCTCGGCTCACTGCAACCTCCGCCTCCCAGGTTCAAGCAATTCTCCTGCCTCAGCCTTCTGAGTAACTGGGACTACACCTGCCTGCCACCACACCCGGCTAATTTTTGTATTTTTAGTAGAGACAGGGTTTCACCATGTTGGCCAGGCTGATCTCAAACTCCTGAGCTCAAGTGATCCTCCTGCCTTGGCCTCCCAAAGTGCTGGGATTACAGGTGTGAACCACCACACCAGGCCAGCTCCCCTGTTCTTAACAATGAATTAGTGTGATATATATGTTATAATTGATGTGCCTATACTGATATATTATTATTAACTGAAGTCCATAGTTTACATTAGGGTTCATTCTTTTTTTATTTTTTATTTTATTTATTTTTTTGGTACAGGTCCTCCAGTCATTGCTCAGGCTGGTGTGCAGTGACATAATCATAGCTCACTGCAGCCTCAACCTCCTGGGTTCAAGCAATCCTCCTGCCTCGGCCTCCTGAATAGGTGGGACTACAGGTGTGTACACCACCACACCCAACTAACTTTTTCTTTTTCTTTCTAGGGATCAGGTCTCACTATGTTGCCCAGGCTGGTCTTGAACTCCTGGGCTCAAGCAATCCTCCCACCTCAGCCTCCCAGAAATTACAGGCATGAACCACCACGCCTGGCCCTTTTTTTTTTTTTTTTTTTTGACTCCTGGCAAGCTGGGAAAGGTTCACTCTTTATGTTTTATATTCTATCAGTCTAAAGACATGAATCCACCATTATAGTACCATATAGAATAGTTTTACTGCCCTAAAACTCCACTGTGCTCCACCTATTCATTCCTCATCCCCTCACCGTGAAGCACTGACAACCACTGATCTTTTTACTGCTTCTTTCTCTGCCCCTCCTCCAGCAATTTATTTGTCAACCCTCAAGGGGTCACAGCTCAGGTGGGGTCTGACCACTCTCTACTCCAACAAGGTCAAAATAAGGGTTCTCCCAATACTGAGAAAATGACCACACTGCCCAAAGCAACCTAGAGATTCAATGCAATTCCCATAAAAAATGACAACACTGTTTTTCACAGAATTAGAAAAAACAAACAATCCTAAATTTCATATGGAACCAAAAAAGTGACCAAATAGCCAAAGCAATCATAAGCAAAAAAGAACAAATCTTGAGGCATCACATTACCAGACTTCAAGTTATACTACAAGGCTATAGTGACCAAAACAGCATGGTACTGGTATACAAATAGGCACATAGACCAATGGAACAGAATAGAGAACCCAGAAATAAAGCCAAATACTTACAACCAACTGATCTTTAACAAAGCATGCAGAAACATAAATTGGGTATTTAATAAATGGTGCTGGGATAACTGGCAAGTCATATGTAGAAGAACAAAACTGGATCCTCATCTCTCACTTACAAAAATCAACTCAAAGTGGATCAAAGACTGAAATCGAAGTCCCAAAACCATAAAAATTGTAGAAGATAACATTGGAAAAACTCATAAAGACATCAGCATAGGCAAAGAATTCATGACTTAACACCCCAAAAGCAAATGCAACAAAAACAAAAATAAATAAATAGGATATGATTAAATTAAAAAGCTTCTGCACAACAAAATAAATAATCATCAGAGTAAACAGACAAACCATAGGATGGGAGAAAATATTTGCAAACTATGCATCTGACAAAGAACTAGTATCCAGAAGCTACAAGGAACTCAAACAAGTCGGCAAGAAAAAAGGCAAATAATCCCATCAAAAAAAAGGGAAATAACATGAACAAACATTTCTCAAAAGATACACAATCAGTGCCTCTACGGTGGCAATGTAAAAAAGAAGAAGAAGATATACAAATGGCCAAAAAACATCTGAAAAAAATGCTCAACATCACTAATCATCAGGGAAATGTAAAGTAAAACCACAATTAGATGCCAGCTTACCCCTGGGAGAATGGCCATTAGTAAAAAGTCAAAAAACAATAGATGTTGGTGTGGATGTGGTGTAAAGTGATCGTTTATACACTGCTTGTAGGAATGTAATTAGTACAACTTTATGGAAACAGTATGGAGATTCCTTAAAGAACTAAATGTAGTTCAACCATTTGATCCAGCAATGCCACCTTTGGGTCTCTACACAAAGGAAAAGAAGTCATTATATGAAAAAGATACAGGCACATATATGTTTCTTGCAGCCCAATTCACAATTGCAAAGATATGAAACCAACCTAAGTGCTCATCAACCAATGAGTGAATAAAGAAAATATGGTATATATGCACCATGGAATACCACTCAGCCATAAAAAGGAATGAAATAATGTCTTTTGCAGCAACTTGGATGGAGCTGAAAGTCACTATTCTAAGTGAAGAAACTCAGGAATGGAAAACCAAACACCGTATGTTCTCACTTACAAGTGGGAACTGAGCTATGAATATGCAAAGGCATACAGAGTGATATAATAAACTTTGTAGACTCAGAAGTGGAAGGGGGAAGGAAGGATGCAAGATAAAAAACTACATATTGGGTACATTGTACTCTATTCCAGTGACAGTGCACTAAAGCCTCAGAATTTAGCACTATATAATTCATCCATGTGACCAAAAGCCACTTGTACTCCAAAATACAGGGGGGCACAGGACACGGTGTTCCAGGTGTCCATGTAGCAGTCTGTTCACATGAGGATGCACTTCTCCTTGAAATTGAAATAAATGATAATAATAAAATAAAACAAGGGTTCTCTGCCCAGGACACGAAGATGACCTGGGCACACCAGGGGAGGAACCACCTACCCTCAGGCCTGAAGGAGGTGCCACTGGGCTGCCAGCACTTTAGGAAGGAACCAGACCCAAGCCACACTCACTGGCAGGGGGTAAGGGACAGGGGGCAGGGTGGGGGCCAGGAGCAACACAGTCCCATCTGTCCAGGCACGGTGCCATCCCCATAAGCAATGGGCAGTCAGTGCACACATGTTGGCCCCCACCTCATAATGCACATACATGGAAATAGAAATGGTGTGGGGCGGCCGGAGGGTGGCCCTCCGGCTAGTGTCATGTCTCCTGATCACATGTTGGCTTGTTCTCGCTGAAGCCAGGAGTTGTGGGCACAAGACACGGTGTTCCAGGTGTCCATGTAGCAGTCTATTCACATGAGGATGCACTTCTGCTTGAAATTGTCCTGGGAGGCCCCAACCCACCTTCCCAATGTGCTTCCAGAAGCACCTTTCTGCAGGTGCCATGCAATCTGCACCTTCACTTGCTCCACAACGAGCCCTGGGTCAAGCCTTCTGCTGCTTGAACCCCTGAAATCCAAGCAGAAGCTGCCCTCCATAGCTCTGCAAAGTCAACCAGACTGAGGCTGCCTGCGCCCACCTGATCTTTTTACTGTTTCCATACTTTTGCCTTTCCCAGAATGTTACATGGTTGGGGCCATACAGTATACAGTCTTCTCACACTGGCTTCTTTCACTGAGTAATATGGGTTTAAAGTTCTTCCATGTCTTTTCTTGGCTTAATGGCTCATTTTCTTTTTATTATTGAGTAATATGCCATTATATGGATGTACCATACTTTGTTTATCCATTTACCTAATGAAGGATATATTGTTTGATTCCAGTATTTTGCAATTATGAATATAAACATTTGTGTACAAGTTGTGTGAGTAGACATAAAGCTGTAAACAGTAGACACTGAGGACTCCAATGAGGAGGAAGGAGAGGGGAACAAGGGTTGAAAAACTACCTATTGGGTATTGTGTTCATGATTTGGGTGACAGGTTCAGTAGAAGCCCAAACCTCAGCATTACACAATATATCCATATAAAAATCCACATATATACCCCCTGAATCAAAAATTTTTTAAAAAAATGCCATGGAGGGGGGAGTAAATTATGAACATAAGTTTTAAACTCATTTGGGGAAATAGGAACATAATTGTTGAATTCCATGGTTAGATTACGTTTTGCTTTGTAAGAAACTACCAAACTGTCTGCCAAGGTGGCTGTACCATTTTGCATTCCCACTAGTGAAGAACGAGAGTTCCTGTTGCTCCACATTCTTGCAGTACTTGGTATGGTCAGATGTTTGGATTTTAGCAATTTTAGTATGTGTGTCATAATGTCACTATTGTTTTAATTTGCAATTCTCTAACGGCATATGATGTTGAGTATTGTTTTCTATGCTTATTTGCCATCTGTGTACATTCTTTGATGAGGTTTTCTGTTCAGATTTTTTTTTTGCCTATTTTTAAATTGAGTTGTTTCCTTCTTTATGGTCAAGCTTAAGGGTTCTTTGAGCTGGGCACGCTGGATCACTCCTGTAATCCCAACACTTTGGGAGGCTGAAACAGGTGGACCACTTGAGCCCAGAAATTAAAGACCAGCCTGGGCAACATAGTGAGACTCCATCTCTACAAAAACTACAAAAAAAAATTAGCTGTAGTCCCAGTTACTTGGAAGGATCACTTGAGCCCAGGAGGCAGAGGTTACACTGAACCAAGATTGTGCCACTGCACTCCAGGCTGGGCAACAGAGTGAGAACCTGTCTCAAAAAAAAGGTGGGGGTTTATTTGTATATTTTGGTTAAAAGTTCTTTATCAGATATGTGTTCCATAAACACTGTCACCCACTCTGAAGCTTGTCTTTTCATTCTTTTAACAGTATTTTTCACAAACCTGACATTTTAAATTTTAACGAAACCCAATTTATCAATTTTTTTCCTTCATGGATAGTGCTTTTGCTGTTGCATCTAGTAAGTCATCTCCCACCTAGATTTTCTCTATTATCTTCTAGAAGTTATGAAACTGTAAAGTTTCTATGGTTTACATTTAAATCCATGATCCATTTTGAGTTAATTTTTTGTGAAAGGTCTAAAGTTTGTATATAGATTTATTCATGTATTTTACATGAGACATCTAGTTGTTCCAGTGGTCTTTTTCTGGTTTTGGTATTAAGAAAATGCTACCTCATAGAATGAGTTCAGAAGTCCCTCTATTTCTATTTTCTGGAAGAGAATGTAAAGAATTGCTATTATTTCTCACTTAATTCTTTGGTAGAACTTACCAGTGAAACCATCTGGGCCTGAAGCTATCATTTTGGAAGCTTATTGGTTGTTTATTCAATTCCTATAATAAATAAGACTTAATAATATTACCTATTTTTCCCTGAATGAATTTTGTTAGATTATGCCTTTCAAAAAAATTTGTCCATTTCATCTCGGTTATCAAATTTGTGGCACAGACTTGTTTATAATATTCTTTTATTAGTCTTTTTTTTTTTTTGAGATGGAGTCTCACTCTGGCACCCACGATCTCAGCTCACTGCAGCCTCCACCTCCTAGGTTCAAGCAATTCTCCTGCCTCAGCCTCCCAAGTAGCTGGGACTACAGGTGCACACTGCCACGCCCAGCTAATTTTTTTTTATTATTATTTTTAGTAGAGACAGGGTTTGACCATGTTGGCCACGATGGTCTTGATCTCCTAACCTCACAATCCGCCCACCTTGGCCTCCAAAAGTGCTGGGATTACAGGCGTGAACCACTACACCTGACCCTCTTTTATTATTCTTTTAGTGTCCATGGTAACAGCAGTGATGGCTCCTCTTTCATTTCCTATATTAGAATTTTGTACTCTTTCTTTTTGTCTCTGTTAGCCTGGCTACAGTTTTATCAATTTCATTGATCTTCTCACAGAAACAGCTTTTGGTTTTGTTGATTTTCTCTATTGATTTTCTGCTTTCAATTTCATTGATTTATGCTAATTTTATTTATTTTCTTCTGCCTGCTTTAGGTTTGTATCCTTCCTCTTTCTCCAGTTTCCTATGGTAAAATTACGAATTTTTATCTTTCTTCTTTTTTACTGTATCTATTGAATGCTGTAAATTTCCCTGTAAACATTGTGTTTACTACATCCATAAAATTTTAATAAGCTGGATTATGATTTTATTTAGTTCAAAATACATTTTAATTTCTCTTGTGACTCTCCTTTGACCCATGTGTTATTTAGAATTGCATTATTTGGTCTCCAAATACTTAGAATTTTTCAGTTATATTTCTATTGTTGACTTCTAGTTTAATTCTATTATGATGTAAGAATATATGTTGTGTGATTTGTATTTGTTGAAATTTCTCAAGGTGTTTTATGACTTAGAATATGGTCTATCATCTCCATAGTCTATAGTAAGTGTTCCATGTGAAATTAAAAATAATGTGCATTCTGCTGTTGTTGAATGATGTGCTCTTTAAATGTCAGTCTGATCCAGTTTATTGATAGAAGTCTTCAGTTGAACTATATCTTTGCTGAATTTCTGCCTGCTTAATCTGTCAGTTACAATAGAGAGGTGTTGAAGTTTTCAAATATAATCATAGATTTTTCTATTTTTTCTTGCAGTTCTATTAGTTTTGATCCCATATATCTTGACACTTTGTAGTTAGGCACATACACATTAAAGATGTTATGTCTTCTTGGATAATTGATTCCTTTATCATTATGTAATTATGTCCTTTATTCTGGATAAATATCTACCCCAGCTTTCTTTTGTTTAGTGTTTGCACAACTAAACATCCATCCGTCCTTTTGCTTTTAATCTATCTGTGTCATGATAAAGTGAATTTTATGTAAGCAATATATAATTGAGACTTTTTTTACCCACTCCATCTGTCTCTATTTCTTAACTGGTATATTTAGACCATTCACATTTAAAGTGATCGATATAGTTCAGTTAATATCTACTCTATTTGTTACTGTTTTACATTTCTAGAATTTGTTCTTTTTTTTGGTCATGCCCTCTTTTTCTGCACTATATTTTACGTGTTCACTTTTCAACAAAAATTTTATGACATGTGCAAAGAAACAGGAAAGTATGGCCTGTGCATAGGAAAAAATGCAATTAATAGAAACTTTTTCCAAGGAAGCTCAGATACTGTACTTTATTGCTGATATAGTACTGATATAGCACTTTACTGCTAAAAGACTTTAAATCTGCTATTATAAATACATCAAAGAACTAAAGAATACAATTCCTCAAGAAATAATACATGACAATGTTGCCTTACGAGATGAAGCATACCAAAAAACAGAGAGAAATTGTAGAAATTAACCAAATAGAAATTCTGGAGTTGAGAAGTATAATAATTGAAAGAAAAAATTCACTGAAAAGACTCAGCAGCAGACCTGAATGGCAGAAGACTCATAAAAGTTGAAGATAATCCAAGGAGTTGAAGATAATCAAACTGAGGAAGACAAAGAATAAGAATGAAGAAAATAAAGAGAGCCTCAGAAACCTGTGTAACACCATCAAATATGCCAACATACATGTAACGGAGTTCCTTAGAAAGGGGAGGAAGAAGAAAGGGAGGCAAAAAGAATATTTAGAGAAATAAAGCTGAAATTTATGTTATTATTTTATTATTAAATTTTAGAGAAATCATGTAAAACATTTATCTAGACAACTAAGAAACTCTATAAACCCCAAATAGGATAAATTTAAATAAATTTACATTATAGTCAAACTGCACCATAGTCAAACTGCTAAAAGACAAAGACAAAAATAGAACCTTGAAAGCAGCAAGAGAAAAATGATACATTATATACAAGTGATTCTCAATGAGATTAACAGTTGATTTATCATCCAAAACTACAGAAGCCAGAAGACAGTGGGACGGCATATGTAAAAGTGCTGAAAGAGAACAACCGCCAACCAAAATTTCTGTATGCAGCAAGACTATTCTTCAAAATGTAGAAGAAATTAAGATACTCCCAGAAAAACAAAGGAAAATTTATCACCAGCAGCCCTGCTGTACGAGAAATACTAAAGGAAGCCCTTCAGGCTGAAATGAAGGACATTAGACAGTGATTCAAATCCACATGAAGAAATAAAGAGGGTTGATACAGATAGCCACACAGGCAAATATAAAAGACAATACACATATAACTGTTTTCTTCTCCAATCTGATTTAAAAGAAAATTGCATATAGCAATAATTTTTAAAATGTATTGATGAGCCTGTCATGTATAAGGTAATTTGAATGACAATCATAGCACAAAGGACATGGGGAAGGAAAGAGTGTTATTTTTGTGTGAAGTTTTTGTATACTACCGAAATTAAGATTTTTAAAATTAGGATGCTAGTTGTAATCTCTAGGGCACCACTGAGAAAATAACTCCAAAAAATATAGTAAAAGAAACAAGAAGTAAAATCTAAAGTAGTGAGTAAAATAGATAGTAAGAAGTCAATCAAGAAGTAGAAATTATAGTAAAATGATACAATAGGAAACACCTATCTAACAAACAAGAGAAACCAACAGGATGTAACAGGTGAGGAAATTACATAGCCAAATTCTAGAAGTAAATCTTACCTCACTGGTAATTATGTTAAATGTAAATTGATTAAACATTATAATAAAAAGGGAGAGACTGGCAAAATATGTTTTAAAAAAGAAAAAAATGCTCCAACTGTATGCTGTCTACAAGAGATACACTTGAGGATCAAAGACACAAATTGGTTGAAACTAAATCTAGAAAAAGATCTTGTAAGAGAATAGTAACCAAACTAAAGATGGAGTGGCTATATTAACATTACACAAAATGATCTTTAGACAAAAATTGTTTCTAGAAATAAAGGATATTTTTAATAATTAAAGAATCAATCAGGAAGAAATAATTATAGACAAGAAAGTAATTTAATAAGGAATAGGTAAATTAATATAGACAGAAAGGTTGCCAGAGGCTGGCAGGAGAAAATGGGCATGAAGTTTCTTTTGAGGTATTATAAAATGTCTAAAATTAGAATATACTGTTAATATGCTATGAATAGACTATATCTGTGAATATACTTAAAACTACTAAATTGTACATCTTAAAAGAGTAGATTTTGCAGCATATGAGTTACATCACAATAAAGTTGTTATTTAAAAAAAAGCAAAGACTGCTAGGATGTTGCTATAGTCTTATTATTAACTTTTAGGTAAATAAAGGAGTCTGGGATGGCATATGTCTAATGTTAGCTTCATTGTCCTCAATGATTCCAGTCTTAAACACTTTTGAAGATAAAATTAACTCCATTCACCTTTGGTAAATAATAGCTAATAGCCTAAATGATTGCCACATATTTCAGCTGTTGACTAGGAGTGAGAGAGCAAGACATGGAATACTTATACCTTCTGTAGAGAAAAGCATACTGAACCAGTGATTGAAAGACCAACTGTTTGCCTGGTATTACCTTACAATCTCCCTAAGTCACCTCTGACTGAGCAGTTGATTTTCTTCCCAGTCGTTTACTGGAGAAAAAGGAGGCTGAGGGTCCACTGGGATTCTGAGACACCTCCAGAGCTCACCATTCCTGGTGGGTGTTGCTCATGATTGAGATTGTGTCAACAGCATATTTTCAACTATGTGACAAATAACCAGATGCCAAATACTGCCCTATAAAAGCCACCACCTAAAGGAAGTAACATAGTTGGAAATTACTTAATGCAAATCTACTCTCTTATGTATTTCTAGATTTCTTGAATAAGTAGAAGTATAGAAATCTTAGACATGAATACACACATCTACATAATATGTCATATGCATGGGAGCATTCCTTATTTCTCTCTCCCACTGTCTCCACTGGGTTTAATACCAAAGTTGTTTAGCTATCATGTCATAAACCTGGCAGAGAAGTGAATTTATATTTGGAAAAAGGTCATGTGATAATGCTGTGTTATGGAAATATCTTCTATGTTACAAGAGTCGACTATGTACTAAATCCTATTTTGCAGTTGTAATGATTTAAGGAGCACTATTTTGGTGTCTCTCAGTTGTCCATGAAAATCAAGAATCCAAGTGGCTTCAAGGTTTCTATTAACATTTTATGAACACTAGTCATCCACTAAGATTTCAAATCATAGAGGAACCATTTGATACATTGGAAATAATTCTGTACTCACTAATAATTTTATAATAGAACTTTTTTACATTGTTGCATGTTTATAATCAAAGCAATGGTAAATCAAACTTTGTATACAAACTACTGTGTTTTAGGAAGTAGAATCCCTCACGAGGCAGATTTATCATCATTTAATCTGCAACTTAGCAAAAATTTACTGCAAAGAGCAACATTCCAGATCTAAAGTGTGTTTTTCTCTGGCTTTCATCATGCTCTGCCCAAATGCAACCCTTCATGAGCTCATGCAATCACCCTATCTCATGAGCTTATGCAACCTTCCCTAACTTTCTACTATGCTTTTGTTTCTTCACAGCATTATCCCTGTCTAAAACAAAATTACGATTTTGTTTAGTTTTGTGATCCTTTCCATCTCCACTACCAAACTTTATATGCAGACATTTTCTTGTTCACTAACACTGAAGAGAATGGCACCTGCACACAGTGAGCACACAGAACACTACTTGCTGACTGAATAAATAAAAGTTCACTTTAGGCTGTGAACACAAAAAGTAGTGACCTTTTCCTAGCTCCCCAGCTATAAGGAAATGTGAAAGTAAATGAATCGCAAGTTCTTCACCAGGGAGGAATTTGGTTTGACCTTCTGGCCTCAGGCAAACTTTTGTCCTCCCTCAGGGCTTGCTTGTGGACACCCCTGACTCTAGTCTAGAGGGTCCTGCTTATCAGGTTCAGGTAGTCTGAAACCCAGACACGTGACATGGACCGCAGAAAGTCTCAGATTCTAAGAAAAGACTTAATGCAAGTTGATTTGTTTAAGCTCAGAGAGGAACAGAAACAGACAGAGGTGCAATTGGCAACAGTTAATATTTGGGAAAAAGAGTGATAGCTTCTATCTAAATGCTTGTGTTATTTTAAACCTCTCTCACAATTGCACACTATTTTAATTTCTAGTGGTGAGTGACGCTTGCCTGGTACAATCCCATCTGCTTCCTTCTGCCTTCCAGAGCAGCTGCGTGTTGCTACAGGAAATTACAAACCGAGCTGAATGGTTTCACTTTAACTTCATGACCACAAAACTGAAATGGGCCCTTATTGCTGCCCAGGAATCCTACTGTGTTTCTTTAGTAATATAATGCTGCCATTTCCCCAGGCAACTGTTTCAAACTTTTTTTCTTTTCTAATCTTTTACCCATAGTTGTCGCATTGAGACTAGAAGCCATGAAATTAGGCACCTTTCTATCTTTCACCGCCAATCTGAACACCTAGCGCTGCCTTCCCCAACCCTTTCTCATTCAGTTACAGGAGAAGAAATGTTTTTCCTTGTTACAGGATGTATTATATCCTCTCACCCACCCCCAACATCCCCAGCCACCAAATTCATATGTTGAAATTCTTAACTCCCAGTAACTCAGAATGGGGCTGTATTTGGAGACAGGGTCTTTAAAGATGTAAAGTTAAAATGAGGTCATGAGGGTAGGCTCTACTCCAATGTGACTGGTGTCCTTACAAGAAGAGGAAATGTGGGCACAGACACACACAAAGGGGAGGCGATGTGAGGACCTGGGAGAAGACGCCACCTACAAGTTGAGGGATGAAGCCTGCACAGATGCTTCCCTCGCGGCCCTCAGAAAGAACCAACCCCACCAACGCCTTGATCTTGGACCTTCAGCCTCCAGAACCATGACACAGTTCTTTTTTGTTATCCCTGTTACCCAGTTTGGGTACCTGATTATGACAGCCCCAGCAAAACTAACACACTCCTAATACCCAGGGACAATCTCATTATCTGTAGTTTGGTACATCTCTCTACCTGTCTCCCCCAGACAGCGCCTTCTTCTGTCTACTCTCTCTTGAATCACCAGTCTCTTCCTGTCTCCAAGATTACTCCTTGCCAGTGTGGAAACCATCTCTTGATCCTTTGTCCAGGCACCACCGAAATGTCTTCTGTCTACACATACGCTGACTTGGCCTCCTTGGCTCACCTTTCCTCTGAGGAAATCCAGTCTCGTTCCAGCCTTGATCACACCACCCAGCCTTGCCAAGCTCATTGGCTTCCCTGTCACTCTGTGCAGGGAACTTCTCTGCCTTTATCTTGGGCAACCTTTCAGTAGCATCCAACACAGCTGCCCAGCCCCACTCCAGCAACACTCTCTCCCTCAGCTCCTGGGCTCTACCCTCTCTGGTTATTTCCTCCTACCTGGTTGATCCCCCTTAATCTTCTTTGCCAGCTTTCTTCAGGATTAGACCCTTGGTGCTCTTTTCTCTCTACACATTCCTCATAGGTGGTTTCTTCTTATCTTATGTCTTAAATATCAACTATGTCAGATGCCTCGTAAATTTATCATTTTAGCCCAGAACACTCCTCTGAAGTCCAGACTTACATGTTTGACTGCTTGCTTGACTTTTTTATTTAGATATCTCTGTAAACATTCAAATTGGAATGATTTTTTTCCCCTCTAAGCATACCCTTCTTCCCCAATCTTTCCCACCATCCTCCTAATATCTCAGGTCAAAGTCTAGTGATCTATCTTGATCCCTATCTTTTGTTACCCATTATATCCAACCAATCAGTAAATCCTGTCGATTTTCCCCTTAAAACATATCTGGAATCATCTACCACTCTCTCTCCCATTCACTGGTGTAGGTCACTTCTCATTATAGGGTTTGTAATAATGTCAACAACTTACTAACTGGTCTCCCCCTTACTCAAATCAGTTTTCACACAGAAACCAGAGTAAAATTCATAGTACCTAAACTAAAGCATGTGTTAATTCCCTCCTTCAAATCCTCAAGCAGCTTCTGGTTGTACATAAATTGAAACCCCAGCTCAGCTGGGCGTGGTGGCTCACATCTATAATACCAACACTTTGGGAAGCTGAGGCGGGTGGATCACCTGAGGTCAGGAGTTCCAGACCAGCCTGGCCAACATGGTGAAACCCCGTCTCTACTAAAAATACAAAAATTAGCCTGGCATGGTAGCACATGCCTGTAATCCCAGCTACTCAGGAGGCTGAAGCAGAAGAATCCCTTGAACCTGGGAAGCGAAGGTTGCAATGAGCTGAGATTGCGCCATTGCACTCCAGCCTGGGCGACAGAGCAAGACTCCATCTCACAAAAAAAAAAAAAAAAGAAAAAAGACAAAAAAAACCCCAGCTCACAGAACGCAATGCCAATGCCCACCTGGATGGCCTCTTTCCTGCCCTAGATGGGTTCCTTGGTCCCCTTCAGCACTCCATGGCCACTCTGCATACTGCCAGCTTCTTTGCTTCTGGCAGGGCTGGGTTTATATGTTGCCATCTAAGACAGGACTTCCCTGACTATCCTCCACAGCAGGTTTCCCTCTGTTTCTCTTTCCCAGTGCCCTGATCTCGTTTTTTTCTTCATTGCATGTGTCACCATTTTTATTTTATTCATTTTGTTTATGTCATTGTATTTTTCACCATCTCCTCCACCACACTGTAAGTTACACAGAGGTAGGGACCATGTTTATCCAGTTTATCGTTTTAACTCCAGCACCTGTCACAGAGTCTAGTGAGTAACAGATCAATAAACATTAAGTCACAAAGGGCACATATTATAGAAAATGCACAAACAACTGTACTCTCAGCTCTCAGTTATTCCTAACTACAAAAACAAACAAACAAACAAAAACTATGATTTTAGCCCCTAACCCTTGAAGCTTCAAATCTATAAAATGGTGACTCCAGTCACATCTTCAACACAGGCAGCACATCATTTACTATTTCCTGACTACAAGTGGGAGGTGTCACAGTGTACTAGGGTAAAACAAAGTAGCAGAAAAGGCAAAAATCACCAGATACTATTTTTTCAAGAATAATCAGCACCCTGGCCTGCATAAGATTAATGTTCCCTATAGCAGTATCACACTTTGTATGAAAGAAGAGGCCACTTGGCCCCAAAGGTATTATGTTAATGCCTAATATCATGAAAACATGATTCACTTAGTTCAAAGAGGTAGAGAAATCCTAGGTAAATCAGTTGATTTTCTGTGTGGCATCCTGTCTAATGAGATAAAATTCAAAGGTTAGCTTTACAGTGAAAGCAAATCTTAGATTTCAAGAAACACCTGTGTTAGTCCAGATCTTTTATTTTTTTATTTTATTTTATTTATTTTTGAAATGGAGTCTCAGTCTGTCTCCCAGGCTGGAGTGCAGTAGCGTGATCTCAGCTCACTGCAACCTCTGCCTCCCAGGTTCAAGTGATTCTCCTGCCTCAGCCTCCCAAGTAGCTGGAATTACAGGCATGCACCACCACGCCCAGCTAATTTTTTGTATTTTTAGTAGAGACGGGGTTTCACCATGTTGGCAAGGCTGGTTTTGAACTACTGACCTCAAGTGATCCACCTGCCTCGGCCTCCCAAAATGCTAGGATTACGGCACCAGCCACCATGCCTGGCCTTTTAAATTTATTTTATTTTATTTTATTTTTCGAAGATGAGCCAGACTCAAGGCTTCAGCTTTGAATGTTTATCTGAGAGGTGCACAGCCAGAATGGTGAGGTGAGGAAAAGACAAAGTGAAGCAAAGGAACATGAGACAATACACTGTGTGTTACAATACGCCACAGTCATCTGCAAATTACAGACAGCCTTTCAACCAGCCTATCCTCATGCAGGACTCTGGAGCAGTCCACAGCAGAATGAAAGGAGGGAGAGGTGTATTTGCCCAGCTCCTTCTGAGGTAGGAAGTGGGACTTGACTTTGGAGGCAGGGTTCAGACACAAGAACAGATTGAGAACTAGCCAAAAAAGGGAAAAGGTGAAGGCACTTCTTCTTAAGACACACCCACTGGTGTGCCATGTCAGTTTACCATTGCCATGGCACTCAGAAGTTACTGCCCCTTTCCCTGGCAAAGACCTGATGACCCAGAAATTACCACCCTTTTTCTAGAAATTTCTGCATAATTCTTCCCTTGGTTTGCATACAATTAAAAGTAGGTGTAAATATGCCTGCAGAACTGCCTCTGAGCTGTTACTCTGGGCACATTACCTATGGGGGAGCCCTGCTCTGCAAGGAGCAGTCCCTCTGCTACTGCTGTACACTGTTGCTTCAATAAAAGGTACCGTCTAACACCACTGGTTTGTCCTTGAATTTCTTCCTGGGTGAAGCTAAGAACCCTCCCAGGCTAAGCCCCAATCTGGGGGGATCACCTGTCCCCCATCACTTCTATGTTCCATTTCTCATTGTTCAAAGGTCACTCCTTTGAACAATGTAGGAGTTAGAGGACTAACTCCTACACTTGCGGATTTTGTCATCTGGCCTCACGGTGGCCAGGTGAGAAGCTAACACCCATATCACTTCATGTTCCGTCATCTGTTCTGAAAATGCAGAGGTGACTCAGCATGAGCAAGCCACCAGCTGAGAGACAAAGGAGATAGGGGTCAGGGGAATGCAGCAAGCCCATCTGCAATCTTAAATTGTCTCTCTAATTTCCTTAACTGGAGACAATCCCAGTTAAATTTTAGCACTTCCAGAATAAGTTACCTCCTTCTTTTAGGAAGTTCTAACTTATCTTCAGCCACAGTCTGACTCCCAATGACTGTGTTGTTATTACTACCACTTACAGTGTTTTTACGGAGCACCAGGCAATGGACCGAGCACGCTACAAATGTTATCTCATTTTTTTTTTACAATAACCCTATGAGGTTAGTATGAGTTTCCTTAGAACAAAGATGAAGAAATGAAGCTGAAAGAAATTGACTACCATGTCCAACCTCCCATAACTACTGAGGAGTGAGCTGGCATGTGAGTTTGAGCTGCTGGACTCCAGGTTCAGGCTTAACCACCTTGGTGGACTGACCCCTTCACAACCCATTCATCAGGATTGTTCCTCCCGGTGATACAAAACCTTAATCTCTCATCAAAGTATAATTCTTCAAGTACTAGAGGCTGCTGTCACACCCTAAGCCATGACTCCACTGTCCACTCTTTATTTGTATTTGTCTTGGTCAAGCCACATCAGTCCTATAAAGGTTCTTGGAGATCATCTCTTTATACAGCCATTTCCTAACTTGGAGTGCAAATGAGGAGACTATAAAAAGACCTCCTCCATTCTCCATTTTAATTTGATCTTTCTCCAAGTAACATCACACACACACACACACACACACACACACACACACACACACACTCTTAAATCTTTTCTCACAGCATCTGGTACTAGAATCTGATATGAAGGAATTTATAGCTGCACTCCACAGCTTGTTTTTCACATTTAGGAGTGTTTTTGTTTTCCAGCAGAATTATCAAGTGTTACTATATTAAATGTATTTACAGTGTTTCTATTTTGTTTCCAGAAAATTATAATTTCTCAAGGACTTTGTGAAAATTAATTGCCAAAGCCTGGAAAAAGAAAACTAAGTTGCCGGGCGCGGTGGCTCACGCCTGTAATCCCAGCACTTTGGGAGGCTGAGGCGGGTGGATCATGAGGTCAGGAGATTGAGACCATCCTGGCTAACAAGGTGAAACCCCGTCTCTACTAAAAATACAAAAAATTAGCCGGGCGCAGTGGCAGGCGCCTGTAGTCCCAGCTACTCGGGAGGCTGAGGCAGGAGAATGGCGTGAACCCGGGAAGCGGAGCTTGCAGTGAGCCGAGATTGCGCCACTGCAGTCCGCAGTCTGGCCTGGGTGACAGAGCGAGACTCCGTCTCAAAAAAAAAAAAAAGAAAACTAAGGCCAGGCGTGGTGGCTCATGACTGTAATACCAGCACTTTGGGAGGCTAAAGCAGGTGGATCACCTGGGGTCAGGAGTTCAAGACCAGCCTGACCAACATGGTGAAACCCCATCTCTACTAAAAATACAAAAAAAAAAAAAATTAGCCAGGTGTGGTGGTGCGCACCTGTAATCCCAGCTGCTTGGGAGGCTGAGGAAAGAGAATCGCTTGAACCCGGGAGGCCGAGATTGCAGAGAGGCGAGATCACACCATTGCACTCCAGCCTGGGGGACAGAGCAAAACTCCATCTCAAAAAAAAAAGAAAGAAAGAAAGAAAATTAATGCCAGAATAATATTTGCTACTCTGTAATCTTTATTTCAAAAGTTCTAAATTCTATATGGTCATAATCCTTATCAATCAAATCTCTAATAGTCACAGAATATTAAATCACTCGAAGTAGAGATTACATTTTAGAATAGAGAAGTACAGAGAATAGTTGGGATACAGATTTGTACAAACTTTGCTTTGGATCATAGCTTTGCAACTTTTACTAGCTGAACGATCTTGGGAAAATTACTTCAATTATTTAAGCCTTGTTTCTGGTAAATTAAGGGTAATGGTTTCTATCTTAGAGGATATAAGGAAGCTTGACATAGGATAACAATAGTTTCAGACTCATTTTTTTTTTTTTTTTTTTTTTTGAGACAGAGTCTCACTCTGTTGCCCATGCTGGAGTGCAGTGGTGTGATCTCGGCCCACTGCAACCTCTGCCTCCCGGGTTCAAGTAATTCTTCTGTCTCAGCCTCCTGAGTAGCTGGGATTACAGGTGTGTGCCACCACGCCTGGTGACTCATCTTTAATAGTCAATAAATGGTCTGAGTATTTTTGACAATGGCTATTCTTACCATAAATTCATAATGTGGAAGTAAACAAGCTTTGTAGTCTTCAAGATAACTGATTAATATCTTTGCTTTATCACATTCAACCCTCAAACACTTTCCACCATACTTAGTGGCTCTATGCAGTTTTTTTTTTCAGGCAAATTAATGTCAATATCTCAATATGGCTGCATATTCAAAGATGGGAATACAAGTACAAAGAGAATACCTTGCAATATATTAATATGTTAAAAAATACCCCACGATATATTAATTTTTTAAAAATTCTGAAATGAATACATTTGGGAAACAATGAATATGCTAGTCCCCTTGAAAATCCACATGTTCACTGGAATAATAAAGACTCAGAAAATCCTTAAAGAATCTGTTTAAATTTGTTTTAACCTATGTTTTCTGAAATTATTTGGTCACAATTTTTTTTTTCTTTTTTACAGAACATCTAGTACTAACTTGCTGAACTCTAGTGTTACAGAGAGCATGGTTTGGGAACACTTTATTAGAACATGTAAGATGATACTACTAAGGTACAAATCAGACAACTGCAAGCATGACCACAAGGGAGGAATTCTGGAAGAGTTGAGAATCATTATTTGGTGTGTGTTTCCCTGCTGTTAAGGAGCTCTGAGTTACAGAGTAATTACAAGGCAGTAGCACAGTTGCAGTTATCAAGGAAGTCATTTTCATTCAGATCATTGGTGTGAAGCGAAACAGCACATTTGTATATAAGGCAAAAAAAAAAAGTGTACATTTCTATTGACTCCGGCACTGTGAAAACAATCTGCTAATTTTGGTAGTGCCTATATTAGTATTGCTTTATTTTTACTAATATTGATTTAATTTGTGATTCTGTATTTCAAATACTGCATTCTCTTTTAGAAAGTAAGCAGTCACGCAGGGCAATTTTGTGAGTCTCCTAAAGACAGGTTCTGCTGGCCGGGCTCACGCCTGTAATCCCAGTACTTTGGGAGGCCAAGGCGGGTGGATCATCTGAGGTCAGCAGTTCGAGACCAGTCTGGCCAACATGGCAAAACCCCGTCTCTACTAAAAGTACAAAAATTAGCTGGGCATGATGGCGCAAGCCTGTAATTCCAGCTACTCAGGAGGCTGAGGTGGGAGAATCGCTTGAACCCGAGAAGGGGAGGTTGCAGTGAGCCAAGATTTCACCACTGCACCATTGCCTGGACGACAGAGCAAGACTCTGTCAAAAAAAAAAAGATGGGTTCTGCTTTGAGGCTGAGCAGTGAGGATGCGAGGGCAGGGCCCACACTTGCAGCCACAGACACTCAGCTTCAGCTCTGCTACTCGGCTTTGTTACTTGCAGGCTGTTGCAGCCTTCAGAGATCAGCGTCCTCTGCAAGCCTGGAGCAAGATTACTCAGGCAGCAGCGTTTTCTATGGCGCTAAATTCCATGTACACATAGGTATTGGTATCAACGTTAATGTGGTTAGAAAATGGGGAAGAAAGGTTTACAAATGTGTTTGAGCAAAAAATGTCATGGCCACAAACTTGGTGGGGATTCCTTTCCTCATTGCTGATGTTTGTAAGTGGGGATTGCTGCTCCAATCCCCCAAGGAGAACTCTAACTGAGGAACAAGTTAAGCCTTGGGCACTGCTTTCCACGTATGAATTGATTTCTGTGAGCAGGGAGAAGCCGGCGTTTGACTCTCATCTGCTCCCTGGTATCTACTGGTTATGATGCTTACCTGGACCTCGAGGCCTGGCTCTTTGCTGCCTGCTCTCATGGCTTCCTGCTTATCTCCTCTCCAAGGTGGTTTCATTGGGGAGGCTGGGACTCGTCTGCATGGTGGCAGGAGAAAGGGAGGGAAGCCTGCAGGCTGCGGTGAATAATTTTTGCTCAGAGGAGACATTATTAGAAACCTTATCTACTTGCCCCAAATCTAAGCCACATTCTCTAATCTAGCTCTGCCTCAATAAAGATATCTTTGATATCCTTGCCTCCTCCTCCCTCCCCAACTGTGAGGAGTGTGAATGGCCTTTCAGAGAGAAACCCGACAATCAAGAGCATCACTTATCATAAAAACCAAGTGACAAGGCTATAGAGAATACAGCAATCCATACCAAGGGATGGCAAGGAAGTGGAAAATATGGAAGCCTCACATACACTGGTGGGAATGCAAATGGTGCAGCTGCTTTGGAAAAGAGTTTGACAATTTCTTAAAATGTTAAACATGAACTTACCATACAACACAACAATTTCACTGCTAGGAATCCACCCAAGAAAAGTAAAAGCATATGTCCATACAAAGATATATATGTGAGAGCCAGGTGTGGTGGCTCATGCTCATAATCCCAGCACTCTGGGAGGCTGACACGGGTGGATCACTTGAGGTCAGGCGTTCGAGACCAGCCTGGCCAATATGGCGAAACCTCATCTCTACTAAAAATACAAAAATTAGCCGCGTGTGGTGGTGGCACAAGCCTGTAGTCCCAGCTACTCAGGAGGCTGAGGCAGGAGAATCACCTGAACCCGGGAGACAGAGGTAGCAGTGAGCAGAGATCATGCCACTGCACTCCAGCCTGGACAACAGAGTGAGACTCCGTCTCAAAAAATAAATAAATAAAAATAAATAAATAAATAAATAAAGATACATATGTGAAAGTTAATAGCATCCTTATTCATGATAGACCCAAACTGGAAACAATTTAAATGTGTACCAAGCGGTGAGTGCATTACAAAATGTCGTAGGCTGGGTGCAGTGGCTCACTCCTGTAATCCCAACACTTTGGGAGGACAAGGCAGGAAGGTTGCTTGAATCCAGGAGTTTGAGATCAGCCTAGGCAATGTAGTGAGACCCCATCTCTACAAAGAGGAAAAAAAAATAGCTAGGTGTGGTGGCAAGCCCCTGTAGTTGCAGCTACTCTAGAGGCTGAGGTGGGAGCTTGCGCTTGAGAGGTCAATTCTGCAGTGAGCCGTGATTGTGCCACTGCACTCCAGCATGGACAACAGAGTAAGATACCATCTTAAAAAAAAAAAAAAGAAAAAAAAAGTTGTGTACCCATACAATAGAATACTATCAAGCAACAGAAAGCAATGGACTACTGATAGATGCAAAAATATGGCTGAACTTCAAAAATATTAGGCTACCTGGAAGAAACCAATAAAAAAGCCTACATATTATATGTCACCATTGATATAAAATATTCAGAAAAGGCAAATTCTTGGAGCTGAAAAGCATATCAATGATGGCCAAAGGGTGAGAGTAGGGGTGGGAATTATCTTTTTGGGGAGATGGCAGTGTTCTAAAATTGGATTCTGGTGATAATTGCATAACTCTGTAATATTTACGAAAAATCATTGAATTGTACTTTTGCAGTGAGTGATGATTTTGCATGTCAGTTAAAATCTCAATAAAGGTGTTGAAAATTGACAAAGGCACATGATAGTTTCAAGATTGGGGTGCTTAATGTAATTATTGAAATGTAGGAATTTTATTTGAAAAAAATGTTTTCCACAATATTATAGTTCTTTGGGGGTGATTATTGCCCTCTGCCATATGTTAATAATCATGCTAGAAGGTGTGTACAACTGAAAAATCCGCTGCAGTAAAGACTTTCAGGTGGGCCACTACCCTATCTGAGAAGGCCCAGGTGTACTTGTTACCTTAGGACCTCTTTCAACAGCAATGCTTCTGGAAGGATTTTAAGTGTGGGTAAATATTGTTTAAGATTATCTTAATTTTAAAATTTATTTTAAATTTTATTTTATTTTTAATTTTAATTAAAAATTTTAAAGTTTTTGAGACAAGGTCTCACTCTTTCACCCAGACTAGAGCACAGTGGTGCAATCACAGCTCATGGCAGCCTTAACTGTCTGGGCTCAAGCCATCCTCCCACCTCAGCCTCTTAGTAGCTGGGACTACAGGCACTTGTCATGACAGCTGGCAACTCATTTAATTTTTATGTACAGACAGGGTCTCAATATGTTGTCCATGCTGGTCTCAAACTCCTGGACTCAAGTAATCCCCCTGTCTCTGCCTCCCAAAGTGCTGAGATTACAGGCATGAGCCACTGCATCTGGCCAGGATTCTCTTAATTTTGATAAGATCTTACAATTACTTAATATAGTCTCCATTACAGTGGGTTGTTTCTTGCTTTTCTCAGAGGCTGTATGTAAATTGTCACCTAATTCACATTGCTCTAACACCCCTGCTAATATTGGCTACACGAAATCTAACTGGAAATATTTCCTTAAAATAACAATTTTATATCCTACAATGCCTTCAAGAGTGGTGCATTACATTTTCCATGGCAGGTTTTTGTTTGTAAAACCAAGTAAATGTTTATAAAGCTATACAGATGGTCTGGTTCAGTGAACCATTAATTTATTAAATAATACCCTTAAAGTTTAAGAATCATGCCCAACAAACTTATTTTCTCTGTGAGGCTTACTGGTAGGTTTAGGAACATTAATAATGTCAGAATTATTTTAACATTCTATAGGCTGCAATAGTTAACTATTAATTAAATTAAATTAATTAAATTAAATTCCACAGTGCTATGAGATAAAAGATAGATAGATAGATAGATAGATAGATAGATAGATGATAGATGATAGATAGATAGATAATAGTTTGAATTAGACAGCCAGCACAAAATTTGGAAAGCAGTTATTTAGAGTTCAATGGTTATTTCTCTCATGCTCTGCGGCTGCAAGTTCAGACAGAAACCAGTATTGTAGTTCCTACAAGGAGTATGAAAACGGCCATCAGAATCAAGAGGTAGAACACTGATTTTTTTTATCAGCCGCTGATTATTATAGAACCAAACACCATGAAAAGAAAGATTCCATAATTTTTAAAACTATGTAGAAATGGGAGAGCAACATAGCCAAGTGAATCCTATAGCTCTGTACCTGGAGGAACTAGGAAAGTCTTAAAACTCTATCCCAGATGATCAGAAAAGTGAAAAATTATCCAGCAAGAACTTCCACTGTTAACCAATAATTGAGTTCCATAAAAACTCTGGTGAATTGAGGCAGAACAATGTGACTTTTAGCCGCTTTTTTTCCTATGATATTCCAAAAGATTAAAGACTATTTCCTATGTTGCTCAAGAAAATGACTTTACATACAGAATAACATTACCAGATCCATTTAGGATTTTTTTTATGGGATGTATTTATTTTTCCTCATGGCAAAATAAGGCCCAAGACTTAGAAATCTTCATAGCTGTTTTTTTCTTTCTTTTAAATTTTTAGTTGTGGTAAAATACATCTAACGTAAAATTTTCCATCTTAATCATTTCTAAATGTACAATGCCATAGTGTTAACTATGTTCATATTGTGGTGCAACCAATCTCCAGAGCTCTGTCATCATTTCCAAACTGAAACTCTGGACTCATTTCAACAGCTTCCCATTTTCCCTTCCCCCATCCCCTGGCAACCGCCATTCCAGCAGACACCTTGTATCTCTATGAATTTGACTACTCTGGGTACCTTATGTAAATGGAATCATACAATATTTGTCTTTTTGCTTCTGACTCATTTCACTTATCATACTGTCCTCAAGGTTCACTCATGTTATAGTACATGTCAGACTTTCAGTTTTTTTCAAGGCTGAATAATTTTCCATTGTTATGTATATACCGTATTTTGTTTATCTGTGCATCTGTCAATGGACATTGGATTGTTCCCAACTTCTGGCTACTGTGAATAATGCTATTATGAACACGGGTGTACAAAGGTCTCTTTGAGATACTAATTTGACTTCCTTTGGATATATATGCCCAGAAGTGGGACTGCTGGGTTACATGAGAATTCTATTTTTAATTTTTGGAGAAACTTTCATACCATTTTCCATAGTGGCTGTACCATTTTACCTTCTTGCCAACAGTGCACAAGTGTAACTGAAATAGGTTCATTGCCCCATGCACACAGCAAATAATAAGCTGAGACACCAGGTTGTAGCAAGGAAAGGGGTTTAATCATAGGGTCACTAAATGAGATGAGAAGAAACCTCAAATCTGTCTCCCTGAGGCATTTGGGGGTAGGGGTTTTTAAGAGTGTTGGAATGGGCTGCAATGTGGAGATCACTGATTGGTTGGAAGAGTAGAGGGTGAAGTCATGAGATAGGGAGATGAAGAAGCTGTATTCTCATATTGATCCCATTACTCTGTGGGAGTCTTCAAACTGGCTGCTGGAATTTGGGGTGTGAAAAACATCATAAGTGATCCTTAAACAAAAGCCTTATGATTCTAATGTCAGAGATCTTATCTATAGGAACAATGCAGATGTACATGGTCAGCATCCAGGGCTACATGACTTTTAACAACGAGTAAGTGGGCCCAAGTGCAGACTGATTAGTACTTAATTGGAACTATTTCTGTCCAGAACCCAGCATGCAATTCTTGTCAACACTGTGGGATGGTTTCACAAGGGTTCCAATTTCTCCACATCTTTGCCGACAGTTGCTATTTTCTGTTTTGTTTTACTTTTTTTTTATAGTAGCTACCCTAATGAAAGGAGGTGATTTAATTATGGTTTTAATTTGATTCGTGATACTGAACATTCTTTCGTATTATTGTTGGATTTTGAAGCTAATTTCAAGTTGCAAAAACATCACAAATCCAATTAGGGCAGATTATTTTGTCACTAGATCCCCATTAATCATGCTATTTGTCCAGTAGATTTCCTTTTCTTTGAAAGAATTTTCCAAAAATTATGGCTCAGAACATCTACATATCTGCAACACAGAGACATTTCAAAGTCTTATGCTTTTAACAAGAAACAATGTATTTTAACAAATACATTGAGAATCTCAATATCTATATCCTTTGAAAACAAGAATCTATTACAAATAAGCTTGGCCTAAGAGCTAGAGTTGGGAATGTCCCATTTTCACCCTGGGTTGGTGACTGCATTAGTTTGCTAGGGTTGCCATAACAAAGTAGTACAGATTGGGTGGCCTAAACAAGAAAAATGTATTTTCCAGTAATTCTGGGGGCTGGAAATCCAAGACGAAATGTCATTGGGTTGGTTTCTCTGAGACCTCTCTCCTCGGCCCTCTTCTCTCTGTGTCTTCAAATGATTTCTTCCTCTGTGAGTGTAAGTGGCCAAATTTCCTTTTCTTATAAGGGCATAAGTCAATTTGGATCAGGGTTCACAGTAATGATCTCATTTAACTTTAAGTACCTCTTTAAAACCCTTTCTCCAAACATAGTCCCATTCTGAGGCACAGGTGGTTAGGACTTCAACATATGCATTTCAGAGGACACAAGTGGTTCCAAAACAACAGATGGGGCAGATGAGGATGAGGTGATGGCAGTACTGCTGGTAGGAACCAGCTGAGGCCAGACTCCAATTCTAGCAGGGTAGAAGAGTGCATGACAAGGCGTGTTATAGAAAGTCATGATACACTTACACAGACTGAATCTCACTCCTTGAGGATGTGTTGAATCATGAGAATAGTAACCTTGAAACTGCCTTTGAAAAATTATGACAGTAAGATAAATTGGACATAATTGACTCCATCTTGCTTCTGCCCTCCCAGCTGTCCTTGTCATTCCTGGACGTAGACCAAGCCAACTTTGGCAGGAATCTAGTTTATAGTTTAACCTGAAATAAAGGATGATAATAGTCCCTCCCAAAAATAAACCCCTCCTTGCTCAGGGACTGAAAACCGCCTTTGTAAGATTAATGAAGGGCTACAAGATTAGAGTTGTGGGAAAGGCATGAACTCTGCTAAAATGTAGACATAGTAATCTCTTACTGCCCAGGAGTCATGTGGCCAGGGGTCACAAGCTTTGTGACTTCTCCAATTGCTCCTATAGATAACATCACTATTGTAGAACCTAAGATTGATTTTTTGATACGTTCTTCACACTGGCCCCACCTGGATTCATGATTCAGCTGGTCCTGTGGCCCCACCCAGAGGAAAACTCAGCACATCAGGACTGTTTTCCACACCCCTATGATTTCACCCCCTACCCATCAGCAACACCCATTCCCTAGCTCCCTGCCCACCAAATTGTCCACAAAAATCCTGACCTCCAAGCCTTTGGGGAGACTGATTTGAGTGATAACTCCAGTTTTCCCACGTGGCTGGCCTCACATCAAACTCTTTCTTTACTGCAACGCTGTGGTCTCTGTGGACTGATCTTATCTGTGCAGTGTGCGGAAAGAACCCACCAGTTGATTACAACCTAAGTTCTATTATTGTACCAAAAATAGGGGCTAAAAATGAGTTAATTAGGTTCAATGAAAAATCACAGCAGGCCAGGCATGGTGGCTCACACCTGTAATCCCAGTACTTTGGGGGGCCAGGCGGGCGGATCACTTGAGGTCAGTAGTTTGAGACCAGCCTGGCCAACATGGCAAAACCCTGTCTCTACTAAAAATACAAAAATTAGCCAGGCATGGTGGCACATGCCTATAATCCCAGCTACTCGGAAGGCTGAGGCAGGAGAATTGCTTGAACCCAGGGGGCAGAGGTTGCAATGAGCTGAGATGGCACCACTCTACTCCAGCCTGGGTGACAGAGTGAAACTCTGTATCAAACAAAACAAAACAAAACAAAACAAAACAAAACAAAACAAAAAAAAACACCCAGTAGCGAGTTTGGCATTCCCCTCTGCAGACTTGCTGCTGCTGCTGCTGCTTTTCTCGCGCCATAATTCTTGTCTCTCTCATCAGTCTCTCGACCAGAACAAGATTAGCAGCACGCTCAGTCCTGCACTCTGGAAGTCTTCCTGCCCTTGGAAGCTGCTTCTAAAGACACAGAGGGCCCAGTTTGTAGGGACTTTCAGCTGGATCATATGTGATACAGATGAGTTCTTCCGATCCTAGAGCTCCAACCTGCAGAACAGCCACATCTTCTTTCACAAGCATTCTGGTCTATGATTGGGAAAAAGGAGTCCGCAGCCTCTGTGTGCAGAATGGGGCTCACTGTAGGTAGCAGTGGCAGGTCTAGTAACACTTCTTCTCTGGCTGCTCCAGCACCATGGGAGTTTAGAGCTGGGAAGGAGAAAGCAGCAACACAAGAAAGAAGGTGGTAAGGAAGTGAGAGAAGGTGGGCGCCAGCCAGCTCCCGGGACGTCTCCAGGCCACACAAAGAGCTTCCTCGTCATGCCCTGGACACCATCATCTCTGGGATGCAGCTGCCTCCCCCAGTGGCCACACAGACAGTGCTCTCTGTGGACAGGCCATCCAGGGATGGGACAGTGGCTGGGGGGGTAGGGGGATGTGCTAGGAAAGACCAGCTTCACTAGGAGGCTTTTGTCTGGGTTGGAAATTAGAAAGTGGTCCACAAAATCAAGAGAAAGTGTAATTTCTTGACAAACACATTTTGAGGTATTTTTGCAAGTGACTTTGATCCTCTGGGACATGGAAGTGTTTAATTCCGAGAATCTGTGTTGACCTAAAAAAAAGAGAAACGGAGGCAAAATTAACAGAAATAGTTTATTTGGGCCAAGCTTGAGAACTGCAACCCAAGAGCATTATTCAAGTTGCCCCGAATATACACTCTGAGTAGCAGCAGTTACAAGTAGATTTTTAAAGGCAGAAAAGGGGGATAGGGAGTGGACTCATACGAAGTATTTGTCAGGAATTCACATTGGTTTACAGAAATGACATTAAATAGTGATTGGCTATACCTTGTTAAGCTACTGGGTATGGGTTATAGTGTCCAGTGAGGCATTATTAGGTTAATTGATAGCTACTTGTGGCAAGAGCGAGCAGGTTTTTATTTATTTATTTATTTATTTATTTTTATTTTTCGTAGAGACAGGGTTCTCACTTTGTTGCCCAGGCTGGTCTTGAACTCCTGGTCTCAAGTGATCCTCCTGTCCTGGCCTCCCAAAGTGTTGGGATTACAGGCACGAGCCACTGTGTCCACCCGCAAGCAATTTGAAGACATGAATATGTAGCTCAGTGGGGAAGTAGGACATGATTCCTGTCTCATTATGTCTCTCTGGGCCTGATTGTTTAAAAGGACTCATAGTCCTCAGATAAAAGTTCTTATCTTATCTTTTCTCACCTAGTATCATAGGGAGAGGGGGAATGAGAAGAAGTTTTAAATCTCTGGGCCTGATGGTTTAAAAGGACACATAGTCCTCAGATTTACACTCTGGGCCTGATTGTTTAAAAGGACTCATAGTCTTCAGACAAAAATTCTTATCTTTTTTTTTTTTTTTTTTTTTTGAGATGGAGTCTCACTCTGTTGCCCATGCTGGAGTGCAGTGGCACAATCTCGGCTCACTGCAAACTCCGCCTCCCAGGTTCAAGCGATTCTCCTGCCTCAGCCTCCCGAGTAGCTGGGACTACATGTGCCCGCCACCATGCCCGGCTAATTTTGTGTATTTTTCAGTGGAGACGGGGTTTCACCGTGTTAGCCAGGATGGTCTCCATCTCCTGACCTCATGATCTACCCACCTCAGCCTCCCAAAGTGCTGGGATTACAGGCGTGAGCCACTGCACCCGGCCACAAGTTCTTATCTTTTCTCACTTGGTATTATAGGAAGAAAGGGAATGAGGAGGGTTTCAAAAGCATGTCTATTTAAAAGCATGTCCTTTTAAAACCCCTTCTCATTCCCTCTCTCCCTGTGATACCAGGTGAGATTTAAAGGGACATGCTTGGCCAGGTGCAGTGGCTCATACCTGTAATCCTAGCACTTTGGGAGCCTGAGGTGGGTGGATCACTTGAGGTCAGGAGTTCGGGACCAGCCTGACCAACATGGCAAAACCTGTCTCTACTAAAGATACAAAAATTAGCTGGGCGTGGTGGTGCACGTCTGTAGTCCCAGCTACTTGGGAGGCTGAGGCAGGAGAATCACTTGAACCTGAGAGGCGGAGGTTGCAGTGAGCCAAGATTGCACCACTGCACTCCAGCCTGGGCGACAAAGCGAGATTCTCTCTCAAAAAAAAAAAAAAGACATGCTAATCAGAACCTCAGAACTGTGATCTTATAGTATGCATCACAATTGAGGGAGGGAGCTCTGAAACCCAGACCTGCTTTCAGTGGCATTTCCCCCACTTTAATCTCCAGGATTAGACACTGTCATAGGCTTTGGGCTGTCAATTTCCTTTTCTACTCAAGAGTTCCCTCAGATAACCTGCCTTCTGTCTTATCTTGTCAGGCCTTCACCCTCTCCAAGTTAGAAAGGGGTCTTTACAAGTTAGTAAATAGACTTTACATGTTAAGAGAAGGAAGATTTTTGTTTATAGCGGAGCCTTGACCAAAATCTCCTTTGAAGTAAGATTGAGATACAATGTTTTACCCCATGATGCTGATGCTACATCAAGTCAGCATTTTATTTATCCACTAACTTAACAACCATTGGTTGAGCTCCAAGAATTGCATGCACCACTCTAGATCCTGAATCTACACCAATAAATGAGAGTTCAGCTGCCTCCTTTTGTGCAGTTTATTTTCTTGTGTGGGGACAACAGTCAACTGACAAGTAAGCAAATAAAAAAATAATAATATTATTGAGCTAAAAGGAAGAACCTGAGGCAAAACTAATATAAGAGAGTTTATCTGGGCCAAGCTTGAGGGTTGTGTAATTACCAGATGAATTCTTCCTGCTTGCTGCATAGACAAAACCAATTCACTGAGACCATGCTATTGCAGGAAAGAAAGAGTAATTGACATGAGACTGCCACATGGGAGACAGAGCTATTACTCAAATCAGACACTCCAAGGACTCAGAGGCTAGGGTTTTTATGGACAATTTGGTGGGCAGGGACCTAGGGAATGGGTGGTGCTGATTGGTTGGGGAGGAAATCATAGAGATGTGGAAAATGGTCCTCTGGGTGGGCCCCAGGACCTGATGGGTCATGAGTCATCGTCCGGATACAGTCAGTTTGAAAAACATTTCAAAAAATCAATCTTAGCTTCCACAATCATGATGTTATTTATAAGAGCAATTGGGGAAGTCATGAATCCTGTGCCTTCTGCCACATGACTCTGGAGCAGTAAGAGATTATAGAAACGACACCTACATCTTAGCAGAGTTCAGGCCCCTCTCATAATCTTATTCTTGTGGACTTTCATTAGTTTTACAAATGCAGTTTAGTTTTGTGAAGAGCTATTATCATCTTTGTTTTAAGGTTGAACTAGAAACAAAATCCCTCCCAAAGTTAGCTTGGCCTCTACCTAGGAATTAACCGGGACAGCTAGGTGGTCAGAAGCAAGATGGAGTCAGCCCTGTTAGATTTCTGTCACTGTAGTAATCGTAATCTTTGCAAAGGTGGTTTCAGTTGCAATTCCATAGGTTGGAGTTGCCCTCAACATACATCCAGTTAGCAACAGTTACAAATAGGTTTTTAAAGTAAAAGAAAGAGGCAGTTCCTCAGTTGTTTAGCAAAAAATTACATTAAAATAACATAAGCTATTGATGGACTACATACTGTTCTTTGTATCACAAACTCCTGCAACATGAAGATACTGGGTGAGGCGGCTAGTCAGGAACTAAATGGCTTTAAACCACGGTGGGAGCAGGGTGGAATGACTGCAGGCCCTGCTCCTGTCTCTCTGCACCTGCATACTTCACATAGTGCAGACTGCGCTAAGCTATTTTTCTTTTCTCAACATCAACAATAAGTGCTATGAAGAGTGTCTTAAAGAGGGATATGACATGGATGTTACTCCGCATTGGGTGACTGGGGAAGCACTCTGTGAGGTGAGATTTGCGCAGATCCTGAATGACAGGAGGAAGCCCCAGGTGCAGAGGTCTGCCGGCAGAAACATGCCCGGAGTTTTCAAGGAGCAGAAACAATCAGCCCGTGTGGCTGGGAGGTCATGAGACCTGGTGGGCAGATCTAAGCAGTCCTGTGTGCTGCCTTGTTTTACCTAGGACCTCAAAGATTCGCAGTGAGTGGAGAGGGGACCAGGGACAATACAATTTCAGGAGCAGTAGGGGCCATGAAAGCAGAGAAGGAAGTGCCCAGGCAAGGCGTCCTACGAGGTGAGGCGCTGGTTGTTGGGGCTCAGAAGTTAATACCCCAACAATATGGCACATTGACATGCTGAACTGAAGAAGCCTCAAGGTCTTTCTCCCCGGCCCACCTCCTACCATTTCTCCCAAAGCACAGAAGGAAGTTAACATTTCTTTATCTGCCTAATAGCCAAACCCATTAAGGAGAACAGTTGTTTTAAATTCCCCTCCCTATAAGACCAAGAATGTAACCATGCCTGAACAGACCCACTCACAAGACAACATATAAATTAATCTCTATTCTCTGATCTATTTATTCTTCCTAGTAATCCCCTTAACAGAATTCCTCTTCTCTCCCTCCCACACCCTGTTTTGCCAGGATGGCAGACAAGCTTCTGAACCCCATTAGGAGGTGGGTGAGTACTCTGTGGTTCTCCTTGTGTGCATGTTAATAGATCTATATGCCTTTTCTCCAACATATCTGCCTTTTGCGAGTTCATTTTTTAGTGAATCTTCAGAGGGTGAAGGAGAAGTTTTTTCCTGTGGCCCATATATGGCCAAGCATCATGCCCTGTCAGGCATGCACAGCGCATCTGAGCGACTCGCAGCAATGGCTCAGGATGCCACACTCTGAGGAGATCCTCCGAGTATCCTACCCTGCAACGCTTCAACCCACCACTTCCCTCTGCCTTGGGGAACTTAGAGGTCAACTTATCACCATTTGTAGGCCCTAACCTGAGTTCTGCAATCGTAGAATGGCTTTTGTTGCTGGTTGACTTACATGATTCCTTCTCTTAGTCATTTTCATTTCTAGACAACATTCTCTTCATTATATGGATGGCCTTGCCTTTCCTCTCTCCTCTTCTTCCAGTTTTCTTCACTGAGTGTTATTTATTCCCAATAGACAATGTTGGAGTTTGTCTGAGGGTTATAGAAAGGGAAAAAGTGTCCCTTAAGAACATTCCTAAGGAAAAATATGTCTTCTGATTTCTTGAGCTTAGAATATGTTAAAAGTAGAAGAAAGGATCCTAACTGACGTGAACTTACATCATCAGGGTCAGTTTAGTTTAAAAAATATTGATTTAATTTCTAATTTGTACTAGCACTACATGTACAATGAGTTCGTAACTATAAATGAGGTGAGATTGAAAAAATATATATAGCCAGGCATGGTGGTGCACTCCTGTACTCCTGTATTCCTACCTACTTGAGAGGCTGAGGTGGGAGGATCCCTTGAACCCAGGAGTTCAAGCCTGCAATAAGATACGATAGCAGCATTGCACTCTAGCCTGGATGACAGAGTGAGACTCTGTCTCTAAAAGAAAAAAAAAAAATATATATATATATATACACACACACACATATGTGAGTGTATTTATACACACATATATACACATTAAATATATACAAATATATATATAAAGACGAATGAGTTTGGGGAAACATAATGAGTTTGGTTTTTTTCCAAGAGACAGCTGGATATATGAATCTGGAGCTTAGGGAAGACGTCAAGGGTGGAAATATAGATGTCGATATCCTCTTTAATTTCAGGTAATTATCTTAGGATCAATCTTCCTCTACAAATTAGAAAGGACATATACTCAGAAGCTAGTAGTTATAAGATTTCCACAGATTTCATTCTACTTCTGGCATGCTGCTGCACGCAAGCAACTAGGAACAGCACCAGGTATAAAATGCTTTATTGATCTGAGTGAGTCCAACTCATGACCACTCTTTCTCCACAGTATTTATCACGGTGGTTTTACTGACATCAGTGACTTGTTTTTTTCTAATATTGGCTCCTCCTCCTGTTTCTGTTATCTGTTTTGATTTGGTTTTGCCATCAACGTCTTTGGCTGGAGTCATCTGCAGGATATCTCTTACTATAGGAAGTGGTCAGACAGGTGGGACTGTGGCATTGCATCTCACAATGTGGAGTCTGCATGGAAATGCACAGGTGATGCCCTCTGGGCCTAACCAAAAGCAGAACTTGGTCATTTGTCTCCACCATCATATCCTGAACCTACAACTTGAGACAAGCAGCACAAAATCACAAAGGTCCTGTAAGCACCCAATGGGTTCCTCTTGCCTGCTGCCCAGATGCAGTCAGTTTATCAAGATGAGAATTGCAATAGAGAGTTTAATGCACAGAGAGTTGGATAGGTGAAAGACTGGACTTTACTCAAATCAGTCTGTTTTTTAAGTTATAAAGAACTAGGGTTTTTAAAGGATAATTTGGCAGGCAGGAGACTGAGAAACGAGGAATGCTGATTGATCGGGTTGGGAACGAAATCACAGGGATTCGAAACCATCTTCTTACACTGAGTCAGTTTGTGGGTGGGGGCCACACAACCAGTTGAGCCACTTTACTAGTCTGGGTGGTGCCAGTTGAGCTATCAGAATGCAGGGTTGGAAAAAATACCTCAAACACCAATCTGAGATTTTACAGTAGTGATGTTATCCATAGGAGCAATTGGGGAGGTTGGGAATCTTGGGGTCTTTGGCTCAAGGAGGGTTTGTTTTGTTGTTGTTGTTGTTGTTTTGTTTGTCCTGGAAAGGGCTATTAGTATCTTTGTTTCAAAGTAAAACTATAAGGTGAGTGTGGTGGCTCAGCATTTAGAGAGGCAGAGGAGGATGAATCATTTGAGGTCAGGAGTTTGAGACCAGCCTGGCCAACATAGTGAAACCCCATCTCTACAAAAAATACAAAAATTAGCCGAGCGTGGTGGTACACACCTGTAATCCCAGCTACTTTGGAGGCTGAGGTGGGAGAATCGCTTCAACCCGGGAGCCGGAGGCTGCAGAGAGGCAATATCACACCACTGCACTCCTGCCTGGGCGATAGAGTGAGACTCTCTCAGAAAAAAAAAAATAAAAAGTTAAACTATAAACTAAATTCCTTCCAAAGTTAGTTTGGCCTGTGCCCAGGAATGAATATGGGTAGGCTGGAGGTTAGAGGCAAGCAGATTCTTTACTGTGATAATGTTCTGATGTCAATTTTTTCTCACTGTCATAATTTTGCAAAGGCTGTTTCAGTCCTGCTGATACTAGGAAATATCTTGCCTTTAAGTTCTTTCAAAGAGATGTGACATTTTAAATCTGGTGATTGAAATGGAAAAGTGGAAAACAGAGGAATAAAATTTTAAACTACTCATATAATATACAAAAGTATTGTAATCCCATGGAAATATCTGAAAGTTTTACATTTGACTGATGTATACCATAATAATTGCACGTTAAATAAATAAACAAGCAAGCAAATAAACTTGAACACACAACCCAGATAAAAGCTGCAATGTTTCACATTCCCGCTCAAGGAGAAAATGAAAATGAAAGGTTAGGCTGTTATTTTAGTTGTTTTGGCAGCTCTCAGTGGCCAGAGTAGCCATATGGCATCAGGAGTCACGCAGAATATGGTTTTTCTCACCATTAAAGCATCTACCAGAAGAAAAGATTGAAGATCAAGGGTTGCTCACAGACAGGTGCTAACAGCTACAGGGACCTGTGAATGTGCTCGGACCTCTCATGTATGCAACACTTTGACCAGACTAGCTTCCTGGGCAGAAGCCCTTCTCACAATCTAAAGAAATCCTTTAAGAATAAATAGTGACAGCTTTCCAACACCCATTTAACTCTATGTAGCAAGAGAAGCTGATTGCATAGTTGTCAAGAATCTTAAAGAGAGAAAACTAGCAACACAGGAAGCTGGAGTTCTATTGTTTACTAATGGTGTGCAAACCCTGTGTTCTGAATGAGCTACCCATCAGCAAAACAGGAATAACAAACCGTAGTAATCCACTAACAGTGACCAGCTGTAAGATGAGTCAATACATTCAAAGTGCACCGACGTCTACAAACTTGAATCCAAACATGTCTTATCCTAAATTTACCATCATTTATTTACCATAATATGAAATGTTTAGTGTTGTAAGACAGTATTGGCGGACATTGAAAAGTAATCTAAGCAAGGGGAAATTACACTTCAAATATGGGCATCATAATGTTGAATATTAAATGCTTATTAATTAAAACTGAAAATTATTAGCAATAAAATTTTAATAACTTGTACAATAATACTGAGTAAAATTAATTTGCTAATAAAGTTAGAACACTAAGTGACCTTACATGAAAGAATGTAAAAAAGTTAGTTACAAAATATATTTATGGCACCACATAATATTTTAAATTAAAAAAATGAGTATGGGGAAAGAAAGAAATACAGAAGGTAAACTGAGTAATGACTCTGGATTGAATATGTTCTAAAAGTATAATCTGAACTACTTCAAGTCCTTGTATCCTCTGCAGATTAGATTCTCATGGTAAAGTGGGTTTCTTGGAATAGCCTTTTCAATGCTAAGAAGAAAAACATGAGTCCTAGTCCTATAATCTGTCTAAATAGAATGAAATGAGAGGTTAGAGATGAAAAAAATAAGGTCCAAAGAATCTGAGTGACTTTCTGGAGGTCACAAAGGGAACCATGCTGAGCAGGGACTTGAAAACAAATCTTCAGACAGGTGTCAGGTTAACCTTTGGTGGTGCCACACTTCCTATGATGAACTAAATCATTGCATCTCCTCTCTATTTGGAGAATGCCTGCTTTACAGAGGTAGGTTTCAACCTTCTCTTTAAGATGATAATTGGCTTTTTTTAATGCCCCAAGACAAGATGGGAGCCGCCTACAAGACTGCAAAAAAAGTCCTCACCAGGCACCAAATCCACCAGATTTTCCAGACTCCAGAAGTGTAAGAAAAGGAATTTCTGTTGCTTAAGCCACGTGGTCTACGACATTTTGTTATGGCTGTCCTAGCTAAGACAGCCACTTATAGAATGGGAGAAAATATTTGCAAATTATATATCTGATAAAGGATTAATGTTGAAAATTATATATATTTTAATACCCTAACAACTCAACAACAAAAAACAAAAAATCCAATTCAAAAATGGGCAAAGAATTTCAATAGATATTTTTCCAAAGAAGATATTCAAAAAACCAATGACCATACGAGAAAATGCTCACCATCACTAATCACTAGGGAAATACAAATCAAAACCACATTGAGATATTACTTTACACTCACTAAAAAAAATCTTTTATCAAAAGACTCAATAAAAATAACTAGTGTTGGTGATACCGGAGCTAGAAAGGAAATATTCAGGTAGTTAGTAAGGGTAAGAGAACCCCTGGTAAGGCTTCCCTTTTAACAAAAAGCAGCCCCCAAATCACATCGTTTCTAACAAACAGCAGCCTGAAAAATCAAGCTGCAGACATAAATAAGCAAGCTGGAAGCTTGCATAGGTAAATGCTGGCAGCTGCGCCAATAGAAAAGGGCTACCTGGGTGCCAGACATGTTCAGCGTGGAAGTTCCCACTTCCCTTTTCTTTGTGGCCACATGTGCACTAAAAAGACAGGCAATATGGTGCAGGCCAGATAGATACTCCATTTGCATAATAAAAGATTAGGGTGGGGCTGGGCCCTGGTGGCTCACGCCTGTAATCCCAGCCCTTTGGGAGATCGAGGCGGGCGGATCACTTGAGGTCAGGAGTTCGAGACCAGCCTGGCCAACATGGTGACACCCCATCTCTACTAAAAATACAAAATTAGCCAGGTGTGGTGGCATATGCCTGTAATCCCAGCTACTTAGGAGGCTGAAGCAGGAGAGTTGCTTGAACCCGGAAGACAGAGGTTGCAGTGAGTAGAGATCAGCCAGTTGCACTCCAGCCCAGGCAACAAGAATGAAACTCCGTCTCAAAAAAAAAAAAATTAAATTAAATTAATTAATTAATTAAAATAAATTTTAAAAAGATTAGAGTGGGATGGCCAGCTTCTTTGTGCACTATGCAAATGACACACAGGTCCAACCAATCCCTTGGGCCCTATGTAAATCAGACACGACCTTCTCAAGATTGTCTATAAAAACCCCTGCATTTTACCATGAAACCGGAAGACCCACTTGGGAACCCCTCTCTGCAGGAGAGAGAGATGTTCTCTTTTCTCTTTCACCTATTAAACCTCTGCTCTTAAACTCACTTCATGTGTCTGCATCCTTGATTTCTCTGGTGTGAGAAGATGAATCTTGGGTATTTACCCCAGACAGTTACACCACTTCATTGGCAAGGATGTGGATAAATAGGAACCCTTGTTCGTTGCTGGTAAGAATGTAAAATGGTACAGCTCAGAAAAAAACAGTATGGCAGTTCCCCCCAAAATTAAACATAGAATTGTTACAGGAAGGGGTCCCAATCCAGACCGCAAGAAAGGGTTTTTGGTCTCGTGCAAGAAAGAATTTATGGCGAGTCTGCAGTGCAAAGTGAAAACAAGTTTATTAAGAAAGTAGAGGAATAAAAGAATGGCTACTCCATAGACAGAGCAGTCCTGAGGGCTGCTGGTTGCCCATTTTTATGGTTTATTTCTTGATGATATGCTAAACAAGTGGTGGATTATTCATGCCTCCCCTTTTTAGACCATATAGGGTAACTTCCTGACATTGCCATGGCACCTGTAAAGTACCATGGTGCTGATGGGAGTCTACTAGTGAGGACGACCAGAGGTCACTCTTGTGGCCATCTTGGTTTTGGTGGGTCTTGGCTGGCTCCTTTACTGCAACTGTTTTATCAGCAAGGTCTTTATGACCTGTATTTTGTGCTGACCTCCTATCTCATCCTGTGACTTAGAATGCCTTAACTGTCTGGGAATGCAGCCCAGTAGGTTTCAGCCTCATTTTACCCAGCTCGTATTTAAGATGGAGTTGCTCTGGTTCACACACCTCTGACAGAATTACTAAAGGATCCATAAATTATACTTCTGAGTAAACACCCAAAAGAACTGAAAGCAGCAGGGTCTCAAACACATCTTTATATACCCATGTTCATAACAGTATTATTCACAGTAGCCAAAAGGTGGGAACAACCCAAATGTCCACCAATGGATGAACAGAAAATGTGTTATATACATACAATAAAAAACTGTTCAGCCTTAAGAAGGAATGAAAGTCTGACACATGCTACAACATAGATGAACCGTGAAGACATTACACTAATAAGTAAGACACAAAAGGACAAAGACTGTGTGATTCCACTTTTATGAAGTAACTAGAGTAGTCAAATTTAGAGGGACAGAAAACAATGTCAGTTAGCAAGGGCTGGGGAGAAGGAGGAATGGGGAGTTAATTGTTTAATGGATAAAAAGTTGCAGCACTGATGAAGAATGAAAATGAACTCTTACATAATATCAATTTATTAATAATGAAGGATAAAGATGAGTTCTAAAAATGTTTAACACCCACAATTATTTGAATAGAAGACTGCTTAATTTCTCAAAAACATTCATCTTTAACCTCTAAAACACCTCAGTCATTTCAAAACTGGCTTTCTGCCATATTATTACAGAAGAGGTAAATATCTCTTAGGATGGTTATGTCTAGATAGTTTTTCTGTTACAAAGGTCTCTCTTCTGCTTAAACCAAATCTCTTACAATGAAATTAAATCTCATTTCTCCATTTTTGATGTCTGGTGGATTTGTTGTATTTTATTTATTAAAGATTTCTTTTCCAAAATTAAAAAAAATATGGTAATTAAGCAATCTTTAGGAAAGCAATCACTTTACGCTACATTTCTATATAGCTTCATCTTCTTCACAGGGCAAGTCGCCAAACTGAATTCCTGAGATTGAAGCTTTTCCATCAGGAGCTTTGGTTGGATTGGCATCACAGTGGTTTGGGTAAATCCCCGTGATGTTACTGAAACAACGAGGATCATCTGCTGTGTGCCAACACTCTCACCCTGGTGGGGAGCTGGGTTTATTGGTTAAATTTAATTAAGCATAGGTTTAGATTTCTGTGACCAATCTGTTTATATTCAAGTATAATCAGCCTTCTTGATGTGCTATTTATTTAATCAATAAAGAATTCAGAATTGTAGAGTTATGAAATTTTAAAAATATATTTTTAAGCAGTTTTCCTTTCAGAACACTCAATCACAAAATATATCTAATAGATGCCATTAATCTCATTGTAACTAAAATAAATTTCTACAATGCAGTTTCCTTCTATTCAAATATTTGCATGATCTGGAAGCTAAAATAAATATTTAGTGGGAAGCCAGAGGACAACTGTTTTCTGCTCTTTTGTAGTTCCTTACTTTGCCGTATTTGTATTATGCTAAAATTTACAAAAGAAAAGTATCTCTTATAGGTAGTTATACATTTTGATTCATGAATGACAATATCATAAAGCATTATATATATATATTCAAGATATATGCAGGTTTATTATATGGATATATTGTACAATGGTGAGGTTTGGGTTTCTGGTATGCCTGTTGCTCAAATACTGAATATTGTAGCCATTAGGTGATATTTTAGCCCTCACCTCCCTATTCTCCCAGCTTTTGGAGTCCCCAGTGTTTGTTATTTTCCTCTGTATGTCTGTGTGTACCTAAAAAATATATATTTTAGCAAGGAGATAATTCTAGTTAGTACATGGGCTATCGGCATCTGTTTTTCTTAGTGTAAGTCTTTTTATTTTTTGCTGTCATTTATAATTTGAAAAAATGGCTTAAGAGCATAGACCTAACTGGACACATTTTGTGAAAAATAAGCTTATGGCTTTGATAGGTAGAATGGCATCCTTGCCTCCTGGCTTCAAATTCACACAGCATGCTGCATGGTGTTTGAGAGTTTGCCTGGAGCCTGAGATCTGAATGTGCCGAGACCAGCTCTGTCAGGGAGACCCTAACCCAGTGGCGCTAGAGGAATTAAAGACACACACACAGAAATATAGAGATGTGAAGTGGGAAATCAGGGGTCTCACAGCCTTCAGAGCTGAGAGCCCCAAACAGAGATTTACCCACATATTTATTAACAGCAAACTAGTCATTAGCATTGTTTCTATAGATATTAAATTAACTAAAAGTATCCCTTAAGGGAAACGAAGGGATGGGCCAAATTAATTGCAGCAGGAACACGCCCTTAAGACACAGATCGCTCAGGCTTTTGTTTGTGGCTTAAGACTGCCTTTAAGCGGTTTTCCGCCCTGGGCAGGCCAGGTGTTCCTTGCCCTCATTCCTGTAAACCCACAACCTTCCAGCTTGGGCGTTAGGGCCATTATGGACATGTTACAGTGTTGCAGAGATTTTATTTATGGCCAGTTTTGGGGCCAGTTTATGGCCGGATTTTGGGGGGCTTGCTCCCAACATGGATGAAACTTTCCACATTATGAAGAGACAGACACAGAGGCAGAGACACCAGGAGGGGTCAGGGTTGGCTGAGGGTTGTCACCTCTCAGCCTTGTCATTTTGGATGTCAGCTGTACTGCCTGGTGTTGTATCTTTAAAACAAGCCACAGATATTTTTATAACACTTGGGAAAGTTATATTGGCTAAAGGAGAAAAAAATTACAGAATTAACTGAGGTCTACTACAATTTAGTCATCCCTTCAGCCAGGCTCTAGACAAACCACTGGGGTTAACAGAATGCATAGTCAAGTTAGGGTAGCCCCTACCCATAGCTCTCCAGGGAACTCCAAATCTGTGATCCTGTGGTGCAAGACATCCTAGGCTCACCTGCCCTGAGTGGACCTCATCTCACATCCTCATGCTTCCCCAACCCACTGGTTCTGTGCCCTTCCTCAAACATACTAAGCACACTTCCTCCCCACCCCCAGGACTATTGCACTGCTGTTTCTGTGGCTAAAAGATTTACCCTCAGATAGTCTCACATCATCCAGGTCTCTGCTCAACTACCAGCTCTTCACTCAGACCTCCTGGCAACAGTCCTGTCCTTATCTGGAGACTTCTCATTCTAACACAGGTCATCTCTTGGCCTGCTTCATTTATCTCAATACTACTCACCTTTACTGGATAATCATCAATCTACTTGTTCACAGGTGTATTGTTTGTCCCCTCACTAGAATATAAACTCCATGAGGGCAGGGACTTTGTTTTGTTGATGCTGTGTTTCCATGAATTTATCACAGTGCCTGGAACATAGAGGATAACTGATATTCGTTTGGGGGGAATGAATAAATGAATGAAGATATAATTTCTGTGGGGAGACAGACATGCCATAAATTATTGCATGGAAGCACAGAGTTCAAGTCTTTCTAGGGAGGAGGTAAGAGGAAAGGCTTCTCAGACAAGTGACGTTTGTGAGGGATCTTGAAGATAAAGAGATTGGTGCTAGGCAGAAAAGGAGGAAAAGGCACCCCATTGCAGGAGGAAACCCCAAGTGCACAAAGACATGAAGTTAAAACACTGTTAGGGTCAAAGAAAGGTAGGAGGTTTGGTGAGCATGGGAACATAAAGTGAGGCTGCACTGTAAATGCTTCCTACGCTATGTGTCAGCAAGTGGAGAAACTATGACTGTCACAACGTCAGGCACCATATCCCTCATAGGAAGTCAGGGTCTTGGCATACTCAAGCTGGTTTATTTGAGGAGTATTAACAAGTTATCTGCAAAGGTGGGTCTGAGTTTAAAGATACCAAGAAGGAATAATGTCACCCCCTAGAGAGCCTTTGCCAGCCCTAGGCCTGAAGGAGCAAAGGAAGGAAGATCAGAACCCAGAGAGGACAACTAGAAGAAACACAGAGCACCCTCAGGACCTGGTGCAGAGCAGGCGCCAGGGGAGGTCCCTGCCACAACTTGCCTTCCCCCAGGCCCGTGCCATCTCTTGCTGCCTCCCATTGGTTGAACCAACCTGGAGGCCTAAGATAAGAGGTTTTTGCTGATGCAGTTCCCACCCTTCCTGGACCACAGAGCAGGACAGCAAGAAAATTCTGAGGGACAACAAGAAAATACCCAGCACTGGAGAATTCTCTTTAGTGGGAAGAATGCTTTAGCACCTTGAGATAGATGGTGAGACCCAAAAGTCATGTCCAGGCAGCTGAAAGCATTGCTAAAAGCCTCACATGCAACAGTGAGAGAAGCTTTGTTTTGCCCCAAAGAAGGAGATGAGGGAAGAATGTGGAGAGAGAAGAGAAAAGGGAGGGAGAGAACCACTGTGTCTAGCCTGTACACAGTGTAGCTCCTCCTCAAGAAAGAACCACAGGTGTTCAGTGACTCTGTATACCCCAAAGTAGACACATTGTGTGACCATATCACTGATTTATTTTCTTCTGGAAACTGATCAAGAAACTAGGTTTCCTTGGAACTAGGTTTCCTTGGAACTAGGTTTCCAAGGAATCAAAACAACTTGGTGGTACCCAAGGACAGCCTTTGCACAGAAGTGTGAAGGCAGAACAGGCCCTGAAATCCCTATAACTCTTTCAGGGCTATTGGTCTTCCACAGACTGTAAAGTTGCCAGGGTTTGCTCAGTTTTACATAGATCTTACAGTTCCAAACTATTATGGGTTATTTTTTGTTTATTTATTTATTTATTTTTTGAGACGGAGTTTCACCCTCGTTGCTCAGGCTGGAGTGCAACGGCGTAATCTTGGCTCACTATAACCTCCACCTCCCAGGTTCAAGCAATTCTCCTGCCTCAGCCTCCTCAGTAGCTGGGATTACAGGCATCCGTCACCACACCCAGCTAATTTTTTGTATTTTTAGTAGAGATGGGGTTTCACCATGTTGGCCAGGCTGGTCTCAAACTCCTGACCTCAGGTGATCCACCCACCTTGGCCTCCCAAAGTGCTGGGATTACAGGCGTGAGCCACCATGCCCGGCCGGGTTACTATTATTAAGAAGTTTGGGATTTTTTCTCCAAGTAATAGTCAAGATATAAAGGCCTTAACGTAGAGGGTGGTCACGGTGGTCATGCGAAAGTTGGGCTGGAGTTGGGAGAGACTGAGAACGGAGTGGTCACTTAAGAGGCTAAGGAAATAGCTCAGGCCAAAAAGACAATGCCCTCACCTATGATGAGGCCAGGGAGTTTACTCTTGAATCTTCTTGATGCACTGTTCCAAACTTAAGTCATAAATATCATCCTTAATAAAATCACTCAGAGCCTGTATGATTTCACTTAGCCTTAGTCCTGATGCTGTTTCATTTAACACCTGCCATTTGTTCAATTGCCGCTAATCACTTCCTGTGTGCATTTTCTGAGTTTCTTTCTCTCTATCTGTTTGTTTGTTTGTTTTAAATAGGGTAACAACTTCGCTTTTCTCTCCCTTGCAGTGTGACACTGTAGCTCCTCTACTCCTCACCTTCTGTTGGTTTTGTAAATTAATCATTTTAACCAGGGAATGCTGGTTTCACCTTCCAAGATATAAATCCTTCAAGGTTCTGTTATGTCATATTGGAAGACAGAAGACATTTTTTTTTTAACTAAATGGCATTCTTTTTCTTTAAGAGATAGTGAAGAAAACAAACACTGATTTTTCAGTGGTACGCTCCTTTTTATTTTCAACTAAGACTAGCAGGGTGCTGGGCCATAACATAGTAAACTTGAGCATTTTGAAAAGATCAGAGCTTTTGTAATACCAAAAACATAACCAAAATTCACTGTAGATAACCCCCACTGTCCCACATGCTTATCTAAAAAGGCGTGACTTAAAAGGAATGTCAAGATTTAAAATGCCATTGTCTTTGGTGTAGACAACTTCCTAGAATTCAACAGTTCTATTTCCTGTAATTTTCATCTTGGGGAAAACCATTAATTCTACGAGATGTGATATTTATTTATGGCTCTGTTTTTTAAAAATTGTCGGACATGAGCCATTTTCCAATACTTACATAAGGACAAAGTTACAAATTAAGCCTTGGGTAATATTCACCTGCAAATATTCTCATGTTTATCAACTCAAAAAAAAAAAAAACCCCACACACTTTCATGTACTAAATACATGCTATGGCTAAAAGAATACGTATTTTAATAGCAGGATCCATCTTGAATTTTTCCTTATTTTTGATAAACCTAGTTAAACCATTGTTGGACTTTCTTCCATGGTGTATTGCAGGCACACTAAACAAAATCCCAGGGTACAAAATTACACTCATTGCTTAGATGCTGGGCTCACACCTAGACAAATGGTATGTTTTTAAAAATACATGCACCAGAGTTGCTTGAATCTCTCAATTGCTTTTCAGCAGTTTATAAAACAGTAAAAGAATTAAAGACTCTAATGTGGTTTAATGTCAGGGATTAAATTAGAAATGCTAAATAAAGAAACCTGCTCTTATTCAAAGAACATGCATTTGCATGTAAGATTCCAGCATAACTGTTACTAAGTCTTTTATTTCCATCTCATCTAAAATGACAAAGAATGGAAAAGCTCAGGCAATTTGTCCAATTAAATTATAATATGGGAGAGACATGGTGGCTCATGCCTGTAATTCCATTTTGGGAGGCCAAGGTGGGATGATAGCTTGAGGTCAAGAGTTCGAGACCAGCCTAGGCAACATAGTGAGACCCATCTCTACTAAAAAAAATTTAAAAATTACCCAAGTGTAGTGGCACATGCCTGTAGTCCCAGCTATGCAAGAGGCTTAGGCAAGAGGATTACCTGAACCCGGGAGGTTGAGACTGTAGTAAGCTATGATCATGCCACTATACTCCAGCCTGGGAGACAAAGTCAGACTCTGTCACTAATAAATAAATAAATTAAATAAATAAATACATAAAATTACAATATATATTCAAAAGTTATAAGTTTGATTGAAATTTAATAAGGGTGACTTGTGTTTCTCAAAGTGCAATCCTCAGACTGATGAACAGGAGTGGGACATGACTTCTCCTTCATACATTTTTTATTTTTTTCTTCTCTTCACAAAACCCACACCACTACTTCATGGATGGTATACCCATTAACCCTGAGGCTTCTGTCACACAAAGCAAATAGCCATTCTTCTGTGCTCTCATAATGTTCAACCATTCCTTTTACTTAGAGAATTCCAGAAACTGACCTTAGGAGAGCTAAACATCAAACAAGGTTGCGAGTGTCCTTCCTTGGGAAGAAAAACTGAAAAATTGATTACTGCTTCGCTGCCCCCACCAGACCACCAGGTGGTTCATTACTCAAGAGAACCATCACAACCAGACATGCTGACCTGCATCCCCTACCCTTCACATGCTTTGCCCAGCCCAGCCTGCATACACTAGTCTTGAAATCAATTCCCATGTTTTGTCTAATTAAAAAAAAAAAAAATCCCTAATGGCGTTTCTTTGGGAGCTAGCCAGAGGATCTTTCTCACCGTTGCTGTCTCCCTTGCACTTGAGCATAAGCCCCATAATAAAAGTCTTATCTGGAAAATCTGCTTGGCCATGAGTTAATTTCCATTATATGGGTAGCCAAAGAGCCTGTGGTCTGTAACAAAGCTACCTCTATCAGAATTATCTGAGATGTGTATCAAAAATACCATTTCCTACATGTAGCAAGAAAGCCTTGGCCACTCTTGGATCCCACAGTTTGCGCTCTTGGCTCACTGCCATGTGGCCATGCTTCCTTCACCTCTGCAAAGCCGGCTTTGATAAACTGTCATAAGGAATATCTGGCACTGCTACTCCAGGCTCCAGATAAATGCCAACATGGGAACAGAACAAAAGCATAAGGTGATGATATGGTTTGGATTTGTGTCCACACCCAAATCTCATATTGAATTGTAATCCCCAATATTGGGGGAGGGATCTGGTTGGAGATGAATGGATCATGGGGTCAATTTACCCCCCTGCTGTTCTGGTGATAGTGAGTGAGTTCTCACTAGCTCTGGTTGTTTAAAAGTATGTAGGGCTTCCCCCTTTGCTCTCTCTCTCTCTCTCCTGCTGGCCATGTGAAGATGTCTTTGCTTCCCCTTCACTTTCTGCCATGATTGTAAGCTTCTTGAAGCATCCCCAGCCATGCTTCCTGTACAGCCTATGGAACTGTGAGCCAATTAACCCTCTTTTCTTTATAAATTATCCAGTCTCAGGTAGTTCTTTATAGCGGTGTGAGAATGGACTAATACAGATGTTCTTTTTGTTTTTACACCTTGTTCTAGCACTTCTGTATGCTTAAGATTTTGTTATATTTTTGTCACAAAGTGAAGTTCCCCCCTTAGTACCCCTAAATAAGAAAGGTAGAGTTGCAATTTAATGCTACTAACAGCTATAAAAGAAAGCAGCAGTTTCCCTTGGCCAGGGCAAAGCAGCCACTACAAAACTTGACCATGGTTTCACTTCACAAACTGATAAATGGCACTCCTTATGTGCCAGGCAGTGACCTGAGTGCTTTACAATCAACGTTGACTTATGGAATCTTCTAGATGAGCCTGTGAGGTAGGTACTATTGTTAGCCTCATGATAAATAAGGAAAGAACATTTTTGTAGTCACTTCTCTGTGAGGTTTGAGGCTCAAGTTCTTGGAACTTTGAAACATCAGCCAACAACAAAACACTACCAACAAAAAGTTTGCTCCAGTAGAAGATGTGAAGCAACTGATGCATAAAATATCTTGTTATTTTTAAATGTTACTCTGGGTGAAAAATAAAAAGACTATTAAAAAACTCTTCTGTCAGTGGTCCCTTGGAGCTCTGAAGTAAATTTAAAACATAATGATTGGAAAGGAGCCTCCTTTCACACTTGGAAAAGAAGTCCCCAAAACTCTGGGTGCTGTCTGAGACCTTGCAACTTCAAATTGCTGGGGGTGGAGCCCAGGACACTAGGGTGGAGGCTGTCACTCCCCACACTACTGGGACTTAGAGACTCAGAGCCAGCTCTTGGTCCTCTCTGCAAAGAATACGTAGGAAGTAGTTTAATTTTCAGTAAAAGAAGAAATGTTTTTCAACGTGGTCACCTGCAGAAACTACAGTCCACCTTTATAGTGGTAAAATATAATTACGGTCTTGAGAATTTCCCTAAAAGATTCTGCATGGGTTGAAATTTGGGCTTCAAATCAGCAAAGGGAGGATGGGACACAGCTTCTGTGAAAGTTCCTCTAAGGAGGATGCAGCTTCAAGTGAGTAACCTGTGATACCTTTTCATTCTGGATGGATAGAAGAGCTTATCTGAAAATAAAACCTAAATTTGTGTGGGAGTTTTTTTTAACTCCTTGCAATACCCGGATGGATGGATGGATGGATGGATGCATGGATGGATTGAGACAGTGTCTCCTTCTGTTGCCCAGGCTGGAGTACAGTGGCACAGTCAAGGCTCACTGTAACCTTGACCTCGCAGGCTATGGGGATTTATTGCGAAGCAAGAAGTAAGTAATCAAGAAAGGGGAGTAGGGAGTGCAACTGTACTCGAGAGAGAGTAGCACCCAATGGGGTTTGAGGCTTCTACTTCTTTAACCAAGGAATATTCACACCGATTCCTGGAAAAAGGTGAAGATTCCTTGGAACTGCGGTACCACCTATTTTTACCCCAAATATAGATGTTCCCAAAACTGTCATGGCACTGGTGGGTAATGGATTTAATGTTTTACTGAGCATATAATGAGGTCCTAGGTAAAACCTAGGTCAAATCCAGCACCATGTTGGGTCCAGTTGGTCTCAGTAAGCTTGGTCCACTCCCTGGTTTTCAGGTTTTCTCATCCCCTAGCTCATGCAGCCATTTCAACAGTTTTCTTTGGCTAGCCATGTGAAACTGCTGCCTAGAATTTTCTCCTGTGACCACCCTGTATTATTTCTGTCTCAACCTGAGGAGCTCTTCTGGTAGTCTTCATGTGGCTAAAGCTTAAGTTACAACTAGCTGGGTGTGATGGCTCATGCCTATAATCCCAGCACTTTGGGAGCCTGAGGCAGAAGGATCACTTGAGCCCAGAAGTTTGAGACCAGCCTGGGCAACATGGTGAGACACTGTCTCTATAAACACACACAAAAAAATTATTTTAAAAAAAGAATGAACTGTTAATGCACAGAATAAATCATGGGCTTTGGAATGAGAATTGGGATTAAATCCAAAATTAGGTGACCTTGAGCAACACCTGTAAGTTTCTATTCTGTTTCCCCAACTATAAATGGAAATACGATTATTCATTCTTTCATTCTGTAGGGACTAATGAAAACTTTCCTTTCAACCTCTGAAGGTTCACTGAAAATAAACTGACAAAGGCAGATTGATAGGAGAAATGGCATACCCATTGATTAGTGTGCAGGGAGCAGGAGAAATCACAGAGTGATTGCTGCATCACGCATAAAGTATACAGATGGTTATATACCTTTCTTCTTAGGGGAAAGGACGATGGAAAAGTGTAGATTATTTTAGGGAGTAGTAAATTAGTTTTAGGGGAATTCGATGGGCTTGAAAAACACTCAGTAACCTGGGACAAACTTTGTTTGGGCCCACAGGGCAGACAATGGTTTCTTGCTTCCTGTGATATGAGTTTGAAATAGGCCCAACTGTCTCATAGAAATGATATATATGGGTTTTTGAATAACACAGAAATGGACCCTCCATCTTAATATTTAAAACTTATATTTGTCTTAACTGTGTTCCTTCTTCAGGAAACTGACCCTCAGGCAAGGGACTAAAACTCGTCAGATCACCGCATCCAGACAATGAGATGCCAGACCTCGTATCCATCATAATTGCTTCCTTACTCCTCCCTAATTTCTGTTTTCCCTGCCTTCCCCTCTATATAAATGATAGATGCAGGAGGCAGATAAGGGAGGCTACCTGGAGAATCTCCAATCCATCCCACAAGTGTTCATATCAGATGCTTTTGTGCAGAGGGGGAACATGCCCAGGGCCTTGTCTGGACATGCCCACAATGGACTGGGGGCCTGCCTGCACACTGGGAGTATGGGGTGGAGCCACCAGGGATCAGCACCTTATGCAGTAGGGAGGAGCCTGGACTCCTCAGCTTGTATGTGTGGTGCCCTGATATTCAATCTGTGAGGTGGGAGCCTGCTGTCAGGACCCCCTTTTTATTCACTGAGAGCTTTCTTTTAATAAATTCTGCTCTCCTCACCTTTCAATGTTTCCACATGCCTAATTTTTCCTGGTTATGTAACAAGAACCAGGATGTTAGGTGAACTAAGGAGCAAAAAATCCTGCATCATAAACATCCCAATTTTGGTCAGTTGGAGAGACAGATTTGAGACTGACCTCCTGTTCTCCTCCACTGAGCACCCAATAAAGCCTTCTTCCCTGGCAATACTCATTGAGTCAGTGATTGGCATTCTGTACATGGAGCAGCAAGTCCTAGACAGAATCCCTGGTGTTTCAGTAAAAAGTTCAGTTAATGAAAACTCAGGGAAGAAATCAGAGATAATTGTTTTCTTCTTTGGTAGGTCTGGACTTTGGGCAGACAAGGGAACTTCAGAGAACAACTTTAGCCTGTGTTTTGGGAGAGACAGAGGATTGAGAGACTAGAGAGAGGGGAGAGTCAGAGAGACCTTGAGGCTCCTTCAGTTCAGCATATCAAACTACCATATCTTGGAGTATCAGTTTCTAAGCCCTAACATTTTGTTCAACAAATACTTATTTAAGACTTACTTTATTAGGGTAAAAAGCTAAGCTACTGATGACTAAACTCTGATTTTTTTTTTATCTTGCCCAAATTCCTATCTAAGGTGTCTAGGGAGTCATGCCCTACAAACCATAGATTCTCATCAGACAGGTTTTATTTAACCCTATATATTGTGACTTATTTTCCAAACCTGATTCTGGCATAACTGTAAATTAAAGAAAGTGGAAAGAAACATGAAAAGTGGCTCCACAGTCAAAGACATATTTATTTTGGAGAATAAACCTGAGAGGGGCTTCTGGCCGATTTTGGTCAGGAATGCTATCTCTTACAGACTAAGAGAATTTATTGGTTTTAGGGTGAGAGAGCTTATCACAAGCTTGGAATGTTTCCGTGTAGGGGAGAAGTTTATGGTGGGGTTGGAATGTCTCTGCTCAGAGGGGAGGTTATCTCGGGGCTGACATCTTTCCGGCAGGACGGGGGTTATCTTGGGGCTGACATCTCTCCAGCCGGAGGGGAGGTAATCTCGGGGCTGGCATGTCTCTGGTCGGGGACAGGTTTATCTTATGTTTGGAATGTTTCTGGTGATAAATGTCATTTGTGCTTTATGATCATGCTGACCTTAGCCATTAGGCTGACGCCCTTTGGATTTGGGCAGCTTTTGATCAAGCTGAACTTTAAAATGGTGGTGCTCATCCAAGATGGCGATGCTCCTGTTCTGTCAATAACATTATGAGACAAGGGAGAAAATAAAAATATTTTACCGGCAAAACATGTTTTTTGTCACATTTTGAAATAGCTCTGCAAGCCATCCTTTGTGGGGGAAAATTCGTATCTGTAAAGAATCCCTATTAACACAACTAGACATTTTCCTTCCAGGCCCCTCCAATTCTAAATAGATTAACTGAGAGTCTAGCACTCTTTAAAGGGTCTGAATAGGAAACATTTGTCATCTATTGTTTCTAAGGGGAGCCGCCATGAGACTTCAAAAGAACTTTGGTTTCCACAATCTTCTATCTTTGTAAGGTCAGCCAAGAGAAAGGACAAGAGAGAGAGACCCAAGTTCAGGCAAACCTTTATTCAACCTGCCGGCTGCTCCATTACAGACAGAGGAGGCAGCCCTGAGCTTAAAAAATGAGGGGTTTATACGGGGCAGAGAGACCCTGGGGTTGTTTGCTGGTTAATTCTGCCACAAACCGCCTTATGATGTTTATGATACATGGGGGTGTAGGTAAATTTTGCTTATGCTTCCCACGACCTCCCCCGTGTGGTCTGGATGGTTTGTAATTGGGATTTGCTCATCGCAGCAAGGTCTGATAAGTGGTCTGCTGGCTCCACCACGGTGCCTAAATAAGGGCTTAGAAATGTAAAAAGTCTTAGGGGAAGGGGAGGGGTAGCCCGGAGAAGTTTAGAGGGGGGTTGTTGGCAGTACCAAGAAGCACTTTCAGGGTGATTTGTCCCTAACAATCTTAATCTGAATGTTTGCTTTCTATTGATCCCAGGTCCTTAGACAAAAACTCAATCAACTGTCAACCAGAAATGTTTAAATTTACCTATAGCTTGGAAGCTCCGCCCCCTTCAAGTTGACCTGCCTTTCTGGAACAAACCAATGTATTCCTTAAATGTATTTGATTGATAGATTATGCTTCCCTAAAATTTGTAAAACCAACCTGCACCCCAAACACCTTGGGCACATGTTCTCAGGACCTCCTGAGGGCTGTGTCATGGGCCATGGTCACTCATATTTGGCTCAGAATAAATATCTTTAAATATTTTACAGAGTTTGACTTTTCGTTGACACTACCATTACAAAGCGCCTCAACAATACAAAGACTCAAACAAAAAACCTACTTCTTTTCACATTAACAGTTGCAAGCTGTAAGCTATCTTTTTGGTGGGGCAGCTCTACTTTTGGAAGCGATTCATATTCAGGAACCTCATTCTTTCCCTTAGGGCATTGGTGACATCTGCCTGGCTGAAGCTGGATCACTGGGAGAAAGGGAAGGAGACCCTGGAGAATGCAGACACTGTCGTAAGGCATAAGTCTCCAAGGGCACAGATCACCACTGCTCACATTTCATTCATGAACATTTAGTCATTTGGCCAAGCCACTACGCAGCTTGCTGGGAAACATAGCCTGGTTCTGTACCAGGAAGTAGATAGATAGATTTTGTCCCTTCTAACAATCTTCACTAAGCCACTCCCTACTGGTCACTGTTGGCTTTCAGGATACAGCACTGAGAGAGAAAAAGGAACAAAGTACCTGCTAGCACAGAACTCACATACTAGTGGGGTAAGACTCACAAACACACATATGGCATCACTGCACATAGCTAAAAGAGCTACGATGAAAACAAAAAGGGGACCTGGGATGGAGAGTGACTGGGGCTGGGACAAGAAGGAAAACTTCTCTGAGGAGCTGATGTTTCAGATGAGATAAAGAGAGAATAAAGGATAGTAAAATATAAACTGCATAGTATGTAACAGGTTGTATGTCTACCAGAATTCTAACTATTAAAATTCAGGCAAGCATATACACACACCCTTCTTAGATTATATAAAACCAAAATCAAGTATTTTATCCACTTTTTGTGGAAGAAAGACATTCTTAGAAATCAAATGGAAGCTATTAATAGAAATTGAAATCTGGAGCCATTAGAGGTGCAGAGACTGAGAACTGCTTTAAGCAAGCACTTGAGATTAATGCTATAGTTTCCTCCTAAGGGAGCATAGCATATTGCATTCTGCTGTCAAGATATGTGAAACAATTGTACCCAAGACTAGGTCAAAGGATGTTTGAGTAACAAAGTCCACCTTGTCCACTGACATAGAGTCCTTGCTTGGCCAAACTTTAGTCAGGCTTCTGAATCTTCTGCTAAGGCCCATCTCTGTGCTTTCTTATAAAATCCAGTTTTAGCAAAGTGCACTGCTTAGGTAGTTTAACAAGAAGCTCCTATTCTCAATACTGGATCATCCTCAATATCTTGATCAGGTTCCTCATCCCCACCAGCTGCCAGGTGATGCCTGATCACCCTGCCTGCCTTCAACAAGAATCCTGTAGGTCAGTTTAGCCAGAATTCCCCTTTCCCTTATGCTACCTCTTACTAATTTTCTATTCATTGACCCCAACCCTACTCCTTGGCTATCAACTCCCACTTGCCCATGATGTATTTGGAGTTAAACCCAATCTCTCTCCCCATTGCTATGCAAGACCTTGTTACAATGGTCCCTATACCTATTGAGATCGTCCTGAATACAGTCTTCTTTAACTGTACTTTAACAAGCGTCATTGAATAACTTTTTCTTTTCTTTTTCTTTTTTTTATAGAGACAGAGTCTCTCTCTGTCACCCAGGCTGGAGCGCAGTGGCGCAATCACAGCCCATTGCAGCCTCAAACTCCTGGGTTCAAGTGATCCTCCTGCCTCAGCCTCCTGAGTAGCTGGGACCATAGGTATGTGCCACCATGCCCAGCTAATTTTTAAAAAAATTTTTTGGCAAGACAGGGTTTCACTGTGTGGCCCAGGATGGTCTCTAACTCCTGGGTTCAAGCGATCCTCCAGCCTCAGACTCCCACAGTGTTGGGATTACAGGCATGAGCCACCATGTCCAGACAGAATTTTTTTCTTTAACAAGATTCAGCTACAAGTAAGCAGCAAGCATTTGGTGCAGATACACAGTAGGCAAAAACTGCACAGGGTTGATGGAACTCAAGCAACAAGAAAAGAGGGAAATATACAATAGATAAAGCTAGCTGGCTAAAGTTTTTATCAGTTTTAAATGAAGAAAGAGTGAAAGCTAATCTAAGAATACCATTTAAGCATATTAATATATGTTAGGCATAATTGTTGCATAAAATCATGCTACTTAAACTGCAAACTATGATTCTCATTCCATAGTAAGCTTTATCATTAAATCCTTTGTATTGTCTATATTCATAAAGTCCCAGGTTGAAGAACACTTATAATTTAATTATAATTATAATTTTATTATAAATAATAAAAATGACATCGACCTTGAGCACTTGCATAGATTGGAAGGTGGGCCAGGAAGAAGAGGTAAAGAGAAAGTGTGGAAGTGAATGTCATCCTTTTATAGAGTAGGGACTCACGAGACTGCCTATGCTCAATGGAATAGGAAATTTAGGCTTACGTAGATTTTTTTAAAGACAGAAGATATAGTCAAGGAAATAAAAAATAGGAGAGCAGCAATGAGTGTACTAAGTGAAGAATCTCTGCAACCGTCATTGCAAGAGGATGACAATGTCTGAAAATAAGTATTAAACAGCACTTAACATAATTTTGATTAAAGAAATGAGCACCACAACAAAATTAAAAAGGAATGATTAAAAGTGGGTTTCCCGGGGATAGGTGGGTCAAGGGTGAGGAAGGATGGGGTGAAGGAACTGTTGATTTTGTTACAAGTCCAGCAGCAATATATGATTTATATTAACCAGGACATACATGTTACTTTGTTCTAATTTAAAAATATAAATTTAAAAATTTTAATTGTTAATTTCCAGATATCATTACAAATAAATATGTGAATCAGGTGGAACCTCAGGTGAACTGTAAGCACTGTTGTGATGCTTAGAGTGCTTACAACTGGCAAACGATGATGACAATAGTTATCTCTGTGCTGCCTGTGCCCATGAGGCCTGCATCAGCATCCCCTAAGGCATATGTCACAAACTACAACTCCTGGGCCCAACTCAGAACTAAGACTCTGATTCTAAGAAAGAGAGAATGGTGAGAATTCACATTTTTAACACAAAAAGGCTCAAGTCTTCAAGTTGGAGAGTTAGGAGACTAAAGAGCATTTGAATAATATAGTCTATAAAAGTCTGAGCTCTCAAGGCCACCTCTGTGTGAAATACAATGATACCTCTTAAACCAACAAATGTTTTAAAATATAGCGGATAGAGTTAATGCCTGAATCCATATGCAGTAGAATGAATGTTTGCATCCCCCTAAACTTCCTATGTCACAATCCTACTTCCCAGTGTGATGATATTAGGAGGTGGGGTTTTGGAAGGTGATTAGGTCATCAGGTGGACCTCTCATGAATGAGGTTAGTGCCCTTATAAAAGAGACCCCAGAGAGCTCCTTTGTCCCTTCTACCATATGAGGACAAAATGAGAATCCAGCTCTCTATGAACTAGGAAGTGGGCCCTCACCAGTCGCCAAATCTACCAGTGCCTTGGTTTCAGACTTTGCAGTCTCTAGAACTGTGAGAAATAAATTTCTATTGATTTTAAGCCATGCAGTGTGTGGTATTCTGTCACAGCAGCCTGAACGGACTAAGACACTGTAGCTATTAGGTGTCTGACTGGATCCATAGCTACCAGAGCCCGTGGGTTGGCAGTGAAATGGGAAGCATGGACACTTGGGATGACATGGACAGTGACAGGGAGAAGTGACACATCCCTAATCTGCAAGGCCCAGAGAAGCTACAGCAGTTAAGGTCAAGACAGCAGAACAGAGCATGGCCCCAAGGCTGCAGCAGGTAGACACAGGAGGCACCCATCCCTGCACATTTCCAAGAGAAGGAATGCATTTGGAAATGAGGTAGCACCTCCACTTATTAAACTGGTAGGGTCTGAGACTAAGAACTATTTCTCTTACTGCAGTTATTTTTGTTCATATCTTTTGGTTATCCTTACTGGGGCTGCTGTTGCCTGAGAAAGAAAATGATGTTCCAAACAGAAAGCAAAAGATTGTGAGTGTTTGTTTCTCTTTAGACTAAGACCCAGAAACCATTTTTAATTGATGTACTTTTAGCAAGCACTTACTACACATAGTTTGTGGTTCACTTAACATCTCTTGACTATGGGTCTGACATTATGGTATGAAAGGTGAGTAAGAGAAAGGGTTTGCCCTCAAAGAGTCAATTCAGTTGAGAAGGCAAACAAATATGCAATTATAAAAGTGGTAAAGAGGTTGTATGTTTCTCCCTGGAAGAGTCAGTAAAGGTAGAATACCTTGCATTGAAACCTCAAAGACAGTAACAAATGCATAAGAGGACTCCACGGCAACAAGCTATTTGATATAACTAGAGGTATAGTGGCAATAAATTACAGTGGGGAAGGAGGCAGTGACATCAATGGTTCTTACCTAGGCTCCTCACTAGAGTCAGCCGAGGAAACTTTAAAGAAATAATCAGCGATCAGCAAAAATGGCAGAGTATACAGCTTCAAGCACCCTGTCCTCCACAGAAACAACACACAAATCATGCAGGAACTCTCAGAATTTGCTTTGCCAAAACACAAAAACAACACAAAAAATCAAGCAGAAACTCTCAGAATTAGCTTTGCCAGAAATGTGGGAAACAGAATCAAAGTGAACACTGTAAAGGAAAAGCCAACTTACATATTGCTGAATTCTCTTTACTATTACTTTGTTAAGAATGTCCGCATATTTATTCAAGAAAGATGTTGGTCTGTAGTTTTCTTTTTTTCTGATGTCTTTGGTTTTATTATTAGGGTAACATTTACCTCATAGAATGATTTACAATATGTTTCTTCCTCTTCTAATTTCTGGAAGAGATTATGTATAATTGGTGTTACATCTTTAAACCAATGTTTGGTTTGTATATCTTCTATTGGTTTTGAAGATCTCTGACTGACACAATGAACAAATTAAAACCAAAGTTAACAGAAGAAAAGAAATAATAAAAATTATAGCAACAATAAATGAAATTAGAAAACAAAATAATCAACAAAACCAAAAGTGGGTACTTTGAAAAGATCAACATAATTGACAAAGTTTTTGCATCTTCTTGCTTTTTTTTTTAAAAAAAAAAAATCAGTCTAGTTTAGCTGATATTTTTAAAAAGCAAGAAGACACAAAAACCTAAAATCAGAAATAAAATTGGTGACATTCCAATGAACTTACAGAAATAAAAAAAAGTATGAGATGATACTATGAACACTTGTACCCCAATAAATTAGATAACCTAGGTGAAGTGGACAATTTTCTAGAAATATGCAAATTACTCAAGAAGAAATTGACTCAAGAAGAAATAAAAAATTTTATTAAGCCCATAATAAGTAAAGTGATTGAATCAGTAATGAGAAATCTCCCAACAAAGAAAAGCCAAATAGTAAATAGCTTCATTGTTGAATTCTACCAAATGTTTAAAGAATTAACACCAACACTTCTCAAAGTCTTCCAAAAAAATAGAAGATAAGCAGACAATTCCTAACTTATTTTCTGAGGCTCATATTACACTGATATCAAAGCCAGGCAGGGAGACCACACTACATGAAATAAAACTACCAACAAATACTCCTTATAAATATAAATGTAAAAATCCTCAACAAAAAATTAGCAAACAAAATTCAGCAGCATATTATGAGAATACCTTCAGTTTTATAAAGAACACCTATAAAAACACCCTATAAATAACATATACTCATTTATGAAAGGCTATTAATTCCTCTTAAGATCAGAAACAAGGAAGGATATGCCCTCTAACCATGTGTAATCAAAATAGTGCTAGAAGTTTTAGGCAGCACAAAATGACATGAAAAGGAAATAAAGACATACAGATTGGAAAGAAAGAAATAAATTGTCTCTATTTGCAGATGACATGATAACTGACATAGAAAACCCTAAGAAATATGCTCATATAGACACAAAAAACTTCTAGAAATACTGAGTTTAGCAAGGTGGCAGGATACAGGATCAACATACAAACATCAATTGCATTTCTATATTCTAGCAATAAACATGTGGAAATTGAAATTAAAAATTCAGTACCACTTACAATTACTTAAGAAAGGTGAAATACTCAGATGTAAATCTAATAACATATGTACAGTACTTATATGGTGAAACCTATAAAACACAGACAAAAGAATCAATGATACTATAAACTGGGAGATATTCTGTGGCCATGAATGGGAAAACACAACATAGTATACCAATTCTTTCCAAATTGAGGTACAAATTTAACACAATTTCCAAGCTAAACCATCATATACCCCGTGACCTGCATGTAGACATCCAAATGGCCTGAAGTAACTGAAAATCCACAAAATAAGTGAAAATAGCCTTAACTGATGACATCCCACCATTGTGATTTGTTTCTGCCCCACCCTAAGTGATCAATGTACTTTGTAATCTCCCCCACCCTTAAGTAGGTTCTTTGTAATCTCTCCCACCCTTGAGAAGGTTCTTTGTAATTCTCCCCACCCTTGATAATGTACTTTGTGAGATCCATCCCCTGCCCACAAACATTGCTCCTAACTCCACCCCCTATCCCCAAACCTATAAGAACTAATGATAATCCCACCACCCTTTGCTGACTCTCTTTTCGGACTCAGCCCACCTGCACCCAGGTGAAATAGACAGCCTTGTTTCTCACACAAAGCCTGTTTGGTGGTCTCTTCACATGGATGCACATGACACTGTTAAAATCCTAGACTATTATTTCTGTAGATATAGATCATTCTAAAATTTATATATGGAAAGGCAAAATAATTAGAACAGCTAAAACAATTCTGAGAACAACAAAGTAGACAAAATCTCTATTAATTTTCAAAACTTTTAGCTAGAGTAACAAGGATTGGGTGGCACTGGTGTAGGGACAGATTCATAAATCAATGGAACACAATAAAGAACCCCAAAGTAACTCCACATATGGACTGCCACTGATTATTGACAAAATAATAGAAAACCAGCTAAAATAGCAACAGCTATGTAATAGAGGAAGAATAGTCTTTTCAATAAATGGTCCTGGGGCAAATAGATATTATAGGAAAAAAATGAAATCCAACCTAAACTTCAAATCCTATATAAAACATTAATTTAAAATGAATCATACAGATTTAAATATAAAACTCTAAAACTTTTAGAAGATAATAGAAAACTCCTGGGACTTCAAGTTTGGTGAATTCTTGGACGTGACCCCAAAATATCAATTCATAAAAGATAAAAATGATAAACTGAACTGCATCAAAATTAAAAACTTTTTTAGTCTATGAAAACCCCTGTTAAAAGATAAAAAGACAAGTACAGACACGGAAAAACTATTTGCAAACCACATATTTGACAAAGGATCTAGAACATATAAAGAACTCTTGCTGGGCGTGGTGGCTCATGCCTGCACTTTGGGAGGCTGAGTAGGGAGGACTGCTTGAGCCCAGGAGTTGGAGACCAGCCTGAGCAACATAGTGGGACCTCATCACTACAAAACAACAACAGAAAGTTAGTTGGACATGGGAGCGCATGCCTGTGGTTCCAGCTACTTGGGGAGGTTGAGGTGGGGAATTGCTGGGGCCCAGAAGGTCAAGATAGCAGTGAGCTGTGATTGCACCACTGCACTCCAGACTGGGCTATAGAGTGAGATCCTGTCTCAAAACAAACAAACCAACAAGCAAACAAACACTTTCCAAAAATGTAAATTTGGGAGGTATTAAATATATCAAAAAAGTTCAATTAGAAAATCAGAGAAAGACCCAAAATAACATTTCACTGAAGGGGATATACCAATGGCAACTAAGCACATGAAAAGATATTCAACATCCTTACTTATTAGAATAATTAATGTAAAAAGTAGTGAACTTAAGACTGGTAAAGCTGTGGAGAAGTTAGATCTCTTAGACGTTGCTGGTGAGAATGTCAAATGGTACGGCTATTCTGGAAAATATTTTTTTGCACATCCTTAAAAAACCTAAACATATGCTTACCATAGGACCCAGCAATTGCACTTCTGTGTATTTATCCCAGTGAAAGAAACACTGTCTGCAGAAAAACCTGTACACAAATGTTCATAGCAGCTTTATTTGTTATAGCCCAACATAGAAAAAAAACAGCCTAAGTGCACCTCAATAGGTAAATGGTTCAATTAACTCCGGTACATCCATACCAGGTGTATTAGTTCATTTTCTCAATGCTGTAAAGATACTACCTGAGACTGGGTCATTTATAAATAAAGGAGTTTTAATTGACACACAGTTTTGCAGGGAAGGAAAGGGAAGGAAGGGGGGAGGGGAAGTGGAACAGGAAGGGGAAGGGGAAGGGAATCACCTACCATTTGGTCCCTCCTCGGACACACGGGGATCACAATTTGAGATGAGATTTGGGTGGGGACACAGAGCCATATTCCCATATCATCAGGGATTCCCATATCACAGATTCCCATATCATCACAGATTCCCATATCATCAGGGAATACTGTTTAACAATAAAAGAGGTATTACTGATATATGCAACAGCTTCAATGAATCTAAATGGCAGTATTCTGAGTGAAAAGGAAAAGGCAATCTCAAGAGGTCATATACTGTGATTCTATTTTTAAACCATTCTTACCAAAAAAGAAATATAGAGATGGAAAACAGATTAGTAGTTCCCAAGGGTTAGGGATAGTGGTGGTGAGGAGTGGATATGATTATAAAGGGGTACTAGAAGGGACAGCTTTGTGGTGACAGAAGAGTTCTATCTTGATTATGGTGGCAATTACAGAAATCTACGTATGATAAAATTACAGAAAATTATATACATATTGCACCAATATCAAGTTGTTGGTTTTGATATTGTTCTGTAATTATGTAAGATATAGCTACTGGGAGAAATTGAATGATGGGTACATGGAAATTCTGTACTATCTTTACAACTTCCTGTGAGTATATAATTATTTAAAAATAAAAAGTAAAAGCAGAAAAAAAATTGAAATTTATTCAAATAGGCCAGGCGCGGTGGCTCACGCCTGTAATCCCAGCACTTTGGGAGGCCGAGGTGGGCGGATCACGAGGTCAGGAGATGGAGATCATCCTGGCTAACATGGTGAAACCCCATCTCTACCAAAAATACAAAAAAATTAGCCAGGCATGGTGGCGGGCACCTGTAGTCCCAGCTACTCAGGAGGCTGAGGCAGGAGAATGGCGTGAACCCGGGAGGCAGAGCTTGCAGTGAGCTGAGATTGTGCCACTGCACTCCAGCCTGGTCAACAGAGCAAGACTCCGTCTCAAAAAAAAAAAAAAAAGAAATTTATCAAATAAAAGAATGAGTATGAATTTTAAAGATAATAGAAATATGTTGAAGAAAAAAATTTTTAATAACAAGGAAATCAAAAGCAGTTTCTAAAAGAAAAAAAACAAAAATCTGTGAGAAAGCAAAATGAAAACATGGCATGATTTTAAGAAAATGGTAGGCTATAGGAAACGAATATCAATTTGAATATTTCTTCTAAAATGGTACATTGTTTCTGAAGAAAACAGTATTTACATAGCTCTAGTAATGAGGGAACTGGGCTGGGCACAGTAGTGGCTCACACCTGTAATTCCAACACTTTGGGAGTCCAGGGCAGGATTGCTTGAAGCCAGGAGTTAGAGACCAGCCCGAGCAACATAGTGAGACCCTGTCTCTACAAAATAATAATAATAATAATAATAAATTAGCTAGGTGTGGGGGCTTGTACCTGTAGTTCCAGTTACTCATGGAGGCAGAGGTAGAGGATGATTTGAGTCCAGGAGTTTGAGGGTGCAGTGAGCTATGATCGTGCCACTGCACTCCAGTCTGGGTGACAGAGCAAGATCTCATCTCTACAAAAAAAAAAAAAAAATTAACCTACATAGTAAGATGGCAGAGAGCTATGGCTGCAGAACAGAACATAATCATGATCAACTCTGATATACAAAAGCAAAAACACAGCTTATAAAAGTTGGGAGACGGAAAGACAGAATAGAGGTTGAAGGAGGCTCAAAGCAATACATTTCCATTTTTCTTTTTTTTTTTTTTTTTTTGAGATGGAGTCTTGCTCTGTCTCCCAAGTTGGAGTGCAGTGGAGCGATCTTGGCTCACTTTAACCTCCACCTCCCAGGTTCAAGTGGTTCTCGTGCCTCAGCCTCCTGAGTAGCTGAGGCTACAGGAAAACGCCACCATGCTCAGCTAATTTTTGTATTTTTAGTAGAGGTGGGGTTTCACCATATCGGTCAGGCTGGTCTTGAACTGCTGACCCCATGATCAGCCCACCGCAGCCTCCCAAAGTGCTGGGATTACAGGCATGAGCCACCATGCCTGGTCCATTTCTTCAGTTGCAGAGTAGGGACAATCTATCTTTGTAAATGGAACATGATACGATTTTGAGTTACAATGGTAAATGCCAAAGTTACAAAGGTAAAAAAGAAAAAAAAAACAAACAAAAAAACAAATGCGGATAAAACTGTATGGGGGCATTAAATCTAAATTCTCATAATATCCTAAAGTTGATAAAAATTAATGAACCAAGTTGGTAAATTAAGCAATAATGGCATAATCACCTTATTTAAAGAAGAAGTAATAGAGATATAGAAGTATAGGACTAAAAGCAGAAATAATTAAAACTTGTTGATTCCGGGGAGTGAATGTAAGGGTGGGGTGGATTCAAACAAGGGGCTATTGTATTTCATTTTAAGTCCCATTCTATATGCTTGAGATACTACAATGAAAAAAAAAGATGAATGTTTCCAATTCCTTTGTACAGCTCTATATCCATTTTTGACTGCTAAATATTTAAGCTTTGGAAGTAGGGTAAGCAGACTCCAGTTACCCATCTCTCATAATAAGGAATGTCTGCATGTTGTTGATCCTCTCTGACAGGGGTGAGCCATTGCCTCCTCTGTTTCCCCCAAATAAATACTCAATGATCTCTGACGTAGGCTTAAGTATTTCAAAAATTAAATTAAGTGTATCTAAGCACTGGAGGATCAGGACCTACGATTTTATTTAGCTTTTGTTTTCTTGTTGCATGTAAGGGGCATAAAACTGTACCATGTCAGACAAAAGGATGGTCTTTTATTCTCTGGTTGTAAAACATCTCCAAAATCCTCTAATATTACTCTTGCAATCTAGACCTTTTTTTTTCATGAACAGGCACCACACACTCCACCATTTCATATCCCAGTTTTGTTTATTTGGGAACATTTACTCTTGTGGATAACAGAATACCAGTCACAAGATCCTTCTTCTGTATTACAAATTCTGCCACTTTGTTTCAGAACTGGGTATCAGGATTCCTCCTCTGCCCAGGTTTCTGCTGTCCCCCCAAAAGAAAGACATGTAGCTGGGCATGGTGGTACACATCTGTGGTCCCAGCTACTCAGGAGGCTGAGGCAGGAGGATTGCTTGAGCCCAGGTGTTCAAGGTTGCAGTGGGCTGTGAATGCTCTACTTCACTCCAGCCTGAGCAACAGAGCAAGACCCTGTCTCAAAAAAGAAAAAAAAAAAAAGAAAAGAAAAAGAAAGACTTATAATCTTTCTTTGGATAGAGGAAAAAAGATGGTGGGCTCTTCAACCCCAGGTTGAGTACTCCATAAATATAATACTGTCTGTGGCAAGATTTCTTCAGAATTTCCTTGTCACTATGAATATTAATCTCCTTCTAAGTCCAGCTAGTCTGGTTTTACATGATTAACATGATTAATTAATTATAATTAATCCTGGCTTAAAAGAGGCACTCACCTCTTTAAGTCTGGTTTTCATTACAAAAAGCATTTGCTGGGTAGTATGAGATAAATGGTGCCACCATTCTAAAACAACATCTTTGGCTCCCCATACTTTTCTTAATAGTGAGGTAGAAAATACTGAAATCCTTTGATACAGCAATAAGATTTTGTTATGTTATTTTACTTTACCATACATAGATGGAAAGATTTTATACATGTATTTTCAGGCACTCTCAAGTGCATTTGAAGTTAAGGCCTTTGTCTTATATATGTCCTTGACTTCTTCCTAGCACCAAATACTACCCCAACACTCAATAACTATTTGGTGTAAGAGTTAGCTAGATTATTTTTTCTTTTGCTGCATCATAGCAGATGGCCAGTGACATCTAGTTGGGCAATAGTTTTCACATCTAGTGGGAAATACTTTTCACTGAGGAGTTTTCATATCATAGCTATGTTACAATTTCAAGCATGCTGAATTTCATAACAGAGTAAAAAAGCTTCATATTTTTTACTACTAATATCTTACGCAAGTCTTTCATAAGCCAATAAATGGTTAATTTTTACAAAAGATGCTAATAGACCATTAATGCAAATATATGTATTAGCTTATGGTTTTTATTCCTAGCTATTGTTTTTAATTTTTTTTAATAAAAAAAAAATTTTTTTTGGAGACAGGGTCTCACTCTGTTGCCCAGGCTGAAATGCAGTCATGTGAACATAGCTCACTGTAGCCTTGAACCTCTGGGCTCAAGCAATCATCCTGCCTCCACCTCCTGAGTAGCTGAGACTATATGCGTGTGCCACCACATCCAGCTAATTTTAAATTTTTAGTAGAGATAGGGTCTTGCTATGTTACCTAGGCTAGTCTCAAACTCCTGGCCTCAAGTGATCCTCCTGCCTCAGCCTCCCAATGTGCTGGGATTACAGGTGTGAGCCACCATGCCTGGCCCTGGCTACTGTTCAAGTTCAGGATTATCAAAGAAAAAATGTGCCAGACAAGTTAAACAGGCAAGGTAGACTTTATTCAAGACAACTGTAATAAGGGAGAGAGACTGAACTCAACTCTAGATACCTGGGGATTTATAGCCAGTGGGCAAGGTGAGGTGTTAGTGGATGAAAAATTACTAAGGGGAACTTGATTTATTGTTATGGTGTGAACGTCTGTGTCCTCCCTCCCCACCCAAATTCATTTGTTGAAGCCCTAATTCCCACTGTGGCTATATATGGAGTAAAGAAATAATTAAAATTAAAATTAAAGTTAAAATGAGGTAATAAGAATATGGCCCTGGTTCACTAGGATTAGTGTCCTTATGAGAAGAGACATACTCTCTCTCCCTGCTGGTGCACAGAAAAGAGGCCGTGTGAGAACACAGTGAGGAGGCAACCAACTGAACTCAAAAAGAGAGCTCTCACCAGAAACCATCCATGCTGGCAAACTGTCCTTGGCCTCCAGAACTGTGTAAAGATGTCTGTTGTTTAAGCCACCCAGTCTATGGTATTTTGCCATAAGGCAGCCTGAGCAGACTAATACAAGTACCAAGGGTGTGGGGATTCTCGCAAAATCAGGCCCAGCAGGTCAAACATGAAGCCTAGCCAAGAAGAGGGCTGAGAGTAGTGGGACAAAAGTTTGGTCAGGCAGGGTGCAGTGGCTCACGCCTATAAACCCAATTCTTTGGGAGACTGAGGCAGGAGGATCACTTAAAGCCAGGAGTTTGAGACCAGCCTGGGCAACAAAGTGAGACCCCCTATCTGTATATAAAAAAAAAAAAAATTAGCCAGGTTCAGTGGAGTATGCCCGTAGTCATAGCTACTCAGGAGACTGAGGTGGGAGGACCTCTTGAATCCAGAAGTATGAGGCTGCAGTGAGCTGACTGTACCACCACACTCCAGCCTGGGTGGCAAAGTGAGACCTTGTCCCAAAACACACACACACACACACACACATAAATAAAGTTTGGTCAGTCTTTTCTCTTGTTCAAGGAAAGAACAGACATTTTTCTTTCCTCTAAATAGTAAGTCCATTTCTAAGTTGGCTTCCTTTTGTTAATTAAGGAAAAGCTAAATTATTCTCTTGAGATTTGCAGTAAAGACATTTGTTAGATGGCAAGAGCATTTAATGAAGGGTATTCCTATGAAAATAAAAGAAAAACAAAAATTAATTGTTGGAGCAGACTATGAACCCAGCTGGTGATTCTATACTTCAGGTGTGAAGCACCTGTAGAAGATGGAATAAGGATGGCAGTGGCAATCCAACTGCCACTGCAAACCAGTTTCTGGTTTGCAGTTTGAACACTTTGGTGATGACGCAGACCTCAGGGAGGTTTTCGTGAGATTGTCACGATCATGGTTATTTCCTACAGCAGAGTGTGGCAGAGGCAGGAGTTCCAGTGAACTTCCTGAGTGGCCTCCACAGCAGTAGCTCTGGGCATGAAGGATGCCCTAACATGATCTTTTGTGATGATGAGCACTTGGAAATTTATCCTGCAGGATTTCTGCAGATCTAGGAGAAAAGGCTGGCTACAAGACAACCTAGAGTCCCAATAAGAATCTGGATAGGCAGGTTTTAGTTAAGTCAGGAAGGTAGAAGTAAATCAGAAACATTTGGAGAGTTGTAGCCAGATATTAAAGGAAACTAGAAGAATTGAAAATTTGATAAAGACTGACACTATGTGTGAAAGAGCAGAGTCCAGTACCATTTACAAGTAGGCAACAAAACTATGTAGGGTTACAAAGAGGTGAAAAATAGCTCAAAGTCAATGTACAGGACTAGAATCTGGTAACCCACAAGGGGGTGTTAATAGTTTTCTACTGAAACAAAGAACTTGTCTCTACAGTCAGAAACAGTTAATTTTCCCAAGATATATAATAGACTATTAATGCATGTACATGAATTAACTCACAGTTTTTGGCCGGGGGCAGTGGCTCACACCTGTAATCCCAGCACTCTGGGAGGCCAAGGCGAGTGGATCACCTGAGGTCAGGAGTTTGAGACCAGCCTGGCCAACATGGCGAAACCACGTCTCTACTAAACATACAAAAATTAGCTGGGCGTGGTGGTGGGGTTCTGAAATTCCAGCTACTCAGAAGGCTGAGGTAGGAGAATTGCTTGAACCCAGGAGGCAGAGGTTGCAGTGAGCCAAGATTGCGCCACTGCACTCCAGCTTGAGACTCTGTCCCAAAAATAAATAAATAAATAAATAAAAAACCTTACAGTTTTTTATTCCTGAGTATTATTTAAGTTAGGGGACTATAAAATGCACATATTTGTGAAGTATGCGTTTCTGTTTTACAACTTTTATTTTTTATTATTCCTGTTATCTAAAAGGATCTTGAATCATGTTTTGGATTTTGTTTTCTTCTTTGCTACTGCTCCTCTTGCTTACTGACAAAACTTTAAAAACTCTTATCTTGACCATAAGAACTGTTTTAAGTTAGTATCCTCAAAGACTTATCATTACCAAGATTGTGACTAAGGTAGTGGCAAAGGAACTTATCTGCCCATATAAGAATACATTTTTCGTTATTAAAATAAATAATCTCATTGGTATGTGGCTTCTTGTTTGAATATATAACACCGGGACTTTTCATACTCATATTCTGTTCTTCTTGGAAAATGGGAAAAGTACCTGTCCCCCTGCAGGCAGTGTGAGCCATATGAACGTGGACAGAAGTGATGTGTGCCATTTTCAGGCAGGATCACTTATTTGCTAGCATAAGACACTGCAAGAACTCTCTTTCCATCATAACAATAGAAAGCACATGTCAATATGATGGTGTTAGGAGTACTGAGCCAACTCATGGAGGACAGCTGCCCTGGAATACTGTCTGATATATAAACTTTTGCCATGATAGGCTACTGCAATTTTGTGTCATTTGTTAGAGCAGATAATCTAGCCTATCCAGACTGATACAGTTAAATGAGTTCTGTATTAGCAGTGTCCAGGTTTGGATGATAAATTATATATATCTCTCCATATAATTTATATAGATATACATATATATTATATATATAATATCTCTATATAAGATATACTGATATAATATATATAAATAATTTTAATATATAAATTATATAGACAGCTATATAACTAATTTTTTAATGACAAAAATTATAACTACATAATTTATATAAATATATTATAGATATATAAATTATATCTGTATGTATGATATATATTATATATACATTATAATTTTTATATATAAATTATACGCAGAGAGAGATATATATATATAATTTATCATCCAAACCTGGACACTTCTGAGAGTGACATGGAAAACCATTAGTCATTCCATCAGGATAACAGTCATAAACTGGGACTGACTTGAGCAAACCAGGCTGTGTGGTCGTCTGAAGTACGTGGCAAGCAAAAGTAGAGGTGTTGAGAACCCCTGACCACCAGACAGCTTTCCAAGAATATTTTCTCATGACATGTTGGAATGTCATTAAACAACCACAAGAGATTGTTTAAGTTTTAGATCATAAGGTAATATAGCCTAGTCAAAGAGGATAGCTCAGTTTAGAAAATCTGGTAAGCCAAGTATATTCTAATTATTTAAATTTTTAAAAATAATTAATAAATTATTTTTGACTTTGAGCTCATATTTTTTGAAACAAACGAGAAATTTTTCTTTGAGTTATACTCTCAGGTCTCCTATCTACAGGATGATTAAAATATTCTGGAATCTCACATATAGTCAAATCATTGAGGAGGCTCTGTGGGTCATAAGCCATTGGTTGTGAGAGGCTTGTTGTCCTAGCTGGGATGGACCCTTCAGTTCTGGAAGTTCTGCAGATTCGATTCTACATGTGGGGCATGAGGAAATGAGGCAAAGGTGGAAACCCCAAGTGGAAAACTCCTGCCTATGTGTAGCATGCATCCATTTCCCCTGAGGTTTTGCCACCTGCTATGATGCTGTTTGGTAAACAGATTTTGGCTTGTTTTACTGCTCAATGAATCCATATTCCTCTTTTCCATTTATAGTGTCGGGAGGAAATTAGGGTCATTGCTGTACAAGAAAAGTCTGCTTTTTGCCCTGCCAAAAACTTCATTACATCACCAAGGCAAGGAATCACACAATTGGCTATCTGCTAAAATACATTAGGGGAAAAGAAAAAGGTGTAAAATAAAAATACAGTTGCCCCTCGGTATCCATAGGGGGTTGGTTCCAGGACTTCCCACCCTTGGATACCAACATCTGGATGCTCAAATCCCTGATATAAAATACGGTAGTATTTGCATATAACCTATGCACATCCTCCCATATATGATAAATAATGTCTAGATTACTAATAATATCTAATATAATGTAAATGTTATATGAAGTCTTCCTTTCCTGTTTACCTTGTCTGGTGCTTTTGTTTTCTTTTTCTTTTTTGGGGGGGGGATGGAGTGTCACTCTGTCGCCCAGGCTGGAGTGCAGTGGCGCAATCTTGGCTCACTGCAAGCTCCGCCTCCCAGGTTCACGCCATTCTCCTGCCTCAGTCTCCCGAGTAGCTGGGACTACAGGTGCCCGCCACCACGCCCAGCTAATTTTTTGTATTTTTAGTAGAGACGGGGTTTCACCGTGTTAGCCAGGATGGTCTCGATCTCCTGACCTCGTGATCCGCCTGCCTCGGCCTACCAAAGTGCTGGGATTACAGGTGTGAGCCACCGTGCCCAGTCGTCTGGTGCTTTTTTTCTTTGATATTCCTGAACTTAAACAGTAGCTAGGGGCAGGCACGGTGGCTGACACTAGTAATCCTAGCACTTTGGGAGGCTGAGGCAGGAGGATCACTTGAGGCCAGGAGTTTGAGACCAGCCTGGGCAACATTATGAGACTTCCATCTCTACTAAGAATTTAAAAATTAGCTCCATGATGTGGCACATGCATGTAGTTCCAGCTGCTTAGGAGGCAGAGGCAGGAGGATTGCTTAAACCCAGGAGTTCAAGACTGCAGTGAGCTATGATCACATCACTGCATTCCAGCCTGGGCAACAGAGTGAGACTCTGTCTCCAAAAAATACAACAACAAAAAACGGTAGCTAGGAACAAAAACCATAAGCTAATTCATGCACTGGCATTAATGGTCTATTAACATATATTTTGTGAAAATTAACCATTTCTTGGTTTATTAAAGTCTTGCCTAAGATATAAGTATATAAAAAATATGACTGAAGCTTTTGTCTCTGGTAGGAAATTCAGCATGTATTGTTTAGGGAATAATGATCAAACAAAAGTCTACACATTTAGTACAGATGCAACCATCCATTTTTGGGGGGAATATTTTCCATCTGTGGTTGGTTGACTCTATGGTGTGGAACCCATGGATATGGAAGGCCAACTATATAAACTAATATGTCAGAGATGTATCTCATTTTCCAACCTTTTAATTAGAAACCAAGGGAAGCTAAGAACACAGAAAGTCCTCCTGCCTAAAACAATCTAGCTATAGCTTACTCCTGAGGCCTCAAATTCCTTATAAGTAATAGAACATCATTATTTAATTCCTTTGTAAAAATTGTAGATTGAGTTTTTAAGAACTGTTTAAATAAAAATATTCCTGGAGGGAAATAAAGCTGATTTCATATATTAAGTATCTTGTCATTAACTTTTTTTTTTTTATCACATGGTCTTTCTAACATGGTTCTAGCTGAGTCCTGTGTCCAGCAGGACACATTGCAGATTAGGAGAAGAAAGGTGGGGTCAAAGGACAGCACTGATGGAGAAGGCATGGATGACACCATAGAGGGGGCACCCGCACAGCTGCAGGCAGCCTGAGGGCACTGCTTACTGAGGTTACGGAAAAGAAAGGAGGGAGGATAGCTGCAATACATGCTGCTCATGTTACACACTGGTTTATAGCTAGTCCTGGCAGCAGGGGCAGTGGAAACAGTGTGATCCAACCACCTGTGTTTTTTAGACTACATTTATCACTTAGCCATGACCTTCAAGTTGGGCAACACTGAACACTTTTCCAGGGACTTTGGTGTGGATCACGCTCTGTAAATATCTCCTTGAAGGAACACAGAATTGAAATAACATTTTGAGGTATTTTTGCTGAAAAAAGAGTTCATTATCGAGGTTAGCTTTTGTTTTAGGATTTTTCATTTCAAAGTCTCTGTTCTGCCCTAATAATGAATTTGTTGTCACAGCTCCTATTTTTACTATTATTTTTAGCAAACTATTCTATTTAGTGGAATTAAAAAAAAAAAGATCAGTTGGTTCTAGTCAACTCTTCATAATTGCTCTGTTCATCAACCTAGAGCCAAGAAGAATCCATACATATGAATTATCATTTCAGTGCCTGGACTTACTACTGTGGTTCAGTATCTGACCAAGAAAGACAGGTTTACTGACCAAAGCCTTTTTCATCTTCATTTCAGAATTCAAATGTCATACTTAAAAACACACATACATACATATAATGTGCACACACACACACACATAAACACAGTAACTTCATTTACACTATGAATCACTAAAGCAGACTCTGAAATGGTTTCACCTAACTACAGTAATAGTTATATACAGCATAATTTTTAGTTCTAATACAAGGTACTTGCGTCAGCTACATTTACATAAAAGTGAACACTTAAGTTTTGGCTCCTTGCTGGCTGTTGCATCCAATCTAATGACCACCAAAATCTGGCTGCAGTCTATCTTTCTAGGCTTAGCTCCCATTATCCTTTTTGCATTCTATGTTCTAGCTAAATCAGATTAATCTCTGCTCTTTGAAAACAAATGATCTATGTAAGCGTTATTCTTTTATATTCCATGTTCCTAAAATAGCTATTCTCTTTATCTCCATAATTCAAAAATTCTATTCAAATTTCAAAGCTTGATTCAAATTTGACTTCTGCCATGGAACACTACTATGGAGCAAGAGTATTTTATTTGTACCCTTACTATTATGTCAAGGGTCACTTTCCTCCTTCTATTATTTGAATGTAAGTTTATTAAGACAGAAGCTATATCATATATTATTGCAATATCCTCAGCATCTATCATAGTGTCAGAAAATGTTTATTGAACTTTAATAGATTCTTTAAAAAATATTAAATTTTACATATACATTAAAAAGATGTTTATCCACAGTTTTGATGCACTTAAGTTTACAAGCAGAAGTTTTCCTTTTTCTCCACTCCATGATTCTGTTTTTTAAGAAGCAGAATTTTTAATAAAGGAAAGATATTTATATAGATTAAGCACCATATAAGAGTAATTTTAACTTGTGAGTTAAAGTCACTTTTTGTTTACTGTAGACAATAAATTATAAATGCTTATTTTTCTAAAAGAAATTCATTTTTTGATAACTTATATTTCCTTTTATTGGAAGATTATCCTAGCATTAAAATCTATGTAATTGAGGGATTATATGTGCAATTTAAAATAAAATTATGCTTTCCCAAAGTCATTTAATCCTATTAATTGTCAAGTGAATATTTCAGAAATTACTGACCTTTTTAATACTGAAAATGAAATCTGCCTGTGCAGACTACATCCAATTAGAAACTAACTCCTGGGCTCAAGTAATCCTCCCATCTCAGCTTCTGGAATAGCTGGGACTACAGGCATGCATCACCACACTCAGGTAATTTTTAAATTTTTTGCAGAGATGAGGTCTCACTATGTTGCTCAGGCTGATCTTGAAATCTTGCAACTTCTGAGCTCAAATGATTCTCCCACCTCTGCTTCCTATAGGGCTGGGACTATAGTCGTGAGCCACTGTGCCTGGCCAATGACAATTCTCTTTAAGAGAGAAAATACTTCTGTTTTTGCTTTTTTTTTTTTTGCAGGGGGAGGGGGATGGTGAGGTAGGGGAGGTGATGAATTTAACTGTACTGAAAATGGTACAAGGAAATCAAACTGCAGAAAAAAACAGTTCCACATTTAGTTACATTTTAGTTTTGGGTTTTCCCCAGACATTGCAGGCCAAATTAGAGTTAAGATGAGGAAATCCTTTCAGTCCTCACAGACCAGACTTGGCTTTATAAAACATAATCAAGTCCCACTATACAACCTAGGTGTTAGGAAGCAACTAGAGTTTTCAAGGTAGATCTGGGCAACACGCAGACACCTCCATTTCTGAGGCTGAAGGAAACATGCACCAGTGCTAACTGCCACGCATATGAAAAATGTGAACTCCTAGCACGGTGACAGTAGCTGTATGCTGAATACCATTTAATTTAATAAGCATTTGTTTGTTGAATACCTTATGCATTCAAATAACAGAGCACTTCTGATACAACAATGCTTCAGCCTACACAGTATTCTGAAAGGAGTCCCAAATAGCTCAATTTTACTTTGGGTATTTTCTGCTTAATAATAAAAGTGAAGCAACCTCGTATGAAGAATTAAGTTATTACAGTAAGTGTTATTGCTGTTGCCAGGACCAAACTTACTGTAACAATGTATCAAGAACTCTAGGAATAAACTGTGTGTGGGTTATCTAAATTTATCAAAGTCTAAATAAATCTCTAAATGATTCTAGATGATAATTTAAAATTTAAATTACTCATTCAACAAATGCAGAGTATCAGTGTTGTAGCAGCCACTGTATCAGGCCCTGCAGAGAAATAGTGAGCATACTGGGTATGTGCCCAACTTTCATGATTACAAATTAGTAGGAAGTCACACACAAGAAGTGAATTATAGCCAGACGTGGTGGCTCATGCCTGTAATCCCAACACTTTGGGAGGCCGAGGCGGGTGGATCACTTGAGATCGGAGTTTGAGGCCAGCCTAGCCAACAGGGGAAACCCCATCTCTACTAAAAATACAAAAATTAGCAGGGGGTGGTGGTGCGCTCCTGTGATCCTAGCTACTTGGGAGGCTGAGGCAGAACTGCTTGAAGCCGGGAGGTGGAGGTTGCAGTGAGCAGAGGTTGCCACTGCACTCCAGCCTGGGCAAAAGAGCAAAAGACTCTGTCGCCCCCACCCACAAATGAATTATATGTGTAAGGTATGGAGGCATAATCAGAAATTACGTGAAGGTAGAGATGGGGTGTGCCTACCACAGGAAAATTACAGGTGATAGAGTGCTTTACTTGCTGTTCAACTACTCACCCACAAGACTAGCATTTGGTGTTGTTTATTAAGAAGGTATTTACTAGCAGTCTTATTTAAAAAATGACCTGTGTTTAACTTTCCAGCCGCAGAAGAGAAAAAAGGTCTAGAACCCTGAAAAATTCCCATAGCAGAAGGAAGAAAGTAAAGGAAAATATGCTTTTAAAAAATGGAGAGAAAACAGGGGAAACGGCTGTAAGAGTTGTTTAATGATTTTAGCTATTTTCCTTAGATTACCATTTGTACTTTTTTTGTTTGTTTATGGTAAGATAGTTTTCATGTGCCAAAATTTCTGCTTGGACTAACAGAAAATTCATCCTGTAAGATTGTTATATGATCCCACAACGGTTAGGAGTGCCCTGGGTCCAGGCAGAAATCCAAAGATGGAGCTAATAATGTGACCCGCAGCTCTACTCCAGAATGCAGATGAATAGAGATTTTGAACAGTTCGGAGCTCAATGTCCACTGAATATGCACTCATACTTTAAACCTAAATAAAGTGAAGCCTTTGAGTTAAATGGCAGAGCGCCTCAGCAGCAATTTTGCTCGTTTTCAAGTTCTTATTTCGTGATTTGAAGCTTTTGACCTTGCTAGCATGTTCTTTCTGAACGCTTTTGCAGATGGTTGGTTATGGTGGGGAGTAGTAACCCTAGCATAAAGACGTTCTAATTCTAACTTACCTTAGGTAACCTATAAGGGTAGCTTACGCTCACTCTCATACTTGAAAATCAAAACCGAACAGAATTCACACGATGGAAGCAAATCATGCTACAACCTACTATTAGAGACTGAAGGGAAACGCACAAAGATTAATGAACAACAAAGAACACTTCAAAAAGTACAGTATTTGGAAAAGACATGCCTTTATGTACACTAAAACTAATTTAAAAAATTAAATGCAGTTTGCTAGGAGTCTTACAAGTATTAACAGCATGTTCACTGCTTAGGATCCTTAGTAGCAATATTTTCCCGGCTCGCCTGCCCCTATGCCTCATTTCCTCTTCTTTTTTTTTTTGAGATGGAGTTTCGCTCTTGCCGCCCAGGCCAGGTGCCATCTCAGCACTGCAACCTCCGACTCCCGGGTTCAAGCGATTCTCCTACCTCAGCCTCCCGAGTTGCTGGGACTACAGGCGCACGGCACCACACCCGGCTAATTTTTGTATTTTTAGTAGAGACGGGGTTTCACCATGTAGGCCAGGCTGGTCTCTAAGTCCTGACCTCAGGTGATCCGCCTGTCTCGGCCTCCCAAAGTGCTGGGATGACAGGCGTGAGCCACTCACCCGGCCCTCTTCTCGACTTTCTATCCCTCCTCCTCAACACCCTTTCCTTCTGGAAATGGGCTTTGGGGTGGTTAACCAAGCCCAGGGAAACTTGCGTGGCCCAGCATCTTCCGTCCGCTGCAGGAGGAGCACACGCCCCCGGCCCGGGTCAGCAAGACGCGAGAAAGCGGCCACGCCGGGCGTCCGGGAGCTGAGGCTGGAGGGCGCCTGGCAGGCAGGGCGGGGCCCAGGCGGCGGGAGTGCTTATGACCGGCGCTGGGGGGAACTTCTGGACGTCAAGGGGCCACTATAAAGCGGCACAGTCTTGAGCCTTCGCTCTTCACCTAAGTCAGTGAGCGCCCTTCGCAAAGCCTCTGTGGAGGTAACCATTGGGGGTTCGCCTCCAAATCCAGGAATGCACCTCAAAAATGCTCCTACACCGTAAGACCGTGTCCTTCAATGCAAAGGGGACTGTGCGGCGAGGCACCGACAAGCCGTAGCCCTGAGACCACTGAAAGCCTGCACCCCAGCGCCGGTGCGAGAACGTGGAGATGGCGGTGGGGAGGAGAGGTGGAGGCCATGCTCTCGCGTGATCTCCCCTACCGCCATCGTCTTCTGGCCTGTCAAGGCCTCGCGTTGTTTGGGCTTGGGGGCGGAGCGAGCCCTGAGGGGGGCGGGGCCAGATGGGGGCGTCTCCCGGCCTTGTTGACTTTGGCGTCCGCGGGGAGCTGCCCCTGTGCCCGTGGTTCTCTGCGCATGCCCGGACCCCGGCGGCTCCGGAGTCCGGGAGGCTCTGGCTGCTCCAGTCGCGGGTCCGGGCCCCGCCTCTCCACTCGGCGGTGGCGTCCGTGTTGTTATTGTGGTGGTAGCGGCGTCTGGCTGCTGCGGACCCCGCCGAGTCCTAGCGCCTGGCCTGCGCGCCGCTGCCCGCGCCACAGGTAACGCCGCCGCCAGTGGGGGCTCGGGGTCGTGGGGTGTGCGAGTCCCGCGTGCTAGGGCCGGGCGGGCGACTGGGATGCGCTTGGAGGCCAGAGGGCCAGGGGGACGGCAGCCGAAGAGTCGGGGGCAGGGGGACTTAAGGGCGGGCAGGTCGGGGGCCAGGAAACTGAGGCGCTGCGGGGCAGGTTGGGGGAAGGACGGGCCGGGGGCGGAGGACTTGGGAGGTCGGGGAGTCGAAAGGGGCCCAGCGAAGCCTGGAGGTCGGGAGCCGGGGTCCCTGGGGCCGGGGAGGTCGGGGGCCCGAGGGAGGCCGGGGCGCCGCGTCCTCGGCCCGTCCTCGGCTCGTCCTCGGCTCTGACCTGGGCTTGGGGACCAGAGTCCCGAGGCTGGCGTCTTGAGATGCCCGCGGGCCCCTTAGGGCCGTTTTGGATCCGCCCAGTGACTTCTGTTTTGGTTTTGGAGGCAGAGAATCCAGTCTACGTAGACTCGGGGAAGTCTCGGGGGCTGGGAGGGGACTGAGAGGTTATAGCAGGCGCCAAGGCCTCTTTTTGTGTTTTTGAGCGTCTACTACCGTTCCGGGGAAGTGCAGTGCCCGCGTTTTGCTTGGGGAATTTCAGACACCGGCATGGGGAGGACCCACGGGCAGAACCCGAGGGAGTAATTTTGCAAATCCAAGATTTTTTGGAACTTCTATAATTTTGTTTTCGTGTGTCCTCTTTTTAGAATCGAGAAACCAGAGATATATTTTTAACATTACAAATCAGAAGAATTTGCTACGGAGGAAAAAAGTATGCTTTTAGCAGTGTTTTTCCCCTATTTATTTTTTTAATTACAAAAGTACTGCTTGCTCCTTGAGAAAAACATGAAGCAGCCAAACAATGAGGAAACCTGCCCTCTCTCGCGCCCTTCCCCCCATATTTCTCCTTCTTACTACCCAGGGTAGCCAGTCTCCAAGTGTGGTGGGTAGTTATTCAGGATTTTTTTTTTCTGTGCATTTAATGAGTGTGCTTTAGAAACAAGATTGGGATCATATATAGTACAGTATATCGTTTTATTAGCCAACAATGCATCATGGATATTCCTCCATTTTATTACACACCTCATTATTTTAAAAAACATTATTACTATGTATTAGAGAATCCAATCTACGTAGGCTTGGGGAAGCCTTTTCTTCATTGTTAAACATGGTCGCCAAGTTTTCAATAATCAGTAGCTTTGAAAAGGGCTACAAGCCAATATTTTGAAACAATGTGGCAAAACTTTCAGAATGTCTGCGGCCAGACGACATTACTTTCGTATTAAGCAGATTAATATGTTTACGTATTGCTTAATGGTAGTTTACATGAGGCTAGATGACTCCATAAAACATAAAGTTGCTGAATTAGTTTACTTTTTGGTTTTTTTTATTTCATTTTTTTCTAAGTAAATTTTAATTCCATATGGTCAGTTGAACACTTGTAATTTCTTTAACATGAAGTAGCTAATATGTGAAGGAAAGGTAAGGTAGGAAAGATAGAAAGCTAGTGGCCCTAGCCTGAGACAAGAAAAAAAAAGCAACAGGGATTAAATATTTTGGTAAGTAAGCTATAGGGAGTAAACTGGAAGTGGAGGGGTGATACTACACTGCCTACTATTAAGTAAGACAGAAAGCTAGGAAATTCCCATTGCATACTGTATTTCTGTGTGCAGAAGAGCTGGAGGCTTTGTTGATTTAATCACTAGCTTGTATTTATTAAAAATGTACTGTGTTCATCTTGGTGCTAGCTTCCAGGGAAAGAACAACTGAGGAAGATAATCACGAACAACGTCTGGTTCTAAACATGCATAGCCTGAAATTTTAAGCCAAATTGTGTAGTATTTTATGATTTGGAAACTGTGCTCGAAAGGAATAAAAAAATCCATGACATTTTAGTTATTTTTGGTAATAATATGCTCATATATTTCTCATAACAACATAAATGACATTCTTCTCATTCTATAGAGTAATAAATAGAGGCTTTGAGTAAAAGAACTGCTCAAGATCCCATTGCTTTTTTTTTTTTTTTGTAATAGTGCGTGTTTATATTCAGGAGTGCTTAATCCAAGAACCTGTGTTTTCTGCTCTTGTTTTACCTCCTATGAACGAAAAATTGTTGCCCTTACGGTTTTTTCTGCTTTCTTTGAAATGTTCCTTACAGAATAACTACATGAATGTAATCACATGCATTTAAAATAGTCTAGAGAATATAGTGTGAAACTATAATGGTATTTTTTTAGATGAGGTTTCTGGTGGCATATTACTAAAATTTTAAACTCCTTGATCTTATGCTGTTAACCAAGAAGATGGGGATTTGTGTTACTTTAGACACTGCTGGGTGCCATGGTAAATTGGGATGTTATTGTAAATTGTAGCTCTCACAGCTGCGTATTGCTTACAAACTCGGAAGGATAGTCTCATATCAGTAAACATTTTTATGAACGTAGTTGAACTTTTTTGTAAATTAGTGTGCTGGAAAGAATACCAAGAGGGCCCTAAAAAAGTCTAAAAGGATTAAAATTTACTTATGTAATTATTGGTATTTTAAAATATTTGGTAGTCACTTAAAATGCATAATGACAGACAATAGGGTGTCATAATATGGTTTATTAATCTTTTTTCATTTTCCACTAGATGTGGCAACTACATAGTTGGAAGAAATGTGGCGGCCGGGGGCAGTGGCTCACGCCTGTAATCCTAGCACTTTGGGAGGCTGAGGCAGGTGGATCGCCTGAGGTCAGGAGTTCGAGTCCAGCCTGGCCAACATGGCAAAACCCCGTCTCTACTAAAAATACAAAAATTAGCCGAGCTTGGTGGTGGGCATCTGTAATCCCAGCTACTCGGGAGGCTGAGGCAGGAGAGTCGCTTGAACCTGCGAGTCAGAGGTTGCAGTGAGCCAAGATCGCTCCACTTCACTCCAGCCTGGTCAAAAGAGTGAGACTCTGTCTCAAAAAAAAAAAAAAAAAAAAAAAAAGAAATGGGACAAATACTAACATTAATAAAGTATGGTCAGTTGTAATCTGTATTTGAGAAGAAACCAAAAATACAGGAAAAGCTTTGACATTTTACTGGCAATTGTTAAGGATGATAATTGGATTCATACCTAAATGGCGTATCTGCCATTGATTATCTCTCGGTCAACGTAACATTGGATGTTGGATGTGAGTGGGTTTTATAATTAGGTGACACAGAAATATTTCAGCCCCCTAAAGACGTTTTTAGAATATGGTAAGATTTTTTCAGCTGTTGAAGTGGGGAAGGATTGTGAATCAAACACTATGTGTATGTGTATTCTCAAAAATTAATGAGAGGTATTGCTGATGGGAAGACATAGCATATTTTCCAGTTTAACCTGAAAATCCTTTTTGGAACATTATGCACGGGTAGCCAGAAATAACTCAACTTTATGTCTTGATACAAGACATGCATCAGGTATGATTTCTAGAGCTTAAAATATTCTTGGAGTTTAAAAACTAATTTGCATAAAACACTCTTCTGTGTTTTCTACTGAGCACTCTTCAGTAACTTGCAGGCTCTTAAAAACCTTTAATGATAATCATGTTATCAATTGATGAAGTCAGTTCAGTTTATAATCTAAAGTTATAATGAGCATTGAAAGAGCTGTAGAATGTGAAATGCTGTGAAGGTCTGTCTTGGTGACTTTCACAAACTGGCATCTCCAACTCTCCCTTCTTGGGGCCTTTGTTTGTTTTTCTCTCTCACTTCCTGAAGTATAGATAGATGTTGCCTGTAGGTGTTACCTTAGGTTTAGTTCTTTTCCTTTTTAGAGTTTGTTCTCTTCTTTGGCAATCCCACACAGATCCGTGGTTTCAACTGCTCATTCCCCTCACCCTCTTTGCTCAGGCTTCCACTTGTGTATCATCAGCCTTATTTTCATTCCCAAGCTTCAGATTTGCCAATGTTGTTCTCCCTGATCAACTTAGTAGCTGTCATTTTGTAATCTTGAATCAGTAGATTCAGAATTAAACTTTTTTTGCAAGCCTGATTCTTCTTGCTTGTTTATATTAATGACCTTTGCATTTTCTTAGTCATCTAGACTCAAAATCAAAAGGTCATCCTTGGTTCTTCTCTCTCTCCTTTTCTTAGAATTTTTTTTTTTTTTGTCATCTTACTGCATTGTGGTTCCTGATTTCTTCTATCTTTCTTCAGTTCTTCCAGCAGCCATATACACAGCAAGAGACATTAATCTCTAGGTTTGTCATTCATTGTGAATACTGCTTATTAATTGTCCTAAATGTAGTCCTGATCATGTTCCCTGCCTGATGACAAGCAAACAAAACAAACCCACTTGGGTGTTTATGTCAGTCAGTGTGCTGAATCCTTTGTTCTCATGTGGTCATTATAATTTATATTATCCCCATTCTACAGGTGAAGAAATTGGAACTTCATGATCTTGAAGGAGTTGTTAGTAGGTAGAAGAGCTCTGGGATTTGAATCCCAACCATGTCTTCTTCCAAGTCTGTGTTCTTGACCACTGTGCCTCTGCTGAGTGGCTCCTGATCCACTCTGGAAGAAAGCCCGAGTTCCTCAGTGTTGCCTTTCAAAACTGCATTATTTGACTTCAGTGCCCCTTTCAAAACTTATTTCTTGTTTTAGTTTAAAATATTAAGTTACATTCTTTCTGTCCCAGCAGCTGTTCCAAAAAGAATGTAAACTTCAGTTTTACTTTACTTTTTTGATTTCTTATGCATTTCCATTTCTTGGAATTTTTTTCTTTCTCCCATCTCTGCCTTTAGAAGTCTTCCATGTAAAAGTCTAGTTTATACAGCGTACACCGTATTTCCCTAGAGCCCCCACCTCCCAGTCTGTGTAGTACAGTAGTAAAATCTCCTGCACATTCATACAGCTGTTTAACCTGTGATGATACTTTGTACTCTAAATTTGTTTTGAGTACTCTAACAGTTGTAATTGGATTATATAAGATGCTTGAAGCACAAACTATGTCTTACTGTTCCTTGTGTCTTCCAGTGGGTGCTCAGGAAGTATGGGTAAATAAGTATGAAAATGATCACTGGTAAACTACCCCTTTCATTGGTATTTAAGCAGTATATTTGATTTTAGTTTCTCTCTCTCTGTCACACACACTAGCTTGTTTGAGTTTTTAATTGTGTGTGTCCACAACAGAACTAAATTTCTTGTTGTAGGCTATCATGAATTGTTTTCAGATTATAAGGTAATTATATTGTTTATTTAAGACAAATCAGTTTTGTCTTTCCATGTGCACATATCCTTTCTTGGTACTGTATATAAATTTTTAAAAAAATTAATGATTTAGTATTTGAATTATTTTCCATGCTGTTGAGTCAGACAAGTTTTCTAATGAGCTGCAATATTCTCATAAACTCTCTGATCTTACAGTTTCTTTAAGCTTGCATAGATGTGAAAGATGGAGTACAACTCTGTCTATACTTTAGTATTGTTTTCTTCCTTTTGGTGATATCAGGAAGCTCCAGCTGTACAATCAGCTGAAATGCCCTCACACAGATTATACATAATTCTTACATTGCTGAAGAGTTCATATGAAATTTCAGACTTTTTAAAAATAATCTATCGATGTTAATGGTTATCATGCAGAAGTTACAGTTTTTTCTTATATCTGCCATTGTGCCCTGTATTGTTTATAGTTTATCTAACTAATAAGTAATTAATTCTTGCTTTATAAAGTAAAAATATAATTCTGTTAAGAATTTTGAATGTAGGATATCTTGGTGATGGGAAGAGACGTTTTCTTTTTGGAATGTTAAAATGCATGCTTATAAAGGAATGAGACTGATTCTCAAACTAATCCATTTGTAGTCTACCTGCCCTTAGCTTTATAAAATATTAAAGTAATCATAAATACTTCTTTGAAGATACAAATTGTAAGTGAGCTTAAAATAATTCACTGACTTTAAAAATAGTTAATATATCACATGTTGCAAATTTTAAGTGATACAAAAAATATATAAACTGAAAATGTATCTTCCTCAGCCTCCCATTTTCCCCCCTGGGATGGGAAGTAGTCACTTACCTCTGGAATGATATAATGGAAACTATTTTTTTATTTGTATGTACAATGAAATATAAATAAATTTTCTTTCCACTTACATAAAGATGAGGTACACTGCTGTTTTTTTCACTTGGATTTTCACATAACCATATATCTCTATGAGGAGATAAAGAACCACTTCATTCTTAAAAAAACAATTTCAGCCTCAGAGTATATTATAGATAGCTACAGCTATAGATTGTATTTCAATTATAATTGATTTAACTATATTCCCTACTAATGAGCATTTAGTTTCTAACTATTACAACCGTTGTGACAACACTTTGAAGGAAGAAAAGTAAAAAGTAGGTGGTCTTTTCTTGTAGGGGAAAATAAAGTTTGAAAGCTGAAATGGGCTTTTTGGTTCCTTTTCTGACCTGATGATTAGTGTGTAAGTGAATGGAGAGAACTGTGGGGTTATGTGAAGACATTTGCTAGAAGCCATAGTTGACAATCGAGTTGGAAGAGTTGGGATGGTAGTGGTGATGGGTAGCAGCTGCCATGACCAATGGTCCACTCTGGGCAAGGGTCAGCCCTGCATGTGTTAGCAGTTCAGTGTTTAGAAATGATACGTGGTATCTGGAGTTTGGTGTCTGGATCTATGGCCTATGCTAGTATATTTAACGTAGGAAACCTATGCAGGGGATGAATTTAGATCCCTTTGTGTCATCTAGAAGGAAATGTTGTGGCTTACAATATTGTATGTGGTTATTAATCTTTTTATTGAAAAATTATTGTATATTCAGAAATAAGATTTAAATTACTAAATTAAATGGAGTTAAACAAGCAGGCCCCCATCATCTGTGTCTGCTCCTCATGGTTTGCTGGGGTAATGGTTTTTTAACAGTTTGGTATGAATGCTTTCAGACTTATGTATAAACAGAAACAATATATTCGTGCATATTAAAAATGTCAGTCAGAATTCTGTTGAATAACAAGTACATGGAATGAATGGTAAAAGTCAGAATCTTTAACAAGAGAAGAAGGTGGTGGTGGGATACCAGGTAATTATATAGTGAATGTTCTTTGATTCCTTTAGATCCAAGGGGGCTGTAAATACACACTGTTAATTGTGTAAACTGTACTACCTATTTAGCCTCTGTAGCTAGTTTATCAGGTTATTTCTACAGATCATTTAAGGTTTCTGAAGCTATATATATATATATACATATATATGTATATATATATTTTTTGTTTTTTTTTTTAACTAGTGGCATATAATTTACTGAATAATGATATATTCTCTTTATTTTCCAGGCATTCTATGCTAAATTTGGGATTTGAGTGTTTTTTTGTTTTCTTTTTTTTGAGACAGGGCCTCGCTGTGTCACCCAGCCTGGAGTGCAGTAGTGCGATCTCGGCTCACTGCATCCTCCACCTCCTGACCTCGAGCAATCCAACCTCAACCTCACCAGTAGCTGGGATTACAGGCATGTGCCACGATGCCCGGCTAATTGTTTTTTTCTTTCATTTTTTGTAGAGATAGGTGTCTCAGTATGTTGCCCAGGCTTGTCTCAAAGTCATGGGCTCAAGCCATCCTCCTGCCTTGTCCTCCCAAAGTGGATTAGAGGAGAAAGCTACCTTGCCCGGCCTCATGTCATTTATTTTTAGGGTGGTATGTGTATGCTGCCTAGGTTCATATGGTTTAGATTTATTTTTAACAGTGGTTCATTTGCACTGACCCATTTCTGAGCTCCTGCGATTCTCTTTGGTCAATTATACTTCCCTAGATATTGTGAACATAATAAGTAAAAGCTCATTTATTTGATTTTGCTTTTTTCCCTGTATAACAGCAGTAGAAATTTATTGTGGAAAGACTAGAAAATATGGATAAAGAAAAGGAGAAACAGGTTAACGGGGATGTTATCACCTGAGGCTCGTATGGTTTTTAATTCTGAGGGACCTCTGTGTTAATGAAAACACCACTAGAAATGTCCAGCTTTGTAAGTCCTTCTGCCATGTAATCCTGTGGCAGATGTATTTGGTGATAGAAGTATGGAAAATGTGAGTGCTTGCATTTTCTCTGACCTGGATGCATCTGTGCTAGGAAGTGGTGTTTTAAGTAACCAAGGTTGTGTTAAGGCCTTGACTTAATGTTATTAGGGGATTTCTACATTTATACTGCCAAGCACATGGGTGTTTAGCTGTTGGTTATGGGAGCCACAGGTGTGCTGGTGGATGGATCAGTCGGTGCTTCTCTGTCACTGCTACTGCGTAAGTAGTGCAGAGGTTTTGTTCTGATTATGTATCATTATATCTTTGTAGTCCATATTTAAAATACTGGGCCTTGAGTAGAAGGAACTATTTAGAAATGTCATAGCTCAAAAAGCAAATGCAAAACAGTCTTTGTTTTAGAAGGATGGTTTATCCCTGTTACTCCTGTAAGTCTCGGTATTCTAAATTTTCATGTTTTCATTGTAGTGTCTTGGCGGCTAGAGCGGATTTTAAATTTTCTGGTCAGTCTTCATACTCAACTGGATAAGAACAAATTTTGGAACATGCAAAGGCAGTCACTCTAATTTTAGTTTCAAGGAAAAGCCTAGCAGTGATATATACTGATTTACCAGGCATTGTAAATCCCATTGTGAAAGAATTATTTTAAATACATCTAAACCGTTTTTAATAGGCTTGACTTTTCCCTGTAAATAGAGTAATTTGAACCTTTATTCTTTTATGAACCAGAGAAATTAGAAATAGATGTAGGCATTTCTACAATGATCTATATAAATATCTGTGAATATAACCATTCATGCAGTTGATTTGGCTTTAAAGAAAAGGGAGGTAATCACCATGGACTTAAAGTAGTTTAATTACCTCATTATTTATGACAAAAAGGCTTTATATAAGCTTTTTTTTTTTTTTTTGTTAAGGACTTGTTCAGTTATCACTGTTTAGTTATCACTGGTTTTATTGTATCTAGGCAGCACAATAAAATTAATTCACTTCACACTAATATATATTTTTGTGTGTACACACACACACACACACACACACACACGTATATCCTTACATATGGCCATTTGTGGTGCACAGCTCAGGAGACACTATTAACATAGAATCTAATATAAATGACATTCCCTTTACTGCTTCAGGAAAACTGACACTTTATGTGGGAATAGTGCTTCCTGGCATTGTGTAGTCAGCATGAGACCCTGTTAAATTTGATACTTTCCACATTTTCACATTTTCGTATAACTTTGCATCTTGTCAAAGAGGTAGGAAAGTATTGTTATTCCCATTTTATAGATGCATGAACTAAGACTCAGAATGACTTCAGTTTCCTCAGTCTGCTTTATTTTCTATAAAATGATGATACCAGACTCAGCAATCAACAGTGTTGAGGGACACAGGGTTTGGTGTCAGATAGATCTAGAACTCAACCTCAGTTTTGCCTCCTACTAGCTGTAAAAGCTTAAGGAAGTTATTTAATCCCTTTCCTTCGTTTCCCATCCCTAAAAATAATGCTGTTACATGAAATTTTATGAAGACTTAAATGAGTTAATATACTTAAAACACCTCAAAGCTTTATGCTGTAAGTGCTCAATTAATGATAGTTGCATTAATAATCAGTAATAAAGGTTATATATTATTTTGTGAGTCGTATACTACTTTTCAGAGATTATGAGGTCAGTTAACACTTGATAGAAAGTGACGGACCTAACCTAGAAGCAATATCCGTTTTAAGTAGAGGCCAAACTTGGACTGATAACCTCATGCTCTCTTACCAATATTGTAGGCAGTGAGTGAGGAGTTAACAATAACAACAAAAGGCCTAGGAAAAGCAAGGAGAATGTGTCCTATATAGTCAGGGACAGACTTTGGAGTCACACTAGACCCACCATAGTTGTGTGTAAAATAAAGCAGATTTGAATCATCTAGTCACACAAAAAAGAAACGAGAAGTTACTGCAGTGAGAGAGCAAAGCAGTTCCAGATGGTGGAATGCTTTTACTGTGTGTGTTGGTCTCTGAGGTGCTCGTGACATACCATTATCATACTGTTCCTCATAATGACCCTCAGCCACTAAGAAATGGTTGAGTTATGCGGGATAATTTGCTAAGACTGTAGAACTAATACACTATATAAAGACTTTCATTACTTTGTTTTTAATCTTTGCAACTTAAAGGAGTATTTTTCAGTTACCAGTAACATTAATTTGTTTTACTCGGTGCTAGATAAAAATGACTAAATTTGAATGTGCACATTATTTCATTTGATTCTTAAAACTAAGTAGGTCATAGAAAGGTTAATGGCCAATGGTAAAATAAAGGCTATGAGTTCAGACTTTCATGCATATATTTGATTCTGGGTCTCTTTCTCATTGTTAACCCAAAGCTTATTTATAAAGGTCAGGGCCTGCTTGTTTGTTTTCATACCCTTTAGTGCCTTCTACTGTGGGAGCATTACGAAAATCAGGTCCTGCTCCTAAATGTCTTAATATTTTGTTATCTAGTGTATCTTCCCATTCATTTTTTTGTGATACACAAAAGTCATTTACCTGAAGGGGAATCTATTTTTAAAAGGATGCTCCCTCTTGAGGCCAACCTGGAATCCTCCTGCATTGAATTGACAATTTTGAATCTGCTACTATATCCTGTTGGATGTCAACAGCTAAGGAAAGGTATGGACCATCATATACAGGGTCTTACTCTATTGAACTGAACTTCTGTAAGCACTCAGAATGAATCTATATGGTAGCTTTCTACTACCCTAAAAGTAAGGTCAGGAGTTAGGAATGAACTCTAAACAGTTTTAAACTTGAAGTTTATATTTAGGCACAGTTTCTTCTAATAGAGTAAGATATTAGAAATTATGAAAACTTGGCCGGGCACGGTGGCTCATGCCTGTAATCCCAGCACTTTTGGAGGCCGAGGTGGGCGGATCACGAGGTCAAGAGATTGAGACCATCCTGGCCAACATGGTGAAACTCCGTCTCTACTAAAAATACAAAAAAATTAGCTGAGTGTGGTTGGCACGTGCCTGTAATCCCAGCTACTTGAGAGGCTGAGGCAGGAGAATCGCTTGAACCCGGGAGGCAGAGGTTGCAGTGAGCTGAGATCGTGCCACTGCACTCCAGCCTGGTGACAGAGCAAGACTCTGTCTCAAAAAAAAAAAAAAAGAAATTATGAAAACTTTTTTGTGAAACTGTTCTCAAATATTGGGACTGAGCGTACTCTTTTTTTTTTTTAATTTATTTTAAACGAGGAAAATGATTGCATGGCTTGATAATTACCATACCAAATGATTGATAGTTTTGTTTTTTTGCAGTTTCTAGTTGCTACTTAAAATTGAGTTTCAGGGTGTTCAGTTAGTTTATACATAGTTATTGCTTTAGTTAGAGGATTTTAGACTATCTTAAGAATATAACCTTGCGTTATTTACCTGTAAGAGAAAATAAATTCCAAGTCTGTCAAGTAATAATAAGCATATTTCTTCTGCTGATCCTTTCTGCCATATTGTTTCTTCACCTGTATGCTGGATGAGAAATGGGAGAAGGGATGGATTTGGGCTGCCGGTATACATTTTAAGATGGATTGTATCTGATTCTCTATGGAACAGCATTACCCTGAAGAGTAGGAGTCAAAGTTTGGGTAGTGTGCTAGGCAAATAGTAGCCCCCCAAAGAGGTCCATGTTCTAATCCCTGGAACCTGCGAATATGTGACCTTATATGGCAAAGGGGAATTAAGGTTGCAGATGAATTAAAGTTGCTAATCAGTTTAAGATAGGAAGATTATCCTGGATTATCCCGATAAGCCCAGTGTAATCATAAGGGTCCTTAAAAATGGAAGGAGGAGGCAGAGCGAGAGAACCAGAGAGACAGCAGAAAAGGAATCAGCGTCATGTTTCTTGCTTTGCAGATGGAAGAAAGAAAGGGCCATGAGGCAAGAGAGAAAAAAAAAAAGCAGATGGACACTAGACACTGATGCGAGGGAACAGATTTCTCCTAAAGAACCTTCAGAAAGGAACAGTCTCCCCAACACCTTGATCTTAACCCAGTGAGACTTGTATCATGAAGCCTGTGTCAGACTTCTGACCTCCAGAACTATCAGATAATAAACTTGTGTGGTTTTAAGCCATTAGGTTTATGCTAATTTGCTATGACAGTGATAGAAAACTAATACAGGTAAATATACTGTGGCCATTTGATTCCTTATGGAAATGATTTCTAAACAGCCTCTCCCCAACAAAAGATTAAGATGACATTTATAAAACTGATAAAACTAGTGCAGCTGTGTTTAAATGGGGGTGGCATTGAGTCCTGCCAGGTGAGATTTCTTCCCATTTTTGTAGAATCTTGGGGGCACCTGTGGATTTTTGGAGCTGCTTTCTTTATTGATAAAAGTTGTATACTGGGCAGATGAATCAAAATGGCATATAGGAATCCCATTGAAATTGGGATAACTACAGGTATGATCATCTTGAAGTTCATTGCAGTAATCTAGCAAAAATTGATAGGGGTATTGACAAAAGGGCTTTTCACTAAGGGGAATGGGAGTAATTAAAGAGTAGCTGGTCTGAAAGGTGAGGGGCTATAGTTTTAAATATTCTAAATTTGAAATGATAGAACTTTCCTCCCCAGTGAAATTAATCTAGAAACTTACTGAATGCACTGGAAAATTTCAGCTAAAGAGGATGATGATTTTGAATAAGTCGAACAGGGGAAAGGAAAAATAGCTGTTCTGAAGTCTCTTCGGCAATATGTTGGAGGAAGGGACGAAATTAACAGCTATTTAAATTGCAGAAAAGCAGACAGAAGTTGAGGTCCTTGTGGATTTGCTGCAAGGATTCTTACCAGTTTGGAGGAAAGAGCCTTGTGCTTTAAGAAACTGTACATAGTCTTTGTTCTTAGTAGGAAAGAATATCCTTGTGCATTCACTGTAAGTACACATTTAAAAATGCATTTCCAATGCTCACTAGTTGTTAAAGGAGAAATTATAGTAATGTCATTGGATAACACAAATTACAAAAAATTGCTATCTTTGAAAGTGTTTTTGTTTTTCCAAAACACATATAACCTTCTGACCCAGCACAAACAACGTATGCCCCTGTAGAGACATAAGGCTGTCTATCCGACAGTTACCACTCTTCTGTGGTGTTGAGTGTATTGCATTTTAATACAGTGGCAAAGTATGTGATTTATTTAGTGTCATTTACTGTTGCTTTATTGTAAAATTGTTTTTCTGCAGATAGCTCCTTTGTGAATTTGTATTTTTAGTCTGCCTACCTATGCCTACATGAAATTTAAGGAGTTTTTCAGTGGTTTTATTTTGTCATTTCCCATGTGTGTTAATAATCATGTAAGTTTATAGGAGAGAAGCAAGGGCACCAGAAAGAACATGTGCTTCAGTTAACAAGTTCTTTTCAAGCCGACTGCAGTAGATGAAGCCACTAAGGCATCCTCCTGTCTAAAAGTTTGTATGATATATTGTCCTAGGCAGGAACTTGAAGATGGCAGAATTGGTAACTGCCACCCTCAGTACTCTTAGTCAGGGCTGGCGTCTAACTTCCCCTCTCTGATCATTGTGACAGCTCTCTTAACACAGAAAATGTGGTGACAGGTGTTTAAAATTTTGCCAAGAAGCGAAGATATCCTCCCCGCCCCCCAATACTTAGAAGTTAAAGTTAAAAGGATGAGAGAATGTTTGTGGGATATAGTAATTTAAGTTAAATTGAGGAGGTTGTGGATGCTTTAGCCAAGTATCAGTATCTGTTGTATTTTAGTTAATTTTATTGCTCAACTGCTGTCTTTATTTCGGTGGCTTGTGTGTAGTCTTTCTGGTTTTCAGGATTATATAAATCTGGGTCCAGTCAGGAAAGAGAAATCATGCAGTAATTTGAGCAGAGAATGTTTAGTGTAAAGGATTATTTACTGTAACAGAACCAGTAGGAAGTACAGAGAGTGCTACAGGATATAGAAATAGATGTTAAGAAACAGCCACTACTTACAGAACTACAATTGAGCACCCAAAGAAGAGGCCCATCCCAGGCTGAGAACAGGTCTTGTTGGAGAGGGTACCTCAATGGCTTATTGGATGGCAGAGAAGTTGATGGAATTTGCCAGAAATCTATCCTCTAGGATACCATAGAAAGATGTTCATAGAGAGGCATTTTGCTAGAGGTTGTGTTCTACAAACTGTCCAAAAGAGAGTGCTGGGGAAAGCTGTCTATTGTCCTGCACTGCAGCATCCTCGTGCTGGGGAAGCCTGCCAAGCATTGCACCAGGCCGGGAAACAAAGTCCTTTCCCCTTGCAGTGTTTTCTCCAGTGCTGTCTGCTGAACATTACCTATCAGTTGGGATTGAGACAGTGGGTATTAAAAAGACTATTTCTTTGTGCCTAATCCCTGGTGGGATCAGGGCAGCATATTACTACACTAGGATTTTCTTGAAGAACATACTTGTTACTTTATTCCCTTTTGCCATTCAGAAACTTTTCTTTTAGGTAAAATGATGGTACATTCCTTTTGACTTAGAGGCCAATTCCTGCTTTTGTGTTTGATTGTTCCCAGTCAGCTGATAGTGGCTATTTCCTGCTTGCTTCCGGTATTCTCTCATACTGAAATATAAAAATGGAGCCATAGTCCTGGACCAAATATTTAGGCACTGCTTGTTTTTACCACACTGACTCAGATCAGTGGCTCTGTCTATAGCTTTAAGAGGTACACCTGGTTTATTTTAATAATATAAGGCTTTAACACTGTCTCAATCTCAACTGATAGGTAATGTTCAGCAGACAGCAACACACCCAAAGAAGGCATTTTATCTCAGAAAATGTCACATTTTGTAGCTTTTATTTTAGGATGTATTGAAAAGAAACTCAAGACACGGAGCCACAAATTCTTTCAGTATGCCCTTGAACAAGTAGTTTTGTCTGATGCATGACAGCGAACTAGATAATTTTATGATTTTCTTTATAATTATTTCTGTTGACCTGCTTTCACAAATATCAAAGTGCCTATTTTGTTTGGGTTTATTTGCACGGGAATATTTATGAACTATGTCTTTGTTTTTGTAAATGCAAATGGTTTTAAAGTTCTGGAATGAGGTTTTTAAATGTCAACAACATAATACGACTGATTTTTACTTGGCCTCATTTTGTTGCTTTTGTCACAGTAATTCAACTGCAGAGAATTCAGATGCCAAAAAAAAGCTCTTGTAACCTTATGCTAGCCTAGGTCTGTACATCAAGGGAATGATTTAGAAAATACACATACCTTGGTTGTTTTCAGTTTGACTTTCTGAACACGTTTTAAAAATATCGGGCATTTGTCAACCTTTTTGTACCTCCTTATACTTAATAATATTTATAAAACTGTTTACTCTTTTGTGAGATTTACTGTGGTTTAATATTGCATTAATAATTAAGAAGAAAATCTGTTGAATTTCTTTGCTCTCCCTGTGTTTTTGTGTGTGTCCCTCTATTATTATCTATATATGCATATATATACATTTTACTCTTAATAACAATCTCCCCACTTGCTAGCCTTAGGACACTGAAGTATCAACTCTTTCACCTTTAATGGGAACTGTGGCATCTGTACTACAGTCTTTGCTACTTAATTTAATTCAGGCCATGGAAAATTACAAGTTTAAATACTTTATAATCTGATGATAATACTTTTGGTTTCATAGGTTTTATTCCATCTAGCTATTATATTCCTTGTTGATTTGCTCTCATTTTGAACTCTGAAGCATTTACCTTACTTTTTTTGTCTGTTCTTTTTTTTTGAGACGGAATCTCGCTGTGTCGCCCAGGCTGGAGTCCAGTGGCGCGATCTCAGCTCACTGCAAGCTCTGCCTCCTGGGTTCACGCCATTCTCCCGCCTCAGCTTCCTGAGTAGCTGGGACTACAGGCGCCCACCACCACGCCTGGCTAATTTTTTTTTTTTTTTTGTATTTTTAGTAAAGACGGAGTTTCACCGTGTTAGCAAGCATGGTCTCTATCTCCTGACCTCGTGATCCGCCTGCCTCGGCCTCCCAAAGTGCTGGGATTATAGGTGTGAGCCACTGCGTCCGGCCGTTTTTTATTTCTTTTTTTTTTTTTTTAAGTATGCTATTCATAACTAAATTGTAAGCTTTTAAAGACTTGCGTTTTCTCTCCAATGAAATATAATACCCCAAACAGGCTATGTTAATGTCCAGTGGAGTGTATAATTTGTCAAGTACATAGATATATGTCTTCTGTTCTTTTCATGATCTTAAATAACTGAGAAACTACACTCAGTTACTCATTAGCAGGGATCTTGAATAATATCTTTGTTATAAGGCATTCAACTAAGTGTCAGAAGTAAACAAGTGACTAGCATATAGACCCTTACTTTGAAGAGGCCACAGTCAAGTGGGTGGGAAACAGGATAATCACTTTGTGGAGAGATGATACAGAGATACATAGGCGGGTGTTTGAGAGCTTTTGAAAGAAGGTACAGTTATGAATTGAATGTTCATGTCCCCCTAAAAGTCACGTGTTGAAACCCTGACCGCCCCCTACCCCATGCCCAGTGCAGCTGTACTTGAATACGGGGCTTCCGAGGAAGTAATTAAGATCATAATGGTGAGGCCCTGATCCAATAGCGTCATTTTAAAAAGTGACACCAGAGAGCTCCCTCATGCTTTTTTGTGTGTACAAAGAAGAGGTCATGTGAGAACACAGCAAGATGGTGACCATCGGCAAGCCAGGAAGAGAGGCCTAGAGGCCTTACCAGAAAGTGATTCTGTTGGCACTTTGATCTTGGACTTCTAGCTTGAGAAAATAAATTTGGGTTGTTTAAGGCACCCAGTCTATGGTACTTTGTTATGACGCCTGAAAAGACTAAGGCTTATAAGTGTTTTGGGGTTGGACTTAGAGATTTCTAAGAGGAGGGGGACTCATTAGTGGCATCTGAGTGAACAGGGAGAACTTTCTAGGTAGAGACTTAATGCATATGCAAAAACATGGATGCTTGAAGAAGTTTATTGTGGTTAAGGGAACTTCAGCAAAGGCTGTGGGAGGAGAGATGGCTGGAGGTGCCCCTGAAATAGTATTCAGGGCTCAGATTAGATAATGCACTTTTGAAATCGAAAAAAATGGAGCCCAGATATGAGCAAAGTTCTGTGGCTTTTGACTTACACCGAGGTTTTAAGCCCAGCTCTAAATTTTTTTCTTTGTAAAATGGGTATAATAAAACCTACCTTGAAGGTTTTTTTGAAGAATAATTAAAAGACAATTCTAAAACAGTTGGTTGAATGCCAGGCAACTACTAAGTGTAGTAATTATTAATTAAGTTGGACAAAATCAGATCTGTTGGGCTCCAAATGAAGGTTGAACTTACTACACTCTGCCTGTCTGTAGATGTAAATATAGATGCTATCATATTTGTAATATTCTTGTCTAATGGGATGGGATTAGGATGACAGTCTGGCAAATTGAGGCGTTTTGTCTTATGACCTGTTTTTCTGTGGAGGACGAAGAAGGACCCTTGTGGAGCCTAGTCTTGAGGGGTTGTTGGTTGTAGTAGTGGTAATGAATTTGCTGTGCAGGTGGGAGCCAGAGGTAAATAAACACAAGAGATATTGCTGGGCATTATTGAAAATCCAGTTAAGCTTGAAGAATATAAATGTTTAGTGGCACCACCAACACAGGCACTGGATTTCTTTCTTAAGTAACACTTCACAATATAAAACAGTCCATGGAGAAGAGAGATTATTGGCTTGTTCCATGATCAGAAGTTTGCAAGATGAGTGAAGCAGAAAGTTAGAATGAAGGATTGAGAGTAATGAAGACTCAGTAAGTGAAGCAGTGTTCGTGGGGTTGATTTGGGAAGAAGATGAGAGTAGGTGTTAGCCGGTTGTAGCCCATGGGCCAAACTTGGACTACTGTCTTTTTTTGTGTGGTCTGCAAACTAAGAATGGTGTTTACTTTCAAATGGTTGGAAGACTATTTTATGACATGAAAATGATATGACATTCCAATTTTAGTGTCCAGAAATAAAATTGTATTGGAACAAAGCCATACTCTTTAACTTTTAAGTTGTCTATAGCTACTTTTGCCTTACAACAGTGGTGTTCAGTAGTTGGGACAGAAACTATTGCCTGCAAATCCTAAAATGTTTATTAACTGGCCTTTTCAGAAAAAGTTTGCTGATCCTTGGGGTAGAGTACTAGTGACATTGACTGTAGTGGCAGACAACAAGCAAAGTAGACATAAAATCAGGTCAGAGAAAAAAGTAAGGATTCAGGTTGGACAATTGGGTGATATAAGTCCTCAGTTAAAGGTGTCATAGTTGTTCCTTTGGAGATTGAAAAGGTTGTTCATGTACGTTGAGGATGCCCCTGATTATGGTATGAGTTGGGGAGTAGAGAAGACTACAGTAGAGATGCTAGAGTTCCCAATAAAGGTGGAAGAGTTGATATTTCCTAAGGATAGGAAGTGGGGGATTATTATTAATATGTAAGAAAACATAGTAAGAGATGAAAATACAAAACATGTTTTCCTATACCTTTTTCAATAAGTTTTTTTTAAAAACATCATTATGAATCTTATAGGCCTAAAGTTGTCTTTCTAATTTTGCATTTTAATTGCCACTGAGGTTGGGCATAATTTCATATTTACTGGTGGTTTAGTAATTCTTCTGGCAAATACCTATTGTCTCCTCTGCCCCCCTCCCCTCTTTTTTTTTTCATTAAAAGGAGACAGGATCTTGCTGTGTTGCCCAGGCTGGAGTGCAGTGGTGCTATTGTAGCTCACTGTAACCTCAAACTCCTGGTCCCAAGGGATCCCCCTGCCTCAACCTCCTGAGTAGCTGGGACTTCAGGTACATGCCACCACTTTGCCTGGCTATTTTTTTTTTTAAACTTTTTTTTTTTGGTTAGAGATGATGGTCTCGCTATGTTGCCTAGGTTGATCTCTAACTCCTGGCCTCAAGCAATCCTCCAGCCTTGGCATTCCAAGGTTCTGGGATTATAGGCATGAGCCACTGCACCTGGCCTTTGCCCTTTTATTAAAAAAATTAAAAATGTTTCTTTGTAAATAATTCTTATAAATTTGGCTATCAACCCTTTGCCACATGTTGCAATTTTTTCCCCCAGTTTGGTTTTTGTATTTTGATGTTTTACTGTGTGCTTTGCCAGATAGAATACATCATTTTTATCATTTTTACGTTTTGCCTGTGGCTTTTTAATTTAGAATGTCTTCTCTACCTGAAATGAGATACATAGTTGTCTCACTTTTTTATTGGTTATTTTATTTTGCTTTGGTTGCTCAGAGGCAGGTGTTTTGTGACTGAGCTTTAATTGAGGAGAACCTGTTGACTTGTAAATTGTAAGTACTCAGTTTTCACATAGTTTCATTTTCCTATTAATCTTTGTTTTCCTTGACCTGATTTATATATGAATTCCTATAGCCCACCTCAGATTCTTAAATGATAGTTTGATGGGACAATCATGAACACGAATATACTGACTTTAGTTTTAATTTACCATTTTCTTTAAAGCTTTGTTGATTTGTTATAGTTTGTTCCTATGATTTGGTTTTGGCTCTTATAAGTTTCCTGTTACATTTCCAACTTTATTTTTTTTTAGTCATGCCACTTTTTTCTAACTTAAACTGAGAATAACAATATGACATTCATTCCTAAGGTGATTTTTCTTTTTTTTTTTTCCCCTCAAGTGACAGATCTAGGAGTGAGCTTTAGGACATATATACTGTGAAGGAATTATCTTTGCTGATTGCTCAGTTCTTGCTTTTTTTCTTTTTTCTTTTGAGACACAGGGTCTTGCTCTGTCTCCCAGGCCAGACTACAGTGGCATGACTACGGCCCACTGCAGCCTTGACCTCCCAGGCTCAAGCAATCTTCCCACCTCAGAGTTCCGAGTCGCTGGGATCACAGGTGCACATTACCACACCTGGCTAATATTTTAAATGTTTTATAGAAATAGGGTCTCACTGTTTTGCCAGGGCTGGTCTCGAACTCCTGGGCTCAAGCAGTCCTCACACCTTGACCTCCCAAAGTGCTGGGATTATAGGCATGAGCCTTACTCATAGTTTTAAAAGTCAAATTGTCTTTCATCTGTTTCCTGTCTGCACAAAATAGCCTTCTCTTCCATTAATCTGCATATTCCCTTAGGCTTTATTTGTTTTTGAGACAGGGTTTCACTCTATCATCCAGGCTGGAATATAGTGATGTGATCACAGCTTGCTGCAGCCTTCACCTCTTGGGCTCAAGGGATCATCCTACCTCCATTTCCTGAGTAGCTGGGACTATAGTCACGAGCCACCATGCCTGGCTAATTTTTTAAATTTTTTGTAGAGATGAGGGTCTCACTATGTTGCCCAGGCTGTTCTCAAACTCCTAGGCTCAAACAGTCCTCCTGCCTCAGCCTCCCAAAGTGCTGGGATTACAGGCATGAAGATCTTGCTTGCATTTTAACTCACAATTCATGTAGTTATATAACTTCATTTTGAAATAGTTTCAAACTTAAAGAAAAATTGTGAGAAATAGCACAAGGAACTTCTTCCTGTACACCAGGGGTGTCCAATCTTTTGGCTTCCCCAGGCCACATTGGAAAAAGATTGTCATGGGCCACACGTAAAATACACTAATGCTAAGGATAGCTGATGAGCTAAAAAAAAAAAAAAACCAAAAAAAAAATCTCATAATATTTTAAGAAAGTTTACGAATTTGTGTTTGGCTGCATTCAAAGCCATCCTGGGCTGCATGTGACCCATGGGCTGTGGGTTGGACAAGCTTGCTATACACCGTTTGCTTAGAGTCACAATGGCTTACATTTATGTATCTTTTTATTTTGATAGAATTTCAAGCTTGTAGAAGAACTGGCACAACAGTACAAGGAACTCCAGTATACCCTTTGCTTAGATTCATTAGTTGCTTGCATTTTGATGCATTTGCTTTATTACACACACACAGAGTTTTCTGCACCATTTGGAGTAGTTTGGAGTAGAATTTTTTTTTAACTTTAGTACATATTTTCCAAGAACAAGGATGTTTTCTTAGAGAAGCGCAGTATAGTTATTAAAATCAGGAACTTTAATAATGATACAATGCCATTTATATATAACCTGTATTCATATTCTGCCACTTGTTTTCAATAATGTGTCCTGTAGGTATCTTTTTCCCCCTTAGTTTATGATCTAGTCCAGGAATAATATCACTGATGTGATGAGTGTCCATCTCAGGGCATATATCAGTAGGTGCATTGGTTTGGCCTATGAAAAGTAAAGTAAAGTAAAGGTTCCTCTTCAAAGACTTTCCTCCCCATGTAATTAGGAATAAATAGTAACTTCTCTTAAAAGCAAAATTAATTCAAAGACCTGTACTAACATTCTGAAATATCTGCTAGCCGTAATAAAAAAATTAATGTACTTTATGTTCTTAGCTCCCACAATTTAGCCTAAATATTTGCCCTAGCATGCTTATACTGAATCCAAGCAAACATTGTCATAGCCGTTCCTCTTCTTTATTTAAAAGCGTTTTTACCTTTCTCAGCATCCTGCAAGTTACTTCCTCCTTCCTTTGTTCTCCTCTACCTTTGCCTCTTTTAAAAAGTTCTGAGTTACTATCCAATCAGGACAGATATAAAATGTAAGGTCCTGTTGCAGCCAGTGAAAACCGGACAGAGCAGTAAAGTGACCGCATCAGGTTATAAATGACCCTGTCTCCTTTGTTCGGTGTACTCTCATGGCAAAACTGCCGGCGAGTGTACGCTTTCTACAAAAAGTAAAAAAATGACCTTGCTAAAAAAATTAAATTTATATTCAAATACTAGTTCTTAACGGCACCAAGAAGCAAGCATTTCATACAGGCCCAATGTTGGTGAAGTTAGTTTTGACTACTTCAGATGGCATTCATTGGGTTTCTCCATTGTGAAGTTACTATTTTGTTCCTTTATTAATTGGTAATTTGTGGAGAGATACTTTGAGATTACGCAGATAATCCTGTTCCTCACCAAATTTTCACACACTGGTTTTAGCATCCATTGGTGTTTTTCTAACACCATTATTTCTTCTACATTTATTAGTTGCCATTCTACTGTGAGAGCTTTTCCTTCTCCCCCAACTTATTTGTTCATTCATCATTTAGGTATGGACTCTTTGATTCTCATTTTATTTTATGACTATTATCATCAATCTCTTGTTTAGATTCCCAAAATGTATTCAGTTTGGCCAACAGAGGACTCTTCAAGCTGGCTTCTTTATCTTTGACATCTCATTTTTTGAGGACTTCCATATTTTGTCTTAAGAAGGTGTTTCAGACTCATATTTTCCCTGCCTGAATTTTAGAGTCAGCCATTTTACCAAGGAACCCTAGTTTCTTTTCTTTGGCTAGGAGAACAGTATTTAGAAACCCAGCTCTGGGTGCTAGATTTTCTTATGGTTACTGGTGGGTTTCTTACATCTGCCTGTGTATTCTAGGCCTTCATAAGCAAGGAAAAATATGTATATGTGTGTATTTCTGCAGTTTTCTATTTTTTTTTGTGTGTGTGTTTATGTATATTTTAAAACTCAAACTGTTGACTTCCCACTGACTCCTCCATTTCCATCCATCATCATAGGATATAGTCTAGGCTATACCCAATCTTTCCATGCTTTGTTTTCCCTCAGAAACACCATGAAGCTGCTGAGATCTTGTTGAAAATTGGCACCTAAAATCAAAAGTATTTTATGCGTATTTAGTAACTGTACAAAAATCTCCCGGTTTTATCAACTTGACTAATGTTTCTTGAAATGGTAATATGTTTGTTTATGGAAGGATTAAGTAGTTTCTGTATTAAGTAATAGAAGCGACACCTATTGAGCATGTGGTAGGCATCAGGGACTATTGTAGACAGTTTATATATATTACATCAGTAATGATATAATAGTGATAACACACGCATGCGTGCACGCACATGCACACACACACACACAGACACACACACACACACACACAAACACATTTTTGAGATGGTCTTGCTCTGTTACCCATGTTGGAGTGCAGTGGTGCAGTCATAGCTCACTGCAGCCTTGAACTCCTGGGCACAAGTGATCCTTCTGTCTCGGCCTTCTAAGTAGCTGGGACTGCAGGTATGTGCCACCATGCCTGGCTGATTCTTAAATTTTTTTTGTAAAGATGAGGTCTCTCCATGTTGCCCACGTTGGTCTCAAACTCCAGTTGTCCTCCCTCCTTGGCTTCCCAGAGTGCTGAGATTATAGGCATGAGCCACTGGTCCAAACACCCACACTATATGATCCTTTACTTACGTGTAATTTTTATTTATGTTGAAAAGAGCACTTTCTGTTAGACTATGACTTATAATGAACATACAACTTGATATGAAATTATGATTTGATATACTAATATTCATTCTACAAATGATCCTTCTAAGGAGTAGCAAGTGAATTAAGTAACATTAAATTATATTCCTACTGATATAAATCCTATTGAATTGTGACCAGTAGAATTTTACATTTGTTGAGTGTCGTGACTTACCACCATAACCTGTGTGGATTTAGTCTAGATAATACTTACTAAATTGAATTATATAATATGTGTTTGGAGGTTGAAAATAATTCATGAAGTTTTTCTGTGAAGAGAGTGAATCCCTTAAGAATAAAAATAATAGGAAAACCTGACTTTGTTTTCTATAGTGCTTCACTTTTTGGTATTTTTTTCCTTAAAATGTTCTACAAGCTGTCATAAGTTTCTGTCATATTAGTTACTGTAAGTAACTGGAATATTGAAATAAAGAAATTCTTTTTAAAAGAAGCATTATGTTTACTTAGTTTTAAGAAATACAAGCAAATGAATACATTAGATCTTTTTGGCCTTGTATTCCTGTGTTCTAATATTTGAAGTAGGTTTTCTCTTTTCTGAGAATATATAACTTGCAACTAACTTGTGTCATCTTGAACAAGGCAACTGCTGAGGCTCAATTTCTTAATGAAATGGAGTGATCTGTTCTGCAGTTCTTACCTCATAAGAGAGCTCTTTAAGTTGAGTTTAGCTTCTGGAGTATGGTCCCTGAATCCTCATACTTATTATAGTTCCTGAGGCATAAACAAGTGATCAGTTTTTGTTTATTGAATGGGGAAAACATCACATGAAATCTTTTTGTATAAGACACTTAAAAATTTAAATATCCAAATGCTAGGTAATGCTGTTGAGTAATTTTTTATTGAAAGCATTTTAAAGAGCATTTGAGAGCACTTGTTGAATTTAAAATATGAAGTGTATTTTGAAATACACTGTTAATAAAGGTAATTTTACACTGTTTGGCTGCTATTTACAGTTTGAAGACCAATTAATATGAAATAATTCTTTATGATTTTAAAGGTCTTTAGTTTTATGAATTTATTATAACCAAGTTGAAAGTAATTTTTAAACAGTTTATTGAAAATACAGTAACCATTTAAGAGACTGGTTTTCTGGAGCAAAGACTATCTCTGGGACCTGAAACCATTCTTTGAAATTCTTTCCCTGGTGTGCCTGAGTCTTTCTTAACTTGGTGGTTCCATGTTGAAGGAGTTGTTAAATGCAGCCCCGGGGGCGGGGGATGGGTGGGGTGGTGGGGGAAGTTCTGAACTGTAGTTTAAAAAGCTTTCACAAACATTTTGGTTACTCAGTTTGGATGGTGTTCTTTAAGTGAGTTTTATTGACTCATGGAATCATTGATGACAGATTAATAATTTAAGGTTCAAGTCTGGCATTGCTATAGAGAAATACCTGAGCATTTGGCAGGCCAAGGTGGGCGGATCAGGAGGTGAGGAGATCAAGACCATCTTGGCCAACATGGTGAAACCCCATCTCTACTAAAATACAAAAAATTAGCCAGGCGTGGTGGTGCGTGCTACTTGGGAGGCTGAGGCAGGTGAATTGCTTGAACCCGGGAGGCGGAGCTTGCAGTGAGCTGAGATTGCGCCACTGCACTCCACCCTGGTGACAGAGCAAGAGTCTGTCTCAAAAAAAAAAAGAAAAAGAAAAAGAAAAAAAAAAGAAATACCTGAGCCTGGGTAATTTTTAAAGAAAATAGGCTTGTTTGGCTCATGGTTCTTCAGGCTTTACAGGAAGTGGGGTACTGACATCTGTTTGGCTTCTGGCGAGGCCCCAAGAAGCTTTTACTCATGCTGGAAGGTGACTCGGGAAGAAGCAGGTTACATGGCCAAAGCAGGAGCCAGAGAGCGTAGGGGGAGGTGCTGTATACTTTTAAAATACCGTATCGCAGGAGAACTCACTCCCTATCATGAGGACAGCACCAAGACAGGAGAGATCCACTTCCACGATCCAATCACTGCCTGCAATTGGGGATTACAGTTCAACATGGGATTTGGGATGTGACAATATTAAAACTATATCAGTAACCCTCCAAGCACTTTAGAGCCTATACCATTACTATGATTTGATGATGACAGTATATTTTCAAGAATTGATTAAACTTTCTCTGGTTCATTCAGAAAAGTAGGGATAGAATAATTTGCTCCAGTAAATGAAATTAAACTATAGTATCATTTTTTAAGTGTGCATTTCTCAGGGGTCTCAGACTTTTTTTGTTATGGTTTCTTCTTACAATATTTTTAGTAGTGCATAAGATTTATGAATAAGATTGAAATATCCCTTTATTGTATGGGAAATCCAGAACAAGTAATTTACTCTTTCTCAGTCTGTTTTTATTTTTATGGTGCAGGTAATACTTTGCATCCTGCCTCTATTCCTATGGTACTTAAGAAATTGTATGAAATGATGTTAAAGTGCTTTGAAAACTTATGGATAATACTTTAGCTATTTTGTTTTATATAGCTTTCACTTGTGTTCATCCGTAGATAAAATTAGCATTTTGGACTTTGGAAAGATGCCATTTTATAAGTCCAAAAACTTTGTAGTTAACCTGTGTATGTCTTTGTAAATAAGTAAATATGCTTAGATTTTTTGAAAGTTCTTAAAGGAATCATTGAGATAATTTGAATTAATGACTTTATTTTGCAGGTGAAAAAACCAAAGCCAGAAAAGATAATGACTTAAAATCATATAGTGTGACAAGGCCAGTTTTGCATTCCACAGTACATTAATATATGGAAAGAGTACATTTGATATGAGCTCATGTTTTGGTTTATGGTATATTCATGGAAGGGAACAGATACAGATCATCTGAAGCGATGAGTAGTCCCCAGTTGTGCATTTTTGCTTTGGAATATTCTTATATTCGAATATTGTTCTTTATAAATTCATAGCTTTTCAAATAAAATAAGCCCCACTATGAAATCCTGACCCAGGAGGAGCTGAAAATGTGTGTTGTTTTTTTCAATCATGCTTCCCTGTTGATCTTAGTACACATCCTAAGAACTATTGGCAGTTAATGAACATATTTTTGTTTATAGACTTTTCCTGAGTTAGAGGAGGTGAACAACTTGTTTTAAAGGTTTTTCTAGGCTGCAGTTCCCATAAGGATATATATTTTAAAAAGTGTTAAGGATGGTTAGTGTAGCACTTCTGTTTCTTGAAAAATCCAGATAATACTAAGCAGTAATCCTTAAATCTGAGGCCATTATTCCCTGAGGATTAATTTTGTTAGCTGAAAGATATGTGGATCTTTGCATGTAGAGGGTGTTGGTAATAGGCAGTTGTGTTTAGGGAGATACGTGTGGTAATATAGGTTTGAAAAAGTCTTGTGTTGAGTAAAAGGGAGAGGAGGAAAGGCTTTGGGGATCCATAAAGTCCTATAACTTTCAAAATAATAAAATTTCAGCTAGATGAACCTCATATCTTGTCCTTTAAAGTTTTATATATTACTTTATCACTTCAAATATTATACGCTAAAACTGTCATAGAACTACCATCTACTGTTTCTCTATCTTGGAGTTCACACTGTTTCCAAGCCAAGTGGAATATGAAAATTAAAAGGATGTGGAGGAAGTTGGAAGCTACATCTGTGAATATAGGCATCTTAAAACTCACCATGTATCAAAATGTGTAATGTGGATGTTTCCAAGAGAGCTTCTTTTTAAAAAATTATATGTAGTATTGAATTGGAGGGGTAGGGGAAGAAAGATAGTCAAGAGAATATAGAAGAAAACATATACTTCATGTACTTCGACTTTGCTGTAGCCGTTGGGAGCATTGAAATTTGACAGGACTTTCCAAAGTAGAAAACTATAACTTTCATGTGTTTTTACACTTAGTCAACAGTTGTTTCTTAGATGTTCGCTAAGACCATGCAACTGTGATAAATATATTAAATATAAGATGTTATTTTTCTCTTCAGTGAGTTTATAGTCTGGACAGAAAAGATAGGTGGAACCAAAGAAAACTTTACAAGACAATTTTTGCTAAATTATGTAACAAATGCTCTATTAGAGGAAAAAGTATTAGCCAGGGCAAAAGTTAGCTAGTGAGATGGAATTAAACCAAAGAGTTTTGGTATCTGACTGCTGTCTTAGCCCAGGTAAGCTCATCCTTCCTTCTGAGACTCCCTGTGAGCACGGAAGGGCAGCTACTCTTAATTTAAGCCCTTCAGCACAGTTGATGGCCCAGAGCATGGCAGAAGATAACTGTGTTGTCTTTTCTTCGCTTTAACTTCTCTCTTGCAGTCATCTTATGTGTGAATGTAAGTTTTCTTCCACAGACTTCTGTATGTACTGTCCTTGACTGTTTTTCTTTTAGACACCTCTCACTTCAGGATTTCCATTTCCACTCTCTTTAGTTCCTCTTTAAGGAGGTCAGTAGGCGATAGCTTTGCTAGATTTGAGAAGCAGTGTTTTTTTGTTTCCCCTTTCCAGTCTTCTGTGCTTAAAAATGAAAGTTTAGAATGTGCCCTTTCTGTCACAGAAATGAAAGAAAGTTGGTATTATTGGACCAGCTATATGTTAGAAACTTTATATTCAGTGTACTATTTAATCATCACAAATTTATGATGTAATTATTTTCATTTTATAGATAAAGAAACTGGAGATCCCCCATTAAGTAATTTGCCTGAGGCTGCACGACCAATAAATGACATCAGATGCTCACCCCGGCCCGCCCCCTGCTGCTTCATTCTTCCTTTGAAGCTGAGAGTACTAAAAGGAAAAAGAAAAAATGGGAGATTGTAGGAGACAGCTGAATTGAACATCTTTTCAGCTAAAAGTTAATGAAAAGTTTAGTTTTGAATTATGCGTCAGGAGCCTCTGAGCAAATTGTTCTGTGTCAGAGGGTTTCATAGCTTCACAGACAGGATTTGAGTTGTGTTTCAGTTATTCAAGGTCTGTGAGCTTCTCATATGATCTTGTGACTCTTCATAGAAGTATGGTAAAGAACTAGAGCACAGTGCTAGGTATATAGTAGGCACATAGGAAATTGCTGCTATATGTTATCACTACTTAAACAAAATTTAAGATTTGTATTCATCATTGAATATAGAGTAAAGTAGATGCTCTTTGCAGCTTTTGGCAAGTGAGTAGTGAACCTTAGTTTAGCCATTTATTTTCTTTAATAATTCTTTATTTATATTTCATCATATCTCTTTATCAGCCCCATCACTGAGAAGAATTTTTTCACTGTATAGTTGCCTCTGCACTTAAAGCAGGCTTGGTCCATGAATCCCATGACAAGAGCTTTGAGGACATGAGGAGCATTCTTTGTTCAAACATACTGTGTTTTCCTTTGGATCACTGGTGAGTAAGCTTCCCTCTAGAGCTGGGTGAGCTTAGTCCTCAGTTTTGCAGAGAAAGGAGCAGCAAGGAGCAGTTGACTGCTTCCCTCTGGGTGCTAGGAGGAAAGGAAAGTGAGTCAGCATTCATTTTGTTCTCCTCCCACCTTGCAACATCTGTCTGCCATTGGTCTGCTTCCTACCTCCTTTAACTTGTCAGTGCTTAATCCTCCAGAAGGCATCCTTAAACTGCCTAAGAGACACCATAATATTGTATGGGGCCTTTGACAGTTCTTTCCTAAATAGATTTAAGTCACAATTCTAAATTTTGGAATAATAGCAAGAAACGTTTGGAACACTTTGCAGATAGTTTCAGGTGTGTATATGTGAGTGTACCCTTTATTTTCTCTGCAGCCCTTACCTAACACACAGCAGAGAGAAAAATACCAAGGAATGAAATTGTGTTTTATGAGTAAACATGATGACTTCCTTCTCAAACAGACATAACTCTGTAACTGCTTAAGTTGTTGAACCTTTTATTCTGTTCTTACACTTGATCTTTTTCTATATTTACCTTTTTCGTCTTTCTCTCAAATTCCTTATTTTGGTTTTATTGTTCAGTGCAGGACTTGAACACTCCTAAAATTGTTTCTTCTTTGTGGAAAAGAAAATGGCAGGAGTGAGGCAGTAAAAATTGTGACTGAAGTAACAGAAATGCCAAGGCATGGACAGCAGCCATTACTAGATAACTAAAACTTGATTATATTGAATTATAGATTTGACCAATGCTGAAATAGCATGGAAATTAGAGCTCTGAGGGACCTTAGGAGCTGCAGAATATAGCCTTTTTATTTCACAGGTGAGGAAACGACATTTTGGGGATTTGGCCGGATCAATACAGCAAAGTTATCTGTGGAACCGTGGCTACACCTTGGTCTCTTGACTTGTATTTGACTTTTCCATGATTGAAATGAGATTATCTTAGAAGTAACAAATGGCAGACACTGATGACCTAATGCTACACTGGGTTTTTATTAGTGTTTATTTTACTTTCATAAAAAAAATTGTACATTTCAAGTTAGGATTATTATTGAATTATCACAGTATTCACTACAGACGTCGATTTACGAGCTTCTCAAGTGTACATCAATTATAATCAATTCTAATATTGATTATATTGATTATTCATAGTCTAACATTGGGGGAATTGGTTACATCCTGCTGTATCCATGTGGTAGAATATCATACTTCTGGATTTGGAAAGAATGTCTCATGGTATTAGGAAATGCTTATTAAGTGAAAGTCCTGAACAATATATACAGTATAATACCAGTCATATGTTTAAAAAAACGAAGTATATAGTTCCTTAAAAGTTAATAATGACAGTGGTTCTTTGAATGCTAGCATTATGAAAATTTTAATTTTACTTTATTTTCATGTTTTCTGCAAAGGCACATTATCATCAAATCAGTGAGTATAATAAAAAGGTAATTTATAATTCAGTTTCCACATTCAGCAATAATGTATGTGGTAAGAGCTGTATCTGTGAAACTCTTTGGTGTGGTTTAAGTTATTATTTATGTAATAATCTTCTCTTTCTGTATCTTTATTTTTCTGCCCTAGACTGTCTTATTAAATGTATTTTTATTCCTTAGGAAATTTTCCATATGGCTTTATTATACTTCATCTGTGCTCTCTCTATAACCCCTTTAATTTTACCTTTACTTGCCAATTTTGTTCAAATAATACTTGTAACACAGTTTGTAAAGATACCGCAAACCTTGATGCCAAAGCATAGCAGTCCCTGGCTTCACCTGTTTTCACCCCCAGCCTCACATTCCAGAAGGAACTTAACACATATAGCCATTTTGTAGGGTATTTAATGTACACATTGCTAACTAAGATGCTGCTTTTCCTTTTTATTCATTACTTTTGGACAGATTTACTTTCTGTCATCATAGATAAGGTTTTAGCTCCCATGCCCCTCTTTTCCTCTTCTCTCTCACTCAGTGTGGTTAAACGAGTATTAAAACTAAATAAGGAATTATGTTTATAGTATTTTGACTATGTAAACTGTGTCATTCTCCCACACCCCCCCACACCAAGTAATACAGTTCTCTTTATAGTTTTGGTTTTTCCTTAAAATCCTATTTAATCTTTAGCAAAGAATAATTGTATATTTATGGGGTGCGATGTGATGTTTCAATATATGTTTACAGTGTGGAATGATTAAATCAGGCCAGTTAAAAAATTTGCCTCTCAAAGCTATCATTTTGTATGGTGAAAACATCTACAATTTACAGTTTCAGCAATAATTGTTTCAGCAATCACAGATAACACAGTGCATTGTGATTTATTATAGTCACCATTCTGTAAAGATTACTAAAGCGTATTTCTCCTGTCTAGCAGAAACTTTATGCCCTTTGACCAGCATTTCTCCTTTCCCCCATCTACCCTCCTGCCCCAGCCTCTGGTAATCATCATTCTATGCTCTACTTTTGTAAGTTTAACCATTTTAGGTTCCACATGAGTGAGATCATGTAGTGTTTGTCTTTCCATGCCTGTCTTATGTCTTAGTATGTCTTATGACTTAGTGTAATGTCTTACAGGTTCATACATGTTATTGCAAATGACAGAATTACCCTTCTTTTAAAGGCTGAATAGTAATCCATTTATATATATATAAATGGATTTTATATGTATATAATGTAAGTCTATATTTATCTTTTTCTTCTTTCTCTCAAATTCCTATACACACACACACACACACACACACACACACACACACACACACACCATTTTCTTTACCCATTCCTCTGATGATGGACACCTAGCTTGCTTACATATCTTGGCTATTGTGAATAATGCTGCAGTGAACATGGGAATGCAGATATATCTTTGACATACTAATTTCAATCTTTTTGGATATAGACTCAGAAGTGGGATTACTGACTGGATCATAAGATAATGCTGATTTTAGTTTTCTGATTAGCCATACTGTTTTTCATAAAGCTGTATTAATTTTCATTTCCACCAACAGTTCACAAGGGTTCTCTTTTCTCTACAACCTTGCCAATACTTGTTATCTTTTGTCTTTTTGATGATAGCCATTCTGACAGGTGTAAAGTGATAACTCATTTTGGGTTTTAATTTGCATTTCTGCGATGACCATTTTTTCATATGTGTTGGCTGTTTATATGTCTTCTTTTGATAATTATTAGGTCTTTTGTTTGTTTTTTGATTGGCATATTTGTTTTCTTGCTATTCAGTTGAGTTCATTTTATATTTTGAATCTTAATCCCTTATCAGATGTATGGTTTGCAATCCCTTATCAGATGTATGGGTTGCAATCCTTTATCGGATGTATGGATGTATGGTTTGCAGTTTTTTTGTTTTGTTTTGTTTTTTCAATATATGTTATCACTTCACTTTACTGCTTGTAAACAATTAGTAAAGCTTTACTGTACAGAAGCTTTCTAGTTTGATACAGTCTCATTTGTTCATTTTTGCTTTTGTTGCCTGTGCTTTTGGGATCATATCCAAGAAATCTTTGCCCAGACTAATGTAATGGAGCATTTCCCCTATGTTTTCTTCTAATAGTTACACAGTTTCAGGTCTTATATTTAAATCTTTAATCTGTTTTGAGTTGATTTTTGTATATGTTGTGAGATAAGGATTCAATTTCATTCTTCTGCTTGTGGATATCCAGTTTTCCCAGCAGCACTTATTGAAGAGACTGTGCTTTCTTAATGGTGTGTTCTTGGTATCCTTGTTGAAAATTAATTGACCATAAATATGTGAAGTTTCTTTCTGGTCTCTCCATCTACTTTGATTGGTCATTGTGTCTGTTTTTATGTCAGTACCATGCTGCTTTGATTACTATAGCTTTGTAATAGATTTTGAAGTCAGATAATGTGAGGCCTCTAGTTTTCTTCTTTTTGCCTGTATGATTCCTCACAAATTTTAGGATTGTTTCCTATTTTTGTGAAAAATGTCATTGGAATTTTAATACAGATTATGTTGAATCTGTAAACCACTGTTGGTAGTACAGACATTTTAACTATTATTTCTGTGAGTCCATGAATATGGAATACCTTTCCATTTATTTGTGTTTTCTACATTTTTTTTCAATATTTAATAGTGTTTAGTATACAAATCTTTCACCTCCTGGGTTAAAGTTTACTTTTAGGTATTTTTTTTTTGATGTTGTTGTAAATGGGATTGATTTCTTAATTATTTTTTCAGATCATTTGTTGTTAGTGTAAAGAAATGCTACTGACTTTTATGTGTTGATTTTGTACCCTGCAACTTTACTGATTTGTTTAGCAGTTCTAATAGTTTTTTGGTGGGTCTTTACAATTTTCTGCATATAAGATTATGTTATCAGTTAACATAGGTATTTTCAATTTTTGCTTTCCTATTTAGATGCCCTTTATTTTTTTTTTCTTGTTTAATTGTTCCAGCTAGCATTTTGTTCTGTGTTGAATAGAAGTAGTTAAGAATAGAAATCCTTATTCCTGATCGTGGAAAACCTTTCAACTTTTCATCATTGAGTATGTTTGTTGTGGGATTTTCATAATAGCCTTTATTATGTTGAGGTATCTTCCCTCTGTGTCTAATTTATTGGGAGTTTTTATTATGAAAGGATATTGAATTTTTGTTAACGGCTTTTTCTGCATCTATTGAAATGATCATAGGGTTTTTGTCCTCATTCTGTTAATATGGTACATCCATCACATTATTGATTTGTGTATATTCAACAATCCTTGTATTCCAAGGATCAGTCTCACTTGGTGGTGAGTGATCCTTTCAATGTTCTGTTGAATTTGGTTTGCTAGTATTTTGTTAAGGATTTTTGCAGATATGTTCATCAGGGATATTAGCCTGTTCTTTTCTTTTCTTGTAGTGTCCTTATCTAGCTTCAGTATCAGAGCAATACTGGCCTCGTAAGTGGAGTTTGTAGGTATTCTCTTCACTTGATTTTTTGGAAGGATTTGAGAAGGAATTGGTATTAGTTCTTTAAATGTTTGGCGTAATTCCACCTTGAGGCATCTGGTGCTGAGCTTTTCTTTGATGGGAGATTTCTTAATTATTGATTCAGTCTTCTTGCTTGTTATTGGTTTGTTCAGATTTTCTGTTCCTTCTTGATTCAACTTGGGTAGGTTGTACATTTCCAGGAATTTATTCTAGGTTATCCAATTTGTTGGTGGATAATTGTTCATAGTCTCTTATGACCCTTTGTACTTCTGTGATATCTTCTGAGTTGTGGTATCTCCTCTTTCATTTCTGACTTTATTGTTAGAGCCTTCTTTTTTTCTTAGTTGCTAAAGGTTTTTTGATTTTGTTTATCTTTTTAAAGAACCAACGCTTAGTTTCACTGATCTTTTCTGTTTTCTTTCTGTTTTCTATTTTATCTATTTCTGTTCTGAATCTTATCTCATTCTTTCTGCTAATTGGGGTTTAACTGGTTCTTTTTTCTCTAGTTTCTTGAATTTATTTGAAATCTTTACTCTCTTTTGATACAGGCATTTATTGCTGTAAACTTCCCTTTTAGAACTGCTTTTGATGCATCTCATAAGTTATGGTATGTTATGTTTCCATTTTCATTTGTCTCAAGATATCTTTATTTTCTTTTTAAATTTCTTTGACCAATTGGTTTTTCAGGAGCATATTGTTTATTTCTGTGTGTTTGTGAACGTCCCAAAAGTCCTCCTGTTACTGGTTTCTGGTTTCATTCCATTACGAGTAGAAAAGATATTTGGTATCATTTCAGTCTTAAATTCATAGAGACTTATTTTGTAGACAAACATATAATATATCCTGGGGAATACTCATTTCAGTTGCTGTTGGATAGAATGTTCTATATGTCTTTTAGGTCCATTTGGTCTAAAGCGTTGTTCAAGTCCACTGTTTCTGTCTGGATGATATGTCCATTGTTGAACGTGGAGTTTGAATTCCTCTGCCATTATTGTATTTCAGTCGATCTCATCCTTCAGATCTATTAGTATTTGCTTTATATATTTAGGTGCTCCAATATTGACTGCATATATATTTAAAATTGTTCTGTTCTCTTAAACAGGACATAAAATAATGGCCTTCTTTGCTTCTTTGTCTCTTTTTGCAGTTTTTGACCTAAAGTCTATTTTGTCTGATGGAAGTATAGTCATCCGTGCTCTCTTTTGGTTATCATTTTTCATCACTTTATTCTCAGTCTGTGTGTGTCCTAAGGCTAAAGTGAGTCTTTTTCATAGGCGGCATATTGTTGGGTCTTGCCTTTCTAATCCATTCAGTCATTGTTTTTAAAAATCCATGCAGTCATTTGATTGGATAATTTTTTTTTTTTTTTTTGAGAGGGAATCTCACTGTCGCCCAGACTGGAGTGCAGTGGTGCAAACTCAGCTCACTGCAATCTCTGCCTCCCAAGTTCAAGCAGTTCTCCTGGCTCAGCTTCCCGAGTAGCTGGGACTACAGCTGTGTGCCACCACACCCAGCTAAATTTTTTTTTGTATTTTTAGTAGAGACAGGGTTTCACCATGTTGGCCAAGCTGGTCTTGAGCTCCTGACTTCAAGTGATCTGCCCGCCTCGACCTCCCAAAGTGTTGGGATTACAGGCGTGAGCCACCGCATCTGGCTAATCTTTGTATTTTTAATAGAGACAGGATTTCGCCATGCTGGCCAGGCTGGTCTTGAACTCCTGGCCTCAGGTGATCCACCCACCCACTTTGACTTCCCAAAGTGCTGGCATTACAGGCATGAGCCACTGCACCTGGCCTGGGTTATAGTAATTTTTAATGAGCTACAAATACACTCAGTACAGTGTTTGTCAGTAAATGGTGGTAGTTCTTATTTATTTCATTCTTCTTCTTGCCTTTTTCTCACCAAAAATGTGAGCTATGTGGTAAAGACCATATTTGATTGATTGTTTTGCTATGATAATTTTGAATTGAATGGAATTCAGAAGGACCTAAGGAGGGTCAGATCATTCTTCTTAAGCCCTAGAGCCCACTCAAAGGGAATAATTTTTTAGTAAATTGTGGCATTTACGGTACAGCAATTTGCCAAATATCTTTGTAGTCAGAATTATTCTTATGAAATCCTTAGGCAAATGCCACACTGGATACTGACAGAGACTATCTCCTAGTGTAATATAACCATTTTTTCTTTCACCTTAGGAAGAGATTCACTCTGAGTGCCAGATGTAAAAGTTGACTTGTGCTAAAGGCCATGTTATTAAAAAAAAAAAAAGTATTGAAATGCTACAATTGGACTCAGCAAGTTGAGATGCCACAGCTAAGACCTGTTGAAGGAATAGTGAATTGGCATCTCCTATTGCACTGCATTCTACAAAGTATATTCATTGAGGAGAAGGGTGCTGTAAGCCCTTGTACTTATATATTTTTGAGGACTGAAGGTGCTAGAGCCAGGCAACTTTTTATAAGTGAGTTTGAATGAATTAAATGTGAATTCACAGTATGTCCTCTACTCCAAAAGTTCTTAAGGCAATTGTAGGAAAGGACAAAGTGGACACAGACAAAGACAATATGATAGGCTGTGTTAGGGGAGCTGCCCTCGTGGTGCCAGGGGCCTGAGGACCCTGGGGATACTTGAGACCCTAATTGGTATACTTCTCTATGGTCAGGAGTTGGAGTACAGCCTTGCCAGAGTTAACTGTCATAACTCTTGTTACTGGCCATGGGTATTTCATTTCACACTTTCTCCTCTACTGATTTATTAATTCAGGAATTGATACATTAACTTACTAGCTATAGTTGAATAAAGCTTAAATTGTATATTCAGTATTATGTTTTGAAATTTTTTTAGTTTTCTCAAATTGCACTTACATTTGCATTCTGATGCTGAGTTTAATCTGTTAAAGAAGTTCAGTGTATGTGTGTGTGAGTGTGTGTGTGTGTGTATGTGTATAAAACATGTTCTAGTGCTTGGAATATTGAGGTTATTAATAAAATTTGTGGTTTCTGTCACAACAAGGTTTACTAAACAAAACAATCAGCACACAAGCGCATTAATAAACATGAGTGTGGGGTTTGTTTATTTTGCATTTTATGTTCAGTGTTTCGAGTAATATGTTATTCTGTGTGTTAACATTGTAAATTTATGTAGTGCATTTTTGAATTGTGGTTTTTAAGTTCAGAAATTTAAAATCAACTAATTTTTAAAATTAATCTATACTATACTGTACTATACTATACTATACTGTACTATAAAGAAGCCAGTGTGGCTCAGTGATTAAGAGCATGGAGGTCGGGCACGTGGCTTACGCCTGTTATCCCAGCACTTTGTGCGGCCCGGGCGGATGGATCTCTTGAGCTCAGGAGTTTGAGACTAGTTTGGGCAACATGGTGAAACCCTGTCTCTACAAAAAAATAAAAAAATTAGCTGAGCGTGGTGGCATGCACCTGTAATCCTAGCTGCTTGGGAGGCTGAGGTGGGAGGATTACTTGAGCCCAGGAGGGGATGAGCCAAGATCATACCACTGTACTCCAGCCTGGGTGACAGAGTGAGACCTTATCTTAAAAAAAAAAAAATTAAAAAAAAAACATGGTTTCTGACTCTAAAGACCTAAGACCAAGTCTTGACAGTGTCACTTTGCAGAGCAGCACTGTCCAGTATGGTAGCCACTAGCTACAAGTAGCTATTAAACACTTAAAATACAGGTAGGTTGACTAATGGAATTTTAAATTGTATTTAATTTTTATTAATTTAGATCTAGGTAGCCATGTGTGACTAGTGGCCACCATAATGGGCTTCACGGTACTAGGTGACTTACTTGACTTCTTTGTGTTCCAGTTTTCCCATCTGTACAGATGAGATCATATAAGTTACCTTTTGTGGTTACTATATGAATTAAATAAAATAATATAGTTAAGAAGGAGTTTAACACTATGCTGGAGCAGAATATTTCCATGAGAAATGGTAGTTAATTATAATGACATACATTTAATAAACAAGTTATTTTGCTTTTGAGCATTAATTTAAACCTGTTTATTTTTGTTCTTCCCTTCCAGGATTAATTTATTTTTGGAAATCAAGTGCAATATTGGAAGCCATTTCTACTAATTTTATTTCACTTTTAAATTTATGATTTGATTTGAATACTATCATGGGAGGAGCTGTGAGTGCTGGGGAAGATAATGATGACTTAATTGATAATTTAAAAGAAGCTCAGTATATTCGTACTGAAAGAGTGGAGCAAGCCTTCAGAGCGATTGATCGTGGAGATTACTATTTGGAAGGCTACAGAGACAATGCTTACAAAGACTTAGCCTGGAAGCATGGAAACATCCACTTGTCAGCACCTTGCATTTATTCTGAAGTTATGGAAGCATTGAAACTTCAACCAGGATTGTCTTTTCTTAACCTGGGAAGTGGAACCGGATATTTAAGTACAATGGTGGGCTTAATTTTAGGTAATTTTATTTTTGTAAAATTCTATTTTAAAAAATAAGCCATTTTGTATTATGGTTTATGATTTATAGGAGTTGTAACTTTGTGTACAGTATGTTTGAATGTGTATACACAGTGTAGGTATCTTCCTTACTTAGATGTGAAAACACAAAGTAGTAGTAATCTTTTTTCATTCCGAGTCCTTACCTCAACCTACAGTAGCTCTGGAAACTAACTGTTCTCTGTTAGTCATTGTCTGTACTTAAAGTCAAGCGCTGGTGGGCAGGAAACTCAGGAGTAATATTTAATCTATTTCAGATAGAGTGTTCTGTCTTCTGGCATATAAAGTTTGATGGTTATCTAAGAGCATTGTGCCAGGTTTTTGTTAAGAGAGACAGGAGAATGTGGGATATATAAGATGTGGCACTGTTAGGGTAAAGCAAGAGATTGGAGAAAAATAGAGAAGAAAGAAGTATATGTTCATTAAGCTTTCAGCATATTTAATGAGTGTTTGCTCTGCCAAGCATTGTTCCTGGCATGTGCATATGCCAATGATCAAAAGGGACTAAGATTTCTGCCCTCAAAGAGCTTACTGGGTGTTAAATGCTAGGTATTGTTTAAAGCAGTATGTGTGTATTAACTCATTCAGTGTTCCTAATACTCCTTTGAAGTACAGACAATTATTAATCCTTTTATATGGGCAAGTAAATGAAGGCACTGGGAGGTTAAATAACTTGCCTGAAAGTCACGTATCTAGGAAGTGACAACTGGATAACATGGAATATAGGTGGAAGACACATGGGTGGAGGAAAATCTGCTATAAGACATTATGTTGGATGGAGGATGACCAACCATGAAGTTTACCAAGCCATTTAGTTCAGCTGCCATATTCACTGGCCGCTACTGTGTGGCATACGTTAAAATAGAGCATTATTTAGGGGGGTGGGGTGTGAGAAGACAAAATCAACAGCCTTCATCTAGTCTGATAGGTACTATAGTTGAGGTATATCCCTAAGTTAATAAGGATGAGAATGTGGTGTAAAATTCATTCTAAAGTGATGGGGAATCATTGAAGAATTTTAAATAGAGAATGACATATCCTCTAGTAGGGTGACTCTATGTTCCAGTGTGTTGGGACAGTCCTACTTTATCTCTGTTATCCTAGTGTCAGTATTAATAATGTCCTTTCATTCCTTGAAGTGTCTGAGTTTGGACAATAAATTATGTGGTCACATTATGACTTTTAAGGTATAGTCAGGTCTGAAATTTCCTCCCTACACACTAGCTAATTCCTTACTCTATTAGTCATGGGACCTCCCATCTGTTTCATTTGAGTGTGGGGATGGAAGCCTTTCATTCCGCAACTGGGTTAGTTCTTAATGTATAAGAACTGTTCAAAAGTGATAGGAAATTATTAATTTTCATCGATAAAGAGAAATCTAGAAGCTTACATTTAAATTTGGCGCTCCTCCCTGTCCTGAGACAGGAATTTCTTAACAGGTTGGAACTTCCAGATATCTGTCACTTCTATCACCGGTTTCTTTGAAAAAGGAATCTCTAGGGTTTGAGACAGTCTGCAAAATCTAGAGGTGAGAGTAGGGAGAGTTGCTTCTTTAAAAAAAAAAAGAGGGGGGAATTGCTGTCCTTGAACATTTCTTAACCAGCTCTGGCAACTCTGGGCTGGAGTCCAAGCCTTATACCATGTTTGGCCAGCCTGAAAGTGCCTGTTTATTCTGTCTTACCCTTCTCTAGTATGTGCCAACTGGCTCGTGCTGAGGGAGGTCAATCTAGCCAAACTTGGGATGGGGGAGGTATGCATCATAATTTGCTATCTTGCCAGCAGTGAGGTTGCCTTCTTAGACTCATTACCTTAGTCCCAGGCTCCAAGAGATTAGATGTCTGTGGCCAGATGGCACTGTAGGCAGATGTCAAACTTATTGTATCATGAATGTCTTAATCACGACATGGGCAATGTGGGGAAAGAGACCATTGTGTAAATGATCTACAATGCACTAGATAGTTTCCTCCTGTTACAAAGCTGTAGGGAGTCATGGATCTTTAGTTACATATATGGCAGTGGCTCCTGGATACTATTCCAGGATTTATCTTTGTATGATCCTGCTAAGTTAAGACCAAGATATAGTTGTTCTCGTTTTGATTAGGAATATTCCTTTGGTGAGAAAGATAAAGAAGGAGAAGCAGAAACAACAGTCTGTAAAACTATGATTACAGCTAATAAGTCTTAAATTCACCAGGCTTCTGAGGAAGCTTTATCTTTACCCTGCTCTCTGTTTTTAGTTTGTGTTTTGTGTGTGTTTTATGTCATGGAGGGGAAGGTATACATCCATAAAAATCACTTAGAACTGGATCCAGAGGAGGATGCTCACATGCTCCCTGTGATTATTGAGTATAGTGAATCAAATTTGGCTCCACTGCTTCACAGCCACCTTATTAACAAAAGTTCTTTATTAAAAACAAAAAACTATAACACTATGGCTCAGCCATTTTTCTTTTCCACTCACAAGATAGGGATAACAGGTGCTCCCCCATAAACAGTGGGTCCTATGGGTACTACATATTTAGTAGTAAACTCTGGGGGAGTCCCGGCCAAAGCAGGGAGAGCGGGGTATCTGTGATTTGGTAACACAGCTAAGGAAGATACCCCTTGGGGAATTTCCACTTGACTCCAGAAACACAAATCCAGAAACAAATTCAGTGAGAGTGGGGCATCTGTGATTTGGTAACACAGTTAAAGAAGATACTCCTTGGGGAATTTCCACTTCACTCCAGAAACACAAATCCAGAAACACGAATTCAGTGAGAGTAAGTTAGGTTTTTCTTTTATTATTATTATTATTAATTTATTCATTTATTTTTAGGTAGGGTCTCACTCTCTTGCCTAGGCTGGAGCGTGGTGACACGGTCTTGGCTCACTGCAGCTTCGACCTACTGGGCTCAAGTGATTCTCCCGCCTCAGCTTCCTGAGTAGCTGGTAGTACCAACACGCGTGGTTAATTTTTGTATTGAGTTTTCTTCAGAAAATTTCTTAGGATTAAAGCACACTTTAGGGAATTATTCATAAATTTACTTTTATCGAAGAAAGTGGAGAATAGATCAACTCCTGAGATGTCTCATTGAGACATGTTTTTCAATTTCAAATTGAAGATAATTCATGTCCTGTTTGCTTCTCCTTAAATATTTTCCCTGAACTAAGGGTTTTCGTAAAGATCTAGTACTTAGTTGATTCTCCTCTCAGTACTGTCGTTTCATTCTCAGGGAATTCCTTTGAAAAACAGGATGCAAATAAAGCAGCCTCCCACGTCCTGTATTTTACCTCTGCTTTCCATAACTGAATGGAGTATCAGAACCACGAAGGCAAGTTATTCTGATAAACTCTTTGTGATTCAGGTAGGGATTCTGAATTCTGATCCTTTTTACTTAGGGATTCATTTTCATTTTCTTGTATAAACCATAATATAAAAATTCTAGGTATCTTATAAAACATATAATACACAGATTCATCCCACCTAATGACTTTCTCTTAGTCTCTTGCCTATTTCCCTAGTTAATAGGAGTGACTCTGGGGAGACTGCTAGTGCCATCCAGCACTGTGGATGCCACTACCTTGCTGCTACAACATTCATTCCTAAAGGTGAAATAATTGGTAAGCAGGAAACTTACTGCAGTTGCCATATTGTTTAGAAGCATTAGTTAAGCTATCTGCTGCCATGATGTTTGACCTCTACACTCTCTCTCTTTGTCATGGGACGTTAAATGGTCCTTATTCAGCTAACCTATATTGCCTTTGACCTCAGTGCTCGTGCTTTCTCTCTTTTGCCTGCATGCTTATGCATGTTCTCTCTTGCTCGCTCTGCCTCTAATGAGGTATGATTCACATACCATCAAGTTTACTCATTTAAGAGTACAATTCAGTGATTTTCAATCCAGTTTGAGGATACTGCCAATGTGCTAAAAAGATTATTCCCCATGCCTAGTTGCATCCCCTCCCAGTACTCAGCCAGTCCCTGACAACCAGTTACCTACTTTCTGTCTGTATAGATTTGTCCTTTCTGGACATTTCATATAAATGAAATCATAACAATATATGGTCTTCTGAATCCAGCTTCTTTCACTTAGCATTACATTTTCAGGGTTCATCCATGCTGTAGCATGTCTCAGTACTTTATTCCTTTTTATGGCTGAATGCTGTTTCATTGTATAGATATACACTACGTTTTGTTTATCCATTCACCAGTTAATGGACATTTGAGTTACTAGTTTTTGACCAAATGCATAATGCCATTATGAGCATTTAGGTACAAATCTTTGTGTGGATATACATTTTCATTTCTGTTAGGTAGATTCTTAAAGAGTAGAATTGCTGACCTGTATGGTAAATTTATGTTTTTAAGAGACCAACAAAGTGTTTTCCAGAGTGGCTGCACCATTTTCCATTCCCACCAACATTATATGAGGTTCTAGTTTATTCACATCCTCACTAATACTTGTTACTTCATTTTTTAAAAAGCCGTGTTAGTGGATATAAAGTAGTATTTCATTGTGGTTTTAATTTGCTCTTCCTTAATGACTAATGATAATGGAACAGCTATTCATGTGCTTATGGGCCATTAGTATATTTTTTTGGTGACATGACTAGTCAAATCTTTTCCTGTTTTTTAATTGAGTTGTTGATTGTTGAGTTGTTAGTATTCTTTATATATTTTGGATATAAGTCTTTATCACAAATATAATTTTCAAATGTTTTTTCATGCTCTTTTAAGTGCCTCTTAAAGAATGTTCTTTATTAGCTTACTTTAGGCCAAAAGATTAGGGAGATCCAGGGTGGTCAGTTCCCCCGTCCCTCAACTCTCATTCTTCTTGGTAAGATAAAACACATTCTGGGCCAGGCGCGGTGGCTCAGTCTGTAGTCCGAGCACTTTGGGAGGCCAAGGCGGGTGGATCACAAGGTCAGGAGATTGAGACCATCCTGGCTAACACGGTGAAACCCCATCTCTACTAATAATACACACACATCAAAAAATTAGCCAGGCATGGTGGCAGGCGCCTGTAGTTGCAGCTACTCGGGAGGCTGAGGGCAGGAGAATGGTGTGAACCCGGGAGGCGGAGCTTGCAGTGAGCCATGCCACTGCACTCCAGCCTGGGCGACAGGGCGAGACTCTGTCTCAAAAACAAAACAAAAAACACATTCTGCAGGTATCAAGGTTTCTGTATAAGATATACTCTGTTTTATGCATCAAACAGAACCTGAGTTTTTTCTCTATACTGTGTTACACTTTTTTTTTAAAAGGAATTTTTTGTTTGTTTGTTTGTTTTTGAGACAGAGTCTCACCCTGTTGCCCAGGCTGGAGTGCAGTGACACGATCGCAGCTCACTGCAGCCTGTGCCTCCCAGGTTCAGTTGATTCTCCTGCCTCAGCCTCCTGAGTAGCTAGAACTAAAGGTGCACGTCACCACGCTTGGCTAATTTTTTTTTTTTTTTGGTATTAAAGACGGGGTTTCGCCATGTTGGCCAGGCTGGTTTTGAACTCCTGACCTCAAGTGTTCTGCCCACTTTGGCCTCCCAAAGTGCTGGGATTACAGGTGTGAGCCACCATGCCTTGCTCTGTTTTTTTTTTTTTTTCTTTTTAGGAATTATAAATTATGTTTTTTTTTTGTTTGTTTTTTTTTTTTTTTGAGATGGAGTTTCACTCTTGTTGCCCAGGCTGGAGTGCAATGGCATGATCTCGGCTCACTGCAACCTCCGCCTTCCACGTTCAAGCTATTCTCCTGCCTCAGCCTCCCTAGTAGCTGGGATTACAGGCATGTGCCACCACGCCTGGCTAATTTTGTATTTTTAGTAGAGACAGAATTTCTCCATGTTGGTCAGGCTCGTCTCGAACTCCCGACTTCGGGTGATCCACCCTCCTTGGCCTCCCAAAGTGCTTGGATTACAGGCGTGAGCCACCACGCCTAGCCTTTTTTTTTTTTTTGAGACAAGTCTTGTTCTGTCAGAGCCCAGGCTGGAGTGCAGTGGTGCCATCTCCACTCACTGCAACCTCCGCCTCCCAGGTTCAAGCAATTCTCCTACCTCATCCTCCCAAGTAGCTGGGATTGCAGGCATGTGCCGCCATGCCCAGCTAATTTTTGTATTTTTAGTAGAGACGGGGTTTCACTGTGTTGGGCAAGATGGTCTCGATCTCCTTACCTTGTGATCTGCCCACCTCGGGCTCCCAAAGTGCTGGGATTACAGGCATAAACCACTGCGCCTGGCCCATCCATTCTTGATATGTGATTTATTTGGGGCTCTGTGAGCAAATCTGTTTTGAAAACAACCTTTTATTTTAGGCTAATCACATTTTATGAAATTCATGAAACTCTTAACTATTTGAACTATTATTTCTTAGTCCTAGTTAGGCTTCTGGGCATCTTTTTTCTGCTCTTGTTCTCTGTATGGAGTTGCCACCACTGTTCTATTTCTTAGATTTTTTTTTTCCCCCTCTCACTTACACTGGTTGTGGAGTAGAAGTCGTTACTGACAACCACCTCTTTTATTGCTGCTAACTCTGAAAATCAACATCCAGGTGATTTTGTGTTTATGGATAATATTACTGCTGATTACAGGGTAATAGTAAATAAAATAATAAATATTAGAAGTCAATACAGGTTTTACAGAGTTTTCATAGTAATTTCTTCTGGTTATATTTTTTCACACTATTCTTAGAAGTTAGGAAGAAATTTCTCCAGTGATGTGAAGTGGCTTAGGTGGTTCTCTGAGCATTTTGAGTTTTATCTTTGTGATTAACTGTTTCCCAACCAAGATTGTCTATGTAGCAAATACAGCCAATCCTTACTATTTGCAAATTTTGTCTCTTGAGAATTCACGTACTTACTAATACTTATTTGAACTGCCCAAATCAAAACTCACACTGCTTTTATGATCACTAACAAGCTTGCAGAGAGGAACAAAAAATTTGAGTTTCCTGCTTTGCATCTTCCTAGCTAAGGTGGGATAAAGTGAAGTTCTCTCTGCCTTGTCTCTGTGGTCATACAAAGATGACCAAAGGCATGTCACAAGCTCCCAGTCTGCACTGGGGCCTGTTGATGGCTTGAATCCCAATTCTGGCAACAGTTCGTGGGGTGGCTCAGGCAAGTCACTAACACTTAAGTTTATTTTCTCTTTTGTAAAATAAATAATATAGTCTCTACCAGGATGAGTTCTCAGGATTTAATATTATAATCTATTTAATATATTTATGTATGTACATATCTTCCTAAGGAGCAATAGTTCATCTTTTGCTAATTCAATGTTTGCTGTATGTTTTTTAGAACATAACTATTATACAGTAAATAATGACAATTGACTGCGTGTTACTTTGAGAAAAGTACTAAACCTTTCTGAATTTGTTTCCTTAAGTGTAAAATTTGTGAATCTCTATCTCCCTGTGTAGGAGCTGGCACCTACAGAATTGTCTTTGTTTTTCTATGACAAAGTCTTCCCTAGGCTGAGTTGGATATTGGACTGAATGCGTCAGGTTAGAGCCAGAGGTTGACTGGAGTTGGCAGGGCTGCTTGGTCTGCTGGAGTTCTTGGTCTCGTCTGGAACCTGCCTTCACATTCTCTCTGGGTTTGGCTCTTGCAGGGTCAGTCCATCTACCCTCCTACACCCTTGCCAAAAATTGTTTCCTTGGATTTCACATCTCTGTGTGTTACGTTTATAAATACTTTGTCCTTTTTTGGGAATGAACAACTTTGGCTTTATCCTGTAGTGAAGGGTGAATCTTTCGTCTTTCTTCAAGTAACATCCACATGCAAAGGATTCATAGATTTCTGCCTCCAAGGTCCGGCAGCTGAGCTCTGGACACTCTTGATCTTCCAAGCTGCACTCCAATCTGGGTTCTTAAACATGTGGTGCCTGCATCCTGTTTCTTCTCCAGTGTACAAAAGATTCCAGAAGTGAGGCCTGTCCCCAACAATTCTTTTCCTGCCCTCTTCCACACGTGACAAAAAGTTTAACAAATTCTCTTCTTTCTCCTCTGTTTCCTTTCTTAGTGAAGAGTACTTTTTTCTTCTAAATTACATAATGCAGAAACTTGAGTACCAGTCTCTCCTCTTTAATTTTATTTTCTGGAGTAGGTAACATAATCACAGGGCTGAAAATTCAAAAGTATCAAAAGGCATACTTTGAAATATTTTCCTTCTCTTCCTCTCCTATATTTTACCTCGTTGCCTCCCCACTTTGACGATAACTTTATAGAGCTCTGAGGACACTGTGATTTTTGCAAATACATACCGCTTTATAGGGATGATAGTTGGCTTGGAGTCAGAAGCAAATTTAGGAATAAAAGGAAAATGTTTGTTGAATTTTGACAGATTTCTATCAAGCAGCTAAAATTAATAAGAAATTAATTTTGAATGGAATGTACTTAATAACATTTACTTCTGTGGTATGCATCATTCCCTACCATCAGATAATATAGATTTAACATAATTTTTGGTCAGGCACTATTTTAAAAATCAAGACATGAAAAATATTTTTATGCTTTGTGGATATCATTTGTTTCAGTCTTCGTTGTGAACCTTTTAAATTTGAGACTGTAGCTACATTTGTGTACTTTATCATTCTTTAAAGAAGTATTATGTTAGACCCTGTGCCAGCTGCTGAGGATATGGAAGTGTTCAAGACACATCTCCTACCCTTGAAATTGTGCATGATGCTTCTGAACTAGCAATAAAAGTGTGGTGTTAATCTTATTGGCTGTTCTTCATTTAGTCTAGTAAATATTTATTGAGTATTTATGTGAATCTATCACCATGCTGGTCCCAAGTGTCTTCAAGTACTTCACAAATAGATGTGCAGTGGAATGAAAGAGCTGATGAAAATGTCTTCCAGGGAAAATGATTGCATTAAGAAAAATTTGAGGCTAGGGGTGGTGTCTCATGCCTGTAATCCCAGCACTTTGGGAGGCTGAGGCGGGCGGATCACCTGAGGTCAGGAGTTCGAGACCAGCCTGACCAACATGGAGAAACCCCGTGCCTACTAAAAATACCAGATTAGCCGGGCGTGGTGGCTCATGCCTGTAAGCTACTTGGGAGGCTGAGGCAGGAGAATCACTTGAACCCGGGAGGCGGAGGTTGTGGTGAGCCAAGGTCATGCCATTGCACTCCAGCCTGGGTAATAAGCGCAAAACTCCATCTCAAAAAAAAAAAAAAGAATTTGAGTCAAAATCTGAAGCTGTTTAAATTAGCTTTTGAAACTATTCTGTATTATATATACCTTATTCTCAGCTTATTGAATTTGCTTTGTTAGAAATTTAATCTCTATTTTAATATTCTATTGCGCACATTGAGGTATAGTCATAGGTTGTTCTTGACCTGTTAGTCTTGAATATTAGTACATTGTGTAGAAATATGTAAATGAACTAATCGTGACATCTGTTGTTGATATTTCGACATTTTAGAGATATGGTTTACTTAGGGCCTTGGTTCCATTCTCTGTAACTGTGAAACCAACACTTTGAGATCTTATGTAAACATATTTCTGAGATTCATGTATGATAAAAGAGAGTAGCATTTACATAGCCATTGACTGAGAGGAGCCTGAGGGACTAGAACTTGTTTCTGGCAAATTCCAGGACTTGTTTCATGATGCCTCCCCCAAAACTGGAGAGCAAATAACAAGGTCTGATCTTATTAGCTTCAGAGTGGTCAAGCTAACATGGCAAGACTCAGGACAAATTTGACAGTGTTTGATGTTTTTCCCCATGTGATATAGTTGAATGGGAGAAATAAATTAAATATATCTTAATAAGTGTTCGGAATATATTAGAACAGCTTCTCTTAGTTGTCTAGGTAATAATTACTTAGCCTTTCGCCGATTGCTTTCCTCCTTTTTCCTTTATTCACCTTTGGTCTGTTTTATTTTTGTGCATTATACCACAGGATATTTGTGAAAAGAAAGAGTGAAACCTATTCCTGTCGACTTTTTACCCTTTACTCTCCCTGAATACTTACAAAGTTGCTTATAAATCTTTATAAAGATACCTTATTTTATCTAACTAAAATTAGTAATAAAATATCATTGTAATTTATTGAAAGATCCTTTTATATTTATATTTTGATTCTCATTGACTTTATATTAGTTTCGTAGAAACCTAATGACTGATCCACCTACTCCCCCTTGTGGTGAATATTTAGTTTTAGCCAAAATACTTTTATTGGTAGCTGTTAACTCTTGATGTTACTTTACTATAATGAGAACAGAGATTTGGATAGTCTAAAACAGATTTTAAAAAATAATTCAGATGGGGCTTTATCATAATTAGGAGGGGTGGCTAGTACTGCTCAGCCCCAGTTGCATGTTAGGATTATCTGCAGACCCTGGGTCACGCCCTGAGAGATTCCATTTTATCTGTTTGTGGTAGGACCCAGGCATTTACAGTTTAAATCAAATTAAATTTAATCTACTTTTAAAAATTAAAAATTCCCAGGTTATTCTAGTAGGCAGTCAGGGTTGAGAACCCCTTATGTAGGTTATAATTATGCTTCTATAACTATTTCTGTATATGGGGGGAGAGCACATCATAATTTTTTAACAACAGTTTGTCGATTACATTATAGTGTGCAAAGTTTTACATAATTTAATGCTTTTTCCCAGGGACTACTATTATACAGTGGGAACCGGTCTTACAGTGACTGGTCTTAGATTATACAACAGTTAGGAGGAATTGGGATTGGAAGCCAAGACATCTGACCTTTAATCTACTATCTTTCTCACCACACCAGTATTTTGACCTCAGAGTCCTCAACTGAAATGATGGATCTTGAATTATTTCATCTTCAGAACTTTATGTATTGTGAAGTACTTTTTGCCTGTGGCTATGTTCTGTAAGTTAGCTTTACACAAAATACTAAAGGCACAGTGAACTTCATTCAAATGCAGTGTGGAACTCTCAGGTTTCCTTGGTCTGCCTCAGTCTTCTACTCATCAGCACCACACTGTCAAAATGTTGGACATTACAAGGGGCGAACATAGACATAAATAAAAAATATTGGTATTGCATAGACACTTGATGCCTAAACCTAATAATTATTAACTTTTATGTGCAAGCTTGGGTTCTTGACTAATTGGTAAATGATAAATGAACTAGATTAGATCCAATTATTAGAAAAGCACTCTTAAGAGTGCAATGAATGTGATTTGAAAACTTGAAAGCAGCCTAGATTTTACTATATTTGTTATTGTTATCAATGGGGGTTTGTCAACCTTAAAAATTATTTTTTATGTAAAGATACCTAGGAATTTCTAATAACTGTATTTGTTTTAATAAACTTTGACTTTGCTGTATGTTTCTATGTTCTCTTTAATATTTAGCTATTAAAGGTCAATATTTTCTTTTTTTAAAAAAAAAGTTACAAAAATTAAGCCCTTGTTTCATAGAAACATCTTTACATTGGCGAATACAAAATAACATTGGAATTCAGAGTCAAATTCATGCCTCAGTTGGCCTGTTAATATCATCATCTTTTGGATACCATTTCACTTTTTTCCATTGACAACTTGTACCTATTAGCTATATATTACTTGTTTATTTATTTGAACATTTATGTTTTTTTTAATCTTTCAGTAGCCCATTGTTTTTTAATTGAAAAAGTTATACACGCAAATGGTTAAAACAAATTTTATACAAGAGCATATAATGATAAAAATGTTTCCTTACCACCCTAGATCTCTTAGTCCCCTTTCTCAGAAGCAGCTATGTATGCTTTTTCAGTTTTCTGTTTTATTTTCCTGTTGTTCTATTTAATACAGATACCAAATGTGAGTTGTAATAATCAGCATTGCATTACATTTTTATACACTTAATGCATTCAAGGTGTATATCACATTCTAAATAAATGAGATATTGGTGACATTGCTATTTAAATTCTGCCTTTTATTAATGCATTTTTCTTTTTAATTTACTTTGAACATGTTAGTTACCATTCATATTGTTAAGTAGTGATCATTAAAGATGTGCCTCCATGTCATTGAAAATTAAACAGTTTCATCTATAAAAAATCATAAATGGTGTTTACAATTCAGTATTAATGCATAGCATATTTTGCATGTATATTTATATTGTTTGTCAAATTCTTTACATATTAATGAATTGTCTTTATCTTTCATTATTAAATATCTTGTGTCAAGGTAGTATGAAAAACAAGTTATGTTTAAAAAAATTAAGAAATTTTCTTTAAGCTTATTTGCAAAAGTTGACACTTTGCTTTTAGATAATAAGCAGAAAGCAGGAAAAATAAAACGAAAAAGAGACCAGTGGCGTCTTTAACTGAGAGCCTAGAACTTTGAAATTCAGATTCTTTCTGTTAATAATGCAGTTTGAACTATGGATTAGAAGCCTTGATTACAGATTCTTAACACCTTTGTTATTATATTTATATATTCTGTCTTATAGGAAACATGGAGTGCCAGCAGTATTGACCTTTTTAATTGATCTCGTATCTATGCAGCCCTGGTTTTTCTTTTTTCATAAAAATGTAACTAGATTTTTTTTCTCTCTCTCTCTTCTCTTTTTTTTCTCTTTAAAGACACGGTCTCACTCTGTTGCCCAGCCCGGATTGTAGTGGCAGGAACATAAGAGTCTTATAGGAAACATAAGAGTGCCAGCAATATTAACCTTTTCAATTGAACTCCTATCTATGCAGCCCTGGTTTTTCTTTTTTTATAAACATGTAACCAGATTTTTTTCTTTCTCTTTTTTCTTTCTTTCTTCTTTTAAAACAAACAAAACCACGGTCTCTCTCTGTTGCCCAGCCCAGAGTGCAATGGCAGCAACACAACTAACTCACTGCAGCTTCTACCTCCTGGTCTCAAGCAATCCTCCTGCCTCAGCCTCTCGAGTAGCTGGGATTACAGGCATGCACCACTAAGCCCGGCTACTTTTTTTTTAGTTTATTGTAGAGACGAAGCCTTGCCATGTTGCCCAGGCTGGTCTCGAAGTCCTAGGCTCAAGCAATCCTCCCACCTTGGCCTCCCAAAGTGCTGGGATTATAGGTGTGAGTCACCGTGCCTGGCCCTTGGTTCTTAATGGATAATGAAAATGTAAACATCTCATGTTTTATAGTCAATGGATCACCCTAAAAGGAAGAAAGGGAAATTAGGTTTATGTCATAGGATAGTATTTTTCTTACTATGTACATAATGTTAAGTAAGTGTAGTTTTATTTCATTTTTTTTTCTTTTTTTGAGACAGAGTCTTGCTCTGTCACCCATGCTGGAGTGCAATGGCAAGATCTTGGCTCAGTGCAACCTCCGTCTCCTGAGTTGAAGCAATTCTCAAGCCTCAGCCTCCCAAGAAACTGGGATTACAGGTGTGCACCACCACACCTGACTAATTTTTGTATTTTTAGTAGAGACAGGGTTTTGCCATGTTGGCCAGGATGGTCTCGAACTCCTGGGCTCAAGCCATCTGCCCGCCTTGGCCTCCCAAAGTGCTGGGATTACAGGCATGAGCTACCACATCCTGCCTGTATTTGAATTATTTTAAATGAGGTAAACTATTTGGTTTTTTAAAACATTTTATATGTTGACATCTATGGAAATTCAAATTCTCAGAATATTTACATTTAATATATTGAAAAGTCACTGTGCTTTTCTAAGTTTAATTTTTTGGCTGCTTTATTATTTTGAATATAAAAATTTTAGTTTTACTCAGTTTATCTGGAGTAATAGGAATTACAAGAAGTCATAAATGATTTTGGGCAGACGTTCCAGTTTTCAGTTGAAGGCTAAGAGTTCATAAGGAAGGAAACAAGCAAAAAGTTTGACATTGCTTTAACCAGGACAATTTATAAAATGTAAAAACATTGCAAAGGAAGTTAATTCTGTTGTGGTTTGATGAATCAAGCACCTTTTTATTTATTTTTCCTATTGGAACACATTTTTCAAGTAAAAGCAATGTTTTTATAAAAGTATAGTAGGGGAAGGCATTATCCTTATTGGATTTTGGGTTTAAGATTATATCTGAACATTTTGGTTAAATTTTTATAGTTTGGATATTTCCTAGATGGCAAACCATATTTTACATGTACTGTTTCAACATTCAAACATGACAATTTATGATTGTGATTTTTTGGTTAAAAGTACCTAATGGTCAGTAGAAACAATCCAAATATGCACTGTTGTTTTAGACATTTGGTAGAGGGCACATCCAGTTAAGTATTTCCTAAAGATACTGAAAATAAGACACCTTCCAGGACCAATGTCAAAGTGAAACAAAAATGTTGAGTGGAAAACCTGGTTGGCTGAATTTCAGAAGTTGAAAAGGGACTAACTGTAATTTGTGTGTTATATTCTCATGTGGGTCATGGGGCAGGTTAGTATGTATGTACAGTAGCCTTAGGAGACACTGAGTCCTCGTATTTTCAGGGTGAGGGAAAAGAGCCAGCCCAATAACATCTCTCGGGGCTGGGAAAACTCTCCTCTATTCATTCCCCTTTTCCTGGGAGGTAGTCCGTCCATGGGCATATGCAAAGAGAAAGCCTAAGTGAGAAGTGTAAAAGATGCTGGAGCATGAGAGTCAAGTCCAGCATGCTGCCCAATGGCCACATTCTGCTAGGCACTGGGAGCTCCAAAAGGCATGGAGTGGGGTGGGAATTTAGCCTCTACTGGCTGGGGGTAGCGATGCCCTGAGACATTCATGTAATATCTGTGTTAGCCCATGGTTTTAGGTATTTTGAATTACCAATTTTTTAGCAAATGATAAAATAATAGCAAGTAACTTAAACTTCACTTAGAAATACTATTCTTTTGGCAGTTTTGTCCTGCCAGATAAGCTACTCTCTTGGGAGAACTCTGTAGGTTTCAACCTTATCCCTGGTAGTAGTTTTTGATAGAAAACTCAGGCGAACTTTTTTTTTTCCCCTTTTTTTACATTAAAGCAATGTACGTGGATTTCCATTCAACTTTTAAGTCTGAGGCTAGGAAGTATTTGCATATTTCAAGCCATCTTTAAATACTCCTGTGATGTATAAATGAGCAGAACTTAAAAAAGAGCTCTGTAAGGGCATATTATTAATATTTTTTATAAAAATGCTGCTACGATTGCAGGTCCTTTTGGAATAAATCATGGGATTGAGCTTCATTCAGATGTGGTGGAATATGCCAAGGAAAAACTGGAGAGCTTCATCAAAAATAGTGATAGCTTTGATAAGTAAGTATTCATATCTATAGTTTTGGTTTAAAATCACTTAATAGATACATGCAACATGTCTATTCTTGAACACTATTATTGATCCTGACTGGCTCAATTGAATGCAGCAAAAATCAGTGCACCATAAAATGAGAAAAAGTTAAGATTATTCTGTGGTATAACTTTTACTATATGTAATTCTATAGTAAATTATAAATAATGTGATTTTTTGCTACTACAACTTTATTAGTAATGTTGAATTCATTAAACATTCAGCTATCTTTTCTGGAGATACAGTGTAATAATGCTGTGATTGCAATATTTGTCTGGAACTGGTTTTTTACCTTTTGGATAGTAATTTAGTAGTTCTGTCCTCTTCAGGACATGAGAGGTGGTACCAGTCAGTATACAAAGGACTTTAACATATTCAGCTACTTTGTAATATATCCAGAAGAAATGATCATAGAAATACATTGATATATCTTGTGATAGGATTGTTAATAAGAAATTGGTTTATAAAACCATTGTTTTGAACTCACAATATAACTCCTCTTAGAAGAAACATTGCACGGGCTTTGGTCCTTGGGCTGGCAGGAAAAGTCCATTTGGTGTGTAATCCTAAAATTCTGCATTGCTATAGAGCAAGAGCACTTACGCTGAAATCCATGAGCTCTTTGAAATTGTGTAAAATTTGGAGAGCTTTTACATCTCTCATTTCACTGTGTATCTGATTTTCAAAGAGAAAAAGTGTTAAAAAGGATAGAAAACACAAGCTTAGAACAGTCACTTTAAAGAACAAAGTTTTAGGCAAAAACACTGAGAATTTCAACTCGGCTTGTTGGGAGTTGGCCCTCATTTATATCCAGCCCTTGGCTATGACCATCAACAACTTGAGGGAGGGGGCTACATCAGAACTGAGGGCTTTTCTCTAGAAAGATCTAGATTGAAGGACACCACCAGAGAGAAGAAGCTAAAAAACCTTGTGAATATCTTCAGAGGAATGTTTATTTTCCCCCTCCTGCCTTTGCCCTTCCTCCCCTTCCTGCCTTTGGCCTTCCTCCCCTTCCTCTTGTACTTTTGTTTCATTCCCCTTTGCAATCCCAGTTTGTATTTATCGTCTGGCAAGTGGCATTTGATTGGTTGAAGAACAGAAACCTGATGTAATGGAGCAAAATCCTCAGTACTTAACAGTGAAGGCAAGGTCTTGTGTCTACCTAGGTGTGATTGTAACTGTTAAAAATTGCAGGCAGGCATGGGGCAGTTGGGAAATGCTCAGGTTTTTTTTTACTGTAGTTCAATGAATTTAAGCAAGCCACTTGAATTTTCTGCATTAATTTACTGAGCACCATCCTGTATCTTATTTATGCTTGTCTTTATAAACAACACGTAATGCACATTTTGATTCGTTTTTCAAGGCTTACTGTGTTGGTTCATATCCTAGTTCCAAGAAAAGCACGTTTGGCAGAAATAAAAGTTTTTACTCCAAATTATTTGATAAGAAATTTGGATTCAATTTTAGCATCTTTTTGTGTCTTTATTGTTTCTCTCTGTCTTAAGGATTATAGTGGCATGGTAAGTGCTTAAGATGCAGTCATGAATGTATTTTTATACAATTAGAACTATAGAATTTTGTTCATTTTATTTAATTGCTATTAAGTATTTGTTTTGATCTTGAAACTTCATGTACACAGAAGGGCTTTTTGAGTACATTTGAATTTAGAAAATATAAAAGTATTAGTGAAAGCAAATTTTTAAGGTCTATTTTAAGCTCTGTTATATGTTAGTTATTAATAGATTTCACCTATTAATACATGAAGACACAGATAATTCCATTTTGGGTCATTAATTGAGCAGAACAGACTCAAGGAAGACTCTTGAATCAGTGAAGCAACTCTGTGCAAGTGTCTGTGGAGCTCAAGCTTATTGCTGGCAAGAGGGTATAGTCCTGGGAAACAGGAAAATATGTTGTGATTTGAAGTGTTTCTATGTTGATGTAATTTAAATAATCACAACACAAATAAGTTTGAAGACCACTTATATAAGTATCTCAATTTTTAAAAATTCTCAAATTGTTTTTTTTTTTGTTATTGTAAAATACTCAAATTTCCCTGGCTTATGTTTCTTTAGTTTTATTTTCATTACTGTGTTACCCAGGTTTGTTATTCATAATATGATGAATCGTAAAATACAGTGATATGACTGGTATAAATGTTTCTCTGTAATTTTTAATGGCCTTGTTTTAGTTATTATATGTAGTTGTTTCTAAAGTGTTTGTTACAGCTTATTTTTGAAACAGATTCTTACATTCATGAACTAGTCTTGAAGAAGACAGTTCTGAAAATTTTATTATCCTAATCTTTTCAGTGTACTAAAACATTACTCTTATGTATTGCAGATTATAAAGTAGCTTATATACAAGGAGTAGTAGGTACTAGGGAAATGTTTCATTTTGCATAATGAAACATTTTGCATAATGAGTGGCTGGATTCAATGGTTTTTTTTTTTGTTCCTTTTGTACAGTTTGGTTTCAATGACAAATTATAAAAATGATATTGTTCTTACATGTGTTTTGATTATTTTCAGTTTGTCTTGATGTTTGTGGATAATAGTTAAACTTATTTTCAAGTTTAAAATATTTTACAAACTTGCTATGCAAAGTGGTTTTAAAAATCTCATTTCTAAGCAGTTTTATTTAATTATGTATGGTTCATCAAAATATATGTTAACAAAATATAAGATAACTGAGGAAAATTAATTGCCATTTGTATATTCCTTAGTACCAGATTATCGTTGATTATGTGTAATGGAGAGAGAATAAATAGCTGAAACCTAATATTCTTCCAGTTTTTTTTATGCTGCCGGTTTGGATCTTTTTTAATCAGTCCCCTTTTCAAAAGTATTACCATGTCATGATTTGAATTGCATTTTTAAAGTTTTCTTATATACATATATTTAAGATCATAGTAAACTCCCAAATACAGTAGAGGGGGTAAAATCCATATGCTAATCTGCATTAGAATATATAAAGTTAGATGACCTTTTTAAGAATACAAATATAGGCTGGGTGTGGTGGCTGACACTATAATCATAGCACTTTGGGAGGCCAAGGCGGGCAGATTGCTTGAGTCCAGGAGTTTGAGACCAGTCTGGGCAAAGATGGCAAAACCCTGTCTCTACAAAAAAAAAAAAAATTAGAAAAATTAGCTGGGTATGGTTCCACATACCTGTATTCCCAACTACTTGGGAGGCTGAGGTGGGAGGATGCAGAGGTTGCAGTAAGCCAAGATTGCACTATTGCACTCCAGCCTGAGCAACAGAGTGAGACCCTTTCTCCAAATAAAATACAAACATGTTTTTATGTTGTATAGAGCTTGATTCCTGTGTTTTGAAAGTAGTATTCTTTCTTTAAAAAAAAGTATTGTAAGTACTTTTAAACTTTGTATGTCTTAGTCTTATATCATCAAATGAAATAATGTGGAGAGTACATAGCACTAGATTTACTGTACTGGAGATGGGAGGGAAGGGGGAAGTTTCATGTCTGATGTATTCCGTTGATACATATGGTATTTTAAAATTCACTGAAATTCTCTTATAAAAATGATGTGATTTCAAGGGTCCTCTGAAACATTGGCAAGTTTTTCCCACAAATCCCAGTTAGTAAATCTTTTAGGCTTGCTAAGCTAGATGGTCTCTGTTGCCACCACCTGACTCTGCCTTTGCAGTATAAAACTGGATGCAAATGCCATGAAAATGAACGGGCTTGAGGGTGTTCCAGTAACATTTTATTTACAAAAACACTCTGTTTACGAGCTGTAGTCTGGACTTGGCCTACTGTCTGTAAACAGTTTGCTGACTCCTATTGTACTTTTATACATTCTCTCCTAAACATCCTGTTTTTAGCTAGACAAGTAAAGGCCTTTAGATATCTGGCTTTTGAGAGGAAAGGAGGATATTGGGAAAGTCAAATTATGAGTCAGTATTTGCTCATGTACAGTTAAAAAAATTATCTCCAGCTTTATTAGAAGAGTATGTTAAAGGAGCCTGAAGTATAAACTTTTTACCATGTAAATACTTTCAAAATGAATTATTAGTATAGCATTTATTTATAGCCACACATATGTAATGCATATACATGTATGTATTTGATTTGGCTCCCTGGAATGCATGCTTTGGAGAGGGCCATTTTCTCGTAAAGCATTAATTAGGCCAATAGATCCTATATTCGTCCCCTTTTAGGTGACTTATAGCTGTGACTTTGAAAGTATGACAGTGTCAGTAGCCAAATGAGTATAATGTAGTTTGAATCATTGGAGATTTTCATTCCATATGAATGGAAGACCATTGTCTCTGTATAGTTTGCCATATAAATGAGTCATGATATGAGTAATGAAAACAATAATGAGATGATAAAAAATAATAGCACCTAATATGCATTTGTCTGTTCATTAGTGTTAACCATTCTAAATGTTTTATCCACAGTTCTAGAGACAATATTAATTGGTGTTCACATTTCCCAGATGAGAAAACTGAGGGTTAGAAAAAGAGGCTGTAACCTGAGCCTGGGAGTCTTCTTACTTAGTTCTGTTTGGCTCTTATGATGTAAACGTTGATTTATTCTAATATTTCTTTCCAGCAAGTTACTGCCATCAATGAATTACAGCCTAGCAACTTGTATAGGAAAGTTTCCTAGATAGGAAAGTTGAAGGAGTACTTTTATTTTCATAATTTACTTTTTTCACATTAGAATTAAGGAATGCTGTTAATGCACTTAATTCACTATAGCATTTATATTAAAGAGCATACCTTGTTCATTAATGAGACTTGCCTATGGCATGAATTTTTATTGGGGTCAGGGATGGGTCGGGGAGGCAATTCATTACTCATATTTGGTTGAGGTATAAGTTTTATATGTAGAGTTAGACTTTTGTATTTTAGAAGATTTAGTTGACATGGTCATATCTACTATCCTAATTTTATTTTAAATTATGTGTTCATTTTTCACATATGATTTGCATTTGAAAATTAGATGCTTCTATATTCTGTCATCTTTTATTCACTTCATCTTTATGAGAATTACACTTATTTAAAGGAGTTTTCCTATATATAATTCATTATATATTCAATATTATTCCAAAATATTTCTCAAATATGTGAACATTTTGGTATTCTAATAATGTTTAGAAGTAGTTTTATAACAATTGTTAGAGATTGTAAATATACTTTAAAGTTATGACAGATATGTAAATACATTTTAAAATTATGACAGACATTCAGATGTTGAGACAGAAATCCTTGAAAATAGTTGTCAGGACTATCGGTTATATGTTTTAACCTCTGTTAGAAATGGCATGGGGAAAAATTTCATGGCTTCAAACACATTTTTAGGAGAAGAAATTGTTGAAATACAATTTCAGCAATAAAAGGCTCACCTTTATATGACTTACCTGTCACATTTCCTGTAAACTGTTTGGAGATTGTTTTTGTTACTATGAATTTCTCTGATGCTTTCTTTAATGAACAGTAACTGTATTTACTTGAAACACATTGCTTGGAATAATGCTTGAATTATTCTGAGATGACTTTGATTCATTTGAAATGGAAAACACTTGAAAATGTAAAGGTTTGTTTTTCAAAAAATTGTAATTAAATAGCTTAATTATTGATTGCAAGAGTCCTTGAATGGTATCAGTGTATCTGGAGATCAAGAGTTTAACATTTCCCTTGGTTTTCTTCACAATGGAAAAGTCTGAAGTTTTATTTTGTCTTAATAAAGCAGTCATGGCTCTTAAAACTCAAAATGTGTATTTTGACAAAGTATTTCAAGAAAAAGAAGTTTTTTGATTCATTTGGCAGGTTGTTTTGGATGAGGTGTGAGAACAAGGTAGGATTCTTTTCCACGTCCTTGAAATTTCTCTATTCCACTGGAATAATTGTCTAAAATTTCAATAACAGCATCCTGTGGCACGTGATAAACTAGGTGTGCAAATTGTCAGCCCCACTTCAACAGTGTATTGAAGGGGAATGTTGTTTTTTCTACTCTCAGTCAGCTCCTAGACCTAGACTATCCGTCTAAGAGGGAAGCTACAGGGCAAGGCTAGGTCACCCTGATCTCCTAGCAGCTTATCAAAAGAATTATATGGGCAAGTTGGCAAGGTCCCTGCTGTGAACGAAATCATCTGTCCATCTCAAGATGAAGATATTCCAACATGCACCTATAAAGAAAACCACTGCTAAGGTAAGTGATTAGAATCCTGGTGTTATTTTGGGCAAGTCTTCATGTTCTAAACCGAGATATCTGTGTGCTCTATATTTTTTTCATAAATGATTTTCAGGGTACATTTTATTAAGAGTATGTCAATTACTTTTCCTTATCTGCCTAAGAGAGTCTGAGAATATTCATTGGATTTTCAGGTTTAAATCAATAAATGATTATAAGCTTAGAATGAATGATTTTGTGGTTATTATACACATTTCAGGACTGTTGATTTTTTTTTCCTTCTGTATACATATAACATTTTTGGTAGTGTAATTTAGGAGTGTGGGTCATCTCTATCTTGGAAATTTTGTTTTGAACATTTTTTTTTTCAAAGAATAAAAATGATTGCTACTTTTTATTTTACTTACAAACATAAAATTTTAATGAACTCCTAAATCAAGTATAACAATTAGGGAAGGAACACGCCAACCATTCTTTTACGAGTAATTATAAACACATATTAAGTATCATTTTAGTAGACTTTTTGCCATTTTTTTCCTTCTCAGATTTCATTTATTGTGTCGTTGATATAAAAAGGTAGATTTCAGATTTTCTCTTTCACCATTTTTAACCTATGTGTGTAATTTTATAAATAGTGTAGTATTATTTTGTGATAAACTGAGAACTTTCGTTGAATTTATTGTTCAGTCTTAGAGATTATACAGAAATTGTATTTGTAGTTTAAAATATGTCCTTTACCTCTATAGGTTTATGGAAACTTAGGTAACATACAGTTTTCAGAAGATAGTCAAGGCCTAAGGAGGAAAAATGTTTATTTTTTTCTCTACTTTGGAAGAATCAATAGGAGTTGTAATTTACTGTGTTCGATAACATGGTAGCCACCATCTGTGTCTTGAATCAGTCATCTAGTTATTCACATATATAAATATATATATAAATATCAGTAAACATTTACCTGAATTCTTTTTTTTCTTTGAGACAGGGTCTTGCTGTGTCGCACAGGCTGGAGTGCAGTGGCCATGGTCATAGCTCACCGTAGTTTACAGCTTGTGGGCTCAAGCGATCTTCCCACCTTGGCCTTTGGAGTAGCTGGGACTATAGGCGCGTGCTACCGTGCCTAACTGATTTAAAAAAAAAATTTGTAGAGACAGGGTCTTGCCACATTACCCAGACTGGTCTAGAACTCCTGGGCTCAAGTGATCCTCCTGCCTTGGCCTCCGAAAATGCTGGGATTACAGGAGTGAAGAACCATACCTGGCCTACCTGAAAAATTGTAATCATAGACTTTTGGAAAAAATATTAACTGAAATTTTGGCCACTCTATAACCTGATTGGTATGAATTTGTTTACATGAAATGCTGTATAAAAGTAAGTTATGGGCCGGGTGTGGTGGCTCACGCCTGTAATTCTAGCATTTTGGGAGGCCCAGGCAGGTAGATTGCCGGAGTTCAGGAGTTCAGAACCAGCCTGGGCAACATCTCTACTAGTACAGCCCCATCTCTACTAAAATACAAAAAATTAGCTGATTGTGGTGGTCCACCTCTGTAGTCCCAGCTACTCGGGAGGCTGAGGCACAAGAATTGCTTGAACCCGAGAGGTGGAGGTTGCAGTGAGCTAAGATCGCACCACTGCACTCCAGCCTGGGCAACAAAGCAAGACCCCTTCTCAAAATAAAAATAAATAAATAGATAGATAAGTCATGATATTAGTATCAGAATACAAAACGTCTAAGATTCTTAACAGTGTGCCCAGTCAGAAAAACCTAAGTTCATATTATAAGTACTTTATTGGAAAGTTAATCCATAATCGCTTTACAGATTGAAAAAAAGTGAGAATATGCAGTTTGAGAGCTTTTTTCTTTAACTGATTGTGAAGTTCCATGTATTATGGCTAGAAAAGGTTAAGCCATATTTAAATAATAATCCTTAGGACACTAAAATTGGTAGTGTTACAGTTTTCTTTGTAGTGTGTTTGGCAGATGAGTTCTCTAATATGTTCTAGATTTTTTAGTGCTAACATTTAAAGATATCCTTTTTTGTCCAATTTTATTTATATCTTTCCATTTTTATTTTTAAATTTAGTAATAGTATATCCCTTTTTGAATATTGTCTTAAATTCAAGGAAACTTTCAAATTTGAGTATTCTGGTAAAGGAAATCAATTTAAACATGTTAAAGGAAAGTATGAAGACCCCTTTTGTGTTTGCTAGAAGTGGAGTTGCAATTACTAGAAATTTATTAATTTAGAGATTTGATTTTTCTCTGCAGTTATCCTTTGTATTAATAATTTCCCTTAGATAGAAGTAGTTATACTTGTTCTGCTTTACATTGGAGGGAAAAACATTCATGTTGTTTACTAGAATAATAAGGATGGTTGATTTGAGATCTTCAGAAAGGCCCCCCTGGCCCAAGAAAAACCTGTCATTTAGTTATAGGAGAGTTGATTATTCATTAGAGGTAAGAGTTTGTTTTGTTTTTCCTTTTTTGGCCTGTTGGGAAAAAACTGTATTCTGTAACATGAAGCTCCAGTTATTACAGTAACCAGTTTAACAAAACATAAACCATTGTATTACTACAGAGAAGTACCATAGGTGGCTGGTCACAGTGGCTCATGCCTGGAATCCCAGCATTTTGGGAGGCTGGAGTGGGAGGATCACTTGAGGCCAGGAGTACAAGACAAGCCTGGGCAACACAGCAAGACTCTGTGTCTGTATTTTAAAAATTAAAACAATTAGAAGAAGTACCATAAGCATATGCTTTTTCTGTAACTTTATTTCTAGAAAAGCTTCTCTTCTACTCCTGAGATTTTTAATTTGTCAAATTTGGGTTCATATTCAGCGTTGGTAGGTAGAAAAGTTAAAACATTTATGTTTCTTTTTTTTAATTTAGTTCATTTATTTAATAAATGTATTTTGAGGACTAATAGGTGATGGAGATACAATTAAATTCAGAAGAAATATTCAAAGACAGCAGGAAAATAAATTTTAAAAATGTTTCAAAGGGAAGATTGTGATAAGAAAGTATTAGAAGCAACTCTTTATTAAGTAAAAGGATAGTTATTTAGTATTTTCATTTTAGGTGACTTAAAAAGTATGTATATTTTAATATGCAAATATAAAGAATTAGATATTTTACATTGTTCTAAAAAGTCTCTGAAAACCCATGCGCATTACAGATGATCTAAACTTGAATTAGCCACATTTTAAGGGTTTACTTGTCACAGTGGTTGGTGGCTTTCATCTTGATAGTGCAGCTCTAGATTGTCCTGTCTCATCTTTCAGATCCCAGCTTGCCATTTCTCAGGGAGCCCTTCTCTGATCCCCATGCCTGTCAGTTTCCCTTTAAGAGCATTTATCACAGTTGTAATTTATATTTCAATTAGTAGGATTGTTCGATGTTTGTCTCTTCCATTAGATATAGACACGAGTGTCTCCCATTGTATTCTCAGTCATTGCACAAAGCTAGTGCTCAATAAATAGTATTTGACTGAAGGAAGTGTGCAATTAGTGGTATAAGGTAACTTGCCCAGTGTCACACATTTAATTTTAGAATCACACACTAAATTATTTCTAATTTATTTTGCTGTGATGAACATGTATAAAATACTACTAATTAATGAAAAGTGGTTTTAATTGTAAGTTGTCATTACCTGTAATGGTGATTTCCTTGGCAGTAGTTCTGTAAGCTACCACATATTTTTAACTAGTAGGAAGCTTTTAAAACTGTAAGCATATTTTTTAGTTGATTTAACATGTTTGATAAAGTGGTTTAATAATTCAAAAATTTTTAATTATTTAAATTCCCTAGTCACATTCATCCTGAAAATTATGAGGTTGAAATAAATTATTATAAAATTAAAGCATTTAAAATGAATTTCTGTAAAATTTTTAGATAGACCATACTGAAATAGTCCAACTTATTATTAAAGAATGCTTACTGTGAATTTGATAAGATGATTAAACCATGTGATCTACAGTATCTAATTACTTAAAAGCCAAAAATTATATTTTGGCCATATTTTAAACAATCCGAGATTATGGCATAGTTTTGAATATAAAAGAGAAATTAAATATGATTCTCTAACCTAGGTAAATTCACATTTTGTGTGTGCTGTGCAAGTAGAAAGGATGAGATGCTATTAAAGAATTGAGTAAGATTTCATTGCAAAGCTGATATTTCAACTATATCTTGAAGGGATATCAGGCATTTATTAAGGGTAGAAGGAGAGGGGAAGGATATTTTAAGTTAAGGGAACAGCACATACACAGATACAGGATTTCAAAACACTGTGTGATGGTTCCTGTAAGGAATTAGAAGCAAGTAATTCAGTCTGCCTGCAGAGTAGTACGTTCAGGCTGGGGCAGAGACAGGAAAGGAGTCTAGTAGAAAGACTTGATGGTAGACTCATAAAGATTCCCCCGTAGCACTCCTAGGAGCTTGAACTTATCCTGCGCATTAGAGAGCAGAGGGATGGAAGAGAGCCCTGAAAAATGTGATCAGTGAGGTGACAGTTATAGTAAAAGAAATAATGGGGCATGGACTGCCTTAGCGTGGGGGCATGAAGACAATAGTACAGGGACACCCTTGACCCTTCCCACCCCACCTTTTATACCCTTCCAACAAAAAGACAAGAAATGAAGGGCAGGGCATATATTTTGGTAAATTTTCTTCTTTAGGAAATAGATGTTTATAATGTGTATGTGTTTTAGTGACTCTGAATGGAAACTTATTGTGTAATAAGTCTATTAATTACTAAAGGACAGGGTATATTTTACAGAGTAAAAATGATTGTGATTCAAATCAGTGTTATTTTTAACTGCATGCTAAACCTTTTAATATGAATTATTTCATCCTCAAATAATAGTGTGCTTTTGCTCTATGATCATATTAACTTTATTCAACTTAAAAGTGAAAGGATACGAATTAATTTTAAAAAGATTACCTGTCTTATTAGTGCATTGGGGTTTTAATTACGTTTATATTAGAGCCTGTTTTCAGTTTTATCAAAATTTAAGAAATAAAGTAGAAGTCCAAATAGGATAGTTTGTAAAAGCATAACTCCGTGTACCATGAACCAACACTATTACCAGGAACAAGCAGCCCAGATAAAATACCTTTGAAATCATATCTCTTGTTGCTTAGGGAGATCATCGGGGCCAAAGCAGCAATATGAAAAAAATAGTATTAATTCTGGTCTTTGTCCCATTCAGTGATGTTCCTCAGCCAAAATTTATTAGAAACTCTTCCTAACCTTACTGGTTGCAGGGGTATGTGGTCAGGACACTCGTATCTTTTTTTGATAAAGCTCTCCCACTTTGACCTTCAGCAAAAATGTCAAACTGAGATGAATTCTACACAAACCCTTCTCATTTCTGCTGGCCCCTCACCTTTTTTGGAAAGGACAATGCAAAGTGAAGCCTTTTCTCATTTATTGATCCTTATGATTCTCATTGTTATGTTATTTTGGGGGGTGTCACAATATTGAGGTTGTGATGGACTTTTCATTATATTTACTTCTGAAGACCTAAGTGAGGTTTCAGTGTGGGCAAAAATGTTAATGTTTTGAAAACACATGTCCGTCCTATGTCATTGATAATATAACAATACATTTGATGAGTGCTAAACTTAATAAATATTATATTTAAATAAAGTTTATAATCATTTTATCCTTATAATTAATTTGGGTAACGTCATTATTTCAAAGGACTGGATTATGGTAAATTTTTTAGATCTAATGTTTTGCTTAATTGAATTAAAATGTTTGTTTTTCAATGCAGATTTGAGTTCTGTGAACCTGCATTTGTTGTTGGTAATTGCCTCCAGATAGCTTCTGACAGTCATCAGTATGATCGAATTTATTGTGGAGCTGGAGTGCAGAAAGACCATGAAAACTACATGAAAATATTACTAAAAGTTGGAGGCATATTAGTCATGCCTATAGAGGATCAGGTAACTTCCACTCTCCTTTTCTTTAGTGGCCTAGGAAGCAAGCAAATTTGTTTAAGGTTAAGAAATTTTATTCAGTGAAAGGTATATTGTAACTTTTAAAGAAAAAATTACTTTTCACCAGATTTATCTTATTTGTTTAGAAAAAACTTGAAACATCTTAATTATTTAAACAAAGGAGATAGAGAAAAGATCTCTCTACTATGACTGGAGGTAACTTGGGCTTTCAACTCAGCTCAGCTACTCCCTGTGCCTGGTGTTCAGCAAGCTGCTTCCTCCTTTGTTTTGCTTACCCAGAAGTTGAATGTGATGATCTCTACTAGTTGCTCAGTTTCCCATATTCTTCAGTTCTTTGGACATACTGAAAGGAAATCCTAGCCAGGCATGCTGGCTCACGCCTGTAATCTCAGCGCTTTGGGCGGCTGAGGCAGGCAGATCGCTTGAGCCCAGGAGTTCAAGATCAGTCTGGGCAACATGGCGAAACCCCGTCTCTACAAACAGATACAAAAATTATCCAGGCGTGGTGATGCACCTGTAGTCTCAGCTACTCAGAAGGCTGAGGTGGGAGGATCACTTGAGCCCGGGAGGTTGAGGCTGCAGTGTGCCATGATTGTGCCTCTGTATCCAGCCTGGGTGACAAAGTGAGACCCTGTCTCAGAAAAGAAAATAAATCCTGTTTGTGGTTTGATTTTGAACTACTTAACTTCATTAATAAAACAAGTGAACTAAAAAAATCTTCATTAGTACCGAATAGACTCATTTGAAAATATTCTGCAGCTATTTATGAGCATTATTAAATTTATTTTTTTAGCCTTGGTTTGGAATTATTAGGTATAATGAATAAAATACTAATTTACTCAGAAAATGGGTATACCTTTCAAAAGCAAATTACTTTAAAAAGTTAATAAAAACACATTTAAAAAATATCTCCAATATTCACGTTAACTGAAATCTGAAATGTTTACAATAACCTTGTAGTTGTATAGTAGAGGTAGAGTATCTAAGATGACTGAGACCTAGCATGATAGTTGTGGAGTTTATACATCTTGGGGTTCCCTTAACATCACCATGTGTCATTGGCAGCTCAGTGGATCTCACTATCACCATGTACTGTGCTCTGTAGCAAGTCATTTGTCAGATATTAAAAAGGCAGAGTATATAAATATTCATTTTTAAAAGTTCATGGAAATGTTATTAGAATGCTTCCAGGGCTTAAACTCCCAGTTAAACAATTTGTTTTTTATTTTGTTTTTCTTTAACGATACATTTTCAAATACGTAAAATATGACTTCCTCATCAATATTTTGTTAAACATTTACTCTATACTATTTTACAAACATCAGATGTAATAACGAGCTGCTTTTTGTGATAGAAGTTGAATATACTAATTAAACTTGAACAAGATGTGTATTGAGCTAATATTTTTTTCCCGTGACCAGTGATGGGCATTTGCTGAAATGATAAAACTCCTAGTCTCTTTGTAATTACATTTATTTGTGAAATATCAAGTTGGGGGTCGAATTAGAATCTATATTCCATTAATATCATGGAAGAGCATGAAGTCAACATGTAGTCAAAATATGGTCTTATTACTATAATGCCTTAACCAAATTACTGCACCTGTCTCAGACATGTATTTTGAAAGGCAATGGCATGTATAGATTGTAGTGCTTCTCCTAGACACTGTCAGACCACAGATCTAACATTGCAGACTCACTTGGCCATATTTGAGTATCCCATTTGCGTTAAAACATCTGTATTAACAGCAAATATTTCCATTCCTTTTATATCTTATAGTAAATATTTAAATGGAATTAATTTGGTCACATTTACATTTAAGTGATTGTGTAGCTCTAACTGGCAGTTGTTCCCTTAAAACAAAGTTTTGACTGTAAGGTGACCACATTGTTGGGATTAAGTTGTTCACTTTCTTTCTTTTTTTTCTCTAAATAGTTAACACAGATTATGCGAACTGGACAGAACACTTGGGAAAGTAAAAATATCCTTGCTGTTTCATTTGCTCCACTTGTGCAACCAAGTAAGAATGATAATGGCAAACCAGATTCTGTGGGACTCCGTAAGTAGCTCTTCATATTTTCTGATTGAATTATGACTTATGGTGTTTGGCTTTTATGCTTGGGATTTAAGACTATGTAATTATGAAGAATTAAATACTTATGCAGTAAGATATTTGGTGGATTTATTCAACTTTTTTTTTTTTTTTGGAGACAGTCTTGTTCTGTTGCCCAGGCTCGAGTGCAGTGGTGCCATGTCGGCTCACAGCAACGTCTGCCTCCTGGGTTCAAGCGATTCTTGTGCCTCAGACACCCAAGTAGGTGGGATTACAGGTGTGCACCGCCACGCCTGGCTAATTTTTGTATTTTTAGAAGAGACGCTGTTTCACCATGTTGGCCAGGCTGGCCTCAAACACCTGACCTCGAGTGATCCACCCATCTCAGCCTCCCAAAGTGCTGGGATTATAGGCGTGAGCCACCCGCACTGGGCCTCAATTTTTTTTTTTTTGGTAAAATAAAGCCCTCACCTTGTACCAGACACTGTTAGCTACCTTCATGGAAACATAAGAAGAAGGGGCAGGTCAAACCAAAACCAAATTTATTAATTATAGTTTGTGATGTGGTGGCAAGTTACTGGTTGTGGGAAGGGCATCTACTGTAGGTATGGTGGTAAGGAAGAACTTTCTGCCAAGGCAACATCTAAATTATGACCAGAGTGATATAAAAGAACTTGCCACATCAAGATTTAGTGGCAGCATTTTTTCATACAGAGAGACAATAAATACAAAAGGCTTTAGGCTGAAGAGAACTTTGGTCATTCCCAGATCAGGCATAAGGTCCAGAGTGGTGGAAGCTCATTGGCTGCCTGTGGAGGGTGGATTATCATAGGAAAAAAAGGCAGGCAGGCCAGTCAGGTGGCTTTTCTTACACCCACAGGAGAGTGGATGTTGGTGTGGATAGTGTTGTCTAAAGGCAGAAGAATAGCTGACTCGGGAGTGTGGGTAGAGGGAAAAGAAGAATTCATTTTCCCTTGAGGCTAGCTGAGTGCTGGCATTATTTACTGTTGCCAGGAAGACTGGAAGTGGCATAATTTGGAAATAGGCATAGAAAGGTCTGACATTTTCCTTTCACCGTGTTTGAGTTGTCTGTTACCATACAGACAAATGTCAGGTGGCACGAACCTGCTTCATGAGCAAGTTATAAATGGAGACCCCTCAACATGAACATGGCATTTTAGGCTAGGGTTAGATAGAAATGGATGAGATCATTTAGCGGAGAGTGGAGATAAAGAGGAGATATTGGAGTTGGACCTGAGGTCCACCAATTTAGCGATAAAATGGTGGAAAATGGATTAGCGAAGGAGGGGCCAACAAAGGTGGTGGGGGCAAACTAGGGTCAGGTCCCCAGGGTGTTGAAAACCAAGAAAGAAAAGTTTCAAGGAGGGAGTGATGAACCTAATGGGGCAAATGAGAGCTTGAAATGGAGAGGAGAGGTGGTATTAATTGGTTTGACTTAGATCATAGTTTTTTTAACCATGAGGTAAAATTCTTTACCAAAAAGGAACCTCTTGACTTAGTTTGCCTTTTAAATGAACTTATTGCATAGGAATTTGGGTTTATAGAAAGATACAATTTTTTTTTCAGTGTTCATTCTACTCTCTTTTGAGCTGCATGACTTTGGGACTTTTGGGTGTTTGTGAAAACTATATGGAGTAATATTTGTTTTGTTTTGTTTTTACGATGGAGTCTCATTCTGTCACCCAGGCCGTAATGCAGTGGCACGATCTCGGCTCACTGCAATCTCCACCTCCTGGGCTCAAGCAATTCTCCTGCCTCGGCCTCCTGAGTAGCTGGGATTACAGGCTCCCACCACCATGCTCGGCTAGTTTTTTATATTTAGTAGAGACCGGGTTTCACAACCCTTACATTAGGCAGACCCAACCACCCACCCAGTTTCAGGCACTGGCACCAGCCTGCCACCATGGGAGTCTACCTGTAAATACATGGTGAATAGAGCCTAGTCAATGTGTGTGACTCCCAGACTAAAGTAGGCACATCCCAGAGGAAAAGAGAAAGGAATGACAGCCAAACATGGCCAGCTGCTTTTTACACACCTGAAACATACAAGCCTAGCCGTTCCTCCACCCTTGGGAAGAATGTGTGCGATGATGCAGAGAGGCTTGCATGGCTCTGTGGTGAGTGTTGCTTGCTGAGAGTGTTAGTGGCATAAATGTTTCTTCAGCTTGACCTTGGGAGAGTGCTTTGTAAGCATTTTTCTCTAATGGGAGCCACCATCAAAGGAGATTTGTTGACCACTTTTTACAGATTGGTGAGAGTCATAGATCTGATTCTGTGCTCTTACTGTGATCTCATTTAGAAAGAAATTAAGCAGTCAGTTCTAAAAAATTTTCAACCTTTCGTAATTCAGAAAATGTTAGCAACCAGTTTTTTCAAATATACTTGTTAGTAACGTATACTTTCGCTACTTACAAAAAGGACTTTAATCCATATATAACAATCCATATAAAACAAGAAAATGAAAGGTAAAATAAGAATGATAAAAAACAAAGGATTATCATAAGGGAGACTGGAAACATGAGGTTACTGTGTTGAAATGTTTATTTAAACTTCCTGTCTAGTCAAAAACTGGTATCACTGGGTATTCTCTGGGACACAGAAAAGTACAGGACATCCATTTCTTTCTAGCACCAGAATCAGTGATTATCACTTGGCTGTGTATGCATTATATGATTATTTCCATGAAGTCTACTTTTTAGTAGACTACAGATGCTCCTTGACTTATGGTGGAACTATGGCCAGATAAACCCATTGTAAATCATAAATATTGTGAGTGGAAAATGGATTTAATGCTGGCAACACAGCAGATGGTCCCCAACTTAGGATGGTTCGACCTTACTTTGGTTGCAAAAGTGATACTTGTTTAGTAGAAACCAGAACCCCATCATGAGACATAAGGAGCTCCTCAGCTTGAGGTGGGGTTACATCCTGATAAACACATTGTAAAGTGGAAAAATCCTACATTGAACCATTATAAGTCAGGGACTATCTGTGTACTCTATATATTTATGCTATATTAGTACTATTTATTATAGTAGACTATACTGTAGTTACTGGTCCCTACTTCTTGCAACAATAGTAACAAAACTGTTTTCTCCTTCCTAGTTTTCAAACACTAGAATTATAGTTTATGATAATTTTGTTTAAATTATCCTAACTTGATGGGAAGTAATAAAAGGAAGTAATGAAAAAAATTTTCTGACACAGCTTGGCTTTGACCGTGACCCAACCATAAGTATCATACCTAGGAATGCTTATAGAATCCCTTGTTGATTTCTGTGCAGCAGCTGTTTATCTATTTTACTTTGTAACTGACACTGTTAAAATCTCAGAATTCTATCAGTAGTCATTCCATTTTTTTATCTGATAGTTTTCTTAGTTTATTTTAGAAGCATTTTGGTTATAAATATGGTTTTATAATAACATAATTCATTAATGACAGATAATATGCTGTGAATGCACAACTTGCATTTTGCCTCATTTTAAGAATTTCAACACAAATCTGAGTAGCTGGTAAGACTGCCATTGGTTGGATTGAATGACATTTGTAACTGTGAATGTAAAATAGGAATAAATTCAATAGAATAGGGTAAAATGGAGAGGAGCCTAAATTAAAAAAAATCCATTATACCTCTGAAATATTTACAGACTAAATGATATATCTGTAAATATTTCATCAAAATAATCTGGGGGTGGTGATGGGAAGAGTGATAATTGTTGAAGCTGAGTGCCCAGATATATGGGAGTTATTAAACCATTGACTCTTTTCTGTGTATACAGTCATCCCTCCTTTTTCTTGGGGGTATGTTCCATTACCCTCCAGGGGATGCCTGGGCCTGCAAATAGTACAAAATCCTGTATATATATTATGTGTTTTTATCTGATAACTGAGGCAGCTGCTAAGTTACTAACAGGTGGGTGGTATGTATGGTGAGGAAATGGTAGACAGAGGGGTGATTCACATCCCAGGCAGGATAGCATGCAATTATACTACACTACTCAGAACAGCTCACAATTTAAAACATATGAATTGCTTATTTCTCAATTTTTCCATTTAATATTTTCAGACCTTGGTTGACCATAGAAAGCGGAAACCGTGGAAAGTGAAACTGTGCATAAAGGGAGACTACTGTACTTGAAATTCTACAATAAGGAGAAAAGTCATCAGTAACCAACAGTAACTTATAAAAATAAGTCAGGAATTATGTGAATTTCTAAAAAATAAAAGCTTCATATAGTAATATTCAGAGCATGAAAATAGTTTTGAAAATTGATATTTGCCAAAATTTAATAGGATGTATGGAGAATAAGTTTTTGTGGGTGTGTAGAAGTAAGTTAAAATAGCTTTCTGTTGAGAGGACATTATTCCTTAATTGCAGGAAATTAAAATATGAAAGAACGCGACTCCAAAAATCCCAAAAATAATATATATATAAATTATTTGCCAAATGTATCTTGTAGTAATCAAGTTGCTCATATTAAACAACTTACTAAAGTGGAGTCATAATTTTTCATCTTGATTCACCACTAATTTTATTACATTTAAAAATCCTATTTCTTTCTGTGGTTTTTTTGTTTGGGGTTGAGGAGAAGACATTCTAAAAAGAAAGATGCATTGTTTAAAGTTCAGGGGCATAAGAGACTTCATAAATTTTGGGACTATATCACATTGAGCTATATGAAGTTGCTGTTTTTGAAGGTCATAAAAGACCCCCAAATCATTAGTTTTATATGGTTCAACGTAAATAAAATGCCGTTTTCAATCTTTGTTAACAAAAATGATTTCTGACTCCTAGGCTCCTATACAATCTACATACAGCCTACCTTTTGGGAAACAAATGGAGCCTAATGTGTGTGTTAGAGATAACCTGAACTGTAGTTTTGGAGTAAAAGTTTATTTTATTTTTTATTATATTTTAAGTTCTGGGGTACATGTGCAGAATGTGCAGTTTTGTTACATAGGTATACATGTGCCATGGTGGTTTGCTGCACCCATCAACCCATGACCTACATTAGGTATTTCTCCTAATGCTATCCCTCTCGTCCCCTAGCCCCCCATCCCTTGACAGGCCCTGGTGTGGTGATCTTCCCCTACCTGTGTCCATGTGTTCTCATTGTTCAACTCCCAGTTATGAGTGAGAACATGCAGTGTTTGGTTTTTGGTTCTTGTGATAGTTTGCTGAGAATGATGGTTTCCAGCTTCATCCATGTTCCTGCAAAGGACATGAACTCATCCTTTTTTTATGGCTGCATAGTATTCCATGGTATATATGTGCCACATTTTCTTTATCCAGCATATCATTGATGGACATTTTGGTTGGTTCCAAGTCTTTGCTCTTGTGAATAGTGCTGCAGTAAACATACATGTGCATGTGTCTTTATAGTAGAATGATTTATAATCCTTTGGGTATATACCCAGTAATGGGATTGCTGGGTCAAATGTTATTTCTAGTTCTAGATCCTTGAGGAATCGCCACACTGTCCTCCACAATGGTTGAACAATGGTTGAACTAATTTACACTCCCACCAACAGTGTAAAAGTGTTCCTATTTCTCCTCATCCTCTCGAGCATCTGTTGTTTCCTTTTTAATGATTGCATTCTAATTGGTGTGAAATGGCATTTCATTGTGGTTTTGATTTGCATTTCTTTAACGACCAGTGATGATGAGCATTTTCGTATGCTTGTTGGTTGCATAAATATCTTTTTTTTTTTTTTTTTTTTTTTTTTGAGACGGAGTCTCGCTCTGTCGCCCAGGCCGGACTGCGGACTGCAGTGGCGCAATCTCGGCTCACTGCAAGCTCCGCTTCCTGGGTTCACGCCATTCTCCTGCCTCAGCCTCCCGAGTAGCTGGGACTACAGGCGCCCGCCACCGCGCCCGGCTAATTTTTTGTATTTTTAGTAGAGACGGGGTTTCACCTTGTTAGCCAGGATGGTCTCGATCTCCTGACCTCATGATCCACCCGCCTCGGCCTCCCAAAGTGCTGGGATTACAGGCGTGAGCCACCGCGCCCGGCCATAAATATCTTATTTTGAGAAGTGTCTGTTCATATCCTTTGCCCACTTTTTGATGGGGTTGTTTTTTTCTTGTAAATTTAAGTTCTTTGTAGATTCTGCATGTTAGCCCTTTGTCAGATGGATAGATTGCAGAATTTTTCTCCCATTCTGTAGGTTGTCTGTTCACTCTGATGATAGTTTATTTTGCTGTGCAGAAGCTCTTTAGTTTAATTAGATACAATTTGTCAATTTTGGCTTTTGTTGCCATTGCTTTTGGTGTTTCAGACATGAAGTCTTTGCCCATGCCTGTGTCCTGAATGGTATTGCCTAGGTTTTCTTCTAGGATTTTTATGGTTTTATGTCTTAGATTTAAGTCTTTAATCCATCTTGAGTTGATTTTTGTGTAAGGTGTAAGGAAGGGGTGCAGTTTCAGTTTTCTGCATATGGCTAGCCAGTTTTCCCAACACCATTTATTAAATAGGGAATCTTTTCACCATTGCTTGTTTTTGTCAGGTTTGTCAAAGATAAGATGGTTGTAGATGTGTAGTGTTATTTCTGAGGTCTCTGTTCTCTTCCATTGGTCTGTATATCTGTTTTGGTACCATACCATGCTGCTTTGGTTACTGTAGTCTTGTGGTATAGTTTGAAGTCAGGTAGTGTGATGCCTCCAGCTTTGTTCTTTTTGTTTAAGATTGTCTTGGCTATGCAGGCTCTTTGGGTTCCATATGAAGTTTAAAGTAGTTTTTTCCAGTTCTCTGAAGAAAGTCAGTGGTAGCTTGATGGGGATAGCATTGAATCTATAAATTACTATGGACAGTATGGCCATTTTCATGATATTGATTCTTCCTATCCATGAACATGGAATGTTTTTCCATTTGTTTGTGCCCTCTCTTATTTCCTTGAACAGTGATTTGTTGTTCTCCTTGAAGAGGTCCTTCACATCCCTTGTAAGTTGTATTCCTAGGTATTTTATTCTCTTAGTAGCAATTGCGAATGGGAGTTCACTCATGATTTGGCTTTCTGTTTGTCTGTTATTGATGTATAGGAATGCTAGTGATTTTTGCACGTTGATTTTGTATCTGAGACTTTGCTAAAGTTGCTAATCAGCTTAAGGAGATTTTGGGCTGAGACGATGGGGTTTTCTAAATATACAATCATGTCATCTGCAAACAGAGACAATTTGACTTCCTCTCTTCCTATTTGACTATGCTTTATTTCTTTCTCTTGTCTGATTGCCTTGGCCAGAACTTCCAATACTATGTTGAATAGGAGTGGTGAGAGAGTACATCCTTGTCTTGTGCTGGTTTTCAAAGGGAATGCTTCCAGTTTTTGCCCATTCAGTATGATATTGGCTGTGGGTTTGTCATAAATAGCTCTTATTATTTTGAGATACGTTCCATCGATACCTAGTTTATTGAGATTTTTTAGCATGAAGGGGTGTGGAATTTTGTCAAAGGCCTTTTCTGCATCTGTTGAGATAGTCATATGGTTTTTTGTCATTGGTTCTATTTATGTGATGGATTACGTTTATTGATTTGCATATGTTGAATCATCCTTGCATCCCAGGGATGAAGCAGACTTGATTGTGGTGGATAAGCTTTTAGATGTGCTGCTGGATTCGGTTTGCCAGTATTTTATTGAGGATTTTTGCATCGATGTTCATCAGGGATATTGGCCTGAAATTTTCTTTTTTTGTTGTGTCTCTGCCAGGTTTTGGTATCAGGATGATGCTGGCCTCATAAAATGAGTTAGGGAGGATTCCTTCTTTTTCTATTTAAATTTAAAATAAGTTTTCCTAGCAGTCAGGATTAGTATTGTCTTATCTGTTAAATCCTAATCTCATAACTGGAGGCATTGGAAATGAGACCGTTAAGGAATAGACAATATGGAGGATGTTTAAATAATTAGGACTGAGACTTATCTAAAAGGTTTTGTGTCATTCAAAAGAACTTTTTTTTATTAATTGTTTGAGACAGGGTCTCACTCTATTGCCCAGGCTGGAGTGCAGTGGCATGACCATGGCTCAGTGCAGCCTCGACCTAGCCAGACTCAGATGATCCTCCCATCTCAGCCTACTGACTAGCTGGGAATACAGGCGTGTACCACCATGCCCGGCTAATTTTTCTCTTTTTTGTAGAGACAGGATTTCACCATGTTGCCCAGAGTGGTCTCAAGATCATGGGCTCAAGTGATCCACCTGCTTCAGCCTCTCAAAGTGCTGGGATTACAGGCTTGAGCCATTGTGCCTGGCCCAAAAGAACTTTTAAATGAAGCTCACATGAATGCTACTTTAGGAGTCCTGAGTGTTAGCAGCTACTGAAGTCAAGTCTGAATCTTTTTCCATGCTGGGTCCAGTTGGTCTTGATAAATTTCTGGTATTCCTCTGATGATTTAGGATTGAAAGATACATCGCTGGAATAGCACACAGTGTTGGCAAAGGAAGAACATAATTACAGTATTGGCAAAGGAAGAACATAATTACAGTGTTGACAGAGAATACCAGTAACAGAAAAATTCAAGAGCCAAGATCAGCGGAAAAGACTGATATAGTTTCTATTTCCTAGCTCCTTTATAATTTCTAAAACTTTAGGGTAGATTTATTCTTCACTCTGTCCCTTTACAGAGCCCTCTCAGGCTTAGTTCTGGGTGCTTTCTTCTACTCTTGGTCTTTGCATGTCACGATGGGCTGATGACATGAGATTAGCATCTCCAGCCCCGACCTTGCCCCTGAGCTCCAGAGTCATAATCTTATGGTGGCTTATGGTGGGAAAGGCAGCACACACTCTGCAGTCAAAACCTGCATTCAGTACGTAATCTCCTAGCATTCAGTTATTACTTGTAAAACATTGAAAATGGTGACGAGTATAACATTGTAGTTATTATTATCTCTGAAATCTCCACTTTGGATAAATGATAGACAATTCACATCTAACACAAAGTAAGTACACTTTAAAATTTTCTTCTCAACCTGTTCTCCCCTGTATCTTTGTCATGTCAGTCACTGATATCAGCATCTGCCCAGTTGCTCAGGCCAAAACCTTAGATGTTTTCCTTGATTATTTTTTTTTCCCTCCCTCATCCCCTACAGCCAATCCATTTCCATCCTATCTTCAAAATATATTATACCTGAAATTTGTCCATCTCTCCCATCTATACTGCCACCCTCCGTCAGAGTGTGTTCATATTTCTAGTGGATTACCAAAATATTCCAGCTGATCTCGTGCTCCCAACTTCATCTGCACTAGTCTTCCTTCGGCTCCTTGGACATGCTAAGCTCATTTACCTTTTAGGTTCCCTCTGCCCGCAAGATGTTTACATGGCTGTTATATCATCTAGATCTTAGCTAGGACAGGATCTTCTCAGGGAGACCTTTATGACCACCCAATAGAAAGCAACCAGGGCCAGGCACGGTGGCTCACGCCTGTAATCCCAGCACTTTGGGAGGCCAAGGTGGGCGGATCACGAGGTCAGGAGATTGAGACCATCCTGACTAACATGGTGAAACCCCATCTGTACTAAAAATACAAAAAATTACACTGGTGTGGTGGCACATGCCTGTAGTCCCAGCTACTTGGGAGGCTGAGGCAGGAGAATCGCTTGAACCCGGGAGGTGGAGGTTGCAGTAGCTGAGATCACGCCACTGCACTCCAGCCTGGTGACAGAGTGAAACTCCGTCTCAAAAAAAAAAAAAAACAAAACCAGAACCCCACTTTCTATCATATCATTGGCGTTTTGATTTTTTTCTTGTATTCCTTATTTTTCTTCTTTATAATTGATTTTTGTTTAGCAACTCCTCCCTGATTATGCAAGTTGCATAAGTGCAGGGAGTGCAGACTTGGTAGTCTAAATCATCCAGTGTGTCTGCATGGGTTCTTTAACAGTGCCTGGCAGATATAGGTTAATACTTACTTGATGATGAATGTTAAATAACTTAGTGAACAATTTTGGAAGATGGGCAGAGCAGATGGTTTTTGTGTATTTTTACATGTAGAGGGCCGGGCATGATGGTTTACACCTGTAACCCCAATATTTGGGGAGGCTGAGATGAGAGGATCACATGAGCTCAGGAGTTAAAGAGACCTGCCTAGGCAATATAGTGAGATCCCGTTTCAACAAATAATTTAAAAATTATCCAGGTGTGCTGGCGTGTGCTTATGTCCCAGCTACTTGGGAGGCTGAGGCAGGAGGATCACCTGAGCCTGGGTGGTTGAGGCTCCAGTAGGCCATGATTGTGCCATCACACTTCAGCCTGGGCTGTAGTGAGACCTTGTTTCAAAACAAACAAACAAAAACTTCATAGGGGATGGGATCTCACATCTGTTGTTATGAATAAGTAGTACTTTTCATATGATTTATACATCAAAAAGTATAAAAGATACACAGGATAGTCTCTCTCCTGGTCTTGTCTCCTAATTACTTCACAGTCATGTACCCTGTTTCCAAATTCTTATGCTTCCAGAGAACTTTTATGCATGTAAATGCCAACACACAGACACACACACATGCCCCTGTACATTTTAACTTCAGTGCCATCCATCGGTCCTTGGCATATAATGACTACTCCAAAACCTTTGTTAGATGAAAGGTAGAGTTTTCATATTTTCTGTATTTTCTAAAATATGCTAAGAAACACATTTTGTTCTATGAAAAAAATAAACAATAGATAATGTTTTATTGTTAATATTTTCTTTCTTGCGTTTTATGTTTGTTTTTAGCTCCCTGTGCTGTCAGGAATCTACAGGACTTGGCTCGTATTTACATTCGACGCACACTTAGAAATTTCATAAATGATGAGATGCAGGCCAAGGGGATTCCTCAAAGGGCTCCACCCAAAAGGAAAAGAAAGAGAGTTAAACAGAGAATTAACACTTACGTATTTGTGGGTAATCAGCTTATTCCTCAGCCTCTAGACAGTGAAGAGGATGAAAAAATGGAAGAGGATAACAAAGAAGAGGAGGAAAAAGATCACAATGAAGCAATGAAGCCAGAGGAGCCACCTCAAAATTTACTGAGAGAAAAAATCATGAAGCTGCCCCTCCCTGAATCTTTAAAAGCTTACTTGACATATTTTAGAGACAAATAACTTAGATCAAGAAGAAAAATGCCTACTGATAATTCCTTTAGTCTTGAAAATGTAGCATTTGTTAGGAGTTAAAAGAGAGAATTATTTCTTTCATCAGAGCAAATTATAGTGGAAAAAAAATCACTTGTTTCTGTCAGTAACACAAATGATGTATTCAGTGAATAAAAGAATCCCTTTTATAAAATCTATTTTTCTTTAAATCTTGGAAAAATGTTGTTTTAGCTCAGAGTGATTTCAAAGTGGAATGCAACAGTAGTCAAGACTTGTGTACTATAAATCCTTTTCTGATTCCTTACAGATTTGTAGTGATGAGGTTTAGATTTAATTTTATATATGGTTTAAATAATTGTTAAGCTTATATAACCTGATCTGAATTGCAGTTGTTTGCATTTCCTCTATGAAAACTTCATTTATCTAATAAGGAAGTCAAATGCTTTGTAGACTATTTACCTTACTTTTGTTGCAATCACTGTTGTTGGGTTGCTGTATATATATTCCGGGCAATATATGAGTGCAATAACAATACAAGATATTGAATAATTTAGCTTTAAAAAATCCCACAAATTTTATGAAATTTTACAGCCCTGCTACTTTTGCTTTTGAATCTCTTGCCAAAAGACATGGGTAAAATATCTGCCTCTCTCATAGAGATTTTAAGAGCACAGCAAGTGAATTATTAAAACAAAGTCTATACTTAATACAACTCTTTATATGGACCCTTTACATTTTCAGTATTTAAAAAAATGAGGTTATCTTAACTCTATAGAATTTTAAAAGTATATTTAGAATTGTTTTTTCTGTAGTTCACTGTATAAAGTATTTGGTTTTTTAAAAAAAGCAAAACCATTGTTATGTGTGACTCTTGATAGGACACAGAACGAGTGAATGAGCATGAGTGAGGCCACTTTCTTGGATGGCTGTAAGTAGCAGGGCCAGGGTAGACCTGGTCAGCGGATGCACTTTAGCAGATGGAACTTCTAGTTTATCTGAATATTTATCTTTGACAAGGTAGGGCTGAGCCTACATTTGCTTTTGATCTATCTAGTATAAGAAATATTCACAGAAATTGTATGTAGATACCCTTTGTTTTGAAAATGCTGTTCAGAATCATAGTGTAATCTTTGGGACCTATGCCATGTTCATTTCACTCCTTCCCATATTTTTTGTGTTTCTTTTGGTAAAACTATAATGGTTTTCATTTTTTACTTAATATCACACAGTTAAACTGTCCATATTTGAGCTTTATTTTAGCTTATCAGTGATAAAAAACAGGTAGTAACTGCCATTGTTTGTTTGTTTTCCTAATAAGGCCTGAAAACAGCCATTCCTTGTTAAGAAAGTGTACAATGTAACATATTTGCTAGAGTTACATGGATTATATATTTCTTAAAGGGAAAAATTTGAGAGTATCATGGACTACCACCAGCATTATTATTACAGTAGTTACTCAGATTTGGTTAAGGAAGCCCAAGCAATGTATAGTGAAAGGATTATTATCTCTCTGCTAAGATTCAGATATTGTTTCAGAAATCTCAGCTCCAGTAATTCCACAACATCTAAAAACAAATGTTTGTGATCATGTGTAAGCATGAAATTGTTCCAAGTAAGTGAGGATATTTTAGTTATGTGAAAGACAGTTTCATGGAAGGTATTTGTTTTATACCAGTGGCTGGGATGGTGGAATTGGGGTTATTTCTACAATTATTCTTAGACGATTACTAAACTGTTAAGAAATGCCCCATATCATTTTTGTATCTAGGAAAGAAAAAAATCAGTTTCATACTGTTGTCATCTGTCAGAAATGCTCATTTTATTTTGAATTAAATGTGGCTTTTGAAGTACCTAGTTACCTTGAATTCCTGGTGACCACATGTTTTTATCTGGAAAACCTGGAGAAAGTTATCTGTCCCATCTCCCCTGCTTGTTTTTTTTTTTTTTTTTGGTTGGAGCTGCTGTTTAGATGATGCTTTTACTATGCAGGAGAGAGTTTTTGTTAAGGATATATTTGAAGATTGGCTTTTCCATATTGTCCTTCATTCTTTGACCATGGCAAAGTGTACAGTAGATTTTCATGATCATTGCATATTTCTTGTCATTGAAATGTATCTTTTATGTTTTTAAATGCATTCATTTTACACTTGTGAGTTTATCATTGACTTTAAGAGGTAGAAATGAAAAATGAAAATTAAAGCTAAAGCCTTTTTATCTATTAATGCAGATATATTAGAATAAGAATATTTTGGGTTTGTGTTTATTTTTTAATGAATTTATGTTTACTTGATATGGAAAATTACGCTTTATAGGTGGAAAAGTAGCAAATAAAGATTAAGTAAAAGTAAGTGAAAATGATGGGGAATATAGTATTGGAATTTTATAGCTAGTTAAAACAGTAAGTATCATCTAATTTGGGTGTTTATTTTGCAGATGAGAAAACAGACCTAGAACCGTGGCATGTTTTGCCTGAAACATACAGTGAGTTAGAGACAGGGCCTAAGATAGCTTCTAGCATCAGATCAATCCCAAGAATCCATCAGCAACCTCAGACCAACCCAAGAAGATAATTTAAATCTATACTGCTTATTGGTCAATATATTTGGTTCTAGTATTAATAAAGAAAAATGTTATTAAAATAGCATACATAGTAGTAAAATAAAATACAAAAAGTGTGTTGATTTATAGCTGTTTGAGATGATAAAAGTGAAGCAAAGCCTGTTAAATCATTGGAAGACTTGGAAAATTATTTTAAATAAACAATTACATGTAATTAAGCATTTTTCTCCCATGGCCTGACTTTTATGTTTGTCTTCTTCTTTTTAAATTTAGGCAATCTCAGTACACCTATGGATATGCTCAATTATGGCATACAATTGTCTTTATTTGGACATCTCACTGTCTTTTGACTATTGCCACTTCTGAAGAGTATGGAAGTTTTTTAAAATTTATTTTTATAAAATAGGTAGGGAAATTTATAAAATATTCATGAAATATAAGAAATAATTTAGTGTACATGTAGGTACATGTGTGTGTACCCATTAGGTTCAACTAATAGCTTTACAGTCTCCTGTGTGCCCCTTCCCATCCACATCTTAATCCCTCCCTTCTCAGGAGGAGGGATTTTGTGTTTATCATAATCTGCCTTTTTGTTCTCAATCACCTGCCTGCATCTCTAAACAATGTATTTGGCTTCATATATGCTAGGATCCTACTGTACGCATTCAGCAGCTCTCTTTTTCACATTACCTTTCTGAGATTGCCCCATGTCGTATGTTGTTCTGTTACATTCACACTTCACAGTTTATTCTACTGTTGGTGGACATTTTTTGTTCCCTCGAATAGTTCAGTTGTGAACATTCTTTTATATGTCTTGTGACTACATGTGTGAGAGTCTGCTTAGGGTGTACATCTAGGAGTAGAATTACTGGGTCATAGGAAATCATTTCTATTCACTTTTACCTAGATGGTGCAAATTTGCTTCCCAAAATAGTTTAACAGTATGTTTCTTCTAGCAATGTCTAAATGTCCCAGTTATTCCACATCTTCACCTACACATGACAGACTTTTGCCTGTTTAGTAGTGTGACGTATCTTCTTAGGGGACTTTGTTACTTATAAAGGTTATTTATTAAGGGGGTTTTATCTTCAAGCGTTTCTTGGTTTTAGGATTCCTTTCTGCAAAGTGCTGTTCAAGTCTTCTGTACATTTTTTTATTGGGTAGTTTCTTTTAAAAAACTGTTTTGTGGGATTTCCTTTTGCAGTCTAGATATATTCCACTGTCAATTATATGTGTTGTAAGTATCTTTTCTCAGTTTATGGTTTCTTACTCTGTTTATGATGTTTTTTGATGAATTGACATTTTCAATTTTAATTGTCAGATTCATCTTCCTTCACCCTCAGTCTCAAGGTCATGGAAATATTAACCTATATTTTCTTACAGAAGGTCTGTGATTTTGCCTTTCACATTTAAATCTGCACAATAGCTGGAATTGATGTTTGTGTATGGTGAGAACTAATAGTCCAGTTTCTTTTTTTTACTTTATTGATCAACTGTTTGAGGACCATGTTTTGAAGTTTCTTTTTTCTTCTCTGATCTGCAGTGTTAACTTTATCGTAAGTTTTCATATATTTTTGCTATGTGTCTAGGCTTTCTTTTTTGTTTTATTAGTCAGTTTATATAACCCGTTGCCGACACTACACAATTTTATTTACTGGAGATTTACAATAATTCTTGATCTAGGAAGATAAATCCCTTCACTTTATATGCTAGGAGTTTCTTGAACCTGTAGACTGTAGACTTTAAATTTCAGAATTGGCTTCTCAGATTACATACATGCACACACACACACTCTTCTTTGGGAGTTCCTTGAGAATCACTTTGAATTTATAGATCAGTTTATGCAAGAATTAACATGTTTATGATAGGCAGTCCTCCAGTCCATGAATATGGTACTTCTCTTTTTTTTAGTTAGGACTTATTAAGTATGGTTTGGCTCTAAGATCTAATATCTTTTGTCAGATTTAGTTGCAGATATTTTATATTTTTCAATGATGTTGTAGTTTATTAAAATTGTATTTTATTCCTTTTATTGGTTTTTGTACATTGATTAAATCCAGTACTATCTCTTTTGATTCTTTTAGGTTTTCTGTATAGGAAATCATATATTTGAATAAATTTTAGACAGTTTTATTTTTTTTCTTCTGGGTTTTTTTATTTTACCAGATTTGCCAGCTGTGGCCTCCAGTGTAACTGAATAGTGATGAGCAAGAACAGCCTTATTTCTTTATTTTAATTTTTTAATTTTTCCATAGGTTATTGGGGAACAGGTGGTATTTGGTTACATGAGTAAGTTCTTCAGTGGTGCTTTGTGAGATTTTGGTGCACCCATCACCAGAGCAGTATACACTGCACCCTATTTGTAGTCTTATCCCTCACCCCCCTCCCGTTCTTCCCCCTACATCCCCAAAGTCCATTGTATTCTTATGCCTTTACAACCTCATAGCTTAGTTCCCACATATCAGTGAGAACATAGATGTTATCATGGTATTTGATTTTTCCATTTTTGAGTTACTTCCCTTAGAAGAATAATCTCCAATCTCATCCAGGTCGCTGCAAATGCTATTCATTCATTCCTTTTTATGGCTGAGTAGTATTCCATCATATATATATATATCTCACAGTTTCTTTACCGACTCGTTGATTGATGGGCATTTAGGTTGGTTCCATGATTTCGCAATTATGAATTGTGCTGCTATAAACATGCATGTGCAAGTATCTTTTTTGTATAACGACTACTTTTCCTCTGGGTAAATACCCAGTAGTGGGATTGCTGGATCAAATGGTAGTTCTACTTTTAGTTCTTTAAGGAATCTCCACACTCTTTTCCGTAGTGGTTGTACTAGTTTACGTTCCCACTAGCAGTGTAGAAGCGTTCCCTGATCACCGCATCCATGGCAATGTCTGCTGCTTTTTTATTATGGCCATTCTTGCAGGAGTAAGGTGGTATTGCATTGTGGTTATGATTTACATTTCCCTCATCATTAGTGGTGTTGAGCTTTTTTGTCACGTTTTCATGTTTGTTGGCCATTTGTACAACTTTTTTTTTTTGAGACAGAGTCTCGCTCTGTCGCCCAGGCTGGAGTGCAGTGGCGTGATCTCGGCTCACTGCAAACTCCACCTCCTGGGTTCACGCCATTCTCCTGCCTCAGCCTCCCAAGTAGCTGGGACTACAGGTGCCTGCCACCGCTCCTGGCTAATTTTTTTGTATTTGTACATCTTTTGAGAATTGTCTATTCATGTCCTTAGCCCACTTTTTGATGGGATTGTTTTTTTCTTACTGATTTAAGTTTGTTGGAGATTCTGGATATTAGTCATTTGTTAGACATACAGATTGTGAAGATTTTCTCCCACTCTGTGGGTTGTCTGTTTACTCTGCTGACTGTTCCTTTTGCCATGCAAAAGCTCTTTAGTTTAATTAAGTCCCAGCTATTTATCTTTGTTTTTATTGCATTTGCTTTGGGTTCTTGGTCATGAAATCCTTGCCTATGCCAATATCTAGAAGGGTTTTTCCGATGTTAACTTCTAGAATTTTTATAGTTTCAGGTCTTATATTTAAGTCCTTAATCCATCTTGAGTTGATTTTTGTATAAGATGAGAGATGAGGATCCAGTTTCATTCTCCTGTGTGTGGCTAGCTGATTATCCCAGCACCACTTGCTGAAAAGGGTGTCCTTTCCCCACTTTGTTTTTGTTTGCTTTGTCAAAGATCAGTTGTCTGTAAGTATTTGGGTTTATTTCTCTGAGTTCTCTATTCTATTCCATTGGTTTATGTGCCTATTTTTATACCAGTACCATGCTGTTTTGGTGACTGCAGCCTTATAGTATAGTTTGAAATCAGGTAGTGTGACATCTCCAGATATGTTCTTTTTGCTTAATTAGTCTTGCTTTGGCTATGTGGGCTCTTTTTTGGTTCCATATGAATTTTAGAATTGTTTTTTCTAATTCTGTGAAGAATGATGGTGGAGCCTTATTTCTTATTTTACTGCCTTTGTATGGTCATTTTTAAGTAAATAGCATGGTGTGTTTACAAAGAATGTTCTTCAGATGTTCATTGTAGTGTTCTGTTAATGCTAATTGAGTGAGTTAAAATTGTGTTCAAATTCAGTATAGCCTAAGCAAATTTGTGTGTGTACCCACATCATCTATCAACTGTGGAGAGAGACTTGGCAAAAACTCTCATTTTGATGGTAGAATGTCAGTTTTTTTCTTGTTAATTCTTTTGATTTTTGCTTTATTTCAGTGTGATAATATGTGGATTATGTCCATTTGGTGATTTGAACCTTTAACATCATGTAGGAGCACTCTTTATCTTTAGTAATATTCTTTGCTTCCAAGTCTATTTTGTCTGATACTCATTTAGCAGTTTTCTTTTGGTGAGTAGTCACCTAGTATATCTTTCTATTCTTATTGTCAACCTTTTTTGTATCCTTATGTTTTAGGTGTGTTTCTTATAAACAACATATAGCTGAGTTTCTTAAAAGTTACTCTGGCAGTCTTTGAATTTTACTTGAAGCATTGCATTCTTTTCATTTTCATTGTTACTATAGAGTGATATTTTGTGCTATATATCTATCAAGTTTTTTTCCTCCATTTTTTAGGATTGATTATTGTTTCGTTTTTTGTCCATTATTAGTTTGAAAGTTATATATTTATTTTTTCTGCTCTCAGTGATTACTCTCGACATTTTAATGCACTCACCTAACTTACAAACTTCTAAAGTTAGTTTCTTCCTACTTGATACAAGCCACTTTAGAATACTTCGATAAACTCTGGAGTCATTACCTCAAAATTATATGCTAGTCTATTGTGTTTGAACTATATAATTTTAAGCCCCTGTGGTACACCATAACTATTATTTATCTAACCAATGCTTAGTTTTACTCCCACTTACACTTGTTTTTTGCTCATTATTTCTTCTTCATTTTGGACCATCTCAATTTCCTTTTGCCTAAAGTACATCTTTTCAAATTATTTTAATGAAAGACTGTAGCTAACTCTTATTTTTTTCTGTCTGAAAATGTTTTATTTTGACTTTGTTCTTGAAAAAAAATGTCCATTTGTTATAGAATTTTAAATCAACACTTTAAAACACAAGAATTATGATTTCTTTGCATTCTGGCTTTCATTGTAGCTATTATGTCAACTGACAGCCATTCCTTTGAAGGTCATCTGTCTTTTACTTCTGTGTGCTTTAAAGATTTCATCTTGACATTGTTGATATTCTTGTCTTGGCACTGTTAATTTTCTGTAGTTTGATATAATGTGCCTGGGTATGAATTTCTTTTCATTTATTCTGCCTATTCTTGTAGCTGTGCGGGTTCATCTCTTTCATCAGTTCTAGAAATTCTTGGCTGTGTTTTTTCTTACAAATGTTGTCTCAACTTTATGTTTCTCAGCATTGAAATCTAGATTTCCTTAGATAATATCTTCTTATCACGAATCTTCTCTTTAGTTGCTTTAAATCTGCTGTTAAACCTTTACATTGAGTTTTAATGCTTGTTGTATTTTAGTTTATAGTTCTGTGTTTTCAAGTCTGCCTGTTTGTTTTTATGGTCTTCTACTCTTTATTAATATGTTCAACTCTGTAAACATACTGCCTAATTCTATTCTATGTTGGATTCCAGTATGTGAACGCTCAAAGTGGGCTCATGTTCATAAGGTTTGATTGCTAGCTTTCATAACACTGTTTCTGTTTCTTTTGTATTTTGTGGGTTTTGACTGAGCTTGTATTGTAAACTGTGGGAATTATTAGAGGCCCCAGGTTGTTTTTGCCAAGGAGCACTGCCAACTTATGACCTTTTTAAATGCTCCACCTAAAAGTTTTTTGTGCCATCCAAGTAGAGTGGCCCAAAAATCCATGTGAAGGCTACTTTGGAGATAGCACGCCTCCAGGAAGATTTGTTTGCTGCCTCCCCGTAGCAAGCTTTGAAATAGGTCATTTTACTTGTGTCTTCTGGGTTGTATAGGTAGGTGGGTGGGTGGAAGTGGAGGCAGGGGGCAGAATTATTTCTAGTTCATCCTTAAGATATGGCTGTGGCTTTATACAGGAGATTTTTGAAATAAGACTCTCTCATAAGAAAGGACTTTTCTTTTTCCTGTATCCCTGCTACTCCAATTCCTGCAGTTCTTTTCACAGGTTGAACAGTCTCAAGCTGCATCGGCCTTCATTGTTTACCCACCTTGCTGGCTTCTTATGTTCACTTCATTTTTTGGACTCTTGTATATGTCTTACTGATTTCCTCATTAATAGCACATTGATGCATTTATGCAATTTTAAAGGTATTTTAATAAATTAGCGCATTTAGTCGTTTTCAGCTGGAAAGTTGTCCTAAGTCACTATCCAAAAGGACTTCCTGAGCAGGGCCATGCCTTGCAGTTCTTAGTCCTGTACTGACAGTTGGTAATCAGTAGATTTTTTTTTCATTCAACATAAGTTTAGGTTTCTAAAGTGGAAAGTTTTTTGTATTTTTTTTTCTGTAAAAAAAATGCTTTATGGGCTGCGTGCGGTGGCTCACCCCTGTAATCCCAGCACTTTGGGAGGCCAGAGCGGGTAGATCACAAGGTCAGGAGATCGAGACCATCCTGGTCAACATGGTGAAACCCTGTCTCTACTAAAATACAAAAAATTAACCAGGTGTGGTGACAGGCACCTGTAATCCCAGCTACTCAGGAGGCTGAGGCAGGAGAATCGCTTGAACCTGGAAGGCAGAGGTTGCAGTGAGCCAAGATTGCGCCATTGCACTCTAGCCTGGCAACAGAGTGAGACTCCATCTCAAAAAAAAAAAAAAAAAAAGCTTTATGAATGCTAGATTTTTTTTTATAATTCGAACTGAAAACAAGGCACAAAAACTTGCAGAATTTTTTTCCTTCGACCTAATTATTATACACCCTTAGCTCAATGACTTTTAGAACCGCATGTCTTGCCTTTTTCTCCCTCCTGAACTTACATATTTCTGAGTCCCTACCCTTTTTAAGTCTACTTTATGAATGCAAGATATTTTTATATTTTTGTATTTTATATATTTTATATTATTTATATTTTTTGTATTTTATATTTTGAACTGCAAACAAGGCACAAACCTGCAGGTCTTGTCTATGTCCTCCAAATCACAGGCACTGCCAAGAGCATAGTGATTGTTGGGATTTAAAGGAATAAATTTCGTTTTTTGGCTTTATTGGTATACTTGGACAATAAAAGTCATGTGAACAATGTCAAATGTAAAGTTTAAAATAAATCATTCTTGTTCATGGAGATTAGTTTTGTTTTTTAGATCTTTTTACATTTTAATCTCCCCAAAATCACATATTTAGATATGAACATTTTGCCAAAAGAGGGCAGTATTCGCCTACAGTAGAATGTAAAGGGACTGAAACATTTCTGCAGAGACAAGGATGAACTTATTTTCCTCTTAAGATTGGTCTACTAGTCTGATCATCTGGGATTGACCATGCAAGTTTTAATTTGTTTTCTATTACTTTTATGGATTTAAAACATTTTTGTTTGAAAATGTTAGTCTTTAAAGATAAAGCCAAAAATCTGTTTAAAAATACCTGCTTACAGAATGACCAAAAAGTAGATGTTTTCATATTTATTAAGTTTTCAGACACGTCCTCAACGAGGTGCTGCTCACTTCAGGGAAAGATGGCCAGTTCAAACTGCTGATGAAAAGTCTGCAACCAGCAAGACCACTGCTGCCAGTGTGTCCTGAGGGAGCTTGCATCTGTTTGACTTTACATATACATACTTAGGTTTGTCCATCAGTTGTATCCTCTTGAAGGAGGTATGTGAGTTCATGGTTTTAAGCATATAAATTTAAACGTTAAAAGAAGAAATCAGAAGTAGCCCGTTTGAGTCTTACATGAGTGAAATGTGTTGGGTTTCAGCAGCAGAATATATAGAAGGAAATGAAACAATTTTTATTAAAGAGCATAGTTTGGAATAAAGAAAGAATATGTGCACCTAGATGAACGAATTAGAACTCTGCCTGCCCTTTAGGGTTTGGTAATGTTACCAGATAAAAAAGAAGAAAAGCTGTTCTGCATTGTTTCAATACATTCTTAATCAACTTGGGCTTCAAGAGGACAGCTGGAGGCTAAGAGGTCGGGTTTTTCATCAAATGCGCAGTGGAAGTAATTTTGGAAAAGTTTGTTTGCATTATGCTGCCTAAAACACGGTGTTTTAGAAAGAGGCTTTTGCATTGAAAAGCTTCTCGTCCTCGCCTCTGGGAGTCTAGTGCTTCCTAGAGCTGCTTGTGCCCTCAGCCCTGTAATGTGATATCCCTCCTCCTGGATTGGTCAGAGGGGTGTCCTTTCCCTGGGAGCTGCTTTCCACCACGGCTCCCAAACTTGGCTCAGTCCAGCAGCCACCATCACCACCACTGCGGTTGCTGCTGCAGCTGCAGCTGCTGCTCTCCCTCCGGCTGCTTCTTCGCGTGGCCAGCAGCGAATGGAGCGATGGAGCCCAGACTGTTCTGCTGGACCACTCTCTTTCTCCTGGCCGGGTGGTGCCTGCCAGGGTTGCCCTGCCCCAGCCGGTGCCTTTGCTTTAAGAGCACCGTCCGCTGCATGCACTTGATGCTGGACCACATTCCTCAGGTACCACAGCAGACCACAGTTCTGTAAGTTCACATAAATTCCCCAGAAACCCTCTTCCCCAATGCTTCATTGCTTCTCTGCTAGGACCTGTGTCCTTTTAATTTACGATTCCTAATGCTCTCCCTGCTTGTATACTTAGAAGAGGCTTTTCACTTTTCAAACAATTTCATGGTTCTGCTCTGTTAGACTAGAAAATGTAAGCAATGATGAGTTGACATAAATATATTTGTTTTGGATTCAGTTCTCTTCCAGCATCTTCCAGAACTTAGCATTGAGAATTCTCGTCTTCATTCTTCCTTCAATAATTTTCCTGCATACTTTCTCAATTTATTCCTATTCATCCTCTACTCCCAAGTCTTTGGGCCTCTTAATTGGTCAGCACGTGTCTGCCCCATTTGGAAGGAACTAATTTAACTTTAGAGTGTGGTTTCAATTGATTATGTGCTGACAAATTGTTAGGCTTTGTACTGTGTGTACCTCCTGGGAGGGTGAAGTCCTGAGCCCTCAGCACTTGAAGCACTGTCTGTCTCCAGAACAGACCCTCAAATGGTCCAGTAGAGTTCTTGAATGCTTAAAAGCCTTGTGGAGCAGCCGCTTAGACTAATCGGCATCTAGGAGGCATTACGGGATAGTAGGGCAAACCAGAATTTGGAAGTCAAACAGGTCTGAGTTCAAATCCTATCTTCTCATCTTTAATATTCAGATAATAAACCCAAACATTTAGATTTATTTAGATTAAATTAAGTCATAATTAGATAATTAGAAGGGCAAATCACCACAAAAGAAGAAAAGGATCTGTTTCTAGGGTCTATTTTTAAAGAAAGAAAAAGACGACAAATTCAAAAATTTAAGAAAAAATAAAAGAAGAAAAGGAAAAATGCTGAAAGATGCAGACTAAAGAGGTTTCCTGCTCTATAATAAATATTTTGTGGGTTGTGTCATGTTCATGGAAGACAAAACTGCTTGCAGTGTTTCAAGTCCATTCTTGGGCAGAGGGAAATAGCTTAAAATTCCTGGAATTTTGAGATATAAATGTTTAAGAGGATCATTGCCACACATTTGTCAGTCATAATCGTGAAATGAGGACTTGGTAATAAAAAGTCCAATTTGATGGTATTTACATAGAAAATGACATATTATCCATAGATTTTCATTTCTATAAAGCATTTCATTAATTTTATATGCATGCAGATATCAAAATACGTCTTACTGTAATAACTGAAAGGATTCTTGAACTTGGGAGCACTGCTTATTGCTATGTGGACAGCACAGTTCTGCAAGTGCCTTCAGACTCAGAACCAGCCATTTGTCCTTTTGTAATGACAGTTTTTTGGTAGATAGCAGCAAAGCCTTGGAGAAGGGGCTGCTTGTCTAATGAAGTATCTTGGAGCTACATGAGGTACAACTCGACCTAAATTTTGTTTCCTAGGTGTTTCAAAGAAGAGATTAGCTTGCATTAGACACACACCTCTAAATGTAATGAGCAGAACTGAAGTGATGTTGTCAGTGTTGTCATGCAGAGCCTTCCACTATGTTTAAAAATAAAGCTTAATGGTGGATTCTCAGGCCCTTGGCTAGATTCCTGTCTGGGAGTCTGGTGCCACCACTTACAAAATGTGTTGCCTTGGACAAATTCTTAACTTCTTGGTGTCACAGTTTCCTAATCTGTAAAAATGGAGATGCTAACAGTGTTTGATATGGTTTGGATCTGTGTCCCCACCCAAATCTCATGTTCAATTGTAACTCCCAATGTTGGAGGTGGGGTGCAGTGGGAGGTGATTGGATAGTGGGGGCGGATTCTCATGGTTTAACACCACCTCCCTTGGTGTTGTCATGGCGAGAGTGAGGTATCACAAGATCAGGTTGTTTAAAAGTATATAGCTCTTCTTGCGTCTCTCTTCCTCTTGCTCTGGCCATGTGAAGTTCTCACTCCCCCTTTGCCTTCTGCGATGATTGTAAGTTTCCTGAGGCCTCCCCAGAAGCCAAGCAAAAGTTGCTGTACTTCTTGTACAGCCTGCAGAACCATGAACCAATTAAACCTCTTTTCTTTGTAAATTACCCAGTTTCAGGTATTTCTTTATCACAGTGTGTGAAAACAGACTGATGCACTCTTCACCCTATTGGTTATCTTGAAGATTTAATGAATTAATGCATTTTAAGTACCTAGAAAATTGCTTAGCTCTAGTAAACACTATGGAAGTTTTCACTATTAGTATCATGTTTGCAATTCAGGACAGGAATTACAAACCTAAATATCTCTGGGAACCTGCCAGTAAACAATTTGAGGGAAGTGGGGTAGATGAAAGGCAGACTACTGTGTGATGAATAGCAACTAGCCTGAAGCTTGGAGTGTGTGGGGATGGTAATGAAGGCAGAGGCAGCTCTTGCTAATGGGGCAGCCAGTTACTTAGCTAATTGATGGCCTTTGGGGATTTGGGCCATAGTTTCAAGAAAATATGGAAGCCAAAAGTGACATTCCCTAGCTTTTCAATATTAGCAGCTAATTACATTTTTAGAAATGGAAAGGCAAAAATATACAAGCCCAACCATGCATATTTGTAGGTTGCTTTTTGCCTAGGACCTTCAGTTTGTGACTTCTAGTAGAGAAATGGTATAAAAGCTGAGAAGTATATGTAAAGCCTGTAAAAATTGCTCCTCTACTCCTCTGGGGCTAAAAATCCTTGATGTAGGATTGCATTTTATGTCAGCAATATCATGAAAGATGACAATAACAATTATGGGAAAAAGCCAATTAGTTTTTGAAAACTAAGGCAAATGGAAGCTGAATGAATTTCTCCCCAGCAGCAGAACCAATAGTTTTTGTTAAACCGCCCTTATGTATGTTTATTGTCATTATAACATGGAAATGATGTAAATAATATATTTAGCTCTGCAAATGGCCAACATGCTTAGTAAATGCTTATTAGTAGTAGTGTTAAAATTTCCTTAATTTTTTCCATTTTTACATGTTTTAAAATTTTAGCCTGAATGCAGAAAATATTTTCCTAAATCATAGATAAGAAAACTGTATTATTTTTAAGATTGGTTACAGTTGATCAGGGTTTTAAGTTTAGAAAAATGCAAAACTGTCCCTCCAAATTTTAATTTCATTCTGACTATAAAGATATTGTGTTTCTAAACTAATATCATTTACCAAAAAGCCTGCTGCCATTGAGAAAATCTCACTCTTTGTGCCGTGGATTTTAGTAAAACAAATCTTTCAGAATTAGAATTTGCAAACAAAAAAATGTCCAGTAATGAACACAGCATCTTTAGGGAGCCTGTTCAGTAATCAGAAGCAGTGTATGGTGAGTGTGATTTGACTCCATCCTATTCCAGGGTCATTAGGTTGTACTTTCCTAATTTCCTTAGTTACTGGTTAAGAAATGGACTCAGTGACTGCAAATTGAACATGCTCTAAAAACCACCTTGATTAGAAAAAGTTTTAAGCTTAGGGCTGTTTTAATGATCGAGGATTTTCCTAAAAGTCATAAATACAAAAGTATTTACAATGTGAAATTCTAAACATTTAATTTAAAGACATTTTCTTTATGTGGAAAGCTTTCTTTGCTGTCCAAATAATAGAAAACTTGAGGAACAAGATGGGGGTGGGGAAATGGAAAATGTCTTATGCTCAGTCATGAAAAAGTGTGTCCAGCTGATAAAAAATTTCACCTTGTTCAAGAAGAAAATAGAATTCCTTCAGCTCTTCCAATTTCCATTCATTTTATATATATATAATATATATATCATTTTGTATATATACATAAAATGATGTGTTATGGAATAATAGGGAGTAGCTGCAATCTGAGGCAGCAAACATAATTTTATAATTTAAATTATATATAAAGTTTTATATATAAAATTGTATAATTTAAAATATATATATGTATATATAAAATACAACTTAATAGGGCTTACTTTTACCTTTGTTACAAAATTTTTTGTAGCTTGTTTGTAACCGACATAACTTACTGGCTTTGAATGACCACTTGGCAGTAATGAACAGGCCTGAACTTTTTGGACCTTCCCCCACCTGGCATTGTTGAGGGGAAGCACAGTGGGACCCAGATGAAGTGTGTCAACATTCAAACTTCCCCCAGTGGTTGACTTGTTGGGGAGAGAAATGAAACTGAAAGTGGGCTGTCACTGACCTCCTGACTCAGGCCAGTGTGGTTCTGTGGAGAGGGGCTGGAAGAGGCTGTTCTGGAAGGAAGGGCAGGTGAGTGTGGATGGAGCCCAAGCAGGAGAATGGACATAGGGACAATGTGGAGGTGACAGCTTGAGGAGGTAGAGGAGTAAAGGCCAGCACCACTGGCTGGGGTATAATGTACCCTGGAGACTTGGGAGTCATCCTTCAAGAAACAAATGGACAGACAAATTGTTTTAGAAGGTCAGTGGAGCCAGGATATCCTACAACAGCCTGTACTTAGATGGTATATGCTGATTAAAGTATTAGAACAGTGTTCCCTACACTAAGTGCTGCCTTTCAACCCTACTGTAGATTCTATAAATGAAGTGAAGGGATGTGTTATGGAATAGTAGCTTTGTGGGGAGTAGCCGCAACCTGAGGCAGCAAAGCTGTGGTCCCTGTGCTAGTTGGAGAGCTACTGCACATGGGAAAAGTTGAATGACAGTACAAGTCTGGTGTTAGAAGGACCAATTCTGCTTCTGTATTTATGGAGTAAAAAGGGATGGTGAATGTCCTCGTTTGTCAACTAGATGGGCAACAAAGACAGTGAAATGAGTGAAAAAGAGGAGAAAAAAAATTGAATCATGGAGAGTGTGAAAGCAAAATAAATCTTGGGTCCCCAAAAATCACTAAGCTAAAGGGAAAGGTCAAGCTAGGAACTGCTTAGGGCCAACCTTCCTCCCGTTCTACTCAAAGTCACCCCTCTGCTCACTGAGATATATCTGTATCCGATTGCCTCCTTTGGAGAGGCTAATCAGAAACTCAAAAGAATGTAACCATTTGTTTCTTATCTATGTATGACCTAGAAGCCCCCTCCCCACTTCAAGTTGTCCTCCTTTGCTTCAAGTTGTCCCACCTTCCAGACCAAATCAATATTCATCTTACATAAACTGATTGATGTCTCATGTCTCCCTAAAATGTATAAAACCGAATTGTGCTCTATCATGTCATCAGGACCTCCTGAGGCTGTGTCATGGGAGTGTGTCCTCAACCTTGGCAAAATAAACTTTCTAAATTAACTGAGACCTGTCTTGGATATTTGAGGTTCATACATTGTTGAATTTTGTTGTGTTTTACATGGGCATTCTGGTAGAAGGGGTAGGGGCTCAGAAATATATAAGCTCAGGAGGGAGATAGAGGCAAAACATGCAGTTCTGAAAGTCATTGGGCTAACGGTGTACATTAATTAGGTTGAACAGAAGAAATGAGATTTCCCAGAGGGAAGAATGGGAAAAGGCCACATAGGCTAGAATTCTGGAATGCTCCACGGTCAAGTAAACACAAAGAAGAACAAAAGCCAGGACGGTCACCAGTGGTTGTGTAGGCTGTGTACTGCACAACTCCAAAGTGTGCTGGGAAATGTGCCCCCCTTGCAGCTGTGCAACACTGTGGTCCTGGAGGAAAAGGAGGGAAGAGACAGAGGAACACATCTACCGAAGACTCAGGAGGAGCCCAGAAGACAGTATCGTTTGTTCTTCAAGAGAGAGGATGGGGGCCACATCTGTCAGAGCTCGAGGTGGCAGAGTGCAAATTCCACCTCTAAGAAGTTGGAAGAGAGGGACAGGGTCAAGTGAATTTTGTTGTTTATGTTGGTCTGTTTGTTTTTATGAAGGACAGGGAGAGTTTTTTTGTGTGGTAGGCAAAGGGAATGAGAGTAGTGTGGGAAGAGGAAGGATGTGAGAGCTGAGAAATGGAAAGGTTTTCTACTGGACCTCGCAGTTTCCAAAGAGAGATACTCGCTGAGATATTGATATAAGCAAGTAACTGAGAGCTTCCTGTCTAGATCAACAGTCAGGACACAGACCTCCTTATCTGGGAGGCAGGGAACCCAGCAGGACAGATGGGAGGCCTCCAACCCACAGTGAGCCAAGGCCTCTGGAAGCCTCGTTGCTGCAGCACATGTTCTAACCCAGGTGCAGAATAGGTCTGACATTGATGCTTCTGGCCCCAAAGGGAGAGAGAAACATTAGGACAATTTTGAGGATACCTGGATGTTCAGCTACTACATTATTTTGTAAATGTATTCCTTTGCTTAGACATCTTTCACAAATAATGTTTATAAAGTTTTGTTTTATTCAGTGAAATGTTAACTTTACTCAAGTTGATGTAGGTTTAAGTTATGTAAATGTTTATCAAAAACAAATAGGTACCACTATAACTTAAACATCCTGGTGTGTTCTTTGTTAGCCTGTATATTCCATTCTGCCATGAAGTTCAATAAGCTACTTCACAGGATGCATGAAGGGGTATATCACACAGCCCTTGTTCTTGCTATTATGTAAAATTGGCCATGTCTGACCAAAATTCAAATCACAGACCCTTTTCAAATGCAATATAAAAGCATTCATATGTTCTGCCTTTTGTTTCAGGCAACAGAGTAGCCACAACAAATGACACAGCACAGTTTTATTGTCAAACTCTAGACCAGCGATGTCCAATCTTTTGGCATTCCTGGGCCACACTGGAAGAAGAATTGTCTTGGGCCACACATAAAATACACTAACACTAACAATAGCTGATAACCTGAAAAAAAATTCACAGAAAATCTCATAATGTTTCAAGAAAGTTTACGAATTTGCTTTGGGCCACATTCAAAGCCATCCTGGACCACATGTGACCTGCAGATTGTGGGTTGGACAAGCTTGCTCTAGACAATGAAGTGGAGAAACTCAGAGTTATGTTTAAAATCCATGTTGTTTTGCTGCTCCTTCTGATTAATTTACATAACTTTGTTGGTCTTCTCCAGTGATTCTTCATCGGAGTAGTAAAAACACCAAGAAACATTAACTGTGCAATTCTGACTGTTTTATGCATGCATTTTAAAATTAAAAAAAAAAAAACCTTGAACATGACTCCAGCTAAAAATACTTAAAAAAATTCCTGTCTACTAACTTCTTTAAAAAAAAAATCAGAACTAAAAGCCCTCATTTAACCACAAATGCTACAGAGTGCTAATGGTTACATATGCTATGAGAGACATGCATGATATTTTGTGCAAATGATTTCCAAGAGTAACAACACAGATCTTAAGATTCATGTACTCATGTCGCCTGGAGTGTGAGCCCCAGGAATAAGTAAAAGAGGCACCTGCCTACATGCATGGTTTGAGACAAACCTAGAGGTCCCCCAAAGGTAGATTTCCCAACAGCTTACCAGTTCAACTAATATCCCAATGAAAGATAGACATTTTATCTAACTAAATAGAATGACCTCAGCTTATTAAATTAGTGCCTACCAGTCCAGCCACAATACAATTAGAACATAAGTGGATTGTGTTTATGAAGGTGCAGCAGAAAGTCTAGAGAGGCAGGAACCCAAATGGGCTTTGTGCACACTGTTCTTTATCGGGAACCAGCCCCCAATATTTCAACATAGGTCCTTTCTATTTTCCCTAAGTGTCAGCCAGTCTGAGAAATAAAGAGAAAGAGTGCAAAGAGAGGAATTTTACAGCTGGGCCTCCGGGGGTGACATCACATATCAGTAGGTCCATGATGTCCGCCTGAGCCACAAAACCAGCAGGTTTTTATTAAGGACTTTAAAAGGGGAGGGGGTGTATGAACATGGAGTTGGTCACAAAGATCACAAGCTTTAAAGGGCAATAAAGATCACAAGGCAAAGGGCAAAATTAGAATTACTGATGAAGGTCTATGTTCAGCTGTGCACATACTGTCTTGATAAACATCTTAACAGAAAACAGGGTTCGAGAACAGAGAACTGGTCTGACCTCAAATTTACCAGGGCGGGATCTTTTCCCCACCCTAATAAGCCTGAGGGTACTGCAGGAGACCAGGGCGTATTTCAGTCCTTATCTCAACCACATAGGACAGACACTCCCAGAGCGGCTGTTTATAGACCTCCCCCCAGGAATGCAATTCTTTTCCTAGGGTCTTAATATTTAATATTCCTTGCTAGGAGAAGAATTTAGTGATATTTCTCCTACTTGCACGTCAATTTATAGGCTCTCTGCAAAAAGAAAAATATGGTTCTATTCTGCCCAACCCCGCAGGCAGTCAGACCTTTGGTTGTCTTCCCTTGTTCCCTAAAATCACTGCTATTCTGTTTGTTTCCAAGGTGCACTGATTTCATATTGTTCAAACACCCGTGTTTTACAATCAGATTTCATATTGTCAAACACATGTTCTATAATCAATTTGTACAATAGTGGTCCTGAGGTGATGTACATCCTCAGCTTACAAAGATAACAGGATTAAGAGAGTAAAGTAAGACAGGCATAAGAAATTATAAGAGTATTATTTTGGGGAACTGATAAATGTCCATGAAATCTTCACAATTTATGTTCAGAGATTGCAGTAAAGACAGGCATAAGAAATTATGAAAGTATTAATTTTGGGAACTGATATGTGTCCATATTAAAATGAAATCTTCACAATTTATGTTCCTCTGCCGTGGCTCCAGCTGGTCCCTCCGTTCAGGGTCCCTGACTTCCCACAACAGTTCTTCCTGCCAGGAATGCATCCTTGGCCATTTTCTCCACACTGAGTCTGCCTGTGCTTGTTCTGCAGAAGCAGCTCAGAGCTCACCTTGGGGAAGCCTTTCTTCTCCCTGTTACTCCCAGGCTGCGTGACACACCTTTCCTGTCTTATCTGAATCAGGGAATATACCACGTGGAATTAGCGTTATTAACTTGTCTTTCTGAGAGACTGAGTTCCTTCAGGGCAGAGAACAGAGAAGATAGACAATATAAAATATATTAACATAAAATATTTTACATACCAACATATTTTATGTTGGGATATTAACATAAAATATGTTGCATGCAGGAATGAGCCAATTGGCCCAGTGAAACTTGAGGGGTGCTGAAAATATTGCCCATTTGAAAGTTTGACATGGGGCAGGCCCTCCATTCTAAGAGTGCTGTGGACCACTCTGTGTTTAACAGGGAGTTGCCTGGACTGAAACGATTTTAGTTGTAAGCCTCACTTACTACCTCACCTGTGTTGATGACTACTTTTACAGAAAAGGCTTGTGGTATGTGCCTGTTCAAAGAGGAAAATAGATTCCAAAGACAAAAATTTCTAGGGAAAATCAGCTAAGGGAGAAAAGAGAATTAGAGGCTAAATATTCTGACAAGCAGATATGAGAAATATTTGAGTGCTGATGTGATGGTTAATCCTGTAATGCTGTGAGGGTTGGGCATGGGTAGGGAGAAACTTACAAAGATCTCCATCTCTCTAGTTGGCACCCTTGTTTTAAGCCAGATGTAGGTGCACAGTAAAATGGTTTGTTCTTCATACCTAGATCAGAATGCCTCCTTACCTGGAGCCGTTCCCTTCCTGGCTCACCTTGCCCTGTTATAGAGAGGCTGATTTTGCCATGGTCTATATTTTGGCCAACTCTAAAGACAAGTATAGTTGAAAAGCTGTTGCAGTGTTGAGAATTTATTTTTAAAATGTTCCAAGTTAGCTAAAAGCAGCCACCAAGTAGGGACTATAACTCTGTTTGCATGGGAATCCTAGACAGCTCTCATGGCACCAGCCCAAGACAACAATCAATTATTATATTTTTACACTTCCCAATGTTGGTTATAGTAATAATTATTTTATTTACTTGTACCTCACATTTTCTCAGGAAGATATCTTTTTTTAAAATTTAATTTAATTTTAAGTTCCAGGATACATGTGCAGGACTTGCAGGTTTGTTACATAAGTAAATGTGTGCTATAGTGACTCGCTGCACCTATCAACCCATCACCTAGGTATTAAACTCCACGTGCATTAGCTGTTTATCCTGATGCTCTCCCTCCCTGCCCTGCCCCCACAGGCTCCTGTGTGTGTTTTTCTCCTCCTTGTGTCCATGTGATCTCATTGTTCAGCTCCCACTTATAAGTGAGAAAAAGTGGTGTATGGTGTTCTGTTCCTGTATTAGTTTGCTAAGGATAATGGCTTCCAGCTCCATCCATGTCCCTGCAAAGGAAATTATCTTGTTCCTTTTTATGGCTGCATAGTATTCCATGGTGTATATGTACTACATTTTCTTTATCCAGTCTATCATTGATGGGGATTTGGGTTGATTCCATGTCTTAACTATTGTGAAGATATGTGTGCATGTATCTTTATAATAGAATGATTTATATTCCTTTGGGCATATACCCAGTAATGGGATTGCTGGGTCAAATGGTATTTCTGATTCTAGGTGATTTATATTCCTTTGGGTATATACCCAGTAATGGGATTGCTGGGTCAAATGGTATTTCTGGTTCTAGGTCTTTGAGGAATCACCACACTGTCTTCCACAATGGTTGAACTAATTTACATTCCCACCAACAGTGTAAAAAGGTTCCTGTTTCTCCACAGCCTTGCCAGCATCTGTTGTTTCTTGACTTTTTAATAATCACCACTCTGATTTGCATCAAATGGTATCTTATTGTGGTTTTGATTTGCATTTCTCTAATGATCAGTAATGTGCCTTTTTTCATATGTTTGTTGACTGCATAAATGTCTTCTTTTGAGAAGTGTCTGTTCATGTCCTTTGCCCAGGTTTTAATGGGGTTGTTTTGTTTCTTCCTTGTAAATTTGTTTAAGTTCCTTGCAGATTTTGGATATTAGGCTTTCTCAGATGAATAGATTGCAAAAATTTTTTCCCATTCTGTATGTTGTCTGTTCACTCTGATGATAGTTTCTTTTGCTTTGCAAAAGCTCTATAGTTTAATTAGATTCCGTTAGTCAATTCTTGCTTTTGTTGCAATTGCTTTTGATGTTTTCATCATGAAATCTTTGCCTGTGCCTATGTCCTGAATGGTATTGCCTAGGTTTCCTTCTAGGGTTTTTATGGTTCTGGGTTTTACATTTAAGTCTTTAATCCATCTTGAGTTAATTTTTGTATAAGGTATAATTTTTGTATAATGAGTCCAGTTTCAATTTTCTGCATATGGCTAGCCAGTTTACCCAGCACCTTTTAATAAATAGAGAATCCTTCCCCCATTGCTTGTTTTTGTCAGGTTTGTTGAAGATCAGCTGATTGTAGATGTGTGGTCTTATTTCTGAGATCTCTATTCTGTTCCATTGGTCTATGTGTCTGTTTTTGTATCAGTACCATGCTGTTTTGGTTACTGTAGCCTTGTTGTATTGTTTGACGTCAGGTAGCATGATGCCTCCAGGTTTGTTCTTTTTGCTTAGGATTGTCTTGGCTATACAGGCTCTTTTTTGGTTCCAAATGAATTTTAAAGTAGTTTTTTTTCTAACTCTGTGAAGAATGTCAGTGGTAGTTTAATGGGAATAGCATTGAATCTACAAATTACTTTGGGCAGTATGGCCATTTTCATGATATTAATTCTTCCTATCCATGAACATGGAATGTTTTTCCATTTGTTTGTGTCCTCTCTTATTTCCTAGAGCAGTGGCTTATAGTTCTTTTTGAAGAGGTCATTCACGTACCTTGTAAGTTGTATTCCTAGGTATTTTATTCTCTTTGTAGCAATTGTGAATGGGAGTTTATTCATGATTTGGCTCTCTGCTTGTCTGTTGTTGGTTTATAGGAATGCTTGTGATTTTTGCACATTGACTTTGTATCCTGAGACTTTGCCAAAGGGGCTTATCAGCTTAATAAGCTTTCAGGCTTAAACAATGGGGTTTTCTAGATATCGGATCATGTCATCTGCAAACAGAGACATTTTGACTTCCTCTTTTCCAGTTTGAATACCCTTTATTTCTTTTTCTTGCCTGATTTCCCTGGCCAGAAGGTCCAATACCATGTTGAATAGGAGTGGTGAGAGAGGACATCCTCGTCTTGTGCCAGTTTTCAAGGGGAATGCTTCTAGCTTTTGCCCATTCAGTGTGATATTTGCAGTGGGTTTGTCATAAATGGCTCTTATTATTTTGAGGTATGTTCTATCAATACCAAGTTTATTGAGAGTTTTTAACATGAATCAGTGTTGAATTTTATCAAAGGCCTTTTCTGTGTCTATTGAGATAATCATGTGGTTTTTATCTTTAGTTCTGCTTATGTGATGAATGACATTTACTAATTTGCATATGTTGACCAGCCTTGCATCCTGGGGATGATGCCAACTTGATCATGGTGGATAAGCTTTTAAATGTGCTGCTGGATTTGGTTTGCCAGTATTTTATTGAGGATTTTTGCATTGATACTCATCAAGGATATTGGCCTGAAGTTCTCTTTTTTTGTTGCATCTGTGCCGGGTTTTGGTATCAGGATGATTCTGGCTTCATAAAATGAGTTAGGTAGAAGTCCTTCCTTTTCAATTGTTTGGAATAGTTTCAGAAGAAATGGTACCAGCTCCTCTTTGTACCTCTGGTAGAATTCAGCTGTAAATCCATCTGGTCCTGGGCTTTTTTTTGTTGATAAGCTATGTATTTCTGCCTCAATTTCAGAACTCGTTATTGGTCTATTCAGGGATTTGACTTCTTCCTGGTTTAGTCTTGAAAGGGTGTATGTGTCTAGGAATTTAACCATTTTTTCTAGATTTTCTAGTTTATTTGCATAGAGGTGTTTATAGTATTCTCTGATGGTTGTTTGTATTTCTGTGGGGTCAGTGGTGATAACCCCTTTGTCATTTTTTATTGTGTCTATTTGATTTTTCTCTCTTTTCTTCTTTATTAGTCTAGCTAGTAGTCTATTTTATTAATTTTTTTTTCAAAACACCAGCTCGTGTATTCATTGATTTTTTTGAAGGTTTTTTTTTTTTTGGTTGTTGTTGTTGTGTGTGTCTCTATCTCCTTTCATTTCCACTCTGATCTTGGTTATTCCTTTCATTTCCACTCTGATCTTGGTTATTTTTTGTTTTCTGCTAGCTTTGGAGTTTGTTTTCTCTTAGTTCTCTGGTTCTTTTAATTGTGATGTTAAGGTGTCAATTTGAGATCTTTCTAGTTGTGGGGGTTCATTCAGGCTGGTGGGAAAAATATTAAAGATAGTTATAGTAATAGCCACAAACCTTCTTGGAAGGCCGAGAAATTTGCATAGCTTTAGTAAGGATTATAGCTGAAGGCAACCTGATCCTTACCTTAAGTAAATAGCTTAAAGTGAGTACAAAGGAATGTGGGGAGTTTACCTAATGAGCTTATTTACTCATGTGGTCTTAAGACCAACCTTTGATCATTTGCGGGTGCACGATGTCTCTCTCCAGGGTCGGGGTGACCAGGTTAATTACCCACAGGTGTGTTTAGTCATGACCTTTGTCAATTAATCTTTACTGAATAAATGTAAGTCTCACTGGCAAGTCGGGGCCACGGTTGCAAATAGTGGCCCAGACACTCAGCTGAACTGGCAAAGCAGAGTATCTGTGTGTCAGTGTACTTTATTCATCCATCATTGGGTCAGGGTCTGCAGGACAGACCCCCGCATCTAGCTTTTTGGGCATTTAGTGCTATAAATTTGCCTCTTAACACTGCTTTAGCTGTGTCCCAGAGATTGTGGTACATTGTCTCTGTGTTCCCATTGGCTTTAAAGAACTTCTTGATTTCTGCCTTAATTTCGTTATTTACCCAGGAGTCATTCAGGAGCAGGTTGTTCAATTTACATGTAGTTGTGTGGTTTTGAATGAGTTTCTTTATCTTGAGTTCTAATTTGATTGCACTGTATTCTGAGATACTGTTTGCTATGATTTCAGTTATTTTGCATTTGCTGTGGAGCGTTTTACTTCCAATTATGTGATTGATTTTAGAGTAAGTGCCATGTGGCACCAAGAAGAATGTATATTGTGTTGTTTTCTGGATGGAGAGTTCTGTAGATATCTATCATGTCCACTTGATCCAGAGCTGAGTTCAAGTCCTGAATATCCTAGTTAATTTTCTGTCTTGATGATCTGTCTAATATTGACAGTGTGGTGTTAAAGTCTCCCACTATTATTTTTTGGGAGTCTAAGTCCCTTTGTAGGTCTCTAAGAGCTTTTTTTATGAATCTGGGTGCTCCTGTATTTTGTGCATATACATTTAGGATAGTTATCTCTTCTTGTTGAATTGATCCCTTTACCATTATGTAATGCCCTTCTTTGTCTTTTTGGATCTTGGTTAGTGTAAAGTCTGTTTTGTCAGAAACTAGGATGCTTTTTCCTACTTTCCATTTTCTTAGTAAATTTTCCTCCATCCCTTTATTTGAAGCCTATCTGTGTCTGCACGAGATGAGTCTCTTGAATACAGTACACTGATGGGTCTTGACTTAATTCAGCTTGCCATTCTGTGTCTTTTAATTGGGACAATTAGTCCATTTACATTTAAGATTAATATTATTATGTATGAATTTGATCCTGTCATCATGATGTTGGCTGGTTATTTTGGAGACTTGTTGATGTAGTTGCTTCACAGTGTCATTGGTCTTTGTGCTTCAGTGTGTTTTTGCAGTGGCTGGTAACAGTTTTTCTTTTCCATATTTAGTACTTCCTTCAGGAGCTCTTGCAAGGCAGGCCTGGTGGTGATGAATTCCCTCAGAATTTGCATGTCTGAAAAGGATTTTATTTCTCCTTTGCTTATGAAGCTTAGTTTGGCAGATATGAAATTCTGGGTTGGAAATTCTTTTAAGAATGTTTAATATTGGCCACTAATCTCTTCTGGCTTGTAGGGTTTCTGCTGAGAGGTCTGCAGTTAGTTTGATGGGCTTCCCTTCATAGGGGACCTGGCCTTTCTCTCCAGGTGCCTTTAACATTTTTTCCTTCATTTTGACCTTGGAGAATCTGATGACTGTGTGTCTTGGTGTTGATCTTCTCATGGAGGATCTTACTGGGGTTCTCTGGATTTCCTGAATTTGAATGTTGGCCTGTCTTGTTAGGTTTGGTAAGTTCTCCTGAATGATATCCTGAAGTATGTTTTCCAACTTGGTTCTATTCTCCCCATCTCTTTCAAGTACCCCAATCGGTCATAGGTTCCGTCTTTTCACATAATCCCATAGTTCTCAGAGGTCTTGTTCATTCCTTTTCTTTTCTCTCTAATCTTGTCTGCCTGTCTTGCTTCAGCAAGATAGTCTTCAAGCTCTGAAATTCTTTCTTCTGCTTGGTCTATTCGGTTAATGATACTTGTGGTTGCATTGTGAAATTCTCATGTTGTGTTTTTCAGCTCCATCAGGTCATTTATGCTCCTCTCTAAACTGGTTATTCTGGTCAACAGCTCCTGTAACTTTTTTTTCCATCTTTTGTTGTTGTTGTTGTTGTTGTTGACAGAGTCTTGCTCTGTTGCCCAGGGTAGTGCAGTGGCATGATCTTGGCTCATTGCAGCCTCTGCCTCCCAGATTCAAGTGATTCTCATGCCTTAGCCTCCTGAGTAGCTGGGATTACAGACATGTGTCAGTCACCACGCCCAACTAATTTTTGTATTTTTAGTACAGACGGTGTTTCACTATGTTCGCCAGGCTGGTCTTGAACTCCTGACCTCTAGTGATCTGACCACCTTGGCCTCCCAAAGTGCTGGGATTACAGGCGTGAGTCCTTGTGCCCAGTTCCTATAATGTTTTATCATGGTTCTTAGCTGCTCTACATTGGGTTAGAACATGTTCCTTTAGTTCAGCAAAGTTCATTATTACCCACCTTCTGAAGCCTACTTCTGTTAATTCATCCATCTCAGTCTCTGCTCAGCGCTGTGCCCTTGCTGGAGAGGTGTTGTGATCATTTGGAGGAGAAGTGGTGCTCTGTCTTTTTGAATTACCAGCATTTTTTTGTTGATTCTTTCTCATCTTCATGAGTGATATTATCTGGTTTTGATCTTTGAGGCTGCTGACCTTTGTGGAGTTTTTGTGGGGGCTTTTTTGTTGATGCTGTTGTTGTTATTGTTGCTTTCTGTTTGTTTGCTTGTTTGTTGTTAACAGTCAGACCCCTCTTTCATAGGGCTGCTGTGGTTTCCTGGGGGTCCACTCCAGACCTGGGTCCCTCGTGCAAGTGTCATCAGTGGAGGTTACAGAACAGCAAAGATGGCTGCCGCTCCTTCCCCTGGGCTGTCTGTCCCAGAGGGGCACCAACCTGATGCCGGTGGGAACCCTCCTGTATAAGGTGTCTGGCAACCCCTGTTGTGGGGGGTCTCACCCAATCAGGAGGCATGGGATCTGGGACCTGCTTAACAAAGCACTCTAGCTGCCCCTTGGTGGATAGGGTGTGCTGTGCTGGGGGACATCCCATTTGTCCAGACTGCCTGGTTCTCAGAGCCCTCAGGGGTAAAGACTAAGTCTGCTGATTCATGGAGACCACGGCTGCCTCTCCCTACAGGAGCTCAGTCCCAGGAAGATCAGAGTGCTGTCCCTAAACCCAAGGCTGGAGTTGCGGAAACTCCAGCAGGGAGGCCCCGCCCAGTGAGGAGGGCTGGGTCAAGGTCTGGCCTGAAGAGGCTGTCTGGCCACAATGTACCACAGCCATTATCCTGTGCTGTGGGGAATTCCTCCTGGGTCCAAACCATCCAGTCTCCCCAGCACCAGCAGGGGGAAAAATGGCAGACTGGAGCTGCGGTGATGGCTGCCACCCCTGCCCTGGGAGTTCAGTTGTCTTAGGCAGCAGGCAGCTGCAGTGATGATGAACACCTCTCCTGCCGGGAATTCGGTAGTTTTAGGCAGTCTCCAGCTGAGTGGTTGCTGAGAATCTGCACAGCTCTATGCTTGGGACCCAAGGCCCTGGTGGTGTGGGCTCACGAGGATCCCCCGGTCACATAGATCAGTGGAAAAAGCGTGGTTTCCCAGACAGGGTAGCACTATCACTCATCACATCTCTTGGCTGGGGGTAGGAGCTCCCCTTGCCCTGTGTGGCTCCCAGGAGGGCTGTCACACTACTCTTCTTTTCCTTGCTGTCCGTGGGTCATGCCAACCACCTAGTCAGTCCCAGTGAGAGAACCTCGATACCTCAGTTGTGGTGCAGGATTCACTCGCCATTTTCATTCTTCTCAGTGGGCGCCTCTGACCGCAGCTGTTTTTAGTCAGCCATCTTGGCCCCTCAAGGAAGATTTCAAGTAGCTGATTGCTCTTCTTACTTAAGGCAGAAGGTAAAACTCAATGTTTTCCACCTACTTTTTCTAAATCATTTATTTTCTTTTTTTGTATAATTTCTGATTATATTTTTCTTTTAATATTTCTTTGAATTTTTTGAATGCAAAAGAAGGGTAACAGATTCTGTAAACAGAAAAGAATTTATTTTTTCTAAGTGGGACATCATCAGATTTACAATGTATTGCTAAATCTTACTCACCCGGGCATCTAGGTCCTTGTACTGAGAATAGAGCCTATACAAAAAAATCTAACTTTCAAGAACAGCCCCTATAATGATTAAGCATTGAAGGATTTTATATCCACTATTGAATTTTTCTTTGCCACTATCTGGTAAAGCAGGACAAGTACTAACCTCAACTGTCCAGAGAGAGTGGGAAGCTAACTCTACTAAGGGGGAGCTATATGAACACCTGACTTTTAGGGTTGCATGCACCGGCAGGGTTGATAAGTTATGCAAAACTACTTGTGTACCCTTCCATACTTTTCTCCGTCCAATGAATTTGACCAACGAGATGGAATTAAGGCAGCAGAAAGTCACCTGGATGACATGGTCACAGCTGCGTTGGGTTAACCCAATCCCTGGGTACTCTCTGACTGTTAGAGAATGGCTTTTCATTTCGTGACCTTCAAGCTCTGAGCCGTTGTTTGTTAAGGGTGCCTTCCTGAATGATTGCAGGTCACCTCTGTGTAGTTTGGAAGGCACTGTCACCCACAGTCCTGGCCAATTTGGACTACACAGTTGTGAATATGATCTGAGTCTCACAGAATAAAGCCCATGGAAGTCATGTGACCACATGATCTACCGGTCTTTCTCTGTGTAAGAAGACGTCTCTTAGCAAGCTTAGGCTTTGCCTGCAATGTATTTCTGGCTCACAGATCTAGTTGAGGGGCAAGAGAGCTCAGTATTTAGGACCCTGGATCCCAGAGCCTGACTGCCTGCACTTGAATTTTCCCTTCACAGTTTATGAGCTGTGTGTCTTTGGGCAAGTAGCTTCAATCCTTTGGTGTCAGTCTCCTCGCCTATAATTTTGTGCTTATTTACCATGTACCAGGAACTATTCGAATGTTAGCTGCACCTATTAGTACTAGTATTATTGTATCCATTAAAACCCAGAGGTGAAAATGGTAAATTCTAAAAGATTCTGGATCTCTTTTTAAAAAATAAGGCAGGGTACAAAGAAGTGTATTTACAAAGATTACAAAAATGATCAATTAGTGTCTCTTGAAGCCAAAAAGTTATTTTTGTTGAGGAAGCACTGGAAACACTCACACACACACACACACATATATATATATAAAAGAGTGGCAGCCCTCCTCAACGCTGTAGCAGGAGCAAGGGCTGCTGGCACCCGGGGCTGGGCCCATCCGGACCTCGCCCCCGCTGCCCTCCGCCGCCTCCAGGCCCTTCCCTCGCCCATCAGGGAGGACAGTGTCGCAGAGAGCTGCGACTCCGGCATGGGCCCACGTGTAGCCTAGGGAAGAAAGGGATCCTGGAATCTCTGTGCCTCATAGAAAAAATAATGCTGCCCTTAGTTGCTCCTGGATGCCAGAAGAGAAAATAAGAAAAGGTTTGCAACTCAGGACCTCGTCTTAGAAAACAGAAGGCTTTATCTTAGAAAGGTGGTAGAACCTTCCACCAAAGTATTAGCAAACCAGATAGGAATTTAAAGGCAAAATTTAGAGTAATTTAATGTTTCTTTGAATGTTCATTCTTTGGAGTCTGAGGCCAGCTGTACCTCACTTTGTGGTGGAGGAAATCCCACACTTGCCATTTGAATGCCTGTGTGGTTGACAAAGAATCGTCCTCCTCTTCCTTTTGAATGATATTTCATTTCATTCTCTTTCGAAATGGAGGTTTGTGCAAAAAAAAAAAAATCTATTAATGAAAATTAACATGAAAAAAATTGACTTGTTCCCAGGCCTGTGTCTAATTAATTTTGTTTTCTTTTCCCATACAGTCATACTGTGCTTTTTTCCCCTTTTAAAACATCACATTTAATTATCCTTGAATAACCTCATAGATTTTAATGCATTAGAGACATTTTTAAAAAACAAGCATTGGATTGTTCACTGTAAGTCTTGTTACATCTTAGATTGATGGCTTAAACTTCCAAGACTTGAAAAATAGTGAAAAAAATTTACTAGAAAAATATTTTGCATATATATTTAGGGCAATAATAATAAATACAATAATTCATTTTTTAAAAATGATTGAGTCTAAAGATAAGTAACACAAGTTCCCTTTAATTTCCTAATATTTGTTCTTCCTTCTAAACTCTAAGCTTCTTTGTGTGCTCTTTCCCCTGAAGGATACTCCTTGGGTGGATTTTATCTTCTAAAGATAAGCCTTTTGTCATTCAAGTCTGGTGTATGTTAGGAAAAAACAGACCAAGTGCAAGCAGAGTGCAAAATAGAAGATAATGGCTACAGTTTCTTTTGTGTTATTTATTGTGATGTGATTGTCATTTGCACAGGCATGATGTCATGGAAGGCCACCAGTCAGAATACCTGTTTTCTTCTGGCACTAAGAAGGTGTATGATCTTGGGCAAATCATTTAATCCCCAAGCCTCTGGGTTTTCCTTTTTTTCTCCCTCTATATAATGAAGACTATATCCAAGAGCTGCCCTGGCACTACTGAGTGCCCCTCATTGTTCATCCCTGAAGACTTGTGTCACGCCCGGTCTCACCTTTGTTCACCATCTGTGCTTGTTAATGCTTATCCTTCCTGGAAAAGAGAAAAATTGAATTTTACCTCTTTGGCAGGGCATTCTGAGGACAAATCTTTTCTAGAAATATTCTTATATATATCAATCAAGGATAAATCTCCAACTTGGATTGAACTCACCGTATGAGTAACATAAAAACACAGCAAAAAAAAAAAAAATGGGTACAATGAGGAGAGAAAACTATAGGCCACTCTTTGCAACACTGATGACTACTGAGAACCTGAAATTTGTCTTACAGAATAGGGAAAGTAGGAAAGTATTCAGTGAGGCTGCCCTAAAAAGGATGGGCAGATAGCACTATGTCCAAATAAATGGGGTATTAAAAAAAAGAAAAAGAAAAAGGAAAGGCACTAGTGGTGTGCATTCCCAGGGAGAAATCAGGAATATTAATTCTGTATCCACAGGACAGGGAGTACTGGGGTTCATTTGACTTGGCCCTTGTGGAGTAGTTGGTGCTCTGGAAGGCAGTTAGTGCGGAACTGAAGCATAGGGCACTGAGTCCTAAAGCCTTGGGAACCAGAGCTTGGAACACCTCTACTTGAGATCTGCAATGTGAGAATGAGGTTGTTTTTTCCAGAAAAGCTGAACCAAGGCCAAGAACACATCCCAGCACTGGGACCACGAGCTGTGGGACTGTGAGCACTCAACTTCACAGGTGGTCCTGAGCAGTAGTGAGAAAGGGAACCACTGGTTCGACTAACTCCCTATGGGGCAGGATTTTTGACATGTAGGGGAAAGAGGGAGCCCTGAGAGAGATTCCAGACTCCCTACTACAAAGATGTCTGAAGTCTAAGATTGTGAAGCAGCTTATACTAGTTACACTCCATAGGACTTAAAGTGCAAATACATCTTTATCTATGACATTTCTACTCCTGGTTTTTCATTTCATGTCCAAGCTGGAATGATTACTGTCTCTTCCACTCCAAAGGCTTTCCTTGAACAATTGAGTGGTGGCTTTTGCACCCCCACCACTTTCCCAACAGGGGACTTTCCTTTGGAGAATTCATCCTTGCCCCGTTCTCAGCCACTCATTCTGGGTGACAATGATTTCATTCCTAGCTCCAGAGGAGGAATATCTCCTGGTCCTCAAAATCATTAATGGTCCTCAAAATTATTAGCTAATTTACATACAGTCATTACAAAGATATTGCAGGTTTAGTCCCAGACAACTACAATTAAGCTAATATCGCATAAAAGTGAGTCACACAATTGTTTTTTGGTTTTGCAGGATATATAAAAGTTATGTTTACACTATATTGTAGCCTATTAAATGTGCAATAGCATTATGTCTAAAAAATGAACACAGCTTAATTTGAAAACACTTTATTGCTAAAACATGCTGATGATCATTGGAGCCTTCGCCAAGTTGTAAGCTTTTTTTCTGGTGGAGGGTCTTCCCTCACTGTTGATGGCTGCTGACTGATCAGGATGGTGGTTGCTGAAGGCTGGGGAAGCTGTGGAATTTTCTTAAAATAAGATGAGGAAGTTTCCTGCATTAATGGACTCTTCTTTTCACAAAAGATTTCTTTTTTGCATGTGAGGCTGTCTGATAGCATTTTACCTACAGTAGAACTATTAAAATTGGAGTAAATTCTCTCAATCCTTGCTACTGCCTTATCAACTAAGTTGATGTAATATTCTAAATGCTTTGTTGTCATTTTAAGTGTTCACAGTATCTTCACCAGCAGTTGACTCCATTTTAAGAAACTACTTTCTTTGCTCATCCATAAGAAGCAAGAACTCATTTGTTCAAGTTTGATTATGAGATTGCAGCAATTCAGTCATATCACAGGCTCCACTTCAAATTCTAGTTTTCTTGAGATTCTCTACCACATCTGAAGTTACTTCCTCCACTGAAGTCTTGAACCCCTCTAAGTCATCCCCGAGGGTTAAAATGCACTTCCAACAAACTCTTGTTAATGTTGATATTTTGACTTTCTCTCATGAATCACGAATGTTCTTAATGGCATTTAGAATGGTGAATCTTTTCCAGAAGGTTTTCAGTGTACTTTGTCTAGATCTATCAGAGGATTCACTATCTATGGCAGCTGTAGCCATAAGAAATGTATTTCATAAATAATAAGACTTGAAAGTCAAAATTACTTCTTGATCCAGGCTTGCTGAAGGAATAATGTGTTAGTAGGCATGAAAAACATCATTAATCTCCTTGTACATCTCCATCAGAGCTCTTGGGTGACCAGGTGCATTGTCAATGAGTGGTAATATTTTGAAAAGATTCTTTTTTTTTTTTTTTCTGGGAAGTAGGTTGCAGCAGTAGACTTAAAATATTCAGTAAACTCTGCTGTAAACAGATGTGCTGTCATCCAGGCTTTGTTGTTCCATTTCTAGGGCATAGGCTAAGTAGATTTAGCATCATTCTTAAAGGCTCTAGGATCTTAAGAAGGGTAAATAAAATTTGGTTTCAACTTAAATTCATCAACTGCATTAGCCCCTGATAGGAGAGTTCAGCCTGTCCTTCAAAGTTTTGAAGCCAGTCATTGACTTCTTTCTTGCTACAAAAGTCTTAGATGGCATTGTTTTCCAATAGCAGGCTGTTTCCTTTACATTGAAAATCTGTTGTTTAGTGTGGCCACTTTCATCAGTGATTTTAGCCAGGTCTTCTGGATAACTTGCTGCAGCTTCTAGATCAAAACTTGCTGCTTCACCTTGTACTTTTATGTTATGGAGATGCCTTCTTTCCTTAAACTTCATGAACAGCCTCCGCTAGCTTCAGTGTGTCACAGTTGCTGGCCCTCTTCTTCCCAGGGCACAGAAATGCTCTCAGCACCACATTGAAGAGGTGGGCATGGGGGTGGGGGTGAGGATGGGGGTCGGGGAGTGAGGAAGGGTTGTCATCAGTGATTCAAGAATATTTTTCCACACTTTGGGAGGCCAAGGCAGGCGGATCACTTGAGGTCAGGAGTTCAAGACCAGCCTGGCCAACATGGTGAAATCCTGTCTCCACTAAAAATGCAAAAATTACCTGGGGGTGGTGGCGGGCGCCTGTAGTCCCAGCTACTAGGGAGGCTAAGGCAGGAGAATCGCTGGAGCTCAGGAGGTGGAGGTTGCAGTGAGCTGAGACTGTGCTACTGCACTCCAGCCGGGGCAACAAGAGTGAAACTCCATCTCAAAAAAAAAAATTGTTTTCTTAAAAAAGAAAAAGAATGTTTTTCCTACCTCTTCAGTGCCTCTTTCAGTATATGAAGTTAAAACCAGGTAATGTGAGTGCTCAGCTGATTTTTGGTTCTTACAAAGGTGCTTTTTTCCTGTAGATAGTTGTTTAATTGGTGTCCTTGAAGCGGGGATGGTTGGTGGAGTCTTCTATTCTGCCATCTTGCTTCACCCCTCCTAGCTTCAAACTTTTCTTCTCTAGCCTCCTCATCTCTCTCAGTCTTCACAAAATTGAAGAGAGTGAGGGCTTTGCTCTGGTCTAAGGTACAGAGGCCTATCTTGGCTTTTGACATGCCTTCCTCACTAGTTTAATCATTTCTAGCTTTTGATTTAAAGTGACAGACTTGCCACTCTTCTTTTCCCTTGAACACTTACAGGCTGTGGGAGGGTTATTAGTTGGTCTAATTTCAATACTGTTCTTTCTCAGGGAATTGGGAGGCCCAAGGAGAGGGAGAGAGATGGGGGGAACAGCTGGTTGGAGCAGTCAGAACACACACAACATTTAAGTACACCATTTTGTGTGGCTGTGGTTCGTGGTCCCCCAAACAATTACAATGATAACACCAAAGATCACTGAACACAGACCACTATAACAGATATAATAATAATGAAAACATTTGAAATATTGGGAGAATTACCCAAATATGATACAGAAACACAAAGTGAGCACATGCTGTTGGGAAAATGTCACCAGTAGACTTGCTCCACTCAGGGTTGCCACAGACCTTCAGGTTGTAAGAAACACAGTATCTCTGAAGCACAGTAAAGCAAAGCACCGTAAGACAAAGTCTGCCTGTACATGTATTACTAATGTGCATTGTATGAATCATCGTAATAATAAAATGGCATTTGTTCCTTTGAAATATGCCTTGAATGTGCATGTCCTCAGGCATTATCTAATGAACCATGTTAATCATTTCATTCAAGTTTTTTTTTTTGGCAGGTACAAACAACCAGCATTGTATTTTTGGTAATAAAATCAAAACAGTGGATTCTGGAGTTAGAGTGAGGACAAGTTTTAGAAGAGTGTAAAGGACCACGATCAAGTGCATCCTAGAAACAGCTTGTTCCATCTAAAATGTTTAATTCCACTAAAGATCTTGATGGTAAGCCCAGGAGTTTCACTGAAGACCATTTGCCTAAGAGAAATATATAACCACTGATGCTTAAAATGTGTCTTGGTTGTTTGTTTACAATTTTATGATCATAGAAGCATTGCTTTCTGGGGCATTTACATTATTTCAATAAGCAAAACCTATATATGAATGTATTTTAATTTTAATAGAAATATAATTTTTCCTGCTAAAAAGAGGGGGGTTAAATGAGTGATTTTGTGTTTTCAGTTGCTTTGGGTATTAAAGTATTATTTTTTCTACACATATTATTCTATGCTATGAAATTTATAGCAACATTGTAAAGGGAAGCAAAGCAGAATAATTTTTTTTTTCTAACTGCAGGAAAAATTTCTGTGCCTCCTAATAAGTGCCTCTCTGATGAGCAAGCACACTCTTTACTGTGTGTTCAGGCATTCCTTTGTCTTTTATTACTAGAAGCATGTTGCACTTGTTTCCATGCGACGTTGATCCAATTAGGAGCAATGCTGAGATTGACTATAATGAGAGGAGTACATCAACTCAAATATCTGACTATTATATTTTCTATTTAATGTTTATGAACTGTCTAAAGGCCCTATGGTTACTCTGCTACTTACAAGGATTTCCCATTGCCTTTATGGCAGATATGAAAGAAACATATAAAGTTCATGAGCGAGATTCTGGTATGAGTGTATTATGCTGATTGATCTGCTTAAGAATTCGTAAAAACAATAGAAAAGCATAATTTGTCAAGGAGAAATAATTAGTTTTGACTGATAAAATATGCAGTTTGGTTCCTTGGTAGTTTTACAGGGATCTTTCACACATTAACAAATATAAAAGTGATGTCTTATTGAAATGTCTTTTCAAGAGTTGACAGAGAAAGTAAAATTATTTATCAAATATGTCCACCTCTTGCTAGAAAAAGAGAGGAGAGTCTTGTATAGTTCTTGGTCTCAAAAGACTTTACAGTTTGCTAAACTAAGAGTATGTTGAGCAGAGATTTCTGAGTAGTGTTATGCCATATCTATTCTATCAACATACACCTGCTAGTTCACATGTTTTTCAAATTGATTTTTTTTTGGGGGAAAGAAAATATTTAATCACAGTCTGTGTATCTTTCAGAAGACATGAACAATCATGACTTTGGAATTTTAAGAACTGAACCTCCAAATCTATCTAAAAACATAATTTTAGCCCTATTGACTTGAAATGTTTAGTTCCATTTTACCAATTTCTTTCCAGTGAGACTATTTCTAAGGCTCGCTAAACATATCAACAGTTTTGTGGGGATGCTGTGGTAGGAACTTGGCTATCTGGCTAATACGCCCCTTTCATTCAAAATTCCTGTTACACATGGAATTTCTCCCTGTTGCTTAGAGATCACCTTTCCCCCAAATTTAGATATGTGTATTTCAGCAATGGCTTTCCAGTAGTTTATCCATTGTTTGTTCCATATCAAAGGTAGTAGAGCATTATTTTTATACGGTTTAGTTATAATAATGCATGAGTAGAAAAAAACTGAAATTCAAAGTATCTTGTGTTATCTTTTTGGCTTCCATCTCCTATACTGCTGGGGTGAACTCTGCCAAGTTTTAAAGGGATGTGAACATTCCAGAAGGCCAATCAAAAGCATCTAGCTGGGATAAGTTATTCAATTTCCATTCTGTATTTCTTCCCTAAGGACAACTATTTGGAACCACTTTATTCTCTATTAGTGAAGGCATTACGTGTTATTCGACTCAGCAGCAGAAGGAGGTTTTCTGCAGTGTCCAGTAGTTGCAGGCACTTCGGGCTGTGCATACATCCTGGTGGACATAATAAAGCACTTCACTTGATGGTGTTTGGGTTGTGCACAGCTACGTGATGCCAGCTGGTTTCAAGGCACCAATTGCTTACAACTTAGCAATTTATCCTGTAGCAAAAGAAACTGGAATAATGTGGTCTCCAAGTAAAACGGCACTGATTTTTAACCCATCTTGACACTTTTTACCCAGGAGGAAGCTATTCTCATAATTATGCAATAATACATTTTAACTCAAATTTTATACAATTGTATGCATGTCTGGATATTGCCTATTGCCTAAGCCATTAGCTACTGTGGATGCATGAATGCTGTACACTTTTTGTAAGTCAATTTGCTTTATTAATATTAAAATCGCAGATTGTCATGTTTCTTAAATTGAATACAGAGGGAATGCTCAGTAAGGAAACAGTCTGACATATTCAGGACATTCATAAGCCACTAAAGTGAATTTTCTGCCTATAAGAGAAATTTTATGGGATAAGGTTATGTTAACCCCAGAAGATTGTTGTTAGATAACTTGGCTTCATGATAAGTACCATGACTTGGAGACGTTGGTTGGAAGCCATGCCTCATAGACTGAAATTCTTCCTTGTATTTAGCACGCCATAAAGGAGTGAGAATATGCTAGACAGATTATTCAGTGTAAGTCAATACATATGAGAAGAGATTAAGAAGCATCTGTAAGTATTCTTGTGTGGAACAATTTGTTCAACAAATATTTTATCAGTGACTACTATGTGCCCTGCACTGTAGCAATAATTAGGCAGAAGATGATGAATAAGTTATTTAAGGAGCTGATAGTCTATGGAGAATGAGAGTAAACACCTTCCAAAGGCTGTGATTAGTCCTGCCATAGGAGGGAACTGATAGGAGAAGCATTTATCCTGATATTTAAGGATTCAACACTTCTCTTTCTTGGTGGCTTTGAAACATGGTGGCTGATTCTTTGACCCTCTTTCCCTTGAGCTTGGAGCTAAGCCCTTCTCCTTGAACCTGGAGGTGCTGTGACTGCTTTAATCCACACAATAAGGGGGAAGCCCAAGGCATCTCTGAAGGCCAGGCAACACTGCTCTATTTGCTGGAACACTCACTCCTGGAGCAGTAGGCCCCTTGTAAGAGTCCAGCCCCCGGAGGCTGTGGGTGGGCACTCCTGGCAATGGTCCTGTGAGGTCAGTCTTTCCTTCTTATCATCTGAGCCCCTAGACACCAATGGGCAGAGAACAGCCACCCTACTGTGTTTTGTCCAAATTCCTGACCTACACTGTGGTTAACTGTGTAGCAGCAGGTCATTTGAACACATGTGGTGAGGAGGCCATAGCTAAGGATGAACTGGAAGTCACCATGAGGAGGATGGGGCGGTATTCTGGGCAGGAGCAGCCTTGGCCAAAGCTGGCGGTGAGAGTGCACATGTGCCTGTGTTCCAAGAGGGCTTTTGCTTTTCTTGCTCTGGATTGGATTATGACATCAGAGGATAATATCTGGAAATGGATATTGAATAGCAAGGATCAATGAGTTCGTGAGCTCATGTGAGCAGCAGATATCAGGCACCTCTTGCCAGGCTGGACCACCCTGTTTCTCCCCTGTGGTAACATATTTTCCTTGGCCTTTTCCTGTCTCTGGCAGGGTAGGAGCCCAGGAAACATGTTTTATGTGAATGCAGTTATGCCACTGAAGAGTTTCCACTAAAAGGAAGGTTATGAGTAGAAGAAAGTAAAAATCAGAAAAATTGTAAAGTGAATCAATATCAAGAGACCAAACCCTACAACTGGACGAAGAGCCACGGGAAAACTGAGGTGTTCCCAGAAAGCTGATGTATCTCCATGCATTGTGAAGTCCCAGCTGATGGTGACTTCGCAGCCCAAAGCCATTTGAATCAGCAGCTCTTTTATGATGGCTGCAAGTTTACTCATTCTTTAACACTTGCAAACAACATGGCAGAAAATAGCAAATCAAGGCCACATGCATGCATGTGCGCCAAGCATCTACACAAGGCACACAAAGTCAGAGAAATAAGAGGCTGCATGCTTCCTCTCCGCTTTTTCACTGTAGAAAACATTCGTCACAAAGGAAACAGCCTTCTGATTTATAGAGGTCTCCTTTCCACAATGCATGCCTATAATATAAATATTTTATTTAACCTATGTGCTGTAGACCCCTAAGTTTTTGTGACACCCAAAATTCATGTGTTAAAATCCTAACCCCAATGTGTTAGTATCGGCAGGTCCTCTGGGAAATGATTAGGTCATGAAGATGGAGGTCTCATTAGGTCATAAAGGTGGAACCCTCATGAATGGGGTTGGTGTTCTATGAAAGAGGCCCCAGAGGCCAGGTGCAGTGGTTCACACCTGTAATCCCAGCACCCTGGGAGGCCGAGGCAGGTGGATCACCTGAGGTCAGGAGTTCGAGACCAGCCTGGCCAACATGGCAAGACCCTGTCTCTACTAAAAATACAAAAATTAGCCAGGCATGGTTGTGCACACCTGTAATTCCAGCTACTCGGGAAGCTGAGGCAGGAGAATCCCTTGAACCTGGGAGACGGAGGTTGCAATGAGCTGAGATCGCGCCACAGCACTCCAGCCTGGGTGACAAGAGTGAAACTCCATCTCAAAAAAAAAAAAAAAAAAAAAAGAAAAGAAAAGAAAAAGAAAAAGAAAGAGGCCCCAGAGAGCTCCCTCAGCTATCCATTATTTGAAGACACTGTAAGATGCGTTTATAAGCTACTCAGCGTATGGTAGTAGTTTATTACAGCAGCCCAAACTGACTGAGAAACTCCCCATCCATGAGTTTTAAAGGTTTCTCATTGTAGGATAAACAAGTATGCGCACTGTCTCCTAGAACAGTGTTTCTTGACCTGGGGTTCTTGGAAACCCATATGGGAATTTACATATGTATTTTTGGGTGTCTGAGAATTTTCTTTGAGAAAATATATATTATTTCATTTTGGTGGCATTTTCAGCTATCTACATTAGTGTCCCTCAAACTTTATTGTGCATGCAAATCACTGGGTTATACAGCCTGTTTGGAATCAGCAGGTCCTAGGAGGGCCTGAGGCTCTGCACTTCTTTTTTTTTAAGACAGAGTTTCACTGTATTGCCTGGGCTGAAGTGCAGCAGCGTGATCCTGGCTCACTGCAACCTCTACCTCCTGAATTCAAGTGATTCTCCTGCCTCAGCCTCCTCAGTAGTTTGGGATTACAGACACCTGCCATCACGCCCAGCTAATTTTTGTATTTTTAGCAGATATGGGATTTCCCATGATGGCCAGGCTGGTCTTGAACTACTGACCTCAGGTGATCCACACACCTCAGCCTCCCAAAGTGCTGGGATTACAGGCATGAGCCACCACACCAGGCTGAGGCTCTGCGTTTCTAACAAGCTGTCTGGTGACTACAGTGTGAGTGTGGGAACAGTGCTTTGAAAAGCCAGGCTTGAGATGCCCCCTTACAGCCTGCAAGTGATGTCCCTGCCTGCCTTGTGTTTGTGTGTGATTATATTTGACCTAAGTTGTGCTGCTATCATTGTCACAGCTGAAAAGGGATGAAGACAGCCAACTATTATGTGGCAGCCTTCTGGTTACCAAGAACATGCACAATTGTCAGAGCGGAATCCATGAGATAGAATTTATGGGCACACATACTTGGTGGACCAGAACTGGGAGCTGCGTGCCATCAGCACTCCCTGTCTCTGCTCATCCTTTCTTTCTGCTGCCTGGGCCTAACTTCTCTGGGCACAGGCTTTCTCCAGGTAATGGGCCAGTTCTCAGTGTCAGCCCCATCCCCTCCTCTCTGTGCCCTGCATGACTGTACTGTGCCATCTCCACTGGGCCTGTTTTGATTCCTTTCCTCACTCTTACTGTCAGGGGTTCCCGACATCTGGGATTTTTGTGACAGGTTGTTTGGATTGGATGGCAGTTCTCACTCAGATACCCTGGAAACTCACATAGGTGCCCACAGGGACTTCGCCTCGCCGTCAGATCATGATATGTGTGGCCTTCCCTTGCACACAGCCTTGGCCTAGAGGACACTTGGAAACTGGTTGATGAGGTGCATAGGGGAGGAGGGCATGTTTTAATCACACAGAGCTTGTGTACTGATGGGAAGCTATCAACCTATAAACATAAAATGTTAATATCTATGCATAGTCTCACTACAGTATTATCTTTTCTACTCTACCCCCTTTTCATTAGTGGTCATTTATTTTAACATGTTTCTTTGTTTATGGTTATCAGTGGATATAGTGTTTCATAATCCTATGAGAGCCAGGTCAGGGTGATATCCCTGAAGTGGAAAAAAGTCAAGATCCAGTGAAAAGTCATCAGCAACATAAAAGTTCCTCCTAGATTGTCAGTTTTTAAATCTCAGAACTGTAAATAGCAAAATTCAGTGTGTTCTTTAGAAAGTAAAAGAGCATACTGTTGGAAAGGAAGAATACTCGCAAGAACTGAATCAGAAATAAAATATAGCTTCTGGCAGCAATTGGAATGCCAAAAAGAAGACATAGCAGTTATTTTAAGAATTATCATTATCTTTCATTTAAAAGTGAAAGCGTGGGAGGCTCCAAAGCAGAGAAGAACGAGCTGGATGTTAAGTCTAGCTGACTTGAGCTTGGATCATGGCTCTGCCACTTTCCAGTCCTGTCATTTTGGGCAACATGTGCAGTCTCTTGGAGCCTGTATCTTCTTCTGTAATAATAATAATATCTCACTGGAAAAGTTGTGAGTAGGAAATAAATAATGAGCATCACATCCCTCAAGAGCTCCTGATCCATAGTAACCACTCTATTAGCGAATTATGTCTTAAAAAATGTGTGTGGAGAGGAGTGATGAGGATATTACATAGGTTGAGTTAAGAAACATAGCCTGCCGTGTGGGAGACAGGAAAGAACTTCCCAGTAGTCACCCTCCAAAGTCACCGTCATGAATTTCATAGTAGTGAAAAATCTTTTGTGAAGGAATACAAGGTCTCACTGGTTTTGTTTATTTATTAATTTATTGATTTTTTTTTTGAGACAGATTCTTGCTCTGTCACCCAGGCTGGGGTGCAAGTGGCGCGATCTCGGCTCACTGCAAGCTCCACCTCCTGGGTTCACACCATTCTCCTGCCTCAGCTTCATTTTTAGTAGGGGTTTCATTGTGTTAGCCAGGATGGTCTCGATCTCCTGACCTTGTGATATACTCGCCTCTGCTTTCCAAAGTGCTGGGATCACAGGCGTGAGCCACCACACCCGGCCAATTGATAAGTATTTACTTCAGGTCTTGAGCTTGTGAGCATTTGCTAGTATCTATGGCTTTCATCCCTGGCTCTATATTTCTGTTCCTTTTGTATTTTCCAATACACACCAAAGAATAACTTTTTTGTTGTTGTTGTTTTGTTTTGTTTTTGAGATGGAGTTTTGCTCTTGTCTCCCAGGCTGGAGTGCAGTGCCACAATCTCGTCTCATTGCAACCTCCGCCTCCCGGGTTCATGCGATTCTCCTGCCTCAGCCTCTTGAGTAGCTGGGATTACAGGCGCCCACTACCACGCCTGGCTAATTTTTGTATTTTTAGTAGAGACAGGGTTTCGCCATGTTGGCCAGGGTGGTCTCAGACTCCTGACCTCAGGTGATCTGCCCATCTTGGCCTCCCAAAGTGCTGGGATTACAGGCAATGAGACACCTTGCCTGGCTGACACCAAAGAATAACTTATGACATCCAGTTGACTTCATGAAGGCTGTGTACTTGGTACTGACTAAATTTGTGTTAAAAATTCACTGAACCGAAACTTGAGAACTGAACATAAACTTGGAAAATAAGTGGACCACTTTCTGTGAATGGCTGATTTTGATATTTTATCTGGCAGTTGGTACCCAGTGGCAGCTATGGTTTCACTTTCTTGTTCTGATTTATTTTTGTGCAGTTTATGTTGATTAAGAATTCTTGCATTCCAAGTGTCATCCCAAGCACTTGGTGTGTATTGACACATTTAATTATCGCAGCCATCTTATAAGGTAGATAATAATGTTATTCCTACTTTGGGGATGTGGAAGCAGGCTTAGAGGCATTAAGCGACTTGCCACAGTCACCCTACTGGGTCAATGTTGGAAGATTGGAACTCGTATTCCCACCATGGGAGGAAGCAGTGATATTTAACAGGTTTTAGAGACTATCACCCATTTTGCATATATTAAATGGGCATGTGGCTGTAAGACATCATATAGGAAATGAGTAGCTAAAGCATTTTACTTTGTATACTTGCTTTGCTTTTACTTTAATATGAAAATATTGGAAGTTTGAATCTGGACTTTTGTAAACCCATAGTGACGTATCATAAGTTGCCAGCTGTAAGGTGTAGAGGGGCCATCTGTTGTGGACTGTCTATGTCTACATTTGTTCCTAGGCTAATAAACAGCATTAAAACCAGAACAAAACAGAAGGGAGAGAGTTAAAGAAAAAATTATTTAGGACTATTGTGATACATGTCAAGACCATTGCAGGAGGGGAAAGAGGTGGGGCTCTACTTTAAATACAGTCAGGACAGCTGGGGAATTACACCCAGCAAGCAGAATGAGGGAATCATTGGATGGAAAATGACTTAAGAGGGTACATCAAGGGTGGGAGGAATTCTTGCTAAAAAATACAACTTAACAGTATTCTTGCTACCACTGGACTAGCAGACCAAAAGCAAGGTGCCAGGTCAAGGCCTCATTGAGAAGAGGGGGTTAGAGGAGCCTGTATAAGGTTTAGTCAAGGATAGAGACTTTGTCAGGGTTATTGGGGGAAACCAGCCCCCGATAATTCAATGCTATTTCACGTAGGTTCTTTTCTATTTCTCTAAGTGTCGGCTGGCCTGAGAAATAAATGGAAAGAGTACAAAAGAGGGAAATTTTAAAGCTGGGTGTCCGGGGCAGACATCACATGTCGGCAGGTTCTGTGATGCCCCCCAACCCGCAAAACCAGCAAGTTTTTATTAGTGATTTTCAAAAGGGGAGGGAGTATACGAATAGGGTGTGGGTCACAGAGATCACATGCTTCACAAGGTGATAAAATATCACAAGGCAAATGGAGGCAGGGCGAGATCATAGGACCACAGGACTGGGGCAAAATTAAAATTGCTAATGAAGTTTTGGGCACGCATTGTCATTGATAACATCTTATCAGGAGACAGGGTTTGAGAGCAGACAACCAGTCTGACCAAAATTTATTAGGCGGGAATTTCTTCGTCCTAATAAGCCTGGGAGCGCTACAGGAGACCGGGGCTTATTTCGTTCCTTACACAACTGTAAAAGACAGCCGTTCCTAAAGTGGCCATTTTAGAGACCTCCCCTTGGGAACGCATTCTCTTTCTCAGGGATGTTCCTTGCTGAGAAAAAGAATTCAGCGATATTTCTCCTATTTGCTTTTGAAAGAAGAGAAATATGGCTCTGTTCCACCCTGCTCTCAGGCAGCCAGACCTCATAGTTATCTCCCTTGTTCCCTGAACATCGCTGTTATCCTGTTCTTTTTTCAAGGTGCCCAGCTTTCAAATTGTTTAAACAATTTGTGCAGTTAATGCAATCATCACAGGGTCCTGAGGTGATATTCATCCTCAGCTTATGAAGATGATGGGATTAAGAGATTAAAGTAAAGACAGGTATAGGAAATCACAAGAGTATTGATTGGGGAAGTGATAAATGTCCATGAAATCTTCACAATTTATGTTCAGAGATTGCAGTAAAGGCAGGCATAAGAAATTATAAAAGTATTAATTTGGGGAACTAATAAATGCCCATGAAATCTTCACAATTTATGTTCTTCTGCCATGGCTTCAGCTAGTCCCTCCGTTCAAGGTCCTTGACTTCCCGCAACACAGGGTGACACTGATGAACCCTGTAGAGAATCAGAGAAATGTATTCCATGTGGACTTGAAAATGTTACCCATTGGAATGGCAATATAACGAGCCATTTAAGTTGGTTTTGGTATTTTTGATTAATTTCATGATAAAGTTAATAAATATTAAGACAACTGATTTTCTGCTTATTCTCTACATAGCTTCTTCTCTTTGGGGAATGCAAAATTTCATTAGCTTTGTTTTCACTCTTAAACTACTGAGTCTTCTTATTTTAGTAATCAGATCAGCCTATAAATTTGTAATAATGGCCTTTGTGGGTGGATAGATAGTAATTAATAAGCAACCTACCTAAGTGAATAACAATTGTATAAATATATGTTCAATGTATTTAATGGGAGAACAAAACCCACTACATTATACTTAGGTACATATTTAATTTTAGAAGGAAATAAATCATTCTGTTACCATAGACTTTCAGAAACCTCTTGACTGTGTGAATTCTATGCAGAGTAAAATTTCACAATAACTTTAAAATGTATCATGTATCTGAGGATTGAAAATGTATTATGATATTAAATGTATTTTTCTTGACATTTTATGTAAACTTTATAAAACAACATAGGGGAATTATTTTTTATTTTTATTTTTATTATTGTTTTTGAGATGGAGTCTCCCTTTGTCTCCCAGGCTGGAGTGCAGTGGCGTGATCTCAGCTCACTGCAAGCTCTGCCTCCTGGGTTCACACCATTCTCCTGCCTCAGCCTCCCAAGTTGCTGGGACTACAGGCACCCACCACCATGCCTGGCTAATTTTTTGTATTTTTAGTAGAGACAGGGTTTCACTGTGTTACCCAGGATGGTCTCGATCTCCTGACTTCATGATCCACCCGCCTCAGCCTCCCAAAGTGCTAGGATTACAGGCATGAGCCACTGTGCTCAGCCCCCTAATTTACCTTTTTAAGCCTCTTTTGTGAACTTACATAGTCAGAAGGTTTACATGGTTAAATTAAACACCTACTCAATCTAAAGTTGTTAATATTTTAATCTTCCTAACCATGGACAATTTAGAAAAAGTAACACTGAGCATACTTCTCTGGAAAGCAATAAAGAATAGCCTTTAAAAATGATAGTTAGTAAAAAATATTTTATTAACTAGTGAGTACTATTGGAAGTTACATTCCTTTTAATTTTAGGAGGTGCAACATTATTGCTTTTAAGTGGGGAGAACTGTTTTGATATTCGCCTCAAACAGTAGCAGAAACAGAATGCAAATCACAGTTTAAACAGTCACTTAAAGTTTTGAATATTATAAAATGAAAGAATTCTGTTGTTTCAACTACCATTAAACAGTTAAAATTGCAGAATTTTACTTAAATGACTTTCTTCTAAATTAGACTGAATAAAAACATTCATTTCAAAGTGCTGAAATTACACTTACAATTAGTATTTAATGCTCATTTAAAATTCTATTCTACATATTAACTATCTTTTCATTATCTCAATTTACATGTCCCTAAGATTTTCTGAATCTTAATCCCCATAGCAGTGCTAATGTTTAAGCTAGTATTTCATGAAAGAAAGAAAGGCTACAAATCAGTTTTTTGTACATTACACATAAAGATTCAGTTCAGTGGAATAATCTTGAGGAATTAGTTGTGCAAATGGATTACTGCTGAAAATGGTAAATTGTATATGCTTAATTAAGGAAGGACTTTTCAATGTGAAAGTTTGAAAACATTGTTTCTTAGCAGAATGTTAAACTTAATAAATGTGAATAAAAGTAACTAGCATTGTAAAACTGTAGCAAAGTAATTTGACTTCATTTGACTTCTAAAGAGGAGTCCCAGTACAAAAATAAATCTGGGTTGCCCTTCTTGTTTCCTGAGATGGAAGCTTGGGAACAAATTCTAGAAGGTGGTCGTGGAATTCTAGAAGGTGTTTGGGCTATTGGTCTTCCTTTTTGGTGTCTAGTTCACCCTGAGTCTGTTTCTCTGCACTATGATGTCCCTCCCTGCTCATTAGTAGCATTATGCAGTGAGACTGTCTTACAGCCCCTTCTTCTCCCAGAGGGTCCACAGAAGCCTGTGTCTGTGTCCTGTGGCTGAGTGAAAGAATGGCTGTAATGTGATGCTTCCCACGTCATGCTCTAGAGGCAGAAGCTGTGGCTGGCTCCCTGCCTTACTAGCACTGACCTTGAATATGATTTTTTAAAAAAGAAGCGTGGGCAGGAGGGTAAGAAAACTACTTACCTCCTTGTTTGTCATGAGGATTAAATGATATATGTAAAGGCTAAGCATGGCGTTTGACATAGAGCAAATAGTCAAATGTTAGCTAGTGCTTTTGTTTTCAAATGTGTGGGTTTGCATATATCCATAGTTCATCCTATTATCATCCTGCTATTTCTGACCCTCTTTATTCCAAACTATTTTAGCCCTTTCTCTTCATATTCCAGGCTACATCTATCTTTGAAACTCTAGATCACAGTTGTGTTGCTATAAGTGTTGAAGTAGGTGTGTGTAATTTACCTGGAACCATAGCAGGCACATTAGTGTGCAGTGAATGCCTTGTGTAGTTGTCTTGCTTTTGCCTTTAATGGGGTCAGTGCCCCTCAATTTTCCAAGTTGGACCCTCCAAGACACTCCTGTGGCACTCCCTGTAGTTGGTTCCCTGGTCCTCTTGGTTCTATGGTGACTCTAACTTCATTAACTCTGCCCCTGACCTTTGCAGGACAGACCCATGCTACCTTGTCTCAGCCCCATGTCTTCAGCCTCTTCCTCCTTCCCACCTTCCACACAGACTTCATACAACCCTAGAGACACTGGGTCACCCCAGCCTGAAGGCAAAATAAGATCAGTCCCGAACTTAGGATCCTCAGCCTCCCCCTGCTCTGAACGAATTCCCCCAGAACCTTCCTGGAGTCCTCAGGGCTGACCTGGCCTGGTGGTTCCTGTGTCTCCCTGCTCTGCCCAGCTTGCTGATGACCACAGTAGCTGCTTGAGGTCTGCCTAGACGAGCTTAGGCCACCCTGGCTCCAGGCTCTCCCACCCACCCTCAAAATAGTTTATCAGAATCTTCTTCTGAAAAAATAAATTGGATCCTGAAAGTCCACAAGGTTCTCTGACACCACACGATTTCCCCAGAAAGCACAGGTATCCAGCCAGAAAAGAGAGAGTGGGGCATGCAAGGAGGTGTGACCCATCGGAGCAGCTGTATATGTGTGTGTGTGTGTGTGTGTGTGTGTATATAGAGAGAGAGAGAAAGAGAGAGACAGAGACAGAGAGAGAGAGAGAGAGACCCAGAGCCAGGCAGTGCTGCTGGTTCATCAAAGAGAGTGGGAAACAGGAGGAAGGTGAGACATGGTGTGCGGGGTGAGTAACCTACGAGGTGAGCAGGAGAGGGAGAGACACCAAGGGGTGGTGTGGGCATGGAGGAAGAGGGGGCCACAGTGGACCCTCCCAGCTGCTCCACTGGACCACACCTCCTCACATGACCCACTCTCTCTTTTCTGGCTGGATACTTTTGCTTTCTGGGGAATCGTGTTGTGTCAGAGAACCTCGCAGATATATATCAGTGCCACAGCTGGAGGAGAGGGAGGCAGAGGAACCACGTGTGTGGACCAGTAGCTGAGGTGTGGAATCAAGGGAGCACTTGCCACCCACAGGCAGCACCGCCTGGTCCAGAAACTTCATGCTTAGCTGCTTCCAGGTAGAAGAGCCCTGTCTCTTTCTCTCTGTCTCTCTGTCTCTTTCTGTCTGTCTCTCTTTCTGTTTCTCTGTTTCTCTCTTTTGTCTCTTTTTTATTGTTCTCTGACTTTCCCTGCTTCTGTCTTTCTTTTTCTTTTTCTCTCTGTCTCTGTCTCTATTCTGTGCTCAAGGACTACCCCAAAAGCAAGTGACATACTTGCAGGGTCGTCTTTCCTTACTTGCCCCCAAGGATAGGGGTCTTTGGCATCTGAAGGACTGCTGGTCAGGGAGCAGGGTCAGGAGCCATCCGTGACACACCAAAGGGCACTTTGCGTGTCACCGCGGGCCATGTGAGGATTACAGTGGGTAGACTGTGTCATTATTCATAATTTAAATGTTTATTTTTCCTCTAAATTATAAGCTTCTGGTGTAGATAGTAAAGTGTACTCTTTATAACTCTAATTCAATGTTTGCTGTAAATGAATGGATAAGTGTAATCTTTGTTTGCTGAAGTTTGTCATATAGGACTGCTGTGGATTGGCTTTGTTTGTTTTGAAACGTTCCCTTAACGTTCTCTGTGGTGTTGAGATTTATCAGGAGCACAGAATGTTTCTTGTGTCACTTGGTGAATTTGGCTGGACATATTTTTATTTTGGACATATTTTTGAAAATCAAACTGTAGGTCCATGATTTTAAAACACTCTTCAGTTTTGCTGTTGTTTTTGGCTTCCAGAGACAAGACTGATAGCAGCATGCTTTGGAATGTGTGTCATTGTCTTTAGGATTCCAAGATTCTGCCATCGCTGCTGCTGCCGTCCATGTGTCTGTGATGGCTGGTGGGAACAGCACTTTCCTTTTGTGGGAAGATGGTGTGGTGTGCAGTAGTGGTCACTGTTGGAGAGATGTTTATGTCTTGTACATGAAGAGCTGCTCTCCCTCTGATAGCTGCCTGCCAAGCGGCTCCATCCATCATTGAGAGCGGGCACCACACGGCTCACTGCCCCAAGGTATCCTGAAATATTTCTCCCAACTTTAACATGTTCATTCTCTCCACCTTAATTTGCTATGAAGACATCTATCTCACTGGTGATATAAGAGTGATTTTCCTGGTTTAGAACTATGGTGTACCTGTTTTGACTTTAAATTAGATGAGTAGTTGACATCTCAGATCCTGCCGAAGGCCTGTGCATTCTGATCAAGAGACAGGAGGAGACAGCAGGAGACATGGAAAGGATTATATAAAGACTGTTTCTTCCTGGACTCATGGACCAATGGGGAGAAAAGCTAGTTACATTCTGTAACAAGCAAAAAACCGGAGGAAAAAACTCCTTCAGAGCAGAAGTTTGGACACCTCCGTCCCCATGCTGAGCCCCTCCAGCTAAACCAGTGTTCTTGGAGCCCCGTTTTTGCTTTACTATTAGCTCCATGAAGGCCAAGACTGTCTTTTTCACTTTGATCATAGCTATTCAGTCATAGCTTGTTGAAAGAATGGTGTGTGTGGTTCTGTACAAAACCAGGCTCATTCTGCCTGTTGCACAGTAAGCCAATTGCTGACATGACAAGTTTGCAGTGGAGAAAAGATTTTATTCACAAGGCAGCTAAGTGAGGAGATGGGAGAACAGCTCTCAAATCTGTCTCCTTGGAGATGGTGTTTTAGGGACATTTATGGGATAGAGGAGCAAGGTGGTCTGAAGCATGGGGAAAGGTGATTGGGTATAAGGAAAAATGAGGTAATGAGTGATCTGTGCGAATGTAGTCAAGCGTCATAGCTCTTCATGGGATGCATGTTCACAAAATAGCATTACCATGATCTGAGGGTGGAGATTTTGGCCCTCTGACCTCAAAAAGTCACCCATTGGACATTCACTCAGGTCCAGTTGAAGGGTCAGTGGTCTCAGCTAGCTTGAACTGGACAAGAGCTGACTCCAAGTTCCTGGAAAACACCTTAAGCAAACATTTCCATGGTGACCTATGCATCAGAGATACCGTCTATAAGAAAGATGGTGGGAGTTTAGTTATATATTGTTTAGCTACATGACTTTTAGCTATATGGTTTTTAAAATCAACTAAAAGCAAGTGACTAAGAACAAGCAAGGCAGGTCAAGATTGGTGAGCCTAATCAGATTAGCTTTCAGTTTCAGTTCTAAGGCATGGTGGTTCTAAGTTTCTTTTAGTGTGAAATATCTATGATTACATGTCAAAACATGTATCACAGGAAAAAAGGGCATCATTGAAGAATGACAAATCAGAAACTGGGGCTAATAGTTGTGAAGGCAGCTTCAACTACCAAATATCATGAACCAGAATAAAGTCTACTCAGCCACAAATCCAGAAGTGGAAAACAAGCTAAAGGTTAATCCCATCATGAGTTGGAGTAAGAGTAGAGACAGGTGGCAGGAGCCCAGAGTTGGCAGAGATTTGAATTCTTCAAGCTTTTCCAATATTTGAGCAGCATTTTGGAGTAATGGTAACTACTGGACCAGTTTTATGAGAGTGGATGCAGGGCTGGCTGAGTCTTCATCTGATTCTGGGTCTCAACTACAAATTCTGAGGAGCAGTTAGCATATCTTCCCATATGAACTGCTGGGCACATAGTAAACCATTAATAAATGGTGGAATGACTTTGATATGACTCAAATAGAAAATGTGCAGTTCATTCCACAATTCCTCTGTCAGTGATGCACATTCTTTTTTGAGACGGAGTCTCGCTCTGTTGCCCAGGCTGGAGTGCAGTGGAGCAAACTCAGCTCGCTGCAAGCTCTGCCTCCCGGGTTCACGCCATTCTCCTGCCTCAGCCTCCTGAGTAGCTGGGACTACAGGTGCCAACCACCACTCCCAGCTAATTTTTTTCATTTTTTATTTTTAGTAGAGACGGGGTTTCACTGTGTTAGCCAGGATAGTCTCGATCTCCTGACCTCGTGATCCGCCCACCTTGGCCTCCCAAAGTGCTGGGATTACAGGCGTAAGCCACCATGCCTGGCCAATGTGCATTCTTATTCATTCTGTTTTGGCCTAATTTATAATACATAGAATGGTGGTTGTTGGACATACCACACTTCTGTGTTTTGTAGTTATAATGTGAGTGTGTGTGCACATATCTGCATATAAATGATTCAACCCAGCTTAGAGCTCACAAGTTCCTTTTCCTTTTTTTCTTTAAATTATTCATGGCTTGTTTTGAATGCTGAGAAAGCTGTTCTAGCCCTGTATTAATATAATTATCTGAAAATTTGGAACTTGATTGTTATTGACATCATGAGTTTTCTCATGAGTTATTTTTTCCCAGAAGTTTCACTCATATATAAACTTGAATATAATGAAGTTAACTTCCTATAATTTATTTACCCCTATTATAGCAGAAAGGTCACCAAATTTGACATAAAACTCTGTTCATATAAAGCCTTAATTATCAACTAGCTGTTTACCTTGAACAAGTCAGTTAAATTCTCTTGGCCAGAGGAAACACTTTTGGAATGGCAGAGCAAGGACTTTCAAAAATCCACTTCTCCACAAAAGCAAAAACAAAAAAAAAAAAACACTGATAAAATCTGACAAAATAAATTAAAAATAATCATAAGTCTGGAAATTAACTAAAGGTTTTCAACAGTTGAAGGAACATTTATACAAAGTGACTGAATCTCAGTAAGAATCGTGAGCTTTGTTCACTGCTTTGTGATGTTTTAACTTAGCTGATCCCCTTCATTTTCACCCCAGCTCCGCAGTACTCTTGAAAACCAACAGCTTCACAGCCATGGTAACTCTGAAAATCAGGAGCCTAGAAACCACTAAGAGGAAAGAACAGGTTTGGAGATCCTAAACAAAGAACAATGATTGTCATTATTTGTTCTATCTGGAAACTTTTTGGAAAATTCAGATTCACAAATGTCTTGACTTGACTTGACTCATAATTATCTCTGTAACGTGTTATCCTCAGGGCTTTGGTTGAAAACATCAGCAGCAATTGTTTAATATATCAAAGTTGCCCTGGCAGTGATACAAGTTAGGGCAAACAAGAGGACGGCCAAAAATCTTAAAAGGAAAATCTAGAAAACGAAACACCTGTAGCAGGCTTTTAAAACATGTTTATCTGACATATTCCAGGGGATCTAGAAGACCATGCAAATATGCAGTAAAGATTTGAAAAGAGTATCTGTAGGTGACCTTTGAGGCCCTGCAAAACAGGAAGTGAAGACTAAGGCATAGTAGTAAGCTTTCAGAGTGTTGAAGGCATGCCTCAGGACACATACATATACAGCCCCTGAACAAAGCATGGGAGACTGATTGGTTCAAGGTGTTTAAGGAAATCTCTGTCTAATAATTAGCTAACTAACAATTAGCTAACTGAGTAGAAACTTCAGTGGCCTCGCATGACAAAGAATACAGACTTTACAAAACTCACTCAAGAAAATCACTAATCAAGCAGCAAAAACATGAAAACTAGGAAGGGGTTCAGATTTTAAAAGTTGCCTTATTATATTATGTTAAATGTTCAGTTTTCACAGAGAAAGGAGGAGGGTAGAAGAAAGAGGGGGAGAGACAGAGAGAAAGGCAAAGAGGAACATATATAGGAAAGAGGAAAGTATAGCTCAAGCATAGGAAAAGTAATCAATAGAAACTATCCATAAGAAAACTCAGATGTTGGACTAACTAGATAAAGATTTTAAATCAGCTGTTATAAATATGTTCCAAGAACTAAAGGAAATTATATCTAAAGAATAGAAGGACAGACATAGGAATGATGTCTAACCAAATAGAAAACATCAATAGAGGTATAAATTATTTAAAAAGTGTGAAGAAAAATGAAGAGAATCTAAAAAGCTCCATGGGGTACCATCAAGGGCACCAACATACACATGATCATAGTTCTAAAAGGAGATGAGGGAGAGAAGGGGACGGAAAGAATATTTAAAGAAATAATTCCAGCAAATTCCAAAATTTGATGGAAAACAATTATACACATCAAACAAGTTCAATGAACTCCAAGTAGGATAAACTCAGCGATCCATCCCTAGAAAGACCATAATCAATCTGTTGAAGACATCTTTTTTTTTTAAAAAAAAGATGCATCACAAATAAAGTAATCCTCAATAAAACTAATAGCTGATTTCTCATTATAAACCATGGAGACTTCAGGCAGTGGGATGACATACTCAAAGCGTAGAAAGAAAATGACTGTCAAACAACAATTGCATATCCAGCAAAGTTATCCTCCAAAAGTGAAGGAAAATTAAGACATTCCCAGATAAACAGATATGGAGAGGATTAATCACTAGCAGACCTGCTCTATGAGATATGATAAAGTGAATTTTTTAGGCTGAAATAAAGGACCCTAACTAGTTCTTCAAATACATACAAAGAAAAAGCACTGCAAAGTATACTACATAGGTAAAAGTGTAAATTTATTTTTGCTAGTAACTTGTTTCTTCTGATTTAAAAGAAAACTGGATAAAATAATAATGACAAAATGCTGTTGATGGATTTTAAAAATACAGAGGTGAAATTTGCATGACAATAGTAATATAGAAGAGTGGGAAGGGAACAGAGCTGTAGAGCAAAATTTTTTCTATACTATTAAAACTAAGGTGGTATTAATGCAAACGAGTTGTTTAAAATGTTAACTGTAATCCCTAAGAAAACAGCTCCAAAAATATAGTAAAAGAATAAACAGCTCGGTGGCTCACGCCTGTCATCCCAGCACTTTGGGAGGCCAAGGCAGGTGGATCACGAGGTCAGGAGATTGAGACCAACATGCTGAAATCCCGTCTCTACTAAAAAATACAAAAAATTAGGCGGGCATGGTGGCGGGCGCCTGTAGTGCCAGCTACGTGGGAGGCTGAGGCAGGAGAATGGTGTGAACCCGGGAGGCGGAGCTTGCAGTGAGCTGAAATCGCACCACTGCACTCCAGCCTGGGGGATAGAGTGAGACTCCATCTCAAAAAAAAAAAAGAATAAACAGGGGAATTAAAATGCTACAGTAGAGAATTTTGATTTAACAAAGAAGTAGGCAGTAATGGAGAAATAGAGGAACAAAAAGATATAAATATAGAAAACAAAAAGTAAATGGAAGATGTAAATCCCACCTTATCTTTATTTATAATAATATTAATGAAATATGATACAAATTAATATAATTCCACCTTATTAATAGTTGTGTTAATTAGTAATACAAATGGATTAAACATTTAATTAAAAGGCAGAGATTGGCAGAATGCATTAAAAAGCATGAACCAACTATATTGTATTAATGAGACACACTTTGGCTTCAAAGACACAAATAAGTTGAAAGGAAAAGAATGAAATAGTGTTGTATTAGTCAGTTTTCATGCTGCTGATAAAGACATACCCGAGACTGGGTAATTTATAAACAAAAAGAGATTTAATGGACTCACAGTTCTGCGTGGCTGGGGAGGCCTCATAATCATGTCAGAAGGTGAAAAGCATGTCTTACATGGTGGCAGGCAAAGAGAATGAGATCCAAGCCAAAGGGATTTCACCTTATAAGACCATCAGATCTCATGAGACTTATTAACTACCACGAGAACAGTAAGGGGGAAACCGCCCCCATGGTTCAATTATCTCCCACTGGGTCCCTCCCACAACATGTGGGAATTATGGGAGCTACAATTCAAGATGAGATTTGGGTGAGACACAGCCAAACCATATCAACCGTGCAAGTAGTAACCAACAGAGAACTGTAGTGGCTGTAGTAATATCAGACAACATACAATTGAAGACAAATTTATGCTAGAGACAAAGGAGACTGTTTTAAAATAATGAAATGGTTAGTTCATCAGAAAGACACAATAATTATATATGCACTCAATAACAGAGCCCCAAAACACATGCAACAAAAACAGATTAAACTGAAGACAATTCAACAGTAATAGTTGGAAACTTCAATACTTCAATAATGGATAGAGTAACTAAGCAGAAGATCAAGTAAATAGAAAACTTGAACAACACCATAACGCAGCTAGACCTAACAGACATCTATGTAATGCACCATTCAGCTACAGCAGGGTACACATTTTTCTCAGTGCACATAAAACATGCTCTAGGATAGTTCATATGGTAGCCCATATAACAAGCCTCACTAAATTAAAAAGGACTGAAATAATACAAATGTAAAGTATGATCTCTAACTACCTGGAATAGAATTTGAAATCAATAATAGAAGGTAAATGGGGGAATTAACAATTATGTGGAAATTAAGCAAAACACATCTAAATAAACAATGATTCAGAGAAGAAATATTAATGGAAATTAGAAAATACTTTAAGATGAATGAAAGTAAAAACATAACAACACTTATAGGGTGGAGCTGCAGTCATGGCCAGAGAGATATTTGGAGTTGTAAATGCCCATATTAAAAAAAAAAGACATCAAATAAATAAACTTTCACTTAAAAAAAAAAAACTAGAAAAAGAAAGGCAAACTGAACCCAAAGCAAGCAGAATGAAAGAAATCATAAAGTTCAAAGCTGAAATAAATGAAGTAGAGACTAGAGAAAAATAGACAAAATCAACAAAACCAAAAAAGCTTGCTCTTTAAAAAGGTCAAAAAATTGACAAATCTTTAGCTAGACCAAAAAGGAGATAGAGAAAAGACTCAAATTACTACAAATTACTAGAGTCAGGAATAAAGAGAGGACATTATTTCTGAAATTATAGAAATAAAAGGGATTATAAGGCAATATGATGAACAAATTAGATAATCGAGATGAGATGAACAAATTCCTAGAAAGGCACAAACTACCAAAACAGACTTAAGAAGTATTAGAAAATCTGAGTGGATATATCTATAACAAGTAAAGGGATTAAATTAGTAATTTTAAAAATTCTCATAGCTATATCCCAGGTCCAGGTGACTTCGCTGAAGAATTCTACCATACATTTAAAGGATAATTAACAATTCTTCACAGATTTTTCCAAAAAATTGAAGAGGAGGAAATATGATTTGGCAATAAAAAGTAGTACGTATTAATTCATGCTACAACATGGATAATTTTTTTTGGAGGTCAATATACACAAAGCAATTTTATTTGTATGTACTTGTGGTGAACAATTAGAAAATTTCATTCATAATAGCATAAAAGTATAAAATATTCAGGAATAAATTTTTTTTTTCAGAGCAGGAATGGAAGTTTATTAAAAAGCTTTAGAGCGGGAACGAAAGAAAGGAAAGTACACTTGGAAGAGGCCCAAGTGGGCATCCTGGAGGTCAAGTGCGGCATTTGACCTTTGACTTAGGGTGCTATATGTTGGCATACTTCTGGGGTCCTGCGTCCCTTTTTCCTTGATTCTTCCCTTAGGGTGACCTGCCAGCATGTGCAGTGGCCTACTGACACCTGGGAGGTGAGCATGCACAGTGTGTTTACTGGAGTCTGGCGCTTGCTTGCCTGGGGCTTCGTCCCTTTTCCAGTTGAATGCCCCAGGAAGGTCATACTCCGCCATTTTGGTTCTTTTTTTTTTTTTTAATACTTTAAGTTCTAGGGTACATGTGCACAATGTGCAGGTTTCTTATATATATACATGCACGACAACATGGATGATATTTGAAAACATTTTTGCTAAGTGAAAGAAGCCAGTCACAAAACGCTGCATATTCTATGATATCATTTATATAAATATCTGGAATAGACAAATGACAGAGACAGAAAAGCAGGTTAGTGATTTTCTGGGGCTGGGTATAAGGGATAATGGGGGAATTACTGCTAATGGATATGGAGTTTCTTTATGGGGTGTTGGAAATATTCTAAACTTAGGTGGTGGTGATGGTTGTACAACTATGTCAATATGCTAGAAACCACTGAATTGTACATTTTAAATAGATAAATTTTATGCAAAGTATATCTCAAGAAAGCTGTTATACTTCTTTTTTCCCTTTGGCTTGTTTTCTCATTTGAAAGATGAGAGACTGGGGTTGATTATCTATATAGCTTCTGGTGATGAAAAGAGTCAAACTCTGTAAAATGATTTTAAGTGATTTATTCTGAGCCAAATATGAGTGACGATGGCCCGTGACACAGCCCTCGGGAGGTCCTGAGAACATGTGCCCAAGGTGGTCGGGGTACCTCTTTGTTTCATATATCTTAGGAAGACATGAGACATCAATCAAATACATTTAATAAATACATTGGTTTGGTTCAGAAAGGTGGGACAACTCAAAGTGGGAGCTTTCAGGCTATAGGTAAATTTAAATATTGTCTGGTTGACAATTAGTTGAGTTTGTCTAAAGACCTGGGATCAATAGAAAGGAATGTTCAGGTTAAAGATAAAGGATTGTGGAGACCATGTTTTATTGTGCAGAGGAAGCTCTCAGATAGCAGACTTCAGAGAGAGCAGCAGGTTGTGAACTGTTTCTTATTGGACTTAAAAGCTTGCCTGGCTCTTAGTTGATTATCTCCTGGATCTAGGAAGGAAGGAAGGAATACAAAGGGGGAAGGGGATTCTCTATAGAATGTGGATTTTTCCCACAAGAGACTTTGCAGGATAATTTCAAGGTATGGCAAGGAAATATATTTTGGGGTTAAATATTTTTTCCTTGTCTCATAATGTTATGCCAGAGGCAGATTGAAAAGTAAGTCACAATATGTATCTGGTGAGAATTTATGGTTTGTAGGGCATGACTCCCCAGGCCCCTTAGATAAGAATTTAGGCAAGATAAAAAAAATCAGAGCTCTAGTCCTCATTTCTTCCAGCTCATTTATTCAATGGATGTATGCCTTTGAAGTTATACAGAAATAAATCTTAAAAGCAGAGTCCTATTTACTCATTGTTTTATTCTCAGATATGCTTTACTTTTATTTCCCATGTTCTCTGTTAATCCTACACTCTAAGATTCTGTATCTTCCAGTTGCTCTGCAGAGTATAGAAACATTTCACAGCTTCCAAAAAATGCACACTTATTTAAAAATTAGTGTGTGGGCATGCAATACATTATGAGTGTTAGGTTTAAAAGAGAATTTTAATCTAGCAAGTGAAATGATTTAAATAAGGTGAAATTTTCTGTTATATTTATTTTTTTCACTAAGCATCTTTGGAATACCTTTTCTCAGACAACAAACTTTAGAGGCACTAAAGTAAGTGAAATATTTCAGATAAGGTAAGTACAGTCATCACAGGTGGAAGTACATTTTGAAAAAGAATACCAGAAAACCCTGGTTTAAATTTTAACTCTGACATGAGCAAATCTATTAAGAGCTTTAAATCTTAGCTTTTTGTTGTAAATATACGTTATATATGCATATTATACATGTTTGTATATGCATACATAAATACGGTGAGGCATAGCCTTAATATTTATCAGGGGTAATAATAAAATAATGGCTGACAGTTATTGAGCACTGGATATGAGCTAAGAAATTCATGAATACAGTCTCATTTAATCCTCAAAATAATCCCTTATAGCAGAAATTATTTCTCATCCCGTTTTACAGATGAGTAAAACCAAAGCCATCAGGTTAGCAAGTATCAGGAAGAGAGCTGTTAGCTTCTAGGAAATGTTCTTCATAATACATTCTCAGCAAATGCCATGGGATTTTGGAGAACCCTGCTGTTTGTAAATATCAAGTAATGCCTCTCATTCAGTTCAAGGAGATACTAAACAGTTTAAGTGATTTCAGGCCGGCCGCGGTGGCTCACGCCTGTAATCCTAGCACTTTGGGAGGCCGAGGCGGGCGGATCACGAGGTCAGCAGTTCGAGACCATCCTGGCTAACATGGTGAAACCCCGTCTCTACTAAAAATACAAAAAAAAAAAAAAAAAAAAATTAGCCGGGCGTTGTGGCGGGCGCCTGTCGAACCAGCTACTCCGGAGGCTGAGGCAGGAGAATGGCGTGAACCCGGGAGGCGGAGCTTGCAGTGAGCTGAGATCGCGCCACTGCACTCCAGCCTGGGCGACAGAGCGAGACTCCGTCTCAAAAAAAAAAAAAAAAAAAAAAAAAAAAAAAGTTTAAGTGATTTCCTTCAGGCTAACCATGAACCTGGCTGGGAACAGGGATTTCACCATGAACTAAAGCACACAAGTATTACTGTTATAAAGAGACAAAGGGAATTTCAAAGTTACTTTGGAATCCCAATGTGCACGCATGATTATGACTATGGGCACTCTTTGCTGGTACAAATAGTGGATGTTAAATGCTAAAGTTTTAAAATGCCACCAGTTCATATTATTTTAAAAACTGCTTTATAAATGATGTGCTATTCAAATAGAAGGTGATCTAAATCTCATTGCAATACATACATGGAGTTAGAAAGTTCAAGCACTTCATCAAACAGCAAAATTTGCATTTGAGTAAATGAGTAAGTCAGTGTACATGTTTGTCTCACACTCTGACAAATTTCCAAGGGAGGATTCATTTTATTTCTGTGCTCTGAATATTTATTTAGAACACAATGCTACTCATTGTAATTTCACAATAGCTTTTTTTTTTTTAATTAAGCCTAGTAAACCATACTACTTTGTGAGCTTTACTAACCTCACTAACTCTCTTATTCCTTCCTACTGGTCTAGCATCTTAGACTAAACACCAGCTAGAATGTGGAGTTAGGCAATCAAGTGTGAAACTTAACTTGTACTTGTGTAAGTATTAATATATACTTTTACTCTTTAAACTTGTTAAGAATGAGAGATTTCCAAATTAGTCTTGACAGACAATCAGTTTTTGATGGACTTCCGAGTTTTAACATATGAAAATACATTTTTGTTTATAAAATATAAATTCCAACAAGGGTAGCTTGGGTTCTGAGCTAATTATTAGGGAATTCGAGTTTCTTCCTTTACCTGGAGAAGAGTAGCCTCAGAACTGATAGAGAAGTTAGAGAGGGGCCTTAAGTGGACCCTCAAGAAACAGCACCTGAACTTTTGGGGCGGCTGAGGTCAGCAGGATTTACTGAGGACTGTTAGGTGCCCCGAGGGCATTGCCTTGGCCAATTCATCCTTGTAACAACCCTGTCACCAAGCAAGATATTTCACTGGGCAGGAAATGAAGACCCACGTTAAATTAAATGTTCAGACATCTGTCTAGGAAACTGGAGCAGGTGGGGAACTTGGCTCCTTTGACGTTCAGTCAAGTATAAGAACAATGTAATTTGTGTTCTTCTTGCTTATTGCTATTTAGTTTCTTGCAGCACAGCTCTTAAAGCATGACAAAGGAATGGTCATCTCTGGAAGTATTTTTAAATGGAGAACTAATCCATCAGTCATTCTTGCCTGAGGAGGATTCTCTGCTCTCCTACTCTCTCTCTCCCTCCAGTATTTAGGGCGTGCCTATTTTGTGCTGGTCAGAGTGCTTCATGGCCCTCCCTGTGGCTCTCACACTCAAATCGGGGACATAGATAATCAAGAGAAAATGATTAAATACAGAGTGCAAATTCTGAGACGTCCTATGCAGGAAGCGGAGTGCAGTGAGGGGGCACTGGTGGTGGGGGATGAACTTATTTAGAAACTTCATCAGGGCTGGCCTGCCAGAGAAGGTGGCATTTAAATTGACGCTTTCAGATAGAAGAGGCAGCCAAGCAGAGATGTGAATTCTAAGACAGGAATAAATTTGGACAGAGACTGAAAGAGGGCAGTGAGGTTGGCTAGAGCTTAGTGGCTGTGGGAGAGCATCACAAGACTGAGTAGATGAGGTACCTTCTTCAACCAATGCGGGGGCAAACAAAGAACCCCTGGGAGCCTCTGTACATCAGGTCCAGTACTCAGTGCTGGCACAGAGCACCCTGAAACCCTGACTCCTATTCTCATGGTCCATTCTATTCCAGCCCCAGGAAATGCTTCTCCCCATGTCTTGCTCTTTGTCCTCAAAACAAAAGGTGATACTGAGTTTCCAAATCTGCCAAGATTCATAGGTAGTAGCAGTGGCAACACTGGAGAGAGTCACTGCTTTGTTGCTCAGGGAGGATTAGAGCTGTGGAAATTTGTAGGTAAGAGAAAGCACAAGCACATTAACTGGCTGTATGAGTCCATTTTTACACTTCTGTAGAGACCTGCCTGAGACTGGGTGATTTATAAAGGAAAGAGGTTTAATTGACTCACAGTTCTGCATGACTGGGGAGGCCTCAGAAACTTACAGTCATGGCAGAAGGTGAAGGGAAGGCACCTTCTTCACAAGGTGGCAGGAAGGAGAATGCATCTGGGAGGAACTACCAAACGTTTATAAAACCATCAGATCTCGTGAAAACTCACTATCACAAGAACAGCATAAGGAAAACCACTACCATGATCCAATTATCTCCAGTACGTCTCGCCCTTGACACATGGGGATTATGGGGATTATAATTCAAGATGAGATTTGGGTGGGACACAAAGCTTAACCATATCACTTGTCAAATCCCTTCCCTCAGCTTGAAATAGCATTCTAATTGTTGCAAAGTATTTTTTCCATGTAGTGTTGAACATCTATTTCCTTGCATTTCTTTATGAACCAAATATGGTCGGGAATTACTCATACATTAGCATGGAATTTGTGATACTTGCACATGGTGGCTAAGGAATATTAGACAATTCATCTTATTATTAAATTCACAATATTCTTACATTCATATATATGTATGTTTAGCTATAATACGTGTGAGGTGGTGACTCCACTGGTGACTAGGAAGACCTTGAAAGTTTAATTACAAATAGCTTTACTTTTGTAAAAATATTTAATAAGATGTAATTAAATCTTCATAAGAAAAAGATTTTAGTTGAATTTCAATACATTTAATTTAAAATTTGACATTATTATTTACATTTGCCTTTAATTTTAAGGTAGTTTATATTATTAAAAAAACTTTTCAAAGTACATGAAAAATATGTTCAGTTTTTTATATTTAATTGGTATTTTCATGAGAATATATTCTAATTTTGTAGTCTTTGGATACAATTACATTTTTTAAATTTCTTTAGATCACTTAGAATAAGTTCATGTCAAGATGGGGCTAGAAATAGAAGACAAAAATAGAGCTCAGAAAAGGGGCGGAAGCAGCAGAAAAAAACCAAAGACATTCAGAGGCAATCTGCTTACATTTTTAAATTCCTGAAACAATGAAAGAAAGAGTAGGCTTCTGTCAAGCATGACCCATATAAAATTTGCAAAGAGTACAAAACACATTTTCCAGATTTAGTTACTGATCAAAGTAATAAAAACAAGCCAATTGGACATTGCAGATGATTTAGACTTTTGCTACTGGCCATAACAATGGAGATGAGCAAGAAAATTTTTCTCGTCATATCCCAGGTAATCAGGTCTGATAAACTCCATGAAAGTTTATATTTTTTACTAAGCAAAGGTTGAAATACTGATCAAAATCACAAGAATAAATCACAAAAGTGTTCCCATCTAATTCCCAGCTTAGAAGCAGCAAAGGCAGCTGGGCCAGCTGATAGACAAGGAACGCTGTCCTCCCAGAACCAGCCACGGGTGCAGATGATGGGCACTGCGGAGCCTGCTGTCTTACAGAAGCTGATCCTGGAGGGTGCCTTTCAATCCTCGATGTCAGGAGGTTTTCTTTTAGAAAACAATCTGATTCAGAATAATGACTGCAATTTTTCACTGGATGGAAAACAAGTCTAGAGGAATTGACCCTTATTTTAAGTTCAAAGATAGTATATCCTTGTTACTACTGTTACATGTTTTATAGCCAATCTTCAAGACCACCTCTGGGCAATGAAGTTATTTGTGATGGAAACACTTAGGTTCTTGATTAAGTGAATATTAAAAAAAAATCACTATCAGAGAAAAGTATACCTGATACAATGACTAGAACTGAAAAATTATGAACAAATAGCAAAACAATTAGTACTATTTGACAAAAAGAAGTAATCACCAATATAAAACTTTGGTATGATGTTCTAAACATACGAATATCCACTTTTTAGCCAAACATAATGATGCTTCTTTTGACACTGACTATCCAACATTTCTTGAGAAGAGTGGATAGTTTCTAAGTCTAGAAGACATGATTTTGGAATTTGAAGCTAGAATGTCTGAACATGTAGTACAGATTAAAAAAAAACAAATTAAAACTATCTAGAATGGCAAAATAAAAATGAAATTATCTTTTAATGCATAATGAAGTGAGAGAAAAAATTACAATAAAATAATTTTTAAAGTTTTTTTCTAAATTGAAAGATATTTCATGTGATACATCTAAAGTAACATAGCTGTAAAATATAAGGACATTAGAAAAAGGAAATGGAAATATTTGCATTACTATGAAGCTTCCTGTACAAATAATTCCAAAACTAATGTATATAGATACTATTTTCTCACCATTATATACTGAGATGTCTTAATCATAGGTTTTCTATGAAATATTTCAGCAAAGAAAAATTTGAAAAAATTTATAAGTATTGTGTGGGTTCAGGCATTTCTTTTTCTTTCTCTCTTTCTCTTTCTTTCCTTTTTTTTTTTTTTCTGTGATGGGGTCTCACTGTGTCACCCAGTCTGTAGTGCAATCATGCTATCTGGACTCACTGCAACTTCTGCCTGCTGAGCTGAAGCCATTCTCCCACCTCAGCCTCATGAGTAGCAGAGACTGCCGGCGCACCACCTTGCCCAGCTAATATTTGTATGTTTTGCAGAGATGGTATTTTGCCTTGTTGCCCAGGATGGTCTCGAACTCCTGACCTTAAGTGATCTGCCCACCTTGGCCTCCCAAAGTGCTGGGATGACAGGGGTGAGCCACTGCACCCGGTTGAATTCAGATTTTTTTTAAGAGATGGTGTAATTTATAATACATGTGATACTCATGTATATGATACATTTAAAAAATATTGTAGTTTTATCCTAGGATAATGATAATTTTATTTGCAACCTGTCCTTAGAATTTCTAATTCCATTGAAAGCAATAGCAAAAACCGCAATTACTTTTGCACCAACCTAATATATGGAAAATCTATTTTTTCTGAGTCTAAATATCGCCTAAAAATAATTTTATTGACAGTTGCTGCTGACTTAGCAGAGTGAAATTTCTCTATACTGAAATAAACTACAGTGACTCAAGAAAGATGCCCTAATTTTAGCATTACCCTCAACAGAAGAAAATTACATGGAAAATTTTGACTGTGAACACACAATTAGTGATTTTGTTAATAAAAAGGTAAAAGATAAATTTTATGAAATATATAGATGAACATTTATGAGTTATGTGTGTCTTGATTTTCTTATTCATCTACCATCACAGCACATCATAAGGACATCTCAAAACTGGGTAATAGGCCGAGCATGGCGGCTAATGCCTGAAACCCCAGCACTTTGGGAGGCCGAGGCAGGTGGGTCACCTGAGGTCAGGAGTTTGAGACCAGCCTGCAACATGGCAAAATCCATCTCTACTAAAAATACAAAAATTAGTCGAGTGTGGTGGTGGGCGCCTGTAATCCCAGCTACTCAGGAGGCTGAGGCAGGAGAATTGCTTGAACCCAGGAGGTGGGGATTGCAGTGAGCCAACATAGTGCCCCTGCACTCCAGCCTGGGCGACAACAGCGAGACTCTGTCTCAAAAAAAAAAAAACAAAACATTCTATTCCATCATCATAAATATATGACCATGACTCTACCATTTTAACATTTTATCATTATGAAGGTATGCTTCTCAAGATAGGAGAATAGAACATATTTTATTTACAGTTTAATTTACTAGATTTCACTGTTTAGATGGATGGGGCCCATTTGTCCTTTTGTTCAGACTCTAGAGATGTTAGAGGCCAGCCTGAATGGTGGAACTTTCATCATTCCCTGTGTTCTCTCTTGTATTCTCTAGTAACTTGTGCAGAGTAAGCATTTAATAACTGTTTGCAGTGCAGGGTGCCTAGGCTCACACCTGTAATCCCAGTCTCAGGCAGGAGGATCCCGTGAGGCCAGGAGTTTGAGGCCAGTATAGGCCACCTGGTGAGACCGCATCTCTAAAAAATATTTTTTTTTTAATGCTGAATGAACAAATATTGCCTTCTCCTACTTCTCTAAAAACTACTTGTTAAAAATGACCTGTCAGAAACGACTTGACTTTTGGCCGGGCGCAGTGGTTCATGCCTGTAATCCCAGCACTTTGGGAGGGCAAGATGGGCAGATCATGAGGTCAGGAGATCGAGACCATCCTACCTAACACGGTGAAACCGTATCTCTACTAAAAATACAAAAAATTAGCCGGGCATGGTGGCGGGCGCCTGTAGTCCCAGCTACTAGGGAGGCTGAGGCAGGAGAATGGAATGAACCCAGGAGGCGGAGCTTGCAGTGAGCTGAGATCGCGCCATTGGACTCCAGCCTGGGTGACAGAGCGAGACTCTGCCTCAAAAAAAAAAGAAATGACTTGACTTTCAAGGCCTGGATGAACTAGCTCATTCTCAGGGAAGCCTTTTTTATTACCTTCAGCCAGAAGCCATGGCTTTTCCCCTGCCCTTGGGCAGGCTTCTCATCGGGGCTGCCTCCAGTGGTGGGTTTCTTTTGTGTGCTCTCAGAACCACCCGCAATGGGATCAACAGCCCCTGGGGGCACATAAAACCACACTTCCCAGTGCTCACAGGATTTGGCACCTGGGTATTCATTACATTTTTTTTTCACTGACAATCTACATTTTTAAGAGATTAGTATGAATAAATTCCTATAGTAAAATCCTGTTCCCTCCACATATGTGAAGTAAGAACTGCTTTTATCTTGTTGCATCGGGCTTTGAAAGTCATTTTGTAGCCTTGTATTAAATACACACATAGCAAACACTGTACATTTTCTGAGACTGAGAATAGTTTTGACAAAACTTTCTGTATAAATCCTTGGCGCTTGTTATCAAAATAGCTAAGAGAAAAATGTAGAAATAAGCCTCAGGTCTCCAGTGGCTTGATAATCGAGATACATAATTTCAGGGCCAGAGGCATATTAATCGGTTGAGGTTAAGTGAGACTTTCATCAAATCAGACAAAGGAATGCCCACTGTGTGTAAGGAGCCAAGCTGCAGTCCAGCCAGGCTGTGGGTCAATATCTCTGAGCCTTGCTTATTTAATTGTACATCTGCTTTTGGAACCACCTTTGCCCTGTTTGCTGTAGATGATCAGCTTTCATCTGCTATAATTTCCTCATCAAGGTTTATTTCCCGTTATGTACTTGATTTTTCATTTTCCTTCCTTGTAAAGGAGTATTCCCAATATGACCTCAGCTGAATTTCTCTCTGTTCTTTTTATTCTGCTTGCTTCAGGCAAAAAAACCCAATGAACCTTTTAGTGTGCGATGCACAGATTAAAGTACTTCATTGAGTTCCTGTTTAAGGATGATCATGCGATACTATGGATCAGAATGAACACATAAAAAGATACTCTTCTTTTTTGATTAAAAGGCAATTCCAAATGAAATTATGTCAGTTTATGAGCACTTGAAATACATTCTCATCCTCCAACTGGTAGAAATGAGGGATTATTATAATTCTTGTGGCTCTCTACTCTTTCCTTCAGGACACTCTTTGTTAGGGATTCTGCCTGGTATTCGTCATTCATCTCCTACCTGGGAAATCATGTGACAGTAGCTTAAACAGGGAAATGAGTGATTCATATTCAAAAATACCTCTTTTTTTTGTCTTAAATAGCCAATAGCACATTATAGCTTTGGATAAATTGAAATGGACAATGGAAAGGGGAATTTGATTTCTCCGGAAACTATATTCCCTGTTAAATGTTACGCAATCAAGAGAAATCCATTTGTAGGATAAATCTGTGCTCTGAATAATAATTGTGCTATTCCATATTTACTGTTCCATTGTAAATGGCCAAATATTCACTGATGTGCAGGACGAATGGCACCGGCTGGAGGCAGCCGCATGTTGGCAGTCGCCACGAAGCCTTTCCCCAGGATTCTGGCAGACACCTTGGTCTTGATCTGAGACATCACAGCCACCCCATTTGTAGACATTTGTGCCCATGGGTATGCCCCATGGATGCTCATTCTCTGTGAGCAGACTTTATAATGTGGAAAGTATTCACAAGGAGCTGAGAGGTGACCACCAAATTAACTTCCATCTGCCATCAAAGTCAAGATTTTTCCTTCAATGCCAAACAGATTCCCTAGGGTATAACTTGATGCTTTCTTATATACAAATATCACTAAAGGCATGAACAGTAATTTTAAATAAGATGGGCATTAGGAAAATGAACAATGAGGACAGTACACCTTACTGTGCAGGTGGGGGCATACCCAAACCCACCCCACATCCTTTAGTCAGGAGATTGTAGGTGACAGAGGTTCATGATGCTGGCATACATGATCTGTATTAAATAGCCCTTCTGTGGCAGGCCAGGTCTCACTAACATAGGCCTCCATAGCAACTGTTTCAGCACTGACTGAGTGGTTAAATATTAAAAGCTGAGAGAGCCAGTGCCCTTATACAAAGGCTGGAATGTAACAAAAGCCCACCAAGAGTCTTGCATAGGCCTTTCGTGGGCCTTAAAGCATGAGAAGATAATGAAGGAATTCTTAACAGGACCCATTTAGGATTAAACAAGTTTTATTGGGGGTCTGAAGAAACTCCCCAGGCCTCTGCAAACAAGTTTATTAGGGGTCCAAAAGAGCTCCCCAAACCTCCGTGATTTAACAGGAGACGAGATAAGGGTAATCACCCCAGCACCTGGACCCACTGAATTTAAGTAAATTTACTGAGGCTCCAGAGGAAGGTCTTCAGGACTCAGAGCTTAGTTATAGATTAAAAGAAATTAATCACTTATTTGTTTAGATGAATGCATACTTACAGTTAGACAGAGAGTTTAGAACGTGTATAAGCCCTGGAAAACTTTGTAATTTTGAGTTGGTCTAGCGATAATTTCCAGGCCTTCTCCTTGTAACTGGTGGCAGAAATAAAAACTCTCTTCCTCCCCTGTTCATCTGCATCTTGTTATTGGGCCACAAGAAATAGCAGCCCAACCCTCAGTTTGTTCCGGGAACACTTCTATGCCTGAGTTGAAGTACAGAAGTATTTCTCTTAGCTGATAAAGAGGGGAAATTAGAAGGAAAGTACAATCCTACAAGAATTTACTTTTCTAAACCTTTATTTTCTTTTAGGATTATTGAGGACTGGGTAGAATTATGAGGAAGTCAGAAAGAAAAAGTATTAAAGCACACATCTGTTTCCCACCCCAGCCCCAGCTTCTTATAGTTTGTTCACTGTGGAATCTGGGCATGATCAGATGGCATGCTTGGAGGACTTAGTTTTTAATGAGACCAAATATTCTAATGCAAATTCCCTTTTTTCTGCTGAGACCTTTCGAATCTATGGTGACTTGGGGTCAGACAAAGTCATCTAATATCTGAAGTAATTGTGTGAAATATCAGAGAAAACATGAGCTCCAGCATGGTGTAAAATAAACACGCCAATTCATTTATTCATTTGTCATGGAGAAGTCATGGATTGGAAGTGGTGGTAAAATTTTAGAACAAAATAAAAGATACTTTGATAGGGACAAAGTGTGTAAAAGAATTACTCAAAAATTAAGATTTAATAGTATTTGATCTTAAAAACATGATCTTTAATAGTGATATATGTCAATAGAGTCTCATGTCATTGTAAATTATATTTTATCAGTAATTTTGAGCTTTCAGATAATTAAGATTAGAGCAGATCTGCTTACATATTTAGCCTTGTATGACTGAGCATTTTGTTACCCAGAACATGTTGATATGACCTATGATGAAGTCTTCCAATTTTTCTTGGCAAAATAAGAGCAATGATATTTCTTTTTTGAAAAATCTTTGCAATGTCTGAAAGCACTTTTCCTCTATAAAAATTAAAACTTTTCAAAAAAAAAATAACTGGCATTTTCTCTGGATAGACTTTGTATTTTTTTACCTGCCTCAGCAGAAAATTAAAAACTACCAAAGCATTTGTAACTTTTGTCCCTAGCTAGGGAAGAGTTCTTTGTCTAAACTGTCTGTTTACAACCATCCCCCCTTCTCCATGGGGGATACATGGCAAGGCCCCCAGTGGATGCCCGAAACCGCGGATAGTACTGAACCCTATATGTACTATTTCTTCCTATACGTACATACCTATGATAAAGTTCAATTTATAAACTAGGAACAGTAGATATTAACAATATCTGGCTTGAAGAAAAGGACTTTCAGGTAGGTTTGATAACTGGTAGGGTAGTAAATAAGAGACCATCATCTCCTGCCATCTGGAACTAAAGAAAGATTTACAAAGAGCCCTTGCTTAAAATGTTATCCTGGGTTTACACTGATTGTCAGATAATACAGTCATGCACCACATAATGACGTTTTGGTCAATGATGGACAGTGTATATGACAGTGGTCCCATACGATTATTATGCAGCTGAAAATTTCCTATCACTGTCATAGCTGTCTTACTGCCATAGAGCAATGCATTACGCAGGTGTCTGTGGTGATGTTGGTATAAATGAACCTACTCAGGAAGAACCTCAGACAGGTCCTTCAGAAGGTATCGAGAAGGAGGCATTGTTATCATAGAGATGACAGCTCCATGCGTGCTTTTGCCCCTGAGGACCTTCCAGTGGGATATGATGTGGAGGTGGAAGATAGTGATATTGATGATCCTGACCTTGTGCAGGCCTGGGATAATGTGTGTGTCTGTGTCTTAGTTTTTAACAAAAAAGTTTAAAAAGAAAAAAAAATTTAAAAAGCTTGTAAATAAGGATATAAAAATTTTTTTGTACAGCTGTACAATGTATTTGTGTTTTAAGCTAAGTGTTACACAAGGATAAAAATGTGGAAAAAAATAAAAACTTTCTAAAGTAAAAATGTTACATAAGCTAAGGTTAATTTTTGTTGAAGATAGAAAATTTTAAAAAATAAGTTTAGTGGACCGGGCCTGGTGGCTCACGCCTGTAATCTTAGCACTTTGGGAGGCCGAGGTTGGGAGGATCACAAGGTCAGAAGATCGAGACCATCCTGGCCAACATGGTGAAACCCCGTCTCTACTAAAAATACAAAAATTAGCTGGGCATGGTGGTACGTGCCTGTAATCCCAGCTACTCAGGAGGCTGAGGCAGGAGAATCGCTTGAACCAGGGAGTCGGAGGTTGCAGTGAGCCGAGATCATGCCACTGCACTCCAGCCTGGTAACAGAGTAAGACTCTGCCTCAAAAATAAATAAATAAATAAAATAAGTTTAGTGTAGCTGAAGTGTTCAGTGTTAATGAAGTCTACAGTAGCGTACAGTAATGTCCTAGGCCTTCACATTCACTCACCCCTCAATCACTGACTCACGCTGAGCAACTTCTATCCTGCAAGCTCCATTCAAAGTGAGTGCCCTATGCAGGCGGACCGTTTTTAATCTTTTATGCTGTATTTTTACTGTACCTTTTCTATGTTTAGATATGTTTAGATACACTATACTTACCAATATGTTTCAGTTTCCTACAGTATTCAGTGTGGTGACACACTGCACAGGTGTGAATGGGTATACCATATAGCCTAGGAGCATGGTAGGCTCTACCATCTAGCTTTGTGTAAGGACACTCTATGATGTGTGCACAACATTGAAATCTTCTAAGGACATATTTCTCAGAACATATCCTTGTCGTTAAGTGACCCATGACTCAGTATCTATTTAAATCTTAAACCTTCCGAGAGTGTCGTAGGATGTAGCTTAGAAGATTATTTTTATATAATCATCTGCAGACATTCCTTGAAGTAATTATACCTCCTTGTACTACATAATTAGTATCAATGAATAATTTAGAGCATGTAATTAATACTGATACCAAAATGTTTAAAATTATTTTTAAAAGAATTCATAACTATTCCTTTTAACTTGATTTTTTCAGGTTTTGGCTAAATTTATCCTATCATACTTACACTAGTTACGCCTTCAAATTCATAATGAACTCTAAGGAACTTGAAGGAGACAATAGGTAGTTTTAAATAAATTGAGTTTCTTAAATGAAATGCATTCTGCTTATTTTTAGTGTCCTAATTTTGAAAACAAACACTGCACTCTCCCAGTAGTTTTGCAGGTTGTTTCGGACTGTTGAGTATTTTAAGGCAGGTTGTTTTGGACTGATGAGTGTTTTCCCCAGGAACCAGGGGGAAAGACCCACGGCAGGAGGCTACTAAGGAAGGTAGGGGCTTCTGGACACTTGGGTGGGCCCAGGGGCTCGTGACCTCGTGTTGTTCTTTGTCCAGATCCTCATTTCCTTTTTAATTCTATGGTCACTTGTTCACAGTTTTTTAAAATAACTCCTGCTTCACCCCCATGCCCAAACAAACTTTCCAGCTGTTCTTGCTAATCCAGGACAGTGAACCTTGGCCCAGGCAGTGATGCTGTGCTCCAGCTGGGACCGGGTGTCCTGTCGGAATGCAGTGGCATCCAGGAGCGTGCCACCCCACCTGCCTTTCTGCCCACCCACAATGCAGGGTTTGAGCTGCTCACCGTCTGGAGCAATCCCAGCTCTCCCTCTAAGGGCCCATGTCAATGAACAGAAAGATGATAACTGAGGACAAAACCCTTTCCATCCCCACTTCTGAAAAACGCACTAAAAGAAAGAAATCGAACTTATTCAGTTCACCTTATTCATTTGGAGGCAATCTCAAAAAAGGAGGCAAACGTTAACTTGTTATTTAGAGAATCAATTACTGATGCAAACTGACCATGTGTGTGTAAGTCCCCGGTGTGTCTTATGATTTGTCACTTAGTAGCTTAGCGGCTGCTGTCATATGACTAGGAGGCTTTGAGTTAGAAGCCCTCTGACTGTGTCCTACACTACCAAACTATTCAAATGAGCTTGAGTAAATCACCTTGCTAATCATTCTCAATATATTAACTCATTTACCACTCACACTCAGATACTTATAGAGGTACTGTTATTGCTGCTATGTATACAAGAGGAAACTGCGACCCAGGGAGGATAACTAACCCTTTTCCATCCTGCCAGCTTGTGTGTGAAGGCTGAGATCAGACCCCAAGGCAGGCTGTTCTCTGAGAATGAGCTCTTTCCCTACTCCTGCTATTTTGGAATAAGGTGACTTTTATACACAAACAAATCTTTTATTGCTTCAATGACCAGGTTGAATTCATTAAAACTATGGCCCGGGAATTAACCCAAGTTTGATCCTATTTAGCTAAAAGACAGAGCTACTGTGACACCAGCTAATTGTACTTGAACTCGTGTCAAGGTGTAGCCTGGAAGTGTTTCTGGACAGCTGGAGCATTGCCCTAGCTCTGCCAGTCCCCTTATTTCCTGGTTCAATTGCTATCCAAAACCCAGCTCAAAAAAACGGCATCAACTTGGACCGCTCCTTGGCATTCCAGGGGAAAATGAGTTTCTTCTTAATCCTTGCTTGCATGCCACATTAAACATGCCACATGTTGTTTCTGTCTACATTGTGTTGTGGTTAGTTTGTAATTCTCCACTGTGAGTAAATGAGTAGATTAACTCATACTTCTCCCACCCTTCTACACTTTGAGTTCACTTAGAAATACTGGAGAGCAACTGAGTTCACCTGATGGTGGTGGCAAAGATGGCAAAGAGCAACGTAGAAGAATGAAATAACATTGACAATTAAAAAGAAAAGTGAAGGAGCACAGTGTTTGCCTGCAGCAGTGCATGGTGTGTGTGTCTGTGGTACCCATGTCCAGTGGAGAGGGTGGGCACCAGGAAGGAAGGTTGGATCAGGTCTTTGAGTCTCACAGGGAGAAGCCTGAATTTCATGCTATCGACAAACAAAACTCCATCATGAGTTTTTTTGTTTACAACAAAATATTTTCCATATTAGTCTGTAACTTTTTGTTTTTCTTAAAAATTTTTGATAGCTTTGTTAACTGTAAAAACAGCACATTTGGCTTGGCACAGTGGCTCACGCTTTAATCCCAGAACTTTGGGAGGCTGAGGTGGGAGGGTCCCTTGAGCCCAGGAGTTCAAGACCAGCCTGGCCAACAGGGCGAAACCCTGTCTCTACAAAAAAATACAAAAGTTAACTGGGTGTGGTGGCGTGCACCTGTAGTCCCAGCTACTTGGGAGGCTGAGGTGGGAGAATCACCTGAGCCAGTGAAGTCTAGGCTGCAGTGAACCGTGATCACACCACTGCACTCCAGCCTGGGCCACAGAGTGAGAGTTTGCCTCAAAAAACTAACAAACAACAAAAACATTTTCTTCAACCACAAGAAGCAACAAATAGACATTACTGGAGCTTACAAAGTAGATAATAAAAGTTCACCTATCCACCTCCTTAATACCACAGCCCCGAGATAAACGCTACATGTGTAACAAGCTTTTGAGGGGGACTTATCTGTTGCCCCAGAAATGGTAATCAAGACTCACCAATGCCAAAAATGGATGCTCAGTTTCCCCTCCTTATAAAGAAAGTTAATGATACCCTAATAGGACACAGACAAGACCCTTTTATAATTATCCATTACCTAACACCCTCTGCCTGTTCTAGATGAAGAGAGGACAGGGGAGAAAATCAACTGTTATCAGTGTCCTTTGGGCTTTCAAGGAGTTCCGTGGTTGGTGGCCACTCCCTCTTCTACTAGGGGTGGGACTGTTCTAGGGCAATGTCTTGGAGAGATTGAGAAGTCCTGCAAGAAGAGAAGACTGACACCTGATTCCTCAAATGAATACTTCTTTAATTGCAGGTGCATTTTGGCATTGTCCCTTGAGAAAGAATTCTTGAAGATGAGGGGTTTAACTAAATCTAGAGATGATGGCTACATCTCTGGAGCTTTCTGGAGATGGAAGTCTTGCTAATAGAAAGTCTTGCTAAAGATCTATGGAATTGTGTGTCTTAAAAAATAATGGTAGGGCTGGGCACGGTGGCTCACGCCTGTAATCCCAGCACTTTGGGAGGGTGAGGCAGAAGGATCACCTGAGGTCAGGAATTCAAGACCAGCCTGGTCAACATGGTGAAACCCTCTCTCTACTAAAAGTACAAAAATTAGCTGAGCGTGCTGTAATCCCAGCTACTCGGGAGGCTGAGGCAGGAGAATCACCTGAACCTGCGAGGCAGAGGTTGTAGTGAGCTGAGGTCGCACCACTGCACTCCAGTCTCACCACTGCACTCCAGCGACAGAGTGAGACTACATCTAAAAAAAAAAAAAAAAATGGTAGTGGTGGAGAATTCCTCTCATGTTGCCATGACTCTTGGAAGAGTGTGGAGGTTGACCTCAGGGTGCCTGTGCCTCTGCACCTGAAGGAGTAGGAAGGTTAGAGGACAGGATGGAGGCAAGGTAATGTTCCACCGTCACGGCCTGAAAGGAGACATGACTCTGGGAACAGGGTGGCCATTTGCCTTCTGGTTTAGATCAGGTAGCCTGAAAATGAATAAATCTGCTGCTTTAGTTCATACTTTCTTTTAATTAGCTTTTTATAAGAATATAAATTTGAAAATAATTTTGTATTTTAAAGACTTGCTAGAGAGATGGATAGGATTTTTAAGTGGAAGCAAGGTAGAGAGGCTGGACTAACAGAATCAGGGTTATTTTTGTTGTTATTTGTTTGTTGGATTGACTTTCTTCTATTTGTTTTGTATTATTTTTTCTTTGAGTAGGGTTTGAGGTTTTTTGAAAGCTAGAATCTTAATCTTGACATACCATTGAATTACTGATGAAAGGTCCTTTAAGATTTCATTCTATTGGATAGCAATTATCTAGAGCCGGTTTTATATTTAAGTTATCTTATAGGCACTTGGTATTTTCTCAAAGTAAGCAATAGATGACAAAATAACAAATAAGTGGGTTTCTCAACAATTTGTTGTATCATAAACATCCATCTTAAAATTAACTAACAGTATTATATCAGTAAATGTCATTACCATCCATATTTTAAAATTGATTTCTTTCTTTCTTCCTTCCTTTTCTTCCCTCCCTCCCTTTCTTTCTTTCTTTCTTTCTTTCTTTCTTTCTTTCTTTCTTTCTTTCTTTCTTTCTTTCTTTTTCTTTCTTTCCTTCCTTCCTTCCTTCCTTCTTTCCTTCCTTCTCTTTCTCTTTCCCTTTTCTTTCTCTTTCCTTCTTTCCTTCCTTCCTTTTCTTTCTGTCTGTCCTTCTTTCTCTTTCTTTCTCTCTCTTTCTCTTTTTCTCTCTTTTCTTTCTCTCCTTCCTTCTTTCTCTCTCTTTTCTTTTCTCTTTCTTTCTTTTCTTTTTCTCTTTTCTTTCTTTCTTTCCTTCCTTTTTTTTTTTTTTTTTTTTTGAGATGGAGTCTTGCTCAAGTACCCAGGCTAGAGTGCAGTGGTGCCATCTTGGCTCACTGCAAGCTCCACCTCCCAGGTTCATGCCATTCTCCTGCCTCAGCCTCCTGAGTAGCTGGGACTGCAGGCGCCTGCCACCACGCCCAGCTAATTTTTTTTTTTTTTTGTATTTTTAGTAGAGATGGGGTTTCACCATGTTAGCTAGGATGGTCTCGATCTCCTGACCTCGTGATCTATCCACCTCGGCCTCCCAAAGTGTTGGGGTTACAGGTGTGAGCCACCGTGCCCAGCCTTCCTTTCTTTTTTCTCTTTCTCTCTCTTTTCTTTCTCTCTTTCTCTCTTTCCTTCCTTTCTTCTTTCTTTCTTTCTCTTTCTTTCTTTCTTCCTTCTTTCCTTCCTTCCTTCCTTTCTTTCTCTTTTCTTTCTTTTCCTCTCTTTTCTTTCTTTCTCTTCTTCCCTTCCTTCCTTTCTTTTCTTTTTTCTTTCTCTCTTTCTCACCTTCCTTCCTTCTTTCCTTCCTTCCTCCCTCCCTTCTTCCTTCCTTTCTCTTTCTTCCTTTCTTTCTTTCTTTCTTTCTTTCTTTCCTTCCTTCCTTCCTTCCTTCCTTCCTTCCTTCCTTCCTTCCTTCCTTCCTTCCTTCCTTCCTTCCCTCTTCTTCTTTCTTTCTCTCTCTCTCCTTTCTCTCTCACCTTCCTTCCTTTCTTTTTTCTCTCTCTTTTTTCTTTCTCTCTTTCTCTCCTTCCTTCCTTCCTTCCTTCCTTCCTTCCTTTCTCTCTCAGCAGAGAGAGAGAGAGGTTCCAACATTTATTCCAGATCTTCCCAAATGACCAAGATAAACATCCTCAAACAAAATGAAAGTAGGGGCCGGGCACTGTGGCTCACACCTGTAATTCCAGCATTTTGGGAGGCCAAGGCTGGTGGATTGCTTGAGGTCGGGAGTTTGAGACCAGCCTGACCAAATGGTCAAACCATTTCTCTACTAAAAATACAAAAATTGCCCGGGCATGGTGGCTCATGCCTGTAATCCCAGCACTTTGGGAGGCTGAGGCAGGTGGATTACCTGAGGTCAGGAGTTCAAGACCAGCCTGGCCAACATGGCAAGACCCCAACTCTACTAAAAATACAAAAATTAGCTGGGTGTGGTGGCAGGCACCTCTAATCTCAGCTACTTGGGAGGCTGAGGCATGAGAATCGCTTGAACCCTGGAGGTAGAGGTTGCAGTGAGCCAAGATCGCATCACTGCACTACTGCAGCCTGGGGGACAGAGCAAGACTCTGTCTTTAAAAAAAAAAATTAGCCAGGCACGGTGGCAGGCACTTGTAATCCCAACTACTCAGGAGGCTGAGGCAGGAGAATAGCTTGAACCCGGGAGGCGGAGGTTACAGTGAGCCGAGATCATGCCGCTGCATTCCAGCCTGGATGACAGAGTGAGACCCTGTCTCAAAAAAACAAAAACAAAAGTAGGGATTATTAAAAGTGGAAGTTACCTCCTTCATTCCATCTTGGCTCTCACGTGGATTTCCAGGTAGTGTACTTTTAAAGGCAATTCTTTTGTTTCATTTAATGAGATGGCAAAATAATTTTAATTTCAAATGAAGAGAGAAGATCATTTTGGTGTCCCTTTGCCCTTCTGCAAATTGATAATGTTGCATGAATAGTTTACTGGAACTGAATGACTACCTATTGTTCCACTTATATTTCAGAGTTTATTAAATTTTAGGAAACTTTTGATTAAATTATAGATCACCAACAGGCTCCAATGATTCCAAAGCCTGTGCTCTTTCAGCATGCTGCATTTGATTGTCTTTACAGTATCTGCCAAGTGCTTCGGGCTTGGGTCACATTTCTTCTTATCAGGAAACATTCTCTTTCTATTTTCATGTGACAATCATGAAATGCCTACTGTGGCAAACAAAACAGTCACTGTCCATGAAATTTGTTATAGCTTATTTGTCTGGCTTCACTTCTGCCATCTTGTTCTCTGATATATATACATTTATATGTAAAATTTTTATATTGTTTATATATATAAAATGTTTATATATATAAACATTTTCTTCATTTGTTGATGTTTTGTCCCCCTTTTTGTCTAAATTTAAAAAACTGCTTGAGATAACTGTGGATTCCCATGAAGTTGTAAGAAATAATACAGAGAGATCTTGTATACCAGTCACTCGGTATCCCTTAATGGTAACTAACGTCCTACAAAACTATAGTGCAATATCACAGTGAGGAAATTAACACTGACATAATCCAGGGATATTATTCAGATTTTCTGTTTTTATGTGTACACTGTTCTCCCCCAACCACAGGAGTTTAGTTCTACTCAGCTTTACCACCTGAGTAGATGCGTGTGATCACTGCCACAGTCAAAATAACAGTTTCGTCACAAGGATTGACCCTGCCCCCCTTTTACAGTCCCTGTCATCCCTCCTCATATTTCCTAGCTCCTGGTAACCACTAATCTCTTCTTGTCTCTTTAATAATGTCATTTCAATAGTGCTGCATAGATGGACTCATGCAGTATGTAACATTTTAGATGGGCTTTTCACTCAGTGTCATTCCCTTGAGATCCAGCCAAGTTGTGGCATGCATCAGGAGCTCATTTCTTTCGCTGTTGCTGAGTAATATTCCATGGTATGGATGTAGCACAGGTTGTTTAACCCTTTGATTAAACACTGAAGCATATTTGGTTGTTTCCACATTTTGGGTGTTATGAATAAAAACGCTGTGATCTTTTATGTAAAGGTATTTTTGTGATAATTTGTTTTCATTTCTCTAGTACAAACGCCAAATAGAGTAATTGCTGGGTCAATGGTAAGTACACATTTAGTTTTATGAGAAACTGCCACATTATTTTCCAGAATTGTGATATTTTACATTCCCACCAGCGACGTGTGAGTAATCAGTTCACCCGCATCACTGACATGTGACCTTACTACAATCTTTTATTTTAATTATTCTGATGTCAAAATTATTTGAATAGATTTGTATGGCTCTATTTTGGGGTTCTCTATTTTGTTTCATTGACCTATATGTCTGCTTCTCCTCTAATACCACACTGTCTTGAAACTGTAGCTATGTAGTAATCCTTAACATTTCTTAGATTGATTCTTCTCGGTAAATTCTTCTTTTTCAAATTTTGCGAGTTGTCTTTTTTAGCTGTTTAGATCCTGTGTCTTTCCTTGTAAAACTTAGAATAAACTTGTCTGTCCTTTAAACTAACAAAGATAAAAAAGACAAAGAAGGACATTACATAATGGTAAAGGGGTCAATTCAACAAGAAGAATGAATAATCCTAAATATATATGCACCCAATATAGGAGCACCTAAAATCATTAGACAAGTTCTTAGAGACATACAAAGAGACTTAGACTTCTACACACTAATTGTATAGTATAAACACCTCTACGCAAATAAACTAGCAAATCTAGAAAAAATTGATAAATTACTGGACACATACACCATCCCAAGACTAAACCAGAAAGAAGTCCAATTCCTCAATAGGCCAATAGCAAGTTCTACAATTGAGGCAGTAATAAATAGCCTACCAACCAAAAAACAAACAAACACACAAACAAAAAACCAGGACCAGACAGATTTACAGTTAAATTCTACCAGCGTTTCAAAGAGAAGCTGGTACCATTCCTTCTGAAACTATTCGAAACAGCTGAAAAGGAGGAACTTCTGCCTAACTCATTTTATGAGGCTAGCATCAACCTGATACCAAAACCTGGAGGAGATACAACAAAAGAAGGAAACTTCAGGCCAGTATCTCAGATGAACATTGATGTGAAAATCTTCAGTAAAATACTGGCAAACCAAATCCAGCAGCACGTTAAAAAGCTTACCTACCGTGATCAAGTTAGCTTCATCACCGGGATGCAAGACTGGTTCAACATATGCAAATCAATAAATGTAATTCATCACATATCCATCTGACAAAGGTCTAATATCCATAATCTGCAAGGAATTTAAACAAAATTACAAGAAAAAAAAACAACCCCATTAAAAAGTGGGCAAAGGACGTGAATAGAAAAATTCTCAAAGGAAGACATTTATGCAGCCAACAAACATATGAAAAAAAGCAAATCACTGATCATTAGAGAAATGCAAATCTAAACCGCAATGAGATACCATCTCATGCCAGTCAGAGTGGCGATTATTAAAAAGTCAAGAAGCAACAGATGCTAGTGAGGCTGTAGAGGAATAGGAACTCTTTTACACTATTGGTGGGAATGTAAATTAGTTCAACCATTGTGGAAGACAGCATGCTGCTTTCTTAAGGATCTAAAACCAGAAATGCCATTTGACCCAGCAATATTATTACTGGGTATATACCCAAAGGAATATAAATCATTCTGTTATAAAGATACATGCACACTTATCTTCTTTGCAGCACTATTCACACTAGCAAGGACATGTAATCAATCCAATCACTATAACCAATCACATTAACACAGTAAAGAAAAAATTATATAATCATATCATTTTACTAGAAGAAGAACCTTGTTAAATTTTGATAGGAATTGCATTACACATCAGGATCGATTTGGGACGTAGTAACATCTTTATTATGTTGAGTTATTAAATCCACAAACATTATATGTCTTTCCATTTATTTAGATATTCATTAGTTTCTTTAATCAGCATTTTGTAATTTTAAGAATACAGATCCTATACACATGTTCTAAGTACTTCATTTTCTTTGGTGTGATTGTAAATGGTTTTGTGTTTCAGATTGTGAATTCTACAAGTTCATTGTTAGCATATAGAAATAAAATTGATTTTTTTTTTTTTTTGAGACAGAATCTCGCTCTTTTTCTCAGGCTGGAGTGCAGTGGTGCTATCTTGGCTCATTGCAAGCTCCACCTCCTGGGTTCACGCCATTCTCCTGCCTCAGCCTCCTGAGTAGCTGGGACTACAGGTGCCTGCCACCATGCCCAGCTAATTTTTTATTTTTTTTTAGTAGAAACGGGGCTTCACTGTGTTAGCCAGGATGGTCTCAATCTCCTGACCTTGTGATCCACCCGCCTCGGCCTCCCAAAGTGCTGGGATTACAGGCGTGAGATGAAATTGATTTTTGTGTATTTATCTTATATCCTGCAATCTTGCTGAAATCACCTGTTATTTCTAGGAGATTTTTAGTTGTTTTTAGTATATTCCTTTGTAATCTTTGTGATTTTCTCATGTACAAATTACAACAGTTTTATTTTTTCTTTCCAATTTTTATGCCTATTATTTCTTTTTCTTGCCTTATTGCACTGTCTAGAACTTCTGATACTTATCATGAATAAAAGCGGTGACACTCCTGTTTCTAATCTTAGGGGAAATCATTTTTTTGTTCTTGATCTTAGAAGAAATCTTTCAGTCTTTTACCACTGACCATTGTTTACTGTTGGACTTTTATAGATGCTCTTTATCAGGTTGACTTCTGCTCCATTTGTAGTTTTCTAAGTTTTTTTTTCTTTAATCATGAACAGATGTTGGATTTTGTCAAGTGCTTTTTCTGTGTAAAATGATAAGATTATATATTTTTTTCTTTACTGTGTTTACTGTGATTTGGTTATAGTGGTTGATTTTTTGAATGTTGAATTAGGCCTGTGCACTTGAAATAAATTTCAATTGGTCGTGGGAAATATATAATTCCTTTTATATTTGCTGGGTTTGATTTGATAATGTTTTGCCAATAACTCTTCTGCCTATGTTCATGAGAGATATTGGTGTGTAGTTTTCTTTTTTTTTGTACTATTTTCGACTAATTTTGTTGTCAGAGTAATACTGACATCAATGAGTAAGTGGAGATGTGTTCTCTAGTCTCCTATTTCTTGGAAGAGATTGTGTAATGTAGGTGTTATTCTTTAAAAAGTGTTGTTAGAATTCTCCAGTGAAACCATCTGGGACTGACTATTTCATTTTTGAGAATTTCTAAGTTACAAATTCAATTTATTTAATAGTTACAGGACTACTCAATTTGTTTATTTCATCCCAATTGAGTTTTGGTAGTTTGTGATTTTTTTGTTTAGGAAGTTTTCCTTTTTTTTTTACACTGTCAAGTTTATGAGCGTAAAGTTGTTTGTAGTATTCCCATAGAGTATCTTGTGTGTGTGTGTGTGCGTGTGTTTCCAGTTTAGCTAAGTTGCAATATAAAATTGTAAAGAGGAGGCCCTAGAAAGATTTAATCTGAGGAAGTGACATTTGAGGACAAATTTGAAGAGTAAAGAGGAATTACCAAGTGGGGAGAAAGTGGAATGTTCTTGGCAGAGGGAATGTTAGGTGCAAGAGTCACATACTGGATATGCATACTGGAAGGAGCACAGCACGTTTTGGGAGACAGAAGATGGTGGCTTTGGCTGAAGAGCAAAGGTGAGCTGAGCCTGGAGAGCAGGGCTGGCTATCAGGGGCAGAGTCTCATAAATCACTGTAAATTTCTACTTAAAACAAAACCCTGAAAACAATAGGAAAACACTGACAGATTTTAGGAGGAAGGTCAGTAAGACTTGCTTTTAAAAGCTCACTATATTTGTATTGTGGGTGGGATAAAAGGATGCAGAAAAGCCTGCTAGAAAGCCCTGTGGGGTCCAATTGGTGCACATTACTGACTTTGGTGTGTCTGTCCAATACTCAATGTGAACTCTGCTGCCAGCATCACAGTCCTTTGTTTGTGGTTCCAGTCATCTGCGTGACTAGAGGACAGAGCACATGAGAGATTGGAAAAGAGTGAGACTGAGAGGTGGGGCCCCTGGGTGGGCAGGTGGCCATACCATGTCAATCATTGGGGGCTTCACAAATCGACAGGGACAGGTATTCAGTGAGAGCGAATCTTAATCCCATCTACATATAGAAAGCATGCCAGCAGGAGCAATGAGTATTAATGGGGGCCAGTGAGAAGAGATGGGCAGAAAGGAGTGGTGGGGGGGGTCTGACAGTGAACTTTGCAGAAAGATAACTGCACTGAATGTGAACATCTTTCAGACATCAGCAGGGTGAACTGGAGGAGCAGGCAGGATGGAGAACTGTCTCAGAGGCAGAATGAATAAGTCTTGGCCATGAGTTGGTTATGCAGGTGAGAGGAGCAAAGACCATGAGGTCTTCCTGTCTAGTTGGGAGAGATACTCTTCATCAGGGTAGAAAGAGGAGAAAGGGGAGTGCTTGGCCCTGGCTGGGCCTGGAGCAGGGTGCTCATTCCTTTATTCATTGAAGAAATGCACATTAATGCCTGCTGGGTACCAGGCTGCACCTGAATGATAAGCCTAAGGGATTGAATTAGGTAGTCTTGGTCATTGCCCACATGAAAGTTAAAGTCTCATGCAGTGCTTCTTTTTGGGCATATAAGTTTGTCACATATGAAGTCGCAGAACAAAACAAAATGCAATAAAATCCGATGTCATTCTTACTGAAACTACTGTAAGTGTTTAGAGTAGAGGATACATGATGTTTCCATTAGCAGAAAAACAGAGTTTTATCTTTTATTTGCATTTCTTTTTCAAATGAGAGAAATGTGGTAAGGAGATAGTCATTTTGGTGGCCAAAATCAAGGTGTCTTTGGGCAGCTGGAAATTCAAACTGGAATCTTGAGGATATTGATGAATGAAGAGGTGCCAAATTTGTGGGAATGAAAAAACAATCCAGGGAGTACATTTTGAAAATTAGTTTGAAATTCTTTGTATTATGTGCCAGTTAATTTTTTAGAGTTGTTTTGGTATCTAAAGAACAACCGCTCTTATGGATAAAGAAATTCATTTTAGGTATTAAAAATGTCAACCTTAAAACTTTGTATATAGTTAACACTTGAAGAAGTGGAATTGCTTTCTTTCATTAGTTTTAAGACTCTTGCTTTCCAAAACATTTTCATTAAAATTAAGATTTCAGCAATGAATATTTGTTGAAATAAGGGATGAAGGAAATGATGAACTTATCATTTATTCTTTACAACTGCCCTTATGTACCACAAAGGTCTGTCTACCTAAGGGAAAAAACTGGGGCACAAAATATAATGTATAGAGTTGACCTTAGCCAAAGTGAGGATAGCTGCCAGGGACACACTTTCAGGTTGCCTTGGGGAATGCTTCCTTTGCCTTTGTTACAAGCAGGTTTTTAAAGACAAACAGGAACAAGGAGTGGGCTGATCCAAAGTTGTTTGACAGGCATTCTCATTGGTTTACAGAATAACACTGGTTAGTGATTGGCTGTACCCTGTTGAACCATAAGGTGTATGGCATTTTACAGCTACTTGGAGTCAGTTAGTCTGGAGCCTGCCTAGCAAGTGGCTTTAAGGGGTCATTATTTTAGTTAAAAGGGGAGTGAGATATGTCTGCTGTCACATTTTAAATGCCTCTCTGGGCCTGATAATTTAAAGAGGTTCACATTCCTCACATAAAAAATTTATTTTCTGTCTTAGGTCTATGATAAACATCAACTGGCATAGTGCACATTCACTCTATACAAATGTATATGACAATGCCATATTCTGTGCGACATAAATGTATGTTCCTCTCCTCAGAGCTGTTTCTTGCGAATGATAAATATTTTGAAATCCCCTCTCTTAATTTATTTAGACATAAAAATCACAGGAAAAATGTCAATGATGTTATCTTCTAAATGTCTAACTTTAAAAATTATGGCTCTCTCAAGGGTACAGGCCTCAATTAAAATGTCATTAACAATTCAACTTGGGAGTTTATTAGGTTTACGGTGTGGTGGTAGGCAGGTAGGGAGAAAGATAACATTTTCTGGGAGGAACCCCTAAATCTGTCCAGAAACAGTTATAGAACTTTTATCTCTTTTTAGGCTATTAAGTTGAAGAATTAATTATGATTAAAACAATTTTTAGGCCGGGCGCGGTGGCTCACGCCTGTAATCCCAGCACTTTGGGAGGCCGAGGCGGGCGGATCACGAGGTCAGGAGATCGAGACCATCCCGGCTAAAACGGTGAAACCCCGTCTCTACTAAAAATACAAAAAATTAGCCGGGCGTAGTGGCGGGCGCCTGTAGTCCCAGCTACTTGGGAGGCTGAGGCAGGAGAATGGCGTGAACCCGGGAGGCGGAGCTTGCAGTGAGCCGAGATCCCGCCACTGCACTCCAGCCTGGGCGACAGAGCGAGACTCCGTCTCAAAAAAAAAAAAAAAAAAAAAAAAAAAAAAAAAAAAAACAATTTTTAATTAATTAATTAATTTTATTTATTTATTTTTTTCTGAGACAGTCTTGCTCTCTTGCCCAGGCTGGGGTGCAGCGGCAGGATCTCGACTCACTGCAACCTCTGCCTTCAGGGTTCAAGTGATGCTCCTGCCTCAGCCTCCTGAGTAGCTGGGATTACAGGCACGCACCACCATGCCCAGCTAATTTTTGTCTTTTTTTTTAGTAGATACAGGGTCTCACCATGTTGACCAGGCTGATCTCAAACTCCTGACCTCAAGTGATCCACTCACCTCGACATCCCAAAGTGCTGGGATTACAGGCATGGGCCACTGCACCTGGCCACATTTTTAATTTATTTTTAAATGTACAAAAATTGTATATATTTATGGCATATAACATGATGTTTTAATATATGTTTACATTGTAGAATGACTAAATCAAGCCAATTAACATGCATTATCTCACATACTTATCTTTTTTGTGATGAGAACACTTAAAGTATACTCTCTTAGCAATTTTCAAGAATATATGTTGTTATTAACCATAGTCACCATGTTGTACAATTGATCTCCTGAACTTATTCTTCCTGTTTAACCAAAATTTTATATCCTTTGATCAACATCTCCCCAATCTCTCCAACCCTATTATGTTTATTTCAATTCAATGTTTTAAACCTGAGACTTCCAAGACCTTCACTGTATTTGCCTTTCATGCTCAGATTTCTGCAGTTCTAATTTTGCTATGTAATATTGCTTTGAGTCTCAGCAGCTGCATGCTTGACTTAACACTGTCTTTTAATTTTCCTTGGAGGTTTTAAAGAGCAGAGTAGAAAATATTGTCTTTACTTGATTTATTAGGTGTCAACATAGGAAATACCAGATGGTTTTGTCTGGTATTTCTGCCATGTATTTAGAAAAATACTTGTTTGAAATTGCTAGGCAAAATGCCTATTTTTATTGTCTATGTCTTTTATCTCTCTTGTATTAAGATGTTAAGATTGTCATATAAATATTATGTATTGATGTTGATGAGCTGTGAGTTCCTAAAGAGTTAGAGATTATTCACTCGTCAACTTAGACTCCCGTTTCAGAACCCAACTATCACAACCACATAATTTCCACCATTTTGAAAGGTCAAGTGGGACTTAAATAGACCAATTTATCTAAACCGTATGCCAAAAGGAATTTAGGGTGTTGAAAGAGTATTTTCTAATATGTCCTTTTTTACTTTAATTTCTTTGATTCTTATTCTCAGTGTATAATTTAAAAACTAGTTTGTTTGAATTCACTGTTAATCTCTACTCTTCCCTAACAAACTCTTTTTTGAAAATAAAAAATTTTGGAGCTTTAAGTCCTAAAATAATTATCCAAATAAGAAACGTAAAAAGGTGCTATGCTATTGATCTTTCAAAGCTCCGCATTATACTGATAGTGAGGTTTCATGTAATGACAGGAATTAACAGCCCTTTGCTGATAAGGTGAGAACATCATTCCTCAGCTTGAAAGATACACTCTAAGTCAATGATGTCTAGAGTTAACCATAAAACATCTATTCAAGATGTTTATTAACATAAAATGGAATATTCTTTTGCAGATATGTTACTCAAAATTCAAGCAAACCTTCTCATATCCCTTCTTTTGTTTTTTCCTTTATATGTAATATATATAAAATATATCATATATCATATATATCATATATATATAAATTATATATATATATATATATATTATTTGAGACAGAGTCTTGCTGTGTCACCCAGGCTGGAGTGCAGTGGCATGACCTTGGCTCACCGTAACCTCCACCTCCTGGGTTCAAGTGATTCTCCTGCCTCAGCCACCTGAGCAGCTGGGACTACAGGTGCCCGCCACTATGCCCAGCTAATTTTTGTATTTTTATTAGAGACAGGGTTTCGCCATGTTGGCCAGGCTGGTCTCAAACTCCTGACCTCAAGTGATCTGCCCACCTCAGCCTCCCAAAGTGCTGGGATTACAGGCGTCAGCTACCATACCTGGCCTGTTTTTTCCTTTATTTATATTCCTCCCTCACTTTGTTCTTCCCTCCTTCATGTTTCCTCCTTTTCTGAGAACAAATCACCAAGAAATGGCAAGAATATGCTTAGTTTTATAAGAAACTAAAACATAGGGTGTGCAAATCTTTTACTTTGTTCTACTTTTATAAAACCAAAATCCACCAAGTGAGAACACTTGAGTTACATTTTGGAAGCCCATAGCCTTAAACTGCTTCATAGAAATGAGGGAAGACGGAGGAAAATACGTTACTTATCTGTATTCTTCAGAATGCTAGTGAATATGTTTTACAGTCTCAAGTAAGGTCACTACAGGGTTTTCCTTTTCCTCTTAGATTTACTCTTGGATTTGGTTCTAAAGCAACTGTTTCTAGAAGTCATGCTCATCCACAGATAACTACTGAGCACCTACCATGTGACAGGCACTGTTGCCAGAACAAAGCAGACAAACAGAATTTAGACTCTTACTCAAGGTGACAAATTGCTCTAAAAATGGCCACAGGGCACCTGGGGTTTGTAGTGAACAGAAAAGAACAGATTGTTGAAACCCTCCTGGGATCCCATGTGATATGGTTTGGCTGTGTCCCCACCCAAATCTCATCTTGAATTGTAGCTCCCATAATTCCCACACATCATGGGAGGGACCTAGTGGGAGGTAATTAAATTATGGGGATGGGTCTTTCCCAAGCTGTTCTCATGGTAGTGGACAAGTCTCTTGAGATCTGATGATTTTATAAAGGGGAGTTTCCCTACACACGCTCTCTTGCCTGCTGCCATGTAAGATGTGTCTTTGCTTCTCCTTTGCCTTCTGCCATAATTGTGAGGCCTCCCCAGCTATGTGGAAATGTGAGTCCATTAAACCTCTTTCCTTTATAAATTACCCAGTCTCAGGTATGTCTTTATTAGCAGGGTGAGAACAGACTAATACAGTAAATTGGTACTGGTAGAGTGGGGCGCTGTTGTAAAGGTACCCGAAACTGTGGAAGCGACTTTGGAACTGGGTAACAGGCAGAGATTGGAACAGTTTGAGGGGCTCAGAAGAAGAGAGGAAGATGTAGGAAAGTTTGGAACTTCCTAGAGACTTGTTAAATGGCTTTGACCAAAATGCTGATAGTGATATGGAAAATAAAGTCCAGGCTGATGTGGTCTCAGATGGAGATGAGGAACTTGTTGGGAACTGGAATTAAGGTGACCGTTGCTATGTTTTAGCAAAGAGTCTGGTGGCATTTTGCCCTTGTCCTAGAGATTTGTGGAACTTTGAGCTAGAGAGAGATGATTTAGGGCATCTGGCAGAAGAAATTTCTAAGCAGCAAAGTGCTCTTGGGTCCTGTTAAAAGCATTTGGTTTTATGTATTCACAAAGATATGCTTTGGGATAGGAACTTAAGTTTAAAAGGGAAGTACAACATAAAAGTTTGGAAAATTTGGAGCCTGATGATGTGACACAAAAGAGAAACCCATTTTCTGAGGATAAATTCAAGCTGGCTGCAGAAATTTGCATAAGTAATGAGGAGTCCAGTGTTAATTGCCAAGACAATGGGGAAAATATCTTCAGAACATGTCTGAGGTCTCCACAGCAGCCCCTCCCATCACAGGCCTTGGAGGCCTAGAAGGAAAAAAAATGGTTCCGGGCCCCTTGCTGTGTGCAGTCTCAGGACTTGATGCCCTGTGTCCCAGCCATGGCTAAAAGGGGCCAAAGTAGAGCTCAGGTCATTGCTTCAGAGGGTGCAAGCCCCAAGCTTTGATGGCTTATACATGGTGTTGAGCATGTGAGTCCACAGAAGTTAAGAATTGAGGTTTGGGAACCCCTGCCTAGATTTCAGAGGATGTATGAAAATGCCTGGGTGTCCAGGCATAGGTGTGCTGCAGGGCAGAGCCCTAATGGAGAACCTCTGCTAGGACAGTGCAAAAGGGAATGTGGAATGGGAACCCCCACACAGAGTCCTAGTGGAGCTGTGAGAAGAGGGCCACCGTCCTCCGGACCCCAAAATGGTAGTTCCACGGATAGCTTGCACTATGTGCCTGGAAAAGCTGCAGACACTCAACGCCAGTTCCTGAAAGCAACCAGGAGGGGGCTGTACCCTGCAAAGCCACAGGGGTGGAGCTGCCTAAGACCATGGAAATCCACCTCTTGCATCAGTGTGACCTGGATGTGAGACATGGAGTCAATGGAGATCATTTTGCAGCTTTAAGATTTGACTACACCTTTGGATTTCAGACTTGCATGGGGTCTGTAACACCTTTGTTTTGGCCAATTTCTCCCATTTGGAATGGGTGTATTTATTCAATGCCTGTACCCCCATTGTATCTAGGAAGTAACTAACTTGCTTTTGATTTTACAGGCTCTTAGGTGGAAGGGACTTGTCTTGTCTTTGATGAAACTTTGGATTGTGGACTTTTGTATTAATGCTGACATGAATAAAGACTTTGGGAGACTGTTGGGAAGGCATGATTGGTTTTGAAATGTGAGAACATGAGATTTGGGAGGGGCCAGGGGCAGAATGATGTGGTTGGCTGTGTCCCCACCTAAATCTCATCTTGAATTGTAGCTCTCATAATTTCCACATGTCATGGGAGGGACTCAGTGGGAGGTAATTGAATCATGGGGGTGGGTCTTTCTTGTGCTGTTCTTGTGATAGTGAGTAAGTCTCATGAGATCTGATGGTATCATAAAGGGCAGTTCTGCATATGCTTTCTTGCCTTCCACCATGTAAAACTTGACTTTGCTTCTCTTTCACCTTCTGCCATGAATGTGAGGCCTCCCCAGCCATGTGGAACTGTGAGTCCATTAAACCTCTTTCCTTTAACAATTACCCAGTCTTGGGGTATGTTTTTATTAACAGCATGAGAACAGACTAATATACAATGTCAGTGTTTATTTGTACATAAATGTTTATTGATTGTTTACTTTTCTGCCTTCTTCCGTTAGAGAATTAGAGGGTTAGCCATTAGGGACAGAGATTTCATCTTAATCATCTCTACATCCATGGCATATAGACACATCAATGGTACATAGTAGACAATTGGTAAACTGTTCAGAGATTACTTGGGGGTTTTCTTCCTATCACTCCAAAATAAGGCTTATAGTTTGATGACACCCAGATTATGAAAATATAGCAATGATATATTCATAGAATGAGCTAGACATAAAAATTGGTTTTGAAATCTAAAATGTGTAATGAAGGAAAAAAATTCAGAAAAGGTTATTTGATTATGTTGACACTTTAAAGCAGACTTTATTATTTAGAGCAGTTTAGGTTCATGGCAAAATTGAGTGGACAGTACAGAGAGGGCCCATATGCCATCTTGCTCCTGTAAGCTACCCCCTGTCAATACCCTGAATGAGATGTTACAAGTGATGAACCTACATTGACACATATTTATTACTTAAAGTTCATAGTTATCACTTGGGTTCACTCTTGGTGTACACTCTAGGGGTTTTGACTGACGTGTAATGGCATATATTCACCATTATACTATCATACAGAATAGTTTCCCTGCCCTAAAAGTCCTCTGTGCTCCACCTATCCTTCCCCCTTCTCTTCTAACCATTGGCAAACATTGATCTTTTTATTGTCTTCATAGTTTTGCCTTTTCCTGAATGCCATAGTGTGTCACATAGCACATAGCCTTTTCAGATTGGCTTCTTTCACTTAGTAGTGTGCATTTGAGTTTCCTCCATGTCTTTTTATGGCTTGATAGCTCATTTCTGCTTAATAGTTCCTGGTGTGGATGTACTACAGTTTATCCATTCACCTGATGAAAGACATCTTATTTGCTCCCAAGTCTTGACAATGATGATTAAACCTTCTATAAACATCTGTGTGCAGGTTCTGTGTGAATTAAGATTTCCTCTATTTGAGTAAATGCCAAGGAGCACAGATGCTGGATTATATGGCAAGAGTATGCTTATTTTTGTAAGAAACTGCCAAACTTTCCCAAAGTGGCTCTACTGTTTTGCATTCCCACCAGCAACCAATAAGAGTCTCTGCTGCTCAGCATCCTCACCAGTATTTAGTGTTGTCAGTGTTTTGGATTTTGGCCATTCTAAATGATTGTGTAGTGGTATCTCATTGTTTTAATTTGTAACTTTCTAATGACTATGATATTAAGCGTATTTTCATATGCTTATTTCTCATCTGTATATCTTCTTTGGTGAGGTGTTAGTGGGGCTTTTACCCATTTTTTGTTTTCTTATTGTTGAGTTTTATTTTTAGGTATATTTTGGATAACTATCTTTTATCAGAAATATATTTTGCACATATTTTCTTTCAGTCTGTCACTTGTCTTTTCATTCTCTTGACAGTGTCTTTCACATAGCGTTTTTAATTTTAGTGAAGTCTAGTTTAAGTTATGTGTTACTTAACAATGGGGGTAGGTCCTGAGAAATGCATCATTAGGTGATTCTGTCATTGTGCTCTCAGGCTACAAACCTATACAGCATGTTACTGTACTGAGTACTGTAGGCAACTGGAATACAAGGGTAAGTATTTATGTATCTAAACATATGTAAAATAGAAAAGGTACAGAAAAATACCATATAAAAGGCAAAAACTGGTACACCTATGTAGGGCACATACCATGAATGGAGCTTGCAGGATGGAAGTTGCTCTGGGGGAAGTCAGTGAGTGAGTGGCGAGTAAATGTGAAGGCCTAGGACATTCCTGTACACCACTGTAGACTTTATAAACACTGTAGACTTAGGCTACACTAAATTTATAAAACATTTTTCTGTCTTCAATAATAATTAAACTAAGCCTACTATAAAGTTTTTCATTATAAACTTTAATTTTTTTAACTTTTTTGATTCTTTTATAATAACATTCAGCTTAAAACACAAACACATTTTACAGCTGTACAAACATATTTTCTCTCTTTATCTCCTTATTCTATACATTTTTTATTCTTAAATTTTTAAATTTTTTTTTCATTTAATACTTTTTGTTAAAAATGAAGACACAAACACACACATTCGCCTAGGCCTGCACAGGATCAGGATCATCAATATTACCATCTTCCACCTCCGTATCTTGTCCCAGTAGAACATCTTTGGGGCAGTAGCACCCATAGAGCTGTCATCTCCTATGATAGCAATACCTTCTTCTGGAACACATTTTGAAGGACCTGCCTGAGGCTAATTTACAGTTTACTCTGAAAAAATATATAAGCAGAAGGAGTAACTAAAATAATGATTAAAAGTATAATGAGTATATAAATCAGTCACATAGTCATTTATTATCATTATCAAGTATTATATACTATACATAACTGTATGTGCTAGACTTTTATAACACTGGCAGCACAGTAGGTGTGTTTACATCATCATAACCACAAACATGTGAGTAATGCATTACACAATGACCTTACTTTGGTGATGACATCACTAGACAATAGGAATTTGTCAGTTCCATTGTAATCCTATGGGACCACCAGTGCATATGTGGTCCATCACTGACTGAAACATCGTTATGTGGTGCATGACTGTATTTAATGTGTTAAGCAATAGAATACATATGTGAAATTTAAGAGAACAAAATTTTACTTTTAACTTTTCTTTTTTGTTTACTCTCTTAAAAGGAAAACTTTAGAGAAAATAAATTTAACAGAATCTATTTAAACAAAGAACAATTCATGAACTTGGGAGCAGTCAAAACCGGCAGAGCTCAGAGTGCTCTGCTAGAGTGAGCACTGAGCTTTCAGAGGCTGAACGTGGAAGCAAAGTTAAGACATTTCCTGATTGCCTACCATAGGTGTTTGCCTCATTTAGGCATAGCGTGATTGTAGATCCCTAGTTCCACAGCTAACCTGGTGCTTGACTGTTTGTGGTTGACTGAGTCTAGGTGTTTCTTCCTTTTTTTTCCTTTTTTTAGTCAGTTATAAAAAAATGCCCTCCAAGTCAAGTTTCAGTTTGCTTACATAGTGCTCTGGGTACAGAGGAAACCTTAGGCCAAGGGTCTCCTCTTATTTGCTTTAACAACTCTATATTCTCAAAGTAAATTTTTGGGTTTTGTATTCTTCTAAGTGATCCTGCAACAGTAGACAATTGTAAACACCAGCATTGCCATGAAGAGAAATGTTTTTATAGTATTTTGCATTATTGTTTAACTTCATTCGTTTTTGTTATGTTGGTTATGGCACAGATGTTTATGGACCCCCACTGTGTAGTAGTACTACGGAATCATTTTTATGTGCTTTTACTTTGATTTGAGTGTATGTAATTGTAAAATGATACTATAGATTAAAAGCAAAATTACAAAACAAAATGCCATGCTCTTTAGTACAATCAACATAAGGCATTTAGGGTCAGTGTTTGAAATTCCCATGCAAACTATCTTGTTCCTAGTCTGCACTTATTATAAATACTTGTTTTGTAGCATCTCAGGAACAATTTATTTCTTGAGGCAAAACATTTCTTCCAATTTGTATTATATTGGTGTCATCTTATAAGTACAAATGGAGTAGTTAGACTTTCATTCAAGATATGCTTCACACTCTTGGCCATGGAGGGAGGCCCGCCAAGGACCATGATTGTTCTGTCATTTATGAAGATGATAGAGCCTTTCTTGAACTGGAGGAAAAGGGTTGAAAGTCCTTACTAAAACTGTAAAGTATTGCCTGGGTCTAAGAATCTAGTAGTACTTTGAAACTTTATTCAGGTAGATTATTCCAAAATGGTGATAAATGAAATTAAACTTTTCAGTATAGTAGGTTATTTTTTTCAAATCCTAGATTTTTTTAAATAAGCTTTTAGTGGCTCAATGTAATGAAAATATTGAAAGGAGTCACACCAGATTCATTAGCTTTGTAAGTCACTGCAAGATTTATTTTAGGTGAAGCCTTGTGCTGCTTTAAGTATCATGTAACGTTGAACATTCTAGGAATCTGCTATCTTCTAACCTAGAATGTGAGTTAAAGAATAGTTCAGGTGAACGGCAAAGAATAGTGATGAATAAAAAGGCCTTATAGGCAAGTATGAAGACCTGTCTTCCTCATCTTCTGTGTGTTTGCATAGTCACGTCTATGTTTTTCTGGTCCCAGGCGGTTTCTGTGGGCACAAAGAGACGTAAGACAGGGAGGTAAGGGCAGCCATCATGGGCCTTTCAATGAATTCCATTTCTCTTGGGTTTACCAAGCCAAAGGTGAAGTGGGATGTAAGCAGGCTAGAGGATCCAGAAGTATGAGAGCTGGCATAGAGCCGGCGTGTTCATCCACTAGTTAAGGGACTTTGGGCCCATGGGTGCTGAGAGCTCTTCGCTCTACCTGGGGCGCCAGAGGTAATGGGACTCATTCCTGCTCCCATGGAGCTTGTTTTAGTGGGAGAAATGAACTATTCAAGAACTGATTTGAATAGATTGCAGTTAGAGCTGCAATAGAGATATACACACAGGGCATCAAAAAACGCTGCATTTCTTTCTGTAATGTTTAAGTCTCAGAATCAAGGACAGAATTTCAAGAGATTCAAGATGACATTGGACAAATCCTTTTTATTTTACAGTTAAAGCTGAAGTTCAGAGACTGAAGTGATTTTATCAAGGCTACATCAATAATTAACGACTGAACCAAAACATAGAGGCCAATGTTGTTGAAATGGTCAGTGGTCACACTTAAGCCTAATGAAGCAAAGTTTTTGAAAAATTAGGGCCCATAAAATCAGCTTACACATGTAAGATGACCTGTGTCTTACCTGTGTGTGAATACTTGCCTGTTGACCATTTACTATCTGTCCTTGCAGAACGCAAAACACCTTAAGGTGTCTTACTAAAGAGAACTGGGTTCTATCCCCAATCAAAATGTTCTTTAGTTGTTCCCACTGTCCCAGGACTTATAATTCATGCCTGGGAGTGCTTGGTAACACAGATTTCACAACCAGGCAGCTAATGCAACGAGGAGCTTCAAGGGCCTGAGGTGGGAGATGTTCTTCTCCTTCCATGGTGGAGGCCAGGACAACGCTCCCGGGAAGGAAAGAGAACACTCTGACCCTGAATGTGTTCTTATCATAGAAGCCTTCTATTCTGGAAGTGCTACTTTTATTTTGTAGCTAAAATGATCAAAGAAAATAAAATAAGTGGTGTTAGAAACACGTTTACAAAAATAAATAGAATTTTCAATCAGTTTACTCAGATTTCTTCAAGTACTACTACTAATAAAAACACATCTTTTATTTCTAATGCTCTTATTTCTTGCCAATGGGAAAGACAAAAACACCGACATGCCCACCCACTGTGGCAAATGTTGTATTATTTCTGTGATCGACGGACATGGTGCCATGGGAATGAGGATGGGGCTATTGATTGTCAACAAATATTTATGGAAGATCTGATACTTTCTAGACATTGTGGGTGCAGAAAACCCATAAAATGATCTTGTTCTCAGCACCTTATTACATGGTTGAATAGAAAAGACAGCAAATACCCAGAAATTAGTAATAAACACCCGGAGTTCGAACCTGCAGAGAGCCATAATGGTGCCACTGCACTCCAGCCTGGGTGACAGAGTGAGACCCCATCTCCAAAAAAGAAAAAGAAAAGAAAAAAAAATTAAGTGTCCAAGGACAATAGGTGGAGTCTGTGAGTTAGAGGAGTCTGGCTCCTGGATGAGGGGAGCAATTAGGGGGTAGTTCCTGGAGGAAGAGCTGGGCTGGGGTGAACTGAAACACACGTGAATTTTAGTGATTGCTGAGAAAGGCAATAGAGTTCATGGCACTCACAAGGACAGGGCAGGGGATCCTTAGACGATAAAAAGCATGGACAGGGAGCTGAGAGCTTTCAGACTATTTCAGGTCTCACATGGGCTAAGATGGCTTCTACAGGGCTGGGGCGACCCACACAAAGCCTGTTACTCATCTCTGCCTATGGTAGACTTTGCTAGTAGTGTCCATGGCATTTTATGGACTAAGGAGAACTATGTATGGTGGCACGCAGTGGCCTACTCTCGAAGGGCAGAAACACCCTCCACAGGTAAACACAACTTCAGGTTCTCTTGAGAATGCTCTTCTTCCTGAGATCTGATTTTTCCTTTTTTTTTCTGCGATGTCATGTGGTCATCAGCAGCTAATTTACATAACAGATATGTCTGTTGTCTCAGGCCTTGTTTGGAGACCTGAGACTGCAATGGAGAACCAAACAGATGGGGTCTCTGTTCTCCAGCAGCCCCGGGTGTGCTTCCCAATCTCCTCTGATGACATCTCTTACTCTGCCTGCTCTTAAAAGCAGCTGTTCCTTATAGGCCTGTCCTCTAGGATCCTTTCTCTACATACGCTCCCTTTGTGGCCTCTTCTACTTGGATGCCATCAATTAACAACCTTGCAGAGATTCCCCAAATAGCCATTGTAGCCCCAAACTCTCTCCTGAGCTCTGGCCAACAGTCTCCACCCGTCCTCCCAACCTGCTCCTGTCTTAGATGGGTCACTGCTCTGTGAGTAGCACCCCACCCCCACCCCTGGTCCGGCGATAGCCAAGAGAGGCCTGTTCCGCTCCATGCCTCCCTCTTTCCTTTTCTGCACCTTCCACTCCTATTCAATTCAACCCTCAAACTCCTCCATCTTATTTCCTCTTCTCCACCCCTGCCTTACAGTCGTCTTGTTCAGGTGCAGATCATCTCTCTCCTGGATTATTCCAAGTGGCTCCCACCAGACTCCCTGCTACCAGTTTTACTGTCCGCAATGCAGTCCTCTCATTGTCAACAAAAGTAAACTTTCTATAAAGGCAAGCCTGACCGCGCCCCCTCCCTGCCTAATGTTTTCAGTGGCTGTCGACTGCCCTTAGGAAACAGCCCCACCTCGCTCAGAGGAACTTTGTCGACCTGCTGGTGCTCCCGCAGCCCAGGGCCCACCTTCGGCAGGTGGCTCACTGCTGAATTGCTCCCGCCACATAGGGACCCTGAACTGCTGTCACAGTGGAGCCCTCCCAGGTCTCTGTGACTGAGGAAATGCACACAATGTGTTTCTCTCCTTGATGAACTTCTCTCCATTTGGGCCACAGCAGAGCCTTTCCTAACATTCTGGACTAGGGTAGTTGGGTTGGCTCAGGGCTTGCTTGAGGCTGATATCGCCCGTGCAGGACTGCCTGTCTAGTGTCTCTTTTACCTGATACGGCACGAGTTCTGGGAAGCCAGCATCTGAGTCTGGTTTCACTTTTGATTTTTCCTTTTCTCATCTGTAGCTGCAAGGCATAGATGAATTAGGAATAGTAAATTCGAGTCTGGATTTGAATCCAGGTCCATTTGACTCTCAATTTGTGTTTCCTTTACCACATTCCTGTTTTCTCTAAGTTAACTTCACACTAATTAGAAAAGTAAAGATTTTTTTTTTCTGAATACTATCCAGAAGGGAGACTAATTGTCCTTTATAGATTTTTCCCCCAGATGTTCTGCTTGTAGACTTTGGCTAATATAGCTCTATCTTGTGTCTTTTTCTTTTCTTTTCTTTTTTTATTGTGTGTGGGGCAGGTATATGCTATAGAAATGAATTCTTGAGGCCATTTTGCATCTCCACATACAGCACCTAATCTCAGCTGTTCTACCTGAGACCCCTTGAGTGCCAACCCTAGTGATACAGACTGGAGACAGGGAAATACTGGATAGAAAAAAGAAGTTCCCTGGCAAAGGCCCCACCCCCAAGCTTGGAAACCCATGGCCCTAAATGAGAACAGGCACTCCTATTTTTGCTCCCTAAAATAGAAAAAAAAATACTGCCTTTTGGTCTGCCATGTCCCCATCCTGTACTCATATAAACCCCAAACCCCAGGCTCCATGAGGGGACAAACAGAAGAGCAGAAGAATGGCAGAATAGTGCAACATAAAGAAGAGAAGGAGTGTCTGAATGCTGAGAGGAGTTTGGCTGGGGACAGTTGGAGACAAGATTGGCCACTGGGCAGCCAAACCCCAGGGGAAGATCGTCTTCCCACTCCATCCCCTTTCCAGCTCCCTATCCATCCCTCTGAGAGCCACCTCACCACTCAATAAAAACCCTGCATTCATCCCTGAGTCTGTGTGTGACCTGATTCTTCCTGGATGCTGAACAAGGACCCAGGTACCAAGAGGGCACTGAGTTGGTTAACATGTAAGCCATCTGCGAACTGCAAAGCTAGAAGAGTGCACTGTGACATGTGCCCACTTGGGCTTCAGGAGTCTCAGGCTACCACCCCTGGATGCCGCTGTGGGGTCAGAGCCCAGGAGCTCTGGCCCTGGCTCCTGCACCTGCTCGTCTGTGTGCTCCCCCTCCCATAGGGGTTGGAGTGCGCATAGTGGCCAAATAGATGAGCCACATCCCTGTCGCATGTCCTGCAAGGTGGATCAGGGAACTCTCCCATTTCACTAGTCCCTCTTGCTACCCCTTTTCCTCTCCAACAATTTGAAAGCAACAATCATGAACCAGGGAAAGCTCAGCCGACTGCAGGCACCAGTGTGCATTGGTGAGAAAGCAACTGCTTGCGGAAGGAAGAAGGTGGTCCGTAGAACAGCAGCAGCAGATTAGAAAAAACTACAGCTCTCCTTAAAGAAGTTAGGGGTAAACACTATCTCTGGTACTGAAGAGGTGAATATGTTTACAAACCAATGAACAGCAATCCACTTTAGCAACCCTAAAGGTCAGGTATCTCTGGGAACACTTTCACCATGACAGGCCATGCTGGGACAAAGCTGCTGAAAGAAATGCTACCAGCTGGTTTACCATTGTAAACCAGCTTGGTGCAGACTGACTAGTTTAAGGAGGCTGGCTGGAGCTCCACCAAACTATCTGTAGATGGAAAAGCAGCACTTGCTGCTGGAGAGGATGATGATGATGATAGTGAAGTTCCCGATCTTGTGGAGAATTTTGATGAGGCTTCCAAGAATGAGGCAAAGTGAATTGAGTCAACTTCTTTTTTTTTTTAATTTTATTATTATTATACTTTAAGTTTTAGGGTACATGTGCACAACGTGCAGGTTTGTTACATATGTATACATGTGCCATGTTGGTGTGCTGCACCCATTAACTCGTCATTTATCATTAGGTATAGAATTGAGTCAACTTCTAAAGAAAGTAGAAGTTGAAGAAGTTACTGGGAGCTGCTATTTTATATTATGACTGCTTTTCAAAATTGTTTATGGATCTCATAAAATCTAAATCTATAATATTTTTAAGCCCAAGTCCCTTGGATACTGCAGCTGTTTTTAGTTTTTGTTTATACACAATTCATTCTTTGCAGCTAATTAAGCTGAAAAAACCTGGGAATAAAGTTTGAAACAAAGATGAATAGAGTTCTTTGCCTAATTAAAAACAAAAGAAGTGAGTTCTTGAGTGTGAAGAGTGTTTTAGTTTTCGTGGTCTCTGCTCGTTTTCAGTGCCAGCCTCACTTTCATCCATGCTTGATTCTGGAGTGCTGGTGTGCCCTTTGAAGGTTGTCTGCAGGTTGAAGCTCAACCTGGAGCCAAAGCTCTGAGTCTTGGGGTTCAGCCAGGAGGCTCTGAGACTTGTTCACGGGCTCTGCAGCCTCTGAGACAGTGCTTCAGCTCCGTCCCTGTCACTATCTGGAAGAGCCACGGATATCCTGGGGCCGTGGTGGGACAGCTTTGGGAGGAAAATGAGATTTTCTTTGCATGCGATCGAGCGTCTGTGTCAGCCTGTGGAGTTCCCTCTGTTGTGCCTGGAAGTACTGAACACTTGCTCTTATCTTGCCTTCACCGGCCTAGGCAGGAGCCTGCACAGGGCCAGTGGGGAGCTGGCAGCAAGAGGGAAAAGCGCCGTGACCACTAGCCGACTGTGTGAATATGCTCTTTATTCTGCTGTAAAGGTGATGGTGTTGGTGTCCTAGATGCTTCACCAAAATATCCAGCTAGGAAGTGAGAAATATATCTAATTTTCAAGAGTTTATTAAATTAATCTGATAAACTTGAATTTAGGGATTATTCAAGTGAGACTTCATCTATATGCTGCTCAGAAAATACCCAAAATATTTACAGAATATCAGGATAGCACATTTCTTTTTAAAATTTTGGTTAATAAAAATAAAAATACTATGTATAAATTCTCAAAAAAGAACATACTTATTCACATGTGATTCATATAAATAACACCACAATTATGCCAATAAGTCTGATTTATAAATAGTATCTATTTACAAATAACAGCTGACAGTAAAGTAGGAAGTTGGGAAAATAAACATGAATGAAAACCCTTCCAAAAACATATTCAAAGTGTAATAAAAAATTACTGAGTATTAAACATAGCTTTAAAAAAACAATTCAGACATAAAGGATAATATGTCACATAAGTTGTTTTTTAAGAACAATTTGCTTCTGTATAAAACTTCCCCCAAACTTAGGAAGTCTGATTTTTTTTTTTTTAGGAGGGAATAATATATTTTATTGAAATAAAGAATTAAAATATTTTTATTATAAAAAAGAAAATACTGTATTTTCTTTTATTACTGAGGTTTCTTTGCATCCCTTTAAAATTTGCCCCTCAAATTAATGCCTCACTTACTTCACCCTAGTCCCGGCCCTGCTTCAGGCCTAGCTGAATCCAGAAGTTCAAATGATCACATCATGACTCAGTTCCTTTGGCTCTGCTTGTATTTGGTTTGGCTCTATGTTAGGCAGGTGCTTTCTACATGTGGCTTCTAATACTCACAGTCTTAGATGTAGAGAGGCTGTTTCTCTTCTAAGCGCACCGCTTACTGATCTTTGAAAAAATATTCTGCTTGAATCCATCTGAAACATATGATACTCTGGAAGAATTTTTGAATGATAGGGTACCCTCCAATCCAGGAAGATGTGGAGTTTCTGGATTAATCCTCGTTCCTTTCTTTTTGGAAACTCAATATTTTTTTAAAAAAATCATGTTTATAGTTTTTAAAATTCTCATTAGAAGGTAGAAATAGTTTTTTTTTTTTTTTTAAATTGATCATTCTTGGGTGTTTCTCGCAGAGGGGGATTTGGCAGGGTCATAGGACAATAGTGGAGGGAAAGTCAGCAGATAAACAAGTGAACAAAGGTCTCTGGTTTTCCTAGGCAGGGGACCCTGCGGCCTTCCGCAGTGTTTGTGTCCCTGGGTACTTGAGATTAGGGAGTGGTGATGACTCTTAAAGAGCATGCTGCCTTCAAGCATCTGTTTAACAAAGCACATCTTGCACCGCCCTTAATCCATTTAACCCTGAGTGGACACAGCACATGTTTTAGAGAGCACCAGGTTGGGGGTAAGGTCATAGATCAACAGCATCCCAAGGCAGAAGAATTTTTCTTAGTACAGAACAAAATGGAGTCTCCTATGTCTACTTCTTTCTACACAGACACAGCAACAATCTGATTTCTCTATCTTTTCCCCACATTTACCCCTTTTCTATTCGACAAAACAGCCATCATTCTCAATGAGCTGTTGGGTACACCTTCCAGACCGGGTGGCGGCAGGGCAGAGGGGCTCCTCACTTCCTAGAAGGGGCGGCCGGGCAGAGGCGCCCCTCACCTCCCAGACGGGGTGGCGGCCGGGCGGAGGTGCCCCCCGCCTCCCTCCCGGACGGGGCGGCTGGCCGATCGGGGGCTGCCCCCCGCCTCCCTCCCAGATGGGGTGGCTGGCCGGGTGGGGGCTGCCCCCCGCCTCCCTCCCGGACGGGGCGGCTGGCTGGGCGAGGGAGGAAGTCTGATTTTTAACACAAATGACTAGTTCAGGATCCTGGTGAATTGAAAATATCCACCTTTTAAAGTGTAAAATCAGTGGAGGAGCTCATGCAGATGATCAGCATGAGTGTACCCTAATACACCACAGAGGGGCCAAGAGGCAGTCCTCAGGGGGCATATGAGCTGTCACAGTGGAGACTGTGAAACAAGATACTTCAAGCAGATGTGTCCATCTTTGAGTTTTATAGCACAGGGAATGAGATGTCACAGCATACTTTTCAAAAGAATTCTATGAAAACTATAACTGAAGCAAATGTGACTAGTAAGCAATGAGAAGTGTGCCCCTTTAGGGCAATGTATGAAAATGCAGTTAGAGGCAAACTATGAAGTTCGAGCCACGGTTGGTATTTCTTGGTTCACTTTGGAAGCCTGCTATCTTTTTTGAGAAGAAAACCAAAAAGATGAATGCTGGAAAGTATATGCATGATTGAATTACAGATAACTTCTACTTTTTTTCACCTAACCTCCAGTACAGCCAAAGACATTGGCGCTCCCCATTCCTTGCCACTCACTAAAGGGTGGAGAGCTTCCCTGCTGGGTCCAGTGCTAAAGATGGAATTCCCCCACAATCTCCCAGCTCCTCCCCCTCAGTCCCTGGCCCCCACATGGAAGGTGGTCTCCCTCCTTCCAGACCCCTGAGGCTGCCTGTGGCTGTGGTGTTGGGGTCTGCTTGGGACAATCAATCCCAGGCCTTGCTTTCCTTCCTGTGTACTTGCCCATGCTCCTATTCCTTCCAACCAGGCCTGCCTCCTCAGGCAGCTGTGTCAAAAGCAAGACATTTAAGACAAGTGGTGACTGCTCTCTGCTTTCTCTTGATTAGAGAAGAATTTAGCACAAGTTGTAGTAATTAAAAAAAAAAATCTAGCTCATTTGCTCAAAGGACAACAGTTTAAAAGAAAACATATTCAGCATGACTCTCACTTTGCTTTTAGGTGACAATAAGGTTTTGGAAACCCCCCTTATAATTAGCCAGGGAGTGGCAGCTGACTCTGGTGGTGGCTTGCCCAGCATCCATTCTCGTTCCCTTTTGCCAACAGAATCCTGCAGGGTGACACTGCCTGACCACAAATACTCATCTTCTCTCCCTCTCCTGCTGCTGCAGAGGCCAGAAAGGTTGGGCCAATGAGGCCTATCCTGGCCCCACTCATGGGCACTATTTCCTTTTCCCTGAGCCCCTCCTCTGATTCCAGCTGCCCTGTGGTCTCTGGTCACACACAAGCACTGATTATGCAGGGACAACCTTGTAGCTTGTGCTTCCAGCCCAGGTCATGGCTTTCATTTTCTGCTGTGGGGCTTCTCAGATCCTGCAACATGGGAAGCCCACACTAGAGATGTGGGATGTTAGCATTCGTGGAGCACCTGTGACTGATGGGATGGCAGCAACAGACAGATGTGTCCCCTTTTATCTGCCAGGTCTAAGTTCTGAGAAGCATTTGGAAGACTCTGCAGTTCTTTTGCAAGACATCTATGGTGCTGGCCAACTGGATAATGTGTCCTTAGAATGGTTTTTCCCCCTTTCCAGCTTTCTTCATTCCTCACACCTGCTCCCTGAGATCACATTCCTATGTAAACTCCCTGCAGCTATGTCTTTATCTCAAGCTCTGTTTTCTGGGAAACTATAGTATTATAAGATGTCTGCAAGAGCAGGAATCCAGGGCATCTTTTTAAAAGGAAGAGACAGATAAAATTGGTAAGCCCCTTCTTTCTCATTCCCACTGGTAAAGACAAAAGTCATTTTGTCATGATGAGTGTGAAGGCCACATACTAAGGATAATAAAGCACAAACGTTGTCACTGTTGACACTGCTGAGCAACTACAGCCACCTAGACAACCTCCTCTGGTCTTGTATGGTGCAAATAGTTCATCTGTTTGGGTCTGATTAGGATTTTCTGTTATTTGCAGCCCAAATCATTCCTAACTGATAGAGTAGAAAACAACAACAAAAAAAGAGTTCTTGGATTTACAAATCTTAGGGTAGTGATTAGAATCTTGCCTTTTGAAAAATCTTGCATCTCTTCCCCTTGCTTGCTATGAAGGGCCCGAGGGAGCCTTCTCTGCTCTTCCTGACAATTACAGGAGCTAGGGGTGCAATCGTTTTCCACCTGCCTTTGGGGATGCCTGGTGTAGGTCCAGTGCTGCCAATGTTTTCTTCTTGTTCTTTTACTTTTCCATATTATTATTTACTTTCTGAAATATGAGTTAGATACACAAAAAGTAATATGGAGAAAATCATGGCACACGTTTGGAGCTCTTACACTATTATCCTTATGGATTCTAAAATGTCTTTTATCACTCACAGGGCCTTTTCCTCACTAAAGGTACATTTGGCTTTCATTGATTCAGCCTTGTTTCACAGCAAGAGTGCAGTAGTTTACAAAAACACATAGCATGAAGTGAATTAGTTAACTGCACCTCACTTCAACTAGCTTGACTGAAAGTTAGTCTCATTCCATGGAATCAGCAAGAGGGAAAGGGGAATTTATGTGTTGTGCACTTCAGCATTTGAATATATGATTGTTTTAGGATTTTTGTCTTTTTGAAGGTGTAGCAAGGCTGCCAGAAATGCAATGGCTCCAAGGTACAGCTGTCAAGAAATATCTACCGAAAGGGTATTGCTTCATTAAACATAGATCTTTCCTTTGTTCATTAGGATCTTGCCAGATGGGAATTCAATGTTTTGAAAGCAGGCACCCACATGGAATTTTGTTTCTGACATTGACGAATGACTGAATCTCTCCGTGGAGTTTTGTTATGGGGTGTCAGTGAATGTTAGCTGAGGGTGTGACTGTAACTTTTCATGATACAGAGATCTGTAGGTGTCAAGCCAGTCTATGGTTGAGCAATCATAGTACAGCATCCATATCTATAAATCAAAAGGGTAGAGGCAAACTTTTGAATTTAAATTTGCATATTGTAAGATTCTTCCAAGTGGACTGAATAGCATTTTTTTTTTTAAACTTCTGTTGAACTTTCAGGTAATGTCATTTACTGTGCCTGATGAGAAATACAGGCAGCACAGATAAAACCCTGGGTTGCTGATCAGAAGAACCAATAGCCAAAGCAATGAAGTTACTCCTGCCTTAGGTTACTGTACCTCCTGAGTCAGCTGACACCTGGTACCTCCGCACCATTAACTTGACAAGAAACCCCGCCCTATATTCATAAGGATCTTTGGAGGGTGAATAAATTATTTCTATTGTAGCATTTGCAGACCTCCTCATATGGCAGGTGCTTTGCTACGTGTTGCTCTTTTGTTACGTTCTGCCGCAGGAGGTCAGTGAGGTGCCTGTTTATGGAGTTGGAGAAGCTAAGAATCAGAGAAGTTAACACTTATCTCAGTCACTTAGCTAGTAAATGGCACAATTGACGTTCAAACCTAATGTGTCTGACTCAAAAGACATTTTTTTCATTCTTCTCTACTGCTTAGTGTAGTGATTAAAATCGTGTGTGGTGGAGTCAGTCAGAGTTCAAGTCCCTGCTTCGCTGATGACTAGCCATGTCTTTCTGCAACTAACTCAATCTCTCACCCTCTCTGTTTTGCCATTCAAAATCAGGTGTATCTTATCGTGGTTTTGATTTGCATTTCCCTGATGATCAGTGATGTTGAGCATCTTTTCATATTCTTCTTGGCCCTCTGTATGTCTTCTTTGGCGAAATGTCTATTCAAGTCCTTCACTTATTTTTGAATTGGGTTGTTTGTCTTTTGTTGTTGAGTTGTCAGAGTTTTAAAAAATACTTTGATATTAATCCCTTATCAGATATATACTACATTTAATATTTATCTTTTAAGAAGCAACAGAGGCCTTTTAAAGAGCTGAGGAAAATGGCAAAAAATATTGGCAACTAATGCTGCTCTCATGATATTCCCCATAGTGGAAACTCATGAAGGGTTTTCATTTGGCAACTGTAGAAGTTGGACATGCTCTCTTTATGGCACTTACAATTTATTCTTTGGTAGAAGGAAGAATATTAACAACTCAGTAATGTTTTCTCTGTTTCCTTGAAAAAAGACAATTGCAGCTTTTGAATTTGTAAGTTGAGTAGGAAAATAGAGGATAATACCAAAGCAAAAAGGTGTCTGAATGGAAAGGTATTTCATTTGTCCATTCAGGAGATTTGTTTTACTTTACAAAATGGTGCAATGGAACAAATACCTATGTTACCATTTTCCTTCCCCTCTTGTCATTTATTTTTCCTTTGGACTGTTATCCTCTCCTCTGAACTGTTCTCTGTGTGAAAATGTTATACCTTCTTGATTTTCAAATGCTTTCAGAATAGCAACAGGTAATGGGAGATCAATATTTAACAATCTCCATATTTAAACTTAAGCATTTTCCAGAATATTATAACCCCAAAATCTTTTTTTCCCATTGAGCCATTAAAAAAAGAAAATAAATTAAAAGCACAGAGAGCCTCCCAGAATGACTGAAGTGTCTGTTTGCTCTAGATGTACTTATATGGCCAACAGTATAGTGGTAATAGAATGCTATTCCTCAGTGCTATGAAATGAAGATGGTGGATAATAGCGCAGCAATATTACTAAAACAGAGAAATGATGTCTTGAATTCATTAAAGTGCAATCTAGCCAATGATAAGTCATCCTTCCATGTGGCAAAAGAGAGAATCTGGGTGCACAAAATATGGGCATATTTGTTAAGTCAAAAATATAAGGCCTAGAGGATAACATTCTACATAATGTGGCCAATGTATGCTATAATCATTAGGGATGACTTAATTTTACTTATTACAATATTCTAATCTTAGAAAGGAGTTGAACTCAATGTACTATCCATTTTGAAGAGCTTTAAAAAGCATTTCAGTGTGATAAAAATTACCGGCTCTTGTTATTTTGTAAAATTTTCTTCATTTGAAAACTCCAAAAAACAATTCATGGTTTTATTTATATGGATTTTGCAAACATAAATATGTAGGGAATTAAAGTGATAGGGAGGAAAGGTAAGATTGTGGGTTTTTTTGGTAGATCACTTTTATTACAATAAAACAAGTGACTATTTGCTTGGATCTAACATTATTATCTGTTGGGAATACATTTCAACCCTAATTGAGATTAAAGGCCTGCAACAGTAAATCAGATTTTGCTAATCAGCTCTTCTTATACTACAAACGATTCCTCAAAAAAATGGCAAGCAGTTTATTTCTTCATTGAATTTTTTTTCTACTTTGATTACAAAAGGATAAAGCTTGTTTGACTAACCAAGTCTTTTAGCATATTAATTTACACTTAATGAATTTTTTGTGGTGAAACAATTGGCCCTTAATATACATGGGCCTGTGGTTTTATCTTCAGATTACTTGAGAGAAACCGGCTCAACGAGGTGTGAGGACAACGTTGGCCAGCCTTGCCTATTCAACTGGGGTGGGTGACAGAAGGCTCTGTTTCTGGGTGATGGTTAAAGGTATTTCATTTCATTCTCAAGTGTCCTTGTTTGAATGCCAAGTTATATAATCATTCTACATTTAGCCAGCTGCTGCTTATGATAAGACTGCCTAGGAATTTAAAGTTCCTTTATTTAAAAAAGACAGGCATATCAAACCTGAGATAAGGAATGCCTTGTGGTGCTATCTATTTCAGGTGAAATTTTCTATGTGTTTAGCCTTAGGGCAGCTATGCCTTTGCATAGCAGCAAGCTGATATTATAAATACTTCCTAAAGCACAAGTTTATCTAACATGATTTTCTGAAGATTCAAATGTATGCTTGTTTTAAGTTAATGCTTTTCATATTAAGTCATTTAGAAATAGCCAGACATATTTAAACTCCAAATACTAGTTTAGCAGAATTTTTATTGACTCACATTTTTAGGAGAAAGATAAAAATAATCTTAAAATTAGCTCACGTTAGAGATTTAATTGTGATGAGTACCCTTTCAGCTCAGCCTTCCAGATTTTTTATTTCTATGGTTTATTGTTGCATAATGAGAAGTAATGTTTAGAATGAGTGCTCTGAGACTCTGCAAAATCATGAATAATTGAAAAAAGTCATATTTTTCTTACCCATTAATCATAAGGTATTAGAAGTATTTTCAAAACAGAAGTTTGAAAGGAATATTTTAACAGTTGCCAGGAATTCAATAAACCCAATTATACAGTTTCCTGAGCATTGTGTTTAATCTAGATTTGTCTGTAAAATGTGCCATAGATAGAATGTAGACTTTTTTTCTTATACTATAGAAGCTAAAGTCATTATATTTTCTTATACTGTAATAACTAAGGTTGTCTGTTTACATTAACTTTGATACATGTGATCAGTGTCCAAATACTTATTCAACAAATGTTAATTAAGTTAGTACTATGTCCCAGGCATGATTCTAGGTGCTTGGGATATGAGTGAGTTAAACAGAGAAAACCTACTGCCCTCATTGGGCTTACATTTTAGCAGAGAGAGAAAGAAAATACATTAGAAACACAATAAATAAACATATGCTATAGTATTTCAGATGGTAAGGAATTCTACATAAAAGAAAAAATGAAAGTAGAGTAAAGCCAGTCAGATGTGCCTAATGAAAATTAGCTGAAATCAGCCCAGTAGTACCATAGGTAGTTTTTTTTAGATAAACACAGAAATGGACCCTTTTGGTCTTAAAGGTTGAAACTTACATTTGTTTTATCTGAGTTCCCTCCTCAGGAAATGGCCTTCAGGCCTCTCAAAAAAGAAAAAAAAAATCAAAGAACTGAAACTTACCATGTTACCACACCCAGACAATGACATGCCAGAGGCCTCATTCCTCATAATTGCTTCCTTGTCTCTCTCCTAGTTCCTGGTTTCTTATACATTGTTGCATTTCTTCCCTGCTATTTAAACCCCTAGTTTTAGTCAATCAGGGAGATGGATTTGAGACTGAATTCCCATCTCCTTGGCTGCAGTACCAGAGTAAAACTTCTTCTTTGGCAATACTTGTTGTCTCAGTGATTGGCTTTCTGTGCTGCAAGCAGCAGGACCTAGAACAAACCCCTGGTGTTTCAGTAACAATAAATGCTGGATAAAAAGAAAAATGAGAATAAGGTAAGGACAGTCAGATATGCCTAATGAAAATTAGACAGCTACAAGTATTTTTTGTTGACACATTATAAAATAACTGTATACTGCATATATATACTTTTGGAAACAGTGGTCTAGGCCAGCATTTCCATTTGGAAATTGTAGAATACAAAGTTCCTTAACAAAACAAAGTCACTTAACAAAAGTAAGTTGACAAAAGTAATTGGAGAATAGAATACATGTAGTTTTTAGAACTCATAGCTCTCTGGTTCCCAACCATGTATTATTTCTTTTTCATAATTCTGGAGCTTCATGACAAACTCTCAACTGTATTAGATCTTTGTAATGTTTATAATTTGAAGACAAGCCATATGTATAACTGAAGCAAACAATCACAATACATTGATATGTTCAAGAGATAATTTCGGCTGGGTCCGGTGGCTCATGCCTGTAATCCCAACACTTAGGGAGGCCAAGGCAGGTGGATCACTTGAGGTCAGGAGTTTGAGACCAGCCTGACCAACATGGCAAAACCCTATCTCTACTGAAAATACAAAAATTAGCCAGGCATAGTGGTGTGTGCCTGTAATCCCAGCTACTTGAGAGGTTGAGGCAAGAGAATCCTTTGAATCTGAAAGGTGGTTGCAGTGAGCCAAGATTGCACCATTGCACTCCCGCCTGGGTGACAGAGCAAGACTCTATCTCAAAAATAAAATAAAAAAGATAATTTCAAAGTTTTAATTGCTAGTTTTCTATATTTAATACCATGATATCTGTAAACTGTGACAATTTAACTTCTTCATTTCTGATTTGGATATCTTTTATATATTTCTTTTTCTTACCTGATTTCTCTGGATTTTCAGTTCTACGTTGAACACATATGGTGAGAGTGGGCATTCTTATCTTGTTCTTGATGTTAGAGGAGAAGCTTTTCATTTTTCACCATGGAGTGTGAGGGCTGTGAGCTTGCCATACATGGCCTTTTTTGTGTTGAGGTCATGCCTTCTATATCTAATTTGTTGAGTTTTTATTATAAAAAGATGTTAAAATTTGTCAAATGCTTTTTCTGTATCTATTGGTATGACCATATGGTTTTTGCCCTTTGTGACAACATGGACGAACCTAGAAGACATTATGCTAAATGAAATAAGCCAGGCACAGAAAGACAAATACTTCATGAGCTCACTCCTATGGGGGATCTAAAATGGTCAGACTCATTCATAGTACCAGAGAGCAGAATGGCGGCTACCAAGGCCTAAGGGAGGTGGAGTATGTGAAGAGATTGGTCAAAGGATACAAAGTTTTCATTAGGAGAAATAAGTTCAGGAGATCTATTGTACAACATGGTGACTATAGTTGGTTGCATTGTATTGTATATTTGAAAATTGCTATAAAAGCACATTTTAAATGTCCTCACCCCCCAAAAAATTGATACATATGTGAAGTAATAGATTTGTTAGGTAGCCTGATATAGCTATTCCAGAATATATACATATATCAAAGCATCATGTAGTATACCATAAATATGTATAATTTTTCTTTGTCAGTTAAAATAGATTCTAAAAATTTAAAAAGAGACAATTTCATGTTCACTTGAATGGAAGGAGAAATCTATTTGCTTCTATAAAAGTGATACAATATAAAATCTAGAGCAAGACAGATTTTGTCTGGCTGCCCAGAATCAATTTTTGGTGGAGTCTCAGAGCCTACACTGGGAGTGGTGCAGTTAAAGGGATTAGCAGAGCAGACAAAAGGGAAAGCTGGGAAATAAGGACAGGAAATATTTTTATCTCTTTTTTCAAAGTTTAAATACCTTGATTGGCTCCTCTGGCTAAAAAGGCAATAGATGGTTATTATAAAAATGCTTATGGATAATATAAACATTATAATCAAAGTTGTCAAAACTCCTACTCCTCATTAACATTTAGAGTCTATCATTCTGGACTATTTGTGTGCATAGATATTTGCATATTGACTAAAATTTCACATAGATAATGTGCAAAACTTTGTGAATCAATTTTGTTTAATGATATTCTATGAACAATATTTTTGTTATACTATATTGTGAATATCATGTAAATGATGTTGGTACATACATATATACATATGTAGTTAAGTACATGGATATCCTTTTTACTTTAATGACTACATAAAATCTCACCATGTTCATGTACCATAATTAACTTATCCTTCATTTCTTTGTAGAAATTTAGTAATTTACTGATTATAAACAATACTGTGATGAGTTTGCATTCTTGTGCTCTTGTCTGGTCAGTTTCTTAGAATAAATTCTTAAAAATGGGATTTTGGGGGCCAGGCATGGTGGCTTACGCCTGTAATCCAGCACTTTGGGAGGCGGAGGTGGGTGGATCACGAGGTCAGGAAATTGAGAACATCCTGGCGAACACGGTGAAACCCTGTCTCTACTAAAAATAAAAAAAATTAGCCGGGCGTGGTGGCCGGCACCTGTAGTCCCAGCTACTTGGGAGGCTGAGGCGGGAGAATGGCGTGAACCCGGGAGGCGGAGCTTGCAGTGAGCCAAGATTGCACCATTGCACTCCAGCCTGGGCAACAGAGTGAGACTCCGTCTCAAAAAGAAAAAAAAAAAAGGGATTTGGGGTCAAAAGATGTTCAAAATTTATAATTACATTTTGCAAGTTTGACTTCCAACTGACATTAGTAATGAAATTTACTAATTCTTGCCAATACAATTAATCAAATTTGATCTCTTTAATTTGCATTTATTTGATTACAAATGAGGCTTACCACACTTCTACATTTATCTGCTAATTGACTCACTTCCTCTTCCTCAGCAGGGCTCCTTCTTCATCCCTTAGCAGTCTGCTCGTCTTCTGCTTAAACCCCAAAGGCTGGAATCCCCAAACATGTCATTTCAAATCCTCTTTTTCTCCTATTGCCCCCCTCCCTAATTATCTCATCTGGTCCCACATTTTAAATATTGACATGCTAGTAACTCCCAGATTTATAACTCCAGCTTTGACTTCTCTCCGAATTTCAGTGCCTACCTGAAACTTCAACACTTGAACTAACGTCCTATGGAACACAGGTTTAGCAATTAATTATTTTTCATCAATTTTGTTTGGTATAAATTGAACCTAAGGTCTCCTCTCAGTTCAACGTTTTGGTCTATCATGTTTTTGAGCATTCTTTCCCATAGATTCGGTTCTCTTCTTCAAGGATTCTAATTATTCCTACAAAGGGTCTCCATTATTTTTCTTCCGTATCTATGAGCTCTCTGATTTTTATATCTGTGTTCTTTTCCTTTGAATTTCAGCCTGTACTCCACATTGCTGATGTACTTCACTTCTCTGCAATGGCAATTCTATTCTTTACAATTTCCTACAATTTAAGTTCATAAGGGTTCTGTTTCTTTTACATTATTCTTCTCTCTGTGAACTCTCTTTTTATTTTAGTCTGCTTTCTTAGCTCCATTGTCTTTTCACCTCCATTGTGCAGAGCCTACAGTAGGTGCTTATGGAAGATAAAAAGATAAATGACTACAGACAGTGACTTCCTGGAGCCAGTTGTCTTGTTGACAGGCCAGATCCAGGGCCTCCCCTTCCTGCTCCAGGGTGACTCAGGTGCCCTTCTCTGTCATTCCAGGTGAATCACGATCAATGTGCTCATCATACTCTGACTTACCTGTTTTTCTCTCTTTCAACTTGGAATTTTGAGAGGACAAAAACTTTCTCTTACTCGACATATATTCTCAGGAGCTAGTACAGGAGACTGGCACAAAGTGGGCCTTTTAGAAATATTTATTGATTTAATGAATCAGTGCATGAGTAAATATCAAGAAGATTTTAATTTAGATGTGGTTCTTATGATGCAATTTATTTATTGACCTTTGCTACACAAAAGGTCAAGGACATCTGAATGAATAAAGAAAATATTATATATATATATTTGTATGTGCGTGTGTGCATGTATATATATGTATGCACGCGCACACACACACGTGGACTATTATTCAGCCTTAAAAGAAAAGGAAATCCTACCATTTGTGACAACATAAACTGACCTGAAAGATATTATGTTAAGTGAAATAAGCCAGTCACAGAAGGACAAACACTGCATGATTCCATTCATATGAAGAATCTAAAATAGTCAAATTCACAGAAGCAGAGAATAGAATGGTGGTTGCCAGGGGTTGTGGGGAGGAGGAAATGGGGATTTGTTGCTCAGTAGGTATGACATTTCAATTATTCAAGACAAATAAGTTCTAGAGATGTGTTTTGCAGAACAGTATCTGCGGTTAACAAAACAGAATTGTATACTTTAAAATGTTTTAAGATGATAGATCTCATGTTAAGTGCTCTTACCACAAACAAAACCAAACCAAACCAAACAAAAATGAAACCACACAAAAATACAAGAAAATTTGTGGAGGTGATGAGTATGTTTAGTACTACTTGGCTGTGGTATCATGAGTATAGGCATATGTCCAAACTCATCAAAATATATACATTAAGTGCATTTTAAATATGCAAATATCAACTATGTCTCAATAGAGCTTAAAAATTCCCCTGAAAGATTTAAAAAGGGACTCTATATTTGAAAGCATGCTTGTCTAAATGTGAATTTCCTCACATGATGAACTGCTTGTCATGTGTCTGCCTCTGTTTTTATTAAAGGATTATTTATTCCACTGGACAGAGAGAGAGCGAGCAAAACAAACCACTGAAAATATCAGAGATGCTCAGTTCTACTAGAAGTGAGCATGATCCAAAACAAATTATTAAAATAGCTTATTTCATAAATTTGTTTATGAGAACTGGGTTTAAATTTCAGGCTATCATAAGTAGTAAAACCGTCTATGTAGATTCAGTAATGGTGCAATTCTCTTTTGAATGCTACAGAGAGCAGAACTCATTGGAATCCAAGCATTTTTTTTCTGCTGAAAACCCAGAGACCCCTTCAGTGGGCAGTTATGTGGAGACCCTCCATACCTGAGAATTGAAGCTTCAAAGGTTGACGTCTGTTTGATAGGCTTTTTAAGAAATTCACTGAGTTGGGAAAATTACACTCTTAGCAAAGAGGAGCGTAAGAAACCTCATATTGAAGTTTGATTTGCCAATGGCATTTATTTCAAATGTTTGACAAATCTAAGCTTTTCTGAGGGAATCTTTGAAACTCAAATAGGTAAGATGTTAAAAATTAGTCTCTTTTATTTGTTTTTCTGGCGCTCAGCTTGTAAACTCAACTTTACTATTTCAATCCTGTTACTCCTTCATTTGCATAAGAAAATGATTACCATAAAAATAATTCAAATTATTATGGTAGTTAATGAAAATAAATATAACTATGTTAAAATAAGTAGTTGTTCTCTTCATGCTTTAGCTCTCACAAAATCTACTGTGGAAGCCTTTTCTGATGGCTCCAATTTGCATTGGGTGTTCCTCCTGTGTGAATTCCCTACTTCCTCCCTTGACACCAGTATTTTAACTATGCATTTACTCATTGATCTAAATAGACTGTGAAGTATTGGAGGTAAAGAGTCTTACCAATTTTTTTTTTTTGAGACGGAGTTTCGCTCTCATTATCACCCAGCCTGGAGTGCAGTGGCACGATCTCAGCTCACTGCAACCTCCACCTCTTCTACCTCCCAGGTTCAAGTAATTTTCATGCCTCAGTCTCCCGAGTAACTGGGATTACAGACACCCTCCACCAAGCCCACCTAATATTTGTATTTTTAGTAGAGAAGGGGTTTCACCATGTTGGTCAGGCTGGTCACGAACTCCTGACCTCAGGTGATCTGCCCATCTTGGCCTCCCAAAGTGCTGGGATTATAGGCATGAGCCACTGCACCCCGCCAAGTCTTAGCTATTTTCATCTTCGTGCCTTCTGTCAGTTTTGGAAAATTCTCAGCCATTATCTTTTAAATACTGCTTCTAACTTATTCTTTCCACTTTGTCTGGAAATGCAATTTAAATAAATGTAAATTATGAATATCTTTGTGCATGTAAGAATCTGCACACATGTGCATGCACGCGCGCGCGCGCGCGCGCGCACACACACACACACACACACACACAGTGTTTTCACCAGGAGGGTTTGTCTGAACTATTTGGTCTGTCTTTGCCAGAAGCTGAATGCTGTAGCTGACATTAAAGAAGGAAATCAATTGACTGAGAGAATAAACACGCTCACTCCTTTATTTTAAATGTACTACAAATCTAAGTAAAACAAGGAATTCCTAATCCAGAAAATATTATTTCTTACACACATTATCTCACCGCATTAATTTATCTTGTTTAAGTAATATGCGCTTTCTGATAGAGAAATTATCACCTTCTCTTTCTCCTACTCTTTCTCCTTCTTCTCCCTCAGAGTTAGCCAGTACAAGTACTGTTTAGATGACCATGAGCTTCCCATGAAGCTTATTGTCACTATGAACCATGTTATTGTCCCTGTAGCATTAGTCCTTAATTTAATTTCTTGGATGTTTTATTAGCAATATGCCAGACCAAGTAACCTAAGGAGCTCTTCCAGTACAAGACGTGTAGCAAGAGCTTTCCTTTAATTTTACAGTAGACATGAGAAAAAATGAGGGCTATTCTCAAATGTTAAGGTGAAGAGAGAGCCCGGACATAGAGAAGTGACTGAGTCCTGGGGCAGAGGTCTCCTAGAGGGTGGGTCACTTCCCTGGTGGCCCAGGGCCCCCTTCAGTTATGTGGAGACCCCCCATGCCTGAGAATCAAAGCTTCAGTCAAAGGATGATCCAGCGGGCAGTACAAATTCTTTCTGGTCTCAGTCTTATCACCAAGTGAAAAAACGGAAACCATTTATTTATTTTTTTTCTGAGAAATCCTAACCATAAGCCAGCCCACAGTGTTGGGGCATGAATTCACATTACTTGAATGGCTCCAGTATCCCTGAGAAGAGAATTTAGTATAAAGTGTTTATGTGTAGGTGCTGTTTACTAAGGTCCAATAAAGAAAATGTATATATATTACATACATCAGACTAATGATTAAGATCTAGAATATACACAGTCCTAGAAATCAATAAGAATGAAAAAAGAGTAGAAGGGAAACTACAATACAAAAGGCATTTTATGTAAGTGATCACATTCATGTCCAATAAACCACCAAAAAATGCTTAACCTCATTAGAAATCAGAGGTTGCAAGTTGGTTGCAACAGCAATAAGGTATATTTCACATCCTCCACATTGGCTAAAATTAAAGTTTGAGTACCCCAAGTGTGGTCATCCATGTGGAGCAATGAGAAGTGTTATACACTGCTGATGGGAGTCTGAACTGATACAAACACTCAGGGAAACAATTTGTTCTTAACTAGTAAAGTGGAATATATGCATAACTTAGGGCAGGTAATTTAATTTCCAGGTACATAACTTAGATACATTCTTGCACACAGACACTAGGAAATATGAACAAGACTACTAATGACATCTTTGTAACAGCAAGTAACTCTTAGCAACCCAAATATCTTCGAATAGTTGAATGCACAGACTATGGTATACTCACAAAATGAAATACTATACAGCAGTAAAAAATAAATGAACTGCTACTACACACATCCACATAAATGACTCCTGAAAACATCAGTTAAAAAAGCAATTTGCAAAATATATGCATATGATCCCACATTATATAGTGCTTAAAACATATAAAACTTAAATATATATTGTCTGTGGGTACACATTTATATGGTAAATTGAAAGAAAATCCAGGAAGGGACAAAGAGAAAAGTGTAGGTTAGTGATTGCATCTCTATGGGAGCATGAGACCAGAAAGGGGCACATACATGGGACTTCAATGTTCTTGGTAGTTCTCTATTTTATAGGCAATGCCATGAGTACATGCATATTTGTAGTACGTTGGTTTTGGGATTTGCCAAGTCGGAAAGACTTGTGATAATAGTTTTTTTCCCAACTAAAACACAGATAAAATAAAAATACTAACATAATTTTATACTGCTTTGCTCTGGAAAACATTAGAAGAAATAAAGGCAAACATTCTAAATTAATTGTCCAAGAAAAGATTTTGGCGTGAAAAACTATGCAACTCAAATTTACAAAAGGATTTTTAATCATGCTGCATTTAAATTGCTTATTCTTTAAAATGTATGAACACATTAAATTAAATAGAAAATCCTACAGGGATTGATTATGAGTGGACACAAGAAGTTACTCGCAGGACTAGGCAGTACTTGCTGGCCACAGTTTCTGATAGGGTGGCTCAGCGAGGCTGGGTCTGGATTCTAGTGTTTTTATCAAGCATACCAGATGCAGGTATTCTAGTGACCACATTTTGAGAAGCTTTGGGTTAAAGTTGACATTAATAGTTTGCAAGATGGCAAATAAAAGGTAGAGAAACAAAAACAAAAACAAATCAAATCCTGAGATTGTTGGCAAAGATACGATTGTACTGGTTTATATGAAAAATGCAATAAAATTAACAGACAAATTAATGATCAATTCCCCATAAATAACATGTAATTGTTGGGGAAATATTTTGAAATGTTTTCTTTGGCTGCATTCTGTGCACAGATGTTAATAAGAAATGCCACTATCTTTTTTTTTTTTGGTATGAAAAGAGCCTCAAATTGAAGAATCTGTGCTCTACTGTTAAATTACTCCTGTGTAGAATGAAAAATTTGATTAATGTATTCAATTTAAATTACTTAGATAGCACAGAAAATTAAAAGAAGTTCCCTGAAAACTAAAAGATTAATGGCAAAATGTCATGGGTTCAGCAGCTTTGCACACAGTATACCTGGTACTGTATGCACATTCAACATTAGCTGATTAATAAAGAGTTCAGATAGCATTAGTGAATGTAAAGTGTAGAAAAAGATTGTCACTGAAAAAGATTATTCTGAATATAGAGGAAACGTGATGATAAAAATGAGATAATGAAAAATGTGGAATCTACCCAAGTTTTCAGATTCCAGAATCCCTCTTTGTGGCCAAATAGATTATGTTGAAATAGAAAACAGACCCCGGAAGTTTTCTTTTGTTTCTGCGTTTCAATATATTTCTGGATTGATTGGATACATTTGACAACAACTGATCAAGTGGGGGCCATTGATGTACTTAGACCAAATTCTGATGCTCTAAGTACAGTTCTGGGAACATGATAACAATTCACATTGATTCTTGAAGTCGGTGATGTTATTTAATCTTCCTATCAGTGGAATGCCATAGGTACTGTTATTACATCCATGTGATAGATGGGGAGATTGAGGCACCCCGCTTAAGTACCTTGTCAATGTCCCACAGTTAATAAAAAGCAGGATCGAAATTCACACCCTAATAACTATGCTAGAATCTTTCGAACAGGATTGTTGGAAAAAGGGAGCGTGTTAGTTGATTCTGACCTGCAAGTTCTAGTGAAAACTGCAAGGTTTGTTCGCATGGCTATGTACTTGGATTTAAAATAAGTTTTTCCCTCTACCATATTGCCAGAGTTTATTACTGAAACCTTTACCTCTATTCTCATTCAATTCTTACCCTAAATTTCCCAGGGCTCTGATGTGGAAGAGTCACGTTTCCACTTCAGCTCTCAGTTCCAGCATTCCATCACTTACGGAAGTAGCAGAGTCGATGCCAACTAGCAAACAAGTCATTCTGAAGTCAGTCTAAAAGTCAGTCTTTCTTCATCCAGCTTACTATAGAAGACAAATGGATAAAATAACAGGGTGTGCCTCTGCAATATTTATCAGATACATTATGCAAATTGACCATTCTGTATTTGAAAAATTGGGAAAAAATAAAAACCAGAATAAGTTGTTTCAAAAGTGAGCCTGGATGGAAAACATTTATTTTTCTAGTATTGTAAACATATTTAAATAAGTAATTTTTAATTAATACAGTGTTTTCACTTTCAGTGTTGTAACAAAAAATAAGTTGATTAATGGCTGGGATGGGGCTCAGGCTTCAGGAGTTTAAAAATTCACTTGGGTGAATTTCATGGGCAGTCTGAGCTGAGAACCACTGGCTTCAAGATTTCCCATCCAAGAACCACTGGACTTGGTTCTAAACAAAGAGACTGCATTTCGAAAATGTCTGAAAAATCTTGTCCTTGCTTTTAAATCAAGATATAGTTGAGTATCTCAACTTCCCTTTATTGAAAAGCAATCAGACTGTCAGAGATAAAATTTGTTTTGCAAGAATTAGAAAAATTTATAATGGAAAAGAGAATTCTCACTAATGTAAATCAATTGTTTTGGTAATCGATTTAATTACAGCAATGTGGAATGCAGTGTGAAATATATGACTGCAGAGATGATGCTAATTGCTTTAATTAGCTACCAAGGCTCAAAACCAAGAGGATCACTTAGTATAGGCAAAGTAGAATGGAAGAACAGTTCTGTAATTTTTTGGCCTGAAAGCTAAGCCCTGGAATTTCTAACTCACCCTCCTCTATGGCAAGGAGAAAATGATTATAATTGAATAATGCATTAAATCTGTATTGAAGTGATAGTCACTGCAAATTATTCAAAACAATATCTGAAGACCTATTGAATTGAAAGAGAAGTATATAATGCAGGTTGGGTGAAGGAGGCCAGTGACTCACTGTTTGAAATTCGCCTGCATCCATCAGTTTTTATTTTCACCTGTAATATACATATAATATTATTGAAAAAATATGAAGGCAAAAATGGTAAATGCTAGCAACTGAATTGCTAATAATAATTCATACAATTTATCATCTAATGTAGAAACTGGTATCCTGAATGTACTTGTAATCATACAATTTTGAGAAAAAAAAGACAATGTTCAATGTTAGGAAGCTTTCTATAAGAAACCTGGATAGTATTGTATTAGAATTTCTCTCTGTGTGTATATGTGTGTGTATCTGTGTGTGCATCTCTGTGTCTGTATGTATATGTGTGTATATGAATTTGTGTATGTGTGTATGTGTCTGTATATGTGTGTATATTGTGTATGTATATGAGTATATTGTGTATGTATAGGAGTATATTGTGTATGTATATGAGTGTGTGTATATGTGTATATATTTGTGAGTGTATGTGTATATGTGTGTATGTGTGCATATGTGTGTATATGCATTTGTGTGTATGTGTTTATATGTGTGTATGTGTGTATATGTGTGTGCGTATGAGTATGTATAAGTGTATGTGTATTTATGTGTATATATGTCTATGTGTGTCTGTGTGTATGTGTATGCATGTGTGTGTTTATGTATGTTTATATGTGTGTATACATGTGCATATACTTGTGTGTGTATGTGTGTGCACATGTATTTGTGTCTGTATGTGTGTATATGTGTGTATATGGGTATATATGTAAATGTGTATGTATGTATGTTTGTGTATTTGTGTGTGTCTGTGTATATATGTTATGTTTATATGTGTGTATATATGTATATGTGTGTATGCATGTGTGTGTAGATATATGTGTGTATATATGTATGTGTGTGCATATGGGTGTGCATATGTTTGTGTGTGTGTATTTATATCTCTGTGTGTATGTGTCTATACATGTGCATATACTTGTGGGTGTATGTATGTGTGTGTATATGTGTGTATTTATTTTTGTATGTGTGTATACATGTGTACATGTGTATGTATGTATATATGTGTGTGTGTGTGTGTTTGAGTGTATATGTGTGGGTATGTATATGTGTCTGTATGCATCTGTGTATATGTGTGTGATGGTGTGTGTGTGTGTGTGTGTGTGTGTGTATGCAGGCATACCTTGTTTTATTGCACTTCACTTTATTGCATTTCACAGACGATTGCATTTTTTACAAGTTGAAGGTTTGTCACTACCCTGCCTCCAGCAAGTCTGTTGGCTCTGTTTTCTTAACAGCATGTGCTCACTTCCTGTCTCAGTCTCACAATTTGGTAATTCTCACAATATTTCAAACCTTTTCATTATTATCATATTTGTCATGGTGGTCTGTGGTCAGTGGTCTTTGATGCGGCTATTGTAGTTGTTTTAGGGTGCTACGAACCATGTCCATATAGGATGGTGAACTTAACTGACAAATGTCCTGTGTGTTCTTACTACTTGACCAGCTATTTGTTACCTAATTTGTTTCCCTCTTCTCAGGCCTTCCTATTCCTTAAGACATGATATTGAAATTAGGCCAATTAATAACCCTACAATGGCCCATAAGTGCTCAAGTGAAAGGAAGAGTTGCATGTCTCTCACCTTAAATTAAAAGCTAGAAATGATTATGCTTAGTGAGGAAGGCATGTGGAAAGCTGAGATAGGCTGAAAGCTAGGCCTCTTGTGCCGAACAGCCAAGTTGTGAATGCAAAGGAAAAGTTCTTGAAGGAAACTAAAAGTGCTACTCCAGTGAACACATGAATAAGCGAAACAGCCTTATTGCTAATATGAAGAAAGTTGCAGAAATCTGCATAGAAGAGCAAATCAGCCACAACATTCCCTTAAGCCAAAGCCTAACACAGAGTAAGGCCCACACCCTCTCTCTTCAATTCTATGAAGGCTGGGAGATTTGAGAAAGCTAGAGAAGAAAATTTGAAGCTAGTAGAGATTGGTTCATGAGGTTGAAGAGAAAAAGCCATCTCTATAACATAAAAGTGCAAGTGCTTAGCATCGAGTTATCCAGAAGATCCAGCTAAGATAATTGATGAAGGTGGTTCCAGATTTCTACTGGAAGAAAATACCATCTAGGACTTTCATAGATAGAGAGGAGAAGTCAATGCCTGCCTTCAAATCTTCGAAGGACAGATTGACTCTCTTGTTAGGGGCTAATGCAGTGGTGACTTTAAGTTGAAGCCACATCTCTTTTACCATTCTGAAGATCCTAGAGTCCTCAAGAATTATGTTAAATGTACTCTGCCTGTGCTCTAGAAGTGGAACAACAAAGCCTGGATGACAGCACATTTCTTTACCGCAAGGTTTAGTGAGTATTTAAAGCCCACTGCTGAGACCTACTGCCCAGAAAAAAAGATTCCTTTCAAAATATTACCACTCATTGATAAGCACCTGGTCACCCAAGAGCTCTGATGGAGATGTACAAGGAGATTAATGGTTTCATGCTTGCTAATACAATATTTGCTTTGCAGCATATGGATCAAGGAGTAATTTTGACTTTCAAGTCTTATAATTTCAGAAATACATTTCTTAAGTGTATAGCTGCCATAGACAATGATTCCTCTGAGGGACCTGGGAAAAGTAAATTGAAAGGTTTCTGGAAAGGATTTACCATTTTAGATAATGTTAAGAACAGGCGTGATCCATGAGAGAAGGTATAATAAAAATATCAACATTAACAGGAGTTTGGAAGAAGTCGATTCCAACTTTCATGGATGACTTTGAGGGCTTCAAGACTTCAGTGGAAGAAATAACTGCAGATGTGGTAAAAATAGCAAGAGAACTAAAATTAGAAGTGGAGCCTGAGGATGTGACTAAATTGCTGCAATCTCATGATCAAACATGAATGGATGAGGACTTGCTTCTTATGGATGAGCAAAAAAAGTGGCTTCTTTGAGATGGAATCTGCTGTCAGTGAAGATGCTGTGAACATTGTTGAAATGAAAACAAAGCAATTTAGAATATTACGTCAACTTAGTTGATAAGGCAGTAGCAAAGATTGAGAGAATTTACTCCAATTCTGAAGGAAGTTCTACTGTAGGTAAAATACTATCTGACAGCATTGCATGATACAGAGAAATTCTTCATGAAAGAGTCAATCAATGCACCAAACTTCATTATTGAATTATTTTGAGGAATCGTTACAGCTACCTAAGCTTTCAGCAACTACCACCCTGATCAGTCAGCAGCCATCAACACTGAGGCAAAACTCTCCACCAGCAAAATTTATTGTGAACTTGCTGAGGGCTCAGATGGTCATTAGCACGTTTTAGCAGTAAAGTATGTTTTACTTAAGTACTTTTTAAAGTCACAGTGCTATTGCACACTTAAAAGACCATAGTATAGTCTAAACGTAACATGTTTGTACAGGAAAACCAAAAAATTCATTTAACTCATTTTATTGTGATACTTGCTTTATTGAGTTGGCCTGGAATGGAACCCACAATATCTCCAAACTATGCTGTTATGAGAAAAACTTGGGACTGTAATGTCTCCCTTGAAACTAGGAAGGAGCCAAGAGACCAAAGAATGACTCAGACAAGTTCAGCTTGATGAATAGATGAGTTTATTAAGACTTACAGACAGGGCACTCCTGGATGGTGCAGGGATGCTCTAGGGACCTGCATCACCCCTGTCTCTAAGCTACTTTTAATCTAATTTTCTGGCTCTTTGCTTAATATGTGTGTGTGAAGACACTGTTTTCCTTGGTAGGTTCTCAGATACTCTCCAAGATGTTTGAGCTCTCAGGGACATCTACTCCTTGACTGGGAACTGTGGCCTTGGCTCACTGCCTGGCCTGCAGGGTTCAGGCATTGGACATACATCCTTAAGTAACCCTGTGGGGACCTGTCACACTATATATGCTTGTATTAAATATATGTAAGCCAATAAACCCAGTGAATCTTTTGAAAATAAAAATAATTACCTTTGCTATTTCCTTATTTAGTATATTTCTTCCCCTCACAACCCACCCCCACCCCGCAAAAACAGAGTCTTGCTCTGTCGCCCAGGCTGGAATGCAGTGGCACGATCTTGGCTCACTGCAACCTCTGCCTCCCAGGTTCAAGTGATTCTCCTACCTCAGCCTCCTAAGTAGCTGGAATTACAGGCGCCCGCCACCACGCTCGGCTAAGTTTTGTATTTTTAGTAGACATGGGGTTTCAACATGTTGGCCAGGCTGGTCTCGAACTCCTGACCTCAAGTGATCCTGCCACCTCGGCCTCCCAAAGTGTTGGGATTACAGGTGTGAGCCACTGTGCCTGGCCTATTTCTCCATGTTTAAGTGAAAATCTAAAAAGCTTTCTTCACCTATAACTTTCCTGAGAGATGCATCTATTAGTGTTTATTGGTTTCTGCTTTGAAACAGCAACAATATAATCAGCAAAGGCTGTTGCAGAGTAGAATGTGTGTGTGCACATGTGTGTGGACCTGTGTGTGTGTCAGGACCTGTGTGTGTGTGTGTGTGTGTGTGTGTGTGTGTGAAGACCTATGTGTGGGTGGGTATGTGTGTGGACCTGTGAAGACCTATGTGTGGGTGGGTATGTGTGTGGACCTGTGTGTGGATGTGTGTGAACCTGTGTGTGGATGTGTGTGGACCTGTGTGTGTGGATGTGTGTGGACCTGTGTGTGGATGTGTGTGGATGTGCGTATGCCTGTGAATGGATCTGTGTGTTTCCTGTCGGCACAGAGAAAGTCATGGGCCTTGAGTTGTGTCTAGCGGGGAGCAGGTTCCTACATCCTGCTCTGCCCAGAAGATCCTCCCAGTTGAATCAGTGTTTTAGTCAGCGAGGGCTGCCATAACAAAGACCACAGACTTGGTGGATTAAATGACCAAAATTTATTTCTCACCGTTCTGGAGGCTGGGAGTTTGAGATTAGGGTGCCAGCATAGTGAGAATCTTCTTGGCTTGCAGACGGCCGCCTTCTCTTTGTGTCCTCACATGGCAGAGCAAGAGATCTGGGCCTCTTCCTCTTCTTATAACGGCAATAGTTCCTTGGATCAGGGCTCCACCATTATGACTTCGATTAACCTTAATTACCTCCCTGAAGGCCCTGTCTCTAATGCAGTCAGATGGGGGTTTAGGGCTTCAACATAAGAATTTTAGGGGGACACAATTAAGTCCACAGCAGCCAGGGTCTCTTTGTTGCCTAAGATGAAACCAGTGCTATTTTCATTGCTGTATCAAGTGTACAAGGCCAAGAACTAAAGTAGATCAGGGTGAAATGAAATGCATGACATTTGTTTCAGACAATGTCAGGCCTGAATTTGTACCTTTGTGCAGTATTTTAGGAAATTGGGAGCTGAAATTTTATTCACCTCTAAATGTACTTCTTTGTGTCAGCCCTGTTCTGTTCCCCGAGGAAACTGCAAAAGCTGGTTGTCCAAACCACTAGCCTGTGAAGGATACTCAGTAATAGTCGAGGGAGCATGGAGTTAGAGATCAAATAACCTTCCAATTATCAGAGTCCCCAGGCACTCAGTTCTTGAAGCTTCTCAGCTCTCACATTCACTTGCTTTCAGAGTCATCTTAGCTTTTCTAGCAGAAGAAAGCTCATGTTTTCTTAAAATAACGAACAAGTTGAATCATTTAATGTGCAAGTGAGGGGAACCATACTGCCTCATACAAATGGCTGCCATTTTCACTTGGGGAGGGAACAGTTAATGAGCATGCTGGGGTGCCCTGTGCTATGGATTGTTGTCTCTGAGGTCTCACTCACCCAACGAATTTGTTAAATAATCATTATGACACCAAGACCAAAACATAATGACACCAAACACAAGAAGTATGCGTGCGTGCGTGTGTGCGTGTGTGTGTTGTAGCACTGGAATTTACTGCTCTGATCTGTCTCCCTGATATAATTGGTAATAATAATGATAAGATGGGAACCTAATATGTGCCAATTCTGTGCTAAGTGCTTTAATAGGTGATAACAGTTCATTCTTGCAAAAATCCTCTGCTGAAGGTAAACGTAACCCCTATTAAATGAGAAACTAAGCATGACTACTGATAGGAAATGATAATTCATTTATTTTCACCTTTTCTTTCATTCTTAAGCAAAAAACTATATTGATTAAGTGGGGTAGTGGGAAGTAAAGGGAACTATGATTAAATAAAAGTGCTGTTACAGTCAGAACAAACCACAGAAACACAGCAGGTACAGACAGCAGCACAGGTTCTGCTGACACAGCCTCTGAAGGTATCCAGCCCTTAGCATCCATCCTTTCATTTCTAATAAACATAGTTATGCACATGGCCTCACCTATTGGCCCAGCCTTCAGAGAGGCTCTGAACCCACTCAGATAGAATCACGATGTATGGTTTATTGGTTTCAACTTCTCTGTAGCCAGAAAAAGACAATAGAAGTCTCAGAGCTTAAACATTAACAATATACTTTAAATGCAATGTACCATAAAACATCATAAGATTTGGATGTATGTAGATTTCATAAAATTTTATTCTAGAAAGTACACTCAGATGGTCCTAATGTCTACCTTACAGCTCATTGTCTGTTTGTTTAACTTTAAATAAAGTTAAGTCTAATCTTGCCTTGTTATGTTACAAATGGAAAAGCTGGAGAATAGAGAGGTTAATGCTTTGTTTGAGATCACACAGCTTGCTAATAGAAAAGCCAGGGAAAAACCCCAGATGACTTTGCTTAGAATTCATTGCTCTTGCATGATTGACAATGCCTAGATACTAGAGATTAGTTTGGGAGTCACGTGGTTCTTTTAGTGTCAGACAATATACGAATCAAGATTTAAGGCATCAGCAGCTCTCTTTGATGAAGGGTTACTGTAAATGTGAGAACGTGGGCACCTAAGTTCCTGTTGGTCTATTTAACATATCTGCGAGGCTTGAATGTGAGTGATCCCTCAGTTGTGTCACAGAGTTATTAGTGAAACCCTTTTTTTTTTTGTTTGTTTGAGACGGAGTCTCGCTCTATTGCTCAGGCCGGAGGGCAGTAGCACCATCTTGGCTCAGTGCAACCTCCGCCTCCTGGATTCAAGTGATTCCCCAGCCTCAGCCTTCCAAGTGGCTGGGATTACAAGCACACACACCACCACCCCCAGCTAATTTTTGTATTTTGTTTAGCAGAAACAGGGTTTCACCATTTTGGCAAAGTTGGTCTCCAACTCCTGACCTCAAGTGATCCGCCCACCTCGGCCTCCCATGGTGAAGCATTTTTCCGCAGGATACTAGGCTAACACATGTTGCCTCCCATTGGTGGGTGGAAGGTGATAAGAAGAAAGTGGCTGTTTCCCCAAAAAGAGTGATGCTTTGGAATATTACTTGAAAAACAGAAGTGTGATTTGGTGACTTTGAATATATTATCATCTTCATTAAGATAAAATTGTGGTTTCTAGAGATTTCCTCAAAACAACATATGCTTTGATCACATACCTATCAACAATGAAAGATGTTTTGTGTCATTTATAGTCTATGTATTAAAAGCCTGAATCAAAGAGATAGTAGAGCTGGTTTCAAATTCCTTTTTGTTACTATTATTGTTGTTTTTGAGACAGGGTCTTGCTCTGTCACCCAGGGCGGAGTGCAGTGGCGTGAGCTTGGCTCACTGCAACTTCTGCCTCCCTTGCTCAATTGATCCTTTCACCTCAGCCTCCCAAGTAGCTGGGACCACAGGCGCACACCACCATGCCTGGCTAATTGTATTTTTAGAAGGGAGGGGGTTTTGCCATGTTGCCCAGGCTGGTCTCAAACTCCTGGGCTCAGTGATCTGCTCACTTCCGCCTCCCAGAGTGTTGGGATTACAGGTGTGAGCCATCGTGCCTGGCCATGTTTCAAATTTGAAAGATTGAACAGTTTATGTTGTGCAAGAAACTTAAACTCAGTCTGTGCTCATGTGTAAAATGAGGATAAATAATGTAGAGCATAAACCTAGTGTTTCTCATGAAATAAATACCTTGTATTGCTACTGATCCTAATGTAATGACAGCATACACTGGTAGCAGTGATTTAGAGCTTAGATACAAATCTTCAGTACATTCTTTACCACACTAAGCTTGCTTTGTGTTTTGAACAAATTGGACTGTTTACTCTTTTGTGCTGCCCTCCTGTACTAAAGGGAAAAGATTTTCTTATTGTCTGCAACTTTCATGGTATTTCTTTTTATGTTAGAATTGACTAAACAATTTCAGTTATTTTGAGTGTATTAGGATCACTGAGTAATATTCTTTGGACAGATAGAGGCTCTGATCTCTTTGAAGACATAGATTATGTTTAAGTCTGGAGGATCTGCCTGAAAATAAATTTCAAATTTTCCAGCAAGAATAATGATTGAAGCTATAAAATTGTGACTTCTGATGTGAGCCTAAATATAGATATAATCTGTAAAATGTATTTAACTATTGTATTTTGTGTAATTTTTGTGTTTCAATTTGGAACAGTTGAGACAGGAACTTACGTAACTCTGCTAGGGCATGTTTTCCATGGGGAAGATGAGAACTTTTACTTGTTTGTTAAAGCAAAGAGTATTTTCAGTGGGAGAAGTCACATTTTAGACTGTGGTGTACCACACCTAGTGAGCTATGGTTTAATCATAGTTAAGAAATTAGTCCATTTTGACTTGAAGCCTTAGAATTACGGTGTTGGCATGGGAAGATATGTCCATCTGGAAGCAGCTCCCCTTCCTGACTTCAATGACTTCTTCCTTGATTTTCTCTTGGGTTATTCTCCAGTGAAATTTGGCCCCCACCCATAACCTCTCATTTCTTTGACCTTTTGATTTATTTCTAAATTTTCAAAGACTTGTTTGAGGGGTTTTTGTAAAAAAGGCAAAGAAAATGTGTTATACTTTCATGGACTTTCCTCATGTAAAACTTAATTTTTCTGTTTCCTTTATTCCCCTTGAACTTACTACATTTACCACTCCAAATTCCCATGTGGATACTGACTAAAAAATATTTTAAATGATTTAATATTCAAATAATTTAATATTCAAATAATTTAATAGTTGTCTTTCTCTGGACTTCTTTTTGTGTTTCTTGGAAAGAGATTTTTGAGAACCAATGATAATTAGCAAATCTAATTGGTATTGGATATTGTTTTATGCTCATCAGTCAGATCCTTGTAGTTTTGTAATATAGCACACGTTGACAGAAAGAATTGAATAATAAAAAGTCTCAGACTCTGCTTTTAAGGCTAGTTGTCTTTTACAGGGTGGCCTAGGTAAAGAGGGGATGGAGAGGGATGGCTTATATTACAGACCTTAATCAGGGGCCCTTGCTGCTACTTGCAACAGCACGAGTCTACTTTTGCCTCAGATGCTTATGGTTGTATTGGTTCTACCTATGAACAATTCAAATTTAGGTTATAAATTCAATGGAGACCTGAATTAATAAGAGACTGCTTAGTTAGATCACCTAAGATGGTGGGGATTTGAAATGCAACCTTTGAAACTTCCTCTATGGATGTACAGAATCACACATTTGCCTTCCTCCCTCTGCTGGCCGGGGCTGAGGATAAGTGTTCTGAAAAATAACAAGATATGGTAAAAACGTTCATAAGGTAGTGCTTTTAGAAGTATGCATCATGGAAGAAAGAAAAGAAGGGAAGAAAGAGGGATTGTCTTGGCATTGTTTAGTGGTACTATTAATTAGTTGTGCCTTTGTCTTAATGACTTTTCATGACCTTCCTTAGAAGGTTTTGTTCAACTTTAAACTTTATTTTATATTTAGGTGTTTTTTTTTTCATTTTAAATTAACTTTCTTAAGTCAAACTTACTTGTAAATGTTTGTCTCTAGTTAATAGCCATGTTTTTTAGAAAAACAGTATAACGCCGCATGTCTACAACTATCTGATCTTTGACAAACCTGAAAAAAACAAGCAAAGGGGAAAAGATTCCCTATTTAATAAATGGTGCTGGGAAAACTGGCTAGCCATAGGCAGAAAGCTGAAAGTGGATCCCTTCCTTACACCTTATACAAAAATTAATTCAAGATGGATTAAAGACTTAAATGTTAGACCTAAAACCATAAAAACCCTAGAACAAAACCTAGGCATTACCATTCAGGACATAGGCATGGGCAAGGACTTCATGTCTAAAACACCAAAAGCAATGGCAACAAAAGCCAAAATTGACAAATGGGATCTAATTAAACTAAAGAGCTTCTGCACAGCAAAAGAAACTACCATCAGAGTGAACAGGCAACCTAAAAAATGGGAGAAAACTTTTGCAACCTGCTCATCTGACAAAGGGCTAATATCCAGAATCTACAATGAACTCAAACAAATTTACAAGAAAGAACAAACAACCCCATCAAAAAGTGGGCAAAGGATATGAACAGACACTTCTCAAAAGAAGACATTTATGCAGCCAAAAGACACATGAAAAAATGCTCATCATCACTGGCCATCAGAGAAATGCAAATCAAAACCACAATGAGATACCATCTCACAGCAGTTAGAATGGCGATCATTAAAAAGTCAGGAAACAACAGGTGCTAGAGAGGATGTGGAGAAATAGGAACACTTTTACACTGTGGGTGGGACTGTAAACTAGTTCAACCATTGTGGAAGTCAGTGTGGCGATTCCTCAGGGATCTAGAACTAGAAATACCATTTGACCCAGCCATCCCATTACTGGGTATATACCCAAAGGACTATAAATCATACTGCTATAACGACACATGGACACATATGTTTATTGCGGCAGTATTCACAATAGCAAAGACTTGGAACCAACCCAAATGTCCAACAATGATAGACTGGATTAAGAAAATGTGGCACATATACACCATGGAATACTATGCAGCCATAACAAATGATGAGTTCATGTCCTTTGTAGGGACATGGATGAAATTGGAAATCATCATTCTCAGTAAACTATCGCAAGGACAAAAAACCAAACACCACATGTTCTCACTCACAGATGGAATTGAACAATGAGAACACTTGGACACAGGAAGGGGAACATCACACTCTGGGGACTGTTGTAGGGTGTGGGGAAGGGGGAGGGATAGCATTAGGAGATATACCTAATGCTAAATGACAAGTTAATGGGTGCAGCACACCAACATGGCACATGTATACATATGTAACTAACCTGCACATTGTGCACATGTACCCTAAAACTTAAAGTATAATAATAATAACAACAAAAAAAGAAAAACAGTACTTTTTTCCACATATGAGATTAGCTCATCAGCCATTGACAATCCAAACGCAGTTGTGTTGGTTTGGTCTTTGCACGAAGGAAAATATAAAAAGCTCGGTTTTATTATCAGAGAGGTTAGGAGGACATGACTTTCTTTAGTATTTCTTTACTACTTCACAGAGTCTGATATAGTCTTTATTAGACTTTCTCCACTAGCTGTTTGGCAGGAAATTGAATATGCAGCCTGTGAACCTCGAGGAGACATCCCTGTGGCAGTGAACCTGTGCCGAAGGCTCGTATTTATCAGAGATGTTAAAAGCTAAATCTGTGCTAGTTGAGTGACGGCCCACACTGTGCCTCAGTGGAACGTCATTCTTCTCAGAATGGCTAAATCCTGTTTTCTTAGAACCATGCTCCTCTCTATGTTATTTCCTTATATTACCGGAATCAAAGTTGCTAGGACATAACTTTCCAGAAACTTCCCTGTTGTTTTGGTTTTCTCGTAAATATACTCATGGTCTGTCTTCTCTTCCTTCAGCATAGGGCGCACTGGGGTGGGAAATTAAGGGAGCAGTTACCTTATTAGGGAAAAAAAAAAGAGTCGGATAATAGCCTCTTAATATATCATTACTTGGGGCATCACCCATAAGACTAACTGGTACACATGTGGAAGAGATAACCAACCACTTCCCCAAGCAAAGTAAACTAATGAGTCAAAAGAGGATAGAAAGATTTGCCCTGCGTTGGTTTGATCAATAGAGAGGTTGTGAAATGCAGGTCATAAATATTTAAAGACGTTCTGCAGTAGATTTACATATTAATCCCCAAAATGAAGCAAAAAAAAAAAAAAATCTGGATGTCTGAGATGGCCCATAAGTTGGAGCTGAGTGCAGAGAGCTGAAAGAAATCATGAAGAAGCTGACAGCATGGTTGCTTGGGCAGATGATCCTCCTGCTGCAGAGCAGCTCCCACACTTCAATAGATGCCCAAGAAGACTCTGTGTGGCTTCATCCTTGACCTGTGGCTGGGCTCCAAGAGACTTGTGGGCTGGCAACCTGCTGTTTGAACAGATGGGCCCCATACAGGCAGCCCCAGGAGTGCGCCTGTTGGGTGATTCCCAGCCAGGAGTGTCTGAAAGGCCGATTCCCGATTCCTAATGGCGTGGCAAGGGAGACGTGCTGGGGCCCATCCAGCCAAGAGATGTCTGAACTTCCTCATTTACAGCAATGTAAAGCAAGGCCCTGAAACTTGGTGGGTTACGAGGATTTCTGCTCAAGGATAAAGATGGTGCTGTTCCTGGAGATCTAATCCACCTGGCTTTCTTGCAGTAATAATGAAGTTAGCTTTTGTAGTTAGATTATTCTTTTAAAAAATATGCATGCCCTCCTTTATTTTGGAAACATCTGTTCCCCTCAGGTTGATTTTCTGTCTTCAGATTGGCTAGTGCTTGATTTCTCCTTAAAGAGTAGTGACTGTACAGATATGGTTGTGGCACCATGCCATCAGGATGGGAACTGCAAGCATTAGAGGTTAGGATAGAGGGGCTAATAAAAATTAAATGTTACCATTGGATGTTGTTGCTGTCACCTGTGTCAGAAAACTCAGGATCACCCAAGATTCTGCCCTCTTCCTCCAACTGGCCGCAGTCCACAGGGTCACCAAATTGTGTTTGTTCAACTTTCTTATCATTGAACCCAGACCTGCCTCCATAAATTGTTAATGTGTTGCTTTGACCTCACTTTCTGTTCTGCAGTGTGTTCTGTGTGTGGTTCTTGTAAATTCCTCAGCCAACAGAATGCCCTTTCTAAAACACAAATCAGATTATTTTATTCTTTTTTTAAAAATTCTTAAATGAATACTAGATACTTGAAAGATAAGGTCACAGTCTCTTTGCCTGACTATGAGGCTGACATGCTTCTGACTCCGGTCTTCCTGCACCCATGCCACTGGCTCCCCTCCCCTCACCCAGTGGCATTGCCTCTGGTCATACTGATCTGCCGCAGTGGCTGTGTAGCAAGATTTGTCATATTAAGACATGTAAGGAAAAAATGTTTACTGATCACGATTTTTTCTTGCCAAAGGTAAATGATTTTCTCTTGCTCTAGGAAATCTATATTTTCTTGTAATCTACATTTCCTACTTCACTGAGCAGAAGAATATCATTGAGATCATTGGAATTGTATAGAAATTGAAATGTCAAAATCTGTGCTATTTTAAAAATGGCAACACATTCACAGCTTTCTAATCCTTCATGCTGGAAATATGCTGAGGGCTCTAAAGTGAAGTTATTCAGGCTATATTTGGCACATGGGCCATGGTTCACTCATTACATACAGCTTTGGTGACTGAGGCCTGACTTTCCCTCCACTCCCATGGAATGTCTTTGGCTTCTTCACTAGGACAGCTCCATTCTCATTATCACTCTTGTCATACTTTATTACAATAACTATTTTTAAAAATTATCAGTCTCCTGCATTGGACGATGAGTTCCATGAACACAAGAACTTCAATCTCTGGTGATTACACTTGGCCTGCCACACAGAAAGAACCCAATAAAACTGTTGGGTCAAGTGGAATCAGTCATGTGACTTTTCTAATTCCATTCAGTAGGTCTTTTGTGATCTTCTAATAATAAAATTATTTACATTCTCACATAGAAAACTTAGAAAAGAAGCAACACTCATTTTTACAAATTGGAAGTGGTTATAATTAACACTTTCTGCTAGGTTTACTTCTAGCTATATACCGTATATAATACAGTTGAGATAATGACTATAGACATAATTTTTAAACATTGTATCATCAACATTTTTACCATATCTTGTTATTTTTCATATTTCTAGAAATGCAATTGTTAGACTAAAGCATCTGACATATTGAGACTCCTAAAATATAATGACAAATTTCTTTAGAGAAGGGTGGTTGACAATTTCTGTTTTCATAGCAGGAGTGTTTGGTTTTGCTACATTCTTGCTACCGCTGACTATTTAACCTATATTAAGTAGAAACGTATATATTTTGTTTTGTAGTTACTACTTCCTAAGACTCTTTAATATTATTATTTAAACTTTTACCATGTCATATCACATCTTATCACAAGATGAGAAATTGTATTTGCATTCCTTTGGTTATTAATAAGAATGACAATTTTCTTAAGTCTAAAATTAATTTCTATTTATTTTACTGAAAAATGTCCCTTTATTAATCTTTATCAAAGTTTCTACTGGAGTTTTTGATGTTTTCCTTATTTATTTGTAAAAGGCAAAATAATAAGACTATTAACCCTTTCTAATTTATAATAGTCATTTCTTAGATTGTTTGCCTTTTGCTTTTTATTTTTTATTGTGAGGTATTACATTTTTAAAGTTATACATATCTTTTGAAGTAATCATTTGTCACTTGTTTCATTTTTTATGCCCACAAAATATTTCATCATTCAAATCTTATATTTTTACTATTTGATTTTTTTGAGTTAGATTTAACTTCTTATCTATTTGGAAAAGATTTTGATATTTCAGATGAGTTGAGGATTTAACTTTTTTCCATTAATTCTAGGTTAATTCTCATGCATATAAAGCAACACGATTATAAAAACTACTGTTGTCTCCAGGCATCCTGCTCAATGAGTGCTGCAAATACTGGTCTGGGAGCCTGCTAGTCAAGTAGGACTTATTAAATTAGAGACCTTGCCCCCCCGATTGGGGAACAGGAGGAGAACCACTAGCAATTACTGCTATTTTGCTGATTTCTATTTCATTGTATGAGGCAGTGGGGCAGCAGAGGCTTCCATGCTTCTGTTACTCCAAGTACCGGCTCATGGCCACTATGAATCATTCCAGGCTGGGAAGAAAGCATGGCTGTGGTTTCTTATATTACATTATCTCCAGGGACATGGACATGCCAAGCCATTGCTTTGGGCTGTTATCACATTACCAAGAGAGTTCTAGAGGACTGTTTAAAAACAACTTCATAGTGTACTTGGCTCGAAAGTGAATCTGTTTCCCAGACTGATCTCCTCCTCATCCCATTGGGAAGAAGAACTGAGGACAGAGATTACACATACTTCCCTATGGCTCATTAGAAAGAATGAGAATATTAGTGGCAGAGGATGTTAATCTTTAAGCATTCCATCTCAGAGTGTGGCAAGAGTATTTGAATTTACTCAATGGGAAGAACTTCTGAAATTTGAATATCTAAATCGATGCTAAAATATATCATGTTACTTATTACTTATACTCCTTATGTAATACTCATTAATTCATTAAATATTTGTTGCTGTGGGTACACCTTTAAAAATGTAATGGAAAACGTAACAGATAACACAAAAACATAACAATATGCCAATATTCTTGATAAATAATATAGCAATAAAAGTAAAAAATGGATTCAAGAAGTTGGGAGACAACATGTTCATTAGTGTGTATGAATAAGGGAGATGAGGTTCTGAGACTTCAAGAGGAAGGCAGATTTGATGAGTGCTTTGAAGCCAATTTTGTTTTAAACACCACAATGCCTATGTGTATATGTATGTATGTGTGTATGTAGGTAAACAAAGAAAGGGTTAAAATTGAAGAGGATAGAGAAGAATTCAGAGTGGAGAAAATGATATTAGCCCTGACCCAGAGAATAAGTGACAGCAGAGTTCCCAGAGAGGCTAAGTAGGCAGCGGTGAGACTAGGAGAGCCCAGCTATATGGGGCTAAATTAGTGGTTTTTGGGGAGATGGCTTTACTCGTGAGGGCTTTGCCAAATGTAGGGCTATGATTTTGGTTGCCATAGTAATTGGGGAACATGAACTGGCATTTGAAGAATGAAGGCATGGCCTGTTAGACAACCTGTATTATGTGGGGCAGACCTAATTTGTAAAGAACTTTCCCATGTCCTCAACTTTCAAAATTTCCCAGCAGACATTAATCTAGGTGAAAAACTGTGCATAATGATCTGAGCCCAGAACTCACCTGCATTCTACACGAGGTTTCTAGTAGAGTTGTCAGAGTGTGGTGATACCTATAATCAGAATAGGAAGGGAAGAGAATAAAAGCAGCACAGTGAGACACATTGGTTTGTGCCAATGACAAAAACAAACAGAAATTGTCTGAATTTGTTTTCTATTGCTGAGTAACACTGAGTGCCTGCCTACAATATCCATTTATTAGTTCCCAGTTTGCCAGTCAGCTGTCTGGGCATCCCATGGCTAGGTTCTTGCTCAGGGTCTCCCATAGCTGAGATTGTGTCAGCTTGGACTGCTGTCTCATCTGAGGCTGGGGTTCTTTGCAGGCCACGCAGGCTGTTGGCAAAATTAACTTCCTTGTAGTCATAGGGCTGAGGTCCTGTTTCCTGGCTGTCATCTGGGGACCATTCTTAGCTCTTCGTGACTGCCCACTGCTCTCTTCCATGTGGCTTTCTCCACAAAATGTCCATTTGCTCCTTCAAGACCAGCAAGAGAATGTCTGTTGCTTCCAATCACTGACTTTTCCTCTGACCTCTGGACCCAGATTTAAAGAGCTCATGTAATTAAGTCAGGCCCACCTGAATAAACTCCCATTTATTAAGTCAAAGTCAACTGATTAGTAACCTTAATCATATCTCCAAAATTCCTTTTGCATGTAACAGTATAATCACACAGTGACATCCCATAGGCTCTGCCCACACTGAATGGAAGAGAATTATACAAGCATATGCAGTGTGTAAAATGGAGTTGGGTTCTGGGCTTAGATCATTATGCACAGGTTTTCCACATCGATTAATGTCTGCTGGGAAATTTTGAAAGTTGAGGATATGGGAATCTTGGGGGCTATCCTGGAATTAATGCCTTTTACACTGTCTAGAAGCATCCAGACTACTTTGCGCTGGGACACATGTTCATGGTGACGATGGAATACTTAATCAGACCTGGTAAATCCTAGTCTTAACTTTTGCTTTGGCCTTGACAGTGGATCAGTTGCAAAGAGATTATGTGAGATCTGTGAACTGGACACAATGACTGCTCCTTTCCTGTTAGAAATCATTATAGATACTTTATAAGCATGTGGATGCATGTGCTAGCAGCCATAAAACCAAACGCAGCTTTGATTTACTGCCCTCTAGGTGGGAACACATAGCATAGATATTGGTGTCATATTGTAGTGATTCTGAACTGCTAATTTAAACTGGCCCATTTGTCAAGTGTAATTTTCTTTTATACATTATTTTATTCAATCTGGAGGTTTTGACATGTAAGTGGGTGGGAGGGAAAGGGGCAGAAAATCCATTTTGGAACACTTAAGGTAAGAACAATATATTCGAAGGGGAAGAGGAAAGTGAACCTTGAAATCTGATTGTGCTTTCTGCCTTCCTCCTTGCTACACTGGAGCTGTTTGCCTACACATCAGTCTCGCATGCCTTGGAATCTCTGCCTCTTTTCTTATAGTCCTGCTAAAACTCAGGACAGCCTGAAAGCATGTTCTATCAAGAGGCTTTTTTGTTCAGGGAATTTAGAGGAGCTTAGAGGAGAAGACAAGAAAAAACCACCTCTTAGGGGAGCTTCTTTGGTCCAGGATCTTACTTATGAACAAAATTTTAAGTGTAGAATACCACATTGCTAATTCCAGGGGCAATGTTGTACAGCAGATCTCTGGATCTCTTCCCTCTTGCATAATTGAGACTTTATGTCTGCTTCTTACTAATTCCCCATTCCCCTCTCCCCAATATTAGGTAAAGGATTATTTTCCAAAATATATAAGGAGATTCTATAACTCAGTAGCAAAAAGAAGCAAAAATCTGATTTTTAAAATAGGCTAAAGACTTGAATCATTTCTCCAAAGAAGACATACAAATAGCCAACAGGCAGATGAAAAATCGCTTAATGTCACTAATCATTAGGGAGATGCAAATCAAAGCCACAGTGAGGTATCGCCTCAATTGATACCAAATGAGGTATCAGTTGGGGTGAGGTGATACCTCACTGTGGCTTTGATGTGCATTTCTAATAGGCATATATATATATATATATATATATATATATATATATGAAAGACAATTGGTGTTAGTAAGGATGTGGAGAAATTGGAACCCTTGTACACTGTTGGTAGGAATGCAAAATGGTGCAGCCACCATGGAAAACAGTATGGAGATTCCTCAGAAAATTAAAAATATAACTACCATATGATCCAAAAATTCCACTTCTGAATATTTATCAAAAATGATTGAAATCAGGATCTCGAAGAGATATTAGCGCTCTGGTCGTTCCTTAATTGTAGGATTGGCAGCACCTGGGAACTTGTTAGAACTGGAAATTCCCAGCCTCCCACTCCAGCACTACTACTTCTTCAACCTCTAGGGTGGGGCCCAGCAATCCCTTCTTAACAAGCCCTTCGGGAAATGCTGATAACCTCTGGATTGAGAACCACTGCTTTAGTCAAATCATACAACTTTCTCTCTCTCTCGTATGGTCATATCTGTATCATTTGTTTCTCTACTTTGTCTCTGAGCTTCTTACTGAAAAAGCAATAAACAACATTATACACATTTCTAAGAAAACAGACTATTTGGGTTAACAAAGGCAAGCTTGACTGCAGCTGAAGAGGAGGTAGGTTAGGGGAGAATAAGTGGCATGAGGCTGTCGCAGATGTGCAGCCCAGTCATTCAGCAGCAAACAGATTAAGGACAGAGCTGTGTGTGAACAGAGGGCCCTGAATGCATACGTAGAGCTGCTCATTCTCCAGGCATGTGGACACCGTACCAATTACAAGGGCCCCTCACCCCCTTCAAAGAGTTCCTCAGCACTCGCAGGAGGAGATGAGGCAAAAGACATGCTGTAAGATTCTTGGTGTCATTGCCTATTCTCTTTTGGTTTTTAATATTTGAACAGTGCAATGGTAGACAGTAGCCCACAGTAGCAAACATATCCAGAAAATGCCAACTGTTTTGGCAGTCCTTTCAAATAAAAATTCCCTGGCTGGAATTTTTTTCTATAAAACTCTTTCTGAGCATGTAAGATCATATTTAAAATATTCCATGCAGATCATTTTATGGTCTTTGTAATGTTCAAGATATAATAGCTGTTTTTTTAAACCATAGCATTTATATAACATAATTTGCTAAAATTTTTTTAGCATTGGAATGTAAAAATCACTTTCCTCTTGCAGTTATCTCTGAATGGTATGATTCTACGTACTTTTCTGCTTTATAGCTTTTCATATTTTTAAATATTTTTACAATGAGCGTATACTAGTACATTATGAAATATATCTTAAATATGATCTTAGCCTATCTGCTGTCATTTGTATGATAGATTTATACAGATCTCATAATCAAGAATGTTGAGTGTACTCATGCCCAGTGGAAACATGGTGCCCACTGAGAGGTGGAGTCCCAGTGGGTGCTGTGTGCAGACCATGTGCTACAAATATGGCATCGCACATATGTGGAAAAAAATGCTTCAAAACTGCAGTAAAGCTATGGCTTCAATTTACAAGTTGGATTATTTTGAAAATGCTAGTGTTCTTTTCAATTAATGTCACAACCTCATAACAATATTGTTGTCCGTGGCCATATGCTGGACATTTCCTGAGACAGGGTGGGAGGAGAGGGCAGCAGGGCTTGGGACACATGCCAGGCCCTGGGTGACTCTGCAGCCCTGTTTACCCCCAGATCTGCAGCAGCATGTGGGCTGAGGGCCCCAGGGCCCTTGCCCAGGAAAGCCAGAGGATGCATGTAGACTCCTCTAGGGAACCTCAAGAATGAATACATACCAGGGAGCCAGATACCCATTTTTGATTCTGTGGGACCAGAAGTGGGAGAGAAAGTTCAGAGAGAAATGCACAAACAATTCCGGGATTGGTACTGATAGGCAAGGTGGGGGTGGAGTGTGGAAATAAGAGGTAAAACAACGATGAAGAGCAGTTCTCTTATGGGGACTTCCGTAGGGTGACTGGTGGCGTTAGGGGGCTGGGGTCTTGGGGATGGGAGGGTTTGTGTTTGGCCTATGAAATCTGAAGAAACCTCCTTCTTTCCTTGTTTTCCTGTGTTCTTACAAAGAGTTTGGTCCATTGAATGGGTCAGCTCCATGCATGCTCAGGTCCACTGAAAAAGGTGCACCAGTCCTGTATTGAATCGACAGTCTTAAGATCCCCTTCTGGCTCTGGGGGTGACAGTTAGCTCTCTCTTCTGCACGAAAAACCACATGTGTCTGGACGAAAACCACAACATGTCCCACTGACTTTTCTGGGCAAATCCCAAAACCCTGGTCTTCTAGGGTTCAGTTAGTTCTAGAAATGTGGTGTGAGGGGAAATTCCATACTAAAATAGCACCATCTCCTGCTGATTAACTGAACGTGTTCCACCTCATTAATTCCCTTAATCACATATCTTCACAACAGTCCTATGAGACAGAAACAATTTGACAAGAAAATTGAGGCACAGGGACGCTAAAAACCTGCCCAAGATCACACAGCGAGCGAGCAGTAGTCCTACATGGGAGACTCGCTGTCTGGCCACCCGGCTGCAGGGCACCCATGGTCACTGCTGTGGCCTCGCACCTCCGTGAGATGACAGGAAGGCACCAGAGATTTACTGGCGTTTTTTTCCCCACTCAATAAAAGTAAATTTGTGTTTGCCACTAGGACTTAGTTTCACTGAATAATACCAACAAAACATTGTTTTTGAAAATATGTATATATGTAATCAGTTTTTTTAAACACACATATACAAGATTAAATATATCAAGAAACAATTTTTTTCTCTGTAATACACCTTCATTTATAAAATTGTCACTGGAAGATGCCTGTGCACTATTAGATATAAACTTCATTGTCAAGGCACTCATGAAAACTCTGGAAAATTCAAGAAAGAGCCAAGCAAAGAGTATTACTCCTAGTTTTCTGTGTTTTGAAGACGACAACTCTATTTCACACCTCAAGAGCCTCTTCCCAAGCCACATGCACCCCACATCCAGGCACCACACAGACACCCGGCCTTTGGTGAAACCATTTCTGCCTACGCAGTGACTCTCCATTGTGGATAAGATGAGATCACAGTGCTAGGTCATCAGCATGAGCCTCAAGACTTGGATGCTCCATCATAAATTGGAAGGAAATAATCAGAGCTTATTGTAAATGAAGAGATCAAGTGAATATTTTCAAGCATAAATCAAATATAAGTGATAGGAATAGAAGTAGCCTGTGAACTTTACAGTGTCTCATTCACATACAAGTTTCAGGGAATAACTTAAAATTAAATGAAACAATTCTTTGTAGCTAATGAGCATGTGTCCCAGGAGAGAGTTATGAGTGCACAAACAGGGATAACTTTGGCCCTTTCATGAAGCATCCTGACTCTGGTGAAGTTGTTCTGATGGGATGCTTAGCTTCCTGAAGGCGATGCTTATTCATGAAATGAGCACTTATCAGGCCATTGTTCTGTGCAAGGTAAGGACATTCAACTACCAGGCTTTGAAGTTCTAACAAAGCATGCACAACACTACACCACATGCCAAAATGTCCCTCTGGAAGTCAAAGCATGAAGCCCACATGCAAAGCAAAATGTCTAGTCCCTGACTCCTCAGGAATGACCACATTAAATAAAAAGGATGCATGTAGATCCAAGGATGGGCATAAAGTCATACTACTACTAATAGTAGATATAAATTATTGAGCATGATGTGTCAGTCGCTTAATGTCAGCAATCTCTATATTCTCCACCCCTGATTTAGCAAATCCTACTCCTATTTACAAATGATATGTTAAGTAATTTGTTCAAGGTTGCACAAGACCTATGACTGACCTAGGGTGTTTTAGGTGATCTATATGTATCATAGTATCTCATGGAATCCCTATTTGTAGATGAGAAGACTGGGGCTTAAGGGGTTTATGCAAAGTACCTGATGTCATAATACTATAAGTGCGAGGCCTAGACTTCTGAGCAGGTTTCTCTGTCCAATATGTGTGTACTCTTTCCACTGTAACAGCCCATTTCCCAGGCTTCAAAATAAAGAGGATGCATTGTCTAGCCTAAAACAAATTTTCAACTAAAAGGAAGAAGGAATGCTTATAACTTTAGAATGGGAAAAGTGCCAGTTTTTTCCTCTGCATTACCTCGATCATAGGACTGCATCCACCTGATTTCTTGGGACTATTTGCTTATATGTTTTTTCTGCCAAACCAGATTCTTTGAAACCCTTGTCTTCAAAGATTTGTGTCTCACTCATCATTTCTCCAGAACTTAGAACAACGTCAGGCATGTGGTAGGTATGAAACAAATGCTGATAGATTGAGTTTGGTTTTATGTAGTCAAAACAATCCAGTTAAAATAAGTAGTAATTTTTTTTTATTATACTTTAAGTTTTAGGGTACATGTGCACAATGTGCAGGTTAGTTACATATGTATACATGTGCCATGCTGGTGTGCTGCACCCATTAACTCGTCATCTAGCATTAGGTATATATCCCAATGCTATCCCTCCCCCACCCCGCCACCCCACAACAGTCCCCAGAGTGTGATGTTCCCCTTCCTGTGTCCATGTGTTCTCATTGTTCAATTCCCACCTATGAGTGAGAATATGCGGTGTTTGGTTTTTTGTTCTTGCGATAGTTTACTGAGAATGATGATTTCCAATTTCATCCATGTCCCTACAAAGGACATGAACTCATCATTTTTTATGGCTGCATAGTATTCCATGGTGTATATGTGCCACATTTTCTTAATCCAGTCTATCATTGTTGGACATCTGGGTTGGTTCCAAGTCTTTGCTATTGTGAATAGTGCCGCAATAAAATCATTATCAGATTCCATTTTTTAATGTTAAATTCTACAGAGTACCTTCGGGACACACAAAAATAGGTGTGGACTAAATGTGTAAGTAACCCATTACAACATGACAAGCAGGTGCTATGCTTTAAGCGTTTCAGTGATCTCTACTGAAGAAACAAGTCTGAGAACTGATGATACTAAGGTACCCAAGAATGTAATTCTCCTTCAAGTTTGGTTCTTGAAGATCCACCATATGCCTCCTACTTCTCCTTATACTGAGGAGTGCCAGAGCTGCGTCAGGACAAATGCTTCAAGAATAATGTTTTATGCCACAATGGAGATCCAAAGATATCCTTCTTCATACACGATGTTCTGTGAGCAACATGCCTTCTCTTTACAAGAGGTTTTATGAGAAAATCTTTATGGCCCTTCTTAGTTATGTGATTTTAAGCCCTGCAAACTCTTTATTGTCACTCAGCACATACTCCAGGAACTCATCATAGCCTTTATGAGGAAGGAGGCCCTGTTCCTTCTAGCAGTATTAGCTGGAACCCAGCTATCCTTATGGTTTAGTGCAGCTACCAAATACTTGAGGAGTTAAACTGAAGGTTCTATATTTACTTTCATTATGGAATGATAAATAAATTAGTGTGCTTTTAGAAAAGTTATAAATTATCCAAAGATTTTATTTTGGGAAAAGATTTTATATGAAGTAGTATATGTCTATTTAGAAGAAACCACCATTCTACATTATGTTTTAGGCTATTTCCTAAGTAAAAGCCATTTGTTTTGGAAATGGTGACTTCAAAATAATTGTTATTTACTCATTTATTTTTAACTTTTTAACACCTAAGTCCATTAATTAATACAGGAGCTGTCAGTTCTATTGCATACCGGAAATATAGCACAAAATGATGTTTTATAAGCAAGGCTCTCAGATAACTCTGGATTGAGTCATTTTATGCACTGGAACTGGTCAGTCACTGTATGATCAAGCAAGTCTTTAGGTTTTAACTAGGTTATCACTCTAAATCCTCATCAAACATTTGAAACATTTATCTTCTCCTGAACGGAGTAGACGAATACATTTTTTTCTGTTGCTTTAAGCAGCAGAGAATAATGATTTGGCTGATTATAGGAAACGTATGTAATATATTACACAGATTATCTGTTTGTGTCAAAAAATAATCAGGAGATCATGTGATAATGACCAAGAGGTATGCAGGGTGATGCCAGGCTCTGAACAACAGAAAATTACTCAGCTATTTGGCAACAGAAATGCTTACTAAGTATTTTCCTCCACTTCACCAAAACAAATGGGAAAAGTAATTAGAAACAAAGCAGTAGGCTTTCATCTTCTAAATTAGAGCTTCAAGTAAACAATCCTGTTTGAATCCTGCAGCTACTGCAACTGGAACTGTTTTGGCTTAATGATTCAGTTAAGAGGATAAGCCTCTGTGCTCTCTGGTTCGTTTTTCTTCGTATCTTGACCCATTTCAGGAGCTGATTCCCACCTGGAATGCTACTCTTAGCCCTGAGGTGTTTATTCCTGGGTTGTCTGAAAAAATTTTTGACAGGGTTACTTATTGATCTTCTTCTTTTTCATTAATCAAAGAATGCTTATTACTTGGCCAAGGGATATATGACACTGAGCTTGATAATACATAGTGATGAGAAAAGAATATGAAAATGAACCTGTCCTAATTATTCAAAAAACTAATTGTGATAGAAGAGATGGAGGCATTTGGCAAGAGATACATTATTTCCACACGGTTTGGTAATTCTACACCAGGTAGGAGCAGCTAGACAGTTCTGGCACAGGGGCTGTTGGAGAACAGGATAGGGAGGACTGGTGGTCAAAGATGAGTCCGGCCAGGCATGGTGGCTCACGCCTGTAATCCCAGTATTTTGGGAGGCCAGGGCGGGCAGATCACTTGAGGTCACGAGTTCGAGACCAGCCTGGCCAACATGGTGAAACCCCATCTCTACTAAAAATACAAAAATTAGCCAGGCATGGTGGCATGTGCCTGTAATTCTAGCTACTTGGGAGGCTGAGGCAGGAGAATTGCTTGAACCTGGCAAGCAGAGGTTGTGGTGAGCCGAAATCATGCTACTGCACTCCAGCCTGGGTGACAGAGCAAGATTCCATCTCAAAAAAAAAAAGTGAATACATCCTGGGAGAACCACAGAGAAAATGGACACTCATCAGAGAGCAAATGGCCAGCATAGGTGAAGGCACCAAAGGGTTTAGAAGATGCAAGTGGAGCATTCTTAGGAGGTAAAGATAACAACATCAGTAATAGAGTCAACAACAATCTAAGTAATAAGGCACATTTACTGAGGACTTACCATCTATATCTGTTCTTCCATGTGATTATCTTAACCCTGTTATAAGGAGGAACAAAAGCTTAGAGCTGTTAGTAACTTGCTCCAAACAACACAGATTATTGAATGTTATGCAATGGATGACCAGATAAGAATTGTAAGAGATGTAATGGGTTATGAATCTATATACGTGACTTTTAGAAAGTCTGCTTTCTATATTGACTGAAGTGGAGCTCCGTTGCAGCAGGAAAATCATCGAAGGGTGTCTTTGTCTATCTGTGCTGCTATAACAGATTATGAGTCTGGGCAATTTTTTTTTTTTTTTTTTTGAGACGGAGCCTTGCTGTGTCGCCCAGGCTGGAGTGCAGTGGTGTGATCTCGGCTCACTGCAACCTCTGCCTCCCGGGTTTGAGTGATTCTCCTGCCTCAGCCTCCCGAGTAGCTGGGACTACAGGCACATGTCACTGCACCCAGCTAATTTTTGTATTTTTAGTAGAGACAGGGTTTCACCATATTGGTCAGGCTGGTCTTGAACTCCTGACCTTATGATCCGCCTGCCTCTGCCTCCCAAAGTGCTGGGATTACAGGTGTGAGCCACTGCATCTGGCCAAGCCTGGGCAATTTCTACAGGACAGAAATTTATGTCTCACAGTTCTGGAAGTCTGAGATCAAAGGGCTGGTAGGTTTGGTTGTCTGATGAGGGATGCTGTCTGATTCCAAGGTGGTGCCTTGTTGCTGTGTCTTCTGGAGGGAAGGAATGCTGTATCCTCAGGTTGCAGAAGGTGGAAAGCAAGTGAATCCAATGCTGCAGGAAGCCTCTTTTATAAGGGCCTTAATCTCATCCACAAAAGAGGAGCTTCTGTGGCCTAATCATGTCTTAAAGGCCCCACCTCTTAATACTATCGCATTGGCAACATCTGAATTTTGGAGGGGAGACATTCAGACCTCGAAAAGGGGAGCAACAGTGCTCCAAATGGAGAAATGACTAGGGTTTATAAGAGCAAGTGAGTTCCAAGGGTGTGGAACAGGTGCATTGAAGAAGTAGGAGAGTGCGTAGCAAATGATGGGCCACATAGAATAAATGGCAGGTAATAGCTCAGAGTTAGTTCTCAGTTTCCCAAGGACTCATGGACCATTTCTACTAGAGAAGGCCTTCCAGGTCATCGAATTAAGAAATCTAAGTCCAGGGGAAATAATGTAATTTGTCCACATCTAACAAAGGGTAGCAGAGTGTTAACTAAACACTTTGGAATGAGACAAATCTGGACCTGAAACTGGGCTTGGTTTATGCTTGGGCAAGTTAATATTCAGTTACATTTTATATAAAATAGGAGCGGCATGCCAGTCTAACATGGCAAAGTGTAAGAAGGCTGCACAGCGCCCATGGGGTAGTCACTTTTGCTGCCGTGATGGGTATGGCAGGACCAGGAGCCAAATCTCTGACGCTCAGGTCCATGCTCCTCAGCACAGCAAGCTGCCCCAATAGCCACACCAATGCCACTTGGAATTTCGGAGTAAACACTTTCATCCAGGCTAAACTCATGATATAACCCATTTCAGTGTGCTGCTTTCCCTAGAGAACTTATAACTCAATCATAGTCACTTATGTTAAGTGAACAATACAAAACTCCTGAGTCCAAGGTTATCTGAAGGAAGCAATCTGCAAGAAGTTTCTCTTTCCAAATTCATGACATCTAATTATTTCAGGCATTCTCCTTTATACTTGATTCAAGACAGTCAATTTGCCATTATTTCCTTTACGTTTCAGTTAACGAGTGCTGAGGGGTTCCAGCTCCCAGGGCTATTCAGCTGGAGTCATCGAATCCATCTCAGTACCAGTCAGCCTGAGTTTCATGTGTCACTGAGCAGATTCACAAAGCCTCAATGCAATCTTTTTGTCTTTTTAGGATATGCAATAGAGTGCCTTCTCAGCAATAGTTGGAGGAAGAGAGGCAATGACTTAAATCCTGTTCCTAGTACATAGGAAATAGAAGAAAAATGTATGTAATTCAGAGGCACTGAGTATTAAAGAGATGAAAAGGCATTTCTGAAATTAAATGGTTGAAAACCATCGAAAGCAAGAAAATACATGTAGGGCCCATACACTCAATGCAGCTTCAAGTTTTTAGTCTTATTGTTTTAACCAATGCATTTAAAAATAACTTCTTAAGTTCTTATTTAAGTCTTCAGGGATTTTTATTTTATTTGGCATCTGTGACCTGGTGGCATGCCTTAATTACATATGAAAAAAGTTATGCCCACATGAAAAACCTATAAAAGGCTAAACTTTTAAGTCTAAATTGCTGAAGGCCTGATGTTTTTCTGTTCATCATCTCCATATTTAACTAAACTATGTAGAGAGGCAGGGCTTTTGCATTCTTGGGTTTCTAATCTTGGTTTGCGCAGTTAAGGGATTATAGATTCTTTGCATTAAAAGGATTGAAAAAGTTAAAAACATCTGTTAATTGATTTTTCTTTATGCTATACCAGTTGGGTCATCATTTAGTCTTTATCAAAATGCCCATAGTCAAGGGCATTGCTTGCTTCTCAAGGTCATTCATTTTCCTGATTTAGAAACTTAAAATGTTTATTCAGCTGAAATCTGTCTCTCTACAGCTTCTGATCTTTCTTCTTATCTTTTTGGAGGAAGCCTATAAGTATATTTTTTATTGTAACTCATGTTGTTTGAACTTATAAAAGAAGCATTTGTTCATTGTGTAAAGTTTGGAAAATGTAACAGAGTAAAAAAGAAAATGAAATTCACCTATATTTCTACCCTGCAGCAAGAGTCACTATTATCATTTAGTATCTTTTCTTATAGGTTTTCCTATATGTGCTTATAAACACATTCAGCTGCAAAATTGTAATTGAACTCTGGCTTGATACGCTATTTTCAGAACTACATTTTATGTTGTGAACATTTCCCCACATCATTAAATATTGATGTACCATAATTTATCATTCTCTGTTTGTTGGTCACTTAGTTCAGTTAAACATACATGTGTAAAACTTGGAATTTCTATACTTTCTAATATTTGAAGAATGTGTGTGCGTATTTCCCAAGTGTTTTCAAAATTTAACACCCCTCAGATTTTTTTCAATCGTTTCTCCTCTAATATGATTTATCTGCATTGCACCATCTGAATCTATTTCTCCTGAATTTAATCCTGTTTTCTTGTAACTTTCACCCACAACCAAAGAATTTCACAGCAAATCAGGAATATATTTTCTTAAAATTGGTGAATTTTCTTCTATAGTCTGATAATACAGTATCCTATTTTCTTAGTTCTTTTCATTGACTAATACTGGCTAATACTAGCTTTCCACAGAACTAATTATTTTTAGTTTATAGAACCTCAGGGAATACCTAGTGTGTAGTCCTTAAAGGCACTAATTTATAATATAAATTAAGTCCCACAGTTATTTCTCCTCACCCTAGACTTATATGTTATTTGTATTGGAAAGAACATTTAATTCTTTTATATTTCTTTTATATTTAAAATGTGCCATGATTCCAACAACCACTTAGAGTATGACTGTAATAGGCAACATATGACCTTTCCCCAAGAGCTTCAGGTTATTTGTAATTTTGACATTTCCTTCTCTACTATTCTTCTTTTCATTAATACCATGTTGAGCCAGGCAGAAACGAAGCCATAGGATTCCAGCAGTCTTGTAGAAACCTCCTTCTAATGTGAAATTAATCCATTCATCCTGCAGCTATGGACCAACTTCTGACAACATTTCCACCTGGTCCTTGTGAGATAATTTACTTAAAGCCACTTCTATTATGTTTGCTGCATTAGTCAGTTTCCAAGACTCTGTTAAAGAATGATTTGAAGCCAGGCACGGTGGCTCATGCCTCTAATCCCAGCACTTTGGGAGGCTGAGGCTAGGCAGATCACTTGAGGTCAGGAGTTCGAGACCAGCCTGGCCAACATGGTGAAACCTGTCTGTATTAAAAATACAAAAATTAGCTGAGTGTGGTGGTGTGCACCTGTAATCCCAGCTACTTGGGAGGCTGAGGCACAAGAATCGCTTGAACCTGGGAGGCGAATTTTGTGGTGAGCTGAGATGGCAACACTGCACTCCAGCCTGGGTGACAAAGTGAGACTCTGTCTCAAAAAAATAAGAATGTTTTGACTTGCAATAGTTAATTTATTCTCGGTGAAACCATGCTAATTCTTGGTAATCATTATTTAAAATATGCGCTTATCAACCTTCTTCAAATAACTCAAATTTGTCTAATTCTGAAATGTTTATGACTACTATATACTGGTGAGTGTGAGATAGGGAGGAGACGGAGAGAAAGTGAGTGTGCAGTGTTCTGACACGTGATGAAGTCAGTGAGGATGGAGGTTCAGGGCAATTTGGGATAAAGGAGAGTGGTATGAAGGTCTGTAAGTGATCAAGTGTTTGGCAGAGCCTGCTGGGAGCTGGTCTGGGGCCACAGTCCTGGGGGAGCAGTCTGGAGAGACAGGGGCCTGGGGCTACTGAAGAACAGTTCCACTTAGTTTCTGGTTTTCCTTCCGGTTTACTGTAAGTAAACTCTGAAAATAAAATTAGTAGGTTATTTGAAAAATGATGGTGGTGGTAGAATGTTTAATTTTTTTCTACTCTGGAGAAAACTCAACCCTTTATTTTTTTAAATAGATTTTGTAAAAAGTGAAAAATTATAGAGGTCTCTGTTGCTGTTATTTCTGGAAGATCAGAAAAGGAGAAAACTTCCCAGGTTGAACTGTAGCTTCTAATTCCAAAGGAGGACACTATAAAATTTTTGTTTGGGGAAAATGAATTTCAAGTACCATGCACAACTGCTGTTTTTCTCTGTGCATGAATATGTGTATTTGTGTACCCACGAAAACATTGGTTCTTTCTAGTCACCAGCTTCAATTACAATTGAATGGAATTCTATCTGTCGATCTCTTCCAAATAAGGATATACAGCATAATTCATACTATTTCGAGTCAAGTCTTCCAAATAAGAATATACAGCAAAATTCATACTAGTTCAAGTCAAGTCACACAACAATTGTTTCTTGGCTAACAGAAATGACCTTTACAAAGATTTTGCATATTCTTTGAACCCAATACTTGGTTTAAAGTCTTATTTTTCTTAGTCTTGTTTCATTTTGAAGTTTCTTAAGATGTCTCAATAGAATATTGAGTCATGGCATTCTTCTTTATGCATGGCAATGAAAAGATATCGGTAAGAATTATTAAGCTAATACAGACTAATGGTGATTTTATAATTTTATACATAATTGTTAAATTTGCCAGGAGTGCCACTTAGTACAGAGCCAAATACAGTTCCTGTTTTCCTCACTGGGGGACACATTAGTTTCTAGATGTTAAAGAGAGTTGCCAGTGTCATGCAGTGGGTTAACAAATCTCATAGTAAAATCTAGTGATCTTTCTACTGCATCACATTTTATCAGCAATGAAAAATTTAAAAATGATAAATAAAAAATTGGAGATACAGTCATGTGCCACATAATGATGTTATGGTTAATGATGAGCCACATATGATGGTGGTCCCATAAGATTATAATATCATATTTTTATTATACCTTATCTATGTTTAGATACACAAATAGTTACCATTGTATTACAATTGCCTACAATATTCAGTACAATAATATGCTGTACACGTGTGTAGCCTAGGAACAATAGGGTACACCCTATACACTATATAGTTTGTGTGTGTAGTAGGCTCTACCATGTGTAGGTTTGTGTAAATGCACTCTATGATCTTTGCGCAAGGACAAAATCATCGAACAACATATTTCTATGAACGTATCCCCATCATTAAGTCAGGCATGATTGTATTCTCTTCATGTAATTCTTCCAACTGAAGCAAGAAATCTTTTGTGTGTGTGTGTGTGTGAGACGGAATTTCACTCTTGTTGCTCAGGCTGGAGTGCAAGCATGATCTTGGCTCACTGCAACCTCTGCCTCCTGGGTTCAAGCAATTCTCCTGCCTCAGCTGCCCGAGTAGCTGGGATTACAGGCATGCACCACCACAACCGGCTATATTTTTGTATTTTTAGTAGAGATGGGGTTTCACCATGTTGGCCAGGCTGGTCTAGAACTCTTGACCTCAAGTGATCTGCCCACCTTGGCCTCCCAAAGTACTGAGATTACAGGCATGAGCCACCGTGCTCAGCCTGAAGCAAGAAATGTTCATAATGGTATTACTTCATGGTTCACAATTTGTTGAATTAGTGAACATATGAAAAGATGGAGTATATTTATATTCTTAAGGTATTCATGGAGTTATTTTTTTAAATGTGTGTGAAAAAGTACAATTTTATAAATGGTTAAGAAATCCCATCCATTAGATTAGCGTGTCTTTGTTTTGGATTCCAGCGGTCAGGGAAGCTCAGCTAAATTTAATTCTGCCCAGCATGGACATTTTGCTTTTGATAGTCATTTTCTAATCCTTGGCTAATTAAATCAGGAATTCCATCTAACTTTTGGAGTGTGTGTTGTGTGTATGTGTATGCCCATATATGTGGTAAATTCCTGCCAATCTACAGCCCATATGAAACCCTGAAATTACCCCTCCAAAGTCTGACCAACCAACCATCTCTTAAGAGACTAAAGGATGCTTTAAATTACAAATTGGCTGGGAGGTTGGAAATGTTTCCAAAACCTAAGTAAGCAATTATAATTATTCCATCATTCCAGTCACACAATAAAACTGCTGACTAGAAACTACAATGAATTGTACAGTATTCCTTCACTCATTATAATACATTCTGAAAGTAGGTCATAACAGAAGTTTTTTCTTTTTAGTTACTAGAAGTAAATAATGTGCTCTAATGGAATATCACTTTAATCAAAGTCAGAAGACTTAAAGTCTAGTTCTCTTTTTGATCCTAGTTAATTCCGTGAACTTTCTACATTAAGTTTCCGCATTTAAAAAATCTGAATCAAAATACTTGATTAACAAAATTTCTTTCAGCATAATGTTGAAATAATTGTTTTTAGTTCACCTGAAAGAAAATAAGTTGACATTTTAATGTATTCATTCATTATTATTCATTAATTCATTGATTTATTTATCATAGAATATCTGAGTGACTTCAGTATGCAAGCTACTGTGTTATTTTTAATGATACTTATTTTAATTAATATTTATTTTCTCCAAAGAGCCTACATCCATCCATCCATGCACTTGTCCACCCATCCATCCATCTATCATTTGTCAACAAATGGTTATTGATCAGTTATTATATGCAAGAACATTTAAAAGTTTATGGACCTTCTGACTAGCTAATATTTCTATAAATTTCTGGAATAATTGACAAAAATATGTTAAAGTGTTTACCACACATGTCACCTAAAGGAAGAATAATTTTTTGAAAAGAAGATGATATTGTTTAATATACTATTGGAATTTTTAGTAATATTGATAATGATGCCAGAATTGTGTATGTAAATGGGATATGGAGAATATTCTGTGATATGAATTATGATTGGATCCTCTGAACTGAAATACAGCACCAGCAGTCATATACATTTGTACAGACATGTTGTAGACCCTGCTGAAACCATAGGTTAAGCAAAATCCTTCTCGTAAGAGTGCTTTTCTCCTTTTAGCCTTTTGTCTTATTACCATGGTCCTGTCAGAAATAAGCCTGGTGGCCAGGCATGGTGGCTCACTCTTGTAATCCCAGGACTTTGGGAGGCCGAGGCAGCTGGATCACTTGAGGTCAGGGGTTCGAGACCAGCCTGGCCAGCATGGTGAAACACCATCTCTACTAAAAATATAGAAATTAGCCAGGTGTGGTGGTGCTCGCCTGTAGTTCCAGCTACTCAGGAGGCTGAGGCAGGAGAATTGCTTGAACCCAGGAAGCAGAGGATGCAGTGAGCTGAGATAGCGCCACTGCATGCAGCCTGGGCAACAGAGTGAGACTCTGTCTCAAAAAAAAAAAAAAAAAGAGAGAGCGAGAAGGAAGCCTTGTATTATGGTAAAAACTTGTGGAAGAGGAAGAATAACATTCATCAAAATACCCAGCTGGTCGGCTCTTCTTTTAAGTGGCTACATTGGTGGTAAATTCTGGTGTTGGTACAAGAATTCCTCACCTGTGACATCAGAAATTGTGAGTCCGGTGCCTCCTCACCCGGTGTTCAGCTATGTTGCAGGCGAGTTCAGTGTCAGCTGACATTTCACACAGAATGATTTTCAGGCATGGAATGCAGATGGAAGCAGATTTGTGAAAACTCATTTCTGACCTTTAAAACAAAAGGTTTTTGCCATGGAATGAGCAAATGTGATGTAACCATATACTAGAGGCTAATTCTAAGCATGCCTCTAGTGCAAACAGATTTAGAAAAAGCAACCCCCTCCTTGTGCGTTTTTAGCAAGAAGAACTGAAGCTGTACTTCCAAACAGTTCTGCTGTGAATAGCCCTTAGCTCTTGTGGTCACATTCTTGGCACATTGATTTCTCTGGGTTGCTATCTAGTTCTATAGTGTAGTGAGGTTGTAGATATTTATGTATTTGGCATCCATAGCTCTTTGGATGAGAAGTTATTACTGATCTCACTGTAGGGAAAATTACAGCACAAAAATACTGTTGCAGTAAACCAGCCATGAAAAATATCAAATTGGTGAAGAAAAGAGGGCAACTATTTTTGCGTAAGTAGTAGATAAATACATTTTGTGCAGTTTTCACCACGTGTAAAGTTAGTAGTTTACATCACGTGTAAAACTAACATGGAGGGTTGAGAAAGAAAAGCACACTGTTTTTGGAAAAGGTAGATTTTGTTGGAACTGCAAGGAGTGTAAAACATTCATTAATTCATCTTTTTGTTGAATGAACACAGTGACTTGGGGCCATGCTCTGTGCGGCACAGAAGCTGTGGGCTGTCGGGGCACTTACAGAATAGTAGCCAAGGGAGGGGCTATCACACCCGGGGCATATTCAGGCTTTCTTATCAGATTCAAGGCTTTACGGAAGAGATCATGATTGAGCAGAATTTTTGAAGACAGATGGGTATTTTCTAGGATTGGATGGTGAGAAGGAATTCTAGAAAGAAATTGGGTGGGATGATGATGAGTATGACATGTCCTGCAGTGTGCTAGGGTGGGAAGCACTGGGCTGGGCTCATGCACAGGGTGTCAGAGGCAAGCCTAAGGGAGGGAAACAGAAAATCGGGGTGGGTCTCAGAACACACAGGCAGCTATGGTTAGCCTCTGCTGGTGATGGACAGCCATGCCTGGAAGGATTTTAAACTGGGAGAATTAAAATAAATTGACAGAAAAACCAACATAGTTTGCTTTCCTACAAAAATCCCCCACAGCTGCATGCAAGAGGGGCATATAGAGTGCAGGAGAATGGCCCATCAGGACAGTGATTATGCAGGCATGGGACTTGGGAGGTGCAGAGGACTTGGTAGCTGCATGGATGTGTAGGGTCAGAAAGAATGGGTGGCTCCTAGGACTCTGATTTTGTGTCTGGGCTGAGAATAGAAAAATAGTGAGAAGAGAAGCATTTTTTAAGACTTTGGGTAAAGTTGACAGGTATCTTTGGTACGCCCATTTATTAGAGAGGTCAAATGGGTAGATGAATATCAAGTATGAAGGGCATAGTCAATATCTAAGAGAAAGGGAAAGATTTGGTTTATGTGTATGTATATGGATATATGCATGTATATATGTATATGTATCTCCCTAAGTATAGACACACACTTATGCTTCCTCATGCATATACTTTCTGCTTACTTACTTATATATAGCTGCATGGAAACCAAACAGTGGATGGAATTGCTAAAGGAAGGTCAAGGGAAGAGGGAAGAGGGCTCATACAGAGGCAGGCAGAAGAACATGGTCTGGAAAAAGAGTCTGAGACAGACTGTTCAAAGAGAAAGGGGAAGATCAAGGATAGCTTAAAAAGGAAGGGAGCTAACATGATCAAATGCCACCGAAAGATCAAGTAAAATGATGACTCCAGTTCACTGACTATGCATCAAGAGTTCAGAGGTGACGTAGGCCAGGATGATTTGAACGAAGTGGTAAAGGAGGAGGTTAGCTTGCAGTGGGTTGAAGAAGAAATGCAACAAAATTGCTAAATATTTTTTCAGTTGTTATCATTGGTATCCAAATATCGGTGTAAGAGATAAAGCAAAAATGTTAAATAAGTCACTAAAATTTTGACAGAAAAATATAGTTTCCCAAAAGAACATCGCATAGTTGACAGTTCCAGACTATTGCAGAATACACTGTCTCTGTCAGCTTCCTCACATCATCACAGGAATGAAATGGTTGGTGTATGGAGATCTGATTTTTGTGGTGTACAGTACACATTTCCCAACACTCAGGCAGATCTGCACAGAACTGCAAGTGACAGTGACCAGCTTGGCTATCCTTGTAGAGGAATGTACATTCTGTTAACTGGATTTTTCTTTTCCTTAATTGATTTTGGATTGGAAGGAAAGAATACTTTGAATTTCGCCAATTATGAGCCATAAGTGATTCATTCACTAGCAATATTATTATTGCTATTATTTTGGTCCAATACTCTGTGTCAGTATTTATGCTTTATTTTGCATATAAGGAAGATAGTTAGACATTTCCCTGCTCTTCAAGAGCTCGCAGTTTGCCTGTGTTGGGTGGGAACAGAGACACTGTTAGGAGACAATGACAACATGGTGTTTAAAATGTTATAAAAGCAATATCTGTATTGATATTGGTCATGTCATGACTACAAGCACTTATTAGCCACTATTCTAAATGCTCTAGATAAATCCTCACATTTAGTACTGAGCATCATTATGCTTATTTTATAATGAGGAGTCCTGAGAGTGTGGGCCTGTCCAAGCTGCCAGGCTCAGGGGTGTCCAGGGAGACCCACCGCGGGTTCGCTTTCCTGGCTGAAGCCTGGACTCCCAACCACTGCGCTAACTGCCTCCATTGCAAAGGCCTTAGGGGAGCACAGGGGTTCCCAGAGCACAGTTGTCAGGGAATGTCTCTCTAAGGAAAGGAAGGGTAAATTTGAAATCCACATTCCAGTGTGGCAGCCAGTCCTGGCATTGGCAGCAAGAGGCACCCGAGCAGATGGTGCAGCTGGCAGGGCAGCTGCCACCATCTGTGCGTCTCCTGACCTCCTGTGCGGGTGCTCCCAGGAGATGTGGTGCCCTCGACTTCACCATGGATGTAGGAAGGAGAGAAGAAAGGCAAGGGCATTCCAGGAAGAGGAACCACATGTGCACCTGCATAGAGCTGGAAAACAGTATGACCAGGCTGTGATGAGCAGGTTCAGTGTGCCTGGGAGGGCTGGGGGAGGCCAGGGTGTGGAGATGGGTGACAGCCATGCAGACAGGCTCAGCTTCATCCACAGTGGGACCGCAGGGCACCTGGGAGCGCATCTCACTCCTGCCAAGTCCCAGGTCACTATATAAATGGTCAAGAACCAGGCTGGGAGGATGTGTCTGACTCCCCCAGAGTCAAGCAGCAGCTGAGCAGTAGGAGACAGGAAGGACTATCAAGGTAAATATAATGCCAGATAAAAATACAGCCAAGTCTGATCTCAGCGATACCATCATTTTCTGTCTTCATGCTGTGTTTATTGGCTCACGTGCAAATGGGCTGGTATTGTCTAGTGAGATCCAGTAATGCCAGTCTGTCTTCCCAGGCACACGGGCATTTGGAGGAGCCACATTTAACATGGAGTGTGGGGCACAGAAACAGTGGAAATCATTGCATAATATAACAATGATCCTAAAACTGTGAATTATGTTAATTCATTTGAAAAGTTAAATCTTATTACTTTTAAACTCACTTTCTCCAGAATGACAAAGTTAGCAATTCAAGAGGTTATGCTTTGGTTTTGTGTAAAAATTCACTTAGAGCTTCTTGTTTCCAAGTGAAAGACATTACTTTATATAACATGGTATATGATGACCTCCGAGTTAGACTTTGCAGTTGGAAGCTATTTTCACACGCCAATGAATGTGACCCAATGACGCTGTTCAGATGTAGCCTAGTCCTTCTCCCACTGCAACGTTCAGGACAGATCAAACCCCCTCATTTCTCTCTTTCTCGCTCTTTTTTTTTTTTTTTTTTGAGACAGAGTCTCGCTCTGTTGCCCAAGCTGAAGTGCAGTGGTGCAGTCTCCACTCACTGCAACCTCCGCTTCCCAGGTTCAAGTGATTCTCCTGCCTCAGCCTCCCAAGTAGCTGGGATCATGGGCGTGTGCCACCATGTCTGGCTAATGTTTATATTTTAGTAGAAACGGGGTTTCACTGTGTTGGCCAGGCTGGTCATGAACTCCTGATCTCAAGTGATCTGCCTGTCTCGGGCTTCCCAAAGTGCTGGGATTACAGCACCCACCGTGGCCCCCTCATCTCTCTTGATCAGCTCTCTGACCTGTAAGAGAGGGCTACCTTTTAGTGACACCTGCTGGTAGAACCAGGTATGTAGCAGATGAAGAAATCTGGAAGGGACTTTCTATCCAGGTTTTCTCAGTTTACTCTGGGTTCCCACATACAGGGATACCACCGTCAAAACCGCAATGTTCTCCTTACTTTCAGATGCTTTTAATGATCTGGAGAAGGTGGCCGCATACCCCTGTCAACGCTGACTTGCCTTGAACTGGTTAACACCTTCCATTAACTCGGTCAATGTCAGTTCATTAGAGGAAATAAAGGGTGTTTGTAAGCTGTAACCACATAATCCCTGAAAAAGAAGGGATTTAACGTGGAACACTAATTGCCCTGCCTGAGAAAAGTGGGAACTTGGTTTAGGATAATGAGGGGGAAATTGTACTAACAAGGAAATCAGGAGATGGGTTTTCCGGTGCAGCCTCGGGCCCTTGGTAGTCAGCCAATGGTGGGCCTGCTGGTCCATCACTGGGGTCTCAGCTTCCTCACAACACATTTAAGCGCAGGCAGGGCAATGGAGGCAGTGCCTGCTGTGTCAGCAGATACACTTGAGGGCCATTTCCCGGGTCCACTGGCTTTGCTTTGAGGGGAATCTGATGTTCTGGGTCTTAACTTCTTCAGTTCTAAAATCATCATGTTAACACCTGCCTTGAAACGGTGTGTGGAGCTTCAGCTGGGATGAGTATGTGAGTGCCTTCCTGTTCTCTCCACTTCCCTTTTGGCTTTCTCTTAGGTAAAGCCAAAGGCTGGGCCAATTCATTGGCAAGCCAGATTCATTTAAAAAAGATCAAGTCTTTCAAGTTTATAAAAGTAGTACTGGATGTTTATAAAAACTGGGATGTTGATGAAATGTGCACCCCTTAGTTTTTATGTTTATACATATGTGTGCTCCCTTGCTGCTGACCTATTTTAACTTCCCATGAGTGCCTGACAGCGCTCAACAGTAAGACTCATAAAGTACACTGTTTTTTTGGTATCTGAGGGGGATTGGTCCCTGGAACCCCCAGGATATCAAAATCCGTAGCTGTTCAAATTTCTGATGGAAAATGGTGTAGTATTTGCTTATAAACTATGTACATTCTCCCCCATACTTTCAATAATCTCTAGATTGCTTATAACTAATACAAGGTAAGTGCTGTGCAAATAGTTATGATTCTTTATTTTTTAAAATGTGTATTTTTATTGTTGTATTTTAAAATTATTTTTTATTTATTTTATTTTTTGAGATGGAGTCTCACTCTTTCACCCAGGCTAGAGTGCAGTGGCACAATCTCAGCTCACTCCACCTCCTGGGTTCAAGAGATTCTCCTGCCTCAGCCTCCCAAGTAGCTGGGACTACAGGGGCCTGCCACCATGCCCGGCTAATTTTTGTATTTTCAGTAGAGACTGGGTTTCACCATATTGGCCAGGCTGGTCTCGAACTCTTGACCTTGTGATCTGCCTGCCTCAGCCTCCCAAAGTGCTGGGATTATAGGTATGAGCCACCATGCCCGGCCATATTTTTATTTTTTGTTGCTTCTTCCAAATATTTTTGATCTGCAGTCCATTGAATCTGCAGACCCGAAAATAAGGAAGGCCAATTATAATTGATTTTCTGATCCCAGGGACTTTGTGAACAAGCACTTTAGCAGAGCAAGTCTCAGCTCTCCTTGGTCTAATTCATGAGCTTGAGAGGGAATTAAACTGATTTCTGGAAAATAGTGTAGATGTGGGATGGGAATTTCATTGAGGAGCAAAGTGAAGACGCTAGATAGAAGAACTTTTACAAAGTTGTTTGAGTGTCTTCTTTGAAGCCTTTATAGTATTCCTTTTTATGTATAAGTGCTGCTTTAGCCATTGTTGGAGATCTGTAGATAAGTATCAAACATGTACAAAAAAAAAAAAAAGAAAAGAAAGAAAAAATCACCCCACTGCCACCTGCCCCACACTAACTGCAGACAAGTTTCCCACAGGGAATGCCCTTCCTTTCTGGCTTTCCTCACACTGTGGTCTCCCTACAGATTTTGCCAGACCAACAGCTGCACACCAGGGAGCAGGCGATGTGCGTGTGTATAAGGAGAGGGAGATTTTAAGGAATTGGCTCACACAATTGTGGGGGCTGGCTGCTCTGATATCTTCAGGGCAGCCGGCAGGCTGGGGACCCAGGAAAGAGCTGATGTTGCAGATCAAGTCCAAGGCAGTCTGAGGACAGCTTCCCTCTTCCTCAGCGGACCTGGGGCTTTCCTCTTAAGGCCTTCAACTGACTGGATGAGGCCCAACTACGTTGTGGAGCGTGATCTGCTTTACTCAAAGCCCACTGATTTAAATATTAATAATATTGTAAAAAATACCTTCAGAGCAAAATCTAGACTGGTTTTTGGCCAAAAGCTGAGTTCCATGGGTGCTGTGACCTAGCCAAGTTGATCCCTAAAATTAACCACCACAGCAGGTTAATACTGGGCCAGCAATCAACAGCGGAAGATGGCCTCAAGCTCTGGCAGCTGGGAGGCAGGAAGTGCACTGGAGATTCGAGAAAATTCAGGAGCCTTCCTCAGCTGGGAACATGACTGGGAATCGGGCAAGATGGAGGGTGTCCTCCAGATGCTTGTCTCAAGCCTGGAAAATGTATTTCCAATTTCTACAATGACAGGGCTGTCAAATGAAATGATGAAGACGACTTGTTTTAGAGCAACAGGGAGAGGTGTGGAAAAATCTCCTTGATTCTTCCCCTGACTCCAAGGCCGGGCAGTGCGGCAGTGTCCCGACAGTGTCCCAGCACCGTCCTGAAATGCTGGATGGGGGGCGGTCGCAAAGGGCATCGCCTGAGGGAGGGGTTGTGGCGGGGAGCTGGAGCAGGGCTGATTGGAGTGACTGACGGCCTGGCTACAGGGAGTAGAGTCTGCCCTCACTCTGATGCCAAAAATGGGCTGCAGGGCAGGAGTGCACAGGAGTGCATGTTTCCCAATAAAATAACAGCCCAGCTTTTAGGAATCAGCTTCTCCCTCCTGCCCTTCATGGTAGCTCAGGGAGACAGGAACCTGTTTGCCTTTCTTTCTGCGGTGGCAGGCTTGTGCCATTCCAGTGACTTAATTGCATCCTTACCTTCAATAGGAATGCTTTTGGCCCAGGTACAGATCTGGTTGATCTTTTTCTCAGGAAGACAGGCTTTCTCCCAGAAAGAATATTTCTCGGATTTGAGACAAACAAGTACCACACGCAAACAGAAATCAGTCTGGTAAGACGGCACTCTCTGAATGTTTCAGCTCATTTGTTTTGCTCTCTGAGCATGAGATTCTTAGCTATGATAGCCAAGCATCTACTCACAACAAATCTGGAGACTGTGTTCAACCCAGGGATTACCAGGAGGCCCCACCTCACTGGATGAGCTATGTGGCCTGGGTATCCTCAGGAAGGGGCTCAAGTTCAGACTTGATTTTATGTCTTAACGACATTTTGCATTCAGTCTCAGCTACACATAGTATTTCAAAAGGATCACATTTATCTTACAACTTACACTGGACTGCACCATCTGTACTGCGCACACTATTTAATATCTTAAATTGTGGGCTGGGCGCGGTGGCTCATGCCTGTAATCTCAGCACTTTGGGAGGCCTAGGTGGGCGGATCACCTGAGATCAGGTGTTCCAGACCAGCCTGGCCAACATGGTGAAACCCTGTCTCTACTAAAAGTACAAACATTAGCCCGACATGGTGGTGGGCGCCTGCAATCCCAGCTACTCAGGGGGCTAAGGCAGGAGAATCGCTTGAACTCGGAGGTGGAGGTTGCAGTGAGCTAAGATCTCACCACTGCACTCCAGCCTGGGCGACAAGAGCAAGACTCCTTCTCAAAATAAATAAATAAATAAATAAATAAATAAATAAATAAATAAATAAATACTGCAATTTGTGAATTGGACAGTCATAGATAACTGTATTCTTTATATTAAATTTCTGTTTGTTTATTGTTAATGTAAAATTTGCCCTAAAATCCACTGGGAACTTCTGGATTTTAGACAAGGCCTGGGCTTTTCTATCACTCTGCTAGGTCTTTCTCTGCACATTTCTGCACATCCATGTGGTGTAACTCCATGTAACCCACTGAGAGGAGGCATAATGGGCTGTGAGGTGAGTCTGGTGTGCACTGTTAACTCGGGGACCAACTGACATGACTTGGAGCTATGATAGTTCGCGTGGAGCTAGTTCATGTTGCTCTCTGTCCATCCCTTTTCTTCATCCTCAATCTGCCACGGGGAGTCATTTTCATCTCTTTTTGGCAGCAGGAATTTCTGAATTGAGTTTGAGCTAGAAACTCACATCTTATTAGTTAAAAATGTTGATTCCGAATTGCTTCTGCAGAAGAGCATTAAACATTTCTTCCCCAGCTTCATCAGCTTGTGCTGGGGAGAGTAGAGGAGACAGACAGACACACTTGTCTAACCCTCCCAGCAAATTCCATGTGCCCAACTTTTATCTTGGTACAATGACTAGGATTGCTTCTGAACTGAGTTCCAAAGAACAATGAATGGGATGAAAATTGTGTTATACAAGGGTTGTTATTATCATAAATATTATTTCATCAATATTATTTATATTACAATGGGATGAAGGAGATATAATAACTTAATTTCCACTCTGTGTAAGGAGTAAAAATACAATGCTACATTTTAGGCTAAGGGAAGTTTTATATGAATGACAAATTTTATATAAATGAAATTGCTAGTGACCGATCTTGAGTGAAATATTTAGCATAGGCAAACATTTTTTCAAGTGTACAAGGAGACATGCATGCATATTTATTGCAATATTGTTAGTAAATAATGTTGCAAAAATTTGGAAACAACCAAAATGTCTGTCAGTAAAGGAATCTATAAAGGAACGGTGTGGTCTGTCTGCACTGTGGAGTACTGTGGAGAAGTTAGACAAAAATACCTAGTCCTTTATGTGTAGACAAGGAACAACATAGAAAATATGTAGTGGAAGGGAAAAGGGAAGTTTTAACAACCATATAACATGGGAAATGAATTGTATTTCTGGGTAAATGTACATACTTACACAGTATCATTATCCAAATTTGGTGGCCATTTGAATTTAAATAATCTAATTTTCAGAAATATACTTACCCTACGATAGGTAATACACTGTGCAAGGCCCTGTATGCAATCCTAAAGACCTGGGATTCAAATTAGGAAGGGGTATGTTTTCCTAGAATTTCAGCTTATAATGTACTTACCTATAAAAATTTATGTGCCAGAATGTACTAGCCAAAGAGGATCGAGTGCTAACATATTCATTTTGGTATATTTGAATGTGACTTATTGGAGTTTAAGTCGATCTCGAGAAAATCTTTGGGTGTCCAATCATACTTTTTTTTCTTTTTTTTTCCTTTTCTTTTCTTTTTTTTTTTTTTTTTCTTGAGACAGGGTCTTACTCTGTGGCCCAGGTTGGAGTGCAGTGGTGTGATCACGGCTCATTATAGCTTTTACCTCCTGGGCCCAAGCGATCTTCCCACCTCGACCTCCTGAGTAGCTACAACCACAGGTGTGTACCACCATGCCTGGCTAATTTTTGTATTTTTTGTAGAGATGGGTCTTGTCATGTTGCCCAGGCTGGTCTCGAACTCCTGTGCTCAAGGGTCCTCCTGCCTCAGCCTCCCAAAGTGCTGGGATTACAGGCATGAGCTACTGCACCCAGCCCAGCCCACACTCTGCTTCTCAGGAAGAGAGTGAGTCCCTGAGCATGCCTCACTGGTGAGAATAGGGTGTGGCCAAAGTCAGTGGGCAGAGTCTTACAGTCCACTGAGCCTGGGTACCCTGGAGACCTTTCTATGGCACCAGCTTACAAGCAAGACTGTCTTTATGGCAGAAGAGCTTATGTCTGCTTACTTGTGGAGAAAAACAAGAAGGGAATTCTGATAATAGATACATATAGCACCTTGGCTTTCAAATCAATCCAGTGATAAGTTTAAATCTATAATTTGGTGATGAGTTCAAGCATCTTTTCACATTATTTTCAGTTAAATTACCATTATATTGTATGTAGCTGAAAATAAATTTGCAATGGCATCATTTTGTACAACTGAAAATGTACCTACCCTATAATCTAGCAATCCCAATTCCAAATATTTAGCATAGGCAAACATTTTTCCAAGTGTACAAGGAGACATGCATGCATATTTATTGCAATATTGTTAGTAAATAATGTTGCAAAAATTTGGAAACGACCAAACTGTCTGTCAGTAAAGGAATCTATAAAGGAACGGTGTGGTCTGTCTGCACTGTGGAGTACTGTGGAGAAGTTAGACAAAAATACCTAGTCCTTTATGTGTAGACAAGGAACAACATAGAAAATATGTAGTGGAAGGGAAAAGGGAAGTTTTAACAACCATATAACATTTGATAGCTTTTTTGTAAATTTAAAAGCACAAAATATTTTAAATTTGCCTATATATTAGGTTTATTTTCATATATAGACAGTTGTTGACTTACAATGGTGCAACTTATGATTTTTGACTTTACCGTGTTGTGAAATGGTTACAATTTTGATGTAATGTACATTAGTGAGTAAATTGCATGAGATAGTCAACATTTATTATAAAATAAGGAGTGTGTTAGATAATTTTGCCCCACTGCAGGCTAATGCAAGTGTTCTGAGCGTGTTTAAGGTAGGCTAGGCTAAGCTATGATGTTGGTAGTTCAGTTGTATTAAATGCATTTTTGACTTACAATGTTTTCAACTTACAGTGGATTTATAAGGACATAACCCCGTCATAAGTCAAGGAGTATCTGCATGTGTTTACATTTCATCTTATATTTATCCACATATATAGAAATGTTATGTCTGAAGAGGAGCATCAAATACATGAGTGGTTACATCTGGAGTGGGAGGCAAAGCTAAAATTAAGATGGTGCTTAAAAGATGTTCATTTTATCTACAATGTGTTTTTATATATAATTTGTGTAGTAAACATACACACGTGAAATTATGAGTAGAAGCAACTATATCAAGGTATAAATATTAATAGTAGTTAATTCTGGATGTAGACAGTAAGGATTATTATTTTCTCATTTGTACTTTTCTGAATTTTTCAGAAATTTCAAAGCCGAAAATAAGGAAAATGGTTTATCTTTTTATATTTGCTTCCTTGTTGTATTGGAATCTCATTTTGGGAGAATTATTAGGATTATTGTTTAATGCAAGAGGAGAGCCCTTTCTATAACTGTTAATTTTTAGCTTCTGTTTTTAAGAGAAACCAGTGGTTTCCAGGGTATTCGGGTCTACATAACTTAATGTCTTATATGTTTATAGGGAGGATCTCATATAGCTTACAGTTTCTTTTACTGATATAGTCTAGACATACCAAACAGCAATGGATGGTGTATAAGCAGTGCATTCCATTTAGCAAGGAGGTATAGTCACTGAGTTATTTAATAATTTTAATTGAAAATAATAGCTCCTATAAAATTTTGCTCATTTTGGCAAAGTCTAGAGAAAGATGAAGTGATAGATGATAGATTTTAAGGTACTCTTATAAAGTTTTGTGAGTCAAGTATTCTAAGATAGAACAACTTTTTATGGTGGTGAAGAGTTTTGTTTTGAGAAATTAATTGAGGGGAAGTAAATAGTTTTTGTTTTCATTTTATTCTATTACTGCCATTCTAGCGCCCTATAAAATTTCCCTGATATACTTCTCCTTGGGCCTAACATTTCCAAGCAAATAACTTCATCTTTCTTCTATACTCCTTGCGTTAGAGAGAGAAATTCAGCTCAAATTAGTTTATCAAAATGACAGCATCTGGTGTCAGGGATCTGGAAAGTCAAGGAGTAAATTTGGTCTCAGGCAATCCTGGGTCCAGGGCTTTGTTTCTTTCATTTGCTATTTTGGCCCTATGTGTTTCTGCTGGGCCTTTATTCCTAGGCTGGCGCTTTCTTGAGTGGACAAGATGAGGTAGTGACCCTAGATGTTCATTTTCCTTAGAGCTCTGAACCCCAGAGAGAGAACATGACTTTTATTCAGCAGCCATGTCAATGCTTAAAAACAACTCCAGCTGGCCTGGCTTGGGTCATATGTTCCCCATGGAAGAAACAGTATGCCCGTGGAGATGCTGCCCCCAGTTAACCACCCTGTTCCGGGCAGGAAGAGGCCCCTGCTTGACGTCTTTACCATAATGACATGGAGTGGGGCGCCTCGTTCTCCAACTGAAAGAGGGGCTCTAGGCAGAGCAGTCCCTAAGTCTTCCAAGTGTGCATGGCATTTGTTTGATCCTCTGTTGTATCACAAACACTATGCACCCTAGTCCTGTAATAACTTGCTTGACATCCCCCCACTGAACTATCTGTGCTCAGTAGCAGGGACCCTATCTTGCTTATCTTTGCATCCCTATTACTTAACATGATAGGTGGCACATAGCTGACACGCAATTATTTACATGCTGAATAAAAAAGATGTGGACTCATGAAAGAGAATGTTGGTTGTGGAGTAACGTCTCTCTCAAACTAATTGTTCTGTTGATTTAATACTTTGTAGAAGGCCATTGTATTCCTGTACTGTGAAGAAAAATTAAGTAATTAATAATTTTTGCTAAATTCAAACAGTGGTGTTGAGTTGATATGTGACATCTAATATATCAATTATTTTCCAAACTAAATGTACTCAACTGACATATTGCCATGTATAGAATTTGTTTTACTGGCATACAAATAAAACCTAAAATAAATGGTGTAACTGTCTTTAACACTTTGCAGAGCTCTATAAATAGCCACATTTGTCTGGCATCCTGTGACAAGCATATGGCCCCAGAGATGCAAAATTTGCTATAAACAGTGCACCTCCCTAATGATTAGTGTATGATGTGCACTAGTTCTGTCTTAATTATATTTAGTCCTTTAGTACTGTATGTTTGATCATAAAAGGAGATTTAGCCTTCAAGCTTCTGGAAATAATGGCAGAATGCAGTCAACATATTATAATCGTTCTTCACCTTTTTATGTTCCCAGAGACTTGAGGTTTAACAGAATAAGAGAAATTCCAGGGAGCGCCTTCAAGAAACTCAAGAATTTGAACACACTGTGAGTACTTATTGCTTATCTGTAAGGTTCCTAAAATTATATGCTGGTTGGATGGCAATTTACCGTGAAAGTCATTCTGAGTGTCAAGAACAGCTAGTAGAAGAATGACACCTTGTAGATGTCTTATAACTGGGAAAATTCTGCTGCTTCTTTACACTGCCTATGTTTTTATAACCTTTTGAACATGGAAGAGATTCTTATTTATCCAATTTATTTGTATTCTATTGGTTTAGAAAAGCTTCATGAGAAGAAGAAATAGGGAGAAGGAGGGGTTAAGTAACTTGTCTATGAGTCCCATGGCAAGAAAGCAATAGAAATGAAATTAAAATTCACAACTTTCTAACTGCAAAGCCCATGCTCTACTCAGTATGCTACTAGGCCTTCTTATTTGTGATACTCTAAAACAAAGAATAGCTTTAGAATCATGTAGAGATGCTGTTTTATGATAGTCTTAAATGAAAACATATCATGTAGAGAAAAAAATGACAACTTTATGGCTAAGCACTGATAAATGTTTCCAAGTTTAAAGGCATTTATTTTATTCACTTAACAGTATCTATTATCTATTGTGGGCTACCAGTTGGCTGGTTTTGTATTTGGATCCGAATGCACATGCCCCTGCTATGATACAACTGATGGTCTGACATTGTGGGGCAGTCAGGTAGCCAACACCCAACTGTAATATGTCTGTAATAGAAAAAATTCCTATGTATAGTAAGTGCTATAAGGAGAAGAGACCTATGAGAGATGATGACTGGAGGTTCAATATATAAAATCTTCCTATGCTGCATTTAGATTAATCCACTGAGTGAACACACTGAAAGTTAAGAATCTTCAGTGAGGCTAGACCCATGTGGGCGTGTTTGTCTTCTTGTCATAATATTCTCATGATAGAGTTAGCAATTTTATCAACTTGGCTGAACTCACCATATTCAGGCCAAGCTAGCCCTTCTAACTTTAGAGTTGAGATCATAACTTTACACTTGTGCTTCTCCCATCTGGTTTCTTTCCAGTAACTGATGCCGGAACACACATATTTTTATCACAGTATCTCTGTTTGGGATGATGTAAGAACATAAGAAAGTAAGGACTGCAGGGTTTATTCTTTGTTTTACAATAAAGCAATGATTATCAAAGTGCAATGTACGAAAACATTTCCTGGAGTGCTTGTGGACATGCAAATTCCTAGCCCTCTTCCCCAGGGATCCTAATTTAGGACTTCTCAGGATGGGCCCAAAGATCTGCATTTGATTATTATTATTTTTTTCTTTGAGACAGAGCCTTGCTCTGTCGCCCAGGCTGGAATGCAGTGGCACAATCTCGGCTCACTGCAACCTGTGCCTCCCGGGTTCAAGCAATTCTCCTGCCTCAGCCTCCTGAGTTGCTGGGATTACAGGTGTCTGCCACCATGCCCGGCTAATTTTTGTATTTTTAGTAGAGACAGGGTTTTGCCATGTTGGCCAGGATGGTCTCAATCTCCTGACCTTGTGATCCATCCGCCTCGGCCTCCCAAAAAGTGTTGGGATTACAGGCATGAACCACCACGCCCAGGCTATTGAGTATCTTCTAATGAGTATTTCTGGGTGAAGCCTTTCACCACTGTCTACTGAAACATGTATATGATAGATAATCAAATATTTTATCCATTGATTAAATTGTGAATATGATAAAATGTTATAAAATATTTTCATTAGAGATAGTTGCCATTTAAAAAATTCAAGGAGTGTGACAAACTGATAAAATCTATTGGGGTTTGGCCACTTTTTGGAGTTACAGTACACAATTATTGATGAACACTAATTATTGATGAATAATCCACTTCTTCACTTGGCAGAAACCATGGATAATATTAATTTGTTTCTAAATATTTTTTATTAGAAAACCGTAATAAAATAGTAATTATGTTGTTAATTGCAAGCCTCATTTTATACTAGTTGCTTTATATACATTATCTATATTCCTTTCTTTCATGCTTTGTGGTAGGTGTTACTACGTTCATTTTACAGATGAGGAAATTGAGGTTCATGGCTGTAATGTAATTTACCCAAATTGAGGCAGATAGAAAAGAGCAGAGTCAGGGTTCCACAGAGTTTGATCTGTTAACTGCTGGACTATATGGTTTCTCATGATAGCATTCAGGAAAAGTACTTCCCTGGAATACAGATGGTAGATCATTTAAACAGTAAGTTGTGTGTACATGTGGTTGGTGTGTGTGTGTGTGTGTGTTTGTGTGTGTGTGTGTGTGTGTGAGAGAGAGAGAGAGAGACAGAGAGACAGACAGTAAGAGAGAGAGAGAGAGAGAGAGAGAGATTTCTGTCTAGAAAATGAGTTAAGCAATGAGACACTTACCACTCCTGAGACTTCAGAGGAATTTGTTAGTCCAGTTAAGTGAAGATCCAAAGGTCTTTACTAATTTATTGTAAAAGCAAAAGAAATAAGGACACATTTTTTAAAAAATAAAGTTAAATTTTTCATGAAGAATATTAAAAATTTTGACCATATGGCTCTTATATGAACACAGCATCACAAAATGAAATCAAGCATCTGGTGATTCTATTTCCTTGGGTTGCCTTTATAGTAAATTGCACAGAAACTCCAATGTTTTCTTACAATTTAAAAAAATGCCAACCACATTGCTTCTATATTGTAAAAGAGAGGGTTTTCTCAAAAACAGTTGGCATTTTTGTATTAAACAGAGCTTGCTAAGAGGTTTACTTAATAAAAAATCCGGAAATGTTATGTATTGCTGGAGCCTAAGAGCTAGAGGGTAAGATCAAGGATCTGTTATCAGACCCTGAATTTCACCCGCTGCAGCACAGCCAAGTGGTGCCTGGCAGAGCTCTGTGACTTGCCAGGGTGCCTCTGCCTTCCAGTTTCTGGATGACACTGATAAGAGTAATACATTTGGGAAACAGGCTCAAATTCAATTCTGGACAACACAGTCATGCTTATAAAAAAGATGATTGAGCCCTGGAGGAAGAGCAATGCTAATAAATGCCAAGGACAAAAGGTTAGACTATACCACAAAAATAAAATAAATGCATGCCACTATTTAAATAGCAACAACAGAAATACGAAGATCTGATTCTAGGGCTGATACTCCTCACTCATCTGCCTTCTGGAAGGAAGGCCTAATTGAAAAGCAAGATGAAAAGAACCTTGAGAAGAACGTCAAAAGGGAGGGGTTGGGGGGTATTTCTGGTCCTTCCAATTGTTTTGTGAAGTGTGGCAAGTTATTTAACTCCTTAAACCTTAAGTTTACTAACATTTCCTCTGACGTTTTATTTTGAAAATTTCAAAGCTACCCAAATCTCAAAAGAAGGGCATGATAATTGCTTTGTACATTTTACGTAAAATTCACTAGTTAACATTTTGCCACATTCACGTTTCTCTGTCTCCCCACACTCATCTATGTGTGTTTATTCTAATTTGGCCGAATCGCTTCCAAATTATATACTACGCTTTATTCCTAGGTAAGCTATATAGATACAGGTGCAGTTTGTAGAGTGTTTAACTAAATATCACATATAATTAGTTAATGTATGTATTAATATTATTGTTAAATGGCATTAAATTATATGTTCTATTTATTTCATGCTAGTAGATAAAATGCAATTGATTTTTGTATATTGATATTGTATCCAGTGACCTTACTAAATTAATCCTCACTAATTCTACTCATTTGCTTATATCCTTTGGATTTTTGTAATTACACAATCATGTCCTTTGGAAATAAACAGTTTTCCTTTCCAATCTGTATACAGTCTCAGGGGACAGCACGTGATATTAGCTGTAGCTTTTTTTGTAAAGCTTGTATTGAGAAGATAGTGGCATATGATGAACTAGTGATCGATTTGTGGCAAAACCACTGATAAGAGTTAGGTCATTTTGTCTTTGCTCTTACCAAATTCAAAACTAAATGCATCATTCTCACTTTTGCTGTTCAACAATCAACCTTATCACTAGTGGCTAATAGACTAATTTATCTCCACAAACTTGGCACTGCAGCATAAATTGCACTGAACTTCACCAACATGAGACCAAGTCTTCTGCCTATTGACCTGATCTGATCCTAGAGGTAGTTCTCCTAGGGCAATTTCCACAAGCAACAGGGCCTGAGCACTGAATACAGTGCTAGCTTATTGGAAAATGGTCATGGTAAGGCAATGTAAAAAAGACTCTGGCTGATCTCTTCCTAATAAATTTCTCTTCCTCATTATCCTACAAAACAAAATCACAACATCAGGAGAATAAAACCAAGTTAAGTGGTCTTGTCTATTTTTCAAACTTTTATACTCGATCATGGCAGAAACGTTTTGGGTGGCTATAGGGTGAGTGAGAAGAGTCAGGGCAGATCAAAGGAAACTTCCAATTAGTAAATAGTTGACTTTAAAATCTACTGGAAGACTTATTTTTTTTTAATCTATGCCTGTACATTGTTAAATTTTGAATATTACTCTTAATCTCTTGACTTTGTCTGTATATAATACTATTTTGCTGTATATAATAAAGGAGCATTTAAGATACAGTACTCCTATGGAATCAATTCAAAGGTGACTAACTGGAATTTTTTTTTTTTTTTTTTTTGAGACAAAGTCTCTCTCTGTTGTTGAGGCTGGAGTACGGTAGCAGATCTCAGCTCACTACAACCTCTGCCTCAGGGGTTTAAGTGATTCTCCTGCCTCAGCCTCCCAACTAGCTGGGATTACAGGCATGCACCAGCACACCTAGCCAATTTTTTGTATTTTTAGTAGAGATGAGGTTTTACCATGTTGGCCAGGCTGGTCTCAAACTCCTGACCTCAGGTGATCCACCCACCTCGGCCTCCCAAAGTGCTGAGATTACAGGCATGAGCCACCATGCCTGGCCTGGATTTTCACTGTCCAAAGAATGTTTCATCTGCAAAACAGATCAATAATGAGAATTTTTCTAAAGTCAATAAAATGTTTAATCAAAAATAAAAAGTAAAATAAAAACATAATTAAAAAGAAAGAAATAGCATTAATGTATGCACAATTAGCAATACTAAATATATTACAGACTCCCCCCCAACTAGAAATATAAAATTAAAAATTATAAGGGGATTTTCTCTTTATTGTAAACATGTTATGTGTGAAGTGTTGTGGTAGGTGCTTTACAATGACTAAATATGTGACCTTGAGTAAATTGTTTTACTCCTTGGATCACAGTTTCTTCACCTACAAAGCTAAGAGATTATGTCTTCTAGTATTAAACATTTACCCAATTTCCAAAAGAATAAAAGATTCAGCTCTAGACAAGATTTAAAAGGAAAATTGTTATAATTACAGGTTAAAAAACACAGTACGTTTAATGGGAAAGTTTCAAGTCTCATAACACGTGTGTTATTTGCCGACTTTCCTCTTTCAAGGTGAAAAGGCTGTTTTCAGATTCATGAGAAAATGACAATTAAACCAAGGCTGGGGTCTATGTCGGTGCTGCAACTACTGCCGTTTTTTTCCTCGAGCATGTCTTGTCTGAAGGGCTGAAGACACAGTTACCAGCCAAAGAGGTTTCTCTTTTCTTAAAGCATGTTGTTTGACACGGAAATTTTACTAGCTTTTCTTTAAAAATCCCTTAAAAATTAATGATGAAATGTTTGCACCCATATTAATTGTTTCATCCTCTTATTCATTGTTCTTCACTTGTGTGTCCTGTTAGTAGAAGAAAAAGGAAAGTATATAAATAGGAAATGTATGAGCACTAAATCAAATTTGGAATTTCTACCCATTTGTAATTTTTTATTATGTTGTTTAAATGTGATTTTTGACAAAGTTTTTAAGCATAGTAAAACATTTTAGTAAAAACACATGAAATCATTATAACAGCATAAGTATAAACATAATGATAGCTTTTAGAATCTTCTACCTGGGTGAGAGCTCAAGTTCTGACTTTCATTAGCTGTATGATGTTAGTTTCCATATCTATAAAAGAGGATAATCATAGCGCATATAATTAATGTAATGATTAAACAAAATAATACATGTAAAATATAGTGTAAGGAATGCAAAGAAGTTATATTAATTTTCTAGGGCTGCTTTAAAAAAAATCACCAAAGCCTTGGTGTCTTAAATGGAAAGAAATGGATTCTCTCACAATTCTAGAGACCAGAAGCCTGAAACGAAGGTGTGGGCAGGACTGCCTTCCCTCCAGAGGCTCTGGGAGAGAAACTTCTCCTTGCCTCTTTTAGCATCCAGGCCCTGCTGGCATCCTTTGGTGTTTCTTGCCTTGAGTCCACATCACTCCAATCTCTGCCTCTATCTCTCACTAAGAATTGCTTTCTATTCAGTGTCTGTAGAGTCTCTCTTTTACAGGGATAGTTGTGATTGGATTAAGGGCCCACTCTGAATAATCCCATTTCAAGATCCTTAATTTAATCACATCCCCGAAGATCCCTTTTCCTTATCAGATAAAATTTACAGATTCCAGGAATTACGACCTGATATTTTTGGGTGGCCATTATTCAGCCTACTACAGAAAGGTAAAAGTTTATTATCATTAGTTATGATTGGCGGTGGTAGTAATAGTCGTAATGAGAGTAATTATAGTAGTTGTACTGTAAGAGTGACATATATTTAGACACCCTACTTTTGAGTTGCAAAAAGAAGAATGATGCATGAAAAAGGCTATCCTTTATGTGACTTTGGAAACTAACACCATAAAAGCAAACGTTATATGAAGCCCAAGATGTCATACCATCTAAGAATCAAATATTCAATATTTTACAGTGCTTTTCTTGATATTAAAAAATAGGCAAAAAGTAAAAAGAAAGAAGCTAATATTGTTGAGTCCCTTCTCTGTGTCTAATTATAAATTCTAATAATAAATATTAAAAATAAAGTCAATATTATGGAGACACTATTGTAAGTGTTTTTCATTTACCTGTGATTTAATAAAGCCCATGAAGCACTATCATGATCCTTATATTATAGCTGAGGACACTGATGCACAGAGAAGTCAGTTAACTTTGTCAGTCTTGCAGAAAAATGCAGTGGTAGATCTTTCCTTGACACAGGCGCTCTGGCTACAAAGTTCATGCTCCTAGCCACTCCATAATACTGCCCCTCATATACTACCATCTCTTTGTGATTTGGGGAAATTTTAACTTCTGCATTGTAAAATGATGACTCATATTTTTCTACATAATGCAAATACAGAACCTGCTGTATTTTTCAAAAGGCTTGCACAGTGCTCAGTGGAATTGTTTAGTTTCTCTCTGCCTCGTTTTGGGGAACTCCCAGAACACATAGGTGAAGCTTCAGCAGCACAATTACCATCACTCACCTTCTCTGAGAAGTTCTCTTCACCTTCATTTCCCCCTTGGCCCAACTTCTTGTCATGTGTCGGTATTTTGATACTGGCCAGAAATAGAGAGAAATTTCTGGGGTGGATGCCAGGAAAATTTGGCTTATAAAAACTCTATGTTGCCGTTCTCTGATTGGCACATCCAAGATATTTCTTGGCTCTAAGGCGTGGGCTTTACTAATTGGGTCATGAAGTCTCCTTAGAGACTTCTTATCATTTGCCTTTGCCTCAATTTATGTTACTCAGAATTCACAGACCCTGTATAAGGGATGATACATCCTAGCTTCCAAAAAGAAAGCTCCAAAATGGTGAAAACACCCAAGAGCATACATTTCTCTTAAAAGTACGTTGTATCCTTTTTACAGTATATCTATGTGCTGAAGTACCAGTAGTAATAGACATTTGCACTCCCAGGCCATCGGCTCTCTCTCCACTCCTGCTGCACTGAATAAACCGTCCTGGCCCCTTTCTACAACCACCTGTGCCCTGGATCATTTCCTTTCTCTCCCAGGCAGTGGCAGATTCTTGCGGTTGTCCCCTATCTCTCCTAATCATTGGTTTGTCATTTTCTTTTGTACTTTTCACACAAACATACTGACATTTAATAATTTCTGTAACATGTCTTCCTTTGATCTGACACCTCTTTCCCTCTCTCTTGCTATCTCCCTATTTTCCTGCTCCCCTTAGGAGCAAGGCTCCTAGAAGTGTTGTCATTTCTCATTCTATCTGTGTGCTTTCCTCCCTTCCTCTCTTAAACCTACCCAGGTCAGTCTGGAGCACTACCACGCCACTGAAAGGTAACCGTTGGCTGCCATGGAAGTGCCCCATCTCGTGGGTATTCTTCAGTGCTTGTTTTGCTTGCCCAATCAGCAATATCTGACACAGGGGGTCAACTCCTCCTTTTTGAAATATTTTCCTTAATTGCACTTTGTGTTATCACTTGTATTAGCTGGCTACGGCTATCACAACAAAATGCCACAGACCAGGTGGCTTTAAAAACAGAAGTGTATTTTCTCACAGTCCTGGAGTATGGAAGTCCAAGATCATGGTGCCAGCAGGTCTGGTTTCTCCCGAGGCTTCTCTCCTTGGTGTGTAAATGTCATCTCTCCCTGCATCCTCACTGGCCTTTTCTCTGCACACAGATATCCTGCTGTCTCTTCCTCTCCTTATAAGGACACCAGTGTCACTGGATCAGGGCAGTGTCCTTAAGACTTCACTTAACATTAATTCCTTCTTGAGGGGCCCTACCTGCAAATTTAGTCACGTGAGGGGTTAGGGCATCAACATACCCATTTCGGGGAACACAGTTCATCCCATAACACAGTCCTTTCCTTGGTATCCTCCTAACTCATTGCTTGGCTCTTGTTTTCCTTTCCCTCTGTCTTTCCTCTTCTCAGTCTTTATGCTGCAATGCCTCACAGCTCAGCACGCAGCACTTTCCTTACACTCACCTTCAAGGTGAGCATGTCCAGCACCATGGTTTTCAACACTGGGCCCTCCACATTTATGTTTTCACTATGACTTTGAACTGCGATTTCACGTAACTGTCTGCACAACATCTGAGGCCTGTCAGCATCCCGAGCTCAGTATTTATAAAATCAAACTTTTGATTCATATATTTTACCAAATTTGCTCCTCCTGTAAATTTCTCCATTTCAGGCTGTGTTACTTTTATTCTATCAGGTGGCCTGTAATATTAAAGTCATTCTAATCTCTCTTTACCTCAAACCCTACATCTATCAGCAAATGCACTTCATTCTATCTTTAAATGTACTACAGATCTGATCTGTTCACCACCTCACTGCTATCAGCAGTCACTCTGGCTTCACTGCCTTTCACCTACAGCCAAAGCTAATTAAATGGTCTCCCTGTCTCTTTTTACCAGCTCCTCAAGCAGCCGTGTGATCCTCTAAATAGATGTTATATGATCTCAATCATCTGCTCAACACCATCCGTTGATGGTATGATGGTTAATTTTAAATTAATCAGGGCGCAGGATGCCCAGATATGTGATTAGACATGATTTCTGAGTGTGTCTGAGAGGGTGTTTCTGGAAGAGATAAGCATGAATTGGTGGCCTGAGGACAGCAGATGGCTGTCCCTAGTGTGGGTGGGTGCTATCCTATCCACTGAGGGCCTGCATAGAACAAAAAGTCAGAGGGAGGAGGAATTTGCACTCTGCCTGAATGCTGAGCTGGGACATCCATCTTTTGCCCATGGCTCTCCTGGCTCTCAGACTTCAAAACTGGAATCTGCACCAACAGCCGGCCAGCTCTCAGGCCTTCAGACTGTACCACGGGCTTTCCTGGGTCTTCAGCTTGCAGAGGGCAGATCATGGGACTTCTCGGCTTCCACAACCATGTGAGGCAATTCCTGTGTAAATCTTCTCTTTTATGTCTCCATGTATTTCCTATTGGTTCTGTTTCTCTGGAGAACCCTGACTGATTCAAAAGTCTTCTCTTCCACCTATGGATCCGTGTCCCCGCCATAACCTATGTGGCCGTCTACAATCAGCCTGGGGCCCTTTTCTGACGTGAGCTCCTAGACTCAGCCCCCTTCACGCTGCTGCTGCTACTATAGGCTTTTATTTTTTTAAAAATATAAATATCATCCCGGCGCGGTGACTCACACCTGTAATCCCAGCACTTTGGGAGGCCGAGGCGGGTGGATCATGAGGTCAGGAGATCGAGACCATCCTGGCTAACACGGTGAAACCCCATCTCTACTAAAAATACAAAAATAGCTGGGCGCGGTGGCAGGAGCTTGTAGTCCCAGCTACTTGGGAGGCTGAGGCAGGAGAATGGCGTGAACCTGGGAGGTGGAGCTTGCAATGAGCTGAGATAGTGCCACTGCACTCCAGCCTGGGCGACAGATCGAGACTCCGTCTCAAAACAAAAACAAAAACAAAAACAACCCATATATATATACACACACATATGTGTATATATATACACACACATGTGTATATATATACACATATGTGTGTGTATATATATACATATGTGTGTGTGTGTGTGTGTGTGTGTGTATATATATATATATATGTAAAAATGTGCCTTTGCTACAGGGTTTATATATTTGCCCTGATCTCCACCCAGACTATTAGAGACTGGCATAACTGTCTCCTTCACTTTTAGTTCTCTGATCAAATGTGATCTTTTTAAAATATTATAATTGTTTTATTTTACTTATTTAACTTTATTTATTTATTTATTTTTTTGAGATGGAGTCTCACGCTGTTGCCCAGGCTGGAGTTCAGTGGCATGATCTCGGCTCACTGTAAGCTCTGCCTCCCAGGTTCACGCCATTCTCCTGCCTCAGCCTCCCCAGTAGCTGGAACTACAGGTGCCTGCCACCATGCCCGGCTAATTTTTTGTATTTTTAGTAGAGATGGGGCTTCACCACGTTGGCCAGTGATGATGAGCATTTTTTCACGTGTCTGTTGGCTGCATAATTGTCTTCTTTTGAGAAGTGTCTGTTCATATCCTTCACCCATTTTTTGATGGGGTTGTTTTTTTCTTGTAAATTTGTTTGAGTTCTTTCTAGATTCTGGCTATTAGCCCCTTGTCAGATGAGTAGATTGCAAAAATTTTCTCCCATTCTGTAGGTTGCCTGTTCACTCTGACGGTAGTTTCTTTTGCTGTGCAGAAGCTCTTGAGTTTAATTAGATCCCACTTGTCAATTTTGGCTTTTGTTGCCATTGCTTTTGGTGTTTTAGACGTGAAGTCCTTGCCCATGCCTATGTCCTGAATGGTATTGCCTAGGTTTTGTTCTAGGGTTTTTATGGTTTTAGGTCTAACATTTAAGTCTTTAATCCATCTTGAATTAATTTTTGTATAAGGTGTAAGGAAGGGATCCAGTTTCAGCTTTCTACATATGGCAGGCCAGTTTTCCCAACACCATTTATTAAATAGGGAATCATTTCCCCATTGCTTGTTTTTGTCAGGTTTGTCAAAGATCAGATGGTTGTAGATGTGTGGTATTATTTCTGAGGGCTCTGTTCTGTTCCATTGGTCTATATCTCTGTTTTGGTACCAGTACCATGCTGTCTTGGTTACTGTAGCCTTGTGGTATAGTTTGAAGTCAGGTAGGGTGATGCCTCCAGCTTTGTTCTTTTTGCTTAGGATTGTCTTGGCAATGTGGGCTCTTTTTTGGTTCCATATGAACTTTAAAGTAGTTTTTTCCAATTCTATGAAGAAAGTCATTGGTAGCTTGATGGGGATGGCATTGTATCTATAAATTACCTTGGGCAGTATGGCCATTTTCACAATATTGATTCTTCCTACCCATGAGCATGGAATATTCTTCCATTTGTTTGTGTCCTCTTTTATTTCATTGAGCAGTGTTTTGTAGTTCTCCTTGAAGAGGTCCTTCACATCCCTTGTAAGTTGGATTCCTAGGTATTTTATTCTCTTTGAAGCAATTGTGAATGGGATTTCACTCATGATTTGGCTCTCTGTTTGCCTGTTATTGGTGTATAAGAATGCTTGTGATTTTTGCACGTTGATTTTGTATCCTGAGACTTTGCTGAAGTTGTTTATCAGCTTAAGGAGATTTTGGGCTGAGACAATGGGGTTTTCTAAATATACAGTCATGTCATCTGCAGACAGGGAAAATGTGACTCCCTCTTTTCCTAATTGAATACCCTTTATTTCCTTCTCCTGCCTGATTGCCCTGGCCAGAACTTCCAACGCTATGTTGAATAGGAGTGGTGAGTGAGGGCATCCCTGTCTTGTGCCAGTTTTCAAAGGGAATGCTTCCAGTTTTTGCCCATTCAGTGTGATATTGGCTGTGGGTTTGTCATAAATAACTCTTATTATTTTGAGATATGTCCAATCAATACCTAATTTGTTGACAGTTTTTAGCCTGAAGGGCTGTTGAATTTTGTCAAAGGCCTTATCTGCATCTATTGAGATAATCATGTAGTTTTTGTCTTTGGTTCTGTTTATATGCTGGATTATGTTTATTGATTTGCATTTTTTTATTTTATTTCACTTTATTTTATATTATTATACTTTAAGTTTTAGGGTACATGTGCACAATGTGTGGGTTAGTTACATATGTATACATGTGCCCATGCTGGTGTGCTGCACCCATTAACTCATCATTTAGCATTAGGTATATCTCCTAATGCTATCCCTCCCCCCTCCCTCCACCCCACAACAGTCCCCAGAGTATGATGTTCCCCTTCCTGTGTCCATGTGTTCTCATTGTTCAATTCCCACCTATGAGTGAGAATATGCGGTGTTTGGTTTTTTGTTCTTGTGATAGTTTACTGAGAATGATGGTTTCCAATTTCATCCATGTCCCTACAAAGGACATGAACTCATCCTTTTTTATGGCTGTATAGTATTCCATGGTGTATATGTGCCACATTTTCTTAATCCAGTCTATCATTGTTGGACATTTGGGTTGGTTCCAAGTCTTTGCTATTGTGAATAGAGCTGCAATAAACATACGTGTGCATGTGTCTTTATAGCAGCATGATTTATAGTCCTTTTGGTATATACCCAGTAATGGGATGGCTGGGTCAAATGGTATTTCTAGTTCTAGATCCCTGAGGAATCGCCACACTGACTTCCACAATGGTTGCACTAGTTTACAGTCCCACCAAGAGTGTAAAAGTGTTCCTATTTCTCCACATCCTCTCCAGCACCTGTTGTTTCCTGACTTTTTAATGATTGCCATTCTAACTGGTGTGAGATGGTATCTCATTGTGGTTTTGATTTGCATTTCTCTGATGGCCAGTGATGGTGAGCATTTTTTCATGTGTTTTTTGGCTGCATAAATGTCTTCTTTTGAGAAGTGTCTGTTCATGTCCTTCGCCCACTTTTTGATAGGGTTGTTTGTTTTTTTCTTGTAAATTTGTTTGAGTTCATTGTAGATTCTGGAATATTAGCCCTTTGTCAGATAAGTAGGTTGCAAAAATTTTCTCCCATTTTTTAGGTTGCCTGTTCACTCTGATGGTAGTTTCTTTTGCTGTGCAGAAGCTCTTGAGTTTAATTAGATCCCATTTGTCAATTTTGGCTTTTGTTGCCATTGCCTTTGGTGTTTTAGACATGAAGTCCTTGCCCATGCCTGTGTCCTGAATGGTAATGCCTAGGTTTTGTTCTAGGGTTTTTATGGTTTAGGTCTAACGTTTAAGTCTTTAATCCATCTTGAATTAATTTTTGTATAAGGTGTAAGGAAGGGATCCACTTTCAGCTTTCTACATATGGCTAGCCAGTTTTCCCAGCACCATTTATTAAATAGGGAATCCTTTCCCCATTGCTTGTTTTTCTCAGGTTTGTCAAAGATCAGATGGTTGTAGATATGTGGCGTTATTTCTGAGGGCTCTGTGCTGTTCCATTGATCTATATCTCTGTTTTGGTACCAGTACCATGCTGTTTGGGTTACTGTAGCCTTGTGGTATAGTTTGAAGTCAGGTAGCGTGATGCCTCCAGCTTTGTTCTTTTGGCTTAGGATTGACTTGGCGATGCGGGCTCTTTTTTGGTTCCATATGAACTTTAAAGTAGTTTTTTCCAATTCTGTGAAGAAAGTCATTGGTAGCTTGATGGGGATGGCATTGAATCTATAAATTACCTTGGGCAGTATGGCCATTGTCACAATATTGATTCTTCCTACCCATGAGCATGGAATGTTCTTCCGTTTCTTTGTATCCTCTTTAATTTCACTGAGCAGTGTTTTGTAGTTCTCCTTGAAGAGGTCATTCACGTCCCTTGTAAGGTGGATTCCTAGGTATTTTATTCTCTTTGAAGCAATTGTGAATGGGAGTTCACTCATGATTTGGCTCTCTGTTGGTCTGTTATTGGTGTGTAAGAATGCTTGTGATTTTTGTACATTGATTTTGTATCCTGAGATTTTGCTGAAGTTGCTTATCAGCTTAAGGAGAATTTGGGCTGAGACAATGGGGTTTTCTAGGTATACAATCATGTCATCTGCAAACAGGGACAATTTGACTTCCTCTTTTCCTAATTGAATACCCTTTATTTCCTTCTCCTGCCTAATTGCCCTGGCCAGAACTTCCAACACTATGTTGAATAGGAGTGGTGAGAGACGGCATCCCTGTCTTGTGCCAGTTTTCAAAGGGAATGCTTCCAGTTTTTGCCCATTCAGTGTGATATTGGCTGTGGGTTTGTCATAGATAGCTCTTATTATTTTGAGATATGTCCCATCAATACCTAATTTTTTGAGAGTTTTTAGCATGAAGGGTTGTTGAATTTTGTCAAAGGCCTTATCTGCATCTATTGAGATAATCATGTGGTTTTTGTCTTTGGTTCTGTTTCTATGCTGGATTACATGTATTGATTTGCATATATTGAACCAGCCTTCCATCCCAGGGATGAAGCCCACTTGATCATGGTGGATAAGCTTTTTGATGTGCTGCTGGATTCGGTTTGCCAGTATTTTATTGAGGATTTTTGCGTCAATGTTCATCAAGTATATTGGTCTAAAATTCTCTTTTTTGGTTGCGTCTCTTCCTGGCTTTGGTATCAGGATGATGCTGGCCTCATAAAATGAGTTAGGGAGGATTCCCACTTTTTCTATTGATTGGAATAGTTTCAGAAGGAATGGTACCAGTTCCTCCTTGTACCTCTGGTAGAATTCGGCTGTGAATCCATCTGGTCCTGGACTCTTTTTGGTTGGTAAGCTATTGATTATTGCCACAATTTCAGCTCCTGTTACTGGTCTATTCAGAGATTCAACTTCTTCCTGGTTTAGTCTTGGGAGGGTGTATGTGTCAAGGAATTTATCCATTTCTTCTAGATTTTCTAGTTTATTTGCATAGAGGTGTTTGTAGTATTCTCTGATGGTAATTTGTATTTCTGTGGGATCGGTGGTGATATCCCCTTTATCATTTTTTAATGCGTCTATTTGATTCTTCTCTCTTTTCTTCTTTATTAGTCTTGCTAGTGGTCTATCAATTTTGTTTATCTTTTCAAAAAACCAGCTCCTGGATTCGTTGATGTTTTTGAAGGGTTTTTTGTGTCTGTATCTCCTTCAGTTCTGCTCTGATCTTAGTTATTTCTTGCCTTCTGCTAGCTTTTGAATGTGTTTGCTCGTGCTTTTCTAGTTCTTTTAATTGTGATGTTAGGGTGTCAGTTTTAGATCTTTCTTGCTTTCTCTTGTGGGCATTTAGTGCTATAAATTTCCCTCTACACACTGCTTTAAATGTGTCCCAGAGATTCTGGTATGTTGTGTCTTTGTTCTCCTTGGTTTCAAAGAACATCTTTATTTCTGCCTTCATTTCGTTATGTACCCAGTAGTCATTCAGGAGCAGGTTGTTCAGTCTCCATGTAGTTGAGCGGTTTTGAGCGAGTTTCTTAATCCTGAGTTCTAGTTTGATTGTACTGTCGTCTGAGAGACAGTTTGTTGTAATTTCTGTTCTTTTACATTTGCTGAGGAGTGCTTTACTTCCAACTATGTGTTCAATTTTGGAATAATTGTGATGTGGTGCTGACATGAATGTATATTCTGTTGATTTGGGGTGGAGAGTTCTGTAGATGTCTATTAGGTCTGCTTGGTTCAGAGCTGAGTTCAATTCCTGGATATCCTTTTTAACTTTCTGTCTCGTTGATCTGTCTAATGTTGACAGTGGGGTGTTAAAGTCTCCCATTATTATTGTGTGGGAGTCTAAGTCTCTTTGTAGGTCTCTAAGTACTTGCTTCATGAATCTGGGTGCTCCTGTATTGGGTGCATATATATTTAGGATAGTTAGCTCTTCTTGTTGAATTGATCCCTTTACTGTTATGTAATGGCCTTCTTTGTCTCTTTTGATCTTTGTTGGTTTAAAGTCTGTTTTATCAGAGACTAGGATTGCAACCCCTGCCTTTTTTCGTTTTCTATTTGCTTGGTAGATCTTCCTCCATTCCTTTATTTTGAGCCTATGTGTGTCTCTGCACGTGAGATGGGTCTCCTGAATACAGCACACTGATGGGTCTTGACTCTTTATCCAATTTGCCAGTCTGTGTCTTTTAATTGGAGCATTTAGCCCATTTACATTGAAGGTTAATATTGTTATGTGTGAATTTGATCCTGTCATTATGATGTTAGCTGGTTATTTTGGTCGTTAGTTGATGCAGTTTCTTCCTAGCCTCGATGGTCTTTACAATTTGGCATGTTTTTGCAGTGGCTGGTACCGGTTGTTCCTTTCCATGTTTAGTGCTTCCTTCAGGAGCTCTTTTAGGGCAGGCCTGGTGGTGACAAAATCTCTCAGCATTTGTTTGTCTGTAAAGTATTTTATTTATCCTTCAGTTATGAAGCTAGTTTGGCTGGATATGAAATTCTGGGTTGAAAATTCTTTTCTTTAAGAATGTTGAATATTCGCCGCCAGTCTCTTCTGGCTTGTAGAGTTTCTGCTGACAGATCTGCCGTTAGTCTGATGGGCTTCCCCTTGTGGGTAACCCGACCTTTCTCTCTGGCTGCCCTTAACATTTTTTCCTTCATTTCAACTTTGGTGAATCTGACAATTATATGTCTTGGAGTTGCTCTTCTTGAGGAGTATCTTTGTGGCGTTCTCTGTATTTCCTGAATTTGAATGTTGGCCTGCCTTGCTATGTTGGGGAAGTTCTCCTGGATAATATCCTGAAGAGTGTTTTCTAACTTGGTTCCATTCTCCCTGTCACTTTCAGGTAGACCAATCAGATGTAGATTTGGTCTTTTCACATAGTCCCATATTTCTTGGAGGCTTTGTTCATTTCTTTTTACTCTTTTTTCTCTAAACTTCTCTTTTCACTTCATTTCATTCATTTGGTCTTCCATCACTGATACCCTTTCTTCCGGTTGATAGAATCGGCTACTGAAGCTTGTGCATTCATTATGTAGTTCTTGTGCAATGGTTTTCAGCTCCATCAGGTCATTTAAGGACTTCTCTACACTGTTTATTCTAGTTAGCCATTCGTCTAATCTTTTTTCAAGGTTTTTGGCTTCTTTGCGATGGGTTCGAACTTAGTCCTTTATCTCAGGTAAGTTTGATCGTCTGAAGCCTTCTTCTTTCAACTCGTCAAAGTCATTCTCTGTCCTGCTTTGTTCCATTGCTGGTGAGGAGCTGCGTTCATTTGTAGGGGGAGAGGCACTCTGATTTTTAGACTTTTCAGCTTTTCTGCTCTGTTTTTTTCCCCATCTTTGTGGTTTTATGGTTTTATCTACCTTTGGTCTTTGATGATGGTAACATACAGATGGGGTTTTGGTGTGGATGTCCTTTCTGTTTGTTAGTTTTCCTTCTAATAGTCAGGACCCTCAGCTGCAGGTCTGTTGGAGTTTCCTGGAGGTCCACTCCAGACCCTGTTTGCCTGGGAATTAGCAGTGGAGGCTGCAGAGCAGTGAATGTTGCTGAGCAGCAAATGTTGCTACCTGATCGTTCCTCTGGAAGCTTCATCTCAGAGGGGTACCCAGCCGTGTGAGGTGTCAGTCTGCCCCTACTGGGGGTTACCTCCCAGTTAGGCTACTCTGGGGTCAGGGACCCACTTGAGGAGGCAGTCTGTCCATTCTCAGATCTCACACTCCATGCTGGGAGAACCACTACTCAGGACAGGTTTTCTACTTCTGCAGAAAAAAAAAAAAAGTCATTGGAAATTTTATAAGGATTGTATTACATCTGTGTATCACTTTGGTAGTTGTAATCTCAACATCTTAAGCTTTCCAATTCATAAACATGAAATCCTTTTTCATTTATTTAGGTCTTCCTTATTCTTTTAGCAATGTTTGTAGTTTTTAATGTATAAATGTTTACTTTGATTAAATTTATTTCTAGACATTTTATTCTTTTTGATGATAAGTATAATTGTTTTCTTAATTTTCTTTTCAGATTATTTATTGCTTATGTACAGAACACAGCAGATTTTTGCATGTTGACTTTGTACCTGCAAGTGTGATAAATTGATTTATTATCTATAGTAGTTATTTTCTGAAATCTTTGAGATTTTCTAGATACACATTATGCCATCTGTGAATAGAGATAGTTTTACTTCTTATTTTCCAGTTTGGATGCCTGTATTTCTTTTTATTGCCTAACTGCTCTGGCTAGAACTTCCAATATAGCGTTAAATAGTAGTGATGAAAATAGGCATCTTTGTCATGTTCTTGATCTTAGGGGGAAGGTTTCTTTCACCATTAAGTATAATGTTATCTGGATTTTTAATAAATGTCCTTTATTATGTTCAGAAATTTCCTGCTATTACTTGTTTTTTGAGTATTCTTTGTTGATTATAAAAGGGTGTTGAATTTTGTCAAATACTTTTTACGTATCATTTGATAGGATTGTGTTTTCTCCTCCATCATTCCATTAATGTGGTGCATAACATTGGTTGACTTTCTTATGTTAAACTATCCTTGCATTCTTAGGTTAAATCTACTTGATCCTGGTGAATAATGTTTATGTTATGTTTTTTATTCAATTTTCCAGTATTTTGTTGAACAATTTTTGCATCACTATTACTAAAAGATATTGCTCTGTATTTTCTTCTCTTGTGGTGTCTTGTCTGTGTTTAGTAGCAGGCTAATACTAAACTCATAGAGTGAGTTAAGAAGCGTTCTTTCCTCTTCTATTTTTTTGGAAAATTTTGAGAAGAGGTGGTATTAATTCTTTAAATATTTGATAAAATTTACGAGTGAAACTATCTGGTCTTGAGGTTTTCTTTGTTGTGAGGTTTTTGATTATTGATTCAATCTCTTAAAAAGTACTTCGCCCCCCACTCAGATTTTCTGCTTTTTTTGAGACAGTTTTTGTAATTTGTCTATTTCTAATAATTTCTCTATTTTATTTAGGTTATCTAATTTGTTGGTGTACAATTTTAATAGTACTCTCATATTTTATTTATCTCTTTTAATAAAGTCAGTAGTATTGTCTTCACTTTTTATTTTTCTTGCTTTCATGGTTAGCCTAGCTAAAGTTTTTAAAATTGTATTGATCTTTTCAAAGAACCAACTTTTGGTTTCATTGACTCTATTTATTGTTTTTCTCTTCTCTGTTTCATTTATCTCCACTCTAATCTTAATTTTCTTCCTTCTGGTTGCTTTGCATTTAGCTTGCTTTTCTGTTTCTAACTCCTTCAGATGTAAAGTTAGGTTATCCATTTGAGATCTTCTACTTTTTGAAAATGTAGGCCTTTACAGTTATAAATTTCTCTCTCAGCACTGCTTTCACTGCATCCCGTAAGTTTTGGTATATAGTATTTTTGTTTTCGTTTGTCCTAAGTATTTTTAAATTTCCCTCATGATTTCTTCTCTGACCCACTTGTCATTTAAAGAGTGTGTTGTCATCTGACATCATACTGGATGGGCAAAAGCTGGAAGCATTCCCCTTAAAAACTAGAAGAAGACAGGATACCTACTCTCACCACCCCTATTCAACATAGTACTGAAAGTCCTATTCAGAGAAATCAGACTAGAGAAAGAAATAAAAGACTTCCAAATAGGAAAAGAAGAAGTCAAATTATCTGTCTTCACTGACAATATGATTCTGTACCTACAAAACCCTAAAGATTCCACCAAAAGGCTCCCAGAACTGATAAGTGACTTCAGTAAGGTTTCACAGTACAAAGTCAATGTACAGAAATCAATATCATTTCTATACACTAATAATGTTCAAACCGGGAGCCATATCAAGAGTGCAATCCCATTTTCAATAGCCACAAAAAAATAAAATATGTAGGAATACATCTAACCAAAGAGGTGAAAGAGCTCTATAAGGAAAAGTACAAAACACTGCTGAAAGAAATCATAGATGTCACAAACAAATGGAAAAACAGTCCATGCTCATGGATTGGAAGAATAAACATTATTAAAATGGCCACACTGCCCAAAGAATCTACAGATTCAGCACTGTTCCTATCAAACTACGGATGTCATTTTTCACAGAATTGTAAAAAACTATTCTAAAATTAATACGGAACCAAATGACAGCCAAATAGCCAAAGAAGTCTTAAGCAAAAAGAGCAAAGCCAGAGGCATCACATAACCCAACTTCAAACTATATTATGAGGCTATAGTAACCAAAACAGCATGGTACTGATTCAAAAACAGACATATAAACCAATGGAACAGAATAGAGAACCCAGAAAGAAAGCTTCACACCTACAGCCAACTGATCTTTGAAAAAGCCAACAACAAAAATAAACAATGGGGAAAAGACTCCCTATTCAATAAATGGTGCTGCGATAACTGGCTAGCCATATGCAGAAGAAGGATACTGGATCCCTACATTTCACTGTATAAAAAAATTAGCTCAAATTGCACTAAAGATACAGATATAAGATCACAAACTCTAAAAATCCTAGAAAACCTAGGAAATACCATTCTGGATGCTGGACTTGGGAAATAATTTATGACTAAGTCCTCAAAAGCAATTGCAACAAAAACAAAAATTGACAAGCAGGACCTGATTAAACTATAGAGCTCCTCCATAACAAAAGAAACTATCAACAGAATAAATAGGCTATAGGATAGAAGGAAATATTTACAAACTGTGCATCCAATAACAGTCTAGTATTCAGAATGTATAAGGAACTTAAACAATTAAAGAAGCCAAAAACACATAACCCCATCAAAAAGTGAACAAAGAACATGAACAGACACTTCTCAAAGAAAGACATACAAGCGGCCAACAAACATATGAAAAAATGCTCCACGTCACTAATCATCTGAGAAATGCAAATTGAAACCACAGTAAAACACTATTTCACACCTGTCAGAATGGCTATTCTTCTTCTTCTTTTTAGAGATGGGGTCTTGCTCTGTCACACAGGCTAGAATGCAGTGACATGACCATAGCTCACTGCAGATAATGGCTATTATTAAGAAGTTAAAAAACAACAGATGCTGGTAAGGCTGCAGAGAAAGGAGAACACATATATGCTGTTGGTGGGAATGTAAATTAGTTCAGTCTCTGTGGAAAGCAGGTTGGAGATTTCTCAAAGAACTTAAACTACCATTCGACCCAGCAATCTCATTGCAGGGTATATACCCAAAGGAAAAACAACTGTACTACCAAAAAGACACATGCATTCATATGTTCATTATAGCACTCTCACGATAACAAAGACAGAATCAACCTAGGTGCCTATCAACAGTGGATTGGATACAGAAAATGTGGTACACATACACCATGGACTACTATGCATCCACAAAAGAGAATGAAATCATGTCCTTTGCAGTAACGTGGATGCAGCTGGAGCTCATTATCCTAAGCACATTAATGCAGAAACAGAAAAACCAAATACCATGTGTTCTCACTTGTAAGTGTGAGCTAAACATTGGGTACATATGGACATAAATATGGGAACAAATTGACACGGGGGGTATTAGAATGGTGAGAGAGGGAAGGGTGCAAGGACTGAAAAGCTACATATTGTGTAATGCGATCACTATCTGTATGACAGGATCATTTATACTCCAAAACTCAGCATCACCCAGTATACCCATGTAACAAACCTACACATGTACCCCCTGAATCTAAAATAACAGAAAATCTAAAATTACAGAAAACAAAACAAAACAAAAAACAAAAGGGTATATAGTTTAATTGCCACATATTTATGAATTTTCCAGTTTTACTTCTGTTACTGATTTCTAAATTCATTCTATTTGGTTAGGGAAGATATTTTGTATTATTTCAATCTATTAAAGCTTATTAATACTTTGGACTTACTTATGGTTTGATATGTGGTCCATCTTAAACGTTCCATAAGTACTTGAAAAAATGTTTATTCTATAACTGCATCGTGGTGTAAATATTTTTATTTTTTAAATACTTTATTGATTGATTGATTGATTGAGATAGGGTCTCATTCTGTTGCCCAGGCAGTAATGCAATCATAGTTCACTGCAGCCTTGAACTCTTGGCTCACATGATCCTCCCACCTTAGCCTCCTGAGTAGCTGGGACTACAGGCATGTGCCACCATGCCTGGCTCATTTTTCTTTACATTTTGTAGAGACAAGATTTTGCCATGTTGACCAGGGTAGTCTTGAACTCCTGGGCTCAAGTGATCTGCCTGCCTCAGCTTCCCAAAGTGCTGGGATTACAGGCATGAGCCACCCCACCCTGCCTGTTGTGGTGTAAATAATATAGCCTGTTAGATGTAGTTGATTTACAGTGCTTTTCAAGTCCTCTATATTGTTATTTATCTTCTGTCTACATGTTCTATCCATTATTAAAAGTAGGGTATTGGAGTCTCCAACTATTACTGTAGAACTATCACTTTCTCTCTTCAGTGGTCCTTTTTTCTTCATATAATTTGGGGCCCTGTTGTTTGTTGTTTTGGAGTCATAGCCAAAAAAATTATTTGCATCATGTTTTAAAAGTCATTCTGCTGCTCTCTGCCTTTTGATTGGAGAACTCAATCTATTTATATTAAAAATAATTACTGGTAAGAAAGGACTTACTTCTGTCATTTTCCTGTTTTCTGTATGTTTTATACCTTTCCTGTTCTTCTTCTCCTCCATTACTACCTTCTTTTGCATTTAATTAATTTTTTATTTTACTATTTTGATTCTGATCCCATTTCCTTGAGAAATGAGACACGAGGTAATTGATATCAACTTAGCTTCAATAGCATAAACTCTGCCCTATACAATCTGTACCTCCACTGTTATGTTGTTACTATTACATATTACATCTTTATTATGGTGTGCCTGTGAACATAAATTTATAGCTATTATTTTATGTATTTACATTTTAGATCATATGGGAAATCAAAAGAAGACTTAAACCCTGAAATTTAATAATTGTGTCCTTTATAATTACCTATATAGTTATCTCTACTGGATATTTTCACTTCTCTGTATTGTTTAGAGCTGTTATTTAGTGTCCTTTCATGTCAGCTCAAAAGATTCCCTCTAAAATTTCTTGTAGGATAGGTCCACTAACAATAAAATCTCTTAGCTCTTGTTTATCTGGAAATGTCTTAATATCTTCATTTTTAAAAAGCTTTTATTTTAGGTTGAGGGGTACATGTGCAGCTTTGTAATACAGGTAAATTGCATGTCATGGGGGTTTGGTGTACAGATTATTTCATTACCCAGCTAATGAGCATCATACCCAATAGGTAGTTTCTCAATTTTTTTCCCTCCTCCCATTCCTCACCCTAAGTAGGCTCTGGTGTCTGTTGTTCTCTTCTTTGTGTCCATGTGTTCTCATTGTTTAGCTTCCACTTATAAGTAAGAACATGTGGTATTTGGTTTTCTGTTCCTGCATTAGTTTACTAAGGATAATGTCCTCCAACTCCATCCATATTGCTGTAAAGAACATGATCTCATTCTTTTTAATGGTTGCACGGTATTCCATGGTGTATATATACTACATTTTCTTTATCCAGTTTACCGTTGATGGCCTTTTAAGTTGATTCTGTGTCTTCGTTGTTATGAATAGTGCTGTGATGAACATAAGTATGCATGTGTCTTTATGACAGAACAATTTATATTTCTTTGGGTATATACCCAACAAAGAGGTTGGTAGGTCGAATGGTAATACTGCTTTAAGTTCTTTGAGAAATAGCCACACTGCTTTCCCCAATGGCTGAACTAATTTATGTTCTCACCAGCAGTGTATAAGCATTCCCTTTTCTCTACAACCTTGCCAGCATCTGTTATTTTTGACTCTTAGATAATAACTATTCTGACTGTTATGAGACAGTATCTCATTGTGGGTTTGATTTACATTTCTCTAATGATTAGTGATGTTGAGCATTTTTTCATATGCTTGTTGGCTGTGCGTATGACTTTTTTGAAAAGTGTTTATGTCCCTTGCCTACTTTTTAACGGGGTTGTTTGTGGTTTGCTTGGTGATTTCTTTACATTCCTTATAGATTCTGGATATTAGACCTTTGTTGGATGCATAGTTTGCAAATATTTTCTCCCGTTTTGTAGGCTGTCTGTTTACTCTGTTGATACTTTATTTTGCTGCGTAGAAGCTCTTTAGTTTAATTAGGTCACATTTGTCACTTTTTGTTTGTGTTGCAATTGCTTTTGGCATCTTTGTCATAAAATCTTTGCCAAGGCCTATGTCCAGAATCATATTTTCTAGGTTATCTTACAAGGTTTTTATAGTTTTACATGTTACATTTCAGTGTTCAATCCATCTTGAATTTATTTTTATATATGGTGTAAGGAAGGCATCCAGTTTTAATCTTCTGCATATGGCTAGCCAGTTATCCCAGCATTATTTATTGAATAGGAAGTAATTTCCCACTGCTTGTTTTTGTCAATTTTGTCTAAGATCAATTGATTGTAAGTGTGTGGCATTATTTTTGGACTCTATTCTTTTCCATTGGTCTATGTGTTTGTTTTTGTACCAGTACCATGTTGTTTTGATTACTATAGCCTTGTATTATAGTTTGAAGTTGGATAATGTAATGCCTCCAGTTTTATTCTTTTTGCTTCGGATTGCCTTGGCTATATGGGTTTTTTTTTGGTTCCATATTAATTGTAAAATAGATTTTTCTAATTCTTTGAAAAATGTCATTTGTAGTTTGCTACGAATAGCATTGAATCTGCAAATTGCTTTGGGCAGTATGCCATCTTATTATTCATTTTCGAGGGATACATTTGCTAGATATAAAAGACTTTTGTTGACAGTTTTAAAAATTTTCAGCACTTTAAAATGTCATTCTGTTTCCTTCATGTCTGCATGGTTTCTGATGATAAATCTGCTGTTAATCTTACTGTGGGTCGCTTGTACATGACAAGTTGCTTCTCTCTTAGTGCTTTAAACATGCTCTTGTTTTTGGCTATCAAAATGTGATAATAATTTGTCTCTCTGCGGATCTTTTGCATTTATCTTTCTTGGAACTCACTGAACTTCTTGGATGTTCAGATTCTTATCTTTTATCAAATTTGGAAAGGTTTTGTCTACTATTTCTTGAAGTATTCTTTATTTTCCTTTTTCTCTCTCTCTTTTCTTGGGATTTCTCATTTATGTGTATGTTAACATGCTTGATAGTGTCCCACAGTCTCTTAGGTTCTGTTCATTTTTCTTCATTCTTTTTACTTTCTGCTCCTCAGGCTGGATAATTTCAGTTGACCTATCTTCCAGAGTGCTGATTCTTTCTTTTGCCTTCTCAAATGTGCTGTTGAAACTGTCTAGTGAGTCTTTCATTTGGCTACTGTATTTTTCAGCTACAATATGTCTTTTTATATTTTTAATCTCCACTATGTCTGCTTCCTTTACATACTTTCTATTTCTCTATGGATATTCTCTATTTGTTCATACATTGTTCTCCAGTTTCCTTTATCTCTTTGCCGTGGTTTCTTTTGGCTTTTTTTAAAGCATATTTAAGACAGTTGATTTGAAAGTCTTTGTCTAGTTAGTCCAATGTTTGTGTTTGTTTCATCATGGACAATTTTCATTAGTGCCTTTTGCAAACTGGACAAACTTTCTTGCTTCTTTGCAAGGCTCATAGTTTCTGTTGCAACTTGGATATTTTGAATAGATAATATGGTGACTCTGGAAATCAGTTTTTTTCCCCTCTTCAAGATTTGTTTTTGTTTGCTATGGTCTGTAGCTGTTTGCTGTTAGTGACTTTTCTAAACTACTTTTTTGTAAAGTCTTCTTTTTGTTACATGTAGTCTCTGAAGACTGTTCTTTTTACTTGTGTCCAGCTAGAATTTTGGTAGAGATTTCCCTAATGCCAGGAATCAAAATGAAAAATAAAAACAAGAAAACAGAGGCCGGGTGTGGTGGCTCACGTCTGTAATCCCAGCACTTTGAGAGGCCAAGGTGGGTGGATCACAAGGTCAGGAGATCGAGATCCTCCTGCCTACATGGTGAAACCCCATCTCTACTAAAAATATAAAAATTAGCTGGGTGTGGTGGCATGCATCTATAGTCCCAGATACTCAGGAGGCTGAGGCAGGATAATTGCTTGAACCCAGGAGTTAGAGGTTGCAGTGAGCTGAGACAGCGCCACTGTACTCCAGCCTGGGTGACAGAGTGAGACTCTGTCTCCAAAAAAAAAAAAAAAAAAAAAAAGAAAAGAAAAGAAAACAGAGAGAGATGAAAAAGGAAAGAAAGAAAAGAAAGAAAGAAAGAAATAAAGAAGAAGAGAGAAGCCTCTCCCAAAGCTTGTAGATTGACTTGTGCCTGGGGACTCCTTCAGTGCTTAGCCAGACCATTTACAACTCTGTCTCAGTCTTTACTTTCTGTTTGTGTTAAACCAAGAGATCAGCCAAAAAATGCAAACAGGGTTTTCTTGGGTCTTTTCTGAGCCTGAGTTCAGTCCTGGATATGCTTGTGGCTTTCTAAATTTCCCAGTGTACACAGCAATTTTGAATATCCTAATTTTCCGAAGAAACCCTTTTCTCAACTTTCCTTCTAGGCTTTTGCTGCTCTGTTATTTGCCTACACTATAATCTTGTGCCCACATGTCCCTGAGTTGTTTTTTGGCTTTAGAATGGTTTTGAGGAATGGCTGCTGCTTTTCTTCCCTGAGTGAATTCTAAGTTCAGTGAAATGAAGACAAGCACCTTGTCTCAGTCTTTTAGGTAGGCCCCAGACAGGTTCGAATGGACAAATACTTTGAGAATTCTCTGAGAATGAATCTGCTTTGCTCCTTCCAGAACCAGGGCCCAGGACCCTGGACTGCTGATTTCAAGACTACCTTTGAACCCAGGATGGGGGTGGGGCAAGGGCAAGTAAAAACACCACAAAGCTTTCTTACAATTTATAAGCTGTCTTTTTCTTGATTCAGCCTTTGCTTTGTTGCTGTAAACCTTTGACTTTCCTAGAGTTCTGACGAAGTTGGTTTTGACAGTTACTGCTTGATATTTTAATGTTTCTCTGAGGACCCCTTGGAGCTACCTACTATTTTATGTTTGCTGACCTCACCTCGTCTCATGGTATTTTTTTTATTCTGACATTTTATCTTCTGTTTCTTGCCACTATAATGAAATATAATAAATATATTGTCTAGTAGTGCATAATTGATATTCAATGTGTATTCCTTAACCACATAGACATAATTGCCTAATGAAGGTTAAGATTTTTAAAATTTTCAGTAAATTGGATGATCATATACAAATAATTAAAAATAGCTGACTTCCTATTAAATCTCACCTGTTAATTTTTCCAAGTGTCTTGATTTTATCTTTTGGAGGCCCTGCTCTGAATTTTATCTCTTTAACTTGGTAACCACTAGTGACCTGCTAGTATTCAAATTTATCCAGAATCGCTGGAAGCAAAGTCACAGAGAAATTTAATTGTACTCCTAAAAGTACAGTTGGCTTGCTACTTTACACATGGTTCATGATTAATTTGTTTCAGGAAAATATACCATTTATAATTACCCAAATCAAAAATATCCAGTCAAATAAAGATATATGCTTTGTTGATGTTAAAAAAACTTATTAAATGTGCTCTTGTAAGTTTTTTAATCTCTATTGTGAGAAAATATGGATTCAATATAAGTATGACTGGGCAACCTCAAGAAAGCACAGCTAATGTGAGCAGACATCAAAGGCTGCTCAGTGGACAGGGCCTGGATGACAACAGCTTTGATTCTTTCTGCCATCACTCACCACTTACATTTTTATCACAAAAATTGCCTCTTTGGTTCATCATAACAAACTGGCTTGTATATGAAGTTATATTAATATTTTACTAGGTTTACTGATTTGGGTATTTAAATTAAATATTTGTCAAAATAGAAATTGCCTCTTTGGTTCACATTGACGAGCTGATTGGCTTTTGAAAGAGGTTGTATTTACACTTTTCTGGGTCTACTCTTGAATGGTTGCTGACATAACTAAGTTTACCTGTGCCAGGTGCTGTTAGGTAAAAACCGAGTGCAGCAAGCTTGGGTATTTGTTTGGAGGCTCCAAACAGGGCACATATCTGCTGCCTGGGAAAGCTGTGAGGATAGCAGAGGGAGTAGTTTAGTGTAGAGATAAAAAATTAGAGAAAGAAGGGGCCCTCTGCAAGTCAGCCAAACTGGGAATCTCACCACAATAAGTGACAGCTGTTGCCATTAGAGCACCCTCATTACCAAATGAGGTTTTAGAAGCATGGATTGAGATAGAGAATGGTTTTCTTTTCATAACCAAACTGTAGTTTTTATATCCATACATCAGATAGAATAAAAGCCACTAAGGTTGCACGGTTTATGTAGTTGTATAGATGAGTAGTCAGGTAGACATAGACAGGTAAGTAGGCAGATAGAAAACTATCAGAACAGTGGCAGGTGCATAGCAAGTATTATATGTGTTCATTCTCGTTATTATCTATGATAAAATAATTTTTGTTATTGCCTCCTCATTAATGCAGGTCATTTGATAGTGGTGATTAGCACATTTTTAGCATACCAATAAAATTAGGTTCTAAAATTACATTTTTTGTTGCATCTTTAGATTATTACTTTATGACAGACATTTGTATGTAAAAGAACTTATTTCTGGTATGGTACAATGAAATTCTAATTTGCTCATTATTTTGAGAAGGCTCAAAGACTGTAAGATAGTCGAAGGCAAACTTTAAATCTTCGCTTGGCTGTTAAGTAAGTCTGATTATGAAGAAGAGGAAAGAGAGAAAATGCCAGATCACAGAGTACTAAAAAAATCTGTTTTAAATAAATATTTTAAAGAGAGACAATTATTGGGCATTAGCCAGGAAATCATCATTTCAATGCTGATTTTAATTTCCCTCTATTTTTCAATTGTGTGACTATAACTTTCTACGTTGTTCTTTCCAACTTACCAACTTGATTTTTCCTTTAAGCAATTCCAGTCATGTGCTATCATGTTCTGATCAAAATTTTTACTTTTCTTCCTGCTATCCCTCCAGACCATGGCAAGAAATTTGAACCCTGATATTTTTCACAGTCTGAACAGATTTTTCTCTAAGAGAATGAAATTATCGTGTATTTTATTTTTTATACTGGTTTTCAATTTAAATGAATCTTAAAGAGTCTATGCAGTTGGTTGTAAAATGACTGAATTAGTCAGTGTGATTTGACTTGCTTGGGATTGAGGATTATTCTATTTACTAATATTTGCCTTTATAAATATTTGATGGTGGTGATGTTTAGAAGTCACAGGGGCGCTACGTAATTTGAGAGTAATATTTTAAAATCATACATCGCTTTTTTCTCTATTGAAGAAAGAGTCTTAGCTTGCTTTTGTCTTTAGCATCTTAAGGATGCTAACGAAGTTTCTGATAAAGTCATCATTTTCCCTGGGAGCAGATGTTGGGTGACTTATGCAAGAGCTTATGTGCAGTGACCTTTCACTCTGACTCCAAAGTAAATGCTCTCTCTATTGTGTAGCTACCTTTTCAGGTACCTTCAGTAACTTTTCAGGTTTTCATGGTCTGTATTTTATTATCTTTATATCCCCCAGGATTTAGGAATATGTCTTGAACATGGTAGGTAACTTTTCATAATAACTATAAAAAATTTTAAATTATTTAAAACTCATGATTTAGGTGTTAACTATTTAACATTTAGAATTACGTTATGTAAAATGTAAGTTTTATTAATAAGACATCTGCACAATAATAGATGGGTAATGATGACCATCAAATATACATAATTCCTTTATCTTCACTCATTGATTGCAGATTCATGTTTGATATGACACCTAAGCTCTGGCTTTCAGACTGGGAATCCTGAGACCTTGGCTATGTCACATTCCCTGGGCAGGGTTTGATTTTAATGATGTTGACTCCAGTCTGAAAAAGGAAGGACATATATATTATATATATAATATATAATATATATATCATCAGAAAGACATGTTAAGGTAGAATAGGCTCTAAACACTTTTATTTCTTTATTTTTAATGTTGGTAATTATATTTGTGATTATTTATAGTGAGTTATAGTTTGTTTTAGAAAATATTATTTCTAGTCAACAGAGCTATAACAGACTATGAGAACAAATGTAAATATTTCCTACAGTACAACATAAAATGACTGCAGTAAGAATACTATGATTAGTAGCAATGTGAAAAGGCTACATTCAAAGGTAATAGTACCAAAACAATTTTGGTAATAAGTACTTATCTCATGGTTAAACTAGAAAACAAAACAACACCTGACTTACTGTTGTATTTTCTCCCCACCTTGGGTTGGATGAATTACTCCTGGCAAGGCCTGGTCTGGTGCTGCATAGAGAGGTAAATACCACCGGTCTGTGGTCCTTTGGCTCCCCAGTATCTGGGGTCAGGTGGATCTTCAGAGTCACTTCTGGCTGACTTTATGCTCCGGGGGCAGATAGGATTCTGACAAGGAAGAAGGAGGTATTTTACCTGTGTGGATTTTTTTTTTTTTTTTTTTTTTTTGTAATTTGAGACAGGGTCTTGCCCTGTCACCCAGGCTGGAGTACAGTGGTATGATCACAGCTTGTTTCAGCCTTGACCTCCCAGACTCAAGTGATCCTCCCACCTCAGCTTCCCAAGTAGCTGGGACTACAGGAATACGCCACCACAGCAGGCTACTTTTTTAATTTTTGTAGAGATGGGGTCTCCCTCTGTTGACCAGGCTGGTCTCCAACTCCTGGCCTGAAGTGAGCCTTCCACCTTGGCCTCACAGAGTGCTGGGATTATAAGTGTGAGTCACCCACCATGCCTGGCTTGTGGATTCATCCTGATTGCTAGTTTCACACACTTTAAACAAACTTTATGGCATCCCTTTTTCAAAACAGCAAAAGAATGGAAATAACAGTGTGAGAAAGGGAGGAACACAACAGCTGGGCTGCGCTCTGCACACTCGGTCCTGCCGAGAGCACATGTGGAGCCAGAGGCGTGCCCACGGGTCTGCTGGGTGCTGTGGATGGTCCTCAGTGAAAGATAAAAAGCCCTCCAACACCTTCCCCACAATGGAGGAGGGCAGAGAATGCATAATTACATGCTAATATGATAATGTGCCAAATACACATGCATGCTCATGCACAGGCACACACATGTGCTTCTAGGTGGAGAGTGAAACAGCCTGGAGCAACAGAATAGGGAAGACTTAGCGACACTTACCACCACCTCTTCTAAGTGCTTTGCATACAGAATTCATGTGATCTTTTTAACAGTTCCTTGTGGTACTACTATTACCCACTGGAGAAACTGAGGCACTGCAAGGTTGGGTGAAACAAGGCTACCTTAGGGGTGGTGCCAACATCAGACCTAAACAAGCTGGGGCCCAGAGTGCTGCTCTCTGCCTCTGTTCCCTGCCCTGGGGAATCGCTTTCTCCAGCAGAGGCAGAGGCTTTTTGTCTTAGGGGCTGTAGCCAGAGAGAGGACAATGAAAGAGGCCCTTTGGGTAGTGCGGCTAGAAGATACAGGCTAACAAAAACTGAAAATTGAAATTTTAAACCAGGAAGTATGGAAACCTTTGTACTTCTTATTGAAGTAACAATAGAAGCTTTATACTGAGCAGAGCAGGTTTTGAACAGCTACCTATAAAGGGAAGGCAGCAGTTCCTTTTGTCTTTCCACTTAGATATGAATGTGAATCTGCTAAGCTGCTTAGCACCCCCGTTTGTTCCATGTTGGGGTGAGCTGGGCCCAGCAAGTGTGGCCCAGTGGGCAGGCAGGCAGAATGAGCGCAGGAGCTCCGGCCAGAGTGGGCCCAGGGTAGGTGCCTTCAGAGAACTGAGAGTTGGTTTAGTCTTTATCAATCATTAGAAATAAATTAGTACACTTAACTCCTTTGCAGAAGAAACTGAGCCCAGGTGAGCTATTTGTATTGATCACTTGGTAGGAGCACCAGCTTCCCTTACGTCCTTATCCAGAGCATTTTCTACCACCGCTTGTTCATCTGGTTGTTCGTGGCTATTATGTTATCACGCAGTCACTTTTTATTAGGTTTCTGCTTCTTAAATGTTAATACATCATAATAAAAATGTGTAAGGCATTGTTCTAGGTGATTTCTAATATTAATCCACATTGCTTAATTTATACATTGTTGCATTGCAGATTTTCAGGCATTTATATAACCCCAAACAACAAAGTATTCCTCTGTACTAATTTTCAATGGCAGCATAGCAAATTCCCACAAACACAGTGGCTTAAAGCAGTGCCCATTTATTAGCTCACAGTTCTGTGGGCTCAAAGTCTGGCAGCTTCAACTCTCATCATGGAGTCTGTGGCTGGGCCCTCACCCAGAGGCTCTGGGGAAACACCTACTCCAGGCTCACTCAGGCAGGGTTCAGTTCCTGGAATTGTGGATCTGAGATTCCTGCTTCCTTGCCGGCCAGTGGGTGAGGTTATTCTCAGCTACCAGAGGCCCCTCTTTGGTCCTGACAGGTGGCCCCTGCATCTTGGAAGCCAGCAAAGCCCCACTAAATCCTTTTTATGCTTTGAATCTGACTTCCCCTTCTGCCAGAACTACAGAAAACTCTACTTTTAAAGGGCTCCTGAGATTAAACCAGAACCACCCAGTTAATCAGTCAACTGATTAGTAAACTTAACTACATCTGCAAAATTGCTTTTTTTTTTTTTTTTTTTGAGACAGGGTCTCACTCTGTCACCCATGCTGGCCTGCAATGGCATGATCTTGGGTCACTGCAACTCAACCTCTGCCTCTTGGGCTCAAGTGATCCTGTCACCTCAGCCTCCTGAGTAGCAAAACTACAGGTGCAAGTCACCAGGCCTAGCTAATTTTTGTATTTTTTGTAGAGACAAGGTTTTGCCATATTGCCCAGGCTGGTCTCAAACTCCTGGGCTCAAGTGATCCGCCCACCTCAGCCTCTCAAAGTGTGGGGATTACAGGTGTGAGCCACCACACTCGGCCTGCAAAATTACTTTTATATATGTAAGTTATCATAGTCACAGGCATGATATCTCATTATATTCAAAGTCCCATTCTTGAGGAATAGATCCTGGGGTCTGGCATCTTAGAATCCCGTCTACCATATCCTCCAAAGTCTGAATTTCTGCTGCACTATATAACGCTTTTGCTGTACACACACACACACACACACACACACACACACACACACAGACACACACACACTCATTCTTTTGTAATGTTATTTTATATAAATGCATAATAGTTTTATCAACAATATTTTAATTATACCAACACATAACAGGCAATTATTTTAAGTGCTCTATAGTTTTAGAATACCAACTGTTGTTATCATTCTATTTATATTATACAGAATACATGTTTGTGTATTACTATTTAGCAATCAACCACTATTCTAGAATCTACAGATGGGTAGAAATTTTATGATGTGTAGATATGTGTAATATATCCTTATGCATGAGAGCAGAGAAAATTTGAGAATAATATTTATAAAATCCATTTGAATACAGATATACTTGATATATGCTCCTACCAATTTTTAAAGGGAGGAATTAGCAAGATAGAAAGTAGTTCATCTTTATTTCATAGTATATTAGTAATATTATGAAAAGTGTGACTCATGAATCAATCCATGACTAAGCTCTTAAAGGGCAAACAACATTGGTATTTAGCAATCTAATTCTCATATCTGTAGCAGCTTACAAAAATAACAATATATTGTCCTGAGGAAGTGCACAAAAGGAATTTATTCAGTTGTCAAAAGAAACTATTTTTGTAACAATAAAAGTATTTAAGGCCAGGCATGGTGGCCCACGCCTATAATCCTAGTACTTTGGGAGGCCAAGGCAGGTGGATTGCCTGAGCTCAGGAGTTCAGACCAGCCTGGGCAACACGAGGAAACCTCGTCTCTACTAAAGTACAAAAAAAAATTAGCCGGGCGTGGCAGCGTGCACCTGTAGTCCCAGCTACTTGAGAGGTTGAGACAGGAGAATTGCTTGAACCTGGGAGGCGGAGGTTGCAGTGAGCCGAGATCGTGCCACTGCACTCCAGCCTGGGTGACAGAGCGAGACTCTGTCTCAAAAAAAAAAAAAAGTGATTGAGTTGTAAGAAAGTCTCAGCTGGAAATATGCAAATGCCATGCTCACACAATGAAATTGGCTTTTATAATGCCTGGAATTCTGAGAAAACAGTAATAGGCAAGAAATTACGGGAAAATGTTGGCCATGTGTTAGCTAAAATCACTCTAGGAATAAACTACAGTGTTGTGTACAGCAGATTTGGAAACTTCTTTATTTTCCATCTCACATATTGAGATTTTTTTTGACCTCTTCAGGATTAGAGGCATTCGTGAAACCTTCAAAATATAGAAAATTACTTTGGGATATCTAAAAGATATGGCCATATATTTTATCTGGTCTTTGGCTATTATTCTCAATTCATTGACAAATTTTATCCAAATTTGTCTTTACAACACCTTCATTTTGTTCAAAACTATATTTTCAGGTGTTCTTTTAAAACTAGGTTTTCACAACAAAATTTTTGAGATATGAGGGCAAAATGGTGTGTTGCCTTTCCTTCCCCATCATAAGGGTGATGGCCGATACTCCAGTAACAAAAGACAGGCTAACAATAGAAAAGTAGAACGGATTTATTTAATCAAAGCTTTTTGAGATATGGGAGCCTTCAAAATGAAGGCCTCCAAATATAGAGAAACAGCCCATTTTTATGCCTAGGTTTGATGAAAAATGAGCAGCTGGGTGGAAATCTGATTGGATGAAAAGGGTATCATCTAATGCTAACAGACGGAGTGAGAAAACCCAGTGTATTAGTTTGTTCTTGCACTACTATAAAGAAATACCTGAGACTGGTCAATTTATAAAGAAAAGAGGTTTAATTGGCTCACGGTTCTGTAGGTTGTACAGGAAGCATGTCTGGGAAGCCCTCAGGAAACTTACAATCATGGTGGAAGGCTAAGGGGGAGAAGGCATGCCTTACATGGCTGGAGCAAGAGGAAGAGAAAGCGGGGAGGTGCCACAGACTTTTAAACAACTGGATCTCATGAGCTCTCACTCAGTATCATGAGAGGAGCACCGAAGGGGAAATCCACCCCCGTGATCTAATCACCTCCCACCAGGCCCCACCTCCAACATTGGGAATTAAAATTGGACATAAGATTTGGGTGGGAACACAGACCCAAATCATATTACCTGGCAAGGCCTGTCTGCTCAGATTCTTCTTGGCCTCTTCATGCAGCGTTCCTTTCTCCAGGGTGTGAGGCTAAACCCTTTCTGTAAAGGGGGTCATGTGATCTACCATTAAACAAAATAGGTCAGAGAATTTCTTTATGGCCAGCCCTTACACAGAAAGGCAGGGAAGGCTGGAGAAATATTTTTATGGTTTATTGCTGACTTTAGGGAAAGGGCCTTCTGGTTTCTACATCCACCTTGGGGAAGAAGAATTCTAGTTTCTATGTCCACCTTGGGGAAGAAGAATTCTAGTTATTATGGCTAGACTTGAGGGAGAATGAATGGTGAGAGACAGAAGAGCAGGTCAGAGAGAGACTTTGCTTCTGAGGCTAGTTTGGAGGCTATCACTTTGGGGTATCATTTTCTGAATCCTATGAGAGGTCTGATCTATGTTACAGGTCATACTCTCAGAACTGTGCTTTCAAGTCTAGAAATACTTCTTGAAATATAAAGAAATACTAAAGCATCTGCCTGCGTAAAAGAATGCTGGAGCTCAGGAGATTCACCATTCTTTTAATAAGAACCACCGACATTTTTTGAGTGCTCATGAAGATCCAGACTGGGCACCACTCAGAACAATTGTACAAGGGAAGGAAGGTGTTATTATGTTTCTCATTTTGCAGGCTAGGAGGGTGGACCTGGATCTGGGATTCAAACTTAAGTCTGCATGAGTGCAGAGCACAAAATGTCAGTCACTGTTCCTCACTGCTTCTCTTTAGGAATTATCAGTTCCCACAGGGAGTTTGATTTCAAGTTTATTCTTCTGCAAACCTGCTCCTCCCTGGGAGAGGCCCCAGGCACTGACTTTTATTGCGAGGCCTCCTATCAGGTTCCACACTCTCAGGCTGACTTCACCATGAGCTGAGAAAGGAGAGCTAAAACATGAACCATGCAGCAGGTAGCTGGAGACTACTGCACTTTCTCTTTAAAAGCAGATAAAGTTTACTGGAGGATTATTATAGCATTTCCATGATGCCTGGTTCCCAGTTGCAGCTGCATCCTGATTCTGCCCCTAGTCAATCCATCCAGCAAGTTTTTATTCAGTTTTTTCATTTACTATTAAGTATATTGAAGTCCAAGGAAAAGAACTTTCTCCTGAATGCCAACACCCGCTGATTTCCAGGTTGTAGGCCCTCGCCTTTCAGACTTTGCTTTGTTTGTATTTCCTATTTCTGTCCCATTCTCTGCTCTGGTAATCGCCAGTGTCTTTGCCCTTTAGCTTCAGTCCTGCTGTTGCCATCTGGAGGTCTGGGTGACTGGCAGCTTGTGTGGCGAGGTAGCGCCTGGGGGCCCAGAAGGCCATTTTTGTTGCACAATGACTCACCAGGGAGCTGCAACTTGGCAGTCAGAAAAGAAGCAGCGACTTTCAAAATGGTGGGATTTTCTTCAAAAGGCATTTTATAACCACTTGGAAATCCCCGTATTGGAGCAAGGCTGTCACGGAAGACCCCTCACAGTGTGTGCGTGTGCGCCTGCATGCATGTGTGTTTGTGTGTTTTCCATTACAGGCAGAAGGAAAAAGAAAAGGACAATTGTCAAAACCTCTTTCTTGGCTTTCTCTTCCCTTTCCATTGTCAGTGGGAGAAGTAGCTCTGCTGGGCATCTCTTAAACCAATATGTCATTTGTGTTTTTAAATTACTGTGCTTGTTTCACTTTTTTAATGCAAAATTAATGCATACTTGCTACAGACATTTTGTAAAAGACAAAAAAAATGGAATGTTAGCCATTAAACCTGAAAGAAAGTCCCAACACTCAGAGAGCACCAGCTTACTAATGTTTAGTAGATTTCCATGCAGTATTGACTGAGCCTGAAGTCATTATCTGTTCGAAGTCATATTTCTCTAAGCTTCCCAGCCTCTATGTGGCGCATGTGAAAACTCGATGGAAATCCAGCATTCTTTTTGGCATTTCTGTTTGCAGTGGCAGTGAAACAACCAAGACACTTATAGCATTTAACAGAAAAGCATCATACTTGAAGAATGCAATTCTAATTTGAAGTTAATTCAAACAATTGGCAGAGTGTTTGTATCCTTTATTTGCATTATTTTTTGCTATCTCCTATTAATCTCTGGAAATTGAAATGACCAAATAATATACAGTAACAAATGCTGTCTTTTAATGTCAACTAATTTTAAGAAATGGATCCATTAAAATTATACTGCTTTTAAATTTCATGTGCATTTATTTAATTTATAGAGATTGAGGAAGATTGAGATGCCATTTGGCCAAACTGACAAATTGGCGAATTGTGTTTTTCATTTCTTCCTCTCAAGCTTCGCCAGGACTCCCTGTTAACGGTCTATTCTCCCAATTCTTCTCAAACTCCCTTTTCCTCTTTTAGATATACATGTAAGTACAGTTGGCCCTCTGAATCTGCAGGTTCTGATTCTCAGAGTTCAACCAACCACAGATAGAAATATTTAAAAGAAAACAATAAAAAACAATTAAAATAATACTAATAAAAATACAATATAGAATAACAACTATTTACATAGCATTTACATTATATTATATTATAAGCAATCTAGAGATGATTTAAAGTACAGTCAATCACATCTGTGGGTTTCAAATTTGGATTCAACTGACCTCGGATTGAAAATATTTGGAAAAAAAATCCTACAAAGTTTCAAAAGAAAAAGTTGAATTTCACACCATGTGCCTCATTGAATCCATGGGAATGAAGTGATGTGTAGGCATTATTTTAGGTATTTAAGTAATCTAGAGATGATTTAAAGTATACAGGAGTACTGAAAGTATACACATGTAGGTTATATGCCAATACTACAATCATCTTACATAAGGAACTTGAGCATCCTTGAATTTTGGTGTCAGAGGAAGGTCCTTGAACCAATGCCTCACAGATACCCAGGGACCACTGTACATACACAGATATCTGTATAGCTATGGATACAAATGAGTGTGTGTGTGTGTTTCTGTGTATTTTTCCCTAGAAATACATTCTTCAGTTTAGTTTTTGGCCCAAAGAAAATCTCTTTCGAAGGTAAGTTGTAGGGAGTATGGCATCGTGGCTGATCCCAGAGTGGGCCTTGGTGTTCTCTCTCAGACAAACCTACACACATGGCTGTGTCCTCCCTTCTATCTGTGGCTGCTCTCATATGGATGCTTTAGAAAAGTACCAGAAACCATCTGTGCAGATTTTTCAAATGTAAGATTTCCTGCGTTTTTCAAAATACGAGACTGAAAATGAGCTGTCTGTTGGTCCCTGAATGTGTGCAGACATCTTCAGAGGCACAACCTAATGGCTCCTTAATTGCCCCAGGCTAGTCCATCTCAGGCATGGGCTCCACCCCACCTGCCAGATACTTTTGTATGTCAGTTGGAGTGGATCTTTGTGGTTTAGCATGTGGGGCCATTGCTCTGATAGAGAAAGGCAGTCACTGGGCAGAGCCAGTGGCTGGGTGGTGGAGGGCAGGTGACACTTGCATGGACAGTCTCATAGAGGCACCATGTTCAGGCTGCCGTGGTGATGGCCATTCTCTGCTGCCATGTTAATGCACTGTCATCATGCACTGATGGGCTACAACACTGAGGAGCAAGGAATGTATGCAGAGGGCTGATCTTAACATCATATTGGAAATTCTCATTTGTTAAATTGTATCTTTGACTTATTATGAATTGTAAATGTGTTATTTCAGTGAATTGTCATCATTGGTAAAATCTATCTTAAGGAGATTACCTTATAATGAATGCTTGAAACCTGCCAGTGATTGAAGCTTTGAAATTTCACTCACATTGAATAAATTAACTCTCAAACTAAATTCTTGTTTCTAGGTGCAATCCCTCATATAGATTTATGTAGGACTTTGTGACTCCATTTCCAGCCTTTTCCTCTCTTTTCCCCCCAGACTCTTTAAGTTTGAATTCTCTACTTTAACAATGCTAAAAAAATTAATTTTGCTTTGATTAATTCTGAAATATGTATTTCAAGAGAAAATATGGTGTAGTCTGACATCACAGAAATAAATATTTTTGTGCCCATAATACAGCTGGGCAAAAACCATTTACATAGATAATATTGTCTATTTTCTATTTCATATAATTTTCATAGAGAAACTGATGAAAAAAAAAACAAGTCAGCTTCTTAGGTTGACTGAGAAGTAGAAAAAAATTGTAAGGATTTTTTTTAAATGAGTAAATTCTCATGCATTTAAAAAATGCCAGTAAGAAGGAATAGGTTTGTGAGCTCAGACATGCTATTTTATGTTGTACTGCTAGTGGAAATTTGTGCCATTTACAACATAGAGATTAACTTGCACATTCTGAGTAGAAAACCACTGAGCATGTCTGATTGAAGTCACAGGAAAAGGTATGAAAATCTGCATTTGATTTTCTATGAACATAATATAATATTAAACTTTTTGAAGTTCAACTATAAAATGGAATTCGAAGCACATAATTAATAACCAAAATATCTGTTTTTATTCAAATTAACTGAAAATGAGATAGTTTTTTATTTGCTTATATACTTACTTCTATCATCTTGTACTTTTTAAGTTTCTATCTTGAGATTATTTCTCCTACTAAGAAGTTGAAGTATTTCCAGATCGTGTTGCCCTCTGAGGAGTCTTATATTTACTTCCTTTTTGGAAACATTTAAGTTTTTCTTAAATTCTTGTACTATGTCAGATACAGGCAGATGATCATTATTTTCATAAAACTTGTAGATAATAAAAATGTAAAAAAATCTAAAGTCGATTTTAAAAATCATCTGAGTGAATTTATAAGTTGATCTCTATAATACAGGGTTAAAAGAAAAACTTTAGACAAATTAAATTTAACAGAGTTTAACTGAGGAAGTAACAATTCGTGAATTGGTCATCTCTACTCCCAACCAGAATAGGTTCAGAGTGATTCAGGTGCTGCCACATGGCCAGAGTTTATGGGCGAAAAAGGGAAAATAAGGTATAGTAAATGTAAGTGAGGTAGAGAAACAGCCAGATTGGTTATAGCTTGGAGTTTGCCTTGTTTGAACAGTTGGCCACCTGCAATTGGCTGAGACTCAGCTGCGTGTTACAAGAGTAGGTTACAGTCTGTTTACACATACAGTTAGGTTACAGTTCACTATGTACGAAGAAACCTTTAGGCCAAACTTGAAATATGTAAGGAGACAGCTTTAGGCTAATCTTAATTTAACAACACTAATATGACTGAAATAATCGGTAGAGTAATGGAAGATAAATTATAAGAGAATGACTGGTGCTGACTGATCTGTTGCTCTTAGATTCTTAGATTCTATAATTCTGAAAGTTATTTTTCATATATCATTTCTTTAAAGGAATACATGAAAATAGCTGTTCACTTAGTCAATAGCGTACAAAATATGAAGATGGCACAACCATCAGGTGGGAGGGAGGCTAATGCGACAAGCAGTGCAGAATCACTTCCTGCTGCTTCAGCACACTTTCTTTCAGGCCCAGAAACCTAGGACAGAGAGACTGGGGCACCTAACAGTACATAAATAGAATAATTTGGATGATGGTTAGGTTGAGACAACATCAAAAGATAATAATGGCCTCCTAGTTCCTTGACTTTCACTTAAGCAATGCGTATTCAACCATGCTTGCTCCCTTGATGTAAGGATGAACAAGCAATAGAAGATGTGCCTCGTGGAGTTTGCATTTTAGAGGGTGAGGCTGTCATATAAAAAGTAAATATCATGATTAATCCTATGAAGAAAATGGAGAAAAATAGAGACAACCTGAGGAAGTGGCATTTTAGTTACAATATGTCAACGTCCATGAGAAGCAGTTGCTAAATTATTGTGGACAGCCAAGTTTTTCTCTTATTCGACTTCTTAGTAATTCTGGTAGTAATGATCACTCCATCCTTGAAATCATCTTTTTCTCTGCAAGCTTGTCTTCCCCCTCTGCCGCCCTGCCCCCCCCCCGCCCCCTTAAGCTGTGAGGTTTCCCCGGATCCTCTTTACCTAAAATCTCTGGGTGATCACGTGTACTTTCTTGTCTTCAGATACTGCCTGTACATCAAGTGACGCTCAAATTGATGTCTTTAGGCCTTATCTCAGTCCTGAGATCTGAATCAATGTGTTTACACTTTGCTGCCTGTAAAGCACCTCAAATATATTCTCTCCTAAACTGAACTCATGATCAACCCTGGCTTAACATCTTCACATCCCTCTGGCCATATATATACATATATATATATTTTTTTTGGTGAACAGTGACAGCATCCTCTGGTAATCCAGATCTGAAACCTGAGAATAACCTTTGACATTCACTTATGGCCCCATAGTCAATTGCTTATCAGCTGTGATCAATTTTCCATCGAATCCTTCTGATGCTTCCTCTCCCTATCTGCAGTCTTAGTTTAGGTCCTTGCGGCATCTGCCTTACATCGCAGCAGTAACCTCCCAAGTTAGGCGCCCTGTGTGCTGACAGGAAACAGATGACATACAGATTGGGCATTCTGAAGATAATTTAGTTAAGGGACTCTTACAAAGGTTCAGACATGGTGTAGAAAAACAAGGAAAAATGCAATATCCCATGTGTCTTAGTTTATTCAGGCTGTTATATAACAAAATATCATAGACTGAGTGGCTTATGAATAACAGAAATTTATTTCTCACAATTCTGGAGGCCACAAATCCTGCGTCAGGGCACCAGCATGGCCAGGGGCTGGCGAGGGCTCTTCCAGGAAGCAGGCTGCCAACTTCTCCCTGTGTCCTCCCATGGTGGAATTGGGGAGGGAGCTCTGTGGGGGTCTCTTTTATAAGGGCGCTAATCCCATTAAAGGGAGCTCCTCCCTCATGACCTGATCACCTCTCAAAGGTCCCACTTCCCAATACCATCACCTTAGGAGTTAGGATTTCAACACAGGTATTTGGGGGCAGTGGGGGGCACAAACGTTCAGACCATAGAACCATGCCTGGCAGACTTTACCACCCCTAAAGGGAAAAGGGGAAGAAGCAAACACCAGAGATGCAGAGAGAGTTGCGTGGAGAGAGATACTCAGCATGAACTGTGGGCTTTTCGATGGCGATTGTTAGCCCCCCACAAATCTGTAGGTAGGGATTAAATATCTCAATTTTACTCGCCTTTCTCCTCCTATATCTGCTGCTGCCCATTTCATGAAGCCAGCTGGAGGTCAGAGGACAAAGGAAGCAGGCCCTACAGAACAGGACAGGGTTGCTGGGAAAGAGAGGAGGAGTGGAGGCCGGGAGCAAAACCACCAATGTGCTCTTCAAAACTCCAGCCTCCTTTCCTCTACCTTCCTCTACCTCCCTCCAATTCAAACTAACAAAGGAACTCACTTTTATCCTGTTGCCAGGTCGATATTTGTCAATACCATTATTCCTTTGGTTAAAGGACTCTTGAGTCCCCAGTGCTTTCAAGAGAAGGGGAAGCATAGCAGAGTGACCCAGGTCTTTCCAGATCTGCCTGCATCTGCTCCTCTGGCTTCCTCCCTACCCCATAGCCCGCTCTGAGCTGCCCATCGCTGGTGCCCCGGGCCTTCCCTTCGGCATCCCGGCTGCTCCTGGCCTCGCTCCTCCTACTCCGCAGACAGTTCCCACCCTTCCTCCAAAGTGCCGTGCTCCTTCCTGGGAAAGTCTGGCCTTGCTCCTCTTACTTTGCAGGAAGTTCCCACCTCTCTTCCAGAAAGCCGTGCTCCCTCCTGGGAATCTCTGGACTCACCCCTCCCACTTGGCAGACAATTCCCACCCCTCCTCCAGAGTGCCGTGCTCCCTCCTGGGAAACTTCCTGCTTCTTTCATTCAAACCTTAGTTTGGGTGCATGACCTATCCCATAGTCCTTTTCACACAAAAATTTGTAAGACATTTGTCATTTCTTATTTCTCTGGTTCTTCCCTTGTTAGATTTTTGAGATTGTTGAAGGCAGAAGCTTTGTCACATAACTTTGAAAACAGTCAATTACACAAAAAAGTGTTTAATCACTATATTTAAACATTTATCATAAAATAGTTAAGACTCCTTAAAAGGTCTAAAACAATATAATAAACACTCGTGTAACTACCATCCCACTTAAAAAACTAACCAACAATAAATCCAGTTACATTCTTTTTTCATGATCGAAGTAACTGCTATGCTGAAATTGCTATTTTAAATTTCTAAATACTTATTTCTGTTTCTAATAAGGGTGTCATATATCCCTAAATAAAACATAGTTTTTTCATGTTTAACGTTTTTATTAAATATTACATGGCATGCTAATTAAAATAATAATAATATTTTGCTTGGATATACAAATAAAGCCAAGCAATCTGCCTCAATTACTAATCCCAAACTCAAGGTGATAGGAGAAATTCCAAGATGACCCCCTAATACCCATACAATGACCCTGCCCTGGAATGTGGACGGGGCCTCTGCATATGATGGGCATCACTCATGTCACTCATGTTGCTTAGACTCAGTGTTTGTGATTACTTACACTACTGCAAAGATGGAGAGATTTTTTTCATATTTAGTGAAGGTCTGTTAATTGACTTTGAGTCAATCAAAAGGGAGATCATCTTGTGTGGGCCTGGCCTAACCAGATGGGCTCTTTAAAAGAGGCTGGAAGAAGAAACAGAGTATGCCATGAGATGCCTATGGAGAAATGTGTCCAGCAGCAGCTGAGGGCTGCAGTTCTCCAGCTGCAAAGTCCTGAATTCTGACAACTTGAAAGAGTTTGGAAGAGGACCCTTACTCTAGATGGGAATTCAGCCTGGCCAACAATTTGATTTCAGCCTGGTGAGACGCTTAGCAGAGGATGCAACAGAGCCATGCCTGTACTCCTAAACCAATTGAGATAATAAAGGAGTATTGTTTACAGCAATTGAATTGGCGGTAATTTGTTATATAGCAATAGAAAATTAATAAATATACTCACCCTCCTCCCTAAAATAGTTTCTCTATTAAATTTCTTCCAGGAATATTTTGACATAAAGAGAGGGAAAGGTCTATCTATTAATACTGGTAGTCCTGAAGACTGAATACTAATAGAATTATAATAGCAAATGTATAGTTTTTAATTTCTAATATTTATATACTATTATAAATAAAACCTTCACACTAGTTTATTAAAAATGTGTTCTTTATAGCTCCAGAACTATGGATGGTGCTAATGATGCCTAAGGAACTTGAAACAATGTAATCTAATGTGGACTCCAAGCCCAGTTAGTCCCAAATGGCACAGGCTTCTTGTTGCTTAAAATGGGTGTCTCTTCTCACAAGGACCAACAGGTGTAATTTGTCTTTAGGGTAACCACCTAAAGGAACTTGACCTGTGGACAAATTCTTGTGCTCTCTTTTCTTTGACTTTAATTAAATGTGAATTATTATACCTATTCCTGGTTGCTAGAGCTGCGTGTTGAAAAAAAATGGAAAGATTATTGTATTAATAGAAGGCCAGTAACATGTGACCTTGCAACTTGATCTCCTTCAGCAAATGGTCACAAGCGAGTGAAAAACGGGGCTTTGCAAACATAGACAGTGGGACAGAGAACCCCCTGCTCCCAGAAATTGTCCAGGTGTGATCTGGTTATCTGGTTGTTAGCAGGTGATATCAGAAGCACTTCTCTACGTACATTTAAAATGTTGAGAGCTTCCCCAAATCCTGTGAAGAACGAGTGGAAACAAAAGGCATTTCAAGCAGTAAGCAGCCCTCCAGAATAATTTCTTCTGCTTTCACAACTCTCGCTGCTATTTTCCCTTTAACTCTTCCTGAGATTTCCCATTTCTTCCCATGTTATTCTTGTTCTTGGATTTATCCTTCCACCTGCATTTGTCCATCTATGTGTGTTTCACCTTTGTTTCCTATTTCCTACCAACTCTATTCATCTCTATCACCATGTTGACCCATTTTGGCTTAATTCACTTTAACTACCTGGTTCCCACTTCTGAATTTACCCTGTTAATCACACTACAATCACAGGACATCACCCCTCCCAACATGGAATTATGTGGCCCCAAAGGTCAAGAGCACAGGGGTCAAGGACCCCGGGATAGAGGACACTTCCTGATGTGTCCTCCCAAGGACAATCCCATATTTCCAGGTAGTCCATTACCACCTGCCCCCACTGGAGTCCTCATACTCTATAAATTACCACTTGAATTTTTTCTAGTTTTTTATTCTTATGTACAATATTTTAATCAACTGTGTGATATCAGTTGTTATTACTTTTTCTTTTTTACAGATGGGAAAAGTCAAACTCCAAAATAGTAAGTAATCAAGAAGATTTATTGAGAATTAGAACACATGACCTTGAGTTATTAAATACTGCTCCTTGCAGTGCATTGGAGTCTCTCTTTCAAGGTTGTCATTCATCCTTAGAGAACTGTAAATCCTTAAAGATGCCTTTGTGAGAACAAGGAGTTGCTAACAGTGAAATCTCTAGAATTTTCCACTTAATCCTGATAGAGTTGGGAGAGGACTGGGATAAGTGACTTGAAAGAGCACCTCGTCAATTTGAGTATTTTCATATTCAAGAGTTATACATAAAATTACATTCAGAGAAAACATATGCTTTTCCTTAGGCTTCACTCAATGCAATACTTTCTTTTTTTTTTTTTTTTTTTTTTTGAGACAGAGTCTTGCTCTGTCACCTAGGCTGGAGTGCAGTGGCGCAATCTCGGCTCACTGCAAGCTCCGCCTCCCGGGTTCACGCCATTCTCCTGCCTCAGCCTCCCGAGCAGCTGGGACTACAGGCACCCACCACCACGCCCGGCTAATTTTTTGTATTTTTAGTAAAGACGGGGTTTCACCGTGTTAGCCAGGATGGTCTGGATCTCCTGACCTCGTGATCTGCCCGCCTTGGCCTCCCAAAGTGCTGGGATTACAGGCGTGAGCCACCGCGCCCGGCCTGCAATACTTTCTCTTTACCTTTGTCCTATTAATGCTTTGTGGCTTTGTAATAAAAACGAAACCTGGAAGTCAATGAAAGAGTTGTCCTGAGATGAGCCTGATGACATCATGACTTTGGGCCCCTTTCTTTCTTCCTTCCTTCCTTTCTTTCTTTTTTTTTTTTTTTTTGACGGAGTCTCTCCCTGTCGCTGAGGCTGGAGTGCAGTGGTGCAATCTCGGCTCACTGCAAACTCCGCCTCCCGGGTTCACGCCATTCTCCTGCCTCAGCCTCTACAGTAGCTGGGATTACAGGCACCCGCCACCACGCCTGGCTAATTTTTTGTATTTTTAGTAGAGACGGGGTTTCACCATGTTAGCCAGGATGGTCTTGATCTCCTGACCTCATGATCTGCCCACCTCGGCCTCCCAAAGTGCTGGGATTACAGGCGTGAGCGACCGTGCCCGGCTTGCTTGCTTGCTTGCTTGCTTGCTTGCTTGCTTGCTTGCTTGCTTGCTTGCTTTCTTTCTTTCTTTCTTTCTTTCTTTCTTTCTTTCTTTCTTTCTTTCTTTCTTCCTTCCTTCCTCTCTCTCTTCCTTCCTTCCTTTCTTTCTCTTTATTTCTTTCTTCTTTCTCTCTCTTTCTTTCTTTCCTTCCTTCCTTCCCTCCCTCCCTCCCCACCTTCCTTCCTTCCTTCCTTCCTTCCTTCCTTCCTTCCTTCCTCTCTTCCTTTTTTTTGAGATGGAGTCTCACTCTGTTGCTCAAATTGGAGTGCAGTGGTGCCATCTCAGCTCACTGCAGCCTCTGCTTCCTGGGCTTAAGCAATTCTCTTGCCTCAGCCTCCCAAGTAGGTGGGACTACAGGCATGCACCACCGTGCCTGGCTAATTTTGTATTTTTAGTAGAGATGGGGTTTTGCCATGTTGGCCAGGCTTGTCTCGAACTCCTGACCTCAGGTGATCCACCCACCTCGGCCTCCCAAAGTGCTGGGATTACAGGCATGAGCCACTGTGCCCGGCCCCTCTCTGCTTTCTTACAGTGCCAAGCAGTATTGGTGGGTAGAGGAGGAGTGGGTTCCCAACAATTGCAGTTAGCAGCCCCAGCACTTATTGGCAGTGGGGGTAGAAAATTGGTTAAGGTATGATGACCACAACCAGCCCAAGAGCCAAAAATAACTGGGCTTCGTGCCTCCTTTGTTATGAACATCAGGGATTGAAGGCTCTGGAAGAAAGAAATGAGATCATAGTAATTACTTCTATTAGTGCCAATTAACTCTCAAAAGTGGCATGTGATGTTTGGCAGGTGGAGATCTGTGAGCTGCATATGGACAATCATCTGAAGGGTTTAGGAAAGTGCTTCTAACTGTGTCCCTCCCCATTTCCTATGTCCACTGCTATACAGATCAGTCTGTGGGATCATGGAGCCTGAGAATCAATAAATATTGGTTTCTAAAGTGTTCAGTTAAAGATGTGGATCAAGTAAATTATATTCCACAATATATTTAAGTACATTATTGTATCAGAAAAAAAATCCCAAACACATAAGTTTTACTTTGCATGAAGAGGTGATGGTGATGTGAGTTCTTCCTGGGTTATAGGGCATTTTTAGAGAGGAAAGATTTTGTAGGAGACTGTTGACAGTGAGCAAAAGAACTATGCTGTCCAATATGGTAACCACATGTATGAGCCACAGGTGGGTGCCTGTTGAGCACTTGATATGTAGTTAGTCCAAGTTGCTATGTGTTGTATGTGTGAAAGACATTCAGATTGCAAAGACATGTGAAAATAATAATATAAAATATCTTATTTATAATTTTTATATTGGTTATACATTAGAATGATAATCATTTCAATACATTGAATTAGATAAAGATATATCATAAAAATCAATTTTACCCAGTTGTTTTTACTTTTTTAAAATGTGGCTACTAGAAAATTAGAAATCACATATGTGACTTGCATTTGTGGCTCAGATTATATTTCAGTTGGGCAGCACAGTTCTAGATGTTAAAGGCTAGTTTGAACTTCTTTAAAACTCTGCTTTTAAAAGTTTGGTTAAAGAACTTTATAGTTAGAGTATTATTTCTACTTGTGGCAAATGCATATACCTAAAGGTTAATTGTATTTTGCCTTTTACAATGAGCTATACAAGAACCACAAACAGAAAGTGTCCTATGTTCTGCATTCCCAGGGGAACATGAAGGATCCACTGCTGGCGGGCACAAATAGACCCATTCCCTAAAAATATGCTACGATGAGAGATAAAATCATGTTTCATTAGTTTTGTTATCATAAAAGCCAAAACAGACAAAAAATTCAAAGTTAAATAACTTTTGAGATCTCTTTATGTCTAAAACTCTGTGATACTCCATGGCAATGTCACTTCAGCCTCTCATGGCACGTATATGAGTAATTTAACAACAGGAGATTTTCTTCGTTTGCTGAAAGTTAATCTTATCACAATTCACAATCTCATAGAATCTGGCATCTTTTCTTTTTTTAAAAAGAGATCTGTCTTAGTCTATTTTATGTTGCTATAACAAGATAATATATGAATAAAATAAATTAATTTCTTACAGTTATGGAGGCTGAGAAGTCCGAGTGCATGGCACTAGCATCTCGTGAGGGCTTTCTTGCTGCCTCGTAATGTGATAGGGGGCATTACATGGTGAGAGGGCAAGAGCAAGAGAATCAGACAGCTCATTTTTATAACAAAGCCACTCTGGAGATAATGAACCCACTCCTGTGATAGCAACATTCATTCATTCATGAGGGAGATAACAAACCCACACCTTTGATAGCAACATTAACTCATTCATGAGGGCAGGGCCCTCATTAATCCATTAATTTATTCATGAGAACAGAGGGATTAAGTTTCCAACACATGAACTTTTGGGGGACACATTCAAATCCAACAACATCTAACTATAATTTTTCTTTTATTCTACATTTAGGAAATCAAATGATTCATTATTAAACTCATACATTTAAGAGCCTCATCTTCGATCTTAGATTTTAAAATGTATTTAGCAAATTGATATTAAACATAGCCTTGTGATTTTCTTTTTAATAATGAATATTTATATTAATAATTTTAATAATGACTATATCTGTATGCATTTCATATTTTTGAATTCAGATTCTTTCTTTTTTTCTTTTAAAATTACATAAAGCATATGACCATAACCCACTGGCAACAAATAGTCATATCGCCAAACCTGGAAGAAAGACCAGGAAGCCTTGGAAAATAGTAACCAATCTGACCTCTTTTATATTTCAGCAATTCTTTAAAATTACTTTATCAAATTGATAGTTTCTCATCTTGACTCATTCAAAATTATTTAATCTTGAGACCTATATGTCCATATGAGAGAAAATTATTGCTTTTCACTTAGTATATGTCATTATATCTATCATAAATATGTCCTAGAATAATATTTATATTTTATATGGTACAAGGCAATAATATAAGAAAATACAAAATTACTAGCTGCTGATCGCGGGCAATTTATAAATATTGAGTAATTCTAAAACTTAGAAGATATTTACCAAAATTAACTTGGTATTTCTGAATAGTTTTGTTTCTTTTAGTTTTACTTGGGCAAATGTGTATTTTCTAACTTTTATATAATTGTCATGGATTACTTATGTGATACATGGTAGCATTATAGTTCTACTAAAATGGAAGTCATGTGATGATGTATATTCCTAATACTATACAAACTCTGACGAGATATTTGCTCTGTGTGTCAGAAGATGACACAATAGCAGTTGCATGTGTGTTTGGATGTATATAGAGATGTATTGTGTATCCAGATACAGGATGGTAAAAAGTCTTGAAATTAATAATGTCTGAAAATAACAGAAAGACCTAAAACTGTTTAGAAGCCTAAATTTATGGGCAAATGTTTAAGTATTTTTTTTATTATTATTATACTTTAAGTTTTAGGGTACATGTGCACAACGTGCAGGTTTGTTACATATATATACATGTGCCATGTTGGTGTGCTGCACCCATTAACTCGTCATTTAGCATTGGGTATATCTCCTAATGCTATCCCTCCCCACTCCCTCCACCCCACAACAGTTCCCAGTGTGTGATGTTCCCCTTCCTGTGTCCATGTGTTCTCATTGTTCAATTCCCACCTATGAGTGAGAACATGCAGTGTTTGGTTTTTTGTCCTTGCGATAGTTTGCTGAGAATGATGGTTTCCAGTTTCATCCATGTCCCTACAAAGGACATGAACTCATCATTTTTTATGGCTGCATAGTATTCCATGGTGTACATGTGCCACATTTTCTTAATCCAGTCTATTGTTGTTGGACATTTGGGTTGGTTCCAAGTCTTTGCTATTGTGAATAGTGCCACAATAAACATATGTGTGCATGTGTCTTTATAGCAGCATGATTTATAATCCTTTGGGTATATACCCAGTAATGGGATGGCTGGGTCAAATGGTATTTCTAGTATTAGTAATGGATTTTAGGAATTGAATAATTTAACAAACTAATTTTATTATAATTTTGGAGGAAGGTTTCTTAAAGCAATTATAATATGTTGACAGTATTATGAAAAATGTACTACTTCTTTGGTTTTGGTATAGATCCAAAAAAAAGCCATATCTTTAGTACTGCTTATGATAGTAATTACTTGTGGTAAGAGAAAGCATGAGCACAGTGACACTACTTTGTCACTGCCCTGTTTCCTGATTTAGCAACAGAGTTGCCTGGTAAATATTTTCTTTACAATTTTTTCTCTTCCAACCTGACTAGTCTGAAACTATCATAATTATTAAGGGCAAAACTCTAAAAGAATGTCCATTATCATCATTATTTCAAAGCTAATTTTAAAGACATATTATCTACTATTATTAGGTCTGGGATAGAAATAAATTATAATTATGGAAAAGAGAAAGTAAAAAATCATGGTCATTACAGGATATGCTTATATAGTGCAACCCACATTCACCTTAGAAATGGTTAAAAACAATAAGGAAATATAATAAGGAAGTATAGTAACAACTGATAAGAAAAAATCAATATCCTATATTCAAAAAGTCATCTGTTACAAAATATGATGAAAGAAAATATCCAACTTAGCAAACTGGAAGATATAAGAAGTATCAATAGACTCATTAAGAACTACATAGCACACACAAGGTGACTACTTCAAAAACATACTAAGATTAAAAAGATGGTTTAGATAAGCAGAAAAATGAATGATGTTGTTAGATAGGTAAAGTCGATATGGTAAAATTTGAATATTAGTCAAAATATGCAAAGGAAATTTTTGAAGCTTGACGGATGTTCCTAAAATTTACCCAGAAAAAAATCTTTAAAATTAATCATTAAAATAATAAAAAAGAGGGGTAGAAACTATCCTATATAAAGAGTAAAATATTAAAAAACAATGATATTGGAAATATTTCCATTGCAGTATGTCTAGAAAGGGAACCAGATACATGTTGGAGATTTGCATATAATTACATTAATATTGCATATCACAGGGGAAACTATAAATATATCAATCAATAGTAATGATAATATGTAAATAATTTGGAAAAAATATTAATTCAAGATGATTCAGAGATTAAAGCATTAAAATGAAACTACAAAGCTTAAGAAAAATATTGGGATTTTAATGTAATCTTAGATTCAGGAAAGCCTAAGTATGATACAAAATCCAAAGCCATAAAGAAAAAAAACAATAAATGTTATTATATAAAAATTTAAAACATCTGTATAATAAAAACAATAAAGAAAGCTAAAAGTAGAAATTACATAAACTTTGAAAAAATAATTGTAAAACATAAACAAACGTTTAATTTTTTGCTTACAAAGGGTTTTTAATAAGTTGATAAAGAAAAGATACAAAACAAAGTGAAAATATGAGACAAAGGATTTTTTAAGTTAATGTCCATCAAAAGAAACACATGGTTCTTAACATAAATTTTGAGAATAACTAGATCTTTCTTTCAAATAACATTTGTTTCAAATAACATTTGAATTTTGAAGTCTTAGAATTTGTCACTCCTATATTTAACATGTAAATCTGCTTTTTTTGAGAAATATGCATGAAGAAAAAAGTTACCAAATTCACTTAATAATAAATTTATGTGGACTAAGCAGATAAAAGAATTTCAGAGCTTGAAGACTGGTCTTTTGAATTAACATAATCTGATTTAAAAAAAAGGAAGAAAATGTTTAAATAAGCGAAGTCTTTAAGAAATATGGGATTATGTAAAGCAAAATAACCTATGAATTATTGGTATTCCTGAGAGAGAAGGAGAAAAAGCAAACAACATGGAAAATGTACTTGGAATAATTCAAGAAAACTTCCTTAATCTAGTTGGAGATGTAGACATCTAGATACAAAAAATCTAGAGCACACCTGTGAGATACTACACAAAACAAACATCACCAAGGCGTATAGTCACCAGACTGTCCAAAATCAATGCTCAAGAAAAAAAAAATCACATACAAAGGGAAGCCCATCAGGCTAACGGCCTTGCAAGTGAGGAGAGTTTGGGGGCCTATTTTCATCATTCTTAAAGAAAAGAGATTCCAACCAAGAATTTCATATCCCACCAAAATAAGCTTCATAAATGAAGGAGAAATAAAATCTTTTCCAGACAAGCAAGTGCTAAGGGAACTTGTCACCACTAGACCAGCCTTACATGAGATTCTTAATGAAGTTCTAAACATGGAAACAAAAGAATGATACCTACTACCATAAAACACATTTAAGTGCATAGCCTACAGACCCTACATTAAAAAAAAAACCCACAATAGAAACTACTACAAAGCAAATAGCTAACAACTTTGTAATAGGGTCAAACTCTTACATATGAATATTAACCTTGAATGTACACGTTCTAAATGCCCTACTTTAAAGGCACAGAGTGGCAAGTTGGATAAAAAAAGAAGACCCATCTATTTACTGTCTTCAAGAGATTCAACTCAGACATGATGACACCGATAGGCTCAAAGCAGAGGGTTAGTGAAAAATCTGCCATGCAAATGGAAAAAAAAGCAGGAGTTGCTATTCTTATATCAGATAAAACAGAGATTAAATCAACAACAGTAAAATGAAGACAAAGAAGGGCATTACATAATGACCAAGGGTTCACTTCAACAAGAAGACTTAACTATCCTAAATATATGCACACCCAACAATGGAGCACCCAGACTTATAAAAAAAGTATTTCTGGATCTGCAATGACTTAGACAGCCACACAGTAATATTCATGAACTTCAACACCCCAACGACAACATTGGACAGAGCATCAAGGCAGAAAATTAACAAAACAAAACTATAGACTTAAACACAACCCTTGGCCAGTTAAACCTAATAAACATTACGGAATACTCCATGGATCAACCACAGAATATATATTCTCTCACCTGCACATGGAGCATACTCCAAGATTGACCATATGCTTGGCCATAAAGCAAGTATCAATAAATTTTAAAAGAATCAAAATTATACCAAGATATAACTTTATTATATCTTGATATAAGATATAATATATTTATAAGATATAATTTATATAAGATGTAATTTATTATCTAAACTATATAATTTATATAAGATATAATTAATTATATAAATTATATAATTTATAGAAGATATAATTTATTATATAAATTATATAATTTATATAAGATGTAATTATCTAAACTATATAATTTATATAAGATGTAATTTATTATCTAAACTATATAATTTATATAAGATGTAATTTATTATCTAAACCATATAATTTATATAAGATATAATTTATTATCAAAACTATATAATTTATATAAGATGTAATTTATTATCTAAACTATATAATTTATATAAGATATAATTTATCATCTAAACTATATAATTTATATAAGATGTAATTTATCATATAAATTATATAATTTATATAAGATATAATTTATTATCTAACTATATAATTTATATAAGATATAATTTATTATCTAAACGATATAATTTATATAAGATATAATTTATTATCTAAACGATATAATTTATATAAGATATAATTTATTATCTAAATGATATAATTTATATAAGATATAATTTATTATCTAAACGATATAATTTATATAAGATATAATTTATTATCTAAACCATATAATTTATATAAGATATAATTTATTATCTAAACGATATAATTTATATAAGATATAATTTATTATCTAAACGATATAATTTATACAAGATATAATTTATTATCTAAACGATATAATTTATATAAGATATAATTTATTATCTAAACCATATAATTTATATAAGATATAATTTATTATCTAAACGATATAATTTATATGAGATATAATTTATTATCTAAACGATATAATTTATATGAGATATAATTTATTATCTAAACGATATAATTTATATAAGGTATAATTTATTATCTAAACGATATAATTTATATAAGGTATAATTTATTATCTAAACGATATAATTTATATGATATAATTTATTATCTAAACGATGTCATTTATATAAGGTATAATTTATTATCTAAACGATGTCATTTATATAAGGTATAATTTATTATCTAAACGATGTCATTTATATAAGGTATAATTTATTATCTAAACGATGTCATTTATATAAGGTATAATTTATTATCTAAACGATGTCATTTATATAAGGTATAATTTATTATCTAAACGATGTCATTTATATAAGGTATAATTTATTATCTAAACGATGTCATTTATATAAGGTATAATTTATTATCTAAACGATGTCATTTATATAAGGTATAATTTATTATCTAAACGATATCATTTATATAAGATATAATTTATTATATAAACGATATCATTTATATAAGATATAATTTATTATATAAATGACATCATTTATATAAGATATAATTTATTATATAAATGATATCATTTATATAAGATATAATTTATTATATAAATGATATCATTTATATAAGATAATTTATATAAGATATAATTTATTATATCTTGATATAAGAATAGCAACTCATACCCTTGGGCCACAGTGGAATAAAAATATATATCAATTTCATTTCTCAAAACCTCACCCTTACATGGAAATTAAACAACTTGTTTCTGAATGACTTTTGGGTAAACAATGAATCAGAAATCAAAAAATTATTGGAAATAAATAAAAACAGATACATAACATATCAAAACAAAAGCAATGTTAAGAGGAAAGTTGAGAGCAATAAATGCCTACCTCAAAAAATTAGGAAGATCTCAAATTAACAATCTGATATCACACCTGGAAAAATGAGAAAAACAAGAACAAACTAACCCTAGAACTAGCAGGAGAAAAGAAGTAAATAAAATCAAAGCAGAAATGAATAAAACTGAGACCCAAAATCCATACAAAGAATCAACAAAACCAAAAGTTGGTTGTTCAAAAAGGCAAACAAGATGGATAGACCACTAGCTAGATTAACAAAGAGAAAAAGAGAAGATCCAAATTAGCACAATGAGAAATAACAAAGGAGATATTACAACCAATCCTACAGATATACAAAAGATCCTCAGAGACTGTTATGAACACCTCTATATACACAAACTAGAAAATCTAGAGGAAATTGATAAATTCCTGTAAGCACACATCTCCCAAGATTGAATCAGGAAAAAATTGAAATACTGGATGGGCCAATATCAACTTCCAAAATTGAATCAGTAATAAAAACCTGTCAACCAAAATAAGCCTTGTACCAAATGGATTCACAGCCGAATGCTACCAGATGTACAGAAAAGAGTTGACATGAATTCTGCTCAAACCTATGTTAGAAAATCGAGGAGGCACCTTTCCATAACTCATTCTCTGAAGCCAGCATCACCTAGATACGCACATCTAGCAAAGATACAATAAAAAATGAAACTACAGGCCAATATCCCTGATGAACATAGATATAAAATTCCTCAACAAAATACTAGCAAACTGAATCCAGCAGCACATCAAAAAATTAGTTCACCATGATCACATATGCTTCATTTCTGGGATTCAAGATTGGTTCAGCATATGAAAATCAATAAATGTGAGAATGTGATTCACCACATAAGCAGAATTAAAAAAGAAAAACCATATGATAATCTTAATAAATGCAGAAAGAGCTTTTGATGAAATTCAACGTCCCTTCATAATGAAAACTCTCAAGAAACAAGGCATTAAAGGAATCTACTTCAAAATAATAAGCCATCTATGATAAGCCCACAGCCAACATCATACTGAACAGGCAAAAATTGGAAGCATTCCCTTTGAGAACTGGAATAAGACAAGGAAGCCAACACCCATCATTCCTATTCAAAATACTACTAAAAGTGCTAGCAAAAGCAATCAGGCAAGAAAAAGAAATAAAAGGCATCAAAATAGGAAAAAAAGTCAAACTACCTCTCTTTGTGGACAATATGATTTTATGCCTTAAAATTCTAAAAATTCCACCATAAACCTTCTGGAACTGATAACAAAGTTCAGGATACAAAATAAACATACAAAAAGTAGTAGTAGCATTTTTATACATAAATTACCTTCAAGCTGATAGCCAAATTAAGAGTGCAATCCTAGGCCAGACGCAGTGGCTCATGCCTGTAATCCCAGTACTTTGGGAGGCCAAGGCAGATGGATCACCTGAGGTTGGGAGTTTGAGACCATCCTGACCAACATGGAGAAATCCCTTCTCTGCTAGAAATACAAAATTAGCCAGGCATGGTGGCACATGCCTGTAATCCCAGCTACTCGGGAGGCTGAGGCAGGAGAATTGCTTGAACCCAGGAGGCGGAGGTTGCGGTGAGCTATGATCGCACCATTGTACTCCAGCCTGGGCAACAAGAGTGAAACTCCATCTCAAAAAAAAAAAAGAAAAAAAATGCAATCCTATTTACAGTAGACACATACACACACATAAACACACACACACACACACACAAATACTTAGAGATATATCTAACAAAGGAAGTGAAAGACCTCTACAAGGAAAACAAAACAAAAAAAACTGCTAAAAGAAATCACAGATGACACAAGCAAATGGAAAAATATTCCATGCTCATGGATTGGAAGAATCAATATCCGCTAAAATGGACATTCTGCTCAAAGTGACCTATAGATTCAATGCTATGCCTAGCAAAGTACCAGTGTAGTTTTTCACAGAATTGGAAAAAAACTATTCTAAAATTTATATGAAACCCTAAATACCTCCAAAAACCAAAGCAATCTTAAAAAAAGAACAAAGCCAGAGGCATCACATTACCCAACTTCAAACTATATTAGAAGGCCACAGTAACCAAGACAGCATTGTACTGGTACAAAAACAGACACATAGACCACTGGAACAGAATACAGAGACTTGAAATAGGGCCACACACCTACAATCATTTAATCTTTGATGAAGTCGACATAAACAAGCAATGGGGAAAAACTCCCTATTCAATAAATGGTGCTAGAATAGCTGGCTAGCCATATGTAGAAGAATGAAACTTGACCCCTACCTTTCACTGTGTACAAACATTAACTCAAGATGGATTAAATATTTGAATCTAAGACGTCAGACTCTAAGAATTCTAGAAGAAAACCTACGAAATACCATCTGGGCATGGGCATTGGGAGAACATTTTTGACTACGTCCTCAAAAGCAAATGCAAAGAAAACAAAAATCAACAAGTGGGCCCTAATAAAAATAAAGAGCTTCTGCACAGCAAAATAAACTAAAAACAGAGTAAACAGACAACCTACAGAATGGGAGAAAATATCTACAAACTGTGCATCCGATAAAGGTCTACTATCTAGGATCTTTAAGGAACTTAAACAATTGAACAAGCAAAAAACAAATAACCTCAATAAAAATGGGCAAAGGACATGAACAGAGACATCTGAAAAGAAGGCATACATGTGGCCAACAAATGTATGATAAAATGCTCATCATCACGAATCATCAGATGAAAGCAAATCAAAACCACAATAAGATACTACCTCTATAATAATAGTCAGAATGGCTATTATTAAAAAGTAAAAAACAGCAACAGCTGTGGTTGAGGCTGTGGAGAAAAGGGAATGCTTATACAGTGTTGATGGGAAAGTAAATTAGTTCAGCCACTGTGGAAAGCAGGTTGGAGATTGCTCAAAGAATTTAAAACAGAACTACCAGTTGACCCAGCAATCCTATTACTGGGTATATATCCAAAAGAAAACATATCGTTCTACCAAAAAGACACATATGCTCATATGTTAATCACAGCTCTCTACATAATAGCAAAATCATGGAATCAACACAGGTGTTCATCAGTGGTAGACTGGATAAGGAAAATGTGGTCCATATACACCATGGAATACTATGCAGCCATAAGAAGAATGAAATCATGTTCCTTGCAACAACATGGATGCATCTGGAAGTCATTATCCTAAGTGAATTAATGCATGAACCAAAAAAACAAATACTACAGGTTTTCACTTATAGGTGGGAGCTAAACACTGGATACTCGGACATAATGAGGGCAACAATAGACACTGGGGATTACTAGAGTGGAGAGGAAGGGAGGGTGGCAAGGGCTGGAAAACTATTTGGTACTATTCTCAGTACCGGGGTGATGGGATTATCCATACCCCAAACCTCAGAATCATGCAATATACCGAGGTAACATATCTGCACATGTGCCCCCTGAATCTAAAATAAAAGTTGGTAAAAATAATAAATTTATATTCTTTAAATCAGCCTGATGACTTCCTTTCCTTGCTCATTTTCCTCTTTTTTTTTCCTACAGTTTTGAACTGCAAATGATTTATGCGTTGTTTATGATCACATAAATATTTTTCTGTGGCTGTGACAGATTATCAAGGGTAGCTATAAGTGACTTTTGCCATGAATCTCTTGCTTGGTGACTATGCAAATCACTCCAGAATAATGGTTTATGCTCACTGAAAGTTTCATACTATGTTTACTTTGGTACGCACAGAAATGAAGTTCACAACCCTTTCATGTTAACAGTAGCAGAACCATATTTCTGGAGTATCCAAATGAAAATAAGCATAACCATAACAAGCAGGAACAGACCAACATGATTGCCCCTTACAAAAAATATATTATTTGCATTTAAATGTAGAGATAATGATTCACTTGTGGAGTAAATCTTGGCATTATCCTAGTAGAAATTTTATGTGAGGTGGGAGAGAGTTCTATTTTTCTTTATAAATTTTATTATTTTTATTTTTTATTTTACACTTTGATGAATTGATGACTATGCAAATAGCCTTAATCTTTTCTAGCAGTCATTTATTGGTTTTTAATAAAATATTTCCAACCACACAGTATACATTTCTATACTAGTAAATATGCAAGTGTATATGGGCATACTCTGGGTAAGGCTTTGTGTTTCAGCAAAAAACAGCTAATAAACTGGGCCATTGGTCCATATTGCTGGTTCCTCTTTTACCCCAAAAGTTTGATCATCAGTATATTCAGATATCCTGTTTTCAGAAATTGTTTTATTTTCTCAATAAAAACTGTAACATTTTTACATTTTCTTCTTGAGAGTTTTGCTTGCCTCTTTTTTGTTTTGTTTTGTTCGCTTCTTTTTTGTTTTGTTTTGTTCCTTTGGCATCATGGGCATCATGAGGATATAGGGTACAGCCACAAATTTCCCTATGCTTGTGCTGAGTTTTGATGAAATAATGTTAGGTATTGTTTTACGCCCTGAATTTTAGCAGACCCACTCATACATTTTGAATGCATTTTCTTTCTGAATAATAAAACAACATAACATAAATGACCGTTTCTATAACCACTTAACCAAAACATTACTTGGGTAAGGTTCCAACCATTAAAATTATAATAAAGATATTTTGATGGAAACCATAATGCTTTGAATAAAACTTGACAAGAAATATGTACTTGTGATTGGAAAATACATTCAACTGTGAACCATTTTAATGAGTTGATTTCTTGTCAGCAATAAAAAAATTCTCAAGAAAACAAGTTAAATTGTTTGATCTCATACTTTAGGTTATGCACATCATAATTTCAGTGTAATTTTTTTGAAATCTTATGTTTCATTTTTGTTAAAATTTAAATAACTCTAAAAGAATATGCAGAAACCTAGGCTTCAAGCACATTTAATATACTGAAGAAAGACTAATTATGGTATGTAATATCTTTTCCGTTTCTAATTGTGGCTTTGAAAGATAATTAACACTAATGCCCAAAGACACCTTTTGTATGAAATGAGTCAATTTCTCTCTCCTAGGCACCACCGTTGGAAGATTTAAGAAAATAGTCACTCAAATTGTTTTTTGTGATCTGTGATTAATATGAGGTTGAGACTATATACATGTGTCACATACCACACATACACATGCATCATAGCAGACATGCAAATTACATACACACATGCACATATGTATGTATACACACGTATAGTTTATTCTACATGCATTGGTGCATGTTGTATTTAATAGACTAAGGTGGACAGAATAGTCATTTCTTCAAGTAAATATATTTGCATGGTGGTGGTTTGGGAAACTAACAGAAGTGCATTAATTGATTTTGAACAATAGAATGGGAGAGTGCCTAAACAGCAAATTCTCCCAGGACAAGGTTTGTGTCTGGTATTAATTACACATTAACTAGTTATATTGCTTTCAGCCTGTTTAAAAATTCCTTGAACACATGGTGGACTATAAAGTTGAATGGCTCATTGACTGAAGCTTAGAATTATCCATGAAAATTGACATTATCTCTGTATGGCATCACCTCCAATGCAAGCTGTAGATTGGTTGTTCTGCCTCCCAATGGCCAGGACACCAGGCAGTCACAAATGGTGAGAAATGGCTCTGGTGCCATAGGTGAGGTGTCAGCCACTTCAGATGCTGTTTGGGGAATTTAACAGTGAGGCCTACAGTGAATCAGTTAGGAACAGATGAGCTTGGGGATCTCTAGGCTGCCTGTGAAATTGTGCATAATAACTGAAATAATCACCTGCTCCAGTGGCCAAAACACTTCTGTTTTCCTAATCATTCATACAAAAACCCCACAAAACAAATATTTTGTAATATGCTAAAAGTGAATCCTCCAGCATTGGACTTCGGCAGTAGATTTTTAAAAGCTTTGAGGGTTTTAGACATAGAATATTCAGGAACATGTGTGCCAATCTAATTAGCAGACTTTCCCTCTATATTTAGACATGCCATAATAATTTAAATTTGAAAGAAATTTTAAGTGTTTTTACTAGAAAAAAATTTATAATTTTCATTTGCCAGGGTGCTTTTACTGAAGCTTTCAAGGTTACTGCAAGTTGATTTTTCAGTAACTTGTTTTACGGTTCAAATTCGATTTATTTCTGCCACCTATTATTTTTCTCCCTGGATTTTTTAGAAATCGTTTTTGGACCACTGGATACTACTATAATAAGAGCCTCACTTCCTATGGTGTAATTGACTCTTGGTTTGACAGTTTAACAAATACACAATGAAAGTCTACTGTGTGTCAATATCTGTGATATTTATTTTTCCAAGGAAGATGCTTAAGCCTGAGTGTTCAATACTCTCCATCTGTTTAGGAATATGTTCCTTTGTTACCATGACTATGTTGATAATTTTCTTTTTAGATGGTATGCTTCAGGAGAACAAGAATTTTACCTCTGGGTTGCAGTGTTGTTTTAGGAGTGTTTTAGGGTAATTTAATGAATATAAATTATTTTAAAGTCTTTGTGACAAATTAATGTTTTATATCACTTTTTTGAATAGGGAATTAAAGTATAAATTTCCAAATTTAGTGAACCATGTCAGTAAATATTTTTCTGTTGTGTAAAGCACTATACTTAGCAGAACTATTTTAATGTTTGCAGAGTCTGTTTCTCATTTGGGAATTATTTGTTTGTTTTTGCTTTTTCAGTCTGCTGAACAACAACCACATCAGAAAGATTTCCAGAAATGCTTTTGAAGGACTTGAAAATTTGCTATATCTGTAAGTTATAAGAAAAAACAACAATGCCTTATGGTGTTGTTTGACTATTTTTGCCTTTTTTGTGTGTGTTTACTTTAAATTAAAATAATTCTTTACCTTCGTGAAAAGCAGTTTCAACCTTTATATAAAACTCACATATGAACATGTCTTAAGTGCAATAAATTATTGCTTTCAATAGATTGTGCATCTGAAAATATTCAAATATTTATGCACATTTCTCCTGCCACAAGTTCTAAATTGGAGAAAAATAAAAACAAAACAGTTTTCCAATATTTCACATTCAAATTTAATTACTCAGTAATTTAAAAAAATTCCATACACACAGAAAAGGGTTTTTTTGTTGTTGGCTAAAGGAGCTTTATGCCAACAGAGTATCTATCCAAGACCTTCCAAAGCCAGTGAACACATTACAGTTAGTTAGGAACTTTAATAAACTTGGGTAAGGACCAAATTTCTGAAAAATTAGGTCACAAATATGATCACTGACAATTGTCATGGTTTTTGTGTATTATTGGTAAATGGGAATAAAGATATTTTAAACAACTGCCTGTTTGACTCAGAAACATTGGTGTTTGGTAATTTGAATGTTGGGAGGTCATGATTGGATATGGTTATGTTGGAGGCTGAAGAAACAAACTACAAGGGCTTTTATCTCAGCTAGAGTGAGTGCTACAACTTTCTTTTTAAAAAAATGTTAAGGCAATAATGGGCCGGGCACGGTGGCTCACGCCTGTAATCCCAGCACTTTGGGGAGGCCCAGGCGGGCGGATCACGAGGTCAGGAGATGGAGACCATCCTGGTTAACACAGTGAAACCCCGTCTCTACAAAAATACAAAAAAATTAGCCAGGCATGGTGGTGGGCACCTGTAGTCCCAGCTACTCGGGAGGCTGAGGCAGGAGAATGGCGTGAACCCAGGAGGCGGAGCTTGCAGTGAGCCGAGATGGCGCCACTGCACTCCAGCCTGGCCAACAAAGTGAGACTCTGTCTCAAAAAAAAAAAATGCTAAGGCGATAATGAACATTTTTATACAAATATGTTCATCTGCAGATTAATTAAGCATACTGCTAAAAAGTTAATTATTCTCTTAAAGAGAAGACACCATTCCAATCTTTAGCTCTGACCAAATTTATACAACTGTAGTATCTCCCGAAACCACTGAAATTCCTGTTAAACCCAGGTCAAGAGCCTCAAAGCCTCCTGTGTTCAGCTGAGACACCTCAGCCTAACATAGAGGTCTCCCACAGCTCTGCTAATTACTGAGTCCTAAAGTTTCAGTTTCCTCTTAGTTTAGTCAATTCCATCTGCTCGCCTAACCTTTCATAACAAATCTAACATACCGTCTTAGTCAATTTTCTGCTGATGTAACAGAATACCACAGACTAGGTAATTAATTTTTTTAAAAAAAGTTTATTTGGCTCATCATTCTGGAGGCTGGGAAGTCCAAGATCAAGGGGTTGTATCCTAACATGATGGAAGGACAAATGAGCATACAGACATGGAGAAAAAGGGGGGTTGAAATCCCTCAATCACTAATCCACTCCCATGATAATGGCATTATGGCATTTATAAGGGCAGAGCCCTGATGACCTAATCACTTCTTAATAGTCCCTCCTCTTAATACCATCACAGTGACAATTAAATTTCTATATGAGTTTTAGAGGAAACAAACATTTAAACTGTAGCATTCTGCCTCTTCGCCTCACAAAACTCATGTCCTTCTTATATACAAAAATACATTTATTCCATCTCAGTGGCCCCAAAAATCTTGACTTATTTTAGCACAAACTCAAAAGTCCAAAGCCCAGAATCTCATCTGAATCTGGTATGGGTGAGACTCAAGGTGTGATTCATCCTGAGGCAAATTCCTCTCCAGCTGTAAGCTTGTGAAATAAAAAAAAACAAGATATCTACTTCCAAAATACGACAATGTTGCTGGCATGTGATAGACATTCCCATTACAAAAGGGAGAGATAGGCAAAAAGAAAGGAGCAAGAGGCCCTAAGTTAATCCAAAATCTAATAGGGAAAACAATGTTAAACCTTAGACTTCCACAATAATCATTTACTCCATTTGCCACCTTCTGGACATGGGGAATTTGGGTCTCCAAAGCCTCAGGTGGCCACGACCCCATGTCTTTGCTGGGCTCAGCCATGCTTCAGTTCTCTTGGGTTGGAGTCTCATGCCTATGACCTTCCCAGGCCGGAGTTTCCACTCTGGCTATAGGTGGCCCTGTAGCTCTGGGGTCTCAGTGGCAGCCCCAATCCCACGGATCCACTAGGCTTTGCCCTAGTGAGCACTCTCTGTGGAGGCTCTACCTGTGGCAGGTTTCTGCTTGGGTTCTCAGTTTATTTGGTACATCCTTTGAAATCTAGGTGAAGGGAGCCCTACTCCCACAGCTCTTGTATTCTGTGAGCCTGGAGACTTATACCATGTGGACACTGTCAAGGCTTACTGCATGCACACTGCAGGAACCCACTTAGGCTATAGGTGGGGTTGGCTGAGTCATGCACTGTGCTGGAACACAGGAAGCAGAGACCCAATGTGGCTCTGAGCAGCAAGTCCATGGAAGGTATCTTGAGCCCATTCCCTGAAACTATTCTGTTTTTCTAGAGCTCAGGGCCTGCGATGGGAAGGGGTAGCCTTGAAGGCCTCTGAAATGCCTTTGAAGTCTTTCTCCTGTTCACTTGATGAATAGCACCTGAATCACTATCTGTGATAACCTCTTTAGCAAATGGTCACTTGGGCACACCTGTAGTATTCTCTCTTTTACATGCTTTTTTACTCTTTACATGGCCAGCCTGCAAATTTTCCAAATCTTTCTGTTTTTTACCTTTTAATTATAAATTCCATCTTTAAGTTTTTTCCTCTAGCTTCTCAATGCATGTGGTTAGAAGTAGCCATGCAGCAACCTGAGTGCTCTGCTCTTTAGATATTTCTCGCATGAGACATCTTAGTTAATCACCCTTAAGTTCTTCATTCCATAAAGTCCTAGGACACCAACACAATTCAGCCAAGTTCTTTGCAACTGTGTAACAGGGTGACCTTTAATCCAGCTTCCAATAACTTGTTCTTCATTTCTGTCTGAGACCTCATGAGAATGGCTTTTACTGTCCATATTTCTATCAACATTCTGGCCATGACCGCTTAATATCTAAGACATTCCATACCTTTTCTACAGATTCTTCTTTCTTCTAAGCCCTTAACAGAATCACCTTTAACATTCTGTTCATGGCAATCTAGGGTTTTTCTAGCCTACTCCTCCAGACTCTTCTAGCCTTTACCCATTACCCAGTTCCAAAGCTACTTCTGCGTTGTTTGGTATCTGTTAGAACAACAGATCCACCTCTCAATACCAATTATCTGTCTTAGTTTTCTGCTACTGTGAGAGAACACTACAGACTGGGAAATTTATAAAGAAAAGTTTATTCGACTCATGGTTCTGGAGGCTGGGAGCTCCAAGACTGAGGGGCTGCATCTGGAGAGGGCCTTCTTGCTGTGTCACAACATAGTGGAAGAACAAACAAACACACAAGACAGAGAGAAAAAGGGCCAAACGTCTGTGATAACCAACTTACTCCTGTGATAATGGCATTAACCCATTCATGAGGGAAGAGTCCTCATGACCTAATCACCTCTTAAAGGTCTTATCTCTTATCATAGTTACACTGGAAATTAAATTTCAGTGAATTTTGGATGGAATATTAAAACCATAGCACTTGCCCAGGTGCATGCCATTCTTTATTTCCATATTTTACATATTACTAAGGATCCTTCAAACTTTGGGGGTGTGCAAAGCCTGCTCCTCATTAGTGAAGGAGCTTGACCTTCTCCCTGTGTTTCATCTCAATCCTGCTCTGTAGTTCTCTACTCATGGGCATGTCACGAGTAACTCCCTTAGAGTAAGACAAACAAATTAATAAAACAAAACAAGAACCTTTATGGCTTTTCAAATATCCATTTAGAAGGAATCTCATTACTAGCACTAATATTCAATGAGGAAATAAGTAAAATGACAGTTATTAGCAGGAAATTAATTTTGAATAAGACAGATGTTCAATGTTGCAGAGGCTTGGATCAATTACATACACAAGTGTATTCTCTGCTCTGAGTGAGAACAAAAAATCATTTCACACAACTTCTAATCAATGCTCTGGCCAATTAAAAACACTAGTTATTAAGTGAAAAAAGAGTCTGGGCTCTTGTAAGACATGTTATTTAAAAGGCAAGGATAACAGATGTGTGAAGCAGTACATGGTGAACACATTCATGTACCCACTGCAGTAAATTTTGCCATGTTTTCAATAACATTGCCAAGTAACCATTGCCTTTCAAACCAGGGAATTTTGTAGAGAAAGAGGGTTGTGAGTTAGAAGACCCATTCAATGCATACAGTATCTGCAAGTTCTTATATCTTTTCTTTGCTCTTTATACTTGATCCATTGCTCTTTTATTTCTTCAAATATGGTAAGCATTGCCTTTCTACTCTCTGACCCTGGGCATGTCCTGCTTATTGTTTGTTCCTTGGCTATTTTCCCTTTCTTGTCCCAGCTTTAATGTCATGTCCTCTAGCAATCACCTTAAGCCAACCAGTACTTCTCTTTTTCTCCCTAACATGGTACCCTGTGTATTTCATTTATTGCATATACCACAAAAGTTTATTTTTTCTCATCTATTTGTTAAATTATTTATTTTCTGATTTCCCCACTGGATTCTGTGAGGTCGGGTGGCCATGCTCTCCTTATTTATCACATAGGTCAGCATCTAGAATTAGTATCTAGAACACAGGAACTACTCATTAAATATTTGTTGAATAAATGTATGAACATAAGGTACTCAATAAATGCTTGATATTTGCTTAATTAAGACTCTCAGTTATGTTGAGTTAATCTTAAGAGAGGAATGATAACACTATTAAATGCCTCTGTTGTTTCAACAACATGTGTATTTATCAATTATTTATAGCGTGCATTTTCCCAAAGATTACAAGTATTTATATTACATAAGGTAGTTATAGTGCTTGTATATTCAGGAGGTTAATTTTCATTTGACTATACCACAGAATTGCAGTTTTACCCTGCCAAACACAAAGGATAGCATAGCTTTTCCTCTAAGACACAAGCATTTGTAAACTCATCTGAAATTCTAGTGAGTTTTGATCCAAAATGTATCTCTGATCCCCTTGGGCAAAAATAAATTGAAATGTCTTAAGACAAGTTGTGCTTTCAAATTAAAAAAATACAATTGTTTGAGAATATCTTTGGATATAGTGATTCATTTAATGTTAGCTGAATTTTAGAGCTAAGATTTCTTGAAGATCTAAGAGCAAAATTCTCCTTTTCTTTGGTTTAGCAGACACTTAAACTTTAGCTTCTTTTCTTTGATTTAGCAACCCTTAAGAATAGCATTTGCAATGTTCATTATTTTTAACCATTTGACTTAATCTAATGATAAACTCCAAAAATAAAGTTTATTTATTCAGAAACATCTTGACATCCAAATTATAATGATCTTGTTACTTACGGGCATTGATAATGATATCAAATCACTGTAATACAAAATGTGATAATAGTCATGTTACTTAAGGGCACTGATAATTTCACAAGTTTCAAATTACCCATGGGGCAAAAAACTGATGCATCTCTGTGCATGTTTACGATAAACTAGGCATCAATGCTAGCATTTAAAGAGGAAATTTATTCCATATTCAAATCTGTGATTCTGTTTCTGGCCATGGTTATCATTCTCTAAGTTTAGTATTTTCTCTGAATTATAGCTTCTTCCTACTAGCCCAGCTCTGAGCAGCTTTGTCCTTTTGAACTCCTATTACTAAATGCTGCTCTTTTTGCACAAACTCACCTACTTAGATTATTGGCTGAATGCGTCACTTGCAATTGTATCCTTAGCATTGGCATTTTCCATTTCTCTCCAGTTTCTTTGAATTTATTGGGAGTCTGCCCTATTTCTATTGTATCCTATAGATAAAAAGATTTTTTTTGAAATATTAGGCAAGTAAGTGCCATTGAAGAATGTGACCTTTAATAGTGTAAGCTTGAAGGACACAACTCTCACCAGGTCTGAAATCTCTCACTCACTGGGTTTTAATGACAATCTTAACAAAATGAGTGCAATTTCCTTGTGGTTTCTTGTCCACTCTCTCAGCTTTTGCTGTGAAACAAACCACTGCAGAATTTAGTGGCCTAAAACAATCAAGCATTTCTATCTCTCATGATTGTTCCATGGACTAATGAGTCAGTTCTTTTTGTCTAGGCTGGCTCAGATCTTCTGGTCTAGAATGACTTTTTTCACATAGCTGGCAATTTCTCAGTATTAGCTGGGATCCTTTTCTTTTCCATGTGGCTTCTCTTTCTCTAGCCAGCTAGATTGTGCTTGTTCACACAATGATCTTATCCCTAGCATAGTCAGGGATGAGTGCTTTCCACGCCTTGCTTCTGTCATGTTTGCTAGTGTTCCATTTGGCCAGTTAAGCCACATGACCAAGATGTGATTCAGCACTGGAGAAACAGGCTCCATATTTTGGTGGATGAAGCAGCTTAATCACCTTGCAAAGGGGTATGAATCAGGGATGGGAGGAATTTTTTGCCATTTCTGCACTCTGTCACATTCATATAGGTCTGGGGCTTCCAGGGGTTGAGGTACAGGTTGCAATCACAATCAAGCACATCCTGGGTTAGTATCCAGGATGGATTATGCAGTAGGAACTCAAAGAGAAAAGGGGCCATATCTATCTGGAGAGCCACAAGGGGTGGGTGGCAGGTTGGTCTTGATGGAAGGAGCAAGAAGGTTGTGAGAAAATTCAGCAAATAGTCTGGTATGTTTGTGTTATGGCAAGTATCTTTTAATGAATGGATGGAAGGGCCTGAATGGAGCATGATGAGAAATAAGGCTAGCAAGTTTGACAAGGACCGAATCATGGGGGAAGAGGGTTTGTGTGCCAAGCTTTCTGTCTCCGTGTAGTTAGCTCTTACTTACTTCTACTCACTCCAAACCAGCCTTCATTCCTACCACTCTACTAAAGGTTTTTTGATGAAGGCCACTCATGTTGTTAAACATATGGAACCATTCTGTGTTTAATTATGTTTCATGAGGCTTCATGGTCTCCTCCATTGACTGCTCACCCTCTAATCTCCTTGGTGTTAGTGACATTGCATGTTCCTGGTGTGCCATTTGCTGACCTGCCTGCTCAGACTCCTTCACCCTGAGTTCTTGCCCATGTGCTGTTCTCTTTTCCCACTTTACACCTCCCTGAGGTGGAACATATCTGCTTCCATGGTTTCAGTCATTATGTAGATGCTCCTGGCTCCCAAATCTTTATTTCTAGCCTGGATTGCTTTTATGTTTCCCAATCCATACACATGCAATTTCTAACTCAATATTTCCCTGATATGTCCCACAGGAGCTTCAAACTTAACGTGACTTAAATTTAACTCATTATCTTTCTCCCTTCAAACGCACTCCTTACTTTCCCCTTCAAATGTGCTTATTTTATGAAATGATGACAGACTCATACAGTCATCCAAACTAAATATCTGTGCATCATATTGGCCTTCTCACATTTTCTCTCCTGCTGTGTCTAGTTAGTTGTTAAGTCCTAAAGTTTCTAGGTTAACATTGCTCTATTCCCCTCCAATCTACCCGCATTGTGCTGCCTTACCTTCTATCTTCCATATCCATTACCCTTGCCGGTACAAAACTTTATTTCTTTGTCCAAATCTTTCCCTTTCTAAATCTCTGAAGGGCGACTAGTCATCTTTTCTAAAAAAAAGACTTGATTAGCCCACTCTTCTTAGGGTTCTTCAATGGCTCCCATTGTTTTTGGGATGAAGTAAAATCTCATTAACAGAACATATAAGATTCAACTTTATTTATATCTTCAGCCTTCATGACAATCACCTCCTCAAACTCTGAGTTCTAAAGTTCCTGGTATGTGGCATTTGATATCCTTCTGAATTGCCACCTTCACATACTCTCTTGGCAACTGTATTATGTTGGGATATTGTGTCTTCCTGAAAATACGTCCCGCTGCATGACTCTGATGATCACATAACAGATCACTTATTTTTACCTACTATGTTATTAGAGATGTACATTGTCAGTAATCTGTGCAACAAACCTGTAAGGTTTTATATATGGAATAGATGAACACAGCAATTAATTTTACCAAGAACACAAATATGAAAATACCAGGCCCTTCTAAGAAAAATTGTAGGAACAGAAGCAGAGCAGGCAGTCTGGGGTGGGAGTGAAGAGCAGTGACACCTCTCCTACCCTGCCTGGGAAAGTATTCCCTGCCTTACAGAGTGGGGTGGACTGGTCACTCAGCAGGTTTACCCACTTAGAGAAATAGCTGCATCAAATGATCATAACTCAATGAGAACAAGCATTAGCATCATCTAGCTCTGAATCCGTTTTCATCAAGCATCCTGATTGTCATCTTGTACAGATTTGCCATCAAGGAAAGAATATGCTGACTACCTGAGAAAAATAGCCCAATCTTCAAGGAAGTAACATATCTTATTAATTAATTGATTTATTGATTTTTTTATGACTTTGGATAGGGAAAATTAGTTTCCAAAAGAATAAAATATATTTAGATGCTCTGACTAAATTCATTTTGTAGGCCAAGTTGAGGAACCTCTGGAAGGTCCTCTTTGGGCGACTCATCCAGCCTTCCTATACGTCTATCTTTTCTCTCTGTACTGGCAACTATTTTCTCTTCGTGAAAATTAGGTAGCATTACTTTATAATCTTGACATATAATTACTTTGTCAGCATATTTTGATTAAGAAATTTTAGTTTTCATCCATGTGTTCATCCATCTGTCCATCCATCCAACAGTCTATCTATCTAATATCCATCTATCCATCTATTTATCTATTCATCCATCCAACAATAATGTAATAAACACCTACCATGGAAGTACTATACTAGGCTCTAGTTATGTCGTGGTGAGCAAAAAAGATTTGGCTCTGTCCTCATAAAATCTATGAACTGATATAGTAGAGGAACATTATTCATTTATTTTCTATCTTAATATTTTAATAGTAAGTTACTATGTCCTATGCATTTGGAGTCAAAATGTCCAGAATGAGATTCAGGAATTTTGAGGAGGGAAGAGGAGACATTACAACTAATACCACAGAAATGCAAAAGATAATGAAACTGCTATGAACAACTATACACCCCAAAATTTGATAACCTAGAAGAAAGAGATTTCTAGAAACATGCAACCTTTCAAGATTGATAAGGAAGCTTTTGCTTCCTTTCTCCATATGTGATGCTGGGTCCCCCTTTGCCTTCCACCACGATGGTCAGCTTCCTGTAGCCCTCACCAGAAGCCAAGCAGATGCTGGCGCCATGTTCCTCATACAACCTGCTGAACTGGGAGCCAAAATAAAACTCTCTTCTTTATAAATTACCCAGCCTCAGATATTCCTTTAAAGCGATGCCAATGGACTAACACAATCACCTAAAAAATATTTTGGCACCTTGTTCTTAGTACTTTTCAATTCACTCACAAAATTTACTTTGGTTCCCTGTGAGAAAAATATTTAAATAATTGAATATTATATACTGTGACAACCATATTTTTCAGATTTTAGTGCTAGATGGTATTTCCTTCCCCAGATGAAACACTACATTTATAAAATTCCTTCAATGTAACTATCCTATTCTGCAATTGATTATGTGTAGATCAGCCATCGTTTACCAGGATTTTTTTTTTGAGAGTGAAAGCTGGCACTGCTAACAATTATGCCAGTATAGAGTATAAACCTAGGCCGTCCCAAGCAAGTCAAGCATGTGGTCATTCTAGTTACATAAGACTAATTTCAAAAGACTGCTTTAACATAGGATAACTGTAGTGTCTTACTTTTGAGGAATTTAAAGCATATAATTTTATCATAATTGATGAAGTCATTTAAAAAAACATCATTTTACATTCTATCTGCTCAAATCATAAAATCAAGAGTAAGAGGGAGTAATAAGTGATAAATATCAGTGTTACTAAGCATCAGATAAGGTAATGTAGGATTTCTTATAAAGTATCATAACATTGTCCTTCAAAAGAACTCTATGACCCTGAATATAGACAAGTGTTTTTGTGTGCAACACTTTTTAAATAAAATTTACCTGTCAGAGCCTTTCAAAGTTGTTGCTGTTGCTGAAAAGATCTTTTTCTAGTCATGAGAATAACATACATTTACTGTATATCTTGATCGGCTCAGGATACCATAACAAAATACCATAGACTAGATGGCTCAACCAACAAACCCTGATTTTCTCCCAGTTCTGGAGTCTGGAAGCCTGATATCAGAGTGCTAGCATAGTCAAGTTCTAGTGAGTGCTTTCTTCCTTGCAGACAGCCACCCTCTTTCCTCAGTACATGTGCTTTGTAATAATCCTGTAGGATTAGCATCCCAACCCATGACCTCATTAACTCTATTTTATAAAAGTCCTATCTCCAAATATACTCACATTTGAGGTTAGAGCTTCAACATATGAATTTTGAGGTGATGCAATTCAGTCCATAGCTCCATAGGAAACTTAAAAGTATACTTCTTATATATACACATACATTTAAAAAATTATATCATTTTGTAGCCTGCTTTAAAAAAATCCTAATATATTCCCATGTGTTCCATGTAATTAAATTTTTCTGTGACAGGTAAAAAAAGATTGATGAGGGAGAAATAGAAAATCTGAACAGGCATATGAATAAGCAGATTGCATCAGTAATGAAACATCTCCCATCAAAAGCTGAGGACCTCATGGCTTCACTGCTGAATTCTACCAAACATTTCAAGGACTAATGCCAATCCTTCTCAAAATCTTTTGAAAGATTTAATATTAAGGAATACTTCCAAACTGCTTTTATGAGACCAGAATTGCTCTGAAATCAAAGCCAGGCAAGGATGCTACAAGAAAAGAAAATTGCAAGCCAGTATCCCTGATGAACACAGGTGTTTCAATTTGACTCAAACTCTTTGATACCTAATTTTATGCTTTCATGAATTTCTCACGAAGATAACTTATTTCATTTCTTTTTCTGGTGCATATGTTTTATTTTCTAATTTAATTTTTAATTTTTAAAATTTATTTATTTATTTATTTAGAGACAGGGTCTCACTCTGTCATCTAGGCTGGAGTGCAGTGGTGCGATCTCAGCTCACTGCACTGCAACCTCCGCCTCCCAGGTTCAAGCAATTCTTGTGCCTTAACCTCTTGAGTAGCTGGGATTACAGACACATGCCACCATGCCCAGCTAATTTTTTTGTATTTTTAGTAGAGATAGGGTTTTGCCATGTTGTCCATGCTGGTCTTGAACTCCTGAGCTCAGGCAATCTGCCCGTCTTGGCCTCCCAAGCATATGCTTTTATGAAGCTGTTTGGTAATACAAGGTCAACCTTACAGATGATTGGAATCAGTCATACTGTTACCCTAACCAGAATGATCCAAGGCTACAAGATTTCTTTTCCTCCAGACGTTTTTCTCACTCCTTCCTATTTCCTGATTTTTCTTTGATTTCAGGCTACTCAAGACCAGTTCTCCTAATCAGCCACCTTTCTGCCTGTTGCCTACTCACTAGGGTAAGGTCCATAGTGAGAGAATCCTTTTCAGGTTTGCGAAAAGAGAGGGAGAAATAGACTCAGCACTGTTTTGCATTGTATATTTGCTAATTATGCAAAAAAATATCTATGGAGTTTGCCTTCTATTATGCATCTATTTCATGAACAGCCAGCAGCTCACATCCTTTATGTAACTTTTCTAGATTTCCCCAACCAGAGTTATTTCTCACATGTGAGACGTTATTTCTTTTTCTCTCCCTCTGATTTCAATATTTGAGTTTGTCATATAGCTGTTGTATCCTTCTATTCTACAAAGTGATAAGCTACTTGGTATCAAGGAATTTTTTAGCTACTTTTGTCTTCCAGGCAATGGTATGCAGTCTCTGGTACTTACACATGTTAAATAAATTATTATGTACATCAACTGTATTTTTAATCTGTAGAATGGATGACTTTGGTGGAACATGATATTCAAAAGTCTAATGAACAGATGTGTGGAACAAATTGGTTTTGTATGATAAAATGGATTAAATTAATCTTAGTAGTTCCAGAGAATGGAATTTGGACTTAGATACAGTTACAGGGAAAATGATTTCAGTTAACTTATTCATTCATTTCAATCTACATTCATTCAACAGACATTTTTTAAATAAAATGTTTTATTCTGAGATAATTATAAATTCACATGCCACTGTAAGAAATAATACGCAGAGAGATAACATCTACTATTTATCCAGTTTCTACTGATGATAAATATAGCAAAAATATAATGGAATGTATGACCAGAATACTGGCATTGATACAGTCAAGATAAAGAACATTTCTATCACCCAAGGTCCCTCATGTTGCTCTTTTATAGCTGCATTCGCTTCCCTCTGCCCACACCTTCTTCAAATCCTGGCAACTACCAGTCAATTCTCCATTTCCACAGTTTTATTTAAAAATGTTATTTAAATGGAAACATAAAATATATAACCTTTTGTGATTGCCTTTTTTCTTTTTATTTATTTATTTATTTATTTAATTTTATTATTATTATACTTTAAGTTTTAGTGTACATGTGCACAATGTGCAGGTTTGTTACATATGTATACATGTGCCATGTTGGTGTGCTGCACCCATTAACTCGTCAACTGGAAACCATCATTCTCAGCAAACTATCACAAGGACAAAAAGCCTTTTTTCATCAGCATCATTCTCTGGAGAGTCATCCTGGTTTTTGCGTAATATCAATAGTTTATTACTTTTTATTGCTGAGTAATATTCCATGATATCAATATACCAGTTTGTTTAACCGTTCACCTATTGAAAGACATCTGAGTTATTTCCAGTTTCTGGCTATTAAGAATTAAAATCTTTATGGTGGTGATTAACATTGCTTCACACATAAATAAAAATTTACACAACTATTTTTGGGTGAATTTAAATTTTTTATTCTTTAGAATAAACATCCTGGAGTGTGATTGCTGGGTTACATGGTAATTGGATGTTTGGTTTTAAAGACACTGATAAATTGTTTTCCAGAGGAGCTGTACCATTTTATATTCTCACCAGTATGTGATCCAGTTTCTCTGTACCCCTGCCAACATTTTGCATTGTCACTATTTTTAATTTTAGCCGTTCAGATATGTGTATAGGAATATCTCATTGCAGTTCTAGTTTATACTTCTCTGATGGCTAATGATGTTGAACATCTGTCATGAACATTTACCATCTGTTTATCTTCTATTCATGTCTGCTCATGTCTTTTGCTTAACTTCTAATGAGATTGTGGGGTTTTGTACTGTTAAGTTTGGAGAGTTTATATATTCTGGAGATTAGTCCTTTATCAGATATGTACTTTTCAAATATTTTCTTCCAGTCTGTAACTTACTTTTAGTCTTCTTAACAGGGTCTTTTGAAGAGCAGGTGTTTTCATTTTGATGAAGTTCAATTTATCAAAGTTCTTTTCTATGGGTTACACCTTTGGTGTCAAGTCTCACAGTTCTTTTCCTGCCTATCCATCCAGAAGATTTTCTCCTAACTTTTTTTCTTAAAAGATTTATAGTTTACATATTTACATTTAATTCTGCAACCCACATAGAGTTAGTTTTTGTAAAAGGTGTGAGGCTTAGATCAAGGCTCGTGTTTTTGCCATGAATGTTCAGTTGCATCAGCACCTGTTGTTAAGATGCTTTCTTTCCTCCACTGAATTGCTTCTGCACCTTTGTCAAAAATAAGTTGGCTATATTTTGCAGGTCTATTTCTAGGCTCTCTATTTTATTACATTTACCTATATGCTTACCCCTTTGCCAAATAATCTTGATTACTATAGCTAAATAATACATCCTGAAGCCAGGTAGACAGTTTCCTTCCATTTTATTTTTTTTCAAAATTTTTAGTTAGTCTAGATTCTTTGCCTTTCCATTAAAACATAAAATAATTTTGTCTACATGTACAAAAGTCTTGCTTGAATTTTTATAGATTGTTTTAAATTTGTATGGCAGTTTGGGGCTAAATGACATATTTACTCTATGAAACTTTAAATTCATGAACAAGGTAAGTCTCCATTTATTTAGATCTGTTTAATTTTTTAAAATCAGTGTTTTATAGTTTTAAAATAAACATTATCTAAAGCTTTTGGTAGGTTTATACCTAGGTATTTTGTTTTCAAGTGACTGCAAAGAGTATTGCTTTTTAGTATAATTTCAGTGTTGACATTTTCATTGCCAGAAACTAGTAATGCAATTGATTTTCATATTCCCTTGTATACTGTGACCTTGCTGATCTCACTTTTTAAATTCTAAGATTATTTTGGGGAGTAGATTCTTTGAAATGTTTTACATACATAAGCATATTATCTGTAAACAGGAATATATTTTCTTTCTTTCCTTCTTTCTTTCTCTTTCTTTCTCTCTCTCTCACTCTTTCTTTCTTTCCTTCTTTCTTTCTTTCTTTTTCTTTCTTTCTTTCTCTTTTTCTTTCTTTTCTTTCTTTCCTTTCTTTCTTTCCTTCCTTCCTTCCTTCCTTCCTTCCTTCCTTCCTTCCTTCCTTCCTTCCTCTTTCTTTCTTTCTTTCTTTCTTTCTTTCTTTCTTTCTTTCTTTCTTTCTTTCTTTCTTTCTTTCTTTCTTTCTTTTCTTTCTTTTCTTTCTCTTTCTTTCTTATTTGTATGTTATTTTTCCCAATCTGTTTTCATTGCCTAGATCTTCCAATGGAGTGGTAAGAGCAGACATTCCTGCCTTGCTCCTGACCTTAGAGGGAAGGATTCAGTCTTAAACCATTACTGATAAGATTACCTGTAGGTTTTTTGTCAAACTCTTTACCAAGTGAAGGAAATTTCCCTACAGTTCTATTTTCCTGGAGCTTTGATCATGAATGGGCATAGAATTTAGTCAAAGGTTTTTTCCTTATTTATTGCTGTGACTATATAACTTCTTTTTTAGCCTGATTATATATATATATATATGTAGATAGATAGATTTTATATATATATATAAAATATATGTATTTGTAGTGATTTTTTCATATTGGTACTTGTGTTTTCTCTCTCTTGTTCTTTGTCAGTCTTGCCAGAGGTTTTTCAATTATATTGATCTTTTCAAAGTAATAAATAAAATCCACCCTCTCTATATACATATATACACAAATACATACATATATAAATGCATATATACACACATAAATATGTAGAGAGTGGATTTTATTCATTAATTTTTGAATATTGAACTACTTTTGTATTCCTGAAATACACTTCCCTATATTATGGAGTATAATTCTTAAATATATTGCTCAAATATATTGCTAATATTTTCTTGACAATTTGTGTATCCATATTCATGAGGGTTATTGATATGTTGTTTCCTTTTTTCTTACTATCTCTCAGGTTTTGGTATCGCATTAATACTAACTTTGTAAAGTGAATCGAGAAGTATTCTTTCTCTGTTATTTTTCTGGAAGAGATTGTGTAGATTTGGTATTAAATTTGTCATTAAATGTCTGATAAAATTCCTCAGTGACACAACATGAGCCTGGAGATTTCTTTTTCAAGAATGTTTAAGTTCTGAATTCAATTTTTTAAATAGTTATAGCACTATTCACATTATCTCTTTCACACTGAGTGAACTGATAGTTTGTGCTTTTTGAGGAAGTTGTCCATTTTTTCTAATTTGTCAAATATATATGTGTAGAATTGTTTGTTGTGTTCTGTTAGTATCCTTTTAATGTCTGCAGGATTTGTAGTGATTTTCTCATATTGGTATTTGTGTTTTCTCTCTTTTGTTCTTTGTCAGTCTTGGTAGAGGTTTTTCAATTTTATTAATTTTTTAAAATAATCAGCTTTTTTTTAGTTCTCTGATTTTCTGTTGTTTATCTGTTTTGAATTTCATTAAGTTTTGCTTATTTTTATTATTTTCTTCTTGCTTTGAGTTCATTTTGCTCTTGTATTCTATGTTTCTGAAGTGGTTGTTTTGATTATTAACTCAAAACTTTTGCTCTTTTATAATGTAAGCATGTCATATGATAGATTTTCCTTTCTATACTACCTTATCTATATCCCATTAATTTTTGATGTTGTATTTTCACTTTGATTTAGTCCGATTTTTTTTTAGCTCTTTTCAGATTTTCTGACTCAGGGATTGTTTGTAAGTACGTTGTTTGGTTTCCAAGTGTTTAGATATTCTCCTGTTATCTTTTTGCTATTGGTTTTTTGTGTGTGTTCAGGAAATATACTCTGTATGATTTCAATATTTTAAATTGTTGAGGATTCTTTATAGCTCAGGACATGATCTATCTTGATATGTATTCTCAGGGAACTCAAAAAGGATGTGAATTGAGTTTTTTTGTTTGTTTTTTTTTTTTTTTTGGAGCAGTGTTCTAATAATGTGAGTTAGACTGTGTTGTTTTATGAAGTTATTGAGTTCTTCTATTTCTTGGGTGATTTTCTGTTTAGGTCTTCCATCAATTGTTGAGAAAAGGGTATTAAAATCTTTAACTATAACTATGCATTTATCTGTTTCTCTCGTCAGTTCTATTTTTTGCTTCGCATGTTTTCTAGCTCTGTTTCTTGATGCATACATTTAAGATTTCTATGTCTTCTTGGTGGACTGACCTTTTTAAAATAATTATAAAATATTCTTCCCTAACTTTAGTCATTGTTTTTGTTTGGAAGCCTACTTTATCTGATATTAATAGAACCATTCCTGTTTTCTTTTGATTGATGTTTGCATGACCTAACTTTTTTCATACTTTTACTTTCATATCATTTTACTTGAACTCATTTTTCTTATAGACAGCATACAGCTAGTCATATTTTAAAATCTGTTTTGCCAATCTTTGTCTTTTTCTTTTTGAGAAGGAGTCACTCTGTCGCCCAGACTGGAGTGCAATGGTGTGATCTCTGCTCACTGCAACCTCCACCTTCCAGGTTCGACCAATTCTCCTACCTTAGCCTCCTGAGTAGCTGGGACTACAGGCGTGCACCACACCACCTGGCTAATTTTTGTATTTTTAATAGAGATGGGGTTTCACCATATTGGCCAAGCTGGTCTAGAACTCCTGACCTCAAGTGATCCACTCACTTTGGCCTCCCAATGTGCTGGGATTCAGGGGCAACCTTGTCTTTTAATCAGTGTGTTTAGACTATTTTTATTTAATGTAATTATTGATATATTGGGTTTAAGTTTCACATTTTAATTTTTTTTCTGTTTATTTTCTCCCTTTTCTGTGCTTTCTCTTTTTTCTACCTTCCTGTTGGTTACTTGTACATTTTTTAGAATTTTACTTTGATTTATCTGTTAGTGTTCTTATGTCTTTGTGCAGCTTTTTTAGTGGGTGCTCAGGTATTAAATACATATACATAATTTATCACATTCTCCTCAAGTATCATTCTATTTAAGTATAAAAATCTTTCCTCCTCTTAAGTCCCTTTACCCTCCCTGATTTATAATATAATTGTCTTAACTATTTTCTCTACATACATTGAGAATTACTTCAGAAAATGCTATTATTTTTTATTCAGTTATCAACCATAATTTAGGATGCTGAAGAGAAAAGGTAAAAGGTATTTATCCATGATTTTTACTCTATTATTCTTTCTTCTCGACGCCTCATATTTCCTTCTTGTATTATTTTCTTTCCTCTTAGAGAATTTCATTTAACCATTCCTTCAAAATAGCTCTGCTGTTGACAAATGCTCTTGATTTCCCCTCATCTGAGAATGTCTTGGTTTACCCTTTATTCCTGAAGAGTACTTTAGCTAGATATAGGATTCTGGGTTGACAAATCTTTCCTTTCACCACTGGAAAAATGTACCAATTCCTTTTGCGTCTGTGGTTTCTGATGAGAAATCTGCTGTCATACCTATGATTCTTTGAGCTCTCTTTCCTCTGTCACTGCTTTCGAGATTTTCTTTTTTTTTAGTTTTCTGATATTTGAATATGAAGTATCTTGATTTAGATTTCTTTGAGTTTACCCTGTTTAGGGCTCACTCAGCAACTTGAATCTGTAGATTTATTTCTTTGGCCAAAATTGGAAGTTTTCAGTCATTGTTTCTTTAAAGACTTTTTAGCCTCATCCTTTTTTTCTCCTCTCTTCCTAGGACTGTGTTGAAAAAAAAATACCAGATATTTTGTTATGGTCACACAAGTCCCTGAGACTCGGTGTATATTTTAATGTCTATGTTCTTCTCTCTGTGGTTCAGATTGAGTAATATCTACTGCTCTTCATCAAGTGCACTTATTTTTCTGTTGTCCTCTCCATCCTGCCACTGACCCATACATTGAGTTTTTTTTACTTCAGTAGATAAGTATTTTTCAGTTCTAAAGTTTCTGTTTGGGTGTTTTTTATATTTCCTATTTGTTTTTTAAGGCTGGTTTAAAAAAGTTATTTCCAGCTTGTTTGTGATTGTTTCCTGAGGCATTTTTATGATGTTCTTTAAAAATCTCTATTATATAATCCTAACGTCTCTGTCATCTTGCTGTTGTCATCTGTATTACTTTGCTAGGGCTGCCGTAAGAAAGTCCCGCAGGCTGGGTGGCTTACAATAGAAATGTAATTTTGGTCTCTTCTAAAGCCCCTTTCCTTGGCTGACAGAATGACTGTCTTCTCTCTTTGTCTTTACATAGTCTTTACTCTGTGTCTGTGTCCTAATCTCATTTTCTTCGAAATACTAAAGATGTTAATTTTATAAAATTAGAGCCCATCTATATGACCTTGTTTTACCTTAATTTCTTCTTTAAAGGTCTTATCTTCAAATACAGTCACATTCTGAGGTACTGGGGGTAAAGACTTTGACATTATATTTTTGGGTGGAGAGGAGATCCTGGATCTTATTTGAATTTTCTGTTTTAGCTGACTTCCTCCTACATTGCTGTCAAAGGAAGGAATGCTGCCTCGTTATTGTCAGGTGCAGGTAGGAGTCTAGGTTTCCCATGTGGCTTCCATTGATTCCCACATGGTGGTGAGATTCCTTGTTACTTCTAGTTGGAGTTGGGAGTGCGGGCTCTCCACTGATAATTTCTTTGCCAAGAGGGTATAAATGCTTTATTATTGCTCCCCATATGAACTGCACTGATACCATGTAGTGGGGGTGGCATCATCACTGCTTCATATTAGTTAAAATACTGACTATCCACTTGTTCTCCTCTGACACCTTTCCAGTGGGGAGCAGGAAGGACAGCTCTTTATTGCTGGTTTGGGTGGAGGTCAAGGCTTTCTATGTGGTCTGTACTGATACCAGAGCGGGTTTCATTATTATCACCATTTGGGAATGAAAATTCCAGCTCCTTACTTTACTTCTCTGACAACACAGCTATGGGGGTGTTGGGTGCCTCAATATAGCCTCACAAGTGTGAGGATCTAGGATCCCCAGTTGACTTTTAATGGCATGAGTGGGAGTGCAACCATAGTTTCTTCTGTAGTGTTTGGCTAGAATAGAGTTATTATTTTCTAAAAGTTTTCTGTCTTGCTAGACTTATTTCTTCCCTTATTTGTTTGGACTTTTTGTCATCTGTACTCATTGATATTTTCTAGGCTTTTGCTTGTTCATCTCTAAGTTTGAAATAAATAAGCAAAAAGAAAACCTAGAAAATTACCATTGTGTCATATCTTGGGCCCTGAAGTTCCCGGGAGATTTGCTTTCTACCTTTCAGAGGCCTTTTAGTTTGTCTTATATGTAATGTCCAAGATTTCTAGTTGTATTTAGTGGGATAAATATGATAAAGGCACTTCTGAGCATTTTTACTTTATGCGTGTGTGTGTGTTTTTAAAAAAAGAGAACTAGTTAATAATCACAGCTGTCCAATATGTGATAAAATTTTATTCCTTAAAATGTGTTAAGACATATATTACATAAAATGTGCCATTTTAATCATGTTAATATCATTAAGTACTAAGCAGTATCATAAAGTACATTCACCATATTGTGCAACCATCACCACTATCCATTTCTAGAATTTTTTCATCATCCCAAACAAAAACTATACTTATTAAATAATCCTCTATTCCTCCCACTCTCAGCCCCTTATAGCACCCATTCTACTTTCAGTCTCCATGAATTTTTCTTTTCTAGATACTTCATGAATAATTCAGTATTTTCACCTTCGTTTTGGTTTATTTCATTCAGGGTAATGTTCTTAAGATTCATCCATGTTGCAACAAGTATCAGAATTTCATTTCAAATGCCAAATAATATTCCTTTGTACAGATATACTATATTTTGCTTAAGTGTGGTATATCTGTTCAATGTTATTTCTATATTTTGGCTATTATGAATTATGCTGCTATGAATACTGCTTTGCATGTATCTGTTTGAGTAGCTGCTTTCAATTCTTCTGGTATATCACAGAAGTAGAATTCCAAAATTTATTTTCATGCAATTATTTATGCATTGATTACTTTTATTAATTTACATGCAAGTGCTGCTTAACTTATGATGGGGTTATGTCCTGATAAACCCATTATAAATTTAAAATGTTGTAAGTAGAAAGTGCATTTTTGATCTACACTGTTTTCAATTTACAATGGGTTTATCTGGTTGAAATCCCATTGTAAGTCAAAAGCATACTGACTGCATATGGCTATTGCACTGTCATAAAGGGAAACCATTGTAAATAAGGGATAATCTATAGTCATTCACTTATTCTACACATTTCTTGATCATTGTTTGTTTGCCAAACACCTTACTGATAGTAATTTTTAATATCTTACTTTTGTATACTGTCTTACAAAATATTTCTATAAGTGCCTCATTGAATTTTCAGATTAGTTTTATGATTTCATGTATTAATTCTCTAACTACACAAATAAGCTTAATATTCTGAGCATTCCATAACTGAGTCAAAACTCACATTTCTGTCCTATGATATTGAGCTTAACATGCTTTTGGTTAACAGCCTTGAGATTTTAAAGCAAAGTTTAAATTATCATTTGAGAAGAATGTTCTAAAAATGTGTTTTTTAGTTCAAAACTCCAGAAGCTTTGCCCTTAGAAGGAGTCTTATAGATTATGTATAATCCATTTTCTATAGTTTAAAAATCATTTTAGCTTAAGCCTTATTTTTACAGTTGGGCACAATCTCTCTCAAAATGACATCATCAGTGTAAATACATAGGTTGATGTGTAAATATTTAATGAAACATGTCAACATAAAATTCTTATCAAATTATTTATTTTCCATACATATCTGTTATGTAAATATATTTTTCTGGATTCTGTGAGGATGTTTCTCAGCTGATGACTGTATTCTTGGAGCTCACTGGCAATAATCTAATACCTTATTTCCAAAATGAATAAATGTCGAATCAAAAATGATGATTGAACTTCTTAGCTTTGATTGTTGTAGAACAAACATAAATTTGTTGTTGGAAGACCACACTCTAATCTCAAGTGAAAATATTTTTAGAATGTTTGTACATGTTAATAGATAGAATTTTACTGTCATTGGCTTATCTGACAATTTTTTTTTTCAAAAAAAAAGAACTGATATAAGGGGTGAAAAATTTTTAATTGTCTTTTTCTATTACTGTTTAAGATCTTTGGAAATTAGTGAATTATTACACTCTGAAATAATGCAGAACATAGTTTTAGGATATAGGAGAAACTTCAGTTTGCCCCCAAGTATAGTGAGAATAGAAATGACTTCAGCACAAACTTTGCCTATTTAGCTACTATTGCATATATATCATCTGTTTTAGTTACAATATATATAATAAATTTTGAATGTATTGAATTATGAGTAAGAATTTTGTGTATATTTCTCATTTACCATTTTATACAGTTTATATCTACTTCTTTGACCCTTATGAATTCTAGCTTGAATGCTGGAATTATCAAATGAGCAAAATGTAACATTATAAGTATACACTATTGTTAGTAAACCTACATGAATAGTGGATAAAAGGACAGGGGACAGCTTCCCATGGTAGTATTGTTAAAAATAAAAATGCTTCAGATTTGGTGGGTTTTCATGTTGCTGAAGCCATTATTAGGAAGAATTCATAGACGAAAAGGATGAGGAGGCAATGATAAAAGAAAAATGAAAGTTTCTTTTTTTCTCCTTTATTTCCTTTCCTTTCTTTTTAAAAAGTATAATGTCAGGTTAGATTCTCTTGGTGACAATAGACCAAAACAAACAAATAAAAACACAAACAAACTGCTCAGGTAGATATAAATATCTTAGAAGTAATGCTGACTAAGACGAACCTAATGGCTCAAACAATTTCGCCAAGAGCCTAGTTCATCTGCATCTCTCCGGATGGGTGGGCCTCTCCCAGCTTTAATTCATCCTTAGCTTTACCTAGTGGAACCCACAGCGTCATGTTTTCCCCTCCAGTTAGCAACACTTCTCTGCCAGACTCTTCATACTGCCCCATCCAGGGAAAATGATGGATTTCTTCTGATGCCTCATGAGGAAGAGATTAAACTTTTTTAATATATGAGAATCCCAGCAAATGTCTACTTGTGTCTCACTGCTCATGTCTTTCTCTGAGCCGGTCACTGCAGCCTGAGGCTGGGTGTAAACACTGTAACTAAGAAATGAGGAAGTTGGTGCTGCTAAAGCTGCTCTGCAGCTTCGCAGTGATCCCGGGCAACAAAAGCACTTGCAGAAAATTGTGCCATTTTCTGTAAAACATCTAAATGCATTATTTACTGAGAAAAAATTTTAACTCTTTTTTGGAAAAACTGTCTCAAGCAAGGCACTTTAGAAGATTTTCATGCCCGTGTATCTCTGATGTGTTATTGGTCAGAAACATGGCTTTACAGAATTAAATTAGCTGTCAGTTTTGCTGGAGTACTAATTTGATTTTAGATTTACAGTTTTTTCTTATATAGAATTATCTTCCTTTCAAAATGTTTAAAATATTTGAATGATTTGAAAAAAATATGATGAGTAAATATGATAATAAAAACTATCTCATAATTCAGTAGTGCCAAAAATTTTAAGTTAATGTTACTTTTAGATAGAATTTTCACATCTTGGAAGAAATTCCTAATCCTTTTTGAAGGGATAATATTGAATACTAAATTATGTTGCTTTTAAATAAAGGAAATGTTTATTTGCCTTCCTAGAGCGACATACAATTGTCATGTGTGTTTATCTCTGTATGTTCATCATAACATTTTTGAAAGAACAAAAAGCGTGTGTTTTAGTTATCAGCACCCTAATCTGTTCATATTTGCTCTCCAAATTTTACTTTGAAAATGTGCAAGCATGCAGGAAAGCAAACACCTGTAAAACCACCATTGAATGGAAATTAATTAGAAATTCGCATATTACATATTTGTATGCATTATACATTTTACTGAACCATATGAAAATAAGCTGCAAGTCACCTTTCAGTACTGAAAAATTATTTACCTCAGTTCCTGTTACAGGATACGTCATTTCCACCTTTTAAAAAAATTATAAGGAAAGTTAAAAAGCAAGAAAACATGCAGCCAGAAGAGAGAAAGCTGGCATCAGAACTAGACTCAGATTCGGCAGAGATTTTGGAATGCTCACTCAGGAATTTCAAACAACTATATTAATGTGCCAAAGACTCTAATGGGAAAAGTGGAAAACATGCAAGAATAGGTGGGTAATTTAAGCAGAGAAACAGAAACTCTAGGAAAGAATGAAAAGGAAATTCTAGAAATAAAAACACTGTAGCAGAAATTAAGAATGACTTTGATGGGCCCACCAGTCGACTGGATATGGCTGAGGAAAGAATCAGTGACCTTGGTGATATGTTAATAGAGGCCTCGTAAACTGAAATACAAAGAGAAAAAGGATGGAAAAATGAAACACAATACTCAAGAAAGGCAGGATAATAACAAAAGGTGTAACATACATGTAATGGAAATACCAGATCGGAAGAAAATGTGAAAGGAGAAGAAAAAACATTTGAAGTAATAATGGCTGATAATTTTCCAAAAATAATGACAGATGGGAAACACAGGTCCCAAAAGCTCAGAGAACACAAAGCAGAATAAATACCAAAGAATCTACACCTAGACATAGCATATTCACATTGCAGAAAAACAGACAAAGAATTAAATCTTGAAAGCCAGGGGTAAAAACACCTTACCTGTATAGGAAAAAGGATACAAATTACACTGGACTTCTCAGAAAACATGTAAGCAAAAAGAGCATGAAGTAAAATATTTAAAACATTGAAAGTAAAAACCACCAGTTTAGACTTCTGTATTGATAAAAATCCTTCAAATTGAAGAGGAAACAATGACTTTCTTAGACAAATAAGAATTGAGGAAATTTGTTACTAATAGACCTGCCTTGCAATGAATGTTTAAAAAATCCTTCAAAGAGAAGGGAAATGATGTAGATCTGAAACTCAGACTTATACAAAGGAAGGTGGAGCAATAGAGAAGGAATAAATCAAGGTAAAATATAATCTTTTATTTTTTATTATTTATTGATATAACGGATAAAAATTTGTTCAGAATAAAAATAAATACAATAAATTTGGTAGCTTATGGATAAGTGGAATGACAGGAATAATTGTTAAAAGGGATAGAAAAAAGAAATTGGAAATACAGTCAGCCCTTCATATTTATGAGTTTCACATCCATGGATTCAGCTGATCACAGATTGAAAATATTGGGAAAAAATTGCATCCGTATGAACATATAGGGACTTTTTTCTTGATATTATTCTCTAAACAGTTCAACAACTATTTACATAGGTTTTTATATTGTATTAGGTATTATCAGTAATTTAGAGATAATTTGGGGTATATAGGAGGATGTGCATAGGTTATATGTAAATGTCGCATCGTTTTATATCAGAACTTGAGCATCTACAGATTTTGGTGTCCTCGAGAGGTCCTGAAACCAATCCCTTATGGATACTGAAGGATGACTATACTCTGTTACAAGGTACCAGCACTACCCATGAAATAGTATAATCAATTATAGATAGATTAAAAATAAAGAGATGGAGAAAGTTGCATCATGCTAACACAAATGAAAAGAAAACTAGAATAGCTATATTAATTTCAGATAAAGCAGACTTAAGGACAAAAACAAAAAGTATTGAGGGATAAAGAGAGTATTATGTAATGATAAAGTGATTCATTTTCCAAGATGACACAGCAATCCTTAATGTATGTGCACCTAACAGCAAAATATGTGAGGCAAAAACTGTTAGAGCTGCAAGAAGAAATAGAGGAATCGACTATGATAGTTGAAGGCTTCAACATGCCTCTATCAGCAATTGACAGATCCAGCAGGCAGAAAACTAGTAAGTTGAACTGAACAGCACCATCACTCAACTGGGTCTAATTGAAATTTGTAAAATACTCCACCCAGTGACAACAGAAATACACAGTCTTCTCAAGCTCACATAGAACATTCACCAAGAAGGACCATATTATATGCCATACAACACATCTCATCTAATTAAAAAAATAGAAAGCATACAAAGTATGTTCTCAAACCACAATGGAATTAAACTAGAAATTAATAACTGAAAGATAGCTGGAAAATAACAAAATATTTATAGATTAAACACATTTATAAGTAACATGCTGATCAAAGAAGTCTCAAGGGAAATTTAAAAGTATTTTGAACTGAATAAAAGTAAAAATACAACTCATCAGATTTCGCGGGATGCAGTTAAAGCAGTCCTTAGAGGTATAGTGTTGAATGCATATATTAGAAAAGAAAAAAGATATAAAATCAATAATCTAGACTTCCAATCATAGGAGACAAGAGAAAAAAAAGCAATATAAAATTAAACAAGCAGAAGAAATGGATAATTACAAAATAGAGCAGAAATCAATAAAAGTGAAAATGGGAAACAATACAGAAATTTGACAAAAGTGAAAACTGGTTCTTTGAAAAAATTGTGAAAATTGACAAACTCCCAGCCTGGATAGTGAAGAAAAAAAAAAGAATAAACATAAATTACTAATATCACACATAAAATTGGGCCATCTCTAGTGAACCATAGATGTTAAAAGAATAATAAAAGGGTATTATTAGCAATTTTAAGCCCATAAATTTGGTAACTTAGATAAAATGGACTAATTTCTTGAAAGACACAATGTAACAAACCACACAAGAAGAAAGAGATAATCTAAATAGGCCCATATTTATTAAACAAATTGAATCAATAATTAATAACCTTCTAAAACAGAAAGCACCAGATTCAGATGATTTTACTGGTGAATTCTACCAAACATTTAAAGAAAAAATGACGTTAATTATCTATAATTTGTTCCAGAAAAACAGAAACAGAGGGAATACTTCCTAACTTTAATTATCTGAGGCCAACATTACCCTAATACCAAAACCAGAAAAATATATTACAGGAAATAATAACCACAGACCAATATCTCTCATAAATATAAATGTAAGAATCCTCAACAAAATATTAGCTAATCAAATCTAACATTGTATAAAAGTAATTATACTATCCCAGGTATACAAAGGTGGTTCAACATTTGAAAATCAGATAATGTAATCCATCATATCAACAGGTTAGGGAAGAAAAGTGATATGATTATATCAGAAGATGCATAAAATGCGTTTGGCAACATTGAACACCCATTTGTGATAAAACCTGAGCAAACTAGGAAGCGAGGGTACTCTCTTCACTCAATAAAGAAGATCCAAAAAAAACCCCTATGGCTAATATAATGCTTAATGGTGAGAAACTACAGGTTAAGTATCCTTTATATGAAATGCTTGGGACCAGAAATGCTTTGAATTATGGATTTTTTTTTATTTTGGTGTATTTGCATATACATAATGAGATATCTTAGGGATGGAATTCATATAAACATGAAATTCATTTATGTTTCACAATACATTATATGTATTCACCTGATGCACATAGACTGATAGTAATTTTATAAAATATTTTAATAATTTTTTGCATGAGACAAATTATGTGTACATTGAACCATCAGAAAGCAAAGGTGTCACTGTCTCAGCCATCCATATAGACAATCTGTTGTTATTTGACAGTACTCTCATTCCTGACTTGGAATCTTTTTTTTATACTTATTCACACATAAGTACTTAATAGTAAAAAACGACATATTATTATTACAGTGAAAAAATATAGTGTGCAGAGTACCTAAGCAGGGCAGTGGCATCACCAGATACCTGCATCAGCTGTTGAACAACAGCAATGACAAACAATGGCAGGCTTTCAGCCTCCACCTATTGTGTGGTTTTTCAACTAAAAAGTTACTGTGCACTGTATTTATTTATTTATCTATCTATCTATCTATCTATTTATTTATTTATTTATTTATTTATTTATTTATTTATTTAGGAAAAGATATATTGCAGCTGAAGGGGGCTAGGAGAGCCCTTTTCCTTTGGGGACACTGAATAAGCTGTATGTTGTGTGACTGAGTTTTAGCTACGACCTCCCACAGGAAGTCAGGTATAGAATTTTACCCTTGCATCATGTCCGCACTTAAAAAGTTTTGGATTTTGGAGCATTTCAGATTTCACATTTTTGGATTAGGGATGCTTAACCTGTATTGCTTTCCCACTAGGCTCAGGAACAAGGCCAGGATGTCCCCTCTCTCCATCCCTATTCACCATCGTACTGGAAGCCTTAGCTAATGAAATGTGGAAACAATAGATTGGGAAGGGAGAAGTAAAACTGTCTTTGTTTGCAAATTACATGATTACTTATCAATAAAATCCCAAACAATCAACACAAATCTCTTAGAACTAATAAGTGATTATAACAAGGTTTATAAGATTCAAGGTTAATGTATCAAAGTTAATTGCTTTCCCATATACAAAATTTCACCAATGGTTTTGGCATCATTGATGAGCCTTGCATAAGTATACTTTTATATTGTATTGCAAAATTATGATTTCCTAATTTCATGACTCCCTGTACTAGCTGGTATTCTTCTTAAAAGAAGGAATCTGTTCCCATGCCCCATTATGTTGTGTCTCTGTCATTTTCTCTTCTTCTCCCTTATCTCGGTGGACTCATGAAATGCTAAATGTTAAGTACATATGGACACAAATGTGTCCAAGTAGGCACCAGTGTGCCTACTTGAGGGTGGAGGTTGGGAGGAGAGTGAGCATGGAAAAACTCCCTAATGAGCACTAGGCTTATTATCTGGGTGGCAAAATAATCTGTGAACCAACCGTCTGTGACCTGAAATTTACGTATGTAACAAACCTGCACAGTACCCTCAGAACCGAAAATAAAAGTTGGAAATAAAATAAATTCTACGTATTATAATCAGTTCCATTATCCCTTTTTCTAACCCACAAATAGTCCCAAATTTGGCCAGTGGAAGACTCTTCCAGCTAACTCTTTTGTCCTTTTGACATAATCCCGTTAGACTTTGAGTGCTTTTTGTCAAACATTGTGTCATATACTTTTGTTGCCCCAGAACTTGAAGCAGCTGCGTCTTCAAAGAGTTGAATTTCTTCTAGTGAAAAATAGTAATTGAAAATAAAATCTGAATAGCAAGTGTCCTTTTATACTGGGAGGTAATTAAATGTAGGATCTTTTAGAAAACAAGATTTCAATTTCCTTGACATTTCATGTAGTCAAACATTTTTTCATGACTTTTAGATTTTGTGTATATAGAAATGACTTTCCAACTTTGAATTAACAACTAGATTTATTTCACATTTTAAGTTATTTTGCATTTTTATTTTCACATATATTATTACTTGAAAATCTGCATGGAATTTTTATAGATAATAGAAAGTTACATTGCTCTGTACTGTCTTTTAAATATATTGAGCAGAGCATGATACCACACAGAGACTGAGGTGTGCAACTTTTGCAACTTACTGTGTAGTTCTTCACATGGAAATATGTTTACAATGGGGTGTGTATCAACTGTGAATTTATCAGTCTATGTATTGAGTAGTGCAAAAAATAATTTTTTTGTAAGCCAGTTATTATTTTGGACCTCATTCCACATAATGGCAGAAAACATCTTGGCCCAATTTGGGTAAATTTACCATTTGGGGTAAATAGAGTCCATTCAGAATCTCTGTTACTCATTCTTTTCTCTCTATTCAATCTAAAATACTGTTATGGATTGAATGTTTGTATCCTCCCAAGACTCCTATCTTGAAGCCCTAAGACCCAGTGTGATGGTATTTGGAGGTGGAGCCTTCAGCAGGTAATTGGGTTTAGGTGAGGTCATGAGTGTGGAGCCCCTGTATGGGAGTAGTGTCCTTGAAAGAGGAAGAGACATGGGGGCTTGCTCTCGCTCTCTCTGTGCCATGTAAGGGCACAGTGACAAAGTGGCTATCTGCGAGCCAGGAAGAGAGACTTCAGAAACCAAACAGTGCCAGACCTTGATCTTGGACTTTGCAGCCTCTAGAACTGTTAGCATATAAATTGCTATTGTTCAAGCCATCCAGTCTATGTACTTTTGTTATGGAAGCCTGGGCTAAGATGGCTGCCCAGGCTCCATATGGCTTCATGAGACCTCTTGGTTGTTTTCATGGAGGTATTATGCTTGCTCTCTAGTCTGTGATCATTCTCATTCTGTGAGGTGAAACACAAGTCTAGGTAGTCCTTGAGCACAGTCATGACATCTGGGGCTACTCTATTTCTTTCTTGTCACAGGGTTGCAAGAGCAAACCAACCTCTCCTGTGACAGCTCCATTACAACTGCAACTCCCTCGCAAGTCCATGACTCTTGGTGTCACATCCACCCACTATAAAGCCTGCAAAAACCTTTGTCTCTTCCCCACCCCATTGAAGAGCTCAGTGATTTGTCAGGTTAGTTTTATGCCTTGATACATCTTACAGCCATCTCAGCACCTCTATGGTCCCATGGTAGGTTAGAAACCTATCTGTGATGTCTGTCATCTTCCAGAGCAACCATCAGGAAATGAGGGTACAGACTCTATTCTCACACCTACCAACTATTTTGATTTTTATTACTTTTCCCTTGGAACTAATTCTGTGTTTGATGGGGAGGGTTTAGGCTTTTCATTGCTCCCCTCTATAACACTCCTTGGTCCAAAAGCCCAATAAGTTTTATCTACACTGAGAGGGTGGAGTGAAAAACTTAATACATTAGTTCAGCAAGCATTTCCCCAAAATTTTAGTGTCAAACCTATATAATAGCTATGTGAGACTTAAAAGGAAATAAATGATGTTTGAGTTCTGTGATTTCATTCGTATAAGTTATTATTGGGGCTATAAATTTCACATAATATTTTTTGGAATTAGGGAAAGAATCTTTAGTTATCTAAATAAATTTAATGAAGCATGGAGGGATAAAATAAGTTGGTTAATGTCTTCCAGTTGTTAAGATAAAAAGTAACATAATATTTTATACACTAAATATCATTTTTATAAAAAAAGATAGCACAAAATATAAAATGACACATTTTAAAAGTAATGTTATTATCCAGGGTGAAGAACATGTAGATGAGTTTGATTTATTTCTTTAAAATTATATATTTTATAAAGGGATATAATTTCTTACTCATATAATAAAAATAAATATGAAATAAATATGAAAAAGCAATATATCAATATATAATCATCTTAGAAAATATTGAAATATGAAAAAGAACAATGAAGAAAATAAATTTGTGCAAAACCCCAGGCCTGTTATCACTGTCAATGTTTTGGATGTAGTTTTAATTTTTATGTAGACACAGTTATTTTATATAATTTAGATGATTTTATGTCGGTTTAACATTTTTTAAAAAGTGTAATTGTGGTAAAAAATACAAAACATAAAATGTACCATCTTAAACATTTCTAAATGATTTGGTATTATTCAATATATTCACATTGTGGTGTAATCAATCTCCAGAACCTTTTAATCTTGCAAAACTGAAACTCTATACCCATTAAATAACTCTCCATTTCCATCTCTCTGTAGCCCCTGGCAACCACTATTCTACTTTCTGTCACCACGAGTTTACTACTCTATCTTCCTCATACAAGAGGAATCACATAGTATTTGTCTTCTTGTGACCGGTTTACTTTACTTAGTTTAATGTCCTCAATGTTAATCCATTTTGTAGCATGTGTCAGAATTTCCTTCGTTTTTTTAAAAAAAAATTAATTCAAAATTTTTTTAGTAGAGATAAGATCTTGCTATCTCATCTTTCCAGACTGGTCTTGAACTTCTGGGCTCAAGTGATCCTCCTGCCTTGGCTTCCTGAAATGCTAAGGCTGAATAATATACCATTGTATGTATATACCACATTTTGTTTTTCTATTCACTCTCCAATGGACACTTGGGTTGAATCCACCTCTTGGCTATGTGAGTAGTGCTGGTGTGGAACATGTGTGTGCAGATATCTCTACTTTCAATTCTTTCAGATATATGCCCAGAAGTATATTTGCCTAGGAATTGCTAGATGGTAATTGAATTTTTAATTTTTAAGGACTCTCCATACAGTTTTTCATAGTGGCTGTACCAATTTACATTCCTACCAACAGTGTACAGGATTCTTATTTCTCCACATCCTCACAAATGCTTATTTTGTCTTTTTGAAAGTAGCTATCCTAACATGTGAGGTGATAGCTCATTGTGGTTTTGATTTGCATTTCACTAATGATTAGTGAATTCTTGTTGGTCACTTGTATATTTTCTTTGATGAACTGTCTATTAAAGTCCTTTACCCATTTTTAAATGGTTTTTTTTTTTGGTTGTTGTTGAGTTGTAGAAGGCCTTTGTATATTCTGGATATTAACTCCTTATCAGATATATGATTTGCAAATATTTTCGTCCATTCTGCAGGTTGCCTTTTCACTCTGCTGACTGTATTCTTTGACATACCAAACTTTTAAATCTTGGTGTAGTCCAGTTTACCTATTTTTACTTTTGTTGCCTTTGCTTTTGGTGTCACATTTAAGAAATATTTGCCAAACCCAAGGTCATGGAGCTTTCTCTGTATGTTTCCTTCTAACAGTTTTAGGTCTTCGCTTCATTTTGAGTTAATTTTTGTATATGGTACAAGGTTCCAGTTTTATTCTTTTCCATGTGGAGAGCTAGTTTTCCCAACACTATTTATTGAACAGATTTTCCTTTCCTCATTGTGTATTCTTGGTACTCTTGTAAATAATCATTTGACCATATATGCAAGGGCTTATTTGTGGACTTCCTACTGGTCTGTATATCTGTTTCTATGCCAGTACCATGCTGTTTTGATTACTATACATTTGTTATAAGTTTTGAAATCAGAAAGTGTAAAATCTTCAACTATGTTATTCTTTCTCAAGATTGTTTTAACTGTTCAGGGCCTCTTGAAATGTCACATAGATTTTAGGATGAGATTCCCTATTTCTGCAAAAAAAAATGCCATTGAAATGCTGATAGGGATTGTATTAAATTTTTAGATCACTTTGAGTAGTATTGACATTTTAACGATATTAAATCTTTAAGGCCATGAGTATGGGAAATCTTTCAATTCATTCACATTCTCTTTAATTTCTTACAGTAATGTTTTGTATCTTTCAGTGTAGAAGTCTTTAACCCGCTTGGTTAAGTTTATTCCTAGGTAGCTTATTATTTATAAGCTATTGTAAATGAAATAGTTGAGAAATATCTTTTTGATTTTTTATTTAGATTTTGATCAAAATTTCTATTTCTAGGTTTTGTATTTCTATCAAATTTAGTATCAGATTTGTTTTTCTTAATTTTCCTTTAGTATTTACAGGTAATTTTCCTTACAGTGATTATCTTGGTACACAATAATCTTGATTTTTAAAATCCTGGTCCTAATTTATTTTACTTTGACTTCTTGCTTTCTTCTTTCCTGTTAATACCAATTCTCCACAAGTTACCCCATGCTAGCAAGGTGCTTTCTCCCACTCATTTTCCAAGCCCTTTCTTTCAATTCCTTAGGAGCCAGGGTTCTAATTTCCTCAATCTTAAGTTCTCATCAGGATGGTACTCTCACCCTTTGTTGTTCTACCCCTTCTGCCAGAGTCCCTTCATCTGTAAAAAGTGGGGATTCCCACTTGACTCTGCTGAGGGTGGACTCTAGAGATGCTTTAGTGTTTTCACCACTTACATGTAAACTGAAGTTGCTAATGCTCTCTTTCTCTGGTTTTGTGGTAGATTGTGCTCTGGGTGATGTGTTTTTCTTCTTTCGTTGAACTGTGTGGTTTTCAGAGGTGTGTGGAGAGATTTGAATTTAGCTGAATACCATTATCCTATGGGAAACGGGAAGCTGTGTGACTGGTGTTAATGAAACTGTCCCTATAAACTTCATAAAATTAATCAGGAAAGAAGGTGGCGGGGGGGGGGGGGGTTTGGAAGAAACAAAAATAAGCCAAACTTTCAGCACATCAGCATTCATCATGAGATCAGCTGCTCTCTGACCCCTTCCTCATAGCTGTTTTGTGCCTATTGTCCTAAAATCACATAGACCCATGAAGATTATAGTTCTCCTTAACTGCTCTGTAGATAACAACTTGAGAATTATAAAATGTTAAGTTTTCCATTTGAGATATCCTTTTAGGTCCTGCACACCAATAAGGTCTGAAGGACCTCATGAGGAGCTGACTCACCAAAGAATGCGGTTTCCACATCCAAATAATATCCCCCTTATTCCAGCCAATCAACAACCCCAATTTTCTAACCTCTTTCCCTCTACTAATCCATTAAAAACCCCAGCCCAGAACTCATTGGGGGGAAGAATTTGAGGGTCCTTTCTGTCTCTTTATTTGGCTGCCCGTTGATAATTAAACTCTTTCTCTGCTGCAAACTCTGCTATCTCAGTGTATTGGTCTGTTACTCTTCAGCGAGCATACAAACCTGTTGGTCCTATAACTTGAATATAGGTAGTAACATATCTGGAATTCATACTTTACTGATTTAATCAATTTGTGCAGATCTGATTGCAGAAGTTCTGCTCTTTTCCCCCTACTTTGTGCTTATTTTTCCTGAACCATTTTCTACAATATAACAGTCTAAAGTGAATCTGTGTATCTGAGATAAAATATTATGGGAAACCTTTAGTTTTAAGTTTTGAAACTCCTTCATGAATATTTTATGATTTCATTTTATCTTTATGAAACAACTCCTCATTATTTAAAATTGACGATAATAATAAAAACCAAGTATAGTGTTTGTATGCCTCTCAGTAGAAGTCAACTTCTTTATGCTCAAGACATGACACCCTTGAAGTCATGTGGCTCTCAACATTCTAATAGTCTAAGGGCCTTTACCAGGAGGTAGTTCTGAATCCAGTGGGGTACATTTACAGAATACTTTCACCTGTTCTGTACCTAGTAACAGTAGCTTTCAACCTTGCTGCATATTATTATCTCCTGTGGAGCTATGAAGAATCTCAATGTCTAGTCTGTACCCTGGACCCATCATTAAATTAGAGTTTGTGGAGGCAGGGACCCAGACATTACTATAAGGCTTGGGTAGAACTCAAAATGAGGCCTTACAAATACTACTGACTCACGTACCTACACTATGATTTGCATACATCCACACTTGAGAACCACTAGTGAGTTTTGAGACGACTTCTCAATGCTTCTTATAAACTGTTTGAAGAAACATGGTTCTAGAATATTGTATTTCTTGAATTCTAACACATAGCTATATTTTTGAGATTTGGAGTAAAAGCAAAATCTTCTGAAGTATCAATTAATGCTGAGGAAAAACAATATCTAGTTAGATGTAAATCCACACTGGTCACTGCTACTTTTAGAAACTGACTGGAGTCCTAAACTGGGGGAAAAGAAACTGGTTTGGAACTTTAAAAGCTTAACTAAGCAAATTATAGAAAATCAGTCCCTTCTTTATTTTTAGGCAGAACTGTGATTTTGATGGCCTTTAAGGCAGGACTGCAGATGAGCTGCAACTGAATTATCTAGAAAATATCCTGAGAGAGTCCGATTGAGTAGGTTTGTGGGTGAACTTTAGAATTGGTGTGTTTAACAAACCACCAGGTGATTCTGATGCACTGACAATATGCAAGAGCACATTCCGAAGACACTTGATAGAAGGTTTCAGGAATTCTGATTGTCTCAAACCCTGAGAGGCACAAGTAGAAAAGATCCAGGGCTTCATTTTCATGACATTAACAAAGAGTGTGGAGAAGAAATCACCTTACTAACCTATGGTTGAAGAAAAACGATGGAGAAAGTGCTCATATGTCACATAAATTGTTTTCTTTAAACCCTTTGGTAAAGATTAGTTGTATCATCGTATTTATAAATCCATTTATAGTATTCTTCCCTGCAGATTTTCAACAGCAGCCACAGGAGGATCAAAATTCATCTTATGCATCTCTAAGATGCTTTTATCCCCTTAAGATGAATCCCATGGTGGTATTTGCCAGTTTTATAACTACCAGTTGAATATATTCAGTGTCATAAAATAAATTTTAAAAAATTGTTTATAGTCAAACATATTTTTCTTAGAGAAGTTGTTACTCAGTATATATGACTCCATTAGTCAGAATTTCTCCACAAATACTCTATGTTTCTTAATATTTTGAACCAAGGATCCATTTGAGAATTTGATGAGAGGCTTAGAACTCTTACCAATTGAACACATTTAAGTGAAATAACAGTTTCTATATATTGTTAGAGAATCTATGGACATCCCACAAAGCTCCTAAGGTCCACAGCTTATAGTTTAAAAAGTTTGTATCTAAGACATGTGGTATCTCTACTAATTTATAATTTAATGACATTCTATATATTTTCCAGGTACCTGTATAAGAATGAAATCCATGCACTAGATAAGCAAACATTTAAAGGACTCATATCTTTGGAACATCTGTAAGTAATAGAAACTTTTTTATTAAATCACTCATGGTGACAGTTCAAATAGACAGCTTTTTAAATGCCATTATGTGATAGTTGAACAATTATTTTAAGCTTCTCCATGTGGCTTGAATGATTGAATATCTGTCATCAGTTGGATAAAAATCAGAATGTATGATTGAGTTGGCATAAGGATAGGAAGACAGACAGAACTCAGCTGGAATTCCAGCACTGCATTTATTACTTGTGTGACATTGGGCAACTTACCCTCCGTGAACCTTTGTTTCCAAATCCTGAAATGCACATATTTCCGTGGTGCATGTTAAGGTACTGCATGCAAAGAGCAATAATGTTTATTAAGCAAAAATGTTTATTACTTGACTTAAAATAGGCATTTTATAGAAGGTAATTTATAGCTGTGACTATAATTTATGAAACAAGTTCAAGCTTTTAACTGACATTAGAACTTCCAAAACATGGGATTATACCTCTCATTTTACAGATAATAAAATTAACTTCAATGTTAGTTAACTGATTTGCCCCAAATTATGAGTCTGTATTATAATTATTATTATCATTATTATTATTTTTGAGGCAGAGTCTCTCTCTGTTGCCCAGACTGGAGTGCAGTTGTCCCATCACAGCTCATTCGCCTCCTGGGTTCAAGTGATTCTTGTGCCTCAGCCCCCCAAGTAGCTGGGATTACAGGTATGCCCCATCATGCCCAGCTAATTTATATGTTTTTAGTAGAGACAGGGTTTCACCACATTGGCCAGTCTGGTCTTGAACTTTTGGCCTCAAGAGATCTGCCCGCCTCAGATTCCCAAAGTGCTGAGATTATAGTCATGAGCCTCCATGCCTAGCCCTGTAGCATTATTATTACAACTCAAACTGACCGCTATCTTAGTGTACTTTTTAGCATTTGATACTTTATGAAAACCTCAGATTCACCATCATAATTTCAGTGTGAAATATGAATTCTTCAATATCAAAAGGTCATATTGTTTACTAATACTGCTACTAAACTGCAATTTGATGTTTTATTCATAGATTTCTCTCAATTACAAGTGTTTGAAACACAAATACTAATTAGATAATTAAAAAGATTTTTCCCATTGATGACAACCTATGGGATAGTTCTGAAACTCGGATATGTAGAATGCAGACTGTTTTTAAGTATTGGCAGGATTTCTGTATATCAGAAGCTTTTGATCCTGAAATTTGTTTCCATATTCAATGTGGTTTCTTAGTTTCAAAACATGATTTTATTTCTATAATAAATATGGTTAGAAGAAATCTAAATTTCTTTTTCATAGAAGGCTGAACTGTTAGGTTATAGTATTAAAACACAGTCAACCAATCAAAAAAATTTTTTTAAATTGCCTTTGCTCTACTTTTGTCTCTTATTAATTTCCTTTTACATGACTGCTATGGTTTGAAACTCATGCTGAAATTTAATTGCCATTGTAGCAGCATTAAGAAGTGGGAACTTTAAGGGGTGATTAGACCATGAAAGGTAATGAATAGATTAATGTTGTTATTGTGGAAGTGAGTTTCTTATTGTGGGAGCAAGCTCTTTATCATGGGAGTGGGTTCCTTATAAAAGGACAAACTTGGTTTCTTCTTGCTCTCTCTCTCTTGCCCTCACTTGCCCTTTTGCCATGGGATTATACTGCAGGAAGGCCCTTAAAGGATGCCGGCCCTTCAATCTTGGAATTCCCATCCTCTAGAATTGTGAGCCAACGAATTTCTGTTCATTATGAATTACTCCATCTGTGGTACTCTGTTATAGCAGCATAAAATGACTCAGAAAGAGAATTGGTATCAAAGAGTAGGGTGTTACTGTGACAAACACCTGAATATTTGGAAGTGACTTTGGAACTGGATAATGGGCACAAATGGGAAGAATCTGGAGAACCAGGATAGAAAAAGCTTGTATTGCCATGAACAGATCATTAAGGGCAGTTCTGGCGAGGGCTCAAAAGAAAAGGAGAGCTGTAGGGAAAGTGTAAAACTTCTTAGAGGTTGCTTAAGTAGCTATGATCAGAAAGCTGGTATAAATATGGACAGTAAGGCAATTCTGATGGGGTCTTGGACAGAAATGAGGAACAAGGTAATGGAAACTGGAGTAAAGGCCATTATTTTCTAACGTGGCAAATAACTTGGCTGAATTGTGTCCACACCAGAGGGCTTTATGTAAGGCTGAATTTAAGAGAATGAACTGGGACATCTGGTGGAATAAATTTCTAAGCAAAACGTTGAAGGAGCTGCACAGCTTCTATTAAATGCCTAGAGTAAAATGTAGGAAGAGATGAATGATTTAAAGATGACCTTTATAATTAAAAGGGAAGTGTAACATAAAGATTTAGAAAATTCACAGCCTGGCCAAGTAAAGAACAAAAAAAGTGCAAGGGTGCAGCCAATTGATCCTTTGATAAAGGGATTAGCATAGATAAAATAAGCCAGGTGCCATTCATCAAGACAATGGGAGAATGACACCCAATTCATTTCAGAGATCTTTGAGGCAGCCTCAAGAGAGCAGCTCAGCATGCCTGAAAAAAAATCAGCATTCACTACCCTGCACCACCTTAAGTCTCTGCCCCCCAAATTCCCAAACAGTGCTCCTTGGTCATCTCAGCTGTCACTCAAGTGGGCTTAGGTGTGGATTGTGCCCCTAATTTGAGGAATGCAAGTGGTAAGCCTTGGCAGCAGATTTATGTTTTAGTATGTATTTGTAAACCTCACACGATAAGTCTTTAAACTTATTGGTAAAGAACATCTTTAAAAACATTTTATATGCTTGTTTACAGAATTCACAGAATGGTAAATAGTCCAATTCACTGTAATAAGTCAGCTCACAATACATCTTTGAAGTAACATACTTCGATTCATCTTTTAAATGTGGATGTATAAACTCCTCACATTATGGCTTAGAACACAAGGGCAAGGGACATCTTTAAAGAGCATGTCTTAAACATGTGGTTAAAAAGTTCACTGTGTTAAACAGTTCAATTCATTTTAATAAAGTGCTTCACAATGCATCTTTGAAGTAACATGCCGAGATTTATATTTTCAGTGTGTGTATATATATATATATATATATATATATATATAAAATCCCTCACAATAAGGCAATAAACTAAATGATAAGGAACATCTTTTAAATGTGTATTTGTACATTTGTTGATAGAGTTCATTGTTTGGGAAGCGGTTCAATTCACTGTAATAAAGGAGCTCACAATGCATCTTTGAAGTAACACACTCATTTCATGTTTTCAATGCGCATATATAAACTTCTCACAGCAAGGCATTGAACTAACTGATGAAGAACATCTTTAAAAAGCATATTTTATACACTTACTTACAGAGTCCGTAGTTTGGTATTAATTCTGCAGATGCACAGAATGAGTGGGCTATGGGGTCAAAAATGGTCTCCACCTAGATTTCAAAGGATGTTTTGGACAGCCTGAGGCCCCAGGCAGTGCCTTTTCACAGGAGCAAAGCCATTGCAGACAGTCCATACGAGTACAATGCCTAGTGGAGTAATGGGAGTGGGACTGCCACCAAGATCCCAGAACTATTGAGCTGCCAGTGTGCAATGTCAGCCTGGGAGAGCTTGCAGCACAAGACTTCAACCCACGAGAGCTTTGGGTGTGCTGAGCCATAGGGCTTGGGCTGCTTGAGGCCTTGGGGGCCCAACCCCTACCCCACCTTGTCCAGGAGGCAGGACACAGAGTCAAGGAAGATAATTCGAGAGCCTTAGGATTTAATGTTATTCACCCTGTTGGATTGTGGACTTACTTGGGAACAGTTGCTCCTTTTTTCTTTCCTGTTTTTCCCTTTTGTAATTGGAATGTCTATTCTATGTATGTCCCACATTGCATTTTGGAAGCACATAACTGGTTTTGATTTCACAGGCTCACAGCTGTGGGGAAATTTGCCTCAGGATGAATCATGCCTTGAGTCTCACCCATATCTGATTTATTTAATTTTTTGTCTATCTTTTATTATTGTTACTATTAATTATTTCAATAGTTTTGGGGGGAACACATGGCGTTTGGTTACATGAATAAATTCTTTAGTGGTAATTTTTGAGATTTTGGTGCACCCAACACCTGAGCAGTGTACACTGCACCCAATGTGTAGTCTTTGATCCCTCACCCCCGCTTCCATCCTTACTCCGAATACCTGGAGTCCCTTATATAATTCTAATGCCTTTGCATCCTCATAGCTTAGTTCGCACTTATGAGAACCTACGATATTTGGCTTTCCATTTCTGAGTTACTGCACTTAGAATAATGGTCTCCAGTTCCATCCAGGTTGCTGCAAGTGCCATTATTTCATTCATTTTTATGGCTGAGTAGTATTTCATGGTATATATATATACCACATTTTCGTTTTCCACTTGTTGGTTGATGGGCATTCAAGCTGGTTCCATATTTTTGCAATTGCAAATTGTGCTGCTATAAACATAGTTGTGCATGTGTCTGTTTTATATAATAACTTCTTTTTCTGTGGGTAGATACCCAGTAGTGGGATTGCTGGATCAAATGGTAGTTCTACTTTTAGTTCTTTAAGAATCTCCATACTGTTTTCCATAGTGGTTGTATTAGTGGTTGCCCCACCAGCATTGTAAAAGTGTTCCTTTTTAACCACATCCACACCAACATCTGATATTTTTTGGTTTTTTAATTACATTATGGCCGTTCTTGCAGGAGTAAGGTAGTATCGCATTGTGGTTTTGATTTGCATTTTCCTGATAATGAGTGATGTTGAGCATTTTTTCATATATTTGTTGGCCATTTGTATACCTTCTTTTCAGCATTGTCTATTCATGTCCTTAGCACACTTTTTGATGGGATTACTTGCATTTTTCTGACTGATTTGTTTTAGTTCCCTTATAGATTCTGGATGTTAGTCCTTTGTCAGCTGCATAGTTTGCAAATATTTTCTCCCACTCTGTGGGCTGTCTTTTACTTTGCTGATTGCTTCTTTTGCAGGGCAGAGGCTTTTTAGTTTAATTAAGTCCCATCTATTTATCTTTGTTTTTGTTGCATTTGCTTTTGGGTTCTTGGTCATGAAGTCTTTGCCTAGGCCAATGTCTAGAAGAGTTTTTACAATGTTATCTTCTAGAATTTTTATGGTTTCAGGTCTTAGATTTACATCTTTGACCCTTCTTGAGTTGATTTTTGTATTAGATGAGAAAAGGATCCAGTTTGATTCTTCTGCATGTGGCTTTCCAATTATCCCAACACCATTTGTTAAATAGGGTCTCCTTTCCCCACTTTATGTTTTTATTTGCTTTGCCAAAGATCAGTTGGCTGTAAGTATTTGGCTTTATTTCTGAGTTCTCTATTTCATTCCATTGTTCTACTTGCCTGTTTTTATACCAGTAGTACCATGCCGTTTTGGTATTTATAGCCTTGTAGTATAGTTTATAGTCAGATAATGTGATGCCTCCAGATTTGTTCTTTTTGCTTAGTCTTGCTTTTGTGGGCTCTTTTTTGGTTCCATATGAATTTTAGGATTGTTTTTCATAGTTCTATGAAGGATTATAGTGATATTTTGGTGGAAATTGTATTGAATTTATAGATTGCTTTTGGCAGTATGGTCATTTTCATAATACTGATTCTACCCATCTGTGAACATAGAATGTGTTTCCATTTGTTTGTGTCATCTATGATTTCTTTCAGCAGCATTTTTTAGTTTCTGTTTTAGAGATCTTTTACCTCTTTGGTTAGGTATATTCGTAAGGTTTTTGTTTGTTTGTTTGTTTGTTGTTTTTCAGCTGTTGTAAAAGGGGCTGAGTTCTTGATTTGGTTTTCAGCTTGGTCACTGTTGGTGTATAGCAGTGCTACTGATTTCTGTACATTGATTTTGTATTTTGAAAGTTTACTGAATTCATTTATCAGATCTAAGAGCTCTTTGGATGAGCCTTTAGGGTTTTCTGGTACAATCATATCATTGGTGAACAACGACAGTTTGACTCCTCTTTACTGATTAGGATGCCCTTTCTTTCTTTCTCTTGTCTGATTGCTCTGGCTAGGACTTCCAGTACTATGCTGAATAAAAGTGGTGAAAGTGAGCCTCCTTGTCTTGTTCCAGTTCTCAGGGGTAGTGCTTTCAGTATAATGTTGGCTGTGGATTTGTCATAGATGGCTTTTATTACCTTAGGGTATTTCCCTTCTATGCAAATTTCACTGAGGGTTTTAATCATAAAGGATGCTGAGTTTTGTCAAATGCTTTTCCTACATCTACTGAGATAATAATACGATTTTTTGTTTTAATTCTGTTTATGTGGTGTATCACATTTATTGACTAGTGTATGTTAAACCAACCCTACATCCATGGTATGAAACCCACTTGATCATTGTATATTATCTTTTTGATATGCTGTTGGATTTGGTTAGCTAGGTTTTTGTTGAGGATTTTTGCATCATTTTCATCAGGGACATTGGTCTGTAGTTTTCTTTTTTTGTTACATCATCTCCTCGTTTTGGTATTATGGTAGTGGCTTCATAGACTGATTTACGGAGGATTCCCTCTTTCTTTATCTTTTGGAATAGTTTCAGTAGGATTGGAACCAATTCTTATTTGGATGTCTGATAGAATTCAGCTGTGAATCCATCTGGTCCTGGACTTTTTGTTGTTGTTGTTGGCAATTTTTATTACTGGTTCAATCTCACTACTTGTTATTGGTCTGTTCAGAGTTTCTATTTCTTCCAGGTTTAATCTAGGAGGTTTGTATATTTCCAGGAATGTATTCATCTCCTCTAGGTTTTCTAGTCTATGCACACGAATGTGCTCATAGTAGCCTCAAGTGATATTTTGTATTTCTGTGGTATTGGTTTTAATATCACCCATTTCATTTCTGATTGAGCTTATTTGGATCTTCTCCCTTCTTTTCTTGGTTAATCTCACTAATGGTCTATTGATTTTGTTTATCTTTTCAAAGAACCAGCTTTTTGTTTTTGTGTCTTTTGTATTGTATTGTTTGTTTCCATTTCATTTAGTTCTGCTCTGATCATTGTTATTTCTTTTCTTCTGCTGGTTTTGGGTTTGGCTTGTTTTTGTTTCTCTAGTTCCTTGAGATGTGAGCCTAGATTGTCTGTTTGTGCTCTTTTAGATTTTTTGATTTATGCATTTAATGCTATGAACTTTCCTCTTAGAACTGCTTTTTCTCTATCCCAGAGGTTTTGATAAGTTGTGTCACTATCATCATTCAGTTTGAACAATTTTTCAATTTCCATCTTGATTTAATTTTGACCCAAAGATCATTCAGGGGCAGATTTTTAAATTTCCATGTATTTGTATATTTTTGAGAGTTCCTTTTAGAGTGAATTTCCAATTTTATTCACCTGTGATCTGAGAGAATACTTGATATAATTTCAGTTTTCTTAAATTTCTTGAGACTTGTTTTGTGGCCTGTCATAATGTTCTATCTTGGAGAATGTTCCATGTTCTGATGAAAAAAATATATATGTTCTTCAGTTATTGCGTAGAATGCTCTGTAAATATCTGTTAAGTCCATTTTTCCTAGGGTATAGTTTAAGTCCATTGCTTCTTTGTGGACTTTCCGTCTTGGTGACTGGTCCAGTGCTGTCAGTGGAGTACTGAAGTCCCCATTATGATTGTGTTGCCATCTATCTCATTTCTTAGGTCTAGTAATAATTGTTTTATAAATTTTGGAGCTCCAGTGTTATGTGCATATGTATTTAAAATTGTGATATTTTTCTATTGGGCTAATCCTTTTAGCATTATATAATGTCTCTTTTTGTCTTTTTAAACTGTTATTGCTTTATAGTGTGTTTTGTCTGATGTAAGAATAGCTATTCCTGCTTGCTTTTGGTTTCCATTTGCATGAAATCCCTTTTCCCATCCCTTTGCCTTAAGTTTATGTGAGTCCTTATGTGTTAGGTGGATCTCTTGAAGACAGCAAGACTTGGCTGTTGGATTTTTGTGCATTCTGCCATTCCATATCTTTTAAATGGATCCTTTAGGCCATTTACATTCAATGCTAGTATTGAGATGTGAAGTACTGTCCTATTTATTGTGCTAGTTATTGCCTGAATACCTTGTTTTTTTTCCACTGTGTTATGTTTTATAGGTCCTATGAGATTTGTGCTTTACAGAGGTTCTATTTTGGTGTACTTTGAGGGTTTGTTTCAAGAGTTAGCATTTTTTTGTAGTGCTGGGTTGATAGAGGTGAATTCTCTCAGCATTTGTTTGTCTGAATTATACTTTATCTCTCCTTCATTTATGAAGCTTAGTTTTGCTGGATACATAATTCTTGACTAACAATTATTTTGTTTAAGGAGGCTAAAGATAGAACCTCAATCCTGGCTTGTAAGGTTTCTGCTGAAAAATCTGCTGCTAATCTGATAAGTTTTCCTTTATAGACTACCTGGTACTTTTGCCTCACAACTCTTAAGATTTTTCCCTTCATCTTGAATTTAGATAACATGATAACTATGTGGCTAGGTGATGATCTTTTTGTGTTAAATTTCCTGAGTATTCTTTGAGCCTCTTGTATTTGGATGTCTAGACCTCTAGAAAGTTCAGGGAAGATTTCCTTGATTATTCCCTCAAATAAGTTTTCAAAAGTTTTAGATTTCTCTTCTTCAGGAACACCAATTATTCTAATGTTTGGTTGTTTAACATAATCCAAAATTTCTGGGAGGCTTTGTTCATTTTTAAAATTCTTTTTTCTTTGTCTTTGTCAGGTTGGGTTAATCAAAAGCCTTCTTTTTTTTTTTTTTTGAATTCTGAAGTTGTTTCTTCTACTTGTATGATTTTATTGTTCAAAACTTTCCAGTGTATTTGTATTCTCTAAGTGTGTCTTTCATTTCTAGAAGTTGTGATTGTGTTTTCTTTATGCTATCTATTTCTCTGCAGACTTTTTCATTCATATTCTGTATTTTTAAAAAATATCTTCTTCACCTTTCTCTGATGCTTCCCTGAGTAGCTTAATAATCAACTTTCTGAATTCTTTATCTGGCAATTCAGAGATTTCTTCTTTGTTTGGATCCATTGCTAGAGAGCTAGTGTGAGCTTTTGGGGATGTTGTAGAACGGTGTTTTGTCATACTTTCAGAATTACTTTTCTGGTTCCTTCTCATTTGGGTAGACTGTTTCAGTGGAAAGATCTGGGACTCAAGGGCTGCTGTTCAGATTCTCTTGTCCCATGGGGTGATCCCTTGATGTGGTTTTCTCCCCTTTTCCCTAGGGATAGGGTTTTCTGAGAGCCAGACTTCGGTAACCATTATTGCCCTTCTGGGTCTAGCCACCCAGTAGGGCTACTGGGCTGTAGGCTGGTGCTGGAGAATGTCTGCAAAGAGTCTTGTGATGTGATCTGTCTTTAGGTCTCCCAGCCATGGATACCAGTATCTGCTCTGGTGGAGGTTGTGGGGAAGTGAAGTGGACTCTGTTGGAGTCCATTGTTGGAGTTTTATTTAGTGTGCTGGTTTTCTTGAATGCTGATTATGCTAGTGGTGAAGCTGTCACATGGCCAGAGTCAGGATCTGTGGTTAGCCAGGGTGTTGCAGCTGGTGAAATTTGCTGTTGTTTGCTCCTTCTTTGGAGCAGGGTTGTTCTGTTATGAGTTGAAATAATAGCTTGAGTTGGTGGCCTCCAGCCAGGAGGTGGTACTTTCTAGAGAGTACCAGCTGTGGCAATAGGAGGGGGATATGGGTTTGCCCTACATTGGTCAGGATAGGTACTCAGGTTTCTGAGGTGATGGGCAGGGCCATAGAGCTCCCAAAAGTTTATGTCTTTTGCCTTTGGCTATAAGGGCAGGTAGAGAAAACCATCAGGTGGGGGCAGGATTGGGCAGTACCGAGCTCAGACTCTTCTTTGGTGGGGCTTGCTGCGGGCACTGTGAGGGATTGAGCGGGTGGTTCTTTGGCCAATGGAGTTATGTTCCAAGGGGGATTATGAATGCCTCTGCTGCTTCATTCAGGTTTTCAGAGAACTGGGGGAAGCCAGCAGTGACAGGCCTTACCCTGTTCCCATGGAGTCAGCAAGGCCAGTCTCACTCCTGCTGTGCCCCGCCCATCTGCACTGAGTTTATATCCATGCAGCCTCTGTGCAGGGCTGAGATCTTGCCCCAGGCTACAAGCTTCCTGACTGAGAAAGCAAGTAGGGGTCTCAGGCCTCGCCCCTCCCTGCCTGCCTGCACCATCCGCTGGAGCTTCTGTGCTCATTTCTGCACTTCATGTTCACCCTCCACCCCAGATTTTGTTCAGGAAAGTTCATGCTCAGTTGCAATTATTACCAAGTTCAACTAGGAGCTTCCTTTACCCTGTGGCCCCTCCCCAATTCTGCTAGCTGCCTTCCCTTCCCCAAGGACCTCTGTGAGGTAAGGCTAGGAATGGCTTCCCTGGACTCAAGCTGGTGACCAGGAGTGCCTACAGGGCTCTTTCTGCTGCTTTATCTACTTTTATATTTCACTCAGCTCCCTAAATCCCATCCAAGTACTAACCAGGCTGGATCTTGCTTAGCTTTTGAGATCAAACAAGATCAGGCACTTTCAGGGTGGTATGGCTATAGACTCAGCTCCTTAAATCCATTTCAGGTATAGGTAAGGTTAAATCCTTCCCTTGTGATCTGGATTTTTAGGTTCCCCAGTGGGAATGCATGTTCAGAGGCTGAATTTTCCCCCTCTAACAATTTAGGAACTCACAGTTTTCTGGCTGTCTCACAGCACTTGTAGCAGCAAGCAGCTGCTATAAAGGGTCTGTGAATTCTTTTGGTTTTCCTCATATGTTCCTATAGTGGTTATTGAAGCAAGAGTTCACAATGTAAGTCTTCAGATGCTGTTCTGTCTGTCCAAATGGGAGCTGCATGTTAGTCCTGTCTTCTGTCCATCATCCTCCCTACCCACCCATGTCTGATTTAAATGAGACTTTAGACTTTTCAGTTGATGCTGGAATGAGTTAAGATTTTGAGGCTATAGAGATGAAAATAACATATTTTGTATGTAAGACAGACTAAGTTTGAATGTTTGTTTCCTCTGAATATCAGATTGAAATTTAATTGCCTTGTAGAAATATTAAGAGGTTGGACTTTTAAGAGGTGATTAGACCAAGAAGACCGTGCCCTCATGAATAGATTAATGCCATTACTGTGGGGGTGAGTTCCACATCTTGGGATTGGGTTCCTTATGAAAGGATGTGCTTTTTTCCCTTTTGGCTCTCTCTCACCCTCTCTTTGCCCTTCTGCCATGGGATGACATAAGGCCATGGGATGCCTTTCTGCCATGGGATGACATGGGATTGAGGGGATGATTGGCCTGTCAATCTTGGACTTCCCAGCCTTCAGAGCCATGAGCCAATATGTTTCTATTCATTATAAATTACCCAGTCTGTGATATTTTTTTTAAGAGCAGTACAAAACAAACTAAGACAATGACTACTAAACTATCACTGTGATAAAATGTGTGCCTTCGTCTTTTTAAAAAATAATTTTAAATTGTGTAATGCTTTGGGTAATTTTTACTATATTGCTGAATCATCACATTAACCAATCAAGTATACATTTTTAAATAAAGACAAAATGGAAAGCCCTTATCACTGTGATGTTTTTCATCAAACGTATTTACAGATGGCTTATAAAAATTAGCATATGAAAAAGTTCTAATTCCTATTTAAAATGCACATAATTCTCAGCAGTAAGTGTTTTATATTCTGATAATAATTACTAGTCTTACTAATATTGAGTAATCTTAGTATTTAAAGCCAAGAAAACAGACATTTTTTCTTTCTATTTTAAAACTGATTCCATGCTGTTGTGAATCACTATTCAGAGAGAATTTTTGGTTTCCAAACATGTAATCTATAATCCTTAAAATTTATCATAATTTTAATCATAAACTCTGAAATTCAATTTTATTTCAGTATATCTTGGCAAAACAATGATAGATCTTAAGGTGCCGGAGATGTTTGTTTTTATACTGCCTTTATTTTAATGTTTCTTATTGTACATCATCCATTTTAAATTAAATTTATTTTTGAGGAAGGCAGAGATAAATAATAGATCTTTTCAGAGGTCTTGACAGTAGCACAGTATAGAAATGCCAATCCTGCTACAGATATAAATATTCACAATGAGTATAAAAATACACTTTTTGATTTTCCTGTTGGCTTCATGACATAGCCTTTGACCCTAAAAAGTAGGTTGTGGGGGGTGAGGAAGGGATATTGAAGAAGGATTTGTTAGCCTTATTCTTTTCTTGATTGTTTGCTGATTGAAAATTTGCCAAACTACATTTGCTTCAAGTATAAATGTTCTCTTTATGTTGCATTAGGTTATTTTCTATGTGTTGGCTACATCAGGAGAAATTTGGTAAACACAACAATGTCATAGAATAAACAAAAATGTTACTTTAAGCATCAGTGAGGGCTAGATAGTTCCGAAGAATAACCTGATGTTATATTGATTGTGTCAGTGCAGAAGATAGCATAGGGAGGAGTAATCATCTTGTAAGAATTATAATCATCGAATTTTTATGAAAGAAAATGGATGATAATTTATTATCAGGCCTCACCCCTCCCCACCTACCTGCACCATCTGCTGGAGCTTCTGTGTTCATACCTGCACTTCATGTTCACCCTCCACCCCAGATTTTGTTCAGAAAAGTTCATGCTCAGTTGCATAAAGCATATCATACTTTAAAATGATCAGACTTGAGAGGATATAATGAACTTTTACCAAAGGTAAAGACCTTTTGATTAGGTATTATTTTCTCCTTTTACATACACATCCTGTTAGCTGGATGTTTCTGCTCTACAAATGGCACAGAGGACTCTTTAATCACTCCACTTTTCAGAACAAGAGTAATTGGTATGTTCTTAGAAAGCACTGTTTAATAATGCTGATGTTAATCAATCATCCTGCTTTCAGTTATTCCTCATCTACAATTTCTGCCTTTATTTCACTGATAGAGCTGACATATTTTCATATTTTTATTGATTATCCTTGCCAATAAATTTTTCTTTTTTCTTGCCTCCTTAGTGGGCAGCAAATATCTCTTTTGTAAAAATTGTATCTTCTAGCCATGTTCCTCATATGACCCTTGAACTAGAAGTGTTATAATCCACTTTGACTGGTCATTATTTCTTTCTTTCTTTTTTTTTTTTTTTTTTTTTGATATGGAGTCTCGCTCTGTCACCAGGCTGGAGTGCAATGGCGTGATCTCGACTCACTGTGACCTCCACCTCCCAGATTCAAGTGATTCTTCTCCCTCAGCCTCCCAAGTATCTGGGATTACAGGTGCACACCACCATGCCCGGCAAATTTTTTGTATTTTTAGTAGAGAAGGGGTTTCACCATGTTAGCCAGGATTGTCTCAATCTCCTGACCTTGTGATCCGCCCATAGTCATTGTTTTTTAACTTACATTTCCTCTTCAGTATATAGCCTTATATTTATTACCTCTTCTTTTCTTTACCTGTTTACTTATTTCTAAGTGGGATATTTTACTAGAGTACCTTTTTTAGACAACAGGAAGCTTCTACACCTGTATAAAACTGCTACATATTGCATCATGTATTAAATATAAACTTTTTATCTCATCATCTACTAAATTTATGGAAAGAGGCAGAGTAGTATCACCGGGCATAAAGTCTTGGAAATCAAACAGACCTGAGTTTGAACTGAGTGAAAGTTTGGCACTTAGCTCTTTGATCTTGAGAATTCCACTTTAAAATTCTAAATCTTAGAGTTTCTTGGTATTGTTTATAAAATGAGAATAATTACAGTGATTTGACAGGCTGGCTCTGAAATCTAGAGGTAATGTATGAAACATTTGGTAAGAGCAGATTCTGAAATAATAATACCTATTTTCTTTGTTACCATATTAATTATTTTGTTATTATTATTTCAGCAATTACTTTCTGACAGAGCTAACTTTAAATGGTGTATTTTAAAATACATAATTAACTTTAGCCAGTGATATAACGTATCACTAACTTAATTCTTTTGGCCTTTGTTGATCTGTCTAGTTTATTGTAAAAGAGTGTCTCATTTTCTTTCTTTCTTTTTTTTTTTTGAGATGGAGTCTCGCTTTGTCACCTGGGCTGGAGTGCAATGGTGCAATCTTGGCTTACTGCAACCTCTGCCTTCTGGGTTCAAGTGATTCTCCTGCCTCAGCCTCCTGAGTAGCTGGGATTACAGGCGCCTCCCACCATCCCAGCCTAACTTTTGTATTTTTTAGTAGAGACAGAGTTTCACCATATTGGTCCGGCTGGTCTCAAACTGCTGACCTCATGTGATTCATCTGCTTCGGCCTCCAAAATTGCTGAGATTACAGAAATGAGCCACAGCACCTGGTCGACTTCTCTCTCTCTCTTTTTTTTTTTTTTTATAAGGGCATTAATTCCATCACAAGGACCCTACCCTCGTGATCTAATCTAATTCTATTACCTCTCAAAGGCCCTATCTCCAAATACTATTATATTTGGGGTTAAGATTTCAACATATGAATTGTATGGAACATAAACATTCAGTCCATAATATTCAATAAACTTGCTTTTGTCTATGCTGAGACAAAATTATAAAGTAGGATTGCTTTGGCCCATTTTATCATGGTCTCAGGGTAACCTTGTCTGAGGTTGTGTTCTGTTAGATAATATTTAATAGGAGAATATCATGGACTGCCCTTGAGTGTGAAACCAGTTTTTAAATGTTGAGGATACTCCTTTTTTTCCCCCTTTCTCAAAATAAATTAAAGCCTGAAATTCAGAATAAAACGTAGACTATTGTGGTGGTAAGTGTTCTTTACAAAAGACTTTATTTACTGTAATTTTTTTCCATCATGATGACTAGCAACTTATTAGTACAAAAAGCACCTTTGATATATAATATCTGGGAGAGTTTTCACTGAATTATAAAACAGAGACAAGTTTCTGCTTTTAACCATGATGGAATAGGAGAGACCAGATTAATATTCTGCTTAAAAAAACTCGTAGAAAATGAGAAAACATGAAACGGCAGTGTTGGAGAACTGGAGAGCAGGCTGCAAGGGGCTGTGGTCCATGAGGGAAGGGACACACGGGGTGATCTCTGTGAGTTTTCTCTGGTGTTTTCCAGAGGTGGTTTCCATGCTGAAGTACAGAGAAGGGTTCCCAACCAGAGACCAGCAGGCTTGCTAAGTTGAGGATACAGAGACTGGGGCTCAGGAAGCCTAGTGTGAAAATTAGTGGTGTAGGAGACCAGTGAGCAGGGAGCTACACAGAGAGCCCTAGAGACCTGCAGAGGCTTCCCCTAAAATCTTTGGCCGGACAATGATCTGCACGTGTCGGAGGAAACTACTTGTGGCTAGAAAAGAACCAGTAAAAATTCCTGGGCCAAAAACTTCCCAGAAATCACTCAGGGTGGGGAATACTTTGTGTTACTACCAGCTAGTGTGGAAAGACCTTGCTGCATAGCATTGGATGGAGCCCTCAGAAAGGTGTCACCTTAGTGGAAAGGCTATATGAGCCCTATTATGAAGATCATTCTGGGCTTGCTTTATAAAGCACAAAAGTAAACCTGAAAGGATCAAACCGATCCCAAGAAATGTAACTGTGTGGCAGAAAGTCCAATATTCTTTTTTTTTTTTTTTTTATGGAGTCTCACTCTGTCGCCAGGCCGGAGTGCAGCGGTGCCATCTTGGCTCACTGCAACCTCTGCCTCCCGGGTTCAAGTGATTCTCCTGCCTCAGCCTCCTGAGTAGCTGGGACTATAGGCACATGCCACCACGCCCAGCTAATTTTTGTATTTTTAGTAGAGACGAGATTTCACCATGTTGGTCAGGCTGGTCTCGATCTATTGACCTTGTGATCCACATGCCTTGGTCCCCCAAAGTGCTGGGATTATAGGCATAAGCCACTGCAACCAGCTGAAAGTCCAATATTCTTGAAAAAAAAAATAACAACATCTGCACCCAAGAAACTAAAAATCACAGTTTCCATCATCCAGTCAAAAATTACCAGGCAAGCACATCATACAAGAGTTACAAAATACAAGGTGCCAAAATGTGATACAACTGAAAAAAGAAATAAACAAATTCCACGCTCCTCTTTTAGTAACTGATAGAACAAGTAAACAGAAAGTAAGTATAAAGAAGACCTGAATAACAAAATCAACCAACTTGACCTAACTGATATTAATAGAGCACTACACCCAAAGCCAGAAGAATACACAACTTTTTCAACCACATAAGTATCATTCCCCGAGATAGATTATATTGTGGATTACATAATAAAGCTCAATAAATTTTAAAGGATTTAAGTCATATAAAATATATTTTCCTATCAAAACAGGATTAAACTAGAACACAATAGTAGATGTCATAAAAATTCTCAAATATTTAGACCTATTAAGTAATCAATGTGTCAAAGAAGACATTATAAGGAAAGTTAAATATCTCAAACAGAATAAGAACGAAAACTCAATATTCAGAAATTTTGGGGATATATCTAAAGCGAAAGTAGAAGTTAGATAGAAACTTATAAAATTAAATGGTGATATTTGGAATTAATAAAGACCTAAATCAGTGATGCAATCTTCTACCTTAAGAATCAGGACAAAAAATGGAGAATTGTATTCAAAGTAAGCAAAAGAAAGGAAACAATAGAGATAAGAGTTAAACCATAGAGAGAGAAACCAGAGAGATAACTGGTCCAGACTCAGTGGCTCACACCAGTAACCCCAGCACTTTGGGAGGCTGAGGTGTATGGATCACTTGAGGCCAGGAGTTCGAGACCAGCCTGGCCAACATGGAGAAATCCCATCTCTACTAAAAATACAAAATTTAGATGTCATGGTGGTGTGCACCTGTAGTCCCAGTACTCAGAAGACCTGAGAGGCGGAGGTTGAGATTGAGCCACTGCACTCCAGCCTGATTGACAGAGTGAGACTCTGTCTAAAAAAAAAAAAAGGTAGTAGATAACTGAACAACAATAGAGAGAAGTCAATAGAACAAATTATAGCTGAGAAGAGTAATAATATTGATAGACCTCAAGCTGAACTACCATAAAAAAGGAAGAAGATACATAATATCAAGAAGGGAGGCATCTCATTACAGATAATATGCATATTAAATGGATAAAGAGGAAGCATCCTGAAGAGTTTTATATTAGTAAATTTGACAACTTAATGAAATGAAAATATTTGTGAAAAATACAACTTATAAAGTTAACTCAAGAAGAGAGGATAAACTGCATAACTAAATCTTTTAAAGAAATCATATTTGAAGTTAAAGCTTTTCCAATTAAAAAAACAAAACAAAACAAAACTCTACACCCAAATGTCTTCACTGTTAAATTCTAACAAATATTTAAGAAACAAACAAATTCAATTCTGTACAAATTCTTACAGTGGGATAATTCTCAACTCATTTTATGAGTTAGAATTATTTTATGACACCAAAATCACAGACATAAGAAAAACCTTCAACATAACTATATTTCTCATTAAAATAAAGCAAAATCCCTTAACCAAATATTAGAAAATTGAGTTCAGCAATATAAGAAAAAGATAAAAATATATCATGCATAAGTAAGTTTAATTTTAGGAATGCAAGTTAGTTTATCATTCGAAAAACAAAAATGTAATTTATTATATTAACAGATTAAAAAATAAAAATAATAAAAACATCTCAATATATGCAGAAAAAGCATATGGAAAAATTTAATGTCCATTCATGACAGAAAACCTCTATCAAATTAAGAACAAATGAGAACTTCCTTAACCTGGTAAAAGACATCTAGGAAAGACCCTTGGTGAATTTCATACTCAGTGGTGAAAGACTGAATAACTCTTAAGGTGAAGAACAAGGAAAAGATGTCTGCTTACACGATTTCAACTCAGTATTTTATTGGAGATTCTAATGATTCTAATAAGGAAAGGAAAATAAATGGAAGGAATTCAGATTGGGAAGGAAGAAACAAAAAACATAAAACAAAAAGCAAAGACAAATACATTATTATTATTCACCACATAATTGCATGATTTTCCCCTTATTTTTGTTTAGTGGTTTATAGCAAGTCTTAAAATCAGACAGTAAAGTGTCTCCAACTTTGATTAATTAATTAATTTATTTATTTATTTGAGATAGAGTTTCGCTCTTGTTGCCCAGACTGTAGTGTACTGGCACGATCTCGGCTCATGCAACCTCCGCTTCCCAGATTCAAGTGATTCTCCTGCCTCAGCCTCCTGAGTAGCTGGGATTACAGACGCCCACCACCAGACTCGCCTAATTTTTTGTATTTTTAGTAGAGACGAGGTTTCATCATGTTGGCCAGCCTGGTCTCAAACTCTTGACCTCAGGTGATCCACCCGCCTCAGCCTCCCAAAGTGCTGGGATTACAGGCGTGAGCCACTGCACCCGGCCGATTTATTTTTAAAAATTGTTCACATTCTCAGATGTATTTTAGAATTAGATTGTCTATTTCTAATCATCCCCTCAGTCTGAAAAAAAAAAGCCCTCTGAATTCTGATTGAAACTATATTGAATCTATGGATCAGTTTGTTGGAATTTCTATCACCAAACACACTATAAATGTACAGACAAATGAAACGTGTTATTTTCTGGTAGAATTATACCAGAGCAAAAATTTTAGTTATCTAAATTGTTTGGAAAAATCAAAGTGCATGTTTGGCTGGAAACAGCATCCTGTGTATCTTGGGTAGAATCACTGGTGTCTCTTTCACAGAACCTCAGGGATACGAGGGCTGGAGAGCAGTTTTGGGCATTGCAATTTCACCGTATTCCCTGCACATCAGTAAACGTCTATTTGTAAGTACCTCTCTAGGAATAGCTCTATTCTGCATTATGCAATTCTTTGTAACAAGTTTGAGATACATTTGATGAGAAAATAGTAATACAATATTCTCTATTGTTAAGTTGTGAGAGCATCCTTTTCTGGGGCAGGATTGGCTGCATGTCATGCTAGCTGGAAGTGGTGTGGCTTTTCCGATCTATTCCATTCTGATTCCTCATTGATATTCCTTCTCATGAGTCTAACACTGGTAAAACCTCTTTTTTGGGCACCGCATGAAAAAAATAGGGTTTGAAGACCTTTCCCTCTTCTGTGCAATTCTAGATAAAACCCGTATGATGTAAAGAGCATAACTTACTTTGAAAATGCCCAAGTTTGTTCTTCAATAGGAAGCACATGTTAAAAACAGAGAAGTTCTCTGATATCCTTTGGGGGCTCTTCAAGGTTTCCAAGGAAAAGGCCCAGACACTCACACTGAGAAATAGGTCAGTGGAGGGGGTGGAACTGAACGTCCCTCTTCCCCCCTGTTGCTCTTTGCTTGCTCACAGGTACTTGTGACTGACTGGGATCACAGGGAGTTAGGGGACTCATGTCCAGCTTCAAGCAGTGCAGTTTTTAAAATGGCTAGAGGGGAGAATAAAATTTATAGGTCTGAATATGTTTTGAAGTGACTATGTAAGCAATTGCTGCCAATTTATATGTCTGAGTTTCTGATTAAGTTTCCTTTTCTAAGTCATGTTTTAAGAGGATAGGTGGAGATTAGTGAAAACTTTTGTCTTATCATGGTGCTCAGTAGTGTCCCCAGCCAGAGGGTGTCCAGCCTGCAGCATGTTAGAATCACCTGGGCACTGCCTGCCCACATTCACGGTGAATCAGAATCTCAGGAGGAGGGTGCTGGCATCAGTGGTTTTTTTCAAAGTTCCCCAAGAGACTCTAATGTGTGGTCAGGGTTAGGAATCATTATCTCTACCTTAAAGGTATTACATGTCCTAGAGATACTATCCGAGTCTTATCTGGGATTTATGTTTGCTTTTCTGTCTACAAACCTTGCCTAACAATCATCACCAGTATTTTATAAGCCCCATTATCTAAAGTCTGCCTTTATCTGGCATAAAAGCTGTGCCAGGCACCAGCCAATAAGCACGTTAGGTTTGGGCTTTAAATGGATTTTTATAAACATTGAGTTCAGGTACCTAAGAAATAGAAGTCGTGAAAATGTCATCTTCTTAACTTACTTTTCTGCACCTCAGAGCACGTTTGTTGCAAAAATCACTTTCTCAGACATTCATTTTTTATGTAATTGTGTGAAAACTGTTGGGGACCAGACCTCTTCAGTTCCATTTAGTGTTGCAGCAAATATTCATGTTTGCCAAGCATAAACCTTTGAAAATTGAATGAAATTTGTGATATATTACGAAGAAAGAAGAATCCAAAAGCTTAAAGAATAAATGCATTTAAAAAAAAAAAAAACTGAAAGACTTGGGATATTGAAAAAACTCGGTGCCACCCTGTCCTGGGCACTGTCGTGCCTGTTCCCTGGATGGTGTCATGCTCACTCTCTGGGCCCTCCCCATTCTCTTTTGCTTTTCCCCTCCACGCCTTCATTACCTTTTTCATTTCAGCCTAGGCTCAAGTTTTTCTTACCAAGAAAGCCCATTCTTGAGCCAACATTCCCGTTTAGCTACTGTTCTTTTTCTTCCCTTTGTGTATATAATTAAGCATACATTACACTGTAAGTGATAGAGAACTCAACCTCAACTTGCTTAAGAAAAAAACAAGGCCTCATAGTCTAGATGCAGACTTAGTACAAGGTTTTTTTCTCTCCATTTCCAGTTCCTGTGTCCTTGGTGTCAGCTTTATTCTCAAGCTCTATAACTGTATAAAAAGGTTGCTTCGGCTCTAGCCTCCTCGTTTTATCCCCATTCTTGTTCATTAAGATAGAACTTGGTACTCAAATATCCAGGAAAATTTCAGGTCCCGAGAGGGTGTAGCCCTGAGTGGACTGACTGGGATGGTCAGGTGCCTGTTGCTGGCCCGATCACCATGGCCAGGGGTCCACATGCTCTGGTTGCACTGAACTTAATCACTTGTTCCATCCCCCAAGTCCAGGGCTGGGGTCAGCTTTACACAGATCACAGAAGCTGGAAACGTGGTAAGAACTGTAGTCACAGTAAAAGAGAGCGAATGCAGGGAGGGGGGCAAGAGCAAATCTCCACTATACCTGTCTTGTGAGATTCTATAAGGACTAAGGAATATTCTTTTCTTTTTAAGGAAAATAAGAGAGGAAAGATGGGAGAAAGGAGAAAAAGAAAGAAGAAAAGAGAAGTCCATACCAGTTCTTCTCAAACTTTATTTTTATTTATTTATTTATTTATTTTTTTATTGATCATTCTTGGGTGTTTCTCGCAGAGGGGGATTTGGCAGGGTCATAGGACAATAGTGGAGGGAAGGTCAGCAGATAAACAAGTGAACAAAGGTCTCTGGTTTTCCTAGGCAGAGGACCCTGCGGCCTTCCGCAGTGTTTGTGTCCCTGGGTACTTAAGATTAGGGAGTGGTGATGACTCTTAACGAGCATGCTGCCTTCAAGCATCTGTTTAACAAAGCACATCTTGCACCGCCCTTAATCCATTTAACCCTGAGTGGACACAGCACATGTTTCAGAGAGCACAGGGTTGGGGATAAGGTCACAGATCAACAGGATCCCAAGGCAGAAGAATTTTTCTTAGTACAGAACAAAATGAAAAGTCTCCCATGTCTACTTCTATCCACACAGACCCGGCAACCATCCGATTTCTCAATTTTTTCCCCACCCTTCCCGCCTTTCTATTCCACAAAACCGCCATTGTCATCATGGCCCATCCCCAATGAGCCGCTGGGCACACCTCCCAGACGGGGTCCTGGCCGGGCAGAGAGGCTCCTCACTTCCCAGTAGGGGCGGCCGGGCAGAAGCGCCCCTCACCTCCCGGATGGGGCGGCTGGCCGGGCGGGGGGCTGACCCCCCCACCACCCTCCCGGACGGGGCGGCTGGCCAGGCAGAGGGGCTCCTCACTTCCCAGTAGGGGCGGCCGGGCAGAGGTGCCCCTCACCTCCTGGATAGGGCGGCTGGCCGGGCGGGGGGCTGACCCCCCCACCTCCCTCCCGGACGGGGCGGCTGGCCGGGCAGAGGGGTCCTCACTTCCTAGGGGCGGCCGGGCAGAGGCGCCCCTCACCTCCCGGACGGGGCGGCTGGCCAGGCGGGGGGCTGATCCCCCCACCTCCCTCCCGGACGGGGCGGCTGGCCGGGCGGGGGGCTGACCCCCCCACCTCCCTCCCGGACGGGGCGGCTGGCCGGGCGGGGGGCTGACCCCCCCACCTCCCTCCCGGACGGGGCGGCTGGCCGGGCAGAGGGGTCCTCACTTCCCAGTAGGGGCGGCCGGGCAGAGGCGCCCCTCACCTCCCGGACGGGGCGGCTGGCCAGTGGGGGCTGATCCCCCCACCTCCCTCCTGGACGGGGCGGCTGGCCGGGCGGGCTGACCCCCCCACCTCCCTCCTGGACGGGGCGGCTGGCCGGTGGGGGCTGATCCCCCCACCTCCTCCCGGACTGGGCGGCTGGCCGGGCGGGGGGCTGACCCCCCCACCTCCCTCCCGGACGGGGCGGCTGGCCGGGCAGAGGGGCTCCTCACTTCCCAGTAGGGGCGGCCGGGCAGAGGCGCCCCTCACCTCCCGGACTGGGCGGCTGGCCTGGCGGGGGCTGACCCCCCCCCACCTCCCTCCCGGACGGGGTGGCTGCCGGGCGTAGACGCTCCTCACTTCCCAGACGGGGTGGCTGCCGGACGGAGGGGCTCCTCACTTCTCAGACGGGGCGGTTGCCAGGCGGAGGGTTTCCTTACTTCTCAGACGGGGCGGCCGGGCAGAGACGCTCCTCACCTCCCAGACAGGGTTGTGGCCCAGCAGAGGCGCTCCTCACATCCCAGACAGGGCGGCGGGGCAGAGGTGCTCCCCACATCTCAGACATGGGCGGCCGGGCAGAGACACGCCTCACTTCCTAGATGGGATGGCGGCGGGGAAGAGGCGCTCCTCGCTTCCTAGATGGGATGGCGGCCGGGCAGAGACGCTCCTCACTTTCCAGACTGGGCAGCCAGGCAGAGAGGCTCCTCGTATCCCAGACGATGGGGGGCCAGGCAGAGACGCTCCTCACTTCCCAGACGGGGTGGCGGCTGGGCAGAGGCTGCAATCTTGGCACTTTAGGGGGCCAAGGCAGGCGGCTGGGAGGTGGAGGTTGTAGCGAGCCGAGATCACGCCACTGCACTCCAGCCTGGGCACCATTGAGCACTGAGTGAACGAGACTCCGTCTGCAATCCCGGCACCTCGGGAGGCCGAGGCTGGCGGATCACTCGCGGTTAGGAGCTGGAGACCAGCCCGGCCAACACAGCAAAACCCCGTCTCCACCAAAAAAAAAACGAAAACCAGTCAGGCGTGGCGGCGTCCGCAGGCACTCGGCAGGCTGAGGCAGGAGAATCAGGCAGGGAGGTTGCAGTGAGCCGAGATGGCAGCAGTACCGTCCAGCTTTGGCTCGGCATCAGAGGGAGACCGTGGAGGGAGAGGGAGAGGGAGGGGGAGGGGGAGGGGGAGGGAGAGGTCTTCTCAAACTTTAAACAGTGTATGAGGCTGGGCACAGTGGCTCATGACTGTAATCCCAACATTTTGGGAGGCCGAAGCAGGTGGATCACCTGAGGTCAGGAGTTCAAGACCAGCCTGGCCAACATGGTGAAACCCTGTGTCTACTAAAAATACAAAAATTAGCCAGGCGTGGTGGTGCATGCCTGTGATCCTAGCTACTCTGGAGGCTAAGGCAGGAGAATCACTTGAACCCAGGAGGCAGAGGTTGCAGTGAGCTGAGATTGCGCCACTGTGCTCCAGCCTGGGTGACAGGGCAAGACTCTGCCTCAAAAAATAAAAAAGTAAATAAATATAAATAAATAAACAGCATATGAATACTTGGTGATATTTTTTAAAAGAAGATTCTGATTCAGAAGTTGTAGTATGGGGCCATGTTTCTGCTTCTTGAATCAGCTTCTGGAGTTGCTGCTGTGGCTGTCAGGAGGCCACACTTTTTTTTCTTTTCCTTTTTTTCCTACTTGATTCAATTAGAATTGCATTCAATTTCACATTAAGCCAGAGTTGTGGCTTAATCAAAAAAGCGGTTCATTTATTTAATTCAACAAGATGTTTGGGTATAGGCATTTGGGAGTTAGTATGGTACCTCAATGATTACATCTGAGAACAAAGCTTATTCTATCATTTGTTTTAATATCTTTAGTGAAGGCTGCTCTGCATCCATGTTCCAGGGTAGTGAAAGGAGAAAATAGAAGAGACAGCACCAGAAGACTATGGCTAATATCTCGTTGGGGAGACTTTGTCAAAGAGACCACACTTTGAATTAGCAAGCTGTCTGAAGCCTTTACATTCTGCTTACATCTTTTCAATTGAACCTGCACCAATGACTTACCAAAGGAGAAGTTAAAAACCAAAAAGCAAACAAACAAACAAACAAACAAACTCAGAGATGCTACTCTCAGTTCTACTGAAATAGCAATAATAGTAATAACATCACACACTGGTGTCAGGCATCCTTGTTAGCAGTGTTTTTGTACACATTGTGGCATTAATGCTGTAGTAACTGTGAGGTAACCATTGCTGTCAGAAAGGTTGTAGAAGCAGCAGAGTCTCAGAGAGTTTCACCCACTCACACATTGTTGCACAGTTGGTGAACGGTACTGCCAAATGCAAACTGAAGTCTTTTGCTTTTGAGTTCTGGGTCTTCATGAGAATATCACTATATAATACTGTGAAAAATAACAGGCTTTGCTGTTTTAGCAATCTCTTTTTTTTCTTAATTCTGGCCACTGATTCTCAAGTGGTAAGTATAAAAGTTGTTTCTAGTGTCAGTGCCTCTAATGCGAAGGCTATTACTAAGCCAGCTTAAGAGAAGCATGCCTTGCATTAGTCATACTTACCTGCATTCTGCACCGTAGACAGACCAGACCCGCAACCTCAATTTATAATCTTGATCTACACAAGAAGCCATCACAACGATTTGCAAGCTGTTGTAGCAAAATTTAGTCAAGAGAAGGTATACATTAAACCGTGTTTGGGGAGTGTTCTTGCTTCTTGGGATGTCTGCAACTGAATGTGGATGATGACGGTGGGGGGAGCACTTCACCATTACTTTATGATTGGAGTTTGGCAATGGCCAAATCCTGTTTCTATACTTGAACTTGTGTGTTGTCTACTGTGGTGTGTGATGACAATCCACATCCTTTCTTTGAATGCCTTCCCTCTTCTATCACCTCCAAGACTTTTCAGATTCTCTCCACCATTCCTCACATCTCATCCCTATCTTCTTCACTTGACTTAAGCTCCTTCTTGCCCATAGATCTGTATAAGTTAGGGTTTACATACAACACAGCAGCAAAAAGCCCATCTCACAGTGTCTCATGCTCCATCTCTCTGCTGACCCAACAGAGCTCTGTGTTCATGCCTTACTTGCTATAGAATGCACCTACCTTCTCCCTGGGGACCGGCCTGAGCCCATCTCATTCAGGCCAGCAGCTGAGGGCCTGAGATCTCTGCACCATGCCATTCTCCACAGCTGCTCCAGATGTGGCCCTCAGGGGCTGATGGCTGGCGGACAGGTTATCCACTCCCCGGCTTCAGTATATGCTGTGGGCAGTGGGGCGGAGGGAGGAATAGAACAGGTTTAATAAGAGCCAAGCAAGCAAGCAAAGACTCGTTAGAGAACATGGAGATTTTGAAGGACACAGTCATCACTGGTCTACAATGCATGGCACATCCTGATGGGCAAAATTATAACTCCTTCCACTGGAATCAATTCCTTGGTTAAGCAATTTGGTAGCTCTAGACAGCTTTAGCTGACACACTTTTGGGGGCATTTGTTGGGGAGATTTTTCTGCCTGTAGACCTGGAAGTTTTAGCTGCCCTCTTCCTGTTAGTGTCAGATGAGAGGCTCACAGACTGCTTTAAAGTTTAAAAGTCACAGACAGTAACTTTCCGTATTTGGACTTTCTTGTGTTTACAATTCATTCATTTACTCACTCATTTATTCTTGTGCACATTCAAAATATTTACTGAGCATCTATTTTGTGCTAGGCATTTTCTTTCTAGGCACTGGAAATCAATCAGTGAATAAAAAACAAAGTACTGGCCTCAGGGTTCTTCCTTTTTAGGAAGGAGAGAGAAATAAAGGAACACATTAATATGTGCAGCAGCAGAAAGAGAGTTGTAGCTACTGGGAAATGGTGCAAGGGTGGGATGTGGTGTTAAATAGGGTGTAGGGAAGCCCTCACAGCAGGACTGAGGCCTGGAGGGAGCGAAGGAGCCTCAGGAACAGAGCACTACACGCAGAGTGTGAGCGCAGAGGCCACAGGTCGGAGCTAACTAGGCACTGTGTGTTTAAGGAAAAGCAGGGAGCTGGTTGGGCAGATGTGCTGTACTGGGGTGAGTGGAGAGCCGCAGAGACACCTGAGCAGCAGTGGGCAGTCCGGGTGGTCATGGCAGCAACGTTGGCTCTACTTTGAGCAGGAGAAATATACTGGGGATTTCCAGCTGAGCAATGACAGATCTGATTTATGTTTGAAAGGATCATTCTGGCTGCTTTGATCTATTTAGAAGAGAGAAGGAGGAAGACTAGAGGCCAGGGACCTGGAGGAGCAGCGGAGAACTGTTTCTACTGTGGATTTAGGTTGAAGGTAAGGAAGACAGATGTCATGAACAAATGGATTTATAAGGTGAGCAAAAAGGAGAAGAGAAGAACTTAGAAATCACTCGCTAGATCCCTTTTTGCCGCTAGGTATACTCTCCCTAATCCATCTCATCCATCTTTTGAATTTAAATTGTATCCATACAATGATGACTCTCAAATATTGGTCTCCCAACTAGACCTCTGCCATGAACTCCAGATGCACACACCCAGCTGCCAACCCCACATCTCCCCTTGATCATCTGATAGTCTATCTGCTTTATCTTCAACCTATATCCACAAGAACTCCAAAGCTCTTGGCCTAGATGAGTGCTTCCTCACAGGAGAGTTGAGGAAGTTGCCTCCCTAGGGATCATTTAACAATGCTGATGCATTTTTGGTTGTACAGCTGGGGAAGGGGGATTGCTATAGGCATCTTGTAAGTAGAGGCCAGGGATGCTGCTACACTTCTTACCAAGCATGGGACAGCCCCTCACAAACATCCATAGTGCCTGGCCTAGAAGAAGAGTTTTCGTGTACCAAGATGTGGAAGAATGGAAGGGGTGTGGTTGTGGGGAGAGACTGGGAACTCAGGTTGGACAGGTTAGGCTGCAGGTGGCTATCAGATGTTTAGGGGCAGGTAGCTGGCTGTGTGCATCTGGAGTTCACAGTAGAAGTCTTCTTGGGAGATCAATATTTGGGAGTCATCATTGTGTGGATACAATTTAAATTCAAAGGATGGATGAGATGGGTTAGGGAGAGTGTACCCAGTGGAAGAAAGAGATTTAATGTTTGAATCCCAATTCACCCAGACATCTGGAGATCGAGAGGTAAGAATGAAACAGCAAAAGAGACTTAGAAAAGGCAAATGAAATTACAAGGTCCTAGGGGAGGCTTCCCAGAGCCCAACAAGCAATACTTTTAGGTCTTCAGGAGTAATAACCTGTGGGCAATGCTGTTGATAAGTCAAGTAAGATGATGGTGGAAGCAGCATTTGACTTTGCAAACTAGTTACCCATTACTATTGCTCCAGGTGCAAACATGGAGGCAGAAGCCCAGTTGGATTAGCATCCAGAAAGACAGTGAGTGGGAGAAGGGATAAGAGGGAGTGACGATGGGTAACATATCCAGAGGAAATGAAAATGCCCATAATCCCCAAACTCTGACAAATATTTTTGTGTACTTCTTTTTCATCTTGCTTGTGTATATACAACTGGGATGTGATTGACGTTAAAGTATCTATGTAGTGCTGATGCTGGGCTTTTTAAAAAACCTGACATCGTCCATAATGTTTATAACTGTATAACAATATACAGATTTGTAACTATATTCGTTCCCATAACAAATCACCACAACCATAGCATCTTAAACAATACAAATTAGTTGTTTTACATTTCCATGGGTCAGAATTTCCATGTGGGTCTTGCCTGGCTAAATCTAAGTGTCAGCATGGGTGTGCTCCTTTCTGGATGCTTTAGGGGATAATTCGCTTCCTACTCACTTGCGTTGTGGGCAGAATTCAGTTTCTTGCGGTTGTGGAAGCTGTAAAAACCCAATTTCTAGAGGTTGCTGGCAGTCGTGGGCCTGCAGTCCCATTTCCAGCTTCAAAACCAGCAAGAGTAAAGTGAGTCCCTCCCATGATCTGAGTCTCTGCCCTTTTCCTCTGCCACATCTCCCTGATGGGCTCTTCTGCCCCCTTTTCCACTTTTAAGAACTGGTGTGATTAGATTGGACCTACCCAGATAATCCAAGATAATCTCTCATTTCAAAGCTCTTAATCTTAATCACGTCTGCAAAGTCCCTTTTGTCATGGAATGTAACACAATCAGGTTTGGAGATTAAGGCATTTACATCTTTGAGGGGCTGTCTATAACAACATTAAACATGTAACACAATTTAATGGCTGTATATTTTATTAACTATATGAATGTGCTATAATTCATTTTAAACATTTATAATTCATATAAAACATTTTAAACATTTAAACATTTTAAACATATATTGGGCATCTGCGCATTTTTAAATTTTGCAAATAGCACTATGGTGAACACACTTTTTGTCTTCAGTTTTTGTTATATCCTTAAGTGAAATTATTTGCATCTTTATGACACTAGCTGGTAGAACTTGTTTCTTGATTTTCTGCATCCCTGAGTCACCTTCTCAGCTGCCAGGAGAAGCGGGGTCTGTTGTTTTCAGTCTCATGGTAATTGTATAAATAACTTAAGGATGAGTCAAGTGACCATTTTTATTAATATTTGAATCCTCTCCTGGTTGTAATATTGCAATGGCCCTCTGATTAATTCTGATACCTTTGGTTTCTTCTTTTTCCAAATTATCTTACACACAAACTACTAGATTAGACAGATGAGGAAACTGGGGCACATTGAGGTTAAACTCCTTGGCCAAGCACAAACAGCCAGTAAGTGTTGGAGCCAGGACTGGAACCCAGGAGCTGGGCCCCGGATCCACACTCCTAACCTCCAAGCAAGCTTCCTTTTCTCCATATTTTCCCTGACTGATTCTCTCTTCAAGGCTAAGTACAAGTAACCTCTGTCTCTCCATCATGGATTCCCACTGTTGCACCCTCTGCACAATTTCATGATGGCAACTCTAGCCTTCCTTCACACTCCTGCAGATGGTTCTCTCTCCTACATGTAGGTTATAAGGATTATGAGATCCAGACCTGTGTTGGCAATCACTACCATTACTGCCTGCAGCTCACTTTAAGTATTTACACTTAGAAAAGTCATACCACTTAGACAGCTGTTCTGAGCCCTGGGCCATAACATCTCCTGTGGATAATAATACTCACCTCACAGGGTTGTTGTAGAACAAATCGGATACTTCATATAAAGCAGCTGGAACAGTGTTTGGCAACCATGAAATGCCACAACCTGTTTGCTCTCCTTGTCATTCTGGTGGAGGTCTACAATGAGGAGTGAATATTTACCAGGTGTGGATTGGAATTTGAGGGTAGAAGGCAGGTAAAATGAGCCTATCAAGCAAATGGAAATATGAGGTGGCAGGGAGCAAACGTGCTAAATCATGAAAACACGGCAGGTAGGGAACTGAAACAACATCCTCGCAGGAGGTAGGAAGGGGGTGTGTGAAGGCAAGAACCCATGTAGGTAGGTCCCAGCTCATTGTGGGTCTTCTATGGCAAGCTCAGGTGTCTGGCTGATCAGGAGGACAGACTTTCATTTTGGGAAGATATTCTGGCAACTCTTCAAGAAATAGGCTGCATGCATCCAAACTGAGAGGCAGGAAAATAAAAGCTTTTTAAAAATGAGTCAAATTGAAGACCCTTGCAGTGGGGAAGGGAAAGAGGTATATGAAGAAGGTAGAAGCCACAGAAGCAGATGGCTGAGTGGGAAGGAGGGTGAAGAGAGGCTCATGGTTGACCAGGTGAATGATGGTTATTCCCAGGGCGGAGCACAGAGGGGGCTGGCCGGAGGAAGCATTGCTGTGCCAATGTGAAAGTGCCTGCCGGACACCCAGGTGGAGATGTCTGGTAGGCAGCAGGAGATGCAGGGCTGACCTGGAAGAATAAATGGAAAGTCATCAGGATAGAGAGGTAATGGTGGTCCAGGCACTCTCTGAGGTGACCTGGTCATTATTAGCAACAGCATCTTTAAATTCCCACTCCATGCCAAATGCCCCTCACATCACATCACATGTTAGGAAAGAACATATTCGATCAGAGGGATGTGTTGTGTGCCTGGGAATGCAGAGCTTCAGTGACAGGAAGAACAATTATTTAGTGACAGAAATACAGAGGCAGGAGGAGGTTGGATGGAGAGACGATAAAATAGCTCTCCTTAGCTTTTATACCCCAAATGGAAACTTTCCTTAACTGCTGGACATTTTTTCTCACATCGCTTCTAGATGGCTGTATAACCTCAGCTACCATCTGTCACATAACCTTTAGACACTATTGGCTTCATATGTTGAATATCAACATTGGCACTGACCTCGTAGGCTGTCTCACAAAATGAAATTTAAAAAAAAAAGAAAAAAAAACAGATCAGCTACTTAGTGGTACGGGAAGATTTCTCACTCTGAAACAGAGCTGTTTCTGTTGCTGATATGCTCTGTTATGCCGTCTGTGCCCTGAAGGTGGCACTGTTAACTCGCAATACCTGCCTCGCCAGCCCCATGCCCAGCTGCAGAGACCAAGAATGCGTCCACCTGTCTGTCCTGGATGATCCAGGACTCCTGTGATTGACACACACACATTGGGAACATTCTGAGGACAGATTATAGTAAAATGATGGCATTTCAGTGACATTTTCATTTCGGTGAGGGGGAAAAAACTATACATGCAAAAAATTTCAGATGGAAAAATTTCTGCAGTTTCAGCAGCATTTCCCCCTAACAAGAACCGTATGAGTGAGCATGCCATTTGACACACAGCGCAGTATTCTGGGTTGGGTTTTCCTCTTTCTTATTTGCCACAACTCCGTTCAACCAGTGTTTGTGTCTTTAGGGCAAATATGTGGGAGGGTTCACCATGGAGTTCTGGCCTGCACATTTCCTGGGTGACGAGCTGTCCCCTGGTCCTGCTGTCTGCTTGCCATCATCGCGACCGCTGACCACGGACATGCCCTGGTTCCTTCAGTGCTCAGGGGTTGCTCTGCTAAGAGGACAGACAGGCTGCCAGAATCTTCCCTGAGCCAGGATCACTGGTTTTAGGGTTTTTTATTTTTATTTTTATTTATAGCATCAGACTCACCACACTAGAATGTTTTTTATTTTGTCCAGCATTTTGGACTAGGCTGATGCTTTTAACTGGGACTTGATTTTCCTTCTGTCTCCATGTTAGAACTTTGTTTACCAAAACGGAGGAGGGAAAAGAGATGTTATATTAAGTTGGAGACACGTTTCTGAATGTGTGTGATTACAGATAGAGAGCGAAGCAGACCGAGGGGCAGTGACAAATGTTACACGTGGTAATTACTGGACAGTTGGGTTTTTAGGGTTTGTTAATGCACTTTTCTGTATCGTTTGAATTTTTCTTAACCCATTTATCATTTTAACAGCTTTGTTGAACAGCTATAATTTACATACCATAAAATCTACCCATTTAAAGAATATGTAATCTTCACAAAAATGACAATGCCATTAGAAATCATGAGCGGGTCAGAGGAAAAGTAAATAAGGCTTTGCAGAGCTTTCCTGCACTTTTCCTGTTGTGGGGAAAGTGATGTGTGAAGATTTTAAAGAGATTTTTTTTTTTTAAATAAAGGTGACACATAAACTTAGCTAGCAATTTTTAAAAATGGAGAAGCAGTGTTTGCTTTAAAATTGTTCTTCCTTCCTGTTAGTTCTCAGTCTTCTGGGATGGCGCATCATCAGGAAGAGTTCAACACACCCCTGTTCCAGCAAGGCGAGGGTGTATGAGTCAACAGTTTTAGTGTTTTCTAGGTTGGTTTGGAACTTTTGCATTTCTAACCTTAAGCTTGTTCAAAGATTCCAGAAATCTCAAGATTGCAGTATTGGGTTGGAAAACTCCCAAGAGCAATTTCCTCTGAAATTGTGCTGTTTCTATTTCAGTAGAACAGTGACCACAGAAGAGAATTTGATGATTTCCCATTCTGTAACTAGGCACACACAAAAAGTAAAAGATGCATTTTCCTGACACATTCAAACTGTTCAAAAGATACCTTTTGAAAGATAAGTAAAAAATTAATTGAGAAGTACTTATTTTATAGAAATCTTTTTTTTTAGTTAATGGTGGCATCATAAGAAAAGTTTCACATCTAAAATAAAAACTGAATTTTATACATTTATGTTTTGTGCTTCACTCCATATTAGGTGGAAAGATTTGCCTAAATTTTGAGATTTGTGATGGTATTTCACAAAGCTTAGAAAAAGAGATTTAGGAAGTGGTTTTTGAAAGCTATTATAACTGTTTAAATGTATTGCCCTTTTAGAGAAAAAGGAGGCTACCAAGCCAATTGCCAATGACATGCCAGCCATAAAAATTTATTTCCAAGTTCTACAACATGTTTCTCAGCAAGAACTTTAATTTTAACTTTAATTTAATAAGATCTACTATTTATTGTATACCTATTATGTGCTTTGAAGTTATCTGTTTTCATTACAAGAAAACAGCTTTTCAGAGGATGAAAACAACTAGATGTCATGTTAGGGAGCGTATGTAACAATGTGTCATAACAGGATTGTATTTAAAACTAGGTCATATATCAGGTATGACTCCATCATAATCCCTTGGGTGCCATGAGGAACCGAGGTGGCAAATCCCTGTGGACAAGCCCATCGTATGGGTGGTGCCACACAGGCAGTGGGGTGCCCAGATCCTGCTGCAGAGGCCCCAGTTACATGCTTAAAGCATTTATTAAAGGGATTGATCTTGACACAGTTGAGACATGATTCTAACTTTTTTCCCCATCGGTCTCTTTAAACATCATGGAGATTTTCCTTTTCCAGCCCTGATTTCATCTCTGAAAGATCAGAGAATTCTCTGATTTCTTTCAGGGATTAAAAAAGAAATCTTGCCTGGTCTAGTTCAATTTTGAATCAATTAATATTCTTCTGTCATTGCTCAGGCTCACCCCTGGGCCTGAGGGACCTCCTGTACAAAGGGGAAGATCATGCTTGCCAACCTTAAAGTAAAAGTATGGGAGCCTCCATGATAGCAACTACAAAAGCAGGTGCAGTTTGCAGTAATACTGGGTTCCTGGGATGATGTTAACTTTCATTTTCCTGAAAGCATTTTCATATCATGCTGGAAGGGACATTGGGCATCATCTAGCTGAATTCTTCTGTGTTTTCTTTGTTTTGTTTTTCAGTTGATACACTTAAGAGCTAAATGTTGAAAAAGAACTAGATATTTGAGACAGAACTGAATTTCTCAAAATCACAAGATAAGTTAGTAGCAGAACACAATTAGAATTCAGGTTTTTAGACCACAAGTCAGTGATTTTCCCATATGCCACAGATTGTTGGCTATGTTGATGGGATACACAACTTGCATAGAGAGAAAATTTTATTTTCCAAATGTAGTTTACAGCTGTTATTACCAAAAGCATATTAGTAAATAATAAAAGTGGAAAAATCTTATAGATGTTTAACAACATTATATCATAAGTGAGAATATTTTTATATCTATATCACTTAAAAATCCTACTATCTTAATCGACTTTTCATATACTATTTCTTTAGACACATCATAGATATTTAACTGTGCTCCTCTTACGCTCTGTTTTTCTTAAACCGCAGGATACTTGGCTGGTTTTTTAATGATAGGTTAAAATAGAATATATACAATTTTAAACTATCATTAAAATAGTTATCTTTCTCTTTTGGTGAAGCTTGATTTCATAAAAAGATATCACTGTTGTAGGTAATTCCATCTCTAGGTAAAGAAACTATATCAGTTAATGGTCTTAAGTTTCCCACAAAGATAAAGTATTTTATTAAATGGAAAGAGACTTCTATTACATTCTCTGTTTTTTTTTTGTTTGTTTGTTTTTTGTTTTTGTTTTTGTTTTGAGATGGATTTCACTCTTGTTGCCCAGGCTAGAGTTCAATGGCACGATCTTGGCTCACTGCAACCTCTGCCTCCTGAGTTCAAGCGATTCTCCTGCCTCAGCCTCCCTAGTAGCTGGGATTACAGGCATGCACCACAATGCCCAGGTAATTTTTGTAGTTTTAGTAGAGATGGGGTTTCATCATGTTGGCCAGGCTGGTCTTGACCTCCTGACCTCAGGTGATCCACCCACTTCGGCCCCCCAAAGTGCTGGGATTACAGGCGAGAGCCACCGCCCCGGCCTTACATTCTCTTATAAGGCCAATTACAATAGAAGAAAATGGACATATTATATTTTCAATGGAAAATGAACTTCTCTGGTAGTTTGTTCTAGTTTCCTCTACTCTACTATAAGTTTTTCAATAAGTCCTTTAATGCTGGAGCTCAGCGTGCCAGTCTGCCTGTGGGGCATGGTCATCTTCTCATTTAGACCCATGCTCATTTCATAACTCATTCCACAGACCTGACCCGATGGCAGTTAAAACAGAGAACCCAGAACAAGAGGGACTACAAATACCTTTTTACAGATTTACTAAATAGTTTCTCTTATTTTTGATGATCTTTTTCTGAAAAACATCACTTAGAATATATTATTCCTTCCTATTTGATTCCCATTCCATATAGTCCAGGTTCAATCAACTTGTTAGTTTTAAAGTTTGCACTGTATTTCCTTTTCTCATTAGAATTTTAGAGAACTTAAAAATAAGAAAAATAAAAGATTATTCTCTCAATTTTTTGTATGATGTTCATTCCTTGTTTGTATAGATCCCAGTTTCTGACCTATTGCATTTCTTTCTGCCGGAAGAATTTTCTTAGTTATGTTTATTTTGCCTCAGTTTTTGTTTGTCTGAGAAAGTCTATTTCTCTTTCACCTTTGAAGTCAACTTCACTGGGTGTAGAATTCTAGATTGGCAGTTTTTCCCTTTTAGTATTTTAAATAATTCACTCTGTTTTCTTTCTGCTTGCATGGTTTCTAATGAGAAGTTCAGTGTAATTCTTATCCTTGTTCCTCTGTAGATAAGTTTATCTTTTTTTCTTTTTTCTTTCCTTTTGACTGACTTCAAGGATATCTCTTTGTCTTTGTTTTTCTGCAGTTTGAATATGTCATGCATAGATGCAGTTTTTGGTATTTATCTTGCTTGGTGTTTCTAAGCTCCTCAGAGTTTTAGCTTGATATTTGAATTTTGGAAACTTTTATTTCCTTTATTGCTTCTATAAAAAAGCCATTGTTTATTTCTTTAAATATTTATTCTGCCAGTTTCTGTTTTTAACTAGGTACACATCACAACTTTTGCCATTTTCCCACATTTCTTGGATATCTGTTTATTATTATTATTTTAATTCAGTTCTCTTTGAGTCAACTTTTGTTGACTTTTTTCAAGTTAGCTACTCTTTACTCAACTATGTCAAATATGCTAATGAGGCTGGAGCATTTTTGTTGCTATTGTTTTTGAGTTAAAATATTTTCTTTTTTTTTATAGTTTCCATCTCTCTGAGATTATCTATCTAGTCTTATAAGTCATTTACTTTTTCCAGTAAAGACTTTTTTATTTTTATATTTTTAGAGACAGAGTCTCATTCTGTCACTCAGACTACAGTGCAGTGATGCAATCACAGCACACTGTAGCCTCATACTCCTGGGCTCAAGCGATCTTTCCACCTCATCCTCCCAGGTAGCTGGGACTGCAGGCAGGAATACAATGCCTGGCTAATATTTTAATTTTTTTTTGCAGAAACGGGGTCATGCTATGTGCTCTGTTGCCCGGGCTGGTGTCAAACTCCTGGCGTCTAGCAATCCTCCCAACTCCGCCTCCTCCCACCCAGCCGAAGTGCTGGGATTACAGTCATGAGCCAGGGCACCTGGCCTAGTTATAGTTTTTTTAAATTCCCTGTATGATAAATGTCAACATCTTGGTCATGTTGGGTCTGGTTCTGGTGATTGCTTTGTTTCTTCGGAATGTTTGCGTTTTTATGACTTTTGGTATGCCTCTAAGTTTTTTTTTTGTTCGAGGGCCAGGAGTGTTGAGCAAGGCAGCAGGTGCTGAGGTATGCAGGCTTCAGTGTGAGGATTTGCATTGCTCTGCAGGAGCTGGGCAATGTGAAGTTTGTTGGCTGTGAGGGCAGGAGAGTCTCCCGTTTCTTCTGGTGCACCTTGTTTCGCCTCCCCTTTCGGGTTTGGCCTTTGTGATGCTCCTTAGAGCTTTTCTCACTCTGACCCATAGTTCCTGTTCCTGGAGCTTTATTAGCATAGGTGGGAGGACATGGTGGGTGGCCGTCCTCGGATCTTCCGAGGAGATTTGGGTCCTCTGGGTGCATGGCGGGCCTATGTCTCCAGGGTGTGGCTCTCCCGCGTTTCCGTCCCTCCTCCTGGTGCGGCGTGGAGTGATTGGCCCCAGTCACTTCCCTGCCCCAGTCCCTTCCCCGCAGCCAGGTTCCAGTCCACATATTCAAAGCGCTCGCCCCTTCTAGAGGGATGGTTTCTTTTCTTTCTTTTACTTATTTTTCTGAGGGAAAACAGAAGCTAGAGTTGGGTTGAAGAGGGGCAGATAGGGCGGGATTTCACTATTGCCCTCTGGCCGTGTTCTTCCCAAGGTTGAGACTTTAATTCTGTGAGGGAGCAGGGCCTGGGCAGACAGCACTGTGATAATTCTTTCCCTTTCCCTGCCGCGTGGGAGGGAAGCTCCCACAGATTCCCCGGCATTCTTTCTGTGGGTCTCAGTGAACTCCTTCCTGGAGGAAAAGCCGGCAGATACCCACAACCGCAGTCCACACTTGGACGCCAGCAACTCCTCCAAATTCCCACCTTGTTGTTCCCCCTAGACTGTTGCATCCTGCGGTGTTCCGCTCTAGGTAAGCAAATCTCAGGTGGTTTTTTTCTGCCTGAAGGTGCCTGTCTTTTCAGATTTAGGGATGGCTCACTGCTCTGAGACCTCAGTTCTCTGGTGGGTCCAAAAAAAGTAGTTATTTTCTTTTCGTTGAACTTGTTTTTATTGTAAGGACAGGAATCCTGACTTCCAGTCTCTTGGGATGCCCCAATCTCTCATTATTGTTTACCCCTTGAGAGAATTCACCCTTTCGGCACTTACACAACCATTGCAGTTTTTGTTATTGATGAACTCTCTTGCTTTATTTTTTGATGAACTCAGTCTTGAGATGTGTGTAGCCATTCCAGCTTGAGCCCTTCCATATGATAAGCAATTTATCTTTCCTCCTCTTTCTCCTCTTCCTTGTTTTCTTTTTCTCCATTTTCTTCAGGAAGCTTTGTTTTTTTTTAAGATGGTGTCTCACTCTGTTGCCCAGGCCGGAGTGCAGTGGTGCAAAGTCTGCTCGCTGCAACCTCTACCTCCCAGGTTCAAGCAATTCTCCTGTCTCAGTCTCCCAAGTACCTGGGATTATAGGCGCACACCACCACGCCTGGCTAATTTTTAGTAGAGATGGGGTTTCATCATGTTGGCCAGGCTGGTCTTGAACTTCTGACCTTAGGTGATCTGCCTGCCTCAGCCTCCCAAGTTCTGGGATTACAGGGGTGAGCCACCGCACCCGGCCTTCTTCAGGAAATTCTTGATCACTCTTGTACTTAGATATTATTTATATGTTAGTTTTGTTCTACATATCCAATCTAGATTTTTATCTTACTTTAATTTTTTATCCTACCATCACAGAATTAAAACTACCAATGACAATTTTTACTTGTATTTCTTCTCAAATTCTCAAAATAAGAAAAATCCATCTTATGTCAGTACTTTCACTTTCCTAATGGCCAAATCCATTTCCTATCCCAAAGTTTCCACTACTGTTTTAAAAAATTTCTGACCAAAATCCTGGAGTCCTTGTTTATTTCCTGTCCCTTTTGTCTTTCATATTAGCCTTTAATTATTTCCTTCCTCCCACCCCTTCTTCCTTCACTTGTGCCTCTCTTCATTAGGTGACATCTGCAATTATCACCTCCCAGGTTTTTCTGCTACCATCATTTCTCCTATCGAGCCCATTCTTTGTGTCTCTGTCAGACTCATCCTCAGCCACTTTCTTTCTCATTAATATGTAATTGCTGCATGTCTCCTACAGTGATGAAATCAGATTCTCTCCCTCTCATTCTCAGGGTGCAGTGTAATCTAACCTGTCAGTCACCTCCTCCTTTTTCTGCAGTGCAGTGAATCCTCTAGTGAGGTTAGCATTATTTTCTGCTATGATTTATGCTATTTTCCCATCACTGACCTCATTCTCATGTTCCTGCCTCTGTAAGAGTTTCTCAGGACACAAATCAAGATTACATTAACATCTTACCTGACAACTTCAGTCCATAGTGATCTCTACCAATGAAAACACTCAGCTGTATTCCACAGTTTTGAGCATATTATATGTTCTATGCTTGTATGCATATGTATATATATATATGCATATGTTTTATGCTGTGATTGTTTAATGTGCATAGGTTTGATGTGCATAGAAACACTTGATTCTCCCAAGTATTGTGTGCTCCTTGAGAACAGGGACTCTGGCAGTCTTGGCCCAAGAATCAGTGACATGTGCCCAGATGGAGCTCCAGGAGCTCTTATAGGCCAGTTGGAAATTCAGCATTGGAATCCGTCTGTGGGTTTACAGAAGTCCTCACAGAAGTTCTTATTCAGTAGGTATGAGAGTTAGCCATTTCCTTTTTATTTGTGCTTCAAAAAGATTAACATGTTAAACAAGTCTATGATAAAAACAAAACAAGATACACTGACCCTGACGTTAGGAAGAACACTGTGAAGAAACAGTAGCCTTAAAGAGGTTTGTTAGAGACACAGCCTTGCTATTATATGAAGATAAATTAAGGAACTAACTACACCAAACAGAAGCAATCTGTTAAAGTCAGCATTAATCACACCGAAAAGTACGTTTCATTTGATTTTACACCCAACTATAAAGAAATAGAGTGGAGAACAAAAACAACTCTTTGCCTTTAGCTGTTAATTTAGAAGGGCTAAAAAAATAGTCATTAATATTTTATTGATTAGATGCTGATCTTCACAAACAGGAAGCAACAGTTACAATGTACTAGATTGCAATTAATCTCGGCTCTCCCTCTGAAGCTAGTTGAAAGCTTGTCACCAGTTAGGAAAAAGAACAAGATCATATAAAATTATCCCTTGATAAAACATATAAGAGGCAATTACACATATAATAGTGTTATCACTCATCTTTGATGTGCCATAGAATGCTAGTATGATACATTTTATTTTGCACTGGCATTTTAGAAATAACAAATCTACTGCTCTGGCAAAGAAGCTAGACCAAGTCTTAGAAAGCATGAGCAAGACATAGTCAATTGTGTCTACAATGGATAGGAAAAGGTTCTATTACTATTTTAGCACCCTGAGCATTATTATATATACCATTATTATTGGTTTTAAACTTGAGTACAGTAAAAGCACTTTGCACAGTATACACTAATATTTTCTTCAGAAAGTACTTCAATATATTTTCGTATATTTTGATTATGATATGGCATCTATATTTCATTGCTATAAAACAATGGTTTTCTATTAGAGTTTTGTGTAAGAATCACCTGGAGAATTTCTGAAAAATAACACTGCCTGGGTATCACCCAGCCCAATGAAATCAGAATCTCTCAGGGTGGATACTTGATACAAAATCTAAAAAATCTAGATTTTTTAAAAAAGTTATCCGGGCAAATATAATATTCAATCAGAGCTGAGCATCCGTAGTGAAAGGTTACAATGAATTGAAATAAATCATTACTAGTGTTCTACTTATTTGTTTTATACTTTTCCTGAAAAGAAAGTAAAAGGAAGAATATACAGAACATGCTAAAATGAAATAAAAGGTGGATAATTAGAACTTCTGATAATTGGGGTTAATAATAAATAGGAATTAATAGTGTCAAGCTCTATGGCTTGCTAGCTTCTAATTCTTTTATTTATCAGGCTTTGGTGTTGAAGTAGGACCTCAGAGGCATTTTAACTCTTTTAGGCAGGGAGCATCTATTAAATGCATAATTTATACATCTTAATTGGTCCCTAGTGTCAGGAAACAGTTAAAGGGGCCCTGGCAGCATTTTACTACCAAGGAATGATTTACGATGTAGCCAATGGCAAGAACAGAAAGGACTGTGTGACTTGAGGCAAGTTATATCATTTCTTTGTATGTCTCATCTCATTCTGGCAGATGAGAATAATATAGCACTCTCTAGAAAATGCTAATATTGTAAAACTAATTTCGTCTAGAAATATACTGGGATAGAATGTCGATTTAAAGTAAAATAAAGCGCCATCAACAAACCCTAATTACTTATCATGGTGGATTTTCTGACTATCAATCCTCTTACTTTGAAGGAGAAATACAAATGAAAGTATATTCTTGGAAAGGCTGTAATTTGTGTCTGTCAAAGCCAAGATACTCACAGACGCCCAGGCTTAAATACCAGTTTATCTGCTCTACAGCCCAAGTGAAAATTAACTTCTTTCTAGAGTTGACTTGAATTTGTGTTTCTAATCAAAAGTGGCTGTGCTATATTTTCACAATCAGGGCTCTGCTTTTCACCATGCATATTTTACATAAATTGAATAGAAGAAATATAACATGTTTCTTTGATTTAAATTATAGGATGTTGTTACTCATCTCAGAATGATCTTTGTAAATATTTGTTTTTTAAAGTTACATAATTTTATTTCAACAGAGGCTTTAATAATATCCTTTAAAAGTCAGAAACACAGAAAAAAATCCACCCAAAGCTGAAGCTATATCCTTTCAATTGTTTTATTATTGAAAATATGTCTTCTTATACCTCAGTTATGACTCGAAATTGAAATTTCACCCCCCAGAGGCTTATAAAGTTACTTAGAGGGTTTTAAAAACTACTATATATCTTTATTAATATAAAAACTTGAACCAGACGAGTACTTTAAAATCTTGTAAAACATGAAATTAGGAAAGAGGAAAAAACTAATAGAAATCTGATATCAAAATGATCACAATTATTGTGACAGTCTGTGCTTTGTGCTTTGTATGTCTATATATGAGAATATTTCACTCACACCCATGAAACTTCCAAAAGATTGTTATTTCCACTTGTGACAAGTAAGAACATTAGCTCTCAGGGAGTTCTGATTACTTTCCAGAGATCAGACAAATCAAGCCAAGAGCTTATTCTCTCCCCTGTGGGAGGAGGCTGACAGTCCATCAATCCCGTGAGATGTTCACGAGGGAGGACAAGAGGAAGAGAAAATGAAGGCAAGGAATGTGTTTTCCTCACAGCTCCCAAGGACTTTTGCCATGGACAGGGAAGAGAAACATCTAAAGAAACATCCGCAGTGCGCTTGGGTACATGTTTAGTGGTGTGTGTCAAGAGTGCCTGGAGAACATGGATGCCGGGCACTTTGTTTCCAAGTCAGCTTCCCAGAACTATCAGGTATGTGTTCACAGTGGGTTCCTTCTCCACCTCTCGACAATGCCTCCACCCCTGGAGCCTCACAGCAGCACAGACCAGCTAGGGTGTGACCTGCCCCCTGGAACCCTATCGTCTGTGGATGATCTCCCCCTGCTCTTCCATCTAAGCTCTCTTCCACTGAGCCCCTGAAGAGCCTGCAAGTCCATGACCAGGGTGCTTCCATATCACCCCGATTGTCCCTCACTGTCCTTGCCCCCTTCCCTCCTCAGCAGGCATCCACCTGGGGGCTTCAACACTGAGGTTCTCACGCCCCTGTAAGGTGAGGCTAAGCTCTGGCGAGGACGCAGCCTCCTCCTGGCTTCACGCTGCTGTTTGCATCTAGTGTAACTTTAGGTCTAATTCTCTTTATTCTTTACTATGTATTTCTCTGCTTAAGACAATGTCATGATGCTTCAGACCAAAGTTTCTCCAAGTATGTTTCTCCAATGTGTATGTTATGAAATGGGAATTTTGCACAGAGCAACGATTGTGGGGATGAAAAGGACATTGGCTTGTCTCAAATGCCTCTTTTCTTCAATACTTTGGTTTCTGGAGGTCAGTGTGGGGATGCAACTTTCTCCCATTTCCAGGGCTGTATTTATTATGTCTCTGGGATTTCCATCAAGCCCCAGACGGTCTTGCTCAGTTGCTTGGACTTTGTGGAGTGGCATAGTGGATGTGGGCATGGACATACTTAAGTGGTGTCATTTGCTCAAAGTATTGAACAGGGGGTTCAGGAGCACCAACTGATTTATATTCTGCCTTCCTTTGTCAGTCCTATGTATTGGAAGGCATTTAGATTGTACTATTGGAAGATGCTACCTGAAGGATTGGTGCATTACAGATAATTATATCATAAACATTTGAATTATCAAAACATGTGAATTTTCATAATATAGTATTGAGTCTGCTGCCCCGCGTCTTAAATGTTGCATTTGGAAAGCTTCATCCAGGGATGGTTCCGTATATAGCAACCTGACACTTTCTATTACATCTGAAATTAATGATTTAAAAGGAAAGAAATAAGGATTGCAATTTGGAAATATGTTTGCTGACTGAAACAATATAGTCTTTTTTGCAATTTTATTCATTAACTATTTCATACAACTATCATTATGGTTTTGTCCTAGTATCTTTCCCTTCCCTATTATCCTCTAAATGTTAAAAGCCTACTATTAGTTTATTTCTCATGGCTCCAGCTGAGATAAAAGCCATTTATTCTCAATGCAATGCAAATATGCTCAGGATTTCAAGCATCAACCAACTTCCTCAGTGAGGAATAGAGCTCTGCGTTCTTCTTCAATAACTGTAAGGGGTTCTATTCATGGCAGAATGTCCTCCTCTAATTTGTATATGGCTTACATCCAGAAGTGAAATGTAAAATAAAACCATTGTTATGGAAATAGAGGAGAAACAATATTCATTTATGGTCAGGTTTGGTTAAAGCTGTGTCTAGTTCTCTCTGAGGTATAAATCCCCAGGTGACAATCAACTACGTCTACATCTGGAAACTGGTTTTATGGGTTTAATTGGGAGAGTCTTCCAGGCCAGAATATTTAGAACATTGTAGAATTTTATAGTTGGTTAGACTCTTGTGGAGCAAACTTAAATATAACTTTTTACAGTAGATGCATTTACAAAAGTGAATTTGAGTTTCTAAAGCCAATTTAGAATAAAGGAGGAAGGCATGCATGCATGCCAATACTAATCTATAGTGTGTTGTTCTCTTTCACTATTGTGAGAAAATATATTTATAGAAAATGTTTCAATATTGTGCATCAGTGACCAATGCTAATTTTTCTGTAACTTTCATTATAGCTTCATTCTCTTTCTTATTTAAAAGTTTCTGTTGTTGTAGTAATCAAATGCCATGCTTGTCTGAAGTCACAAAAAGAATGCAGTAAGGTTGCATTGGTGTGCAAGCTGAGGCTTCTTCTGGTCCCTTGCACAGTGTGACTCATCTTCCCCTGCTACTAAGATGTGGGCCCACCACCTTCATGCTCGGGGTGGCCCTGAAGCAACTTTCACAAGGCACAGTGCAGGGCATGTCAGTGCTGACCTCTTGTACTTCCCTTTCCTCACTGCTTCCATCCTCAGAGTGTTTATGCCGAGGCCCTGCCTGCAAGTGCACAGCCTCATCTGGAGAGCAGCACAGCCTCACCTGTGGGCATCAGCCTGCATCATGACTCCTCCACCCCACCCACCACTTGTTCATCTCCCCTCTGCAACCAGGTCTTCAACACTGCTGCTAGCTAGAGTCCTGTTTTGTTTGAACAAATCTTAGCTTCCTGATGGTTATGTACAATTGATTTTGTTTGTATGAAAACTCAAGAGGCAGAGGGAGAGGTGGATCATTCCACAGCATGCAGGCACAGACCCTTCCAGGATGCCTTCCTTGCCTTATAATTGGAACAGAACCTAGGTTGGGCTGCTTGCCCCTGTTGGTGGGAGGAAAAGCAGCTTTATTCAAGAGCCAGCAAATTGAGAAGATGGCAGACTAGTGTCCTAAGTAACCATCTTAAGTCAGTATAGATTTCAGACTCTTTTTTATGTTAAGGGAAGCAGGGTGGGGAGGAGGGAATTGAGATCAAGAGTCACGTGATTGTGACTGCAGCCATCTGGGCACCAGCGAGGGTCAAGAAGGTTGGAAACTTTGTCCTTGGCGAGGTCATAGTGCTTTTGTAAATCTTCAACAAAACATCATTAGTTGTTTACATATGTCCCCTTTAATCCCAGAGTTAGCTTCAAAAACTACATGTGGCTGTTTCTGCATTTTATCTCAGTGCTCTAAAGTTATCCTAGCCTACATGCAGGATTGGGTAAAGACCCCTTAAACAAAAATGGAGTGTGTTATATTCATTCATTTGCTGTTTCCCTGTTACAGAATCAATGCCGCCATCTCCCTTTTTCTATATTACTCTTCCAAAGAGATCTTCACTTTATGGCTGAGAGGGGGACGTATTGGAATATCTCCTCCTTTGTGATCAGGTCCTTCTTCTCTGATTTCTCTCTGTGCTTCTCTCACTTCTTAGAAATCCCACCATCCGTGTCATGTCAGGTCTACTTCTTACCCCTGTCCTCACATCTCAGGAGGCTCAGTCTTTGCTCCTCTTCACACATTTATTTCCTCCCCTGGATCTAACTTTGTTGCTCTCTTTTCTTCATGGCAAGAGTTCTGAAATTTCTACATTATGCTGCCCTTCTCTGAAATACCCTATACTTGTTCCGTTTTCAAAATGTCAGTAGGTGTATAAATTGTGCACACCTGCCCACTTGAGTTTTTTTTTATGGGAATGGTTTCAGAGGGAGCGGTCTGATCTGTCGAGCATTGTTCACGGCCACAGTGCCATAAAATCATGGTGCATGAAGGAGATGTCAGAGCAGGCAGCCATTCCTTTGCTTTTAAAAATTCAACTGAAGTCTTTTAGCCAGTAACTTGGCTGGATGATGGGGGCATTCAGGTTCAGGGCTGACAAGAAATATAGCAGATACAGTATACTGGGGAAGGGGGCTTTACCTTCTCTTTTCTTGTGTTTTTCTCACATTTCTTCTCAAGCCTACTGTACCCATGAGAGGGAGCATTGCACTCTTCATCCTGGGCGTTTATCCCCCTTCTCGGGCACTTCTCCCTAGAAAGGGGGGAGTGCATTTGATTGGTTGGTGATTGATGTTCCTGGATCAGGGTGGCTCTGCGGTGACCTCAGTCATCCTTTTTCTGCCCTGCCTGCCTGAGTCTGGCCTGCAGCCCCCTCCTTGCAACTGGTCAGTGAGTGGCTTTGGAGTACATACTCCAGGCCCTGCATATCTCTGTACATAAGCTTGGGAAGGGGACCCGATGATTTTAATTTGGAAGCAGGAAGTAAGAGTCCCCGTGCTGACCTCAGCACCAACCAAGTTGTCCATTCCAGTGTTTCACAAAGAGGCCTGCACTGGGAGTCACTTCTCCATCAGCAACCAGCCCCTCTATTATTGTATTGCTCTATTGTATGCTGTATTAACTCTGGAGGGAAGGAGGCCAAATACTGCTAGCGCCTGTCTAAAGTTCTAAGCCATAAGGATTTTCTCAACCTCCTCTTCTCTCTAGTTGCCTTGGACTTCTGCTATGTATCAGGAAGGTGCTAGGTGATTTTTACAGATGATCTGCAATCTTCCACTGCCCTGGCATGAAGTATCATCAGCCACAGCATCACAGAATGATTGAGGGGTCAAATAAGAAGATGAGTGCAGGCCTGCATGTGTCCAGTGCTCAAGCTTCTCTTGCCCCATCCTGCCCCTGTAAAAGCCTCTGGAATCCATTTCTGCATTTTCTCTTGGGATTATCTCTGCTTCACATGAGACCCGCTGCCTCATTTCTTCTTTCCTAGACCACGATAGCATCCTCATAGCTAACACATCCCTTGATCTGTTCCATTGTACCACCTTTGACTGAATTGTGACCCTAAATTGCAGCACTGACAACATCAATTTCCTGAGCCTGAAACCCTTTAATTAGTGCTTAAAAAAATACAGACCAGCCCCTACATATCTCAGTGTTCACAGGCAAACACAATAATGTTTTTTCCTGTGTTGGCTAAGCTGGTCACAAACTCCTGACCTCAGATGATCCACCCGCTTTGGCCTCCCGAAGTGCTGAGATTACAGGTGTGAACCATAGTGGCCGGCCCCAGGAATCTTAAATTCCAAAATATCACCCGATGAGCCTCAGGTCTCCTGGGCTTCTTAGGTCATGTCTCAGGCCTGCCCTCATGGGACGGTTTTATCTCATCTAAAATCTATCCATGCCTTCCAGATTTAAGTCCCTCTGCATGTGGCCTATAGTTCCTTTCCCTTGTATGCTTTGTCCTATGCCCCTGCTGTGCTTTAGATTCAAATATGAGCCAACCTCAGTGTCTATTTCTTTATTTCTGCTTTCTACTCCACTGTGTTGGAGGAAACCACAAAATCACAAGGCTGTACTATTTTGAGTCACAACAAACCCATCTCGAATTTCAAGTAGATCCTCAAATAATTCAATTTTTCCAGAAACTCATGTTTGGTAAGAGGAAGTCTTAGCGTGATCTTCTAGAACTAGGTGAGATGAGTTTCTCAGTAAGATCATGCTCTCGATGGGTCAATAAAGGTGAAAACTAAAACTTGACCATGGTCTAGCAATGACAAGGAGCACAATGGAACTCCTTCTCTCGCTGGCTCTGTGGACTCTTCCCAATGTGCCTTTCTTGCCTTAGATCCAATACTCCCCCTACATTTCATAGGTGACTTGGCCTTCTGCCTTTCTAGAACCTTGTGCTAAGGGTCTGTAGAGCATTATCTCTGATCTTGCAGCAGCCCTGCAATATAGATAATATTGTCATTTTTCAGTTTTAATGGGTGTCTTTTGCATGCCAAAACTCTTTAGGATCTGGGCTGTGGCACTAAACAAAACATAAAATCCCTGACCTTGAGGGGCCTGCTAACATTCTAGCAGGGAAGGCAAGCTTTAAAACTAATAAATGAACAAGCATATTGCATAGTATAATGCAAGTTTTTGGCAAATATTTAAATCGGTATATACACACACACACGTATATGTATATATATACATATACGTGTGTGTGTATATATTTGTGTGTGTGTGTGTGTGTGTGTGTGTGTGTGTATATATGTATATATATATGTACACACAGAACCAGGGGAGGGAGGGGTTGAGAAGTGCCAGGACGTGGGAATGTGGTTGTAATTTGAAAAAGGAAGGGTCACAGTTGGGCTCATTGAGTGGGTGGCATTTGAGCAAAGGCTTGGTGGTCAGGGAAGGAGACACATGCATGCCAGGGAGGCACAGCGCAGGCAGAAAGGCAGCCGCTGCTAACACCCTAAGTTAGGAGTGAGCCTGGCATGTGAGAGCAACAGCTTGAATGCTGATGTGGCTGGAGCAGAGAGACAGGCCCAGTTAGCACAGAACTGTGTAGATCAGAGGAACAGATTTGATTTGTATCATTGTGAGCGATGTACATTTTATTCTGAGTGAGCACTGGAGGGTTTTGAAGGACAGTTGGCATGCCTGATCCAACAGGCCTTATAATGGTCACTCTGATTTCTGTGTTTCTTGCATTCTTCTTTATAAAAATGTATTTGACACATAAATGTTGTATATATTTATAATGTACGACATGATGCTTAGATACATGTATACATTGTGAAATGGCCAAGTCAAGCTAATTAACCTATGTCTTACCTCATACACTTATTGTTTTGTGTGTGTGGTGAGAGCATCTAAAATCTACTATCTCAACAAGGATGGCTACGTAGACAATAGGCTATGGCCTGGCAAGGGTGGGGGACCAGTTGGTTGCTTTGCTGTACACTAGGCCAGAAGTGGTGTGGCTTCAGAGTAAGGAGGCAGTAGGGTAGGTTTGGGATGGGTGCAGCATCTGGATCTCTTTTACAACCAACCACTTAGATGTAGGATGTTGGAGAAAGAAAGAAGTAAAAGGAATTACTGAGATTCTTGCCCTAAACAACTAGAAGGAAGTGTGGTCCTCAGCTGAGATGGACATGCTGGGAAGTGGGCATGAAGACTAATCAGGACTGCAGATTTGCACACAACAAGTTTGAGTTGTCTACTAGGCAGCCACATGGGCATGGGGCTGGCAGTAGGGCATGGGTCTCCAATGTAAGGCGGCGGTGAGGGCTGGCTGTGCAATGTGGGTATCTTTGGCACCTGAAAGTGCTCATGTTCCTGGTACTGGATGCTGTTGAGTTTGGCTGGAAAAAGGGAGAAGCCTCAGGACTCAGCCCCAGGCACTCCAGTCCAGGAGGCTGGGGAAAGAGAAGGAAGTAGTGAAGGGCCCTGAGCAGGAGGCCCATTGAGGTGGGAGAAGATCTGGGAGGATGGCATCCTGGAAGCCAGGGAAGAACATGGCAGGGAGAGGGACTAACCGACGCATTCCAATGCTGCTGAAAATCCACTAGGGAAAGGACTAAGAAGTCAGTCCCAGCTTTAGCAGCAATGATCAAAAGGAGCTGAGCTCCTTGTCCTGCATGACATAGCCACAATTCAAAATTCACAGCCTTGTTTTTCTTTTCTACATTTCTCTTACATTTCACAGTTGACTTTGCCTTTTACCTTAAGGGGAAAATTGAGGGCAAAGCTAATAGACCTCTCACTAGCTTTCCTTGTGACAAGAGACGATTGTGAGTTAGTGCCCATTTCCTTTATTCCAGCCTGTTTCACTGGGACACATTCCTGCCTCCTTTTTACAGTAACATCTTCCAATAGCCCTTTTGGTGCCATCGAGTACCATTGGTCCTGTGCAGGGTCTTCCTCACTTTGCTTCTATTAATTCTTTCCCCTTCTTATTTGGCACCCCTTTAATAGTTTTCTATCATTTCATTTTTCTAGGATCCTTTGGAAAAGCTCTTGCAGCCTTCAATTGAGGCTCCACATGGCAGGCATCGTCACCACCACTCCTTCCCGCTCAGAAAATAAAGCAGGCTGTAGCTCAGGTGTTTCTCAACCTGGCACTGTTGACATTTTGGGCTTAGTAATGTTGTGGGGCTGGCCCAGGTCATGTAGGATAGGACGTTGAGCAACACCCTGGTCCCTCCCCACTGGAGGCTAGTAGCACCACCACTTCCAGCTGCGACAACTAAAAGCATCTCCAGACATTGCCAGATATTCCCTGGGAGGATGGAGGGGGACAAAACAAAATCATCCTAAGCTGAAAACCACTGCAAACCATTGCTCTAGCTGGAGTCTCTCTCTAGCTAACTTCCAGTCCTTTGTTTGCATAGCTGCTGGCAATGTTGTAAAATAAAAATTTCACTTAGAAATTTCATTTCTTTGAATCTTGTCATGTGTCCTTATATCTTTAAGGTAAAGTTCAAATCACCTTGTTGAGCACAAAGGAAATGTGTGATTCAGTTCCTGCCCAAGTCCATCTTTGCAGAGTTCTGCAGGCAACCAGTGCTTCTGTCCCGCTCAGCTCCTTACTGTTCTGTGCAAGAGTCCTGCATTTTCATATCTCTGCACTTCACATACATTTGTCTCCCCACTTTCTACACTGTCTTTTCTCTTTTGCATCTAGGTCAGTACTGTTTGTCCACAAAAGTTAGGTAGAGAATCCTTTTCTTTGTATAACCTTTCTTTATCTTTAAATCTAATGTAGATATTTGGATTCTCATGGTATTCCTTGCATCCCATTATTATAATAGGTATTCTACAAGACTGTGGTCATTGATTCCTTGTATTTGACCACTCACCTAATTCCAGTCTCTGAGACGGTCAAGGATCTTGTCTCACACTTCACGGGCACTCAATAAGTACTTATTAATGTTTTAATATACTAAAGGAGCCAGAGGAATGAAGTTACATCTGACACAAGCAGTCACTAAGTCCTTAATGGAAAAAAAAGTACTGTTGATCTTAAATGGGTGAGAAAACACTTTGACTGTTAGACACTATGAAAAAAATCGGAGAGTTTCCAGAGATAATGAATTTGGTTAGAGGGTGCTCAGACTTATGAGGGAGGGGAAAGTCACAGGTTGGCGCTCAATCTTGAAAAGCCTTGAATTCCTGCTAAAGACAGTGAGAAGACATTGATGATCCTTAATAAAGGGGATGGTCTAATCTGCATTTTTCCAGGAAGAACCACCAAATAATTCAACATAGTGTAGATTGGAAAGAAGAGACTGGATTTACATGGAACATTTATAGCTATTAGTTCAGGCAAAAAGAGGTAGAGATTGAACAAAGAGTGAGAAAGATTTTTCATAACTCTCAATCATACTGTATCTAAACTATTGTAGAAACATGACTTTTTCTGTAACTAGTTTTTTTTTTTTTTTTTTTTTTTTTTTTGAGACAGAGTCTCACTCTGTCACCCAGGCTGGAGTGCAGTGGTGCGATCTCGGCTCACTGCAACCTCCGAATCCCTGGTTCAAGCGATTCTCCTGCCTCAGCCTCCCGAGTAGCTGGGATTACAGGCACGCGCCACCATGCCCAGCTAATTTTTGTATTTTTAGTAGAGACGGGGTTTCACCATGTTGGCCAGGATGGTCTCAATCTCCTGATCTCGTGATCCGCCCGCCTTGGCCTCCCAAAGTGCTGGGATTATAGGCGTGAGCCACTGTGCCCAGCCTTTTTCTGTAACTATTCTAATTTAGGATTGAAATAACTTCCCAAAGAGTGAAGCTTGTGCAGTATGATTTTTAACTGGTTTTAACTCTTTAAGAATAAATATAATTCTCTTTATAATGAATTTTGGTAGAATACACTGTTATTGACTTTAGCACAGCATGCAAATGAGATGCTGGAAAGCTTTTCTCTGGAAACTAACAGATTATGATAATTCAGTCAATTTTTCCTTTAAAATCAGTTGAAATAATTTACCGTGCTCTGAAATAAGGATCTTCATTCAGATGTTTAATTAATTCCTGAATAGTATGAATAATTTGTTGGTGTAATAGATAATTCTTGCTTGCTATTGTGCAATGAAGCTAAAGCGTGCCTATTTTAATCTTAGCTGAGATTATTATACAGAAAGTTTGTGTCATCTCAATGCACCCAGCCTGTGGATGTGAGGCAGGACATGGTGGATCTCCAAGCCAGCTGTCAGCAAACTGCTTTTCCTCTGAGCTCTGTTTCATGTGCTAGGATTGTTGACATCTTATATTCAAGATCCCCTGTATTGCAAGCTTCAGATTCAGATGTCCTTAGCTTATGTTACACACATATAGACACATGCAAAATTACATACACAGACACACAGAGACACAGAGACACTCTGGTGTGCAGCCTCCTTCTGCCAACAGTACTCCTTTTTTCTTTACAATCTCATGGATTTTGAGAAAATAAAAAGCAGCCACTTTGTACAAAAAGGTTGAGAACATTGACCGTATATGCTATTTTGATTGTGCAGTTAGATACAGATAAATATAGTGTTTTTCTCCCCATCTCTGCTCTTGCCTTAGATCGGGGTTGCCAAGGTGATCATACGGCACAGAACATTTGTTTTTATGTGGCTCAGTGAGTTCACGCTGAAAGCTAAAGCGATACCAGCGATACCAGCAACTTCTCACACTGAGAATCATTCTCTCTCTATTATTTTTGTTGTCATTCTCTGACCACATGTTCTTGCTCTGCATGTTTTAAAGATCATAGGAAGATTTTTGTCCTCTCTTTGGTGGCCTGATACCTCGGGGTGGTTGTGTAAATAAATATTTACTCAGATACGAGATGTCAAATGTGTTGTCAGTGCTCACAAAAATGTGTGATTCAAACATGTCCCTTTGGAGTGAGATGGATTCTCTTGGAGAAGCCCCAGGAAGACTTTGCTAGATGCCCTCTAGGTTCATTAGTGCTCAAGGATTCTACAAAGTTTTAGGAGATACAATTAAACATACATTATGACAGAGCTTACTAAAGTCAGACTTGTGTAAATGTTTGGGATGGTTCTTCCCCAAGGAAATGTAATGCCATTATAGATTGTTGAGCTGATATTAACTCAGAAAGCTTTTATTAGGATTCATACTCCCATCTTTTGCTTTATACCATAGAACATATGAAAAGTTCAATGTCTTATCCTCACGTTTGCAAAGACAATGCTCATGCAAAAATACTGGCTGGTCATTCATTCTTTCAGTGATCAACTATGTACTGACTATCTATTTGTCAAACTCTGCTAAGAAACTAGGGATGTGAATATTACTTTAAATCCAATATAATTTCTGTCTTCATGGATCTTAGAGTTTCGTTAGGGCAGACAGGCATGGATTACATAATCACTCAAATATTACATTGCAACAGTACAATGCTGGGTGAGCCCATAACAGGGGGATTTGACCAGGAGCTCAGGGAAGGCTTTCCAAGGAAAGAGCACAGTAAGATCTGAAAACAGGTCCAGAATTACCAGGCAAGAAGGGTGGGAAGGTTTACTGGGCTACAAAGACAATCATTCAGAGACTGCTGTAGGCAGGAGTATGGCAGGTATGTGGCTGGGAGGAGGCCAGAGCACTGGGATTGAGGTAGAGCAAGAAGGGGATAAAGGGGATACTGGAAGGGCATTTACAGGCAAGACCAGGCTGGAACTTGGGCTCTGTTGAAAAAATTCTGTCTTTATTTCTATAGAAATTAAAAGCCATTTAAGGGTCTTATATTTCTATTGAGGGTAGACCAGATAGATGTAGGCAGACCAGTTTGTTCTTGTATTTTAGTAACCGAGGGTATAGTTTGCTCTAGTGTGGAAGTAGTGGGTAAGAGGAGAATGGAATACATTCAAGAGATATTTAGGAGGCAAAATAAAAAACGCAGAATTGGGTAAGATACAGGGAGTGAGGGAGACAGAGGGGTCATTGCTAGTTTTCTGAGTTGCGCAAATAGATATACAGCAGTGCCATAAATTGAGACAAGCAAAAATGGAGGACAGCCAGTATGGTGAAGGAGGATTCCTGGGCTGGGTTTCAGACATGTTGGATTTGAGGTTCCTTGAGACATCTAGATGATATTTTAAGAAGACATTGGGTGCATGAATTTAGGTCCTAGAGGTAAATTTGGGTTGGATATGTAATTTGTAGGTCTTCTGCATAGAGATAATAATTGAAGCCATGGATGTTGATGAAATCATCTGGGGAAGCTAAGTATGAATCAACATGACATGACAATGGCAATAATTTCCTGCCTGCTTTAAATAAAGGGATAACTAGTAATTCATTTACATATAAACTTTATGAAGTGACTTAAACAGATTTAAAATCCTCTCAAGTAATCATTCATATTTATCTACCTGCAATAGATATCCAAAAATGGCAGGGTTATCCACAGCCTAGAAAAATAAGATGTAGGAGAGGATAGTCTTGCTCTCTTATCAAGGCACAGAAGGGAGTGGAGATCAAAGCTGACTCCCTCCTTATTTGAATCTGCTAAAGCCATCACATAAATCAAACACATATAACCTAAAACATCCTACTGCTTTAAATTGGCTTAAAGTTTTAAAAAAAATTTTGAAAAAGATTTTGTTAGAAAATTTGTCAAATCATATGGACACAAAACTTAAATATGCTTGCACTATAATCAACAGAACTCTCTGGGTTGTCTTACTTTCCTGCAAGGAACAAAGTCTACTTACATGCATTTTTCTCATTCATTAGTAGTGAATTCCAATACCAGTTGCTTACCCTACTGTGTATTAGATTGAAGTCCAGCAGAAAACATTTGTCCTTCAGGGCATCTCTGGGTGAGTCTAAGATTGCAGTGATTTATTCTAGGGAAGCATGGCTGGAATGGGGAATAGACAGGGCTCTGTGATTAGTGGGCTCTCAGTGGGTGCATTGTGGAAAAGGAGATTATGCATTTCTCATGAATTATGAGCAATTCATAGTAAATATGAATTGCTACCTGTGAAATATTTAAATATTAAATCGATAATTATTAATTACTGTGGATAATAAAACACATAGTAGCTAAGTGATATTGGATAAACTGTTGTATGTTATTCTACCCCTTAGATTGTCTCTTTGCTCTAATTTTAGGTGGCTCAGTATATAAGATGCCCTCCCAAGCGAAAGCTGTCTTTCTACTTCTAGCAATGCAGACACCTGTGCAAACTATGGAGGATGCACATTTGATCAATGATGGCAGGAATACTAGTGCTACTTAAAAATTCTTATGCTAAACTCAAGTTTTCTTTATAATAAATTGTTTCAAAGCATTAAAAAGTTGAAAGGAAAAAAAAAAACACTTCTACTGGGCTTATACATAAGCTAGAATACTCCCTTTGAAAATCTGGGAGTTGTTAGGTTGGCTAAACCACAGACCCGGCTCGTGACTCCTTTCCTGTGACCTGTTAGGTTGTTTTATGACTGGAATGTGATGCTTGCCTCCAGTTAAGAACCCCACAGCTTCACATTTAAAAAGCCACTAATGTAGGCAAACTGAGAACAGGAGTGTAGAGAGCATGGGTTTTGCTGGGTTTGTGGCTTGGATTTACCATTGATTGGCTTTGTGGCTTTGGGCACTTTCCTTCTCCCTGTGGAGTATCTGTTTCCATACCCAAGAAAGGCTCTGCTCCGGGATTCTTGGATCAGGTTTCCATAGCTCATCTCTGGGTGATCTGTGTCAGCTGAGCCTGTGCACGGCCGCCCCCCACTTGCTGCTAGAGAGGCTGGCTGTGTGAAATTGAACAAATTACTTTATCTCTGTACCACATTTTTCCTAAGTAAATAATGGTGTATTTATAGAACCTACCACACAGTGTAGTTGCAAAAATTAAAAATGACTAAATACATGTAAAGCACTTAGGACAATAAATTTTTTTTTGCTGTTGCTCTTATTTACTTTATGCTAAGTTTGATGCCCTCATCAGCACTTATTCCTAGTCTTCATAAAATGTCTATTTGTACTCTACAGGCCTGGGCCTGTCCAGTATACACAGAGATTGGAATCCAACCATGCGATACATTTCACTTGGGAAGAGAAACCTTGTAATGGACCCTCCTTCTAACTCTTTCTTCACTGCAGTCACAGAGACTTCTCTCTCTTCCCTGCTTTCAGCAGCCAGTCTCTGCCTAACACTCCTCCCCCACATCCTCTTTCACTCTCCCAGCCCCTACCTCCTTTTTAATGTGCTAGACCAATGACACAGGTAATGATTTTGTGGGGGACAGTGTGTGAGTGTGTGGGAGTATGTGTGTGTGACTGTGTTAGTGTATGTGAGCATATATGTGAATACATGTGTCAGTGCGTGAAAGTGTGTTAGTGTACATGAGACAGTGTGAGTGTGAGCATGACAGTGTGAGTGTGTGAGATTAGGTGAGTGTGTGTGAGTGTGTAGATGTGTATCTGAGTGTGATGCTGTGTGTTAGTGTATGTGAGAGTGTATGTGAACAAGTGTGAGTGTGCACGAGTGTCCGTGTGTGTGTTAGTGTAAGTGTGGTAGTGCATATGAGTATATGTAAGTGTGTGAGTGTGAGCATGTGTGGGTATGAGGGAGTCTGAGCATGTGAGAGTGTGTTCATGTAGGTGTGTCAGAGTGTGTCAGTGTGAGACAATGTGAGAGTGTGTGTCAGTATGAAAGTATGTGTGAAGCTGAGAGTGTCTGTGTGTGTGAGAGTCTGTTAGTGAGTGTGAGTGTGTGTATAATTCAAGGCAACCAAGGTAAAGTTGTTTCATGCTAACCCAAAGGCAATTATTGCCAGGTCTTATACAATGTCACCACGGTAAAATGTCACCACTTTTAAAATGAACAGAACTCCTGGGAGGAATGCATGGGATACGGGCCAGGATGCTGAATTTCAGAGAGTAGTACAGTGTGGCACTGCTTCTGGATCCAACCTAAGGCAGTCTGAAACAATCATACCTTTCCAGTGACATGGTTTTCATTCTCTTGTGATTATTATACTTTTTCATTAGGTGTCTGAAGTACTCTTACTATAATAATGATTTATAAGAAGGAAGCCTAGGAATGAAGTAAAAGTATTTCTTTTTCTTAAACATTTTTCTTTTCTCCTTTCAAAAATATTTCTAACTGTGATGAAATAAATACATTTTATGGAAACGTGGGTTGTAAAGCTTTCTTTTTACTTGCCTGCCATTACTTCAAGTCAGAGAGCTTCCCATTGACAAAATCAAGTACTATTCACTGTGTCTTCCCACATAAATGTACAATATCCTCTTTTCCAATTTGGTGTGAAAGTTTGTTACTTTTCATGGAAACTTTGTATCTGCAGTGCTTTCTTCAGCAGTTCACTATAGACTGCTATATATCACTGTTGGTTTCACTGAGATTGTTTGAAAAAGCTGTGTTCAGAAGTCAGGTGCAGGGAATACACTTAAATTTTCTAAGAGGAGTGTGCAGCCTTCCCCATGGATCTTTCTGTCTGTTGGGAAGATTTGCTTCACAAAGGTCTGCTCAACTGTCTGCTTTGGAAACATGCTTCTCCATTTCATCACAGGATTTCTGAAGGAAATGCAAGCCTTTCTGTCTTCAGTTGCCCTGCTTTAAGAGAAGCCTTTCTGAAATGGAAGCTTAGGAAATAACTCCTGGATCAGTTGCACAGAGGGGATACCAAGGTCTGAAAAAGTCTAATTCCTAATTCCAAAAGGATTAAAACAAGACACATTACTTCTCATCCATCCCCCAGGGTTAAGATTAATTCATTTCAAGTATGATGATCATATGACATCAAATATGCCATACTTTGACTCCGTCAGACAGGACACTTCTCCCTGTTCTGAAATGTAAATAAGCATGTGGTCACTTGTAATGTATCTTATTATGTTTGTAATCTTAATTATTACCGTAACTTTGCTTACTTTAAACATTTTAATGAATAAAAGAGTAATTTCAACAACCAGTTAGCATCGACTCAAGAGGCTCCCTGGGAAAAGGGGGCAGCATCATGCTCCTTTCTGGGTGGGCTTTGGATTCCCCTTTGGAACATCAGGTTTTTAGACCCGGGACTGTGACGAACAGAAGAGACAAAATATCTCAGAGTTTCTGATTTTTGTATGTGATATATAGTGGTTGGGGCCAGTGAAATTCATAATTTCAGCTGAAGCAATTGCTAATTCTTCAAACATTTTATTTTACTCACCAGCACAAGGAGTAACCAACTTGATTTTTTGCCTTCCAGGTATATTCATTTCAACCAACTAGAAATGCTACAGCCAGAGACCTTTGGAGACCTTCTGAGATTAGAGCGACTGTAAGTGTTGACCCTTTAGATGTCCTTTGCTTCTGCTTTACATTTTCCATTTATACAACCCATCTGACTGCCGTGGAGATCAGGCCACTTTGCTGTAAGCTTTAGAGGCAGAGCCTGTACCTTGGCACTACAAAACAGAGTTAATATAAAGCTTTCTATACTTTAAGATCAATGGAGAAAAGGTGAAATAGCCAATGAAAAACAGGGCAAAAGAGAGGAAGAAGCACTTCACAAATGAGAGAAAGCTATTTAAAAAACTTACATCAGGGGTCAGGCAAGGTGGCTCACACCTGTAATCCCAGTACTTTGGGAGGCCGAGGTGGGCGGATCACCTGAGTTCAGGAGTTCGATACCAGCTTGGCCAAGATAGTGAAACCCTGCCTCTGCTAAAAATACAAAAAAGTAGCTGGACCTGGTGGCACACTCCTGTAATCCCAGCTACTCAGGAGGCTGAGGCATGAGAATCACTTGAGTCCGGGAGGCGTAGGTTGCAGTGAGCCGAGATCGTGCCACTGCACTCCAGCCTGGGTGACAGAGTGAGACTCCATCTCAAAAACAAACAAACAAACATAACCTTACAGCAGAATCTAGTATAGTTGAACATATACATCCCCTAAGATCTAGCAGTTTCACTTTCAGGAACATGCACAGCAGAAATTCACATATGTACGCACCAGAAGATGTGTTCTTGTATTGCAGCAGCATTGTTTCTGGTAGCTCCACACTGAGAACTACTCAAGTCTCCAACAACAAAAGAGTAGAGAAATAAGCTGTTGTATATTCATAAAATATAATACTATACTGCAACACGGATGGATGTCAGAAACATTCTGAGAATAATAATCTAAACGCTGAAACTTGCATAGTTCTATTTTATTCTCAAAAGAAATTTTAAAAGAGGTAGCAGAAATATATGTGGTATTGAGAAGTTGAATGGTGCTTACCTTTAGTAGGAGAGAGGCCATTGGAAATGGCAGGAGGAGCCTCCGTAGGCCTGGCAATGTTTTGTATTCTTGGTTTTTCCTGGGTGGTAATTACACAGCTGTGTTCACTTTCAGGCAAGGCATTGTACTCTACATCACGATGTCTACACTTTTCCAGATGAATGTTGTATTTCAATAAAGGCTTATTAAATAAACAATGACAAACAACAAGGGCACTTGGATATCCTTCTTCTGTTTTGTCTTTTATCAAATGAAGTTACTCTGCTACTTCAGTTTTTCTAATACCTTATATTAATAAATTTATTTATTTATTTAATTTTTTTATTATACTTTAAGTTTTAGGGTACATGTGTACAACATGCAGGTTAGTTACATATGTATACATGTGCCATGTTGGTGTGCTGCACCCATTAAGTCATTATTTAACATTAGGTATATCTCCTAATGCTATCCCTCCCCCCTCCCCCGACCCCACAACAGGCCCCGGTGTGTGATGTTTCCCTTCCTGTGTCCATGTGTTCTCATTGTTCAATTCCCACCTATGAGTGACAACATGCGGTGTTTCGTTTTCTGTCCTTGCGATAGTTTGCTGAGAATGATGGTTTCCAGTTTCATCCATGTCCCTACAAAGGACATGAACTCATCACTTTTTATGGCTGCATAGTATTCCATGGTGTATATGTGCCATATTTTCTTAATCCAGTCTATCATTGTTGGACATTTGGGTTGGTTCCAAGTCTTTGCTATTGTGAATAGTGCCACAATAAACATACATGTGCATGTGTCTTTATAGCAGCATGATTTATAATCCTTTGGGTATATACCCAGTAATGGGATGGCTGGGTCAAATGATATTTCTAGTTCTAGATCCCTGAGGAATCACCACACTGACTTCCACAATGGTTAAACTAGTTTAGAGTCCCACCCACAGTGTAAAAGTGTTCCTGTTTCTCCACATCCTCTCCAGCACCTGTTGTTTCCTGACTTTTTAATGATCGTCATTCTAACTGGTGTGAGATGGTATCTCATTGTGGTTTTGATTTGCATTTCTCTGATGGCCAATGATGATGAGCATTTTTTTAAGTGTCTGTTGGCTGCATAAATGTCTTCTTTTGAGAAGTGTCTGTTCGTGTCCTTCACCCACTTTTTGATGGGGTTGTTTGCTTTTTTCTTGTAAATTTGAGTTCAGTGTAGATTCTGGATATTAGCCCTTTGTCAGATGAGTAGATTGCAAAAATTTTCTCCTAGTCTGTAGGTTGCCTGTTCACTCTGATGGTAGTTTCTTTTGCTGTGCAGAAGCTCTTTAGTTTAATTAGATCCTGTTTGTCAATTTTGGATTTTGTTGCCATTGCTTTTGGTGTTTTAGACATGAAGTCCTTGCCCATGCCTATGTCCTGAATGGTATTGCCTAGGTTTTCTTCTAGGGTTTTTATGTTTTGGGTCTAACATTTAAGTCTTTAATCCATCTCGAGTGAATTTTTGTATAAGGTGTCAGGAAGGGATCCAGTTTCAGCTTTCTACATATGGCTAGCCAGTTTTCCCAGCACCATTTATTAAATAGGGAATCCTTTCCCTATTTCTTGTTTCCATCAGGTTTGTCAAAGATCAGATGGTTGTAGATATGCGGCATTATTTCTGAGGGCTCTGTTCTGTTCCATAGGTCTCTGTCTCTGTTTTGGTGCCAGTACCATGCTGTTTTGGTTACTGTAGCCTTGTAGTATAGTTTGAAGTCAGGTAGGGTGATGCCTCCAGCTTTGTTCTTTTGGCTTAGGATTGACTTGGCAATCCGGGCTCTTTTTTGGTTCTATATGAACTTTAAAGTAGTTTTTTCCAATTCTGTGAAGAAAGTCATTGGTAGCTTGATGGGGATGGCATTGAATCTATAAATTACCTTGGGCAGTTGGCCATTTTCATGACATTGATTCTTCCTACCCATGAGCATGGAATGTTCTTCCATTTGTTTGTATCCTCTTTTATTTCATTGAGCAGTGGTTTGTAGTTCTCCTTGGGGGTCCTTCACGTCCCTTGCAAGTTGGATTCCTAGGTATTTCATTCTCTTTGAAGCAATTGTGAATGGGATTTCACTCATGATTTGGCTCTCTGTTTGTCTGTTATTGGTGTATAAGAATGCTTGTGATTTTTGCACATTGATTTTGTATCCTGTATCTTGAGACTTTGCTGAAGTTGCCTATCAGCTTAAGAAGATTTTGGGCTGAGACGACGGGGTTTTCTAAATATACAATCATGTCATCTGCAAACAGGGACAATTTGACTTCCTCTTTTCCTGATTGAATACCCTTTATTTCCTTCTCCTGCCTAATTGCCCTGGCCAGAACTTCCAGCACTATGTTGAATAGGAGTGGTGAGAGAGGGCATCCCTGTCTTGTGCCCATTTTCAAAGGGAATGCTTCCAGTTTTTGCCCATTCAGTATGATATTGGCTGTAGGTTTGTCATAGATAGTTCTTATTATTTTGAGATACATCTCATCAATACCTAATTTATTGAGAGTTTTTAGCATGAAGGTTGTTGAATTTTGTCAAAGGCCTTTTCTGCATCTATTGAGATAATCATATGGTTTTTGTCATTGGTTCTGTTTATATGCTGGATTACATTTATTGATTTCCATATGTTGAACCAGCCTTGCATCCCAGGGATGAAGCCCACTTGATCATGGTGGATAAGCTTTTTGATGTGCTGCTGGATTCGGTTTGCCAGTATTTTATTGAGGATTTTTGCATCGATGTTCATCAGGGTCATTGGTCTAAAATTCTCTTTTTTTGTTGTGTCTCTGCCAGGCTTTGGTATCAGGATGATGCCAGCCTCATAAAATGAGTTAGAGAGGATTCCCTCTTTTTCTGTTGATTGGAATAGTTTCAGAAGGAATGGTACCAGCTCCTCCTGGTACCTCTGGTAGAATTTGGCTGTGACTCCTTCTGGTCCTGGCCTTTTTTTGGTTGGTAAGCTATTAATTATTGCCTCACTTTCAGAGCCTGTTATTGGTCTATTCAGAGATTCAACTTCTTCCTGGTTTAGTCTTGGGAGGGTGTATGTGTCGAGGAATTTATCCATTTCTTCTAGATTTTCTAGTTTATTTGCATAGAGGTGTTTATAGTATTCTCTGATGGTAGTTTGTGTGTCTGTGGGATCGGTGGTGATATCCCCTTTATCATTTTTTATTGCATCTATTTGATTCTTCTCTCTTTTCTTCTTTATTAGTCTTGCTAGCGGTCTATCAATTTTGTTGATCTTTTCAAAAACCAGCTCCTGGATTCATTGATTTTTTGAAGGGTTTTTTGTGTCTCTATTTCCTTCAATTCTGCTCTGATCTTAGTTATTTCTTGCCTTCTGCTAGCTTTTGAATGTGTTTGCTCTTGCTTTTCTAGTTCTTTTAATTGTGATGTTAGGGTGTCAATTTTAGATCTTTCTTGCTTTCTCTTGTGGGCATTTAGTGCTATAAATTTCCCTCTACACACTGCTTTGAATGTGTCCCAGAGATTCTGGTATGTTGTGTCTTTGTTCTCATTGGTTTCAAAGAACATCTTTATTTCTGCCTTCATTTTGTTATGTACCCAGTAGTCATTCAGGAGCAGGTTGTTCAGTTTCCATGTAGTTGAGTGGTTTTGAGTGAGTTTCTTAATCCTGGGTTCTAGTTTGATTGCACTGTGGTCTGAGAGACAGTTTGTTGTAATTTCTGTTCTTTTCCTTTTGCTGAGGAGTGCTTTACTTCCAACTATGTGGTCAATTTTGGAATAGGTGTGGTGTGGTGCTGAAAAGAATGTATATTCTGTTGATTTGGGGTGGAGAGTTCTGTAGATGTCTATTAGGTCTGCTTGGTGCAGAGCCGAGTTCAATTCCTGGATATCCTTGTTAACTTTCTGTCTCGTTGATCTGTCTAATGTTGACAGTGGGGTGTTAAAGTCTCCCATTATTATTGTGTGGGATTCTAAGTCTCTTTGTAGGTCTCTAAGTACTTGCTTTATGAATCTGGGTGCTCCTGTATTGGGTGCATATATATTTAGGAGAGTTAGCTCTTCTTGTTGAATTGATCCCTTCACCATTATGTAATGGCCTTCTTTGTCTCTTTTGATCTTTGTTGGTTTAAAGTCTGTTTTATCATAGACTAGGATTGCAACCCCTGCCTTTTGTTGTTTTCTATTTGCTTGGTAGATCTTCTTCCATCCCTTTATTTTGAGCCTATGTGTGTCTCTGCACGTGAGATGGGTTTGCTAAATACAGCACACTGATGGGTCTTGACTCTTTATCCAATTTGCCAGTCTGTGTCTTTTAATTGGAGCATTTAGCCCATTTACATTTAAGGTTAATATTGTTATGTGTGAATCTGATCCTGTCATTATGATGTTAGCTGGTTATTTTCTCATTAGTTGGTGCAGTTTCTTCCTAGTCTCGATGGTCTTTACAATTTGGCATGTTTTTGCAGTGGGTGGTGCCGGTTGTTCCTTTCCATGTTTAGTGCTTCCTTCAGGAGCTCTTTTAGGGCAGGCCTGGTGGTGACAAAGTCTCTCAGCATTTGTTTGTCTGTAAAGTATTTTATTTATCCTTCAGTTATGAAGCTTAGTTTGGCTGGATATGAAATTCTGGGTTGAAAATTCTTTTCTTTAAGAATGTTGAATATTGGCCCCCACTCTCTTCTGGCTTGTAGAGTTTCTGCTGAGAGATCCGCTGTTAGTCTGATGGGCTTCCCTTTGTGGGTAACCCGACCTTTCTCTCTGGCTGCCCTTAACATTTTTTCCTTCATTTCAACTTTGGTGAATCTGACAATTATGTGTCTTGGAGTTACTCTTCTTGAGGAGTATCTTTGTGGCGTTCTCTGTATTTCCTGAATTTGAATGTTGGCCTGCCTTGCTAGATTGGGAAGTTCTCCTGGATAATATCCTGCAGACTGTTTTCCAACTTGGTTCCATTCTCCCTGTCACTTTCAGGTACACTAGTCAGATGTAGATTTGGTCTTTTCACACAGTCCCATATTTCTTGGAGGCTTTGTTCATTTCTTTTTATTCTTTTTTCTCTAAACTTCTCTTCTTGCTTCATTTCATTCATTTGATCTTCCATCACTGATACAGTTTCTTCCACATGATCAAATCGGCTACTGAGGCTTGTGCATTCGTCATGTAGTTCTTGTGCCTTGGTTTTCAGCTCCATCAGGTCCTTTAAGGACTTCTCTGCATTGGTTATTCTAGTTAGCCATTCGTCTAATTTTTTTTCAAGGTTTTTAACTTCTTTGCCATGGGTTCGAACTTCCTCCTTTAGCTCGGAGTAGTTTGATCATCTGACACCTTCTCTCAATTCGTCAAAAGTCATTCTCCTTCCAGCTTTGTTCCGTTGCTGGTGAGGAGCTGCCTTCCTTTGGAGGAGGAGAGGCGCTCTGATTTTTAGAGTTTCCAGTTTTTGTGCTCTGTTTTTTTCCCCATCTTTGTGGTTTTATCTACTTTTGGTCTTTGATGATGGTGACGTACAGATGGGGTTTTGGTGTAGATGTCCTTTCTGTTTGTTAGTTTTCCTTCTAACAGTCAGGACCCTCAGCTGCAGGTCTGTTGGAGTTTGCTGGAGGTCCACTCCAGATCCTGTTTGCCTGGGTATCAGCAGCGCAGTCTGCAGAACAGTGGATATTGGTGAGCAGCAAATGTTGCTGCCTGATCGTTCCTCTGGAAGTTTTGTCTCAGAGGAGTACCTGGCCGTGTGAGTTGTCAGTCTGCCCCTACTGGGGGGTGCCTCCCAGTTAGGCTACTCAGGGTTCAGAGACCCACTTGAGGAGGCAGTTTGTCCATTCTCAGGTCTCCAGCTGGGTGCTGGGAGAACCACTACTCTCTTCAAAGCTGTCAGACAGGGACATTTAAGTCTGCAGAGGATTATGCTGCCTTTTGTTTGGCTATGCCCTGCCCCCAGAGGTGGAGTCTACAGAGGCAGGCAGGCCTCCTTACGCTGCGGTGGGCTCCACCCAGTTCGAGCTTCTGGGCTGCTTTGTTTACGTAGTCAAGCCTGGGCAATCGCAGGCGCCCCTCCCCCAGCCTCACTACCTCCTTGCAGTTTGATCTGAGACTGCTGTGCTAGCAATGAGAGAGGCTCCGTGGGCGTAGGACCCTCCGAGCCAGGTGCGGGATACAATCTCCTGGTGTGCCATTTGCTAAGACTATTGGAAAAGCATAGTATTAGGGTGGGAGTGGCCTGATTTTCCAGGTGCCATCTGTCACCCCTTTCTTTGACTAGGAAAGGGAATTCCCTGACCCCTTGAGCTTTCTGGGTGAGGTGATGCCTTGCCCAGCTTTGGCTCATGCTCAGTGTGCTGCACCCACTGTCCTGCACCCACTTTCTGACACTCTCCAGTGAGATGAACCCGGTACCTCAGTTGGAAATGCAGAAATCACCTGTCTTCTGTGTCGCTCATGCTGGGAACTGTAGACTGGAGCTGTTCCTATTTGGCCATCTTGGCTCCACCCCAATAAATTTACTGTATCTAGCTGATGATATGCTATTTCTCTCTGAAAAGAAAGAAAATGCAGAATTACATAGCTAACCTTAAGCAGAAAAATGTTTTCCCTTAAAGAAAATTTGAATTAAAAATTTATGTTTAAAAAAGGATGCCCTTAATTAATATACAAAATAAATTAGTAAAATTAAAGGCTAAGAAGAGCCAGTCAACCACTTTCTTATGCAGTTACTGCAACCTCATTTGCCTATAGAAGTATAGCAGTTGCAAGGCATAAAATCACATGGTTTGCTTTTGTTTGCTTTGTGCTGGAGACATGTGATCATGAATATGAAATGAGGTAGGAAAGTGTGTTATACTACTCCTTTTCTGCTCTAACCTGTGTGAGCAGGGAGCCAGCCCTGTGCAGGACAGCCCTGGTGCAAGACAGATGGATTGTTCAAGATTTAGCATCACAATGGTTAATAACTTCAAAAGACATGGGACTCCAACTTTAATTTGGGGGAAATTTCTTTGTCACATTGTTAACCTTGTGTTCTTGTGGTGTAGCAATAAACCACCAAGCCTTGTATTTTTGTCGTGTAGCCAATAAACCACCAAGATTCAAAGTCCTCACCAACAGCAGCCCTGAAAACTGTGAAGATGGGAAGGGGAGAGTCCTGCTGCCTGGGGAGGTGTGGAAGCCCTGGCAGGCAGGCCCATGGCAGTGGTGGTGGGGTTTGCCTTTATAGAAGGGACTTCTTAGCTTGGGATCCATCAGCGGGCTTGGAAGGCAGGGAATGGACTAACTAAAAAAGTTTTAGCTTCTGGTTTCTTTCCTATTGTCTAAATATATTTGCATCTATTTTAACCTTGTAGTACAGACATGTGATATCAAATCATATCATAAAATAGAGCTCCTGAAAGAAAACTCGAGCCTGGACCCTCTCTCCAGAGGCAGCTTCTTTTAGGTATTTCTCTTTTATATTCTTTGGTTGTTGCCATCATAATTGTCTAGTGTATTAGGGTTCTCTAGAGGGACAGAATTAATAGGATAGATAGATGTATAAAAAAGGGAGTTTATTAAGGGATATTAACTTACATTATCACAGGGTCCCACAATAGACCATTTGCAAGCTGAGGAGTAAGGAAGCCAGTCTAAGTCCCAGACTTGAAGAATTTGGAGTCTGATGTTTGAGGGCAAGAAGAATGCAGCTCAGTAGAAAAATGTAGTCTGGGAGGCTAAGCCAGTCTAGTCTTTTTACGTTCTTCTGCCTGCTTTTTATTCTGGCCACGCCGGCAGCTGATTAGATGGTGCCTACTCAGATTAAGGGTGGGTCTGCCTTTCCCAGTTCACTGACTCAAATGTTAATCTCCTTTGGCAACACCCTCACAAGCACACCAAGGATCAATATTTTGCAGCCTTCAATCCAATCAAATTAACACTCAGTATTAACCATCACAGCTAGGTAATAGATTTTTATTTCATTCATTTTCAACTGTAGGAGATATCAATTTTCACTCTGAAGATGAGGATTTATCTTGCTTATGCTACCCCTGTGTGATACACACACACACACACACACACACACACACACACACTAGAAAGTCAATTACATACTGATGAGTGAACTATTTGTATGTGTATATATGTATATATATGTATATATGTGTATATATATGTATATATATGTATATATATATGTGACTCATAAATAAAGTCCACTAAATATATATATATACATATACATATTTCGTCCATTCATTGGTATGTAATTGACCTTCTAATTCTTGTGGCATTAATTTTGATAGCCTGTCTTCTTTATTTAAAGTTTTGAAACTACTACCCAATCCCATACTTGCATTTTCTTCACCTTTTACATCTTCACTCTGTTAGCTATGTTATTATCTTTATATTACTCAGATATTCAACGTTTTTCCTGCAACTACAATGAAATTTCTTGCTGTTGACCATAAATTACCTTGAACAATTAGAAGTATATATCATTTTAACTAAATTATTGTAGGATCAGGAAACATGCTCAGATTTTATTTCTTTCTCTATGTGTAAATATTATAAATCTGGCCACTTCAAAAATAATTGTCTTAATAAAAGGGCTATTTTCTTGTGTGATTTAAATTATTTAAAATAATGTCATGTCTTTGGTTCATATTTGAACTGTTATTTTCTTACATAATTTTTGCTTTTCCTGGACATTCTAAATGCATTATGTGTCTTTGCAATATCTTCACATTTTTTATACAATCAAATTATATAAACCATGTCATTTCTCTTTTACACCAGAGACCCCTGTCTTCTAATTTGAACTGGCTTTTCATTAGGATTAGTGTCACCTGCCATAAACCTGGGATTTCCCTTCACTAATTGCTTGAGTGAAGTCCATGGTTTCTGGTCTCCATTCTTCCTTTTTCTTGTGTTACTTCTTTGTTCTGCTGGAATACATGTTGAAGAACTTGCTATGAAAAGGCTTAAGGGAGATAGTTTTGATAATCCTTGAATGCCTGAAATTGTATGTATTATTTCCTCATAATTAGTTGATAGGTTGTCTGTTATAAAATTATAAGTTCAAGAAGTTTCCCTTGATCTTTGAAGAATCCATTCTATTTCTTCTAGCCTATTATGATTCTATTTTATAGGAAATCAATTTTATTTTCACAGAGAGGTTTAAAATTTTATGATTATTCTTTATTTTTAAAAATCTTACAGGTCAAATGTAATGGCCTGCACTTTGAGAGGCTGAAGTGGGAGGATTGCTTGAGCCCAGGAGTTCCAGACTAGCCTGGGCAACATAGCAAAACCCAATCTCTACAAAAAATAAAAATAAATTAGCTGAGCATGATGGCAGGCACCTGTAGTCTCAGCTACTTGGGAGGGTGAGGCAGGAGGACTGCTTGAGCCTAGGAGGTTGAGGCTGCAATGAACCATGATTGGGCCACTGTACTCCATCCTGAGTGAAGGGTGAGAACCTGTCTCTAAATAAACATATAGTTAAAATAAAAATAAGATCTTATAAATTTACATCAAGGAATGAGACTTTTCAATTATTGGAGTTTTCAATGTAAAGACAAATCCATCCACAATTTTGAAAGATTCTCTTTAATTATTTATTTGACTATGTTTCCCTTTATTCTTTCTGTCTTCTCTTCTAGAGATACCTTAATTGAATATTAGATCATCTGGATCTCTGTATTTTTTATCTTTTGTTTCATAATATCTGTTATTTCGTCATTTTGATTCCTAACCTGGTATGTTTTACTTACTTTTTAACATTTACTACATAAAAACATTTTTTAATCAGAGTTTAATTCCTAAGAGATCTTTCTTGTTTCCGATTTGTCTTCTATAGAAACTTATCCTTGTTTTACAAGTATGATACATATTGCAGTCTCTGAGTACATGTAATAATTGTAATGCTTTCTTACTCTTTTTCTCTAGTTCTTGGAATTTCCCTGTTTCTTCTGGCATTGTTTTCCTTTTTGAAAATCTTGGCCTTTCTTTTTCATGTTCCTAATTAACCTCCCATGCCTTGTGATTCTTCATTGTCTATTGATATTTGAAATTAATAGCATTTCAATTGGTAGTGTGAGTTTCACCTGCTCTCCTTTAGATAAGTTTATTTTCTTACAAAATTTTCCCTTTGGTGTAAATTTTAGTTTGAACAATTGGATGTAAAATGCAGATTTATCTTCCTAAATTCCAGAATGAGGAAGGCTTTTTCTCTTGAGTTTCAGCTCCACAAAAATTCCGTTACTTTTCTTCTTTCAATTTGTTCAATTTCTTTGGAAAAAATCTCTATTTCTATGTCTGTCTCATCTATCAGTATGTCAATAACATTTTCCTCTTAGCTGTCGGTGTTCTGTATGGATGGTGGCTACTAATTATTGTGTTTCTCCATCCAGGTCTTTGTGAACCCTTGTTTGCAATCTCACTTCTCCCTCCTCTGCCCCTGCCGTAACTGTTTGGGGTCTCTGGGCGACACACAGTCAGATTGCTCCTGCCTCATAGGATTCTCTGGGCTGCAGCTTTCTCTCCTATTTCATCTGTCAACATTTTCTCATGTATTTTATTTTTCCAGAATTTGCTGAATACTCTTATCTGTTGGTGAACTTCCACATTCTGCCCTCTTGAATATGGATATATTTTTTCTTATTAAGCATCCTGGTAATTATTTCAATGGAGATTCAAAAGAGATTGAGGAAGATTTGCATATCTACTTCACTATTTTGGACTAAAATTCTTTTCCCCGGAACTTTGAAATTTGTTTGCTGAAATAATATTTTTTAGTGCTAAAATTATCCTATTAAGGCATTTCTAAATTCAAGCAAATTTACCATGACTTTATCTGCAGACTGCACATAGTCGAGTAATGTGCGTTCAGCAGGAGCAGCACAATGCCTAGAATGGTTCTTTATTGTTATGATTTGACAAAAGCGCCTTTGTGTTACATTCATAAGTACTAACCTCTAACACCTGGATAGGAATGTTCTTTTCAATGAAGTCATGATCTCAATACAATCAAGAAAGTCCTGCATCTTCCTCTTTTCTATTAAAAGAAGGATTGATTTGAAAATCTTCACTTTACCAAGTTAGGTTTTCTCCAAAAGATAAGTCTTATCTTCAAACACAATCAACTTCTTACTACTACGTTACCAAGCAAAAGAATCCAAGCACATTTAGTGGAGCCATGTGGTTTAAAATGTTCAAGTTACTTTAGAGCTTGGTGCTCCGGCAGAAAATTGAATGAGTGCTTTCGTTAAAGTATGTCAAGCATTACAGAATTTGGACTTTTTGGCTAAAAATTTATGGTTGGTATTAAAGAACACAGAGTCGACCAGACTGGACAATGTTTTCTCTATCTGGTATGCACCTCACTAAAGCTGAGGCCATTTCACGAAGTTTTCTCAAGGAGTAGGAGCTGAATATGACTTTAACTCTACTTCTCAAAAGTCTCCTGGATTTTCAAGGGATACATCTTGAAACATTAACCTAAACCTTAGGCAGAAGATTTACTTTCTTAGAACATTTATGAGGAAAATGCTCATTCATGACTTGACTTTTTTAGATAATATGCATGTTTCTGTCACAGGAAGGAGACAAGTCTTTGTATAAACTCTGTATAAACTTTGTATAAAAGTAGATACTGCTCAAATATTATTTTTTTGATCAAGCATCTTTGACAGAAGACAGCAGCAGCAAATAATTATATAAACTTTTCGGCCGGGTGCGGTGGCTCCCTCCTGTAATCCCAGCACTTTGGGAAGCCGGGGCGGGCCGATCACGAGGTCAAGAGATGGAGGCCATTCTGGCCAACATGGTGAAACCCCGTCTCTACAAAAATACAAAAAATTAGCTGGGCGGGGTGGCATGCGCCTGTAGCTACTTGGGAGGCTGAGGCAGGAGAATTGCTTGAACCCAGGAGGCGGAGGTTTCAGTGAGCCAAGATTGTGCCACTGCACTGCAGCCTGGCAAGAGTGAGACTCCGTCTCAAAAAAAAAAAAAAAAAAAAAAAAAAATATATATATATATATATATATATATATATATATATATATATATAAACTTTTTAACATAGGAAGAAGTGCTTTTTAGCTTCTTGTTGGGAGTAAAGCAATCAAAGTCATCTACAAGCAGAAATCAACAAATACATTGCATAACTGTTTTGAAAATTAATTTCAGGAAAGTTGGAAAGAAGAAAGAAAAAAAGGAAACTACAAGCATACATTTTTGCACCCCATGCAAATCAGTACTGCTGGAACAGTACTACTGTTTTAATTTACTGAATACTACTGGGATAGTATTCTAGGAGATAACCAATGACAGTTATTATTATCATAATTTTTCCTTTATACATAAAGGGACTGAGACTTAGATTAATCTGCTTGAAAGCAAGTTGTTATAGAAATATCAAGTAGCAGTAATATCTGATTTGGGAATCATATATCATGTTTGATATAAACTGATGTAAAATATCATTAATTTGGATATTTTGTCACCATTTGTACAAAATTAAAAAAATTCAAGAATGATTTTTCAATATTTACATACCTTGCTTCAAAATCTGTGATGATGGAAATGTTTTACTTTTCTTTTGATTTGTTTTGCCTGTTAAGCAATTAATTCTGGTCTGCTTGGATTGGAAAATAGATAATATCTTTCAATATTCAATCATGGATGCAATTTCCAGCCTCTAAAATACGTTTAAAGAAAGAACAACAGTCTTTCTACTGTGGTTATCTTGCAGAACTGCACCACTTATAAAATAATGAAGAAAGCTTTCATTTTACCTAGCAAAAATAAAGCAGGCATAAATTGTCCTGGTAATTTGGCTTTTCCCGAGGTTTAGTGCAATCTACTATAAGCTGTTTCTCCATCATGAAACTCTGTTCCAGTGTTCCTTAAGATAAGGAAATGGCATATGGCTAGGGCTTGTGGTAGAGAATGAGAATTACTGTGTCATCCATCTGCACACTGTTGAAGAAAAGGTTATTCAACAATACTTGTTAAAGCATGGCAAGAAAGATGTTATTCAAGGGGGACCATGGTGATAGGTATAGGGACCAGTGCAATGGAGTTTTGCACTGAGGGAGAAAGATTGGGCTGAACTCCAAATACGCCATGAGCAAGTGGGAGTTGATAGCCCAGGAGCAGGGTGGAGCCAATGGATGGAAAATTACTCAGAGGAAACATTAGGAGAAAGGCTCAGGCTGACCCTATTTAACAGGATAGGGTGATGATCTTGGTGATGATCAAATATCACCTGGGAAATGATGGGGATGAGGAATTTCAGGTATCAAGGGGTGGGAGGTACTGGTTAAACTTAGCAGCAGGGTTCTTGCTAAAATCGGACAATGTAGAGATGGACATGGAAATCCGAAAGTCAGGACTAGTTGGAAAAGAGCTCAGGAGAACCTGAGTAGAGTTTGGTCAAGAAGAGAGTCTTTGTCAATATCCATCTTCACATCATCATTTCTTTTCTAGCTACTGCTTCTGAGTTGGGTAAATTAGATGGGGCCGGTAAAGATAAGCACAGGGAATCAAAACAGGAAGGATCAGGAAAACTTTTTATCTTCTCAGATGTGCATCAGTGAAATTCAAGTTCCCAAAATAGTAGAAATAGTTTGGCCCCAGCTCACTCCCCCTGACCTTAACACTTAATACAGTTAAAATAAAGCCAAAAACATAAAGCCAAAACACTGATAAGAAAATATGGCCACATGATTTTATTTAATTTTGTGACAGAGATACTAGTCATGAAGTACAGCTCATAAAGTGGCTGGATGTAGCTAATAGTTAAGTTTCAGATATAAATTGATTATTTATGCTCATATCCTTGAGTCTTAAGAAAACTGGTCTCCATCTTTTCTCTATATTGCAGAGACCATCGTGTTTTCTCTCTTCACACATAGGCTCTTTGCCAAATATGTATTCAGTAGTCCTGGTGACTAGACAATCCCTGGCTGGTGCTTTTCTTGGTCATAATTTCTCTGGTCATAATGAGGGGAATGGGTATAGCCAAGGCAGCATGGAGGGAGCCAAAGCAAGTGCAAGACTACTAGGGTGGAGGGAGAGGGAGAGGTACTGAGGCCTGGATCTTCTCCTACTCCCGCCACCTTCCATCACCTGGCATGGGGCATGACCTCATAAGTGCACCTCTCTGTGATCCAGCTCCGGACATGTAGAAATGGCTGGCTGAGCAGTAACCATAGCAGCACCCAACGGGACTCTGGATCAGCAAAACTGTGCTGGCCAGTAAGCGACAGGCAGAGCTTGCACATCTCCATGTGATCCCACATTTGCAGGATTACAACAGTTACTCATGCTACATCTGTAGGCATCTGTTGTCATATATTGTTGTGCCTTTTTTTTTTTTTTCGAGACAGAGTCTTGCTCTGTCACCCAGGCTGAAGTGTAGGGGTGCAATCTCGGCTCACTAAAACCTCTGCCTGCCCAGTTCAAGCAATTCTCATGCCTCAGCCTCTGGAGTAGCTGGGATTACAGGTACCTGCCACCATGCCTGGCTAATTTTTGTATATTTGGTAGACAGGGTTTCACCATGTTGGCCAGGCTGGTCTCGAACTCCTGGCCTCAAGTCATCCGCCCAGCTTGGCCTCCCAAAGTGCTGGGATTACAGGCGTGAGCCACCACGCCTGTATTTTTAAATTTAAAATATTTAAATTTAAAATATTTAGTTCACAAATAAAAATTGTATGCATTCAAGGTGTACAACATGCTGATTTGATATATGTATACATTGCCTGCTGATAATGAATACATTGACTATTTACTTTGATTTCCTCATACTTAAATATTTATTTTTATGTATTTCTCTTTAGCATTTGTAATCTGTAACTAAGTAAACTAAAAAAATCAAAAGTACACAGATGTGAAAAAATACCCATATAGTAGTGGTAGATAGAGATATGTAAATCTTTAAAACAGATGGTTGTATAAATGACACTCTGACTTCTGTTTGCCCTTTCTCACTGAAATATTTCAAAAAAGGTATTGGATTCACAGTTAGGTGAAAGAAAGGTTTTGTTTGTCAAATTCATTATTATTGTATGGTGATTAAAGTTTATCTTTTCTTTTTCAGATTTTTGCATAACAACAAATTATCTAAAATTCCAGCTGGGAGCTTTTCTAATCTGGATTCATTAAAAAGATTGTAAGTGAAAGCAAGTGCATTAACACAAAAACCTTTTATAATTTCCTCCAAAATCCATCCCAAACAATGGTTGGTTGCCTTCTCCTGCTTTTCCTGTGAAAGACATTGCAATTCTAGCATGTTAGGGAGAAAATGGTTTTGTTAACTGCAGAGCGATAGAGAACCCAGATAGTCTTCTGGGCTTTCATGTATTCTCTTAGAAGTGACATTCAAAAGGAGTATTGAAAATAGACGTTTTCCTCGTTTCTCTGTAATATCCTTGCTGGCTAAATCTAAAGGCTCCCAAGACTTCTTTTTCCTTTAACTTTTTCATGAGATAAGAGATGTGAGAAGTTCCAAAGAAAGTCTGACTCCTCGGGCCAGGCTTCAGTTTTCCCTTGTTGTACGGAGTTGTCTTCCTACTCATTTCCTCCTACATTAAGCAAAACAAAACAAAAATCCCCATGCTTGCAAGGTCTGTGTTCTCCACAGCTTCCCTGCTCCCATCCGTGGGCTGATGTCCATCACTTTTTTCCACCTGTGTCTCCACCCTCCTGCATTCCAGCTGTCTCTTCACTCCCATCTGTGTGTAGCCTTCTACACTGTTGATGTCTTTATTTTGTGGTTACCCACCCCCTCCACTAATCCTCAACCCCAAACACAAGTATAAGTTCCAGTTATCAGAAAAAGATAGATGCCTGCTTCCCAGATGTCAGTCAGAGAGCACATAGTGGAAAACTCACACAGGTGTATCCATCATGGGCCTTGGAGGCTGTATTAGTCTGTTCTCCTGCTGCTAATAAAGACGTACCCATGACTGGGTAGCTTATAAAGAAAAGGAGGTTTAATGGACTCACAGTTCCTCATGGCTGGGGAGGCCTCACAATCATGGCAGAAGATGAAGAGAGAGCAAAGGAATGTCTTACATGGTGGCAGGCAAGAGAGCCTGTGCAGGGAACTCCTGTTTATAAAACCATCAGATCTCATGAGACTTATTCACTACCATGAGAACAATATGGGGGAAACTGCCTCTATGATTTAGTCCCCTTGACACATGGGGATTATTACAATTCAAGATGAGATTTGGGTGGGGACACAGCCAAACCATATCATTCCGCCCCTGGCCCCTCCCAAATCTCATATCCTCACATTTGAAAACAAATCATGCCTTCCCAACGGTCCCCCAAAGTCTTAGCTCATTTCAGCATTAACTCAAAAGTCCACAGTCCAAAGTTTCATCTAAGACAAGGCAAGTCCCTTCTGCCTATGAGCCTGTAAAATCAAAAGCAAGTTAGTTACTTCCTAGATACAGTGGGGGTACAGGTGTTGGGTAAATACAGTCATTCCAAATGGCAGAAATTGGCCAGAATGAAGGGGCTACAAGTCCCCTGCAAGTCCAAAATCCAGTGGGGCAGTCAAATCTTAAAGCTCCAAAATGATCTCCTTTGACTCCATGTCTCACGACCAGGTCACATTGATGGAAGAGATGGGCTCCCATGGTCTTGGGCAGCTCTGCTCCTGTGGCTTTGCAGGGCACAGCTTCCCTCCTGGTTTCTTTCATGGGGTGTGTTGAGTGTATGCAGCTTTTCCAGGTGCACAGTACAAGCTATCAGTGAATCTACCATTCCGGGATCTGGAGGACGTTGGCCTTCTTCTCACAGCTCCACTAGGCAGGGAGTACCCCAGTAGGGACTCTGTCTGGGGGCTCCAACCCCACATTTCCCTTCCACACTGCCCTGGCAGAGGTTCTCCATGAGGGCCCCACCCCTGCAGCAAACTTCTGCCTGGACATTCAGGCATTTCTATACATTCTGTAAAATCTAGGTGGAGGTTCCCAAACCTCAATTCTTGACTTCTGTGTACCCACAGGCCCAACACCACATGTAAGCTTCTAAGGCTTTGGACTTGCACCCTCTGAAGCAATGGCCTCAGAAGTATGTTGGCCCCTTTTAGTCATGGCTAGAGCTGAAACAGCTGGGATGCAGGGCACCATGTTCAGAAACTGCATAGATCAGGGGGGCCCTAGGCCCAGTCCATGAAACCATTTTTCCCTCCTAGGCCTCCAGGCCAGTGATGGGAGGAGCTGCTGTGAAGGTCTCTGACATACCCTGGAGACATTTTCCCCATTGTCTTGGTGATTAGCCTTTGGTCCCTCATGACTTTTGCATATTTCTGCAGCCAGCTTGAATTTCTTCCCAGAAAATGGGTTTTTATTTTCTACTGCATCATGAGGCTGCAAATTTCCAAAATTTTTATGCCTCGTCACCTCTTGAATTCTTTGCTAACTAGAAATTTCTTCTACCAGATACCTGAAATCATCTCTCTGAAGTTCAAATTTCCACAGATCTCTAGGGCGGGGCAAAATGCCACCAGTCTCTTTGCATAGGAAGAGTGACCTTCACTCCAGTTCCCAACAAGTTCCTTATCTCCATCTGAGACTCCCTCAGTCTGAATTTTATTGTCCATGTCACTATCAGCATTTTGGTCAAAGCCATTAAACAAGTCTCTCGGAGGTTCCAAGCTTTCCCACATCTGCCTGTCTTCTGAGCCCTCCAAGTCTCTAGGAAGTTCCAAACTTTCAAACATTTTTCTATCTGCTTCTGAGCCCTCTAAACTGTTCCAACATCTGCCTGTTATGCAGTTCCAAAGTCCCTTCCACATTTTTGGGTATCTTTACAGCAGTGCCCCACTCCCAGTACCAATTTATTATATTAGTCTGTTCTTATACTGTTAATAAAGACATACATGAGACTGGGTAATTTATAAAGAAAAAGAGGTTTAATGGACTCACATTTCCACATGGCTAGGGAGGCCTCACAATCATGGCAGAAAATGAAGAAAGAGCAAAGGAATATCTTACATGGCAGCAGGCAAGAGAGCCTGCGCAGGGGAACTCCCATTTATAAAACCATCAGATCTTGTGAGACTTATTCACTACCATGAGAACAGTATGGGGGAAACCACCCCCATGATTCAATTATCTTCAGCTGGCCCCACCCTTGACATGTAGGGATTTTTACAATTCAAGGTGAGATTTGGGTGGGGACACAGCCAAACCATATCAGAGGCTGATATAGTTTGGATGTTCTCCCCTCTAAATCTCATGTGCAATTGTAATCCCTAATGTCAGTCGTGGGGCGTGATGGGAGGTTCATGGGGGCAGATCCTTCCTGGCTGGGTGCTGTCCTCCCAATATTGAGTGTGTTTTCTTGAGATCTGGTCATTATAAAGTGTGGCATCCTCCACCTTTTCTCCTGCTTTCACTATGTGAAGTGCCTGCTTCTGCTCCTCCTTCCGCCATGAGTAAAAGCTTCCTGAGGCCTCCCCCAGAGCTAATGCTGGCACTATGCTTCCTGTACAGTCTACAGAACCATGAGCCAATTAAATCTCTTTTCTTATAAATTACCCTGTCTTAGGTATTTCTTTATGGCAATGCAAGAATGGCCTAATACAGAGGCCACTTTTGTTGTGGTTGCTCTTCTAATATTGTGTTCCTAGACACAGGTCCATGAGCAAAAGAATGTTATGATTAAGTAAAAATCAGAGCCCTGAGGAAAATAAATCCAGGCCCCTATTTGTGCCCAGAAATAATGCTTGTAATCTTTGAGTTTAATCAAGGAGGCATTTCACCCACTCCTAATCCTTTTCTTCAAGTCTTTATTTCCTTCTTTCTTGGTAATTCTCATGTCAGACACACATAATGCTGCTTCCCAGTCTTCTTGGTGTTCTTTGATTGTATCCAAGCCCTCAAAAGTCTTGGATATGGTCATCAACTGACCATATCTATCTGTCTATCTAATCTATCTGTAAAGGGGTACAAGTACAGATTTGTTACATGGATATATAACATAGTGGTGAAGTCTGGGTTTTTAGTGTAACCATCACCTTAATAGTGTGCACTGCACCCATTAGATAATTTCTCATCCCTCACTCCCACCCCACCCTTCCACTTTTTTGAGTGTCCAGTGTCTATTATTTCACTCCCTACGTCCGTGTGCATGCATTATTTAGCTCCCACTTGTAAGCTTGAAAACATGAGACATTTGACTTCCTCTTTCTATTTCACTAAAGATAATGGCTTCCAGTTCCATCCATGATGACTCTGCTTTTTGCCAAAGTTTTCTTACTTGTCAGAACTGGCTGCAACAGCCATTTGGAATAACACATCCATTTATTCTTGTTTTTCAATCCTATGTGGGATATGCAAAATGCCAAGACATTTTGTAACAGGGTCATAGGATGTTCCATTTTGGTGGTGGGAGAAATATTGTGTATTATTTTCTACTTGTCTGTTTTCTCTCCTTTTTTGGATTTGTTACATCAGTTATGGTTAGAGTCACTGTCTTTGTATATTTGCAATTATAATTCCCATGCAGTGTTTCTTGTCTACATAAATTTCTATCTGGGTCATTCTTGCCTTCTGTGACTCAGAGAAAGTCTTGAAGTGCCAAATTCCTTAGTCTTTTCTAATCTCTTTTTATTATTCTTTCATGTTAAATCTTAGTAGCAGCTTTTTTGTTCTAGCCTCCTCTTACATTTACTGAAACAGCATTCACTCAATTGCTGGAACACACATGCAAAAATAACTGCCAATAAAGAGGCTGAGGGAGTTCTCCTTACAGTGATGTGCCAGTATGCACCTTACATGCATGCACTGTGCTTATTCCAAATGTTTTAAGATGATTTTTTTGGTTTGTTATTTTGACAAACTATCTTTATGTTATGAATTTATTTTATGGGAAACTGATATACAGATGATTTGAGCAACCTGCTCAGGGTCCATGAAGTCCCGATGGGTCCAAGACGGGGTGGAAACTGGGCACCTGTTTATTCCAAATCCTCAACTCCTGTCCTATTTTGGCTACAATTTAGATGAGAACAACAGAATACAGGAGAGCAATAGAGGGCTACACCTACTATTAAATGAATTCCACCTTCAACAATAAAGTTTTTCAACTGAGGAGTGTCCATTCACTGATAGCTTGTGAGGGCAGAGAAACCAGCGGGAATTCTGCCCTTGACTCTGGGCGTGGCACTTTGAAGGATCACCCGACACTGGGTTCTCCATCTGTACCATGCCATTTCTAACTCATGACAACTACACTCCTCACAAGTGGACTGTAAAAATCAATAAAATGTTTTTGATTTTGTTTTGTTTAAAAGTGTTTTTGGATCTTTAAGTGAAAGGGATTGTGTAAGTACAAGTGAGGTGTTACTGTTTTCAAATAGAAAAGATTAATTTACCTAGCACCACTTATTTCCTTTGAAATTTTTCATTGAGCAGAGAATATATTCCAAGTGAGTAATTATTTTAGTGCTGTGGTTCTTGACTGCATACCATCAGAGGGCTTTTATTTATTATACTTGGTATGATATTTGATGTAAGAGTACTTTCAAAATGGAGAACAGTAAAATGATAATGATTTTAAACATAGTGTATTCAATATTTAGTATAGTCTAATAAAGATTCATAAGAACCATCTTTCTTATTGATTGACTCTATTGCTCCTTGGTTTTCAATATTCATGGCTCTAAATTACAGGCAAAATTTTGAAAACGTTTTCTCATGATAAATTTGAAAATTATTTATAAAGATTACTCAGATTATCATATAAAAGTATACTTTTACTATACTTTTATACTATACTATACTAAAAGTATACTTTTATTTTCTGAACATAAAAGGAGTTTTTCGACTGGCAAGTGAAAATCTATATCCTTTTGTTGTTTTCTTCATGTTTTGCATCCCCACTATTGATATCTTAAGTTGAAAATAATAATTAGAAAGAAATGAAATCTTGTGCTCAGTTATTACCAAAACACATAAGCATGAGGTTGCGTTAAGGGAAGGTATGACTGAGGGAAGGTGATGAGCAAGCAGTGATGACCTCTGGAAGATGGGGCAATTGCATGGTGAGGCTGCCATGCTCGGGATGCTCCCAGGGGATGTGTATTCACATCCTTGCTTATGTTCAAGTCAGAGGAACGTCATGGTGATGCTGAAGTGAGAACTTACTCCTTTATATTTAGAGGAGTAAGTTCTTGCATGTTCCTTTTTGATAAAATTACGAGAAATTAAACTCAAAATATAAATGTGAACTTCGAACACAATACTGTTGAACTAGATTTGTTTTATAGCCACGTAGCTGGTACAATAAGTCAGTCAGTGACAAGGAACAGCCGAGGCCCACTGAACCAACAGCGCTGTCCTGAACAAGGGCTAGTTGACTTTTATGACTTACACCTCACTCCCGACAAGGCTGACAGAATTCCCTACTTTAGCCATGGCTTTATATTCTCACGTTAGTGTGAAGTCTTGTTGGAAACATTAAGCAAATAATATGTGTATGGTTAACTAACTTTTCAATAAGTGCAAATGTTTTCCCTTTAGCAATTTAAAGCTACTAAACATAGCTATCATTTTCAGGGTAATATAATAAAATTTAGATACAGTTATAAAAATTAGTCTTATGAATTGGGTATCTACAAAACATTTTACAAAACTGTCAGATAATAAAACTTTCTTAATTTATTAAAATGTATACAGTTGTTTTAGGAAGTGTTTTAGTTTCTAAATCCAGAGAATAGCACAATTTCTTTACTTTCAGGTTTGTCTCTTCCAGTAACGTGATATTGATGCAAATTTCCAAATTAATACAATGAAGTGATTTTTTTATTTGCAAATTGGTATCTTTAGATTTAATTTGTGTTTGTGTATTTGTTTTTCCATGTTTGTAAGGACTTTTTGTGCATGAATAATTTTGATTAAAAGTTATTAAATTTATGGCATTTTGTATTCTCCTCCAGTCACATTGGACACTACTTCTTACAATCAGGTATAAGCAATCTAACACCTATCATAAAATATGTTCACATTACCCTTTTATTGCTGGACTTCCTTGCATAGAGTGTGATCCAACTGCCACCATAGACAGACTTGTGAATTCTACTTAGCAAAAGCTCCCTTTTTAACCCATTGGGAGAAATGAAAAAAAGTATTAATCATTTCTGCGCCTTTTTGCCACGCATCTTTTGGCAAGAATGGAGGTATATCATAAATCTCTTTGGTGATCTATTTTATTTCATGAGGAAAAATGTGACAGAAAAATTAGTGAAGTATAGTATAACTTGGCAAAAATGAATAACTTGTGTGCCTATCTTAGGAAACACCATAAAGAAATGAAAAGAGCCATCGCCTTCCTGTTACAGTCTACATGTAGCAATTCCAGAGGGGGACCTTCTAACTGGGACTTTGAGCATTATAAAAAAGGAAAGCTTGGCTTCTGTCCTTTAGAGCAAGTGGAAAACACAGAGAACACATGCCTATCCATATTGATGCCAAGGAGTTTACAAAAGAAAAAAGCCAACTCCTGGGGGAGCTGCGTGGATCACACGTCACATTTATAAGCCTCCTTTGGGCAGCAAAGCTTCTACCACTCTTTTGAGTAATCCAAAAATATTGAAATACCACCACCACATTACAGCTTCCTTGTTCTGTAACACATAAACAAAGCAAACTGGAACACTTCAGTGCTTACAGCTTTTTTGTTTGTTTGTTTTTGCTTTTGGGACAGGGTCACACTCTGTCACCCAGGCTGGAGTGCAGTGGTGCCTTCATAGCTCACTGCAGCCTCCAACTCCTGGGCTCAAGTGATTCTCCCACCTCAGCCTCCCAAGTGGCTGGGACTATAGGTGGGTGCCACCATGCTTGGCTAACTAAAAAATTGTAGACACAGCCATAAAAAAGAATGAAGTAATGAATTAATGCAGGAACAGTAAACCAAACACCATATGTTCTCACTTATAAGTGGGATCTAAATATTGGGTACTCATAGTTATAAAAATGACAACGATAGACACTGGGGACTACTGGTGAGGGAAGGGAGGGAGGGGGGTGAGGGTTGCAAAACTATTGGGTACTATGTTCAGTACTTTGGTGATGAGATCAATAGGACCGCAAACCTCAGCATTATGCAATATACCCAGGTAACAAACTGCATATGTACCCCCTGAATCTAGAATAAAAGTTGAAACTATAAAGAAATTAAAGAAAATTTTTATCTTTGGAGAGGGAGCCTTGCTAGAATGCCCAGGCTGGTCTCAAACTCCTGGCCTCGAGTGATCCTTTTGCCTAGGCCTCCCAAAGCACTTGAATTACAGGCATGAGCTACTGCACCTGGCCATACTTACAGTTTTAATTCTACATTTCTCTGAAACAAATAAGGATTCATTTCACCTCACATTTATTTATAATAGACATAGTGCACATTAAGGGAAAACCACTTTTCCAGTTTTAAAGTGGCTTCTCAAAAACATGGTTAATTTGAAAATGTGTCTACTCTGTGCAAGATATGCAATGAGTTAAGTGATTCTTAAAATCTGTTTATTGGTTAATAGAATCCTGGAGTCAAAAATGTAACAGACAAGGTAAATCAGGGGAAATTAAATATTACCACTCAAAAGATTCATCATAGAAATTAATAGTCCCTTTTAACAGTTGTACTTCTTGCCTGCATGCCTAGGCGTCTGGATTCCAACGCCCTGGTTTGTGACTGTGATCTGATGTGGCTGGGGGAGCTTTTACAAGGCTTTGCCCAACACGGCCACACCCAGGCTGCGGCTACCTGCGAATATCCCAGGAGACTCCATGGGCGTGCAGTTGCTTCAGTAACAGTAGAGGAATTCAATTGCCGTACGTAAATTTCAATGTGTACATAAGATAGAACTGTCTCTCATTTGCTCTCTTTTTGTAAAGGTTTATTATATAATATTGCATTTTAGAAGAACGTGTTATCAGAAAGTGTTTTTAAGGAATGTGGTAAAAGTATGGCCAATTTCCTTTCCATCATCTGCATTTTCATTTAAAGAAGTTTTTATCAACATAAAATTAAGAGCTGAGAGAGTCTTTGAGGAAGATTTAATCTAATTTCCGTAATTTCAGAGGAGAAATATTGAGAAAACTGATTTTCAACAAGGTCACCAGAAGTGGTGTCCAACGTTAAAATCTCCACTTATTCCTTGGTATGACTTAGTGTTAATAATCAGTAATTTAGGGGTTTCAACTTTAAATCAAATAATTGCTAATATTCATTGCTGAGAAAGCCCTCAACAAATTCAGTAATTGATTTTTTAAATGTATAATGGGACCATGAATACGACTAAAATAATGAAAATCAGTTTTACCATCTCTTTGTAAATTTTTAAATAATGGAAACCTTGGATTTAATAAGCATATGGTTATATTCTGACAACCTTACTAAAGCAATAAGCTTTACCTAAATAATTTATTACGGCTGCTTACAATATTATTTGATTTTCATTTAAAGCTTTTCATGTGAATATAAGAATATGTCTCTATGTATCTCTATTCCTATATTTCGGTTTAAATAGAAATAAATGAATACCTTCGTGTGTGTGTGTGCATGTGTGTGATAATTCGTGTCTTGGAGATTCACTCACATGACTGCTGTAATTACAGCAAAAATTTGCTTTCCACTCCCTCGCTGGCAAGCCATTTTTTGAATTTCTCTAAACAAGTAATTAAAAATCATATCAATATAATTAATTTATATTCAAATTGACAAGAAAATTGACTTGGTCTTTACTGCCAAAAAATTCTCAAGCTTGTCCATAGCTCCCATCTTTACTACTAACTTCCAGTTCAAACCACAGTCAAGTTTGGCTGGATTGCTTCACATCTTAACTGATATCCCAGCTTTCATTTTTCTTGCTCCTTTATGTTTGGGAAAATTGTTTAAAAACACATCTTAATACATCATTTCTTCATCTATAATCCTTATACAGGTTCCTACCTTAAAATAAAGCACAAAATTCTTAACATGGTTGATTCTTTTTGTACGGTCCTTGCTGGCTACACTCTGCTCCTCCAGTCACTTACTGTTTTTTTTTTTTTTTTTTAAATTAGACATTAAGTTTTAGGGTATGTGTGCTCAGTGCGCAGGTTAGTTACATATGTATACATGTGCCATGTTGGTGTGCTGCACCCATTAACTCATCATTTAACATTAGGTATATCTCCTAATGCTATCCCTCCAGTCACTTACTCTTTTCTCAGTGTTGTAGCCAACTCAGTGTTCTCCATTCTTGGAAGTTCTTAAGCCTTTCTTCAACCCAAGGACTTTTTACATGCTGTCTTTCCTGCCTACAATATTCTGATTCTACTTCTTTTAATGGTCCTCCTTTTAAATATGAATTACATGGAAAGCCTTCATTCAAACCCCCTTCCCACTGACCTACCTATCCCTCCATACTGAATCAGGTCCCTTTTTATAATCCATCAAAACATCGTTTATTTTCCATCTAAGCATTTGCCGCATATGTTAATATGTATTTGTGTGTGTGTGTGTGTGTGTGTGTGTGTGTGTGTGTTTATTTTCTACTGCTTCAATGAAACTGTAAACCCCTTGGTACAGAGACCTTGTCTATTTTGAACACTGCTTCATCACTAGTCCTAGCGCCTTGTCTGGCACATAACTGACGTTGAATTTTTTTTTAAATTACACAAATGAATAAAATCATTTATCTAAAAAGAATAAAGCCAAGATATTAATTATATGGAGTTTTAATGAAGTAAGCAAGATTACTAAAGATCTACGGAATGTTCTACAGACATAATAGTCATGGTTAATGACAGGAAATTTCAGATAAGGCACTTATAAAAGGAAGAGTTTTATTATTTAGAAAGGTTTAAAGAGAATTAGGTGAAACTATAGAAAACTAAAAGTCCCTTTTGTACATTGTTCTTTATAATTTAAGTTCAATAATACTACCTGATTCATTACAAAATCAATCACTCCATCTTCTTATTGAAATAATTTAAGTGTTTTCATGTTTTACCACTCAATTATTATTGGAAGATGGAATCATTCATTTATATAGATAAGAATTTTGCTCAACCAGTTTTGAGGTCTAGACATATCACTTGTTGTAAATTGTGTAAAGTGGGTGGTTGGGTGCTTAGATAGCTAATTGTCTAGGAAGAGTGCCTGCAAAACTGCAAGCTCAGTTTAAGTACTTGGTTTGAAAAATTGACCCATAAAATCAAACTCCTTCCATAAATATGGTTGTATTGAGCTCCTAGAAATAAAAGCACAGGAAAATTTACTTAATTTACTTCATTGGAGATCCCTTTGTGCAGTGAATTTTTCAAACTTCTAAAGTATAAGTCAAATATATGTCTAATCTCTAACCTGGTACATGTATTACCGGGTAAATGCAGTTCGATGTGTAAAACTTTAATGTAGAAATAAATTTAAATTGCCTATATCTCTTTCTCAGCATCTTGGAAGGCCATAATTTTGTATCTCTGAAAAATACATCAATAATTCTTTTGTTGCAGAGAGCCCCCGAATTACTTTTGAGCCGCAGGATGTGGAGGTACCATCAGGAAATACCGTCTACTTCACCTGCCGGGCGGAAGGAAACCCCAAACCTGAGATTATTTGGATACACAACAAGTAAATACTGAGCATGGACATGGGTTGTGATTCTCCTTCTGATTCCAGCAATCTTTTTAACTCAATTTAACTCCTTTATCTAGAGAAGAAATTACTAAAATTTTCAGAGTTTCTTAAAGATAAAATGCCTTTTAACTTTTATCTGTTGACTTACTCAAGCTATGTTAAGGCCTTTTTCTTAAAACTTACACATTTCCGGCCGGGCGCGGTGGCTCATGCCTGTAATCCCAGCACTTTGGGAGGCCGAGGTGGGCGGATCACACACAAGGTCAGGAGATCGAGACCATCCTGGCTAACACGGTGAAACCCCGTCTCTACTAAAAATACAAAAAATTAGCTGGGCGTGGTGGTGAGCGCCTGTAGTCCCAGCTACTCGGGAGGCTGAGGCAGGAGAATGGCGTGAACCCGGGAGGCGGAGCTTGCAGTGAGCTGAGATCGTGCCACTGCACTCCAGCCTGGGCAACAGAGCAAGACTCCATCTCAAAAAAAAAAAACCAAAAAAAAAAATTATGCATTTCCAGACCTCAGTGATTCTGAAACTGACTAAAATAATTCTGTGTTATTTCTAGAAGGAAATGTTGGGATTAATAACAAACTAGTTTGTTTTAAAGCTGAATATAATTTGATGTAGCCACATCTAAGTTGTTTCAGATTTAAACTGATAGTTCGTATTTGACATTGCAACTTTCCTATGGTAAATCAGTATAGGATTATTTAAGCAAACTGGCAAAAATGACATGCAAAATTATTTAAATGGCTAGTCATTTATTTTATGCCCATGGTACTGTTTGATAAAACATAAAACCAATGAGTCCAAAAACCTGTGAGCATAAAATTAAATAGTAATAACAAATGTTAAAAAAGTTAAATGTGATCACCATTCTAACTGGCGTGAGATGGTATCTCGTTGTAGTTTTGATTTGCTTTTCTCTAATGACCAGTGATGAAGAGCTTTTTTTCATGTTTGTTGGCTGCATAAATGTCTTCTTTTGAGAAGTGTCTGTTCATATCCTTTGCTCACTTTTTGATGCTTTTTTTTTTTTTTTTGTAAATTTGTTTAAGTTCCTTGTAGATTCTGGATATTAGCCCTTTGTCAGACGGATAGATTGCAAAAATCTTCTCCCATTCTGTAGGTTGCCTGTTCACTCTGATGACAGTTTTTTTTTTTGCTGTGCAGAAGCTCTTTAGTTTAACTAGATCCCATTTGTCAATTTTGGCTTTTGTTGCCATTGCTTTTCATGTTTTCGTCATGAAGCCTTTGCCCGTGCCTATGTCCTGAATGGTATTACCTAGCTTTTCTTCTAGGGTTTTTATGGTTTTAGGTCTTACATTGAAGTCTTCAATCCATCTCGAGTTAATTTTTGTATAAGGTGTAAGGAAGGGGTCCAGTTTCAGTTTTCTGAATATGGCTAGCCAGTTTTCCCAATACCATTTATTAAATAGAGAATCCTTTTCCCATTTCTTGTTTTTGTCAGGTTTGTCAAAGATCAGATATTTGTAGATGTATGGCACTATTTCCGAGGCCTCTGTTCTGTTCCATTGGTTTGTATATCTGTTTTAAAACTGAACTGGTAGTTAACATAAAATAGAAACATTAAGTGCACTATATACCTAATACAATTCAACGATAGCACTTGGACAATTATATTATCATTAGTTATGGTAATGATAATTACCATGGTTTTCATGTGTCCCTTCCATTCTTGCACAGACTTTCACTGACTTTCTTTTGTCACGTGTATAATCAACTCTGATTTTTTTTGCTTGTTTGTATAAAACATTCTAAAATATATTATACAACTTTTTTGCTTTTTGTGTGTAATTTGGATTTATAATTGTAGCCAGAAACTCAGCCATGTGTTTTAAATTCTTGTAAAAAGTCTAGTAAGTGTAGGTTAAAAATAGCTTGTATAGAAGGCAATTATGAATACTATTAAATCTGGAAACTAGCCCACGAGAAAGACTTCAATTGATAGAAGTGTTCAATTTATTTCCTTCTTTAGATTGCTCAAGTGCACTTGATAAACAGAAATCGCTGCTTGTAATGTCTTAAAACTGCTTTTTCTGCTTTCTTACAATTTAAATTTTAAAATGGTGTGTTCAAGGTTACAAAGATACTCACTAGTATTTAGAAAGAAACAAGTGAAAAAATCACATTGCCTGTTTTAACTTATGACATAAAAGTTTCAAATATAGTGACTAAAGAAGCTAAGATGTATTTGAAAGGAAAACAAAGAAATCTAAAAAGAAAGAATAGAATAAAGAAAAGTATGGGTAAAAATGTCTGTCAAAATGTTAATCATTTTATACCAAAAAATTAAAGATGAAAGAGAAGAGTTTATGACAAGAAATGTTTAACATGAGTAACTATTAACTTACTGATTATTTACTGTTGAGTATTTTTTATAGAAAGATAATATATATCCTGAAAGTGCATGGAGCATAAAGTGTGGTATAGCAAATTATTTTAAACAAACATCTGTTCAACATGAACCAGGCTAAGAAAAAATACCCCAACTCAGAAGCTACCCATGTTTCCTTTCATTATCATTATCCTTTTCTACTCCCCTGGAGAGGACCTGGATTTAGGGTCCTTAGAGGAGTGGATTAAAAACTGATTAGACACAACCAGAGGTAGAAATGGAGGATTAGAAAGTAGGTATGTGGGAATAACCAGATTTAAGTGTGGTTAAGAGACATCGAGACTACAATGCAAAGGTCTGGTGTCTATCCAGTAGGAGTTCCAGAAAGACAGGTAGGAAAGAATGAGCTAAACGCAACATTTGAAAAGGTAATGATAGAATTATCCAGAAATAAAAAAATCAGAAAATTTCAGAATGAGAATTATATTGCTTCCAAAATAGGATTTAAAAAATAAATCTATACTCTTCACTGTGATCACAACATTGAAAGTCAGAGACAAAATCTTTCATTCCCAAGTAATCTGCAGATTACCTTCAAATGTACAGCAGTTATATTTGCGGTAAACTTTACATCAGACAGACGACAATGAAATATATTTAGAGTGTTAAGGAAAAATAACTGATTTCCTTCAGTTTTACATCCAGGTAAATTATCTGACAAGGTGAAATAAAAACATTTTCAGGCAAAGAATAGAGCTTTATTCAGGAGTATTTGCTGAAAGAGCTTCAAGTGGTTGTGTTTCAGTAAGTAGGAGTTTGATCCAATAAGAAAGATGTGATTTGCAAAAAGCAAAGTTGAACAAAGAAAGTTTTAAACATGTTGATAAATATGAATACACTTAGATTATTAAGGACTGAACAACTTTAAAGTAAGAAAAAAGTAGAACGTTAGACAATATTAATAGAAGAGTTATAAGGAGAGAGAACATAGTTAAATTATTTTACATGCCTCATTTTTGAGGTGAAGAGTGATACTGTGAATTCTGTTAAGTCAAGAGTGCATATTAACAATTAAGATGGAATATTAACAAATAGAAAGATCCTTCCAGACTAGGAGGAGAAAAAAAGTGGATAAAGAAAACTGGATCAATCCACAAAAGGGAAGCAGGGATGGATTAAAAAGGCAGAGAAAAGGCTTGGGAAAGAGAAAATATAAAATAACTCATCAGAAATAAATTTAAATACATTCGTGAAAACAGTAGTCTATTGGAAGACATAATATTGAATTTTAAAATCCAGCTATATGCTATTTATAAGAGGTGTATCTGAAACATTATGACACTGAGAGGTGGAAAGTCGATAGGTAAACAAATATATCAACCAAGTTATACTGATCAAGATAAGGATGATGTAAGACTATTATAGTGTAATCACAAATCATTAGATCATACTTAATGATAAAAGATGTAATTCACCTGAATTTAAAATTCATGAACCTTTATATACCTAACAAAATAGCTGATGAAGAATAAAACAAGATTGAGAGAATTATAAGGATGTATTTACGGAAATCCAATTATAGCAAGAAATTTTAATACTGCTTTCCCAGAACGATTAGGAACAAAAATTAGCAGCAATATCTAAACATAGCTTAAAACACTGATGATATCTACTACATACAAAGCTAAACCTTACTATCTTTTCAAGCAGTTATGGAACACTTATCAAGATTGATCACATGCAAAGATACAAAATCTCAACTCATAGCCAAGAATCAATTTCATAAAAATCCCTTTCTTTTATTACAATTTAAACAAGTTTTAGAAAACAGCCATTTGTCAAGATAATTTTAGAGATTCTTTACGTCTCTCAGTAGAAAAATGAAATGATTACCAGCACTTAATAAGTAGTTTTAGAATAATTGAATAGATTCAAAGATGAGAGAAACCTGCCAGGCTGAAGGAAGAATAATTAAAAGCTCAGAACGAAGGTTAGTTTCAGGAAAGTGTGTAGAGCAAATTTGTGAGAATTAAGGTTTTACCTTGGGGAGAAATAGAAAAAGATTGCATAATAATGGCAAAACTAATGACTTGGGCTTTCAGTTTATAAACTTTGAGACCCATTAGAAGATGTTGAGCAAGACAATGACTTGATGAAAGAGATTTAAAAGCCAACCAGACTTTTCTGTTTCTTTTTCAACTTTTATTGCACATTCTGGAGGTACAAGTGCAGGTTTGTTACAAAGGTATACTACATGATGCTGAGGTTTGGAATATGACAGAACCACTACCCAAGAAGTGAGCATAGTAACAAATAGGTAGTTTTTCAACACTTATGTCCCTCCCTACCTCTCCATCATGTATTCCCCAGTGTCTAATATTCCCATCTTTATGTCCATATGTACCCAATATTTAGTGCCCACTTACAAGTGGGAATATTTGTAGGTCTGTAGACTTACAATATTTAGCTCTCACTTACAATGAGAATATTTGTAAGTTTGTAAAGACAAACAGAATTTGTTTGTTGTCGTTGTTGTTCCTGCATTAGTTCACTTAGCATAATGGCCTTCAACTGCATTCAAGTTGTTGCAAAGGACATGATTCCATTCTTTTTTATGGCTGCACAGTATTCCAAGGTGTGTATGTAGTACATTTTCTTTATCCAGTCCACCATTGATAGGAACCTGTGTTGATTCTATGTTTTTGCTATTGCTAACGGTGCTGTAATTAACATACAGACACATGGGTCTTTTTGGTAGAAGGATTTATTTTTCTTTGGGTATCCAGTAATGGGGTTGCTGTGTTGGATGGTAGCTCAACTTTTACTTCTTTGAGAAATCTTCAAACTGCTCTCTGCAGTGGCTAAACTAATCTACATTTCCAACAGTGTGGAAGCATTAGCTTTTCTCTGCAGCCCCAACAAGACCTGTTATTTTTTGACTTTTTAATGAAAGCCATTCTGGCAGGTGCTAGATGGCATATTACTGTGGTTTTGATTTGCATTTATCTGATGATTTGTGATAATGAACATTTTTTCATAAGTTTGTTGGCTGCCTGTGTGCCTTCCTGTGGGAAGTGTCTGTTCTTGTAGTTCGCCTGCTTATTAATAAGGTTATTTGTGTTTTGTTTGTTGATTTGTTTAAGTTCCTTGTAGATTCAGGATATTAGGCTTTTGTCAGATGTGTAGTTTGTGGATACTTTCTCCCAGACTGTAAGTTGTCTATTTATTCTGTTGATAGTTTATCTTGCTGTGCAGAAGCTCTTTAGTTTAATTAGGTCCCACTTGTCAATTTTTGTTTTCATTGCAATTGCTTTGAGGACTTAGCCATAAATTCTTTGCCAAGACTGATGGTGAGAAGGGTATTTCTTAGGTTTTCTAAAATTTTTACAGTTTGAGGTCTTATATTTAAGTCTTTAATCCATCCTGAGTTGATTTTTGTATATGGTGATATATAGGGGTCTCGTTTCATCTTTCTGCATATGGATAGCCAGTTCTCCCAGCACCATTTATTGAATAGGGAATCCTTTTCCATTGCTTAGTTTTGTTGACTTTGTTGAAGATCAGATGGATGTAGAGGTGCAGTTTTATTTCTGGGTTCTCTATTCTGTTCTGTTTGTCTATGTTTCTGTTTTTGTACTAGCACCATGTTTTGTTTAGTGTAGCCTTGTAGAATAGTTTGATGTTGGATAATGTGATGCTTCCAGCTTTGTTCTTTTTGCTTAGAATTGCTTTGGCTACTCAGGCTCTTTTTCTGTTTCATATGAATTTTAGAATAGGTTTTTTTTTTCTAAATCTGTGAAAAATGACATTGGTGTTTTGATAGGAATAGCATTGAATTTGTAAATTGCCTTGGGCAGTATGGCCATTTGAACAATATTGATTCTTCCAATTTATGAGCATGAAATGCTTTCTTATTTATTGGTGTCATCTGTGGTTTCTTTCAACAATGTTTTGAGTTCTCCTTGCAGCAATATTTCACTTACTTGGTTAGATGTAGTTCTAGATATTTTTTCTTTTTGTGGCTATTGTAAGTGAGATTACATATTTGATGTGGCTCTCAGCTTGAACATTATTGGTGTACAGAAATGCTACTATTTTTTACACATTGATTTTGTATCCTGAAAATTTACTGAAATCCTTTATCAGTTCTAGGAGGCTTTGGTGGAGTGTAGGGTTTTCATGGTATAGAATCATATTATCAGCAAATAGAGATAGTTTGACTTTTCTTCTATTTGGATGTCATTTATTTCCTTCTCTTACCTGATTGCTCTGGCTAGGACTTCCAGTACTATGTTGAATAGGAATGGTGAAAGTGGACATTCTTGTCTTGTTTTGGTTCTCAAGGGGAATGCTTCCAGCTTTTGCCCATTCAGTATGATATTGGCTGTGGGTTTGTAATTGATGGCTTTTATTATTTTGAGGTATGTTGCTTTGACGCCTAGTTTGTTGAGGTTTTTTTTTTATCATGAAGGAATGTTGGATTTTATAGAAAGCTTTCTCCACATCTATTGAGATGATCATATAATTTTTTAAAATTCTGTTTATGTGGTGAATGACATGTATTGATTTGCATATGTTGAAACAACTTTGTATCTCAGGAATAAAGCCTACTTGGTCATGGTAAATCAACTTTCTGATGTACTGCTGGATTCAGTTTGCTAGCATTTTGTTGAGGATTTTGGGATTTATGTTTATCAGGGATACTGGCCCATGGTTTCCTTTTTTGTTGTGTCTCTGCCAGATTTTAGTATCAGGATGATATTCACTTCATAGAATGAGCGAGGGAGGATCCTTCTTCCTTGACTTTTTAGAATAGGTAAAGTAGAATTCGCACAAGCTCTTCTTTGTATGTCAGGTAAAATTTGGCTGTGACTCCATGTAGTCCAAGCCTTTTTTGATTGGTAGGATTTTTATTACAGATTCAATTTCAGAACTCATTATCATTATTATTGTTATTATTATACTTTAAGTTCTGGGATACATGTGCAGAACGTGCAGGTTTGTTACATAAGTATACATGTGCCTTGGTGGTTTCTGCACCCATCAACCTGTCATCTACATTAGGTATTTCTCCTAATGCTATCCCTCCCCTAGCTCCCCACCCCGCGACAGGCCCTGGTGTGTGATGTTACCCTCCCTGTGCCCATGTATCAGAACTCATTATTTATCTATTCAGGGTTTCAGCTTCTTCCTGGTTTAATTTGGGAGGTTGTGTGTTTATGGGAATTGTCCATTTCCTCTTAATAGACTCTCTGGTCTTTTGTATTTCTGTGGGAATTGTTGTAGTATCATCTTTGTCATTTCTGATTGTGCTTATTTGAAACATCTCTCTTTTTTTCTTTGTTAATCTAGCCAATGTTCTAGCAATCCTCTTTATCCTTTCCAATGACCAACTTTTGGTTTCATTGATCTTTTGTATGGATCTTGTGTCTCAGTTTCATGTAGTTCTGCTCTGATTTAGAGATGGGGTCTCACTCTGTCACCCAGGCTAAATTGTAATGGTGCAACCATGGCTTACTGCAGCCTTGACCTCCCGGGCTCAAACAATCATTCCACCTCAGGCTCCTGAGTAGCTGAGACTACAGGCACATGCCAGCACACCCAGCTAATATTTTCATTTTTTGTAGATACAGGGTCTTGCTGCATTGCCTAGGCTGGTCTCAAACTCCTGGGCTTAAAAAGTCCTCCTGCCTCAGCCTCCCAAAGTGCTGGTATTACAGGCATGAGCCACTGTGCCCAGTCAGTTATATTTTTTCTTCTGCTTCACTTTTGGGTTAGTTTATTTTAGGTTTTTTTTTTTTTTAGTTCCTTTAGATTGTTAATTTGAGATCTTTCTTAACTTCATGTAGGCTTTTAGCTTTATAAACTCTCCTCTTAACATTGCTTTTGCTGCATTCTAGAGATTTTGGTATGTTGTGTTTCTATTTTAATGAATTTCAAAGAATTTTTTGATTTGTTTTAATTTTGTTGTTTACCCAAAAGTCATTCAGGATTAAGTTGTTCAATTTCCGTATTTTGAGAGATATTCTTGGTATTCATTTTTTATTTTTATTACACTGTGTCTGAGAGTATGGTTGGTATGATTTTGATGTTTTTGCATTTATTGAGACTTGCTTTATGGCTAAGTACATGGTCATCTTCCATGTACAGATGAGAAGAAAGTATATTCTGTTATTATTGGATAAAGTGTTCTGTAGCTATCTATCAAGTCTGGTTGGTCAAGTGTCAAATTTAATTCAGAATTTCTTTGCCTTCTTGTTGAATTGAACTAATTATCATTATGTAGTGCCCTTATTTGTCCTTTTTTTATAATTGGTGGTTTAAAGTCATTTTATCTTATGTAAGAATAGCAACCTCCTACCCTTTTTTGTTTTCCAATTACATGAGAAATCTTTCTCCATCCTTTTACTTTGAGCCTTTGAGTGTCATTACATGTGAGATGAGTCTGTTGAAGACAGCAAAAGATTGGGTCTTTTTAAAAATCCAACTTGCCACTCTGTGCCTTTTTAATGGACCATTTAGACTATTTACATTCAAGGTTAATATTGATATGTGATGTTTTGATCTTCTTGTTTAGCTTGTTGTTTGGTAGGCTTGACTGTGTAGTTGCTTTATAGGGTCTATCTATGGGGTATGTACTTAAATATGTCTTGGTGATAGTAGGCATCATTCTTTTGTTTCCATGTTTAGAACTCCCTTAAGGTCCTCTTATAAGGCTGTTCTAGTGTTAACTAATTCTCTTAACATTTGCTTGTCTGGGAAGAATTTTATTTATCCTTCACTTATAAAGTTTAGTTTGGCTGGATATGAAATTCTTGGTTGGAATTTCTTTTCTTTAAGTATTTTGAGAAAAGGTCCAAAATCTCTTCTGGCTTGCAAGGTTTCTGCTGAGAAGTCTGCTGTTAGCCCTATGGGGCTCCCTTTGTAAGAAATCTAACCCTTTTAGGTTTTTTTTTCATGTTGACCTCACAGAATCTGATGACTGTGTGTCTTGGGGGCATCTTGTGTAATATCTTGCAGGGATTCTCTGAATTTCTTGAATTTGCATGCTGATGTCTCTAGCAATATTGGGGAAATTTTTGTGGACTATATTCTCAGATATGTTTTCCCAGTTGTTTACTCTTCTTCATTTTCTCTCAGGAATGCCAATGAATTGTAGGTTTGGTCTCCTTATGTAATCCCATATTTCTCAGAGATTTTATTCCTTCTTTTTAATTCTTTTTTCTCTCTTTTTGTCTGACTGGGTTGATTCAAAGAACCAGTTTTTGAGCTCTGAGATTCTTGCCTCAGCTTGGTCTGTTCTGTTGTTAATGCTTCTAACTGTATTATGAAATTCCTGTAGTGATTTTTTCAATTCCAGAAGTTCAATTTGGTTCTTTCTTAAAATGTCTACATTATCTTTCAACTATTGAGTCATTCTATTGGCTTCCTTGGATTAGGTTTCAACTTTCTCCTTATCTCATTGAGCTTCCTTGCCATCCAGATTCTGAATTTTATGTCTGTCATTTCAGCCATTTCAATCTGGTTAGGATCCATTGCTGGGGAGTCAGTACAGTCATTTGGAAGTAATAAGATGCTCTGACTTTTTTAATTGCCTGAGTTTTTGCACTGATTCTTACTCATTTGAGAGGGCTGGTGTTCCTTTATCTCTTTGAAGTTGCTGTCAGTTGTATGGGGCTTTTTGTTTTTATGTTATTTCCCTTGAGGTTTTGACTGTGGTGTATGTTGAATATCATTGAATGACTTTGCTTCTGTGTGCTTTCTAAATATCAAGGCCCTGTGTGGGAACTTAATTTGTGGCTAGATTTTTGCATCGTGTTTCATGGGTGATATGTGCTGAAAGAATTTTTGTTTGGTGGTGTATTTCAGGCTGCAATTGAGTAGATGGTGCTTAAGAGTAAGGGCTGACAGACTCTTCCTCAGCTATGCACTTCTTTTGTATTTCAGCTTGTTCTTATTTGCTACAGTGCTCTAGGGGTGGGGGAGACAGGAAGTGAGAGATATACTTCCTTGCCAAGTCTATTCCTGGGCCTTGGAAGACCCTCCTCCAATCACTGTTGACACACCTACATTTTCTTAGGCCCAAAGGGGCCCTGACAGGCTGTTCTACCCTCACTCTTAGGGGAAACCCGAGCCAAAGGATAGCTTATCACGAGACTTGCAGCTCCCTAGGGGCCCACTGGTCCTCTGTGCTTTGTGATATGTCTATGGGTGGTGTGTTTGTGTAGGAGGTCAATGGCAGAGGACCCCAGGCATGGTGGAGTTGTTTTGGCTATGCAGTTGGTGTAGTGCCCACGGCTTGGGTTTTTTGCCCAGCAGATGGCTGCAGGGACTGCCCAGCCTGTGCTCCTTTGACTAGGTCTCCTGGTGGCTGCCCTCTAGCTTACTCCATCTGCTGGTTTTATCCCAAGCCTTCTGCACCCAGATCGCTGGGCTGTCAGGTGTTTCAGGCCATGGAGCTCCCTCAGGCAGAGGCTGTGGCTAGCAGAAAGGTCACACCCTTCCCATACTAGCCCTGTGGCGGGGAAGCACACCCAGCTCCTGTGCCAGAACACAAATCTGCATTTCACTCTTCTCAGTGTTCTGAGATTGGCAGTTCCTCCTCTGCTCAATCTCTAGTCACAGATCTCAGCTTGATATCCTTCAGCTGTGTGCCTAGACCCTGGGAGGGTGGGATTGGGCCTGTGGTTTTGTCCTTTAGCCCTTTGGGGTCTAGCACTGGCTGTGCTGGGGAGGCTGTAGTGCTCTCAGGCTGCTGGCAAAGCACTCACCCTGGGTAGTGGAGGCTGTGTAGTGTGCATGCTTTTATGGGAGCAGCTGGGTGGGTGCCTTGGGAGGGTCCAGAGACAAGGGAGCATGCAGATCAGATTGGTCCCAGTCCTGTAGGAAAGGCAGCCCTGCTCTATCCCAGCCCAGCAGTCAGCAGGGGCTGGAGTGACTCAGAGCAAGATGGAGAGCCTTGGGGCATGGGCACCTATGGTCACATTTTGCTGGAGTTGCCCCGTGTGTAAAACCTGGGCTCCATGCAGGCTCATGCTCTGCCTCTGCCTTCTCTCCGGCAGATCCTCCACCAATTAAAATGTCTATGGGGGTCGTGGGATCTCTTGCAGCTAGGATCCCAGAGGTCCATTGTGGGGGTGTGGTGCCCTGCAGTTTCCTTCACTCACCTCTTCTTTAGGACCTGATCAGGACTAGGAACGGGTCTTGGCACTTGGCGACTCTGTGCAGGCTTCCCAGCTTCCATCCTATTCAGCCTCAGTGGCTGTGTTTCCCCTCTAGCAACTCTCAGTGTTTTCCCTCAAAAGATCTGTTTAAAGTGTGATGGCTTTTTCAGTATTTTGGCTTCTCTTGGTGGGAGAAGGGCTTCCTGGCTGCATCTAGTTGGCTGTCTTCCACACTTTTCATAATGTTGAGGTTTAGCTATGGAAATTTAGGCCATTCTAAATAAATTCATATTCTAGTAAACATGGTAAATATGATTGACAGTTCCAGTAGATTATAAGCAAACTTTACAACTATACTATAATTTGTGGTTGATGGTGGTTTTGTATATGGAAGATTTTTTTTTTTTTTGAGACAGACAGTCTCACTCTGTTGCCCAGGCTGGAGTTCAGTGGCACAATTATAGTTCACTGCAGGCTTGAACTTCTGAGCTCAAGCAATCCTCCTACCTCAGCCTCCAAGTAGCTGGGACTACAGGCTTATGCCACCATATCTGGCTAATTTTTAGATTTTTTTTGTAGAGACAGGGTCTCACTGTGTTGCCCAGGCTTGTCTCAAGCTCCTGGCCTCAAGCAATCCTCCCACCTCAGCCTCCCATAGTGCTGGCATCACAGGTGTGAGTCACTGTGCGTGACCATAGAAGATAGTTTTAATTTGTGTGGTGATAACTTGTTTGTCAATATTTCTGGTATCTAGCTACAGCACCTAGTTCTTAGAAAGCACTTAACAAATGACTGTTGTAATGAAACACCTTAATAGAAGTTATTTGTATGTCTTCATTAAATCAAATATGTTTATTTGTACATTTTCAAGGAAAAATAGAATATATTCAGATATATTCTACCTCTGCAAACCTTTGTGTTTTTACATATGATTGCTATTTGCATCAAACTGACAATGTGAATGGAATATATTGAAACATGAAGACTTTGATTTTTTGGGAAGGAACATCATGATTCATGAGCAAACAAGTTTTATGAGCATAACGAAGAGGTTATGGACAAAGAGGGAAATTACTAGGAAAAGGAATGATGCATTTTGAATTTATGGGTGTGATGTGCTACTGCCTGTTTTATATCATTTTTAACATAATGAATCCTGGTGAATTCTATTGCATTGTGTAGCCAGATGATAGATAGCACATACACATCTGGTAGCCTTTGAAATTTTGGGCTGCAAAGTTTTGGAACAAAATTCCAGGAACTTAAATCACCTTCTGAAAAATGTGATTTCATCATTTGTCATATTCCTTTGCAAGTAGTCTTATTTGGGTTCAGTGTTAGATAATTTTAGAATTGCATTTAAAATAATTAAATTGCTTAATACTAAATGAGCCCCTTGAATGGGGAACTTTAAGAAAAAATATTATTTCTTGAACTCCTGACCTCAGGCGATCTGCCTGCCTTGGCCTCCCAAAGTGCTGGGATTACAGGCATGAGGCACTGCACCTGGCCTTGAAAAAACATTCTTTCTGATGTTCGTTTCATGCTACTTACACTGAGAAACTTCACGGGTGATATGGATAGGAGCATCCAGTTTCTCCTTTTCTTGCCTTTGTCTTGCATTGCTGGCTTTTCAAAAGCATGCCTGTTTTTTCTGAAACTAATCTGTTCAAAAATGACAACTCGAATTTCTTTTTTGGCTAATTGGTACTTCTTCACATTGGGTTTTTATACCCAATAGCTGAAGAAGATCAGATTGTCTTCATCTTTCCTGCCTTCACTCTGTGATTCCGCTCTAAAACATAAAAGTCAAATATGGCCATTGTCTGTTTCTTTCTTATCTTTCACAACAAAAAATGGTTAGATAAGAATGACAATTTATTCATCTCTTTAACAAACTTTACTGTTTTTACCTATGTGGGAATAGGCTGTTATTCTTTAGTGTGGGTACATTTTGAAATTAGTGGGAAAATGTTTACCTGGCTTTATAAAACAAATACATGAGTTAAAGGGAGAACTATGGAATTCTCCTAATGCACTTTTTCTTTTCTGGGAATGATGTTTTTATGGGTGACAAAACATCGGTGTTTAGAAAATATGTATTGAGTGATGAAGATGGAGGAGAGTAGATTTCCTTTATCTATGCCTAAAACGTTCATTAGTACTAAGTGTACACATGTGAAAATCTATATACCTTCTCATACATAATCATTAAATATTTTTAAAGGAAAAAAATCTTTGCCAGAAAAAAAATCTGTAAACATTTCTAACATATGTTTCTGTGTCAGTAGCTTTGCATTTATTGTTAAAAATAACTCATGCAGGCCCTCCCTTTCTTATGATTATTGATGTGATATGGTGTTGCACATCTGAACCTACTTGCACTCAATGGATTATGCACTTAATTGATAAATGGGACTTTCCTAGTATATCCAAATGGTGCACCTCAGAGAAGGGGGCCTAATATTCAACAACTTGGTAGGTTAGGTTTGTTATTTATTGCTTAGTCATATAATTATACTTGGCTTTGAGCCCGTGCTGGTTTGAATAGGAATATTTTTTTTACACTTTAACAAAATATGAAAGAATACTGAATGACTCATGGAAGGAGGTAAAAGGATTACATATTACCATCTGGTGATTTCTTTTCTGAAAAGTGGGCATTCAAATATATAAAAATGTGCTGAAGTGTCTGTCATATGGGAGCGCTTGCTTCAGTGTCTAAATTCATGCCACTCAGGAAGGCAGAACATCTCAACCTCATTTCCCTCTATCAAATGTTGACTCAGAGCCTTTGTTCAGGGTGTATTCTTGAAATAGGAACAAGATAACTAGGATTTAAAGTGAAATAATTAAAATTATTCAGATAAAATAAATTTAACAAATTTGGTAGACATGAAACATAGCTATATAGTACTATATTCTCAGTCTTGTTAAGAGTTTTAAACATGAATGGGATTAAATAATATACATGTATAACCTATATTTCCAGCCACTCATTGGATTTGGAAGATGATACTCGACTTAATGTGTTTGATGATGGCACACTCATGATCCGAAACACCAGAGAGTCAGACCAAGGTGTCTATCAGTGCATGGCCAGAAATTCCGCTGGGGAAGCCAAGACACAGAGTGCCATGCTCAGATACTCCAGTCTTCCAGGTAAAACTATTATTTTCTAGTTCTATCAATTATCTGCACTGGAAAATGATCTAATATTGCTGCTTTAGAGTATGTAATACTTCAAAGTGAAACTATTCCCATTGACTGTGATTTTTTAAATTTTGTTTTAGAGAAACTTGAATTTTTTTCTCTTGAAGTTTATTTTAATTTCCTGCCTTAGTTCCTTTCTGGTACAGCACATTGTGGTTCCAAGACTTTTCTATTCTCCTTTTGATTCCCCATCCAGCTATCCAGCATCCTTATGCAGAGTGAACCAGTGTTACTTAGGCAGGAATATTACTCTTTTCAAAAATTCATTCAATCATTCATTCATCATGAATTAATCCAACACATATTTATTGAATGCCCACTGAGCTAGCTGTTGAAGATTGCATGGTTATCAACCACGTTCCTTATTCAACTTTCCAGGGGCTTTGCTTTGTCATAATTTCAGTGGCTTATATAAACCAGACATAATGACTGCAACAAATTTTCATTAATAGCATGTTGACATGGTGGAAATACATTGTCTCTCACCTTACTGAGCCCATCATCTATTAGATGATAGCCATAATTCAAGAAATAAGTTTTATGATGTGTAAGGAGAGGGAGAGAAGCATAAAGGACAGTTGTGTGCTGGTAAATGTTTGTAAATTGGCTCTGAGGAGCAGGGAGCCCTGATTTGCAGCATTTGTCAGTATCTGTTCTATAAATAATCTCACCATGGCCAATTCCTAGTTACCGAAATGATATCACTGAATGTGGAGTTGGGAAGAGATGCACAGAAGTTCATCATAATATAGCACTTCTAGCGTGCAGACACAGTAGGCATAATAACCCTGAGACCGAAGATAATAATAAAATGTAGTAAAAAATAGGGATGAATTTGTTAGTTTTGATGCTAATAAAATTTATTTGATTGTAAGTTTATTTAGTTAAAATTTTAAGAATGGCTTTGTGTAGCAGTCAGCTTGCAGAATACTGAAAATTTGACAACTGGCTCTCCAGAGCCGGCTCCAGCCCATCCCAGTGGAGGGGAGCACTTGAAGCAGCAGCCTCGGAGGATTGCATTCATTCAGGTCTTCCCAAGAGCATTGACCTTTAAGTTGAAAGCAACAACAAGTGGGAGAGAGCCAGAGAAGTAGGGTTGAAGCATCATTTCAGGAGAAAAGACAGCATAGGGAAGACAGAGCAAGGCACATTCAAGAGATGGAGATCCTGGAGCATACAGAGGAGAGGCTGGGAATGACACGAGATTTGGTGAGGTATAAAGTGGGGTCAGATCACTCAGGGTATTCATGACGCTACACTGAGATGATTAAAATTAGATTTTTCTTTTAGAAAAATGTCTCTGGTGGCAGTTCAGAGAACAAACAGGAGGGCATGGTAAGATAGGCATGTCAGGATGAGGAAGTCAGCAGCGGCAATTGCCACAGGGCAGAAGAGAGTTGGTGGTGGCATGGATAGGGTAGTGGCAAAGTGAATGGAGGAAATTGCAGTGAATCAAGAGGTTTTCCAGGAAAAAAAGACACTTGAGTTAGCGATTGATTGAATATGATAATTCCTCACATAGTTTCCAAGTAATTTATTTAAAAAAATGTTTGTAGAGACAAGGTCTCACTCTGTCACCCAGGCTGGAGTGCAGTGGCATGATCATAGCTCACTGCAGACTGAAACTCCTGTCCTTAAGTGATCCTCCTGCCTAGGCCTCCCAAAGTGCTGGGATTACACCAAGTAATTTCTGATTGAAACACCACTGTCTCCTTCCAAAGCCTCCTTCCCTTCTGCCTCTAGGTCAAGTCTGACCCTGCACACAGGAGCATTTCTACTTTGAGAACACGACTTCCTCTTGATCCTTTCCTAATGTCCTCAATTCTCTTTTTAAATCTCTTTTGCCTGCCTAAAATGTGGTGTTCCTTATAGCGCTGTCCTCCCCTCCCTTTCTCTAGTCCCCCGTGCCCTAATCACATTTTTTTCCTCTTCCATCTGAGCTCTTCCCAAACCTTCAGCTTTCATACTTCATGTAAAATTTATAGTCTTTATTGCTGAGATCCTTCCTGAGATTTCAATGGACATTGCCAGGACTTTGTTTTTATCTTCACATGTAAATCTTTACATCTGTCAAACACATTTGCCCACACAAACCCACAGCATCCTGTGTTTGCTATCTCTATTGGTATCATTACTCTCCTCCAGTAACCTCTGATTCACCCTCTAGTGCTACTCCTTCTTCCACAATTCTCTAAAAATTTAGTTCCATGCATGCATCAGATTATCTCCTTTTCCAGTTCTACTGCCACTGACTTACCTCGGAACATTTATTTCAATTATTATAATAACTTTCCCTATACTTTCCCTTACCTCTTTTTTTTTTTTTTTTTTGAGACGGAGTCTCGCTCTGTCGCCCAGGCCGGACTGCGGACTGCAGTGGCGCAATCTCGGCTCACTGCAAGCTCCGCTTCCCGGGTTCACGCCATTCTCCTGCCTCAGCCTCCCGAGTAGCTGGGACTACAGGCGCCCGCCACCGCGCCCGGCTAATTTTTCCCTTACCTCTTGCCAGAATGTTCTCCTATCACATTTACACCTAACTCTGAGACAATTCTTTCCGAGGCATGTTGTGGTTTTACAGATGATGTGTTCTGTCCTCTGTTCATGCAGCTAGAGTAGGAGCACACAAGGAGGAGTGTGTTTGTTCATCTCTGTATCTTTCCAACATCCAGTATGTTACTAATATACTTAAGACATTCGATATTGTTAGGAATTAAATTAAACATTTATTGTTGAATTGGATTAATTTAATTTATTTCCACTTTCCAGAATATGTTCATCTCAGGAATGGTTGATCCCCCTTCCCCAAACTTAGAATCAATCATTAGGCATTTTTAACACCTTAGCAAATATTTAATTTTTGCTTGAGATTCCCAGAAAAGAGAAACTCCTATGAATTTGTAAGAGTGGAACTCCTTATATGAAAGTCTAAATTTTCTATTTACATGTATACTTGATGAATCAATTTATAATACGTTTAGCTGAAAGTAACTGAAAGCTTGGCTAGATATGGCTTAAATGCATAGCTTCTATGTGTGTGTGTTTGTGTCTGTGCATATTTTAATTGTATGCCACAAGTAGGACAAGGGTAATCTGTCACAGAGCTGCCACATTACCTATAGTGAGCCAATAATATTCTTCTTTCTGCTTTTTGATCTGCTTTGCACATAGGTTTCTTTATTCCTCATAATTTTCACCTCTTAATCACAAAGTGGCTCCTGTAACCCAAAGGCATTCCTGCCCGAATTCCAGGTAGCAAACAGGAGGAAGAAATGACTACTTAAACTTAGCACTTTTATTTATTCCCAGTGACATGTGCCTAAACTGTGTTTAAAAAAATGTGAGTATTCTTAAGAAGGAATGTTTAAACATTTAACCCCTAAAATAAGGAATATGTATTGTGTAGGTGCTTTGCAGTATCTATAACACATCGTGATATCAAGGCAAGCAATCTTTTTAAAAAAGTATGTACTTACAGCAAATCCACATTTCATTATTTTAGATTTAATTTTCTGGGAATTAAATGTGTATATATATATATGTGTAATATTTTAGTTTAAAGGAATTTTGAAAATGACAATAATCTTAAAACCACAATGCAGAATAAATAAATCTTCCTAACTGCTACTTGCTGGATTTCGTTTTGTTCCCCCTTTACCATCAGCCAAACCAAGCTTTGTAATCCAGCCTCAGGACACAGAGGTTTTAATTGGCACCAGCACAACTTTGGAATGTATGGCCACAGGCCACCCACACCCTCTTATCACTTGGACCAGGGACAATGGATTGGAGCTGGATGGATCCAGGCACGTGGCAACGTCCAGTGGACTTTACTTACAGAACATCACACAACGGGATCATGGTCGATTTACCTGTCATGCCAACAATAGCCACGGCACTGTTCAAGCTGCAGCAAACATAATTGTACAAGGTATGGGAGCAGAAGGTCATGATTGAAATGTTCCTCCTGCCACACTCAGAAAATTATTTTTCAACTTAAATAATGTCATGTACATCAGTGGAGAAATATTTTTATTTGCCAATTATTTTTTGACACAATAAGATTTTCAAAGCTAATCTGTTTCAAGTTAAAAGTTGTTTTTTTTCTTTCCTACTTCAATCTTTATCCAAAGGTCAGACTCAACCATTAGCAACAAAAGAGATGGAGTCATTAATCTGGAAGGAAACTGTCAAGAGATATTTGTGCTTCAGAATATTTCACAGATACAGGAAAGACAGTACAGATATGAAAGTGAAAAGGCTGTGCCCTGTGTTCATAGTCACTTACCAAACTGTCTACTCAACAGAGCTTGAGGACATGCTGAAGGCTCCTACGAGGCCAGACTGCGTAACAACAGCAATAGTAAAACTATTCTGAATCCAGAAATTAATTTATATGCATGGGCATGCAATCGTGTTATAAAGAAGGCACATTCTTCTTTGTACTTTGGTTCTCAGCCTGGGGTGGCCCCTTTCTGGTGTGTGTGCGTGCATGTGTGTGTGTGTGTGTGTGTTTGTGTGTGTGCGTTTGTGTGTGTGTGCATGTGTGCCTGCATGCCATCTTCCTGTAGGGTTAGAGTTTAGTAAACAGCAGAATATAAGTGCTATTGGAGTCATATCAAAGGTCCAGTTTTTTCTAAACTAGTTTTTCATCAGTTGATGAGAGTACGGTAATTTACATGATCCGTTTTAGGGGCTTCCTGATATGTGCATATTTTGATTGAGTTAAGTTTCATTATTTTAAGATTTGCATAGGATGTTATCTACCAAAACACTGAACCGTGTGAAACACAGAACAGAGAAAAAGGGAAGTGGCCAGCCTAGTGCAGTGCCTGGGTTGGGAGGGCTTCAGAACAGTGAGCCCCAGTGGCCCCAAGAGTGATCTTGGCCCCCACAAAGCACAAGGCTTCCTCCAGCCTAGTCTTCCTGCATTCAGAGAATGTTTTCTAAATTGAACTGTTTAGCATCAACTCCTTTAATAGCAATAGATCAATACTTTCTTATTCCTATTTACATGTCTCAGGAAAAAAAATTGTGTTTTTCCCTAGAACTGCTAATATCCCAAAAATACTTTCCTTGCTCTAATAAGAAGGCACAGAAATGAAATATTTTCTTGAGGTCTTTGGTAACTTCTGGGGGAAATTACTTTTAAAGGACCCAAACGTTATTTTTAAACTTTTAATATGTTGAGATTGAAAAATACCTTCAAAGAAACTGTGTTTGGGTTTTGTTTTGCTTACATCATTTTGTGTTCAATGTCTGTTTTTTAGAAACCTAACGCCTGATCACTTTCACACTTTAGTGGTTGCCTGTATTCCACACTGTGCTAGGCTTTTGTTTCTCAGCTTTTTCCATGTACTTCCTTTCTATGCTTCCATCTGCCCATCTGCGTCAGTCATTGCTTAACAGAACTCTGGTAACCTTTACCATCCTGCCTATTTCTTCTACCACAATATGCTAATGATTTCTTGTTGCCAGTGAGTTTGCACTGAAATGGCCATCTGCTTGTCCTTTGTTATTTGTGACCATCTACTTGTGTCACTTTTGGATCTGTGTGCCCAGATTTTTAATTGATTTTGAAACGGTCCATTAATCATTCTATACATTTATTTAAAAGGCTGATTTTATTTGCCTAATCATAGATGAAACATTTTAAGATGTATCCTTTTGTGTCATTTTAACAGGTTTCTATCCATGTTCTTGATCTTTTAATGTCTATTTAAACTGAGATCACAGTTATCCACAGATAAACTTCCTTTTTTAGACTGACTAAAATAAAATAACACAAATAAAATGACACAAAAAAGCTTCAATGAAAGATATGAATCACAGTGTGGACATATAGGTAAAAAGGCCTATGGTCATCAACAGTGTAAGTCAAAATGCTTTGTGTGTGAGGCAGCACCTTAATGAGTAGCCAGAATTTTAGATTTTAATAAAATAGCAAAACACTTCATCTCGGCATGTGCTATTTTAGCACTGGAGGTGGGACTCAGAAGGCCATCATTTTAAATGGAAAGCCCAAAGATGTCAGCTTCATCATTCCTGTCTAATTATTCCACCTTCTCTGCCTGCTTTGGTGATGTTCATAATTTCTTCATCGACCTAGCAAGCTGCTCATTTTAGTGTTAGAAACAAATGTAAATTGACTATTTTCTTAAATGTTTTCTATGCTTTGCTAAGATGTGGATCTTGGGTTCTGTTAAAAGTGAGAACACGTGAAGTTTAACAATTCTTTTCACACAGACTTGGCTAACCGTGAACTTTAATTATTATTAAAGTTATTAAATGTTAATATTTTTAATAATTAAAATAAAATTAAATTTTAATATGTTAATAATTATTAAAGTTATTATTATTCAAAAGTTGAAATCAAATTTCCCAACACTAGAACCAGGACTACATTATTTCTCTTAACTACTACCATCTTTTGTTATATAGCTCTTTTACTGTGTCATGAATCTATTTTTTAATGTAGAAATATTTTTGTTCTTTTTAAGTTGTTCCTAGTAATTTTGGGAGTTAGTGTAATGTTCTGGAAAGAACATCAGGCTGGGGGTTGAGCGGCCCAGATTCTCTACTATCTTTTCTACTTATTAGTTCTGACCGAGAGAAATTCAATCCTACCTCCCAGAGTCTGAATTTTCTCATCTGTGCAGTGAGGAGCCTGAGATTGCTGATTTGTGGGCTGTTTTCCAGCTTGACTTTTCTAGAACTCTATTACAAATAGCTTGCAGGCATTCCTGAGGGTTTCCATGAATTTGTGTGACTTGGAAATTTATTTTATACCATATTTAGTCCAGCACCTTACTTAGAATGGATGAAGACTTTAAAAAACTCTTTAGTACTTGCACACAGTATGAAACTTGCAACAAATACACTTTGCCAAATATTATTTACTTTATCATGTTTCTTGTATTTCCAGATGCAGGTGAAAAGAAGGGGGTAGTAGGAATTGTGCAAAAATCTAACAAGGCAGAGAAATGATTTGTCAAGTTGTTAAAGGCATTTGAACCAGAGTGACTCCATCTTGAATGAGGGCTGGGTAAAATGAGGATGAGACCTGCTGGGCTGGATTCCTAGCAGGTTTAGTATTTTTAGTCACAGGATGAGATAGGAGGTTGGCACAATATACAGGGCACAAAGACCCTGCTGATAAAACATGATGCAGTAAAGGAGCTGGCAAAAACCTGCCAAAAGCAAGATGGCGATGACAGTGACCCCTGGTTGTTCTCACTGCTCATTTTATGCTAATTATAATGCATTAGCATGTTACAAAACACTCCTACCAGCACCAGGACAGTTTACAAATGCCATGGCAATGTCAGGAAGTTGCCTTTTATGGTCTAAAATGGGGAGGAACTCTAAGTGCTGGGAATTGCCCACCGCTTTCCAGAAAACTCGTAAATAATCCACCCCATGTTTAGCACATAATCGAGAAATAACTGTAAGTATACTCAGCCCAGCAGCCTATACTGCTTCTCTGCCTGTGGAGTAGCCATTCTTGATTCCTTTACTTTCCTAATAAACCTGCTTTCACTTTACTGTATGGATTTGCCTCATATTCTTTTTTGCACAAAGTCCAAGAATCCTTTTTTGGGATCTGGATTGGGACACCTTTCCAGTTACAAAGTCATCTGCGAAAGTTCTTTTGATCACTTAGGCGTTACTGGGGATCATTGCGCTCTTCTTAAATGGCCACATTGATTTATTTTTTTATTCAATCAAAGAGTCACGGACAGAATCCCTTTTCAGGAATGGCATATGCAGCTATTAGCTATTTCTTATTTATACAAAAGCAATAATACAAAATCTGAATATTTGGAACTCTGAATTTTGACATAAATATGACTTTTTCAAAAGTATAATTTCAAGTGTTGCAGGAACATTAATCTTAAGGAGCTTATTTTTCTTTCTGAAATCGAAAGATCAACTCGTTTCAAATTTTATTGTGCATGTGAAAGTTTGGAGAAGACGGTTTTGTTAATAGTTTAAAGTACAATTTGTAGCTTTAAATATGTTTATCACATCTACTAAAATGATAACCAATATGATTCAATCATGGGAAACAGCTGCCGTAAGATTTAGAAATGGTTTCTTCTTGTTGGCTACTGCTGTTTTGCTTTGCAGACCAGATGTGTGTATTTCTGGCTTCCTTGCAAACAGGCACAAACATACAGAAGCACCTCCACACTCTTTATAACCTTGTTTATATATAATTGTAAACAAATTCTGATCACATGACATATTTGAAGACATTTTCTTTTTTCTATTGGCACTGAAAATTTGTAAAATAATTTTCAATTTTGATGTATGTTTCATTCTCTTTAGCTCCTCCACAATTTACAGTAACCCCCAAGGATCAAGTGGTGCTGGAAGAACATGCTGTAGAGTGGCTCTGTGAAGCTGACGGCAACCCACCTCCTGTTATTGTCTGGACAAAAACAGGTATTAGAACATCTGCAGGTAATTGTGGGGAAAAATAAGTGCCTTCTTTTGTGGATAGTAAAAAAAAATAGTTTAAATTAATTATCGAAGGTGTATCATGGACATGAAAAAATTACACAGAAAATAATCTTTGATCTAAATATGACATCATCATAATTTTCGTGGTGTTTTGAGTTTTGGCATTTGAGTGTGTGGCCTTCCTGAGATCATCCCCTCTGGGACTCGGTTTCCTGATTTTTAAAATAAAATTACTGGAAAGCGTACAGTTGTTTTGTTTGTTTGTTTGTTTGTTTGTTTGTTTTGAGACAGAGTCTTGTTCTGTCGCCCAGGCTGGAGTGCAGTGGTGCAATCTCGGCTCACTGCAAGCTCCGCCTCCCGGGTTCACGCCATTCTTCTGCCTCAGCCTGTAGCTGGGACTACAGGTGCCCGCCACCACGCCCGGCTACTTTTTCTGTATTTTTAATAGAGACGGGGTTTCACCGTGTTAGCCAGGATGGTCTCAATCTGCTGATCTCGTGATCCGCCCGCCTCGGCCTCCCAAAGTTCTGGGATTGCAGGAGTGAGCCACCGCGCCCGGCCGCAAGTGTAGCAGTTTTAGACATTTCTTTTTTCAGTGGGATAATTTTCTTCTAGTACAAAATGAAATCACAAGTGAAATGAAATCCGAAGTGAAGCTCCAAAAAAGAGCTGCTGTTCCTGAAGTGTGGGTGGTGGGGCGTGGGCCTGGCAGGCAGGATCTAACCCCCTATGCCCCACCAAGGCGCCAGACACTTACAGGGAATCTGGGCACATAACAGAACAGGATTGACGATTGGCTGGATGAGAGCTTGTCTAAGGTTCCTCCGGGCTTGGGAATCCTACTTTCCATATTAGTTCAGGTACGAAATAAAATTCAAAATCTACATTTATGAATTTCTTGTCTTAACATTTTTGCTCTATTCTTTATGAGATTAGTTGATAGGAGGTAGACTTTGGAACCATAAAGCCTTGGCTCACATCTCCACTCCTCCATTTGCTTATCATGTGACCTTGAGCAAACCTGTTAACTGCTGTTTGCCAGAGTCTTTGTTGCTGTGTTGGGGGTGATGACGTTTCCTACATCATAGGGTGGTTGTGGGGTTTGATTTGAATAATTTATACTCTTCAACATTTAGAATAGTTGATGGCACAGTGTGTGTACGCTCAATAGGGTTAGCTATTCCTTTTTCCATCTGTAACAAGACATTCAATAAGATACAAGTTTTCACTGAACTAGTTGAAAATTATAATCTCATTTAATTGTTAATGACCATAAGAGTAAAGTGTTAAGAAGGATTCAGAGGCTCATATAAGCTCAGCAGTGCAAAGTACAATGGCCTCTGGTTGACTGTGTAGATAACAGCATGAATGTCACAAAATCACCATTTTCGATATGCTGCCTCTGCATTTTAAATGTATTTTAATCACGTTATTGTATTCCAAATATTGCATACACATGATAAACAACTGTCACGAAGATATCTGAAAATCAAATTTAAGAATCAGATTGGTTTTGAAATTTGCTTTCTGATTATAGTAAGGCCGAGGGGCACAAACATGAAGATTAAAAATTCATTAGGAGGCTGGGCTGTTCTGGTGACAGATGAGAATTCCTTATGATACAGTGGCAGAGTTTCGGGGACAAGCGGCATGGGGGTGCTGTGTTTCTGGGGTTGCAATCCTAGGGCACAACGCACACAGTACACCCTAGCACCGAGAATTTCCTGAAAGACAGGCCTCACCCTTTAGCCAGGACAGCCAGCAGCTCTGGCTTTCAGTGCTCTGGGCCATGAAGAATACTTTCTTTACCTCTTTTTGCAGGAGGGCAGCTCCCTGTGGAAGGCCAGCATACAGTTCTCTCCTCTGGCACTTTGAGAATTGACCGTGCAGCACAGCACGATCAAGGCCAATATGAATGTCAAGCAGTCAGTTCGTTGGGGGTGAAAAAGGTGTCTGTGCAGCTGACTGTAAAACCCAAAGGTAATATATACTGTGATTCATATTCACATTCTGAAGTGTGCCTTCTGCCTGTGTCTTTAACACACCTGACAGGGATCTTATGACATATATGACTATATATATATATATAGTCATATGATCTAAGAAATGCAAATTTGATATCTTCTTCCAATCAGTCTTTTATATAACTTCAGTTTTTAGAATTCTATTTTCATTCATACTAATTATGATTATGTTTTCCTTAAAAATGCCATTTCAGGTTTTCTTACAAAATTTTTTACAATTACTATGATTAATTAGTCCTACTTGCCTAGACTGTCTTACAAAAGAATGCAGCTTCTCGGCCTGACGTGCTGAATCTCACTCTGACACTGAAGTATGTTTTATGCTGAGTGGTATTAGGAATACAGTGAAGACACTCCCCTTCAGACTCTTCATGTGACAACTGTACTTAGGTTTATCCTACATAATATATATTGTGGAATGAGATTGTGTTATTCATCCATAATTTATTGTCAACTGATATATAAAAAGGGAAAAAAATCAAGATTTGAATTTTTAAAGATAATTCCAATATAAAAATGAAAAATGGTTGTTATTAATTACTGCTGAAATTTTTTCTTAGTTTCTGGCTTATGGTGAAATGATGGAACTTAATTACAAAATGCATAGCACCTAAACTGCGTTTTCAGCACTGCTTTACATTTTGATATAATTTCCTAAGTCTCTCCACAATTTGCTACAATTTGTTCTGACGTATTAGATCTCAATTCAGAGGTAACATATATTGATGAGAGCATAGGAGAAGGAAAAGCAAAGCTCTGCTGCATGCATCAACGTAGGTGTGAGAAGAAGCACTGGGAATGCTGACATGTTCATGATGCCTGAACACAGATGAAGGCCTACACTGAGCTACTGTCTACATATGGTCTGTTAGCAATTACTTTCCCCTTATATTTTAGACATATTAAATGTTTTTTTTAAAAAAGAAGTTGAGGTTCCCTTATATTTTAGACATACTAAATTTTTTTTTTTTTTAAAGGAAGTTGAGGTTCTACGGGGGGGAAAAAGGATTGTAGGGAAGATATGAAAATAGCAACTCAAACGAGTGGGAAGATTTGAAAATACAATTGTGGAAAGGTGTCAGGCTATGACGTGCCCTGGCAAACCTTTCTGTCTAAGAGGAAATACCAAAAGCTTGTCTGCAGAATGTTTCAAACTACTTTTGAATTGGTGTTCAACTAAAATCCAAAAATTAGGTGGTATTTACATTATATCTTTTAAAATGGGACCAATAGTAAGTCCACACATATTATTAAAACCAAATATGAGGTAAGGACACTAAAGAGCCTCATCTTGATTTTTCCCTGTTGCCAAATCCTTTCACTTGACTTGCTCCTGTTGATGCTTTAGATCTCAATCTAGAAGCCACTTCACTTCCCTATGGAGGCTTCGTCGACTCTCTAAGACCACTGTAAGTTGCCCCTGTTGAAATTAGTGTTAGAATACACCATTTAATCTAGGAGTTGACATATGTAGAAGAATTTGATAAATCTACTACATATCCGTAGGTGAGAAAATACCACTAGCAATTGGCATGAATATGGAAGCAAACAAGTGTTTTAGAGAACAAAGAGCCCTAAGTGTGGCACCAGATTTTGTGAATGGTGGCAGGTGAGAGCCATATGGAAGGAGTTAGTTGGGATTGTTGGTTGAGTTGGAACACACCAGATCTAGACTTCAGACTATAGAACTATTGAAAGTCTTGATCAGATCGATTATTCAGAATATTCATTAACCTGGGGCGAGCGTGGTGGTTGCTCACACCTGTAATCCCAACACTTTGAGAGGCTGAGGCTAGTGGATCACCTGAGATCAGGTGTTCGAGACCAGCCTGGCCAACATGGTGAAACCCTGTCTCTACTAAAAATACAAAAATTAGCCAGGCATGGTGGCATGTGCCTGTAGTCCCAGCTACTCGGGAGGCTGAGGTGGGAGGCTGAGGAGGGAGAATCGTTTGAACCTGGGAGGTGGAGGTTTCAGTGAGTCAAGATCATGCCACCGCACTCCAGCCTGGGCAACAAAGCAAGACTCCATGTTGAAAAAAAAAATAGAAAAATAATATTTGTTAACCTAAAGAGGATAGGATAGGTTGGAGTGGAGAAAAATGAAAGTCAGAAACCACGGGAGCTACTACTGTCACCAAGTGACACGTTATGAGATCTATAAACTAGGATCACAGTGGTGGGAATGGAAGAGTGAATTAATTCAAGAAAAAGTATAGCAGGTTGAATCATTTTATCTCTGAGATTATGAGGAATATTTTTCCCCCCAGTACCTGTTCCCAGTAATACTTTGCAGAACCTTCATCTGTTTCCAGCTAAGGAATCAGCTTCCTTAACTATATTTTGGGCATATTGCACATGAATTTCATGTGCTATGACAGTCTTATTCTGCCTAAGGTGTCTTAGTTTTGAATTTCCTTCGGGTATTAGGTGATTTTTTTACTATGAAGAATCAGATACTATTTTATTTAAGGAATGTTCTCTTGAATTAATTCTTTTAATATCACTTCTGTCTCATTATTTGTTTCTTTTTGGGGAACCTCCACATTTTGTGTATGTTGCAGTACTTCTCAAAGTGTGTTCTGTGGTTGCTGGTTGAGGGAGATCCAGAGACCCTTGAGGGGGTTTCCTAGGTTAAAACTTTCTCATAATAGTATCAGTAATTTGCCTCTTCACTGGGTTGAAATTTGCGCTGATGGTGCAAAAGTCATGGTGGGTAAATCTGCTGGAGCCTCAGCCTGAACCAAGACAGAGGGTGCCAAATGGTAGGAGTATATCATTATATCCTTTGTTTGTAGCAGAAAGTAAAAAAGAAAAGTAATTTTACTTGATGCTGTTATTGATGAAACAGGGGGAAATATTACTTTTATTAAATCTTGACCTTTACATACGTATACTTTCAGTAGTTTGTGTGATAAAGGAAATGTCAAAAGAAGCTACCTAAAGTTAAATGATAAGTAAAGTTAAATGATGAGTTACTGGGTGCAGCACACCAACATGGCACATGTATACATTTGTAACTAACCTGCACATTGTGCACATATACCCTAAAACTTAAAGGATAATAAAAAAAAGAAGCTACCAATTGTCAAATTTTGGTATAGCATAAAGGAATGTTTACAGTTATCTGAAAAATCTTTAAAAATACTCCTATACTTTTGAAAACATGTCTTTGTGAGGTAATATTTTATTCATAGACTTCAACCAAAACAACTAATTGTAAGAGATTGAATTTGAAAGCAGTTCTTCTACTACTGAGATTTGTAAAACAATGCTACTCTACTCACTACTTTTTTGTAGAAAATATAATTAATTTTCATAAAAACATGTTATTTAAAAATGCCATGAGTTTATAATTGTAATTTTAAAATGAACACATAAATTTTTAAATTCTCAGTTTTAGTTCCCAATGCAGTAAGCATAGCTACATGTAAGCCATGTAAATAAAAGCTCTTAGTGCTTGTCAATAATTTTTAAAAGTAAAGGGTTCCTGAGGCCAAAATGATTGGGTGCCACTCATCTGTTGATCTTCTTTGCCCAATTTCTAGCTCTCTCTCTTTCTCTTCAATCCCTTTTAGCTCTTTGTTTTCAGAGCATTATGAAAACATAATGAAAAAAGAGCTGGCTTTTTTCGTATCTGTCTTCATATCCCTCATGTGTTTTTGACAGTGTCTTTTCACTCCAGAGATGCTTCTAACCCTTACTTATGCATTTTATTTTTTCCACTAGTATTTTGGATAATTATATGCAAATATTTGTAAGCAATGAATAAAATTAGTAATTTTACAGAAAAATGTAACTAATGAAAATTTATGTCAAAAGAGAGAGAAATCTAAACAGAATGTTACAAGGAGAAAACAAGTTGCCAGAGATCAGAACAGAACAGATACTCAAATTATGACTCTCTGGCATGGCTGTAGAGGTTGTTAATTATTCCACGTGTTAAACCTGTGGAAGAGCTACCTTTACTAAATCATGTGGTCAGGTGCTTTTCCAGGAGGAACTATCATTCCTTTAAATAACATTTCCAATGTTACTTAAATTGCTTAGAGAATTAGAAAATAATTAATGCCATAAGGTATTTTTTAAAAACAAGCATAATCTTGATAATAAAACTCTAAGAATTAATTAAAAATAAAAAAAGCAAAGCCCTTGCGTATCCACACGAAAATACAAAATGAAAATAAATAAATGTAATCATAGATATCAAAGAATCCAGTAGCACATTAAAAACATTAGTGGTATTTATTCCAGAAATTTAAGAACAAAAGAGTAGTAGAAAAGAATATATTTTATTAATTAACATATTTTATATTAATAGATTTAGGAAGAAGAATCATGAGTATTTCCATAGCTACTAAAAAGGCATTTGTTAAACATTCAACATTCATTCTCATCAAAAACTCTTCATAACATAGGTCTGAATAGATATTTCTTTAACATGATAAAATAGGTCTACTGAACTCATTAGCTAGAATCTTGCTTAATCAATAAATGAGATAATATTTTCATAAAGAAAGGAACAGACCAAAGATTTCTACTGTCATCACTGTCATTTAACATAGAGTTGAGTGATAAGTCATCAACATTAGGTAAGATATGCAAGAAAGAATAACCAAGAAAATTCTGAAAAAGAACCAGAATCAAGGAGGGCTAATCATACTAGATACTGAAACACATGATAAACCTACAATAATTAAAATGTACCCAGACAGTATATTAGAAAACAATATGTAACCCACAAATTTGTTCCATTTTATCTGGGAATTAATGTGGGAAGAAGGTATCATTTTCTGTCAGTAAAGAAAGCAACTCAATAATAAAAGAGTTGGGAATAATAACTCAGTAGACATATGGAAGAGTGACCCTGGGTCCATGTCACATGGGTTTTGTTCTGGAGGTGTCCTTCCCAATAAGGGTACAGAAAAAAGGAGAAGAAAAGCCTGCTGACTGGAAGCCAGCAGTGTGGCGACCTCTCCTTCTGTTGCTTTGTGGCCTTATTTGGTCATCAGGGTGCTCTGCGTGGCCAGCCCCCAGGCTTCATGTGTGTATTATTCAGAGGCCATATTGAAGTCCTCCCAGTACTCTATTCCCTGATGTGGGACATCCAGCTCCAGCATTTGGTCTTTCAGCCAATCTTACCTCCTCTTAGAACCAACCCCAGCTAATAGGGTTTCCTCATTCAATGGACAGTCCTACAGGGCATTTATTACTTGAAAGATAGCTTAAGTCACCATTTTCTATGGATACCACTAACCATCACAGTGATCAAGCTGTAATCATCACAGTGATCTATCTGTGTACCAGTACTGAGGGACTTCAGAAAGTTCATGGAGAATGTATATTAGGAAAAAACTGTGCATTGATTTCAATTTTTTTTGCACTAAAATAAATTGGCACTGACTTGTTATAGCATGTCACATTGCCATGCTGCTCTGTCTCTCAGCTCTGCCTTTGCTTTCTAGTTCTCTGCTGCTGTTCACCTCTACCATGTCATCAAGTCCACTGACCAAGCAGACATCTAACTAGGGAAGTAATTGCTAGTCTCCGCTTCTGTGTGACACTTTCAATTTGAAGGGAGGCAACTCTCTTCTCCATATACAAGAAAATGAAGGACCTTGTATTAGTCTGTTCTCCTGCTACCATGAAGAAATACCTGAGACTGGGTAATTTATAAAGAAAAGAGGTTTAATTGGCTCACAGTTCTGTATGGCTGGGGAGGCCTCAGGAAACTTACAATTGTGGCAGAAGACACCTCTTCACACGGTGGCAGGAGAGAGAATGAGTGCCGAGCAGAGGGGGAAGCCCCTTATAAAACCATCAGATCTCGTGAGAACTCAATATTACTAGAACAGTATGGCAGAAACCACCCCCATGATTCAATTATCTCCACCCAGTCCAGCCCTTGACACGTGGGAATTATTACAATTCAAAGTGAGATGTGGGTGGGGACACAGAACCAAACCATATGAAGTCTCTTCCCCTCAGCACTGCACTGCCCAAAAACATGGGTCCCTCTCTCCCACAGTCACCTGGACAGGCTCTGGATCTGCTCAGTAAGCCCCACAGGGGAGAGGCAGTGCAATCCTGCTGGCCCTCTGCACCTCATGGCTGGGACACATCTCACTCTTCTCCCTGTGCCATAGGCCCTAGCAGCAACACTAAGACAGCTGGAAAAGCCCCCTTAATACCCTGCTGTGTTTTCAGGCCCTTCCTGGTCTCAGGTATTTCTCTGTGTCCCAATTCAGACTCAAATGTGTAATTTCCTTCCTAGATAGATACTTTAGCTATTTTTTAATTTTAAAATATATTTTGTAAGCAGAAGGTAAATATTGAATAAATTTGCACCATCAGTAAGTAAGGGTAACATGTGTTGTGAGCTATGTAGAGTGTTGTGGGATAGCTGCAATGTGGGAGAGCTTTCATGGATGGTGTGGACTCATTCATGATGTTTCACTGGTAATATCCCCAAAGGTCACTGCCACATGAATTATTATTATTATTATTATTTTTCAATGGATTTTTTTAAATTTCAGTAGGTTTTGGGGGAATAGGTGGTGTTTGGTTACATGAATAAGTTCTTTAGTGGTGATTTCTGAGATTTTGGTGCACCCATTACCCAAGCAGTGTACATTGTACCCAATGTGTAGTCTTTCATCCCTCACCACCCTCCCATCCTTTCCCCCGAATCCCCAAAGTCCATTGTATCATTATTATCTCTTTTCATCCTCATAGCTTGGCTCCCACTTATGAGTGAGAATGTAAGATATTTGGTTTTCCATTCCTGAGTTACTTCACTTAGAATAATAGTCTTCAATTCCATCCAGGTTGCTGCAAATGCCATTATTTCATTCCCTTTTATGGCTGAGTAGTATTCCATGGTGTGTGTGTGTGTGTGTATATATACATATATATATATGTATATCTGTCTCACAATTTCTTCACCCACTTGTTGATTGATGGGCATTTGGGCTGGTTTCATATTTTTGCAATTGCAAATTGTGCTGTTATAAACCTGCATGTGCAAGTATCTTTTTGGTGCAATGACTTCTTTTCCTCTGGGTAAATATCCAGTAGGGGAATTGTTGGATCAAATGGTAGTTCTAGTTTTAATTCTTTTTTTTTTTTTTTTTTTGAGATGGAGTCTGACTTTGTCACCTAGGCTGGAGTGCAGTGGTGCGATCTTGGCTTACTGCAACCTCTGCCTCCAGGGTTCAAGCAATTCTCCTGCCTCAGCCTCCCAAGTAGCTGGGATTACAGGTGTGTGTTAACATGCCTTGCTAATATTTATATTTTTAGTAGAGACAGTTTTTCGCCCTGTTGGCCAGGCTGGTCTTGAACTCTTGGCCTCAAGTGATCCACCTACCTCAGCCTCCCAAAGTGTTGGGATTACAAGCGTAAGCCACCACACCCAACCTGTACTGTTAATTCTTTAAGGAATCTCCACACTCTTTTCCATAGTGGTTATACTAGTTTACATTCCCACCAGCAGTGTAAAAGTGTTCCCTTTCCACTATATCCATGCCAACATCTATTATTTTTTTATTTTTTTGATTATGGCCATTCTTGCAGGAGTAAGGTGGTATCACATTTTTGCTTTGATTTGCATCTCTCTGATCATTTGTGATATTGAGCATTTTTTCATATGTTTGTTGGCCCTTTGTATATCTTCTTTTGAGAATTGTCTATTCATGTCCTTAGACCACTTTTTGATGGATTGTTTGTTTTTTTCTTGCTGATTTGTTTGATTTCCTTGTAGATTCTGGATATTAGTCCTCACTGGATGCATAGATTGCAAAGATTTTCTTCTATTCTGTGGGTTGTCTGTTTACTCTGCTGATTATTTCTTTTACTATGCAGAAGCTTGTTATTTTAATTAACAACCATTTATTTATCTTTGTTTGTTTTGCATTTGCTTTTGGATTCTTGGTCATGAAGTCCTTGCCCAAGCCAATGTCTAGAAGGGTTTTTCCCGATGTCATCTTCTACAGTTTTTATGCTTTCAGGTCTTAGATTTAAGTCCTTGATCAATCTCGTGTTGATTTTTGTATAAGGTGAAAGATGAGGATCCAGTTTCATTCTTCTCCATGTGGCTTGCCAATTATCCCAGCACCATTTGTTGAATAGGGTATCCTTTCCCCACTTTACGTTTTTGTTTGCCTTGTTGAAGATCAGTGGGCCATAAGTATTTGGCTTAATTTCTGGGTTCTCTATTCTGTTCCATTGGTTTATGTGCCATTTTTTTTTGATGGAGTCTTGCTCTGTTGCCCAGGCTGGAGTGCAGTGGCACAATCTCGGCTCACTGCAAGCTCCATCTCCCAGGTTCACGCCATTCTCCTGCCTCAGCCTCCTGAGTAGCTGGGACTATAGGCACCCGCCACCATGCCTGGCTAATTTTTTGTATTTTTAGTGGAGACAGGGTTTCACCATGTTAGCCAGGATGGTCTCGATCTCCTGACCTCATGATCCGCCTGCTTTGGCCTCCCAAATATGTGCCTATTTTTATAACAGTTCCATGCTTTATTGGTGACTATGACCTTATAGTATAGTTTGAAGTCAGGTAATGAGATGCCTCTAGATTTGCTCTTTTTGCTTAGTCTTGCTTTGGTTATGTGGGCTTTTTTTGCTTCCATATGAATTTTAGAATTGCTTTTTTTAGTTCTGTGAAGAATGATGGTGGTATTTTGATGGGAATTGCATGAATTTTTAGACTGCTTTTGTCAGTATGGTCATTTTCACAATATTGATTCTCCCCATTCATGAGCACAGGATGTGTTTCAATTCATTTGTGTCATCTATGATTTCTTTCAGCAGTGTTTTGAAGTTTTCATTATAGAGCTCTTTCACCTCCTTGATTAGGTATACTTCTAAGTAGTTTATTTTATTTTATTTTTTGCAGCTATTGTAAAAGGAGTTGAGTTCCTGATTTGATTCTCAATTTGGTTGCTCCTGTATATACCAGTGCTACTGATTTGTGTACATTAATTTTGTATTCTGAAACTTTGCTGAATACATTTATCAGTTCTAGGAACTTTTTTGAGGAGCCTTTAGGGTTTTCTAGGTATACAATCATATCATCAGCAAACAGTGAGTTTGATTTCCTCTTTACTCATTTGGATGGCCCTTATTTCTTTCTCTTGTCCAACTGCTCTGTCTAGGACTTCCAGTACTATGTTGAATAGAAGTAGTTCTGAGGGATAGTGCCGTCAACTTTTCTCCATTCAGTATTATGTTGGTTGTGGGTTTATCATAGATGGCTTTTATTACCTTAGGATATTTCCCTTCTATGCAAATTTTGGTGAGGGTTTTAGTCATAAAGAGATGCTGGATTTTGTCAAATGCTTTTTCTGCATCTATTGATATGATCATGTGATTTATGTTTTTAATTCTGTTTATGTGGTGTATCACACTTATTGATTTGCATATGTTAAACCATCTGTGCATCCCTGGTATAAAACCCACTTGATCATGGTGGATTATCATTTTGATATGCTGTTGAATTTGGTTAGCTAGTATTTTGTTAAGGATTTTTGCATCTATATTCATCAGGGATATTGGTCTGTAGTTTTCTTTTTCTGTTATGTCCTTTCCTGGTTTTTGGTATTAGGATGATACTGGCTTCATAGAATGATTTAGGGAAAATTCCCCCGTCTCTGTCTTGTGGAATAGTGTCAATAAGAGTGATACCAATTCTTCTTTGAATGTCTGATAGAATTCAGCTATGAATTCTAGACTTTTTTGTTGACAAATTTTTTATTACTGTGTTAATCTCACTACTTACTGTTGGTCTGTTCAGAGTTTCTATTTCTTCCTGGTTTAATCTAGGAAGGTTGTATATTTCCAGGAATATATCCATCTCCTCTAGGTTTTCTAGTTTGTGCACATGAAGGTTTGCATAGTAGCCTTGAATGATCTTTTGCATTTCTGTGGTATTGGTTGTAATATCTCCTGTTTCATTTCTAATTGAGCTTATTTGGTTCTTTTCTCTTCTTGGTTAATCTTGCTAATGACCTATGAATTTTATTTATCTTTTCAAAGAACCAGCTTTTTTTTCATTTATCTTTTGTAATTTGTTTGCTTCAATTTCATGTAGTTCTGCTCTGGTCTTTGTTATTTCTTTTATTCTGCTGGGTTTATATTTGGTTTGTTCTTCTTTCTCTAGTTCCTTGAGGTGTGACCTTAGATTGTCTGTTTGTGCCCTTTCAGACTTCATGGTGTAGGCATTTAAGGCTATGAACTTCCCTCTTAGCGCTGTGTTTGCTTTATCCCAGAGGTTTTAATAGGTTGGGTATTATTGTTCAGCTCAAACAATCTGAAATTTCCATCTTGATTTCACTGTTGACCCAGTGATCATTCAGGAGCAGATTGTTTAATTTCCATGTATTTGCATGGTTTTGAGGGATCCTTTTGGAGTTGATTTTCAATTTTATTCCACTGTGGTCTGAACAGTGGGATCACATGGAAGAAGGATCTTTGGCTCTTTCTTTCTCAGTTTCTGCACATCTTTCGCTTGCTGATTCTCTCTGTATTTTGCAGGTGTGATGGATCTTATGACATGGCAATGCATTTTTGGTGCCTGGTAGTGAGAATTTTTATATAAAGTTGGTCCTCCAAAACTTCCCTGAATAATGTTTATGAGATTTAAGACAAAACAAGGTCCTATTTCTACAAGAGCAACACCTTCTTCTATGATATAAAACTTCTGAAACCATATCCTATTATCCAAAATGGTGAAAGTCAACACATGGCCCACGAATGGTTGGCTTTTGGGATGATACCACGGTGTACTAAAGATCTGAATTAAGAGTTCTTTTAACAAAGCATAATGTAGTAATTCATCAAAAGCTGGGTCAAGACAAAAGGGGCAAGAACCTTTCAAAAGGTTTCCAGTCATCTGTAGTTCAGCTAGGCTATGACTATTTTGAACAAGGAATTTAGCAGATGGTCCATGAGGTGAATTTGAAAGCTACATAAAGAGATCCTGTTTTTTTCTTAGCTTCAAAGTAGATGCATTTATTACAGTTTTTCATTTCACAGAACTCACTAATCTCAAATTATTTATGCTTACGATCCATTTTAGTATCTGCTTTAGAATGAGGCATCAACATTCTCAAGTCCTGCATAAAATGTCTTGTTCTGAAATTTATTTATTCCTCTGGAAGAAAAGATGAAAATCCATTCCTTGTTTTTTCACTCCCCCTTGCAAACGGGGCCTGGGATCCAGTCTCTATCTTCTTCTTCCACCTCCTCTGCGGTGGTGCCCAGCTTAGCTGGCTGCTCCGCCTCTTTTTCGCTTCTTTCTGGGTTCTTCGCCTGAACTGCCACGCCTCCATGCTGTTTCCTCTTGGTTGCCGCCATCTTGCCTCCACATTAATTATTTGTTCTCATTATCTACATCTTCTATTTGTAAAGAAAATTTTATTTAATCTGAAAAATTCCCCAAATTTATTACTTTTTTTAAAAATTTTAACTTGTTTATTTCAGCCATTCTACCAGGCTGCAACGATACCTTTCCATTCTTGACTGGAGTCCAGTGTAATTATTTTCTCTTCCAAATATGTTGCATCTAAAAAACAAACAAACAAACAAAAACAAGCAAACAAAAAACACTGATGAGGACTTTTTTTTTTTAGTTTTTTGAGACAGAGTCTCGCTCTATCACCCAGGCTGGAGTGCAGTGGCGTGATCGTGGCTCACTGCAACCTTCACTTCCCGGGTTCAAGTGATTCTCCTGCCTCCGCCTCCTGAGTAGCTGGGATTACAAGCATGTGCCACCATGCCTGGCTAATTTTTTTTGTGTTTTTAGTAGAGAAGGAGTTTCACCATGTTAGCCAGGATGGTCTCCGATCTCCTGACCTTGTGATCTGCCCGCCTCGGCCTCCCAAAGTGCTGTGACTACAGGCCTGAGCCATCGCATCCGGCCAATGAAGACTCTTGTGTGTGTTTATGTCCATGTATTTGATGAAATGTGGAAAGGACAGAGCACTTTATCTGGGTGACATTGATATATTAATTGTTATTTCTTGGGTATAGATGTTCAATCATTATATATCCTTAAGAGCTCCTTTCTACCTGTTTTTACTACCTCATCTCTGTAAAGAGGCAATCTATAGAATGCTAAAATCAAGATATATTGTGTCTATGGCAAACTGATCTGTGTTACATTCTGTCATAATTCTGTGACTCAGTTTCCTCATCTAATAAATGCTCATGATTATCATAATTTGGGGGTAATAATATCAATGCCATTAATCTTCAGTAGAGCATACTAGAATTCATAGTGTCTTAATTCTAGTATTTTTAACCTTCTTATTTCCTAGTAGTTCCAAAAAGATTATTAGCAAACATTCTGGAACCATTTGTTACATGGTAGAAAATACATTTAATGTATATTGAGTACAAACCATGTGGTATCACTATTTTACTCACTGGTGACTTAGCAGTAAATACAGCAGAAGAATCTCTGTTCTCTTGGAAAAGATGCTCCTCATCTAAAGGGAAAAAATGAAGTAAATATCGTGTATTCCAGAGAGTGTTAAGTGTGATGAAGAAGCAACAAGGCATAGGGCCAGAAAAATGTACCAGGACATGTCATTTAAAAAGAGAGGTCAGGGGATACCTCTAGAAGGACATGACATTTGAGCAGAGAGCTGAGTGAAGTGACAGTCAGAGAAAAAAGGCAAATCACTTAGAGCATTTAAACTAACAACAGGCTTTATGTCAGTAGCAACAGAAGCCAAAAGACGCTGGAATCGATTCTTCAAAGTGTTTCGACAAAAATAACTGTAAATCTAATATTATATAAGCATCAACTCCTTCATGGATAGGAGCTAAGTAAAGATATTTTCAGAAAATAAAACTGAGAATATAGTATTGTATATCCATCAAAGTGTTCAAGAATGAGGGCTAAAGATTATCTTCTTGAAGAAGGACAAAATCTTAAAAGAGCTGAGATTCAAAAAAAGAAATTCAATAGTGAATAAAAGAACCTGATGAACATATAGATAATATTAAAATATTTTCTATATGCAATAATAATAATTGTAATCATTAAGGTGTGACATTGAATAAAATTATACAATTAAATACTGACTTACAATGGAATATATGTTGGAAAAATGTTTATTGAAGTTAAAGTTTTATAATATTCTTATATATCTGAGATGAGGTGTTGGTTAATAGGTTGGTTAATCTGTTAATTTCAGGCTCGTAAGTATAAATGCCACAGATACTAAGGGTAAATAGTAAAGTATAAAAATACGATTATAAGTTTCAAATTGGAAAAGTGAAAATGATGAATTAGGAAACCAGCAAATTAATTGTTTAAATAAAAGCTAAGAAAGGAGAAGTGGCAGCAAATTTACAGATGAATTCTGTAAATGTTCTAAAAGTCAACCCAGTCTTAAACAAAGTTTTGCAGATAATATAAGAGGAAATACATTACAAATTAACTAATAAAGGAAATTATGGACAAAAAACTTAATCTCTGTACAAAATATTGCCCCACTGACTCCACTGACATTGCTAGATTAATGGAGGACAAATCATTTTAACAGATGCAGGGAAAACATTCGATCAAATTTATTAACTAATTATTAAGAGAAGATCTTAGCAACATAGAAATAAAATATTTTCTACAAAAAAACCCTTTTTTTAGAAATAAAACAATAGAAAATTACATTTTTAAAGATGAAATGTTAGAAATATTTCTATTATTATTATTATTATTATTATTATTATTATTATTATTTGAGATAGAGTCTTACTCTGTCACCCAGGCTGGAGTGCTGTGGTGCGACCTCCGCTCACCGCAATCTCTGCCTCTCAGATTCAAGTGATTCTCCTGGCTCAGCTTCCTCAGTAGCTGGGACTACAGGGGCGCCCTGCCACATCCAGCTAATTTTTGTATTTTAATAGAGACAGGTTTTTACCATGTTGGCCAGGCTGGTCTCAAAGTCCTGGGCTCAAGTGTTCCCCACCCGCCTTGGCCTCCCAAAGTGCTGGGATTACAGGCATGAGCCACTGCGCCTGGCCGAAATATTCCTTTTAAAATTAGGAAGAAGATTGCATGTACTCAATGTTGTAATGGAAGGTCCTAGCCTTTACGGAAAGGCAAGACATAGAAAACAAATGTTATGACTTTAGAAGAAATACGTACAATTTTATTTGTATATAATAGGATTATCCTCAAACACAATCCAAAAACATCTACAAATAAACTATCAGACCTAAGAGTTCAGCAAGATCATTGGATATGACATTAACAAGTAAAAACTGTTTTTCGTTCTACATGCCAGCAACAAAATGCCTAATTTTATTTTAAAAGCAAAGCTCCTTAAAATGACAAGAAAGTATAAGTTAAAAATAAATCTAACAAAAGATGTGCAAGAATTGTGTAGAAGAAAAATAAAATGTCATTGAAAGAAATTGAAGAAGACAGACTTACTATTGTAAAGATGCTAATTCTTCCAACATTGATTTATAGATCAATGCAATTCCAATCAAAACCCTAGAAGAGTTCTTGATGGAAACTGAAAGGATGATTCTGGAAGGCATATGGAATAACAAAAATCCAGAAATAACCTAGATCATCCAAATAGCAAGATGGTATTACTGTATACTGCTCAGGGATAACATATTGTATGGTTGGCTCAAGGATTAACAACTTACCAAAGAGACAAAAAACCCGTATGTATAAGCAGTGTCATTGCTCATGGCTGCAGAAACTATGGCTTCTCAGTAATAGTCCTGGGCAACTCATTATCCACAGGGAGAAGGTGAAATTACATCTTTACATCACCCTACACACCAAAATCAATTCCAGATAAAAAAGTTTTAATATTTAAAACATTTAACTCTTTTTCAATAAGAAGTAAAATCATTATGATAGTATAGAAAGATTTGCAAAACAAATTACAGAAAACTATTAGCCTATCAGAAAAGATGATAATCTTATCTACATTAAAATTTGGATATTCTATTCACAAGTCAGAAATAGAAGATATTTGCAATATATATAACTGGCAAGTGTGTTTTGATATCTGTAATATATAGAGAATTCCCAAATTTAATAAAAAGAATTCAATTAACAAATGGGAAAACACAGTCAATACAGCTTGGGAAAAAGTTAAATCGGTATGCTTGCTGAGAATTAATGTAGATGTCCATGAAATGGTTGGTTTCTGAGCGTGGACCTAAGATGTAGAGTCCATGGTTATTAATGAACTAATTTAGAACTAAGGTGGTGCATTGAGTGAGAAGGTGAGAGGACCAAGAATTGGACCCCCTTGGAATGTAGAGAGAAGAAAAAGCTATGAGCGATATTATAGAGGAATTCCCAGCCTCTGGGTTACACAAAAACCCTGAGGAGACAAGAGTCTTAGCAGCTAAGAAAAAGTTATTCCCAGAAGGAGAGAATCAAATGTGTCAAAAGCCACAAAAAGGTGCATTCAATAAAGACTGGAATTTTGTTTAAGGGCCTGAACAAAGGCAGTTTCATACAGTCAAGGAAATCGAAGCCTTAATGAAGTGGGCTGTGGAATAAAGGGTATAGAAGTGCCATGAGCAGAGAATGTTTTTGTTTTCGAAGAAACCAATAAGTTTCTTGGAAACAAGTGAAGAGGGAAACAGTAAAGAGACAGCAGTGGAGATGGGGCTGGGTCATGCAGAAATAAGTGGAAGGGCCTGTTTTTCCTAGGTATTTTCTAAAGGAAGGAGAGGCTGAAAAGATGGAAGAGCATGAGCATTAAATAATTTAAGATCACTCAGGTGGCAAGATGGGGTGAGATTTGCAACTCTAATGATCCAATTGACCTTTAAGAGAAGAGTTATTTTTTTCAGTTTAGATGAGGATAGGAGGGGAGGTAAGAATGGTTGTATGGATTGAATGATACCTCTGTGGGAGAAGAGTATAGGAGTTGAGGAATTTATAGTCTGATGGCTTCTGTTTTCTTTGTGGAGAAGTCAATATTGTGTAGGAGAAGGGTATTCCAAGAGATGAAGTAGGTGACTTGAAAGAGAAGTAAATGCTTGAAATTCGTTGCTGTTGATGTGAAATAGGATCTGAATTGACAAGGGCAGTTTGTTCCTGACAATCCAGGACATAGAATCACTCTATTTTTACTGCAGATATTTTGTGAGAAGAAATGCAAGAAAATGGTGGAGAGTTGTTGAATGAAATAATAATGGGGTAAAGGAGTTTAGCATTTTGGAAGAAAAGTGGTAAAGGTGACAAAACTTGGGATCTTGAACAAAAGTTCTTTGCAAAGGAATTTGAAGCAGAGACTTTATTCCAGCGAACAGTTTGCAAACTGGAGAGACACAGCCCCTAGTGTAAAACAAAGGTGCGTTCCAGAAAACAAAGAGAGAGTTCAAGTTCTGTAGCAAAAGTTTCCACCCATGTTCCCAATCAGGTCCATTTATGCAAATGAAGGATTCAAACTTGCTGAGTTCTGATTGGTTGGTTCAGGTAAGCTCTGAAGGTCTTGAAGTTAAAAAGGTGTGTGTTTTCAGGGAACTCAGGGCATGTGTGTCACCTCTAGTCAGGAAATGGCTGTTTGGCTCTATTTTAAATTTAAGCCCAGTTAGCCGCTTGGGATTCATCCTGAAGGATTGGATCTTTTAAGCTTCTGTTTATTCACAGGAGCTTGGCTGAAAAGGAAAGGGAATGAGACTAGAAGATTGTTGGTCAACAGGAAAGAAGCAGATCGCCTTCCAAGTCTAGATAAAGTCCAAATGAGGAGATGCAAGGGCATAGTGAGAAGAGCTTTGCTTTAGAGTGTGGTGTTAGATATTTCCAAAATATTATAAGTGATGGCACAGCTTGTGGTAATGAGCAACTGTTGTGTCAGGAGGTGAAAGCAGCTGGCGATAAAGGACATCAGACAAAGGAGGCTATGATGTGAAGAGTGAGACACTGGAGACTTCTTGATTGGATCAGGAGCATCACTGGCACGTAGGCTGACCCTGGTTCTCATGAGATGTCCATTATGCATTGTCAGGCATCAATCAGCCATGGTCTCAGCATTCTGAAATGCATGTGTTAACTTAGAATATACCATGTGATTTAAATACATAAGAAAAATAAGATTCCAACAGAGGAACTGAACCTTTTTATCTTTCTCAGCAATAAATGTTTCATGTTTACTATAATTTTTTTCAGAAATACAGAAACATACAAGAAAGATATGATGAAAGCTCTTATTTCCTTAGTCGAAGATCCAGCCTGGGTGACAGAGTGAGACCATGTCTCATAAAAAAAAAAAAAAAAAAAGAAAGGAAAAAAAGAACACGAGGAAGACAGTTTGGTAGCTTTCCTAAAATGCTACATATTTTACTACCACAGGACTTAGCTTGTGCACTTTTGGACTTTTTTTGCTTTATTTTGTTTTGAGATGGAGTCTCACTCTGTCGCCCAGGCTGGAGTGCAGTGGCTCACCGCAACCTCCACCTCCCCAGTTCAAGCAATTCTCCTGCCTCAGCCTCCCAAGTAGTTGGAATTAAAGGCTCACACCTCCACGCCTGGCTAATTTATTGTATTTTTAGTAGAGACAGGGTTTCACCATGCTGGCCAGGCTAGTTTCAAACTCTTGACCTCAGGTGATCCGTCAACCTCGGCCTCACAAAGTGCTGGGATTATAGGCATGAGCCACTGCACCCGGCCACATGTTTAAATTTTTAAAGAAGTTTCCAAACTCTTTTCCAGAGTGTCTGTACCATCTTACATTCCCACCAACAATGTATGAGTAATTCAGTTTACCTGCATCCTTGCCTGCAATTTGTAATGTCATTATTTTGTATTTTCACCATTTTCATAGGTGTGTAGTAATATCACATTGTGGTTTTAATTTGCATGTCCCTAATGACTTCTGATCTTTAGCACCTTTTCATATGCTGACTTGCCATCTGTATATCCTCTACAGTACAATGTCATGCCTTTTGCCCATTCTCTGAAGTGTTTGGTATTTTACTGTTGAATTTTTGGGTTCTTTATATATTTTAGACACTATTCCTTTCTGCATATGTGGTTTGCAAATATTTTCTCCGTCTATAACTTGCCCTTTGATACTCTCAGCATGGTGTTCACAGCACAGAATTTTTTATTTTGGTGAAATCCTGATTATCATTTTTTTTCTTTAATAGATCAATTTTTTATGCAAAGTCAAAGAACTTTTGGCTTAAATATCAAAGATTTTCTCCTATTTTTTTGAATAATAGTTTTACATTTTATATTTAAGTTTGTTGTCCATTTCGAGTTAATTTTTTATAAAGTATGAGACTTAGGTAAAGGTTTATTTTTCTGCCTATGGTTATCCATTTGCTATTTTACCGTTGGTTGAAAGGCTTCCAGTGAACTGCTTCTGCTCTTTCATTAAAATCAATGGAGCATATTGTATGGGTCTATTACTGGGCTGTCTGCTGTGTCCCATTGATATTTGTGTCTGTGTCTCCCGTATTCCTCAATACCACACAGTCTTGATTACTGCAGCTATATGACCCGTCTTAAAATCAAGTAGATCAGTTGCTCTCACTTTATTCTTTTTTGTCAAAAACATTTAGCTATTCTAGTTCCTTTGCATTTCTGCATAAATTTTAGAATAATCTGATCTATATTTATGAAAAAATCTTGCTGGGATTTAATGAGAATTGTATTAAACCTGTATATCAATTTGTAAAGAAATGACATCTTTACTGTCTTTAGACTTTCAATCCATGCATATATGCTTATTCATTTTTTTAAATCTTTGATTTTGTACTTCAGTATTTTGTAGTTTTTAGTTTATAAGTACTGTAGATGTTTTGTTAAATTTATACCTAATTATTTCATGCTTTTGAGCAATTGTAAATTGTATTTTTTAAAAAGATCTATGTCCATATGTTCGTTGATTGCATATAAAATAAATACTATCTATATATTAATACATTTGTCTTGTATCCAGAGACCTTGGTGAACTCACTTTGGAGTATTTTTGATATATATTGGGATTTTCTACATAGACAATAATTTCATCTGCAAATAGGGACAGTTTTATCTCTTCTTTTCCATTCTGTTTGCTTTCTATGTCCTTTTCCTGCCATGGTGCACAGGCTAGAACTTGCAGCACTGTGTTGAATAAGACTAGAGAGAACAGATATCCCTGCCTTATTTTCTATGTGAAAAGTATTCACTGTGTTTAATTACTCTAGGGCTTTTGTATATGTTCTTTTCCAAGTTGTGGAAGTTCCCCTCTACTTTTATTTTCTTTCTGAGAGGTCTGTAACTCATAATGAGCGTTGAATATAGGCAAACACTTTTTATGTATTGATACTATTATGTGGCTTTTCTTCTTTAGCCATTAATATGATGGATTACATTTATTTATTTTCAAATATTGAACCAGTATTGCATCCTGGGAATAAACCTTACTTGCTCATGGTGTATAAACCTTTTCATATTGATAAATTCTATTTGCTGATATTTTGTTAATGATTTTTGTATATATGTTCATAAGAAGTATTTGACTGTAGTCTTTTTTTTTCTTTGTTTGTAGTTATCTTCTGGTTTTGATATTAGGGTGAGCCTTCCAAAAGGAGTTGGGAAGTATTCCCTCCTCTGTTATTTTACAGAGGAGAGTCTATAAAAATCCTGTTAAATTTTTTAAACACTGGGTCAAATTCTCCAGTAAAATAATTTTAATTCCTTCCTGGGGATTTCTTATTTGGGGAGTTTTAAGGATTAGGAATTCATTTTTTTAATAGTTACAGAGCTATCTCAATTATCTATTTCATATTAGGTGTGTTATGGTAGTTTGTGTTTTTTGAGGAAATGAGATGCTCACTGAAGAGCTGGATCTTTTTATCTTAGCTACAAATAAATTTTGATGTTACCGTATAGTTTTATTTCACGCTTAACAAAAAGTACTGAGAAAGAATAATGAAAGTCCTGTACCCACAGCTCAGCTGAAGAGATGCATGTTAAAAATACAAATGTAGTTAAAGTTTCAGTGCATTCCTTTTGCCTAATACCTGCTCCGGCCTCTGCTGTACTTGCCGCCAGCCTGGGTGTGATGCTTGTTATTCCCCTAGACGTCCAAGTAATTGATTTTTAAAAAACTAGTGTGCTTAACCAATATGGCATTCAGGTTCATACCTTTGACTCAGCTGGCATATGTTGACAAAAATGATATTATTTGACATGATGTTATTTTGGTTTGTTTCCACAGCTCTTGCAGTGTTTACTCAACTTCCTCAGGATACAAGTGTCGAGGTTGGAAAGAATATAAACATTTCATGTCATGCTCAAGGAGAACCACAGCCCATAATTACTTGGAATAAGGTAAGATCTCAACTAAAAGTACAGTAATATTAAAAACACTGACAGATGTATCGACCCACTGAAATGGAGGTAATGATTCTCATATTGATTTTTTACTGTTGCGACTTTTGCTAGCAAATAATACCTTTTACATTGCAGCAGGTTTACTTCCTGTTTCTTCTTTTTTTTTTTTAAGTGACTCTATCTGATTTTGGTTCAGTGTTTTGATAAGGTTTATCCTTTCTAATTTGCCTGGTGATGAACACTTCATAAGCATAACTGAATTCCTCTAAGGAAAATTGGTTTTGACACATATAAATTAAGAGTTTAGTGGCTAATAAGAAACCATTTTAAGTTAATAACTCAGAAGTGGATTAAAAGTAGGTCATTGGCTGAAACAGGAAAGGAATGAAAAGCTTGGTGTTAAACAAGAAAAAGTAGTTCTGAAGTTTCAAAACCTGAATGGCTTTAAAAAAACAATAGCTCCTTATTTATATATCTTACATCTTTTGGAAGCCATATTCTTCCAACATAACTGCTTCTTCTGTTTTAAGTTTTTCATCAAAACAAAATGGTCGGTCTCAGATTTCAGTGTTCTTAAAAATCTACAAATTTGCACACTTGAATGTCAGTTTTTGAAACATTTTGACAAAATATAAAATCTGTGAAAGGTTACAAAACTGTTTTCCAAAACCACTTGGCTTATTTTTATTGCTACCATATATTAACAAGGCCTTCTTTTGTGCTGTAGCAAGTCTCACATGCCAGTCTCTATGAAGAGTAAGTTTAGGTGTCTTTCGGTTCATGTCCTCTCAGTAGTCTGAATTTTTTTGTTTTTTTTTTTTGAGACGGAGTCTCGCTTTGTCGCCCAGGCTGGAGTGCAGTGGCGCGATCTCGGCTCACTACAAGTTCTGCCTCCTGGGTTCACGCCATTGTCCTGCCTCAGCCTCTCCGAGTAGCTGGGACTACAGGCGCCCGCCACCACGCCCGACTAAGTTTTTGTATTTTTAGTAGAGACGGGGTTTCACTGTGGTCTCGATCCCCTGACCTCATGATCCTCCTGCCTCGGCCTCCCAACGTGCTGGGATTACAAGTGTGAGCCACCACGCCCAGCCTAGTCTGAATATTTTTATAACCCCCTTTTAATTTGATATTATATATTAAAATATTTTTATGCTAAAAATAGAAAGTGTGAAAAATATACATTTTGGGCAGTCTCTAAAGCCTTATTCGACACTGTACGACATGCATCATTATGTAATCACATCAGCAGACTATCTCAGCGTCTACTTTGTAAAAGGTAGCTTTTAATCACAAACTGATTGAGTGCTGACTCTATGCCAGACATTTTACACACACTATCACATTTACTCTTCATAACAGTCCTCTTCAGCTCACAAGTTTGGAAAAGGTATGAGTTAGCATACTTTGCTACCAGCGATAGAAACGCCCTACCATAAGCAGATAAGGAATGTGCTGGAAAGCCATCTGATTGCTGAGACTCCAAGCGAATATTTCAGAGCAATACATTTGGTCTGGAGTTCTGGCAATAGGTGAGGAGAAGGGAGCAACTTTGAAAGAAAATTTAGAAGTGGCCCAACCTGAGGCAGAGAAGGTGTGGTTCTGAAGGAAGGACCTACTAGGCCCTGTGACCTGTGCACCTGGTTGCCTCATCCATGCCTTATGTCTGGTCTCTCTCATCCGCCCTCTCACCTGGTGGGGCCCTGCAACTTCTCACTCCCTACTCTGAGTTACCAGCTACCAATCACCTGGACTTGTTTTCAAGCATGGGGTAAAGTCAGCTGTGAGAATCCGAAGACCTGTGAAATGTTATTTTCACTCTAAACGTTCATGGTTACACTCTGGCCTATTGGCCATAGCTGGAGTGTGAGTTCTTTTGAAAAAATATCTCCCATCCTCTGTTTCCTGTGAGTCTTTTGTGGAGAGGCAGGGCAGAGGCACACCATTTTAACTGCAATTTCATAAGGCCATTTCCTTTTACTTTTTAAAATTAAATCCATAATAATGAAAATGTATGTAAGTCTATATTAATTAAAAGTAAATGCACTTTAATAATAGCTCATATAAAATGTAGTTATTTTTATCTTCTTATATTTTTAATTGTGTATATATATATATATAATACACATATCAGTGTAGCTATACAAAACATATGAGTACATACAAGGTAGAAATAGAAGGGAAATTAGAAATACATTAATAAAAATATTTTGATGTTTTTAGATGATGGATTTGTGAGCATACTTCTCCTCGTTAATTTTTATTTTTTTTATTTTAGATATGGGATCTTGCTATGTTGCCCAGGCTACAGTACAGTGGCATGATCATAGTTCATTACAGATTCACACTTCTGGACTCAAGCAACCCTTTTGCTTCAGCCTCCTGAGTAGCTAGAACTACAGGCACACACTACCATGCCTGGCTGACTTTTGTTCTATTTTTTTTTGTAGGGATGGGGTCTTGCTATGTCACCCAGGCTGGTCTTGAACTCCTGAGCTCAAGTGATCCTCCTGCCTCAGCCTTCCAAAGTGCTGGGATTATAGGCATGAGCCACTGTGCCCGACCAAATGTAGTTGTCAGAATTATCTTTAGCAGTAAGCAATATATGAATCAATTGTGTCTATCCATTCATTGGAGTGATAATTTTAAAATTATTATTATGTTAAATAATTACATGATTGAACTTTTGGTTATCATATTTAATAATTAGAGAGAGAGAAAAACCACACTTCCTAGAAACCTCTTTTCCTCTCTTCCTTCTCTCCACTAGATTCATGTATCTCCTCCAGTACTTGACACACAGCAAACGTGCAATAGATATCTGTTGAATAAATGAACCCACATTTTAAAAAGTAAATAAATGATTTTTTAAGGAACCACACTCATTCAGTGGCAACTCTTTTTTGCTCCCTAGGAAGGTGTGCAGATTACTGAGAGTGGTAAATTCCATGTGGATGATGAAGGCACGCTGACTATCTACGACGCAGGGTTCCCTGACCAGGGAAGATATGAATGTGTGGCTCGGAATTCTTTTGGCCTTGCTGTGACCAACATGTTTCTTACAGTCACGGGTAGGTGTCTATAGCTCCATTTACAACATCCAAATAACTGTCTTTGAACAGCTTCTACCCCAATCCTATTTGACTGATCTCACTAATCATGCTCTCTTATACTTTCTTTCTGGTCAAGTGTGTTTATAGTCAAAGCTGTTTTATTCTTTTTAAAATAAAAAAATTTAAATATAAACAATCTTAAAGGATATAAAGTGAAAAATAACAAATTAAAAAAAGAACATAAATAGCAAAGATTTGCAAATATATATCATGTTTTCTTACAAACCAAAAATAATAGAATGCAAGATGTATTTATAGCCAAAATGTGGAGCCGGAGGTGGAAGCATAATATGGAATTCAACATGTACTACATACTCTAGCCTAGTATATTTAATCCCAGTTTAAAATTAGAAATCAATCCATCAAACTCCCAAGTAAACTTTACAACCACTAGAACAAATATCTCAGTGTTTCCAGGCATTTATAATTGGCCAACATAATTGACATAGCTTTTTACATTCTATCACCAATCTGGTTATATAGCTGGAACCCTCTGCAGGTTGATTATATATAATGACTGTTTAAAATACTGTTTACTGTAGTCTTATAAAAAATATATTTTTTCTTTTTTTGATTATTCAGTTCACAAGGGACATGGGAGAGTCCATTTGTAGGCAGACTTGAGTAGACTGTACTGAAACTCAGCTGAGGTTATTTACAAGTGGACACAGGCTGTTAAGATTGCCTGGTGTGTTCTCTACACGGAGAGGCATTGAAGGAAAGCACAGCATGTCTGCATGTGGGAGTTCACATTAGTGTTGCTTTTTTTGCAAATGGGTTCAGGAGTTTTTGCTGTATTGACAATCCACAGTTGAAATAAATGAGTTTAGCTACAAGCATCTGGAGTGCTATTTTGGGCTTTGCTCAGCTTTCAGTTTCCTTAAAAATGAACAAATTTCATAAATATGGTTTCGCAGATTCTTTTTTACCTTTTAGTTTTTCCACGCCTTATGGGTTTATAGAAGAGATTGGGTAACTGTTTCATTACGTACAATAATATTTCATAACACAGGCCTCACTAAAAATAGATTTAGCTTATCAACTCATATTTATAAAGATTTGCCATTTTCCTATCATATGAATACTTTCACATTCTTCCACTTACATATTCTGAAATATCAAACTTCTGAGCATTTATTTTGCCTAGGTCAGTGGTCCCCAACCTTTTTGGCACCAGGAACTGGTTTTGTTGAAGACAATTTTTCCACTGACCGGGGTGGGGAGATGGCTTTGGGATGATTCAAGTGCATTACATTTATTGTGCACTTTATATCTATTATTATTACATTGTAACATATAATGAAATAATTATACAACTCACCATAATGTAGAATCAGTGGGAGCCCTGACCTTGTTTTTCTGCAACTAGATGGTCCCATCTGGGGGTGATGGGAGACAGTGACAGATCATCAGGCATTAGATTCTCATAAGGAGTGCACAACCTAGATCCCTCACATGTGCAGTTCACAATAGGGTTTGTGCTCCTATTAGAATCTAGTGCCCCTGCTGATCTGACAGGAGGTGGAGCTCAGGCAGTAATGCTCGCTTGCCTGCTGCTCGCCTCCTGCTGTGTTACTAACAGGCTGTGACCAGTATTGGGGGTTGGGGACCTCTGTCATAGGATCTTCGAACCTCAGTGAGGAGCACGGATTTATTCTGAAGGCGCTGGGGTTGGGAACCCCTGGTCTAGGTATTTTAAATAAAATGTATCCATATTGTAAAAATGTCTTTTGTAGAATAATATTCTTAAAATTTTAACAATGTAGTTTAGTAACCGGCAAATATTTGTCCTAATAATGTCAGAGGTTGTTTAAAATTGCTTTTTATTTTTTTTGAGACGGAGTCTCACTCTGTTGCCCAGGCTGGAGTGCAGGGGCACAATCTCGGCTCACTGCAACTTCCGACTCTCGGGTTCAAGCAATTCTCCTGCCCCAGCCTCCCGAGTTGCTGGGGTTACAGGTGCCTATCACACGCCAGGCTAATTTTTGTATTTTTAGTAGAGATGTGGTTTCACCATGTAGGCCAGGCCTGTCTTGAACTCCTGACCTCAGGTGATCTGCCCACCTTAGCCTCCCAAAGTGCTGGGATTACAAGCCAGAGCCACTTCGCCTGACCTAAAGTTTCTTAACGTTACAAAATCTTAGTCTCACTCTGCTATTCTCTATGAGTTCATGATTTTCCTGATTTAAAATCTGTGGTAGTTGTGCTTCCTATAAATTTATGGAGTTCACATTTTGCTATTCAACTATTTATGAGACCTGTGGAAAAATGCCCTTGAGATAGTTTGGGAAAAAATTATTACAGAATTTATATTAATATCACCATGTTTTAGAAATGCTAAAAATCTTTACCATTAAACAAACACACATACAAACAAACATCCTCTCTCTCTGTATTGCCCCTCTGTCTTGCTCTTCCACATACACAGAAGCACTGTAATCTCAGTGAAAAAACATTTCAGAATCTCCAACACAAGAATTTCATCTTCTTTAACAGAAATTTAACTAATTGTAATTATACATACATATTAAAAGTAAAACATTCAGGCTGGGTGCAGTGGCTCATGCCTGTAATCCCAGCACTTTGGGAAGCTGAGGCAGGCAGATCACAATGTCAGGAGTTCGAGACCAGCCTGGCCAACATAGTGAAACCCTGTCTCTACTAAAAATACAAAAAATTAACTAGACATGGTGGCGCTTACCTGTAGTCCCAGCTACTTGGGAGGCCGAGGCAAGAGAATCACTTGAACCTGGGAGGTGGATGTTGCAGTGTCAAGATCACACCACTGCACTCCAGCCTGGATGACAGAGTGAGACTTCATCTCAAAAACAAAACAAAAGTAAAACATTCAGTAAAATGTATTAATCACTTTATTTACCAGATTTTAGAATAGTGATAGCATTCAATGATATTCTGTTCTATGGTGTTGAAACAGGCTATAAGGAGATAATAATACAGTAAAATAAATGTTATTCCACAAAGAAAAACTTTTTTGTCTCTGGGACATTTATATGTCAATATGAGGGAAAAGTAATTTATACCAAATAAATTTCATAATGTTAGAAATATTTTTTAATAAAGTAAAAGAAAGATGAAAGAATACAAATTTAAAAGTTTTGGGTAAATTTAAGATCCAAGACAAGGAGTGTGTATGTGTTTATAAAACCCAAATTAGCAGAATAAGGGGAAATATGGCAAACTAAAGTAACATTTGCTGAATGTTTTATGACTGAGACCCTTTCATTCACCAGGTCATTATAACTAAAAGGAAAAGTTCATACCTTACAGGAGGATTTTCCAATCTTGATGCCCCCACTTAGTTATTGTAGAATGTTGTAATTCCATTTGTGGAATAAATGACACAAGTAAGTGATCATGACTTTTGAGTTTCTAATTTACCTTGGGAATTACAGCCATAGAAAGTAATGCACAATAATGAAAAGTACACAACCATCTACGCATTATATAAAATTTACCTTTTACTGACTGATGTTTATAGCAGGGCATCTATGATAGCAAAAGAACAAAAAGATTTCCACAGTTGTAATTTTTTCAGAAAGCTCATTTTCCCTTTAGAGCTAATAGATTTGTAAACAGTTTACATAAATAACCTGTAAGACTGATACAGTATTTCCTGGGAATCTATCCTTTTGTTTAGGATGTTGTCAATGTATTTTATATCAGCAAATATTAATTCTATTTGCCCACTTCTCTCTTTTTTTCTAGATAATATTTTGTATCCAAATGCTACACATTTTATTTAGATAAAATGTTTATATATTTATTGTTTTTAAAAAATATTTAATAATAACTTACTGTAACACTCCCTATATTATATTAACTACAAAGTGCTGGTAAGTGCTGTGAAGTATAGACTCATTTCGTCCTCGTGAAAATGATTCGGTTTGACTGAAGGCACAAAACACATTTATATGAAACATTAGAAGTGTGAGATAGTGAGAAGAAAACCCTGGGTTAAGCCATCAGACTTCACTGATCTCGGCCACTTTGGATAACTTCCTTACCCATAACTGGAATTGATTTTCTTATTTTTTAAAAAGATGGACCTGAACTCTCTCAAGAGTATTTCTTGGCATAGAATTTCTATGTTTCCATGATAGAATTCAAACAATAGTTATGAAAATAGTACAACAGTAATGAGGAAACACTTTATAGCATGTCTGTGATAAAATTCTTACCATTGAGACATTGAACTAATATATGGACAAAGTGAAAAATGCAAAGGTGACCCAGAATTTATTAAATGAAAAACTTGGACCATGTAACATGCATATACTGGTTCAAATTGTATGAAAATAATGCTAGGCAATGTTATCTCCTCTGAAATTCCTAGGTAAGTGTCTAATTGTCTGTGTGGCACCTCATTTTGGTGGACCCACAGTCCTTGCAATTCCTCATGTTAAAAACTGATTTTGAACATATTCGAATCTGAACCCCTGGTCTTTCCCCGAGGACCTTGTCTCCTCCTAGCATGCCTTCATAGCAGAAGCAGGAAGCTGAGCCCTCACGATTTATCTTCCTCCCCAGCTCCCTTACTCCAACTCAAAGCCTCCCTCGTCTTTCCTTCCCTAAAATTGCTTCTTTTCCACTTCTCTTCTTTATGTGACTCCTGTTCTATGGCTCAGCCTTTCATCATTTTGAACGTAGGTTTGGAAATAACTTTCCAAATTATCCTCCCACCCATAATATTTGCTACTTCAACTGTATCCTTAACCCAATAAATTATTATCAAACTAAACTGATTGAAGATTTAAGGCTACGTTAGCTGACTTTAGGTTAGTGGGACCTTTTCTTTGAAGTTAATGAAATAACCTATACTAAACTCATAGGAATATCAGTAGTAAAAATAAACAGTTAACATTTATTGAGCATTTACCATGTGTTCCAAATGCTATACATTAATTAACCTGTTCAGTTCTTGTGAGTTCTAGTTATTTTCCAAAACTCTGTATAAACAATTCACTATTTGAATTATTTGACATTTTAATCCCAATATTTGTCATGGGGTAGACAAACATCAATTTCTAAGCCACTGAAGTTGTTGCAGAGTTATAAGTGGACAATAAAGTATCAAAATATTTTCATTAGTTATATTTATTCAAACATTAATGAAGTGAAATTGGTAACTGAAGAGTTTTAAATTGCTATTTTACTACATTTTAAAATTTACTCTGAATAGGGTATAAATTAGTTTACAAACTAATTAAGAGATACATGACAATCTTTGCTATCTTGCCAAGCTTTTAATTTTGTTTTCTATTTTATTTTTGTCAAACTTTAATAATACAATGAGTGGGGAAATATTTTTGTAAACAACAGCATCTACCTAGTATACATACACGTATGTTTGTATTAGCTTTATGTTAAAGGTAACACATTTCTCATCCATTTTATACATAAAATATACAGTGACCACATACTTCTATCCTGAGATAAATGCTCTCAAAATTTTAACATATACATTTTAATATGTGTAAGTAGCATTTCCAGATTTTTGGTGTTGTAGTGTTTGAATAGTTTAAACATTATAAAGAAAACAAATAAAACGTCTTAATCTAAGCACCATAACCTTAAACAAAGTAGATGGTGCCTTTCCTTTTCCAGTCTCTGAAAAAACAGTGGAGCTCTCCAGGGCAATGAATTGGTTTCCATGTTTAATGATGCAAAGTGATGAGTAAGACAGATTCTCTGCTGTTTAAACAAAATGATTTCATAAAGGCAGTCATTACCATCAGTGTGTATGGTAATGTGGACCTGTCTCTGGTGTCCTGGGACAGCCCTCACATGTGTCAGTTTTAGCATCACTCTTTATAGGGAAAGACTGAGTATGATAAGACCTATTTGGTTACGATAGTTACATTATCTGCTAATTTTCTTCCCCAGGGGGAAAAAGGGGGAGGATAAAAAATACTCAAAACCCAATTGGTAATTGTGAAAAAATCTCAGCCTTTATTGAGGTCTAGGCATTTTTTAGCAAGGGTGACAGAGGAGCACAGCTGTTTTGTTTCTGCATCCCATCTCTAGGTCCAGTCCCCAAGTCACCCAGAGCCAGGCCTTTCATGCAGAGCAGTGAGTGGCCACGTGGCCTAAGCTCCCCCTTTTCTGAAAGGACTCAATATTACCATTGGATTTTACCATCAATAGTAGTGATAGCCTCATAGATGCAGGGATAGGATTGCAAATAGATGTGCATCAATAACTTTAAACATGTTTATTTTGTAAATATACTGAAGCCTTTTTCTCATTTTTATTACCCTGAGACTTAACAAAGAAAAATGATCTAGTTGTCCCTCTACTCCTGTAAAATTTTGCATAAAAAGATGGAGAATATGCTCAGAATTTTCTGATTGTTCTATTCCTTAAGCCATTAACTGAGATGATTTTTGAGACAAATAACTACAACAGTATTGATTAATTCTAATGTGTCCCCAACACATTGGATTTGCTTACATAACACAGTGCTGTTCTAAAGAAATTTATAAAAATATTTTTGCAGTTTGTACCAAATCAAACAAAACAACACTGAAATCAAATGAATAATAAAAGAGTTAGTTTTAGTTTACTCTTAAACCACATAAACTTAAAAAATCATAACTGACATAAAAACGAGAAAGCTTTATTATCAAGAATGTTTTTGTTTGACTATATCACGTATTTAATGTGCTTTTAAGAATCTGAACAACTTTATGTGTTTTCTATTTGTGTAGTTTAGAGCTTAAATATTTCAAAAAATATTTGCATACAATTCCATTTTTAAAATTTTCTTCTCCTTTTCACTTTTACACACTGGTTGACTTCTGATTCATATAAATAAATAGCAAATCATATTGACAGTATAACACAGTATCAATTGATAATCATGTGAGGATACAGATTGCCTATAGGTTTTAAAACACATTAATCGTGAAAGCCACCTTATATGTGCATTGCAACATGCAGTTTTAAAAGAATTTTGCGTATCTTTGCTATCTGATAAACACATCAGCCCTGAGCTCTGTGCTGAGCAAGGCTTTCTCTCTCCATTTAATGGATGAGCTAACAGATGAAGACAAGTGCTGCAAAATCCCTATGCTTGTAAATCTTATACAACTATAACAGCAAAACAATTTTATAAACAGAATAAAAGCAAAAACATCAATCCAATTCACATTCACATATTAAATGATGGTTTCCTGAAATTTATACTTTATATCAACTTCTGTCCACCATTGTGAATAGCCTTTTAAGTTTTGGCATCTCAATAGCACTATGTCCTGTACGGTAACTCAGTCCTAGCACACAATCTTCTTACTTCCAAATCCACGTAGACCTTTGATAACATATTTTGTCCCAGATGCAGTAGCCCAATGACAATACTTGTCACAAACAGAAGCATGTAATTAATGCTGCTTTCTATATTTGAGGTCCAAAAGTGAAGGAGTAAAAGGGACAAAGAAAAAGCTAATATGTTGATTAAATAATCAAGTCATACATGCCAGTGCAGATTGATTTGATTGATTTTAGTTTCTTTATTTCTAAGATAAAAGTAAATTAAGTAGGCTCATTCCTACTGACTTTTTTTGAACACATAAGCAGACTAATGTAGCTATGTTTATAGTATTGTTTTCTTATAATCACAGTAATTATATTGATTGATTCCTCAATTGGTTAACTAATTAATTCATTACCTTTTATGTCCATACTCTGCTTTCATCATCATTGCTATATATGTAACAACTATACTACATCTAAGTATTATATATTTTAATTCGATCATTTTATGGTTATCTCTTTCTAGTTTTCGAATTTTTACCTTAAGCATCTTTTAAGTGTCCATCCATGTATGCCCAGACAATTCTAACTGTTGCATGACATTCCACGTTGAACATCCACCACATTTTCCTTGCACACTGGTATGGTTTAGATTTGTGTCCCTGTCCATATCTCATGTCCAGTTGTAATCCCCAGTGTTGGAGGAGGGGCCTGGTGGGAGGTGATTGGGGTGAGTTTCCCTCTTGCTGTTCTTGTGATAATGAGTGAATTCTCATGAGATCTGGTTGTTTAAAATTGTGTAGCCTCTCTCCCTTTGCTCTCTCTCCTGTTCCAGCCATGTAACATGTGCTTCCTTCCTCTTCATCTACCACTACTGTAAGCTTCCTAAGGCCTCCCCAGTGATCCTTCCTGTACAGCCCGAGGAACTGTAAGCCAATTAAACCTCTTTTCTTTGTAAATTACACAGTCTCAGGTAGTTCTTTATAGCAATGCGAGAACAGACTAATACACCCATACTTCCACTGTTGTACAACCAATTTTCTACAATTCCTACTGCACAAAGTTGCAATAAACATTCTCATACATACCCTTGTGGATTTCAATTATAATTTTTCTGCATATATGCATGGGATTGAAATTACTGGATGAGAGGATGTGTGCATATGCAATATTACAAAGTAACAACTGCCATCTCCCCCCCGCCAAAGAAGGCTCTAAATACAATCCCCAAAATAGGTGTCAATTCCACAGTCCTATCAGTCTGCCTGAGGATTTATAGGAACTCTCACTCCTGTCAAAATTTGGCTTTAATCAGCTTTTTATTTTTTGCTAGAATAAGCATAAAATGGTAGTTCATTGACACTTTTTCATTTCTGAGGTTACAAGTGATTTTGAGCATGTTATATCCTTATTAACTTTTGAGCTTTCCTCTTTTATAACTTGCCTATATATTTGTTTCTTAGTGTATTATAACGTTTCTTTGTATGAAACAGAATATCATTTCTGCCTCAGAGTTTGAGATTGCAAATATTGTCAGCTATTTGTGTCATTTATTAGTTATTTTGTTCATGTTCTTGAAATTGTTAATTTCATCCAATTGAATTAATCAATTTTTGTCTTTTTTTCTTTCAATTATCTTTAGCTAAATCAATCCCATGTATTTTTTGGACTAGGAAAGGCAACATTGGCCATTTAGAGCCTCAATCTTGTGGTCATCATAAAGGCTGCAATGACTTGACAGTGGAGCCACCCTACTTACTCAGAATTGCTGCACATAATCTAGTTTGCCAAGAAGAATTTTCAGTATGGTCCTGAATTTTATTCTTTCCTTACAATATTTCCATACCATTGGTATTTTTTTTCTTAAAATTATTTTATGTTGGTGGTCTTTTTAAGACAATAAAATCTAGGCTATATAGATGGTCATAATATACAGGAATTTTCCTGTAATATCTAGATGGAGAATGCTATATGGGCCCATCTATTGTCAAATATATATGCTTAAATATGTATAGAAACACATATATAGATATATACATATAATATGTATATATCTATCATACTATATTGTGGTAACACCTTGACTTAAGCTTATATTAGTTACTTCATTGGGAGTTCTTTTGGATAATACATACAATACCTTCCTATTACTATTCAAGTTTTTAATCACTTTTACTTCCCCTAAATGACATTATTTTCAAACTCAACATTTAAAGCTATATTGACTTTTGCTTTCAATATTTAGCAGTGCCAAAAAGTTATTGTTTTCATTGCCTGTGTCACATAAAATGTTACTGTACTTTTAGTATCTCAAAAATGAACTAGATACTGTGCTGATTATTTCTCTGATATGAACTGTAAATATTCATTCGTAATTATTTTTATTTAGTATTTGTTCCTTTACTGTTAAACTTCTTAAACCATTATTTGAAGAAGATTCAATAGCCTGGAAATGATCAGCTGTAAGTAAATAGCTTCCTTTGTCTACAGGATTCAACTTTGCAGTATTTTCACATGTTAGAGAGCTATAAAAAAAGCATAAATTAATTTTCCCATAAATCTTATTGAGAGTTCAATTCTTGCCTTAAGAAGCCTCTATGGGATGGGAGAATATTTACTTTGCTTTAATGTTTAACATTAAAGCAAGGTGGCTGAAGAGATAGGTATTTCATACCTTCTCCAAGATGACAAATTGCTGACATACTTGGATCCTGTGTGAATCAGCATTGTTCAAAAGGAAATATTTTACATAGCTTTACTAGATTTTGGAATACTTTAATTCCCTAAATAACATTATTATTGTTAGATGAAGCCTTGCTTCAAGATAATTACCTACCTCTCTGCAATGGGCATTATCATGTAGATATTGTATAACATTTTCATTGTCTTAGAGGTTTTAAATGTAATGGCATTACATTTAAAAATGTAATGCCATTCATATAATATCATGCCTAACTTCAAGGTCTGTTTGATATTTTTAATCATGGAATTGATTTTCAAAGCTATACAGGGTAGACAAGCTGGCGATGACTTTGTTGAATCTTCCATTCTTGATGCTGTACAGAGAGTTGACAGTGCAATTAACTCCACACGAAGACATTTGTTTTCACAGTAAGAATTTATTTTACACAGATTGAAACCTTGTTTTCATTTCTGTTCTACTTAGTTTTTATCATCTCCATAAGTCACATTATAGTGCATATGCAATAGAGTGCTTTCTTTAGTCCTTGTGTATGCATCCCCATCTGGGCTAGCCATCATTATCAGTTCACCCTAAAAAAGGGGAAACTTCTTCCCCATAGAATCTAAATGGCATTAATTTATGCCAAAGGTCCATGCTATACAGGCTGACAATAGACACTAGGCAATGGGCTGGGTTACCTCAGCATCCACCAAACAGTGTCAGATGCAGTGCTCCTGCAATGTGTGAATTGAGAATGATTATCAAGTTGAACACACCTTGGTATAAACTGGGAGCCTACGACAAACATTATGTTTAGGATATTTGGCATTTTACATTATTTTAATTTGAATTGGAATGTTCATGGACTAGTGAAACCTTCCAATCCCATTAACTTCTCTGTGTTTGTAACATCAGGATGCATTAACAAAAAAATGATTGTTGATTTCATCATAATCGGATAAAGTATATATTCAGTATTTGCAGTTAGTGGTCAAAAAGGGACATCGTAAAATCCCAAATTGAGTCTCTTCTGGCTTCCTGCACATCCATAAATAGAATGGCTTTGTGATCATGCATGTGTGTTCTAGAACCACGCAGCCGATTTAGATTTATATTCTCTTCCTGATTCCTCACTTCATTACTTTCTGTCTGGGTGACCTTGAGCAAGTGACTTAACATCTTTGTACCTCAGGCTCCTTGCTCTCTAAAGTTGGGATAACAGTAGGATCTACTTCATGGATGTGCTTGCTAGGAAGAAAAAATAAGATAATATGTAAAAAGTGCTTCAACAGTGCCTGGAGAATAGAAAGTGCTTAACCAAAGTGAACTATTAGCATCATTATTATTATTCTGTGACCTCAAGTAGTTAAGATTCAAGACATAGAGGATGAGATGTGCCTCAGTTGATCAAAGTCTCTAAAACAGTTTGCTTCACATTCTCAGTGCTTTTAAATTTCTTTTTAACATATTTGGTTCAGTTCTACAAATGTGCATAAACTGCTATTATGTGCTGGTCAGTGGGCTTGGTATTTGGGATACAAGATAAATAATAGGTCAACATCTCATCAGCAACCTAGTTCTTTCTTTAGCAGAGGAGACAATATGTCAGCAATTCAAGTACATTTTACTGAGTATATAAGACACATATTTAAGGATACAGGAGTACTAGAGAAGATGGAGTGATAGCTTGTCAGAGCTCTCAGTGAAACTCTACAGGGAGAGTGAGGCCTGAGGAGGATTCTAAAGGCAAGGAGGAATTTCTAGGAGATTACACTCAGGGAAAGAGAAGACACAAAATGCCAAGTCCTGCAGACCGAGAGTATTGCATAGTACTTCAGAAGGTTTACTGAGCCTCCTATAATCCATTCATCAACCGACCCCCCCAGTTTAGAACCCCACCATAGATGTTGTTTCCTAAAACTATTGTTTAAATCATCCATTCATTAAAAATATATATTTTTGAGTTCAGCACTGGGACTAACATTTGGAATAAGTTGTTAGCAAAATAGGAAAAGAACCCACAGCTCCTCTGTAGAGCCTCTATTGTAGTGGTGGAGCTTTCATTCTTCTCGAATGTTTGGGAAATGCCTTTTTAAATGCACAGTATTTGCAAGCTTCATGGACTCTGCTGTTTTGCCTTGTAAAGAATCATGTGTTTTGTCATTTGCAGAAAACCTCACACCTCCAGTGACCTGCTGGCTCAATTTCATTACCCGCGTGACCCACTGATTGTGGAAATGGCAAGAGCAGGGGAGATTTTTGAGCACACGCTGCAGCTGATACGGGAACGTGTGAAGCAGGGGCTCACTGTGGACTTGGAAGGCAAAGGTCAGCCACAAAGCCATTTTATTCTCAGCCTACTGCCCACAGAAAAACTGACCACCACCTTAGCAAAGGACACTGAACTTTTAATCTCCAGAATATCATGGGATTTAGAAATTAATTTACTCACTACTTTTACCAAATAAATGCAGATGTTTCTCATAGGAACTGTAATTCCAAAGTAAGGATGATAAATATATATTCAAACTTGTCTCAACTTTTAAGTTATATGTATAGAGAACAAATCTAGGGAACCTACATTAAGTGAACTTGTGTTTCAAATGTAAAAGATATTATTGTGTCTTATAGAGAAATGCTTTATTACCAGGGGGATATTCTTCCACTTATCCTTTCAATCACCTGAATCATTCAGTGAATTTACTTGAAATTTCTTCTACCACTTATAATATTTATAATACCTCCCCAGTTCTTTTGATTTTTGTTTTTTTGTTGTTGTTGTTTTGTTTTTTGGTATATCCAAGTTCTTGTGTATTTCTTTTTAAAACCAGACATCTAGTTAGTAGATGTCAAATGAGATGATATAGAAAGCTTTCAGATTTTCTAAGTTGTTCTCTTTCAAATGAAATAAGTGAATGTGATTCTTTGCTATATACTATTTGTGCTGTGAGTACAGCATCAATTTCTATTGGCTTACCCTTTCTTTATTCTCCTTTAGGAAATCAACCGAGACGTGGTGCAGAAGGCCTATCTGTGAGCTTGCCTCAGCCCTTAGAGCTCTGTACAATTTCTCTAACTAACTGGCATTTGACTGTCCCTGGTCACCCAGTATGATGGGTTTTCAAAGCTTCCTGAGGCAAAATATCCAGATACCCAAGATTAAGATATCTCAGGATCCAGCCAGGGACTGGCTAACATGGATAAAGTGCAAATGGTCCCATTATTGCTTGCCAGTTTCTGAAGATTAAATAAGGATGGTAACTTTTAGTATGATTAGTGAACAATCTTTGTAGCACTGGGAGAATGCTGGAAGTTTAAGCCCTGTTAAAAGGTAGAGCTCCAAGCATGTCCCTTATTATTTTGCCCGTTTGCCAGGGAATGACAGCTTATAGTAGTTCAGAAAGTTGTTGCTTAATCCCTCCTTGTCAAGTATCATGTGGGTTAATATTCACATGATCCATATTGATATTTCTTTGACCTTGTTCTCTAGAAGCACAAAACTTGAGAGAAAAAATTCTGAAATGAAACAAACAAAAATCAACAAAACAATTCTGGGATGTGGAAGAACAAATCCTTGCCAACATCGTTCTTGTAAAGGCACAGAGTAGAAGTTAGGAGCTGGCTGGCACCTGTTCTCTTTCCATTTTGCTTCTTCTAGCAGCTAGCCATTGTTTACAGGATGAACAGCACAAAAGTAATCCCGGGTCTTCTGGAAACATCTTTTAGTGTCTGGCTGGCATCTGCTCTCCTTCCATTTTGCTCCTTCTAGCAGCTAGCCATTGTTTACAGGATGAACGCTCAAAAGTAATCCCGGGATCTTCTGGAAACATCTTTTAGTGTTATAGAATGATCCCCCCTTTTGTTGTGAGCTAACGAAATGTTTTTGGAAGTAAGAAAGGCCTCTTTTCACTCAGGGCGGGCGGGGTGGGAGGTGGTTCCCGCAGCATCTGGAGTTCCAAGTTGCCCGCGCCCTCCCAGGCCCGCCCTCCTCACGGCTTTCGCCGCTTGCCTTTCAGAATTCCGGTACAATGACTTGGTGTCCCCGCGCTCCCTCAGCCTCATCGCCAATTTATCTGGATGCACAGCTCGCAGGCCTCTGCCAAACTGCTCCAACCGGTGTTTCCATGCGAAGTACCGCGCCCACGACGGCACGTGCAACAACCTGCAGCAGCCCACGTGGGGCGCGGCGCTGACCGCCTTCGCGCGCCTGCTGCAGCCAGCCTACCGGGACGGCATCCGCGCGCCCCGCGGGCTCGGCCTTCCTGTGGGCTCCCGCCAGCCCCTCCCGCCGCCCCGGCTGGTCGCCACAGTGTGGGCGCGCGCGGCGGCCGTCACCCCCGACCACAGCTACACGCGCATGCTCATGCACTGGGGCTGGTTTCTAGAGCACGACTTGGACCACACAGTGCCTGCGCTGAGCACAGCCCGCTTCTCGGATGGGCGGCCGTGCAGCTCCGTCTGCACCAACGACCCTCCTTGTTTCCCCATGAACACCCGGCACGCCGACCCCCGGGGCACCCACGCGCCCTGCATGCTCTTCGCGCGCTCCAGCCCCGCGTGTGCCAGCGGCCGTCCCTCTGCGACGGTGGATTCAGTCTATGCACGAGAGCAGATCAACCAGCAAACAGCCTACATCGATGGCTCCAACGTTTACGGGAGCTCGGAGCGGGAATCCCAGGCTCTCAGAGACCCTTCGGTGCCTCGGGGTCTCCTGAAGACAGGCTTTCCTTGGCCTCCCTCCGGAAAGCCCTTATTGCCCTTTTCTACAGGCCCACCCACCGAGTGCGCGCGACAGGAGCAGGAGAGCCCCTGTTTCCTGGCCGGGGACCACCGGGCCAACGAGCATCTGGCTCTGGCCGCCATGCACACCCTGTGGTTCCGGGAACACAACAGGATGGCCACGGAGCTGTCCGCCCTGAACCCCCACTGGGAGGGAAACACGGTTTACCAGGAAGCCAGGAAGATCGTGGGCGCGGAGCTGCAGCACATCACCTACAGCCACTGGCTGCCTAAGGTCCTGGGGGACCCTGGCACTAGGATGCTGAGGGGTTACCGAGGCTACAACCCCAACGTGAATGCAGGCATCATTAACTCTTTTGCTACTGCAGCCTTTAGATTTGGCCACACATTAATCAATCCTATTCTTTACCGACTGAATGCCACCTTAGGTGAAATTTCCGAAGGCCACCTTCCGTTCCATAAAGCGCTCTTTTCACCGTCCAGAATAATCAAGGAAGGTGGGATAGACCCGGTTCTCCGGGGGCTGTTTGGCGTGGCTGCTAAATGGCGGGCACCCTCCTACCTTCTCAGTCCTGAGCTGACCCAGAGGCTCTTCTCCGCGGCTTATTCTGCGGCCGTGGATTCGGCTGCCACCATCATTCAAAGGGGTAGAGACCACGGGATCCCACCATATGTTGACTTCAGAGTTTTCTGTAATTTGACTTCAGTTAAGAACTTTGAGGATCTTCAAAATGAAATTAAAGATTCAGAGATTAGACAAAAACTGAGAAAGTAAGTATGCAAATGCTGCCTGGATTTAAACATTTCTTAGGAGAGGTAAAAGTGTTAAAGGTCATTTTGTGTGGCTGGAATTTGGTTCCCTGGGGGTGCTGCAGAGCTTTTAGTACTTGTTATTGTTGGAGAGGTTTAATATTAAAGGAAGGATTCACCAGAAACCGAAATCCCCCTTTCTGCTCCTTTTTCTATCCACCTCCTTGGAAATGCAAATATTGCTGCCTCCTATTAACTTGCATTTCAGTTAGGAGAGGTGAGGTAAGCATATCTAGCCCATTCGTGTTCTGCGGTAATCCAAGCAAGGCCCTTTTGTTGATATGAGGCCATACATTCGATATAAATTCATAAAATAAACTGGCCGATCACATAGGCCTTCTTAGGGAGAGAAAAGTAGTGATAATAAAAACAAATTATTTTTTGTGGTAGTTCTAAATTCATGGTCGGAATTTAAGTTAGGGCTTTTTCACTGCATCCTTAATGTCTTTCGGTAAAGTATTACTGTTAACTTTTTCTACATACGGGATTTGAAGTTTCATTAAAACTACAAGTATACATTTCCAGGAATGAGATTCAACTGTTCCTCATGGTCACCAACATTCCTCCTTTAAAAATATTTTTTTAAAAACAGTTTCACAAAGAAGTTTTGTCTGTAGTAGGTTAAATATAGGAGACTAATATTTATTAATATTTTAAGGTATATTTCTGTGAAATATTTCAAAGAAGTTTAAAATTATAAGTTCTATAGCCAATTGTCAAGATTAGGCCTTTCTTTGCAAAACTAAGGCTATAAATACTTCTGTGTCAATAGAATTTGTCACATATGTGGAATCTCAAACTGTGAAAATGTGTAATGTATTTAAAAGAAATCAGAGTACCCTGCAGATTGAATTTGCACATTTCTTTTGGAAAGGACATTGATTTGGATTCACGAAGACCTGGTTTAAATCTCTGTTCTACCACCCAATAGTACCGAGAGCCTGTGAAAAGTAAACAGTTTTCAATCTCAGGATACCTATAAAATGAGAAAGTAGCACCTTCTTCTCAGAATTGTTTAAAGATTAAATTACATAAAATGCATCAGATACTTGGCCCCATTCCTCCTGCATCACAGGCAATCAATAAATGTTAGCCGTAGATGTTTTATTATAACATGATCATTTCAGTTGTCAGGGACATTACGATATTGCACATCTGCTCAGATGTAGCCCTGTGGTAGGCGTGGGAGCCGAGATGACTGAACAGCATCCACCAGGGAAAGCCTGACAGCGTGCGGGGGAGCCGGGGAGCTGCTGTGACCAGTGTGGAAAGGGCTTGGTAGAAGTCGCGATTAAATGCTGTGAGCACACAGAGCTGAGAAATGGAAGGCTCACAGCAAGCCACTGATAAGAGATGTCATTTGATCTGGTCTTAGAAGTTTAAGTGTAAGAGGCTAGATGATGGGGGAACACCAGGTGGCATCTGGGGTGAGGGACTGGAAGCAGGAAGGCATGGGGTTGAGTGTCAGGAGGAGAGAACAAAGAGGTAATAGGGGACGGGTTTTAAAGAGGCTGTGTGCCATGCAAGGGAATCTGATCTTCACTCCGTATTTAACTCTAAAGCAAGAGAGTGACCTGAAGAGAGACTCTTCCCTGACATGGTAACTGGCAGGCATCTGGAAGGTGTATTGCAAGGAGGAGAGACTAGCATAGGAGCCAAGAATCCAACAGCTGCTAGAGTCATCCAGGAGAAGCTCAAAGATGGCACAGATAGGCTTGTGGCCATGTATGCAATCCTATCAGAATTTTAAATGTTTCCTGTGGGTAGATTATCTGGATTGGAAAAAGTTAGGGGTATGACGTCTTGTGCAATTTGAGTCTCACTTCTCAATTGGCAGCTAACTTGTAAATTCACCACAAATTAGAGTACCCGGAATGTTTCTTCTTACAAATTTCCTGTCCCAAATTCCTCCTAAATCATGTGGTTCTAGTGTTAGCTGTGTTAGCCTCCACTGTCGGCCACTGTCCATCCTTACAGTGGCTGATGTGAAGTATGAGTGGCCTTTCAGACGGACAGCAGCTGGGGAGACTTCATTGAGCATTCACTCAGTAGCCTTTCTATTTGTTCCTTTCATGCCTATGGGATATTGGCCCCAAGAGTCTGTGCAGCCTAAACATTGAGTCATTATCCTTGCCTGGGAGAATGTTTGAACTAGTGGAACTCTATGCAGCCTGGTGCTTGGCATCAGCCAGAGGAGGAGAGAGCATTGCTGACTGGCATGGGTGGGTTGCCAGAAGTCAGTAGAAGCCAGATGCTTTTTGCTTAGGCTGTCACAGATGCCTGACTTTCCCCTTTCATTAACGGCAAATTTGTAAAATATGAAACATATACTCATTCAACTATGAGTGCAAAATAAAATGGTTTTTACGGTCAGTTCTCAAATATGTAGATTGCAATTTCTCAGGAGCTGCTGAAGATGATATAGCTTTAAGTAGTTTAATTTACAAAGTATTTCTTTATCTTATTACTTCTTTTCCTTTTTGTATTAATTTACAAGTGTGGTTTTAGGACTTTGTTTTTAAATCACTTCAGTCCACTGGGTGGAGGCCCTTGTCTCTGCCTCTAAGATGTATCTTGAGCCCCGCATCCTCACATGGCCAAGTGGAGGGAAGACAAAAGGAGCAAATGTCGTGTGAAGCCTCTTTTATAATTCATTAATAACTTTAATGAGGACTTCACCCTCATTGAGAGGTGACGGCATGCTGGCAGCCCTCGCAGCAATCCCTCGCTCTGGGCACCTCCTCGGCCTCGGTACCCACTCAGGCCGCTGTTGAGGAGCCCTTCACCCCGCGGTTGCACTGTGGGAGCCCCTTTCTGGGCTGGCCCAGGCGGAAGCCGGCTCCCTCTGCTTGCCAGGAGGTGTGGAAGGAGAGGCGCGGGCGGGCCAGCGCCAGTTCTGGGTGGGCGTGGGCTCAGTGGGCCCCGCACTCCCAGTGGCTGGCCGGGGCTGCCGGCCCCAGGCAGTGAGGGGCTTAGCACCCGGGCCAGCAGCTGCGGAGGGTGCGCTGGGTCCCGGTGCTGAGCTCGAATTCTCCCAGGGCCTCAGCTGCCTCCCTGCGGGGCAGGACTCGGACCTGCAGCCCACCATGCCCGAGCCTCCCCCAACCCTTGCCGTGGGCTCCTGTGCAGCCCGAGCCTCCCTGACGATCACCGTCCCCTGCTCTGGGGCACCCAGTCCCATCGACCGCCCAAGGGCTGAGGAGTGCCGGCGCACTGCGTGGGACTGGTGGGCAGCTCTGCCTGCCACCCTGGTGCAGGATCCACTGGGTGAAGCCAGCTGGGCTCCTGAGTCTAGTGGGGACTTGGAGGACCTTTATGTCTAGCTAAGGGATTGTAGATACACCAATCAGCACTCTGTGTCTAGCTCAAGGTTTGTAAATGCACCAATCAGCACCCTGTGTCTAGCGCAAGGTTTGTGAATGCACCAATTAGCACTCTGTACCTGGCTAATCTGGTGGGGACTTGGAGAACCTTTATGTCTAGCTATGGGATTGTAAACACACCAATCAGCACTCTGTGTCTAGCTCAAGGTTTGTAAATGCACCAATCAGCACTCTGTATGTGGCTAATCTGGTGGGGACTTGGAGAACTTTTATGTCTAGCTAGGGGATTATAAATGCACCAATCAGGACTCTGTGTCTAGCTCAGGGATTGTAAACACACCAATCAGCACCCTGTCAAACCAGACCAATCAGCTCTCTGTAAAATGGACCAATCAGCAGGATGTGGGTGGAGCCAGATAAGGGAATAAAAGCAGGCTGCCTGAGCCAACAGTGGCAATCCACTCCGGTCTCTTTCGACAGTGTGGAAGCTTTGTTCTTTCGCTCTTTGCGATAAATATTGCTGCTGCTTACTCTTTGGGTTCACACTGCCTTTATGAGCTGAAACACTCACCCCAAGGGTATGCAGCTTCATTCCTGAGGCCAGCGAGACCATGAACCCACCAGGAAGAATGAACAAGCCCAGACAGGAGGATCTAGTAACTCCAGACATGTGGCCTTAAGAGCTGTAACACTCACTGCGAAGGTCTGCAATTTCACTCTTGAAGCCAGTGAGACCACGAACCCACCAGAAGGAAGAAACTCTGAACACGTCCGAACATCAGAAGGAACAAACTCCGGACACACCACCTTTAAGACCTGTAACACTCACCGTGAGGGTCCGCAAGTTCATTCTTGAAGTCAGTGAGACCGAGACCTCACCAATTCCGAACACATCATGACCTAATCACCACCTAAGGCCCCGCTTATTAATACCATAACATCGGAGATGAAGCTTCCACATTTGAATTTTGGGTAGACACATTTAGATCATAGCGGTGCGGAAACCCAATCCTAAAGCAGATGGCAGCTGTCTGTGAAAGACCTGGCTGTGAGTGCCAAGAAGGACATTTGAGATACATGAGAAGTAGGGTAAAGACTGGCACCAGGGCCCGTGTGATATGTGTGAGACGTGTAAAGCCATGGGTCTTGCTGCACCAAGGAGTCCAATCCTAGAATTAGCATCGGACTCATCTCACCCCCAAAACATTAAGATGCGCCAGGGAAGCTGACACTTTTTTCTAAGTGGAATTGTACATGGAACACTGCCCCTTAGAGGGGAGGACAGCAGAGGAGTTCCGGGAGAGGTGGGTGGGGGCTGGGTGTGGTTCCTTGGCATCTACTCCTCAGAGTTCACTGCTGTCAGATCCACAGACCACAGCATTTGCCAGAAGGATTTGTGACATGTACAAATATCCTGCCTCCTTCAGTACCAAGAGCTCAGGAAATCTTTTTTTCATTTTTTTCTTGGTCAAAAGTGTTTTATTATTTTTTAAAGAGCTTATTTTATTCCAGGATCATATGAAAATGAATTATTTTCTTTTTATAAGATTATTCTTGCTCTCAAGAATCACACTGTTTCTTTTTTTTTCTTTTTCTTTTTCTTTTTTTTTTTTTTTGGAGAGGGAGTTTGGCTCTATCGCCTAGGCTGAAGTGCAGTGGCGATCTCAGCTTACTGCAAGCTCCACCTCCCGGGTTCACGCCATTCTCCTGCCTCAGCCTCCCCAGTAGCTGGGACTATAGGCGCCGGCCACCTCGCCCGGCTAATTTTGTGTGTGTGTGTGTGTGTGTGTGTGTGTGTGTATTTTTAGTAGAGACGGGGTTTTACCATGTTAGCCAGGATGGTCTCGATCTCCTGACCTCGTGATCCACCCGCCTCAGCCTCCCAAAGTGCTGGGATTACAGGCGTGATTACACCACGCCTGGCCACTCTGTTTCTTTTTATTGTTTCTAAAACATTTAATGAGCAGAAGGTGAAGATCAGTTATTCACTGAATGGTGAACATAAATTTCCAGAGAGGCCATGGGCCATTTTGAAAGCTATTTTTGAATCCTCTTTTGAAAATATAATACTGTGTGTAATTTTTTGTGGATACGGTTACTTTTGGTTTTGAGTAAGTATAAGTTTATTTGTCACTCATAATCACAGGGATGTGTAACTGCCTCGGCTTTATTTATTTATTTATTTTGAGACGGAGTCTTTCTCTGTCACCCACGCTGGAGTGCAGTGGTGCGATCTCGGCTTGCTGCAGCGTCCACCTCCAAGATTCAAGTGATTCTCCTGCCTCAGCCTCCCGAGTAGCTGGGATTACAGGTGCATGCCACCATGCCTGGTTGTATATTTGGTAGAGATTGGGTCTCACCATGTTAGCCAGGCCGGTCTCAAACTCCTGACCACATGTGATCTGCTTCAGCCTCCCAAAGTACTGGGATTACAGATGTGAGCCATCGTGCCCAGCCCTGCCTCCGCTCCTTAAAAGAATAGCTCATATTTCACCAATTAAGTAACTTGTATTCAGTATATGTACCTATTTTATGATAGCTTCACTCTATATTAAAAATAGACAAATTAACAAAAAATTCTTAATTTCTTTCCTCTTTCTACTCTTGGGTTTCAGGAGATCAAACCGCATGATTCCTTCCCAAAAACTTGCATTCTCTGTCTTTGTCTTCCTTTGCCCGAAAAGGTTGCCCCTTTCCTGTGGGCTTGGCTTTTCCTTCTTCTGCATGTTCAGCTGTCATTCCTCTGCTAAATATTTATCAACTTTCATATTCATGTCAGCCTTTAAAGACCTTGCATCGACACCACCCCGTCACCTTTCCTGAGTGTTTAGTAGGCCCAGGAGCAACTTTAATTGCTGTAAAACAGTGATTGTTGACCATTTCATGTAAGACCATTTCCCAAATCTAGTAGAATCTATGAACCTCCTTTTGCAGGAAGATACAGCAAAGAGAGAAAAATAGACCCAAATCTGTGTGTATTTTCAGAAGACTCACAGATTCCTGGGTGCCCCCTATTCCTTCACTGATGTAGTGTCTCTTCCTCGCTGGCATCTCAGACATAGGAAAAGGGTGCTTCTCTCCCATATGCCTTCAAATGGCTGCTCTCTTGGCCAAAAAGCAGCCCCCAGATTTGTGACTACCATGCGCTCTTAGTCAAGGACCAGTCCTTTTCTCCTATCCCATTTGGAGGCAGTGACTTTGTTCTTTACGTCACAGAAGGGTACTGAGCTGCTCAAACATAGCTGGGCCTCTGGAGGACCAGCGTCTTGTCTTCATCTCTAGTCTCTGCTGCTTTCTGTTCAGCGTTTTATTCCCTTCTCCCTCAGATCTCCTATCTCCTTACTTATGCATATGGTGCACTGATGAAGGCTCTCTCCTAGCTCCCAGGTTTACATAGTCTTTTATGGTAAAGCTAGCACAAGGGTTTTGAGTATCACATTTTTTTTCTAAACAATACTTTTATAAGGGTATTGTACAATTAGACCAAGTCCTGTTGTTTGACTCTAAATGCCAGTTTTAGAGCCTTGCTACCCCTGGTCATTTTCATTGCACAGTATTTCTGCTTTTCTAGAGAACATATTAGTTGAATGACAGGTTCCAAGAGTATGTACTCCTTGGTTGCAAATAAATTGTCTAATTTATCTTTGAATCCCCAGAGTTCAGTCCAGGGCCTAGCACAAAGCAGCTGCTCTCTAGATATTTCATTAGGGGAAGTGGGACATGCTTGGGTGAGACTCATTTTAATTTTCCAAGAGGCTTTGATTTGAAAATTATTCTTTGCTTGAACACCTTTGACAAGACAAATTTTCTTAGGTGAAAACTAGATTTTTACACTTATTCCTACCAATTTATTTTTTCATCAACTATTGAGTGGCATCAATGAACTATGATGTATTATAATCTTTTGTACAAAGGAATGAGAAGTTACAACAGAGAACAACACATTTGATTCTTACATGACCTTAACCCCAATTTCAAAAAGTTAAAAATGCACACACTTAACCAATCAAAACTCATTCTGTCAACACTATAGACCTGCAACACAGAAGACACACATGCCTGAGCAAATAAAAAGTGACAAGGCCATATTAAAAATAAGGTGGTCAGTCAATTATCCTCCAAGGTCCATTTCTTAGAAGGCGTGCAGCTCTATTTGTCTAGCAAAAACAGAGTGCAAAATAATTTAACGCCTTAAAGTATGACATTAATTTAACATCAGTTGTGTAGACAGTGGTGAGTCTTAGTAACGCGTTTTAGAAGTTATAAACAGGTTGAGCATCACCAATCCAAAAATTCAAAATTCCTGAAATGCTCAAAAATCAAAAATCCAAAATTTTTTAGTACTATCATGATGCCACAAGTGGAAAATTCCATCCTGAACTCATGTGACCAGTTTCAGTTAAAACAGGTGCACAAAAGCATCCTCAAGGGAAAAAAGACTTCCACAGCCCCCTTCAGCTGCAATATATCTTTTAAGGTGTGTGTGAAACATAAATGAATTTGGTGTTTAGAGTTGGGTTCCATTCCCATGATATCTCATTATGTATGTGCATGTATTCCCAAATCTGAAAAGATTCTAAATCTGAAACATTGCTGATCCCAAGCTGGATAAGGGATACTCACAACCTGTATGTAAATTCTTCACTTTTAGAATCTGCTTTTTATTCCTGCCTTTGAAAATTGTTTAGTACTATGATAGATTATTTTACAATTATAAATATTCAACTGAAGAAATCTTTACCATTATATTATCAAAATCTAACACTTACAGAAATAAAGACATTCAGTTGTTCCTCATTATATGCCATACAAAATCATAGCAAATATTTTATAGAAAACTTTATGCTTTATTTCACTTCTAAATTCTATTTTACCACCAGAGTATACATCTGAATGCAATTTAATGCATTTCGTCTTTAAATCCCCAAAATCTGACTAAACTAAACTAAATTTTCAGTTAACATCATGTATCAAAAGTGGCATGTGGTACAATGCACACATTTTAAGTGTACAATTTGATGCCTTTGAACAATATTCATACCTCTGTAATCATTACCCCAGTGAAGACAAAGAGCATTGTCATCATTCCAGAAGCATAGCTCATGGTCTTTGCAGTCTGTCTTCTCTTCCAGACCCTTCCCAGCAACCACATATTGGATTCCTCTCACTGTACATTCATTTTGTCTCTTCTAGAACTTCACATAAATTGAATCACACCGTATGTATTGTTTTAAGCTTATTTTGCTTGGAATGTTTTTGGAGTTCACCTATATTGTGAAGTGCACCTGTAGATCATATATTTTGTTCATTGTGAGTGGTATTGTTTGTATGAATATACAAATATTTGTTTACTCTTCCATTTGAAGCAGCCATTTGGGTTGTTTCCCGTATTTATCTCTTCTGAATAACTGCGATGAACTCTTACATGCACGTCTTTTTGTGGGCCTATGATTCCATTTTTCTTGAATAAAAAACCTAACAGTATAATTTCTAGGTCACTTAGTAACTCTGTATTTAACTTTATAAGAAACTGCCAAATTGTTACCCAAAGTGGTTGTAATATTATTCACTCCCACTGGCAGTGTAGAAGACTTTATATTTGCTTAATTTTTTTCTCCTGTCTGTTCTTCTGGTTGGAAATATTCTATTGATTTTTCTTGCTAGTTCACAGACTTTCTACTGTCATCTTCAATCTCCTCTTATATATATCAAGTGAAATTTTCATTTTGATTATTGTACTAGTTCTAGAATTTACATTTTTATGATTCTTAATTTTCTTTCTACATTTGTTTAAATGTTAATTCAATAAGAGCATACCTTCTTTAATTTGTTAAATACATGTATAATAGTGGCTTTAATGTCCTTTTCTGATAAATTAAACATCACAGCCATCATTCAGGGGTTCATTACTTTCCTAAGTGTGAATTCCAATTTTGCTTCCTTCTCTGTCTCGTAATTTCTAAATGCATATCAATTACTGTGATTCCGCCTTGCATTTGCATAGGTTTTGCTTTATGCTTCATTTGGGTGGGAATGTAGAAACCCCAGGAATGTTGCCTAAGCTCCGCTGATGTGGGGTGGCTGAACTTCCAAATGCTGTTGGCCATGCTAATCTTGGCAGGGCTTGGTTTTCAGCTCTGTTGAGTAGAGTTTATCCTTATAAGGATAGAAGTTATTCTGTTAAGACTTGGCAAGCTGCTGTCTGGCTGCTCTCTGGGTATTACTGAGGTGTTACAGCCATCACCGTGTTCTGATTCAACTTCCTGCAGCAGTTGCCCTGTGTATACCTCATGCAGTTCCTCTTGCTCAGGTGTCAGCCAGCCATCCCCAGGACTGTGGGGGGCCCCAAGGTAAATGTCTGCCCACTCCCCACCGCAGGTCCCGCCACCTGTTCCCAGCTGCTTCAGCTTTCCGGAACTGGGATGGCAGCCTCGAGTGCAGCTGCACCTTGCTGTGCTGGGATTCTAGTGCCCTGTGCAGTGTGGGCGAGATTTCTCCCGAAGGGAAACTGAGGCCACTGTCATGAGTTTCCCTCTTCTCAGGCTCCCCAGTCTTAGGCTGCTTGTTGTCCAGTGTTTGGAAGCTGTGGGCTCACACATGTTGTCCTCTTTTGTGATTGTTTATAATGGGAAAACTAGTCTCCTTTCCATCACACCATAGCCAGAAACAGAAGCTTACATTCATTCTAAATTATATTTTTCCCCTACAATTTTAGCTCCTGAGCAATTGTTTAAATGAAAGATTTTTACCATAATTAACTATGTGTCTTCACACCGGGGCCTGTTGTGGGGTGGGTGGAGGGGGGAGGGATAGCATTAGGAGATATATGTAATGCTAAAAGACGAGTTAATGGGTGCAGCACACCAACATGGCACATGTATACATATGTAACAAACATGCACGTTGTGCACATGTACCCTAGAACTTAAAGTATAATAATAAAAAAAAAGGCCTCTCCCTACTTAGACCTGAGTGTTCACAGCAGCTCTCTTTATGTCCTCCTGCAATGCATTTCTTCTTTTCTATGGCACCTAATATTGTTACCCCTGCAGAGCTATTTTTTCTTTAGTAATATTGCAGGACTTTGCACTTATTAATATTAAAATACTTACAGTACATTGCAACTATTTATGTGTGCAACCTCCATATTAAAATGTGAACATTCTGGAGGAGTATGGCTTATCTCCTTAAATGTCTAACAATGCCTGATTCTTAGTATTTGTTAAACAAGCAGAAGGATTAATGGATGGATCTCATAAGTTTTGTTGGTTTAGTTTTTTGTTTTTGAGGTATTATATTTCCTGTGGCCTTAGATTAGGGATTTGAACTATGTAAACAATTTGCATTTTTAACATACCTAAATAGCAAACCAGAAATTTAAACAACAGTTCCAAAATCTTTAAAAGTAATAGTATAATTTGGTCATAATTGTAACATGAATATAAACATTAGAACTGATTCAAAACCCATTTCTAGCTAAGGTACTAAAATTGGAATTGTTAGCAGGCATGCTTATATTTTATTTCATAAGTACAAGAATGGTCCGCAGTTGGTAATCACTTTAAGAACAGCAGTAAACTAAAATGTGTTCAACTTTTTATATATCTGCCCAAACCCTTAATAACATATTTTGGTTTTGTATCAGACCTAATGTATATATGGGTTCATTTATGACAGACGTGTGAAGACCACAGTTGAGTGGCTATGGCAGAGACAGCCATCAAAATATTCAAAAATAAAGTATAGCAAATAAGTTTACAGGTTTCAAGTGCAAAGTGACTGTTTAGAGGCTAAAAATATAAGTAAGTCCTTTTTTCCTTCCATGAGGAAAAGCTTGAAAATTGCTTCCAACACAAGATCTTGTAGCAGGGCTGATTGGAAAGAATATCTGGACTACAGTATGAATGGTTTATTTGTTTATTATTATTATTATTACCGTTATTTTTGAGACGGAGTTTCATTCTTGTTGCCCAGGCTGGAATGCAATGGTGCAATCTCAGCTCACCTCAACCTTTGCCTCCCACGTTCAAGCGTTTCTCCTGCCCTCAGCCTCCCGAGTATCTGGGATTACAGGCATGCACCACTATGCCCGGCTAATTTTTGTATTTTTAGTAGAGATGGAGTTTCTCCATGTTGGTCAGGCTGGTCTGGAACTCCCGACCTCAGGTGATCCACCTGCCTTGGCCTCCCAAAGTGCTGGGATTACAGGCATGAGCCACTGCACCCAGCCTGTTTATTTTTAAATCCCAGATTGATGTTTCTGTGCAGCCAGGCATTCTCAGGCCACAGTCATTGCTGAGTCATGTGGAGACACAGGCGCTCTGCACTCTGGTCGGGAAGGCCTCTGGGGACAGTGGGTCTTCCCACGTCCCTGTGCTGCACTACCCCATCCAGCAGCACATATGGTTCCTGCAGCCAGAGGCCTGCAACCAGGTATCTGGCGTTGGCGTGTGGAAAGAGAAAAAACTCAGTTTAGCCATCCATCCAAATCACACATCATACACACATGAATCTGCAGTCAAATTCCCATTCCCCGTCTAGCCCATCCCTTTCTTCTCGCAGGCATAGGTGGACTGCTGAAGCTGCGTTCCCTGCTGTAGCTGTGTTTATTGCCGATCTATAGAACCGATTTATTTCTCAGCCAAGTGCAGCTAAGATCCATTAGTGTCAGTACCTGTAGCAAGAGAGGTGTAAGTAGTCATAAATTAGCTATAATCTTAGATAATCTTCCTTTAGAAAAACAAGAAAGGAGCAGTGGGGAGCTGTGGGATTGTCCTGTGACAGTCCCATTACTCAGTGGAGTTCTGCTGGCAGAGTTGGGGGTGGTGGGCTAACTGCCCTGAGAGTAAATTGGAGTTAAGTATGGGTCTCATTAGGCAGTAATAGATTTTTTAAAGTTTTGGAAAGCTCTTTTATCCTCTGCCAAAACAAAAGCAAGCAAGCAAGAAGGAACATAGCCATTTATTTCCTGTTTTTCTATGTATCTCTTCTCAGTGTCCAGTCTTCTACTGCTTTTTCAGTTCCTCTATAACATTTCGTATCCTCTTTGAAACCAAATTATATCATCTTTTAATCTTTCTAGATCCTCTCTTTCACAGCTTCACCCTTTATTTTTCAATTCAATATATACTTAAAAAATATTGGTTGTTTCTTTTGTCTCATAATTTGAATTCCCTTTTTTCTAATCTCTTTAACTCCCTAAACCATTTTTTAAAAATATTTTCTTTTAGAATGACTTACCTCTTCTCTTGCATTGAATGCATTGATATCTACATTTCACAGACATTTATTAAGTCACTGTTATAAACCAGAATTTGAGGGAGAGGCAGCACAAGTGAATTGAACACCATACCTGCATCGATGATTTCTGGAGGGTGAGTGAGCAGGTGATAGTTCTGAATTGGTTGAGCCCCATCCCAGTCCTCTGAGAGCTCTTTTGTTGAGTGTGTTCACCCAGCATCTGGAATAGTGTCTACAAAGTCAAGGAGGGCCTGATGCTTATATGCACACACACTTTATGCACACTTGTGACTGTGTGAATACCCTGCAGGCCCTCTCTAGGGTCTTGGGAGTGGCCCTTGTGGTTAGGGCTCTGCAGAGTCATCTTCACTTGCTTCCTGGGAACTCTGCCTCTGGGTAGTTACTCAGCAAATACAGACCCATGACACATCCTTTCCCTTCCTTTGAGCAGGTTATATCTCATGGGGTTGCTGAATGTGCTCATCTTTGTGAAATGTGAGGCAGATGTGGGATGACCATTGTACCACATGTCTAGGACAGTCCCTATCTACACTTGGGGTCTTCCAAGGTGAATAAATACACCTTGTATTCCACAATCAAGTGCCTTTGTTGGATCCTGGGCAGAGCAGAGACTTCTAGGCCTATGTGGCCACAGGACCAGCGCTATGTACCCCAGGGCATTTTTGAGAATAAAAGAGGGCACTATGAATGCTAGTTAGAGTGAACATCCTTCAGGTCAAGATGCCACTTTAACACAGGGTTTGGCAAACCACAGCATGCAGGCTGGCCGTTGTTCTTATGAATAGTTTGTTACATAGTCAGACACATTTACTTAACATTCCCTATGTCCCACTACCTGGCAGAGTGGAATAGTTGGAACAAAGATTGTATGGCTTGAAAAGTCCAAGGGTATACTAGCCACCCTTTAAGAATAGTTTGCCGATGCCTACTGTTACAGAATCAAAGCACGATTGAAGAAGGATATTCTTTGATGAGTTTTTCTAATATGTCTCAGGACTTAGGAATGATACTGTTCCTCTTCAGAGTTATAATTTTCTCACCTCAATATGAGACAGTCAAATCAAAAAAGTCCCCAAATGGAAGCCATATTTTTCTTGTTAACCTCTTAGGTTTTATGGATGGGATAGCTTTACTCTAATAGTAATAATATTTCCTTCATATTTGGCTGGCGTTTGTTGCACAAAAAGGAGTGTTTTGTGACATATATCACCTCTCATTCTGTAAGACAATTTATTACATGAAGTGCTATTTTTTAAAATAATTATTCATGCTCCAACATATATAGAATAGTTTGAGGCAAATCTCTTCTGTATATGCCCTGGGCACATTCACACTTTTCATTAACACTTTTGTTATCTCATGAGCTGGTGTTAACTTTCCCAAGGACACGGAGTTGTCAACTGGAGAATGCAGGTTTTAATCTGAATCTATATGATTCCAAAGTTGATGCTTTTAGCCACTATATTATTTCCTGCGACTGCTGTAATGAATTACCATAAAATAGATGCCTTAAAAAAAGACAGATTTAATGTCTTGTACTTCAGAGGTCAGGAGTCGGAAATTGGTCTTGCTGGGCTAAAATCAGGGCTGTGCCCTTTCAGGAGGCTTCATGGGATGATTTGTTTCCCTGTCTTTCCCCCTTCTAGAGGCTGCCCACACTCCTTCGCTGGGGCCCCTTCTTTTCACTCTCCTATTCCCTTTTCCACTTTTAAGAACTCTTGTGATTACATTGGGCCCACCCAGATAATGCACAATGGTCTTCCCCTCTTGATATCCTTTGGTGAATCACATTGGCAAAATCTCTTTTGCCACGTAAGGTGACATATTCACAGGTTCCAAAGATTAGGCCATGGACATCTTTGAAGGGTGGTGCACTGCTATTACGCAACTGCCAATGTTTGTTTTTATTTTCTGTTTTGCTTCAGCTTTAGCATAGAAGGAGACTATGAGAAACAGCATAACCCAGCACTTGGCAATACAGCAATAAAGGCTCTGATGTCAGACCATGGTGTTACACGTGCTCTCTTCATTTCCTTCTCACTGTGGAGCCTTTTGTACTTGTTCTTAGTCTCATACTTCTCATCCCGAATATGACGATCATTGTATGTGTCTCATCAGTTTACTGAGAAGATGAAATAATTTAAAGTATGTCAAGAACTTAGCAGACTGCCTGGATGCTAAGTCTATGCACACATCTGAGTGCCATGTGTAAGTGAATCTGCATTGGTCTCCAATTATGGAAATTTAGGAAATTAAAATTCAGGAAAATTAAAGAAAAAACATTCTCTAAGTAAAGGTGGAAACCTGTCTTTCTATAGGTAGCAATTCTTTCCTTTTCATTTCAGAGCGGCATGACATTCACATAAAATGTATACTTCAGAATGAAAACACAGGAGACTGGCTTTAAATTAAGTAAAATTCATGGTCAGTGACATGTAACTCAGTATTTTCTTTTGCTCAGGAAATATATTTTCAAATGGCTGTAAGTGAGACTACTCCCAATAGTGTACTCTCTAATCTTCTCTTTACATTAAAATTGAGGAATTTTGATATTAATTTTTATGCCAATCAATTTCTCCTAACCTCACAATAGAAATGGCACCACTGTTGCTGTTGAAAATCTGTGCTTTCAAGACAGGTATGCCCTCTCTCACCACTCCTATTCAACATAGTGTTGGAAGTTCTGGCCAGGGCAATTAGGCAGGAGAAGGAAATAAAGGGTATTCAATTAGGAAAAGAGGAAGTCAAATTGTTCCTGTTTGCAGATGACATGATTGTATATCTAGAAAACCCCATTGTCTCAGCCCAAAATATCCTTAAGCTGATAAGCAACTTCAGTGAAGTCTCAGGATACAAAATCAATGTACAAAAATCACAAACATTCTTGTACACCAATAACAGACAAACAGAGAGCCAAATCATGAGTGAACTCCCATTCACAATTGCTTCAAAGAGAATAAAATACCTAGAAATCCAACTTACAAGGGACGTGAAGGACCTCTTCAAGGAGAACTATAAACCACTGCTCAATGAAATAAAAGAGGATACAAAGAAATGGAAGAACATTCCATGCTCATGGATAGGAAGAATCAATATCGTGAAAATGGCCATACTGCTCAAGGTAATTTATAGATTCAACGCCATCCCCATCAAGCTACCAATGACTTTCTTCACAGAAGTGGAAAAAACTATTTTAAAGTTCATATGGAACCAAAAAAGAGCCCACATCACCAAGTCAATCCTAAGCCAAAAGAACAAAGCTGGAGGCATCACACTACCTGACTTCAAACTATACTACAAGGCCACAGTAACCAAAACAGCATGGTACTGGTACCAAAACAGAGATATAGATCAATGGAACAGAACAGAGCCCTTAGAAATAACGTCACATATCTACAACTATCTGATCTTTGACAAGCCTGAGAAAAACAAGCAATGGGGAAAGGATTCCCTATTTCATAAATGGTGCTGGGAAAACTGGCTAGTCATATGTAGAAAGCTGAAAGTGGATCCCTTCCTTACACCTTATACAAAAATTAATTCAAGATGGATTAAAGACTTAAACATTAGACCTAAAACCATAAAAATCCTAGAAGAAAACCTAGGCATTACCATTCAGGACATAGGCATGGGCAAGGACTTCATGTCTAAAACACCAAAAGCAATGGCAACAAAAGCCAAAATTGACAAATGGGATCTAATTAAACTAAAGAGCTTCTGCACAGCAAAAGAAACTACCATCAGAGTGAACAGGCAACATACAAAATGGGAGAAAATTTTCGCAACCTGCTCATCTGACAGAGGGCCAATATCCAGAATCTACAATGAACTCAAATTTACAAGAAAAAAACAAACAACCCCATCAAAAAGTGGGTGAAGGACACGAACAGACACTTCTCAAAAGAAGACATTTATGTAGCCAAAAAACACATGAAAAAATGCTCACCATCACTTGCCATCAGAGAAATGCAAATCAAAACCACAATGAGATACCATCTCACACCAGTTAGAATGACGATCATTAAAAAGTCAGGAAACAACAGGTGCTGGAGAGGATGTGGAGAAATAGGAACACTTTTACACTGTTGGTGGGACTGTAAACTAGTTCAACCATTGTGGAAGTCAGTGTGGCAATTCCTCAGGGATCTAGAACTAGAAATACCATTTGACCCAGCCATCCCATTACTGGGTATATACCCAAAGGACTATAAATCATGCTGCTATAAAGACACACGCACACATATGTTTATTGCGGCACTATTCACAATATCAAAGACTTGGAACCAACCCAAATGTCCAACATAGACTGGATTAAGAAAATGTGGCACATATACACCATGGAATACTATGCAGCCATAACAAATGATGAGTTCATGTCCTTTGTAAGGACATGGATGAAATTGGAAATCATCATTCTCAGTAAACTATCGCAAGGACAAAAAACCAAACACCGCATGTTCTCACTCATAGGTGGGAATTGAACAGTGAGAACACATGGACACAGGAAGGGGAACATCACACTCTGGGGACTGTTGTGGGGTCGGAGGAGGGGGGAGGGATAGCATTAGGACATATACCTAATGCTAAATGACGAGTTAATGGGTGCAGCACACCAGCATGGCACATGTATACATATGTAACTAACCTGCACATTGTGCACATGTACCCTAAAACTTAAAGTATAATAATAATAAAATAAAAAAAAAAGAAAATCTGTGCTTTATGCCATTTAGTGAGGTCGGCTTGTCACCTCATTAAACAAATAGCGATCCTCAGAGAACCTGAATCCACATCACTTCTTGGCTAGAAATGAGGAAAGCAGTCAATGTGCTTTATGTTTTTGTGTGAAGAGAGCCATAACTGTTATCATGCAAATTTATAGAATACCCAGAAAATATTTTAAAGGCTTTATAAATTATAATAAAGATATTTATGAATTAATATTTGTACTTATTTCATCCAGAATTAATATGGAGAAGGCGGAGAATTTCAGAAAATGTGCTGAAAATACTACCTAGGTGCTTTTTTGGGTTCCTAGTAATTAACTTTGTGATCTTAGGCAAATTGCATGATCTATCTGAGTTTCCACTTCCCTGGGCATATTATTCATTGGTTGCCACAGGAAACTTACTGAATGCTTTTAAATGGCTCTAAAATATTCTCCTTTGCAAATACTTATGAGCCTAAGGCAGACAAAAACTAGTTTGAATCAGTTTAGAATGTTTTTAAAGAGTGAATTGAGTCAACATTTACTTTCATTTTGCATAATGCCAGATGTTCTTTGCAACATTTGGATAGTTTGGCCTATATCCTCATTTTCTCATTAACAATGATTGGTACTTCATAACATTTTTTAGCTAGAATGGAATTTTTTTTTGGTGGGGGGGGCATGGCTTCCATAGCCAGTGAAGTCATTAGCTTATTTTGTATTTTTAATTACCTGAAATAATAATTGAAAATGAATTAAAATATATAAACATTTGTGCTATATATAATATTAAAACCTTTTCTTTGTTTTTCTTGCCTGTTCCATTATGGGGAAATGTGACATAAAAGCTACTTTAAACAGAGAATGATGTGTTTTATAAGGCATTTGACTAATAGCCTCTTTTCACTGGCAGTTTGAGAATTTCTTGGCAAATAATAAGTTCAGTAAAATGAGCTTCCTTTTTGCTAAAAAATACATAGAACCATTGAACAAAAAGTAAAACTATAAAGAATGGCTTTAAACATAAAGAAGCTCAAACAAATGGGCAATTCTTATATGTCACAAAGGACAAGGAAACTTAAAAGCCAGGGAGAAATCAGGAATGAATGTGCTTTCTTGGCCCATGATTATCAGTCATAGACATTGCTCTGAGGGATCAGAAGTTGAGGTTTTAGTACCCACACAGGGTAAGGGGATACAGAATCCACCTAGTCAGAGGCCTGAAACAGAGTTCTCTGCAGAAAGCCTGAAATCCTGCCTCATCTCTGCAAGGATGAAGGGAACTAGAAAATGCCTTCCCATCAGGAAAGAGGAAGCAGCAATATGGTTTCTCAAGTAAACATCAGGGACCGAGGCTGAAATGAAACAGGAAAATTTTTGAAATTCGAATCCCAGCCTGTGTTACACAGGAAAAGAATCTGAATTTACTCAAACATCATGGTGCTGGAAAGAAAAGAAGATAAATTAACATGAAAAACAGCCCAGGGGCACATGAAACCCCTGAAATCCTCGCACAAGCACATGTCAAATCACTCTCTAGGCATTCTTTTACGACCTGGTGCATACAGACAATCACGGGAATGACAAACCAAACTCCCAAGAAGTTCTCTCCTTCTCACACATGCAAGTTAAAATTCATTTCAGCAAATATGTAGCTGCAAGATAGTCAGCAATGAGAATAAATGAAAAGCAACAAAACAAAACAAAATTAAAATGGAACTTAGGGAGATTAAAACAATAGGAGAGACTCTGTGCATTTAACATTAAATTAAGTAAGAGAATGAATAGAAACCATGTTAAAAGGAAAAGGTAAAAATACAGGTATTTGAAAAACTGAATTTCAAGACATGATATATATAATTTAAATTAAGATCTCAGTAGCTAGTGAAACAGCATACTAGAAATAGCTGAATTAAAAAAATAGTGAACTGGAAGATAAATCTGAAGAATTCACTCAGTGTGTAGTACAGACAGATGAGAATAATAAATAATAAGGGAGATTTAGAGATAGGGAGAAAAGATTGAAAACATCAAATATTTATAGAAGTTCCAAGAGGTAGAAAACAGGAATGAGAGAGAGAGACCCAGTTTGAAGGGTTAGCAATAGAAGAGTTATAAAATTGAAGAAAGACTTGAGTCCTCACATTTAATGAACAGAACCAGTACCAATGTACTCATCTGCAGAACATCTCACTTAGGAAGTAGAATGTATGTATTTGAAACCTGTATCAGTCTAGATATGCGAGATTATGGTAATCAACAACCAAAAATCTCACAGGATGAGCATAGCAGATATTTTTCACTTACATTAAGTGTCTAACTCAAGTTGGAAAGAATAAATAGAAAAGCGAAAGTTAATAAAGTAAAAAGTTGAAAAAAAGACTGATTAATATATTCCCAAACTGAAAGTTAAGTTACAAAAACATAAAAAAACCAGATTTCTAAGAAGTTACTGTTTGTGTTTTTATAAAGATAGCTTGAAAATAATAGTAATTGAATAATTTTCTATTTGGTCTTCGAATAATAAGAAAGCCAATATCAAAACAGAGCCTACATCAATTTGAAATCATTGAAAAATTACTTTTAATAGTTTCTGAGTTCTAGCTAGACAAAATATTTCAAATTTTAAAGAGCACATTATACAGTATTATGGAATATATAAAAAGATGATAACCTACTTGATTTATTAGCTGAAATTAGCATGCCTCTGGTATAAACCTTAAGAAAGGATCTGTAATGTTAACCCTGAAGTCATTTTTTACAGGGAATAACATTAAAAAATGCTTGTCAGTCAAATCATGAATAGTTTAAGAATAGTGCAACATGATTAAGGAGGAATAATTAATATAAGTCCAGAATATAAAACTGAGTTAGTATCAATATAGGGCATTATATTAGAATATACAGTTATAAAACCCATTCAGTCATCTCAGAGTATACCAAAATGACATTTGGTAAAACTTGAAAACATATTTAAGGTGAAAATAAAAACAACAAAAACATTTTTAGCGGTTTTGAAATAGAAACATCTTTTTACCGTAATATTCATGTATTCATTCAATTAGTAATTACGTTAATTCATAAATATGTATTATATCTACTTTATTCCACCTATTTCCTTAATAAAAGGTATGCAACTGATACTGTAGTGAATGATGAAGCACTCACTGGCTTAGAACCGGCAAAAATCTAGCAATTGTGAGACCAGTCTCCCCTACTGCATCTGTGACAAACACTACTAAACTCTCTCAGGATTTTTTCCTACCGAACATAGAGGCAATCTCTGACTTCTTCTAGACATGGCTCTCATGACAGCCAGCAGTTACTCTACTTGATGGGACCTGGCATACAAAATGAGACCTCCTTATAGCCCCTCACTGGAGCATGCCCACCTGGAAACAAAACATGGCTCTATTACCATAGTTAACATTGCTTTTAAATTTCAGTGCAGCAGGCCCTATTGGGACTTATGAGCTGGAGAAACGAAATGAAGACTGCTCATTTTTATAACTGCATAATTTTCATCAGTTTAGAATGTTGTCTAAAAGGGAGAATTGTAAGAGTGGGTGGTAATTATGAGATCTATGCAGTGGCATGGTTTGTTGTGGACAGTTGAGGAGGTCTTAACTATAGGCTTCCTTTGCTGAATGAAGGATAAGCTTAGTTCATCTCTGACTGTGAAAGAGTAGAACAGTGGGAAATCAGATTTGAGTGGAGAAGCTCTCACATCGTAATGGACTTCATAAGACTGGAAAAAAAGTCAGAGCATCAAGCCAAAATAGTTTTGCAGTTTTGAGGACATAAATGAAATTTATAAATCAAGTGTATACAGTTGATTAAATAGAATAATAGAAATAAAATGCTTGTCACTTGGCTGACATGTAGAAAAGACTCTTTCTTTTTTTTTTTTTCAAGATGAAGTCTTGCTCTGTCATCTGTCACTCAGGCTGGAGTGCAGTGGTGCTATCTTGGCTCACTACAACCTCCACCTCCTGGGTTCAAGCAATTTTTCTGCCTCAGCCTCCCTAGTAGCTGGGACTACAGGTGCGTGCCACCATGCTTGGCTAATTTTTGTATTTTTAGTAGAGACGACGTTTCCATCTATCATCTATTTATCCACTTAACTACCTATATATATATTATCTATTTCTATTATCTCTCTTTATCTCTTATCTATCTATATCATCTCTACCTCTCTTTATCAGTCATCTATCACTTGCTTCTAATTCTCTGTCATCTCTCTGTATCTATCTTTATCTCTTTTTCTATCAGTCATCTATCTATCTTACTACTGCCAGTATCATGACATAGGGGTGTGATTTCTGAAGCTTAGAATAAATCACCTGGCCGGGCACAGTGGCTCACGCCTGTAATCCCAGCACTTTGGGAGGCCGAGGCAGGCGGATCACGAGGTCAGGAGTTCGAGACCAGCCTGGCCGATATGGTGAAACCCCATCTCTACTAAAAATACAAAAATTAGCCGGGCATGGTGGCACGTGCCTGTAGTCCCAGCTACTCCGGAGGCTGAGGCAGAAGAATTGCTTGAACCTGGGAGGCAGAGGTTGTGGTGAGCTGAGATCACGCCACTGCACTCTAGCCTGGGTGACAGAGCAAGAGTCTTATGTCAAAAAAAAAAAAGAATGAATCACCCAACATTTCTGTTAAATGTCTTGAATTCCACCAATGGAGAGCTATTCTTTTATTCGTTATCTGCTTTTATATCAATACCATGGTCTATTAGTCCATTTTCATGCTGCTTGATAAACACATACTGGAGATTGGGTAATTTATAAAGAAAAAGAGGTTTAATGAACTTACAGTTCCACTCGGCTGGGAGGCCTCACAATCATGGTGGAAGGTGAAAGGCATGTCTTACCTGGTGGCAGGCAAGAGAGAATGAGAGCCAAGTGAAAGGAGAAACCCCTTATAAAACCATTAGCTCTTGTGAGACTTACTCAGTACCAGGAGAACAGTATGGGGAAACCACCCTATGATTCAGTTATCTTCCACCAGATCCCCTCCACAACACATGGGAATTATGGGAGCTACAATTCAAGATGAGATTTGGGCAAGGACACAGCCAAACCATATCACATGGTATAAAAACGTAGTTTATGTTTTAAATATCTGTTTATGCCTTCTGACTGGCCTATGCTCTTTAAATCAGGGGCTGTTAATTAGTCGTTTTTTAGTCTAGATTGGTGGCTAGAAAACTCAGGGAATCCTTAGGAATATGTGGATTGAATGGAAAGTTAATCTTTAATTTCTCAATCAGAAATTAAAAGCATGATTTATTACTGTAGATTACTTACCCCAGAATGTATGCTAACTAATCTTATGTAGTGTGTAAACATAACATTTAATGACATTGTCCTACACAGTGGAAAGTGTTTTTTTTTTTTCCTTTTTAGCTATTTTTCTGCTTCTGTGGTTATGATGTAGGGAGTCTCACCTGGAGACTGTGTGTCTTTAACACTTGATGTTTATTTAGTCAATCTTTTAAATAAAAGGGGAATATGTCTCAGGCCCAGGATTTCAAAGGGTTACTGTATGTAACCAGTGGAGAAAGCAAATTTCTCCACTGGAGTTAAAAAATGATATAATTGTTAATAGCTGTCATGCTGTAAGTATTGTTCAAACATGCTATTGTTCAATACATGTGAATTTTTATTGGATATGGACCTGTCTCTTTTCTTATGTGGAAGTCTATCTCAGTCTCAATGACTGCCTGGACTTATCTCTGTCTTATTGTTGATGTCTCTGCCTTCTTTGATTTTATTCTGTTTCTTAATTTTTTCCTTATATTTATATCCCTTCTTTCCTTTTTCCTCTAATCAAAAAACAAAGTATAGATGATTATTTTTATTACTAGACATAATTACAGAGTTCTATATTCTGTACTCTGCTTTTGAAAATTTGATGACTATCACATTTTAGTTCTATGTAAAATCTTATATAAATAGCTTAGATTATTTTCCTCCTTTAAAGTAGTAGTAGAAAGAAAAGTTCCTCCTCCCATAAAAGCAAAAAATGAATAGTATTATATACTTGTTTAAAAACAAAAGTCGCTTGAGTTATTTTTCCCATTTGTTTACTTTTCTGTGCTATTTCTGTTACAGAGATGTTTGTTAACATAGAGCTTTATATATAGTTTTCTAAAATGCATACTTTTTAATTGTAGAAGAATTTATTTTTACAAAAATGTGATGTCCTTAAGATTTTTGAGGAAATTAGATATCTAGAGTCCCGAGATAGCTTTTAATAAAAAGTATTCTGGGAAAATTTTCTTTCAAGTAAAGAAACAATTTTTCTGTCTGGTGTTGTTAATGACAAATTAACCATAAGATTTTTTTTTTTTGTCATTCACCTTTATTTCAGTGCTGGTAACCATAAGATTATTTTGTACCATGTGTCTGATCTGACTAATCATGCTAGTGGGGTAGGATGTTTTCATTGTTTTAATTTCTCTGATGTAAAATGTCATTTACTTCCCTTAAATTGATGCAGTCATCCTGAGGCAGAGGAAATTTTGTTCTGTGTGAGAGTACACAAGGGCATTTTGCCTTTTTTGCCAAAGGACATGTTTCAAATATATTTTTTCTCTAAAAGCTACTAAATGATCATATTTGCTCTGAAAATCCAGATGTCTCTCAGAAAGCTTTTCCACAAGGACACTTTATCACAAAGCACCTTTCCTTTGTGTTTTGGGGAAGGATTTTTATTTGTTTCATTAACACCATACATTGCTGCATATCTATCTTGCACTCTCTCAATCAGGTGAGCATGTATAACCCTGAAAAGATTCCATACAGGACCTCTGCCCTTGTGTCTCTGTGAATGATCCAGCTGAATGAAAGTTGTTATTATTATTATCCTTCCTTCTAAAGCCAACTTTAAGTCAAACTGTCATTATGAAATTAGATATGGCTTGACACTGTGGTCTCTGTGGCAAGAAATAGTTCATTTCAAGGTCTGCAAATCTTTTCTTTCAACTCTCTGTATATCAAAATACCGACAAAAGCACCACTTTTTTTAAAATATAGCTAGACTGTTTACTCTTATTATTCCATGTGTGTTTTTGGTTTGCAATCATGGAAAAGGTTAAAAGGTAAATTTAAACACAGTTAGATGGTACATTAACAAAGCCAGGAGATTTTATGATGGCAGTTTGCAGCCCTGCTTTGGGCGGTACTCTCTCATGTTGTCTGCATTTAGGGGAATTCTGGCCAAAGTTACCAGCGCCCTTTGTATTTGCTGCTGCACACAACAGAAAGGGGCTTGGTGTGTATTGTCATTCTCACTTTCAGGGACAATGCCCTCGGATGCCATCTCAGATTACAGATGTCTTTGCTGTCATAAAACCATGCCGCTTTGTATTGGATTATCATTTTAAGATATGGAACAAATGGTTTGGGGGCGAAAGTTGACAAGTGAAATGACATACCAAAGCTATTAATACAGAAGCTGCTTTATAATCTTACTAATGACCAATTATAACCACAAAAGAAGAGCTACAATGTCTACGATTGAAAAAGTTAAAAAAAATAGAATTGACATTCTCCAGAGTAATGCAGATGAATTAATAAGAAATGTTTTGAGAGCTTATGGATCTCAGACTTCCCTCTAAGGAAAGTGGAGAGGATTTATTTTTCCAAACATAGGCTCTACATGATTAATAAGTTACTTATATAGGATATGCACGAAGACTCCCAACATTTCTTGGAGCTGCTGTGGTGAGCCATGGTAAAGTAATATGGAACAATAAGGATAGGAATAGTTAATGTTTAGCTGAATTATTTAAGACATGAGAAAAAGATCAATGATGAAGAACTGAAATTAACAAAGCCAGGATTATACTCTCTGGGAAAGTTCAATGTTCTAACTTCTAAAACTTCTAAGTACTATTTTTTTCTGGACTCTTATAGTTCATAGACATAAATCTGACCCTATGTAACTTTCTGATTTCCATTATTATTATTTCTCATATTCTGCATAATTTAATTCTAACCATTCAGAGATCAATATATCTTTTTTTTTAACTTATTTTAAAGAAGTAATGCAGGGGTGTATGATAAGTCTCTGTACCTTTCACTCAGTTTTGCTGTGAACCTAAAACTGCTGTACAAAATCAAGCCTATTAAAAAATTAATTGAATGGTCTCTTCAAAGATACATTAAAATTACATTATACTAAAAATAAGCAGGTGTAAGGTTTAGGACAATAGTCTCATTTTTGGCAGGCAAACTGTTTTAAAAATTAGGAGTGAATTTAGCATAAAGTCAATGGAAGGTCATAATTATATTAGTTTTCTAGGCTGTTGTAACAACAGACCACACACTGGGTGGCTTAAGACATCAGAAGTTTATCATCCCACAGTTCTGGAGTCTGGAAGTCTGGAATCAAGGTGTCAGCAGGGCCACGCTTCCTCAGGACCTTGGAGGAGAGAATCCTTTGCTTTTCCTAGTTTCTGGTGGTTTCCCGGCAACCCTTGGTTTCCCTGGCTTGCAGCTGCAGTGCCTCAGTCCCTGCCTCTGCTGTAGGACAGCATTCTCACTCTCGGTCTTTGTTCAAACTGCCCTTTTAAAGATAAGGACACCATGGCCCGGAGCGGTGGCTCACACACGTAATCCCAGCACTTTGGGAGGCCAAGGCGGGCAGATCACAAGGTCAGGAGATCGAGACCATCCTGGGTTAACATGGTGAAACCCCGTCTCTGCACATGTATACATATGTAACAAACCTGCACGTTCTTGCACATGTACCCTAAAACTTAAAGTATAATAATAATAAAAAAATTCACTATTGTTATGAAAGTTAAAGTCAGCAGTAGCCATAATTTAGCAGTTAACCTGTCATTAGTGTTTCTATTTTTCTTATTAAATCATATCTTTTGGGCCTCTGGTCAAAAAAAAAAAATTAGCTGGGCGTGGGGACGGGTGCCTATAGTCCCAGCTACTCGGGAGGCTGAGACAGGAGAATGGCATGAACCCGGGAGGTGGAGCTTTCAGTAGCCGAGATTGCACCACTGCACTCTAGCCTGGGCGACAGAGTGAGACTCTGTCTCAAAAATAAATAAATAAATAAATAAATAAATAAATAAATAAATAAATAAAGACACCAGTCATATTGGATCAGGGTCCACCCTAATGACCTAATCTTAACTTGATCACATCAGCAAAGATCCTACCTCCAAATAGTATTACCATATTAGCAGATACTGGGGGGCAGTACTTCCCCATGTTAATATCTTTTCATGGGAACACAACTCAACTCATAGCAATAATTAAAATTTAGTTCTTACCTAACAAAATATTGTTTACTTATTTTGGAGGTTGGTGTAGCCTTGGACAAAATTTTTTTTTTTACTCATTTTATTGGAAACACAGGATAAGACACAGAACAATAAAGAGAAACAAAATGCTTTGGCAAAAGACTCTAGAAGACCTAAGTGGGAAAGAAGAGTTTCAGAAAAAGTTTTGACATATGCTCTTCAATCAAACCTAGTGTTCCGTTTATAAATGTAATTTGGGTGGTTCCAAAGGCCCATGGAGTCATTTAGGGAATGCAAAAGAAGGAACACTATCTAACTTACTTTCTCAGGCCAGTAACATTTTGATATTAAAATAAACAATAACAGTACGAGGCAAGGAAATTTACAAGACAACATCTCATATAAATGTATATAAAAATTATAAACAAAGCATTGAAAACTCAAGTTGAATGCCATATATACATACATATATAACATGATCATAATAGGTTCGTTTCAGTAATATAATTAGTCCAAGATTTTTAAAGTGTTGATATAATTTAGGACATAAGCCGATTAAAAAGAAAAAGGTGATTATTTCAGTATTGGCAGAAAAAAACATTCCATGTAAAATGCAACATTTCTCTAGAATTTAAGAAAGGCTGTTAGAATTCTAGGAAAAATGAAACATCCTAACTAAATAAAGAACATCTCAAAAATACACTGTAAGCATTAATTGTTAGAAGCATTCCATTTAAAAACATGAATAGACATAAATGGCAGCAACTTCAAAATTGTATTGAAAAGTACAATCAAGACAATAACATAAGAAAAAGATAAAGATCAGAAAGGATAAAACTGCCATATTACTTTTTTTTGCAAATACTCTATGTAGTAAATGGGAATGAATATAAAGAAAAATTGCTCTTCCAAAGAGAAGAAAAGGTAAAGAAGTCTAACAAGTTGTGCATTGTGTTGTAATGATAATTAGAAGACTTACAGATAGTTATTAAAGAGTGGAGACAACGAACATTCTCAGGTGTAGAAAGATTCAGTAATATTGATAGGTCAGTACTTCCCACAAATGATATACTTATTGTAGTGCCAATGAAGAGCTTAGTAGTGCTTCTTTGTGGCATCAACAGCTGATTTTAAAATTAAACTGGTAAAGCTGATGGCCAAGAGGAACATGGTAGGGTGGCTTGATGTTCCAGTTAGCAACCCTTCCTATAAAGCAAACTTGTCCAACCTGCAGCTTGTGGGAGGCACGCAGCCCAGGATGGCTTTGACTGTGGTCCCATACAAATTCATAGACTTTCTTAAAATATTATGAGTTTTTTTGTTATTTTTTTTTTTTTAGCTCGTCAGCTATTCTTAGTGTTAGTGTATTTTATGTGTGGCCCAAGACACTTCTTCTTTTTTCAATGTGGCCCAGGGAAGCCAAGAGATTGGATACCCTGATATAAAGCTTTTAGTAATTAAGACAATAGAATAGAATAGAAAGCCACAAGAAAAAGGGCTCATATATGGAAATATCCTATTTGAAAGAGCTGCAAGAAACATTAGTGAGAAGTGAGGACATATTCAGTAAGTGGTGCGGTACCAAGTGGCTACCCTTGGATTAAAAATGAGTATGGATTCTGATCTCATATCATATATGAAAATCAATTCCAGATAGATATAGGAATTAAATCTGAGAGGCAAAATTTTAACTTCACAAAAAATAAAAGAGAATATCTCTATGGCATTGGGGAAAGAAAGAAATTTTTAGTAAGGTACACAAAATTGTAAAATTGATATAAAAATTGATAAAATGACCTTAAGATTAAGAAAATATTTTCATCAGAATCTAACATAATGAGAATGATTAAAAGCACCACAAATACAAGGAATACATTTTGACATAGATCACAGTATTAGCATTCAGAATATATAGATAATTAACAGTAAGAAAAAAAAACCCAATTAAAAAAGGGTAAAAAGTATAAATACACATTTCAGTAAGAAAAAAACTAAATTTTCAATCAACACGTAGAAGATATTCAATTGTATAATTAATTAGGAAGATCCAGAATCATAATGAAACACCATTTCACACCCCTCAGATTACCAAAAATTTTTTGAAAAAGACATATTTTCAGGTTAGCCCTAGGAAAATAATTGTCCCTTACTTCTAAATCTCTCACCACAGCCTTCTCCAAATCTGTAAGATCAACAAAGAGAACACAAAATAACATGACTCATACCTTCAATTAGTGAGAGACAGAAAATGGCATGAGTTTCAATGGCAAGTTTGAAAATAACAAGTTATCGGAGCTGCCACTGGAACTCCACGTTCACTGGAAGTTTGTGGATTGGGAAAAAGAAGGGAAACTAATTAAAAAAATCTCCATGGACAAAAAAATGGGAAGGACAGAAGAAAAAATGCAGAAAAGGCTGGGGAGTCCTAGCGCTGTGGCAAGAGGAGCCCTTGAACCCAGGAGCTTGAAGCTACAGTGAGCTGTGATTGTGTGTCCAGAATTGGTGGGTTCTTGGTCTCACTGACTTCAAGAATGAAGTCGCAGACCCTCGCCGTGAGTGTTACAGTTCTTAAAGGTGATGTGTCCAGAGTTTGTTCCTTCTGATGTTCGAACATGTTCAGAGTTTCTTCCTTCTGGTGGGTTCATAGTCTTGCTGGCTTCAGGAGTGAAGCTGCAGACCTTCGCAGTGAGTGTTACAGCTCTTAAGGCCGCACGTGTGGAGTTGTTCGTTCCTCCCGTCCTGTCCCAGTGGGATCCTGGTCTTGCTGGCCTCAGCAGTGAAGTTGCAGATCTTCACAGTGAGTGTTACAGCTCATAAAGCCAGTGCACACCCAAAGAGTGAGCAGCAGCAAGATTTATTGCAAAGCGCAAAAGAACAAATCTTCCACAGAGTGGAATGGTACCCCAGAGGATTGCCACTGCTGGCTGGGGCAGCCTGCTTTTTCACCCTTTTCTGGCCCCACCCACATCCTGCTGATTGGTCCATTTTACAGAGAGCTGATTGGTCTGTTTTGACAGGGTGCTGATTGGTGAGTTTACAATCCCTGAGCTAGGCACAAAAGTTCTCCAAGTCCTCACTAGATTAGCTAGACAGAGCAGTGACTGGTGCATTTACAAACCTTGAGCTAGACACAGGGTGCTGATTGGTGCATTTACAAACCTTGAGCTAGACACAGAGTGCTGATTGGTGTATTTACAATCCCTTAGCTAGACATAAAGGTTCTCCAAGTCCCCACCAGATTAGCTAGATACAGAGTGCTGATTGGTGCATTTACAGACCTTGAGCTAGACACAGAGTGCTGATTGGTGTATTTACAATCCCTTAGCTAGACATAAAGGTTCTCCAACGCCCCACCAGATTAGCTAGATACAGAGTGCTGATTAGTGCATTTACAAACCTTGAGCTAGACACAGAGTGCTAATTGGTGTATTTACAATCCCTTAGCTAGACATAAAGGTTCTCCAAGTCCCCACTAGACTCAGGAGCCCAGCTGGCTTCACCCAGTGGATACCGCACGGGGCTGCAGGTGGAGCTGCCTGCCAGTCCCCTGCTCTGCTCCTGCACTCCTCAGCCCTTGGGCAGTTGATGGGACCTGGTGCTGTGGAGCAGGAGCAGGCAGTGGCGCTCCTCCGGGAGGCTGGGGCTGCGCAGGAGCCCGCGGTGTGGGGGAGGCTCAGGCATGGCGGGCTGCAGGTCCTCAGCCCTGCCCCGCAGGGAGGCAGCTGAGGCCCCACGAGAATTCGAGCGCAGCGCTGGCCAGCCAGAACTGCTGGGGGACCCGGTGCACCCTCCGCAGCTGCTGGCCCAGGTGCTAAGCCCCTCACTGCCTGGGACGGGTGGTGCCGGCGAGCTGCTCTCAGTGTGTGCCAGCTGAGCCCACGCCCACCCGGAACTCGCGCTGGCCCGCAAGCACCCTGTGCAGCCCCGGTTCCTGCCTGCACCTCTCCCTCCACACCTCCCTGCAAGCTGAGGGAGCCGGCTCCGGCCTCGTTTAGCTCAGAGAGGGGTTCCCACAGTGCGGCGGCGGGCTGAAAGGCCCCTCAAGCACGGCCAGAGTGGCCTCTGGCCACTGAGGCTGAGGAGGCCGCGACAGCGAGTGAGGGCTGCCAGGGCTGCCAGCACGCTGTCACCTCTCAATTGCACCACTGCAGTCCAGCATGGGCGAGAAAGTGAGACCCTGTCTCTTAAAAAGAAAAAAAAAAATCCCCTAGAAGGAAAAACTCCAGCACCAAGTACTAAGTTGTCAAGTGAAATTCTGGAAACCTGGAAGTTATCAACACCATTTACAAATCTGAGAGTGTCCAGAAATGGCTTTGGCTTTGTGTGTGTGTGTGTGTGTGTGTGTGTGTGTGTGTGTGTAAAGGGTAGAGTGCCACTTCAGATTTGATGGTGACATTAAAGCAGAATGAAATGAAATTAAGGATGCTCTAGCACTTAAAGAGAAACAAGGCTGGGCGCGGTGGCTCACGCCTGTAACCCAGCACTTTGGGAGGCTGAGGAGGGTGGATCAGGAGGTCAGGAGATCGAGACCATCCTGGCTAACACGGTGAAACCCCGTCTCTACTAAAAATACAAAAAATTAGCCGGGCATTGTGGCGGGCGCCTGTAGTCCCAGCTACTCGGGAGGCTGAGGCAGGAGAATGGCGTGAACCCGGGAGGTGGAGCTTGCAGTGAACTGAGATCCTGCCACTGCACTCCAGCCTGGGGGACAGAGTAAGACTCCGTATAAAAAAAAAAAAGAGAGAGAGAGAGAAGAGAAGCAAAACATGTTAACTCTCACTTCTCCCCATCACCACCAGAACAGACATCAAAAAGACTGCACTTCCCTGTAGTGAAAGAAGAGTATGCTACCCAACCAGAAATTCGTTTCGTGAAATGCATAGGAATTAAGAGAGAGAGAGAGATGTATTTCAAATAAAGCTATGTAACAAGAAAACAGAAATGCAAATCAAAACATTTCAGAGGAAAAATCTCTCAGAAAAAGAATTGAAACAGGAGGAAACAATAACACAACATTCAAACCAGAATTAAACAGCACTCAAACATTCAAGCAGGCACTTGGAAATCTAAAAAGTCCATCTATTATCAGAAACCAAGAAGGAGAAAGTGGGGAAGGGCAGCAGTGATGAGAGTTGACTAACAAAATAAAGTAAAATGGAATAAGTTACAATGTGTCGAGGAATAATATGCCTGTCTGTTCCAGGCTGTACAGCTCTCCAGGTGACATTGAGAATTTTGATATGCTTCTTGTGGATGTATGAATTGTACATCCATTTTGGATAGCAGTTTGGCATTGTCTTTTAACATTGAAGATATACATATGGATATCTATCATAGAGTAATTCCGTGTACTCATTATGGGAATATGAATCATACATCAATTTCATATAGCAGTTTGGCATTAACTATTAAAATTGAAGATACTATACTCTGCCCTCAGAATTCTAGCTCTTGCACAACGTAATCTAGAGCAGGGATCTGCAAACCACAGCCAAGTGGCCAAATCTGACCTACTTTTCTAATTTTGTAAATAAAGTTTTATTGGAACACAACTATGTCTGTTTGTTTATATGTTGTCTATGGCTGCTTTTATGCAAAACAGGAGTTGGGTAGTTGCAACAGAACCCACAGTTGTCCCACAAAGCTGAAAATACTGGCTCTCTGGCCCTTTATGGTAAAAATTTGCTGACGCCTAGTCTAGAGAAACTCTTGTGCATATGAAGAAACATGTAGAGAATGTTCATAGTGTAAAAGTTGAAAACCTCACAAGTATTCATCACCAGTGTAACTAAACTAAATTGGAATGGTTTCCAATAATAGACTGTTTACTATACAGCAGAGAAAATGAAGAAAGTACAAATATATGCAACCACACAATTGCATCGCCAAGTAAACTGTTGAGTGAGAAAAAGGAAGTATGAATACTATATTTCCATTTGTGACAAGGTTAAAACATGCAAACTAAACTATTTGTAGTTTAGAGAATCATATGTATGAAACAAAATAAAACAAGGGACAAGTTAAGTTGGTGTCACGTTTATCATTAGAGTAGAGAGAAAAAAACAATCAGAGTGGCTCCTACTGGGAGTGTCAAGCATATGGACATATTTTCTTTCTCTGAGTGGTGAGCCAAGGCTGTTGGCTTATAATCAACATTTGCATTGTGCTTTTTTGTTTGTTTGTTGTTTTTAAAAATTGCTTCAAATCTTAGGTCAAATACTTATTGCCTTTTTATCAAGAGAAAACTTACCTAACACTTTTTATCTTATCATCTCCGCAAATTATGATTTTCTATTGACTTTTTAGCATACCTAGCATATACACTGATGTGGACATTTCTCAATGCTGAATTGTTAATTTTCTATGTATTTCTGAAGGAATTAGCTAGTTGCATTTATACATGACATAACACACACACACTTGCATATATATATATATACAGTTATACTCCATATGTTTAGAGAATAATTATAAAGAATTGCACAGGGGACATTGCATGAGGCTTGGTGTCATATGTCCTTGGTTAGGTTATGACTCTGCCTCCTGCCTATGGGGTGATCCCTGAGGGTTCCTTCATTTGAGTGCTTTCCCCCATGAAATGAGAATACAGTAATCATATCTACTTTTCTTTTTTTGTGTGGATAAAATAATGCTTGGTGGTCATTCACATAAGGAATATTTTCAATTCCACTTTCAGTCTCAGGTGTGCGCTGTCTGCCTGTCTCTGTTCCAGGTTGTACGGCTCTCCAGGTGACATTGACCTCTGGCCCGCCCTTATGGTTGAAGACCTGATTCCTGGTACAAGAGTGGGACCAACACTTATGTGCCTGTTTGTTACCCAGTTTCAGCGGCTAAGAGATGGAGATAGGTGAATGATTATCTGTTATACTTATTAAATATCACAAAAGTTGTTTTTGACCCAAAATGTATATGTTTAACATTGTGATTCATATTTTTATGATTTAATGCATATTGAGTATAATGAATATCAGATAGCATTAGGTGACAGAACTTTTGTAACCACCAATATTATCAGATAACATTTATTTTTGTAAATCTTTGTAAGAAGAGAAGAAACAGAATTTCTCAAAAGGCAATAGAAGTTGGCGATTGAGAGGATGAAGGCTAGATGGACTACGTTGTGCTTAAATCTGAGTCTCACCACTTACAGCTGTTTAACTTTAGACATGTATCACTCAGAACCAGGTTCCTCATCTGTAAAGTGTGAGTAACAATTGTACCTATTCCATAGGACGTCTGCAGCCTTCAATGATGTTGAGAAGGAAGGAACTGGTAGCAGCCTTGAGATTCCCTCCCTTCATTCTCATGGAGGAAGACCTGATGACCCTAGACCAGATCTCCTTGTAAAATTACATTATGAGGGCATTTACGAGTGGAAAGATAACTGGGAACTCTTCTCTAAAATTTCTTGGTTTGTCTAAAATGTTCATTGTAAATAAATTTAATCATGAAATAATGGGAAACAGCAGGCTGGAGAATGTAAGTTAGTCACGTAATCTGTTTACTGTTCCAAGACTAACCAAGAATAAAAACCAAGAAATACAAACCTAAGCAGCCTCTCCTGAGTGGACATGTGCTCTTCTATTGCTTGGAATCAAGTATGTTCCAGGGCATGGTATCTTCTGAATCATTAGTGAAGCTTAGTGTTGAGTAAGATCTAGGAATCTTGTGAATCTGTTTGACAATATAACCTTTTGTATTATTTCAGAGATGATGTATATAAGACTTGAAACAAAGCCCAGAGCTTAGTTTTTAATTAAAGTTACAATAAAAATTATTCTTTACTTTAAATCCCTTCCCTTTACAAATTATAGAGAAAGTAGCAAAGGATTTAATTCCCTTTATTGCACATTGGTAACAATTAATAGTATATTTCATTAATTTTTTAAAATCATTTTTAACACTGAATTTCTTGACTCACATAATTGGGTTAATGTGCTCAATTGGCAATAGTTTAAAAATATATGTAGTCAAAGACTGAAAATAATTGAAAAACCTTCAGTTTGGGGGTTAAGCTGTCTTCCCCATATATATTAGTTTACCAGGCTGTTGTAACAAAGTCCCATAGCTTGGATAGCTTAGACAACAGAAATTTGTTATTCTTACAATTCTGGAGGTTAGATGCTGATCAAGGCATCAGCAGGGTTGATTCCTACTGGGGCGTCTCTTCTGGCTTGTATGTGGCATCTTCTCCCTGTGTCTTCACGTGGTCTTCCCTCTGTTATCTATGTCCACATTTCCTTTTCTTATAAGGACACCAGACATACTGGGTTAGGGCTCACACACGTGATCTATTTTTACCTTAAATACCTATGTAAAGGCCCTGTCTCCAAATAGAGTCACCTTCGAAGGTACTGGGGCATAGGACTTCAACATATACATTTTAGGGGGACACAGCTCAGTCCATAACATCAAGATAGTGGCAAGAAGTCTTTTTGCCTACCATCTTAATTTCCTGCTCTATACTCAGCACAAAAAAGTGCTTGGCATGTGATATTCAAATATTTACTGAATGAATGAACCCAAGGATTGACTTTGCTGAATGTACCCAAAGATTGACTTTAATAGTTCTTTCATTTAAAATTGATTGTATCCTTTCATTTAAAATTGAATGTGCTTATTCTAGTTAGTTGATGGATATAACCAAATAGTATATATTAATTATCAAAAGTGCTATTTTCTTTTTAGGCAAACGTGTTAATGTTACATTGCTCAGACAGTTTCTAAGGTTAGTTCATGGAATTTAAATGCAACAATAGGGCTAGGTGCGGTGGCTCACGCCTGTAATCCCAACAGTTTGGGAGGCCGAGGTGGGCAGATCACTTGAGGCCAGGAGTTCAAGACTAGCCTGGCCAACATGGCGAATCCCCGTCTCTAGTAACGATATAAAAATTAGGCAGGCATGGTGACAGGAGCCTGTAATCCCAGCTACTTGGGAGGCTGAGGCAGGAGAGTTGCGTGAACTCGGGAGGTAGAGGTTGCAGTGAGCTGAGATCATGCCACTGCACTCCAACCTGGGCTACAGAGTGAATGAGACTCCGTCTCAAAAAATAATTAAAAATTAAAAAAAATTTAAAAATGTAATAATGGACTTTTCTTTTTTGGAGGAAAACCTTAGAAAACTTTCCTTTGAATCATTTTGTAGAGCTTGAGTAGAAAGTGATAGTTCAGAAGAATGTGATTTAAGAATGTTGTAAATATTGGAGAGAATTAAAAGGATACTCAGTTGGAGAACAAGCATAATTCTTTCAGTATGCGTCTTTTATGTTGAGCTCTTCTTGGTGCATTGTGGCTGTTTGACATGCAGCTGAGTTCTCAGGCCACAGACCCACGACAATGTTTTTTTTTTGGTTGACTACCAGGTTCTGGTATGAAAACCCTGGAGTATTTACCCCGGCACAACTCACTCAGCTGAAGCAGGCGTCCCTGAGCCGGGTGCTTTGTGACAATGGTGACAGCATTCAGCAAGTGCAGGCTGATGTCTTTGTAAAGGCAGAATACCCACAGGATTACCTGAACTGCAGCGAGATCCCGAAGGTGGACCTGCGAGTGTGGCAAGACTGCTGTGCAGGTCAGTAATAATGCAATGAGCACGATCTGGATTGATGTGCATGTTCTCATGCTTGAATTGTTTTCAGTGGTAAAGATTATGCGATTTAAAGAAAGATACGCAAAAAGCCAACAACACAGAACTTTCCTTTTGGAAATCTGACAGATGATGAAGGGGTGGACACCAGGAAAAAGGCTCCCAACCTGCCCATCCTCTTCCATTCCACACTAACCTTGTTAGAATGGGGACTCTTGCTGGCAAAACTGGCCTCTGCCTTCTTACTGCATTTCAGATTTCTGCACCAAAGATCAAATGCCAATCACTTGGTACTGACTATATCTACTTCTTGGGGTTCATCTAACAAAAGAGAAATGAAAGTTTATAGTGACTTGGCTAACTTAGGCTATCCATTCTTCATAAGATGTTGCAGTAGTGCTCATTGGAAGTACAAGGAAATTTTGATAGAGTCAGGAAAAACTTTCCCTAATGACACAACAGAATTGGTGATATCTACAACATCACCGTTTACGAACCAAACTTTCCCTAAGGTGCTTCTATAAGCATCTGTTTTGTGCTCACAATATCCCTTTAGAAATGTGGATTTCTTTCTCCTTTGATGAAAGTGTGGCTCAAAAATATTAGATGACTTTCTCAAAGTCCAAAGATGAGTAAGTGGTGGAGCCAGGGCCAGAGAAAAGATGTATTGTTTGTTGAAACCTAGAGATGAACTGAGGACTTGATGATTCTGGAGCAGAACATGCTGACGTCTTCACAGGTGAGCAGGTGTCTGTCACATGGAGGATATTTGCAGTTCCTCTGGACGCCAATGACACAAGGGCCACCATAGCCTCATGCTTGCTCCGTGTAGTGGCCATGGGCCTGGGAGTTCTGATGTTCTCTGGGACTGAAATGATCATTCTCAGTACCTAAGTAGTACTAGAGATTTGTTGTCAGGGGAGGAAATTGAAAGCCACTGCTAGAAGTGTGATAGAACACTGGCCGGGTGCGGAGGCTCACGCCTGTAATCCCAGCACTTTGGGAAGCCAAGGTGGGTGGATTGTTTGAGGTCAGGAGTTCAAGACCAGCCTGGCCAACATGGCGAAACCCCATCTCCACTAAAAATACAAAAATTAGCCAGGCGTGATGATGGGTACCTGTAATCGTAGCTACTTGGGAGGCTAAGGCAAGAGAATCGCTTGAACCCTGGAGGCGGAGGTTGCAGTGAGCCCAGATTGTGCCATTGCACTCCAGCCTGGGTGACAGAGCCAGACTCAATGACACCTGAGTCACGGTTGTCTTTTTCACTGTGGTGGTGCTTTATCGGACACAGCAAAAAGGAATGTGGTACCCCGGGGAGGGTGGCATTCTTTCCCTTACCTCAAGTTCTTAGTGATTAGATCCAGGAATAATGAAATAGTCCCCCCTCTTCAGAATGTTGGAGGAGCAGAGAGCAATATACAAACCATATAAATGGCAACTTGTAACACTCCTTTGCTTCTTCTCCAATGTCCCTGGGATGGGACATAGGGCCTGCTGAGCAGAGGGAGAGATAGATGGCATGGCAGGGTGTGGGCTGTGATGACCAGAGCAGTGCCCTGCAAGGAAGCAATGGCTCCGTGTAGAGGCCAGGGCTGCGTGCCCATACTGACACATACCATTTCTAGCTCTTCTCACCTCTGCCCATGTGATATGTGATTCAGGGAAACACCTAGCTCATATAATTGTCCTGAGTCTTTCAAGGTGGTTGTTATTATCCCTGATTTACATATGAGGAAAATAAGGCTCCTGGAAACTAAATCCATTTTCTAAGGTCCCACAGCTGACCTGAAGGCCTCGGCTCTTTCCTCTGTGCGCACCGCCACCTGGTAGCACGTGTAGGGTAGGTGCATGGCACAGAGACAGTGAGCAGGCCCCCACCAAGGGCAGTTCCTCTGCTGCCCTCCCCCCATTGCCATTGTTCCATGTTGAAGACTCGGAGGAGGGCTCCTCTGGTTATTTAAATGGTAATGAATCTGCTGTGGGCAATGTTTGTTATGGAAAATGCAATGCAAGGATGTAACAGACCAGAGGAGGGTTGGGGTCTTGAGTTTGTGCAGCGTTCTTATCAAGATCTGTGGTCCCAATCAATAATAAGAATACTCTTTCTCTGTGAGTGTCTTTAAAAAATGTCTGAAAATTAATAAGCCAGCAGTAAACATCTACTCCTTAACTGGATACAAACATACAGTGTTTTTTTTTTTATGGCACTATAAAAATGCTCAGAAGTCATGTCAGTAGCAAAATTACCTAAAGATATGAATATGCCTGATGTAGTTCCAATCCTAATGTAATGTTTGTAATGAGAACCATTACAAATGGATACATGTGTATTTTTCCGTGTACTTTCTGACTAACAAGCGTGGATTTTTCAGAAAAATTAAAAGACAGTTTAAAATGAGTGGCTTAACAAAAGGTGTTTAGTAACTGCTCCAAAGTGGACCACTTTCTTATGGGATGGGCTTCTTACACTTCCCAATTAACAGAAACATTGCTCTATGTAGATTAGAGGCCTGCTGGAACATTCAGATCTCTGAGGAACTAGTTTCTAGACTGTGGCTCCGTAGTTTCAGGTAGGTTATACATTTTAATGGTCTGAGTTAAGTAAGGCAGTTGAGAAGTGCTGGTATTGACTACATTGAGTCCATCCCTGAGACCTGAAGTTGCGAATTTCCCAAACAGAGAAGGTGTATTAAAGGACCTAGAAACTATGTCACTACTCAGTACACTTGTCTTTGTTGTGTGTTCATTCATGTTGTATTAATAGATTTCTTCCCTCTCCTTTGCTAATCTCACTCTCAGACTAAAATAAGTGATGGTGTTTAAATGATTTATTTATTTATTTTTATTTTTATTTTTTTTGAAACAGAGTTGTGCTCTGTTGCCTAGGCTGGAGTGCAGTGGTGCAATCTCGGCTCACTGCAACTTCTGCCTCCCAGGTTCAAGTGATTCTCCTGCCTCAGCCTCCTGAGTAGCTGTGACTACAGGCCCGCACCACTGCGCCCGGCTAATTTTTGTATTTTTAGTAGAGACAGGGTTTCACCATGTTGGCCAGGCTGGTCTTGAACTCCTGATCTCAAGTGATCTGCCTGCCTCAGCCTCCCAAATTGCTGTGATTACAGGTGTGAACCACCATGCCCAGTGGATTTAATTGTTTTAACTGGCATTATCCTAGAGTAAAATAGAGACCTCCGTTTGGGATGTAAATGGCCACTCCAAGCAGTCCTAGTGGTTCATTTTGTTAGAATGAAATGTATGATTAAATTGACCCTCAGCCCTTTATGTTGTTTTTAAAGAATAATTTTATTTTCAACAGGGCTATTTTTTTTTTCATTTTTTGTTTCCCACGAATAATAGCTTACTGGTTAATACTGATACCAGCATCTTCCAAATTTAACTACATTTTTTTAAAATCCTGGAGAAACTCTTCTCCTAAATTCCTAAACACATTGAAATGGACTCTGAGTCTGTTTAAACAGTGATAATATAAATGCAGTCAAGATTTACATCATTATATCTTGTTATTCTTTGTAGGTAGAAGGCATGAGATCTAAATAATGGAGCTGGGATTTCTGTCACTTAGCTGTAAGGCTATGGGTTTGTATGGGTGATCAAACTGGAAAAAGTTGGGGTGTTAAGGACTTGGTTTGTAGTTTTCGTGTCATTTATTATGTTTGATGAAGAATTTTGTTATCCACCATTTTGTTTTGTTTTGTTTTGTTTTGAGATGGAGTTTTGCTCGTTACCCAGCCTGGAGTGCAATGGCGTGATCTTGGATCTTGGCTCACTGCAACCTCTCCCTCCCGGGTTCAAATGATTCTCCTGCCTCAGCCTCCCAAGTAGCTGGGATTACAGGCCTGCGCCATCAGACCTGGCTAATTTTTGTATTTTTAGTACAGACGTGGTTTCTCCATGTTGATCAGGCTGGTCTCAAACTCCTGACCTCAGGTGATCCACCCGTCTCGGCCTCCCAGAATGCTGGGATTACAGGCATGAGCCACTGCACCCTGTGGCCCTATCCACAGTTTTTAACCCATGAATTTCAGTTTCTCTTCAAACTATTCTAAAACAACATGGTGTTTTTGTTTTTCTTTTTGCCCTTAACTAAATCCATTGTCGTGCATTTTTTTTCATAAATTTCCTCAAGTCATTCTATGTATCTGTTATATAAGTAATTCCTTTAAAATATTGCTTAGTATTTAATGGATAGGATTGTATATACCAAAATTCATGCAGCCATACTTTGCATATCAGGGCTTATATGTCCATAGGCTAGGTTCTTATAGAATTCCCAAAGTAAAGTTGCTGAGGTACAGGATATAGGCTTTTTAATGAAAAAAAGTGTTGTCAGATTTATTTCTAAAAAGATAAACATGACGATTCCACAAACAATTATATTAATACCCACTTTATTTCCCCACCAGCAATTGGTAATATAGCCCTTGGTTTTTTGATAGTGCAGTGAGTAAAAACTTAATTATCTCAAGTTCATTTTAATTTTCATTTCTCTGTTAGTGTGTTTAAACAGCTTTTTCCATGGTTTTTGGTTTTGGGGATTGGCTGTGTGCATTGTGTGTTCATAGTCTTTGTCCTTTAATCAATCTGTATGAGCTCTCTGCAAATGCTGTGTGTTAACAATGGTGAGGGTGAACATCCCAGGCTTGCCACTAAATTGAAATGGTTTCATCATTTACCCAGCAGCAACATGCTTGCTTCCTTTTATATGAATTTTTTTTTTTTTTTTTTTTTTTTTTTTTGAGACAAGAGTCTTGCTCTGTCGCAAGGCTGGAGTGCAGTGGTGTGATCTCGGCTTATTGAAACCTCCACCTCCCAGGTTTAAGCGATTCCCCTGCCTCAGCCTCCAAAGTAGCTGGGACTACAGGTGCCCACCACCACACCCAGCTAATTTTTGTATTTTTAGTAGAGAAGGGGTTTCACCATGTTGACCAGGATGGTCTTGAACTCCTGACCTTGTGATCTGCCTGCCTCGGCCTCCCAAAGTGCTGGGATTACAGGTGTGAGCCACCACACCCGGTTTATTTGAATTTTTTTATGCTTAAGAAGATTTCTTTCAGTCCCTTGGTCCTCTCTGTAACAAAGTAGCTGCTGCATTTCACCTGTGCTGCTCCTTCTCCCTGTGCACTGCCCACTGTCAGGTCCTACTGTACAGAGGGCTTTCTTTAATTTAGTTACTTCATTTACTGTTATTTAGAGCTTCCCTCTTCAAATTAGCCTTATTTATTTTTCCCATTATTTGCATATGCATTATATACATAAATACGTAAAACGTATCTTCTATGTCTGTATACATGTATAGGTGTGTACACATACAGATGTGTACATTGTTAAAAACCTTAGACAAATTAAGTTTAACAGACTTTACTTGACAAAGGGCAGCCTCCTGAGCCAGAGCAGGCTCAGAGAGACTCCAGCACAGCCACGTGGTGGAAGAAGATTTATGGACAGAAAAAGAGAAGCAATGTACGGAAAACAGAAGTGAGGTTCAGGAACAGCCAAATTGGTCACAGCTTGGGCTTTGCCTTATTTGAACCCAATTTGAAGAGTTGGCTGCCTTTGATTGGCCAACTGATTATGAGGCTCAGCTGACACAGGAGTTGATTACAGTCTGTTTGCACTTCAAGTCAGGTTCACTATGTCCAGACATCTTTAGGCCAAACTTAAAATATGTAAGGAGGCAGCTTTGGGCTAAGCTTAATTTAGCAATTTCCCTCTTTTGGTCATCCTCTCAACTTTGGGAGATAGACCAAAACTTTAGGAATTAATGTCACTCTGTCATCATCGTAAATGTCAAGTAATTTTGTGTGTTCATGAGGGTTACAGTAGGGGCAACCTTCTTTTGTTGGAATCTACTGTTCACAGGGGGAGAAAATGGTCACTTTAGGACCTATCTCCTTCCTTAAAGTTTCAGTTTGGTTATGCTGCTTTTAGCATAAGTGCCTCCATTTTGCTTTTGTCTGGTTTGTTGGGGCCTGGTGCAGGAGCTCAGTCCAAAACAATGATCTCCCATAATTTTGTTTAAAAACCTCCTCTCCCTTTTTGGTAAGGTTCTCACTTAGGTGAGCATGTGACCAATACTTAGGGCCTTATCACCACTCTCAGTTACCATCATTTTGGGTTTTCTGTCTCAGCATATCACTCACAGGCTACGATGTTCTCATGATCACATGTTTCTTTGAGTTTTTGTCATTCCAGTTGAAGAAAGGCCATTTGACATTCTACAGATGGCTGCATGCAAACGTTTAAAATTTTTGAGAGAATACAACGCAGCAGGGAGACTACTGTTATGATTATCAGGAGGATAATACCAAGAGCTTGGAGTATGCTCCTTACCTGGGGTCCCATAAACCAAACCAACCAAATAAAATCAAATAGATCAAAGAATGTGCTAGGTAAAGAATCTACTCACTTTAACCAAGCAGTCTATTCATTAATTCCTTACAACTGAATCTCTGTAATACCTGATGTGATGTATTTCTCCATGGGTGACAAGAAGTGCCAACAACTACACAGACACTTCTCTGTTAATCACTAAGTGATCTAGAGCAATTTTATTATTTAGCACAACTTTCAAAGGAGCATTTAAAGTCTGTTGTATAACTGGCTGGGCCTGGTGGCTCAAGCCTGTAATCCCAGCACTTTGGGAGGCCGAGGTGGGCAGATCACTTGAGGCCAGGAATTTGAGGCCAGGCTGGCCAACACAGTAAAACCCCATCTCTACTAAAAGTACAAAAATTAGCTGGGTGTGGTGGGTGCCTGTAATCCCAGCTACTTGGGAGGCTGAGGCAAGAGAATTGTTTGAACCCAGGAGGCAGAGATTTCAGTGAGTCGAGATCATGCCACTGCACTCCAACCTGGGCTACAGAGCGAGACTTCATCTCTAAAATAAAATAAAGAAAAAAAAATAAAGTCTGTTGTATAACATAGCATTTACAGTATTATCTGCTATAAGAGCCTATCATGAGGGATAAATTTCTAATCATTGCTTCATTTACTCCAAACCATGGGAAAAGAAACCTAACAAAAGATGCCCATTTGGAAGAGTGAAGTCTTCCTATTAATTTTCTCCATAACCGATGGCAGCAATGTTCTCTTTAACCTATGATGTAGGTTAAGAGGAGGGTATCCGTGTTCTGTTTCTGACTGATTGTGAGACAACAAATGTACCATGAACATTTCTCACTTACACTGGCCCTTCATCTTCCATCTATCAAAGCATAAAGTTGTCTATGTATATAAGGCTGGCTTCAATATCTTTCACAAAATAAAAGTATACCCCATGAGTCCACACAACCATCTCCTTTTTCACTTTTATTGTTCATAGAAGTATAAGCAAGGAAAAAAAATAGAAAGATAAGAGTCTTATGATAGCAGAGAAGTCTTGATTCTTGATCTGGTGAAAAAGCTACCCACATCAATGGTGTTATCTTCTTCTGGGGAGAAATTTTCCTGGTTAGCTTTAACCTTAAGGTTTCCAGTGGGAATACAGTAAGAGTGTGGAGGGGACCTTCTGAGTTGTGAGGTCATGAACCCAAGGTTCAAGGTCTCAAAGTTTTGCTACAATGTGATGGCAAAGGACAACTCTGATGTTGTTCTCAGAAAATTCAGTCTTCAGGTTCTAGATTGTGCTCAGTCAGATCACCATGTAAAGCTTTCTTTACCTTGTGAAAATACACCTTGACATAGTGCATTAAGGCTTTGCAGCATTTAGTTATGTCAGAGTTTATTAGTGGAAGATACATGAGACTGTGTTATTAGGGGGATAGTCCTTTCAATGACATAATAAAGGTGTCAACTTATGTTTTACACTGGAAGTGGATGTGATTGTCATTAATCTACAATACCTTTTACCAAAACAATTCAGTCAGTTCCTCTAGCTTTGCCCAGTACTATAGTATCTATAATACCTTATTTAACTGTTTTATAACTTGTCCAGTGAAATAAGTATCCTATCTCTGGCTATTTCTCCAGGAATAATCTTTTAGCTACTGTTATAACATCAGCCCTTGTGCATGGGAAAGCTTTTATACAACCAGAAAACATGCACTGAAAATGTCTTCCCCCAGGTACTAAGGGAGGAGACCACCCCTCATATTATCTTATGCCCAATTTCTGCCTCCAAAGAAAGAAGAAGTAAAAACTAAAAGGCAGAAATGAAATCCACAGACATACAGCGCAGCACCACGCCCTGGGCCTGGTAGTTAAAGATGGACCCCTGACCTAATCGGTTATGTTATCTATAAATTACAGACATCGTATGGAAAAGCACTGTGAAAATCCCTGTCCTGTTCTGTTCCATTCTAATTACCGGTGTATGCAGCCCCCAGTCATGTACCCCCTGCTTGCTCAATCAATCACTACCCTCTCACGTGGAACCCCTAGAGTTGTAAGCCCTTAAGAGAGACAGGAATTGCTCACTCAGAGAGCTCGGTTTTTCAGACGTGAGTCTTGCGAAACCTCCCGGCTGAATAAAGCCCTTCCTTCTTTAACTCAGTGTCTGAGGGGTTTTGTCTACGGCTTGTCCTGTTACAGTACCTTCACTAATGTCTTCCCCCAGGTACCTTCCCTAATGTCTTCCCCTATATGCCATTTAGCCACGTGGCACCCAGGAGGACTATGAAGGGCAGTGCTTGTCTAAGTCCTGAATTTCCATGCCTGATGTAGAAGTCAGGACGGAAGACAGCTGTGAGGAGGATGCCTGGAGGATACAACCCTTCCCAGAATAGCCAGGAGGCAAAACTGGGCCAGGGAAGAACGGGTCATGTTGGGCTTGATTCTGGCTGGTAGCTGCTGTTCTAGGAACTGAGAACTTTGCCCCAGGCCTCACTATGGCCATCTGTCCAGATCACTGAATCCAGACTCTCAAAACCAAACCGTAAGCTCACAGTCAAATCAAACAAGTACCTACTTATATTTAACTGACAATTTTGAAACCATATTTTGCCAACAATTTAAAAACTAGTTTTATTTACCAAATTTTATCACATACACTTAACATATATAGTACACATATGAACACAGAAGCAGATCTTCTAGTTTTCATAAAGCTAGCTTATAAATAATTTTTCCTTTCTCTCTTTAGACTATCCCTCTTTCAATCACATGCTTCATTGCCCTAAGCAACTGCCAGCCAGGCAATTCCAAATCTGTACTTCTAAAGGGCCAACTCCCAGGCCAAACAAGAAAATCTGTATTTCAACAGCACAGAGCTAAGACTTTAGACCTAAATATTGTATCATCAGCTCAAACCAAAAAAAAAGTAGTGGAAGTAAAAGTTCAGTTAAGACAAGATAGTCTGAAAAGCACTTTAAAAAAGGTTTGACTTGTTATGTAAATTGAAAACAATGGCAAGAGTTTCTAATGTACATAGGCAGATATCCTTAAAAATGGAGATTTCCTTTATAAATGTAGGTTTTTTTACAAAAAGGTTTAAAGATAGCCAGTTAGATTCCAGAAAGGCATATTTTAGTTCCATGGGTGTTCTTTTTAACTTAGCTACTATTTCTTAGCTAAAATTACTGAGTTCAGCATGGAGCCCATTAAGGAATAGAGCAAAGAAAGCATTTTCCATGACTGGATTCAGCATGGATTGCTGTGAGAAAGAAGCAAGCCTACTTTACCGGAGGTCTTATCTTTTGTAAACACTTTAGGATAGCTTTCTTTTTGCCTTTGGGGCAGAATAATAACTAAACCAAAATGTTAACAGATATTTTCTTATCAATTAGTCACTTAAACTTTTTATTTGCCATTTGTAAAAAGTCTCTTTTAAAAAACAGTAAAGATATTAAAATCTTTTTAGAAGCTTTTGCCTATCAATAGGCATCCCTAGTTAAGACTAATTTAAGAATTCTCATTTTCTTTTTCTTTTCTTTTCTTTTTTTTTTTTTTTTTTTTTTTTTTTTGAGATGGAATCTCACTCTGTTGCCCAGGCTGGTGTGCAGTGGCAAGACCTGCGGTTCAAGTAATTCTCCTGCCTCAGCCTCCCAAGTAGCTGGGACTACAGGTGTCCACTATCACTCCTGCCTAATTTTTGTATTTTTAGTAGAGATGGGGTTTCACCATGTTAGCCAGGCTGGTCTCAAACTCCTGACCTTAAGTAATCCACCTGCCTTGGCCTCTCAAAGTGCTGAGATTACAGGCGTGAGCCACTGCACCTAGCCAGGAATTCTCATTTTCAGATGCACTGCTTAAAGTGTGGTATTATTCATTTGGAACATTGCATTCTAATTTTAAATTACCTTTAGTAAGATTTTACCACTTCTATAAGTGTTTGCTGCTTCCAGAGTCTGATATTTATACATGCAAATGTAGGCATAGCTGGAAGGTGGATTATTCAGTTCTTTAGAAACTAAGGATCTCCTTTTTACCTTACATCTTGGCTTTGGCTATCAGATCTCCTTGATCAACTTAGTCAATGATTTTTTTTCTACCTGAGCAACCAAAAAGAGAAAAGTGCAAGGAAGGGGTAGAACACAAAAATCCCTGTGAATTTGCAAAAGCTGAAATTTATACCTTCTGCAATATTTCCATTTATTATCAGTTTCTGTCTGACTGGGTCAGACATAAGAGGCCTCTAACTGGATCCAAGCCAGTTAATATCAGATCCAACGTGATTCTGCATCCAGTCCAGTTTCTGTTGTGTTTTCTGAACCCAGTTCAGATAAAAAAATTTGCTCAAACTCAGAGAGCTAAAAACAAATCCGTGGAGCTTTGGAATCTGAGAGAGAATACCATGATCCCCAGTTGCTGTGAGAAAGCAGTGGCCACAGTGGGCCTGGCAGGGATCTCACTTGGTCACATGTTGCTTCTGGGCATCGGAGGAAGTTCTACTTCAGGTCCCACTTCTGACACCATCTGTTAAAAGAAAAACCTTATGCAAATTTAACTGAGTAAAGAATGATTTGTGAATTAAGAAGACTCCTGAGCCAGAGTAGGCTCAGAGACTCCAGCACAGCCATGTGGTGGAAGAAGATTTACGGACAGAAAAAGAGAACTGATGTACAGAAAACAGAAGTGAGGTACAGAAACAGCCAGATTGGTTCCAGACCAGCATTTGCATTATTGAACACAGTTTGAAAGAGTTGGCTGCCTTTGATTGGCCAAAACTTAGCGATTGACACAAGAGTAGACTACAGTCTGTTTACACATCCAGTTAGGTTACAGTTCACTATGTCTGGAAAAACATTTAGGCTGAACTTAAAATATGTAAGGAAGTAGCTTTGGTCTAAACCTAATTTAACAACATGCGTATGTATGTGTGTATATAACTGTGTACGTGGATAGGTATGTGTATGCATGAGTGTGTACACATATGGGTGTGTGCATGTGTAGTTGTGTACATATATACATGTGTATGCATAAACATGTACATGTAGATGTATGTATTGTATAGGCATGTATAGCTATGTGCACGTATGATACATGCATGTTTAAGTTATGCATATGTACATGTATAGTCATATGCATGAATAGGTATTGTATGTATAGGCATGTACAGGTGTGTATATGCAGATGTGTGTACATGTGTAAGCATGCACATGTATGGGTGTATGCATGTTTGAGTGTATGCATGCATAGATGTGTACACATATGGGTATGTACATGCATATTTGTATACATGTATGGGTATGTTTATATGTGTACACAAAAGTGTATACGTGAATGGTTGTATACATGCATGTATAGGTATATACGTGTCTGGGATACACATGAGTAAGTGTACACATGTATAGGTGTGTGCATATATATAGGTGGAAAATGCTTGCCTTTACTACTCATTGCTTTTTTTTTTTTTTTTGCTTTTCTCTTTTCCTAAAGTGGCCTATCAAGTAATGCTTTCAAATTGAGTACTTGTGTAAAGTATTCTACAAATGGCATTTTGTACTCAAGTATCTTTTTCCCGCTGAACAGTGAAGAGCATCTTACTTGCATAGGATTCCTGGACTGTGGTCTTTCCCATTCTTTGCCAGTGTTCCTTTCCTGATTTCTAGTTTCTTATATTGCAATTGGATGGATAGGTGCGATAGGTGCCAGTCTGGATTTTTTTTCCCCTGCTTAAATAGGGTTCTCTAATGCTTTTTTAATGGGATTCCGTAAGATCTTTTGTTCAGAATTAGAGCAGAATATGCTTAGATGTAACTTTCCTTATCAATCCAGTGTCAAACTTAGGGAACAATTTCAATTCATAGATTTGCATATTTCTTCAACAAGGGGAAATTTATACATATATTTCCTTATTTACTGTATATATCTGTACGTGTCCTCCAAATATTTTTTTTTCCTTCTGAAACGTTCTTTATTTGAGCATTAGGTCTACCCTCCAAATCTCTTTTCTTTTCCTTCATATTACTCTCTTTTATATTTTTGCTAAATGCTCTGATATATTTTTTGCCCATGACCACTTATATCAAATTCACTAATCAGTCTCAACAGAGATCAACCTCCTTTTAAATTTATCTATTTAACTTCTTAGTTCCAACATCATCTGATCATCTGTTTAAGTTTTATGACATCATTTTCTGCAGCATTGGAAATGCCCTGTTTGTATTATTATTATTTATTATTGTTACTATTTTAAACAGATGTTCTTTTGTCATCTCTGTCTCTTGGGTCATGTTTTCACTGAGAAAGTGGCTCCTCTCTCTGATAACTATTCGGGACCCTTTCATGGACAGTGACTTTTTTTATCTTGGCTCAAGTTGTCAAGTTTATCTCCATGGCAGAAACCTAGCAGAAGGAGACAGGTTCACTGGGCTGGGCTATGACATCAGCCTCCCGTAGGCTAAAGCAGGAAGACAACCCACTTATTCAGTTCATTCTTGGCTTTCTGAGAAGTGGAGACACACTGCACACTCTGAGGGCAGAAGCTCTCGGCCAGAAATCTGAACATGAAGCCCTTTCAGAGGTAAGCTGCTCTGAGTCCTCAGTTGAGCAGGGCTGGGCGTGGTTCCCCCAGGCCTGCAGCCTTTAGGAGGATTGTGTGCTGCATTTTTCCCCAGGGTTCCCCTGTCCTCTCAAGCACACTGTGGCCTCTATATTCCTATGCCACTTGCCCAGGGGAGGCCTGTCCCCTGGGGTTGTGGGGGAGGGGAAGAAGGCCCATCTTTGGGGTGCTCATCTTCAGGGCACCGTGCTCCCAAATCCCTGTGAGCTCATTGTCCGCGTGCTGCAATGAGCGTCCTGTGATGAGGACCTCATGCTGGGGCCAGGCGAGACCATTCCTCTTGTCTTTGGTTGAGGTACATGCTGATCAAGGCCTGAGCTCTTCAGGGAGAGCACAGGCATGTGAGCTTTCCTGTCTGACAGCATTAATCAGCATATTTGGTTTTTCAAGGTCACAGAAGACCCTGTTTAATCATTTTTTTACACACTATTATGGGGGCCAGGAATGTACCGACACAAGGTCTGAGAAAACCAGTTTTGATCTGAAACCAAGGGGTGACCTGGAATTCAGTTCTAAAACACTGATTTCTTTGAAGACGAAAAAGCTCTTAGAAGGATCCTCAGGATTATCGTAAGTAAAAAGCAAAACTGGTACTACCTGTTTACTGTTTCAGCTAGCCCCCTCCTGTCTTTTAGCCTGGGAAGAGAGAAGATGAAATCCCATGGGCTCTGAGCCCACATCATCTGAGAATCTATTTCATTTAAAGATAATTCATTAGGTTTCATTTTTAATCTTATACTAAGATGAAACTTATCATAATAGGTTTCTATTTGGTCATTTTTCTCCTTGTGGAGAAACGTGGGATAATTCTAATTCTCCTTTGGTGTGACATCATGTTTATCCTGTGAAGATGGCTTTCTTTTTTATAATGAATCTTTTCTTCTGCACTAAACAGACACCTTCCATCCCAGACTCCCTAGTTTCTTCATGCTGCATGATTTAGAGTTGCTTCATTATTCTGATTTTACTTATCAGTTTTTCTTTCAGAACATTATAATTCATCAAGGTCTTTATTAAAGTGTGATGCCCAGAAGTAGGCATAGCTTTAAAGGTATGTTGTGGATATTGACAGAATTGTCCAATCTGTTATATTTCTTACCTACTCAAAAACAAACCTACAAGCCCTCCATTAGGAAAAAAATAAAAATCATGTGGTTAATCTCCAAAAAAAGTCAGGGATCCTTTCTTCCCTAGGCATCCTATTTGTTCCACTCTGGTGTTGCCAACTTCTTTCTTTTACCTTGTGGGTTAATTTCTCTGCCCATGTTATTTTGACACATAGATTTATACTCTCTATTGTGTGTGTATACTGACTCTGATTTTGTCAATATGAGCAAGTTGCATCTAAATATGTATGAAAAAATATGTGCAAATGCATCTGAAGAAGCCACATCAGATACTGTCTGCTTAGATGACCTCCTTCAGGGACCACTTCTTGATATTCTCTGTATAATTACTTATCTTTGGGCCACCCAGCATTTTACTGGAAGTCATTCTGGGAATGCTGTGATTTGCACAGGAACTGCCATCAGTAGTACCAGAGAATGTGGAAACATGGCAGAGGCGAGGCAGTCCAGGAGTTCTGTGCTGCTTCTGTGTGTACTCTTGCCTCAGGTAGATGGATGTCTTTGGTACAAGATACATAGGAGAAAACCAGTATACTTATAACTTAGTCCATTAATACAGCACTCTGGAAGGATTAATACTGGTAAGGATAATGAGACTATATTCTGATTCAAATAATGGGATATTCTGGCCAAAGATTATGTTGCTTGTTGTCCATGAGGAGGGGTTTTTGTTTTTCTGGGTACTTGAGAAAATGCTATTCCATTGACAGTGTCCAAATTATGTCAAAACAACTTACAAGTTGACTCAGAGCTTATATAAACAGTAGGGTGGTTTGGGGGATAATTATCAGATGAATCAGCTGCTTGATTGGAGTTTTTGTTCTTTTAGCCAGCAGAAACATAATAATTCAGTGCTGTAGGTAAGGCCTAGGGAATAGTAAGTGCCCACTGAAAATATTAAGAAAAGATAAGGAACCAAGAGAGCTCCGACAGAGGCGTAGCTGGTGAAGTGATAAGCAGCAAGTGTTCAAAATGTTGTTTGATTGGATTTTCTTTTAAGGAAAAGGGAAAAGGGAAACCTCATGAGACAAATGCTAAATTTGTAGTTATCAAAAGATCACAGTAACCAAGATTGATAAATGAATGACTATAACGAGAAAGCCAAGAATCTTATTTTACCAGCATAAAAGATAAAGCAAAAATTTTCAAATTTTCTTTGAGATTTAATATTTTATATCACTTAACATACTTTACAGAACATTTCACATTAAATTACTAGGTTCTTTTCTTTCCTTAGCTATCTTAGGTACGGATTTTCTTTTTTTTTTTTTTATTCTTTTTTTGAGATGGAGTTTCACTCTTATCACCACTGGAGTGCAATGGGGCAATCTCGGCTCACTGCAACCTCCACCTCCCGGGTTCAAGTGATTCTCCTGCCTCAGGCGCCTGAGTAGCTGAGATTACAGGCACCCGCCACCACACCAAGCTAATTTTTGTATTTTTAGTAGAGATGGGGTTTCACCATGTTGGCCAGGCTGGTCTCAAACTCCCAGCCTCAGGTGATCTGCCCTCCTCGGCCTCCCAAGGTGCTGGGATTGCAGGCATGGGCCACCCCACCCAGCCAGTTATAGATTTTTGAAGCTGGAGGTGGCCTAAGAGAGTATTTGACTAAGAAACAAGACCAAAAAAACCAACACTTCATCTTAAGATTAGGAAGCAAAAGTTGGAAAGGTTTAAGTAATTTGCTCTCAGTTATTTATTAGCAGACCTAGGGATAGAGCTCAGACTCCCCATTGCCAAGTCCATTTGTTTTCCTCACCCCACCATGTGACCTCGTCGTTAGTTTTCCTTTCGTTATACTTTCTGTAATTTTCTCCAAATCTCTTTCACCAGTAGTTAACATAGGAACTCTTCTTTAGCTGGGTGGCCTTCTTTTTTAGAATCTTGTCCTAAAAAATTGCAAATGCAACAGTCTTGACATTTTAACATCAAATTAATTTTCAGTATCAGCTAATCAATAGATCAAGAGTCTTTGCATAATACTGTAGGCATTACAGATGCAATTAAATAATATTCACAAGTTCTTGTTACCAATCTACTAATTTCAGCAAACTCTACAATTGACACATTTGTTTGTGTCATAAATCAGTCAAAACTCTACTGATAAAATTGACTTTGCATAGAGCAGAAAGCATTCTCTTCAATATAGAACAGAAAATGATTTACTCTCATTTATTTTAGAAATTAAAAACTTACACCTAAGGCAGGTGGGATGTTTCCTAAGACAAGATAAGTGACGTACTAAGACACTATACCACTCGATTAAATAAAACTTCCTTCAAATAAAACAATTGCACAAAGAGTCAACAGATGTATATTTTCTACTGGGATTTATTGAACCATGTGGTCTTGTAATTTCCAGCTGCATACGTCACATTAAGTTCTGTCTTTAGAGCATCAAGTAATTGTAAATACAGTATATTTTATGTACAAATGTAAATATATTTAGGTTTGCTCATGACTTTCTTTCAAATAAATTGTGCTTATGTTTGTGAACTAATGAAAGTTTAATTTCTTTCATAAGAGACTAATTTTATTACCATCGTATTTCATGACACTGTAGTATTTTCATGCTTAACTTATAAAATGCCTTCGAAGTATTACTAAAGAAGTAAGATTTCTGCAACTCCTATAAAGCTTTAATGAAGCAATTACATTGCAACAGTGATCTCAGGTTTGTCTTTGACAGTTTTTGCTATTTTTAATAGAACACCATAAGGACATCTCCCACTCTCCTTGGGTCTGTTAGTACCTAATATCTTGTGTGAAAAACTTGTTGAAATCAAGGTGAGAACATTACAGTAGGAAAAAGGGCAAATAATAGCCCTGAAATGATACAAAACAGAATGAGTGTTCAGTGATATAGATGATTAATCAAACTCTACTGATGATGTTGACTTTACATAGAGTACAAAGCATTCCCTTGAAAATAACCCTCTCATAAGTTCTAAGGATAAGTTATCTTCCAAATACAGCATTCTGCATTTATTTACAATCTATTCTATCACATAAGAAAGAAAAATTTTTCTATATCAGGATTAGGTAATTCATTAGCAGGGCTTCACCAAGTTGCTTAATTTAAGAAAATGGTTTCTTAATACTAGAACTTTATTTTACCATAAAATAAGTGCCTCTTGGTATTTTCCCATCAGATATGTTCCTCTTAGTATTTTCCCGTTAGATATGTGCCTTTTAGTAAACATGAGAACTGTCTTTAGCTGATGACCTTCCCTTTTAGAATCTTATGCTAATGAATTACAAATGCAACAATCTTGACATTTTAACATCAATTTAAGCTAATTTTTCATATCAGCTAATCAGTAGGATCAAGAGTGTTCGCATAATACTTTAGGCATTGCAGGTGCAATTAAACAACATTCACAAGTCCTTGTTACCAATCTACTTATTTCAGCAAATTTTGTAATTGTCCATTTGTTTGTGCCATAATCAAATAAGTCAAAATTCTACTGATAAAATTGACTTAGCATAAGCATGATGATAAATGATAAAAATTAGAAAATTTAGAAATCCTCATTACATTTGTAATTATTAATATTGTTAAAGTATGACATTGATAATTAATGAAATTTGGTTTCAAATATGTTCCCATAAAAGGCAAAATATTTGGTAAACAGGATATATGCTCTGCAGATCACTAGGGAAAACCAACAATGTGGAGTTTAAAGGAAACATTGAAGAACAAAAATCTTAAAATCCTCATAAGACCCAAATGTGCCTGAAGTTTCAGTGCATTAAGAGAATTACTGAAAGTCGAAGACTGCTTTATCTATCCAAAAAGCAGCTTTTAACTCTATACCATTAACAAGGGCCATACATAAGCAAAATATTGATAATGGTCACATATAAAAGCATACATCAAAGTTAAGTCAGGCACACAGAAACAGGAGTGGCAATAACAATACACAGTTGAATGTAAGTAAGAAAAGCATTCACTGAAACGAAGTTTATTTCAATCTCAATTTTGAAATAGCTTAGCATCCATTCAGCACAGCTTAATAGAATTGTGTCTGAATATTACTAATGAGATCAATTTGTGAAAGATGTCTTTAACTTTGTCCCTATAAGCTAAAATTAACTTTATCTTCAAATATTCATAAAGATTCTCAAATATTGATTATATGCTAGGTCACTAGGAACACTAAAATTCCCAGAAGCAGACTTCATTATCTTTTACCACAGTGCAACTAATCTAAAATAATCAAATTTAAAAGAAAATAGCTACTGAGAATTTTTTAGTCATTAGACCAAATAAATATTTTATCAAGAAGTGTAATATCTAAAAATATTAATTACAACATTATTATCAAAATTTATGGGTAACAGAGGTAAATACAGAAACAAACTTGTAGTTTTATTAAAAATGAAATAATAAAAATAAATTAATAAAACACACAGCTTAAGATGTTAGAGAAAAGACAGCTAAATAAATATGAATGTACTGAGAAAGCCTGAATAAAGATATAAGTGGAATTGATGAATAAATCTAATAGCTGGCTTAAAAAATAAAGGAAGGAGAAGTAATAACTATAAGAAATTATATATTCATCTAATATCTAGTATGTATTATATAGGTATAATATATATATAATACATAGTAATATACACAATAACATAATAATAACATGCTTTTTCCAATAATGACAAAGAGAGAAAAATGAAATTGAAAATTAGAAGAAGATTGTAGCCATTTTCTTTCTTGGAGTCTTGAGACATAGGAATGCTTTTTAGTTGTATACTTCTTTGTACCATTGTACTCAATAGGTAATCTTCAATACTCACTCTCCTCCCACTCTCCTACCTTTCGGAGTCTCCAGCATGTTATTCCACTCTGTCTATCCATGGGTACCCATTGTTAGCTCCCACTCATAAGTGAGAATATGTGCTATTTGCTTTTATGTTTCTGAGTTATTTCACTTAGGATAATGGCCTCAAGTTCCATCCACATTGCTGAAAAAGACATGATTTCACTCTTTTTATGGCTGAGTATTATTCCATTGTATTAGTCCATTTCCACACTGTTATAGAGGTACTACCTGAGATTGGATAATTTACAAATAAAAGAGGGTTTCTGACTCACAGTTTCACATGGCTGGGGAGGCCTCATGAAACTCACTATCATGTTGGAAGGCAAAGGAGAAGAAAGCACCTTCTTCAGAAGGTGGCGGGAGGAAGAGAGAGCAAAGGGGAAGTGTCATACTTTTAAACCATCAGATCTCGTGAGAACCCCCTCACTATCATGAGAACAGCATGGGGGAAACCACCCTCATGGTCCAATCACCTCCCACCAGGTCCCTCCCTGGACATGTGGGGCTTACAATTAGAGATGTGATTTGAATGGGGACACACAGCCAAACCATATTATCCATGGTGTATATATACCACATTTTTTAATCCACCGATGCACTTTTAGGTTGATCTCGTGTTTTTGCTCTTTTGAGTAGAGCTGTGATAAACATATGAGTGCAGGTGCCTTTTTGAAATAATGATTTCTTTTCCTTTTGGTAAATACCCAGTAGTGGGATTGCTGGATCAAATGGTAGTTCTATTTTTAGCTTTTTGCAAAATCTCCATACTACAGTACATTTTTTTTTATGGTGGGAATTATCTTCCTGATTCATGAGAGTAAGTCGAGGGCAGTGTGCAGTGGATGGTTGTTGAGATGACCACACACTAATGTAACCCTGAGGAGTCACGCCCTCATGTCATCCCTTTTCTTCAGTGAGAGCAGAACCTGTGACCTGCTTCTAATCAGCAGAATACAGCAAAGGTGATGAAATGTCCCTCCCATGATGAAGCTACCTCATATTAGACTCTGTCTTACTAGATGGAGGGAGAAAGATTCCCCTGCTGATTGTGAGAAAGCAAACCACTATGTTGTGGAGATAACATTTTTCTGATTTTTATTTATTATGGAGAGGGCCTCATGGAAGGGAACTGTGGGTGGCCTCCAGGTGGCCTTCAGTAACACAACCACGAGGAAGTGAGTTCTGCCAACACAGATTCTGCCCCAGATGACATGAGAATGTAGCCCAACTAACAGATTGGAGCCTCATGAGACTGAGCAAAGGACCTGCTAACCTGTGCCAGGAGTCCTGCATTCTGGCCACGGAAGGTGTGATGTGCTGCGTGTGGTAGTTTGCTTGGGATTCTGTAACAAAGCACCACAAACGAGACAGCAAAATGTGTCTCCCCACTCCAGAGGCTGGGAGTCTAAGATCAAGTGCTGGCAGGGCTGGTTCCAACTGAGGGCTGTGTGGGAGAATGCATTCTATGCCCCTCACCCTACTTTTCATGGTTTGCCAACATCCATTGTTTCTTGGCTTCTGCTGTATCTCTCTGACCTCTACCTTCATGTTCACACAGTATTCTGTGTTCATGGCTGTGTCCAAATTTCTTCTATTTATAAGGGCATTAATCATGTTGAATTAGTGGCCCATCTACTCCAGTGTGGTCTCTTAACGAATTACTCTGCAACAACCCTATTTCCAAATAATGTTATAGTCTGAGTTACTGGGGATTAGAATTTCAACATATGAATTTTGAGGGAATACACAGCAATCCATAAAAATGTGTTTGTATCATTTTAAGCCATTGCATTTGTAGTAACCTGTTAACACTGTGATAGATTCCTAAAGCAATTGTAATAAGAAAGTGAAATACCAGTAAGAGTATGAAGAAATATTAATGGGGTGCTACTGGAACCGTCTCACTTCAAAACAATTGTGGGGATAGTTCAGTATTGATTCTAATTGAGGTGAAACATCATCTAAAGATATGATGTATTAATATACTCAGTTCCTTTATGAGAACTAGAAGCCACTTTGCTATTAATACAGGAGTTATTAAGAAATTATTTTGGGAAGTTAGCGAGGGTAAAAGTTCTCGGTGGAATTTTCCTTTAATAAAAAGCAGCCCCAAATCATTTCTTCTCTAACAAAAAGCAGTCTGAAAGGTCAGGCTGCAAGCATAGATATGCATGTGTAAATACATGTGGCTAAGAGCCAAGTCCATCCAACATGGCGGTTCCTGCTCCCTTTTCCTTGTCACCACGTGTGCGGGTGTCATGGCCGCTGCCAGGTAGAAGCTGCATTTGCGGCTGGGCGCGATGGCTCACACCTGTAATCCCAGCACTTTGGGAGGCCGAGGTGGGCGGATCACCTGAGGTCAGGAGCTCGAGAACAGCTTGGCCAACACAGTGAAACCCCGTCTCTACTAATAATACAAAAATTAGCCGGGTAGTGTGGGCCTGTAATCCCAGCTACTCAGGAGGCTGGGGCAGGAGAATCGCTTGAACCTGGGAGGCGGAGGTTGCAGTTAGCCGAGATCGCATCATTGTACTCTAGCCTGGGCGACAAGAGTGAAACTCCCTCTCAAAAAAAAAAAAAAAAAAAAAAGAAGCTGCATTTGCTAATAAAAGACTAGGGTGGGAGGGCTAGTCTTTTCCTAGGTTATCTAAATGGCATACCTGGTCAGACCAATCCCCTGGGCCCTATGCGAATCAATCACTGCCTCCTCAAGCCTCTGTACAAAATTGATTGCATTCCGTCCCAAACCAGAGACCCTATCTTGGGCGACCAGCTTTCCCAGCATAAGGAAGCTTTTTTTCTTTCTCTTCTTTTTTGTCTATTAAACTTTATGCCTCTAAACCCACTCCTCGTGTGTGTCCGTGTCCTGAATTTTTTCTCGGTAAGAGATAAAGAACCAGGGTATATACCCCAGACAACAGAGATGTTTCATATGCAATATGAATGCATTCATTCTCAAAGTGTCCCTCAAATTTATTGTCAGTTTTGTAAGTTTGCTTTCAGTTATTTGTACTTTTCCCCTTTTTGCAAGCAAATAAGAGGTGTTGAAAGTGTTGAAAATAAAAATCAGATATATTTTTGCCAATTTGAAAAATCAATTTTGACATATTTTTAATCTATGGAATGCAGCATTGGGATACTAGTGTTCCAAAGTTGCATAGTTTTGATCAATTCGTGGAAAGACATAGGATTGCCTGAGCTACTGTAGCTCAATCTCCCAAACTTGACCTTGTTTATTCACCACGGACTGTCAATCCACTCCAATGAACTGCAATATTCAGACATATTCTGAAAGCAACCTGCTGTCTTGAGAATTTTCTAGTTTTATTAAAGCATTTACTAGGCACCTGCCACAAGCATGTGCTGAGGATTAACCGGTAGGTAGGACAAGGCCCTTCTCTTCTGCTCTTCTCAGAGAATGTGAGGAGTAAGACCCAATGTATCCAGAGAGTGCTGAGAGAGTGCAATGAGTTTACATTCGACTTGCTCTTGGCAGTTAAGAAAGGCTTCCTGGAGAAGGCTGACATGACACCTATGGCATTTGTCACTCAAGTGAGACCAAATGAAGTTGGAGCAGGATCATTGGCTGTGGATTGTGCATTAGGGAGAAATGAGACTGGAGAGGCAAGAAGGTGCTGCATAGGGAAGAACCTTGTTTCACCCACTAAGAATCTAGGTCACCATTCACAAAGCAAAGGCAGGAGCAGCGTCAGGGTGGGGGCAACCAAGGCTGCCCTGAATGGGAAGATTCACACACACACACACACCCCCACACACACACCCACCCACCGTTATGCCTCTTGAACACGAGTTATCTGGCTGTATCTTCATCCACATCTGTTGCCGTCTTCAAACACCCTATCTGCTGTAATTCATACCCGCATGTCACACATAGACCAGAAATTTAAGCTGATCTAAATTTAAGTCATTTCATTTTACTTTCCACACTAGACTCATCCATCCATTCATTCAGTTAACAAATAATGACCCTATTATTTGCAAGTTGCATAAGCCAGAAATCTAGGAGTTAACTTTCTTCTGTTTTCCTCATTCTGTGCTGTAGTGTTATGGCTTTTGAGTCTGACTGTCCGGATTTAAACCCTGTCTCTTCTGTTGAAAAGCTGTAGGACTTTGTACAAGATAATATAATCTTTCTGTGCCTCAGGTTAACAATAGGGAAGATAATATTGAGTATAGGTTATTGTAAAGTTTCAAATAAATAACTCATGTAAAGCCTAAGAACAGAGCTTGAAAACATGTATGTATATATACACATGCACATAGATATATATGTATGCATATGTATATATTTATATAAGATAAATATGCATAGGGATAAAATCAAAGCATCTACTATACTAACATTGCATTTAAATGTAAATGTAATGTTGTTTGCTTAAGAGCCAAACATTCAGCAATCAAGAATACTCTGCTTCTTTGGCAGTATCCAGGAATAAATAACGAAGTGAATTAAAAGAAATGATGTCAGAACTACAACATTTTAGCTGTCACATTACAAGAAACCTGCCATGTCACTGCAGTCTGGTGGGTTGTTTCTGTTCAGGTGTACTCATCTGTGTATACCTGCAGTGTTATATACATGATTCTTTGCTTTTTGGGTTTTATTTATATGACCTTGAACAATCTATTGGTGCTTTAAAGTAAATAAATTCTAAAGCTTCATCTTTCTAAAAAATAATGAAAGACCATAGATGATGAGAGTTTATCTGCAGAGCCTTTTCTCTATATTTTTTCCTTTTTATATGAGAATTGAAAAGAAAGATATTTGGCTTAGCCGGAGATGCTGCATTGTAGTGGGGAGAATACTTGCAACCTATTGAAAATCAGGAACCATGCCTTATCCACTTTTATTTTCTCTACAGTGCCTAGCCTAATACCTTAATTCAGTAAGATCTCCATAAATATTTATTGACAAAAGCTGTGTGCTATTCAGAAATAGAAAGACTGAGTTTCATTTTACGATTGAAGTTCACTTTCTTTAGTTGTATTCTTCGTAAATATTTCTATGTATTTTTTTTTTACTCAGAGCTGCAAATATTTATGCGTTATTAATTATCAGTAAAGTACTAAGTCGAGGTAACAGCATAACAGTAGGGGAAAATAAGCACCTGTGGGTCCCTTAGTATAATGTACAGCTTTATCTAGAATGTCTTGACTTCACCGTTATAAAAGTAGCAATAGGTCGGGCGCGGTGGCTCATGACAGTAATCTCAGCACTTTGGGAGGCCGAGGCATGAGCCACTGCACCCGGCCTCCAGAAATTTTTTATCCAATTATGGTAATATACAACAATATGATAATTAACTTGTAAACCTTATAAGAAGGCTTGGATTTTCTTCAGTGAACTGTGTTTGGATTTTATAAATAAAGACGTTTTTAATTGAAAACAAAAGGTAGAAGTAGAAATAAAAAAGAAAACAAGTAACAACCATAACCAGTATTCTAGACAATGTCACTGTGGTAATTTTGGGATGTTTTCATTTTAGTTTATTTCTGGTATGTTTTAATACCAGTGAGTTCATATGTATAAGTTTTACTCTTATTTTGTCTAGCATTATAGCATTTGCAGTTTGTTGTGTTATTTTAAAAATCATCCTAAATTTCATATTCATGTTAGCTTAATAATCTTTCATGTAATATTCCTCTTGAATTTAATTTACATATGATAAGGTGAAGATGTAAGTGGTTTTCACTTTCTCTTCTTTTAAGAATAACTTGCTAGCTGCCCAGAACAAAAGTACTCTCTGCCTATTTTCCAATTTATGCTGCCTAATATAATGTGTTAAATTCGATTGCATGGTAAGATGCTCTCGGGTTGTTATCCTGTTTTATTTTTTCAGGTATTTTCCCACCAATATTAAGAATTTTTATTTTTGAACTTCATATATAGTAGTTTTACTATCTGAGAATGTTGATTCCTACGTCATTCTTTTTCATTTTCAAAATATCTTAGTTTCCAGACCATCTGTTTTCATATGAAATTTTAGAGAGTGTATTAGGCAGTTTTTGCATTGCTATAAAAAATACCCAAGACTGGGTAATTTATAAAGAAAAGCAGTTGAATGGGCTCACAGTTCTGTAGGCCATACTGGAAGCCTGGTGCAAGTTATCTGCTCAGCTTCTAGGGAGGCCTCGGGGAGCTTTCACTCATGGCCAAGGCAAAAGGGAGCAGGAGGCAGGGCACATGACATGAGTGGGAGCAAGAGAGTACGGGAGGTCCCACGCACTTGTAAACGACAGATCTCCAAGAACTCACTCACTATGGCAGGCACAGCACAAAGACGTGAGGGAGCCGCTCCCACATCCAGATACCTCCCACCAGGCTCCACCAACACTGGGAATTACATCTCAACAGCAGGTTTGAGGGGGATATCCGTACTATATCAGAGACCACTTTTTAAAGTTCCATATTTATTTGCAACAAGTTTTTCATGTTATTCTCATATCTTTTTGATTGTGATAAAAACACATAACATAAAACTTACAATTTTAACCACTTGGAGGACACAGTACAGTTGTGCAACAGGGGGTATCTTAAAAAACAAATCCCTAGTGGGTATCAGGTGTGCCTGAGACACTTTGAGGAGTTGCCAAATTTCAAGCATTCCACTCAGGACTGTCCTGCTTCTTTCTTCATTGTGCCAAGTCCTTAGTGAATAAAAGACACCATGCAATCCATGCCCTTACTAAGTAAGATTCAGCATCACTCTGCCTGGGGCTCCTCCAGAGGTTCTGCAGACTGCCTTGCATCCCACTTGCTGCTGCAAAACAGAGATTCAGTGACATGCAAAAGCAGGTATCTGAGACTGTGGTCACCCAGCAAAATGGAACGGACTAAATGAGTCTCTCTCACTCTCGCTCTCTACTCTTTCTTCTTGGTACTCTTGCCCTCTCTGACTGTTAAAGAAATGATCTAGATGAGATCATGACATCGCATCTCACATGATGCTATTGTGGTTACTTCTTTCCCCACAGACTGTAGGAGTAGAGGACAGTTCAGAGCAGTGACGCAAGAGTCTCAAAAGAAACGCTCAGCTCAATACAGCTATCCTGTTGATAAGGATATGGAGTTAAGTCATCTAAGAAGTAGGTATGTATAGAAATATCTCATTTCTTTAGGCAACTTACTATAGATTTGCTTCAAACCTACAATTTGTTTTTATCTTTTTTAATAGAGACCACAGTTAACTTATTTACATATAGGATGAATCACATGAAAAGGAGAAAACACAGAATGAATTCTGTAATGTGTTTGGGTTCCATTTCACTCTGCAATAGCCCAACCAGAGCGTATTTGGCAATGAATTTTTCTCAGTAAAGTGCAGAAAACTAAGTGTATTAGATGCTAGTTTTGATCCCTTAAATGACATTATGAGTTGATATTTTTCAGATTCTTTTTGAAAATATGAAACAGCATATTGTTTGCGAGAAAGGTAATAGTATCTATTTAAGCTAATTCATGTTAAGTTGATTTGAATTCATGAATAATATATGGCAAGCAAGGCTTGATTTGTGACCAAGATGGAATATTTTTGAACTCTTAGAAAATTGAGAAATGTCAGTCTTATTCCTTTGAAATCCCTTAGGACTTCTTTTGTGTAGCTTGTATATTAGCTTGATACAAAGTGTTGCCTTAAAAAGTTTCTCCCTACCATTGACTTGGAAGCTTCTGAAAGCAGAAACACTACCTTGAGCATAGGTATGTCCAGTAGCTCCTTTTCATTGAATAAGGAGTCAGTACATACTTGTGAAATTAAGTTACCAAAATAAACATTGCAATTCACAGCTTCATAGTCCATGCAGGTTCTTTCAAGGAACCATGTATCCTATTTTTGTTGTCCATAGCTGCCTTCTAAGTAGTATAATTTAGTCAAATTCAAAATCCATTTTTGGCATCCATTTCTTCAATTACAGTTGTCAACTTGAACAATATATGGGCCCTGTACTCTAAGTTTTAAAATTGAGGAGAGGAGATAGTGTTGTTGGACAAGAAGTGTGAAGGCTTTAGAGTCAGGCACATGGATTCAAATCCTGTTTCTACTGCTTCATAACTATGCATGTTATATAAAATTTCCAAATCTCCATTTCCTCTGCTGTAAAATGGGCATGTAATACCTACTTTACAGGATTATTGTCTTAACTTGAGGATACATATGTAAAGCACTGAATACTAATATAGTACCTAGCATTTTACAGGCATTCTGTAACACACATTCTGTAATGACACATGCTGTTGTAGTGTTCACTGAATGCCAAACATTCTTTTAAGCATCAAACAAATATTAACTCACTTAACGAAAGTGCTTATATGAGTACTGAAGTGAAATCCAATCATGGAGTGAGTAGTGCAGAGCAAGGGGTGATTAATTCTTATTGGGGCCCTTTGACCGGGTAGACAGAGGAGGGCTCTTGAAGGATAAGCTAAGATTTTGATAGCATTTAGGGGAGTCCAAGTCTGAAAGAACAACATGAGCAAAGGGAAGTGAGGTGTGTTTGGAGAATGGTACAATTCATGTGTCTAAATGAGTTGGTCCCAAATATTCAGGAAGCTGAGGTGGGAGCATCACCTGAAGCCAGGAGTTCAAGACCAGCCTGGGCCACAAAGTGAGACTCCATCTCTAAAAAAGTTTTTTTTTTTTTAATTTAAAAAATTAGCTGGGCATGGTAGCATACACCAGTAGTCCCTGCTACTAGGGAGGCTGAGGCAGGAAAATGTCTTGAGCTAAGGAGTTTGAGGTTCCCATGAATTACGATCACGGCACTATACTCCACCCTGAGTGATAGAACGAGACTGTCTATAGACCTCTATAAAAAACAAACAAAAAACCCAAAATGAATGAATGAATGAGTTGGTGTGTTCAATAACTAGGAATGAAGAACATTCTTCCAGAACATTCTGAAAGAAGGTTGAGGCAAAGAGTGAAGAGCTGTAAATTCCAGGGTGAGGAAATGAAATATATTTTGTGTTCCTGGAGCTAATCCAGGCAAGGTAATTGGAACTCTGATCAGGAGTTGGAGTCCTAGTGAGAACCATTTTTAAATAATTTGAGTGTTGGAAACATTCACTTGGCCCTTTTATTTGGCATTTCATCTGTTTTTCCATTGATTCAGGTGAAGCGTTTTACCAGTGTGTCATCAGAAGTGGGTACCGGACTCAAATATTGGAGGGCAATTTCCCTTGTTTTATAAGATGGTGATGGGGATCAGTCCCTTCCAGTGGTGTCCACAAGCACAGGCATGGATAACAACACCCATTACTACCTTCTGTCCTTTTCTACAGCCACACCCAGGTTTTACCTCAAAGACTCATTTTGCTTGTTTTTGAGATAAAATTAACTTATTACCGAAACACTTAATACTCTGGGTGGCCCATTGAAGCCCAGCTCAGATGTTGCCTCAGCTAAAGATTGGCTAATTTTATTTTTAGCCTCCTGCCAATCTTATCAAACTTTTACTCAAACATACACTTTACAATTATGAGTTCAGTTTATCATTAATCTGACAATAAAAAGGTAAGAAGAGCTCTGATTTGTTTTGTTTTATAACAACACACGCTTTAGTAATCCTTTATAGATTGTTTCTGTTGTGCTTAAATGTACCATAGTTGTTTAGACCAGAGGAGGTCAAATTCCCTCAACCAACATGCACAAAGAATTGCGGTTGTAATTTCACTTCTTGTTTTCTCTGTGTGCCCATTTTACTTGCACTTATCCTCTCTTCTCTATCTTTTCTTTCTTCTGTCTTGGTCACAAATTAAAGCTAGCTTTCAATACAGTATCCAAGAGTCTTTTTTTATAAGCAATATGTTGAGTTTTATGTTTTTGGTAAGAATCCAAAATATAGCAACATTCACAGTGTCTTGGGTTTTTGTGTTTCATTTTTTGCAATAACCTTCCTACCTGGGCTCGTTGCCTCTCTTCTATCCTTCCAAATTGTCTAAAATGTAAACCTGATCATTCTTTAAATCACCCACCACTCTCTATGGATGGAAAATAGACTGTGTACTGGTTAGGAGCAAGGCCCTTTTTTTTTTTTTTTTTTTTGAATCTTAATCAGCATCCCAGCTGTGCAGTTTAACAGCTCTATATACTGTGGACATGTTAACAACTTTCTAAGCTGCAGTATTCTTACCTGAAACACAGGCTAGTTATAGTGTCTTATAGAACTACTAGGCAGTTAAGTGACACAGAGTGCACGCTAGCACTTCGACTCCTGCCTGCGCAGAGCAGGCACTAACTACATGGACCTGACGTGGGATTCTCTTTACACAGCTTCCCAGACTCATTACTGCTCTGCTCCCAGGCAGAGGGCATTGCCTTCTTACTTATTTATGCATTCATGTTTGTTTGAGACTATCGTGGATTTTATTCTTCATATTGTGTGTTTTCAGAGATTTCTAATTTTTTTTCAATCAGAAATCAACAATGCAAAGTAATTTTTGAGATGAAAGAACCATTTTTCCTGATTAATTTAAGTGGTATTTTTTTCTTCTGAACTTCTGCTTAAACAATTTTTTTCTAAAATAACATGTGCTACCTTTACTATGGAAAAAACCTATTTGTAAATGAAATAATAAACTAAAAATATAAATAATTATGTTAAAAGTTTATTCTGATGAATATAGGTCATCCCTCCCCTATTTTTTAATTGAGTACTGATGATTTTTCTCTTATACTTTACTGCATTTTGCAAATCTTCTTAAATAGCATATACTATTTTTTATGGGTAAAACCTTATTTTTTATATATTTTATTTTACTTTATTAATTTTATTTTATTGTGATAAGAACACTTAACATGAGATCATACCTCTTAACACATTTGTCAGTGTACAATACAGTATTGTTCATCTGTCCATTGATGGACACTTATATTGTTTCCATATTGTGCTAATTATGAATAATTTTGCAGGTAACATGGGAGTGCAGACATCTCTTTGATATCCTCATTTCAATTATTTTGGCTGTATACCCAGGCGTGGGATTGCTAGATGAAATGGTAGTTCCATGTTGCTTTTTGAGGAGTCTCCATACTGTTTTCCACAGTGGCTACTCCAACCCACATTTCCACCAACGTTGTATAATCTTCACTAACATTTTTGTTATCTTTTGTTTTTTGGTAATAGTCATCCTAACAGGTGTGAGGTGCTATGTCATTGTAGTTCTAGAGGACATTATGCTAAGTGAAATTAGCCAGTCACAAAAGGAAGATATTGCATGATTCTGTTTATATGAGGTATCTAAAATAGTTGGATTCTTAGTGGCAGAGAATAGAATGGTGGTTGCCAGGGGCTAGGAGGAGGACGAAATGGAGAATTGTTGCTCAATGAGTAAAGAGTTTTACTTATGCAAGACAAATTAGTTCTAGAGATTCGCTGCACAACCTAGTACCCATAGTTAATAAATGGTACTGTATAGTTTCAAATAGATTGAGAAGATACATCTCATATTAAGTATCATCATGAAAATAAACAAACAAAAACCAAAACAAACCACATGCACACGTGAAAAAAAATAAGGAAATTTTTGGAGGTGGTGAATATATTTATATTTAGTACTTTGTAATATCACAGGTATATATGCACATGTCCAAACTCATCAAAATGTATACATTAAATATGTGTGTTTTTGTGTGTATCAGTTGTACATCAGTAAAGCTTAAAATGTAGTATTGTTGCCTATAAATACAAGGTTATACCTCTTATTTGTCTTCCTAATGCAGATGCTATGTGTCTTGCTTCTTTGCCAACTGTTCTGCTTTGAAAGAATGTGAGGAGCCTAACGGCAGCACCCTCACATCCTGCACCCATCTACCTGAGCAGAATGCCTGATGCATGGCCCATACCCACACATATTTGTTAAATTGTGAATACCGTCCTACTCCACAACATCTGGGCTCACCAACATCAGCCACTTCCCCGTGTTCCCACGTGTGGTCTTTTGACTGTTGGTTATATCTTCATACATTCATTCAGGCTTCTTCAGGATTAAATACCTTTGATTAGACACTGAAGATTTACAGAAGAGAGCATTATGAAAGTAAAATGTCCAACCATTTGCATTAATATTATCCCTAACAATACTTGTATATTTAAACTGTTTTAACACAGTACTGTATAGAAGCTAGCATGTGGTCAGTACTGATTCATGGTGCCTCTAGCTCACAGTGCCTCAGAGGACATGGAGTTATCCAGTGACTAAACTACTGCTGTTGGTAACTTTTGTTATTTTTCTTTGTTTCCCTTTTTTAAATTCCCTGATTAATGTAAACTCTATACTATGTCTCTGATTTATGACTTGTTTTACAAGCTCATAGAATGTACTGTTTCTGGCAAGCCATTTTCTTAGTAAACAATGGAAGACATATTTCAAATAGAATAAAGCAGAACAATTTTGAAAGTTATAATGGTTTCTTCACAAGGAACAACTTTTTACAAAATTTGGAAAAACGTAAGAGCACTTGAAATGCAGATATCATACCCAATAAATCAAATCTATCTAAAAATATTTTTAACAATACATGATAATTGTAAATAGAAAGAACTTTCATTTCTATTTCCCAAATTAGTTATTTGCTTCTGTTTTTTGAAAGTTTCAGTAAACTCAAAGAAACATATCTTAAATTCAACCCAAGGTTTCCTTATATCCTTTTATTATCAACAAGACTGAGCTATTTTGCATCAGGTTAAAGGTTAGATTTTTGTCACTCATAGTATCCTTATCTTATTTTAGTTCTTGCCATGAATTTATAATAGAGAAAGCAGCTTCCCTACCTGGCTACTGGATAATATGTTATATTAAATTTGTCACTGCTCTTTCACTGTTTAAAGTGAAATGAAGAATTCGTTAGCAAAAGAAATACTTTAAGGTCTAAATAATATATCAAATATATATGTAATACAACATGAAATTTCCTTTATGTCATAAGAAATACTTTCTTATTATTTTAGATAAATTACATGAACCAGATGTGACACTCTGGATTATCATCTTATCTGCCATTTAATTTTAATTTTGAATTCCACTCATACCATTTTCCTTTTAAGATCACAAAGAACACCAATCACAATGCCTTGTACATGCCAAATGACCAAAGAAGATTTGATGATATTTTAAAATTCTCACACGACTTTTATTTTTCAGCATTTTATTTGCTTCTTGTTATAAATAGGCAACAAGATAAAATATATGTGGGTGAAGATGCTAGAAATGTGACAGTTCTGGCAAAAACAAAGTTCTCCCAAGATTTCAGCACGTTTGCAGCGGAAATTCAGGAAACCATCACAGCACTCAGAGAGCAGGTTTGTTTTCTCTTCAAATAACATGTCCTTATTGTATGCGTTGGAATAACTAAACATAAAAGATTTGTCCAGTAACTCTCCACAATTACAGCACAGTATCAGAATAATAAAAACCTATACAGGGAGTTGTATTGCTTTTTTTTTGTTTTTACTTTTGCTTTTTTAAAGACACAGTCTTGTTCTGTCGGCCGGATGGAATGTAGTAGCACAATTCTGGCTCACTGGAGCCTCCACCTCTTGGGTTCAAGTGATTCTTCTGCCTCAGCCTCCCAAGTAGCTGGGATTACAGGCGTCCGTCACTACACCCAGCTAAGTTTTGTATTTTTAGTAGAGATGGGGTTTGGCCATGTTGGCCAGGCTGGTCTTGAACTCCTGGACTCAAGTGATTTGCCCTCCTTGGCCTCCCAAAGTGCTGGGATTACGGGTGTGAGTCACTGCACCGGCAGGGAGTAGTATTGTAATAAGAAGTGAGTTAGGGAAGGAGGCCTTGGGGAAACACACTACAAACAGGCAGAGAGCTTCATCCTTTCTACCTAACGCTCAGGGCTCTGATGGGCATGAATTTGGTCGGCACTGGCTCTGCTTGCTGCTTCCAACTGCCTCACCAGCACTTTTCTGAATAACTGTGAACTTGATGCCTGCTTCATCTCCACAGATGGAGATAATTTTTAACAGCACGATGTATACTTTTCTTATCAATTTTTCGTGGAGTAGAGTCAAAGAAGCTTCTTAGGAAGTACTGTTTTCTCTGGCTTTCTTTTTCTGACAAAGTTGTGGAAAACAACATTCCCACACCCCGCTATACTTTTGCTTATTTTGCCAGTTGTTCTGGCTCATGCCTTATTTCATTTTTCCAAAAACTTGAGGATGAATCAACAAGAAGGAAAAGACTTGTATTAGAAATTGCGATGTAGATATTTTTATTCAAAAATATATGTCTGATTTCTTTCAAGGCATGGTGCCAAGCTGTCTGCTTCTTAGACAGTAATGTCACTGTGAGGTATATGCTTTTCTTCATAGCATCAAAGCCTTGAAAGCAGAAAACACTGTAGGAGGATGGGCTGAGCCCAGGCTGTGCCATCAGGAAGTTCTGCCCTCACTATTGGCCTGACCCAGTCAATTTATTTAATCATTCAGAACAAGTATCCTCATCTGAACTTCAGGGCTATTGTGAGGATCCAAAGAGATTCTAGAACAGAAGGACTTTGTGAACTACAAGCCCCTTAAAATATGATTGCTTCTTTTGGATGTGAACACGTCTAGTCCCAGGTGGAGCGGTGTGATTACCAGGTGCATATGCTTCCCTGAGAGGCTCACATTGGGAAGCTAAGCTGCCTGCAGCTGTGGTCTGTATCAGTGCCTTCACTTGACCAGAAATAGCCACCATTGAAATCACTTGTCCAATCTGAATCTTTTTTCCCTTTTTTTTTTTTTTTTTTTTGAGATGGAGTCTCGCTCTGTCACCCAGGCTGGAGTGCAATGACATGATCTTGGCTCACTGCAACCTACCTCTGCCTCCCGGGCTCAAGTAATTCTCCTGCCTCAGCCTCCCAAGTAGCTGGGATTACAGGTGTCCACCACTGCACCTGAGTAATTTTTGTATTTTTAGTAGAGATGGGGTTTTGCCATGTTGGCCAGGCTGGTTTCAAACTCCTGACCTCAGGTCATCTGCCCGCTTCGACCTCCCAAAGTGCTGGGACTACAGGTGTGAGCCACTGTGCCTGGCCATCCAATGTGCTTTTTTTTTTTTTGAGATGGAGTCTCGCTCTGTTGCCCAGGCTGGAGTGCAGTGGTGAAATCCCAGCTCGCTGCAACCTCTGCTTCCCAGGTTTAAGCACAGCCTCAGCCTCCCGTGTAGCTGGGGGACTACAGGCGCCCACCACCATGCCCAGCTCATTTTTGTATTTTTAATAGAGATGGGGTTTCACCATGTTGGCCAGGCTGGTCTCAAACTCCTGACCTCAGGTGATCTGCCTGCCAGCCTCCCAAAGTGCTGGGATTACAGGCCTGAGCCACCATGCCCAGCCCAGTCTGAGCCTTATAAAAATCTGAAAGACGTGAGGCATTGCTTCTAGAAGGTTACCCTTAAGATAGATAGCATGCAATGGTTGGGGTGACTGAGAACTCTGGACATCACAGAGTCCGGAAACCCTATTTCATCCTCGTGAGTTAATGTGTATCAGGGAAGAGATGTTGTAACAGCAAAGAAAAGTCCTCAGAGCTGGGCTAGAGAAGGTGGGCCCAAACAATTTAAACATTAACTCATATATCACTCAACAAACTATTTTTTCATAAATTTAATTTATGGATTTACAGACACAGGTAGATTCCATGAGCAACATTTCAGTTCAATTTCCATTTCATTACATATTGGTGGTGATAATTGTGTATTTGATATGTGCTGTAGTGATTAAAAACATCCCAGAGATGTATGTTTTTAAACATACCCCAAGACTGCAGTAGTTGCCCCTTCTAGGTGTTTAGTAGCATTCTTAGTACTTATATCTAAATTTATCAAGATGGAGTGTTTTTGCCTGTTTAATTGTCTGTCTCTTCCATTCCACTGTTAATTTCTTAATAGTTGTGACTATTTCACAGGGGTATCTTCAGAGCCTGATACAAAGTCTGTGTTTAAAAATAGCCAGTTTCTTTGTGTTGGAACATGAAAAGTTAGCTCTAGATCTCTCCATAATCTAAGGTGTGTGACAGGCTGGACACGGTTCAATGAGAGAATTAGAAGGTCCTGTGATCTCTTATAGAGGTCAGAGACTTACTCAAGCTATGACCAGGCTGTAGAGGTGGAAAGAAGTTGCAGCAGTTCCCAGTGCCTCATGTACACTGAGTGACATGTAGCAAATGCCTGACTGATAGGAATTAAACAATAAATAAACATGACATAACACCAGCAATAAGAAATATTGACCAAAGCCAGAAATCAACCCAGATCATCTAAAGGGGATTGAGAAAAATAAAGAACCCAGGATAGATAGCAATGATAAACTGCAGATTTCCTGGGTGACTGTCAGGTGCAACTATAGTAGAGTGGGGAGCACCCAAAGGTAGATGGGGATGACGAAGACAGACTTTTGTGAGGGCCAACGGTCTTTTGAGATGCGACAAGCCCTGAGTATTTGTGAAATTAGCACTTACTACTGATCTGTCACTTACTATACTGAGACATAAATTTTAATGGTCCACATTGAAAGGTAGGTTGTAACAGTGAGCCTGTTAGCTGGAGAAGGAAATTTCTGATTGTTCAGTGTATGCCACTTTGTGGTTTTTCTATTACTCACCATTGTGGATGCAGTAAGTCCTGTGAAAAGGTTGCTTTTTACAAAAACCCTTTGTTTTGTGAAAAATCAGCATAGAGATAAAGGGCATGTATATTTCTGGAAGTGAAATTAGTGAAGAAATAGATTAAACAGAATCTAGAATGTTTAAGAGAATCTATATACCATAATGGGCCTCATCATGGGAGATTACTAATGTTCTTGAGACTCATCCTTTAGATGTGAGGGGATTCCAAACTTCAGCTAAAGATTTCTTACCTTTACTTCCTAACTCTAGGTGACATTACATTTATGGTCTGCAACATAAGGTCTGTCTTGACATTTCACACTGTTGATGTTTTACCTTTGTTAAGTGACTTTTGAATGTCTAGGAATGATGATTTTTGGTCTTGATTTATCACCATGATGGGATCAAGCTAACCAAAGTGGTCTGCAAATTTTCATACATGTTATAGCTCTTGTGTAAGTAGTTGGGCCCAGTAAATTATATTTGCCCTTTTCGTTTGATTCTGATTATTGTGGGAATAACTAGAGCCATAATTACACTCAGAACATTTTATTATTTCTATTTGAGATTGTATCTAGTTTACCTGACTGTGGAGAGGGCATGGATGTGTGTGTGTGTGTGTGTGTGTGTGTGTGTGTGTGTGTAGGGTATATAATGAACAATGAGATGAGATATAAGAATTTACACTTTTAATTATAATAAAAATGTTAATGAGGTCTTCACAGATATTACAAAAATGTGTGCATGCATGTACTCGAGGTACTACAAATAGGAGAGGTTTTAATAAAAGAAGTTAGAGATTCTCACAACTGTTGGAGCAGTGAGAACAAAGGTCATGGAAACAGCTACTGAAAGGAGCTCACCAGGAAGCCATAGCACATCTCAGTCATTTGTACAGGATCCCCAAGCCCAGCCCTCCTTTATGCATCTGCTGACAACTGCACTTAGGATAGTATCGGCGTCTCCTTCCAAATCTTATATCAGTGCCTCTCATTGGTAGACTCTAACCCAAAACCACAAAGGGAAAGAGATCCAGGAAAGATGGTACATGACGCCAGAAAAACACTTTGTGGTCACAAAGACAGAATTCTGTTCTGAATGCCAATTACATAAAACAAATAAACAAACTGATATAAACAGAGATATGGAGATCACTATGTCGGCCACTATAATTTGTTAATCTAAAATTAATTAGGTCTGGAAAAAAATGCATACATTAGAACTGTTCTAGAAAATCCAGCCTCCTCACTTCATTAAACAAGTAAATGTAGATGGTTGAAAGGAAGGAATAAAAGATACTCCAGAGGCTTTCTTAAAATTAGGAGACAGGTAATGTTATTACCAAATAACAATTATAGAAAGTGAAACAGTTAAGATTAAATAGGTTATGACATACGTAAGGAACAGATTGATGTTCAGTGTGGCTGGAGATTAGCTAATCAAAATTGTCAAAACAATGTACAAGGAGCCTGGTGAGGCAGAAAGTTTCTAGATGAGAAGACCTAATAAGCTCATATTAGATTTTCTTCTGGAATCTAAGTATATGAGGAAGGAATAAACATTTTTTCTTCTGGATGGATAGGAATTCCAGGAATTTATCCATCTCTTGTAGGTTTTCTACTTTATATGTGTATAGGTGTTCATAGCAGCCTTGAATGATCTTTTGCATTCCGGTGGTGTCAGTTGTAATATCTCCTGTTTCATTTCTCAGTGAGGTTATTTGGATTCTCTCTCTTCTTTTCTTGGTTAATCTTGCTAATGGTCTATCAATTTTATTTATCTTTTCAAAGAACCAGCTTTTTGTTTCACTTATCTTTTGTACTTTTTTTAGTTTTGATTTTGTTTAGTTCTGCTCTGATCTTGGTAATTTCCTTTCTTCTGCTGGGTTTGGGTTTGGTTTGTTCTTATTTCTCTAGTTCCTTGAGGCATGATCTTAGATTGTCTGTTTGTGCTCTTTCAGACTTTTTGATGTTGACATTTAGGGCTATAAACTTTCCTCTTAGCACCACCTTAGCTGTATCCCAGAGATTTTGATATGTTGTGTCATTATTGTCATTCAGTTTGAAGAATTTTTTAATTTCCATCTTGATTTTGTTTTTGACTCAATGCTCAATCAAGAGCAGGTTATTTAATTTCCATGTATTTCCATGGTTTTGAGGGTTCCTTTTGGAATTGATTTCCAATTTTATTCCACTGTGGTCTGCGAGAATGCTTGATATGATTTCAATTTTCTTAAATTCATTGAGGCTCATTTTATGGCCTATCATATGATCTATCTTGGAGAAAGTTCCATGGGCTGTTGAATAGAATGTGTATTCTATGGTTGTTGAATGGAGTGTTCTGTATATATCTGTTATGTCCATTTGTTACAAGGCATAGTTTAGATCCATTATTTCCTTGTTGATTTTCTGTCTTGATGACCTGTCTAGTGCTGTCAGTAGAGTATTGAAGTCCCCCAGTATTAATGTGTTGCTGTCTATCTCATTTCTTTGGTCTATTAGTAATTGTTTTATAAATTTGGGAGCTCCAGTGTTAGGTGCATATATGTTTAGGATTGTGATATTGTCCTGTTGGACAAGGCCTTTTACTGTTATATAATGTCCCTCTTTGTCTCTTTTAACCACTGATGCTTTAAAGTTTGTTTTGTCTGGGTGTCTATTTTCATAAATGCTTTTTTCCACCCCTTTACTTTAAGTTTATGTGAGTCCTTATGTGTGAGGTGAGTCTCCTGAAGGCAGCAGATAGTTGGTTGGTGAGCTTTTATCCATTCTGCAGTTCCTTATCTTTTAAGTGGAGCATTGAGTACATTTACATTCAATGTTAGTATTGAAATGTGAGGTACTGTTGCATTCATTGTGCTCTTTGTTGCCTGCATACTTTGTTTTTTGCTTTTACTTTTTAACTTATATTTTGTTTTATTGGTCCTGTGTGCCTTATGCTTTAAAGAGATTCTGTTTTGATGTGTTGCCAGGATTTGTTTCAAGATTTCGAGCTCCTTTTGGCAGTTCTTGTAGTGGTGGCTTGGTAATGGTGAATTCAGCATTTGTTTGCCTGAAAATGACTGTATCTTTCCTTCATATATGTTGCTTAGTTTCGCTGTTTACAAAATTCTTGGCTGAAGATTGTTTTGTTTGAGGAGGTTGAAGATAGGGCCTTACTCCCTTCTAGCCTGTAAGGTTTCTGCTGAGAAGTCTGCTGTTAATCTGATAGGTTTTCCTTTACAGGTTACCTGGTGCTTCTGTCTCACAGCTCTTAAGATTCTTTCCTTCATCTTAACTTTGGATAACCTGATGACAATGTGCCTAGGTGAAGATCTTTTTGCAATGAATTCCCCAGGTGTTCTTTGTGCTTCTTGTATTTGCACGTCTAGGTCTCTGGCAAGGCTGGGGAAGTTTTCCTCGATTATTCCCCCAAACATGTTTTCCAAGCTTTTAGAATTGTCTTCTTCCTAAGGAACACCGATTATTCTTAGGTTTGGTCATATAACATAATCCCAGACTTATTGGAGGCTTTGTTCATATTTTCTTATTCTTTTTTCTTTGTCTTTGTTGGATTGGGTTAGTTCAAAGACCTTGTCTTCGAGGCCTGAATTTCTTTCTTCTACTTGTTCAATTTTATTGCTGAGACTTTCCAGAGCATTTCACATTTCTAAAAGTGTGTCCAAAGTTTCCTGAATTTTTTATTGTTTTTTTCTTTAAGCACTCTATTTCATTGAATATTTCTCCTTTCACTTCTTGTATCTTTTTTTTTTTGATACAAGCTCTTGCATTGAGCTTCGCCTTTCTCTGGTCCCTCTCTGATTAGCTTAATAAATAACCTCCTGAATTCTTTTTCTCGTAAGTCAGGGATTTCTTCTTGGTTTGGATCCTTTGCTGGTGAACTAGTGTGATTTTTGGGATCATTGATGAGCCTTGTGTTGTCATATTACCAGGGTTGGTTTTCTGGTTCCTTCTCATTTGAGTGGGCTCTGTCAGAGGGAAGGTCTAGGGCTGAAGGCTGTTGTTCAGATTCTTTTGTCCCACAGGGTGTTCTCTTGATGTAGTACTCACCCCCTTTTCCCATGGTTGTGGCTTCCTGTGAGCTGAACTGCAGTGATTGTTGTCTCTCTTCTGGGTCTAGCCATCCAGCGAGTCTACACAGCTCCTGGCTGGTCCTGGTGGTTTCTGCACAGAAATCTGTGATATGAACTCTCTATGGGTCTCTCAGCCATGGATGCCAGCACCTGTTCTGGTGGAGGTGGCAGAGGGTGAAGTGGATTCCATGACGTTTCTTAGCTTGGGTGGTTTAATGTTCTATTTTTGTGCTGGTTGACCTCCTGCCAGGAGGTGGTGCTCTGCAGAAAGCATCAGCTGTAGTAGTATAGAGAGGGACTGGGCCCTAGAACTACCAAGATTATATGTCCTTTGTTTTCCACTACCAGGGTGGGTAGGGAGGGACCATCAGTTGGGGGCCGGGCTAGGCGTGTGTGAGCTTAGACTCTCCTTGGGCCAGTCTTGCTGCGCTGCTGTGGGGGATGGGGATGAGATTCCCAGGTCACTGGAGTTGTGTACCTAGTACCTAGGAGGATTATGGCTGCCTCTGCTGAGTCATGCAGGTTGTCGAGGAAGTGAGGAAAAGCCGGCAGTCACAGGCCTCATCCAGCTCCCATGCAAACCGAAGGGCCGGTCCCATTCCCACCGTGACACCTGCAACAGCCCCTAGTCTGTTTCCAGGTGGAGGGCAGGCTTGAAAACTTGCCAGAAGCTTTCAGGCTTTCTGCCTCCCAGCTACGAAAGAAAAGGGCTTTAGTTCTTCCCCTGCCTGTGATGTCTGTAAGCCGGATTCACGCCCTCCCCAGAGTTCTGGCTAGGAAGCTTCTGTCCCCACTGAAATTGTTACAAAGTTCAGCTAAGGAAGTCCTTCTCTCCAGTGCGGTTTTATCCCCTGCTCCTCCAGCCTCTCTCCTGATGGATCCCTGCAGTGTCAGGCAGGAAAGGGCTGCTTGGGGATTCAGTGAGCTCCCAGGGCCTCCCTGCTGCCTCCTCCACCCCTGTATTTCACTTGGCTTGGCTCTCTAACTCAACTCAGCTCCAGGTAAAGTCGGGAACATCTCCCACAAACAGACCTTAAGCTTCTCCAGTGGGGGTGTGTGTCCGGGAAAGGAGGGTTTCCTTTTCCCACTTCTGCAGTTGGGGCACTTACAGTATTTGGGGTGTCTCCTGGGTCCTGCAGGAGCAGTCTGCTTCCTGCAGAGGGTCTGTGGATCCTCTCGGGATTGCTGGTTTGTTCTTGCAGTTGATCTGGAGTTAAGTTTCACAATGCAAGCCTCCGCAATGCTGCAGTATCCGGATCTGCAATCTAGTCCTGCCTCCTGTCTGCTATCATCTATCGGAAGTCCTTATCCATTGTATTCTGAAAGCAAATAACTTGTTTGGTTTCTCAGGTTCACAGATTGAGAGGAATTTTCTCTCAGGATCAGTCATACTCTAGTCTTACCCATAATTGGTTTAGATGATATTTTAATGAGATTTGAGGCTTGGAATGGATTAAGACTTTAGGGGCTATTGCAATGGGGTGAATTGATTATTTTGCATGTGAGAAAGACATGAATTTTAGGGGTTCAAAGGGTGTAGTGTTATGGACTAAATTGTGTCTTTTCCTCAAATTTTCATGTTGAGTTCTAATCCCCAGTACCTCATAATGTGAATGTAGTTGATAACCATCTGCAAGCCAAGAGAAAGGCCTGAGAAGAAATCAACCCTGCTGGCACCTTGATTTTGGACTTTCAGCCTCTAGAGCTGTGAGAAAGTAAATTTCTGTTGTTTAGGCTACCCAATCTGTGGTATTTTGTTATGACAGCCCTAGCAAACTAAGATACCGTTTTTGCAGAAATGAAACAGCCTGTCGAAAATTCATATGGAATTATAAGGGATGCTGAATAGCCACATTTTTTTTTTAATATTGCCCTGTAGTTCTTAGATTTTATATTAGTTTTCCATTCTCAGTTTTTTCTTTGCATTTTAGTTTGGGAAGTTACTATTGACATATCTTCAGGTCAACAGATTCTTTCCCCTGCAACCTTGAGTGTGATAGTTAATTTTATGTGTCAAATTCTGGATCATGGGATGCCCAGCTATCTGGTTAAACAGTATTTTTCATGTTTCTGTGAGGGTGTTTCTGAAGAGATTAGCATTTGAATTGGTGGACTAAGAAAAGCAGGTGCCCCTCCCAGTGTAGGGGGGCATCCTTCAATTTGTTCAGGCCTGAATGGAACAAAAAATTGGAGGAAGGTTGAATTAACTGTGCCTGACAGCTTGAGTTGGGACATAAGCCTCTCCTGCCCTCAGCACTCCTGGTTCTCAGGCCTTCAGACTCAGACTAATCTATACCATTTGTCCTCTGGCTCTCCAGCCTTTGAACTGTACCAGTGACATTCCTGGGTCTCCAGCTTGCAGACAGAAGATTGTGGCCCTTCTCAATCTCCATAAACATGGATCCAATTCCTTATAGTAAATCTCTTTATATTCACGTCTTATTGGTTTTATTTCCCTGGAGAATCTTGACTAATACATTACGTCTACTGATGAAGCCATCGAAGGCATTCTTCATTTCTGTTATAGTTTTGATTTCTAACATTTTCTTTTAATTCTTCTTTTGCATTTTTATCTCTCTACTTACATTACCCATGTTTTCCTGAATGTTGCCTACTTTTTCTACTAGGGTCATGAATGTATTAATCATAGTTATTTTTATCCCTGCCAGATAATTTCAACATCTGTGTCTCATGTGGGTCTGCTTCTGATGCTTGTTTTGCCTCTTAAAACTGTGTTTTTTCCCTTCCTTTGGAGCACGCCTTGTAAATTTTGTTTAAAGCCATACATGATGTCTTGGGTAATAGGAACTGTAGTTGATAAGCCTTTGCTTTAGGTTTTTGTATTGAAAAGGCTGACTGTTGTGCTGTGTTTAGTGTTTCCTGTAGCTGTAGATGCCATGGCTTTAAATTCCTCCAGTGTCTTTGTTTTTGTTTTTCCTACTGACTTTGGCCTTTCTTATGTATTCTTCCTCAGAGAGAGTCTGTGTCTTTCAGCTGCTTCAGCAGTAATCACTGTTATTATGCTGGCATCCTGTTGATGTGCTGGTCAGGTGTGGGGATGGGAAATATTTTATCATCCTCTGATGAAACCTCAGCTTTCTAGTGGGCTTATGTTCTGAGGCTATGATTTTCACAAGCATTGCTCCAGTACTGTGGCCTTTTCTCCACCTCCTACTCCTTTCCCTGGCTGGTGTGCAGCTAATTGATTTCACTGAAGGGCTGACCCCTGGTTTTTCTGTTGGCTTTTTCCTGATTAAGTGAGTCAGGAAGCCTGGAGTAGGATGCAGTGAGTTAGAATCCCTTTTCCCAGTTTGTTTTAGGATTTAGTACTGTACCCTGGCAAGTTCCTTTCCCTTGGTATAGAGGCCTTTTTTATGGAGAAGGCTTTGGGTGTTTTTCATGAAGGATATCTTCCCCTCCCGCTGCCAGGGCCAGGAGGGGCTGTTTCTTGGATCTCTTCAATGAGAACCTCTTAAGTTTCCTTAAGGTAAACTTCTTGAATACCTTACCTCACTAAGACAGTAACACCTAGTAGTTTGTCATGCTCACATTTTTTATATTGCCCTGTAGTTCTTAGATTTTCTGTTAGTTTTTCATTCTCAGTTTTCTCTTTGCATTTTAGTTCGGGAAGTTACTATTGACATATCTTCAGGTCAACAGATTCTTTCCCCTGCCACCTTGAGTGTGATAGTTAATTTTATGTGTCAATTTCTGGATCGTGGGATGCCCAGCTATCTGGTTAAACAATATTTCTGGATGTTTCTGTGAGAGTATTTCTGAAGAGATTAGCATTAGAATTGGTGGACTGAGAAAAGCAGGTGCCCTTCCCCAGTGTAGGGGTGCATTCTTCAATTTGTTCAGGGCCTGACTGGAACAAAAAAGTGAAGGAAGCCTCCAGCAACTTCTTAAAATTTACCATTTAAGAGTTTGCATTAGTCAGAGTTCTCCAGAGAACTAGAATTAATAGGAAATGTCTGTCTGTCCATCTGATATGTGTATTAAAAGGCATTGGCTCACACCATTATGGAGGCTGGACAGTCCAAAATCTTGGCCTGACAGGCTGAAGACCCAGGACAGCTGATGGTGCAGATGAAGTGGAAGGCCATCTGCTGGAGAAGTCAGTCTTGCTCTGGGAGGCTGCTATTTGTGTTCTATTCAGGCCTTCACCTTACTGGATGAGGCCCACCCACATTATGGAGGGCAATCTGCTTTACCCAGAATTCACCAGTTTAAATGTTAATCTCATCCAAAAGCACTCCCAAAGCTGACTCATAAAACTAACCATCAGGGTGTTCCCACCAGTATGGCTCAATGCTCAGTCAGTCTGTCCCAGGTAAGCAGATCTTGGTTGCTGCCTCTCTTGTTATCCTCCTGTCTCTTCAGATTTCACCTTAGTGGTTTGCCCTTCAACCTTAGCTCTCTAAGAAATTTATTGATTTTCAGTGTGTCCAATTTTTCTTGTCGTGAGGATGGGAGTGATGATTTACAAGCTTGCCACATGCTGGAACTAATGCTGGAGTTGCTTTATGTTTTACTCATATTTCTGAACACAAAGAGACTTCTTTGCCAATTTAAAAGTCCTGGTATCTTGTAGGAGATGTGGTTCTTCAGGTTTATGGGCCATGCTCTTGCATAAAACATTTGGAGATGCATCTTAAGTACACTGAGCAAAAGTATTGAACTTTACAACATTGAGTCTTGGAGTGCTCTTGACTTTATAGTTCAAGCTTATGTAGTTACAATTCTGCAGTACTTTCCATTACCCTTTTAATTTTGCATACAAAAGGTTTTCAGCAACATGAATTGGTTAATAAGAAAGCTCTTCTAAATTTTCCGTAACTGTTTCCGTACAGCTCCCAGTGAAAAGACACTTACATGATTGTATCAGGGCCATCACTGAAGAAGATAACTTGGTAATTCTTGTTGTTGTGATGAGAGTTTTTTCTTTCACTGGCGTTTTATACAGCGGCTTGGTCTAGATTAAGCCATGAATTAGACAGGTTTTGCTAAGTTATGCTCTAGTAACAACCCAAATCTTGGTTTATGGCAACAAGGAGGATTGTTTTTCACTCACGTTGCTTGCTCTTTGGGGTTCAGCTGTGTCTGTCCTCCACAGTTTTTCAATCTTCCAACCCAGAGGAAGGAGCATCTCTAAATGGAGTATACCTTCCTGTTGCAGAAGGAGATAGGCAATAGAAGTCTCATTAGACAGTACCTCAGAATGTGATGTTTTTTGGCTTGTAGATCTCTGTCTTTTTGTTCACATGGGATTATCCCTGTGTGCCAATCTGTGTTCAGATTTCCTTTGTTTATGAGAGCATCAGTCATATTGAAGTAGGGGCTCACTCTACTCTGACTTTATCATAACTAGTTACATCTGCAATACTCCTATTTCCAAAAAATATCACATTCTGAGGTACAGAGGGTTAGGACCTCAAGATTTGAATTTGGGGAGTGATGCAGCTCAACCCCAAGCAGGAACCATGCAGATAAGGATACTTCTGGAATGCAGAACAATGATGCAATCATTGTCAGTATTATCTACTTTGACACAGCAGCTGCTTTTTGGGGAATGCAGTGAGGCTGAGAAGGCTACACTTTTGATTATATATCCTTAGGAAATCTAAAACTGCAATAGTTTGAATAAATTAAGTAAAAATGTTACATGAAATAGTGTCTAATGAGAATTCTATTTCTGGGAAGGCCGAGTAGATGTATTTTTGCCTCCTGCTTATTTTTCTTTTATTTTTACTTTTTTTCTGAGACTGAGTCTCACTCACCCAGGCTAGAATGCAGTGGTGCAATCTCGGCTCACTGCAACCTCTGCTTTGCAGGTTCAAGCGATTCTTGTGCTTCAGCCTCCTGAGTAGCTCAGATTACAGGTGCCTGCCACCACGCTTGGCTAATTTTTGTATTTTTAGCAGAGATGGGGTTTCACCATGTTGGCCAGGCTGGTCTTGAAATCCTGACCTCAAGTGATCCACCTGCCTCAGCCTCCCAAAGTGCTGGGACTACAGGCATGAGCCACCGCACACAGACGCCTCTTGATTATAGTATAGACAGCTACAACCCCTGGATATCACGTTTAAAACAAACATAAGATGACTCAGAATGGTGAAGAGCAAGAAAGCAGACTGATCAGGGACCTTGGGCTCCAGGAACAATGTGATGCTCTTTCCTGGGTAGTTTTTCCTCACGTAGCTCAGGCTTGAAACTGAAGAAGCCAGCAACCTGAGCACATCAACAGACACAGAAAAAGGCCCAACAAAACCTGAGTCCCTCTAGACAACAGGCCATAAAAGTGGAGGCCTAGCAATACAGGTAACTTCTAGACAATAACCACTCTACCCCAGCCAAACAGCACAGAAGAAACTGTGGCCCCCACCTCCAGCAAGACCAGCAAAGGCCAAGTGAGGAGGTGGCTTTCACTCTCCCCAGGGTATACTGAGGCACCTAAGGACACCTTGAGGCTGCTGTCCGAGAAAGCCAAGTAGGAAACTAGGGGGTCATCATGCCAGATGATTGCATGCAAAAACTTGGGGTCATAAGGGGAGCCTGGGCTTCCGTCCTAACCCAGCAGGAATGAAGCTCCCCTCCCTCTTCACTGGGGTGGTTGCAGAGAAGGCCTAGTGGAGGTTCCAGGTGCTCTCCATTTACCAGGGGGTGATGAGGCTGCCCTGCCCCTCACCATCCTGAGGTGCATGGAGGCCATGTCGGGAGAAGTCACAGAATACTATGCCTCCCATCCAGGAGGGTTATGAGGTGGCCTGACAGGGAGCCAGAACCCCAACTCTACCCAGCAGTAATGAAGAGAACCCCTTTGTGTGTCAACGGAGGCCAAGGAGGGAACCTGGACTTCTATTCCCACATGGCAGTAATGATGTGGGACCCCTCTTCCCATGCCAGAGCAGTTTCAGAGGAAAACACCTAAACCAGAAGGCTTAAGTAAGATCCAAAACCTCCAGGTTTCAATACGAAATTATTCATCATACCAAGAACCAAGAAGATCCCAAATGGAATGAAAACAGGCAATCAACACTGAAGTGATAGAGGTGTTGCAGTTATCTGAAAAAGATTTCAAAGCAGTCATAAGCTGGGTGCAGTGGCTCACACCTGTAATCCTAGCATTTTGGGAGGCTGAGGCGGGTGGATCACAAGGTCAGGAGTTTGAGATCAGTCTGACCAACATGGTGAAACCCCATCTCTACTAAAAATACAAAAATTAGCCGGGTGTGGTGGTGCATGCCTGTAATCCTAGCTACTCAGGAGGCTGAGGCAGGAGGTTGCAGGGAGCCAAGATCACACCACTGCACTCCAGCCTGGGCAACAGAGTGAGACTCTGTCTCAAAATAAACAAACAAATAAATAAATAAAGCAGTCATAAAAAATGCTTCAATGAGCAATTTCAAACACACTGGAAACAAATGAAAAATGGATGAAAATTTTCATCAAAGTAATACAAGACACAAAGGGAAACAAGATGGAGATTTTGGAACTGAAAACTACAATAACAGAAATAAAAAAGATCAGTTGATGGGCTCAAAACGGAATATGGATCAGAGGGGAAAGAATCAGTGAACTGGAAGATAGAAGACTAGCAATTATACATTCTCAACAACAGAGACAGCATAGACAAAAACAAGATGAGCAGAGCCTCAGAAGCCTGTGGGATTATAATAAAACATCCAACATTTGTGTCATTCAGGTCTTGGATAGAAAGAAGAGAGAAGGGAAGGACAATTCCAAAGAAATGCACACCAAGACACATCATAGTCACACTTTTGACAACAAAATAAAAAGGAAAACATTTTGAAAGCAGCAAAAGAGAAACATTACCCTGCCATTTACATGCTGAATGGTGAATGCTTGAATGCTTTCCCCATAAAACTGCAAGGTATTGCAAACAAGGCAAGGATGTCCATTCTCACCACTCTTATTCAACCTAATGCTGGAAGTTCTTGCCAGTGCAATAAGTCAAGAAAATGAAAAGGCCTATAGATTGAAAAGGAAGAAATAAAACTATTTTCAGATGATACAGCTGCCTACATAGAAAATCTCAAGGAATCTACAAAAATACTCCTAAAATGAATACATGAGTTGAGCAAGGTTACAGGATACAACATAAACCCAAGATAAACGTAGAAAAAATTAATGGCATTTCTGTATACTAACAATGAACACATGGGTGATAGGAAAAGGAAAGTTACATCCTTTTATTATCAAGACTTTTTAGTTAAGCCTGGAATAAAAGTGCCACGCACTGTATTTCTTATACTAATGACCCGTACAAGATTCTTTTTTTTTTTATTTTTTTATTTTATTTTATTTTATTTTTTTTGAGATGAAGTTTTGCTCTTGTCACCCAGGCTGGAGTGCAATGGCATGATCTTGGCTCACTGCAACTTCTACCTCTTGGGTTCAAATGATTATCCTGCCTCAGCCTCCCGAGTAGCTGGGATTACAGGCACCCACCACTACGCCCGGCTAATTTTCTTGTATATTTAGTAGAGACAGGGTTTCACCATGTTGACCCGGCTGGTCTTGAACTTCTGACCTCAGGTGATCCCCCTGCCTCAGCCTCCCAAAGTGCTGAGATTATAAGCATGAGCCACCGCACCCAGCCCTGGTACATACAAGATTCTTAAACTATTTATTTCCCTTCTTAGAGCAGGGTGTGGTGGTTTAAGCCTGTAATCCCAGCACTTTGGGAAGCCAAGACAGAGTGATTGCTTGAGCCCAGGAGTTTAGGATCAGCCTGGGTAATATAGCGAGACCCCATCTTTACAAAACAACAGCAACAACAAAAAATTAGCTGGACGTGGTGGCATACACCAGTGGTTCCAGCTACCTGGGAGGCTGAGGAGGGATGATCACTTAAGCCCAGGAGGTTGAGGATACAGTGAGCCATGATGGTGCCACTACACTCCAGCCTGGGTGACAGAGCGAGACTGTCTCAAAAAACAAAACAAAACAAAAAAAGCAAAACTATTTCCCTTAAATAATTTATTAATTTGTTAGCTTATTTAAATTTGAAAAAGCTTTACTGTCCTAAGTGCCTAAAGTTTAGAATAGATATGCATTTTCCCAGTGTTTTTGGACATAAAAGTTTTCTATATGTCCTAGTCTGCTAGGACATATTCATTAATATCTTTAGAGATTTTTTTGTGATTTTCATACTTCAAACCCATGACCCCACTCAAGAATGGATTATTTGGTTCACATCTGGTTATTGTGAAGCCTTGTCATTCAAGCCTGCATTGTAATATTTGTCTTATCATCCTCTCCATTCTCACTGCTCACCTAAAGTCAGGGGTCAAGTCCTGCTAGTTTATTAGTGTATTAGCTGGTACATATCAGGTACTGAATATATCTATTGAGTAATGAATGGGTGGATGCCACTGCCCAAGTGTAGGCACTCATGCTAAATTATCTTCCAAGAACCAACCCTCCTGTCCTACTTCAATACAAAAGCAGTGAAAAGAATTTACAGAATCAAAATTCTTTCACATCAAGACTTTTTGCTTTCTAAATGAAGTCTGAGTTCATCGTGATTTTTTGGGTTCTCCTCTTCTCCTTAAACCCACATCTAGCCAATCTCCTCTACCTGCTACATGGCTCTTTTTGTCTCACTCCCTCCTTCCTCAGTGGAGCCCATATTGGTCTCCATGTTAGTTTCTCACCAGTGATCCTTCATGTTGCCACAGGAGTGATCATTGTGATGTTATTTCCCATTGCCTGGAGACTGCACTTAATTAATTTATGTGACTTTTAAGGGCCTAATTTTCTTTGCTGCCCACTCATCCCACCTCAGTTCCCACTAACATGTTCTCTGTAGATCTCCCCAACAAAGGAGGGGAGAGAAATGTACATTTCTGAAATACTGATCTGTTTCTGGTACCCATGCTTTAACACATATTTTTTTTTTTCCATTTGCCTGAAATGCCTTTTCCCTGCTTGTTCTCCTGAAAGACATGGTCATCTCTCACAGCTCAAATGCTTTTTTCCATATATCATATATTAGTCTGCTCAGGCACCATAGCAGAATACAAGAAAATGGGTAACTTAAAACAGTTTGTTTTTTCACAGTTCTGGAGGCTGAAAGTCCACGATCAAAGTGTCAGCAGGGATGGTTTCTTCCAAGGCCTCACGCCTTGGCTTGCTGATGGCCACCTTCTCCCTGTGTCCTCACATGGCCTTCGCTGTGTGAGCACATCTGGTGTCTCTTCCTCTTTTTTACAAGGACACCAATGTTATTGGGTTAGAGCCCCACTCCCATGACCTAATTTAACCTTAATTACATCCTTCGAGGCCCTATGCCCAAATATAGTCACATTGGGGATTACGGCTTCAACTTATGAATTTTGGGGGAACACAGTTCAGTCCATAATATCAGGCATCCCCTCATTCCCTGAGGCAGAACTGAGTGTGGCTTCTGTGTTAGTTCATTCTCACACTGCTATAAAGAACTACCTGACACTGGGCAATTTATGAAGAAAATAGGTTTAGTTGACTTACAGTTCCATAGGGTTAACAGGAAGCATGACTGGGAGGCCTCAGGAAGCTTACAATCATGGTGGAAGGCAAAGGGGAAGCAAGCACCTTCTTCACATGGCAGCAGGAGAGAGAGAGCAAATGGGGGAGGAACTGCCACACACCTTTAAACCATCAGATCTCATGAGAATTCACTACCCCGAGAACAGCATGGGGGAAATCTGCCCCCAAGATCCAATCACCTCCCACTAGGTCCCTCCCCCAGCATTTGGAATTACAATTCAACATGAGATTGGGTGGGGACACAAAGCCAAACCATATCAACTGCCCTTCTGCTCCCCTTGGGATTCCTAAAGACCGTTATTATCTAAAGGCTTATAGCTGTGGTTTATTGGCCTTTATACCAAATTGTAAAGTTGGAGAGACCCTGGTCTGCTTGCTTTCATCTTTGAAACTTAATAAATATTTGTTAAATAAATATTATTTTATAACAACTTGGGGGACAAAAAATAAATAAAATACTTATTAGTTGAATTTACAAGTGTGCTTATTGAGAAGATTTTCCAAATATGTAATTTCATTCATTTGATTTTAATTCCCCTTCCTTTAGAAATTAACTCTTTCATACTCTAGGTCCATGTTCAATATTTTTTAACACCTACAGAACTGTTTATTTGTTTGGATACTGGATGATTCAAGCTCATTAAGTCCTGGGGGAAAATGAAAAATTATGTAGGCTTTGAAGTTTCTTTTGCCTTCTAGGTGTGTGCTTACAGAATAGAGCATTTCATCAAACCATGTTATTGATTGGCTTTGTTGCTATCCGCTTCAATTTCCACTCTTCTTTCCTTTGCCTCCCCTTTCAGATAAACAAGCTGGAGGCACGCCTGAGGCAGGCAGGGTGTACAGATGTTAGAGGGGTTCCAAGGAAGGCCGAGGAGCGCTGGATGAAAGAAGACTGCACTCACTGCATTTGTGAGGTTTGTGCTGCGAGTTTTCCAGTCCAACTCCCCATTTCACTTCTAGCCAGCCAGTTGAAGCATACTTGAAAAATTCAAAAGGAGAAAAAATATATTTTATGTCAATAGATTCTAGGCATATTTTTAAGATCAAGGTACTGGTGTGAAATTTTGAGGCTTTTGCTTATTAATAAAAGAGTATAGTCACAATCTAATGAGCAGTCGCTAGAGACCACGAGCTTTTTCCATGTTCACTGATGGACGAGGGAACCAAGGCTAAGGAAGTTTATGTCAGTAAGTAAACTGAGCCAACCTGGGACTTGAGTTCATCTCATTATTCTTCAGTCAGGCTCATTATAAATGCTGCCTAAAGGCACTTGGTAAACCTACACAATTCTATGGAAAAATAAAAAAGTGTTATCATGGTGTCTACCAAAACAAAAGAAAATAAAAATGCTCTGTATTCGTTATTTAGTTTGCTTTTTGAACAGAGCTGATTCTTTCCAGCCATGTAGAAATGCATGAACTTCCTCAGCTAATCCTACCATATGGTACAGTAAGGTAGGTAACATTTTATAGGGCAGGCTTGCTGTTCGTGCTGCAAATGTATAGAAAGAAAGAATGAATAGAAACCATGCAAAAATGAGCTCATACTATGAGCATTTTTTATTATATTGAGACAGTCAGCTTATTAGATTATGTATTATAAGAAACATTTATTTGTCTTTTAAGTACTTTGATTATAAGAAACATGGAGGTGATATGTGCATGCTGCCTTTCAGAGTGGCCAGGTCACCTGTGTGGTGGAGATTTGTCCCCCGGCTCCCTGTCCCAGTCCTGAATTGGTGAAAGGAACCTGCTGTCCAGTTTGCAGAGACCGAGGAATGCCAAGTGATTCCCCAGAGAAGCGCTAATAAAAGTTTTGTGCTGTTGAGCCCCAAATGGGAAATTTCTCAGGAAGAGACATTTAGGACTTCAGAACTTTTAACTTGTAGTCACATTGTTGATATGGAAACCACTGACTTAAGCAACTTAGTTCATCTAATCTTACATATACTTACGATCTTTTATTTTTTCATTTTCTAACATACCTTGAAATAATTCAAAACTAAAAGCAATAAAGTGCATATGAAGTGTTTGATCATAAGAAATATTTCTTACTGTAAGCTGTCAGTTTTATATGCCACACCTGGAAATAAAAAGAATATCATGGAATATTTAAAAAATATATGAGTATTGTGGAAAATCTCTAATTTTGGAATTCAGAGAGGTTTCAAGGTTTCATATCTGCAGGAATTTTGAAATAATGAGTTTTGCACTTACAGAAAACATCTGGAAGGGTCTGTGATACATTCGTGACAATGTTGTGATGCTGTTCTCCCCACTGACCCCCCTTTCTCAGATCTACAACCTAGACAATTGTCAGACTTTGCTGGGAAGGCACTTATCTTAACCATCATTAGTCGCTAAGTCCTCGGACATAAGGAAAAAGTCAGTGAAGGAATATCATTATTTTAGGGAGCTTGTTAGTTCTGCATGTGGCTGAAAAATGCAAACTCTCTGAGAGAAAGAGACTTTAAAGTAGAACTGCTCAATATCCACCTTCCTCTTACTTGGCATTATTGCCATTCCTGAGATGTCAAAATTGAAATATAACCAAGCCTGAAATTCAGGAGCAATCTGAATTTACTATAAGCAGACTTGAAAGTGTTTCTGACTTTTACAAAAGGTGTTACTGTGGGGTTCTTCTAATTTGGGCACTTTCTTACAGCATTTGACACAGAACCCCATAGACAAGTGTATTTATACTCAGAATTGAGTATTAAGTAATTTAGGTGATTTTCACTTCATATTAGATCAGAGCCTTTAAAATCTGATATAAAAATATGTACCCATATGTGGGGTTGATAGATCTTTTTAAAGAATACTTTGTGCCAAGACTTTTTTTTTTTTTTTTTGAGACAAGGTCTCACTCTGTCACCCAGGCTGGAGTGCAGTGCAGTGGTGCCTTCACGGCTCACTGCAGCTTCACCTCCTGGGCTCAAGCAATAGTCTCATCTCAGCCTCTTGAGTAGGTGGGACTACAGGTGCACGTCACCATGTCCAACTAATTGTTTTTTTTTTTTTAATTTTGTAGAAATAGGGTTTCACTGTGTTCCCCAGGCAGATCTCAAACTTCTGGCCTCAAGCTGTCCTCCCTCCTCAGCCTCCCAAAGCACTGGAATTACAAGCATAAGCCACCATGACAGCCAAACCCTTTAAGGAAAGATTTCATGTAGTGTCCTGCCAAGAGAGGGCCTCGAAGAGAGAGTGCTACTGTTTTTCAATTACAAAATAAACTTTTAAAAATAGGCATCATTTCCCAATATTTAGAGTCCTTTTGTAAAATGCAGTATTAGTTTTAGAGAAAATATTCTGGTGGCTTTTGTATCATGAATGAGGAAAGATGTTTCTAGAGTTTGTAGTGTATTTCATCGTTTTAAAATGTGTTAATGATTCCCAAGATCCAAATTAATTTTTACTAAAAAGGTTTCAAAGGATAAATCCTAATATGCCATAAAAGTTTCATATTTCATGGCCTTTCAAAATCCAAAATAATTTTTAATTATACTAAGTTTTAAAAGATAAAACCTAACAAATCTCAGATGCTTGACATTTGGTGGCCTTTTAAGGCCCAACATTGTGAAATGCAGCTAAATCTTATGAATGTAAGTGTAATGTGTTTCTCAGAAACAGTCACAGTAAGCTTACCTGCAGATGACAGTAACAAATGACAATTACTGGCCGGGCACGGTGGCTCACACCTGTAATACCAGCACTTTGGGAGTCCGAGGCGGGCAGATCACAAGGTCAGGAGATCGAGACCATCCTGGCTAACATGGTGAAACCCCGTCTCTACTACAAATACAAAAAATTAGCCAGGCGTGGTGGTGTGCGCTGGTAGTCCCAGCTGCTGGGGAGGCTGAGGCAGGAGAATGGCGTGAACCTGGGAGGCGGAGCTTACAGTGAGCTGAGATCACGCCACTGCACTCCAGCCTGGGCGACAGAGCGAGACTCCGTCTCAACAAACAAACAAACAAACAAACAAACAAAAAATGACAATTACGAACGAACTTTTAAGTTTAGTTTTCTCATAATATTCATTTGCCGTTGTTTCATCTTACTGCCATTTAAGCAAGACCTATGTGATTGCTCATTTTATTTTTTACACACTGACCACATGTTAACTTGGATGTCACATGGTTAATATGACTGGCTCATATAACATAAACAAATATTAAAATAACAGAATGAAATTATCATTTAAAATAGAACTGGATTGACTACATGAGGATTTTAAAAACTGTATGTCGATTGACAAGAAAACTTGAAAATTCAGCCAACTTTATAGACATCATTATAATTTAGTCATATAAATTGCTTTTTGCTTTGTATATTTTACTTTACAACACTTATTTGTCTATGTTTTTAATGTTTTTATTCTTGAAAATAATATTGCAAATGGTAAAAATTTCAAGTATTTCCCAAGGATATATATACCCTGCCCTTCATTTCTCCAGTCTAAGTGCAATGATTATTTTTAGTTTTAGGTTGTGTGTGTGTGTGTGTGTGTATGTATATGTGTGTATGTGCCTTTGTGTGTGTGTAGTAGAAATTTCCATTAATCAGATTGTTAAAGAAAGTACCACATCAAAATAAATGAGCTGGGTAAAGGCTACGTAATCTGATAAGACTTACACATGTGAAGTGGTAATGATATCTTGAGAGAAAAGGAACTAAGTCAAGTTAGAAAAGAACCTGGATTTTTAGAAATTTAGAATTGTTTAGAAGTGGAAAGTATCAAGTAATCTGTTTTTTGGAAAAGCATGTGAAAGAAACAACATGACTAGCTGTCAGGGAATGGAATATGTGATTGACAATATGATATTGTTTGCCCACAAAAGAAAGAAAAAATGTATAAAGCTAAAACACATGAACTGGATGTGCCAGTAACTCTGAAGGACAGAGCATGGAGGCAGAGCTGAAGGAGCAGGCTGGAGCCACACAGATCTATGCTGATGAATCTGGAGAACATTCCAATTTGATCATGGTAATGAACCAAGCACAGTAAAGACAAGGAGCCCTAGTGGCCAGTGTTAAATCAAAGCCCAGACACTAGAAGTGCAAAGAGCCTGCAAGACTACGTTTTATGTTTTAAACCCATGCCCCAAATTTCTAATGACATGGAAAACTGAACTAACCAGAATCCTGTTCTGTTTCACATTTCTAAAATGCTGAACAAAATGTGATACAGAACATGAAATATGTAATTCAATATGAGAGAAAAAAACACAGAAAATCTCTGAGTTTTATAACAGAAGGAACCTAAATCAAGAGATATAAAAGGCAAGCCAGGGGCAAAATAAAGTCAGATATAGGGCCCAGTAAAGTTGAGGCTGGTGTTTTAAATTCACACTCGGGATTGGATGGTGCAGCCTGGGGCCAGGACAACACTATGAGCATAAACCAAGTTGCTTCCTTAGGACGTCCTTCCCATGGAGGATACCTGGAAAATCTGATCTCCAGTCCAGGGATGCTGCAGAGAAGGTCCTTTCTATTCCAGCTTGGGATAGAAGAAACTCTTATCTCATGGCCTGTGGAAGTCTGCAACCAAATTGACACTAGCCTTAAAGTTTGGAAATCCCAAGCTAGGAAACGGATGTGAACAGTTGCCCTGTCCCAATAAAGAAATCACAAACCATATGAGGAAATGGCACATCACACAGATTAATCAAGAGTCACAACAAACAGGATTATGAGCACCCCAAGATTTTAAGATAGTAAAAAATTCTGAAGGATACTAAGAGAAGGAATGGAGCTGGTGGAAAATAAGAAACATTTTGAAAAACTGACCCTGTGCTGCACTTTGTATTTTAACAAATTTCAGTGACCAAGTGGTATTTTACATTGTATGTTACTTCATAACAAATACAATCAAAATAGAAAACTAATAATTAACAAAATGATAGCATATACATACACTTTCATAAAAAATACACTTTCATAAAAAAAGAGATTAGAATGGAAATTATAAAATATTTAGACTGAACCCAAAACTAAAAAGTAAAAAAAATATATATATCAAAACTTGTGGAAAGCAGTTATAATTGTGAAGTATAATTGAGTGATGAGCATTAGTTCACTTTGATCATATCTGAATGATTTCTATTTTTAGCCTCTGCAGTTCTCTCTGACCACAGGTAAGCACAGAACACTTGGCACACAGGACTCTGATGCATAGGCCGCGCCACCGTAGGCGTTTGGGGTGGAAGGGAGTAATGGAAAATGTGAGAAATAAGCTTGAATCTTAGAACATTTTGGAAAGAAGGTGACAGTCCTTTAGTCACTGTCTCCCCTCTGCACTAGCAGTGGAGGGTTATAAAAATACCCAGTGGGGAAAAAACACCTAAGTAGAGCCTTCTAGTTGATGACGGCTTAGGAATCACCCGTCTATTGAGATATCACCACTATTGGGAATGACAAGGCATTTGAAATAGTATCTTTAAAAAAAGAGAGCATGAGGCCGGGCACAGTGGCTCACACCTGTAATCCCAACACTTTGGGAGGCCGAGACAGGTGGATCACCCAAGGTCAGGAGTTTGAGACCAGCCTGGCCAACATGGCAAAGTCCCGTCTCTACTAAAATTACAAAAATTAGCCAGGCATGGTGGAGCACACCTGTAATCCCTGCTACTCGGGAGGCTGAGACAAGAGAATCACTTGAACTCAGGAGGCGGAGGTTGCAGTGAGCCGAGATTGTGCCACTGCACTCCAGCCTGAGTGACAGAGTAAGACACCTTCTAAAAAAAAAAAAAAAAACGTGGAGCGCGGTGGCTCAGGCCTATAATCTCAGCACTTTGGGAGGCCGAAGAGGGCAGATCATGAGATCAGGAGATCGAGAACATCCTGGCTAACACGGAGAAACCCCATCTCTACAAAAAAATATAAAAAATTAGCCCAGCATGGTGGCCGGTGCCTCTAGTCCCAGCAACTTGGGAGGCTGAGGCAGGAGAATGGCTTGAACCCAGGAGGTGGAGCTTGCAGTGAGCCGAGATCGTGCCACTGCACTCCAACCCGGGTGACTGAGCGAGACTCCGTCTCAAAAAACAAAAAAAAAAACAAAAAGAGCATAATGTTGGCCAAAATGTATACTGCCTGTTTTATAACCAGTATGTATAGTCACGGCCTTGTGGCATGGGACCGTATGTTAAAAGTCAGTCATATACCTTGAAAGAAAGCAACACTGCTTCTTAAGAGTACTGAATATCATGTTGCCTCAGATGTTAAGCAGCAGAAAATGTAAAGGATGTCCTCCTAAGCTCTCAAAGGATTTGAAGTTTAAATGAAATAGAAGAGTCATGCAAACCAACTTATTTGACTGATACTGTCACAGAAGCAAAGTTTCTTTGGAATATACATACACACAGTGTATGTGTGTATCATGTACATATATGTATTTGTGTATGCATGTGTATATGCTTGTATATATTTGTGTGTGTATATATATAGTCCCAGAGTCTTGTCTGACCTTTCTCCTACCTCCACTCAAACTGCATTTCTTTTCATTTTTTTTAGTTTAATTTTTTTTGAGGCACTGTCACCCAGGCTGGAGTGCAGGGGCATGATCTCGGCTCACAGCAACCTCCATCCCCCAGGTTCAAGTGATTCTCCTGCCTCAGCTTCCCAAGTAGCTGGGATTACAGGCACGCACCAACAAGTCCAGCTAATTTTTGAATTTTTAGTAGAGACGGTGTTTCACCATGTTGGCAGGCTGGTCTCGAACTCTTGACCTCAAATGATCTGCCTGCCTTGGTCTCCCAAAGTGCTGGGATTACAGGCATGAGCCGCTGTCCCTGGTGACCAACTACATATTTTTAATGCATAAATTATACATTTTATATTTTACAAAACTGCAAAAGCAAATCCTAAACATTTGGTTAAGATCCTTCTGCACTCTCCTCCCGTGACAAAATACAGTTATGATTTCTTCACTCCATTAAAATAATCCAGATTAGAAAATCCAGGCATCTGGATCTCCATGAATTCTTTATTTTGTCTTTATTTTTGTAAAGAACACTGTTTACATTAGTTGCTGCAAATAGTTCCAAATCCTTTCATATTTATTATAAATGGGTTTAATTACTGTTATGTGAAAACAGGGCCAGTAAATAAACCAATTCTTAGGAGTAGATTCTTTGGTTTATATATTGTGACTGATGGCATGTTGAAAAATTTAAAGCAGTTTGGGTTGCAAGAATCAGATTTCTCCCCAGTCACTTTTAGTACACGTCTCTTTTAATGGAATCCACTATCTTCTCATTTCCCTCATGTTAAAATCCTTCATTTGGTTTCTGTAAAACTCTGACATTTATGAATTATTTAAATTTTCTTTTGCTCTCATCCATTCTTCTTAAAAACAGTTCATATTTGCATAAGTTAACTAAAATCATTTCTCCTGACAAATATATATCCATGATAGTAGGCTATGGAAAAGATACGAATTATATTTTTATTCAAAGAATTCCCATGGTATGAGTGAGTTTTCTGCAATCTTGAAGAGAAAATTTTATAAATAATGTATTCGTTTATTTAATCACTTCCTATTTGTAAGTGACGAAGGCCACAATAGAGTATTTTGGTCTTCTAAACTGATTTTGTTGGACTAAATGGATGTTAAATTTATTAATTAGACATATAAAATATGTATCTCCTGAAAGTGTTTAATGTATAAACTAACTTTCTTGATTATAGATGAAATATTCATGTGTTCTTCTTGTCACTGCTGGAGATTCCTGTGTGAGCAAAGGGAAGAAATCAGCATGAAATATGAGCCAGTCTTTGTATCACGATGCGGGAATGGCTCTTTTACACAATTACCTTCAGGCAATAAGATAGAATTTTTTTCTTTCTTCCTTTTCTTTTTGCTTTAAAACTGAAATATGTGTGCACTATGAGATCCAAGAATGGTAAAGGATCTTAAGAAGAAGCAATTTACTGAAGCACAGTTGGAAGCCATGTGTCATTACATTAACAGCTAGGAAATTACAGGAGCCAGCACACCACACTGGCTTCAGGGTTGCGGATGGCAGTCCAAAATGGAGTGGCTTGACTTCCAAAAACCTGAGCTGACCTTTAAATATGAAGTCATGTTGACTCGAAGCCCTCGGCAGTGTTCCAAGTAGCAAGATGCTCTATGGGTAGCAGCAACAGTGGTAGTTTCAAAACCAGCTATAATTTTGGGAGGCCACCCACAACACTTTCACCATCTTCAAATATTTTTTGCAAACGCTATGACACTAGAACAACCAGACAAAAAATAAAGACCTCTGTTACAGCCATTTAAATAGTATGATCATGAAATATCTCAATTGCAAAAGCAGAAAAGTGGTCTTGTTGATGTAGGTCTACAAAGAATCTATACAGTTTTAAGTTTCCAAAGACTGGGATTAGGAACGTAAGTGAGCTTGTTTCTTTTTGATAGTATCAACAAACCATCAGATTTGCCCTTACCCTCCCCCAACCCCCACGCCAAAACACATGCAAATCTCAGGCCTACAACAAACACACTAGCACAAAATCCTAAATTACCTGTGGAGTAGAAAGGCCAAGACAGATAATGGGTATGTCTGGGAGTATCACAGAGCTCAGGGGGCTGCCCCTTTTCCAAAGTAGAGACTGGGCATGGACACTGGGCTTTGCATGCTTGACTGTGTACTGAGACTGGAACAGAAATCCAGTCTATACTTGAGGTTAGTTATCAACAAACATTAAAAATAGAAGCAAGCAAGGGGAATCAATATTCAATAACTAAGAACCCAATAATCAGATTGAAAATTTGTAGGGAAAGATAAATACATATAGTATATGTGTTATCTTCTACATCAACATGACACTACTTTTCTGCTTCTGCAATTGAGATATTTGAAAAAATCCAACATTGACTTGTTAAGCCTATTATAGCAGCTATTTTCATTCTCAAAACACATTTTTAATATTCTTTTGTGCAAGGAAAGTTGAGACAGATGTTAAAGTATCCTGGCTGGAGAGCAAAAGCAGCGTCTACTTTGTAATAATATAGTTTAAAGTTCATATCACTTTATTGTATAACATCAAAAACAAAATAGGTTCAAGGCTTCCTGTAGTAGTAAAGCAAAACAAAAATATAACAGTTTTTTAGCTATAATATTAAGCAGCACTAGTATACCATACACACTTGGTAAGGATAAATTTTGTCACAATGTACTCTTTCATGCTTAGGGAGCTGACTGAGAGAAATATATTCACTTTAAAATTAGTCTAAAAACCTGATCAAAAGGCAGAAATTGCCAGGTGTTGTGGTTTATGCCTGTAATCCGAGCACTTTGGGAGGTTGAGGCAGGTGGATCACCTGAGGTCAGGAGTTCGAGACCAGCCTGGCCAACATGGTGAAACCCTGTCTGGGATTACAGGTGTGAGCCATTATGCCCAGCCCAGTTAGCTATATATTTTTAGGATTTTTGCATCTATGTTCATGAGGAATATTGACCTGTAGTTTTATTTTCTTGTAGTATCCTCATAAAGCTTTAATATCAGGATCAAACTGGCCTTGAAAAATGAGTTTGAAAGTGTTGCCTCTTCTTAACTATTTTGGAAAGTTTTGAGAAGACTGATAGTTCTTCTTGAAATGTTTGGTAGAATTCAGCTGGGCTTAAGATACTCTATTTTGTTGTAATTAAATCTTGGTAGGTTGTATGTGTCTAGGAACGTATCCATTCCTTCTAGGTTATCCTATTTGTTGGTATAAAATTGTCCATAGTAGTTTCCTATGATCCTTTGCATTTCTGTGGTATCAGTTTTAATATATCCTCTATCGTTTCTGATTTTATTTATTTGAGGCTTTTTTTCTTAGTCCAGCTGAAGGTTTGCAATTGTGTTTTTTTTTTCAAGAAACCAACTCTTAGTTGATCTTTTCTACTGTTGATCTAGTTTCTATTACTTTTATTTCTGCTCTGTTCTTTAGTATGTCCTTCCTTCCATTAACTTTGTGCTTGGTTTGTTCTTCTTCTTCTAGTTCCTTGAGGTGTAACTTTAGGTTATTTGAAATCTTTCTTTTTTTGATGTGTTTTTTTTTTTGCTATAAACCTCCCTTCTAGAACTGCTGCAAACTCCCCCAAAGAACACAGGAAAAGGGAACACTTTCAAACAAACTCCATGAGGCCAGTATTACTCTAATACCCAAATCAGTCAAATATACTACAATCAAAGACCAATATCTCTTATGAATATAGATCCAAAAATCTTCAATTAATACTAGCAAACAGGACACAGCAACATATATATGATATATGCACAGCCAAGTGAAATTTATCCCAAGACTGAAAAGTTGGTTTTACATCTTAAAGTCAGTTAATATAATACACAATATCAATAGAATAAAGGGCAAAAAACTCACAAAATTATCTTAAATATGTGGAAATTGCATTTGTCAAAATTTAACATCTTTTCACAATGAAAACTCTCAACAAATTAGAAATAGAGGGACATTTTCTCAACTTGAAAATGGCGCTTATGTAAAACCCAAAGCTAATATAATCATTTAATATTGTAAAACAATGTTTTGCCCTTAAGATCAGGAGCAAAACAAGGATGCCCACTCTCAACACTTCAGTTACGTGATGGAAGTTCTAGCCATGCAATAAGGCAAGAAAATGAAAAAAAAAAGCATTCAGTTTGTTCAGTTTGGAAAGGAAGTAAAGTTATTTCTGTTTGAAGAAAACCATGATCTTATATAGAGGAAGTCTTAAGAACCCCACTAACAACTACTAGAAATAATAAACAAGTTCAATAACATTGCAGAAATATGACATCAATATATAAGATTCAATTATACTCCTATAAACTAGTAATAAGCAAAATGAAAAAAATCAAGGAAATGACTCTATTACCATCAAAAAAGAATAAAATACTTTGAGTAAATTTAACAAAAATACTTATGAATAAATTTAACAAAGGAGCTGAAAAATGTTTATGCTAGAAGCAATGAATATTGTTTAGAAAAATTAAAGATGACTTAAATAAATGGAAAGACATTCTATGTCTATGAATTAGAGAATTAATATTGTTAAGATAACAAAACTTTTTAATTTGACCTATGGACACGTGCAGGACATCGCAGGTGGTAAAATACTGCAAAACAGGAAAGAAAATTATGAATGTATTAGAAAACAATGAGTAGACCATTTTGGTAAAAGTAAACATATATATGGAGGAACTTCAGGAGAAAAAGAGAGTCTAAGTTATGAAGAATCTTGAATGTCAATATCAGAAGTTGAAATTTAATTTTTTAAGGCATGAGTATCCCATACAGCTTTTGAACAACCAGGTGAAATCACCTAGTGCTTTAGAAACTTAAGTCTGAAGAACATGTGCAAATTTGGTTAGACGGGAAGTCACCAGAGACAACTAAGTCTAAAATTTAGTCTGAAAGCCCTAGTCATAGTGAACTTAGACTGCTCTCTCTTGGTTTCTGTAGTCTCTACTGTCCAATATGGTAGTCACAAGGCAAAGACATATTCAATTTTAATTAAGTAATATTAACATTTGTGTTCTTCATTTGTGCTGACCATATTTCATATGCTTGATGGCTAAATGTGACTAGTGACTACCATTTTGAACAGCACACTAAAGGGCATTGCTATCATGAAGAAAGTTTCTGTTAGCCAGAACTATTCAGAGGCTTATCCCTTTATCTTATGGACCCAGATTTTATACTTGGGGTAGATTGTGTCAAGACAAGATGGATGAGACACAGAGAACAGATGGTAATGGACCCATTATCAGCTAAATGCACTCTTTCATCTAATGCTCTAATGACAAAGGTGCTAACTGAATTTCTGGCATAAGATGTGAGAATCTGAACTATAAAGAAAAAATTAAAAGTAGTATGTGATTGTAAGAGATATGTGAAAAAATAGAAACTAATTCTTTATAAATCAAGTAACCAGATTAATAGAAAGATTATTTATTTGGTGTTTGAGTTAGAAGTACCTTTTGTTTGTGAGCAGATTTTAGCCTTTGCATTATCTGTTTTCACACTGCTGTAAAGAACTATCTGAAACTGGGTAATTTATGAAGAAAAGAGATTTGACTCACAGTTCCACAGGTTTGACAGGAAGCATGACTTGGGGGTCTCAGGAAAGTTACAATTATGGCAGAAGGCAAAGGGGAAGCAAGGCATGTCTTCTTGTGGCGGCAGCAGAGAGAGAGAGAGAGCGTGAAGCAGGAAGTGCCACACACTTTCAAACAACTAGATCTCATGAAAACCCACTGTCACAAGAATAGCAAGGGGGAAGTCTACCCCCATGATTCAATCGCCTCCCACCAGGCCCCTCCCCAGGACATGTGAGGATTACAATTTGAGATGTGACTTGGGTGGGGACACAGGGCCAAACAATATCAGCCTATTTATAATGTCTTAAAAATAGAAGTGTGAATATAGTGTCTGTCGGCATTCATACAGTGGCAGAGCCAACCTCTTTGATGCACTCTTGCTCTTCCTGCCATGTGTGGTGCCTCAGGTTTTTCATGTAACTGTGAACACCAGGAGACATTTATACTTAAGGCTTTCTGTCCCTTTTGTTGGAAAATCAAAACCTGCACAGAACCTCTTTCCTCCAGTCAATTTCTCTTATATGGGCTAGTACCAAGCTGCTTCAGCACCCATAAAAGCAAAGGAACCTTGGAACATGAGTGATTAAGTTTCATAGTTTCTGTAGTGGGATGGCTACATAGGAGAAAAAGGTTGCAAATGGCTGTTGATCAGAGGACTTTGGTGTCAATCACAACTACATTGATTTCTATATATCAAACTTATATAACAGTTAATGGGTACAAAATATGTATAGTTAAAAAGAATGAATAAGACATACTATTTAAACACAAAATAGGGTGAGTGTAGTCAACAATAACTTAGTTGTACATTTTTAAATAACTAAAAGAGTATAATAAGATTATTTGTACCACAAAGAATAAATGCTTGAGGGGATGGATAACCCATTCTCTATGATGTGATTATTTCACATTGCATTCCTGTATCAAAACACTTTATGTATCCCAGAAATATATACTACTACTATGTACCCACAAAATCTAAAAATAAAACATTTAATTTTAAAAAGGCAAAAAAAAGGTAAAGGAATTATTCCAGATATTGGGCTCTATTATGTATTCCCAGCCAAGAATCAATGAAGTATACAAGTTGAATCAATTATTCTGGCTTTTGAGTATCCCTCTATTATACTGAAACTGTGTCATCTGACAGATGTATATTTCAGATTTTTATTATAGAAAGAATGATACGTTTCAGCTGTCTCAGTTCTGTTTTTCTTCAAGAATGTCAAATGAGCAGATATCACTGTGAACAGGCAGTAAGTTGGAATTGAATGCCAAAAAAGTAGCAATTTATTTTTACATAAAAGTGGATTAATACTATTGAGCTCTACTTTGATGTATTATTCATATCTTGAAGTTATTTATGCTTATATATCTCAAAAAAAGACATGGAAAACCATGGAAAATAACCATTTGACAGAAACACATAATTTATGATATAATCAAAACTACTGACAGTGTATCACAATACTTTCTTAGTGGTTGAGCAGAATGCAATTAAACATTTGTAAAATTAGATCAAAAGCAGATTAGTCCAAAGTACAATTAAAAGGGTAGTTAAAAAACATTAAAACTAGACATAATCTTCTTAATGACAGTAACTACTATATTAGACCCTGGAAATAAATAAATAAACTTTTCATCCTGAGGAACACACTGCTACTTTTTTTTTTCCCTTTGAGATGGAGTTTTGCTCTTGTTGCCCAGGCTGGAGTGCAATGGCGCAATTTCCGCTCACCGCAACCTTTGCCTCCTGGGTTCAAGTGATTCTCCTGCCTCAGTCTCCTGAGTAGCTGTGATTACAGGTATGTGTCACCACACCGTGCTAATTTTGTATTTTTAGTAGAGATGAGGTTACTCCATGTTGGTCAGGCTGGTCTCAAACTCCCGACCTCAGGTGATCCGCCCACCTCGGCCTCCCAAAATGCTGGGATTACAGGCGTGAGCCAACGTGCCCGGTCTCACACTGCTACTTTTAAGCGTTCATGTTTGCTTTCTGGGTGCACCGTGTAACGGGCCTCTAGTTTCACAGTCTGGTTCCCAAGGTGTCTCAATACACTGGGGATACCGACCCACACTGGAGGTTTGGAATGGAATTATGTCAATGGAGATGAGTCCCTAAACACTATCCTGTCAGTATTCCATCCAGTCCTAAAAATTCAGAAGAATCCATAAACCAGAGCTTGTGCATATATGTAGCTCAGAAACAAAGGGGTAGTTTTCCAAGACTCTTTCTTGGACATTCACCCCAAAGGACATCCTGCTTCTTTGCTGGACCTGGATTAGTGAGCGCCAAGCTTCTCAAATAAACTCTTAATGTTTTTGAGCACACATTAAATGCAAAATATGTGACGATGATAGTGGGGAAGATAAAGACATGAATGAAATATAATTATTTTTATTCAATAATTCCCTTTCTAACAGGAAACATAAATGCCTAGAACAATTTTCCAAAAGTGGAGAGGTTATTAGTGACACAATTAAGAATAAAATAATGTGTTATAGAAGCACAAATTATGGTAAGTTTTCAGGTTAGCTAAAAAGATTCAAATTACTTCTCATCTGGGTATATGCACATGCAAACATTCTTCACCTTCAAAGAAAGCATATTTTCATTATGAAATATTTAATAGAACAGTAGAGAGAATGCAATGAATGTATACCCTCATGTGTATATGTGAATGTATTTAATATAATTTCTGGTTCATAGTGTATGCATATATTTCTCAAATATTGCCAAATTACTCTGCAAAGTGGTTGTGCAAATTTAAAATTCCACTAGCTGAATGCTAGAAATTTTATGTCCCCATATGCTTACTTAGGAGTCCTAGCATCGTCAGACTTGCAAAATCTTCTTGCTATATTCTGTCTCATTGTGATTTTAATATTCATTTCTCTTCCAAGAAATACAAAGGACAGTATTTTTGTATGCTTATTTTCCACTAGTATGTCCTATAAGTTTTATGAATTACCTTTCCATATTGTTTGCTTGATTTTCAACTAGGATTCTCATTTAAAAAATATATTGATGCCTGTAATCCCAGCACTTTGGGAGGCCAAGGCGGGCAGATCATGAAGTCAGGAGTTCAAGACCAGCCTGGCCAACATAGTGAAACCCCGTCTCTACTAAAGATACAAAAAATTAGCCGGGCGTGGTGGCACGCGCCTGTAATCCCAGCTACTCGGGAGGCTGAGGCAGGAGAATCGCTTGAACCCGGGAGGCGGAGGTTGCAGTGAGCTAAGATCGCACCATTGCACTCTAGCCCAGGCAACAGTACAAGACTCCAACTGAAAAAAATATATATGTATAATATATATACACATTTATATATTATATATATTATAATAAGTGAAGGAGAAATAAAATACTTCACAGACAAGCAAATGCTGAGACATTTTGTCATCACCAGGCCTGCCCTAAAATGTACATGTATATATAATATATATGTATATATAATACATAATATATAAATGTATATATATTATTTATATATATGAAATCTATATATATATATATATATAGATTTTTAGGAGTTCTTTATGTATCTTCCATTCAAATCCGTTGTCACTGGAGAAAAATTGCAAATGTTTTCTCCAGTCTAGACATGTCTTTCTACCTGTCATAGTATTTTTTGTAATATAGAAGTGTTGGGCTCTGAAATAGTTGACTTTATCAGTTTTTCCTTTATAATTACAATTTTGAGCTTTTTGAAGAAAACTTTTCTAGCCTTGAGTACAAAATATTCTCCAATAATGTTTTCATAAATTATTGAAATTATTTTTCAAAAACAATGTAAAAGTACTTTTCGTTTTTCACACATTAATCTTGGATTTACCTGAAATTTACTTTTTATGTATATCTAATTATAATCTTTCAACAAGTATAAACAGCATTATTCATCAAAGCACTCTTCCACTGCTGCTTCAAGCCTCCTCTGCTACTTATGAAGTTTCCTTGTGTTGTGGGTTTGTTTCTGGGCTGTCTACCCTGTTGCATTGGTCTATCCTGGTGACAGTTCTGCAAGACATTCATCACCATAGCTTTATAGCAGGTCTTGATATCTAGGAGGGCTAATGTAGCCACTCTTTTCTTCAGGAGTGTCTTGACTAGATTTAGACCTTAGCATTTCCATATGAACACTTAAGTCAGTTTTAGAAGTTCCCTAAAAGGAATCCCATTGGGATTTTAGTTGAAATTGCATTGAATTGATAGGTAAATTTAGGCAAATGATATTTTACTGTATTGAGTGTTTTCACGTATGATACACTATGTCTTTCCATTTACTTAAGTCTTTTCTGGTCTTTTTTTCAGTAGTACTGCATTTTCCCTCATCAATGTGCTCCATATCATTTTAGATGAATTCCTATAAATATTAAACTCTTGCAGGTATTATAAAATGTATGCCTTTAAAAATATGCTTTCTGTATGTTTGTTGCTGACATATGGGAGTACAATCAATTTTTATATCGATAATAGAGCTAGAAACTCCTTTGAGTTCTTTAGTCCTATTAATATATTTCTAGATTATCTTGAGTTTTTGGGCAAACTATGGTACTCTAGATGAGTATTCAAATTTTTGTTTCTTCCTTTCTAATCCTATACATTCTATTTTTTCCATAATTTTTTATTACTATATTGACTAGAATCTTCCACTCAATTTTGAGTAGAAGTAATGACAAAGAACATTCCTCTTGGTCTTGAATTTAAGTGGAATGATTTTAGCATTTCACAATTAAATTTGATATTTGCTGTCAAACTTATTAGATTGTCACATCAATACTGTGAGGCAAGTGTGGTCATTTTGCAGTTGAAAAAACTGAGGCTTAGTAACATTAAATGATGTGCGTAAGATCACTCAAAATGGCGAAAATAGGAAGAGAACCCAGAACGAATGACACTGATATGGTTTGGCTGTGTCCCCCCTGAATCTCATTTTTAATTACAACTTCCACAATTCCCAAGTTTCACAAGAGGAACCCGGGGGGAGGTAATTTATTTGTTGGGGTGGGTCTTTCCCATGCTGTTCTCATGATAGTAACTCTCACGAGATCTGATGGTTTTAAAAATGGAGTTTTCCTGCACAAACTCTCTCTCTTTGCCTGCTGCCATCCATGTAAGACGTGACTTGCTCCTCCTTGCCTTCCACCATGATTGTGAGGCTTCTCCAGCCATGTAGAACTGTAAGTCCAATAAACCTCTTTCTTTTGTAAATTGCCCTGTCTTGGATATGTCTTTGTCAGCAGCATGAAAATGGACTAATACAGACCCTAACGCCCTTTCCCTTTCTAAGACATAGTGCTGCCTTGCTAGAAAGCCTCCCTGGGCCAAGTGTTGTTCATGCATGGAATGCAGCAGTGTGTGCACAGTCTAGGTGTGGACTGTCAGCCCAAGCAGGCTCCAGATGAGCTCCACCAGGGACCAAGCACTCCCAGTCAGAGGCACATTTCAGTGCACTGCTGGCTTCAAGGTAAACCCTTTCCCTCAGGTCAGGGGAGCAAGTGCGGCAGTTTCCATGCTGCCAAACATGATGCCACTGTGCACTGGGAAAGGGTTCTCCCTGTGATGTTTCTAATGAATTAGAAAGTCTTCCATCTTTTAAGTGTCATGCTCAGTGCTGGAGCAGGACTTTTAATAAACAAATAAGCCAGCTGGGCAAGGTGGCTCACACCTGTAATCCCAGCACTTTGGGAGGCCGAGGCAGGCAGATCATCTGAGGTCAGGAGTTTGAGACCAGCCTGACCAACATGGTGAAACCCCATCTCTATTAAAAAGGCAAAAAATTGGCCAGGCGTGGTGGCGCACACCTGTAATCCCAGCTACTTGGGAGGCTGAGACGGGATAATCTCTTGAACCCAGGAGGTGGAGGTTTCAGTGAGCCGAGATCACAGCATTGCACTCCAGCCTAGGCAACAAGAGCAAAACTCCATCTCAAAAAAAAAAAAAAAAAAAAAAAGAAAAGAAAAGAAAAGAAAAAGAAAGAAATCAGTCTACTTACTTGGAGCTGCCCCATGCCTGTCATGAGCCCTACCCTCTGGCTGCTGTACTTAGGATTTTTTTGTAAGCCTGAAAGGGAGAGTGAGAAGGCTCGTTAATACTTTTGTAAGCTTTACTGTTTATTTATTTGTGTTGTTTCATTTAACCAAAGGATGCAGATATTGCTTTTTTTCCTTTGTTGCATGAATTTTAAATTCAGCTGTTGAACTCTTTATTAATATATATTTTTATAGACAGCCAGCTTATCTGTATTCATCTCAGCCTCTAATTGGCTGCCCATCTCTCCCCCCTCTGCAAACTCTCATGGATGCTGATAGCATGAAAATCACTAGGTCTGCCAATTCCTACTTTTTCCCTCAGAAACATCGTCTGTATTGTGACACATGCTCAGTCTTCTATAACTTGACATTTCCAAGGTTTTATTTCTATTTCTAGACCAGATAAAATAAGAACAAAAACAGAAGGTTGAACAATGTCGACAATACAGACACAGTTTAATTTCTTTCAGGGCATACAAAACAATACAAACTTTACCTTGAAGAATACTATTAGAATATGATTTTTAAACAAATGAAAAATAAACTATGTAATGAATATAGACAGGTTGAATGAGGCACCTGGGTTTCTGAGATATTGTTTTGAATACAAAGTTGAGTGTTTTTACCAAGCAATTAGTCGAGTTAATATTTTCTATGAAAATCATGTTTGCATTTCATTTACAAAAACCCCATTTTATTATATGAAAATTGGAGTAAGAAATGACAAACCATGTCTGTATAAAAAGTAATTAAGTACAAATTAATAAGCATAAATTCAATAACTAGCAAAGCAAATGTAATGAATGAAATAAAAATAAAGTATAAGTCCCTCAGATTTCTCAAAGAACTTAGAACTACAGAACTACATTCAATTCAGTAATCCCATTACTGGATGTATATCAAAAAGAAAACAAATTGTTCTACCAAAAAAAGACATGCACTCACATGTTCATCACAGCACTATTCACAATAGCAAAGACATGGAATCAACCTAAGTGCCTATCAGTGGTGGACTGGATAAAGAAAATGTGATATATACACACCATGTAATACTATGAAACCATAAAAAAGAATGAAATCATGTTCATTGCAGTAACGTGGATGCAGCTGGAGGTCACTATCTTCAGCAAGTTAATGCAGAAACAGAAACAAAATACTGCATGTTCTCACTTATAAGTGGAAGCTAAACATTGGGTACACATGGATATAACAGGGCAATAATAGACACTGAAAACTACTAGAAGAGTGATATGGTTTGGCTGTGTCCCCACCCAAATTTCATCTTGAATTGTAGTTCACACAATACCCACACATTATGGGAGGGACCCAGTGGGAGGTAATTGAATCATGGGGGAAGTTACCCTCAGTTCACATGAGTGAGTGAGTTCTTACAAGATCTGATGATTTTATGAGGGACATTTCCCCTTTTGCTCAGCACTTCCACCGCATGAAGGACTGCTTTTTTCCCCTTTCACCATTATTATATTAATAAGTTTCCTGAGGCCTCCACAGCCCTGCGGAACGGTGAGTCAATTAAACCTCTTTCCTTTGTAAATTACCCAGGCTTGGGTATGACTTTATTAGCAGTGTGAGCAGAGATTAATACAGTAAGTTGATACCAGGTATTGGGGTGCTGCTGTAAAGACACCTGAAAATGTGGAAGCAACTTTGGAACTGGGTAACAGGCAGAGGTTGGAACAGTTTAGAGGGCTCAGAAGAAGAAAGAAAAATGTGTGAATGTTTGGAGCTTCCTAGAGACTTGTTGAGTAGCTTTGACCAAAATGCTGCTAGTGATATGGACAATAAAGTCCAGGCTGAGGTGGTCTCAGATGGAGATGAGGAACTTGTTAGGAACTGGAGTAAAGGTCATTCTTGCTATGCAGAGACTGGTGGCATTTTGTCCCTGCCCTAGAGATCTTTGGAACTTTAAATTTGAGGGAGATAATTTAGGGTATCTGGCAGAAGAAATTTCTAAGTGCCAAAGGTTTCAAGAAGAACCAGAGCATAAAAGTTTGGAAAATTTGCAGCCTGCCCTGCAATAGAAAAGAAAATCTCATTTTCTGGGGAGAAATTCAAGCCAGCTGCAGAAAATTCACATAAGTAACAAGAAGCCTAATGTTAATCACCAAGACAATGATGAAAATGTCTCCAGGGCATGCCAGAGACCTTCACAGCAGCCCCTCCCATCACAGGCCAGGAAGCCTAGGAGTTAAAAATGGTTTAATGGGCAGTGCCTAAGTCTCCCTGTTGTGTGCAGCCTAGTGTGCAGCCTCAGGACTTGGTGCCCTGCACCCTAGCTGCTCCAACCATGGCTAAAAAGGGCCAAGGTACAGTTCAGGTTGTGGCTTCAGAGGGTGCAAGCTCCAAGACTTGGCAGCTTTCACATGTTGTTGAGCCTGCAATTGCACAGAGGTAAAAAATTGAGGTTTGGAAACCTCTGCCTAGATTTCAGATGATGTATGGAAATGCCTGGATGTCCAGGCAGAAATTTGCTGCAGTCGTGGAGCCCTCATGGAGACCCTCTGCTAGGGCAGGGCAGAGGGGAAATGTGAGGTTGGAGCTCCCACACAGAGTCCCCAATGGGGCACTGCCTAGTGAAGCTGTGAGAAGAGATCCACTGTCCTCCAGATCCCAGAATGGTAGATCCACTGACAGATTGCACCATGTACCTGGAAAACTCATAGATGCTCAATGTCAGCCCATGAAAGCAGCTGGAAGGGGGCCTATACCCTGCAAAGCCACCGAGGCTGCCCAAGGCTGTGGGAGCCCACCTCTTGCATCAGCATGACCTGGATGTGAGACATGGAGTCAAAGGAGATCATTTAGGAACTTTCAGGATTAATGATTGCCCTACTGGATTTCAGACTTATATGGGGCTTGTAGCCCTTTAGTTTTGGCCAATTTCTCCTATTTGGAACAGGCGTATTTACTAAATGCCTTTACTACCATTGTGTCTATGAAATAACTAACTTGTTTTAGATTTCACAGGCTCATAGGCAGAAGGTGAGAGGTGAAGCCAGCTGGACTTCCTAGGTTGAGTGGGGACTTGGAGAACTTTTCTGTCTTACAAGAGGATTATAAAATGCACCAATCAGCACTCTGTAAAAACACAACAATCAGTGCTCTGTAGTTAGCAAGGAGATTGTAAAATGCACCAATCAGTGCTGTGTAGCTAGCAAGAGGATTGTAAAATGCACCAATCAGTGCTCTGTAAAATGCACCAATCAATGTTCTGTAAAACGCACCAATCAGCAGGATCCTAAAAGTAGCCAATCACAGGGAGGATTGAAAAAAGGGCATTCTGACAGGACAGAAATGGAACATGGGAGGGGATAAATAAGGGAATAAAAGCTGGCTACCCCCAGCCAGCATCAGCATCCCACTCTGGTCCCCTTCCACACTGTGGAAGCTTTGTTCTTTTGCTCTTCACAATAAACCTTGCTACTGCTCACTCTTTGGGTCTGTGCCATCTTTAAGAGCTGTAACACTCACTGCAAAGATCCACAGCTTCACTCTTGAAGTCAGCAAGACCACTAACCCACCAGAAGGAACCAAATCCAGACACATCCTGGGGGCTCGTCCAAGGTATTGCCATGCAGTGAGTATCTTTGGACTCCTTTCACTTACTATTCTGTCCCATTTTCCCTTAGAATTTGGGGGCCAAACAACGGGCACCTCTTGGCCGCCGGACTAAAGACACGGGTGTCAGGCTTTCTGGGAAAGGCGCTCTAACAATCCCCGACTCTTCAGAGTTAGGAGTGTTGGTTTGCATGGAACCAGCTTCCACTTTTCCTGTACTTCAGGGCTGAGCCGGGGGTTGACAGAGAGGGAAGCCATTCAGCTTCGGGGTCCCGACAAAAAGTTGGTTGACCCTGCAGCCATGAGCAGAACTCTCAAAGTTACATTGCCCAAGCAAGACTCACCCACCTTTCTTATCTATCCTGACCCTTGCCTCCTGGGTCCTAACACTTGTCAGACAAACTTCCTCCCGCCCCTATTCTCCGAGGCTAGTCCCACTTCTAAAAACCACTTCCTGTTTCTGGTGCTTTTCTAGTTTCTCCTATAAGAATGATTTCTAGTATAAATTTTGGGAATCTGTTCCCTTCCTTAGGCACCTAGGCTCACCAATCAGAAAGATAATTTCTGCCCAAAGCCCCATTGGGGAGGGTACTATCTGGAATTTTAGAATCCCTCCTCAGACTAGCAGGCCTAACAAAGGCTATTCCCAAAGCTAGGATATAGGGAGCCTCAGAAATCATACCCTTTCTATTCATATGATGAGAAGTGAGGACAAAAGGCATCATTCTTCCAACACTGGAGATCCCTTCCCTCCCTCAGGGTATGGCTCTCTGCTCCATTTTGAGGCATATCATCTTTATAGGACAAGGGTAAGGTCCCAATACCAACAGGAGAAAATGCTTAGGACTCTAACAGGTTTTCAAGAATGCATCAGTGGCTGGGCGTGGTGGCTCACGCTTGTAACCCCAGCACTTTGGGAGGCCAAGGTGGGTGGATCTTGAGGTCAGGAGATCGAGACCATCCTGGCTAACATGGTGAAACCCTGTCTCCACTAAAAAAATTAAAAAAATTAGCCAGATATGGTGGTGGGTGCCTGTAGTCCCAGCTACTTGGGAGGTTGAGGCAGGAGAATGGCTTGAATCCAGGAGGTGGAGCATGCAGTAAGCCGAGATCGCACCACTGCACTCCAGCCTGGGCAACAGAGTAAGACTCTGTCAAAAAAAAAAAAAAAAGAATGTATCTGTAAGGACCACTAAATTAGATTTTTTCTTGATCCTCTTTGTGGTCTAAGAGGAAAGGCAAGGGGGCAGGTTTTTGAGAATGAGTTGGTAAAGGCCACTAAATCCGACCTTCCTCAGTCCTCTTTGTGGTCTAGGAGGAAAACTAGTGTTTCTGCTGCTGCTTCGGTGAGCTCAATTATTCCAAACAGCAGGGTCCAGGGACTGTTGTGGGTTCTTGGGCAGGAAAAAAAAAAAAGTGTTTTTTTTTTTTTTTTCAGATGAGAAACACTCAAGCATCAACAGGCTCACCCATGAAATGCATCCTAAGCCATTGGGACCAATTTGACCCTCAAACCCTGAAAAAGAGGCAGCTCATTTTTTTCTGCACTATCGCCTGGCCCCAATATTCTCTCTCTGATGGGGAAAAATGGCCACTTGATGGAAGTATAAATTACAATACTATCCTGCAGCTTGACCTTTTCTGTAAGAGGGAAGACAAATGGAGTGAAATATCTTATGTCAAAGCTTTCTTTTCATTGAAGGATAATCCACAGGTATGCAAAGCTTGCAATCTACATCCCACAGGAGGACCTCTCAGCTTACCTCCATATCCTAGCCTTCCTACAGCTCCCCTTCCTATTAATGATGAGCCTCCTCTAATCTCCCCCACCCAGAAGAAAACAAGCAAAGAAATCTCCGAGGGACCACAAAAATCCCCGGGTTATTGGTTATGTCCCCTTCAAGCTGTAGGGGAAGAGGAATTTGGACGAAGCTGGGTACATGTCGCCTTCTCCCTTTCTGAATTAAAGCAGATCAAAGTAGACCTGGGGAAATTTTCAGATGATCCTGATAGGTATATACCTGTCCTACAAGGTCTAGGGCAAATCCTTGACCTCACTTGGAGAGATATCATGCTATTATTAGATCAAACACTGGCCTTTGATGAAAAGAATGTGGCTTTAGCTGCAGCCTGAGAGTTTGGAGATACCTGGTTCTTAGTCAAGTAGATGATAGAACGATAGCTGAAGAAAGGGTCAAATTCCCTACTGGTCAGTAAGCTGTCCCTAGTATGGATCCCCACTAAGACCTCAACTCAGATCATGGGGACTGGTGTCACAAACATCTGTTCACCTGTGTTCTAGAAGGACTAAGAAGAATTAGGAAAAAGCCCATGAGTTATTCAATGATGTCCACTATAACTCAGGGAAAGGAAGAAAATCCTTTTGCCTTCCTCGAGTGACTACGGGAGGCCTTAAGAAAATATACTCCCCTATCACCCGACTCCCTCGAAAGTCAATTGATCCTCAAATATAACTTAATTACACAATCAGCTGCAGATATCAGGAGAAAGCTCCAAAAACAAGCCTTGGGCCCTGAACAAAATCTGGAGGCATTATTAAAGCTGGCAACCTTGGGGTTCTATAATAGGGACCAAGAAGAACAGGCCAAAAAAGGAAAAGTGACATAAAAGAAACGCTGCAGCCTCAGGCATGGCCCTCAGGCAAACAAACCTTGCTGGTTCAGACAGGACAGAAAATGGAGCAGGCCAATTACCTGGTAGGGCTTGTTATCAGTGTGGTTTGCAAGGACACCTTAAAAAAGATTGTCCAATGAGAAACAAGCTGCCACCTTGCCCATGTCCACTATGCCGAGGCAATTACTGGAAGACATACTGCCCCAGAGGACAAAGGTTCTTTGGGCCAGAAGCTCCCAACCAGATGATCCAACAACAGGACTGAGGGTGCCTGGGCAAGCGACAGCTCATGTCATCACCCTCACTGAGTCCCGGGTAAGTTTAACCATTGAGGGCCAGGAAATTGACTTCCTCCTGGACACTGGTGCAGCCTTCTCAGTGTTAATCTCCTCCCCCAGATGGCTGTGCTCAAGGTCTGTTACCTTACGAGGAATCCTGGAACAGCCTGTAACCAGGTATTTCTCCCACCTCCTCAGTTGTAATTCAGAGACTTTGCTTTTTTCACATGCCTGTCCTGTTATGCCTGAAAGTCCCACACCCTTATTAGGGAGAGACATATTAGCTGAAGCTGGAGATATTATCTACATGAATATGGGGAACAAGTTACCCATTTGTTGTCCTCTGCTTGAGGAGTGAATCAACTCTGAAGTCTGGGCATTGGAAGGATAATTCAGAAGGGCAAAAAATACCCGTCTGGTTCAAATCAAGCTAAAAGACTCCACCACTTTTCCTTATCAAAGGCAATATCCCTTAAGGCCTGAAGCTCATAAAGGATTATGGGATATTTTTAGACATTTAAAAACTCAAGGCTTAGTAAGAAAATGTAGCAGTCCCTGCAACACCCCAATTCTAGGAGTACAAAAACCAAACAGTCAGTGGAGACTAGTGCAAGATCTTAGACTCATCAATGAGACAGTAATTCCTCTATACCCAGTTGTACTTAACCCCTATACCCTTCTCTCTCAAATACCAGAGGAAGCAAAATGGTTCACTGTTCTGGACCTAAAGGATGCCTTCTTTTGCATTCCTCTGCACTCTGGCTCCCAGTTTCTCTTTGCCTTTGAGGATCTCACAGAACACATGTTCCAACTTATATGGACGGTCTTGCCTCAAAGGTTTAAGGATAGTCCTCATCTGTTTGATCACCCACTGGCCCAAGCTCTAGGCCACTTCTCAAGTCCAGGCACTTTGGTCCTTCATTATGTGGATGATTTACTTTTGGCTACCTGTTTGGAAGTCTCATGCCAGCAGGCTAATCTAGATCTTTTGAACTTTCTAGCTAATCAAGGGAACAAGGTTTCTAAACCGAAGACCCAGCTCTGCCTAAAAGAAGTCAAATATGTAGGCCTAATCTTAGCCAGAGGAACTAGGGCCCTCAACAAGGAATGAATACAGCCTATACTGGCTTATCCTCACCCTAAGACATTACAACAGTTGTGGGGGTTCCTTGGAATCACCGGCTTTTGCCGACTGTGGATCCCCGGATATAGCGAGATGGCCAGGCCACTCTGTACTCTAATCAAGGAGACACAGAGGGCAAATACTTATCTAGTAGAATGGGAACCAGAGGCAGAAACAGCCTTCAAAACCTTAAAGCAGGCCCTAGCACAAGCTCCAGCCTTAGCCTTCCCACAGAACAAAACTTCTCTTTATATGCCACAGAGAGAGCACAGATAGCTCTTAGAGTCCTTACTCAGACTTGTGGGATAACCCCACAACCAGTGGCATACCTAAGTAAGGAAATTGATGTAATAACAAAAGGCTGGCCTCACTGTTTACAGTTTGTTGTGGTGGCGGCCATCTTAGTGTCAGAGGCTATCAAAATAATACAAGGAAAGGATCTCACTGTCTGGACTACTCATGATGTAAATGGCATACTAGGTGCCAAAGGAAGTTCATGGCTATCAGATAACTGCCTGCTTAGATACCAGGTGCTACTCCTTGAGGGACCAGTGCTTCAAATACACACATGTGCAGCCCTCAACCCTGCCACTTTTCTCCCAGAGGATGGGGAACCAATCGAGCATGACTGCCAACAAATTGTAGACCAGACTCATGCCGCCCAAGAGGAACTCTTAGAAGTCCCTTTAGCTAACCCTGACCTTAACCTATATATAGATGGAAGTTCATTTGTGGAGAATGCAATACCAAGGGCTGGTTGTGTCATAGTTAGTGATGTAACAGTACTTGAAAATAAGCCTCCTCCCCCAGGGACCAGAGCCCAGTTAGCAGAACTAGTGGCATTTACCTGAGCCTTAGAACTGGGAAAGGGAAAAAGAATAAATGTGTATACAGATAGCAAGTATGCTTATATAATCCTACATGCCCATGCTGCAATAGGGAAAGAAAGGGAGCTCCTAATGTCTGGGGGAACCCCCATTAAATACCACAAGGAAATCATAGAGTTATTGCAACCAATGCAAAAACCCAAGTGGATGGCAGTCTTACACTGCCAAAGCCATCAAAAAGGTGAAGGAGAAATGGCAAAAGGAAACCGCTGGGCAGACGCTGAGGCCAAAATTGCTGCCAGGTGGAACTTCCCGTTAGAAATACCTATGGAAGGACCCTTGATATGGAACAACCCTCTCCAATAGATTAAGCCCCAGTATTCCCTGACCAAAACAGAATGGGGACTTTCACAGGGGCATAGTTTTCTCCTCTAGGGGTGGTTAACAACAGAAGAGGGAAAGGTACTCATACCTGAAGCCAGCCAGTGGAAAATACTTAAGACCCTCCATCAAACTTTTCATATAGGTATTGAGAACACACATCAAATGGCCAAATCCCTATTTACAGGGCCAAATCTCCTCTGGACAATCCGACAAGTAGTCAAAGCCTCTGAGGTGTGCCAAAGGAATAACCCCTTGCTTCATCGTAAGGCCCCTCTGGGGGAACAAAGAATAGATCACTATCCTGGAGAGGACTGGCAGTTAGACTTCACCCATATGCCTTAGTCAAGGGGATTTCAACACTTGTTGGTCTGTGCTGATACCTTTACAAATTGGATAGAAGCCTTCCCCTGCAAGACAGAGAAGGCTCAGGAAGTGGTTAAAGTCCTAATTCATGAAATAATTCCTAGATGTGGGCTTCCCCAAGGCTTACAAAGCTACAATGGTCCGGCTTTTAAAGCCACGGTAAATCAGGGAATTTCCAGGGCGCTAGGGATACAATACCACCTTCACTGCATCTGGAGGCCACAATCCTCAGGGAAGGTCAAGAAGGCAAATGAAACACTCATGAGGCATTTACGGAAGCTAACACAAGAAACTCATCTCCTATGGTCTACTCTCTTGCCCATGGCCTTGTTAAGAATCCGAAATTCTCCTTACAAAATGGGGCTCAGTCCATATGAAATGTTGTATGGACGACCTTTTCTCACCAATGACTTCCTACTTGATCAGGAAACAGCCAACTTGGTCAAATATATAACTTCTTTGGCAAAATATCAACAAAACCTTTAAAACCTACCCAAAGGATGTCACAGAGAAAAGAGAACGGAATTGTTTCAACCAAGAGAACTAGTGTTGGTCAAATCCCTCCCCTCTACCTCCCCATCTATGGATTCTTTGTGGGAAGGACCATACTCAGTAATCCTCTCTACCCCCACTGCAGTGATGGTGGCAGGAGTGGAATCTTGGATTCACCACACCTGAGTTAAACTTTGGACATCCCCTGAGGAACCTGCAGGACTGACAGCTCAGGAGTCCCAAGTTCAGCCAGACCAGACTTGATACACCTGTGAGCCATTGGAGGACTTCCATCTCCTATTTCAGAAGGAAACATCCCAGACTAAAAAGACTCCTACAGCTGATCCTGAGGAAAAACCTTTCCTACGTAAAAAGATAAGTGAAAACCTACATAATCTTTAACACCTCTCCTTTCCCCTTGAATGGAATCCTTTTTCTGTTTCATCGCATTATTAAGCAGTATACTACCATATTCTTTGCAGTAGGACTATATACTGTAGCTTCTGCAGGGACAACAATCCTAATCACGTCAACCTTTTTTCTATCATCCTTCCTGCTGACAGCAATTTACTGCTACCTTTAACTCAGACTGGATAAAATGATCTCATCTTCTAGGGCACCCTCTTTACCCTCCTACTTACTCTTTGCCTATCTATCCCTCCTGCTTCCTTGGACACCCCAGATAGTCACCCCTCCCCTTCCACTAGCTCCTAATTACCTCTACAAAACTCTCAACTTAACCTACTCTCTGTTAAACCAGTCCAACCCTTCTCTGGCAAATGACTGCTGGCTTTGTATCTCTCTATCAGCCACTGCGTGTGTTGCCACCCCTGTTCCTGCAAAAAACCCTGTCTTTACTAACTTAACCTACCACCCTCGTTATGAAGGAAAAGACCCTTTCTGACTTCTAAATATGCAATCATTAGCCAACTTCCCCATCTTTGATAGGACGAAGAATACCCTAATAGGATGCACAATCCAACTTTTACGGTCTTACATTTCCAACTTCACTTATTACATGAGCAATGAAAAGCCCTGTAACCACGAATACTGTCTTAACTTTTCAAGCCCCCTTATGCATCCAACACAACCTTTTATCAGGCCTGCCCCTGGGGCACCTACTATCCCATCAGTGTAATTACACCCTTCAACTTCAAGCCCCAATTTATCATAGTAACTTCTGAATCACCCAAACAGCTCCATTCAGATGGCTTGTCTGCTTCTCAGGGCCTCCAAAAATCATCACCTTCTCCCTGCTTAACAAACAGTCTGGATTTTGTAATGGCAAAAATGCTCCCTGCATGACGATTCACCCCTGGACCCCCTGCAGCAGTGCCCCCACCACTAATGAATGATTTCTCATCCCCTCTTTCAATCACTCCCTTGAATAGTTCCTAGCAGATACAAAACGATTTTTTCTCTAATGGGAAAATAGAACACAGGGAGCCACTCAGTTTGCTCCCAACACTCCTTTCCAGCTGCTCACCGGAGCCACATTGGCAAGTACTCTAGGAGTATGGGAAAATGAAAACAACAAACTCACACACCTTTTTAACCTACACAACCAGTTCTGTTTACACAGCCAAGGCATATTCTTCTTATGTGGAACTTCAACTTATATCTGCCTCCCCACCAACTGGACAGGCACCTGCACCTTAGTCTTCCTGAGTCCCAACATTGACATTGCTCCAGGACATCAGACCCTATCAGTGCTTGTCAAAGCTCAAGTCCATCAGCACAGGGCTGTACAACTAATACCCCTACTTATAGGGTTAGGAATGGCCACTGCTACAGGAGCCGGAATAGCAAGTTTGTCCACTTCACTATCCTACTACCACTCACTCTGAAAGGATTTCTGACAGTTTGCAAGAAATAACAAAATATGTCTTTACAACCCCAAATAGACTCTTTGGCAGCAGTGACTTTCCAAAACCGCAGAGGCCTAGACCTCCTCACTGCTGAGAAGGGAGGACTTTGCATCTTCTTAGGGGAAGAGTTTTGCTTTTACACTAATCAGTCAGGGATAGTACAAGATCCCTCCTGGCATTTACAGGAAAAGGCTTCTGAAATCAGACAATGCCATCTTGCTATTACTCGCCTTTGGACCCTGTACTTTTAACCTCCTTATCAAATATATTTCCTCCAGGAGTGAGGCCATCAAGCTACAGATGGTCTTACAGATGGAACCCCAAATGAGCTCAACTCACAGCTTCTACCGAGGACCCCTGGATCAACCCACTGGCCATTTGACTGGAGGTTGCAGGAAGTCAGAGACCCCAAATGGAGGGACCAGCTGGAGCCATGGCAGAGGAACATAAATTGTGAAGATTTCATTTTAATATGGACATTTATCAATTCCCAAATAATACTTTTATAATTTCTTATGCCTGTCTTTAATCTATTAATCTTGTTATCTTTGTAAGCTGAGAATGTACATCACCTCAGGACCACTATGACATTTGAATTAACTGTACAAATTTATTATAAAACATGTGTGTTTCAACAATATGAAATCAGTGCACCTTGAAAAAGAACAGAGTAACAGTGATTTTTCAGGGAACAAGGGAAGACAACCATAAGGTCTTCTTGCAGAGAGCCTATAAATGGATGTGCAAGTAGGGAGGATATCACTAAATTCTTTTCCTAGCAAGGAATATTAATAATTAATACCCTGGGGAAGGAATGCATTCCTGGGGAGAGGTCTATAAACGGCCACTCTGGGAGTGTCTGTCTTATGTGGTTGAGATAAGGACTGAAATATGCCTTGGTCTCCTGCAGTACCCTCAAGCTTACTAGGATTGGGAAATCACCCTGGTAAACTTGTCGTCAGACTGGTTCTCTGCTCTCAAACCCTGTTTTCTTTTGTTTAAGGTGTTTACCAAGACAATACATGCACAGCTGAACATAGACCCTTATCAGTAGTTCTGAATTTGCCCTTGTCCTGTTTCCTCAGAAGCATGTGATCTTTGTTCTCCTTTTTGCCATTTGAAGCATGTGATCTTGTGAACCTACTTCCTGTTCTTGTACACCCTCCCCTTTTGAAATCCTTAATAAAACTTGCTGGTTTTGTGGCGCAGGTGGTCATCACAGTCCTACCAATATGTGATGTCACCCCTGGAGGCCCAGCTGTAAAATTCTTCTCTTTGTACTCTTTCTGTTTATTTCTCAGCTGGTCGACACTTATGGAAAATAGAAAGAACCTACATTGAAATATTGGGGGCTGGTTCCCCCGATAACTGGCCTAGAGATTTCCCCTCCAGAGAACACTACAACTGCAGGGCCCCTTCTTCACCCCATCCAGCAGGAAGTAGCTAGAGTGGTCATCACCCAATTCCCAGCAGCAGTTGGGGTATCTTGTTTAGAGGGGGTATTGAGATGTGAAGCCAGCTGAACTTCCTGGGTCGAGTGGGGACTTGGAGAACTTTTCTGTCTTACAAGAGGATTGTAAAATGCACAAATCAGCATTCTGTATAAACGCACCAATCAACACTCTGTAAATGCACCAATCAGTGTTCTGTAAAATGCACCAATCAGGCTGGGTTCCTGCCTGTAATCCCAGCACTTTGGGAGGCTGAGGTGGGCAGATCACAAGGTCAAGAGATTGAGACCATCCTGGCTAACATGGTGAAACCCCGTCTCTACTAAAAATGCAAAAAATTAGTTGGGTGTGGTGGTGGGCACCTGTAGTCCCAGCTACTTGGGAGACTGAGGTAGGAGAATGGCATGAACCCGGGAGGCAGAGCTGGCAGTGAGCCAAGACTGTGTCACTACACTCCAGCCTGGGTGACAGAGTGAGACTCTGTCTCAAAAAAAAAAAAAAAATGCACCAATCAGCAGGATTCTAAAAGTAGCCAATCTCAAGGAGGATTGAAAAAAGGGTATTCTGATAGGACAGAAGCAGAACATGGGAGGGGACAAATAAGGGATTAAAAGTTGTCCACCCCCAGCCAGCAGTGGTAACCCACTTGGGTCACCTTCCACACTGTGGAAGCTTTGTTCTTTTGCTGTTCACAATAAACCTTGCTACTGCTCACACTTTGGGTCTGTGCCATCTTTAAGAGCTGTAACACTCACCGTGAAGGTCTGCAGCTTCATTCTTGAAGTCAGAGAGACCATGAACCCACCAGAAGGAACCAACTCCAGACACAAAGGGACTTGCCTTTTCTTAGATGAGACTTTGGACTTAGACTTCTGAGTTAATGCTGGAATGAGTTAAGACTTTGGGGGACCATTTGGTTTTGAAATGTGAGGACATGAGATTTGGAAAGGTCTGGGGCAGAATGATACGGTTTGGCTGTGTCCCCACCAAAACCTTATCTTGAATTGTAGTTCCCATAATCCCCACATGTCATGGGAGGGACTTAGTGAGAGGTAATTGAAACATGGGGTCGGTTACCCTAATGCTGTTCTTGGGATAGTGAGTTCCCACAAGATCTGATGGTTTTTATAAGGGACTTTTACCCCTTTTGCTCAACACTTCTCTGTCCTGCAGCTCTTGAAGATGGACGTGTTTGCTTCCCCTTCTGCCATAATTGTATTAATAAGTTTCCTGAGGCCTCCACAGCCCTGCAGAACTGTGAGTCAATTAAACCTCTTTCCTATATAAATTACCCAGTCTCGGGTATGTCTTTATTAGTAGCATGAGAACAGGCTAATATAAGAGGGGAGAAAGGGAAGGGGGAAAAATGTTGAAAAATTAAGTATTTAGTACTTAATTAAGTATTGAGTACTCAGTATCTGGGTGACAGCATCAATTGTATTCCAATCCTTAATATCACACAATATACTCAGGTAACAAACCTGCACATGTATCCCCTGAATCTAAAATAAAAGCTGAAAATAATTAATTCCTGCTTAAAATAATTTAAAAATACAAAATTTTTACTTAAAGGAAAGTATAATTCTCCAAATACCTCTCCTTGCCCTGACATGAAAACAATGGTGACTCTAAGCTCTGAGGTCCTCTCTGGCATCCATTTAAGGGAGTTGGGTGGATCTCAGAATTGTTGCAGGAAATCAAATTGGTGAATGTGCAAATAGTTTTAAAAATTAACAATATCAAATGTCCACAATTAAAATGTAAAGAAAAACTATAGATGTTGGCATAGATGTGGTGAAAAGGGAACACTTTTACACTGCTGGTGGGAATGTAAATTAGTACAATCACTCTGAAAAACAGTATGCAGACTCATTAAAAATTAAAAGTAGAACTACCATTCAATCCAGCAATCTCACTACTGGGTCTCTACTCAAAGGAAAAGAAGTCATTCTATTAAAAAGACACATGCAAATGCATGTTTATAGCAGCAGAATTTGCAATTGCAAAGATATGGAACCAACCTAAGTGATCATTGACCAACAAATGGATAAAGAAAATGGGGGTCAGGTGCGGTGGTTCACATCTGTAATCTTTGCACTTTGGGAGGCTGAGGCAGGCAGACCACTTGAGGTTGGGAGATTGAGACCAGCCCGACCAATATAGTGAAACCCTTTCTCTACTAAAAATACAAAAATTAGCCAGGCATGGTGGTGGGTGCCTGTAATCCCATCTACTTGGGAGGCTGAGGCAGGAGAATCACTTGAACACGGGAGACGGAGGTTGCAGTGAGCCGAGATGGCACCACTGCACTCCATCCTGGGTGACAGAGTGAGACTTAGTCTCAGAAAAAAAAAAAAAAAAAGGAAAATGTGGTATATATACACCATGGAATACTTCATTCCATAAAAAGGAATGAAATAATATTGTTTGCAGAAACTTAAATATAGTTGGAGGACATTATTCTAACTCAGAAGTAACTGAGAATGAAAAACCAAGTATCACATGTTCTCACTTATAAGTGAGAGCTAAGCTATGAGGACTCAGAAGCATATAGGGGGATGTGATGGACTTTGGGGACTTTGGGGGGTGGTTGGGAGTGGGCTGAGGGATAAAACACTACATATTGTATACAGTGTACACTGCTTGGGTGACAGGTGCATGAAAAATCTTGTAACTCATCACTAAAGAACTCATCCATGTAAACAAAACCACCTGATCTTAAAAACTATTGAAATGCATAGAGACAGAAATATATTATTCCTCTTACTTTACTTACAATTTCTAAGAAGAATTGTCAAACAGCATTTACTTATACAAACTCATGTCAATTAGGTTTATTTCTTTTTTTTTGAGACAGAGTCTTGCTCTGTCACCCAGGCTGGAGTGCAGTGGCTGATCTCGGCTCACTGCAAGCTCCGCCTCCTGGGTTCATGCCATTCTCCTGCCTCAGCCTCCCAAGTAGCTGGGACTACAGGCACCCGCCACCATACCTGGCTAATTTTTTTTGTATTTTTTAGAAGAGACAGGGTTTCACCATGTAAGCCAGGATGGTCTCGATCTCCTGACCTCATGATCCACCCGCCTCGGCCTCCCAAAGTGCTGGGATTACAGGGGTGAGCCACTGCGCCTGGCCAGGTTTATTTCTTAATTGACCGCATTTGGTATCTGACAAAAGAGAGAGAAAGAAATAGTGCTGAAATCTAACTTTAAATGGCCTGCTTACCAACATGCATTGGAAGTAAGGTCACTTCCATATTAGTAATCTTTATTTCATTAAATATTAAAATTACCATATAAGTAATCTTTATTTGACACAAAATTCGATCAAGTCCTCTCCCCTCCACCCCCATTCCTGGAATCCTTTAGCTTCTAGTTGCTTCCATTGTTTGAAAAGGGTTTTTTTGTTTTTAATTTTAGGTCAAAAACACATGTTATATTGAAGTATTTTCTTCTGTTTCTCACTGGATTTGATACTAAAACATATTTACTAAGATAATAAGTGTAATTTTTCTTGTGGTCTCAGAAATTTAATTAAAGTCCCAAAGTTAAGGAGACTAGGTGATAAGTACCCACGTTCAAAGAAAAGGTGCTTGTGCTAGTCAGATTCTCCAGAGAAGCAGAGCACATAGGATGTGTATGTGTATGTGTGTGTGTGTGTGTGTGTATGTGTATACATAATTTGTATATGTATATATGTGTGTGTGTGTATGTATATATGTATATATGTGCATATGTGTATATGTGTATATATAATGTGTATATGTATATATGTGTATGTGTGTTTATATGTGTGTATGTATATGTGTATATATAGTGTTCATATGTATATAGGTGTGTATGTATATATGTGTATATGTATATGTGTATATGTATATATGTGTATGTATATGTGTATATATAATGTATATATGTGTATATATGTGTGTATATATAATGTGTATATGTGTGTGTGTATGTATATGTGTATATATAATGTGTATATGAATATATGTGTGAGTGTATGTACACATACATATAAAGGGATTTACTATAAGGAATTCATCACAGGATTTTGGATGCAGACTAACAAGTCCCAAAATTTGCAGGGTAGTTTGAAAGCTAGTGACCTCACAGAGATAATGGTATAGTTTCAGTTGGAATACAAAGCCTGAGGCCCAGGAGAACTGGCCATGGTGTGGTTCAAGTCTGAAAGTCATCAGGCTGAAGACCCAGGAAGAGACAATGTTTCAGTTCAAGGCAGGAAAAAGCTGGTGTCTCAGTTCGAAGGCAATCAAGCAACAGAAACTCCCTCCAGCCCAGGGGGATGGTTGGCCTTTCTTGTTCTATTCATTTTTTCAACTGATTGGATGAGGCCCGCCCATATCAGAGAGGGCAGTCTGCTTTACTCAGTCAACTGATTTAAATGTTGATCTCATCCAAAAGCACCCTCACAGACACACCTAAAACAATATTTGAACAAATATTTGGGCACTGAGTTGATTAGACACATAAAATTAACCATCACAGTGCTGAATAGAGAACAGATTGAGGGAGTATTAATAACTCACCCCATCCCAGTCTAAATGTCTGAAAAGAATTATCCAAGCTAGAAAAAACTGGCTACCCAGTGTGGATGCAGTTGGCTTTCTCCTTTCATTGGTCTTTCTCCAATGAGCCACATGTAAAACTCTAGGGGTACTGAGGGAGAGGTCAGGGTATGGAGGAAGTAAACACTGAGATCTCCCTTCTCACAGCATGTTTTGGAGCCAGGATGCACAGACTCTTTACTGTTTTCTGCCTGTAGAAATCAGAAAGTAGGAGGTTGGCAGTGCTATCTGCTTTGATTGAAAGAGCAGCTACATGGAGCAGTGCCTTCATTATTTGAAGTGGCAATGGTATGTAAATTTCTCTTGGATATCTTGGACAACTCAGGAGGTAGACAGGTCAGAATCCTTATGGTAAGATCTTTCCAAGAAGGTGCTTTCTGTCAGAATGAGGGAGACACAGCAGGAGCTGAAGGTAAGTCACAGTAGTTCAGTTGGACTATTAGAAAGGGAAATGTCTAAGCTAATAAAAAAGAGGTCCTACAATACAATGGCCTACAGATTTTCTGACATAACTCTTTAGAGGTTGGTGGTGCAGATTGAAGAGGCATCTCTGCTCCACATAATCATTCAGGGATCCAGGATCCTTCCATCTGTTGTTTCGTCATCTCCTAGGACACTGTCCTCCTCTGTGTGGTCAAAGCTGGAATGCGATACCTCTGAGTTCTAGCTGATACTAGCTGAGTTCTATGTGAAAATGGCTTATATCATTTCCATTTCCCATCAGTGAGACCTTAGTCAGGCAGTCACTGAAAGCTACAGTTTATGCTGAGAATTATCTTGCTTAGCTTGGCTTCCATTTGTTCAGTTAATCTCTGTTACTACAGAAAAACTGGCAACAGGTAGTCTCCTTGGCAATTAGTGAATGTTCTGCTTGCATTGGGAAGCACTGAAGACTTTCAAGAATCCATAAGATACTGCATGTGCGTACTGACATTTGGAGATATACTAAATAGGAAGCATGTTGACCATTGTCATATTGACAAGAGAGAACTCTAGTAACAGAATCCATGCCATGCCATGTACTACTTCATGTACGAACCATCTCCTCTAATTGACTCTCCACTGCCCTATTCTTGAATTCATTGAAGAAAAGGAGCCATATAGAAAGAGGAAGACACTGGCACAATCTCTTTTCCCATTGCAGGCCACCCAGCCAAGGATCATGGCTAAGCAGGCAGGTGGGAAGAATTCTTGCATTGCACGTGAGATAGAGCTTCTGCACTAGCCTGCTCAGGACCAACAGAAAAGCTGTGAGATATGCCCTGGACGGGGAAGAGGCTGGAGGTAGAAATGGGTTAGAAGCCATCTGAAGGCAATGAGGGTAAATAAACCAAGCTCTTTCCTATTAGTCTCCCATTTAGCTTAGACCATCAATAAACCTGTTAAAGTGTTTTAAATATCTAGCATTTTCTCCATTTTACTGCCAATATAGACTTAGATACAACTGGTGTGTTGGTGAAGCACTTCATATGTACCCCTCTGAGTAGGGCAAGGATGTTCACTCTGTCAAGAATTCTTTTCTTTCTTTCTTTTTTTTTTTTTTTTTTTGACGGAGTCTTGCTCTGTTGCCCAAGCTGGAAGTGCAGTGGCACGATCTCAGCTCACTGCAAGCTCTGCCTCCCGGGTTCATGCCATTCTCCTGCCTCAGCCTCCCAAGTAGCTGGGACTACAGGCACCCGCCACCAAGTCCGGCTAATTTTTCAAATTTTTTTAGTGGAGACAGGGTTTCACTGTGTTAGCCAGGGTGATCCTGATCTCCTGACTTCATGATCCGCCTGCCTTGGTCTCCCAAAGTGCTGGGATTACAGGCGTGAGCCACCGCGCCCAGCCAAGAATTCTTAATACGCAATATATATGGGTAAACTTATTTAAAATTTCATAATTTTAATGTGTTATCAATTATCTTCTTAGGAATTATGCAATCATTATTTTCCTAAGTGTGTATATATTTATAGAATCTAAATTATTAGAGATGACAGTAATTTATCAAGACAGAAACTTTATTAACACACTCCTGAAATTATGATATTCTTAAATATACAAAGTCATATTCAAATGAAAAACAAAAAAGCCAAAGTTTGTCATTTAATCTTAGCACAATTTTACACTTACTAATGACTGCTGGCATTTTGAGTTATATTCAGTGTAACATTCGTATGTCAAATTATAGACAATATGTTTGTTGGGTAAATTCTCTCATCTCTATTGCAGCTGGAAGAGGAAAAAAACCTTTTGGTGTGATGGATTCTTTAGAAGCCATATTATCTTTATATTTTATTAAGTATTGTTACTGTAATTTTTTAGTTCAAAAAATCATATATATTTATATTGTCTTATAAATCTCTCATTGACTTCTTAAAGTTGTAATTTTAACCACATTTGTCAAAATCTCCTCTTTGAATAAAAATTTTCTATTCTTATTCATTGCATCAATGAGGCTTTATTCAGTATTTCCGACACCTGAAACCTGTCATAGAAATGGCGCAAAAAACAAAAATACTCAAGATGTGACTGAGAATAAATGAAGAAAAAGCACAGGACTTTTTTTTTGTAGGTAGGATGCAAATGGTTAAGGTCTTTGGAAGGGTGATTTTGATAGAGTAAGTGTGAAAGAACACATTTCACGACAAATTGTTGGTAAGGAAATAGTAGCTATGGGTATATAACATTTGTTTCACAATTATAACAATGGAAAAAAGCTCCTCTCAAGTGAGGAGGAGAAATGAGTTAAGCCTTTATTTATTTTTGTTTGCTTTTTTTCTTTTAAGTTTATGTAGAGACCAACAAAAGTTTGGAGACATTGGAGACCCCACGGAGAGAGGAAGAGAGTGAAGATAAGAAATTAGGAGGTGACAGATATCTTGGCAAGGTTGCTGAAATGGCAAACACACAAAAGGAATTCTTAGTTCAGTAGAGGAAAATAAAGAGCTCCCTTTTTGAGCTTCAAATTAAGAATGAGAGAATGCCAGGAGGTATAAAGTTTCTATCAACTTATTAATAATAATCATATTTCCAATATGTTCACAAATCTCCAAAAGAATTAAAAGCTGCCTTTTAGGTAAAGGCTCTGGTGGATTTCTTAGACTTCCCAGCCAGGGAAACTGGTAATTTTCTGAGTCAGGTGAAACCTCCTCCAGGTGGAGGCAGGTGACTACCACTCAGCCCCTACGCAGCAGCTCTTGTCAGTGTCATGCACCCAGGCAGTCCTCTTCAATGCCATAGGATCTGTCGGTGATGGCTCACCTTGGATCTCTTTCAGGAGATCCACAGTTGGCCAGTAGAAAGCACACCCTGTGCCCTGCCATAGGGAGAACGCAACCCCTTCCAGTCATAGCCCTCTCTGTTCACTGTCTGAGCTCCACCTAGAGTCGTCTCCATGTGCGTCTTAAGTCCCTGTGTCCCACACAGGCCATGGGAGAAGTGGTTTTTGAGCCCCTCTCCTGTGACATTTATGCAGAGTGTGTGAGAACAGAACTCCAGCATTTTTTGTTGCCATAGCAGTCCCCCTTTTTATCTGTAACTTCTTACTGAATTCCCAACTTTGCTCTCCCTAGGCAGGAATGGATGGTGGACTAGTGACAGCAAAGCTGGATTCATGTTGTGGCCTGCTTGGCACAGAGCCTGCACCTGGTCAGTCCCTGGACACTCTTCATGGCCAACAGCATCGAGCCCCAGAGAAAGTCCTGACATTTTGTTCTTGTTGAGCAAGAGGCAACCTTCTGAAACATCAGTTTGAGAGACCCAAGTTCTCAATAATAACATATCTTAAGTAGCAAATGTTCTAGTTGATGTTGCCTTATCCTCAGAGTAAGTGTTACAGATAGGCCAGAATATCTTTGCATCCTTGAGAAGATAGCTATAAAAAAGTCTGGGAGTTGATTGTTCTCTGCAGCTAAGGCATCTAGATATTATTAGTGACTCAATTATCATCTACTCTATCTCTTCTCTAAAATGTTTTCAAGTTCAAAAGAAAAAAATATTTTTTTCTTACCGTCAAAGGCAGTTTTGCTCACTTTTCCAAGAGAAGGTATAACAATAAAAGCCAAGTCATTGTTGATCATTTATTTTTTTTTTTTTTGAGACAGTGTTTTGCTCTTGTCACCCAGGCTAGAGTGCAATGGTGCAATCTTTGCTCACTGCAACCTCTGCCTCCCGGGTTCAAGCAAGTCTCCTGACTCAGCTTCCTGAGTAGCTGGGACTACAGGCATATGCCACCACACCTGGAAAATTTTTGTATTTTTAGTAGAGACGGGGTTTCGCCATGTTGGCCAAGCTAGTCTCTAACTCCTGACTTCAGGTGATCCGCCCGCCTTGGCCTCCCAAAGTGCTGGGATTACAGGCATGAGCCACTGTGCTTGGCCTGATCATTTAAAATTCTTAAGATGCTAGAAATTCAGGTATATTTATCAAAAATATTATAATATGAACATTTAAAAAGAGTTCTAAAAACTTTGATAAAGAAACTTAGCAGTAAGTTTAATTTCATTACAAAGTATACAAATAGATAAATTTCAAACATTTTAGGTTTATTTAAAAAATATTGACACTGTCTAAGGGAGAATCAACACCAAAGTGTTGGCTACATTTCAAACACAATTTTAAAAAACATTCTTATATGAAAGTTTACTTAGCATGCTTAACTGTTTCTGAATATTCATCTAGATTCTCTGAAGAACACTAATTTTTAAAAAATCTCTCAATGAAATTAGTGCTGCAGCTCTTGGTCTTTGCAAACTCTAAAAGCCTAGTTAAAAGCATATAAGCCATATGTAAGCTTCACTCTTAATTATTTTGCTTATTATTTTAATGTTTATTGTACAGTCATTAATTTGAAATTTTAGAATTTGGCAGCTGCAACACATGCAGCATTAAGGCTTTTAATAGCACATTCCGTTTTGCTTCTCATGAAAATTGAGAAGTCAGATATTATTATCCGTTTCCTGAAATATATGAGACATACTGTTTATTTGTGCCTAGAGCCAATGAGTAATTTTTAGCATTTTCAAAATTTAATATACTCCAAAATATTCTTAGAAATGTTTAATTAAATTGAATTAGATTTGGCATCTGTTTTTATTGAGCACTATAGAAACCATAACTCGCTAAGGTGGCGTTTAACAAGTCTGTTAATTCTCTTTACTCATGACACTATACATATTTGCAAGTAATAAATGCTTTTTTATTATTCCTTAATTCATTATGTGATAATTTATTGAGTGATTCATATTAAAAATAATTGTAATATAAAAATGATTAAATATGCTCACAAATCGTGATTTATTATACATACATTCAACCATTTACTCTAAGAAGCACCTTCAAATAGTAGGAAATGTGGAAAATCATTCCATTTTTGTAAAGTTGCTTTTCTAAGTATATTTTGGTGAAAAATTTTAAACTTTCATTTGCATTTAGTTTTATGTAATTGATAGAATGATGATGGAATTTATTGGTTTTGTTTAGTGACATAGTAAAAAAGGTTATCATGGGACAGTGGATTCTTTATGGAACTTAGAAGCTAATCAGTCAAGAAAGGAGAGCTGGTATCTACATAAATAATCTGCACAAATATTTTTTCTTAAAATATATATATATATATATTATGTATTTGAATACATATATTCGAGGAAGAGTAAACACGTTTCTATCTGTAAGTTCCAAAATCAGTTTTCCCAGGATCGCGTAGAGTTGGGGTTGGTAAACGTTTTCCATAAAGAGCCAAAAGGTAAGTACTTTCAGCTTTGTGTATCATGCAGCCTTTGTCATAGCGTCTCAACTCTGTCCTAGGGAGGCAGCTGTGTCTGTCGGAGAAAGCGGCCATCCACAATGTGCAAACAAATGGGCCTGGCTGTGTTTCTGTACTTCATTTGCAAAAATGCTCATCTCTCAACCTCCCATGACTGACGTATCTTTGTCTTCTTTTTTCTTTTACCGCAAAACATCTCATATGGCATATTTAGGTTTACCACCTTTTTTTCCTTAAGCCTATTATTACCTGTATTGTGTTCTCACTGCCTTGAAGATAGACAATTTTCAACCCATTCCACACTTGTTCAGTGTTCAGGTTATTGAAACTCTCCTCAGCATCTGGCAAGGTTCACTGCTCTTTCCTCTTTGACCCCTGTCCCTTCTTTTTCTCTGGGTTTTCCACTGCTGGCTCATCCTCCTTTGCCTTCTCAATTTGGGGAGTTGTCCCAGGTCAGTCTTAGCTTTCTCTCTCCTAATGCTTCATTTTATCCTTGGGCAACTCTACATAGTCCTATATCCTTACCTACATCAGAATGGCCCCTCTTCAATATCCATTAGGACTTTAGAAGTAAATTCTTAACTGATTCATCACTACTACCAATAGTACCACCACTAACTACTATCACTGCTACTGTCACTAGGACGACTACTGCCATTACCCCTAATTATCACCTCTGGCACTACTAAGTTATCTCTCATGCTCACATTCCAGAGGGATGACAACCAATTATGCATCTATTTTACAAATGATATATTTCACTTAAGAGAGTTATAGTGACTTAAAAAATATATAGCCAAAATGTGGTCAGGGCAATATTTTAAGTCAGCTAATTCCAGGGATCATATTGACAAGTAAATAATTAAATAAATGGTTCAAATACGTCATGTAACATTAATCTCCACTTGTAAAAATATTCAGAGAAGAAGCTACCTCTCAGTTTGTTAAATTCATAGTAACTGAAGAAGGGACTAATTCACATTTTTGAATTTTATTTTCAGTATTAGATGAGTTATTGTAACCTCTGAGAAGATTATGAATTATCCTAAATTATGAATTATTCAATAACATGTGTCTGTGCATGTGTGTAAAGATTTAGAGAGCAGGAGATACTGATAATACTAGGATATTTAATTAAGAATACTGAGTTGTTTGGAAGAAAAAACAGAAGCTCTTTGGAACATGAACACATGTTGGAAACTGTTATAAAATTGGGGGAAATAAACTTTCAAATAAACTTCCATCACCAAGACAGATATGAGAGATAAAGTAATGAATCAACTGAAGTAATGAACCTAATGAGTGTACTGAAAACAAGAAAGTAGGTTCTTCAGGGTTTTTTTTTATGACAATGAGGTAGAGTTTTACTAATCTATTCTGAATCTCATATTTTTTTCTCTGCCTTGTGACAAACAGTACACCTTTGAGGGGATGAAGGCCAAGCTAACATTTGTATTCATCTTCTAAAGGAATTACACATACACTCTCAGGCTCATTAGCAGCATTGTCTGACATCCTGAGCAACAAGGGCACAGATGCGGAATAACAGGACTGTTAACGAGGTGTACACTTTGCTGGTATAAATGTGAGCAGACAGAGGTATTGCCAAATTCCGCAGCTGTGTTGACATGCATATTTATTGAATGCCCCCTTCGAAATAAAGAGCAGAGTAATCTCCAGGCCAGAGTATCAAAACAACCTTACTTTATATTCTTTGCCTCAGCTCTCTCCGCTAAGAGCACAGCTTGCATGTTAGCTAGCTCTCACTCCAACTGCCAATCAGAAATTTCCAACTGCTAAGTGAGAATCCTACCAACATGTTCCACCATTGCATCAAAGAATATATCCAAAACAAACCAGCATTTTTTGTTTACTTCTTTCTTGAAATTATCATCTTCATTATCCTGATCACTTAAAAACCTGAAAGCTTTTTTATATTCTCTTTCTCACTTTACTAGTTCTCATATGTAATCAATTGCTACGTTCTATAAATTCTATATTTGTGATGCTTCTCAGACTCTTCCCTTCATTTTCTTCCCCACATCTGTGGCTCTATCTCTATACTTTAATTACCTCTCACTAGACTGAAAATAGCCTTTTATCTGGGCCACTCTACTTCCAGGTTTTCTGAAATGTAATCCAGCCGAAACACTTATGATAACTTTTAACTTGTAGCTTCCTTGCTCAAATGCATTCAGTGCATAGCGTGTCCCCACCAATCAAATGACATCCAAACCCCTCAGCATGGCAGTGAAGGGAGGCCATCTGCTACCCTGTCTACATCATGTCACATTGAAAGCAAACTGTCCCCTATGCTCTGAATGGTCCCTGGATATTCCCGATTTTACAGTTTGTGCAAGCTAGTCTTTCTACCAAAATTGATGTGAAGTCTGCTTATCCAAGCTCTTCACAACCTCCAGGACCCAACGCAAAACACAGCAACAACCACAACGAAAACCACAGCAATCTCCACACCAGCATGTTTAGCATGTTTAAGGCACTCACACATTCTGCAGTCCTTAGCTCATTTACCATTAAAAACAATAACATTGTGGGTTCTGTTATATACCTTTTTAATTTTACTAAGGAAAACAATATTGCTGCTTGAAAGTGTTAAGAATTTTGAGGAGCTCTTCCTTTTTAACAGGTTATTTATATGTCCCTTGTAGCACTCATTAAATTCTGTGTGTAGTGTTAATTCTGTGGCTGTGTCATATTCCTTGCTAACTTGCAAGTCCATTGAGAGGAGAAGCAGTCATTATTTTTTTATATTCCTCACAGGATGTAGCTAATTTTTTACACGTGGTATGTGCTTATCACACATTTGAATATGCACATAATAACTCCTACTATAGTGTGTAAAACTGCTCAGCTACTCTTTTCTTTCCTCTGGATTTACACCTGACAACCTCTTGTCTGAACCAAATCTCCAGTCCAAATGTTACATTTTTCTGCCATGTCTTTTCTGATTTCCCCATGCACATTTGGCTCTTCCTATGATCTCCTTTAGAACTTGTATGAGAGTTCATATTCTAGTTATTTGTCTGGTATTTTACTCTGTTATTTCTTCAGATACCTCCAATAACCTAAAGCTCCTTAAAACATTGATCATCTCTACCTGCCTGTGTTTTTTCTCTTCCCTACAATACCTAGTGCATTCTGTAACAATAATAATTGCTAAACAATAATTTTAATTGAAGTGAACTATCTAAAATTCTTTTAGAATAAAAAGCTTAGCTTCCACAATAAGAGACTTCAAAAGAATAAGACAAAGGACAAAGTACTTTATTTTTCACATATATAAGAATTCGCAGTGTGTCCTATACTTCACTGAGCAGCTCCATAGCGTCTTTGTCTTGAAAAATCATTCACAGACATCAACTGACAATGGTTCTTCTCTCTGGATCATGGAACTTTCAAGGTCTTTCTGCTTACTCCAGCCAGCAAGAAGGGAGAAATGGCATGGCAAGGTGCATGCTAAAGACTTTCCAGGACACACCTGTGCTGCATTCACTCACCATCCATTGGTTTTGAACAGTCATGTGGCCACAGCTAGCAGTAAAGGGACTGATAAATGCAGTCTCCATGTGGTCTATATTGTAACCACAAGCTATAATTCTGCTCTTCAGAAAGAAAGAACGTGTGTGTGTGTGTGTGTGTGTGTGTGTGTGTGTGTGTGTGTGTGTACTAGCGGTTTCTGCCAGGTGGCCCCATTTACCTTTCTTCATGCAATAGATAGTCATCCCTTACTCAGTCAAGATAATTAGGGTGGAACCACTAAATCTAGGATTTGTGTGTGATGTACAGTATTTTTCATGAGATTGGGAGGTAGCTCCCTATAACTTTTAAATTAAAGGCAAATTATGACAAAGTGAGACCATGCCTCTTAAAAATACAAAGAAAAATTGCCTTCTCCCCTTCAACCTTCTCCTGCATCCACACACTTGGATACTTCCAGTGGTGAAGCACACTCAAGTTATTTATGATGTGATGTTACCAAAAACACCAGGGCTTCAGCCTAGGCCCTGCTGCTCACCGCACAGAAAGCCAATCACTGAGATGACAAGTATTACCAAGGGAGAAGGCTTTAATCTGGTGCTGCAGCAGGGAAGACGCGAGCTCAGTCTCAAATCCATCTTCCTGACAGACTAAAAGTAGGGGTTTCCATGCAGGGAAGAAATGTAACAATGTGTAAGAAAACAGGAACTAGGGAGGAGTAAGGAAGCAATCATGATGAATGAAGGGTCTGGCATATTATATTGTCTGGATGTGGTGATTTGGTGAGTTTCAGTTCTTTAATAGTATTTTTGAGACCTGAAGGTGGTTTCCTGAGGAAGGAACTCAGATGAAACAAATGTAAGCTTCAAGCTTTAAGACCAGAGGGTCAATTTCTGTTTATCCAAAAAACTATCTATGGGACTGTTGCATCAGTTCCAGTAACCCCCACTAAGAGCAAGAAAGGATGGAAAACACCAAGATGGCATTACTTTATAGCAACTATTAAATCCTGCTGGACAGGATTACAAATATTCTCTGCCCCAGCTATAGCATCTTTTCAGGTTTAGCCTATCCATCTTTCCCTAGTGCTGAAACATGGAAAAATTCCCTTATCTTATTCTCCAGGGCCTCCAACTCAGTCCCTTGGAAGATTATTCATTGACCTTTGTACTTCTGGCCACATTTGCAGTGGACGTTAGAGAGTATTCTTTTTTGAAGACTGTTGCATTTAACAACCTATTCCTGTAGTGGATTGAATAGTGGCTTCCCAAAATAGCTTTATGTCCCAATTCCTGGAATCCCTGAATGTTACCTTATCTGAAAAAGGATTCTGGATATATAACTAAGGATTGTGAGATGAGATAATCCTGTATTACCTGAATGAGCCTTAAAGGCAAAGAAGACTGTCCTTTTCAGAGAAAGAGAAAGAGACCTGGGCACAAGCAGAAAGTGGCAAAGTTGGAGGCAGAAAATGGAGTTAGACAGCCACAAGGTAAGCAATGTATGGAGCTACCAGGAGTCTCAATATACATGGAAGTTTCTCCCTAGAGCCTTCAGAGGTAGCATGGCCTTGCCAACACCTTGATTTTGGACTTCTGGTCTCCAGAAATATGAGAAAATATATTTTTTAAGCCACTCAATCTGTGGTAACTTGTTAAGGCAGGCATACAAAATTAATAGACTGGATAAGTTTGAGAGCATAAATATCAGTTTGAGACTTGAAAACTCACAGACGTTTTCAGTCCAGGCTTGTAGTTTCACAGGTAATGCACCATAACAGATATTTCTGATTCAGCTATTGCTTCCTTCATAGCGGCACCACGCACGGCCCAGGCGATGCTGCCATCACCCTTGCTGAGCTTCCTAAGCCAGCTGGAGTCCTCATGAAGGCCCAGACCTTGTGGCTTACATGCCACCTGCATGCCACGCCTCAGATTGAGTCACACTCCCATTCCTTGGCTTGGCTGAGAAGCCACATCAGAGAGTATGTGACATGCTTTCTGCATACCAACATGCGACGGGGGACACAACCTGGAATGACCCACCATGAGAAACTCTCCACTGACAGGAAACGGGCATGGGAAGGAGTGAAGCCCATGCACCCCCTTCCTCTGTCCCTTCTGTAAACTACTTTGAGATAGGATTACAGCCCTGCCTGAGAAATCCCCCGTGTCTCTGAGGCTCATCATGAAACTTTCATCTCTGTGTGCTTCACTTCCATTTTTTCATTGCATTCACAGCCCTGGGCCTGCATTTTCCAAATAAAGTATCAACACTTGAATCCTGGCCTCAGGCTCTAGGTTCTAGAGGCCCTGACCTAGATGGTAAACTTTTGATCTGTTGCCTCCACCCAATTCCATCAGCCAGTAGCCAAAATCAAAGTGTTCTTCTGAAATTAGTTTGTGCCACTGCTTAGTTTCTTTACTTCCTTGTTCAACTCAAGCATTTCTCTCAATTTAATGACAGATGGCTGGAGGCCATCTGAAGAGCTTGTTCAAGGCCTCCTTCCTGTTCCGTAGGTTTCTGAAACATCTGGCTTTCCATCCACACAGTTCCCAATTTCGGCTCTTTCCTGTTTTCCTTTCATTTCTGTTTGCAGTTTGGCTAATTCATACCTGTGATCCTCTCAGATTCCTCTATTTCACCTGAGGGACATATAATCTTTTGAATTAAGAGTGTATTTTTTCCCTTGTGGAGCTAAAATAGATGATAAAGAATATCACCTACTTGGTAGATGTGTTTAAATTCTGACTTTCTACTGAGTTGCATTACTTGAACAAATTAATAAACTTGTCAAAGTATCATTTTTATTTCTAAACTATGGTCATATATTATATATCCTATATAATTGATGTAAGAATTGAATTGAGAATGGCTATTAAGTATCCAGTAAATTAAGTATCCTGGAAATTAGAGGAATTTAGTGAACTTAAAGTAGTAGTAAATAAATAGTAGTTTTTGTTGTGAAGTCTCAAGGAACATAACAGGTCAAAGAGTTTTCCATATGTTATTAACCACCTGAATGAAGTAGAGTTGGAAATAATTGGTATGTGTAATCCATAAATTTAATCACCAGTAAACATTTTGAGTCACTATCATTTGTTCAATCTCTATCCAAATGAAGTAATTTTTTTCAGCAATTTCAGGGGAATAAATAGTTATATGAAATAAAAATAAAGTATATATTAAGGCAAGAAGAATAAAGGTCGTTGAAAAATAATAGGCCCGGGGCAGTGGCTCATGCCTGTAATCCCAGCTTGTCCGGAATTGGTGGGTTCTTGGTCCGACTGACTTCAAGAATGAAGCTGTGGACCCTCGGGGTGAGTGTTAGAGTTCTTAAAGATGATGTGTCCAGAGTTCGTTCCTTCTGATGTTCGGACATGTTTGGAGTTTCTTCCTTCTGATGGGCTCGTGGTCTCGCTGGCTTCAGGAGTGAAGCTGCAGATCTTGGCGGTTAGTGCTACAGCTCTTAAGGCGTTGTGTCTGGAGTTGTTCTGTTCGTTCCTCCCGTCTTGAGTTGCTCATTCCTCCTGGTGGGTTCATGGTCTCGCTGGCCTCAGGAGTGAAGCTGCAGACCTTCGCGGTGATTGTTACAGCTCATAAAGGCAGTGCGCACCCAAAGAGTGAGCAGCAGCAAGATTTATTGCAAACAGTGAAAGAACAAAGTTTCCACAGCGTGGAAGGGGACCCCAGCGGGTTGCCACTGCTGGCTCAGGCAGCCTGCTTTTATTCCCTTATCTGGCCCCACCCAGTTCCTGCTGATTGGTCCATTTTACAGAGAGCTGATTGGTCTGTTTTACAGAGAGCTGATTGGTCTGGTTTGACAGGGTGCTGATTGGTGCGTTTACAATCCCTGAGCTAGACACAAAAATTCTCCAAGTCCCCACTAGATTAGCTAGACACACAGCACTGACTGGTGCATTTACAAACCTTGAGCTAGACACAGGGTGTGGATTGGTGCATTTACAAAACTTGAGCTAGACACAGAGTGCTGATTGGTGTATCTACAATCCCTTAGCTAGACATAAAGGTCCTCCAAGTCCCCACTAGACTCAGAAGCCCAGCTGGCTTCACCTAGTGGATCCTGCACTGGGGCCGCAGGCATAGCTTCCCACCAGTCGCTGTGCACCCGCACTCCTCAGCTCTTGGGCGGTCGATGGGACCAGGTGCTGTGGAGCAGGGGGCGGCACTCATCTGGCAGGCTCGGGCTGCGCAGGAGCCGACAGCGTCGCGGGAGGCTCGGGTATGATGGGCTGCAGGTCCCGAGCCCTGCCCTGCGGGGAGGCAGCTGAGGCCTGGCGAGAATTAGAGCACAGAACCGGCAGGCCGGCACTGCTGGGGGACCCAGTGCACCCTCTGCAGCTGGTGGCCAGGGTGCTAAGCTCCTCACTTCCCAGGGCCGGCGGCGCAGGCTGGCTGCTCCGAGTGCAGGGCCCACTGAGCCCATGCCCACCCGGAACTTGTTCTGGCCCACAAGTGCTGGGCAGCCCTGGTTCCCGCCTGCGCCTCTCCCTCCACACCTCGCCTCTCCTTCCACACCTCCCTGCAAGCTGAGGGAGCGGCTCTGGCCTTGGCCAGCCCAGAGAGGGCCTCCCACAGTGCAGTGGCAGGCTGAAGGGCTCCTCAAGCGTGACCAGAGTGGGTGCTGAGGCTGAGAGTGAGCGAGTGCTGCCAGGGCTGCCAGCACGCTGTCACCACTCACCAGCACTTTGGGAGGCCGAGATGGGCAGATCATGAGGTCAAGAGACCAAGACCATCCTGGCCAACATGGTGAAACTCCATCTCTACTAAAAACACAAAAATTAGCGGTGAGTGGTGGTGCGCTCCTGTAGTCCCAGCAACTCGGTAGGCTGAGGCAAGAGAATCACTTGAACCAGGGAGGCGGAGGTCGCAGTGAGCCCAGATCACGCCACTGTACTTCCGCCTGGCAACACAGTGAGATTCCATCTCAAAAAAAGAAAAAAAAAAAAGAAAAATAATAAAAGAGTAAAACAGCAAGGTGTCTTTGAAGGAGAAAAGGAATGAAATTTAATAACCATTTTGGCAATAAGATAATAATAGAATAAGAATATAGAAGAATAGGAGTGTATTACTTAAAATTTAATAGTAGAGACATATTATGTGGCATAAAAACAAAATCAGCCAATTCTTGCAAAATACCTTGCTTAAAAAATTTATATTATTTATTTGAGGTCTGAGTCTTAAAATTTACTATAAAGACAGCATTAGACAAAGTAAATTGGGTAGAAATTTAATTCCAAGAGCCCTATTAATCCCTATGCTATGGTTAGTTTACAATTTATTTCAGTTGCCACATTTTTCCTAAGGGCATTTCTGCTCTGGCAGGTGCTGATACTTTTCTGTCTCTCTTCCTGGTAGAGATTGCCTTTGCTTTCTCCTCTCCACCTTCAATTTCATTACAGAACTTTGCACTCTAGCATATATTACATTTATTTTGCTGCAAATATAAAATGTGTCATACGAATAACAGAAATGGAATAATTTTCTTCTATTAGTTACAGTAAAGTTTCATCTTTTGCTATTGTGACTACTTTAGTAAAAAGTAGAAAGAAAAGAAAGATATTTTGTAAACACATCAGCTGATATCCCTCCATTTCTACTTTTTGTAGTAAAAGTTGCATAATCATTAATTAGATATTATAATTTCTGAAGATTAGCTAAAGTTCATACTGGACAACCATAAATCTTTCTCATCTGAATTCTGTTCATATATACAATTGAAATGGACAGATGGAGCCTTGAGCCCTTTGCAACTTATACGAATATAACAAGTTATTATGGTATAATATTTCTCCACACCTGTCTGCTATAAAATACTGTAGTGTTTATAATAACAAAACACCTTTTATCTTCTTCCATTCTCAGTCTAACACAGTGCCTATTTTCTTAGTAGGCATTTCACAAATATGTGTTGACTAGGTTACAAACTGACCAAATAAAAAAGTTTAAAACATTGTGACTTTAAAGTATAAAACATTTAATCTGCAGTTTACAAAATAAGGTTATTGAAGATGGGTTTAACCTATAAGAGTAGCTTAAGGTGCCTGAAATTTGTTTTCTGTATAAGAATATGGAAAGTGTATAAAATGCTTATTTTCCTGAATCTGTTAAGGCATTTTTTTTTAATAGTTGATGAGGATGAAGATGTAGAAAAGTCATTTACTTATGTTTTATTAAAAATCTTAGGAAAAAAGAACTGGTCAGAAATATAAAAATTTTAATCCATATTAAAAGTCAGTTGGTCAGGTTCCACATGACCTCGGATGTTGCTCTTTTCTTAATCACAGGAAAAAAGGTAAACACAATAAAAAATCAGCAACTCTTCTGAGATTCATAAGGGAAGTGAGGTCACAAGGCAAACTACTGCTACCAGCATTGAAGAGATAGACAGGTAGAGAAAAATAATTACAACATGCTAGAGTAGAAACCTCCACAAGAACCTGTGTTGGAGTAGGAGAACCTGAAATGTAATTGAGAATTGCTGGAGTCCAAGTGTGGACAAATCTAAGAATTAAAATCTCCAGGTTTCCACCAAGCTTTTGTGAGTTTTACCTTCAGGAGCTCCACAGTGTTCTCACAGTAAAACCAGAAAAATCCCCTCATACTTCCAGCAGGAGAAAAGGAAAATGAACCGTTTTGAAATATGCTGGGGCACTCTGTTCGTAACAAGTTTTGCCCTCTTAACTTGAGAAATAAGTACTCTAGAAGGCTGTGTCTACCCTGAATGGTGCCAATATATGGTACTGTTTCTCCTATGGCCAGGATTCATGGTTCCGGGAATCAAGGGTTAGAAGTGGAAATGGCACCACTCACCATCACCCCTAGGGACCCACTAGCAAAATTTTGTTTCCTGTTCCCAAGACATTATGTTCTGCTGGCCAAGAGGTCTTAGTTTCAGTGGGAGGAATACTGCCACCAGGAGACACAACAACAATTCCATTAAACTGGAAATTAAGATTGCCACCTGGCCACTTTGGGCTCCTCTTACCTCTAAGTCAACAGGCTAAGAAGGGAGGTACAGTGTTGGCTGTAGTGATTGATCTGAACTAGCAAGATGAAATCAGTCTACTACCCACAATGGAGGTAAGGAAGAATGTGTGAAATACAGGAGATTCCTTAGGGCATCTCTTAGTATTACCATGCACTGTGATTAAGGTCAGTGAGACACTACAACAACCCAATCCAGGCAGGACTACTAATGGCCCAGACTCTTCAGGAATGAAGGTTTGGTTTACCCCACCAGATAAAAAATCCATGACCCACTGAGGTGCTTGCTAAAAGCAAAGGGAATACAGAATGAGTAGTAGAAGAAGGTAGTCATCAATACCAGCTATAACCACATGACCAGCTGCAGAAACAAGGACTGTAATTGTGATGAGTATTTCCTCCTTATTTTGTTAAGAACATGTTTGTGCATGTATACACTTGTAGTAAGAAAATATCTTCATTTTCATTTTTTTCTTTATCATGTGGCATAATGTTTACTGACTTCATATCAGCATTTAAGTGTTTGTTAACTTTATGTAATAGCATTTAGGTTAAGGATTAGTGTGTTTCTGGTTGTATGAAGGATAGCCATATTATGTTAGGCATAATTATGACCTTACTATTGTCTTTATTTGAAGATTATATATGATTTCTGGAGATGTGTATGGATTCAAGTTGACAAGGGGTGGACTTGTGATGGTTAATATTGTCAACTTGATTGAATTGAAGGGTGCAAAATGTTGTTCCTGGGTGTGTCTTTGAGGCTGTTGCCAAAGGAGGTTAACATTTGAGTCAGCGGACTGGGAGAGGCAGACCCACCCTCTACCTGGGTGGGCACCATCTAATCAGCTGCCAGCATGGCTAGAATAAAGCAGGCAGAAGAAGTTGGAAGGAGTAGACATGCTAAGTCTTCCGGCCTTCATCTTTCTCCCGTGCTAGATACTTCCTGCCTTGGAACATCAGACTACAAGTTCTCCAGATTTTAGACTCTTGGACCTACACCAATGATTTGCCAGGGCTCTCCAGCCTTTGGCCACAGATTGAAGGCTGCACTGTCAGCTTCCCTACTTTTGAGGTTTTAAGACTCAGACTGGCTTCCTTGCTCCTCAGGTTGCAGATGGCCAGTTGGGGACTTCACCTTGTGATTGTGCGAGACAATACTCCTTAATAAACCCTCTTTCATATATACATCTATCCTATTAGTTCTGTCCCTCTAGAGAACTCTGACTAATACAGTTAACCAGAGCCAAACCAGCTGGAGTTATGTCAGAGCATAACTTACTGGAGAAAAGGGAAATAACCCAGGTCTAGCCTACTTCAGCCTTGCATGCGGAATAACAGAAAAAGAAGAAGAAAAAATGGAGAAGCACTTGTGAAAGTCACAGCTCAGAAGCAGAGATTTACTGAAAAACAGATACCTAATCATAAGACTATAGAATTATTCCCAGCCCCACACCTTACCACCACATTACTAAAGACCTATTCATTGAAGTTCCTCTTATACAGTACATCTTATCTGACTATCAACAAAAAAGTGCAAGCATACTAAAAGGCATGCGTGCTCTCTCTCCATGTATACACACACACACACACACACACACACACACACACACACACACATTTTGAAGAGACAGATCAAGCACCAGAACCAGACATGGCAGGGATATTGGAATTATCAGACAAGGAATTTAAAACAACTGTGATTAATGTGCTAAGGACTCTGATGTCTAAAGTAGGCAATATACAAGAACAGATGGGCAATTCAAACAGAATGATAGAAATCCAAAGAATGAAACAACAGATGCTAAGGATCAAAACACTGTAAAAGAAATGAAGAATACCTTTGATGGGCTTTTTGGTAGACTGGACACTGCTGAGGGAAAAAAATTTATGACTTTGAGCATGTATCAATGGAAACCCCCAAAACTGAAAAGCAAAGAGAACAAAGAATGAAAAAAAAGAACAAAATATTCAAGAGTTGTGAAACAACTACAAACGATGCAACATACATGTAATGAGAATACCAGAAGGGAAAGAAAGAAAAAAATGAACAGAATAAATATTTGAAACAGTGATGACTGAGGATTCCTCCAAATTAATGTCAAACACCAAACTGAAGATTCAGGAAATTGAGGGAACATAACACAAGATAAATGTCAAAATAACCCTACACTTAGGTGTATCATTTTCAAAGTAAAAAAAGTCAAACATAAATAACAAAACCTGAAAGAGTCCAGAAAAAAACACATATTACTTATAGAGAAGAAAAATATCATAGCTATATCTGACTTTTCCTCAGAAGCCATATAAGCAAGAAAAAAATGAAGTGAAATACTTGAGTGTTAACAGAAAAAAACAACCCTGCCAAGATGATTGTTGTATTACCAATCGATCATCTAAGTTTCCACCTTAGCAAATTAGAAAAGAAAGAACAAATTACATCAAAAATTGGCAATATAAAATAAATGATGAAATAGCAGAAATCAATAAATTGAAAACAGGAAATTAATAAGAATAAGTAATGAAACAAAAAGCTGCTGCTGCACAAAGATTAATAAAATTGACAAGCCTCTAGCTAGGCTAACTAAGAAAACAAGAGAGAGAACATAAAGTACTAATGTCAGAAATGAACAAGGAGACATCAGTACATTAAGTGGACATTAATGGACCTTGAAAAGATAACGAAGGAATACTATGAACAACTCTGTGCTCACAAATTTGATAACAGATGAAATGGACAAATTCCTTGAAAGAAACAATCTGATAAAGCTTACACAAGAAGAAATAGACAATCAGAATAGGCCTATATCTATTAAATAAATTGAATCAATAATTAATAACATTCCAAAACAGGATAAATCTGGCTCAGATGAGTTCACTGGAAAATTCTACCAAGCAATTTAAGAAATAAATTATACCAAATTCTCTACAATCTCTTTATTTGTGATGGAAGCAGTGAAAATACTTTCTAGCTCATTCTATGAAGCTAGAATCACCCTAATACCAAAATCAGATGAAGATATTATGAGAAAGGAAAACTATAGACCAAGATTGCTCATGAACACAGGTGCAAAAACCCAGAATTAGAAAATTGAATTCCACAACTTATAAAAATAATTATACACCATGATAAAAAATGGGATTTATTTGAAGTATGCAAGCTGGTTCAACATTCAGATATCAACTAATGTAATTTATCACATCAATGGGTTAAGAAGAAAAATCAAATGATCTCAACAATAGATGCAGAAAAATAATTTGACAAAATCCAACACTCATTCATGATACAAACTCTCAGTAAATTAGTAATAGAGGTGAACTTACTGAACTTGTTCAAGAACATCTACAGGAAATCTAAGTTAACATCATGCTTAATGTGAGAAATTAGAAACTTTCCCACTAAGATCAGAAACAAAACAAGTATGTCCTCTCACCACTGGTTTTCAACATTGTATTGGAAGTCCTAGCTACTACAATGAGATAAGAAAAGGAAATAAATGATAGACATTTTGGTAAGAAAGAAAACTTTTCATTTGCAGATGACTTGATCATCTGTGCAGAAAAATGGAATGAATCAACAAAGTAGTCCTTGGACTAATAAGCAATTATAGCAAGTTTGCAGGATGCAAGTTTAATAAATAGGAGATAACAACTTTCCTATATTCCATCAATGAACAAGTGGAATTTGAAATAAAAAAACATAATACATTTATATTAACACTTCACCTCAAATTAAATACTTATGTATAAATCTAATGAAACGTACAAAATCTATACAAGGAAACCTCCAAAACACTGATAAAATAAATCAAAGAAGAACTAACAAAACAGATATATTTCATGTTAATGAATAGGAAGACTCAATATTGCCAGTTCTTCTCAATCTATAAAGTAAATGCAATCCCCATAAAAATCTCAGAAAAGTGGTATATGAATACTGACAAACTGATTGTAAAGCTTACATGGAGAGGCAGAAGACCCAGAATTGATGACTTTTTTGAAGAAGGACAAAGTGGGAGGACAAGTATTACCCAATTTTAAGACTTACTATGAAGCTAGAATAGTGAAGACAATATTGTATTGGTGAACAAATAGACAATTAATTAATGGAACAGGATAGAGAGCCCAGAAATAGACCCAGATAAATATAGTCCACTGATCTTTGACAAGGAAGCAAAGGCAAGACGATAAAGCAAAGATTATGTTTTTCCCAAATGGTGCTGGAACAAGTGGACATTCATATGCCAAAAAAAGGAATCTAGACACAGATCTTACACTTTTCACAAAAATTAACTGCAAATGGATAACATACCTAAATGTAAAACACAACACTATCAAACTCCTAGATGATAACATAGAATAAAATCTAGATTACCTTGAGTTTGATGATGACTTTTCAGTTATGACACCAAAGGCACAATCCATGAAGTAATTGATAAGTGGACCCTCATTAAAATTAAATATTTCTACTCTGCAAAAGATACTGTCAAGAGAGTGAAAACACAAGCTGCAGACTGAAAGAAAGCATGTGCAGAAAACATACCTAATAAAGGACAGTTATCCAAAATATAGACAAAACTCTTAAAATGTAACAATAATAAAAGACTCAACTAAAAATAGGCCAAAGACCTTAACAGAAACCTCACCAAAGAAGATATAGAGATGGCAAATAGGGAGAGAAAAAGTGCTCCACATCATATATATGTCATCAGGTAAATGAAAATCAAAACGACAATGAAATACCACTACAAACCCATTAAAATGGGCCAAATTCATAACACCGGCAAGTGCTGGTGAGAATGTGGAGCAGCAGAAATCCTTATTAATGGCTGGAAGGAATACAAAGCAGTACAGACACTTTAGGAGATGGTTTGATGATTTCTTACAAAACTAAACATACTGTCACCATCTGGTCTAGCAACCATGCTCCTTGGTATTTTCCCAAAGGAGTTTAGAACTTATGTCCACACAAAAACCTGCACATGGATATTTGTAGCCTTTTTATTCATAATTGATGAACTTTAAAGCCCCCAAGATGACCCTCAATAGGTAAATGGATAAACAGATACATCCAGACAATGGGATAATATTTAACACTAAAAGGAAACAAGCTCTTAAGCCATGAAGAAATCTTAAAAGCATATTATTAAGTGAAAAAAGCCCATCTGAAAAGGCTGCATACTGTGTGATTCAAACTACATTATATTCTGAAAAAGGCAAAACTATGGAGACAGTAAAAAGATCAGTGGTTGCCAATGATTAGAAGAGACAGATGAATAGGTAGAGAACAGAGGACTTTAAAGGCAGTGAAACAATTCTATATGATAACTACATGTCATTATACATTTACCCAAACCCAGAAAATGTAGAACACCAAGAGTAACCACAATGTAAACTATAGTCTTTTCAGTGATAATGATGTGCCAATATAAGTTCATCAGTTAGAAAAAATGTACCACCTTTGTGGTGATATTGATAATGGGGGAGGCTATGCATGCATGAGGGTAGGAAGTTATGGGATATCCCTGTACCTTCCTCTCAACTTTGCTCCTAACCTAAAATTGTTTTTGTAAAAATAAGTCTAAAAAAGAAACCTTACAATAAAAGTGAAACTTTTAATAATATGTAATATTTCCAAAGTGAGCATCTCATTTTATATTATAGCTGCCCTGCTTATTTATTTAAATAGATGCCTATATAATAGAATTGAATTGTTTTTTTTTCTCAGTTGTACTCACAGCTCTAATTTACTATAGCTGAAGGATATCAAGAAAAATCAGCAAAGGAAAAAGGTGCGTGAAAGTCTCAGGAAATCAGGCACAAGCTTCCAAAAATTCTCTCCCAGTAATTACACAGGACGTGGATGGCAACACGTATGAAATGCTGTCTGCCAGGGAAGTTTATTAGAGACTTACTCCCCAGGGGTTTGAAAAATTATTTTTAACTAACAAACAATAATTACATATATTTTTGAGGGTAGTGTGATGTTTTGATCTATGTATATATTATTAAAAGATAAATCGAGCTAATGAACATATATTTCACCTCCCCAGTTTATCTTTTTCTGTGGCGAAAACATTAAAAATAAATTTTAGCAATTTTGAAATATGCAATACAGTATTATTAACAGTGGTGAACACGGAGTGCAATAGATCACTAAAACTTCTTCCTCCAGTCTAACTGAAACTTTGTACCCTTGGATCAGCATCTTCTCTTTCTCTCTCCTCCCCTTACCACTGTCAGGCTCTGGTAACTACCTTTTTACTCTCTGTTTCTATGGGATCTACTTTGACAGAGTCCATGTATGAGTGAGAACGTGTAGTATTTGCCTTTCTGTGCCTGTCTTTTTTCACATAATGTAATATCCTCCAGTTTCATTCATATTGTCTCAAATGACAGGATTTCCTTCTATATTAAGGATGCATAGTATTCCATTGCCTGTGTGTGTGTGTCTATGTGTGTGTGTATGTATTTTTTAATATATTTTTATATTATAAATATATATACAAAATTAGAGCTGTGAACAACTAACAAAATCCAGATAGTTCAATTCTATTATATAGGCATCTATTTAAATAAATAAACAGGGCAGCTATAATATAAAATGAGATGCTCACTTTGGAAATACTATATACTATTAAAAGTTTCACTTTTATTGTAAGTTTTTTTTTAGACTTATTTTGTAAAAAACAATTTTAAGTTAGGAGCAAAATTGAGTGGAAGGTATAGGAATATCCCATAACTTCCTACCCTGATGCATTCATAGCCTCCCCCATTATCAATACATACATATATATACATATATATATACACGTATATATACATATATATATACACGTATATATACGTATATATACATATATATATATACACGTATATATACGTATATATATATACATACACGTATATATACGTATATATACGTGTATATATATATGTATATATAATCACCCTTTCTTTATCCATTCATCCATTGATGGACACTTAGGTTGCTTCTCTTTCTTGGCTAATGTAAAAAAATGCTGAAATGAATATGGAAGTGCAGATATTCTTTAACATACTAATTAAATCCCTTTGGATATATACCCAGAAGCACTGGATTATATGGCAATTATATTTTAAGCTTTCTGAGAAACCTCTATATTATTTTCCATAGTAGACGTACTAATTTACACTCCCACCAACAGTGTACAAGGATTGCCTTTTCTCCATATTCTCACCAACACGTCATCATTCATCTTTTTGATAATAGCCATTCTAACAGGCAGGATGAGATATCTTGTGGTTTTAACTTCCATTTCTCTAACGATTAAAGAGGTTGAAATTTTTTTAAATAGCTGTTGGCCAATCATTAATCAACATTCAAAAATCTGTAACATATCTATATGGTAAAAATAAACTATTCAATAAAGAAATCCAGAAAACAATCCCATTTATAATTTAGCTGCAGAAAATAAAATATGTTGGAGTAAATTTAGCCAAGAAAGTGAAGTATCTGTATACTGAAAACTATATAATATCATGAAAGAAATTGAAGAAGACACAATTAAATAAAAAGATATCTCATGTTCATAGATTGGAAGAATTAATCTTGTTAAAATATGCATACTACCCAAAATAATCTGCAGATTCAATACAGTTCCTATGAAAATTCTAATGCAATTTTTCACAGAAATATGAAAAACAATCCTAAAATTCATATGAAACCAAAAAAGTCCCAAAATAGCCAAAACAATCTTGGGCAAAAATAACAAAGCTGGAGACATCACACACCTTTATTTAAAATGCAGTGTGAAGCTATTGTAACCCAAAACAGCATTGCACTGACATAAAAAGTAGATACATCAACCAACGGAATAGGATGGAAACCCACAAATAAACCCAACTTTTCTCAGTCAATTGATTTTTGATAAAGGTGTTAAGAACACAATGGTGAAAGGATTGTTTCTTTAATAAATGGTGCTGGGAAAACTGGATATGCACAAGCTGAAGAATTAAATTAGAACTTACCTCACATTGTATTTTAAAAATCAGCTCAAAATGGATAAATGACTTACATGTAAGACTTTCAACTGTAAAGCCACTAGAAGAAAATAGGAGAAATGATCCACAACATTGTTCTGGGCAATGATTTCTTAGATAGGACTCCAAAAGTACAGGCAACGAAAGCAAAAACAAACAAATGGGATTGCATCAAACTAAAAATCTTCCACACAGCAAAGGAAATAACAAAGTGAAGAGACAACCTGTGAGTTGGGAGAAAATATTTGCAAACCATATATCTGATGAGGGACTAATATTAAAATTATATAAGGAACTAAAACAACTCAAAAGCAAGAAAACAAATAACCAAATTAAAAAATGGGCAAAGGATCTGAACAGACATTTCTCAAAGGAAGAGATATAAATAGATCATTTTTTTTTTGAAATAGACAAACCAAAAACGTTTTTGGTTTGCTAATTTATTTTTCTTTCTTCTTATTATCAGTATTGATTTCTACAAGAGTTTATATTTATTTGGGACACACAAAATAGTGTGGACTAGAAGGACTAGATGACTTTCCTCATGTGTGGATGTTGTGATATTATTACACTGCATGTACTTCCTTGATCTGATGGAAAAAAGACACTGCCAGAGAGCAGACCATTTGTTTTTTCTTTCACGGGGAAGACCACCTCCATTATACATGGCTTATTGGAATGCGGTGGAAAAATGCTCTACAAAAATTAAATGTGAATATTTATATTTCTAATAGATGGAATAAAATGAAATTTATTATTTTTCTAAATGAACTATTTCAAAAATAGCAGCTCTTTAGTATCATATTTAGATATTCGTTGGTTAGGTCAGTGAGTGACAAATTAGTCACTGAAAAAAATCACTAAAATTTTGGAGAGGATGAATATCTACTTAGTGTACTGCAGAGAAGTGGACTACCCAATGGAAAAGAGATCTGTAGCATCCTACTTTGAGGCAAATAAAACCAAAACCAAATCAAACTAAATCAAACCAATCACAACAACAAATGGAGTAACTGAAGAATTCTGACATGAGACAGCAATGGCAAGCTATAGAAAACAAACTGAGCACATCAGGAATTTCAAGTGCCACCCAGCAAAACTTTGAGGATCCAAAAGCTTTTTAAAGATTTCACTTAATTAACCAGCAATTCTTAGAGACTGAAAGAAGGCTCAGAGAGAAAATGTCATTCTTCACAAAGTACAAGTAACAACTTGAGTGTTTAGTTTTGTTTTCTGGCTACTGGTTATTCTGTATATAGAATAATGTCACCTAAAATCATTCTTAAATTTGTATATTTCATATTGTGAATATTAACATATTTCTCATTGTTTTGATACATTTGTAATGCAATGCAGATGAAGACTATTACTTTAAAAATTGCAAAAGAGCATTTTGGCTTATTTAAATTACTAAATTATTATTAAGCCAAATATGTAAAGAGTTCTGTCAAAATGAAAGTTCTTAAAGTAAAAATTTCAAAAACAGCCATAATAATAAATTGGCTTCTTGTAAAATACTAACATGTAAAAATGATAGAAACAAGGAAAGCAGATGATTGGTTTGTGGAAATCCATTTTTAAAACAATCCCAGGTAACAAAGTTTAGATTTATGTGCTTGAAGAATATATAATATATTTAATAATTTATCAGATCATTCTTATATTTTTCAATTTTGATATGCTTTCAAAACAACTGAGATTAAGATGAATAAAAGATCAAAATATATTGAGATAAATGCATATATAATAGAATAGATATTTGCATCATTTCAGTTTGAATAGATTGGAACAGTTGGCATTTATCTGAAATTTTTTTAAAACACTAAAATGAGAGAAAATAAATTTTCTAAAAAAAGTTAAGGTTGTAATACAGGATCTAGGACAACAATTGGATGCCTGTGTTTTTCCATGCATCCTTTGCCCCCCAATATCTTTGAGAAACAACACATTACACTTCATTGGTAACTATCCTGTTCTAGGTCTGCCATATAGCTATAGAAAGCGAATTTGAGATAATTAAAATTGTTTAATAAATATCTATTTAACTTCCTTACACATGTGTACACTTAAAGAGGCTTTTACATTAATTATGCATGTGATCATATTAATTCTTTTTAGTGTATTATTTTTCTGCTTGGATCCCCTTCTCATTCTTCTTCCCATTCCCAATACCATTTCCTTTCTCTCTTTAAGTTGTCTTTGTAACAACCTCATGTATATCCTTCAGCATTCTTTTTTTGTAAACATAGAAGTATTTATAAAGTGATTTTTTTTCTTGAACCAGAGTCTCGCTGTGTCACCCGTGCTGCTGCAATCTTGGCTCACTGCAACCTCCACTTCCCAGGTTCAAGCGATTCTCCTGCCTCAGCCTCCTGAGTAGCTGGGACTACAGAGGCCTACCACCAAGCCCGGCTAATTTTTTTGTATTTTAGGTAGAGACGGAGTTTCACCGTGTTGCCCAGGCTGATGTCGAACTCCTGAGCTCAGGCAATCCACCCGCTTCGGCCTCCCAAAGTGCTGGGATTACAGGTGTTGGCCACCACACCCGCCCAATAAAGTGATGTTTTTTTAAAGTTAATGTTGCCATTTTTCTTTTTTAACGACACTTCATTAAACACACTTTCCCACTTTTTGTTTTTCTTCTTCATTCCAAGGATGAGACACTATGGAAATCATTTCAACTCACCGATTCTAATTTATTCTTTTGAATAACTGAATGATGTATCTTGATGTGGATATATCATTGTATCTATAGCAAAGCCCCGAATTATAAAACTTCTATTTGTTCGAAGTCCACAGACTTCAAAATAATATTATTTTTCATATGTTCTTTGTATTTTCATCTTTATTTCTACAGTGTTGATTCTAAGAGGCAACTGAAGGATTTACTTCTATTTTTGTGATCAAGAAACTTACTGACAAATATGCTCTATCTTTGCGGCAGGTGAACAAGGCAGCAGGCAGTTTTCCCTGTAGCTTGTCATCACATCTGACGATTCTTCTACCAGCTCAAGTGTGCTTTACAAAGTTGCCTTAGGAGTGGCTTCCATTCCATCTACCGTGCGTGTAAAAAGAGAACATGAAGAGCTTTCATAATTTTCCATGGCCCAGGTATGCAAGTGGCATACCTTTCAGAATTTATTAGCAAAAATTATTCATCTGTGGCTACATCTACTTACAAAGAAGACTGGAAAATGTAGACTAGTTGTTGTATACTCAGGAAGATCCCATGTTGTCTGTGTGTGTGTGTGTGTAAATATGTATGTGTATAAATTGTGTGTGTGTGTAGGTGTATTTTCCTCAATATAGATTGGAACTCTATGAACCCATTTGATTTTCAGACTTCAATGTTTCTATTACATTGTTTCCATCATGTAAAAAGAATTATTTTTCTGTTAATTATTTGATTACTGTGTCTCCATGATCTTCTATTTCTTTTATCCTGTGTGTGTTTTCGACCCCTAAGACTCCAGGTTATCATACATTAGGTCTTCTGACTCCATCACTCAGTTCCCTGACCTTCCCCTCATGATTTTAACCTCTTAATTTTTGATCTCTGACTTGATATATTTCTTGCTCATTATAGGTCTCAGTGATGACCCAATTCCTTTAATTTAGTTACATTTTTCATAATTTTGTTTGTCAGACAGACTCTAAGATAATATCTAGTAACTTCTCCTCTCTGGTGTTTACTTCCCACACAATCTCCGCCTTTCAATGGGGGCAGGACTGGGACTTATTTCTAATCAATAGAATATGACAGTGTCGATGGATGTTACTCCTCCTGGCTCTGAAGAAGAAAAATGCCACATCAGAGAGGTCCCATGTCAACTGAAGTAGCTCTCAGACAATAGCCAGCAAGAAGCTGGGGCCCTAAATTCTATACCTGGGAGGAAATGAATTTTGCCAACAACCTGGACGTGTTTGGAAATGGCTGCATGTCCAGATGGGAATGCAGCTCGGCTGGTACCTTCATTGCAGCATTGCAGACCCTGAACATAGGACCCAGTACTCCTAACCTGTATTCCTAAACCATGGAAACTGTAGAAAACAAACATCTGCTTTTTAAACTGCAGTGTTGCCATTGTTACAGAGTAGTAGAAAACGATCAGTGCAGTTTGAAGTTTTTTGTTTGTTTCAATGTCTTTTTAAAATTTGTTTCTTTCTCTTTTTTGAAAGAAACTTTACTTGAAAGTTGAGTAATTTATTTTATTTCACTTTACTCCATTTTCAAAATCTAAGTCCGATTGTTCTCATCTTTCGAATGATTTGTGGTAAGTTCTTGTGAATTCAGATTGGCACTCTGCTTCTCTGTTGTCAGCTCCTGTGTACCTAGGCAAGGTGGCTGCAGCATTCTAAATAGCAGAGGTTCAGTGGGGACAAAATGCAAATGGGCTTCCCATTTCTATCCCTGCACTTGAGGTCTAAAAGCAGGTTCTGTTTTGAAGTTCTTGAAGAAAGGCTCTTTGTTTCACTATGGCCTCATTCTTACATTTTGGAAGTCCCAAAAGACATCATCCTTATACTCACTCTTGCTTTCTGGGACTCTGGGGATTCAGAATGGTCAACAGTTTCCTTTTTTCATGGAGTCCCCAGATATCAGCAAAGACAGATCTTCTTAATATCAACCCCTTTCCAATTCCTATTGTTAGGCTCCCACCCGAGTGGATGGACTCTCACACCAGTTATCTCCATCAAAACCCCCAATATAATCCAAAGCATCAAACGCTGTCCCCTCTAAGTCCTGGTATTTATTTGAAGAGGTAGTCCCATGCATTTCACAGTAAAGGGAGATGAGGGCTCAATCAACTGGCTGTGTTTTCAAAATCTTCTTGTAAATATAATCCTCAATATTTTATAGATATACATTTTCTTAATTTCCCAAGTGATACACATTATTATAGAATATATTTAAACAAATAAGCTCAAATAAGATTAAAATTAACTTTTCTCCAATACTTAAATTATTACTGTTAACATATTAATGTATATATTCCATTTTTTACATGTTTGGTTATTTATTATTTCTCATACATTCAGAATTATACTGTGGAAACTTTTATAAAGTTTTTTCATTTACTAGTATATATTATATATTATCACATCAATAAATTTACTCTTGAATCCATTATTTCATTTACTCCATGTAAGAAACTTTATTAAACACATTTCACATTGTTCATGTCATTTTAATATCTCATATTATCATTAACAGCACTACAATAAATATCTGTATAAATCTGACATTATTAGCTGTGTATTTTTTTATTTCAAATAATTGCTAACCACCAATCAGATCGAAGGATGAGAACAATAGCACTTAGATTTTGAAAAAGGAGTAAAGCGAATTAAAATAAGTCACTCAACTTTCAAATAATTGCTAAAGGTGAGATTGCTAGAGTGAAGGTATATATAAAATTTGAAGATGAACAAAAAAATCTGGCATTTGGATTGCAAGAGACAAGGAGAAGAGAACTTGAGACTGGAGAGGTAGGCAGAGGCTATATCGTGATGGATCTAAGAAGTTGGATTTTATTCTAAGTATTATTAACAGCCAGTGGTAGGTTCGAGCAAGAGAACTTCTGCATTTTTGGAAGAGTTTTCTGAATGCTGCATGAAGAATTGCTTATGAATGTGACAAGAAAGTCACCATGGAGACCTGTTTGGAAGGCATTACCAGTAAAAAGTGATAGAATAAAGTGGACACATTCAAGGTGTAATTTCAAAGTAGGATTTTCTGATTGATTGAATGTAGGTTTACTGGAAAGTAAAGAATAAAGGGTAAAGTGTATTGAGTTAGACTGTTCTTGCATTGCTATAAAGAAATACCTGAGACTGGATAATTTATAAAGAAAAGAGGTTTAATTGACTCACGGTTGGAAGCATGATGCTGGCATCTGCTTGGCTTCTGGGGAGGCCTCAAGAAACTGACAATCATGGTGGAAGGTGAAGGAGAGCAGATATGTTACTTGGCTGGAGCAGGAACAAGAGATGGCACACACTTTTAAACTACCAGAACTCATGAGAACTCACTCACTATTTCATGGATGGCACCCAGGGGATGGTGCTAAGCCATTCGTGAGAAATCTGCCCCCATGATCCAATCACCTCCCACCATCCCATCACCAACACTGGGGATTACAATTGAACATGAGATTTGGGTGGGGACAGAGATCCAAACCATATTATGTATGTTTTGGCCTAATTACTCAAACGGTCATTCTGAGTTTGGAAAGACCAAAAAGGAAGGTATTTTTAAGGAGTGGAGTCATCACGATTCAGACATTTCCTTTTGCTCATGTAAATTTTGGTGTGATTGGGCATGTCAATAGAAAACTGAACAAGTAACATAGAACTCTAGGGGAAAGTCCAGAACTAGAGGTACATATTTTGTAGTCATAACAGTGACAGCCATGATACAGCATGACATCACAAATAGAGGGAGTGCAGTTTGAAAAGGAAAAAAAGGCAAAAAACTGAGGTTTAGGGCAATCCAAGATTTAGGTAAGGGGAAAAGGGAGACAGCAAATGAGATTGAGAAAAATGTCTAGTGGGGTCAGCAGAAAAGCAAGGAAGTGCATTCTCTAAGACTAAGTGAAAAACGGCAGTTTCCAGTAGAACAGTCAAGAGTTGAATAGTGATTTGACCATGTCAATCATTGCTAAGGGTTTGAGTAGATGAAGAATAGTAAGATGTTAGGTCATTTGATTGGAAGAAAGGAAGGCTCTCAGAGGCCTTGATGAGAATGATTTTAGTACAGTGATGGTGGGAAAACTCACATTAGAGTGTTTTGTGGGAGATGTAAAAGGGGAGACTGTGATTAGGCACCTCTTTAAAAGAATTTTGCCATTACAATGAGCAGAGAAATGAGGTGGCAAATTTATATGGTTAGGCTTTGTGTTCCCACCAAAATCTCATCTTGAATTGTAATCTCCATGAACCCCACGTGGCTAGGGAGAATCCAGATGGAGGTAATTGAATCATGGGGGTGGTTTGCCTCTTGCTGTTCTTATGATAGTGAATGAGTTCTCACAAGATCTGATGATTTTATTAATATAAGGGGTTCTTCCCTCTTCTTTTGCCATTCTCTCTCTCATCTGCTGCCATGTAAGAAATGCCTCTTCCCCTTACACCATGATTGTAAGTTTCCTGAGGCTTCCCCAGCCCTGCAGAACTGTGAGTCAATTAAACCTCTTTCATTTATAAATTACCCAGTCTTGGGTATGTCTTTACAGCAGTATGAAAATGGGCTAATACACAAATGAAAAAGCTTAAAGTGTTAAGGATATACTTTTTTTTTTTTTTTTTTTTTTTTAAAGATGGAGCCTCACTCTGTTGTCTAGGCTGGAGTGCCGTGGTGCAATCTTGGCTCACTGCAACCTCTGCCTTGGTTAAGGATATACGTTGAATAAATGGAAGCAATTTCATCCAATTTCTTGGATGTGATTATACAGAGGGAAATTTATGATTTAAGAGAAAGAAGAAATAATTTTAGGAGTTAAGCTTTAGGAAGATAAGAGAAGGTAAAATCCGTTCACATGTAGAAGGGTTGTTCTTATGTTGGACAAGATACAGCTTTCACATATTATCAAGAAGATTTGTAGTTAGTTGGATGGTAGAAAAATTGGTAATTTTATTCTTAGAGCTTGTATTTTCTCAGGAAATACAAATGAAGATGATTCACTAAGAGAAAATAATAAACGGGGTGCTGGCAGTTGTAGAAGACAGAAAGGGAGAGAAATAGTTCATTCAGCACAGTGAGTAGCAGGGCTATTGGGAAAGCTTAATAGAATTTTGGGGGTTGAGGGTATGGAAGCTGAAGACCCACTTGAGAAGTGTGGTCATAAATTAAAAGCTAGATCAGAAAGCACAGTTGATATGCTTTATGATAATACTAATTTTTACTTAATACTGCCAATTTCCATAGAGGGGATTTGTGGATTCTATGCTTATTTGCCATAATCAGTGCCATAATCAGTGATGATTTTATTAATATAATGGGTATAATAATTTAAATTAGCATGAGGCATAGAAGTTCAAAAGTTAATCACAATCGGAAAACAGAAAGTAAACGTTCACCAAAACCTTAATGAAGTGAAATTGACAGCTCATTCCAAAAGTTTGCCTTGGTTAAATTCTCACATTATTTGTAACTTACTTTAACATTGGATACCTTTTACAGTTAAATTAACTACTTATTGAACTATGTGTAATGAGTATGAAACCAATATACTATTAATCATCTCTATGTATGATTATTGACGATGAATCTTAATGATCAGACACAGGGACTTTAAGAAGTATGTGAGTGATCATGAATAGCTTCCTGGAATTTATTAAATGTAAGCCGAATTTTAACGGAAAGCAGGATTAGGGAAATGTTTGACTGAAAAGAATTTCAATTGAATTCCTGAAGGATCTTAATGAGTAACTGTATGTAGGTGAAAATTAGCAGATTAGGTGGAGACACAGGGAATGATTTGCATCAGATAAATAGTCTGATACAGTGGAGATAAAGTTTTAGTATCCGAGTTGTAATCTGGACTTTTCTTCTTCTGCCTCGTGTGGACTTGGTTAGTTTCTTCATTTGTGAAATGGAGGAGTGATGGTGAAGAAATTGTTTAAGATTCCTTACATTTGTGGTGAAGTGTTCCATACAAGTGGGCTGAGGACAGAGGATGGCTTACCTTAAATTATTTAAATAATCTCAGGGAGATTTTGCTGTTTTTGTTTTAAGTAGAGTGTTTTGAAAAAAATCAATATTAGTATATCTTTTAAATGTGAATCATCTGAAACTTATGTAATGCTTGTTTGTAAATAAAATTTTCTTCCCTTCTAATTTTTATCTTTCTATTACACCCCCCACCACACAGACACACAGACACACAGACACACACACACACACACACACACACACACACACTGGCTTCTACATTTCATTCTCTTGTAATGACATTGCTGGTATATCATATTATATATTTTGTTCTCCCCTCGTGGCTTGACTGGCATGTCAAATTTAAGGACCAGCTACATTAAGACAAACCAGCTGTCTATTCTGGTGGAAAATAGCAGTTTTCATATTATAAAAACTTGCTAAAACATAAGCAGAAGCAGATGGCTTTTAGTTATAATGTTGTATTATGGAATGGCATGCCTCTCTAACACATGCATAATCAAATGCTAAATGTGTGATGGTTGTTAGGTGAGTATTTGTTGGACAAAGCAAACTTATTCCTGACTTTATTTGCTGCATTTAAGAATCAGCTTTCTTCCTCTGTATTGTTTATAATTATTTAGAAATTGACATTGTTGTATTAGTGAACCATCTCAAAACTGATAGACGTGCTTTTATTAAAACTGGTAGAAGTGAAGTTTTGATCAAGCTGTTGGCATTTAAAAATAATATTTCTTGATTCATTATTTAGTAAAATAGTTATTTCATAATTGACATAATATTTATCACTTTATTATTAAGTATTCTAATATTGTCTTTATTGAAGCATGAGCACATTACTAATGTACCGATTTACGAAAAGTACAAGTGTTTTGTTATATTGTATTTGCTCATTATAGACTCATGTGAACCAAACATAGGTCAGAGCTAATTTCCTAGGCAAGATGTAATGCCTAGAGACCCAGGATACCACACACACTGGCAGTGGATGCATGCAAAATATAAATGACCTACCTGAAGACTTGAAAATTAGGAACTTTTCTTCTTTCTAGATCTCTGTGCTTAGGAAGTACAGTTGGTAGTGTGGCTATTTCTGCAAAATGCTTCCATGTGTCCTTCTCTCTTTAGTAGCTCTGTGCTTTGAGAAGAGATTGATCATTTTTCCTGCTTCATGATAGGCATTGATTATTTTACCCAAATTAGATTACTCCCATCTCCCTTCACACAGTGATTTCTTCAGACAATGTTAGTTGCTCCAATTTTCTTGGCCAAAAGCATTATTTCAGAAATGAGCACTTGGCCAGCTATAAGACAATAAGACACAGTGGTTGTTGTGAGGGCTGACTAGGGAGTCTTGCTTTTGACTCTTAAGAGTGAGCTGGCAGGGCATGGTGGTTCATGCCTGTAATTCCAGCACTTTGGGTGGCCGAAGCGGGCAGATCACTTGAGGTCAGGAGTTCTAGACCAGCCTGTCCAACATGGCAAATCCCTGTCTCTACTAAAATACAAAAATTAGCCAGGGGTGGTCGTGGGCCACTGTAATCCCAGCTACTCATGAGGTTGAAGCCAGAGAACAGCTCGAACCCAGGAAGTGGAGGTTGCGGTGAGCTGAGATCGTGCCACTGCACTCCAGCCTGGATGACAGTGCCAGGCTCTGTCTCAAACAAACAACAAAAAAAGAGTGATCTGCAGAAAGTCGGTTCCCTCTTCCTCTGGGCCTTGAACAGATGTAAAACTTGAAGCATAAAAGCAACACAGAGAGGTGAGAAGACTGAGAGAACTTCAGAGACATTGAGCTGAGTCCTATTTGAACAACTTCTTTTTAAATTAAATTATTTTATTTTATTTTAAGTTCTAGGATACATGTGCAGAATGTGCAGGTTTGTTACATAGATATGCATGTGCCGTAGTGGTTTGCTGCACCTATCAACTGCCATCTAGGTTTTAAGCCCCACATGCATTAGGTATTTGTCCTGATGTTCTCCCTCCCCTTGGCCTGCCCCCCAACAGGCCCTGGTAGGTGATGCTACCCTCCTTGTGTCCATGTGTTCTCGTTGTTCACCTCCCACTTATGAGTGAGAACATGCAGTGTTTGGTTTTCTGTTCCTGTATTAGTTTGCTGAGAATGATAGCTTCCAGCTTCATCCATGTCCCTGCAAAGGACCAGAACTCATTCTTTTTAATGGCTGCATAGTATTCCACAGCATATATGTGCCACATTTTCTTTATCCAGTCTTTCACTGATAGGCATTTGGGTTGGTCCCAAGTCTTTGCTATTGTAAATAGTGCTGCAATAAACATACCTGTGCATGTGTCTTTATAGTAGAATGATTTATAATCCTTTGGGTATATACCCAGTAATAGGATGCTGGGTCAAATGGTATTTGGTCAAATGGTATTTCTGGTTCTAAATCCTTGAGGAATCGCCACACTGTCTTCCACAATGTTTGAAGTAATTTGCACTCCCACCAACAGTGTAAAAGGGTTCCTATTTCTCCAGAGCCTCTCCAACATCTGTTGTTTTCTGACTTTTTAATAATTGCCATTCTGACTGGCATAAGATGGTAGTTCATTGTGGTTTTGATTTGCATTTCTCTAATACCAGTGATGATGAGCTTTTTTTCATATGTTTGTTGGCCGCATAAAGGTCTTCTTTTGAGAAGTGTCTGTTCATATCCTTCACCTACTTTTGGATGGAGTTGTTTGTTTGCTTTGCACTGTTATTTTTAAAGGTTCACATTAATAGATGTTTTTAATCAAATTATGTGGAATCGATGCTTTTCAAGCTTTAGATAAAAACGCTTCCTTCAAGCTTTTTACAAAATGCTGGTTTTGCCCATGAGGTAAGCTTTCCCACAGGCTGCCTCTGCACACTGATGGGTGGGCAGCACTTGACAGCACAGAGCGCAGAGGCTGAGCTTGTCAGGGAGAGTGTTCTACATGTCCACTTCAGACTTGTGAGACATGTCAAAAGACATTACTGTTCTGCATGATCCTTTTGTTGCCTCATTTTTTCTCTCATTAAAATAATATTGACTCTTCACTGGCATTTCTGTTTTACCTAATTTTCATTCAGTTACAGGGAGACAGCATATACATTGCTTTGTTAATTTCCTTGAAATATTTAGAAGACTCATAATTTAGAGTAGGTGTATCAAGATAATTTAATGGATATACTTCATTAAAATTTGAGCCAAATGAACCACATAATGTAACTAGGTGCTTTAGATTCATGCAAAGACAAGTAATATTTTGTAAACAAACAAACCAACAAAAAACTGGAAAAGGGATGGTAAGTCACTATGGCATAGTTGCATTTTTGATAATTGACAGGCAATTAGTAAATGCTTTTCTCTCAAAGTAGGGAGATTGAATATTACAAAAATTTTGAAACTAAAGAGCATTTACATTTATGTTGGGTAATGAGGTATTACACATAATTATTTATAGTGATATTTCATTAACCTGTGCCACTAATGAATATCTCATTATTAATAATATTAAGCACTATAAATCAGTTTTCTGCTAATGTCTACATATCAAACATACACTGTTCAGTAAAATACAGGGCAGAATTGATTGCTCCAGATAACTGCACTTCATATGTAAACTTCTATGACAATTTAATTGGTTATGAGTTATTTACCGCCTTCCTACTAATAAGACAACAAAACAAAACCAAAGCTCAGGTACCAGCTCAGATGCCTCAGTCCGTTTCCTAAGCTTGCTAGTTGACTTCATGAAATACAAAGGCAGATAGTTGCTTAAGCCACTCATCAATGGGCAGAGAGATAACACTTTTCTTTGCATCAGTGAAAACTACCAATGTGATTTAAAAAATGACACCTATCACTCATAGGAAATAAATGCTTGAAAACAGCTGTGAATACAATTCCTTAATAAAAGGTTTGAGTTCATTGCTGGCCTTTCAGATTTCTTTGAGGTATAATAAGTGGGTGTTAACTGAGATGAACACTTATTCTAACCCATTTCTCAATTAACTTGTAACGCAAGTAGTCTCAGAGAATACAATCAAAGGTTTGAAACAGCAAATTCTTGATTGAAGCTGAAATTATTTTTTTGGTAAGAAATGCAAACAAACAAACAAACAAAAAAGCAGGCAATAAAACATAACATGAACATACGCCATCCCTGTCAGCCTTAGTGCAGTTATCTCATTGGAAATTGGAATGAACAACTGAAACATATGCTCCTTAAGCAGATAGGAAAAAATAAGTTTGAAAGGTTGACTTAATTGTGTAGATGATCTTGTCTTTATAATGACTATGAGGGAACATAAGGAATGGAAGTAAGGTTTATTGGGTTGAGAAGAGTGAGAATCACAAGTGAAGAATGCAATTACAAAAATTTATATTTTCCTTCTCCTAAAATGTTTCTTCATTTTTCCCAATTCAATGGTTCTAGGCCCGTGTTTAATCTTAAGCATATCCATGCAAGGTACTATTAGTTCATGAGTGATAACATTCATACCATTAAGTTTGACATCAAATTGCTATCGTTAAACTTCTTAAAGGTACAGTAGAGTAGGTAATACCTTCACCCCAGGTACCGATTTATAGGTAATTGTGAAAATAGTTCCAAAAATAAGCTCTGAATCCTATGGCACCTCCTTAGGGGTGAAGCCAAGGAGAAATAAATGTCCTCAAGGCTGCTACTACTGCAGGCTCTATGGTGTAAATGTATGTTTTCCTTCAAAATGTATATGCTGGAACAAAAACCCCAACATGATAGTATTAAGAGGTGAGGTCTTTGAGGAAGTGATTAAGTCATGAGGGCTCTGTCTTCATGAATAGGATTAAAGCCTCATAAAAGGGTCTTCAGAGAGCTACCACCCCTTTTTCCCCTTTCACCATATGAGGACACAGTGTTTGTTCCCTCTAGAGAACACAGTGACAAGACACCATCTTGGGAGCAGAAAGAGAGAGTCCTTATCAGACAATGAATCTGCCAGCACCTTGATCTTGGACTTCCCAGCCTTCAGACTGTGGACAAATTAATTGCTATTATTTATAAATTTACCAGTTTGAAGTATTTTGTTATTGCAGCACAATTAGACTAATAAAATGTAAATATGACTTCCTGACCTATATAATTTTTCTTCTTTCTGAAGTATTTGCTTTAACATTTCTTGCAAGGCGGGTCTAATAGTAACAAATTCTCTCAATTTTTGTTTATCTCAGAAAATCTGTATTTTTCTTTTACCTTTGAAGGATAATTTTATAGAAAACAGAAATTTAGGTTGGTCACATTTTCTTCTTTCACTGTTTTAAATATTTTGTCATACTCTTTTCTTACTTGCATGGTGTCTGAAGTCAGATATAATCTTATCCTGGCTTCTCTATAGGTAAAGTGTATTTTTGCTTTTGACTTCTTTGAATATTCTCTCATCTTGATTTTCTGCAGTTTGAATCTAATATGACTAGGGGTAGATTTTTATCTTGTCCACACTAAGCCTTCAACACTTTTTAAATTACAGTTAAATTTTCTTACCTCACTACTGGCTCTAGCAGCAGTTTTTGCTCCTTGACTTCTGCTCTGATATATTGTGATACTTTGTATGTGCCTGTCTGTCTCTCCAATTTTTTTTAACTTTTATTTTAGGTTCAAGTGCCCATGTGCAGGTTTGTTATATAGGTAAATTGCATATCATGGGGATTCGGTGTATAGGTTATTTTATCACCAATGTAATTAGCATAGTACCTGATAGGTGTTTTTTGATCCTCACCTTCCTCCATCCTCTGCTCTCAAGAAGACCCTGGTGTGGGTTTTTCCTTCTTTGTGTCTATATGTACTTGATGTTTAGTTCCCACTTACAAGTGAGAACATGCAGTATTTTGTTTTTGTATTCCTGTGTTAGTTTGCTTTGTCTCTCTAATTATGGGAGACAGTGATTGACTTTGTGACTTCAATTATCAGATAGATATAAAAGGAATTGATGATTTTCAATTTGTTCAGTTTCCTTTATCTTCTTGTAGAGATGGAAGTGATAACTTTTGGAGCCCTTAGATGCCAGACTGGAAACTGGAAGTTACCCTAAGCCATTTTTATCTTAACTTCATTTTTATTTCATCTTGTAATCATGAATGATGGATGTACAATTTTATCTAAAAATTTTATTTAAATGAACTCTTCTAAGAGCAACTAGTATGATAATTTTTTCCTCAAACATCTTTTGTCTTATTTTATCTTTTGAAGAAATACATATAGGTAACATTCACCAGGCTGGAATGCAGTGGCGTAGTCTCGGCTCACTGCAACCTCTGCTTCCTGGGTTCAAGCAATTCTCCTGCCTCAGCCTCCCGAGTTGCTAGGACTACAGCCACATGCCACCAAGCCCAGCTAATTTTTGTATTTTTAGTAGGGACGAGGTTTCACCATGTTGGCCAGGATGGTCTTGATCTCTTGACCTTGTATTCCGCCTGCCTCGGCTTCTCAAAGTGCTGGATTACAGGCATGAGCCACGGCACCCAGTTGATGATAAGTATGTTATATTGAATTTGTCTACATGCTGTGTCTTTAGAATGCTGAGCAACTATGCATAACTCAGTCGTCTTTAATCTCCAAAATTTCAAATATTTCTAAGGCAAAATATTCATAGTTCAATACTCAATTCCAAATACTTCCACTTAAATATATATTTAGAGACATAGATATAAAGGCATTGCTATTATTGATTTTTATAATCCACTAGAGTTTAAAACTGAGATTCTAATTAAGTTGGTTGTTGGACTCTAACTCAAGTGTTGGCAAACTAAGACCAGGAAGTCAGATTTAACCCATCACTTGTTTTTATAAATAAAGTTGTATTGTTTCACAAACAAAAATTTATCTACATATTATCTATGGCTGCATTCACATTACAGTAGTAGAGTTGAGTAATTGCCATAGAGCCTGCATGTCCTATAAAACTTAAGACATTTACTCTCTTACCCTTTACAGAAAAAAAGATTACCAACTTACTTGAAGATATAGAGAAGATTTTGAGTTTTTTCAGTGTACATATATTTAATAAGCTAAACACTCTATGGGGTGAATTTGCATTAGTTTTGTGGGTTTTTTTAAAACCTGTATTTGTTATAGGCCATCTATATTTCTATGGCTATAAGGTGGTAATTTAAAAGGAAGAAAATTTGATATTTATATACTTCATTGAAAAATTTACAAATATAGAGTATAGAAATGGCAATTTTTTTTAGTTACTATTCCCTTTTATTAAGTCTTCATTCTGAATTTTAAACTTTTCATGTTGCCTCTGCTACCTCTTCTTGTTACTTATAATTTACTTGTCTCCTAGTCATTTCTATTTCATTCATTTGTGAGTTTAACATCCTGCTTAACATCTCCCCTCCCATTTCCCTATCACTATTCCTTGTGACTTCAACAATTGTAGATAATATTTGCCTTCATTGCATCTCCTCACTGACGACATTTTTACTTAGCAGCACCACCCAGTCCATTTCCGTATTATATCATTAACCTCATCACCAACAACAAAACTGCATCACCACTTCTTTTTCTCATTGTCAGTTGCCCTGTTGTGCTGTCAAACCCTCCCTGGCCAGCCTGGATTTCATGGTACATTGCTATAATTTATCTTTTGCAGACATTCTTGGTTCTCTCACTTCTTTCTCCGGTTAAATTACTTTGACAGAAAATCAAAGATTGCAGGCTTCATCTAGCTCCTATTCTGCCTGAGAACATGACAAGATAGTGCTAAAGAGTCTAACTCAAATTCATGATCACAGAATTCAAATGGATATTTGGAATCTTTCAAATATGACCAAGCAATCTGGTCATATTTTCTTACTATATTTCTTACTCCCTATTTTCTATTTTCTTGTTATAAAAATAAACTGTTCTAGTTCCTACCAAACATCCTACCAAAGATCCACCTCTACTTGAGTACTAGATCTCATCTGGTCTTACTTCTCAAATATTAAATTATTGCCAGTTATCTCTTCTTTCCCCTGCATAAGCGTATCTCTATTTTTACTGTTTTAGTTATATCAGCATAAAATCATGTGTTCTTTTAAAACTAAACTGTCTCCTGACCCCTTGATGCCACATAGGTTTCTAGATATTGTCTCGTCTCTCTACTAGACTAACAAGAATAACAAGATAATGTGTATTTGTTGAAAGAATTTTCTACAGACACTATCATAATTTCCTTACTTCATGTTCTCTTCTCAATTCTCTCTAGTCAGGCTCTGACCTTACTTCTGTGTTGTCAAATCCAATGTTCACTTCTCTGTTTATATCTCACCCAGCTGATTTTCAGTATTTGACACTGTTGACCATACCTCCCATCTTGAACTCTTTTTTCCCTGGGCTTCTAAGAAAACAAAATGCTCAGTATTTCCTTCTATAAAATATTTCACCATCTACTTTCTTTCTTTCTTTTTTTTTTTTCTTCCTGGCTCGTCTTTCTTTTTTTCTCATCTACAAAATATTGCATCACTTGCTCCCAGGCCCTTTGATCTTGTTCTCTCTACCTACTCTTTTTATTATCTCAGCTCTTTCATGGCTTCAAATACACCTATATGTCAATGACTCTAAAATATGTTTCTTAGCCCTGATTTTTCTCCATTACCCCAGACGTATATCAAACGGTGCCTTTGACATCACCATTTGGATGTTAAATTTACATTTCCAACTTAACATGTCCAAAATAGAACTGTCACAACCATGATTCTCAAACTCCAAATTTCAGAGTAATACATCAACAGTAATAATTGATTTTCCCTTCTACCCTCAAAGTCCAGATTCAGTCCCTCAGCAATATGTATTCTAACCCTAAAATATATCCTGAGTTGGACCATTTCTTATCACCTTCATGTTTATTTCCTTGGTTGAGTTCCCAAAAACTGGCACCTGATTAATTGCATTCTTATCTCACTACTTTACAATCTAGCTTCTTAAAATTAGTTGACGCATGGTAATCAGTAGGGTTTTTATTTTTTAATGCACCCATGTGAACCCTTGCTTAACACTATCCAGTGACTTTTTTATTCCATTTATCCTTGCCTAAAATTGTCTGAAAGATCTGACCTGCAGGTATCTGTCCAACCCTTCCCTCCTTAATTTACTATGTTCTGGCCTGCTTGCCTGATTTTGAGACACTTAAATACGTTATGTTCAATCCTAATGCATAGCAGTTCCTTCTATTCAGTCACATTTCTTCCCTGATCTTAAAGTTTCTGCTCATTTTCTATTGGGAAAAGGCTTATCTGACCAACTAATGAAAGAAGTTACTTGGTTACTATTCTGTAATCTTATTTAATTTTCTATGTAAGCCCTAATCAGATGCTGACCCCATGAGAATGTAAGCCTCATGGGAGAATGAATTTTGTGTCTCTTGGTTCTACATCAGTGCCTAGGGCAGTACATGATACTAATGTATGTCAAATGTGAGTTATGTGACAAACTTTTGAGAGATGAAAAAATCTAATGGGATGTAATAAAAATAGCTATATAAATTGTGGTCCTATCACATAGGAGAAAGAGGAACAATATTTTAGAATAGAATTTGGCAGTAAATTAATTAGTTGAATTCAATGAACAGATCAGAAAATTTGGTTGGTAGGTTCTGATTTAAATCAGGTGAATATGTAGGATTATAGTTCTTAGTAAATCATAGAAATTTGTTTTTGTGACTATAGGGGTTCATGGTCTCAATTAGTATATTAAGCAAGAATTGACACCAGCATTCTGATCAAATATCTCTATGGATGATGTAAAAATACTGAAAAGAGAATCCTGATTTTTTTGGAATAATACAATTGGTAGTAGATAAGCACTGAATATGAATTTTAGAATAGTCAGAAATAAATATTCAAAATTTCGAAGCCAATCAAACTCATCATTTGAATATTTTTGTGTTATATTTGTAACAACTATTTATATTTAGCATTGTGGGATTTGTTATGTTTAAAAGAATTTGGTAGACTAGAGACCTAACAGATAAGCCTCATTTTTCTGTTTGAAATGTATAAAGAGATTAATTATGTTTACACTTAATATTAAAAAGTATAAAGGGATTTTCATTAAGATTGTAAGCAACACTGAAATGCTTATGTGAATTCAAAATTTATCAACTTTATGAGCTTAACTCATTAGATTTATAGGACATTTAATAATTGGTAATGTTTTGTTAGACATTTAGGTATTTAAAAAATTTAATATGTTAAATTTATAATGTAATAATATATAAGGGATTTTAGCTAAGATACAAAAATGTTGTAAAGAATTGATAAAATATAGTATATTTATACATAGAGTAATAATATTTAAACATTTGACTAACTAAAATTGTTTTTCTACTTGTACTTCAACAAACTGAATAATAGTTAATAAGAAGTTTAGAAAAGTCTTTACTATGAATAGAAGCCACCCTAGTGAAACTAGAAATACTCCAATTCTCATATTTATTCTCTAACATTTCCATTTCATTTGCTCTTTATAAATAAATCCCTGTAGGGTAGGTGTAACAAGCATTATGGTTCCCATTTTGAGAGAAAAGATAGAAATATAGAAATTCACACTGGTTTCATCAATGAACTCTATGTCATCTGTCCACCTTATGTCCATGTTTTTTTCTATCGGAAAGAATTTGTTTATCCTTTATCTCCTTCCTTCTTTTGGCTGATTTCTGCTGTATTTCTCGAAATACTCCTACCTTGATCCCCCAAAATACAATAGACATGGTTTCCATTTATCCCCCTGGCTTTCTGTACAAACCTCATGACTGTATTTATTGCCCTGTTTGTAGTTATTTAGGTGTTCCTAGACCCTAAGCTCATTGTTGATACGGTGCCTATTGTTTCAGAGTTATGTCTTAAATGTCTTGTATGTCTTTTTAGTGCATGGTAGGTATTAAGTAAACATTGCTGTGATTGAAGGAGTTACATGAATAAAGCCATGCAGCTAGAACAGAACCAATTATTTTTTACTGTAGAGACTCTGCTCCTTCCAAGTTCATCTTTCCTTTTCCCAAATCATTGCTTATATTTTAGAAGTCCTTGAATTAAACATATTATGAAAATAGTCCCTAATGATTGGAATTGAAAAGTTGGATATTAAAATATTGACATATCTTTTGCAATTAAGTAAATCAGGATATTTTCCTGTGAAGTTCAAATTTATTTTCAGTAGGAAATGAGCCAGTCAGCTCAAATAGCTCATTGGGAAATAGAGCTAGAAGACACTATACGTGAGTTGGAAGTCAAAGAATATACATGCGTAAAACACCTGTTCAATCTCTAGACCTGCTGCATACTGCCCAGAATACTCAGCATCCCATCAGCATCCTCTAAACTTCATAGTGGGACATTGATCAGTGCTGTATGTAGAATAAAATCGCCCCCTCTAGTAGCTGACACACCATGGGTGGAGGAGGTGTCTATCCTGTGCAATATACTATACAAAGCAGTTCAGGCTAAGTGACACTAGGTGGGATAAGTAGTGAGAGCTTCAGGAAACCCAAGGGTCCTTTGCAGGCCACAGCAGAGCAGAATGCTCCCCTGGTACATGTGCCTGAATGGTTACTATACCAAGAATAGTGTCTGGCCCATACAAGGAAATATTTGTGAATGAATTAATTAACGTGGAATTAAGTTTCAAACTTTATGAATAAAAGTTATTCATAAAACCCTTAAAAATTTTTTCAAAATTTTTGGATTAATCTAGTCTCCCTCTACCTGCCACCCCGTTGCCAATTAATTCATATGTATTTTAATGGGGACATTTTAAGGCCTTAACCTAAAGCATGATTATTGTGAACTATGAGAGTTGGATGAGTGGCTTGTAGAGGAAAGCTTTCAGAACCATTCACAGCTGGGCACAGGAGCAGCTGCTCACTCTAGTCTGAATAATACACTTTAAAAGAGGCATCAGAGGTCTCCTGGGGGAAGCCTTCGAGCTTCACATTAGCACTTCTCCAATCAGAGGCTAAGTCCATAAGAAAATAATGTAAAGAAGCTTGGAAACACATTTTAGTGTTTATTTTCAATGTTTATTTGTGATTGTCTGCATTTTTGCTACTTTTACCTTTAAATGTATTTGTGCTCAACAAGCAAACACTTGCAAATTCTGAGACTATTTGCAAATGGGAATTTCAAGAAATCCTTCAAGATAATAACACATCTCAGGCAAAATTATCATAAGATCAAATGCAGTTCTTAAGCTATCAAAGTTATTAAAATGAAATGCAAAATCAAGATTAATTTTATCATATTAAATAAACTAATGAATTAATTAAAGCCCTCAAATATACAACAGTTTGAAGGAAAATTCGATTTTTGAAGCTATGTCTTGGGGGATCATTTCTTTTGAGTAGGTCAAAAGATTTAATTATTTTGAATTCACAAATGCTTTTAACAACATTTTGCAACAATAATGGAAAACAAGAATTAATGGCAACATTCACATTGTGCTTGATATTGCTCTCGTAACATGGGGAAATTCATTTGCTGTGTTTTATCTATGGTACTTAGGTTTTCATTACCATTACAAGTGTTTTCTGATGGAGTTAGATCAATGTATTTCCACAAGTACCATTAGCTTCTATAAAAAAAAAAGTGTAGGAGATAATTTACTATCCAGATTCATCAAATCAGGTTAATACATTATTTATGAGAATTCCAGCTAGTTTTTGAAAATAATTGTGAAAATTTCATAATTAATAGCACCCTGTCAAACCCTTTCTATCTCTAAAGCCATGGTGCTTTGAAAAAGATGTCACTTAAATGTGTGGAGAATATTCCAAAGTAGTTTGGAATCTATAACGCAAATTTGAAATTCTTGTAATTCAACTTTACTCAAGAATACCAAGTTAAATACTAACTATCTTATCTATGAAAACTATAAATGAAGAGAAAAGAAAAATTAATACCTTTATTTCTTGGGTGACAAAGACCATATTTTTTACTTCCCATTTTCTGATATCACTTATCTTTGTAGTTTTATCTCATAATTAGAATTTTCCATTTTCCTTCATAATATTCAATATACCCAATATGTTTAATGTGAAACATTGTGCTTATCATGAAGTACTCACGTTATTATTGTGAGTCTTAACTGAGCTAACCAGGTTTCCTACTCATGCTTTTTTCATCACTGACAGCAGGTAGAGGCATTATTATTAATACAGGTATTATTGGGGTAATCTTATGTAATTATCCTATATCGAGTTTTATTCAATCATTACTACATCCTACAGTATAATGTACATTATTTGCAATTATAGTTATTTAAAAAAATAAATGTGGACGACTAATCCTTCTAAACTTTAAATTTTTCAATTTGGCATCATGAATTTACAGTGTATACATTTGGGGATGAGTCATGTTTCTATTGGGTTTACCTTCTCCATGTCAAAGTGTATTTAAGAATGACCGCACCGGCCGGGCACGGTGGCTCACGCCTGTAATCCCAGCACTTTGGGAGGCTGAGGGGGGTGGATCACGAGGTCGGGAGATGGAGAACATCCTGCCTAACACGGTGAAACCCCGTCTCTACTAAAAATACAAAAAATTAGTATTAGGTGGGCGCCTGTAGTCCCAGCTACTCAGGAGGCTGAGGCAGGAGAATGGCGTGAACCCGGGAGGCGTAGTTTGCAGTGAGCCGAGATCGAGCCACTGCACTCCAGCCTGGGCGATAGAGCGAGACTCCGTCTCAAAAAAAAAAAGGATGACCGCACCTCATATGTGGTTGGTAAATATAGTTTTGCTCAGGTGCAGCAAAGAAAAATGACAACAAAGAAAAAAAACAAAACCCAAAGTATGTTTATAGCAGAACTTGGCCATATTTCTAATTGCTCAATTGAATCATTTACCTCCATTCACCACCTTTTTCCTGTTGCTTCTAATTTCAATGTATCATAAACATGGAGAGGTTGTATTTACCTGTTGAAATATCTTTCTATCTTCAGGGGTTCTGCTAAACATGCTAACCAGCCAAGAAGAGTTGGAATTTGTATGATTCTTATCATATGGCCAAAATATAATTAATATAAGTATTTTTGTTTATTTAGATCATCTTGATTAATCATAAAAAAATCATTTAAATCTCCAGATGATCATGTTAGAAATCTGAATACCTGGATTTATATTTTTGGTCGTATGTTTCTGGTTGGTAGAGTTACATGGAGATCAGGGAGCCAGACTCTTCTTAAGCTCTGCTCTTCCTGAGGGGCTGCAGGCATAAATGTAATGAGAGGCAGGGAAAGTGTCCCATCCATTGTGATAACAGGTAAATAACTCAAACTCTCTGGACTGTTATTTCTTTGTGTACGTGTGTGTGTGTGTGTGTGTGTGTGTGTGCGTGTGTGTGTGTTTGGGTGGGGTTGGGGGGAGAGAGAGAGAGACAGAGAACAATTTGGCTTTACATACTTCAATTCTTAAAATTCCTTTCTCTTTATGTCAGTTAAAGGGCTTGGGACAAAGTAGATGGCAGACTTCACTAACTGCATCAGAAATTAAGAGCATTTGCCTTGCAAATATGGAAGTCAATATTTAAAAATTCAGGGCAAAGGCAATGATTGGCAACACTGATTTAAACAGGCAAGTGTACCAAGGCACTGCACATTTTCCCTCATCACTGCCAAATCCCAGGACAATGTACTAAGCCTCCCGGGTCAAGTCATGCTCCTGAGACCTGTTCGTGAGAAAGGCATCTGTTGCTTTTCTAATTTTAGTCAAATTTCTCATATAATGCTCTAATCTCTCAGGCTGTCATTCCTCTCCAGGATTAGGGTGCTCTCCCTGTCCTCACATGAGTGTATTAAAACAATTGATTTGTGGTGAGAAGAAATATATTTAGAAGGGAGAGTAAAATTGTAAAGACGTTAATAAATGGGTAAGTGAGGTAAAAAGAAATTGGGAGAAGTTATAAATCATGTTAAGGATTCTTAAACTAGGGCCAGGGAGAGACAAAAACCTCAAAGCAAAATTTATATTTTGTGATTTGTGTGATGAGCCATTCACCAAATCCAAGCTGTTATGTTTTGTGGAAAACCTACAAATGAGGTCAAGCAATAGGAAGAAAAAACAATAAACATTGATGATATCTTTCTAACAGGATATTTAAGGAAAAAACAAATAATTAGCTCTCTGAGAAAGAGATAAATACATTTTACGGACATCAAAAGAAATGTCAGAGGACTCACTCGCCATTTGTGTTCTAATGGATTTAAAGAGATGTAAGAGATTATTTTCAGGAGCTTAACAACTTAGCAGCATCTGTAGTTATAGTGGTTAAAATGAAAATACCTTTATAATCCACTTATTTGATTATTTCAAGTACAGCTGGATTTTAAAAATGTAATTATTTGTAAACAAGATGCAAGCACACATATAAAACCAAACCACCGTAATTTAGAACAAAGTAAAAAAAAAATTTGTTCATCTAGAATGAGTTGAAATGGGTTGTATTAATCCATTCTTGCACTGCTGTAAAGAAATACCTGAAACTGAGTACTTTATAAAGAAAAGAGGTTTAATTGGCTCATGATTGTGCAGGCTGTACAGGAAGCATAGCAGTTTCTGCTTCTCGGGAAGCCTCAGGAAACTTAGGAAGGGAAACGGGGAGCAAGGAAGGCATCTCACATGGCCAGGAAAAAGAGAGAGGGAGGGTGGAGGTGCTACTCACTTTTAAACAACCAGATCTCATGAGAATTCTATCATGAGACAGTACAAGGGGGATGGTACTAAACCATTAGAAACCGCCCCCATGATCTAATCGCCTCCCACCAGGCAGCACCCCCAACATTGGTGATTACAATTTGACATGAGATTTGGGTGGAGACACAGATCTAAATCATATCATGGGTAAAGTTCACATATCTATCTATCTATCTATCTATCTATCTATCTATCTATCTATCCATCCATCCATCTTACTGCTAAAGAAAATCATTAAAATAGTCGAAAGTTATTAAACTAAAATAAAAGGGGAGATCAAAATCCAGGTCTGTAGAAAGCAAATCAATTGGATCATTTACAATGATTTGGCTCATTCAGGCATTTCTTCAGCAAACATTAAGTGGCCAATCCACACCCTTGGTTAGGCAGTGAGAATTGAATAGTGAAAAGAAAGACAGTTTTGTGCTTGTATCTTATATTCCAGGTGGAGATACTGGCAAAAACTTAGTAAACACTCATGAGCAAACTTTCATTGTGGTAAGTTATAAAGAAGCAAACATAGGGCTGGGACACAAAATATTTGTGGCAGGACATGACTACTAATATCATGCCGTGTCCGATCACAAAACTAAAAACATACCATGTATGTTTGTATTATACATTCATAAGGAAGTTGATTAAAAATAATTCAATTGTCATACAATTCAAAGTAACAGGTAGGCAAATATTTCTAGTAAAAAATTAGTGACATCAAGGCAGAATACCATGGAAGTTAATTAAGGTTATTGAAATCAAATGCCTCATCTCTGTCACAGTGACCTGGTAAAAAGAAAGAAAGAAAGTGCTTCATTCTAGAAACATGTTTCTTCATTGGGATTCACATTTTTAATGAGATGGTAACTATGCTATTACCCAAAATGCTGGATGACTACGCAGCTTAATTATAGAGAAAAGTAACACCTGGATTAACAACTTCCGCTGACATACATAAACATATTTAAAAAGTTTCAGAAGCATACAAAGATGTCCTACCACCACTGGCAAAAAACCAAGAGTCCAAGAGTCAACCATGTTAGCAGAACTTCGAAGCTTCAACCTGGAATCTTTGCTTTAAAATTTTTGATTTGATGGCTCTTTCCTTAAACCATCTATAGCTTATTTATATGTATGTGGCTGTTCATTTGAAATGGATTACATTAGTAATGTTTTAGTCACTTTATCATAATTTTGAGATTTGGAATTCTGAAGACAAGACTATCCCCATGTATTGGAAGTAGTAATAATTGCCCAATTCAGCTTGAAGGCCTGATACTGATAGGAATGTTTGAGATTCAACATTACAGAGGATCTTTCTGTCATCCCCTTTCTGCTACACTTTGGAGTATGCAGACTACCCTAATGACTACTAATATCATGCAGTGTCCAATCACAAAACTAAGAACCATACCGTGTATACTTGTGTAATAAATTCATAAGGAAGTTGATTAAAAATAATTCAATTGTCATAAAATTCAAAGTAACAGGTAGACAAATATTGGTAGTAAAAAATTAGTGACATCAAAGCAGAATACCATGGAAGTTAATTAAGGTTATTGAAATCAAATGTCTTTTTGATTGAAATCAAGTGTTTTTTGTCTAAATTAAGCCTGCACTCTTGTTTCTTGATCCTATTCTCTCCTTTTTCTTTAGAACACTCTTTCCAAATTCCCTTCTTCAGTTGCTCCTTCATCTCTGCCTTTTGCTTCTCAAGTCAAAAAATATCCTCAAGTTTCTGTCATCTTATTAGAAACATACTAACCTAACAAACTAAGCAATTAAACTAATAAAGTTTCATGCTGATTTGATCTTATTTGTGCATCTAGATACTCTCAAACCTTTCCTTGACTTTGGTCTGCAAAATCCTTGAAAACCCTTGTCTTCTATCTCACCTCCAATTTCTATTCGCTCAATTGATACAATGATCATTGATTTTTCTTCTTCCTCAAACATGCTATGCCTAATTTAGGTGGCATTACCACTCAGGAAGTTACCCAGGGTCAGAAACTGGGCACTGTCTTTGTCCACCTCATCTCTACTCCACTCACATATTTGGAATAACAGTGTTCATATATTGGCTCTGCAATTTACCTACTTTTTACCTTGGAAAGCTAGCTTGAATCTTTCTAGTTTTCAGGTTCTCATCAATGTGATGGAGATTGTATCCCCTTACATGTATGTTGCACATGTTAGACAAAAACTTATGGAAGGAAAATGAAATAATACCATTTCTGTAAAAGGCAGTATACTTTATTATCTGAGAGCAGCAGCTTTGAAATCAGAAAGATTCAAGTTTGAACTTAAGGAGGGATTCTTGTTAACGACAGGAATTATTTCTTATTGACACCCAACACATATTTGTTTAATTAGTATATGGCCACAGAGAATGGAAAGAAAAGACAAATCAGTTTCCTAGTTAAGAGGACAAGGGAATATTTTGGGTGTGGAATGTGGGTCAAGAGGTATGTCTCTGACTCTGGACTTTCTGTGAGAAGCAGAGGCTTTGTTTAACTTTCCTTTATTACAACCTTTGAATGTGCTATTAGTCTGATGATGTGGTCACTGAGTGTTTCTTGATTCACTGACTAATGGAATGATTGCTTGGGAACCCTATGGGGAGGCATCCATTTGGAAGCCTCTTCACGGGTAATGAAACCAGAAATACTCTCCTGCCTGCCACAAGAGGTAAGCACACTGGAAACAGCTACAAGGATCCTGCTCATTTTCTTCCTTAGAGCCCCTACATCTTCTTCCCCTTAAATGCCATCCTAATTTCCATTTCCCTTATTTCAAGGAAATAAAGGAGACCATAAAATTAGAATATTGAGGTGGAGCCTCAAATTACTTCACAGCTTTCTTTCTTTTGTGTTGACATACGTTGTTTACTTTATGATATATAAACATTATATGTCCAAAAAAAGCCAAAGCTTAGATAAATTTAGGTAAATTTCTTGCCTTCTGCTATGAAAGACGAAGATCATGTAAAATAAAAGCACAGAGCTTTTTAGGGTACATTGGGATGGATTTCTTTATTTTAAAAAATAGTGACATGTTTGAATTTGAATTTGAGAAAAGAGATTTATTTATGAGAATTATAATTAGCAATACAGTAGCAAAATTTTCTGGTTTCTAGACTTATCATAGTCAAAGGCAATTTCACTCTTTGCGTTCATAAAACACACATATCTACATTTAAAATTGTTTCAATTGGCATAGGGTTTTTGCCTCAATTGTTGGAACCTGAAGTGATTATTTATTGTATGCTTATCATCTGTATTTTATAGTTTTTCCACAACAAATATGAATTAGTTGAGCAATATATTCATTTAAAAAGAAATAGCTCCTAGACTTTAATAATCACCTTCTAGGATCTATAGACCTGAAAACCTTTGGCTGGGAAAAATCTGAACAAAAGAATAAACAAATAACAGCACCACTTACCTTCTAATGCTGGGGGGCCCTCACTAATCTTGTGAGCTCTATGATCCTCCTTCTCATTGACTTCCTCATGAATATGGAGGAAAAAATGCAAGGAAACTTAACATTAACAACTGTGTTTTGTTTGTCTTTTCAGTGTATATGAATAATGTTTTGGCAATAGAAATAATAAGTATTGATATAGGTGATGGTAACAGTCCAACAAAATGTATTTAATAATACATTTATTACCTATTTGTCAATTTTTCTTCTTTCTTTTTATTTTTAAAAACTTTAAAGCTGATCAGCAGCAGTCTGCAATACCACTCTGCCCAGTTGTGTGTAATCCTAATGAAAACTTCTTGTATGTTGTTGGGATCACATTGCTAGTGCCTGTGGAATCTGACAAACCAATCTCATAGATTCTCATACTTTCATGCCTCATATTTTTAAAATATACTTAAATTGCTCTCACATTTTGTCAGCAAATTAGAATGTTTCTAAAATATGTGAGTTTTTAAATTGGTTGTGTAGAGAAAAGATTGAAGGCTAAATGTTTTCTTTCTTTCTTTTTTTTTTTTTTTGAGACAGAGTCTCGCTCTGTCACCCAGGCTAGAGTGCAGTGGTGCGATCTGGGCTCACTGCAAGCTCTGCTCCGGGGTTTACGCCACTCTCCTGCCTCAGCCTCCCCAGTAGCTAGGACTACAGGCGCCCGCCACCATGCCTGGCTAATTTTTTTTTTGTATTTTTAGTATAGACCGGGTTTCACAGTGTTAGCCAGGATGGTCTCGATCTCCTGACTTCGTGATCCGCCTGCCTCACCCTCCCAAAGTGCCGGTGTGTCCGGAATTGCTGGGTTCTTGGTCTCACTGACTTCAAGAATGAAGCCACGGACCCTCGCGGTGAGTGTTACAGTTCTTAAAGGCGGCATGTCTGGAGTTTGTTCCTTCTGATGTTCAGATGTGTTCCGAGTTTCTTCCTTCTGGTGGGGTTCATGGTCTGGCTGGCTCAGGAGTGAAGCTGCCCACCTTCGCGGTGAGTGTTGCAGCTCTTAAGGCGGGGCGTCTGGAGTTGTTCCTTCCTCCCGGTGGGTTCGTGGTCTCGCTGGCTTCAGGAGTGAAGCTGCAGACCTTGGAGGTGAGTGTTACAGCTTATAAAGGCAGTGTGGACCCAAAGAGTGAGCAGCAGCAAGATTTATTGCAAAGAGCGAAAGACTAAAGCTTCCACAGTGTGGAAGGGGACCCGAGCAGGTTGCCACTGCTAGCTAAGGGCAGCCTGCTTTTATTCTCTTATCTGGCCCCACCCACATCCTGCTGATTGGTTCATTTTACAGAGAGCCCAGCGGTCTGTTGTGACAGGGCGCTGACTGGTACGTTTACAATCCCTGAGCTAGACACAAAGGTTCTCCACGTCCCCACTAGATTAGCTAGATACAGTGTGGACACAAAGGTTCTCCAAGTCCCCACCAGAGTAGCTAGATACAGAGTGTCGAATGGTGCATTCACAAACCCTGAGCTAGACACAGGGTGCTGATTTGTGCATTTACAATCCCTGAGCTACACACAAAGGTTCTCCAGGGCCCCACCAGAGTAGCTGGATACAGGGTGTGGATTGGTGCATTCACAAACCCTGAGCTAGACACAGGGTGCTTATTTGTGCATTTACAATCCCTGAGCTACACACAAAGGTTCTCCAGGGCCCCACCAGAGTAGCTGGATACAGGGTGTGGATTGGTGCATTCACAAACCCTGAGCTAGACACAGGGTGCTGAATGGTGTGCTTACAAACCTTGAGCTAGATACAGAGTGCCGATTGGTGTATTTACAATCCCTTAGCTAGACATAAAGGTTCTCCAAGTCCCCACTATACTCAGGAGCCCAGCTGGCTTCACCCAGTGGATCTCGCACCGGGCTGCAGGTGGAGCTGCCTGCCAGTCCCGCGCGGTGTGCCCACACTCCTCAGCCCTTGGGCGGTGGATGGGGACTGGGTGCCATGGAGCAGGGAGCGGCGCTCATCAGGGAGGCTGGGGCTGCCCAGGAGCGCAAGGTTGGGGGAGGCTCAGGCATGGCAGGCTGCATGTCCCGAGCCCTGCCCTGCAGGGAGGTAGCTAAGGCCTGGCGAGAAGTCGAGCACAGCAGCTGCTGGCCCAGGTGCTAAGCCCCTCACTGCCCGGGGCTGCTGGCCGCTCCAAGTGCGGGCCAGCCCAGCCCACGCGCACCCGGAAGTCGCGCTGGTGAGGGAGGGCTGCGAGGGCTGCCAGCATGCTATCACCTCTCACTGGGATTACAGGCGTGAGCCACGGCGCCCGGCCGAAGGCTAAATGTTATCTTAAAGATAATCACTTTTAATTTTATAATAAGGTTTACTGAAGAATGAGCTTGAAATTTAAAAAATTATTTTGATACAAATTTTTTCAGAGACATCTATTTCATTTGTAATGTACTCAGTGATTAAATTGAGTTTATCAATATACCTTCATGCATAACAAAAGCAAAGAAGAAAACATGAGCTGTTATGTGTGTAGTCTACAACGGCTAATCTCAGGATTCAAAAAACAGTAATTACATTCTATAACAAAAATTGTAAGCTGTAGCAAAGCTTAGGAAAGCAATTGTTTAATGCCACATAATAGAATTTCCTTGAAGGTGAAAACATACTACAGTATATTACAGTATAGGTGACTTGGAATTTTGAAAATGTGATACAAGAAACATTTTAGTGATTTTATAAGAAATGCATAGCAAATATGACTATCTTGCTTTGACAGAGTTGTGGGCTGGTACGTATGGTATTTATTTAGAAGTTAATTAAATATCTTAAAATAGTCTCCACACCCCTCCCCCTTAGAAATATGCTCAGAACTTTCTGTCTTAGAGGATTATAATCTGAGATATAAAATATCTCAAATTATCTCAACTATTTCAAATATCAAAAAATAAAATCATTTTAAAATAGTGAATTTTTATACTAAAAATAAGCTGAACGTTGGGTGACATAAGATGTTTTAACCGTATGTGTTCTGAGGAACTGCTGATGCTTGCCTATATCTTCAGTGAAAGAATGAGTATCAAAACATCTCCCCATTGGTGTAAAGAAGCAACAAGATCAAGTTCATCTGCCTCATCTGGGCACTGGGTGGACAAATTTCATCCAGCAGACTCATAATCATATGTCATCAGTCATGAGTTTGAATTTATATTCACTTCATTGTCCTGAAAACTAGAGGCTTATATATAATACAAAATGGTAATGACAGCAAGATAGTGCACTCACGTATCTAGTAAATCTCAAAACATCTCTGGAGTCAGCATCTTAGAGTGGTAGTATGAATCCATAAAGAATGGAGTATTTAATTAATTATACTGGAGCTATTGATTATCTATACGGAAAAAATATATCCTTACCTAAAACATAGAAAGATGTTTTGGTTTAAGAAAAATCAAAGTATGAAAATAAAATATTAACAATTATATAAAATGCACACCAATTTTAAAAACAACCATTATGTCTCCTCCATTAGAACAGAGACTTTAGGAATCTAAAAAAGACTTTACAAACAACAAAAACAGGCATATCAGAAGCTGGGAAAGGATATTTGCAATAAAGTTTCCTACAATTACTATACAAATATTAAAGGAAAATGCCTCAATTAAAATAATAGAAAATGAGTAAATCATATAATGATTTTTTTCTGATTTGTAAATGTAAAATAAATAAGCATTTAAAAACATACTCTATTTTACTAGAAATTAGGAAAATGCAAAGTAACATCACAATGATGTGCAATTTAAAAGCAATTCACTGAAAAAATAAAGTCTGACAATAACAAGTATAGGAAACAGCCTCAAAAACAGGGATGACATAGTGTGTCAGTAGGAGAGTAATTGGTCCATTGCTTCCTAGAAAAATATGCCTTCATCTAAAAAGTTTAAGATAGGCTCATGTCATAACACAAAAATTGTTCTCTTCAATATAAAATTCCCCTTTATGAGTATAAGGAGAAATACACAAATTACTCATGTATAGAAATAAGAATACATAAACATTGTGTATTCATACAATGGAATGCCATGCAAAGGTTAAAAATAATTAATTAGAGCTTTATCTGTATTTTCAAAGTATATAGTGCCTATGATATACAGCAAGTTGCAGAACCATCTAGTTTCAGTGGATCCTGATGATGCCAGTTTCTCAGCTCAAGGCCAAGGCTAGGGGTTCAGTAAACCTCAGGGACTTTCAGATATTCTTCATTTTTTTCAGTTGTATGGAGTTATGGTTTACATACTATAAAGTTCATCTGTTTAAAGTACACAATTCAATGGGGTGTAGTATGTTCAGAGAGTTGTGCAAATATGATCATAGTATAATTTTTGAGTATTTTTATCACTCCAAAAAAAAATATTTGTACCTACTACAACTTCTTCACCATTGTCCTGCCCCACCTCACCTCCAGTCCTTGGCAACCACTCGCAGACTATCTTTCTCTATAGTTGCCTATTTTGGCCTTTTCCTATAAATGTTATCATACAATAAATAGTATTTTTGAGTGGTGTATTTCACGTAGTATTATGTTTTTTAGATAAAACTGTGTTGTGAATTTCTTTCTCTTGTTAAATTTTTATTTTGAAGTAATTATATAACCACAGAAAGTTGGATAGATATTCCAGAAAAGACCTGCATCCTTTACCCGGCTTCCCTCCACATATCTTGCACAATTCTAATACATCATCAAAACAGGAAACTGATATTGGCTCAATGTGTAAATACAACTCTATGTCATTTTATTTCATGCTCATATTTGTGTAACCACCACTGCAGTCTAGATACAGAACTATTTCACCTTCACAAAGATCACCTTTGTGCAACCCATTTAGTCGCAGCCCTCCCCCAACCCCGTTTGCCATTGCTTACCCTGGTGAATCTTTAATCTTTTCTCCAGTCCTATGATTGTGTCATATTAAGAATGTTATATAAGTGGTATCACATAGCATGCAACATTTTGAGATAAACTTTTTTCACTCGGCATAATGCCCTTGAGATCCATACAAGTTGTGTGTATTCATAGTTAATTCTATTGAGTGGTGAGTAGTATTCCATATAAACATAGAAGTATATCTCATCATTCACCTATTGAGAAACATTTTAATTGTTTCCAGTTTGGGGCTATTTTAAATAAAGTTTCTGTGAGATATTATGTACATATTTCTGCATGCACGTAACTTTTTGTTTCTCTGGGATGAATACCCAGTAAGGCGATTGCTGGATTATCTACTAAATGTATGATTACTTATGTTTTCAATTAAGAAACTGAAAAATTATTTTACAGAGTGTCTGTACAATTCTAAATTTCTACCACCAATGATTGAGAACACCAGTTTCTACAAATCCTGGTCAGCATTTTTGTATTGTCAATACTATATATAATATTTTTGCCTTGCTCTTTTAATATGCACAAAGTGACATCTCATCATCGTGTTAATTTGCACTTTGCTAATGACTGGTGATGTTGAACATCTTTTCATTTGCTTATTTGGCAGCAGGTATCCTTGGTGAAATAAATCTTGATGACTTTGTCCATTTTTGGATTAGAGTAGATTGTATTTTTCTGTTGTGTTCTTTATATATTCTAGATACTAGATTTCTGTCAGATAACACGTTTGCAAATATTTTCTCCCAGTCTGTCAATTGTTTTTGCATCTTCTTAACAGGATCTTTTCCAGAGGAAAAGTTATGTATCTTGCTTTTGGGTGTCATGGCTAAGAACTCTTTGCCAAAGATCAGTTGATCATAGATATTCAGGTTAACTTCTCAACTCTTAGTTTTAATACATTTATCCATATGTTTATTCTTATTCCAGCACCATATTGTCTTATTCCAGCACATACCTTTCTTGTAGCTTTTGATAGAGAGAACTGTGACTCCTCCAACTTTTTCGATTTCAACATTGTTTTAACTAATTATTCTGGTTCTTTGACTTCCATGTGCATTTTAGGAAGAGCTTGTTAACTTCTCCAAAAAATCTAGCTGGAATTTTTGATTTCATGGTATATGTATAAAATTTGAGGGAGTATTTTCACTTTAATAATCTTAACTCATTGCTATATGAATAATTTATAACTTAATTTCTTTCAACAATATTTTGTTGTTTTCAGTTTACAAATACTGCACTTATTTTGATAAATGTGTTTCTATGTATTTTATTATCCTTTTGATGCTATTATAAATAAAATCATTTCTTAACTTTATTCATTGCTAATGTATAGAAAGATGATTAATTTTTGTATGTGGAATTTGTATCATTTAATCTCCGTGAACCCATTTATTAGTATTTTAGTAAATTTGGGGGGTTGTAGATATAAAATACTATGTCATCTGTAAATAGACATTGTTTTACTTCTTCCTTTCTAATCTGGACTTCTTTTTTCTAGCTTAACTTTTCTGGCTAGAACGTGTAGTATGCAGTGGAACAGAAGCAGTGAGAGCAAACATCGTTATCCTCTTTCTTATTTTAGAGGGAAAGCATTGTTCTTCTTTATTTATTATGATATTAGCTGTGGGTGTTTCATACATGCCGTGTGTCAGATTGAGGAAGGTCACTTTTACTTCTAGTTTGTCTAGTGTTTCTATTATGAATGGATGTTGGATTTTGTTTGATGGTTTTTCTGGGTCTCTTCAGATTAACTGTGTGGTTTTAGTCCTTTATTCTATCAATATGGCATATTGCATTGATTTATTTTCACATGTTACACCTATCTTTCATTTCTGAGCTACATCCCACTTGTTGAAGGTGTGTAATCTGTTTTGCATGTAGCTGGTTTCAGGTAATTAATAGTTGAGAATTTTCGTGTTTATTTTAATAAAAGGCATTGGTCTGCAGTTTTTCTTGTGATGTCTTTTCCTTGTTCTAATATCAGGGAATTCTAGTTTCACAGAATTAAGTTTGAATGTGTTCTCTATTTTCAACTTTTTGAAAGTTTATGAGGCATTAGCCTTAAGTTTTCTTTAAATGTCTGGTAGAATTCATCAGTGAAGCCATTGGAATTGGACTTTTCTTTGTGGGAAATTTAAAAATGACTAATTCAACCTCTGTGCCTTGTAAATAAGTGAAGAAAAAAAAAGGCCATTTATCATACAGTTATTTTATCTTTTGTCATTATCTACAAAATTACCTTTACTGACGCTATTTTGTGTGTGGGAGTGTGTATAGTTATACTACTGTCTGTTGTCATACTCACATCGAAGAATTTCCTTTATTATGTTTTTAAGGCAGGTGTGTTAGCAACAATTTTCTGTTTTTCTTGTTTTGGAACATCTTTATTTCTTCTTCATTTTTGAATAATATATATACTTGGGAATAAGATTTTTGGTTGACTATCTTTTTGTCTTCAGGATTTTTAATATGCCATCTCAGAACCTCTTGCACCTATTGTTTCTTTCTTTCTTTTTTGGGGGGTGGGGTGGGTGGAGTTTTGCTCTTGTTGCCCAGACTGGAGTGCAATGGCGAGATCTCGGCTCACTGCAACCTCCACCTCCTGGGTTCAAGAGATTATCCTGCCTCAACCTCCCGAGTAGCTGTGATTACAGGCACCAGCCATGACCCCAGCTATTGTTTTTTTTTCTTTTGTATTTTTTAGTAGAGACAGGGTTTCACCATGTTGGCCAGGCTGGTCTCGAACTCCTGACCATCCGCCTCAGCCTCGCAAAGTGCTGGGATTACAGCCCTGAGCCACCGTGCCCGGCCTGAGTTTTTATTCTCTTGCTGCTTTCACAGTTTTCTTTTCATATTTGGCTTTTAACCTTTTGACTATGATGTTTCTTGGTGGGGATGTTTCTGTATTTATCCTACTTAGGGATTGTTTATTTTCATAAATATGTAGAGTATTTGTGTTTTTCGTCAAACTTGCAGTCTCTGCCACTATTTTGTAATGGTATTTTGTTCCTTTCTCTCTCTCTTCTTCCGGTATTCCTATTATGCATATTTTGGCCTGCTTAAGTTGTACCACATTTATCTGTGGTTCTGTTAACTTTTTCTTCATTCTAATCTGTTTTTCTGATCATGAATTAGCTATTAATTTTATCAAGCTTATTTGTTCTTACTTCTGTCAACTCAAATCCACTGATGAGCCCTTCAATAATTTTTTATTATTGTACTTGTCAACTTTAAAATTCCTTTTGATTCTTCTTTATCATTTATATTTATGTGTTGATATTCTCTAGTTGATAAAAACTTGTCATTATACTTTAATTCGTTAGATATGGTCCCTGGTAGTCCTTTGAAAAAATTTATAATAGCTGTTTTGAAGTTTTTGTTCACTAAATCTAAGATCTGAGCTCTGTTTAAGGCAGCTTCTGGCACCTGCTTTTCTCTTTTTCTCTCTATAGCTTACATTTTTCAGGTGTTTTGATTCTTATATTTTTCTTTTCAAGAGTGACACCACTGTTCCATGAGTGGGCATGGGAGTGGAGGAGAGGGTTGATAGCCCCTGGTCTTCCCATCATTCTTTCCTAGTATGAACTTCTGTCATACCAGTTAGCTGTGGCAGGAAAGATATGGGCCCTAGTATTATTTTAACATGTCTGGATAGAGATTCTGCCCTATGTGTGTCAGCTGGGTGAGGGAAGGGAAGCCTAATCCTCTTGCTATGCCTTCTTGGATTAAGACTTCTAAGATTAAGACAGAGAGCTGGGGTATGGAAGATAATAGTTACCAGTGCCATGCTCCTACTTGAGCAAAATACTATTCAGGTTACCACCAGTGGGAAAAGGGAGGCTTCTTTCTTGGTTGTACTGTCAGGGTAGAGACTCCTTACAACATGCATGGGAAGATAGTTGAAGCAGATTGCGGTTCAAATGCTACAGATTCTTGCTGTTCTTACAGAAAGTTAGCAGGTGTTTTTGAATAACTGTTTCTCCATTTGCTACATGCAATCAGATCAATTTTCAGAGACTTTAAGTTAAGTGGATGTTTCTTATATATTTTACCAGTTAACTGGTTGTTTTACTGGGAAAAGAATTGCCAAGCCCCTCACGTAGCCATTCTGGAAATCATTCCATTATGTTTGTCAGCTCATTCCTGTGAAACACTTGGGATAGTCCCAAACATCATGACCATTATAATCACTTGAACCATCCCGGGTTCAAGTGATTCTCCTGCCTCAGCCTCCTGAGTAGCTGGGATTACGGGCACGTGCCACCAAGCCTGGCTAATTTTTGTATTTTTAGTACAGACGGGGTTTCACCATGTTGATGAGGCTGGTCTTGAACTCCTGACCTTGTGATTTGCCTGCCTCCTCCTCCCAAAGTGTTGGGATTATAAAGGTGGGAAGCTTGGGAAGGAGAATGGAGAAATGGCACCAGCTGCGAATGCCCCCTTACTCTAAAAGCATCAAGACCTTCTATACCCTACTGTTATAATTCTGTAAATCCTTTTTTGACCAAAATGATGTCACAGGGTTGTCCTTAACTACAAAACCATAATTATACATGGATGTTTTATTTATTTTTTATCCTTTCTAGTGGAAGTGACCATTGAGAAAAGAGCTGGAAATATGTTTGTTTCGTCAATAAATTATGTTTGAAACAAGCAATTCAGGTATATTAAACATTGCTTTTATACATGTAATTGCAACTTTGATGAAATTGGCACTCCAAAGAAAAATACAAATGTTTATTGCCTCAGAGTAAAATAATGATTGCATAGAAAACTGGATAATATATTAATGGATATGGGTACAAAACTTTTGGGGTCAATTTTGAAGTAAAATAAGTAAATATTTTCTGAATCAGACTGCTAATTCAGCAACAGGTTTCTTTGTTTTTTTGTTTGAGATGGAGTCTCGCTCTGTCACCCAGGCTGGAGTGCCGTGGCGCCATCTCGGCTCACTGCAACCTCCGCCTCCTGGGTTCAGGTGATTCTCCTGCCTCAGCCTCCTGAGTAGCTGGGATTATGGGCACGTGCCACCAAGCCTGGCTAATTTTTGTATTTTTAGTACAGACGGGGTTTCACCATGTTGATGAGGCTGGTCTTGAACTCCTGACCTTGTGATTTGCCTGCCTCCTCCTCCCAAAGTGTTGGGATTACAGGCGTGAGCCACTGCGCCCAGCCACAACAGGTTTTTTTTTTAACTGTAAAGTTTTATTTTGTTTTATGTTATTTTATTTTAATCCAGAAGGTACATGTGCTTTTTTGTTACATGAGTATATAGCGTACTGGTGGGGATTAGGATTCTAGTGTATCCAATATCCAAATAGTGAACCTGTGCTTGTTAGTTTTTCAACTTCCCCCTGCTTTTGGAGTCCCCAATGTCTATTATTTTCTTATTTATGACCATATTTACCCATCGTTTAGCTCCAACTTATAAGTGAGAACATGTAGTATTTGGTTTTCTGAGTTTGTTCACTTAGGATGATGACCTCTAGCTCTACCTCCATTGCTGCAAAGGACATGATTTACTTCGATTTTATATCTGCATACTATTCTATGGTGGATATGTACCACATTTTCTTTATCCAGTCAAACACTGATGGACACTTAGGTTGGTCAGCTTTACTATTGTGAATAGTGTCATGATGAACATGCAAGTGTAGCTGCCCTTTTGATATAACAATTTATTTTCCGTTGGATAAATGCTTAATAGTGGGATTGCTGTGTTGAATGGTAGTTTTGTCTTTAGCTCTTTGAGAAATTTCCATACTATTTTCCATAGAGGTTAAATTAATTTACATTCCCAGCGACAGTATATGTTTCCTTTTCTCCATATCCGCATCAATATCTGTTGTTTTTGGTGTTTTACTAATAGCCTTTATTGATATTATAAAATGATACATCATTGTGGTTTTAATTTTCATTTCTCTGATGATTAGTGATGTTGAACACTTTTTTCATGTGTTTGTTGGTTGTTTGTATTTCTTCTTTTGAGAAGTGTCTGTTCATGTCCTTTGCTCAGCTTTTAGTGAAGTTGTTTGTTTTTTTCTTGTTGAGTTGTTTGTGTTGCTTTTAAGATTCTGGATATTAGTCGTTTGTCAGAGTCATAATTTGCAAATATTTTCTCCCATTCTGTAGGTTGTCTGTTTATTCTGTTAATTATTTCTGTTGTTGTACAGAAGTTTATGTGCAGGTCTTATGTCAAGATGGTCATTAATCCATTTTGACTTAATTTTTGTATATGGTGAGAGATAGAGGTCCAGCTTTGTTCTTCTGCATATGGCTAATTTTCCAAGCACTATTTATTGAATAAGATGTCTTTTCCCCATTGTTTATTTTTGCCAACTTTGTTGAAGATTAGCTGGTTGTAGATATGTGGTATTATATCCAGGTTCTCTATTCTGTTCCGTTGATCTATGTGCCTATTTTTTTGGAACAGGATCACACTGTTTTAGTTACTCTAGCCTTACAGTATAATTTGAAGTCAGGCAGTGTGATGCCCCTAGATTTGTTCTTTTTATTTAGAATTGCTTTGGATCTTTGGGGTCTTTTTAGTTCCATATAAACTTTAGTGTTGTTTTTTCTAATTCTGTGAAAAATGATATTGATAATTTGATAGGGATTGCATTGAATGTATAGATTGTTTTGAGCAGTGTGGCCATTTTAATAATATTGATTCTTCCCTTCCATGAGCATGGGATATTTTGCTATTTGCTTGTGTCATCTATGATTTCTTTCACAAGTGTTTTATAGTTTCTCCTTGTAGAGATCTTTCACCTCTTTGGTTAAATGTATTCCTAGGTATTTTATCTTTCTTGTGACTATTGTAAATAGAATTGGGTTATTTATTTGTTTCTCATCTTGAATGTCATTGGTGTATAGAAATGCTACTGATGTTTGTGCATTGACTTTGTATCATGAAGCCTTATTTAATTTGTTTGTTAAATCTAGGAGGCTTTTGGAGGAGAATCTGGGGTTTTCTAGGTATACATTCATGTAATCACCAAACAAAGACAATTTGACTTCCTCATTGACTTGAATGCTTTTTATTTCTTTCTCTTGCCTGATTGCCCTGGCTAGTACTTCTCGTACTATGTTGAATAGAACTGGTGAGAATGGACATACTTGTCTTGTTCCAGTTCTTAGGGTAAATGCTTTCCACTATTCCCCATTCAGTATAATGTTGACTCTGGGTTTTTCATAGATGGCTTTTATTATTTTGAGGTATGTTCTTTCAATGCCTAGTTTATTGAGAGTTTTTAATTATGAAGTAAAGTCAGATTTTATTGAACACCTTGCCTATGTCTATGTCTATTGAGATGATCTTATGCTTTTTAAGTTCTATTTATGAGATGCACCACATTTATTGACTTGTAAATATTGAACTATTCTTGCATCCCTGGAAGAAAACCAACTTGAAAGTGATGAATTATCTTTTTGATTTGCTATTGGATTCAGCTTGCTAGAGTTTTGTTGAGGACTTTTGCATCTCTGTTCCTCAGGGATATCGGCTTGTAGTTTTCTTTCTTTCTTTCTTTCTTTTTTTTTGGTAGTATGCTTGACTGATTTTTGGTATCAGGGTGATACTGGTTTCATAGAATGAGTTGGGGAAGAATCACTTCTTGATTTTTTGAAATAGTTTCAGTGGGATTGTTACCAGCTCTTATTTATATGTCTGGTAAAATTCAGATCTGGTCTTGGCTTGTTCGTTTCCCCACCTTGGAAGATTTTTTATTACTGATTCAATTTCATTACTCATCGTTAGTCTGTTAAGGGATTCTGTTTCTACCTGGTTCAATCTTGGGGATCTGCTGTATGTTTCAAGGAATTCATCCATCTCCTCTAGGTTTTCTTTTTATTTATTTATTTATTTATTTATTTATTTTTTATTATTATACTTTGAGTTCTAGGGTACTTGTGCACAACGTGCAGGTTTGTTACATATGTATACATGTGCCATGTTGGTGTGCTGCACCCATTAACTTGTCATTTACATTAGGCATGTCTCCTAATACTATCCCTCCCCCCTCCCCCCACCCCACAACAGGCCCCAGTGTGTGATGTCCCCCTTCCTGTGTCCAAGTGTTCTCATTATTCAATCCCCACCTATGAGTGAGAACATGTGATGTTTGGTTTTTTGTCCTTGCAATAGTTTGATCAGAATGATGGTTTGCCAAGTCAATCCTAAGCCAAAAGAACAAAGCTGGAGGCATCACGCTACCTGACTTCAAACTATACTACAAGGCTACAATAACCAAAACAGCATGATACTGGTACCAAAACAGAGATAGAGACCAATGGAACAGAACAGAGCCCTCAGAAATAATACCACACATCCACAACTATCTGATCTTTGACAAACCTAACAAAAACAAGAAATGGGGAAAGGATTCCCTATTTAACAAACGGTGCGGGGAAAACTGGCTAGCCATATGTAGAAAGCTGAAACTGGATCCCTTCCTTACACCTTATACAAAAATTAATTCAAGATGGATTAAAGACTTAAATGTTAGACCTAAAACCATAAAAAGGGAAAAAGAAAAAAACCTAGGCAATACCATTCAGGACATAGGCATGGGCAAGGACTTCATGTCTAAAACACCAAAAGCAATGGCAACAAAAGCCAAAATTGACAAATGGGATCTAATTAAACTAAAGAGCTTCTGCACAGCAAAAGAAACTATCATTAGAGTGAAAAGGCAACCTACAGAATAGGAGAACATTTTTGCAATCTACTCATCTGACAAAGGGCTAATATCCAGAATCTACAAAGAACTCCAATAAATTTACAAGAAAAAACAAACAGTCCCATCCTCTAGGTTTTCTAGTTTGTGTGCTTAGAGCTGATGATCTTTTGTTTTTCTGTAGCATCAGTTTAAATGCCTCTCTTTCTCATTTTTGATTGCACTTATTTGACTCTTCTCTCATTTTTTCTTGGTTAATCTAGCTAGTGGTCTGCCAATTTTGTTTAACCTTTTAAAAAACCAATATTTTGTTTAATTAATTCGTTGTATCATTTTTTTGGTCTCCACGTCATTTAGTTCTATGCTGATCTTTGTATTTCTTTCCTTACCTTTGGGTTGAAATTGTTTTTGTTTTTCTAGTTACTTGAGATTTGATATTAGGTTAATAATTTGAGATCTTTCTATTTTTTTGATGTGGACATTTATTGTTATAAACTTTCCTCTTAGCACTGCCTTTGCCATCTTTCAGAGCTTTTGGTATGTTTTGTCTCTGTTTTTATTCATTTCAAAAATTTTTTTGATTCTATTTTAATTTCATTGTTTACCCAAAAGTCATGCAGGACCAATGTGTTTACCTTCCATGTACTTATGTAGTTTTGAGAGTTCCTCTTAGTTTCAGTTTTACATTTTATTCAGTTGTGGTCCAAGAAGATACTTGATGTGATTTTGATTTTTTGGCATTTATTGATACTTGCTTTATGACTCAGCATATGCTAAATTTTGGATAGTGCTCCATGCAGAGGTGAGAAGAATGTATATTTTGCACTTATTGTATAGAGTGTTATGTAAATGTCTATTAGGTTTTTTTGGTCTATAGTACAGTTTAAATCCAGAGTTTCCCTATAAATTTTCTGTCTCAATGATCTCTCTAGTGATGTCAGTGAGGTGTTGAAGTTGCTCCTCCCCCACCATTTTCCTATTGCTATCCATATGTTTTCTTAGGTCTAGTAGCATTTGTTTTATCAATATGTGTGCTCCATTGTTGGGTGCATATATATTTAGGATACATATATCTTCTTGTATTGAACCTTGCCCTTCTTTGTCTTCTTTTACTGTTTTTGGTTTAAAGTATTTTATCTGGGGCCGGGTGCAGTGTCTCAAGTCTGTAATCCCAGCACTTTGGAAGGCCGAGGCGGGCGGATTGCCTGAGGTCAGGAGTTCGAGACCAGTGTAGCCAACATGGTGAAACTCCGTCTCCAATAAAAATACCAAAAATTAGCCGGGCTGTGGTGGTGTGCGCCTGTAATCTCAGCTACTCAGGAGGCTGAAGCAGGGGAATTGCTTGAACCAGGGAGATGGAGGTTGCAGTGAGTTGAAATCGTGCCACTGCACTCCAGCCTGGGCACAGACTGAGACTCCATCTCAAAAAAAAAGGAAAAGTATTTTTCTGACATGAGATGGCTACTCCTAGTTGCTTTTGTTTTACCTTTGCATGATGTATCTTTTTCCACCCTTTACTTTGAATATGTAGCTGTCTTTAGCCTGAAGTCTGTCTCTTGTAGGGAGCTAAATATTCTTTAGTGGTTATTTGACAACTTACAATGGCTTTCAAGAGCAGATTCTTGATATATCTTCTCTAATCCTGTACATCATTTCTATTTGGCATTGTCTTGGTTAAAAATTATATTTTTTCACATATAATTAATCATTTGGGGGTCTATACTGAATTCAACTAAATAAGATTTTATACAACACTCTTGACCTCTGCAAATCATAATATTTATGTTATATATTTGCATAGCATATGTAATATCTTAGCAGTTTTTAGTACCAAAGTGTCATAGATAGAAGTTATAAGTTATCTGAGAGCATATAGAAAGATAGCTTGCAAGTAATAGATTTGTAGAAATGTAAGGAAGAGAAAATATAACCTTGTTTGTAAGAAAAGTGGATGTTTTCATCAACTTTCCAACTTCTATCATTAGTAGGCTAGAATATAAATCCAACATAGTTGTATTCTGAGGATAAGGAGATAGTCTCAAAGATTCTATGCATCATTTATTTATGCCTGTATCTCTGTACATGGCTGGTTTAAATTTATAAACTGATTTAGCTCCTTGATCTGTACAAGTGTCTGTTTGTCAATCACTTACATCAAAGTAGTTAAGTCATAAATTTATGTACATCTAGATCATCAATCCCCGTATGTCTCATGAGTAGTTGAAGCCATAAATCATTCAGGATGGTCAGTATTTGGCCAAGGGCCTGAGGCTAAATCTGCTAGGCAAGGTGCAGGGAGATAATAACAAAGTAACTAAGTATGCCTGACTTTTTTCAGAATTAGGATTTATCATTGTGCATCACTTAATAATAGGGATATGATCTGACAAATGCATAATTAAACCCCAGATGGTAGAGCCTGCCACACTCCTAGGATTCATGGTAAAACCCATTGCTTCTATGCTACAAAGCTATACAGTATGTTACTCTACTGAATACTGTAGGCAATTGTAACACAATGATAAGTATCTGTGTATCTAAACATAGAAAATGTACAGTAAAAATAAAGTATAAGAGATGAAAGATGTTACCCCAGTATAGGGAACTTATCATGAATGGAGTCTGTAGGACTGGAAGTTGCTCTGGGCCACTGAGTGAGTGGTGACTAAATGTGAAGGCCTAGGACATTACTGTGCATTACTTTATAAAACTGTACATTCAAGCTACACTACACTTAATTTTTAAAAATTTTCTTTTCTTAATAATAAATTAAACGTAGCTTAGCATAACTTTTTTACCTTATAAACTTGTTTTTTTATACTCCTTTACTCTTTTGTAATAATACTTGGCTTAAAACCAAAACATGGTTGGGCGCGGTGGCTCATGCCTGTAATACCAGCACTTTGGGAGGCCGAGGCAGGTGGATCACCTGAGGTCAGGAGTTTGAGACCAGCCTGGCCAACATGGTGAAACCCTGTCTCTACTAAAAATACAAAAATTAGCTGGATGTGGTGGCGGTTGCCTGTAATCCTAGCTACTTGGGAGGCTGAGGCATGAGAATCGCTTACCCGGGAGGTGGAGGTTGCAGTGAGCTGTGATCATGCCACTACACTCCAGCCTAGGCAACAGAGTGATACTATGTCTCAAAAAAAAAAAAAAAAAAAAGAAGAAACCAAAACAAAACACATTGTACAACTGTACAAAACATTTTCTTTCTATCATTTGTCTATATGCTTTTTTCTTTAAAAAAATTTTTTACTTCTTAAAATTTTAATTGCAAACTAAGATACAAACACACACTTTAGGCTAGGCCTACCTGCAGGATCAGGATCATCAATATCACGGTCTTCCAACTCCACATCTTATCCCACTGGAAGGTCTTTAGGGACGGTAACAGTTCCATTATCTTTTTTTTTTTTTTTAGACGGAGTCTCACTCTGTCACCCAGGCTGAAATGCAGTGGCACTGGGTTCACTGCAGCCTCGACTCCCTGGGCTCAAGCAATCTTCCCACCTTAGCTCCCAGAGTAGCTGGGACTACAGGTGTACAGCCACACGCTCAGTTAACTTTTGTATTTTTTGTAAAGATGGGGTTACGCCATGTTGTCCAGGCTAGTCTCAAACTCCTGAGCTAAAGCAATCTGCCCACCTCAGGTTCTCAAAGTGCTGGGATTACAGGTGTGCACCACCAGGCACAGCCCCTTCATTATAACCTTATAAGATGAATGTTCAGTTCATCATTGATCAAAATGATGATCTTATATAAGATCATATAAGATTGCAAAACTCTTATCAAATATTATATAAGATTGTAATAAGTGATTGTATAAGATTGCAAACTCATAAAATTTTTAATAATTAATATAAACTTTACTCTGCAGAAAAAGTTGGTATTTATGTGATATCAGCTTTATCTGCAAAAAATATTTGGATATGTTTGTGGACTTATCCAGAAACAAACAAATAACTAATTTATATTTACAAATGTAAATTTGTCCCCAAATACTATTATAATTAGATCTGTTCACCGCTCTTAGATATAAGAAAATTTTAAAAATCACATGAAGAGTTTTATTTTATACAGAAAAATTTAATAATTAAAAAATAAAAACTAAAATTTTTTATTACATACGAAAAATATCCTTTTTGTTCAAAAGATACATAACTACAATTACATAGAAGGAATATATTTCAAGAAATCTATTGCACAGAAGGTGACTATAATTATGATACATTCTATTTTTAAAAAGATTAAAGAGTGTGAAGTTTGTGTGTTATCAAATCACAAAAATGAATTTGTTTTTTAGCTATATTTAAGCATTCCACAATATGATAGATACTTCAAAAAACCATGTGTACATGATTAAAACATACAAGGCTGTCTTTCAGTTAAAATTAAAAAATTGAAAGAACAAAGATCTATTTTTCTTTAATAGATAATTTAAAATTATTATTTATTCAAACTTGCCAATGTTCTCTCATAAAAGATGAGCAAGTTATGCTCTATTTTGCAATTAACGGTTGGATGTTTAAGAAGATTAATAAAAGATTGTGGCTTCTATGAGATTTTTGAAGACTTTTGCTGTTTTTAGAGGGAATCATATAGAGTTTAGGAATCTTGCATATTTATATCATCTGAACTAAAAAGAGAATATAGTATATAATTAATTCAATTGATCTATGATACAGATGATATCATGTTTAAATATAATTTATATTATATTTTAAAAATTGTTTGTTAAAGCTGTGTACAGCTTTCTGGCCACCACAAAGCCTATATTCTTGGTGCAGCTTGACTTATTTATACCATAGTATTTTTAATAAACAGATAAATCATAGAACTCTAAATTACTGAAGGCTGCAACTTAAAATGATCATGTTCATATTAGAAAAGTATGCCTTCATTTTCTGAAAGAACTTCTAAGACTGAGTGGTATAATCAAATGAGTAAGTACATCTAAATTAGTATGTAAATATCATTGATTCAACTGCAAACCATGTGTGTTGATTGCGCTCAAATGAAATTATTTTGTTCTGTAAATAAGTCCTAACAAACTTCTAGAATTTCTTGTACTTTCATGTGTATGTATATGTGTATATATATGTATATTTATGTGTGTACACACATGCATATATGTTTATGCTGATTATTATTAACAAACCTCAACTGTGTACTATGTAGTGAGCATTCTATAAATAATTAATATTTGTTAATTAATTTAAAACTTAGAATAGCCTTGAGATAGGTCCTAATATTATACTTAATTTGATGGATTAGGAAATTAAGATATAGTGAGGCAATGTGAGTTCAGATCCCATGCTTTTGACTGCTACAGGTGTAAATAATATGAAATTAGCAGTTATAACTATTCTGTTAATATTTTCTTTAAACATTTTCTATAACGATAAATTAAATTTATAGCAAATTTATAGAATATATAAATTTATAAATGTGTGTATATATTAAGATCTATTATAACGTGATAGTAAATGAGGCAATGTGAAATTGAAACAAGGACAGAATCCAGGAATAGAAGTAATTCACCTGCTAATGAAAAAAATGTAATACTGCAATGTAGTGGTAGAAAAAAAATGGTCTTGGAAATAAGTAATTCTTAATCTACTATATTTAAAAATACCTCTTGTCTCTACTTCATGCCTTTTACAATAATCAATTCCACTTTTTTATAGATATAAATATATAGACATATAAATATAAATTATAGATATAAATATAAACAATGAAACCTTTAGAAATATACAGAGAAGAATATTTTTATGACCCTAAAGGAGGTAACATTTCTTAAAGAAGGAAAAAATGCACTAATCACAAAGAAAATATTGCTGAATCACACTTATTTATAAATAAGAACTTCAGATCAACAGACAACATTAATTGAAAAGATAGCCTACAGAGGCATAGAAGATAATTATTTAGATATAGATCTATATCTATGTCAGTATAGATATAGATCCCAAAACACATGAATATTCAGGGTATATAAAGAACTCCAATATATTAACAATAAAGAAAAAGACAATTCTACACAAAGTGGGCAAAAGTTTTGAACAGACATTTCACATAAGAGGATATTCAGATGTACAATAAACACATGAAGCACTATATTTTCCATCTAAGAAATGTGAATTAAAACAACAGTGCAATGTCACAATCATCAATGATGCTAAAAAGAAAACAGTGATCCAAGGTCTGTCAAGAGTATGGAACAACTGAAACTCTCATACACTGCTAACGGGAATATAAATTAGTACAACCATATCAGAAAACTGTTTGGAAGTATCGTCAAAGCTGAGTATATGTACACTTTATGACTCAACAATTCCACTCTTATGTAGATAGTGAACTAAAATAAGGACATATATTCACCAAAAGATATATCAAGGATTATCACTGCAGAGCTATTCATAAGCTTCAAGATTTAAAAAATATATAAAATGCCTTCAACATAAAGTTTATCTGTATATGCAGAAATAATGTATAATCTATCCATGTATATATTTAAGTGTATATAATAAGTGTATTCTCTCAATAGAAATGAAATACTGTACATTGACATGAATGAACAAAGTATGATTACATTCAATAACTTGGATAAACTAATATAATATTGAGAGGGGTTTGTTCTTCAGGTTGGCCCTAAGGGTTCCAGCAATGTTTGATATAGCAGAGTCTGAAGATCCCAGCTTTTTTCCACAGGTTTCCATGGAAAATCATGCATCATACCCAGAGACAGGAAGATCTCAACTTGAATGAGAAAAGATAATCCACAGACGACAATACCAAGATGATATAGATGTTAGAATATTAAAGACTTTCAAACAGCCATTATTAAAATACTTTAAGGAGCAGTTATAAATATGCCTTATACAAATGTAAAAAAATGAAACATCTCAGGAAAGAAACAAAAAAATAGAAGTTTTAGAACTTAAAAATATAATAATTGAAATAAAACTTCCATATATGTGTGTAACAATAGAATGGAGGGGGCATAAAATGAAAAAGTGAACTGAAAGATAGAATAATTGAAATTATTCAATCTGAATAACAGAAAAAGTCGACTAAAAAGCAAGGAATGGAGCCTCAGAAACAGAGAAGTTTGTAATAAAATTTATAACATTCATGTTATCAAACTGTTGAAAGGAGAGAAAAAAGAAAAGCTGGCTGAGAAAGTACTTGAAAAAATAATGGCTGGAACCTTCCCAAATTTGGCAAAAGACGTAAACCTGAGTGACCACTAAACAGGATAAACTTAAATACATTCACAGCAAGACACATCATCTTCAAACTTCTAAAACTAAAAACCAAGAAAAATATTTTCAAAGCGGAGAGAGAGAGACAGGCCTTATTTGTGGGTAAAAAAACAATGAGAATTTCAGCAGAGGAACTTTTAAACATTTGAATGAAGTTCTATATGTTATTATTTTTTCCTTCTATGGATTATGCTTTTCGTGTCAGTTCTAAGAATACTGCCTAGCCATAGATCATGACGGTTAGAGAACTTCCTTCTGCGCTCTTTTAGGTTACACCTATTGGGGACAAGTTCTGTATGTTTTTCACCATCTGAAAAGTCATGACTTCCCCTTTATGCCTGAAGAATATTTGTGCTGGAATCGGATTCTGGGCGAACAGTACTTTCCTTTAAGCATTTGAAAAATATTTTGTCTTTTTCTGGTGGCCTTGGAGATTTCCAAAACATCCCGGGGGATAAGGATGCAGAGGGTGAGAAATGAGAAGAGGTGAAGATAATTTAGGCATTTTACACCTCCCAACTTCTATAACATCCTTCCTTACAGGAGTCAGGAGTTGGTCTGATTTTCATTAATATTATACTGTTATGAATTACCACTTTTCCTGACCTTTTTCCAGCAAGATGTAGTTATTTTATGTTTCAATGTCAAAATATCAACTCTAGTGTCACGGCAAATGTAAAAGATCAAAGTTCAAATCATCATAGCCTACATTCACCTAATATTGTTCTGGAGACTGGACATAAAAATGTGTATTTTCCAAAAGAGGAAAAATTTGTTTCTGCCTGTAATTTTTTTTTTTTTTTTTTTTGAAATGGAGTCTCGCTCTTGTTGCCAGGCTGGAGTGCAGTGGCGTGATCTCGGCTCACTACAACCTCCACCTTCCCGGGTTCAAGTGATTATCCTGCCTCAGCTTCTCCAGTAGCTGGGATTACAGGCACCTGCTACCATGCCCGGCTACTTTTTTTTGGTATTTTTAGTAGAGATGGGGTTTCACCATGTTAGCCAGACTGGTCTCAAACTCCTGACTTCCTGATCTGCCTGCCTTGGCCTACCAAAGTGTTGGAATTACAGGCATGAGCCACCGTGCCCGGACTGTCTGTGAATTTTATTAAATTGTCATAACCTTATAAACCCTTGACAAGTGTGAGTAATTAATCAATAAGTGCTTATAATCTGCAGATTTGAGTGGTTCTTTTTGGGATAACAATCCATAAAATAATTTTGTCAAATATCAGATATATTAAAAATCATCTGGTAAAACTACACTTTAAGATGTTAAATGTGTCTGGATATTCACTAGATTTAGAAGTGAGTCATTTTCACCTGCTGGGACCTGGCAGGGTAGATTGTAACTGGAACTGAACACTCTTAGGGAAGTGTAGCAATTTATGTTACCTCAGCAGGACACGTACCCTCCAGTCACCAAAAAAATTTAGTTTGATCTTAGCAGGAGGAATACATTAACATTTTTTTATTCAAGAGAACAAACTTGTAATTTCAGTGTTTAGTAGAGAAAATGATAAAGAAAAAAATACAATTAGATTAAGAGAACCATGTAAGATCATTGTAAACTATAACCTGCTTTGCAATTTCACATATTGCAGAATTGATTGATAATTAGTTAATTAGCATTGCCTAACTTTTAAAGAATAATACTTCAATAAATCACTTACAGTGGTCTATTGAAATATAACACTATTTTTCTTATCCCACCGTCAAGAAAATGCATTGATTCTCAATGACGATATATGTTTAAAACTATAGAATATTTGGCCAATAAAATAACTGATTATCAAAAGTGAATATGTTGACATTATAAGAACTACTGCATGATTCAGTGAGTTATATATCAAACTCTTTGCTTGTATTAAACAGATCTACCTAAAACGAGTTGGTGTCTGCAATAAGACCCATGGTAAAATGCAGTGAAGATATACAACTATAAATGTGGATTTCTATCAAAAATTCCTATTGGCGTAGGAGCTCCACTAGCTTAGAAGCTGCACTCCCTCACCAAGTCCCTGTAGTAGCTCCATAACCATAGTTTTCAGTGCCCTATAACCTGCCCATTCACAAGTTATCTCATTTAAAAAAGCCGAAAGATAGAAGGGCCACACTGTTTGTGGTAGTGCCTACTTCTTCACAGAGAATGCATTCCAAGACCCCATGTGGATGCCTGAAACCACGGACAGTGCTGAACCCAATTGCCATAATAAGGAACACGTTTCTGCTAATATCTTCCACCCACAAATGTAATGCCTTTTCTAAATTAAGCACCTTTCATGTACTGTGGTTGTAATTTTATGGTGTCAAGTTAAGACAGTTAAACTAGCCTGAACTTCTTTATCCTTCTTCACAATTTCACAGGTAAATTTGTTCTTTCAATAGATGCTAGCAATCACAGCATACCTTTGATTTTCTCTCCTTATAAAGTCGTGAACTTTCAACTTTTCACTTAAAGAAAGCACTTTACATTTTCTCTTTGGTATATCCAAATTGCCATTATTACTACTCTTGCGCTTTGGGGCCATTGTTAAGTAAAATAATGGTGATTCGAACATGAGTACTGTGATATCACCACAATCCATCTGTTAACTGAGATGGCTGCTAATTGATTAACAGGCAGACAGGAGATCCCCACAGAGTGGAGATACTGGAGAAAGGGAAGATTCACATCCTAGTCAGGATGAAGCAGAATGGTGCAAGATTTCATCACACTACTCAGAATGACATGTAATTTAAAACTTAGGAATCTGGGGGGTCATTTTCCACTTAGTATTTTTGGACCATGGTCGACTGGGGTGACTGAAGTTGTGGAAACAAAACTGGGGATAAAGGAAGAATACTGTATTTGTAATTGCCACTACAGGAGCAATGTACCTATCCAGGGTCAGCTTTTCCATAAGCAGCATTGTCTAGTAAAACATGCCATTAGTTTCTATGGAAACGAAAGCAGGAAATCAACCAAAGACCAAATTTTCATGAATAAAGGGAAAGGAAAGTTTTTGTTAAACCTTACACATAGTCTTTTATTCTATTTATGATTTAAATATCAAATTACATTAATATATTTATTAATGTAAAAGCAAACTTGTAATTCTAATATAAATCCCACTTTGTAATAATAGATTACACTTCTTGTTTAATAATAGTTTTGATTTATACTACTTTTGTTATTTTCTTTTGGCCAGTCTGTTGTGAAGAATAATTGGTCATAACATTTGTTTCTTATAATGTCATCGTAAAGCTATTTTTCTTCTATTTTCTAAAAATGTATTATTGATCTCTTTCATAAAACTTTAGCAGAATTGACCAGTAAAGCAATTAGAGCTTTGACATTTTTTCTATAGAATGTTTTGAGTGCAAATGTAATTTCCTTAAGATTAATATGTAATGTTAATTTTATTCTTGCATTTATGTTAATGAATTAATTTTTTCAATATTCTTGTACAACTTATCTAAGTCCTGTAATTTATTGACAGAAGTGATTCAAAACATGTAGGATCTGTACTGAAATTCAATATGTCACTTCTGATATTAGTAATTTGTATTTTGACTCTTTTCTCTTGCTCCAACATTTTAGACTTTTTAAAAATCTGCTAATCTTTTAAAGAATCAATTTATGGTTTTGTTGATTTTCTCCTCTTTTTGTGTGTTCTATTTCATTGATCTCTGCTCTTATTTTTATTATTTTCTTCTCTAACAAAGATATACAAGTGGCCAATAAGCACATGAAAAGAACCTCAACATTATTAATTGTTAGCAAAATACGTAGTAATACCACAATGAAATATCACTTTGCATCCACTAAGGTGGTGACAATCAAAAAATAATAATAGCAAACAAATATAACAAGTGTTGGGAAAGATATAAAGAAATGAAAACCTTTGTACATTGTTAATGGGAATTCAATATGTTGTAGCCACGATGGGAAACACTCTGGAGGTTCCTCACAATTTTAAACATAGAATTACCATATGACCCAGGAATTTCACTCCTCAGTATATACTCAAAAGTAGTAAAAATAGATACTCAAACAAATATTTCCACATAAATACTCATAGCAGCACAATTCACACAGCCAAAAGGTGGGAACAACCCAAATGCTTATCAAGGGACATTTGACATTTGACAAAAGGTGGTATATCCACACAATGGAATATTATTCAGCCTTAAAAAGGAATGAAATCTACTATGTACCACAGTATAGATGAACCTTGAAAGCATTATACTAATATAAATAAGCCAAGCACAAAAAGCGACATAGTGTATGGTTCCATTTATATGAATTAGCCTAATAAATACATTCATTTAACACAAAGGAGATTGGTGGTTTTGGGGAGAAGGCAGTAGGGGATAACTCCTTGATGTGCCTGGGGTTTATTTTGGGACGGTGAACACATCTTGAAACTAGATAAAGGTGATAGTTGTACAACATTGTGAATAAACTAAATGACACTGAATTGTTCACTTTATAAAGATTAATTTCATGTTATTTAAGTCTTATCTCAATTAAAAAAATACCAAAAATCCTCCAAACAAAATACCAAAAAAGATTTCCAATGTGTTAAGAGCTCTAATAAAAAAGTAAGAACATAAAAGACCAGATGCCTAATAGAGATATGGGATTTTTAATTAAAAATCAAAGGTAAATGTTAAGAATAAAAAACACTATAACAAATTAAAAATGCCTTTTGAAGTCATCAGTAGGCAAGGAAGCAAGAGAGCATTGAGTAAAGGATCAGTGAGCATTAATATAAGTTAACAGAAACTTCCTAAAATGAAATTAAAAGGTGAAGTTGGGGGGATGAAAAATAGAACAGAATGTCTATGTACTCTTGAACAATGAAAATGATGTAGTATATGTGTAATTGAGTATCATGAGGAGAATAAAAAGTGAATGGAGCAGAAAGTTGCGAAGTAAGGATGCTGATAACTTTTTAAAATTAATGACAATCGATCACAGATTCAGGAAGGTTATAGAACATCCAGCAAAATAAATACAAAAACAAGAACACCAAAAACCTTTCACCTTAAACATATATTAAAACTCCAGGAAACAGGAAACAAAGATCAACTTCTAAATAGACCCAGAGTTGAGGAAAACACCTTATCTATAGAGGAAGAATAACAGAAACATCAGATTCTTTATGGAAACCACATAAACAAAAGAAAATCTAGTTGAAAAATAGTTATTTCTTTAAAATGTTGAAAGAACAAAAACTACCAACCTAAAATTCTATATCCTGTGAAATTACCTTTCAAAAGTAAAAAGAGATAGTCTTTCTCACACAAAAACAAATAGAATTCATGGCCAACAGACATACTTTGTAAGGTTTATTATTATTTTTTATTCTGGAAGAAGGAACCATTTAGGTCAGAATATTGAATCAACATGAAGAAATGCAGAACAACAGAGAAGTAATGACTTTTGGTAAATTAATATGTTTTATTATTTATAATTCTTAATGATGTAAAAGATAACTATTTATTATAAGTAATAATAGTAATAAAATATCATGCATTTACAGCCTATTAATAAGTTAAATGAAAGACAGCTTTGTCACAAGGGATGTGAGAGTGAAAATTTGGATCCTCCGTTATAAGTTGCCTGAAGTAATATGAAAAATAGTATCATTTTAAAGTGGCCTTGAAGTAGTTAAAAATTTATATTGTAAACTGTAAGAAAAACACTAAAAAAAAAATCAGAGGAAGTAGAAGTGAGGCCAAGCATCAGGACTCATTCCTGGTCTTGAATGGCTTCTAAGGAAGGGGTGAGCGAAATAAATATAGAACAGCTCACTATCTCCACAGATCTCTGGGATCCTAGTCTAGATGACCCCATGATCCCCACGGTCATTTGAGTTGGCAGGAGAAACTGCCCAGAGATTTGGCAAAGACAGAGCTTGAATCTGCACAGAGCCCAGTTGAGTTAGTGGGGGCAAGGATGTGGTGGAACACAGCTATAGGCACCCATCCCCCAACATTCTCCATATTCCCCCAGGTAGCTTTAACTTTGTTATCTGCTGCACCTGGAGAGAACATGGCTGCCTTTCTTCTGGCACAGGGGTGAGTTTCATCTGTGCACCCTCACCCCCTTTCTGCTGGCCCCATCCAGAGTCCCTGCCTGACAACACCAGTTCACAAACATCTTCAGCTGTCTCACTAAAGCACTTTTGCAGTCGCTATGGCCATAGTGCTCTTGCAGGCAACCCCTGTCACCCCACCACAACACTTTTGCTGACAGTCCCCCACCAGAGTGTGTCCCTCCAAGATGCCCCCCACCAATCGCTGCCCTACTGGAATACATTTGGCCATGACTCTGCCACAGCCCCACTGGAGCACCTTCACACACTGCCCCCATGCTGCCTGCCAGTGCACTTTTGCACACAACCCCCATGGAGTGCTGTTGCCAGTGGTCTGGGAGCATCTCAGCCCTGCAGTGCAGCCGGTGCTGCACCTCAAGGGCCAGAGGACAAAGCTAAGGGCCTGATTCCAGCCACCCAGGGTGGAGCATGCAGTCCAGGATTGCTGAGCTGAAACTTGGCCCTCTGAAAGCATCTGGAAATGAAGCCATTCGACTATACACAACTCGTACCACAGTCAAACCCTCAGGGGCAATAAAGAACATAAAAACAAAAAGCCCCATTCAAAGGACAACAACTTCAAAGAATAAAGGGACATCAGACCTGACAGATGCAAAAGAACCAGTGCAAGAACTCTGGCAACTCTTAAAGTTAAGAGTGTCTTCTTACTTGCAAAGGATCACACTAACTCCTCAGCATTGGTTCTTAACTAAATAGAAATGGCTGAAATGTCAGCAATGGAATTCAGAAACTAGATGGCAATCCAGTGTAATGAGATATAAGAGAAGATTGAAACCAAATCTAAGGAAAACAGCAAAACAATCCATGAGTTAAAAGATGACGTAGCTATTTTAAGAAAGAACCAAACTGAATTATTAGAAATAAAAAATTCACTACAGGAATTTCATAAAACAATTGAAAGCATAAACGACAGAATAGACCAAGCTGAGGAAAGCATCTCAGAGCTTGAAAATAGCTCCTTCAAAGCAACGCTGGTAGACAAAAATAAAGAACAAAGAATATTGACAAATGAAGAAAACCTCTGAGAAATATGGGATTATGTACAGAAATATGGGACTGTGTAAACATATGACTCAGTGGCATTTCTAAATGAGAAGGAGAGAGAGCAAGCAAGTTGCAAAATATATTGGAGGAAATAATTCATAAAAATTTCTGCATTTTCAGCAGACAGGTTGACATGCAAATTCAAGAAATGCAGAGAACCCCTGTGAGGTACTGGACAAGGTGACCATCCCCAAGACATAAGAGTAATCAGATTCTTCAAGGTCAACATGAAAAAAAAAATTCTTAAAGGTAGCTAGAGAGAAGGGGAAGGTCACTTACAAAGGGAATCCCATCAAACTAACAGCAGAACTTTCAGCAGAAACCTTACAAGCCAGAAGAGATTGGGGGCCTATTTTCAACATCCTTAAAGAAAAGAAATTCCAACCGAGAATCTCATATTCCATCCACCTGAGCAAAGAAGAAATAAAATCATTTTCAGACAAGAAAATCCTGAGGGAATTTGTTGTCACTAGACCTGCCTTACAAGAGGTCCCAAAGGCAGTGCTAAATATGGAAATGAAAGAATATCTGCCATCACAAAACACACTTAGGTATATAGCCCATTGACACTATAAAGCAATTATACAATCAAGTCTATATAACAATTAGCTAATGATAGGATGACAAGATCAAATCCTCACATATCAATATTGATGATTAATGTAAACAGGCTAAATGCTCCACTTAAAAAGCATAGAGTGGCAAGTTGGATAAAGAAGCAAGACTGAGCTGTCTGCTGTCTTCAGGAGACCCATATCACAAGTAACAATACACATAGGCTTAAAGTAAAGAAATGGAGAAATATTTATCATGCAAACAAAAATTAAAAAAAGCAGGCATCACTATTATTATAACAGATAAAACAGACTTTGACCAACAATGACCATTCAAAAGGATAAAGAAAGGCATCAGATAATGACAAAGTGTTTAATTCAACAAGATGACTTAACAATCCTTAATACATATACATCCAATGTTGGAGCACTCATTTTCACAAAACAAGTTCTTAGAGATCTACAAAATGATTTAGATAACCATACAGGAATAGTGTGATTTGAAATCACACTGACAGTATTGGACAGATCATTGTGGCAGAAGTCCAATAAGGATATTTTGGACTTAAATTCAATACCAATTTGTCCTAATAGATAGCTAAAAAACACTCCACCCAGCAATAACAGAATATACATTCTTCTTATCTGTACACAGCATATACTCAAGATTGACCAAATCCTCCACCATAAAGCAAGTCTCAACAGATTCAAAAAAACTGAAATCATATCAACCACATTCTCAGACCACAGTGCAATAAAAGTAGAAATAAACACCAAGATAATATCTCAAAACCATACGATTACATGCAAGCTAAACAACCTGCTCCTGAATGACTTGGTTAGAAATAATAACGCAGAAATAAAAATAATTATTTGAAATTAACACAAAGAGTGACACAACATAGCAGAATCTTTGGGATATAGCTAAAGTAATGTTAAGAGGAAAAATTTATAGCACTAAACACTTACATCAAGAAGTTAGAAAGAACTCAAATTAATAACAATGCCACACCTAGAAAAATTACAAAAACAAGAGCATACCAACCCTAAAACTAGCAGTAGACAATAAATAATCAAAATCAGGCCTGAATTGAATGAATTTGAGATGCAAAAAATCCATAGAAAAGATCAAAGAAACCCAAAGTTGGTCTTCAATAGAATAAACAAGATGGATTGATAGCTAGATTAATAAAGAAAATCAAAAGATTCAAATATATACAATCCAAAATGACAGAGGTGACATTACAACCACCCCTATAGAACAACTCACCAGGGATGTAAAGATCTCTACAATGAGAATTACCAAACACTGCTGAAAGAAATCAAAGAAGACACATTCAAATGGAAAAACATTCCACGCCCATGGATAGGGAGAATCAGTGTTGTTAAAATGACAATACTGCGCAGGGGAACAGACTCACCGCTATTACTATGAAAATACTTTGTCATTTTTCACAGAATTAGAAAAAAAATTACTCTAAAATTTATATAGAACCAAAAAAGAGTCCAAATCACCAGCACAATACTAGACAAAAATAATAAAGATGAAGACATCACACTATCTGACATAAAACTATACTATAAGTCTATAGTAATCATAATAGTATGGTATTGGTACAAAAACAGACACATAGACCAATGGAACAGAGAAAAGAACCCAGAAATAAAGCAACACGCCTACAATCACCTGATCTTTGACAAAGTTAGCAATAAGAAGCAATGGGGAAAAGAGTCCCTGTTCAATAAATGCTGTTAGGATAGCTGGCTAGCCATATGCAGAGGATTGAAGCTTCCTTTTACCATATACAAATATTAACTCAAGATGGATTAAAAATTTAAATGTGTGATCTAAAACTATAAGAATCTGAGAAGAAAACTTATGAAATATCATTCTGGAAATCGGTCTTGGGAAAGAATTAATGACTAAGTCCTCAAAAGCAATTGCAACAAAACCAAAAATTGACAAGTGCAACCTAATCAAACCAAAGAACTTCTGTACAGCAAAACAATCTCTCAACTGAGTAAACAGAAAACCCACAGAATGAGAGAAAATATTCACAAACTATGCATCCAAAAAAGTTCTAGTATCCACAATCTACAGGGAACTTAATTCAACAAATAAAAACAAACGACCCCATTAAAAGTGTACAAAGGGGCCGGGCGTGGTGGCTCACACCTGTAATCCCCAGCACTTTGGGAGGCTGAGGCAGGCGGGTCATGAGATCAGGAGATTAAGAGTGTCTTAGCCAACATGGTGAACCCCATCTCTACTAAAATACAAAAACTTAGCTGGGCGTGGTGGTGCCTGCCTCTAATCCCAGCTACTTGGGAGGCTGAGGCAGGGGAATCCCTTGAACCTGGGAGGCGGAGGTTGCAGTGAGCTGAGAGCACGCCAATGCACCCCAGCCTGGCAACACAGCAAGACCCTGTCTCAAAAAAAAAAGAAAAAAAAAAAGAAAAGAAGAAAAAGTGTACAAAGGACATGAACAGACATTTTTCCAAAGAAAACATGCATATGGCAAACAGATATATGAAAAAATACTTTTTTTTTTGAGACAGAGTCTCACACTGCACTGTCGCCCAGCTGGAGTGCAATGGCATGATCTCAGCTCACTGCCACCTCCGCCTCCTGGGTTAATGCTATTCCCCTTCCTCAGCCTCCCGAGTAGGTGGGATTACAGGTGCACACTGCCACACCCGGCTAATTTTTTGTATTTTCAGTAGAGACAGGGTTTCACCATGTTGGCCAGACTGGTCTCGAACTCCTCATCTCATGATCCACCTGCCTCAGCCTCCCAAAGTGCTGGGATTACAGGCCATTATTCTAAGTGAGGTAACACCAGAACAGAAAACCAAATACTGCACATTCTCACTTATGAGCGGGAGCTAAACATTGGATACACATAAACCAAAGCTGGAAGAATAGACACTGAGAACTGCTTGAGAGGGGAGAGTGAGAAGGTTGTTGGGTTGAAAAACTACCTATTGGGTAGCATTATTATTACCTGGGTGATGGGATAAATCATACACTAAACCTCAGTGACCTTAAATATACCCATGTTACAAACCTGTCCATTTACCCCGAATCTAAAATAAAAGTTAAGAAATCAAGAAAACATAATAATAAAATAAATATTTAAAAAGGTATAATTGATATCTTGAAAGAGAATATAAAATTGAGTCATAGAAATACTCATATAAATCCACAGTAGGCAGAAAAAGAAGTCTCCAGCAATATATAGAAAGGAGTTACAAATATAGTTAATATTGTTCCAAATATAGGAATAATTGCCTTAAATTTGAATGGTCTAAATATGCCAATGAAAATGCAGAGATTGTCAGTATATATGATACAACAAGACTCACTATGTGTTGTGTACAATGAATCCACTTTTAAAATAAAGACAGGTTAAAAGTAAAGAGATTGAGAAAAATGTGTCTTGCTAACAAAAATCAAAAGAAAGCTTGAGTGGCTATATTAACTAAAGACAAATAAGTCTTTAGAGCAAGGGAAATTATTAGTGAAAAGGAGAGCATTTTACAATCATAAGGGGGCAAATTTTCCAAGAAAACATACAAATCTTAAATGTATAAACACAAAACAATAGATAATCAAAATATGTGAGACAAATATTGATATAACTGAAAGAAGAAGTAGATAAATCCACTATTATGTTTCGAGATGTTGGCATACCTTATCAGTAATGTATAGCTCAAGCAGCCAGAAAAGCAGTAAAGGTATATTTTATTTGAACAGCACTATCAGTCAGTTTGATCTAGTTAACATTTATGGAATGTCACATCCAACAACTGAAGAATGCACCTTCATGTCAAGCTTGCATGAAACATTTATCAAGATAGTCCACAATCTGCATCATAAACACACCTTAAAAATTTTAAAGGAATTAAATTAACACCAATCTTCCTCAAATTTTTCTAAAAAATTGCAGAGGAGAAAATACAGTCAAACTCATTTTATGAGGCCAGCGCTATCCTGATACAAAGCCAGACAAAGAACTATAGGGAAAAACAAAACAAAAACAAAAACGAAAACAAAAAAAATGCAGACCGATTACCCTGTTGAAAACTGATGCAAAAATCTGCAACAAAATACCAGCAGACAGGATACGGCAGCACTTTAAAAGGATTATACACCATAACCAAGTGAGGGTTACTCCTGGAATGCAAAGATAGTTTAGCATATAAAAATCAATCAATGTAATACACCACATTAACAAAATGAAGGAAAACATTTAAACTGAAAACATACTATATATGTCCTTAGGAACAATTTACTTAAACTAGAAAAGACTAACAGAAAGGCACCTAGAAAATCCGAAAATATTTGAAAATTAAACTACTCACATCTAAGTAACATATGGATCAAATAAGAATTTTTAAGAGAAATTTAAAAATGTTTTGAACTAAAGAAAATAAAACACACTTTATAAAAATGGGTGGAAAGCAGCAAAACAGTGCTTAGAGGAACATTTATAGCATTCAAAGTATATTTAAGAGAGAAGAAATATCTAGAATCCTTAATCTTGTTCTTACCTTAAAAATAGAGACAAAAGAACATTTTAAGCTAAAGAAAACATAAGAAAATAACAAAAACTAGAACAGAAATTAATAAAATTTAAGTTAGCAAACAATCCACCTTTGAAAAGTTTAATAGGAGTAATAAATTTCTAGGCAGGTGAAAGAAAGAAAGAGAGAGAATAAAGAAATTACCAATATCAGAAATACAAAAGTGATCAACATTAATATCATCAAGCCCTTTAAGTGAATTAAAAAGTATTTTTTCTCTTATACTTTCATGTAAAAGTTGCGTTTATTTTACATTTTACAGTTAGGTCTATAATCAACTTTGAAATAATTTTGTAAAAAGTCTAAAGTCTTTGTCTAGGTTTTGAATTTTTTTTTAATTTTTTACATAAAGACATTTTAATTTTTCCTCAGCATTTGGTTGAAAGACTACCCTTTCTTCATTGAGTTGAATCCTTTGTCAAAAGTCACTTTACTATATTTCTGTCAGTCTGTTTGTGGTAGCTCTATTCTGTTTCATCCTTCTACATGAACAACAATAAGGAACAAACAACCTAGTTAGAAGTAGTCAAAATCTGGACAGACATTTCACCAAAGAAGTTATACAAATAGGAAATAAACCCGTGAAGAAGTACTCAACATTATTTGTGATTAGGGGATTTCAAATGAAAACCACCTTAAAATAAGATATACACCCATTAGAATGTTTAAAATTCAAAATACTGAAAATACAAATGGCTGGGGGGATGCAGAGCAGCAGAAATTCTTGGTGATTCACAGTGTGAAAGCAAATGGCACAGTCACTTTGGAAGGCTGTTTGGCAGCTTCGTGTAAAGCTAAACATAGTCTTACCATACAATGCAGTAATTACACTCCAATAAACTTATGTCCATATGGAATCCTACATGCTTGTATTTCTAGTAGATGCGTTTATAATTACTCAAAACTACATGCAACCCAGATGTCTTTCAAGAAGTGAATGGATAGACATTGATAGACAAACTGTGGAATATCCATACAATGCAATATTATGGAGTGATTAAAAATGGACTATTTAACCACAAAAAAAACAGACATAAATCTTTTTTTTTTTTTTTTTTTTTTTTTTTTTGAATGGAGTCTCGCTCTGTCACCAGGCTGGAGTGCAGTGGCGCGATCTCGGCTCACTGCAAGCTCCGCCTCCCGGGTTTACGCCATTCTCCTGCCTCAGCCTCCCGAGTAGCTGGGACTACAGGCATCTGCCACCACGCCCTGCTAATTTTTTGTATTTTTAGTAGAGACGGGGTTTCACTGTGTTAGCCAGGATGGTCTCGATCTCCTGACCTCATGATCCGGCCTCCTCGGCCTCCCAAAGTGCTGGGATTACAGGCGTGAGCCACCGCGCCCAGCCCAGACATAAATCTTAAATTCGTAGTGTTTTGTGAAAGAAGCTAGCCTGACTGAAAGCTATATACTGTATTATTTCAATTATATGTCATTCTGTAGACGGAAAAGCTATAAAGACAATAAAAAGCATCAATGATTGCCAGATGTTTGGGGTGAGAAAGGATTGAATAGGTGAAACATAGGGCATTTTATAGGGCATTGGAACTATTACATATGATACTCTAATGGTGGATCCATGTGATTATGCATTTGTCAAAACCCATAGAAAATTACAGAACAAAGATTGCACCTTAATGTATGCAAATTTAGAAAATTATTTAGGAGATTGGGTGACAACAGGATGAGGTATAGAATGTGATAAAATAATCTAATAGTATTAAAAATGTCAGCAAAAACCTTACTGATGGAAGTGGGCAATTAGTTGGTGACCTAAATATCTTTGAAAATCAGTGTGGGATCCGTGCACAAGAAATTAGACAAAAGAAACTGTGCATAAGAATTGCATTCTAGTTGATAAAGTTGTTTCCCATGGGGATATGGGTTAATAACTCTGAAGCCACCATACATGTACACTGGAATTGAACAATTTAGTAAATAGATGGCAGAGGGTGAGAGCCCTGTTTTTAAGTGTTGGAGTAGGAGCTTACAGATAAACCAGGGGAGAAGTTGCGACTGTTCCACGTAGAAATGATCACAGTTGGAGATACCAGTATGAACTCATGTTTACCTTAACATACATAAAATAATATATAGAAATATTTATGCATATGTTTTTATACACAGATATATACACACCTATATATCTGCTTGCCCTGTCAGTTGAAAAGCCCTAGATAAAAAGATATCCCATATCTTGGATTTTAGTACCATTCACTGACAAAAGAAACCAGAACTCCTTAAAGAAATGGCGGACTCTATGGCTGGGACAGGAAATACAAGATCAGCCTTGAGCATCTTGTAGGATCAGAAAATAAGAAAATGTTAAAACACAACACACACACACACACACATGCACACACACACACACACACACACAAAAAAAATGATGGGATATATCAGAAAAGTGTGCTATACATAGTGACTTTCTTTTAAAGATTACATTATAGAAGGAAGAAACGAAACAGTGACTTTACTGTGGAAATAATGGACAAAACCTTCCTCCACCAGATTTTCAAGGTTAGTATCAACAGTGACAAGTCATGCTGATAGTACATACCCTTGATATAATGTGATGAGAATAGAACTTTGCCTCTGTGTTTTTACTCCCCAAACGCATAACCCCAGTCTAATCGGGAGAAAAACAACAGACAATTCTCAATTGATTGATATTCAACAAAATATCTGACAAATAATTTTCTAAATTCTAATGACATTCAAAAGCAAAGTCTGAGAACCTGTCACAACCAAAAGCAACCTAAGGAGACATAACTACAAAGTAAAAGGTAGTATCCTTGATGGGATCCTGGAACAGAAAAAAATAGACAAAAACAGAAAATCTGAATAATTTATAGACTTTCGTTAATAATAATATAGCAATATTTTTTATTAATTGTGACAAACGTACCATACTGATATGAGGTGTTCATAAGGGAAGCTAGGGATTAGGATGCATGGGATTCTCTGCTCTACCTTTGCAATAATTCTATGAATCTAAATCTCTTCTAAAATAAAAATCTTTTTAAAAGGAAAAATCAAAAGGCTTATTTCTCTGATAAAAATATAAATACGTTTATTTCTGATGTTCTGGAATATATTTAACTTTTGTATTTTTCCACAAAGACATACAATTTTAAATTTAATTATGGAGGCAATAGCATGTACCTGTCATTGTAGGTGACCCTCTGTTGTTACTGTCATTGTTTAAAATATGTGTGTATCCCTGAGAGGGGTTGGGGAGCCTTCCCTCAAGTGAGGAGGGGCAGGACATCTCAGTTGCCTCTTTTTCCTTGTTGCTGAGAAGTATCCCAATCTTCCTTCTTCATCTATGGTTTCCATGTTGTTATTTGTATTTGTTTAAAAGAATGACCTCAAATGTATTTGACTGGAAAAGTATAAGAATAAATAAATATCCACATTGTTTATTCTAGTCATTTTACTCTTCTTTGAAATTTTTTATTTTTGAAATTTTTTTCTGAATGCGCAGTTATTTTAAGTTTTTGACATCTTGGAGCATTTGCCATAAAGTTGTCCACAGGGAAAACAAAAAGTAAAAAGCAAAGCATCTTCATGGAGCTTGTCTTGAAAATTTTTTTGTTGTTGTTGTTCAAAAGAATCACACAAGAAAAGAGTGCTTAAGTGTTTAAGTAATTTTTAATTATTTACATAAACCTGGGGTCAAAAATAAAAATTCTGTATTTTTTAAAATGAAGTACAGTGAGCCAAAGTTTCCATGTGTCTGAGTTTAAAGGTTTTCCTCACATAGACTGAGAGCTTTCATGTGTAATTTTCAAAGTTTTAAATAACGATTGTCAATATAAGAGATGTCACAAATCTCTTAAAATGAACCAAAGACAAACCAAACAAAAAATTCTTTCACTTTGTTTAAGGAATAGGTGGCCTTGCAAATTTAGGATTTTCAGGCCCAGCCCCAACAGCATTTTATTGTGCCCCTTTCTAAATATGTTCCATATTTCCTCATCTTAGTGAGCAGAGTGACTACCGAGTGTTGTTCTGAGCTGCAGGTAGCTTGGGTACCCTAGTGGTCACTGTAGCTGTCTGTGTAAACAGTTAGGTACCCAGAGCCAAATGGTGATCACTTTCAACATATTGAGGGAGCTAACAAACTTCAGAAGTCTATACCAATCCCTTCACTTACTGCTAATAACAACCATAGACCATCCTTCTGTAATCTAGATATTAAGCTAGGGCTTAAGACTTTAAATAACATGACAGAGGTAAACCAGTAAGTGGGAGGAGATGGAATATGTCTGACTCCAGAGCCCATGTTCTGTGCAACTGAGCTTGTTGCCTTTAAAAAACTCCCACTTTATTCAGAAAAAGTATTTATTATTAGAAATATACACACATACATGCATGAACATACACACACATACACATAATCATGGTGAAACATTTTAAAAAGTACAAACACCTCTCTCTGACCCTTTCCACAACCAGTCACCAGTTCCTTGCTGTAAAGGGCCAGCACTGCTATTTACTCAAATCTCAAAGTCTTTCTATACATATTCTCTTCAGCTTGCATTTAAAAATGGTATTTAAAAATCTAACCACCTATATATTATTTTTTTCAGCTGACTGATGATGTTCTTTGTAGCATAGTTTTCCCTCTGCACAGGTTTTGACTGGAATTGGTTATTTATTTGGCTGCTGTGTTTCTTGTACTCCATGGCTCTTTCCAGCCCTTGGCGTCCTCAGGCTCACAAGCAGTGCATGGGGGCTTGAATCTATCAGATTCATTATTATTTTGTCGCTATTTACAGTATTTTGAAGATGTCACGTCTGTATTTCCTGAAACTGTAGTCTCATGTGGACTTGTTGTCCTTAGTTATGTTAAGAGTGATTTGTTCTACTTTGTTGGGAGGGAAGGGATTCAGAACTCAGCGATAGCCATTGTTCTCCCTGAATACACTGTTTTTGAGGCTAACAAATTCTTCCCTACAAAGTGAGTTAGTGCTTTATATTCCTATTTCATGCTGATCTCATTCAATTTCTGATGTCCTTGTCATTTGGGCTGAGTCCTACTGATTATTATAGAAACTTTCTCAATGATCTTTTACCAGTTTTCCATTTTCTATTGTATTTACCATATTCATTAATCATGATTTTAAAAATATTCCAGGGACTCAAAATTCCATCTGCTCTAAGTGTAATGTCCTAAGTCACTTATTTTCTGTGCTTGGCTTGACTGATATATTTGACTAACCCTGTTTTTCAGAACCATCTCACTTCCCCATGTACCTCAAAGTTACTTCGGGAGTCATTTGTTTCATGTTGACCTGGGTTGAAAACCATACAACCTTCATCTATTGCAACACAACTTCTTCATGTCAGTTAGCTGCCATTTACTGTGTGCTGGGCCTTGTATCAAAAGCTTCACCTTCAATATCTCACTGAACCCTCACACATCTTAACAATGTAAATGTTAGTGCTGGAAGTTTGGAAATAAGAACCTTGGGGCACAGATTAGACCCAGCTATGATTCCAAAATCCAAGCTCTTAACCACTTAACATTAATGTCTCTTACTTTTTAAGACGTTATTTTATGCTTCCAAATTTATTTGGTGGCACTCTCTTGACCTAATTAATCATAATACTATTTTGCCAGAAAAAAAAACAGAAGACTGAAATAAGAAGCCATACCCTTGACTAAGGATGATTCCAGACCTGCTCTAGAACATATTCGCTCAAAATCTTGAAATGAGATTGGTATTCATTTGTCCTTTCAGATCTCCCTGCTCCCATGTCCACCTTTCTCTGTCCTAGGAGGATGAGCCAAATGTTCAGCATCTGTAGATTATAGGGCCTATGGATTATTACTGGATTTGGGTAAAGGGAGCATGTCAGGAGGAAGCCATTGAGCAAATCAGTGTATAGAACATTACCCACCTGAGAGGACCTCCTCAGGACACCTCTGAGTCAGCTGCCAATGCTATTCATATCACCATCTTTACAGACCAGTTTTGCCTGGTTTTGTACTTCAAACGAATGAAATTACTCAGCATGAAGGTTTTTTGTGATGTAAAATTTATTTATCTTCTCGTTTATGGTAATAATTATTTTTATTTTGTTGCTGTGTCAAATACACTTTTATAAACATGTCTTGCTATATTTATTCATTCTGGTGTTTTCAGACATGTGAATTGTTTTCCTTTTTGGCAATTATGAATTACACTAGTATGGACATTCTTTTGCATATAATTTGTTGGGGATAAGCACTCATTGGCAGGAAGGGAAGGGCTAGGTCATAGTGTGTATGTATGATTCACTCTAGTAGATACTGCCAAATGATTCACCAATGTGGACAAGAAATTTACACTCCCACTCAGCAATGTATGAGAGTGTTTTATTTTTTCTCTCTCCCTCTGTGTGTGTGTGTGTGTGTTTTGTAGCGATAAGGGTCAACTATGTTTTCCAGGCTGGTCTTGAACTTCTGGCCTCAAGCAATCCTCCCAACTTGGCCTCCCAAAGTTCTGAGATTACAGGCATGGGCCACCACACCCAGCCTGTATGGGAGTTTTAATTGCTCCATGTCCATGTTACACTTGCTGTTGTCTCTCATTTTTGTTTTAGATAGTTGAGAATGATTGCAGTAATATTTCATTCTCATTTTAATGTTTAATTTTCTGATAATTAGTTTTCTCCATTTTTCTGGTTGATTTTAGGAGTTCTTTATATATTATGGAAGTAAAACCTCTCTTCAGTATGTATCGAAGCTGTTTCCTCCCAGTCTTCCTTATGTATTCACTAGCTTAAGGAGTGTTGTTAATTTGTTGAGTTCTTTATTTTAATAAGGTCAACCTTTTTATCTTGTGGTTAATGCTTTTTGTGCCCTCTTTAAGAAGTCTTTGCCTATCCCAAGATAGATAAGGTATCCTTCTTCCGTTTAGAGACATGGTAGTTGTATCTTTTACATTAGGTGTATTATGTATTTCTATATTGCCATCAGTCCCTGGAAGGAGCTCCCACAGGCTTATGTTAACGTAGGAGAATTCGTCTTCCTACCACAATAAATTGGCATAGGATGAATTCTTTTGTCCCCATATCCCTGAGGATATTATCCCTCACTATGCAGCTAGAAAGAGAGAATTCCTCTAAGTAAATGAAGAGAAATTGTGTAATTTTATTAACTCAAATTCCCTCGTGTAGTAAGAAGCAGACATGGAAAAGTCTATGATCAATGACTCTCATGCATCCATTAAGAGGATTTCCTCCAATTGTGCTAGCCAAATAGTGGTTAGAAAAGAATGTCACAAAATTTCTAATCACAGAAAGGGTAGACTTTGATTATCCCCTATAATTTATTTTTACCTAGGTTTGTTATGAATTTTAAGATAGGAGAAAGACATTTTCAAATATATATATTTCATACTGATTATTAGATTATTTTCTCTTATCCTTATTTGCAATTTTGGATGCTAACAAAGATTGCAAAAGCAAGTTAGGAGATACTGTTAATTTTCCAAAGAATTGGCTACAATAAATACAACAATCAAACATTCTCCAAGGAATGTAGACAGGCAATTTCCAAAAAAATAGTGATGTGTTCAAACAGATTTTCAAACATTTCTGGTTAGATATTTAGTCATGGGACCCTTTTTGAACATGGAAAGCTGAAAGCATAAACTAAATTATAAAAGTAATAATGAGATTTGCATGTTCTTTTTATTCTTTTCAGGGTCCATCTTTATCAATATAAAACTATGCTCTTTTTTTTCAAATTTCAACTCATTAGAACATCAGCAAAATTAAATGAAGGTGAAAGGCTCAATAAAACAGAAGCAAGTAAATAAATGTTACACAGAGAAAGTCTGCACGCTCTTAAAAAACGAACACTTAAATCACTGAATTTCTCTTCTTTCAGACTCATCAAAGAATTTAAGTTAAAGACACATCATGTAAAAGTATTTTTAAAAGAGACACATCACATCAGCATTTTTACCCTAGCTCTTTTTACTCACTGTTAAAGAGACCCATGTGGTCTACCCCAGTTAATGCATTAATTGCATGTGTCCATTGTGCTTAACAGATGAGAAACGTGTTTGGCAGAAATTACTCTTATTTATAAGTAAGTAAAACAGGGACAAGCAGATTGTGTAGAAAAAATTGCAATTAAAAAGCCAGGTTGAATGATGGATGGTAATTAAGACCACTATATAACCTCTATGGTGAGCTCCAGGAAGGTTCTTGGAAGTTCCTGTTTCCTCACTATTGCTCATCGTGGTAGGCATTTGATCTGAATGAATAAAAATAAAGAGGGGCTAAAAACTCTCACTGCCACTTTGAAATAAGGCTGGATAACAAGGGGAGAAAGGCCTAATGAAACAAAGGACATTTTTTTTTTTTTTTTTCTGAGACAGGGTTTTGCTCTTGTTGCCCAGGCTGGAGTGCAATGGCACGATCTCAGCTCACTGCAACCTCCACCTTCTGGGTTCAAACAATTATCCTGCCTCAGCCTCCCCAAGTAGCTGGGATTACAGGTGCACACCACCACGCCCAGCTAATTTTTGTATTTTTTAGTAGAGGTGGGGTTTCGACATGTTGGCCAGGCTGGTCTTGAACTCCTGACCTCAGGTGATTCACCCGCCTTGGCTTCCCAAAGTGCTGGGATTACAGGTGTGAGCCACTGCGCCTGACTAGACTTTTTTTTAAAAAAAATTATAGTTAGTATTACTTTACTACATTTATTATCTATTTAGCCTACTGCAAAGTCAGCCCTGTTGTATGAGAATAGGGCCATTGTCTGCTTTCTGCACTGTTGAATTTTCAACACTTTGAAAGTCCCTTTCATATATTAATATGAAAGCCCATGAAATGTCAAAGGATAAAAAAACTAAGGATTCTAGTTACTACCTTAAGATGTTCTATCAGCTTGGGACTATAAATTATTGAATAGATAATTGAAGTAAATGAGTATGCATGAAATTGAACTATTCAAGTCAAACCAATTTATTATCTTTAATTAAAAATGACATGAAGCTATACACTGTGAATAGGAAGGATCACCAGGATAGATTGCCTTTGCTGAATTCATCCACCCTACAGTGCACTTTTAATTGCCAATGAGATTAAGAGTTTCTACAAAATGCTAGTTGAAAGCTACCAATTGGAAGTGATTAATTAACATATAAAATTTGTAGCTTAATGTCAGACATGTAGCAGGCATTCCCTAAATATTATTTCCTTTATTCTTGCCTTCTTAAATTGTATTTTGTTTAAAGTAAATTGGAAGCAGAGTAGCTCATTTTTGAAGTTGAAGACTTATTTCAAAAGTAAAGAGGAATTGTGCCTGTATATGCAAATGTAAAACACACAATTTATGAAATCTATAATTATACAATGGAAGCATGCAGATTTAGGAAACCTGCATTTGAATATGCATCACATATTTATTAATTGATTATCCTTGGATAGTTGCTTTTTGCTTAATCATTGTTTCTCCATATGCAAAATATTGAAAATATTACCAACATTATAATGAAGCCAGTGACACAATGCTTTCTGAGTTCCAATTTGACTCATTATTGTTAGGTTAGCCAGGGTGTCAAGTGTTTTAACAGGAACCCACCGAAAAGTGACAAAAAATGAAGTAGACAAACTGCAAGTGGGTGTACAAAAGGAACACAAAAGGGGTAGTCCAAAGACAACGTTCAGGTAAGAACGTATAGCATTAAGCCTGGGAGTAATGACTGACTTGAAACAGAACTATTTCAAGTTTCTAGAAAAGTGCTATGCCTCACATTCTATATTAGAATTATCCAATTTAAATGATAACATTTTGATCAACCAAAATAGCTGTCACTCCCTCTCTAGAAATGTGGCTCATTTGGCAAACATTTCCATAGCTGTTCCTGAAGGTTATGCAGCCCTCAGGGTAAAAAAGAAATCATTCTTTAGGACTATAATGTTCTGAGTAAAATGATGGATGACACATGTGGTCTGTGTGGAGTGGTCCTGGGTATTTTAGATGGTAACTCTGCCAAGAGCATCATCTTTCATAGGAAAGAGATGACATATGCACTGTGTTTTCACATCTAGAGGAAATGTGGCTGCAAAATCCTTCCAAACAAATGTACTCTTGGGATCTAGCAGTTCTACTAAAATGTGTGGAACGGATTATGGTAACATAGATTAATAAAACAAGATATATGGTATGATTTCAATTTTTTAAATTGTTCTTTAAGCCATAGTTTATGCTTCTATAAACCTTTCTCTACAAAAATAAATTTAAATATGACCAATATTGATATTCTAGCTTGCAGATTTGAATAACTGGTCTTTTTGACATTGTTCTTTACGAAACAAAGACAATGTATCATTGTATGTAATATTCTACCATTTAAGGTGGCACAAATGACTAGAAATGACTAATCGTGTCTACACCAAATACTGTCTTTACTTGGTGAACCACCCTGAGAAATTACAGCAATTGCTATATTTTTAAGTTACGTTGTGTTCATGACTAACATAAATACTAAACTGAATACTAAATACCAAAAATAGCCACGTAGGGCCTGTTTCTATCTACTAAGGAGTTAATAACATCATTAGAAGAACCAAATGCAGCAAATCTAAGGGCTCAGTCACAGCACTCCCTTATTCAACATGTCTGTGGAATAATGTTATAATTCAGTGCTGAACAGGATCAGAGGAAGGAAGAACTGTTTGGATTCAGTGATGGGGGAAGGGAAGAGCAGGTAGAAGAGACTGGATTCAGGTAGAGAAGTAGGAGTGGAAATAGGTTTGGAGAAGCTAAAGAAGACACAGAGGAAGAAATACACCTCAGGTATGAAAAGGACAGTACGTAGATTAATTGGTAATGAGGTTTTTGGTAGGAAAGCGAGGAGTACTGAGTTTGGAACAGATACCTGAGTGTTAAAATGTATAGAGAAAAATGTTAAAACTTGGTGTAGTAGTTTGTTTTTTTAGTCTCTAAAAATTGGCAAACAAGGGGATGGCACAGCAAATTAGTGTTTGCTTCTTTGAGAAATATATCAGGGATGGTGGTGAATGAACTGAAGTAAGGAGTGACAAAAATAAGGCAACCTCCTGGAAGACTGTAGCACCCAGACATGCTGGACTCAGACCTGCTTCAGGGAGAACTGCTGCCCTGCTTTGAGGGGTGTCGGTTGGCAGTAGCCAGATGCTAGCTCTGCCCAGCACTCACCTCAGCTCACCTAACAATTTCTGCCCAGCATGCATCCAATAGCTAATGCCTGGAAGCTAGATGCCACATTCATTTCATTTGTTTTAATTACCCAAAATATATAATTCATCATTAAGTCTTATTAGTTTGATCTTCGACATATACCCTGAACCTTTCTGATTTTTCCATTTCCAAATCCTAGACCAAGTCACAATTTTACTTAGACTAATACTATTTAGAATGAAACAAATTAAATTGCTAATTCTTGAATTTTTTTTTTCACCTTCAGGAAAAGCAATGTCAAATGGTTCACACTACTAATACTCTATTAACTAGCCTTGACACTTCCAAATATTGCCTATGTCATGTAAGATTAGGTTCAGTTGTGCAATGCAGAAAACTCATGCCTTCAATATAAAAAGGCTCACTTTTCTCTTGCAAAATAAGCAGTTTTAAGGTAGGTTATAAAAGCCCGGTGTGATGTTTCTACAGTTATCAGGGACCCACGCTCATGTATCCTCTACTCAGCCATCTTCGTTGTGAGGTTGCTATCCTCAAGGTCACTTTAATCCAAGATGGCTACAGAGCTTCTTCCATCATGTCATTATCTCAGGCTGCACAGAGAAGTGGTGGGTAAGACCTCGCCACCCAGCTGAAACAGCTGTCTCTCAGCAGACTTCTCAGAGGTTCCACAAAATCTGGCTTACATCTGATTAGTAAGTAAATAGAGGCTTGCTCCCACAAAGGAGTTTTGGAGATATAGGATCTTAACTAAGTACACATAGGTAATTATAAAGAAGGGAGAAAGAGTACTATGTAGGCAAGCACATGCCCCAAATCTCTTTCTTTCTAGAGTAGCCAGAGTAATTTTTTGTTCATTTTTTAAGCTAAGCTCCATATTTTACTTGGATGTGTTAGTGTTTCCCTATTTGTGTTTTTTCGGCTCCAGGAGCCCTTCCATAATACTGCATTAAGTCACTATATCTCCTTAGGCTGCTCTGGGTTGTGCCAGTTTCTCAAATGTTCTTTGATTTTGATGACCTCAATAGTTTTGAGGAGTATTGGTCAGAGAGATTCAGTAAAATGTCGCTCAGCTTGTGTTTCTCTGGTGGTTTTCTCAAAGTCAGGCTGGGGTTTTGTGTTTTGGGGAGAAGATGACAGAGGTAAGTGCAATTCCAACATGTCACACGTGTCAAGGGCGGTGCTGTCAACGTGACTCATCACTGATGACACTCACCTTGATCATCTGACTGAGGTAGTGTTCCCCAGGTGTCTCCATGTCAAGTTACTTCCTCTCACTTCTTTACTATACTCTTTGTAAACAAGTCGCTAAGGGTAATCCCTATAGTGGTCTAGTTTCTTGACGAGGGAATATCTAGATAATTTGGTATTCTCCTTGGGAGATTTTTCTCTTCTCCATTTACTTATTTATTTAGTCATTTAATTATATTGGTAAGAACTCATTAATATTTATTTTATGCTTTGGGTGATTCTCCAATATGATTTTACTTATTTTCACTTCAATGCTTCCAGCTTGCCATCAAGAGCTCTTTCACTTGGCTCCTGTATCTCTTTCAGTCAACCCTATCATTTTATTTTTTAGCACTTCCTTTCTTTCTGGATCTGCAAAATGTTCTAGTCTCATCTTGTGTGACCTCTCTCCCAGCACTTGAATGAGCCATTTCTCCAAAGAGTTCTTGTTCTTATACTTGGAGAATGGTATCAGAAATCAAGATAAGGGCACTAAATGTGCTTCTGGGATGTTATTGTTTCTAGGCCTTTTTAGTGCACAGAACTATGAAATATATGTATGAATGGATACTAATTGTATCTATTTGCACCTCTGTAACATACACACACACACACACACACATACACACATATATATGTATGTATGCATAGATGTCCATCTGTATTTATATTAAGCTAAGTGGTTCATACTGATGTCGCTGACCTTAATCCAGAACCCTGTGATTTATTTTAGCATTCCCCATTGCTTATCTCTACAAAATGATTTTCTAAATATATAATTCAAAAAAATCCTCCTTTCTACTTATGACCTACAAACCTTCCCACCTTAGGATAAAATATACACTTACAACTTTGAATATAGCAAGGTCTTAAGATACACCAGATGACATAAATTCCTTATTTTCTTAGCAATTAGAGATAATCCATAGGACTAAAAAAATTTTGTAGCTAGTTCTTTCTTCACAAATGTGATGAGACAAGAATCATAAAGGAAACAACATCTTAATTTGTTTGAACTGTTCATTTCACAGTCAAATAAATTTTGTTAATTAATATTTAATAAATTAATGACGATTAACAGCTAATCAATTGTTATGTATGCCATATTGTATTAAAGTAAAAATAAAATTATATTAAATTTAGAATAATATTTCTCAAACTGTTGGCTGCTGTGAATCACTTAATCATGCTTATACCACACATGAAAAAACAAATTTAAGAAAAACTAAAGTTGCAATAATATGCATTCTGTGTACACGTGTATGTTTGCACACTCATATCAGGAAGTTATACTGTTTGCAATTCTTCACAAATGAATTTTTATAAAACTCAATAAGAGAAAGCTTGAGCAATAAGCAAGGTTTAATATTCCATTAGTTTCTATAATTGATCTTTATTTAAGGCAGTCATTTCTAATTCAAAATCATACTCCTAGGAAAAGGAAAGGGGTGTTGGAAGCTTTGTAAAACAGTACTGGAAACGACTTGCCTTTGACAACTTCAGAAACCTTGGAGACATTTTTCATGGTACATGAGTAATAAACATACTGAAAGTCTAAAGTTTTGGCTTTGAAGAAAGCAAGGAAATAATCTCCTATCATCTCTTTGGTTGCATTCATGTCTGGAATAAATTTCATCATGCTTTGTTGTCGAATTTAGACATGGTTTTAAAAGACTTAACAATTGGGTAAAATTCAATTAATTATTCAGTTGTCGAGTTTCTTTCTCCACAGTTTTCTTTCTTAAGAAATGATAATAACTTTTTCTGAACATTGAAAAAAAAAAAACCACCTCGTCAGTGAAGTGAGAGTGTCAGGAAGTTCAGTGAACCAAATAAGCTAAAATATGCATATCTGAAGAATTTTTAAAATCCTGTCTCTCATTTTCATAAATTTAGTGTGTGTCTGTCCCTTGGACACAGAACAAATCTTTGTAAGTGTGGCTTGGCCCTACTGCCCATTCACGACTGAGAGTCCAGCAGTCATGTCGGGAATTGACCGAAGCCATACGCGACCTGGGTCTTTCGACCCTGAAGTCCGCTATCCATCACCAAGGATTGTCTGTGGATATAACAGACAACTCTGCTGGCTGGCATTAAGGCATTTTCTTGCTGTACCTAGAAATGCAGCCTAATTCTGAAATATAATTTCAGTCTCTGCCATGGCTCAAAAAAATGTTCAGTAAATATGAGACACTTTCTGACTTAGTGAAAACCACCGAGGAAGCGTTCTCCCTTAAATGACTACCACATGTGCGCTAAGAGATGCTTCATGTTCTCGCCGGGCACGGTGGCTCACGCCTGTAATCCCAGCACTTTGGGAGGCCGAGGCGGGCAGATCACGAGGTCAGGAGATTGAGACCATCCTGGCTAACATGATGAAATCCCGTCTCTACTAAAAATACAAAAAAATTAGCCGGGCATGGTGGTGGATGCCTTGTAATCCCAGCTATTCAGGAGGCTGAGGCAGAGGATGCTTCATGTTCTCTTTTGACTTCGCTTATGTAAGATTAATCATTCTTCCACTTTTGCGCAACTTCCACAGCATTATAATGACAACTAATTCTGCCAACATTCATTCTGTTTCTGCCTTAATCATAAGATTTTTTAAAATTAACTTTGGTATAATTTGTTAATTTTCTCAGTAAGAGTTTTTGTTTCTTTCTTTTTTGAGAGAAAGGGTCTCACTTGTCTTGCCCTGTCACCTAGGCTGGAGTGCAGTGGCGTGATCATAGCTCACTGTAACCTCAAACTCCTGGGGCTCAAGAAATCCTTCCTCCTCAGCCTCCTTGGCCTCCCAAAGTGCTGGGATTACAGGTGTGGGTCACTGTGCCTAGCTAGTAATAAAGTAACTTGAACAAGTTTTTGCTATTACTAGTATTCCTTTAAATTATATTTCCTTAGTTTAGGTTTTCTGTAAGCCTTCTGGGCAAAAATTAATGTATTACTTTAGAAAACCTAAATTCAATTTTAGATAACCAAAATTTTCAGAAAATGAGAATGATATGTTTGTTAGATTTATGCCATTTTCTAATAAAATTTGTAAAAGATAATATACAGGGAACTAAGGATTTTCAGTATTAGAACGATAATTTTTAGATGATTATGTTTGTTCTTTCTAGCCAATGTCTGCTTTTTCAGAACGTTTGTGCAATCAGAACATTTCAATATTTACTTCTCACTGATATTCCAAATCACATTCCATGATTCATGTTCACCATTTACATTTATATTATCAGTTGTTTATTTTTATACTTTATATGTTAGTATTATCTTCATTAGTAATTGCTATTCTTTGCTTTAATTAATCCTTTTAAGTCAGTGATGCATGTTGATGAATTGCTGGCACAATGAACGATATTTTAATAAGAGAAATACAACAAAAGTAAGCAATGTGAAAATAGGTTGCCCAAGAGGAATGGTACTTAACTAACTTAAGTTAGATATGAACCAATTGAGTTATTAACCATGCTTGTTATTATTATTAGGTACAAAATTAAGGGTGCACCAAAAATCTCATTAATACAAATAAATAGTGCTGAATCCAAAAATTCATGATTAAAAACATATCAACCTTTTACATTAGGATCAGCTTTATTGAATCTTCTTTTTTCCTTGAAATGACCCAAGGTACTGACAGACATCAGAAAATCTCTAAGTAAAACTATCAGTGGGAAATACATGCAAATTGAGGAATGTTTGTAGACAAAATTGCCTCTGCCATTTCTTCTGAAACTGCCAAAGGAGTTATGAACCATTTGATAGACAACTGGGGACATAAAGTATGTTCTAAGAAAATTTATTGAGAAAAGCTAACCCATTCTGTTTGTTTTCTGATTGGAAAGACAAGAACTGTGTGTTGTGTGTATGTGTGTGTGTGTTTATGACAGTCAACTATGTTTATAAAATTTCTTCACTAACTGTAAAGATGTATCTATATACAGTCAGCCATCTATTCATTGGTTTCACATCAACAAATTCAATCAACTATTAATAAAAAATATTAAAAAATTTTAAACCAACAAATTAAAACACAGTATGATAACAATTGACATAGCATTTATATATTAAGTATTATAAATAATCTAAACATGATTTAAAGTATAGGAGAGGATGTATGTAGATTATATGCAAATAGCCACTTTATATAAGGGACTTCAGCATCCGTGGATTTTAGTATCGTTGAGGTCTTGGAACCAATCCCCACTGGATGCCAATGGGTGACTGCATTAGTTATTGCCATTATACTTATTAAAGGATAGTCTGCACTCTATCTTCCATTCCTAAATTTAGAGTTGCTAACATTATATTATTTAAACACCATTATGATTCAACAGACTATTTTATTTGCATTATTATACATAATTATATGAAATAGAGAATTAAACATCTTAGCTGTATTTTAATTCTCTTTTACTTAGACTTCTATGTGAATCCATCCACATAGAGGCAAAACGGGTGATTTTAATGGTGATAATGACCTAGTCCTTGTAACTTTCAAATAGCGTGTCAGTGTTACATATTCTGGTTTGTGATATAGTTTTGGTTGAAATATATTTTAGAATGTTGAAAAATGTGCAGTAATGAATGATACATTTTAAACTTAAGCTCCAGGCATCCTACATCAAAGGCAAAAATTTCTGTCAATAGTATATAAAATGTTTATGATCCCTGAGCAAACGAAATCAGTTAAGAGATTATGTATGCAAAATAGTTAGCATGCCAGGAAAAGATGAAAGAAAATACAACATGGCATAAAAATCCCACGTTATAAAAAGCATGAGGCCAAGCCTCAATCATTCCTTCCATTATGCAAGAGCTCAAGGGCTTGTCTTTATGTGACAAAAGCAAGTGAGCAACTGTCACAGTGACCAATCCACATTTCCCCACCTCTACTTTCACCTCACAGGAGTTCTGGGAGCCCTTTAAACATGGAATGTCTGCTTAGAGGCTTAGATTTTCAAACATGAAATGGGTATGAGGAGCCAACTGCTCCCTAAAGTGAGGCTTCTCAAAAGCAAAAATAGGAGTTGGCCTGAGACTATTAGGTCAGAATATTTAAAGAGTTGACATAGAAAGCAGTAAAAATAACTTCCTTTTAAACTAATTTGTTGTGTTCAGCTTAATGTTTTGAAGACACTTCAATTCAAAAAGTAACTTAAAAAGCAATTAATATCATTGGGCACCTTGGAAAAGATCTCAAGGCAAGAAACACATAATAATGTTAATTGTAAAAAACATAAAGGCATGGGCATATTTTGTATATTAACATTTTGAAAGAGTACCCATTTCAAATCACTGTTATTAGCAAGCAGTCTTAATAATACTGAAATGGGAAAGGTTCGCTTGTCCGCCTCACAGGGCGTGTGATGAGGGGTGACTCGCTTCTTCAGTGCTCCCCTGCTGAAACCTCTAGGGGGTCATACAGACAGGCTGTGGGGACTCCATTCCCATGGCAGTGTCTAGGGGTGAATGTTTACCGCTGAAGCCCCAGTGGGTGTGTGTTACAGGATGCTCTTTTAGTTTTGGTCTTTTAATTTTGCCGTCCATAGGCAGCTTGTGTTGACCAGATCAGTTAGACCCTCTACCTTGTCACAAGGACAGAGGGATTTCTGTATCCGGGGATTCTTGCCTTAGTATACTGGAAGAATCAGATCACCTGCGGGCTTCGGGGATGAGTGCAAAGTTTCGTGGAGTAGAAGTAGCTCTCAGCAGATGGGAGAGCCAGAAAGGAGATGGTTTTAGCCTAGAGTTGGGCTGCTCAGCGACCCGGCTCTCCTCCAAATGCCCCGGTCAAACTCCACCTTGTTCCACTGATCAGTGGCCTGCGGGAGTGCCAGCATCTGTCGGTTTGCTCTTTCGCTGGTGTGCTCCCCTCGATGTCCTCTTGATGTCCGGCCACTTGTCTTCTGCCGATGTGTTCCTCTTGCCGTCCAGCAGCTCTGTCTGCCCGCTAGGGTCTAGGGTTTTTATAGGCCCAGGATGGGGGCATGGTGGGCCAGGGTGGTCTTGGAAAATGCAAAATTTGGGTGCGAAGGCAGAAGTGTCTGTATCCACCTAGGTCCCTAGGGGTACAGCCCTAGCCAGGGACCATGCCCTAGTCTACCCAGAACTTCCCTTCCCCACTTCCATATCATTTAAAGGGACCACACTCTTCCCTTCCCAGCACTCAAGTATCAATATTAATAAATTGAGCTAATTTAAAAGTAGTATTTGCCACTGTGAAAAAAAATATGAAACATTGATTTCTTTGAAAAAAATATCACTACCTTAGCTGTTTAAACATTCTCAGTAAATCAATAGGATGATTGAGTTGGAAGATTTTCTGACTTTTATTTTACTGATTTAATTTCAAAACTCTACTACTCCTGTGAAAGATGACTGGAAAACATTAATGTGGACTGACTTACATCAGGTAGATAGAAAGTAATGGACTTAGAAAGTGTTCTCAGCAGTGCAAAAAGGTATCAATGACCTTGAAGGAGTCATTTATAGATGAAACAAGTCTTAAAAGGAGGCTGTTTAGATGTCACATTTGGGAGATTTGGAAGGGAATGGTGAAGAAATGTGTCCCTAATTAGTAAGACAATGTTATGACAGGAATGAATCACTTTAAAATGAATCACTTTAAATTGTAAAATATATTTAAAATTTAAAATATAAACTATGAATATGTCTCTTGGGGAAGATACAGTACTTGGTGCATCATAAGTGAGTTCTGTTTAAATAGCTACAAGGTGGCTGTTCAGTGAAATGAAACTGAGCTAATGCAGAAGTAATTGATAATCAGTTCAGAATGATTTTTAAGAAGATTCATGAACTTGTTAGAAGAAAATCAAGCTTTGATTTATTATTTTCTACAGCTTAGAGAGAAGATAAGGAGGAAGGGGTCAGGCTTCAGATTACAAGTGACTAATAATAATGATGATAATTGTTAATATTATTATAAAGGTTTTAACTTTTTTAATACCTAAAAGATGCATTTGGTCTCAGTGATTTATTTATATTATTTGCATAACTGTATGCTCACATGCAGTTGTGAGAAATAATACAGAGCCCACACACTTTTTACCCAGTGTCATCCAGTGGTAACACCTTGGTTAGATAAAGTAAGATATTACAATAGGAGAATATTAATATAAACCATTGGCTGTATTCAAATATCATTGGTTTTAAATGTAGTCATGTGTGTGTGTGCATTTAGTTCTTGGCGATTTTATTGTGTGTGAATTTGTAGAGTCACCACTGCAGTCAAGCAAGAGGACAATTCCATCACAAACCTCCCTTGAGCGATCTTTTATAAGCCACAACCTCCCTCTTCACCCATCACTACATTGCCCTAAAAGGCAGGAGCTGAGGCTAAATGAATATAGAGGGTTTATTTGGGCCAAGGTTTGGGACTGCAGCCCGGGACTGCAGCCCAGGGCACAGTTCCAGGTTGCCATGGAGAGTGTTCCAGAGAACAAAGGAGAGGCTCAAGGTTTTAAAGAAAAAAATGATGAATCAGGAAAGGAGGCAATTATGTAAATTGCTCATCAGGAATTGTCATTGGCTTACAAAATAGCATTGGTTAGTGATTGGCTACACGTTGTTGAGCTATAGGGTATATGGCATTTATGGCTACTTGGCGTGAGTTAGTCTAGAGCATAGCAAGTGGCTTCAAGAGATAATTATTTAGCTCAAGGGGGACTGAGACCTGACTGCTGTGACACTATAAATGCATCTCTGGGCTTGTTAATTTAAAGGGGCTCCCCATTCCTCAGATAAAAAGGTTTTTTTTTCTTTCTCACCTAATCCCTAGAAACCACTAATGCCTTCTTCAGGACCATAATCATCTCATTTTAATAATGTTAATTAGATGGAATCTTAAAGTATGTAATCATTTGGAACTGCCTTTTTTCACTCAACAAAATCCCCTGGAGAGCCATCAAGCTGTGTTTATCAATAGTTCCTTCCCTTTTATTGCTACCTGGTATTTCGTGGTATTGATGTACTGCAGTTTCTTTAATCATTCAACTGTTGAAGGACACATCCATGTTTTTTCTGTGGTTTGACTATTACAAATAAAGCTTTTAGAAACATTCACATGCAAAACTTTGTGTGAATATACACTTTTATTTTTCTGGGATAAATGCCCAGGAGTGCAATTGCTGGGTTACATGCCAAGCACATTGTGGGAAAGAGAGTTTCTGGGGTGCCAGTTGAGTTGGTCTCCCCTGTTTGAGACACTCATGGGCAGCCATGGGCAGCCTCTGAGGAGAAAAGTCTCCTTATTGCCTTCATGTCTTTATGCCCTGAGAGCATAACCACTCAGCAGCATTCCACAGGTTGCTCAGGGAAATAACACTCCCTTGAAGCAGTGGAGTATAATCAAACATCTTGGCTCCTCCTGAAACCTGCTCCCACCCGTTTCAGTCCCGATAAGTTAAAGATCTTAAGTAGTTTAGACACACGCCTTTGCTCAAGGAAATTCACAGAAACTGCCACTGCTATACAACTTACTGAATGACTCACAAGTTCTCCTTCACTGATTAATCCTTTTCCTCATCCCTTCCTCCCCTTCCCATCTGCCCTAACAACAAAGAGCTTGTAAACCTATAAATTGGGTGGAGCCCGAGAGATCTGGGCCGTGAGAAAGCCTCCGATGCTCTGGTCCCCTGGACCCGCCTTTTAAAGGCTTATTCTGTCTCTTTCTAACTCCTTTGTCTCCACCAGACTCAGGGTACCCTCTGGGTGGTGTGGGGCTGGTTTCCCCAACACACGTTTAGTTTGTAAGAAATTGACTAACGGGCCGGGCATGGTGGCTCACGCCTGTAATCCCAGCACTTTGGGAGGCTGAGGCGGGTGGATCACCTGAGACCAGCTTGACCAACATGGAGAAACCCTGCCTCAACTAAAAATACAAAATTAGCTGAGTGTGGTGGTGCAGGTCTGTAATCCGAGTGAAGCAGGAGAATTGCTTGAACCTAGGAGATGGAGGTTGTGGTGAGCCAAGATCACACCATCGCACTCCAGCATAGAAAACAAGAGTGAAACTCCTTCAAAAAAGAAAGAAAGAAAAAGAAACTAAAAAACTGTTTTCAGAGAAGCTGTGCTAGCTGACATTCCCGGCAACAATGTATGAGTAATCAGGTTTTCCAGATTCTAGTCAGCATTGTTACTGTCATTTAAAAAAATTAGCTATTGTGATAGGCATGCAGGAATATTTCATTATGGCCTTAATTTGCATTTTCCTAATAGCTAATGATACTGACCATGTTTTAATACACTTAAATGCCAGAGAAATGTCTGCTTATGTCTTTTGTCTATTTTCTAATGGGCTTTTTTTTCTAGCAGTGAGTTTTGGAAGTTCTTTGTATATTTTAGACATGAGTCCTTTGTCAGAAATGTGGTTTAGAAATATTTTCTCCAGGCCTATAGCTTAATGGGTGCTTTTATAGAGTAAAAACAATTAATTTTGATAAGATACAATTTAAATTTTTTTCTTTTATGGCTTGTGCTTTTGATGTCAAGTCTAAGAACTCTTCACCAAGCTAAAGGTCAGATTAGTTTTCTCTTATTTTTTATTTTAAAATTTTATAGTTTGATGCCTTACACTTATGTTCATGATCCATTTTTTAAAATTTTTTTTATATTTTATTTTTGAGACAGAGTCTCTCTCTGTCACCCAGGCTGGAGTGTGGTGGCACAAGCTTGGCTCACTGCAACTCCTGCCTCCTGGGTTCTAGCAATTGTCATGCCTCAGCTTCCTAAGTAACTGGGACTACAGGCACACATCACATTGCCTGGCTAACCTTTATTTTTAGTACAGATGGAGTTTCGCCATGTTGCTCAGGCTTGTCTTGAACTCCTGGCATCAAGTGATCCACCCACCTTGGCCTCCCAAAGTGTTGGAATTATAGGCACAAGCCACTACACCCAGCCGTGATTCATTTTGAGTTAATTAAAAAAAAAATAAACTGTGAGGTATTGTTTTTATTTTGTTTTGTTTGTATAACTTTAAGGGACACAACTACAGTTTTGTTACATGAATATATTGCATAGAAGTCTGGACTTTTAGTGTAACCATCACCCAAACAATGTACATTTTATCCATTAAGTAATTTCTCATCCCTCACCTTCTTCCCAACCTCACTCCCTTCTGAGTCTCCAAGGCCTATCATGCCACTTTCTGTGTCTGTGTGTACAAAGTATTTAGCTCCCACTTATAAGTGAGAGTAAGTATTGGCAATTATTACTGATAGTGGCAGGAGACAGACAAATTCCTAGGCAGACAGGGGCGGGTCCCTGAAGAAACCCAACCTTCAAACCAAAGATAATTTAAAGCCTTAACTGAGCTGCCGGTTCTGGGTAGAGTCCACAACGGGAGTGAGAACTTCCTCAATGTCTTTTACCCAATCAAATGATGCTTTTCCTAGGCCCACCCATGGACCAGTCAGCATTCACTCCCTCATTCTGAGCCTACAAAAGCCCCAGACTCAGCCACACATTGGGCTACTGACTTTTGGGACCCTCTCACACAGAGGGTTACCCACTCTCAGTCCCCTCTCTGCTGAGAAATTTCCTTCTGTTGCTCAAAAAATCTCTTCTCCATCTTGCTCACTCTCTGGTGTCAGCGTACCTCATTCCTCTTGGACGTGGGACAATAACACAGAACCTGCCAAACAGAGGGTGCGAAGGCAGCTGTAACACCATAAACCCTCCCTCCAGTTTGCCAAGCTGCTGGGCACCACACACCCCTATTCACCATGCTACAAGTGGGGAAAATGAACTGTAACATGAATAAACTCTAACATGCCCCCACTCCACCATTCACTGCACTGTGGGTGGTGGGAACAAACATGAGCCATAACACAAATGAGCTGCAACACGCTCCCCACTGCCCTTGTTTGCCATGCTGAGTCCTTGGGGACTCAGACCTTGGGAATCCCCAGGCAAAAGCCACAACACCACTTGGGGCTCTGCAGTTGCTGGCATTTCTGAGTTTTGGGGCATCACTGAGTTCCCCTCATCCAGATGCAGGCGCCCAAGGTGGAAGCAGGCCATGGCATGTCAGACCCAGGCCTTGGTTGAGTGCAGAGCACATGGTGGTTGCAAAATCCAAGCATGAGCCAAGCACAGCCTGTTGGGCTGAGTGGGCAGAGTGAGCCCAGTGGTGAGCCCAGAGCCAAGTGAAACCAAGTCAGAGCCACTGCTGACCATGGAGATTTCTGGCTAGCGAAATGGCACCAAAAGAATCCTGTGTAATTTCCTCAACTGGGTGATCAAAGTCAACTTCAATGATGATGTCATGTTGATAGTATATACCCCTAATATACTGGAAGAAAATGAACTGTATCTCTTTGGTTTTTCTCCTCAAATCCCGAAAGTCCAAGTCTAATGAGAAAAATATAAGGCAAATTCTAGTTGAGGGACATTCTACAAAATAATTAAGCAGTAGTCATCAAAATTATTAGAGTCATAAAAAAATAAGGAAAACCTAAGAACCTGTCACTACCAGAAATGTGGTATCCTGAATTGAATCCTGGAACAGAAAAAATGATATTAGGCAAAAAATTAAAAAAATCTGAATAGAGTTTATATTTCAGTTAGTACAAAGGTTAACTTACTTTATGGTAAATACCTTCCATACACCAGATGAAAAATTACTGATAGATTTACAAAGGAAATTTGACATTAGCATGCAGGATTATAGCATGGTTCCCTAAGAATTTGATCAGTTAAACAAACATAAACAAGAATATAGCCATTCCGAATGTCATAAATGACATGTAATTTTGTGGACATTTTGCAAAGTCAGCATGAAAATGTAGAAACCAGGTTTAGAAAGACAAATACTGCATAATCTCATTTATATGTGGAATCTAAGAAAACTGAACTCTCAGAAGCACTTGAGAGTAGTGGTTGCCAATGCCTACAGGGAGGAGGAAATGGGGAGGTGTTGGTCAAGGAGCACACAGTTGAAGTTACGTAGGATGAATAAATTCTGTAGATCTGGTATACGGCATGGTGACTACAGTTAATAATAATATATTATATTATTGAAATTTGCTAATGGGATAGATGTTAAATACTGTCAGCACACACACATGCATACAAAAGTAACTATGTGAGGTGATTGCTATGAAAATTCATTTGACTGTGGTAATCATTTAACAGTGTGTACATATATCAAAACATAAAGTTGTACACTTTAACTACTTTTGAATTTTGTTTGTTAATTACTTTACCAAGCAATGGGCTCACTGTGTGGTGGGCATAGAAACCAACACCATGACACTAGCTTTTGAGAAAAGAAAAAGCTTTATTGCAAGTCAGCTGGCAAGGAGACAGGAGGCAATGTTCGAATCTGTCTCTCCAAGCTGGGGGTGAGTCAAGCTTTTACAGCGGTCCCAGCTAGTCCCTGGTGATGCCAACAATCTCTGCTGTTCTGCCAGGCTGATGGTGTTCCGAGTTAGGAGGTTAAAGCCCTTTCCATTGCCCATGGCTGGGCAATTTTGGCTCTGTACCACCTGAAACAACTTAAGCAATCATTAGTCAGCTGGAGCTGGTTCCATGGTTACAATTATACCTCAAAAATGCTGGAAAATAAAAAATAAAAAATAAAATTTAGATATATCCAATATTTTTAAGCACACAAGACACATTTTGAATTTTGATTATTTTCTAAGCCCTACATCCAACTCTTACAGATGTCAAAAAAATTAATATACATATGACATTCTCTGACAACAAAAATATTGGATTATAAATGTACAATAAAATATAAACTACAAATTATATATCTAAGTAAAATGTAAAATCCCACCTGTAAATATCTCATTGATAAATGAAAATGTACAAAAAGACATTAAAATTTTGTACTTGTGAAAATATTTTTTGATAGGAATTCATGAGATGTAGCTAAAGCATATTTCAAAAGAAATTCAGACCCTTAAATGCTTATGTTTGTTTAAAAGGATGAAAATTAATGAAACAAATTTCCAACTTAATAATTTAGCAAAAAATCTGTATCTGTATAAGCCCACAATAGAAAAAAATGATACAATACAGGTGAAATCAAATACCGATATAATAAAAATGCACTCAATAGAGTATCAAAGATTTGATTGTTTAAAAATAATAAACAGAAAAGTATATGGTAAGATTTATCAATAAAAATAGAAAGAAAACCAGCTTGCATAAATGCATGCAGTGACAAAGTTATGTATTCAATAGTGCCTAACATATTACTAGGAAAAAAATGTCATGCCAATCAACTTTAAATTTATGTAAAATAATGGGAAAATTTTCCCAGGTAATCACTTACGAACACTGAAATAGAAGGAAATAAGTATTAAGTAAAAGCTAAAAAAAATCAAGACAGTTGAATCAGTAGTTTAAATTTTGCCTACTCAAAGCAACAACATAAATAGTTTTAGAAGTAATTTCTAAAAAAGAAAGGCTACATTAACCAAATTAGGATTAAACTGCAAGTAAAGTGAATATTCTCTAATTTATTTATTTGAAGCCAATATGTGTTAAAGACAAAATAAAAGCAAATAATGCAAAATCCAGAAAAAAAAAAACTGGCCAAACTCACTTATGGCTCTAGATACCACCATTCTAAAAGGAAATTATTAGCAAAATAAACTCTGCAGTTTTATATGAAAATAGAAATCATGTGCAATTAAAATCTCATCAGAATAATTTAACTTTAAAACCTTTATGAATAATTCAATGCAAAACTTATTTTACAAGGAAAATTAGATTGACCATATCAATGAATCCAATAATAAAATTCCTCATGTAAGAAAGATCATAGGAAATTTTGCTTATTTAAGAATTATCCCCTTACATTTTCTTTAAAATCATGTAAGAATATATCTATGATCATTTCTCATCAATATTGTATTGGCAGCCCTTTTCAGCAAGGAAAATTTTTTAAAAAAGATATAATGATTTGACATGGCAAAATCAAAGAGTCATGGTTAACAGATAATTGAAAGGATACATGGAAAATCCTATAGGATCTATGGAGAAATTATTTTTATAAGTAAGATAATTTCCAAGGTGACTAAATTTAAGTTTAGAAAAATCAATTGTATTTCTGAATACCATCATAAAAATGTTCTCACAAAGAGTGAGAATATATAAGTATTAAAAGAGTTAATATTTATGATAACTTTAGAACTAATAGAAATAAGTCTGGGAAAATATTTGTAGTTGCTTTATGTAAAATAATTTGTTGTTCTTTATGTGTTTGTTGGAATACATATGAGAAGACTTTAACTGAGAGGTATACCACATTCTTAAATACAGTCAATAAAAGCACATTGATTCTTTTTAAAAAGTATCTATAAGCAGTTATTCTTTATAAATAATGTTAGCACGTGTTTTCAAATAAAATTTAACAAGCAATGTATACATTTATTTTGGAAAAGTCAGTGGCCAAAAATATCCCCAATTATACTGAAGAAATAGATTGAAGACAAATATTGCTTTACCAGAGAAAATGTATTGGAAAGTTGTGATAATCCCAAAATGCATCCAGGTTATACAATTGTTTTATGTGTTATATAATCGCTGTTATGTGATTCGGGTACACACAGAACAGTGGGGGGAAGAATCAACCAATTATACTCTGATCACTGGTTATTCATATGGATAAACAAAACACTGAAACACTACTCTTTGTTAAGGATGAATTAGAGATATAAATATAAAAGTAAATAATTATGAACTTTAGAAGAAAATACCTGGTGTAATCTTTATTGGCCCAAAGTATGAATATCTATTAAGATAAAGAAACAAAAACTCTAATGGACATGACCAACAAATTATACTACAGTAAGACTGAATTTTAATGGTTCTTAAATGATGATACTAAAATGAAAAAAGCAATTCACAATCACTTTTAGAACTGATAAAACATTTTACATTAATAATTTAGACATTATTACTATTAAGATTATGTAAATGATTTCTACAACAAATAAAGACGGGGAATAACAAAACAGGCAAACAGTAAGAGAGGGCAGTGCACAGGAAGGGAGGTCTAAATTGCAGAAAAATGTAACACATTTCTTAGCAAAATGAAATAAAAATTTGCAGTCAGTGTAGAAAAATAAATCTAATACACAAGAAGTGTGTGTAAATTCTTAGGAAAAATAGAAAATTATACACAGGTGATGAAATATTGCATAGATTCGATATAAAAGGTTTTTACTTGTGTGATTATTAGACATTCTGAAATACCTTCAGTCTGAAGGCTGGCAAAAGCCAGAGCCAGAAAAAACAGGGTTTTTTTTTTTTTTTTCTGCTTTTTTTCCTCCAAAGCCAGAAAAAAAAAAAAAAACAGTTTCTGTTCAAAGGCAGTCAGAAAGGCAGAATTCTCTCTTGCTTGGAAAAAGAGTCAGCTTTTTGTTCTAGTCAGGTCTTCAACTGACTGGACGAGGCTCACCATCATTAGGGAGGCCACTCTGCTTTACTCTGCCTTCTGATTTGAATGTTAATCTCATTTAAAAATGCCTTCAGAGTCACACTCGCAATAATGTTTGACCAAATATCTGAATATCCTTTGACTTGGTCAAGCTGACATATAAAATTAACCATCACAGTTAGTAAAAGTAACACGTAAATTTACTTCCTTTTTCATAATCTGCAATGATTTTATTGGCATAATACATTTCTGTTTCTTATAGATTTGAATGAATTTCACGAGGTGCAGAACAGATGTAACATAAGGAGTGATGTAGAAGTTGCAAAACTAGAGAACATATTTAAAGGCCTAAAAGCCTTTAAATTTGAACATTTTTTTGCCATCCCTTCAAGACAAATAACATATTCCGGCAGTTTGCATCAAGACTACTGATTACATTGTGGAGCTAGGAAAATTAAAACCATCTATTATATTCTCTGTCATTTCTTCTATCTGAAGTTTCTCTGTTTTGATGCTAGTTTATGTGATACATTCAAATTCCTCAATAATATCTTTATTACAGAACTTTTTCTTTATGAGAATAAGTCAACTTATCGGTCCACTTTTTGTTGTAGAAATATGAAGCTGTCTTAATTTTGACATTCAATACTCTGCCAATACAATCAACACTCACTGCAGTGTTTATTTAATGTAATCACTTATTCTTTCACTTTAAATTTTTCTGAGTCAGTATATGTTTATACTTTTTTATCTTACGTATTATGTGTTTTTTAAAACAAATCTGAGATGTATTTTTTTCTAATGTTAGATTTAGCAGTATTAAATGTAATAAATGTTAGCCCTAATTATATTATCTTTCTTTATATTAAAATTGTGTTTTTATAATAAGTATTGATTGTGTCTTCCTCTTGGATTTGCAAATTTATTTTTGTCTTCAGTTCCTCTGGTGATTAATAACTCTAGAAGATATAGCAAAATTGTACTTTAGACTGGCAATTTAACTGCTGCTGTTAAATATAAGAAAGTTTGCGGTTGACTTATTATTTATATGTATGTTATACATAAAGAAAACCATACAAATATAAATGTATATATTGATGAATTATCACAAAGTGAATGTAAGCTTATAAATAACCCCCAGATCTTTATCCTTACTCTCCCCAAATGCAAGTGTTATCCTGACTTCTAAAGATCATATATGTTAGTTGCTAGAGTTAGCATAAGTGGGATTATAGAACATTCACTCTTGCATTTGGCTTCTTTCATTCAACACAATGCTTGTGAAATTTATCCGTGTTATGGCTTATAACAGTGGATTATTTATTTTGATTGCTGTAGCATATATTACTGTGTAAATATATTCCCTAAATTGTAGCTACTGAAAACAGAATTTATTAACTTTAATTTTAATGTGGCATTTTATTAATCTTTTCTTTATGGTTAAAGCCTCTTCTCTTTTGAGACAAGGTCTCGCTCTGTAGCCCAGGCTGGAATGCAGTGGTGCCAACATGGCTTACTGCAGCCTTGATCTCCTGGGCTCAAGCAATCCTCCCATGTCAGCCTCCACAGTAGCAGGGACTATAGATGTATGCAACCACACCTGACTATTTAAGAAAAAATTTTAAATAGAAACAGGGTCTCCCCATGTTACCCAGGCTGGTGTCAAACTCCTGAGTTAAATCCTTTTTAATTTCTGTCAATAACTAGTTCTCCAAACCACATGTATATTCATAATACCCATGACAGTTAATTTTATACGTCAAGTTGACTGGGCCATGGGGTATTGAGATATTTGGTCAAATATTATCCTGGAAGTTTCTATGTGGGTTTTTTGGTAATATTAATATTTAAATCAGTAGACTGAATAAAGCAGATTGCCCTCTCTAATGCAGATGGGACTCAGTCAATCAGACAAAGGCCTGAATAGAACAAAAACCTAATTTCCCCAAAGGCCTTCAAATTGGGACATCACCTTTTCCTATTTCTACAGTAACTTCTGCCTTTGGACTCAAGCTGGGACATTGGCTCTGCAGATTTTGGACTTTCTAGCCTCCATAATCACGTAGACTATTTCCTTGCTATCAATCTTTCTATATCTCCAATTAGTTCTCATTATCTGAAGAACTTTGACTAATATATTACCCATGTTTGAGATGAGAGGTTTTATCATCATGTCTTTTACATTTAGATCTATAGTCTACATGTAGTTGGCTTTTTGTCTCATGTGGAGTAACAAATTACAGGAAGTTATTTCGGCACATTTTTACATGAATTTATGTAAGTTGGTACATTTACATAAATTAATATCATATTCTCATCGTTATAAAAAATTTCTAGAGGGAAGCACTAGGAATTATTAAAAGTGATTATTTCAGTGGAGAAAGACAGATACATCATCAAATGTAGGGGACATGAGTTTTTACTTTATATGGATCAAGCAGAATATACTGTCCTATTTAAGTGTGCTTAAAATCTGTCTCTTGCCAAACAGATCTCTAAAGCCACTGTTTTGTTGGGTACCAGAAAAGACTCAGATGAAAAACGCAACAGAAGGTGTCTCTCGGGAAGCAAACACTGTCTTTGCTCTTTTTAATTTTTGTCCCAAAGATCAAAATTATGAAACATTTCTTCTTGCTGAGAATCATTACATCTCCTCTAAAATGCTACTTGGATGGCCTGGAAAAACAGTGTGATCTTTAGTAGTTACCCTGGGTTTTTTTTTTTTTAATAAGGTGATACAGAAAATACACCCTGTGAATATACCAAGTAATAAAGCCTGGAGGAATTAAGAGGTTTCTATAAGCCTCCTGTGATTTCCAATAGACAAAACTAATTAAATCAAGTCCAGCTCTGGTTCCATTTGCTTATTTTACGGCATGACATGGTATTGAGGGTGTCTTTGGAACAAACCTATAAACACTTACTTTGCCTGATGGACTTTCAAAGTCAATATCTTAATGATTCAAATCATAACAGAAAAGATTTTTGCAATTCGATCTGAGAATAGAAAGGCACTTTAGTGCAATACAAGTTAACACTTCTGTTCCTCGTTCTGTCATGTAGGAAAAAATGGAATCATGCAGTAGCTTAAAATGATGACTGCATCCTTGAGTCTAGATTAATAAAAATCTAAGTTTTCTAAAGAAAGATTTACTACCAATGGAAAAACAAAATAAATAAATAAATGATTTTCACCCAGCCAATACACAGATATTCTGTTATGTTGTTAAAATAATGTAACTGGTCATCGAGTATTGATCTAAAGATGAATTGTGTCAAGACACAGATAAAGGCATTATCTGTATAGAGGAAGATGGTGGTGGTGGTGAAATTTTGAGAACAAAAGATGGATTTCCTGGAGCTCCTGAGGAGTAGGCACTGAGGCACTTGCTAGTGGCTTCAAGACCCTTGTCAATGGGCAACATGCAGAGGTCTGAAATGGGAAAGGAGAAACAGTTGATGGCACTTTGGAGTTCACAGACATATTAGAGAGTACACGTGAAGCACCCCATATGACATATCTGAATTCCAAGAAATAATCAGTTGCAAGCTGATGCAGGGACTTGGAACTCTGTATGGCACGTGAACTGAGATCCAGTGAACTATGTGTAATGGTTGAGAACATGTCCATGTTTGCATCTTCAGGCTGCCAGACTTGACAAAAGTGGGCTTTATATGTTCATATATTATTCTAATGCCAACACAGTCTAAAACTATTTGAAATAAGCTTTAAACATTTGATTATTAGCATAGACATATTAACTTATACAATGTTCTTTCTAGAAAAAATACTTCATATAAACAATAATCTAAAATCCTTCCTTTGTTGATGAAATTTGCCCCTAGTCTAGCACAGAAGAGCATTTTCTTCATCAGAATTTATGATTCTTGTAACCCATTGTTTTATGTGTAAATCTCGACAGAGAACAGCATTTCAAAAATCCCATTATGCTTTATTTGGGAAGTCAGCTATTTGTGTTATAAAATATATGGGGATATACCTCTAGAGAATGGTAAGAGTTTTGAAAGAATTATTCCATGAATAGAAGAATGACATAAATTGGATGATAAAGATTAAGAATTCTGCCAAGTATCATATCTATGACATTGAAAACTAGGTGGTTATTGTTTGTTTTATAATCATATCACTTTCCTTGGAAATTGTGTTAGTACTAAAGCCAACACAAATTATCTTTATGTCTGCTTTGCCTTACAGTATTCAAGACTTAGTCAAAAACTTTCAAAGGTTATTTACCTGCTTTACCACTGATGAAAGAAAGAGAAAGATACTCTACCAAAGGTAGATTTATTAAAGATGGCTTTATATCTCAAAATTTAAAAAAGCTTTATATCTCAAAATTTTAAAAAGATAGCTTTATATCTCAAAACAGAAATTACCAATTTGTACAATATGAATCAATGTTACAATAGAAAAAATTAAAAGTATGTTAAAATATTTTACATCTAGAAATTAATGACTTCAACATTTTAGAGTTACAATCTACTTTCCCTTTACATGACTTTTTCTTACACAAGACATAATTTTTTCGGTTTTGTTAATTTAATGTCAGAAAAAAACAATGCTTACTTGCAACCGTATGCTAATGCCACTTTTCTGGGAACTACTTATTCACTCAATCTTAAGTAATTGTGTATGTGTGTGTGTGTGTGTGTGTGTGTGTGTGTTTAGGTACATAGATCAAAAGAGAGAGACAGAGACATAGAGACTCTTACAGAATAATAATTTGACTTGAAGTTGAGAGGTGTGTGTTCCAGTGCTGGCCATGTTAGTCCACACTTTTAATTTAGATATGTTTGATAAATGTTTCACATGAGGACAGCAATGTTGCAGCTGACAAGAAATAAGTGAGGGTTGTTCTCTAGGGCATCCATGTAGCCCACTGAGCCTAATTTCTCCAGGAGGCATCATGCCGGTGAGGCTGCATGGTCTAGGGACTGGTCCTCAGCTTTAGACGTATAGAAACTGAAAATGGTCAATTCCTCCAAGTGGGTTGGTATCCAGCGTTATTTCTTGATGACAGAATTCACAAGGAGGTAGTGTATGAACCAAATTGCAATTTAAAAATATATGATTCACATGGAAGAAGACAGAAGACAGAAGAAGATTTTGGTGATGTACAAAAAAATTCCTTGGAAGTAAATATACTTGCAAAGGCAAACATATTCAGAAGATGCTTGGTGAGCATGGAGTCAGGGGATGATGAAAGTCTGATGACTTTGCATAAATTAAACCTACCATTTTTCATTTGTTATGTTCTAACATAAATTTCTCAACTTAAAAAATAGATTTATTAATTTGATTATACTTGAACAACTGATAGATTAAAATTGGATTTTCCCTAGAACCATTTTAAATAAAATAGTAAATCTGTGATAATTTCATAATTTTTAAGTATTCCCATATATTTATTACAAAATGACTATGATAATATAACCAATTTTTGTCAGCAGTGTTTATACTTTGGTTTTGACTACAGTAAGAACTTTTCTATTTTTAGTTTTGTTTTGGGAGGATAAAAATGAACACAAAACTTCCTACAGTCTTCTTACATCAAGTCATCACTCAGAATCTAGCAAATTATTAGGTGGCCTGCAGCAAGGTCATAGATTCTTTCTTAAAGCCAAACATTTACTGGCTAAATGATTTTGAGCAAGTTGCTTAAACATTGTGTGTTAGAATACTCTTGCATGAAATCTGGAGATAGAATATTTAATTAGTTCATATGTTGTTTGGGGCATACACACATCATAATAATAGAACAGTGCATTGTAGCTATAATATTATTATCTTTCAAAAGCGACATAAAGATCTTTTAAAATAAATGACAACTTCCAGTTCCAACCAAAAGAGATTCACCCTTCCCTTCTAAACCCCCCTTTTCCAACTACGAACCTGGGGAGCTGCTCAGTGACCTTGCAACTTGAGGAAGCACACTTTTGAGTCCCTGGATTTTCTTATGGCCTCCCATATACTCTGAACAGAGCACCGTAGAACCTCTAACTCAGAGCCACCAACAGCTATCTATATCCATATACCATTTCTATACAGAAAGTCAAATAATATTTTATTTTTTACTAAGTTATTTTACTTATATATATATTATATATTAATAATATATATTATATATTATATATATTAATAATATATATTATATAATTAATAATATATATTATATATATTAATAATATATATTATATATTATATATATTAATAATATATATTATATATTATATATAAATAATATATATTATATATTATATATATTAATAATATATATTATATATTATATATTAATAATATATATTATATATTATATATATTAATAATATATATTTTATATATTATATATATTAATTATATATATAATATATATATATGTATATTTGAGACAGAGTGTTGCTCTGTCACCCAGGCTGGAGTGCAGTGGCACTATCTTGGCTCACGGCAACCTCTGCCTCCCGGGTTCAAGCAATACTCTGCTTCAGCCTCCCGAGTAGCTGGGATTATAGGTGCCCGCCACCATGCCTGTGTAATTTTTGTATTTTTAGTAGAGATGGGGTTTCACTGTCTTGGCCAGGCTGGTCTTGAACTCCCAACCTCGTGATCCACCTGCCTCGGCCTCCCAAAGTGCTAGGAATGCAAGCGTGAGCCACTGCGCCTGGCCTAGTATAATATTTTCAATGCTCAACCACACATATTAGTACTGTGTTCCTTTTTATAAGCAAATAATATTCCATTGTAGAGATAGACCATATTTTGTTTTTGTGTAAATATATACATTGTCAGTTCTTTTGAGTATACCTAGAGTATCCCTAGGAATGGAGTTGCTGGGTCATAGGATAACTATATGCTTAGCATTTTGAGGAACTGCCCACAGGCTCCCTTTTTTGTAATGCCTTTTATCAGGTTAAAAACATTTCCTTCTATTAATTGTCTGCAGATATTTGTATCATGAAAGGCAGTTAATACTTTTTCACACTTTTCCTATATCTATTAAAATAATCAATGATGTTTTTTCTTTTTAATTATTCTCGCCCAAATCAGAATTACCTTTCTTTACTTCTCCAAGTTAGCACCATCAATGCCCATTTTCACTTATTTTCTAAGTTTTTTTTCTTATATTAATTAACACAAAAATACAGTTAGTTTGATGTATACACCTTCTCTTACCAGGTTGGCCCTGAAATAGGATCCTTGAGGCATATTGTGATCTGACACAGATTGAGGCCTAGAGTCTTTCAACATTTTACAGTAATGCTTAAGTAACATTAACACATTTCTGCTCACCAAAACCTTAGGTAAGGTCCTCACAGGGTCCAGGCAGATGAGAAAGGAGTGGATTCCACACCTGGCATGGAAATGCAGTGTGTTTGGTCTAAAAGGCCAAAAAGAGAGGCCTAAAAGCACCTAAATCTCCCCAACATCAATCCTTCACTTGTCAGCGGCTCAGCTTGTCCCACTCTGTCTTAAATTTTATATAGGAAATTTCACATAAGAGACAAAACAACTGTTCACATATACACAGTAATATTTAGGACCTGACTCTGACTGATTTTCTTTCTTTGCCCTGATCCACATACCACCAAAGATTAGAAACTCTTTTGTCAGTTATGGAAAATTGCTCATTCTCTGACCATAATTCAAAGCAAGAAATTAAAATCAGACCTTTTCATATTAAATTGCTAAGTCTTGTAGTGCACATAAAAGTGGCCAGCTCACTCCCCATTTCTAGCATCTCCTATGCCCATCCTAACAGCATGGGTCAATAGTCACACAGTTGAAACCAAGCCTTGTCTTTGACACCTCATTCTAGGTAATAGTTCCCTGCTGGTATTCAGAGCTACCAAATATTTTATAATTTAATGCTAATCCTCACAGGCTTCCAATCAACTAGACCAGATATTAAATTCTGATTTCTAATATCTGTTACTGTATTGGTCAGCTTATTAGTTGTGGACCAAAACATTCTTTCCTTCTAGCTTAAATAGAAAAGGATTTATTAAGTGATGTTAACATAACAAACCTAATAAATATAATAAATTAATATTTATGTATAGAAGTTGAACAGATACTGCATGTAGGTACAAACATTTCATTTAAGCAAGAAAAGTAAAGTACATATTTAAATGGCACAGTATCACTATAGAAGGAAACCCAGATATCAGTACCTCTGTAAGAAAAAATTGTCTTTGACTTATAATAAGTGGAATATTTATTTTCTTACAGCATCTATGTTATAAATGTTTTTGCCGAGAACTTTTATCACAGTTATTCAGGACTCTACTGCTCATTTGGTTGAACAGCCAAGCATTTCAGAAACTGTATAAAGAATGCTTTTTGATAGCATGGCTTACTTAAAGACATCAAATTCAGCAAGCAAATTGGAGTTGCTAAAACTTGGTATTTCTATCAAAGTCATCTTCTCCTTGACTGAAATCAATGAAACTGATGCTGTTTGATATTGTCAGGCAAGCTTGGCATCTTCAACATTAGTACATTTTTTAATTTGTTCTCTTATCTGCTAAGTCAGATCTGTGGGTTATGACCTGGTATCAAATAACTTCTCAGAACATGTTCTTGTAATAGAAGTGAATCAAATAATCACACATGCACAGGAATGCTACTAAAAAGGTAAGAGGGGTGCTTATTGCTTCGTGGTGGTGAGAGAATATCTTTAGCTCTTCACATATAAGATGTCAAAAGGGCCTGATACTTAACATCTAAGCATGTTCCCTCTATGCTAAGAGAAGAGTTCACTCAAAGTATTGTATATCATTTTAAGGCTTAAACACTGTGAAGAGCATAATTATATTTTAAAAAATTTGAAAGAGAGATATAAATGTGGCAAAAAAAGCTTTGGTGAAGGCACTTAAACTACAAATGTCATCACTAAATAGCAAAGAGAGGTGTCAAAATTTGATTTGTGAAACATATGGCATTGTCAGAGAGGAGGTGACAATCCTCCTCATGTTTCTAACTGAGTAATTCAAGAAAATTTGATAAGCTAAGTTGGTTGAAAAAAAAAAGGTGAACATCTGTAAAAGCTCAACATTTTCTGCCGTGAGCTGTCACCTGAACAAGTTCAGATGTTACTGCTGGTGTGTGCAGTATTGCTTCATGTGGGTGAAAAGGTTTCATGCTTTTGCTCCTTGAAACATAAGGCCTCACAGAAACATGTTGTAAACAGGAAAGGGTATCATTGTAGTTGACAGAAAACTGTTGATGATTCCAGCTTGCTAGAAGTTAATCCCAGAATAAACTGCGATCATACCAGGATTGGCTTTATAAGTTTTGACCAATTAGTTCCCCATATATTAGAAATCATTTTACATAGAAAAGTTCTGAATTTTAGATCAATATAAGTTAGTTTTTTATTATGAAATATTTCTCAATCATAATCGTCTTGTTCAAATAATAATAACTACAAGGCTATAAGAACCAAATGTAGTAATGAATATGAGAACACTTTTCAAGTTTTAATCTCTAAGTAAATGCTGCTTAACATTTCTAAATATATGCTTGTTTTCTGTGAATGGGCTTATTTTATTTCTGCTGTTCCAGGATCTTATTGATAAACTTTCAAGGTGTTAATATGAGACACTTATTTATGAAAATAAGCTATGATTTTTCACACATTACATATAATAATAAAGTATATCAATATGCACTGATTACCACATTTTTCAGTCTTTAAGTGGAGTCAACTCACAGCGCATCAGCTATGTTACAACTTATTTACTTTTTCTACACTTAGTCTGAAGGCAGGTTATGACCTTGCAGTGGAAATTTCATTGTATTAATACCAATTTAGATTCTCTTGATGGAAGTGGAAGTTAAAATTCTGCTTGACAGAAAGCTTGAAATTTTTACTGAATCACAAAATATATCTTTAAATTCATTTTCATTCATGTAATCACACAAATCCAGTAAATACTAAAAATTCAAATTTGTCAAGTCATCTAATTTCTCCCACTATTAAGAAATTTGCATCCTTGCTATCATTTTAAGTGGCTTTAGAACCAGATATACTGATGACTTACCTCACCAAATGCAATAGCCAACATTAGCGAGTTGGCTCTAGATGAAAGATATAGTGATGCTATTACTACCCAAAAAAATCAAATTTCTTGAAGAAGATACAGACAAGGAAAGTTTTGTTAATAAGTAGTTGGGGTTTTTCCAACTCTACATAGTTGGGAAAAAAAGTTATTTACTTAAATTGAAGAATTGAAGAACTGTTTTAAATAAATAACATTTTATATTTGCAAATTACTTTTAAAACGTTGTTTATTGCTCTAACTTAAAGATAAGAGTAAAACAAAGAGAAAATTCTTATGTTGACCAAGGCCTCATTTTTTTTCAAATGATATCTCATATTTACATGAGTCTGTATAAGAAGTATATTTATGAAGAGGAACTTGAAACTGTTGAGCATTCACTTTTATGCAAAATGGAAAATAGCCAGAACATTTCATCATATGCTCAGTATGAGAAGGTGACCTAGGCCTGGACAATCTGCACTCTTCTCTGCAGTATTTTTAACTGGAGATGGACAGCTGCCCACTTGTCTGCTTGAATGCTAGAGTGTAAGCGTAAGGCCTGGGCCCTGACAACCAACCTCCCTGCCATGGGGAGAACCAACATGCAGAGAACAGAGCTGAGAATCGGAGGAGGAGAGTGTGGGAGAGAGGGTTACTCCCACCATCACTGTGTGCCCAGTCTGTGAGGCCCTCGCTCCTGCAATACTTCGTCACTGAACCCTCCTCAGGCTGTCCCACCTGTCACAGTCAATAAATAATCTTTCTGCTTAGAAGACCCACTTACATATAATACTGCTCTTAAGAATTCACAGATACCTATGGCATTGGAAAGAAAAGTTAAAAGTTTTAAAATCCACTTATATTATTAGAACAGAAACTGGCAAGAATATAAATGAAATGATACCAAAAAATAGGGGTGGAAAGAGTTTGATATTCTAAAGAACTGAAGCACAACCTTATTTTCTTGGATCTCCGTAGCCTTTTATTTTTACTAACATGATTCCAATAAATATAAAAATATTCATTCTATCAGTTCTCTGCACCTGTATCCTTAAAGAAAGTGGTAGTCAAGTATCTCTAGAGTATTTTTAATGGTGTGCTTTATGGAAGTTCAGGAAATCTCTCCTGTCATTTCTCACTGGCCATCTGCTGAGAACAGGTGTTTCCCACCAGGTAACCTGAGCACCATCACCTCTGTATACCACCATCACCTCTTCCCACTCCTCCCAAAGTGGGAGAAACCTCAAGATGGCAAAAATTGTAGGGTGTCCTGCTGAATATTTGCAAGGAAACTGCTCCTTTTATGTTACAAATTGATGGAGAGGAACCTTAGTGGTGCTCCTTAAATCTCAGTGTCACTCTTAGTTTTATGAAATCGATCTTTCATTTCTATTTACCATCCTCTCAGGCAGGACTGGGGTGAACCCTGGGCACTAAACAAATAGCAATAGTGGACACCCTGCCCCTAACCTCCCTTCCTCTACTAGAAGGAGGCACTCACTGAGTCAAGCTTATTGTTTCTTGTTTGTTTTTCCTTTATTATAACTTCTCTTCCAAAAAGATTTTTGACACCTTTGAAGATAAGTTTAAAGGGGAAGTTTTCCACCTAAGCTTGTCAGGAACTTTGTGTTTTTGTTTGTTTGTTTGTTTGTTTGTTTGTTTTTCTTTTTCTTTCTTTTTTTTTTTATTGATCATTCTTGGGTGTTTCTCGCAGAAGGGGATTTGGCAGGGGCACAGGACAATAGTGGAGGGAAGGTCAGCAGATAAGTGAACAAAGGTCTCTGGTTTTCCTAGGCAGAGGACCCTGCGGCCTTGGCCTTCCGCAGTGTTTGTGTCCCTGGGTACTTGAGATTAGGGAGTGGTGATGACTCTTAACGAGCATGCTGCCTTCAAGCATCTGTTTAACAAAGCACATCTTGCACCACCCTTAATCCATTCAACCCTGAGTGGACACAGCACATGTTTCAGAGAGCACAGGGTTGGGGGTAAGGTCACAGATCAACAGGATCCCAAGGCAGAAGAATTTTTCTTAGTACAGAGCAAAATGAAAAGTCTCCCATGTCTACCTCTTTCTACACAGACATGGCAACCATCCGATTTCTCAATCTTTTCCCCACCTTTCCCCCCTTTCTATTCCACAAAACCGCCATGGTCATCATGGCCCTTCTCAATGAGCTGTTGAGTACACCTCCCAGATGGGGTGGTGGCCGGGCAGAGGGGCTTCTCACTTCCCAGTAGGGGCGGCCAGGCAGAGGCGCCCCTCACCACCCGGACGGGGCGGCTGGCCGGGCGGGGGGCTGACCCCCCCGCCTCCCTCCCGGATGGGGTGGCTGGCCGGGCGGGGGGCTGACCTCCCCGCCTCCCTCCTGGATGGGGCGGCTGGCCTGGCGGGGGGCTGACCCCCCCACCTCCCTCCTGGACGGGGCAGCTGGCCGGGCAGAGGGGCTCCTCACTTCCCAGTAGGGGTGGCCAGGCAGAGGCACCCCTCACCTCCCGGATGGGGCGGCTGGCCGGGTGGGGGGCTGACCCCCCCACATCCTTCCCGGACGGGGCGGCTGGGCGGGAGGGGGGCTGACCCCCCCACCTCCTTCCCGGACGAGGCAGCTGGCCGGGCGGGGGGCTGACCCCCACCTCCCTCCCAGACGGGGTGGCTGCCGGGCGGAGACGCTCCTCACTTCCCAGACAGAGTGGCTGCCGGGCAGAGGGGCTCCTTACTTCTCAGACGGGGCGGTTGCCAGGCAGAGGGTCTCCTCACTTCTCAGATGGGGCGGCCGGGCAGAGACGCTCCTCACATCCCAGACGGGGCAGCAGGGCAGAGGCGCTCCCCACATCTCAGACGATGGGCGGCCTGGCAGAGATGCTCCTCACTTCCTAGATGGGATGGCAGCCGGGCAGAGACGCTCCTCACTTTCCAGACTGGGCAGCCAGGCAGAGAGGCTCCTCACATCCCAGACGATGGGCGGCCAGGCAGAGACACTCCTCACTTCCCAGACGGGGTGGCGGCCGGGCAGAGGCTGCAATCTCGGCACTTTGCGGGGCCAAGGCAGGCAGCTGGGAGGTGGAGGTTGTAGCGAGCCGAGATCACGCCACTGCACTCCAGCCTGGGCACCATTGAGCACTGAGTGAACGCGACTCCGTCTGCCATCCCGGCACCTCGGGAGGCCGAGGTTGGCGGATCACTCGCGGTTAGGAGCTGGAGACCAGCCCGGCCAACACAGCGAAACCCGGTCTCCACCAAAAAAATACGAAAACCAGTCAGGCGTGGTGGCGCGCGCCTGCAATGGCAGGCACTCGGCAGGCTGAGGCAGGAGAATCAGGCAGGGAGGTTGCAGTGAGCCGAGATGGCAGCAGTACAGTCCAGCTTTGGCTCGGCATCAGGGGGAGACCGTGGAAAGAGAGGGAGAGGGAGACCGTGGGGAGAGGGAGACCGTGGGGAGAGGGAGACCGTGGGGAGAGGGAGAGGGAGAGGGAGAGGGAGAGGAGGGAGAGGGAGAGGAGGAGCGTGTTTGTTTTTTTTTTGAGACAGAGTCTTGCTGTGTTGCCCAGGCTGGAGAGCAGCAGCGTGATCTCGGCTCACTGCAAACCTCTGCCTCCCAGGTTCAAGCAATTCTCCTGAACCAGCCTTCCGAGTAGCTGGGACTACAGGCACCCGCCACCACGCTTGGCTAATTTTTTGTATTTTTAGTAGAGACGGGGTTTCACCGTGTTATCCAGGGTGGTCTTGATCTCCTGACCTCGTGATCCACCCACCTTGGCCTCCCAAAGTGCTGGGATTACAGGCGTGAGCCACTGCGCCTGGTCTTGTCAGGAATATTTGAATTTACTTTAGGTTCAGGCTGGGTGGGCCACTATGGATGCATTGATAAAGAAGAGGAAGAAGTGAAAGCACAATAATAAACTATCTGGACATAGACAATCTTTTAATGACATAGACATTTTACTTGATTTTTTCTTAAAGAACTAGAACAATTTCTAAAATAATTATCGTTTATTCTTTATCAGCCACAAAAGTTCCAGTGTCCAATCCAGCTGCAAGCTCTCCTACTAAGTTTTCTAATGGAATAGGATATCATTGTTGATTTCAGCTGAGTTACAACTTCTGGCTTTATAGTTTTCAATCCTGGTATCACTTTAAAAACCACTCTACATAAAAATCAAGAAAAGCTATTACCATAATTTTGTAGAAAAGAATCAAATTTGTTTTTATTTAGACAAGTCACTTCACTTTATATTTCATTTACCTTGAGCTACATGATGTGGCTTTGCAAAGCAAATTAAAGACTAATAGTAAAGTTAAGGCTTCTCTTTGCCAAAAGATATTTCTTAATGTTCTTTTAGAGACAGATTTATTTTTCAGCAGTTAACTTGCATTCTTTGTAATGATATACAAAATATGACTTAAAAAATACTTCTTTAGGCAGTTATAGAATCATTTATGGCTAGCTTTTTTTGGCTCCAGGACACAAAAACAATCCTTATGAGGCTTAACAGCATGTTTTACCTTGGATCTCTGGTCCATTTTTCCTTGAGTCTCCATTGTGAGTGTGATTTGGTTCATGTTCTCCTCATTCCCATGGTTAATGGATATTGTTATATTCTCAGGTACTGACCGTTCAGTTAGTCTCACTTCTGTGTTTATGGACTTCCATTTGTGAGGTAGTTAAAATAATATCCTTGTTTTCCAAAATTACCAGTTGAATCATAGTTGAGCACTGAGGTGAACTAATTTATCGGAGATCCATTCCAATACCTGATTTTTAAAAACCATAGGTTTCCTGACATTTTTTGGTATTTATTATTATTATTTTCTGAGATGGAGTCTTGCTCTGTCTTCCAGGCTGGAGGGCAGTGGCGCGATCTCAGCTCACTGCAAGCTCTGCCTCCCAGGTTCACCCCGTTCTCCTGCCTCAGCCTCCCGAGTAGCTGGGACTACTACTCGCCGGGACTACTACCACGCCCGGCTAGGCTAATTTTTTTGTATTTTGAGTAGAGAGGGGGTTTCACCGTGTTAGCCAGGATGGTTTCGATCTCCTCACCTCGTGATCCACCCACCTCGACCTCCCAAAGCTCTGGGATTACAGGCGTGAGCCGCCTCGCCCGGCTAGTTTTTACTATTATTTTAAAACAAAGATAGTGGTCTAAGAACACAGTCAGCCCTGTTAATGCACCTACAGTCCTGGTGAAAGACTTAACTTTGTGACAGGAGTCAGTAAGTGAGAAAGGTCTGTGATAAATGTGTATCACCCTCTTGATCGAGGCTCTTTTTTTATATTCTTTGTTGCCGAGACACCTAGAGATGCAGAGGTAGCTCTAAATCCCCCAGAACCCTCCTGGGAACTCAAATTAACTGACTCAAGCCAAATAAACAGGAGGACTAAAAATTGGTTTATTGGGCTACACACCAGTGGACTTGGATTGGAGGTTAACTCCCATCAACTAAGCACTAAGTAGAGACTATAGGAACGTTAATTAGGGGCTGCTGAGGTTGGCGTTGTGTACAGCTTGGAAGTGAAAAGGAAGCTACTCTGATTTCCCCTGTGTTGTTCTGCAATCACTCCACAACAGTTATGTCTGGAATAGAATTTGCCTTGTAAGGCTGGTGCTATAGTTATGAGGAAGCATGTCTGTGCAGCATAGGAAAAGAAAAATAGAACAACCTTCAAAATACTTTGTAGCCCTATAGACTTTTGTAGCTCAAAATTTCCCGCTTTTGTAATTTGACTTCAGAGGCAACTAAACTCAATATCAGTGGTTCTATTTTTTTCTGAAATGCTGAACAGGATTTTCATAAAGTTAGAACCAGCAGTTTTGCAGAACAAAACTGGAGATTCATAGAATGTGTGTAATAAATAGAGATAATTTTTAAAATAATTTGTAACTTTTTCTTCATTTTGTATATTGCATAATCAGAACTAAAACAGGATAGAAGGCAGCTTTATACACAATTATTACAGTCATGTTATTTAGTAGCTAATAAGCAGAAACAGTCAATAGAGAATTGTACTATTTCTTAATGAGTTTCAAATCCTCCCCTTCAGTATGGATATAGATCTTTCATGAAATTATTTGAAAAGAAGTAGCTAATTCTTAAAAGTTGGCCACTTGTGAAAATAATAGATTATATTATATTTCCTCTCTTTCCTCGACATAATAGGTGAATCTGTGAGTTAAAAAATATACCCACAACTTATACCCTTCTCTCTCAGGTATAGGTACATAATATCGTGTATCTTTTACAGGGAGCAAAACTGGGTCACCCAATAAGCATACTGAGCACATATGTGCCTAGGAAAACAGCAAAAAGGGAATGTTTACAATTTTTGTTTGTTTGTTCATTTGTTTGTTTTGAGATGGACTCTCGCTCTGTCGCCCAGGCTGGAGTGCACAGTGGTGCGATCTTGGCTCACTGCAACCTCCACCTCCCAGGTTCAAGTGATTCCCCTGCCTCAGTCTCCCGAGTAGCTGAGGCACCTGCCACCACGCCCAGCTAATTTTTGTATTTTTAGCAGAGATGGGGTTTTGCCATGTTGGCCAGGCTGGTCTTGAACTCCTGATTTCAGATGATCTGCCCGCTTTGGTCTCCCAAAGTGCTGGGATTGCAGGCATTAGCCACCACACCCAGCCTAGAACATTTACAATTTGTTAATGCGATATTTTTTCAAAGACAATGTTAATCATTAGGATAAAATAAATAGCATTATTTTAACTTACATATAGAATTGTCAAAATGTTTTCAGTATCTAAAGGTCTTAATCTGCCTCTGCTGGGGAGTTCTGTGACCACTTAGTGGAACTTTCTGTTTCAGACTGCATAGTTACCACTAGGAAACCCTAGCTTCAGCTTCATCTCCAACATTTTCTTTTCTCCTTTTGAAGGGCAGACCTTACTGAGCCCACTCAATTCTATCCACTGGAGTTCATATCCTGCATAACCTCCTCCTCTTGGACATGGGTGTGACCTGTCACTTGCTTCTGGCTAGTAGAATATGGCCAATGTGAAAGAATTAAGGCCTCAAATGAATTAATGTTAAATTAATCAAAAGTGACATGGGCCAGGCTCAGTGGTTTGCGCCTGTAATCCCAGCACTTTGGAGGCTGAGGTGGGAGGATCACTTGAGGCCAGGAGTTCAAGACCAGCCTGAGTAACATGGTGAGACCCAGTCTGTACAAAAAATTTCAAACAATTATCCAGGCATGGTGGTGTGGATCTGTAGTCCCAGACACTTCAGGCTGAGTTGGGAAGATTGCTTGAGCCCAGGATTGTGCCACTGTACTCCAGCCTATGTGACAGAGCAAGACCTTGTCTCAAAAAAAAAAAAAAAAAAAGAGAAAAGAAAAGAAAAAGAGAGATCATCCTGAGTGGGGTTAACCTACTCAGGTAAAGGCTCTTACAAGAGGGATGAGGTCCCTCCTTCAAGTGAGAGACTCTCCTTGCTGGCTTAATGAAGTAATTGGCCATGTTGGAGGAGTCTGTGTGACAAGTGACTGTGGGCAGACAAGTGACTGAAAACCCACTGCCAGCAACAGCCAAGGTCTCAGTCACACACCACAGGAAATGATTTCTGTAAACAATATGAAGGAATGGGTTCTTTCCCACTCCAGCCTCCAGATGAGAATACACCCTGGCAACATGGTGACTGACACCTGTGATACCCTGAGCAGGGAACCCAGTAATACCATGCCTCAACTTTTAACTCCTGCAGAGTGAGAGACAATAAATGTGTGTTGCTTTAAGCCCCTCAGTTTATAGTAATCTATTATGCATCAATAGAAAATTAGCATACTCTTCCTTCTTGTGACCAGCCATAGAGACAATCTGGTTTTTCTTTCCCAATTTGAATAAAATTTTCTAAAATACTTAGAGACCCATTACTTTCTAGCAATTCCTGAAGAAAAGGGTCTCATGTCTGTTGAACTAGGTTAAGGTCCTTCCTCTGCAAATATTCCTTGACTCATTTTGGTAGATTTAATTATTTTCACATTTTTGGTACCACCATCATAATCAATGCAAATCAATAGCCTCCCTCTCTGCTCTTACTGAGTTCACCAATGAACTTATTCTTGTGCCAAATCCAATTAGTACCTTGCACATTTTCCTTGGCCATATGTTACATTTTATTTTAGCTGCAAAATGGAAAATTTTATCAATACACGAATTGCTATTGTCTCAAGAGCAAAGCCATCCATGCTTTGGATTATATAAAAAACTCTCATAACAGTAAAAGGTAATTCTCTACAATCACTAATCTTAAATTTTAGTAGATTTTTTCTTCTATTAAACTTTGTAAGTTCCTTTCAATGTAAGCCTATCCTTTCAAATATATATTTTTAAGACTGATTTGTTATAGTTGCTTTTATTTAGTTTCCCAAGGAAAATAAAACAAGTTCTCCAATTACTCTTCAAGTTATGTGTACACCACAATGAATAAAATCATCATGAACTTGCATGACATTCACAGAAGGTCACTGGGAAATGGAATAAAATCCATGTTACAATCAAGAGGTGAAACAAAGTGGACAGACAGAATCTTACCATGGATTATTATGACAAGAAAAAATATTTTCATAATCAGGGGCAGAATGAGTGTGAGTGTCCTCCTTCATCATCCCAGGCCGTAACTTGGAGTAACTTGTTTAGGCAACTCCACTGAATTCAGTGTGTCATCTGCTGGTTCCAGCATAGTAATTTCTTCTTTTTAAAACTGATCTTATTTAAATGCAAAATAATTTCATACTGTTTATCTGCTCAGATTATCTGAAATTTTCTTATTTATTAAAAGGAAAAAGTCATCTGTCTTACATTAGGACGTTTTATTTATATTGATGTTTCCTTTTGACTCTACATTTTGCATGATATATTGTTAGTTATGGTCTGTAATTTCCACATAACTCTGTAACCTTGTGTAAGGAAATAGATTTTCAGGCTCATTTGCTTTGACAGAACGTGTCATACACAATAAGGCAGATTCTTTTGTCCAAGTTATCTCATGATATAAAAGTTATACAATATTAACACACACTGATGTTGAAAGCTTCTGATTATTTCTTGTTTAAATAAATAAATATTAGAGAGAAAGAAGAAGAAAGGGGAGTGAAAACTGACATTTACTGAAAGCAAAACACGTCAGGCTTTTTTATCTGTCTTACAGAATCCCAATAAATAAGCCACTAAAATAAGTATTGTGGGCCCATTTTGATGTCAGTGAAACTTAAACTCAGATAAACACATTGAGGAATTATGTTTAGAGCATCTTCTATATGAGGGACATTGTGATAGGTACTGCGTATTTCAAAGTCATATAACTAAATAAGAAACTTCATTCTAAGTCTAATTTTTAAAGTCCATTTTTTTCACTATGACAAGTTAGTGAAGTAAAAACAAACAAAAACATGTTTTTTGGCAAAGATGAGGCTTGTTTTTAATTCTCACTCTGTCATTTACAAGATACAGAACCAGAATCAAATAGCTCCGTCTTTCCAAATGTCATTTTCCCTATCTGATTCCTAAAGGAGGTTTCCTGAATTTGATGGCATCTTCCTTGTAGTGCCTCCTTGCAAGGTTTAGAGAGAATGTGGAGAGAGGACCTAGGCCAAGTCTGGGTGCAGCAAACTGAACATTGCTGTTTTTCTTACTGCCTAGCAGCCTAGGACATGATAGATCTTTTTTTTTTTAATTATACTTTAAGTTCTAGGGTACATGTGCACAACGTGCAGGTTTGTTACATATGTATACATGTGCCATGTTGGTGTGCTGCACACATTAACTCGTCATTTACATTAGGTATATCACTTAATGCTATCCCTCTGCTCACCCCACAACAGACCCTGTTGTGTGATGTCCCCCTTCCTTTGTCCAAGTGTTCTCATTGTTCATTTCCCACCTATGAGTGAGAACATGCGATGTTTGGTTTTTTGTCGTTCTGATAGTTTGCTGAGATTGATGATCTGTCACCACTCCTATTCAACATAGTGTTGGAAGTTCTGGCCAGGGCAATTAGGCAGGAGAAATAAATAAAGGGTATTCAATTAGGAAAAGAGGAAGTCAAATTGTCCCCGTTTGCAGATGACATGATTGTATATCTAGAAAACCCTATTGTCTCAGCCCAAAATCTCCTTAAGCTGATAAGCAACTTCAGCAAAGTCTCAGGATACAAAATCAATGTGCAAAAATCACAAGCATTCTTATACACCAATAACAGACAAACAGAGAGCCAAATCATGAGTGAACTCCCATTCACAATTGCTTCAAAGAGAATAAAATACCTAGGAATCCAACTTAGAAGGGATGTGAAGGACCTCTTCAAGGAGAACTACAAACCACTGCTCAACGAAATAAAAGAGGATACAAACAAATGGAAGAACATTCCATGCTCATGGATAGGAAGAATCAATATTGTGAAAATGGCCATACTGCCCAAGGTAATTTATCGATTCAAGGCCATCCCCATCAAGCCACCAATGACTTTCTTCACAGAATTGGAAAAAACTACTTTAAAGTTCATATGGAACCAAAAAAGAGCCCACATAGCCAAGTCAATCCTAAGCCAAAAGAACAAAGTTGGAGGCATCATGCTACCTGACTTCAAACTATACTACAAGGCTACAGTAACCAAAACAGCATGGCACTCGTACCAAAACAGCATGGCACTCGTACCAAAACAGCATGGTACTGGTACCAAAACAGAGATAGAGACAAATAGAACAGAACAGAGCCCTCAGAAATAATACCACACATCTACAACTATCTGATCTTTGACAAACCTGACAAAAAGAAGAAACAGGGAAAGGATTCCCTATTTAACAAATGGTGCTGGGAAAACTGGCTAGCCATATGTAGAAAGTTGAAACTGGATCCCTTCCTTACACCTTATACAAAAATTAATTCAAGATGGATTAAAGACTTAAATGTTAGACCTAAAACCATAAAAACCCTAGAAGAAAACCTAGCCAATACCATTCAGGACATAGGCATGGGCAAGGACTTCATGTCTAAAACACCAAAAGCAATGGCAACAAAAGCCAAAACTGACAAATGGGATCTAATTAAACTAAAGAACTTCTGCACAGCAAAAGAAACCACCATCAGAGTGAACAGGCAACCTACAGAATGGGAGAAAATTTTTGCAATCTACTCATCTGACAAAGGGCTAATATCCAGAATCTACAAAAACTCAAACAAATTTACAAGAAAAAAACAAACAACCCATCAACAAGTGGGCGAAGGATATGAACAGACACTTCTTAAAAGAAGACATTTATGCAGCCAACAGACACATGAAAAAATGCTCATCACTGGCCATCAGAGAAATTCAAATCAAAACCGCAATGAGATATCATCTCACACCAGTTAGAATGGTGATCATTCAAAAGTCAGGAAACAACAGGTACTGGAGAGGATGTGGAGAAATAGGAACACTTTTACACTGTTGGTGGGACTGTAAACTGGTTCAACCGTTGTGGAAGACTGTGGCGATTCCTCAGGGATCTAGAACCAGAAATACCATTTGACCCAGCCCTCCCATTACTGGGTATATACCCAAAGGATTATAAATCATGCCGCTATAAAGACACATGCACACGTATGTTTATTGCGGCACTATTCACAATAGCAAAGACCTGGAACCAACCCAAATGTCCAACAATGATAGACTGGATTAAGAAAATGTGGCACATATACACCATGGAATACTATGCAGCAATAAAAAATGATGCGTTAATGTCCTTTGTAGGGACATGGAGGATGTGATAGATCTAAGCATGCTTACAATTACAACTTCCAAGTACTTACTGAAGACTGTACTAAATGCTACCTTACTGATTCTAAACATGGTGATTAAAATAATATATCTCCTGCTTCATAGAGAAATTATTTGAAGAGTCTTTGAATCTTCAACAGCCTTTCTTGTACAGTAAACAGTAAACAAGCAATACATGGTTGCTATCCTGTACTCATTTTTAAACTTTACCCATTTTCAAGGTGTTCTATACTCCATTAGATAATTTTCACCAACAAATTCATTGGCAATCAAAACTCTACATATTATTCCTCAGGGGTTATAGTTATGGCATGAGGGGGGTTAGAGAAAGGGCTTAGAGACAGGCCTGCACATGCAATGTCCATGTAAAATGCTGCATTTCCTATGTAGCCAGGATCTGTCCTTTTCCAGTGGGCTATGGACTGGACTATTGGATGCTGGAAGGAGAAGTGGTGAGAGGGAAAAACTTGTGCACCATTCCTCCAGCTCCTCCACAGTCTGCTCCATTAGAACTCTCAATGCTTCTGAAGTGCAAGTGCTCTCAATCCAGTCAACAAAAAGGCTTGGGGGAAAGCATACATCAAAATGGGTGAGGGGAGTGCTATAAGGTGAACTCCCATTGCCTTGATTTTGTGAAATACTTTCCAAAGTTCATTTGTAAAATTAGCATTTTGCAAATCTGTAACTAGAGAACCAAATGTAAGTTTGGGAGTTTGTCTAGGGAACCATCAGGACTTTTTCTAACTTGTTAAATTTACAATTGACAAAGAAAATGCATCAGTTTTGGACCACTAGTAAGCTCAAGTTGTGAGGTTTGATGCACTCACCCATAAAGGGCTAGAAATCTCTTACATTCCAGTTTAAAGGGGACAGTGAGCTGCCCTTTAGAAACAGCATCCTGTATGTGCTTGTTGGAGATGCTGAACCATCCAAACAACAGAAAGATGGGCGCCAAGAGCACAGCGCACTATGGTTTATTACAGCAGCTGGTTGTAGGCCACAGACACTCAGGCAACATCATGGTTTTCCATCATGAAAAGCATTAAGAGGCTTATTAGTTCCCTAAAACTGCCATAACAAAGTACCAAAAAACAGATTTTTTTAAAACAACAGAAACTTTTTGTCTCACAATTCTTGAGTTCAGAAGTCTGAAATCAAGGTGTTGGCAGAGCCATGCTCCCTGGGACATCTTAGAGGAAGAATCTTCCTTCCCTGTTCCAGCTTCTGGTAGCCCCAATTGTTTCTTGGCTTTTGGTAGCCTCACTCCAATCTTCACATGGCTTTCTCTTTGTGTGTCTTCACATAATCTTCCCTCTGTGTGTGTCTGTCTCTGTGTCAAAATTTCCTCCTTTTAAAAGTCATATTGAGGCCGGGCGCGGTGGCTCACGCCTGTAATCCCAGCACTTTGGGAGGCCGAGGCGGGCGGATCACGAGGTCAGGAGATCGAGACCACCCCGGCTAAAATGGTGAAACCCCGTCTCTACTAAAAATACAAAAAATTAGCCGGGCGTAGTGGCGGGCGCCTGTAGTCCCAGCTACTTGGGAGGCTGAGGCAGGAGAATGGCGTGAACCCGGGAGGCGGAGCTTGCAGTGAGCCGAGATCCCGCCACTGCACTCCAGCCTGGGCGACAGAGCGAGACTCCGTCTCAAAAAAAAAAAAAAAAAAAAGTCATATTGAACTAGGACCCTCCCACCCTACTTCAAAAAAGATTCTTTTCCAAAGCAAAAGGATGGCTAAAGTGAACAGTCATCCTAAAGCAAAACACATATTTATGTTATTAACTAGTAAACACTATCCTCTCCTCTTTACTAATTTAGATACTTAAGAGATTACAAAGGTGATAACTTTATCTGAAAGTTGCAGTCATACTTCATATGTCAATGAATAGGGCATATCATTAGATGGTTATTAATTTTCATTTAATCCTGATTTCTTTTGTGACTGCTGGGGTGATGCCCATGTTAATTTATCAAGAAGCTTTCTTAGGAGAGTGAGATTTGATCTTTCCTACAAGGAAATAAACTCACTACACCCTTCTATACTGTTTTGCAGATGTATTTATGAGTGAAATGCAGCAGCATTTTCTGTGAAGTTTTAAAGGCGTAGCCATGTCTTGGAACTCTTCTTGGGTAAAAAGGGTGAGTAGTGGCAGAAAACACAAGAGGTGAGAGTCACTTTTAAAGTTTTTGTCATCCCTTAATATTACTGAACATGCCAACGAGGAAGAGAGAGGAACAGCATCCAACCTGAGGGACACTCATGAGAAATTATGCCACAGTATGCTATTCCCTGGCCTCTAAAGGCTCATAGCCACAGATCAAGTAGTCAGGCCCATGGCGGATTTGAGATGATTTTTCAGTTTTCTGTGTTACTCTTCCCATTGGCTTTGCCCCAGAAAGACAAATAAAAACCTTTCTACCAACCCCAATTTATTTTCTCTGAGACCTCTTTAATCATCCTTTATTCACAGTGCCTACAATTTCATCTCAATATGCTTATATAGAGTTTTCATTTGTAATTTAGAACATATATAATTTTCATAATTAAGTAATTATAATTGATTACAAAAGTATCTATTTACATTTTTTAGCCTCTGGTTTTCAATGACTGCAAAATTTGAATTCCTTTCACTCCAGTTGGAACTATATTGGCCTATCTTAAATCATTCTAGTTTCTATTGCAGCCCATGCTAAACTCACCTTAACCATCTGCAATTAATGATACTTCAGTGCAAATTGTTATTCATCTGAATGTGCCTCCTTTAATCTTCTTTGTCTTGTTTTTACTCTTTCCTAAGGATTATATTCCTCTTCTGTAGCTCTTTTTAAATCTTTTGTATTTCAAAGTGCATTAAGGATTAATGCGTGATGTTCTGTTAAGATGCACAATAATCTTTTTGAAAAATTGTACAAAGGTTATAAAAGTCCTTTATTCACTGCTGTGAAGATGGAGATACCAGACTAAATTAGTATCTTAATATGCTTTTTAAAATTCCTAGAAGCAGACATCATGATGCCCATTTGACCAACAATCTTTTCCATAAATTTATGCCTACAATTGAGGAAGCTAACAGAGACAGTGAGATTGTTTTGCCAAAGACAAGTAGAAATATTCAGTGTTTGAGAAGTACTGGATCCCCCTCTTTAGAATCCTGAGAGTCCTCTACTCCCACTTAAGGGACATAACATTAAAATAAAACATTTTAGAGTTAGGTGATCATTGGACACCAATCCAATCATGGAATACAAATGCGCATGCTGCATCGCAGTGTTCAAGTAAGAAATGGTTGTTGAAATGAGCTGGAACAGGTAAACACACACACACACACACACACACATACACACACACACACACACACACAAGATTAGTGACCAAAAAAGGGGAAATTTTTTTTTAAATTTTTAAATGTTTTAATTATTATTATGCTTTAAGTTCTAGGGTACCTGTGCAGAACGTGCAGTTTTGTTACATAGGTATACACGTGCCATGGTGGTTTGCTGCACCCATCGACCCGTCATCTACATTAGGTATTTCTATTAATGCTATCCCTCCCCTAGGCCCCTACCCTCAGACAGGCCCCAGGGTGTGATGTTCCCCTCCCTGTGTCCATGTGAACTCTTGTTTCAACTCCCATTCATGAGTGAGAATATGTGGTATTTGATTTTCTGTTCTTGTGATAGTTTGCTGAGAATGATGGTTTCCAGCTTCATCCATGTCCCTGCAAAAGATATGAACTCATACTTTTTTATGGTTGCATAGCATTCCATGGTGTATATGTGCTACATTTTCTTAATCCAGTCTATCATTGATGGGCTTTTGGGTTTGTTCCAAGTCTTTGCTATTGTGAATAGTGCCACAATAAACATACGTGTGCATGTGTCCTTATAGTAGAATGATTTATAATCCTTTGGGTATATACCCAGTAATGGGATTGCTGGGTCAAATGGTATTTCTAGTTCTAGATCCTTGAGGAATCGCCATACTGTCTTCCACAATGGTTGAACTAGTTTACACTCCCACCAACAATGTAAAAGCGCTCCTATTTCTCCACATCCTCTCCAGCATCTGTTGTTTCCTGACATTTTAATGATCACCATTCTAACTGGTGTGAGATGGTATTTCATTGTGGTTTTGATTTGCATTTCTCTAATGACCAGTGCTGATGAACTTTTTTTCATATGTTTGTTGGCTGCATAAAAGTCTTCTTTTGAGAAGTGTCCGTTCATATCCTTTGCCCACTTTTTGATAGGGTTGTTTGTTTTTCTTGTAAATTTGTTTAAGTTCTTTGTAGACTCTGGATATTAGCCCTTTCTCAGATGGTTAGATTGCCAAAATTTTCTCCCATTCTGTAGGTTGCCTGTTCACTCTGATGGTAGTTTCTTTTGCTGTGCGGAAGCTCTTTAGTTTAATTAGATCCCACTTGTCAGTTTTGGCTTTTGTTGCCATTGCTTTTGGTGTTTTAGTCATGAAGTCTTTGCCCGTGCTTATGTCCTGAATGGTATTGCCCAAGTTTTCTTCTAGGAATTTTATGGTTTTAGGTCTTAAGTTTAAGTCTTTAATTCATCTTGAGTGGCTTTTTGTAAAAGGTGTAAGGAAGGAGGTCCAGTTTCAGTTTTTTGCATATGGCTAGCCAGTTTCCCAACACCATTTATTAAACAGGGAATCTTTTCCCCATTGGTTGTTTGTATCAGATTTTTGAAAGATCAGATGGTTGTAGATGTGTGGTGTTATTTCTGAGGCCTCTGTTCTGTTCCGATGGTCTATATATCTGTTTTGGTACCAGTACCATGCTCTTTTTGTTACTGTAGCCTTGTAGTATAGTTTGAAGTCAGGTAGTGTGATGCCTCCAGCTTTGTTATTTTGGCTTAGGATTGTCTTGGCTCGTTTTTGGTTCCATATGAAGTTTAAAGTAGTTTCTTCCAATTCTGTAGAGAAAGTCACTAGTAGCTTGATGGGGATAGCATTGAATCTACAAATTACTGTGGGCAGTATGGCCATTTTCACAATACTGATTCTTCCTATCCATGAGCATGGAATGTTTTTCCATTTGTTTGTGTCCTCTCTTATTTCCTTCAGCAGTGGTTCGTAGTTCTCCTTGAAGAAGTCTTTCATATCCCTTGTATGTTGTATTCCTAGGTATTTTATTCTCTTAGTAACAATTGTGAATGGGAGTTCACTCATGATTTGGCTCTCTGTTTGTCTGTTATTGCTATATAGGAATGCTTGTCAGCACCTCATCACACTTATTCTAAAATTGACCACATAATTGAAAGTAAAACACTCCTCAGCAAATGCAAAAGAACGGAAATCATAGCAAACAGTCTCTCAGAACACAGTGCAATCAAATTAGAACTCAGGATTAAGAAACTCACTCAAAACTGCACAACTACATGGAAACTGAACCACCTGCTCCTGAATGACTACTGGGTAAATAATAAAATGAAGGCAGAAATGAAGATGTTTTTTGAAACCAATTAGAATGAAGGTAGAACATACCAGAATCTCTGGGACACATTTAAAGCAGTCTGTAGAGGGAAATTTATGGCACTAAATGTCCACAAGAGAAAGCAGGAAAGATCTAAAATTGACACCCTAACATCAAAGTTAAAAGAACTAGAGAAGCAACAGAAAACAAATTCAGAAACTAGTCAAAGACAAGGAATAACTAAAATCAGAGCAGAACTGAAGGAGTTAGAGACACGAAAAACCGTTTAAAAAAATCAATGAATCCAGGAGCTGTTTTTTTTAAAAGATCAACAAAATAGATAGACCACTAGCCAGACTAATAAAGAAGAAAAGAGCGAAGAATCAAATAGACTCAGTATAAAAGATAACAGAGGATATCACCATTGATCCCACAGAAATACAAACTACCATCAGAGAATAATATAAACACTTCTATGTAAATAAACTAGAAAATCTAGAAGAAATGGGTAAATTCCTGGACACATACACCCTCCCAAGTTTAAACCAGGAAGAAGTCGAATCCCTGAATAGACCAATAACAAGTTCTGAAATTGAGGCAGTAATTAATAGCCTACCAATCAAAAAAAGTCCAGGACCAGATGGATTCACAGCCGAATACTACCAGATGTACAAAGAGGATCTGATACCATTATTTCTGAAATTATTCCAAACAATAGAAAAAGAGGGAATCCTCCCTAGTTCATTTTATGATGCCAGCATCAGTCTGATAACAAAACCCGGCAGAGACACAACCAAAAAAGAAAATTTCAGGCCAATAGTCCTGATGAACATCAATGTGAAAATCTTCAATTAACTACTGGCAAACCGAATCCAGCAGCACATCAAAAAGCTTATCCACCATGATCAAGTCGGCTTCATCCATGGGATGGAGGGCTGGTTCAACATACACAAATCAATAAATGTAATCCATCACATAAACAGAACCAATGACCAAAACCACATGATTATCTCAATAGATGCAGAAAAGGCCTTCGACAAAGTTCAACACTCCTTCATGCTAAAAGCTCTCAATAAACTAGGTATCAATGGAACATATCTCAAAATAATAAGAATAAGAGCTATTTATGACAAACCCACAGCCAATATCATACTGAATGGGCAAAAACTGGAAGCATTCCCTTTGAAAACTGGCACGAGACAGGGATGCCCTCTGTCACCACTCCTATTCAACATAGTATTAGAAGCTCTGGCCAGGGCAGTTAGGCAAGAGAAAGAAATAAAGCGTATTCAAATAGGAAGACAGGAAGTAAAATTGTTATTTTTACTTACGTTATTGTGTATTTAGAAAACCCCATCGTCTCAGCCCAAAATCTGCTTAAGCTGATATGCAACTCAGCAAAGTCTCGGAAAAAAATTTATATTGAAAATTTAGACCACTAAGAATATATTCAGAGACACTATTTTAGGAAATAAAAATATAATTGCAAATAAAATATAATGTGCAAATAAAATATAATTAGTTACAAAATTTAAAACTCCCCATTATAGTATTTTAAAATTACTTATTCCAATTATGTTAGAAGAAAACACTCTGATGAGAAACATTTCTTTGGCATGAACAGGCTTGAAAGAACTGGACAGGACAGGTTTTGTCCACCATCTCTGTTTGAATCCCAATTTTAGCTTTTTCTCATGGAAAATTTCAATTTATTAAAGCTTTGCTGCTGTTTATTCAGCTCTTTCTGAAAACTTTAATGGCTTATGAAACAAATTCAATAAACATTTTGTCTAGAACTCTAACTTCTATAATAAGTGTTTTACTCTTTGCTTGCCTTAGTATTCATTTAATACAAAAGATCATTTGTCTTTTTTATTATGTATACATGAATTTCCATATTAGTGACAGTGACCAATACAGGGGTATCAATGACTTTATTTTCTATTGTGTCAGTGAAATATTTAGTTAGCAACTGTGTTTGCTTGCTTGTTTGTTTTACAATTAACTGCTTAATTGGGGAAAGATATTGTATTAGTCTGCTTGAGTTGCCAAAACAGAATACCACAGACTGGGTGGCTTAAACAACAGAAATGTATTTCTCACAGTTCTGGAGGCTGGAAGTCCAGGATCAAGGTGCTAGGGTGTCTGACGAGGCAGACACTTCTTTCTGGCTTGCAGATGGCCACATAATTCCACTACACGTGGTCGTTTCTCTGTTCATGCCTGGAGAGAGAGAGAGAGTGATATCTGGTGTCTTTTCCTCTTCTTAAATGGGCCTTGGATTGAGACCCCACCCTTAGGATCTCATTAACTCTTAATTACATCCTTAAAGTTCTTGTCTCCAATACAGTCCCATTCTGAGGTCCTATTGGTTAGGGTTTCAACATAGGAATCTTAGGGGCACACAATTCAATCTATGTCAGGTATTTATTACATATTGTTCACATTAAAATAATAAATTTTGCTAGAGCAGTAATATCTTACTCTGTTGCCTGCCTGTTCTAGATGAAATAAAAAACTTTTTGTTTGACACCAAATTTGATTTACATTTTAGATATACACAGATAGTTTTTTAGTTATAAATATGTCCCAAAGATTAAATATTATATATTTATGTTTTTTTAATCTGAAATTCATATTAAACTGAGCACCTTGTACTTTTATTGGTAAATTTGGCAAATCTAATGCCTCCACCCCTCCACCTCCAAGATTAAACACTTATTCCCTCGGCCTTTGACAGCTCTCAGCTGATTCGTCTTTGGGGATTTGCCTTTAACTGAACAGAGCCTCCTTGACCAAGGTTATGTCCCCTATATAGAGCATGTGTGCTTACAGTGGATACCTCCATAAAAACATATAGGCCTGGACCCCTTGCACCAATTTAAGTCTGAAAGTCTATCCCAGATGTAGAACTCCCTGAAGGATTTGCTGAGAGCTTTTTTGCAACTAAAATCACAATTTAACAATTTGTCTCTGCCTAATCCCATTTTCTTCACTCCTCTCGAAGTGTTATCCCAAGAATTCTCCCCAGTGAATTTCATGCATACAGACCTCCAGCTCAGAGTCATCTTCCTGGGAACCAGGTGCATTAGCTGTATTACCCAAAAGATCCCCCACTTTGGCGGGATTACCCACTTTTAATAGGACTTAAAGAAGAAAAGGGCTCTGTAAAAGATCCAGACTACTGTGCAGCTAGTCCTATCATTTGGGACACATGTCCTGTTAATCCAACCATATTAGACTCTAATTATTTTATCATCCCTCAAGGCCTCCTGAGCAAGGCCCAAACGCAAAATTATAACATTTACCTTTAGGGTATTGAAGTAAGGTCAAGCCATATGCAGAAGAGAATTATACATTAAAAAAAAAAAACAAAGCAATTTTTGACATGCTACTGGACCTAACAGATATGAAGTGCCTGACCATGGGGCACTAAATAACCTTGTGGCCAAAATTCGCCCATCATGAGCTGAGCTATATCAAAGCCATCAAGTCATAATATCATTTGGGCACAACAGTAATCCATATAAAGACAAAGGAGGTACCTCCTTGATGAGAAATGGGCAGAGTCAGAACAGAGTAAGATGCATTAGCAAGTGTCTCAGGCCCTGTATCTCTCACTGTCCACCAGGACTCTGCCTCTTGGTGTGTGTGTTGCAGGGGTGATGGATAAAGAAATGACCAAGCTTGGTTCACAGATCAATCAGCTTGGTTGTGAACATATGACAAAATAGAAAGTGATGCATTTGAGGCCCACTCAGGAGAGTGCCTTGGAATACAGTGGAGAGTGGAAATTTGCAAGAGTACAGAATAATGTCCACTGCGTGTGGAGAGAGAAGTGGTGTGAGGCAGGGGCATAGGCATACATATGGTTTGCCTCATTGATCAAGGACCCAGAAAAAGAAAGATTGGAAGATTAAGGGCAAGGACCGGGAAAGACCTGATGGATGAGTTACTCAGACTGGGCACAGAGTGTGAGGATGTCCATGATCCTGGGACCACCCCTCAGCAGGTATCTGTGGTAAGGCAGATGCCCTTTTATCAGGTGGAACAGATGAGGATGGAAAGACAACCGAGCTGTGGATGTCACCAAGCTTCTGTTCCCTGCCCTTCCCAGCACTTATGCAATGGATTTACTCATCATTCCAGGCAGGGGTGGAGGCCATGCAGGGGTTCGATAACAGAGACCTCCTCTCACCAAAACAGGTCTGGTTACCACTTTCACTAAGTGCTAACAGCAGAGGCCAGCACAGAGTCCCTGACATATTGCAACTCCCTGGGAATTACAGATGGGGGCAGCCAGCCTCCCAGGGGTAGTAGGAACTACTGGACAAATTCCATCCCATAGGGAACAGTGATGTTTTCATGAGGAAAGAGATGATTTTCAAATATAATTTTTCTTCCTTTGCCCACATGTTCCTGCCAGCATTGTCCTCTGTGGACATTCAGAATTCTTTACTTGCCAAGATGGTATTCCACAAATATTGCTTTTGACTTAAGAATTTGTTTTACAGGGAAAGGAGTGTGGTATGAGACTTGCTACTTGATTTTTTTTTTTTTTTTTTTTGCAAATTCCATTACAAACTGCTGGCTTGATAAATCCGATGTGAATTATGGAACAAACAGTGACAGCATCATCTGAGAGATAGGATGTGACAGTTGCTTGTCTAAGAAATAGACTCTAAGAGGGAGCATAAAGTCTGGTATGCTTCTCATTGAATGTCCTTAGGATTGACATCTGCAGAAAGTGGGGAAGGAAGCATAATTGGATAGGGAAAGAAGACAACCTGCTATTCAGACCTGATAGCCTCAGGAACTCTACATGACACCCTGGAGCTGGAAAGGGCTGAGTTTTTCCACACTGGGCCAAAGGATCCAGAACTTTATAACCCATCTCAGTAAGTCACTGGATATATGATGCATAAAGGAAGGGAATGATCTTAGAGGAGGCAGCTCTTCAGAGCTTAGGCAATCCCTGAAGGGGCAGACCAGTGAAGACTGTTTGCTGCTTACCCTCTCAGCCTTGGGACAACAGTCCCTGAAGGAGACCTTGGTAATGTATCTCCATGTCTATCATCATCTATCCTTCAAATCGAAATAATGACTCACTGGTTGCAGCATTTGCTTTAAACTCAGAACTAATATATGGTGCTGTTTCCCCCCATCTCCAGAATACAAGAGTCCAGGGCCAGGGATGTGGTGGAGGGTTTAATAGTGAGTATCCCTCACAGTTTCAACTTTCAGCCTTTAAGGACTTTCTGATTCTTGTGTCTCCCTTGGATGTTTTTTGGAGACCCTACTTCCCAAGAAAACAAACACTTCCACCAAGAAAGGCTGCACGGAATTGGAAGCTGAGATATGTCTCATGTCTTTAGGTCATTTTGGCCACCATATGCCACTGAAGGGCAAGCAGAGAAGAAGGTGACACTCTTGGCTCAGAAGATTAGTCCCCCTTGCCAAGAAGAAACCATCTGGGCCAAAGGGACTAGATGTAGAAGCTAGTTGTCCCAGCGCACACTGTGGTACCCCTGTGTCCAAAACTAAAGGCCAGCACCTTGACAGAGATGAGACCACTGAGGACTCAGATCCATTAAGATTAAAGACGCAACCGGCCGGGCACGGTGGCTCACGCCTGTAATCCCAGCACTTTGGGAGGACGAGGCGGCCGGATCACGAGGTCAGGAGATCGAGACGATCCTGGCAAACACAGTGAAACCCAGTCTCTACTAAAAATACAAAAAAATTAGCCGGGCGTGGTGGCGGGCGCCTGTAGTCCCAGCCACTCGGGAGGCTGAGGCAGGAGAATGGCATGAACCCAGAGGCAGAGCTTGCAGTGAGCCGAGACCATGCCACTGCACTCCAGCCTGGGTGACAGAGTGAGACTCCGTCTCAAAAAAAAAAAAAAAAAAAAAAAAAAAAAAAAAAAAAGACACAACCTTATTTAGGCAAGGTATAGGCAGAAGAGAAGGGGAACATAAAATGAACGACGGAAGGAGGAAGGTATGCTCATAATCGTGGTCTAGTGTTCATTACAGAGGCCAATCATGGCATTTATGGGTATTTTATCTTAACCGTTTCTTCCTACTTCCCCTTCAGTGTTCTACTGGTGCCTAAATGGAGTCTAACATCCTAATTTAAGTTCTAAAAGGAAGTGTGAAATTTACATCACATAGTGATAAACAACGGCCAATGATACTTTATGACTCCCTTCTACTTAGCATGAGAATTTCTTCACGTGAACAAAAGGCAAGAAAGAATGCCGGGTGGATAGGGTTGAGTTTTGCTGGTTAGTCTCCGCTGGTCTCTCCCAGACACATTCTCTGATCCCGCTGCCCTGCTCTGTGATCTCCAAGGCTCTGCCCAATGCTTGTCGTCATTCAGATCCTTAGCAGCTGGCTTCTAATTGAAAAAGAGTGATGGGATGCTATAGGGACAATGCAATAGAGGTCAGGGTGTTTCCTCCCTGCTCCCTCCATGCTGTAGTCTCAAACCGTTGCTCCTTTAGATCTCAGCATACACCATTGTTGTTTTTCTTAATCCTGACCACACTCTATTAATAGTCTCTTATTTAGGTCTCATTATTTAAACCATTTTCAAGTGGATGCTGTTTCTTGCTGAGACTGAATTTCCGGATTATTTGAGTTAATAGTATCCATATAGTCTAACATAACTATGTGACCTTTAAATTTGTTAATTTCTTTATGTCCAAGCATCCATTGGTCTCATTTAAAATAGCTATGCTGTTGGTGATTCTGTAGGGTGGCAGGTTGGTGATTCTGTTGGTGATTCTGTAGGTGACCAGTGTTTCTAGATTTATCTGAAAGTGTCACCATACAAGTCTGTCATTATCAGTCATCTGCTCCTGATTCATTTGGTGTGGTCATCAATACAGAACTTCAACCAATAGTCAGCAAGTTGAAACCCACTCTTAAATGAATCATCTACACCTTTATAAGAGTTTTGGAAATGATGTTTCTTAATGAATATAAAGTGAAGCAAAGGAAGTGCCTATGACAGGCAATGCCCTCCAAACCACCGAATGAAAGAGTTTACCATGATTTGATGATAGAGATGAGAAACAGCTTCTAAGGGCTGAAGTGAGATGCTCGGCCCACAGGCTGCATGAGGTGCTGGATAATAAGTGCTCCTTTGATGCTGTTACCTGGAGCCCCTTAAGCACTCTTCCTGCATTTCTTTTTTTTTTTTTTTTTTTGAGACGGAGTCTCGCTCTGTCGCCCAGGCCAGACTGCGGACTGCAGTGGCGCAATCTCGGCTCACTGCAAGCTCCCGCTCTTCCTGCATTTCTATTTCAGGGTAGGGCTTAAGTCTGTTTCGCCTTCTCTGCTATCTCTGTTTTCTGATTAACAATTCAAGGACTAAAAACCTGGGTGTCTTCCATTGATTAAATTGGTCTCCTGGCTTAACTTTTACCTCAGATCACTTCTAAGTTTTTGGACTTATTGTAAATATATATTTTGAATTGATATTTTAAGTGCCCTAGGCCAGCCCTGGCACATATGTGCTCAATAAAAATTCTTCCTCAAAAATAAGGTGTGCTTTTGACAGATTACAGAGATGTGGGGAGAAAGAGCAGCACTGTTGTTCTAACCACGCTATAGCAAGTATGTGGGATTCAGAATCTCTTGCACCATCATTCATTTTTATTAAATGCATGGGCTGCCACCACAGGCGTCTGGCAACTCCTTACAAAGTTATTATTTCTTTACTCTAGGTGACAGGAGATTGATCAAAGCTGCTTGTAGAAATCTAAATAACATCAGTAATATCAGTGAGTTGGTCATGTTATTTTGAACCTGTCCAGAGTATTTTCCCAGAAGAAAAGTCTGTAAATGAAATTTTGAGACGTAAACCTGAGCTGATATTTTCAACCAATAGATATATCACCTTAGTTTAAGATTGTGAGATAAAAGCTGATAAGCCTAAACGACCACATGCACTTTCCTTTTGTAATTTCTTTAATTAAATACTTATATACATAGTATATTATAATTATATGACTCAGCTATATTATATATTATATTATACAAAAAGGAATTTAAGATTTTTTATTTTGTTACATTGAGACACAACTTAAGAGAAAATTGTAGATGTTTTACCAGGACAGATATTTATCTGGCTGGTAAGCTCAAATTTGTGCATATCAGTCCTTGCTTCTGACTCAATGGAATAGTCTTTTAAGACATCCTGATAATATGAACAAATAGGAAACACACAAAAAAGGTTTCAATTTTTTAATATTATTAGTTTAGCTATCATTAACCTATGAAATAGCTATTTTGAAAAAATTCATTTCATAAATGTTTGTTAAATTCTTTCATTTATCCTACAGATTATTTCTTGAACCTCTATTTTTTCCAGGCACCTAAAAATAGAATAATATTTGAGTTCCCACTGAGAAAGTATGTTCAATGCCAAACGGTGCATTTAACCTTGGAAGTGATATTGTAAAATGTCCAGTGTACAATTTTTTGTTTTATAGTATAAATACTCATTTTGCTTTATATTTTTAACTAGGAATTTCTTCAATTGTTGTTTTCTTCCCAGTAAGGCATAAATATGCAAACTGTTGTTTATGGATAGTTTGCTTAGGTGACAACTACTCACAATAATCATAACTGCTATTATATGCTGAATGTTTTTTCATTCTTCCAGGAGTTGAGTGCCTTACACAGTTTTCATTTAATCCCAACAACCCAAGTACTGTAGTTGTCCCCTTTTTACAAATGAGGAAATTGAAGCTAACACATGATAAGAAGTTTGCCCAAGGTCCTCAGAGCCTATCGTTAGGAATATTGACATTTGAGCACAGACGTTTAACTCCGAGGATGGAGCAATGCAATGAGCCCCATGTTCCACCCCCATTTCCACTATGGCTTGGTCCATTGCAGCAACTGAGGCAACGGCCCTTGCTGGGCTGGAGTTTCCTGTGCCGCACCCTTAGGGCAAGGGCGACTGTTGGGTAAACTGACTACAGCAAAGGGAAGGGACAACTCCAATTGCACTAAATGCAAAATGGCAATTTTCATAGGAAAATCATCTCAAAAGAAAATGCTACACATGTGGTAAGTCATGTCTGCAATGGCAGTCATCAGCGATCTAGCCTCCTACTCCAACTGGGCACTTCTTTTGCTGATGATTTAAATCCAAATCAAGTAAATTTCAACCTGACCCTTCCTCTATTAACAATATATTCTTTAAATGAAAATGACATTTCTATCCCATCAGTGATTTGTCAGCAAACACCAGGCAATTGAAAAAGATTATATTTATGAGTACTGTTAAAAACTTGAGCCTAATTAAATTTAAAGGATTTATATGAGCAATGAATAATTTGTGAATTGGGCAGTCCCCAGATTCACAGCAGATTCAGAGAGACTCCAGGTTGCCTTGTGGTCAGAATAAATTAATAGACTAAAAAAGTAAAGTGAGGTACAGAAATAGGAAGTGAGGTACAGAAACAGCTGGATTGTTTACAGCTCTGTGTTTGCCTCATTTGAACATAGTTTGAACACTCAGTTATGTATGAAGTATGGCCGCTGGTATCGGCCAAGACTCAGCAATTTTTACGGGTGCATACTCCTGAGTTATGTTTTTAATCTTGTCTACCAATTAAGTTAGGTTGCAGTTCACTCACAAGGACTCAAATACAGAAGTACATAGTCCTTCTCAGGCCATATTTAGTTTGCTTTAACAGTATTAATTGTTATTATGAAAAAGAAAGTGTTTTTTTTTTTGTTTTTTTTTTTTTTTTTTTTACAAAAGACTAGAATTTGACTTTAGAAATATTGGTCCCTTTCACCAGTACAAATTAATGACATGACACAAATCACTATACCGCATGCAATTATTTGATAATGACTTGTAATCATAAGTAATTTCTCAAAGAGTAAATTAAATGTTCATTAGAAAACATAACCACTATTAATTGCATTAGTTATTTCCATTAAAAAGCAAAATGTGTTTTTATATAAATCTGAGGATTATTTTAGTTTCTATCTTTGAGAATTTTCTCATTCTCTAGATTTTTTAAAAGTAGAAGAAAAAATGAGCATATGGATATTTATATATATCTTGTGTCTACAGTGTTTGATGACTTACTGAAATGATTTCTGTAATGATTTTTACTCTGTGCTCACATTAAGTTGTAGAGCCCTAAAACTGATTCAGTATTTCCACAAAGAATGCAAAATAGCTTTTGTACCACAAAATATGAGGTATCTTTCATATTTTAATACTTACCACCTGTATGTACGACGAGTAGCATTACAATTACTTTAGTACAATGTTATCACAAAGACTATTCTCATAATCACAGTAGAATTATTTTGTTAGGCTTATTTTCCATTATCCCTTGTTATTTATTTTGTATTCTTTGAAGCCGGGCTATACACTAGATCATGAATATTACCAGTGCTTTTCTGCTTCTATATCTTAGCTTGAATTACTTCTTTCTTTTCTTTTTTCTTCTTTTTTTCTTGGTGCATCAATGTATTCAATTTACAGAGTTCATTTACATTATCTTTTTAATTGAGGTAAAATTCACATAACATTAAATTGATTGATTTTAAGGGAACAATTCAGTGAGTGAGTGGCATTCAGTACATTGTTTTGCAAATTCTGTATCTACCTGGTTCCAAAACATTTTTGTTTCACCCCAGAATGAAACTCAGTAACCGTTAAGCCGTTGTTCTCCATTTCCCCCCTTCCACCTTCTAACACCTACCAATATAAATTCTGTCTGTATGAATTTACCTATGCTGAATGCTGCATTTATTTATTTATGTATTTTATTTTTTAAGTTTTTTTGAGGTGGAGTTTCACTTTTGTTGCCCAGGCTGGAGTACGATGGTGTGACCTTGGTTTACTGCAACCTCCGTCTCCCGGGTTCAAGCGATTCTCCCACCTCAGTCTCCCAAGTAGCTGGGAATATAGGCTCCTGCCACCATGACTGGCTAATTTTTATATTTTTAGTAGATACAGGGTTTCACCATGTTGGCCAGGCTGGTCTCATACTCCTGACCTCAGATGTTCCACCCGTCTAGGCCTCCCAAAGTGCTGGGACTACAGGCGTGAGCCACCGTGCCTGACCTGAATTCTTTATATAACAGGAATCAGACTATACATGATGTTTTGTGCCTGCCTTCTTTTACTTAGTATGAAGTTTCTGAGGTTTATCACTTTGTAGCATATATCGATAATTATTTCATTCTTTTTTATTGCTAAATAACTTTTTATTATGCATATATACCATGATTTGTTATCCCTTCTTCTATTGATGAACATTTGGGATGTTTCCACCTTTTAGCTATTGTGAAGAGTGCTGTTTGCTTTGAACATGCATGTACATGTATTCGTATGACTACAAGTTTTCAATTCTCTTGGGTTTATAACTAGGAGCGGAATGGCCGGGTCATAGAGTAATTCTATGTTTAACATTTTTAGGAGCTATTTGTTTTCACAGTGGCTGTATCATTTTACATTTTCACCAGAGTTTATGAGTGTTCCAGTTTCTCCATATCCCTGCCAACAATTGTTCTTTTCTTTCTTTATTTTTAAATCACCATGCTAGTGGGAGTAAAGTGATATCTCATTGTGTTTTTCCATTTCCGTAATAATTGATGATGTTGAGCATCATTTTATGTGGTTATTGGCCATTTGTATATATTCTCTGGGAAAAGGTCTATTCAAGTCCTTGGACTAGTTTTTAATTAGGTTGTCTGTGGTTTTGTTGTTGAGTCGTAAGGGTTCTTTATATATGTTGTATATTAGTTTCTTACAGATATAATATTTGTAAATATGCTCTATTGTGTAAGTTATTTTCACTTTATTACTGATTTTTTTGATACAAAAAAGCTTACAATTTTGATGAAGTCTGACATTTTTATTCTTTCGCTGCTTCTGCTTTTGGTGTCATACCTAAAAATCTACTGCCAAATATAAGGCTATAAAAATCTACCTCTTTGTTTCCTTCTAAGAGTTACATGGTTTTAGTGCTTATATTCAGGTCACTGATCCATTTTGAATTTAGGAATCTAACATTATTATTATTATTTTTAAATCCTCTAGTCTGAGAGCATTTGTTTGTTTGTTTGTTTGTTTGTTTGCTTGCTTGTTTGTTTGAGACACAGTCTCAATCTGTTGCCCAGTTGAAGTAAGATGATACAATAATGGTTCACTGCAGCTTCAATCTCTCAGGCTGAAATGACCTTCTCATCTCAGCCTCCTAAGTAGCTGGGATTACAGGTGCATGCCACCACTCCCAGCTAATTTTCTTTTTTTTTTTTGGTATTTTCTGTAGAGACAGGTTATTGCCATGTTGCCCAGGCTGTTCTCGAATTCCTGGACTTAAGCAATCTGTGTGCCTTGGCCTCTCAAAGTTCTGGGATTATAGGTGTGAGCTATTGTGCCCAGCCTAATCTTATTTTTTTGTGTGTGAAAATCCGGTTGCTCCTGCACCACTTATTAAAGGGGTTTCAGCTAATATTTATCTCTGTCTACATACAAATAGTTAACATATATGTTAATATACATAGTATATATGGTTAATATAGATGTTTATATATAGTTAGTATACATAGTTTATATATGTTAATATATATTACGTATACTATTACATATAAATTTTATATATTATGTATATGTTATATATAAAATATTATAAAATATATAATAAATTTATATTTAAATGGTGATATGGTGTAAAATGGTAAAATGGTGTTTTACAGATCCCTAAGACTCTGTTCACTTTTCTTCATGATTTTTTCTTTCTTCTCTTCAGAAATTTTAATTGTCTTATCTTCAAGCTGCTGATTCTTTCTTCTCCCTTCTCAAATCCTGTTGAACTTCTTGAGTGAATTTTTTATTTCAGTTATTGCCCTTTTCAGTTTCAGAATTTCTATTTGCTTCCTTTTCATAATTTTTATATCTTTATTGATATTCTCATTTTGTTCACATATGGTTTCCATCGTTCCCTTTAGATTTTTGTCCATAGTTTCCTTTAGCCCTTTGAACATATTCAAGATGGTAGATTTAAAGTCTTTATCTAATAAGTTTCATGTCTGGATGTCCTCAGGGATGGTTTTTGTCAATTTAATATTTCCTATGAATGGGCCATACTTTCCTTTTTCATTGTATGCCTTGCAATGTTTTGTTAGAAACTGGGCTTCTGAGTATTATGTTCCGGTAACTCTGGAAGTCAGCGTCTCACCTTTCCCTAGGTTTACTTGCTGAGATCTGTAGTTGTACAGCGGTCTAGTAACTTTTTTTTAAACTATTTCACAATACTGCATTCCTTGTCATGTGTGATCACTGACATCTCTGTTCACTTTCTCACTTATCACCAAATCACAGAGAAGTAATTTTATTAAACATTTATAGCCAAGAGGGGAAAGGGAGAGAAAAAATAGAAGGAGAGAGAGAAAAAAAATTTCTGTTTGTCTTTGAGCTGGAGCAATCTCTGAATGCTAAACTGGGCTGCTTATAATTCAGCTTTGCTTTTCCCTTTGCTTCTGCAGAGTCTGCAGTTTGGCCAGGAGGGTAAGCACAGGGTCCTCTCAAGTCTTTTCTGAGCCTGCATCTGGTGCTGGGCCTGCACATTCCACTCCCTCTTTCCCCAGTATATGTAATGGTCATTCTGAGCCATTATTCCTCCAAGGAAATTTCTTTTCTGCCTTCTTCTTCCTGTCCTTGGGTTTATTTTATTTTTCCCTGTTTACTGTCCCTTTCTCCATGTAAAAATGGGTAGAATATGTCTCTAAATTTTCAGACAGACCACCAGTGTCACTGCCTGGACAGTCATCCCAACCCAAGGAGGAAAGAAGAAAACAAAATAAAGGTCAGCCTTTGTGCCTGTTCCTCTGGGAGCCACAGAAATAGTCAAAACACAATATTTTACTAACATGAATTTTAAGAGCCAGTCTTTTGAGAACAAGGTGCGTATTAGCCTCTTGGCACCAGCAAGGCACATTTGGAACATGGGTTGCCAAACTCACAGCCGTGACCACTCCCACTGGCTGGAGACTGGGAGATGGTGGACAGGTGAACAAAACTACCACAATACTTTCTTACAAAAACTCACCCATCCTTTTCTTCATTTAAACAGTCCATCTCGTTGCTCTATGTTTTGGATTAGATTCTAGAATTCCAAAAAAAAATTTTTAAATTTTCTTTTGATTTGAAATGCTCTTTCTTATCCTTAAACATTTAAATTTTAAACTTAACCCAAGCTAAACTGATCTTTTGTTACTCTGTCCCTCAGGGCAGGCCGTTCTTGGTTGTGCTCATCTCGGTAAATGATAACTCTGTTTTTCCTGTTTTATTTGTTTGGGGTTTGCCTTCCTCTGCTGCAGGAAACCTATAAGAGATCAAGACTTCTGTCTAGTTCACTGTTATATGATTTATTTCTGGAAAACATGATAAGCACTCAATAAATATTTGTTGAATAGATGTCGAATAAAGTTATTATCTACTTGGGTTCCCTAATGTGAATAAATCTCTTTTATTTACATGGCAGTTTATTCGTCTCTTACTATAATTTGTATTAAAATCTGTCTACCTAATTCAGCAGGAGTTTACACATTTAAATAACTGCAATACTAGTCTGCAAATGCCTGGAGAATGAGAACATGCTTTGTTTACCTATCACAGTTACCTGGCCAGGCACAGACACTCAGACACTGTTAATGGTTTTTCAATCCTCTGGTGAACTCTAAATGAGCAAAGAGAGGTGTTATTTACAGGAATGCTGTGAGTCTGCATCGCATAAGTAGCTCTACTTGTCCTCTGGAATGTCTATCTGCTAGAGATGGCCATTTTCAAGTCAATCTAAGCTTATTTAATACAACATCCTTGTTGATTAGCGGCTCATGCTACTTCTTCTTCTTCCCTCATATTTTATGGAGTCTAACAGAGTGCTATTATATTTATCAATTTTTGTCAAAGACTCCAGCTACATTGGTTAGATACAATGATTATGTGAAATAATCAGAGGTTTGGGTTAAATAGAGCAAAAATTCTTTTCATGGGACTCTAAAATAAATTATCCTTTTCTTTTTCTATTTGTAGAAATTTATTGCTTAGAAACACCACAATTTTTTTTCTGTGGGCCTTTAATACAACTTCTATATTGATCTTTAGACATTTCAGTCTTTCAGCATTTCTTGTAGTTTTTCAGTAGCAGACTGATAATAAAGGAAAGACAATAGCAATTATGTCAAGATACTGTTAGGAGGTAATATAGTTTGGTTCTGTGTCCCCACCTAAATCTGACCTTGAGTTGTAAAAATCCCCACGTGGCAAGGGGGGGGCAAGGTGGAGATAATTGAATCATGGGGGCAGTTCTCCCCATGCTGTTCTCATGAAAGTGAGTGAGTTATCATGAGATCTGATGGTTTTATAAGAACAGATGCCTTCCTTCTTCACTCGCATTCATTCTCTCTCCTGCTGCCCTATGAAGTGATGCCTTCTGTCATGATTGTAAGTTTCCTGAGGACTCCCCAGCCATGCGGAACTGTGATTCAATTAAACCTCTTTTCTTTATAAATTATTCAGTCTTGGGTATTTCTTCATAGCAGTGTGAGAACAGACCAATGATATAGGAGTTAAGAAGAAGTTACTTAGGCAGATGGAGAGGGTATGGAGTCCTCGGTAAGGTTTTCCTTATTAATGAAAAACAGTCCCAAAATCATTTTCTAACAAAGAGCAGCTTGTAGAATTGAGCTGCAGACATAGACAAGCAATCTGGAAGCTTGCATGGGTGAATGCCAGCAGAAAAAGCTACCTGGGACTAAGCATGTTCAAAACAGCAACTCCATCTTGCCTTCTCTCTTTGCCAGCCACGAGTACAGTAAGGAGCAGACAAGATGGCACTGGTCAAGTGGAAAGCCCATTTACATAATAAGACTAGGGCGAGGTGGCCGGCCTTCCCTGTGCGCTATGTAAATATCACACACACCTAATCGAACCAATGTGTGGGCTCTAAATAAATCAGACACTTGCCTCCTCAAGCCGGCCTATAAAATTCAGTGCATCCACCACTGGCTGGTGATACCTTTCAGAATCCCCTCTCTCTCAGTAGGGAGAGAGCTGTTCTCCTTTCTCTTTCTTTTGTCTATTAAACCTCTGCTTCTAAACTCCTCATGTGTGTCCATGTCCTAAATTTTCTTGGCACAAGATGATGAACCCGAGGTATTTACAATCGACAACAGAGCCACTTCACTAATACAGGAGGTAACCTGAAACAAACACTTAGGAACACACATTACTATCTATCACAGTATTACTAATGGTACATAAATGCAACAATCAACATTTATAGTTAGGTAATTGTCAATAATGTTTGGTATACTGATATATAGGATGAGCTATCATGTAGCCTTAAACAATACTGACAAATTGTTTATATAATGTTAATTATAAAGAAAATAAAATCCAATATATTGTATGATAATAATTTTATTCAGAAAATGTCCAACACTTAATACAATCGAAAGAAAACATAAAACATATAAACAATTTTACCTGTACTTCTGGGTCCTGAAAATACAGAAAATATTTGTTTTAAAATTTTACATTGCTAAATCTTTCAGAAACCACAAATGTATATTCATTTTTATTATTTTTAGAGAAAAATATTCAAAAGAAAAAATATATGTATGATAGTATGGGTTGTCAGTCTAATCTAGGTAATTCTACATTTGAATTATAGAATTTCTATGAGCTCTGTTATGCCCATAATTTATCTATTCAGTTAATCAATCTAATAAATATTTTCTGAGTAGAAAAACAATGCTGATTAATGTGCTAGATGCTGGAGGTGCTGCTGAGTGAGATAAACAGGACCTTTCTTTGAGAATGACAGGTCTTTCTTGCAACTGTTAAAACCTAGTACTATATTCCTGGTCTGCTCACCTACTGGGCTATATGTGGTTTAAGGCAAGGGTTATGCCAATAGTAATTATATCTTGCATACATAGCGTTGTGTCTGGCACATAACTGTGACTCAGTAAATCTTTTGACAATAGAGATATTGAGTAGTAGTCTCAAAACTTTAAACTCAATATAGATTTTCAAGTCAACATTTGCCAATGAAGGAGTCATTAGGAGATTGAATATAATTATAAGACATACACAGGTAACACCTTAAGATATACACAGGTAACACCTTAAAGCACTGTTGAAGATTTTCTTGCCATGAAAGAAAAATGCAAGCCACAGTCCTATGATAAAAGAGCATGGGCTAATAACTGAAAAGTTTTGGGTTTTAGTGTCACTAAGCTCAAATAAAAGTAGTTTAAATGTTTTGAAAAATATGTTTTAATAAAAACTAATAAAGTATAGTAAAATATATTTTAATAAAAATATAAATTTAAGTAAATATTTAAGAATTACTTTCCTGCTTCTTATCACAGTACCTTTGAACTAACTTGGAAAGGCGTAGGTACTGCATTTGGAATGAATAACTTTGAAGAGATGATCTGGGAAGGAAAAGGTTCTTGCTTCTGTTTTTAGAGGGAGAAAGCTCTGAGCTTCAGTCATAAAGTGGCACTCCTGTGTGCACATCCTGCTTCTTCAGGTGAGTGTGAAACCCCACTGATCCTCCTGGCTTTTCCTAGCTATAGTAAAGCCATGGTCTAAGTGGCACCATATAATCAATATCAAAATTTGGCTAATCAAGCCAAATCTGTCATGTAGAAAATGCCTCTGCTTGGCCATGAAAACATCTGGGAGAACTTAAGAGCACAGGTGACTGGTGCTCCAGTCTTGGCGCACTGAGGTCTCTTCTCCTTTTTAAGAACCTGATACTGAGTGCATTCAATTTAATCAGAAAATGAGCATGAGTTAGAGAGACTGGTGATGAGCTCTTTCCCCTCTTCCTAATCCCTTCACCTAAAGCATTGGCAACTATAATAAGTCATACACAGGCTCCCAAAAGACAATATGGATATAAAAAGTAAGATTATAAAAAGAAGGTTAAAAATGTTTGTAACTAAACAACAAACAAATTGACAATATAGAAATTCAAATAATTTATATATTTGAAATTAGATTGAAGAAAATTACTTTTTTGTTCCCTGGTAACTTCATAGGATTTATAGGAGCTTAATTTTTATTATTGTTCCAGTAGTTTACATGCCATTTGTTCAAATATAAAGAAGGAAGTTTACTTGTATTATATCATTACAATTTTGATCTTATCTACAAGTCTAATCAACATATTTGATTTAGCTTCAGGAAAATAAAAGCAATCTACATTTTATCAAGACCACAGAGTCATGTATTTCGTTTATTTTCAACAGTGATAATTATTAAAATATATGCTTAACTCTTCAGTAGTAACAGTCAAAACCTGAAAATAACCCAAATGTCCTTAAATAGGAGAAAGGTTCAACAAACTGTTCTATGTCCTTACCATGAAATATTACTCAGCAACAAAAAGGAACAAGTTATAGATACATGTGACAATCTGGAGAAATGTGCAGAAAATAATGCTGAGAATAAAAGTGAACCCCAAAAAGTTATAAAGTCTATGAATTTATATTTATATAACATTTATGACATGACAAAAATATAGAAATGGAAATTTCTATATTTCCATTTAGTGGTTGCCAAAGGTTGAGTGTGGGGAGAATTGGTGGCTGGAGGAAAAGGTGTGGTTATAAAAGAGCAACATGAGGGTGCCTCTGTGGGAATCTGTGTTTTGACTGTATCTCTTGGGAACAGGCCCCCCAAAATCTGGCCATAAACTGGCCCCAAAACTGGCCATAAACAAAATCTCTGCAGTATTGTGACATGTTGGTGATGGCCATGACACCCATGCTGGAAGGTTGTGAGTTTACTGGAATGAGGGCAAGGAACACCTGGCCCACCCAGGGCAGAAAACCACTTAAAGGCGTTATTAAACCACAAACAATAGCATAAGCGATCTGTGCCTTAAGGACATGCTCCTGCTGCAGATAACTAGCCCAACCCATCCCTTTATTTTGGCCCATCCCTTTGTTTCCCATAAGGAATACTTTTAGTTAATCTATAACTATAGAAACAATGCTTATCACTGGCTTGCTGTCAATAAATATATGGGTAAATCTCTGTTTGAGGCTCTCAGCTCTGAAGGCTGTGAGACCCCTGATTTCCCACTCCACACCTCTATATTTCTGTGTGTGTGGCTTTAATTCCTCTAGCGCTGCTGGGTTAGGGTCTCCCTGACCAAGCTGGTCTGGGCTGTATCATTATCAATATTTTAGTTGTGATTTTTGTATACTTTGGTAAGCTGTCAGCATTGAAGTAAATTAGATGGAGTGTATAAAGGATCTCTATGTATTATTTTTCACAACTGCTTGTAAATCTGTTATTATGTCAAAATAAAAATCAATGAAAAAATAGTGCTTTATATACGAAAACAACGAGTATATTTTGAGCCCCACTGAGTAAGTCTGTGAGCAATAGAACAATAAGAAGTTAATCTCCCTGAGTCCAAATTTTTCTATCTTTAAAATGAGACTTCCATAACACTCCTTGTAGGGTTTGTCACGTGTTTAATGATATTATTTGTAGAAAAGCATATTTTAAAATGTAAATAGTTGAATAAATTCTAGATGCATACATTTTGAAGTAGGTTCTTTAAGAAAATCAAATCCAACATTTATAGATTATAAAAATCTTTAAATTCCCACAGATATAAAAGATATAATAAAGATTGTAAATACTTGGCAGCCTGATACCACTGTTTCTGAATTCCCATAGGTTGTTGGGGGCTTTCGTTGCATCTTTTATCTTCCCTTGTCTGACCCCTGGTGGGCCCTGAGGTTCTAAAATAAACGCTTTAAAAACTACTCATTTATAACTTAAGGATCACATATGGGAAATACCATATAAAATCATTTAAGTACGTGTAAATTATTCGGTTGATGCATGCAAGGTAACATAATAATTTGAGCTTTTATATAGAATACATCACTTCCTTTATATAGACTATCTCATTTAATCATCATAATTGTATAAATTTTTATTACTCATAAATCCATTATGTTGATGAAAAATAGACACAGAGATGGCTAAATACATTTTCCAAGACATAAACCAGTGAATGAAAAGGTATAATTTAAATCAGGCACTCTGAGGTGTCCATTTTCTGGATGCATTTCTGAAGTCTAAATCTACACGTTGATTCATTGACCTTGTAATTTCTGGTTCTTATTTTGGTCATGGAAATGCCTGTGTTGATTGCAAAGGGCATCCTTTGGTTACTCTTGATTTAAGCTGGCTAATGACTTCGGTGGAAGGTGTTGAAAAATGGTGAATCGACCTATTTTCAAATACTGGCTCTACTTCTATTGCTATAAGTGGTAGCAGTGTCTATCACCAAAGAAAATTGTTGAGCAACAGTGAAAGTCACTGCAATATTTATATGGGCATATAGTGGTGGAGAGATTATTGCAAGCAAAGACACAAGAGGTTGAGGTTTCACAGTGGCCTCATTTATCTCTGGACAACTGTGGCTACTCCTTCTGGACTCAGTAATTCTGGCATCACCACCCTGGAAGTGAAGATTGCATAGCCTCACTGAACTAAGTGAACCACCTTCTCCAGGGATTTCCCATTGTAATTCAGTCCCCAGTCCCATTGAAATAAAGTGCCTAACATTTGTGGAAAAATTATTCTTTGCCAAGCACTTTTATTTATCATATAGGGCATTTATTTGTTTGTATGCTCCCCTCCCCTTCACTGAAAGCTTCAGAAAACAAAAATAGCTAGTGTTTTATTAATCTCTAGCCCCAAGCATTCAGTGCCTTGTACATAATGGCCTGTCATTGAGTGTTTATTATATTCAGTTGGAACTTGAGAATGTTTTATTACTTTAGAATTTTATTTTGGTCATTCTACTTGCCGTGTTATATCTCAAACTTTTCACATTTTACAGGACACATGACTTGTTCTTTTGAAAACATTATTCATCTGCTCATTTCATAAATCTTTCAGATATATCAGATCCACCTCAGAACAGTCTGAAAGTATTCAACGAACTGACAAAGTACCACTAATTATAAAGCCATTACTAGTTCATCTATCTAAAGGTAAGCACAATTTCCTGAAAAGATTTGTCCCTAGACATTAAACAAATGAGATCTCATCAAATTATTGTCTTTAGCTAAAGTACAATGTGGGTACTTCTGCAAATAATTCAGTCTACCTATTAGTGGTGCTTTTTTCTCTCTAGGAAACGGCATCACTATTGGCTAGTCATCAATATCTTGGCAGGGAACTCTAGTTCATTGCCTAAAAGTTTAACTGCCTAAATTTTTCAGGTACTCATTACATAATTACATGGTCACCATACAGCCACTTTCAAAATAAAGCATTCGTCGCATATCATTGTTGCTGTCTTCTATTTCTAATCTAAAGTGATGTCCCCAGGTAAATTCACTGATAAATATTTCATATAAGAATATGAAAATAAAATAAGACATTTCAAGGACAAGACTTAATTCTTTAACTGTCAAGAATAAATTTAAACAACCTGAAAAATGTTCATGACATTTCATGACTGCTATCTGAGCATTCATTTATTCATGAATTATTGAACTCACACTTTAAAACAGTTCCCAAAACCAGAACCTAAACATTTCTGCCCTAACAAAATCAGAAACTTTATAAGTGAGAATTTAATGCAGTATGAAGAAAAGACATTTTAATGACAAGAATATGAGTCATTGACTGTTGAGAAAATTAATACAAATTCTCATAAAATATTACATTTATTCTATTGAAAACATAAAACTAGCTGACAAATCTGATACATAGAACATTCAAATTTTTAATAATATAAGCAGCATCAACAATTTATAATTAAGTGAATTTAATAGTATTCAGAACTCCAACATAGTAAGCAAGTACTGATGGTTATTTCATATAAAGGACTTTTTGAAAATTCTTCTAAAACACTAATTCTATCTGTTTGACTCATTGTGGGAAGTGGTTCAATAATGAGATCAGTAAAAGGGAACACTATCCACTGAATTTTTGGTTAGGAATAAGTAGACATTAAAGGATGTCACTGGAAAAAAAATGGAGATTATGGCTATAGGCAGCCATTTATTTGGGGGAAGAGAAAGAAAGGGCTGGAAGAAACAATACAGTTGAATCTTATTTTTAGGCAGAGATGAAAGATCAAGAAAAGTGCTAAAAAAGGATTAATTAATACATATTATGGGAGATGATATGGATAAGGGATCTTTATTTCACCTCCGAAGAACTGAGCTTAGTATAACTAATTTACACTTTAGCTGTTCTTGGGAGGAGGGAGAGTTTGGCCTTTAATGATTGTCACAGAGCACTACAGTCAGCTCTCCATATCCCTGACTCTGCATACGGGGACTCAACCAGCTGTGGATCTAAAATATTCGAAAAAAGTAAAAAATAAAAAATAACAATGTGACAATAAAAAATACTGCACATGAAAAGGGGTGAGTTCCTTTATCCCCCTCGCAGGGCATGCGATGGGGGTGTGGCTAGCTGCTGGTGCCCCACTGCTTATACCCCTAGAGGGGAGCACGCTGAAGAGCAGGTAGTGGGAAGCGCCAACCCCAGGGCAGTGTCTGAGGGTTGAGTGCTCACAGCTGCAGAAGCCCCATTGGGCGTGTGTTACAGTGCGCTCTTTCAGTTTCAGTTTTTGATTAACACAAGCTGCAAGTGGCTTGTGTTAATCAGCTCAGTCAGGCCCTCTGCCTTATCAGAAGGACAGAGGGCTTTCTGCATCCCAGGTTCATGCCTTAGTGTACAGGAAAAATCGGATCACACGTGGGCTTGGAGAACGAGGGCAAGGTTTTATTAAGTGGAGGTAGCTCTCATCGAGGTGAATGTCTGTGCCCTCTAGAGTCTGTGCCCTCTAGAGTCTCAGAATTTTTATGGGCACAGGATAGGGGCATGATGGGCAAGGGTGGTCTTGAAAAATGCATCATTTGGTTGCGAAAACAAAAATGCCTGTCCTCAACTAGGTCCGCGGGCACAGGCCTGAGGGCGCAGCCCTTGCCAGGGATCTTATCCTTCTCCTCCCAGCATTTCCCTGCCCCGCTCCCATTATCACAAATAAAAGCCAATACAGTCTAAGAACTATTTACATAGCATATACATTGAATTAGGTACTATTAATAATCTAGAGATGATTTAAAGTTTGGAAGGATGTATGCAGGTTATATGTAAATACTATGCCATTTCATGTAAGGGGCTTTAACATCCTCAGATTTTGGTATTTGTGGGAAGTCTTGTAACCAGTTTTCCAGAGGAAACTGTATGGAGGAACGACTGTACTGATGGAAGAAAAAGTAGCCCAGCTGCTTGGAAAGGCTGCAAAAACACACTAAAGAAGTGGCTGCTGCATTTTCTGATTAAAATTATCCTTGGCTGAGTGTAGGGACAGACAGTAAAGTGATAATGATCTCCCTATTTGCTTTGAGAGACACCAAGTAAATACAACTACAGGCTTTATGTTATTCGTCTAATTCCATTGACCTTTAAACAGTAAAAATATCATCTGAATTCTGACAACAAAGTCAAAATGCATTCTGGTTTTCATTGTTTACATAGATTTGGAGGTGGACTGCTAGACGTTATTTTTGTCATCTAGAACTCCCAAGATTTATAATCTCATTCTATTACACTCTGCAAACAGAGAGAAACTGGTGAACAGCGACTTGAACACGGGCTCCCTATAAGTAAACGACAGTGGTGAGCGATGAAGAAAGAGCTTGCAGGGAGCAGCAAATGCCCTGGGAGGGGTCTTGTGTGCTTCAGGGGCAACATTTGTTGACTGGGCCTCATGGTTCAGGTGAACGATGAGTGAGGGAAAAACACTACCTTCTATAGCACAGCACGCTGAAGGGAATCTTATCAAAACCAGGGGCTGGGGGGGATCATAGACAAAAAAGAATAGAGCCAATATTAAAATGAGGGTTGGACCCAAGGAAGATCTTTTTACAAATGAAGCTAAGCAATTATACAGCATGGTATTAAATAAAGCATTTCTGCCTTAAAAATGGAAATGTGTATTCTGAACTAAAGAGGTTACAATTTGTTGACATCAGCCTAAAAAGGACTTCTATCTAAGCATAGACAAATGGCCTCAGAGAGTGCTGAATGAGAAAGGATTATAACTCAAGACATTTGTTCTCAGCAATTTGTATGTAATAATTAAAGTTAACAGAAAAATATTTCTGCACATGGAGGGACTCAGAAAATTCATGTTCTATTTTAAAAGAATTATTTGAATACATATGATTGATGGTTATAAGATGAATCTAAAAGAAGAATTTAAGAATTTTCAATGACATCAAAAAACTAGCACTATTCACAATGAACCTGGATGTGAGCACCATGCTCAGTGTATTTTAAGGAGTAGAAACTCCTTGCTACCCAGTCTCAAGGTCCCTCTCTTTCCTCTACTGTGGTCAGTCGCCTCCTCTCCAGAGTGTGGGTTCCACAATCCTTCAGGAAAATCCTATCTGTAACCACAGAGGTTAGTTTTACCTGAGAGTCCTCCTCTTCCTCACATCTGGATAATCTTAGATTTCTAAAGTGGTACATTTCAGTATATTAGTGCATTCAGAGTAGTGGGGGGAAGGATGGGTGAGATAAACAGTCCAAGAGAAATACTGTAGTGCTTAATGTTTGCTACCTTCAAAGTTTCACCACAAGGATGAGGGAAAGGTTTTCCTCAAATCCATGGAATGTGATTGCTCCTTTACACACACACACACACACACACACACACACACACACACATACACACACACCCCTTAGGATGGCACAACAGAATTCTCACTGACCTAAACCTATACCTAAATTCATAACAAAGAAACAAAATATCAATCAGATCAGACAAATAAATAAACAGCATCCAAATTGGAAAGGAAGAAGTAAAATTATCCTTATTTGAAGATGATATGAGCTTTTATTTGGAAAAACCTAAAGACGCCACCAAAAACTATTAGGACTGGTAAACAAATTTGGTAAAGTTTCAGGATTCAAAATCAACATACAAATCTCAGTAACATCTCTATATGCAAACAGTGAACAATTTGAAAAAGAAATAACGAAAAATAGTCCCATTTAGAATAGACACAAATAAAATTAAATACCTAGGAATTAACCAAAGAAGCAAAAGATCTCTATAATGAAAACTGAAAAAAGACAGATTAGGAAAATTGAAGACTTCCTTTTTTTTTTTTCATAATGTAGGAACAGGAAACAGACCTGGGTTGCCTGGGCTACCTGCACTTCTGCCTCACCAACTACAAAGTCAGCAGTTCCTAGGATATCCCATCAAATTTGATCATTTGCTAGAATGACTCATAGAACTTACTTAGGAAAATACTTTACTTACTATTACCAGTTTATTATAATGTATACAACTCGAGAACAGCCAAAGGGCAGAGATGCACAGGCCAAATGGCAGAGATGAACAGGCCAAATGGCAGAGATGCACAATATAGGAAGAACTTGACTATAAAGAGCAAGGGGGAATGTTTTCAGGTGGTGCAATTGTGCTGTATCTTGTGGTGGTAGTTAAATGCCTGTATAGATTTATCAGAATACAGAACTGTATAGTAAATTGGATTAAAATTTTTAAATATATTTCCTTAAAATATATTTCCTTAAAATTCAACTGATCTCTGTTCCAACAGTGTGAATGTTCAGAAGTGCAGATGGAGAATACTTTTTGATGTTCTGTACTTTGATGTCTGTTAAATTTTAAAGAATTGAAGTTCTATTAAAGACCAACATTCTTTTAAATGAAAAAGTGAAGTAATCTCTTCTTGGAAAACCAAATGGGAACTAGGCCAAATTCTTTCCTTTCTTTTTCAGCTTTCTCCTCATCTCCCACTTCTTCCTCACAGCCAATTCCACAGTTAGGAGGGCATTAGAACCCAAGATTTCAACCTTACAATCCCTCTCATTACCTTCTCCTTTCCATAGTCCTCTGAAATAGAAAGGTACAACATTTCCCTTCTATACCTGCCTAATAAGGACTTCCTTCTTATCTTCTCTCCCTGCGTCTCCAGGTGTCTTTCTCCTTAGCACTCACACTGGAATCAGGATGGTATCAGTGATGCAAGAAGAAAATCTGTCCTACTCATAAAAGAGTATTCTGAATCTTACCCTCATTCGCACTTTTGTGAGTCGTTGTAGTTGGAGGTGGGTGCAGCTAATTCTATTGTTTTTTTAGCTCACCATCATATGATCTGAAAATAACCCTTATGATGACTTTACTGTTATGCATAATGTTGGTGGCTGCTTTAAGATATTATATTTTCTGTTAATTTAATTTTGTTTTTTGTTCACTATGAGATTCTATTAAGAAGAAATGTTGACTTATTTCAAGTGCCATTTTATATATCAGTGTAGTGTGGGAAAATAAAAACAAATCCATTTCAGGCAGAATCAAATGAATAATATTTTACTCATTTGCTATTTTTGAATGTATTCCCTTAATGAATCTTGTCATTGGAAACAACGTTTTCTCTTAAAGTCACTTTTTGGTGGTATCTTATAATCTTAAAGTATCAGTCTTATTTGCTAAATTTTTTTAATATTTTTGTCTCTATATTAGCAAGTGTTGGTAGTTTATGATTTCTTTTCCTTCTTTGTCAGTGTCTATCTCTGTATTTAATGTTTTTATTCATGAGCAGTTTTTTTCCTCCTAGCTCCAACCAATTCTCTAAATATCTAATACCAACTGGGTATTCAACATAATTCTGACACTGAATACCTAGAGTTAGCATCAGACTCCACAAGTTTAAGGGACTCCCCAAGACAACCCCCATTTCAGATGCCAGCCACAGATGGGTTGCCTGGGCTACCTGCACTTCCGCCTCACCAACTACAAAGTCAGCAGTTCCTAGGATATCCCATCAAATTTGATCATTTGCTAGAATGACTCATAGAATTTACTTAGGAAAATACTTTACTTACTATTACCAGTTTATTATAACGTATACAACTCGAGAACAGCCAAAGGGCAGAGATGCACAGGGCAAGCTCTGGAGGAAGGGGGGTGGTGCTTCGGTGGCCTTCCCAGGTATACCACACTCTCAGCTACTGCATGTGCTCACCAGCCTGGAATCTCTGCAAACCACATTGTTTAGGGGTTTTGATGGAGGTTTCATTACATAGACATGATTAGTTATATCATTGACTTTTGGTGACTGAACTCAGCCTCTAGCCTGTCTCCCAGTCCCAAGCATGGGGTGGGGAATTAGGAGGGAGGGACTAATGGGAATTTCGACCCTCTGTTCATGCCTGTTATTTTTTATTTCTGGTCATCAGCCCCCATCCTGAAGCTATCTAGGAGACCCCAGCCACCTGTTGTCTCATTAGCATAGAAAAGACATTCTTGTCCCTGCAGAGATTCCAAAGATTTTAGAAATTTTGTACCAGGAACCCAGACAAAAGATCAAATGCTTATTTTTTGTTATACCACAATCTACCTAGTCATTCTGTCTTTCTTCCAGTTATATTATTAATTTGTCCTACATATCTCATCGATAACATTCCAGGTGTTAACTTGGAGAGCTTTATAACTTAAATAGCATTTGACAGGTGCAATTTCAGCAGGAAAATAGCTGTTTGAGATGAGGACATCTGGAAGGCATCTCTGATGGTGTGGCGTATGAACAGGTATCCAAATGACAAAATGCAGCCAGCCATGTGCAAGTCTTGAGGAAGATGCTCCAGCAAGTCCAATGGCCTGAGAGACAGGGGCTATGATTGTTTTTCCACCATTCTACTTTCCATGCCTCCCAAGTTCAGGAACAAGTTTGGTTCTCAAGTGCACATTAGTTGAAGTGCTGTTTCTTCCTTGAAGATCTTCGTCATTTGGTCAGAGCTAGTAAGTAATATCTGTGTGATTTCTACATGTGCACACACTATTGATAGGCCACACAGTACCCATAGTTGGTAACATTCCTTTCTTTCAGATGTAGGCTGGCTGTCAGCATAGAAAATGTTAGTTACTCAGCTCCATAACCTGGTTCCCAGCTGCAACATGGCTCTGTTACCCAATCCTGACCTGAAGTGGTGTGGATAGAGGGTTGGATGCTGTCCTTACAATGTTAACAAGAATTACATGCTGGGATCTGGGCAGAAATATGGTTATAAGCATGCATTAATCAGGCTTAATTAATTGAATTAACTTTGAATTACTTCCTTGTAATTCAGAGTTACACAGCACTAGATACTGACCATCTGTATCCCTGTTGTTCCTATAGATAAGACTGCTGACCTTAGAATCATAAGGTTTTAATTTAAGAATTGCTTAAGGTGTTTTTTAGACCCTGAATTCTGGCTGAATGGCTGACACCAAACAGTTTAAAGATCCTCACAGAGCAACCTAGTCATCACGAGAATGCAGTTTCTTCCTTTCCTGGTCCCATGACTTGGCCCTGCACTCTGACTAATCAATGATCCTCATACCCCAGCTCATGCTAAACCCCTTAATATCTCTTCCCCAAACTCCTTTGGGAGGCAGATTTGAGATTTCCTCCTGTTTCCTCATTTGGCTGCCCTACTATTATTAAGCTCTTTTTCTGCTGCAACCCTCAGTGTTGTTGTATTGACTTTCTGTGCCTTGGGCAATAGATCTGCTATGGTCACAGGTTCCTGAAAGAGATCTGCACCCCTCACCCCCATCTACTTTGCCGAGGAACTGGATGAGTCATGAGCGAAGAGAGCCACTTAGGGCATCATCATATCAGAATAGGATACCTGGCACTGCTGTAGTCCCCTTACAAGCAGGTCCAGAGGTCTGTGAAATCACACTAAAGCAGACCCAAAGTTCTGGTGTTGAATCTCTAAATAGCCCCAGAATCCCCTAACCTTGACTTCTCAATACATAAAAGAAATAAAACACAAATGGTGTTACCCTTTTTATTCAGTTGTTCAGCTAAAAGCAATAAAATGCACTGCATAACGGTGTGCAGAGAGAACTGCCCACATTTCGTTAGTGTGATTTGTTGTGCGTTTCCTCCTGCGCATTTTTAATATCTGATAGAAGAGCTTATGGGTGCTTATCTTTGCATGCCTGTAACTCTGTTTGCAGAGTGTATGAATGCACACATTTTTCCATTTGGTGGTTTTCTGATCCTAATTCTTCCTGTCAAATCAAGTTTCTCTCCTTCTGTAAAGCTTATTTCAATGCTTAAATCCTCCCTGAAGTGTTGCTGTATAACCTGCCCTGCATAATCATGACACTCACTCACGTATCCCCACAATACCTTGTAAGCACTCATAGATTTTGAAAATTCATAGTTTCTGTATAATGCTCGAAGTGATTGAGGTTTCCTTGTGTGTCTCTAAGCCGGCTCACCAGACTGGGGAAGGAGATCAAGATATAGAGGATGCAGTAGGAGCCATTTGGAGAGAAGATACATTTTGCATTTATTCAAAATATTGAAAAAGAAAATTACTGAATGAAATAGGCATCCTCTGTTTCCAAAGGATCTATTTTTAAGTCAGTTATACAAATACTGAACACCTATCCGTAATTACAATGAGTTCTACAAATGGAGAAGTACAGGGAGTCAACAGGAACATATGTCACTGTGGGTTCAATGAAGGTCTCCTAAAGGGAGTGAGAGTTGACCTAAGGTGTAGGAAGTGAGTTAGTCATCAGTAGTTGCAGAAAGGTTTCCTAAGCCAAAAAACAAACAAACAACAACAAAAAACCCCAGCATATCCAAAATCCCTGGAGTGACAATATAGAGCAGCTTAAGGGGCAAAGAATTGAATTATGCTATGCCAGAGATGCCACAGTAAGGACTATGCTTTTATACTAAAAGAAATGATCAACATTCATGGTTCATAACAGTGGATTGGGAGCAGAGAGAAGGGAGAAGGAGAGAGGTCTTCTTATCAGATTTGCTTTTAAAGTGAAAATTTTGGCAATATTTGGAGAAAGGAGTGGATGGAGGTGATAAAACTGGATGTTGCATAAAAACTAGAAGGGTATTTCTGTGGTTTAGATATTTCTGGATCTGAATAACTGTGTGGATGATGGTGGCATTTTTCTAAGCTAAAAATCACAGGAGAATTTTGTGGGAAGGTCATGAACTCAGTTTTGGACCCTGGAATTTTCAGTGTCTGATACAACTCCAGGAAAACCCTTAGTCTGTAGTGCTTGAAAATGAATCTGACTAGCTGTGGGGTCTCTGTTAATTAATTGACACTGCACTGTGTATTCACTTAATTGTAGTCATTCTTCAGAAAGCCCATGCATCCCTTTAGTCACCTGCACTTTCCTGCATCCTCATCTCCATATCACGGTTCTCTACCCTCATCAACTCCCCCTGCCCCCAATCTGGAAACCCATTGCTTATTTTAAGCACTTTCCCTAACTCTCAAATCCACTTTTTCTCTGTGAACTAGTTATGGTAGTCTGGACCCCCAAACAACTAGTTAAATAAGTCAGATACAAATGCAAAATTATTCAAACATAATAGAATTATTTCTTGCTTATGAATGATACCTGCAGTGAGTAGGTCTGTGTTGGCCATTCTTCACATCAGTGCCTCAAGATGACAGAAGCTCTGCCTTCTTCCATGGCTTCTACATCCAGCCCCCTTTCCCCACCAAGTGACTACCTCCAATCCAGGCAGCTAGTAGGGAAATGGTATGGAGAACATGAGCAGGGAGTTTCATGAGCCAGGAAGAGCAGAGAGCCACATTATATCTCCTTATATGTTACTGATTTTAGCTCAGTTACAAGGCCACACTGAACTATATTGGTCTAGTCCGGTTAAGTAAAAAAGCAAAATGGTGGTATTAAAATGGAAGCAAAAATGACAAGGTCACAAAAAGCAGAAATATTGAGGATCTGCCTAAGATTAGAGAAGACAAGGGAACCATGACAAGTAAATGCAACATGTGACCCTCAATTGGTCCTGGACTGGGAAAACGGTATTAGTGAAGCAAGTGATGAATTTGAATAAGGCCTGTAGATTAGATAATAGTGCGGTATCAACATTAATTTCCTGATTTTAATATTTGTACTGTGATTATGTCAGTTAACATTTGGGGAAGCTCAGTGTATATGAAAATAACTTTTGCAATCTTTTCGCGTCTAAAATTATTTTTAATGACAATTTTAAAAGAGAGAAAATAAAAGTCTCATGGACTCATACAGACTTGTATAAGATAAGAGGGATATGGAACGGAACATTTTCAAGGAGCTAAGAAAAGGTATATTAAGAGTAAGTGGATATCATTTCTATTAGGGTAAGAAGTTTTCATGAGATAGCATGGTCTTAGAATCTACTTAGAATCTCCCAAGTTGGAGTATATGTTTTTAAAATAAACTTTCTATTGCTGAATAGTACACTCATTACACTTTACTTCTGTGTAACAACCACCCAGATTATAAAATAGAACACTGTCATACTTTTAGCTTATGTTCTTCTAAAAAGCAGAACTGGAGACAAAAACTTGTATATAGCTAGTTTAATTTGAAATATTTCAGTGAATAAAACTGGGGGAATTTAGAATAGTGAAATAAGGAAAGAAAGAAAGCCAATTGAATAGTTGAAAATTGAACTGGTTACCACTGTGTGCAAAGAGGCTTCAATCCTACTGGCGATCCTCTGATCAACTGGGAAGGTCTGTCTGCTGTACACATGGAAGAAGAGATTTGCTGAACACACCTGCTTTGCACTGCCCAAGAGGTCCTAACACCCTCACACTTCCAGATTCGTACACTTGGTTAAATGGCTCAGTAGACTCTTTCAGGTGCCCTATGTGCAGCAAAAGAGAATTTTCAGTGCAGGAAGAAAGAGATAAACAGTAAAATCAAGGACATATGTTCTCAAGCTATATTTATGCTCAACTGATTGCTGTGAATGACCAATTGTAAACATTTGGCCAAGAGAATGGGGTACAATGGATGTTCAGCACAGTTCATCCCTTGCATCTTGGATCCACTCATGCTTTTTCATTAACTAAATCAGGACTATCACAAAAGACTGCAAAGTGTCAGATAGTTACAATCTCTCCAAAAGACTCAACACAAAAGGACCAGTAAAATAATTTACAGACTCACCAACTATAACTGATCTGGGGCTGTCTGTTCTGCTTATGATGTCTATTATCTCTCACTCATTTAGATTTTTCTCGTCGTATCCAGTAAGGTGAACAGTATAAGGGATCAGAGTCCTTGGTTGCTTTTGCCTTAATTGAGCCATAATTGGAATGATTTCCCATTTACAGTTGTAACTGGACATAGCACCAAGAGATAAACCTGTGATTATTCTGGGGTCTAGATATCATCCTTTCTGTCTCTATTGTGTGGTATCTTGCTTTAACACTCATATAAATCAGTGTCGATCAATCCTACCAATATAGTAACTTCATTTATTTCTTACCAGTCAATCAGCATGAGAACTCGAACATCGTTATGGGTAATCACAGCTTTGGGTTCACTGAACCCTTACTGTTTACCTGTAGGGAAGTACTGCTCATCCCAACACGCACACATAGACACACACACACATACACACACACACACACACAGATGCAAGGATGCAAACACTTCTAATCCAGCGTAATTGTGGACAAATGAAGTAGAAATTCCTCAACCATTTGATAGTTACAAGTGCTGATTCTATGTCTAAGCCTTGGTATAAAAATCCATGTATTTTAGGTACTACTGATTCTGTATAGTATTCGGTCACTGGTTTAGTACATATATTACATCCTGAAGGACAGCACCAAAGCCCCCTACTTGACACTTCAGCTGAGCATTTAATAAGACTTTACATTCCATCTCTCTACCAGGCTGCCTGTTTCTGAGCGAAGCTATATCTGAGAGGAGCACTGAGACTTTTGGTTTAGTTGCCCATTGCCATACTTCCATGATTAAAAAAAAATTCCTTGTTTGAGGAGATCTTATTCCGGGACTCATGAAAGTAAATCAAGCCTTCTCTAGACCCTCAGATGGTGGTATTGGCAGAGGTATTTTGAGCAGGGAGGGCAAGCTCATTTCCAGGACAGATATCACTTTTAGTAAGGACAAAATTTTACCCACTTCAGACTAGAAGTGATCCAATCTAATCAATGTGCCACTGGGAAACTTGCTCATCCTCTTGAGGAATAGTGCAATTTCAAAGGCTAAGTATTGGTTTCTGCTATCAATAGCTTGGCCCTCCATCAGTAGCAGTATTTAGATTCACCTTAGTTAGATGGAGTCTATAATTTTGAACCAATAATAGGCTCCATTCTGTCATCATGAGTACTTTATTGAAAAGCCCATTGTATGTGCATAGAATCACTAGCTTGAGGCAACACTCTAATCAGCTGCAGGAAAAATCATCCTGTAAAACTATCGAGTGCTTCCCTGCACATTGATTTGACACAATGGTGAATGGCACTTTTTTGTTTTGTTTTGCTTTGCTTTTATTTTTGTTTTTTGCTCCTCTCTCTTCTGGTGAATGGCTTCAGCTCCTTTTGGCAAAATATTGGGGTAGTATTTATTGTATATACATGCAGTGGTATTTAAGACCTTTCCCCAAATGAACTGCCCTTGCTGTTTCATTGTAGGTCTCTAGTCAAAGTACTGGCTTAGATCTGGAAATTTTAGGAAAAGTTGCATTATTCTATTGTTACAGCTGAATTCAATCCTTTGCTTTTAAGCTGTTGTTAGTTTTCTCTGGTTAAGCCAAACAACATCCTATTTGCTTTCTTATTTGTCTCTCTTCTTGCTTGTCTTAGTTTGTTCAGAATGCTATAGCAAAAATACTATAAGCTGAGTGGCTTAAAATAACAAAAAATTATTTCTCATGGTTCTGGAGGCTGGGAAGTCTAAGGTCGAAAAACAAGAGCACTTGGTGTCTGGTGAGGGCCTTTTTCCTGGTTCATAGATGTCACCTTCTCATGGTGTTCTCACATCATGGAAGAGGTGAGCTAGTTCTCTGCGGTCTCTTTTATAAGAGCAGTAATCCCAATCATGAAGGCCATAGCCTCATAATCTAATCACCTTCCAAGACTCCACTTCCTAATACCGTTACTGTGGGGGTTAGGACTTCAGCATATGAATTTGGAGAGGATATAGGCATTCACACAATAATATTTATATCACTTTGTTTAGAATTGTATCCTTTTTGCCTCTGTCATTTAAGCCCTATCACCTAGCCTATGCTAGGAGGGATCTTATCAACTCCTTAATGTTGCCAGAGGAGACTTGGCGGTGGGAGGAGGTGTGGCATTTTTTCTACTTGTACCTTGGCTCCTCTCATAATTATATTCTAGACTAATTTGTAGCACACTCCATCTTTTAGCTGCAGGAGATGAGTCTCTAAATGCTACCATGGAAGATCTTTGGCTTTCTCAGGGTGAGGTGAGTTGATGGTTAATCTGATTCTGCTTCTGTCTTCTTCAAGGATTCTAAATTTTTAAATAAAACCAGGTAATTATCACAGACACTATAACATTCAAGTGTCTACTAGGGCTTCAACAAATGCTTCATTTTTCATCTGTACCTCAGTATAATCAACCATTGATCAGGTTTTAGTAACCATAATTTATTACACATTGAGGGATTATCAATATTCTAATTTCACCTGCAATAAGATCAGATTCTCTTCTGATCAATAAGTGGTCTTATTCCAGAATCTGAGATTACCAACATGTTTGGATTGGGTTTCCTCAAAAAGCAAAGCCTGAATCAAGGGATTGTTGACAAGTAGTTAAAAGTAGGAAGTAATTAGAGGGAACATAATCGAAGGTTTTAAGATTAGAAAAACCCATAAGAAGGAAAATCCAATCCAAGAGTGCATATTGAGCTAGTGTGTGTTGTGGGTACTTGGGGCTCCATGTAGCTGGAGATCCCTGAAAAGCAGTGCAGAGCAAATCTCAGAACTGCCTACAAGAAACCAAGAAAAGGGTAATATCAACAATTTTTTCCTGCCTGATATTGACCAAAGCAATAGAATGTAGTGACTACCTTGTATTTATATATTTACATAATTTCTGGTATGTTTGAGAACATTCCTACAGTTACAGAATGTGACAGCTGCAGAGAAGCTCCAGATAGAAGGTAAGAGACACAGAATCCAAGTCATGAAGAACGTAGCTGAAGGACACCTATGTTCAGCTCAATGCTGCAGCAGTGGCTAACACAAAAAGGTAGGCTTGAGAGAATGTGATTTGGGGAATAGGGATGAACTTCAAAAAGAGTATTCTGTAAGTCCTTCCTGTGTTCCTATCTGGTCACTACCCATCACAGATTGACTTGTAACAGCTTAGATAACTTTGGTCAGTTTTTGAATTTCGTATAAATGGGTATGTGTGTATTTTAGCAGATATTTACAAGGAGTTTTCCAAGTAGGTGAACAGTTTTCATTACTACCAACCATGTATGAGGATCCCAGTGACAACATCTGTTTATTAACCCTTAATTTATCAGTCATTCTGTTTTTAACTATTCTGGTAGGTCTCTAGTAGAGTCTGCCTGAGATTCTAATTTGCATTTCCCAGACAACTAATAAAGATGCATACAGTATAATATGCTTTTGGAAGCATATAATATAGGAAGCTTTTGGAAATTTCTGTTGTGGGATATCAAGTTTTGCCCATTTTTCCATTGGTATGCTGTTTTTTTTTTTTTAATTGGGTTATACAATTTGTAACTGCAGTATTTGTTTTCACCCATTCTGATATTGGTCACCTGCAGGTTTGTTTCTGCTGTCTGCTTTTCTACTTTCTTTGTTTTAGCATGCTTAAACATTTTTGAATGACTGCTCAGAATTTTATACAAAAAACTAAGAATTCTACAGATAATGTTCTCTCCCTTCATACAGGCTGTATCCTGTGCTCTGGTAGTTTGTGCAGGGAACAGAAAATTGGATAACCTCAAATCTCTTAGGGACTGAAGTGAATCATGGCTTGTTTATGGTCTGTGTAAGGTGCAGTCTTTCTCTGGTTTACCCACACTCCTAGGGTGTAGTACCTGGAGGGAAATAACTGAGAGCTTGGGATGATTCCTAGAGTCTTCCTTCTTTTCGATTCCTTGATTCCATTTTGTCTTCTAGAACGGCAATACTGCCAACAACTGCACTGTGCTTTGCAGTTCCTTTTTGCTTTGTTTTTTATTCTCCTTCACTAAGGAGATTATCATCATACAGTCTACCACACAGATTAATGTAGACAATGTGTTAACAGGACAGAAGGTGCTAAATATCACTTTCACATCTCTGTGCTTCCCTCCTCTCTGAGATTTTGGCCCCTTACCCCGCTGGTCATCTTGACCCATCAACTCCAATATTTTGTTCTGTCTCCTCCATGGGATGGCCGGGAGTTTGGTGGTTCCTCTTCTCGTTAACATCTGCCTTCTGTCTTGGTTCTCAGCCTTTCCCTCAACCCCCAGTGGGCAAATGCTTAAGGGGAAATGTGGCTTGCATAAACTTAGGTTCTCCTACATAAGCTCCCTTTCCTCCAGGGTCTGGCTTTTTAAGTTATGAGTACAGTGTAAACTCTCCAATTCCTCCAAACAGTTTTTGGTATTTTACTTCCCTTTTCTAATTGTTCTCAGTGGGAGCATTCACCTGTGTCAAGCTTCCCCATCAATATCCGAGAGTGAAGTTTCCTAAAATAAAATCTTAATTTTATTTTTGTTATGTCTTCCAATAATTTCCTCTAGTAAGTGTTCCCTCTTTTTACTGTCACCTCTATTTTCCTCTTTCTCTTGACTAGAGCATTTTTCCTTTCGCTGTAAACTTTCTTAATTTTCTGTCAACTCAAAGGAGGAAAAAAATCAACTTTGACCTTGTCTTACAATTGAAAATAGCTATTTTTTTCCTTAAGGCAAGTTTATTTAAAACAAACAACAAACAAAAAACCTAAAGATTTTATGTCTGCTATCTCCACTTTCTTACATCCAATTCCCTCAACAACCTCTACCTCTTCTTATTTTATTTATTTATTTATTTATTTATTTATTTATTTATTTATTTAGTTTTGAGACAGGGTCTCACTGTCTCCCAGGCTGGAGTGCAATTGCGCAATCACGGCTCACTGCACCCTTGACTTCCCATGATCATGCAATCCTTCACCTCAGCGTCTCATGTATCTGGGACCACAGGTGCGCACCATCAGGCCCGCCTAATTTTTATATATTTTTTTAAGAGACAGGGTCTCACTGTGTTGCCCAGGCTGGTCTCGAACTCCTGGGCTCAGGCAATCTACCCACCTCAGCCTCCCAAAATGCGAGGATAACAGGCATGAACCACTGTGCCCAGCCTCTACTACTTAAATATGTTTTCCAAGCCTACCACTTTGCTGAAACTATCCTAAATTCCGTAGATGCTTTCATTTGATTCAAGACTTTTTTCCTTAGTGAAACGCTATTTCATTTGATGGCTCCTCCCCTTCCTTTCTGAAACTGAAACTGGCTGACTTTTTCACTCTGAGCCACCCTTGAAGCACCCATAGCTAGTATTTATCCTACCTTTCACATTTTCTTCACCTCTTTTTCCGCCTATATGTTTCATGCTTATGTTTTGTGAGTCCAGCTCATTGTTTTTAACTTTCCTGCTTTCTTTGGGCAACTTTATATTTTCCTTTGGTTTCAGCTACTGTCAAAATGCGGATGCCATGAAGACATGAATTTTTATCCCAAGACTTGACTATTGTCTTGACATCATAATGGTGAAGAGTAAGAATTCTAGTGTTATCATGCCTGGGAGTGATCTTGTCCTTGAGAGTTATTATTTGGGTGAATTAATTTACTTTAATAAAATGAGCATCATAATAAAGTACCTCCTAAGGTATTTGTGGCAATCTTTCTACCTACTGAGCTGATTGAAGGCTTCCTTATTATAGTCTTTATAGGCACTGTCTTTCACCCCAAATCAGCATAAGACCACGAGGGACAACTCGTAGTTCAACAAATTCAATTTTATGGCCTTATTGCACTGAGGTTTGTGGTACACCAGGGGCTCTATGGAATATTACTTGAAACAAAATAAAATATTGTATTGTTATTAGTGTAGGAGAAGGATGGAGTTTAAAGAAAATTTAAATAAAGCCATATATGTGTTTGTATGTGCAAATGCATGTGTGTGTGTAGGTGTGTGTGTGTTATAGGAAGACACAAAGTAGCACACAGTGGCTAAAAGCTTAGCTTGAAAATATTATTCTAGGAGTCAATCCTCGCCCCATCAGTTAACATGTTACGTGACTTCGGGAAGTTTTTCAAACTTTTTTGTCCAGTTTCCTCATCCATAAATTGGGGTTACTATATTTTATAGGATCATCTTGATGATTAAATGACTTAATTAATGTAAAGCATTTTGAACAATGCCTGACACATAGGAAGGGTTTTGCTGCTATTGTTGTAGTTGTTATTATTATTATTGTTATTTATTATTACTTGATAGATGCAATGGAGGAGATGCAGAAATTATTGAAGAACCATCTGATACATAAACTATGTACAGGTGTCAGTCTTAGAGAACCTACTAACCAATAATATGGATATTTCCATTTAAACAATAGTTACTCAGGATTATTCTGACAAAATTATGTTTAGAATTACATTCCTAGCTGGGGTTGTAGCAATTTCATTAAGTTGAGGCACTAAAAAGTTTTTGAGAAGCTTTTTATTAGCTGTTCTTTAAATAATTTGGGGGCAAAAGATGCAGTTCAAAATATGAGAAATTTATCTCTGTAATAATAATTTTTATTTACCCAGTATCTTTCATTTGAAGTTTTAAAAACTTTCAGATGAACATATATAATACATATACATATATGAAAGCAGAACAAGAGAGAGAAAAAAAGATTACATTTAAGAAGCTGGAGAATAAAAACCTTGGCAACAGTAAAGTTGATTTTTTTTTATAAAAATACATCTTTATTCAATACTTTTGCAAACATAAAAGTAGAAAACAAAAGTATACTCAGAATTTCACTAAACAAAGAAAATTATATCAACATGAGTACACTTGTCAAAATAATTATCAATTACATGAAAATACTCATACTGAATATTTTGATAGGCATTAATTATACTGTTTAGGTGTATTTATCTAGATGTAATTTTATTTTGTGGGATTGTAAAATCTAATAATAAATAACGTTTGAGAAGAGACATTTTAAAGAAAAATTCCTAGCATAAATGTATAGATTATTTGTACAATTAAGAAAACAGTTTATTTGAGATTGTTTTCTCTTACTTTTCATGTCTCATTTTGAAAGAAGATGTCAATACTTACATTCATTTTAGTAGACAGCTCATTCCAGTGATTGGCTCAGGTTCTGAATCTTAAGCCAGATTCCTGCCAGAATAAGTCACACAAATAGTAACAAATTAGCCCTGTTGTTGGTAGCCTTTCTCATCTGCCAGCTCTTTCTTGGTCAGAAATGAACCAGTCCTTTGCTGTTGCTTGACTGCTGGAATTAAGGCAGTAGCTTTTCCAGGTTTTCTGTCTTCTTGCTCCTAGATAGGAGCAGAAGGAGAACAATGACAAGAGCCCTTGTGGTTGCATTGTATTATTTTTTCAAGTCAAAAAACAAAACAGATAATTTGTTCAAAATAATAATTTTGGTTCTCATATTTAGATTTTTTTACTTTTACAAAATATAATTTTTTAATATATATTTCACCTTTATTCACTACCTCTGTTTAATGAGTAGAGGCCAAGAATTGCATGATCTATCTCTATTTCTCAAAATTAAAATATACATTTATTATAACAAATTTGCAATGTGTCAAAGAGTAACAAAGTAATTTCAGAAGATTCAGAATTATGTTCCAAAGACAGAGGGTTAATTACTACACTTTAGAAAATATTCCAAGTCATTAAAGAAAAAAATTCTTTTGAATATCAAGAATTATATTTAACTTATTGCAATAATAATTTACCCATTGTTTCCTTGGCTAACTGAGGCATTATAATATCAATGATTTCTGTACTTATATATCTATATAGAAAACTATAGTCTATATTTTTAAAAATAATGTTTATCAGGGTAGAAAACATATCAGTAATCATAGTTATATACTGGCTAACAATATCTCCTAGGTATTTTACTTTGAAGGGAATTTTGACAACTTCATAAGCATTAATTGATTAAGGGTTGAAACTTAAAATGAAGTGTATATTATATATACACCACCATATATAAACCACCATAATGGGTGGTTTATTCACTGCTCTCAGTAACTTCACTTTTAATATCTTATCACTGTTGGTAACCTGGAAAATGGCCTAGGCATAGATAGGAAACTCACCAGGACCCTAAAGATAGCTGATTTCACCTATGAGGATCTGGTAGTTTTATACAATTAGTGGAAGTTGCATATATACATTACCCACATAAAAAACAAACTCAAAAAGTATTTGCAGCATTTGACTAGTACAAAAACCCGACTGTTGCCAAGATATTCATCAGTAATGTTAATACATTATTAATGACGTTTTCTGAAAAGTACAATACTTAAGGCATTAATACAGGAGGTAGTTTATTTAGGGCAAGAACAAGTAACTGAACCTAGACTCCAAATGATTACATAGTATTTGTTTTATTTTTAAGTATTGATTGTCTTATAACTACTCAATAGATTAGTAGAGAAGAATACTAGTATGAATAATACAAAAGGAAAGATAATAAAAAATACTTCGTTTTTGAGCATATTTTTATCACTAAATATATTTGTTTCTTATACTATTCCTAAAGCAAGTAATATTTTTATTAATGGGTTTACATAGATATAATTCACATGCTGTAAAAATTCCTAATTTTAAGTGTGCAATTTATATGGATTTTAGTATATTTACAGAGTTATGTATTCATAACCACAATCTAATTAAAAAAAAAAAAAACAACTATCTCTCCCGAAAGCAACCTCATTAGGCGTCAATTCTCATTCTGACTCCAAGACCAGCTCTAAGCAACAACAGACCTACTTTCTGTCTCTCTAAGATTTGCCATAGTGGATACTCCATGTAATTGGAATCACACAACATAGGGTATATTGTGACTGACTTCGTTCAGTTAGTGTAACATTTTCAAGGTTTATCCATACTGTAGCATATATCAGTACTTTATTCCTTTTTATAATTTGATTATATTATATTTTATTTATCTGTGTATCAGTTGATAGACATTAGTGTTTTTCCATTTAGGAGTTATTATTAAATAACACTTCTATGAACATTTATGTACAAGTTTTTTTGCAAAACTGTGTTTTTAATTTTTTCTCAGGTATATATGTAGAATTTGTAGAACTGTTAGATTATACGCTAATGCTAACTCTATTTTTAAGATTTTGAGGTGTTGCTAATGTGTTTTCTAAGTAACTGCACTATTTTACATGGCCACCAGCAATGTATAAGTGTTCCAGTTTCTATCCTCAGTCCTCACCAACACTTGTAATTAACTATCTTTTAAAAATTACCAGTCTTGTAGATTTGAAGGGGAATCTCACTGTGATTTTGATTTGCATTTCCCCATGACTTATGATGTTCATCATTTTTTCATGTGTCTATTTGTTATTTGTATATCTTCTGTGGAGAAATGTCTATTCAGATTCTTTGCTTATTTTTAATTAGGTCATTTATTCTTATATTATTGATTTCTAAGGGCTCTTTTCTTATTCAGGATATAAGACCCTTATCAAATATGTGATTTGTAAATATTTCATCTCATCATGTGGGTTTTCTTTTCACTCTCTTAATGGTATTGTTTAAAGTACAAACATTTTTAATTCTGATGTGTCTAATCTACTCATTTTTTCTTTTTCCACTTATGCTTTCAGCATCATATCTAATAAACCACTGCTAAAGCCAAGGCCGTGAAGATTTATTCTGTTTTATACTGAGAGTTTTATATTTTTAGCACTTCCACCTTGGTCTGTGATTAATTTTTAGTTAGTTTCTGTACATGATGTGAGGTAGGGAGTCCGAGTTAATTCTATTGTATGTGGATGTCCTCTTGTCCCAGCACCATTTATTCTAAGAATTATGTTGTTTTATTGAGTTATCTTGACACCATTGTCAAAAATCAACCGACCATAAGTGTAAGGGCACATTTTTGAACTGAAATATATTCCATTAATCTGTATGTCTGTTCATATTCTTCTACCATCCTGTCTTTTTTCTGTAGTAAATTTTAAAATTAGGGAATGTGAATCCTCCAAAGTAGTTTCCTTTTTCTAAGACTGTTTTGGCTATTATTAGCGACTTGAATTTCCACATGAAATTTTAATTTTAAGCCTGTCAGTCTCTATTAAAAGCAGGCTGGGAGCTGGATCGTGTCTGTAGTCTCAGCAGTTTGGAAGTCCAAGGTGGGAAGATCAGGTGAGGCTAAAAGTTCAAGACCAGCCTGGGCAACACATTGAGACCCCCCAGCTCCATTAAAAATTTAAAAAATGTTATCCACAAATGATGGCATGTACCTGTAGTCTCAGCCACTTCAGAGGCTGAAGTGGGAAGATCACTACCACCTAGAAGTTTGAGGCTGCAGTGAGCCATAATTGTGTCACTACATTCCAGTCTGGGTGACAGAGCAAGACGTCGACTCAAGAAACTAAGATAAAATAAAAATAAATAAACAAGCAAACCAATAAATAATAAATAATTTAGAAAACAAAACTAAAAGCAGACTGTGATTTTGACAAGGATGTTGTTGAATCTGTAGAATAATTTCTGGAGTGCTGCCACTTTAACAATGTTGCCTTCTTACCCAGGAAGTATGAATGTCTTTTTCATTTCTTTAGATCTCCTCTACATTTTCTCAACAATGTTTTAGAGTTTTCAGTATGAAACTCTCACACTTTTTGTGTTCAATGTATTCCTAACTATTTGTGATGGTTAATATTGAGTGTCAACTTGATTGGATTGAAGGATGCAAAATATTGTTCCTGGAAGTGTCTGTGAGGGTGCTGCCAAAGGAGATTAACATTTGAGTTAGTGGCCTGGGAGAGGCAGACCCACCCTCAATCTGGGTGGGCACCATTCTAGTCAGCTGCCAGCATGGCTAGAATAAAGCAGGTAGGAGAAGATGGAAGAGCAGACTTGCTGAGTCTTCCGGCTTTCATCTTTCTCCTGTGCTGGATGCTTCCTGCCCTTGAACATCAAACTCCAAGTTCTTTAGCTTTTGGACTCTTGGACTTACACCAGTGGTTTGCCAGGGGCTCTCAGGCCTTTGGCCACAGACTGAAGGCTGCACCATCGACTTCTCTCCTTTTGAGGTTTTGAGACTAAAACTGGCTTCCTGGCTCCTCAGCTTGCTGGCAGCCTATTGCGGGATTTTATCTTGTGATCATGTAAGTCAATACTCCTTAATAAACTCCCCTTCATACATACTTATATCCTATTAGTTCTGTCCCTCTAGAGAACCCTGACTGTTATTTTACGCTGTTATTTTTATGCTATTCCAAATGGAAGTTTTTCATGATTCCATTGTTCGTTGCTACTTTATAGAAATATTTCTTACAGTGATCTTTTATCCTGAAACCGTGCTTAACTTTATTATTATTTCAAATAGCTTTTTCTGACCAAATTACTGAGAATTTTCTGCATATAAGGTAACGGCATCTGCAAATAGAGATCGTTTCTTCCTTCCTTCCTTTTTTCCTTCCTTCCTGCCTTTTTTTTTTTTTAATCCAAATGTCTTTTTTCCTTGCCTAATTTCTTTGGCTGGAATGTGTAACACAATGTTGAATAGAAGAGGCAAGAGCAGACATTTTACTTTTGTCACTTTCAATTCCTTTTTCTTTTTTATTCTTTTGTTACCTTCAATTCCTAGTTTGTTGAGTGTTTCAATCCTGAAAGGATGTTGGATTTGTCATACTTCTTCTCTGTTTATTAAGATGATTATGTGGTTTTGCCCTTTGTCCTTTGTATGGTGTATTACATACAATAAAATAGGAAACAAAGCCTTGCAAACATAAGAAAAAATTGCCCTTTTCTATGGTACCTAATATATTTTTATATGGTACCTAATATATTTTTATATGTTGCTGTATTTTAAAAAATTACAAAACTGCATTCATGATAAAAATTCCACTTTGTCATGGTATATAATATTTTTATATATTGCTGTATCTGTTTTTCCAGTTATTTTTTATTGTGGTAAAACATGCAAAGTATAATATTTATCATTTTAACCATTTTTAAGTATACAACTAAGAGGTATTAAATACCTTAACAATGTTGTGAACTCATTACCACTGTCTATACCAAAAACATTTTCATCATCTGCAAGAAAAGCTTTGTACCAGTTAAGCAATAACTTCTCACTCTTTTCTCCTCCTCAGCTCCTGGTAACCTAAATTCTACTTTCTGCCTCTTTGGATTGGCTTATTCTGGGTATAACATACAAGTGGAATTACAATATTTGTCCTTTGATGTCTGGCTGATTTCACTTTGCATAATGTTATCAAGGTCCAGGCATATTATGTCATGCATAAGAATTATTTTTCTTTTTAATGGCTGATTATATGACTCTACCGTATTTGTTTGTCCATTCATCTTTTTATAAACATGTGGATTCTTTTCATCTTTTGGCTATTCTGAATAATGGAACAATGAATATTTGTAAACACATATTTGTTCAAGTTTCTACTTTTAGTTTTTTTGCATACATACCAAAAAAATGAAAAATGGAATTGTTGACTCATATGGTTGTTGTATATTCAATTTTTGAAGAAACACTAAACTGGTTTCCACAGTGGCTGCATTGGTTTACATCACTATCAGTAATACAAAAGGGTTCTTTTTTCTCCACATCCTACACACCAACACTTGTTATATTTTATTGTGGTTTTATATGCATTTTCTTACTGACTAATAATGTTGAGCATATGTTCATGAACTTATTGGTCCTTTGCATATCTTATTTGGAAAAATTTCTATTAAAATCCTTTGCCATGTTTGAATTGGGTTGTTTATTTTGTCGTTGCTGTTGTTGAATGTTAGAAGTTATTTTGCATATTTTGAAAAGCAATCTCTTATCGGATAATATGATTTGCAATAGTGTCTCCCATTCACTTGGTCGTCTTTTTGCTTCCTTGGTAGTGACCTTTGATGCACAAAAGTGCAAGCTCAATTCATCAATTTTTTCTTTTGTTGTTTGATCCTTGAAAGTTGCCAATATTAATGTCACAAAAAATGTCCCCAAAGTTTTCTCCTAAGAAGTTTTACAGTTTTAGGTCTTAAATTTTGAACTTTCATTTTTTTTTTTTTTTGTACTGGTATTTAGGTGTGGTTGACCATGTTCATTCTTTTGGATGTGGATACCTAGTTTTCTTCAGCATTATTTGATTTTTTTTTTCTGCTAGCTTGTGTTTAGTTTGCTCATCTTTCTCTAGTTACTTAAAATGTAAAGTTAGATTATTGACCCAATGTCATTTTTCAATGTAGGTATTTTCAGCTACCAATTACCCTCTGAGTACTGCTTTCACTGTTCCAATGTTTTGATATGTTGTGTTTTTTTTTAATTTTAGTCATTACTAAATATTTTTAAATTTCTCGTATGATTTCTTTTTGACTCAATGGTTGACTGTGTTTAAAAATTTCCACACGTTTGTGAATTTTTACAGGTTTTCTTTTTTTTAAGTTATACTTTAAGTTCTGGAGTACATGTGCAGAATGGGCAGGTTTGTAACATAGGTATACCTGTGCCATGGTGGTTTGCTGAACCCATCAACCCATCATCTACATCAGGCATTTATCCTAATGCTATCCCTCCCCAGGGCCCTCCACCCTTCAACAGGACCCAGTGTGTGATGTTCCCCTCCCTGTGTCCATGTGTTCTCATTGTTCAGCTCCCACTTATGAGTGAGAACATGCTGTGTTGGTTTCCTGTTCTTGTGTTAGTTTGCTGAGAATGATGGTTTCTAGCATCATCCATGTCCCTGCAAAGGACATGAACTCATCCTTTTTTATGGCTGCCTAGTTTTCCATGGTATATATATACCACATTTTCTTTATCCAGTCTATCATTGATGGGCATTTGGGTTGGCTCAAAGTCTTTACTGTTGTGATCAGTGCTGCAATAAACATACATGTTTAATTGCATGTGTGCATGTGTCTTTATAGTAGAATGACTTATAATCTTTGGGTATATACCCAGTAATGGGATTGCTGGGTCAAATGGTATTTCTAGTTCCAGATCCTTGAGGAATCGCCACACTGTCTTCCACAATGGTTGAACTATTTACACTCCTACAAACAGTGTAAAAGTGTTCCTATTTCTCCACATCCTCTCCAGCATCTGTTGTTTCCTGACTTTTTAATGATTGCCATTCTAACTGGCATGAGATTGTATCTCATTGTGGTTTTGATTTGCATTTCTCTAATGACCAGTGATGATGAGCTTTTTATTAATATGTTTGTTGGATGCACAAATATCTTCTCTTGAGAAGTCTCTGTTAGTATCCTTCACCCACTTTTTGATGGGGTTGTTTTTTTCTTGTAAATTTGTTTAAGCTCTTTGTAGATTCTGGACATTAGCCTTTTGTCAGATGGATAGATTGCAAAAATTTTCTCCCATTCTGTAGGTTGCCTGTTCACTCTGATGATCGTTTCTTTTGCTGTGCAGAAGCTCCTTAATTTAATGAGATCCCATTTGTTGATTTTGGCTTTTGTTGCCATTGCTTTTGGTGTTTTAGTCATGAAGTCTTTTCCCATGCCTGTGTCCTGAATGGTATTACCTAGGTTTTCTTCTAGGATTTTTATGGTTTTAGGTCTTACATTTAAGTCTTTAATCCATCTTGAGTTACTTTTTGTGTAAAGTGTAAGGAAGGGATCTAGTTTCAGCTTTCTGCATATGGCTAGCCAGTTTTCCCAACACTATTAATTATATAGGGAATCCTTTCCCCATTGCTTGTTTTTGTCAGGTTTGTCAAAGATCAGATGGTTGTAGATGTGTGGCATTATTTCAGAGGCCTCTGTTCTGTTCCATTGGTCTACATATCTGTTTTGGTACCAGTACCATGCTGTTTTGGTTGCTGTAGCCTTCTAGTATAGCTCGAAGTCAGGTAGCATGATGCTTCCAGCTTTGTTCTTTTTGCTTAGGATTGTCTTGGCTATGTGGGCTCTTCTTTGGTTCCATATGAAATTTAAAGTAGTTTTTTCCAATCTGTGAAGAAAGTCAATGGTAACTTGATGGGGATGGCATTGAATCTATAAATTACTGTGGGCAGTATGGCTATTTTCACGATATTGATTCTTCCTCTCCATGAACATGAAATGTTTTTTCATTTGTTTGTGTCCTCTCTTATTTTCTTGAGCAGTGGTTTGTAGTTCACCTTGAAGAGATCCTTCACATCCCTTGTAAATTTTATTCCTAGATATTTTATTCCTTTAGTAGCAATTGTGAATGGGAGTTCACTCATGATTTGGCTCTCTGTTTGTCTATTATTGATGTATAGGAATGCTTGTGACTTTTGCACATTGATTATGTATCCTAAGACTTTGCTGAAGTTGCTTATCAGCTTAAGGAGATTTTGGGTTGAGACGATGGGGTTTTCTAAATATACAATCATGTCATCTTCAAACAGAGACAATTTGGTAAGACAAAAAGATAAAGGGGATATCACCACCAATCCCACAGAAATACAAACTACCATCAGAGAATACTATAAACACCTCTACACAAATAAACTAGAAAATCTAGAAGAAATGGATAAATTCCTGGACACATACACCCTCCCAAGACTAGACCAAGAAGAATTCGAATCCCTGAATAGACCAATAATAAGTTCTGAAATTGAGGCAGCAGTTAGTAGCCTACCAACCAAAAACAGTCCAGGACCAGATGGATTCACAGCTGAATTGTACCAGAGGTACAAAAAGAAGTTGGTATCATCCTTCTGAAACTATTCCAAACAATAGAAAAAGACCTCCCTAACTCATTTTATAAGGCCAGCATCATCCTGATACCAAAGCCCGGCAGAGACACAACAAAAAAAGAGAATTTTAGACCAATATCCCTGATGAACATCGACGCAAAAATCCTCAACAAAATACTCACAAACCAAATCTAGCAGCACATCAAAAAACATATCCACCATGAACAAGTCGGCTTCATCCCTGGGATGCAAGGCTGGTTCAACATAAACAAATCAATAAACGTAATCCATCACATCGACAGAACCAATGACAAAAAGCACATGATTATCTCAATAGATGCCAAAAAGGCCTTTGACAAAATGCAACAGACCTTCACGATAAAAACTCTCAATCAATAGGCTTTCACTCTTTTTTCTCTAATCTTGTCTTCTCACTTTATTTCATTGAGTTGATCTTCAATTTCTGATATCTTTTCTTCCTCTTGATTGATTCGGCTATTGATACTTGTGTATGCTTTACGAAGTTCTCGTGCTATGTATTTCAGCTCCTCAGGTCATTTATATTCTTCTCTAAAATGGTTATTCTAGTTAGCAATTTGTCTAACCTTTTTTCAAGGTTTATAGATTTCTTGCATTGGGTTAGAACATGCTCCTTTAGCTTGGAGGAGTTTGTTATTACCCACCTTCTGAAGCCTACTCTGTCAATTCGTCAAACTCATTCTCCATCCAATTTTGTTTCCTTGCTGGCAAGGAATTGTGATCCTTTGGAGGAGAAGAGGTGTTCTGGTTTTTGGAATTTTCAGCTTTTTTGCACTGGTTTCTTCCCATCTTCGTGGATTTATCTACCTTTGGTCTTTTAAGTTGGTGACCTTCGGATGGGGTCTCAGTGGATGTCGTTTTTGTTGATGTTGATACTATTCCTTTCTGTTTGTCAGTTTTCCTTCTGAAAGTCTGGCCCCTCTGCTGCAGGTCTGCTGGAGTTTGCTGGAGGTCCTCTCCAGACCCTGTTTGGCTGCATATCACTGGCGGAGGCTGCAGAACAGCAAAGATTGCTGCCTGTTCCTACCTCTGGAAGCTTCGTCCCAGAAGGGCGCCTGCCAGATGCCAGCCAGAGCTCTCCTGTATAAGTTGTCTGTCGGTCCCTATTTGGAGGTGTCTCCCAGTCAGGATACACGGGGGTCAGGGACCCACTTGAGAGGCAGGCTGTCCCTTATCAGAGCTCAAACGCTGTGCTGGGAGATCCACTGCTCTCTTCAGAGCTGCCAGGTAGTGACGTTTAAGTCTGCTGAAGCTGCGCCCACAACCGCCCTTTCCCCCAGGTGCTCTGTTTCAGGAAGGGGGGGTTTTATCTGTAATTTCCTGACTAGGGCTGCTGCCTTTTTTTCAGAGATGCCCTGCCCAGAGAGGAGGAAATCTAGAGAGGCAGTCGGCCGCAGTGGCCTTGCTGAGCTGCAGTGGGCTTTGCCCAGTTCTGACTTCCCAGCAGCTTTGTTTACACTGTGAGGGTAAAACCACCTCCTCAAGCCTCAGCAATGGCGGACGCCCCTCCCCCCACCAAACACGAGCGTCCCAGGTCGAGCTCAGATTGCTATGCACTCAGGAGAATTTGAAGCTCCTGGATCTTAGCTTGCTGGCTCCTTGGGGGTGGGACCTGCCGAGCCAGGCCACTTGGCTCCCTGGCTTCAGCCCACTTTCTAGGGGAGCAAATGGTTCTGTCTCTTTGGCATTCCAGGCTCCACTGGGATATGAAAAAAAAGCTCCTGCGGCTAGCTTGGTGTCTGCCAACATGGCTGCCCAGTTTTGTGCTGGAAACCCAGGGCCCTGGTGGTGTAGGCAAAGGAGGGAATCTCCTGGTCTGTGGGTTGCGAAGACCATGGGAAATGTGCATTATCTGGGCCAGAGTGCATGGTACAATCCCTAATGGCTTCCCTTGGCCAGGAGAGCTTGCACTCCCCTGACCTCTTGCACTTCCCTGGTGAGGTGACATCCCACCCTGCTTCAGCTTGCCCTCCTTGGGCTGCACCCACTGTCCAACTAGTCCCAATGAGAGGAATTGGGTACCTCAGTTGGAAATGCAGAAATCACCTGCCTTCTGCATCGATCTCGCTGGGAGCTGCAGACCGGAGCTGTTCCTATTCAGCCATCTTGCCAGCAAATCCTCAGGTTTTCTTCCTTTTTTTTTTTTTTTAATTTCATCTTATTGCAATCAGAGAAGATAATCTGAATATCCATCCTATAAAACATATTGAGACTTATTTTCAACTGTAATGTATGGTCTATCTTGAAGAATGTGCAATTTTGAGAATGATGTACATTCTGCTGTTTTGGGCTGAAGTATTCTATGTATGTTAGGCCTAGTTTATTGTGAAATTTGATTTTTCTATTCCATACATATATTCTGTCTTTCTTTTTTTTTTTTTTTTTTTTTGTAACCATTCCTTTAGTTTTAAATTATCTAAGTCTCTAATGAAAATGGAATTATTTATTGATAACATAGATTTGGGATTTTTTAAATTCATCCTGCTGTCTTTGTTTTTTATTTGTATTTACACCATTCAGATTTAAAGTAGTTTTGACCTAATTAGATTAACATTGGTGTAGTTAGGTAAAATATTGGTGTCATTACATTAATGTTTGTAACTATTTGTCTTTGTGTTAAATTTACAAGCAAGAGGAGATTATACAATGAGATCATATAAAATACAGCTGTCCCCTTTATCTGTGGTTTCACTTTTCCTTGCTTCAGTTGCTCACAGTCAACTTTGGCCTGAAATGTTAAATAGAAGATTTTATAAATAAACAATATATAAATTTTAAATTCTGTACATTGTGCATAGCATGATAAATCTTCCCACCATCTTTCTCCACCCTTCCTGGAACGTGAATCCTCCTGGTGTCCAGCGTACCCATGCTGTATGTGCCACTCGCCACTTAGTAGCTGCCTCAGCATAGATATTTTGGTTTTATTTTATTTGTGTTTGTTGAACTCCCTAGATTTCTGGTCAGGTCTCTGTCACTAATTTTAGCAAATTCTTATCTATCAGTACTTCAAATATATGTCTCCATTCTTTATTTCTTCTCTGGTATTCCAATCACATACACATTTGTAATTGCTCCATGGTTCTTGTAATTCTATTTTTGGATATTCTTTCCCCCCATTTCCATTTCCATTTGTTCTTATCTCTGTATTTCTGCTTGAAAAGTTTCCATCAATCTGTCTTTAAGATCACTGATTTTTTGACTGTTGAGTCCATTGAAGGCATTCTTCAATGCCGTTGCAATTTTTCTTCATTATTGTATCTAACATTTGCATTTTATTCTTTCTTTAGAGTTACCTTATCTCTGCTTTCATTATCCATATATTCTAGCATGCTGTCTACATTTTTTCATTAAAGCCCTTATCATACTAATTATAGTCATTGTGAAGCGGCATTGTTTTTCTGGGGTAATACTCGAGGTTCCTTGTCTCACACCAAGGAAATCAAGGGTTCAGACATACAAGGAATGACTTTGAGAGCAGAAATTTAGGCCTGGTGCGGTGGCTCACGCCTGTAATACCAGCACTTTGGGAGGCCAAGGCGGACAGATAACAAGGTCAAGAGATCGAGACCATCCTGGCCAACATGGTGAAACCCGTCCCTACTAAAAATAGAAAGATTAGTTAAGTGTGGTCCAGGTGCCTGTAATCCCAGCTACTCAGGAGGCTGAGGCAGAAGAATCACTTGAAACCTGGAGGTGGAGGTTGCAGTGAGCCAAGATCGCACCACTGCACTCCAGCTTGATGACAGAGTGTGACTCCGTCTCAAAAAAAAAAAACCACACAAAAAAAACCAGAAGTTTAATAGGCAAAGGAGAAAAGCTCCCTCGTGCAGAGAGGGAGGGTGTTCCAAATCAATCTCCCTGTTTGTGGCAAGATGTGGTTGGTTTTATAGATGAGCTTGACGAGGTGGTGTTTGATTTACATAGGGCACAAAGGATTGGTTGGACCAGGTGTGCCATTTACACAGTGTATGAAGAAGCTGGCCACCCCATCCTAATCTTTTGTTATGCAGATGGGTTACCTGACTGATCTGCGCCATGTTGCCTGCTTTTTACTGCACACGTGGTGACAAAGTAAAGGGAAGATGGAGCCTCCATGTTGAACATACCTGGTTTTCAACTATCCCTTTTCTATTCACACAGCTGCTGGCATTTACCTGTGCAAGCTTCTAGTTTGCTTATCTATGTTTGTAGCCTGATTTTTTAGACTAACTTTTTTTTTTAGAAAAGAAATGATTTGGGGGCTGCTTTTTATTAAAAGGAAATTCCACTGAGGATCTCTTACCCTCACTATCTGCCTAAATAATTTCTTTTTAGCTCCTGTATCAATTTTAATTTCTTTAGGTAAAAATTCCAACATTTATATATCATGTCTGAATCTGTTTCTAATGCTTGCTTTTTTTCCTTCAGATTCTATTTTTTCATGCATTTGGTTGCCTTTTATGGTTTCATAGAGTGATAACATGCTGTATCAGTTAATACCAATTCAGGTAAATGGGCCTTTCTTGTGATGATTTATGCTAATATGGTTAGGATTTTAGCTTTTTATTTAATGTTTGCTGTTACTGTCAGTGCCATTGACCTCAAGTTCCTCCAGTGTCCTTGTTGTTGTGCCTCCCTTTGGCTTTCGGTTTCTGTGATATCCCTCTTTTAGAGAGTCTCTATCTCGAATCATTTAAGCTCTAAATCACTGTTTTATGGGGTCTTCTTTGGTGGTGTTTTAAAGTACAAAAAAGAGAAACTTTTCTACAATCTTATGATTAAATCTGTCTCTTCATGGGCCTGTAACTATAAGCAGTAACTTTCACTGTGATTCTCTTCTGATGGAGATTTATTTTTTCTCTCCTTATGTGAGACAGTCAGAACAGAGTGGGTGGAGGTTGAGGAATGCCCTTGCTCAGGTGAGAAAAGACCCTAGGAAGTGTTTCCCTGGAGGGTGGACTTTTTTGTGGCCAGCACTCTAGGCCTATTTCGCAATGATTGCTCTTCCTCTCCTCTTCCAGAGTCATATGGGGATCTTATTTGGATCTTTACAGTGAGAAGCTGGTGTGTTCCTGGAGATAAAGCCCTGGAAAGTGCAACTGGCTCTCTGAGACTGCAGCTCCCAGAAGCTTCTCACCCTCACACTAGACCACATCCAGCCTCCTGTGATTCGTCACAATTACTGTTCCAGGGCTTGTACCAGTTAATGGCTCCAGCACTCCTGCTCCAGGTAAACAGATCTGTTTCTGTATCTCTCTGGATGTGTCTGTCTCTTCAGATTTCAGGGTGTCATTTTCCCCTCCAACTTCAGTTTTCTGATTGGCCCAATAAAATCATAAAACTTCATTTTGTTCTTTTGTTGTTGTTGTTATAAAGATAAGAGTGACTCCTGTTAAGCTCTTTACATGTCAAAGCTAGAACTTAAAAATCCCTTAAATGCATTATTCTAATTCGCAGTTCCGCTTGTAAACCAAAAAGAAAACCCTAAGCTCCCCAACCAGCTGAGTGGACTTCTTATGGGCCAAGGGAAACCTGAAAAACAGAATCCCCAATCATGACAGGAAAGGAGTTTGGACGCACCTCATTATACCCTCTCTCTTTTGGAGTTTAGGCACAACCGACCAGCATTAACATTAACACAGAGATCATGAAACTGATCAAATAGACTCTTTGTGGCAATAAGACACTAAATTCCAAGTTGACTCTGCTATAGCATCACATGACAAATAGCAGGCCCTGAAGGAAATAAAAGTATTTTACACCAAAATATATTTCTTGGACATATTTTGAAATGGCCCCCACTTCTGGGGTAAATTTGCATCTGTAGAAAATCCCCTTCCCTTTCTAGTTCTTTCCTGGATTTAGGAGAGATTTAACTAGGTTCTGATACACTTTAAGGTCTCAAAAGAGACATTTACCACCTATTCTTTCTGAAGTCAGATACTTAGAGGCTTCATCTACATAACAAGAACTGTGGCTTCCTCAAAACCCCTTATCTTAACTCAAGCATGTCTTTCTAGTGACTTCCTAAGTCTTTAGACAAAGCTTATCTCTCTCAACCAATTGTTAGTCAGATAATCTTTAAATCCACCTATAACCTGTGAGCCCCTCCATCAAATTCACGATATCCCATCTCTTTAGACTGAACCAATGTATACCTTGTATGTATTTATCTATGTCTTTGCCTGTAACTTCTGTCTCCCTAAAATGTATAAAGCCAACTGTAACCAAACAACCTTGAGCACACATTCTTAGGACCTTTTGGGACTGTGCTTGGACCATGGTTACTCATATTGACTCAGAATAAACATCTTTAAATATTTTACATAGTTTGGCTTTTAACATCAATACCCTTAATATACATTTTTTAGTTGTTTTCTTAGTTTATGCCCTGGGGACCCCAATTAGTATTTAAACATAAAACAATCAAAAACATTTTCTTCCTTACTATGCATATTTAGTAAGTGAGGAGATCCAAATTTCAGTACCTTAAAATTAATTAAAATAGTATGAATATTAAAATTTAACGACCAGACTATATTAAAGATTGATATAATAATGAAGATAGTTGAAGCTGGTTTATAATTCATTTTCTTTAAACCTTTTTCCTATTTAGAAAAGAAAAAGTACAGTTCACGGCCAGTGTTCATTTAATTTTACATAAACACACTCTTTGAGGCTGAAGCAAATCTGACTGATTTTCAACATGAAAATAAAATATAACAGCTGTTCTTGGAGTTATTTCTAAACAGAACTAATAGCAGAATTGTCTGAATCATCAGAATTGCCTATTTTGGAAAAACTGAATTCATCAAATGAATCTTCAGCCAGCAACTGTTTGAGAACTCATGAGTAAGAATGCTATGTTTTCTAGGATTTGGCATTTTCAGCAACCCAGAATTACTATATTTGGTAAATGGAAATCCCATTACTAAAACCAGAATACTATAAATAGAATGATGTCTTTTGTTTCCAAAATTGATATCCCAGAGTTATATGAAAATAATAACAAAAGAGAAATATTTCGTGGCAAAGTTATCTCAGGGTAAACATTACAGCCACGAACACCACCAACAACTATTTTCAGGGCAAACAGGAAAAGGTTTTATGCCCTTTATTAAATTAGTTATTTATATGTGTGCAAAACTCAAACTACAACCTGACAATAATGGCAAATTAAATTGCAAGCTCTAAAGTTTTGCAGGGTTTGATGAGAGCCATCAACTTCTTTTTGCATTTAAAATATTTCTGTTCTTTTTGCCTCCATTGATTCAGCCATTATAGTTTGCATTTTTGGGGTAGTTACCTGCCAATATTTAATATACACATTTAGATTTATAATTTTCTTTGAGTCTTAGGTTAACCTCCAGACTTAATCTCTTTTAGAATAAGAAAAAATCTTTTAATGATTTCAACTCCTATAATATATATTTTCTAGTATTCTATTTTGGCACTATTGAACTTTTCGATAGTCTGATGTGACAATCACTCACTGTAGAGTAATTTTCACTCAAAATTCTATGCATACCTTGTAAATATTTTATGATCTGGAAACTTGTTTTTCTGTCTGTCTAGAACAATTTTGCGGATTTTCTGATATAAATCCTTGACTATGATGGCTTCCTTCTGTTCCTCAGAGATAAATAAATCTAGTTTTGTTTATCAACTACTGTCTATATTGGGTCTTCTAGTTAATCCAGACTGACTTTTGACATTTTTTTACTCTGGTTGCCTTCTCTTGCTTAAGTATACATTTTGTTTTCATTTATGACATATGTTGATATTTTTTATACACCACTTGTAAGTCCCAGGGGTTCTGTGGGTTGGCTGTGACTTGAAAGCCTGATTGATCACCAAACAGTAATTCTGGTAAGTTAATTGACAGGAATTGGACGTTGTTATATTTACTATAATTTGAGACCCTAAAATTATCTGCTGACCTCTTTAGGGTTTAAGCACCAAACTGGAGAGGAGTTTCATTTACTGGTGCTTTTGTTTTGCTCTCACTGCTACCACTATGTGGCATAACGTACCAATTTTTTTTTTTTTTTTGAGATAGAGTCTCGCTCTGTTGCCCAGGCTGGAGTGCAGTGGCAGGATCTTGGCTCACTGCAAGGTCCACCTCCTGGGTACACACCATTCTTCTGCCTCAGCCTCCCGAGTAGCTGGGACTACAGGCGTCCACCACCACGCCTGGCTAATTTTTTGTATTTGTAGTAGAGATGGGGTTTCACCATGTTAGCCAGGAAGGTCTCGATCTCCTGACCTCGTGATCCACCCACCTTGGCCTCCCAAAGTGCTGGGATTACAGGCATGAGCCACCGCACCCGGCCGACACTGATGTTTTTAAAATCACTGCTGCCTGCCATTGCCATTACACCCTGTCATACACATATCTGTTTCTACAACAAGCAACACAGTTAAAAAACAAAATACAAAAACGCCTTCCTGATTTTACACTCTCATTTAATTTTTTCTTGTTTTGCTCCTCAAAAGACATATTAGAAACACTGCTCCAAATATTTGAATGTATACATTCACTGTTTGAATGTATAAATTATAAAATGTATATATCATTGTATGAAAATCAGGACATTTATAAACATACTGTTCATATATAACATATTGAAAGTGGCTTATTATGACTTAGCATTTTAACTCCCTGTACTACTAAAAGTAACTTTTACTTCTATCTTCTCAAAGCAAGAAGAATGTTTAAATCAAAACCTAAGGTATAATGAAAGCTCATTTCTTCCCACAAAAGGGAGGAATGTGGCTATCAGTTCAAGATTTCCTTTAAAATTATGAACAATTTTTCATGTACTTACCTTCAACTTTAATATTTGCATAGGAGAAAACCATACAATACAGAATACTCCTGCTGATGGAAATACACTTAATTTGATCGCCTGCTGAATTTTTGTAAATTCCATATATCTTTCAAAAAGGCCTGAGGAAAATTATATCTTCAGCTGTGTTCACTATTTAGAAAGAGGTAGTTTGAAAAAATACAGGTTGTCACTCTTTTTTTTCCATGAATTAAGAAAAAAAGTTAATTTGTGTTTGCTCCCCTATTGACACAGATGGAATCTCACTAGCTATTTAATTAAAACCTATATAACCTATTATTAGATCATGCTTTTATTCCAAGCACTTTTCTAGTGAAGTTTTAAAGATATATATCACTCACTTTCTAAAACTTCTGTTTTCAATGTATCAAAACCTGAAAGTACACATTCTACATAGAGCAATTTGTACAAAGTAGGGCAAAATATAATGACTATGTTAGATAGTAGCTTATCATATTGACTATGACAATAAAAACATAAATACAAGTCTTACATGGTGCATTCAAGATCCTAGACTTTAGGTTTTACTAAATCAGCCCAGAGCAAGTTTTTATTAAAAGCAGGGTTTTGGTTGTCTTTCAGATGCTGTTGCTTATTAGTTATTGTAGATTATTTATTAGTCAGCTATTTCCATTTGTTTGGAAAAGAGAATTTTTTCTTTTAGTAACTGATAGTTGAAAAATAAGCCATTTCCTTTTGAACATATATATATGTTTATTAAATTTACTTTCATAGCCCCAGGTTTCTTCCCAAGAAAGTTCCAATCCTAGTGTCTTAGGCAAGGGTTAAGAGATGAAAGTTATGGAGTTTCACTCCTCAACATGTAGGTGATTCTCAGTCTTTCTCATCCCTTTCTCAGAGTAATTGGTTAAAGAATGACATGAAACTATGAAGATAACACGTTGGAGAGGCTGTTGCACTTTCTAGTTGCCCTGTGTCATGTATTATCAATGGATTTGATTCTTGGAACTGTAGCAATGTTCTTGCTGTGAGATTTAGAACGAACCAACATGTCAAGGAAGATAGAGTTGAACATGCAGAGAACTGAATCTAGAGCTTTGCCACATCATTACTCAAGCAGTCCTATTTCCAGATCTCCTGTTTGGAAGGTTATAAATACTCTCCTTATTTCAGTGAAAATGAATTGAGGATCTCTTTTATATCTCCCCTGTGATATGAAATGTTTGACTGCAACTAAAATTGTGAAATTTTAAGTTATTTGAAAAAATATTGAATGACTTTGTTATGGAATTATTTTAAGAATATCTATTTCTCAATATAGAAAATATAGGTGATGAAGAAAATCAAAGCATATTTTACAGAGAGACTCCTGTATTCACCTCTAATAGAAACGTGGTACTTGTATATTTTTAGATTTATATAACTTAAAATATATCTTCTGAGGAACGTACTTTCATAAGAGAAAGCCATAAAGTACAGAAGCTTCCTGCTGATTGAAACACACTTAATGTGGTCTCCTGCTGAATTTCCTTAAATCCTGAAAATCTTTCAGGCACCTGATGAAAGTTATATTTTCAGCTGTGTTCAGTGTTCACAGAGGCTAGTGGGTGAAGTTCAAGTCATCATTATTTTTTTTTCTTTCCATGAATTAAAAAAGCTTATTCTTTGTTTGTTCCCTATTGACACAGGTAGAATCTCTCTAGTTAGCTGTACAAATTTACAAGACCATGTTTTCACCAATATTCGATGTTTGAATATATAAATTATACAATGTATATATCATTGTATAAAAATGACATTTTAAAACACACTATTCATATATAATACATTGAAAGTAGTTTATTATAACTTAGGTGTGAAGCATTTTAGCTCTCTATACTACTAAAATCAACTTTTACTTCTGTCTTCTCAAAGTGTAGTCACCACAAGTCTGACAACATGAGAGTTTGGAGTGTCACATGTGAGTGATGTGTCACATGTGAGTGATGTGTCACATGTGAGTGATGTGTCACATGTGAGTAACAGACATCACCTGAATATGATAGTCGTAATTTTACTACCTTTTGTTTTTCAACAAGAGTTTGGAAATTTTTTCTAAAAAAAAACATATTTTTCTGTAAACACTTGATCTTTCTGATCATTCACATTTCCTGATTATTACAGCATCATTTCCCATTAATTTATGTGATAGAGATGTTAGCATTTATTCTCCTGGCATTACATTTCAGAAATATAAACAACCTAATAATACTATTGACACACAAATGTCAATAATATCCTTTTGGATGAGGAAAAATACCCTCATCCAAATTTTGTTATATACTTGAAAAGGGAAAACATAAACAAAAATCATGGTAAGTGCTCTTGCTTGATGAGTTTCATTTTCCTTTGGGTGAATGGATCTTAAATTTATAATTAAATTTTTCTTATTTAAACCTAGTTACAGAGTTTCTATTATTTTCAAAGAATGTGCCTTGAATTTCAAAGACTTTTATAAATATGCTTTCTATTTACTCTAAAATTTTATGTCATAAATAGCCCATACCCGCTCATCATGTCTCTTATTCATGTCCTGACTTCCCAGCTACCACTCTATTGCTGAGTCTAAAGTCCCAAGTTGTACCAACTGTCCAGAAGAGATAGAAGTTGATGTCACCTTTAGTTGGGCAGATAAAATGCTGCATTACTAAGTCTAAATATGCCACTTTTAATATATTATAAATATACACATTTAAATGTTTCATCAATTTCATCTTTCAAGTATTGAACTCTTGGAAAAAAGGTGTTGTGAAAGTTATGTAAAATTATATTAAAATATTCTCCCTTAAAACCAGTTTATTCATGCAACAACGATTTTACTGTAAATGAGAAAAAACAAATTGTATGTTCTCCCCATAAGCTACACTGATATTAAATATCTAACAACAGTTTTGACTATTATAATCATAGATTATCCAAGTTTAAATTCCTTCCACAGAAAACATCCCATATATAGTTTTCTGTTTTTATTTTTCTTTGATTTTCCTTACATCGAGTGGAGAGAAATGGTTGGACAGCATCTTGTGCTTTAGGACACAGAAGGTGAGCTGAGGATCAGGACCACATGCACTTAGTGTGCATTCCTCTGACTCACATTGCTCGACAAGCTTTCTGACTAAGCCCAAGCATCCTGCAACGCTGGCCTCAGATGGTCATTATCAACTGGAGTGAGCCTAGGAAGTCAAGCCTGTTGCCAATCTGTGTAGGAGTTAATCTTTAAATTATCCAAAGAATGTGCCTCTGGAATATTTGCTTTAATACATAAAGAACAAAATTTATAATACAATTTAGAAGACTTGTATGCTAATTTTGGATTGTTTTCCAAATTAGAATTCACCAGTAGTTGTCAAGCCAATCAGGGTGCTAAAGCAACATTCTGAATTTTAGAAAGTGTGGCATACAGGTTCATTTTGTGTCACTTTTACTGGATTTTGCCTAAGAAGCCAGAATGTATGCCAGATTCCTCAGATCTGTGGCTGACATATAAAAATTCCATTTTTCCCCTCTACAATATATTCTTTTCTTGGTTCATAATGAGATCATGAGAAATCATAATAACCGTGACCCTATGCCATTCTTAATGCAGCTGTCAGAAGCTATCCATCCTCAGACATAGGCACTGGGGGGACAGCTAGTCTAAATTAAAGTCAGGGGCTCTCAAAACAGCTTTTTTTTTTAACCATATTTCTGATTTTCACGAAGTCATGAGTGATCATAACAGATTATTTATAATACTTTATTTTTTCTAACCATATTATTTCATAGAAGAAATGCGATCCATAATCAATTTATAGAGGAATATAATGAGTTTTCCTAGAATTTTTGGAAAAGAAATGAGGCCTATTCAATTGAAACTAACGAGCAGCAACATATAACGTGAGATTCCCACTTCCAAAAGCACATATTCATAGAAAGAGGCACAAATGAAACATTTTAAGAGATTGAAAGGGCAGGTGTCCTCTAGAAATGCTTACAAAAATCCAGGCCTGAGTCAACAGCCCGGTGATAATAGAACAAAAAAAGAGTTAGAAAATTAGCATTTTTTTTAGTATTTATACCAGTTGGAGAGCCAGGTCATCTGATATTTTACAGTCATAGATGTTTAAGTACAATGATTATGCATTTGACACATGGTTGAAAATTCTTTTTTCTAATTTGTAATTTTAAAAAAATTAAAGAATTAAAATGATTATTTGAAATTAGTAATATATCTTAAAATCCAGACATATGGTGACCCTAATTATAAAATGCTGGCTTTGGGACCACACGTTCGAAACACGGAATCTGAAGCGGGTGTTAATTCAAACTCCTTGCTATTGCCTAGTAGCCATTTTTAAAGCATAAGCACTAATAGATACTTGGCAGTGAGATCTTCAAATATGGTATTATTATCCTCTTTTAACATATGAGAAATGTTAAACCATGGAGAAGTTTTAACATTTCTGGGAACATATCTAAGAAGTGAAGAAGTTAGCTGGGATTTAAATTAATACTACTTTTATCGTGAGGCATATATACTTTTTGTAACGAGAGTGGAACCATGATACATTTGATACATGTGTATAGCCTTATAACTTGAAAAATAAATAGAGGCCGGGTGAGGTGGCCCACATCTGTAATCCCAGCACTTTGGGAGACTGAGGTGGGCAGATCACGAGGTCAGGAGTTCAAGACCAGCCTGACCAATATGGTGAAACCTCGTCTCGACTAAAAATACAAAAAAATTAGCCAGGTGTGGTGGTGCATGCCTGTAGTCCTAGCTACTTGGGAGGCTGAGGCAGGAGAATCTCTTGATCCTGGGAGGCAGAGGTTGCAGTGAGCCAAGATAGTGCCACTGGACCCCAGCCTAGGCGACAGAGTGAGACTCCGTCTCAAAAAAAAAAAAAAAAAAAAAAAAAACAGAGGTAGACTTCTTTCTTAAAATTCAGTTAAATCTTGGTTTCCTTATTTAGACATTTCCAGTTACCTCAGGAAGAGTGAATTGTTCTTTCTTTATAATTATGCTTAAACTGCTATGATAGCTATTGCTTAATCATCATTGTTTATTCCCTTCCTTACTCTGGAAGTAGACTTCCTGGGTCCAAATTCTAGAACAACACTACTACCTGTTTAAGGGATTCAATGTCTGTGTCTCAACTTCTTCAACTGAAAATGGTAATCATAATGATACAACTACCTCGTCAGGTATAATATAGGCAAAGCTCTTAATATTGTGTCTAACACGTATAAGCATTCATTATTTTTAATAGCTATGCCATCAATATATACCATAATATATGTAAGCATTCATTATTTTTATTAGTTATGCCATCAATATAACCATAATATATGTATTAATTGTATCTTAAAATATAATGCAGTATAATTATATATTAATAGTGTTTATATTGTGAACAAATTTATAGTCTCCTTGGGTACAGCAACTACGTTTTATTTATCTTTGAGTCTCCTGTACCTAATAATGCATCTGATACATTGTAGGCTTTTGTAAATGTCCAGTGAATTCACAAATAGGAAGTAGTTTCCCAAAAGCTGATAACATTTAATTTAACAGATTTGTTTCTCACTACAACATTGAATTCTAGTCAAAGGTAACAGCCCTAGAACATAAACATCCTCAGGGAAGGAACTGAGTTTGATTCACATTTTATTCATTGCATCTGGCAAAATGGCACCTAGTTAGTGGTTGAAACTTATGTTTAATTTAACCTTCACTGATACTTTATAAGTTGGGAGAAACACTTTCTCTCTTAACTCTTCTGAATTCAGCAATAACAATTGATACAAGCAATCATAAAAATGGAATTCAATAATTAAACATGCAATGGGAATATCTATTTTATAGAAGAGTGTGAAAAAATGTCATATAACTCATTTTAACTCTTGCCATAAATGGGAAAATAAAATCTTACAATGCTATGCCATGGACGTGCAAACCACTTGATGATAGGGATCCTTTCCCTGTGTTTTGTTACACAAACAGTGACAATAAAAGACAATTAATGAAAGAGTTAATATCATACCTGTGGGCAGCCTGATGGCATCCTAAAAGTATACGTACATGCCTGCACGTGGATGTGCACATGCACACACACACATAATTAAAAGAAAAACTTTAGACAAATTAAACAAAGTGTAATTGAGCAAAGAACATTTGTGATGTAAATTGGGCAGTTTTCAGAATCAAAAGTTGTTCACAGCATTTCTCAAGTTCTGCAACTTGAGTCGACAGCTTTTCTAGGCAGAAAATGGAAGTGAGGTACAGGAGCAGCAAAAATGGTTACAGCTTTGGCCTTATTTGGGCATGGTCACCAGTTGGCGGCCTCTGACTGACTGAAGTTCAACTACTGTGATTGGCAGAGACTCAGTTAGTTGTTACAAAAAATATGCTAAGTTAGGCCTTCAGTTGGGTTACCTACTAAGTCAGATTGCAGTTTGTTATGTAAAAACTCAAGAAAAAGAGACAGTCTCTGGTCAAATTTATTTTAACTCAATGTATATACGCACAGAGACACAGATTTATATTGCCATATATGCTTATAGGTATATGTATATATATGCTTATATTTAATATCTCATTTCTATGTTTTTATCTTCTTTCCTGTTGAGTGCTACTGCTATTGCTAAGGAATTATTTTCATGAACACAATGAAAAAATATTTAGTGCCATTTCCTTGATCCTCAAGATACTAGGTTGGAGCAAAGGTAACACAGTTTTTGCATTGTTGGAATTGGCCATTTGATTTTGGAATACGTTCTTAAGTAAATCTGGTCATGTTATACATCATTTTAATGGGCAATTTTCACTTTTTTTTGCTAATAACTTACCACTTGTTTATTTCATGTTTATTTTAGACTATAGAAATGATGTTAGACAAAGCCAAATTCGAGCTATTTTCTTATTTGAGTTCAAAATGGGTTGTAAAGCAATGAAGACAACTTATAACATTAATAACACATTTGGTCCAGGAACTGTTAACAAATGTCCAGTGCAGTGGTGGTTCAAGAACTTTTCCAAAGGAGATGAGAGCCTTGAAGATGAGGAGCTTAGTGGCTGGCTATTGCAAGTTGACAACGACCAATTAAGAGCAATCATCGAAACTGATCTTCTTAAAACTACACAAGAAGTTGCCAAATAATTCAATGTCGACCATTTTACTGTTGTTTGACATTTGAAGAAAACTGGAAAGGTGACAAATCTCAGTAAGTGGGTGCCTCATGAGCTGACCAAAAAAAAAAAAAAAAAAAGAAAAAAAAATCGTTGTTTTGAAGTTTCGCCTTCTCTTATTGTATGCAACAACAACGAACCATTTCTCATCAGATTGTGATGTGGGATGAAAAGTGGATTTTATAAGACAACCAGTAATGACCAGCTCAGTGGTTGGACTGAGAAGAAGCTCCAAAGCACTTCCCAAAGCCAAACTTGCACCAAAAACAGGTCGTGGTCACTGTTTGGTGGTCTGCTGCCAGTCTGATCCACTACAGTTTTCTGAACCCTGGTAAAACCGTGATCTCAGATAATTATGCTCAGCAAATGGATGAGATGCACTGAAAACTTCAATGCCTGCCTCCAACATTGGTCAACAGAAAGGGCTCAATTCTTCTCCACAGCAACGCAGGACCGCACATGACACAACCAATGCGTCAAAAATTGAACGAATTGGGTTGGAAGGTTTGCCTCATCTGCCGTATTTACCTGACCTCTTGCCAGCCGACTACCACTTTTTCTAGCATCTTGACAATTTTTTGCAGGGAAAATGCTTCCACAACCAGCAGGATGCAGAAAATGCTTTCCAAGAGTTTGTCGAATCCCGAAGCATGGATTTTTACACTACAGGAATAAACAAACATTTCTCCTTGACAAAAATGTGTTGATTGTAATGGCTCCTACTTCGATCAATAAAGATGTGTTTGAGCCTAGTTACAATGATTTAAAATTCACTATCTGAAACCACAATTACTTTTGCACCAGCCTAATAAGACACAACATTTTCTTTAAATATCTGACTTTTAAAAATTGCTGATGATTAAATGATAAAATATTGGCACCATATCATTTAGTATAAGATACCACAGATTGTAGGATTGACCATTATATAAGGTACTACTAAATAAAAACACCGCAGAGTGAATTACATTATAATTTTTAAAATTTGTGCATTTTATCCTCATGAACTTTTAAATTAATTCCTATTTAAACACAGATTATTGTTTCATGTCACTTGTTTGCATAAAGAAAGAAAAATATAAGATAAATATATCAATCAAGATATTTCTTAAAAGCTTCATGTTTGGAGTCCAACTCGGTATTTCTACAGCTTTTTAATTGCACAGTCATTGATGTCTATGATTTTCAAAAAATGATTCACTTATATGTTATAAGGAGCTGAGATGATAGAGCCTTTCTTAACAGAGTGCCCTGCTCTGGTATTGTCTGCCATGTTGCCGATATTCATTAAGGAGATTTTGATACTGGTGCTTTCTTTTTTTTTACTTTTTTTTTTTTTTTTGAGACGGAGTTTCACTCCTGTTGCCCAGGCTGGAGTGCAATGGCGAGATCTCAGCTCACTGCAACCTCCGCCTGGATTCAGGTGATTCTCCTGCCTCAGCCTTCCTGAGTAACTGGGATTACAGGCATGCACTACCATACCAGGCTAATTTTGTATTTTTAGTAGAGACGGGGTTTCTCCATGTTTGTCAGGCTAGTCTCGAACTCCCGACCTTAGATGATCCGCCCGCCTCGGCCTCTCAAAGTGCTGGGATTACAGGCGTGAGCCACCGTGCCTGGTCAGTGCTGGTGCTTTCTTGATTATACCAGCAGGTATTACTGGAATGTTTTTAGAAAAAATCTTGAAATTATATTCTTTCTTCAAATGATTTTTTAAGAGGCCTGTTGACTGGCATGTTGAGAGACTGTAGATAACCATAAAGTCCACCAGCGGCAGAATCAATTAGCCATATTTTTCACCATGATCATTTTTACCTTTTCTGGTATGTGCCATGAACTGCATTAAGAATCAAGATACTTGGCAACTTAGAATAAAAGGCTGGAGGATCTCAATTCCATAAAACGTTTACTCTGTCAGGTCACCTGACACCTATCCAGTTTTTCAGAAAGCACAGCAAAATTATTAGCGAAGATTTCATTCTTTGAGACTGTTGTACAGGGTAAACTTAAATATGCAAGCAACGTTTTGTGACCAGCAGTTATTTTTAGTTTCACAGTGATATGCTGCTTTTCATAATTGGCATTCATGACCTTGTTCTTTGTAGCACTGAATTATAGTTTTAAAGCAAGTCAAAAACTGTGAATAAATCAGTATTTTCTATACAGTTTTATTTTTTTCAAGATTTATATCCCATTAGAAATTAAGGAGCTTTCGGTCAAAGTAGACAGGAGATTTCTAACACATGAATGTTTGAAAATAGTTCTAGATTATGCATGAGTCTGTCACACCAGGCTTTCTTTGTTATGAATTTCTGGTATCTATTATGAAGAATTTGGCAATTTTTTCTCATGTTCATATCAGATACTTATCATGGGCAATCTTTTAGAACGCAACAAAGTTGCAGTCATGTGCCACATGACATTTCATTTACCGATGGGCTGTATATACAATGCTGGCTTTGTAAGATTATAATACTACGTTTTACACTATGTTTTCTATGTTTAGATACATAAATACTTACCATTGTGTTCCAATTGCCTGCAATATTCTACACAATATCATAATGTACAAGTGTGTATCTTAGGAGCAATAAGCTATTCCATATTAGCCTAAGTGTGTAGCAGGCTATGCCATCTAGGTTTGTGTGAATATACTCTGTGATGTCTGCATGCTGAATTTGCCTAAAAATGCATGTTCAAGATGCATCCTTATTATTAAGTGACACATGATTGTACCTGAAAGTATCCTCTTAAGTTCATTAAAGCACTTAGTTTTTTATTCACAAGTTAATATACAAACGTGGTCATTCTTCTAGATAATGAATATTCATCAAATTTATTGCTTACGTTTTTAGATTCTGCTTTATTTTCATATTTCCTTTTATTTAGTGTTGAATTTTAGTCTATTTTAACACATTAAATGCCAATTAAGCCAAACACATGTACAACTAATAATGCACATATCTCCAAATTAATGACTATATGGATATGTTTCTAAATTTGCACATGAATTGAGCAGTATTTCATGATGGCTGTTTAGCTGACTGAGTTTTTTACGCACTGAAAGATACACTCAATTACACAGACGTTAAAATCTAAAAATTTATTTCTTAAAATAGAGAAATCATAAGCTTTTTTTGTTATGTGTGTAAAGTGGTCTTTTACCTATATCTAATTGTTAGAAGACACTGCTGGTGATTTACTACTACTGGTTCAGAAAGAGATTGTGAATGTAGTATGACTATATGTGAGAAAATCATGATGATTTATACGACAATACAGCTTAGCAATTTTTTTTTTTTTTGAGAGGGAGTCTCGCTCTCTCACCCAGGCTGGAGTGCAGTGGCACGATCTCGGCTCATTGCCACTTCCACCTCTTGGGATCAAGCCATTCTCCTGCCTCAGCCTCCTGAGTAGCTGAGATTACAGGCACGCGCCGCCACGCCTGGCTAACTTTTGTATTTAGTAGAGACGAGGTTTCACTATATTGGTCAGGTTGGTCTCAAACTCCTGACCTCAAATGATCTGCCTGCCTCGGCCTCCCAAAGTGCTGGAATTACAGGCATGAGCCACCATGCCTGGCCCAACTTAGGATTTTAAAGTTATGAACCTCTAGTATAATATTGGAACTGTGGGCAGGGATTTGTGACTCAAATTTTTTCTACCAAACCTAAAATATTAATTAGAAAATTTATGGAAGTAGGATATTATCACTGAAAAATACACACTAAAGTAACAAAACTCATGTTTACCACATTTATGTACCCAAAGTGAAAATCCTGTGTTGTTGTTTTTTGCATTGAGAAAAAATGAGAATTAGACTCACAGAGAAGATTTTTTTAAAAAGAGGTCATTGTCTTAGTCCTTTTGTTTTGCTGTAACAAAATACCAGAGACTGGGTAATTTATAAACAATAGAAATTTATTTCTCATGGATCCGGAGGCTGGGAAGTTGAAAATCAAGGTGCTGGCTGGTCTATTGTCTGTTGAGGGCTGTCCTTTGCTTCCAGGATAGTGCCTCGTTGCTGCATCCTCTGTATCCCGCACATGGATGATGAGACAGAAGGAAGGGATTCACCTCTGCAAGCCCTTTTCTAAGGTGCTAATACTATCTACAAGAACTCCACCCACATGATTTAATCACTGCCTAAATGCCTCATTTCTTCTTACTGTCACATTGGTTATTAAATTTTAACATATTAATTTTGGAGGCCACACTCAGACCATGGTAGTCATTAAGAATTTATGAAGAATAGTGAATCACTTTTTAAATTTATTTTTATTTATTTATTTATTTATTTATTTATTTATTTATTTATTTTTGCTGGGTTGAATGGTATTTCTCTCTTTTTTTTTTTTTAGGTGAAGGTTTGTTTATTCCTTTTTTTTTTTTAATTATACTTTAAGTTTTAGGGTACACGTGCACATTGTGCAGGTTAGTTACATATGTATACATGTGCCATGCCGGTGTGCTGCACCCACCAACTCGTCATCTAGCATTAGGTATATCTCCCAATGCTATCCCTCCCCTCTCCCCACCACAGTCCCCAGAGTGTGATATTCCCCTTCCTGTGTCCATGTGATCTCATTGTTCAGTTCCCACCTATGAGTGAGAATATGCGGTGTTTGGTTTTTTGTTCTTGAAGAGTTAAAAACAATTGATATTTGTCAATAAGTTAACATAACTATATCATTATTTTATTCTCAGTAAGTTTAAATGTCAAGGTTGGCTGCCCACCTAAAGCAAAGCTGATGGATATATATTATTCTGTAGACCTGTGACTAATACCTGCTCACATGATTTTTTGAGACCATAAACTCAGTGGTTAGATTAAAGTACTTTATTAAGATTATAAATCAACTATAAGAAAACTATGTAAACTACTAATGAGAGTAGTTATATATTATTTCTTAAAGATTAGACATTTATAACAATTAGAATAAAGTTGGGCTTAATAATGTGTTCAAAAATGAGTTTATATTAATAGCAACTTGATTAGGGCAAAGAGGTAGATAAATTTGGCAATATTCACTAATCAGAAATTAGGTTATAGAAGTGTTTCAGTGTTTTGTTTCATATGTTTGTAAATGCATATGGGTACTTTCTCTTTTCAGAGAGCATTTGAAACATTTTTTTTCCTAAGGGCACCAAAATGAATTTTCATAGGTATAAATGGGAAAGTATCATTCCCATTAAACTGTTTTTGGCTTTATTCTCTAGTAGTCCAGTAGAAATAAAGACACATTGCATATAAAGCTGTGTCAAAATGGGATATGCTCTTTTGTCACCACTTCAACACTTATCAAGGTAAAATATAATTTGGTGATTATTTTTCAGACTGGAATAAAAATTTTTATATCATTTGGCATGATCTATGGTACATACCAAATTATTTGGTAATTTTAAATCATTAGTTCGAAGGTGTATTTCTGGTAATTGAATAGGCAGAGCAATTCTAAACTAGTTACTGCATATTTTAGATTTGAGAAAACTAGAAAACGTCAATATTTTTGGGAGTAAGATTGTTACTGTGAAGACAGGAGATAAAAATACAAATGTGGAAAAGCAAGAAATCCATAGTGATGCAAAAAATACTTAATATAGAGTTAAGTAAAATCTAATAATAATCAAATAATAATTATTTATCATGAACAAATGGGATCTATCCTAAGAATACAAGACTGGTTTAACACTTGAAAATAATTGAGTGAAATTTACCTATTAACAGACCAGATTAAAAAGAAAAATCACAGCTGGGCGCAGTGGCTCACACCTGTAATCCCAGCACTTAAGGAGGCCGAGGTGGGCAGACCACCTGAGGTTGAGAGTTGGAGACCAGCCTGACCAACATGGAGAAACCACATCTCTACTAAAATTACGAAATTAGCCGGGTGTGGTGGTGCATGCCTGTAATCCCAGTTACTCAGGAGGCTGAGGCAGGAGAATTGCTTGAACCTGGGAGGCAGAAGCTGTGGTGAGCCAAGATTGCGCCGTTGCACTCCAGCCTGGCCAACAAGAGTGAAACTATATCTCAAAAAAAAAAAAAGAAAAAAAAAAAAGAAAAAGAAAAGAAAAAAGAAAAGAAAAAAAAGAAAACTCACATGATTATCTTTATCTTAGACTGGCCAACCAAAATGTGGACAATATTTAGCCTACCACATGTGGAATAAATGTTTACAAAGCCACATCCATTGGTTTTCTATGGTCTTTGGTGCTTTTGTGTTACAAAATCGGTGTTGAGTTGTCATGACAGAGCATGACAGAGATTGTATTACCTGGAAACATTAATTTCTTTCTGGACCTTTACAGAAGAAGTTTGCTGACTCCGGTTATAAAGAAATGTGAACAAAGGGTTTTGGAAAAATTTAATGGTTATTCATAATACAATTAAAACTCAGTACACTGGGCATAAAAAGAAACTTTTATCAACCTGATGAATAGCATTGATGAAAACTTGCAGTTGGTAACATACTTAATAGGAAAAGCGCTTTCTTCCTGAAATTGGAGAAAAGCCAATGTTATTTTCTCTTATCACTTTCCTTCAACACTGTTCTGGACGTCCCAGGCAGTGTAACAATGCAAAAAAAGAATAATAAAGGATTACAATTTAGAACAAATGCTAAAGTGTCATTATTTGTAGGTGAAAGAATTATCAATGTAGAAATTGTAAGAAAACTACAAAATGTCTATGAAAGATAACAATGACTATAGTGAGACTACAGTACAAGAGTCATATAAAGATCAATTTGTTTTCAGATGTCAGAGAAAATCACAGGGCAAGGATTGAAAAATCCTATCCTCCTCAAAAGAAAAAGCAACACCAAAAACACCAAAAACTAGCAACATCAACATTTTCGGGCTCTGGAAATTAAACCTAGACTGTTATTCAGAAAAAGCAGCTAATTCTTGGTGAGAACAGGGAGGTATGTGGCTTTTTGAGTTGGCCAATCCCTATCTCTAGCCTTGAAAAACCGAAAGTCCTGAAGTCAAAGTCAGCACCACCAGTCCAGCAGTCACCTGCAGGAGCAGGTCGTGGCTGGGGCATCTTTCCAGCTTCCCTCTCAGATAACTGTCCTCCCTTGACCTATCAGGTGATTCCCTGGAAGGTTCACTTGCAAGGCTGTCTTTGTTTCACCAGATATGAGCTTACCCAGTTCAAAAAGACTTTTCCCCAGGTATTTCATTTTTCTAATTCTGTTTTTGTTTGTTTGTTTGTTTGTTTATGGTTGTTTTTGAGACAGGGCGTTCCTCTGTCACCAAGGCTGGAGTGCAGTGGTTTGATCTTGGCTCACTGCAGCCTTGACCTCTTGGGTCCAGGCAATCCTCCCACCTCCGCCTCCTGAGTAGCTGGGTCTACAGGCACCCACCACCGCCCTGGCTAATTTTGGTATTTTTTTTTTAAGAGATAGGGTTTCTCCATGTTGCTCAGCCTGGTCTGGAACCCCTGGGCTCAAGAGATCTGCCTGCCTCAGCCTCCTAAAGTGCTGAGATTGTAGGTGTGAGCCACTTTACCTGGCCTATTCTGTTTTTTGTTTTTATCATTTTTGTTGTTGTTTTGTTTTTCCTGAAAGCAATCACAGGGATTGTATTTAAAAATATATAACCCCAATAATATTTTTATAATATTGTTTGGAATAGGAAAATAATGGAATTAATATAAATGGCTATCAATAAATAAATAGTTCTGTAATGTGTGATATATCCACAAAGAGTAGGAATGTAAAAAAAAATCAAGTAAAATGCTATAGTTAACTTTCAAAGTATTTAGGTAAAAAAAAAATAACAAAACAAAACAAAACAAAAAAACAGAAAACCTCACTACAGTCCAGAGTGGGGTTTAAAATATTGTTGTTTAAAATAAGACACGTGTGTGTGTGTGTGTAAATATGTGCAAATTTCAACAATGGCAATTATTGGGCAGGTGAATTGGGTAATATTTTTAGAGACTATTGTCATTTGGAGGAAGTGTATTCAACATTATAATATTTTAAATTTTAAAAACCAGTAAAAACTATTATTTTTGTGATTGACAAAATTTTCTTGGGCTATAGTATACTCAGAAAAGGAAATTTATGAGTGGGGTGGCAAGAGAAAAATAATTTTGTGTGGAATGTGAATCATTCACATATCTAGGGGGTTTGGATGTCTGGATTTCTCAGAAGTGAGATGGATTTTAATAAGCTAAGAGCACTCTTAGAGAATGAGTAGATATTATTTTTTTAAAGATTAGAGTGAAAATCTCTATTTAATAAGATTTCTGGGTCCTGACACTTATTTAGTCCATTTAGTTATATTTAATACAACACCATATTAATCGAATGAAAAAACTGAGCATCTATGGAAGTTTATCATAACTGGATTTAAATAAACACCTTGAAAGAAGAGCTTATTTAAGAGTCTGCATTACATTGGATAAAGCATGATATTGCATGGGGACTTGGGGATTATACAGATAAAACACAAAACTTGGTTTTGAGCTTTCATTCATTCAAAAGAAACTAAAGAGAAGAGAAAATGAGAATATGAGAAATAAAGCCTCCGTTTCTTATACAGTCGTATTTGTATATTTATAAAATAGATAATTAGGCCAATTAGGCCAGACGCGGTGGCTCACGTCTGTAATCTCAGCACTTTTGGGAGGTCGAGGTGGGTGGATCACGAGGTCAGGAGATCGAGACCATCCTGGCTAACATGGTGAAACCCCGTTTCTACTAAAAATACAAAACATCAGCCGGGCGTGGTGGCACACGCCTGTAGTCCCAGCTACTCAAAAGGCTGAGGCAAGGGAATCACATGAACCTGGGAGGCAGAGGCTGCAGTGAGCTGAGATCACGCCACTGCACTCCAGCCTGGGTGACAGAGAGAGACTCTGCCTCAAAAAAAAAAAAAAAAAAGATAATTATTAATTACTTTACCTCCCAAAGTCCTCTACAGATTGACCCTTTCTGGACATTTTATATAAATGAAATTATACAATACATGTTCTTTTGTGACTAGCTTCTTTCACTTAGCATAAAGCTTTCATTGTTCATCCATGTAGTGATACGCATTAGTACATCATTCATTTTTATTGCCTAATAATATTCCATTGTATAGATATGCCACATTTTTTTTATCCATTCATTAGTTCAAAGACATTTGTGCTGTTTCCACTCTGTGGCAATTAGGACTCACGCTGCTATGAATATGTGTTTACCAGTTATTGTAAGGACCTATGTTTTCGTTTCTGTTTGGTACATACCTAGAAATTAAATTGTTGAGTCTGAATAGCTTGTTCAGCCAGTGTGGTTAGAAGTTGTACCTAAGCCCATTGTGTGAAAGATGCCTTTGCTCTGCATCAAAAAATCTGTGTGCAGCTTGCGGAATGCTTGCAAGCCTGCACATAGCCTGCTCTGTTTGCTGCTGAGTGCACACAACCTAGCACGCGCGTGCGCGCGTGCACACACACACACACACACACACACACGGCCTTCTCAATCTCCAAGGGTGACATTGATCTCAACGTGGTTCTTCTTAGCTGTCTCTTTCCCTGATTATCTCTGTTAAAATTCCAGCTGTTTTTCCATTTCACATGCTGTTACCAGAATCATGGAGCTTCAAGTAGGTTTTTAGTTGGCTGCCACTAAGACCTCCATTGTTTTGTACATTGCCCATTAGGAATAAGATTCTCCATGCTGTTTTCCATATAATTTCAGTTCCTGCATGCAGCTGTGGATTTCTGCTTCCTCCAGACATACCTCTCCATCTGGATCTAACGTCTGCACCACCACGCAGCAGCAGAGGGTGGAATACTGACCAACAATTTCCTAGAGTGACACCTCTGCCATGTGCCTGTGTACTGGGTATCTGGTATTTCCTAATCATCTTAGCTTGCCCTCCTCAGCATTGAATCTGTACCCTACAGGTGGGCTGGGGTTTGGGAGACTGGGAACTCTGGGCTAGAGCTTACTCAGGTAGGCTGTACCTTGGGAGAGCTTTCATCCTCTAAGGAGGTCCCGGGTGGGGAATGGAACCTCAGGCCTTTGGATTGTACCCAGTCAGAATAGAGATGCAACACAGGGCTGAGGAGAGCGAGAAATGCCAGCCCCGAACACCCCATCTTGGAGTGAAAGAGTAGCCCTAGACAGAGAACTGAAAAGTGAGGAAGACCTGGAAGTTTTGACCATAGATACTGAGTAAAGAGACCACAGTAGAGTTTCTGCAACAAAACTGTGGGGTGGGATTAAAGTAGAGGGGGTGGTTCAAATACCAGACTGTAACAGTTGTTTTAGATATTTAATAGTTTATCTTGAATGAATGTTTATTCATTTGCTGTATGACCTTAGGATAATTTCCAGACTTTAAATAGTTATTTTCTGTAATTTTCACAAGTTAAATGGTCATTTTACTGCAACGAGGGTATATCAGAATCCACATTCCACTATTCGGGACGCCCCAACTCACTGCTGGCACATCAATATATTAAAATACATCCTGCAATTCACACCCTCTCTACCTATCATCTTATGTCTTTTTTAAAATGGTTTAAATGAGAAGAGGATACTCATTATTTCAACAACGCTCCAGTTTTCTCTACTCAGGGCCCCCTCATGCCTATGTTTGAGGTCTGTCCCGATCATCTGTAGTGGGCACCATTCACATAGCCATGACTTTTCCCTGCTCCAAGTAATAGAACAGTCTTGACCCATGACTAAAAAGGTTACTTTTTGCAAAAAAACAAACCATTGTTTAGAGTAGAGTGGTTATTATCTTACAGTGGATTTTTAGAGTAACTTTGTTTTGAAACAAGTCAATGGTGATTCAAATTCAAACTCCACTAACCTATTTTCAACTTTGAATGGCCATTGGCCATCACGTCAGTTTTCTTATAAACTAGTATGTGTGTAAAATTCATTTTCTCAGAAATGTACATATTTTTATTAGTTACTCATTTTGTGCATTTTTGCACACTATTTTTACTTCTATTATGTCACTTAATTGAGATATGCCAAGTGTTTTTCTCAGGATTCAATATGCTGCAGTTATGTATTTTGGAAGGGAGAGCACAGAAGTAAAGTGCCTTTTTATCACATCTTATCAAGGGTCCATGCTATGAACATGAACTATCACTGCTGATGTTGACCATAATCACCTACCTGATGTGTTTGTTATGTTTCTTCATTGTAAAATTATTACTTTTTCATACTACGCTCTTTGGAAGAGCTTAAGAAATGAGAAGAATAAAAGAGACACTCTATGATCTTGAAGTACCTACATTAAGTATTTGAAATTCTTCTGTACAGAAGAATTGTCTCTTTTTCCCTATTTATTTATTTATCCTGTCCACTTATTTGAATCGTATGGAGTAGTGGACATTTACTTTATACGTTGAGATATAATTCAATCTTATTTTATTCATTTTGTTATTCAAATAGTTCCAGCTTTGGCCACTGGAAAATCTTGCAGCTGTCTCCTAAGTACATTTGGCATAGTCCCATAATTTTAAAACACTTCCTTACCTTCTGAAATTACAAGATACTCCTGGCTCATCTTCTCTATTTCCCCCTCCAGTCCTGGAATCAGTCATTTTGCTAAAGCACCTTGCTTCCTTTTGCTGAAGGTGGGGGTGTCAGAAAGCAAGGTCTGCATGCAAGGTGTCCTATTGTTCTTGGGGTATTGTTCTTTCTAGGAACTCTCAGGTGATATATCAAATACATAATTTGTGTATGTTAACCTGCGTATTTACACGTATCTATAGCTATTTCTAAATTTAATTATTGGTATCTATATTAAGCCCAACATGAATTAATAAAGATATCTCAATTTGAAGCCATTACTATATAAGTCTTCTAGCCTCTTTTTATTATTTGTAACCTCCCATCCTGACAAAATCCAGTGTCCACCTACATAGTTTCAATTTCAGCATACATGTATAGTACATGTATATACTGTATTGTTAACCCGTATTCATATGAGAAACAACTTTATCAACTAGAGTTGCACAGATTCTTTTGTCCTTCTCTTCTATACTACACTCATTTTCAAAGTTACTTAGCTCAGTAACTTTTTCTACCACCTCATTCAGAAAAGCTGCTATTTTATACATTTGCAATAGAGATAGATTGTTTTGTCACATTCTGTATTCCATCTAGTGATAACTGATTTCCTGAATGAATTTTTTCATTTGCATACATTAAGGTTCACTCCTTATGCTCTAAAGTTTATGGATTTTGACAAATATTTAGTCATATATCCACCATTAACAAACCATACACTGTAGTTTCTCTGCCCTAAAATTTCCTGGTGTTTTACTTCTTCAACCTTCTCTCTCCCCATAACTGTGGCAACCAGTAGGCATTTATAGTCTCTATAATTTTACCTTTAAAAATATAATTGACATCACACAGTATGTAGCTTTTTTGGAATGGCTTCTTTAACTTAGTGTTACGTAAATGAGCCAAAGATGGCCTCTGTGGATTGGCCCCTAGGTTATTTCTTCACTGCATGTTGAGATCCTTTTCAAAGCCCATGGCTACCAAACTCAAACTTTTGTACATCCAATGTTTCTAAAAGAACCCAAATAAGCAGATTTTTAGCCATATACAGCCTGCCTGCTTTTTATACACCATGAAATCTCACCCAACAGCTGTTACCTACAGATAAGACAGTGCTTGTAGTCATAAGGCCCAACCTGCTGCTGTTGTTCAGAGACTCTCAGCCACGTTGTGGAGTGACCTCACCTGGATACATTAGGCCCTCTCTGATCCCCCTCTTCCTTAGGATTTTCTCTGCTCCTCTGCGTTTGTGAATGGTGGCCCCTTCACCATGAGTTTCTGGAACATATCATAGTGTGAGGGACTTCATCTCTCATGAAGTACAACCACTATCCAATAAAAGTTTCTTGTCCGCCACTGCCTGTTATGGTCATGTATTTTTCATCAGTCAAAAATCCCATAAGCACATACATTTAGCAATAGATATTTAAGATTCATTCATGTCTTTTTGTGGCTTGATACCCAATTTCCTTTTAATGCTAAATAATGTTAACTTGTATGGATTTTAAGAACCCGTTTATCTAATTGAAGGACATCTTGGTTGCTTCCATTTGGGGCCATTATGAATAAAGTTACTTGAAAATATTTTTGCAGGTTTTGGTGTGGGCTTGAGTTTTCAAAAAGTTGGGATTAATAGGTAGAAGCATGATTGCTGCCAAGTATGGAAAAACTACATATATCTTTGTACGAAACTGCAAAATTTTCTCTCAAAGAAGCTGTAGCAGTTTGCATGCCCACCAGAAAAAAAATAAGAATTTTCCTTTATATGACTCCACATGAGCAATTGGTATAGTCGGGATTTTTGTTTCCTTGGTTTTACTTTAGGCACTCTGATATATATGAAGTAGAATCTCATTCCTTTTGTAATTAGCATTTTCCTAATGACAAAAGGATGTTGAGCATATTTCCATATGCTTATTTTCCATGTTCAATCTTCTTTGGTGAAGTGTTTTTCAGATCTTTGCCTATTTTTAATTGGGTTACTTTCTTGCAGAATTATTTGTATATTTTGGATAGAAGTCCATTATCATATGGAGGTTTTGAAAATATTATCTCTCGGGCTATGGCTTATGATTTCAATCTCTTAACAGTGTTTTTCCTGCAGAGCAGAAATTTTTAATTTTAATAAAGTCAAATTTGTTCTTTTTATCAATTACGGTACATGCTGTTAGTGTTGTATCTGAAAACTCATTAGAAAACTCAAGGTCACAAAGATTTTCTCTTATGTGGTTTCTTTACTAGAAGTTTTTTGTTTTATATTTTGCATTCAGGTCTATGATTCATTTTGAGTTAATTTTTGTGAAAGATGTAAGTTCTGTGTCTGAGCCCATTTGTGTGAATATGTGTGCGTGTGTTGTGGGGATCCTCTGGACATGCCTTTTTTTATTTTTCTAAAAGGAGCTGAATATATTTGTGTGGGTTTAATTTGGGTTATCTCTTTCATTTATCTTTAACTTATCTGTGTGACTTTTCTTTACCTAATACCACACTGTTTTGATAACTGCGGCTTTACACTAAGCATGTGGTTCAGGTTGTATTAGTCCTTCAACTCTGATTGTCTTCAGTATTGTGTTGACTCTTTTAGGTTTTTTGCCTCTCTGTATAAATTTGGAATCAGTCTATCAATATCTAAAAATGATTGGCAGCACTTTTATTGGCATTGCATTAAATCTATGAATCAAAACTTGTCAAGAAGATTTGACATCTTAATTTTGAGCCTTTCAATTTATTTAGGTCATTTTCAAATTTTTTCTCAGAGTTGGTAGTTTTCTGCATAATATGTATATGTGTCATGTTATAGTAAGATGTTAGTTCTAAGATTATTTTTTCTAAATATTCTTTATCAAGTTGAGGAAATTCTGATCTATTCCTTGTTTTTGAGAAATTTTATCATGTAGAAATATTGGATTTTTTTGGTAACAGTTTTATTGAAATATACTTCACATATTATAACAATTCACACAAAGTATACAATTCAGTAGTGTTAGTACACTTATGAGGTCTTCAATTGTCACCCTATCAATTTTTTAACCTTTTGATCAACTCATAAAGAAAATTTGTACTTCTAGGTATTACCTTTCATGCTCCATTTGCCTCAGCCCTAAAAAGCTAATAATTTATTTTTTGCATTGATTTCATATAAATGGGATAGTATGTGATCTTTTGTTACTGACTTGTTTCATTTAACACTATGTTTTCAAGAATCATCCACATGGTACCACACACACTTTATTTTATGGGAAACAAATATTACTTTGCATGGATATACTACATTTTGCTTGTTGATTCATCAGTTAATGGACATTTGGCTTATTTTTTCCTTTGGAATATTATAAATGCTGTGATGAACATTTGTGCACAAGTCTTTGTTAGATTTTTTTTTGTCTTGGGTGTATACCTAGGAAATAAATTGCTAGGGCAAATGGTAACTCTATTTTTAGAAAATGTCAGATAGTTTTTCTAAGTGACTTGACTGCACCATTTTACATAACCACCAGTAATGTATGAGGTTTCCATTTTCACCACATTCTCATCAACAGTTGTTATGGTCTGACTTTTAGGATTACACCTCTCCTACTGAGTGTAAAGTGGTACCTCATTGCAATATTGCTTTTCATATCTTTAACCAATGACATTGAGCATCTTTCCATGTGCTTATTGGCCATAGGTATATCTTCTTTAGAGAAATGTCTATTCAAATCCTTTTCTCATTAAATTTTAAAACATCTTTTCATTATTGAGTTGTAAGAGCTTGTCTTAAATATTTTGGACACATGTCCCTTATCAAATATATGATTTGCAAATATTTTCTCCCATTCTGTTGGTTGTCTTTTCACTTTTTGGATAGTATCCTTTTAAGCACAATCGTTTTCAATTTTGATAGTATCCCATATATGTTTTCTTTTCTTGCTGTCATGTCTAAGAATCTGTGGGCAAATGTATGGTCATAAAGGTTTACTTCTATATTCCTGGTAAGATTTTTATAGTTGTGGCTCTTACATATTTTTCTTTATCTGTAGTTACATTTTTGTTTCAGCCTATATTGTCTGATATTAGTACAGCCACTCCAATTGTCTTATGGTTGCTATTTGCATATCTTTTCTTCATCCTTTTACCATTAATCTATTTGTTTCTTTAAATCTAAAGTATGTTTCCTACACATAGCCTGTACTTGTATCTTGTTTTTGCTTTTGTTTTTGTTTTTGAGATGGATCTCCCTCTGTCACCCAGACTGGAATGCAATGGTGCGATCTCTGCTCACTGTGACCTCCACCTCTGGGTTCAAGCTATTCTCCTGCCTCAGCCTCTCGAGTAGCTGGGATTACAGGTGCGTGCCACCATGCCCAGCTAACTTTTGTATTTTTACTAGGGTTTTTGCCATGTTGGCAAGGCTGGTTAGGTGATCCGCCCATCTCAGCCTCCCAAAGTGCTGGGATTACAGTCGTGAGCGACTGTGTTCTGACTTTTTTCTTCTTTTATTTCTTGGCATACCAACTTATTCAGTTTACAGAGTTCATTCACATTATTTTTTTAATTAAGGTGAAATTCACAGAATACTAAATTGATTGTTTTGAAGGGAACAATTCAATGAGTGAGTAGCATTTAGTACATTGTTGTGCAACTTCTGTATCTATCTAGTTCCAAAACATTTTTATTTCATCCCAAAGGTATTCTACCTTGAAAAAGAAAGAGTGTAGATAGTGCAAAAATGGTCAGCTAAAATACTTTGGGAAATAATTCATCAAAAATGGTTCTTGGAAATGGAAGGATTGTCTTGCAGTTTTTCAGCCATGCATTGGGCGACTTCAGTTTCACAAAAACAGTAGACAGGGACAGTTGGGGGCTAAGCTCATGGGAGCATGACCTTGGAAATTTTTTATTCCTTCAGTTTCAGAATCTTTTACCGTGATCAACAGTGAGGTTGAGTCTCATTATTTGGTCACATATGTACTTGTTAAGAACTCCAGAGCTATGCAACTCATGTAGACTACAGCCTTAGATAGTTGTTGATGACTGACATAAGGGCTTCTTGAGACTTTCATCTTTTGGATGACTATTAATTTTTTGAACAACTGGCTGTGCTGAAACCACTTAAAACAATACAAATGAGAAATCCCTAGCAAGACTGAAATGAAAAAGAGACAAGGTGCAAATTACCAACAACAGGAATGAAACACTGGATATGTTTAAATTTTCTGCAGGCTATAGAGCCTGCAGGTGTAAAAGTAATAGGGAACACTATGAACAACTCTACATAAATAAATTTGTCAATTTAGATGAAATATGCCACTTCCTGAAAGATAGACAGTACTAGTAGTCAGCCAATATAAATAGATCATTTAAATAGCTTTGTAACCATTAACAAAATTGAATTAATAATTAGAAAACTCCTCTTAAAAAAGAAAATTAAAGGGTCCAGTGGTTTTACTGAAGCATTCTTCCAAATGTTAAAAACAAAAACCAATTTCAGTTCTACACAAAAAAGGAGTGGATGAAATAACACCCTCAAATTCATTTTATAAAGTTACCATGGACTTGGTAAAAAAAACTAGAAACAGACAGCACAAAAGTAGGAAGCTACACATCAATATCTATCATGAATATAGAGGGAAAATGCTGAACAAAATATTAGGAAATTCAATTCAGCAACAGAAAAAAAAATGATTACACACCGTGACTATTTGGGGTTCAGCATATTAACAGGATAAATAAGAAAAATCTCATTATCATATGAATTTATACAGAAAAAAAATGGACACAGTTAAACACATATTCATGACAAAAACTCAGAAAACTAGGAATTGAGTGGAACTTCTTCAAATTGCTAAAGAGCACCAACAATAAACTCCAGCTAATGTTAAACTAATGGTGAAAACCTGCATGATTTCCTCCCTAAGAAAGGAGACAAGCAAGGGTGTCCAGTATGCCACACTGATTTAATGTGGCATTTGGAGATCTTTCCAAGGTAATAAGACAAGAAAAGAAAATTTAAAACATTTACATCAGAAAGTAAATTATCTCTATTTGCCAATTAGATGGTTATTTATGTAGAATATCCCCAGGAATCTACCAGAAAACAAAAAATTTTATTATTATTATTATTGTACTTTAAGTTTTAGGGTACATGTGCACAATGTGCAGGTTTGTTACATATGTATACATGTGCCATGTTGGCATGCTGCACCCATTAACTCATCATTTAGCGTTAGGTATATCTCCTAATGCTATCCCTCCCCCCTCCCCCTCCCCCACAACAGTCCCCGGTGTGTGATGTTCCCCTTCTTGTGTCCATGTGTTCTCACTGCTCAATTCCCACCTATGAGTGAGAACACGTGTGTTTGTTTTTTTGTCCTTACGATAGTTTGCTGAGAATGATGGTTTCCAGCTTCATCCATGTCCCTACAAATGACATGAACTCATCATTTCTTATGGCTGCATAGTATTCCATGGTGTATATGTGCCACATTTTCTTAATCCAGTCTATCATTGTTGGACATTTGGGTTGGTTCCAAGTCTTTGTTATTGTGAATAGTGCCGCAATAAACATACGTGTGCATGTGTCTTTATAGCAGCATGATTTATAATCCTTTGGGTATATACCTAGTAATGGGATGGCTGGGTCAAATGGTATTTCTAGTTCTAGATCCCTGAGGAATCGCCACACTGACTTCCACAATGGTTGAACTAGTTTGCAGTCCCACCAACAGTGTAAAAGTGTTCCTATTTCTCCACATCCTCTCCAGCACCTGTTGTTTCCTGACTTTTTAATGACTGCCATTCTAACTGGTGTGAGATGGTATCTCATTGTGGTTTTGATTTGCATTTCTCTGATGGCCAATAATGATGAGCATTTTTTCATGTGTTTTTTGGCTGCATAAATGTCTTCTTTTGAGAAGTGTCTGTTCCTACCCTTTGCCCACTTATTGATGGGGTTGTTTGTTTTTTTCTTGTAAATTTGTTTGAGTTCATTGTAGATTCTGGATATTAGCCCCTTGTCAGTTGAGTAGGTTGCAAAAATTTTCTCCCATTCTGTAGGTTGCCTGTTCACTCTGACGGTGGTTTCTTTTTCTGTGCAGAAGCTCTTTAGTTTAATTAGATCCCATTTGTCGATTTTGGCTTTTGTTGCCATTGCTTTTGGTGTTTTAGACATGAAGTCCTTGCCCATGCCTATGTCCTGAATGGTATTGCCTAGGTTTTCTTCTAGGGTTTTTATGGTTTTCTAGTAACTTAGTTCAGCAAGGTCACAGGAGACATGATAAACATACAAATCAATTGTGCTCCTATATACTGTCAATGAGCAGGTGGAAACAAAATAAAAGTTGCAATAGCATTTTAAGTCACTTAAAAATATAAAATAATTAGATGTAAATATAACAAAAATTGTACAAGATTTGTATGCTGAAATCTACATAATATTGATGAAATAGGTGAATGAAAACACAAGTAAATAGGGAGGCATGTCATTCATGGGATGGGAGACTCAGTAAAAAATATCAATTCTCCTCTTTTGAAACACAAGATTTAATTCAAATTCCAGTGAAATTTTTGTAGTTATAACAAGTTTATTTTGAAACTTATGTGGAACAGCAAAGGAACTCAGATAGCTAAAGTAATTTAGAAATAAAAGAATAATATGGTAGGAATCATTCTATCATATTTAAGAATTATTTTTCAGCTATAGTAATTAAGTCCCTATGGTATGGGAAGAGAGATAGACAAATAGATCAATAGAATGAAAAAGAAATCCCAGAAACAGACACAAAGATATGCCAATTTTTAACAAAGGTATAAAAAATAATTCAGTGAAGAAAAGAAAGCCTTTCTAACAAATGTTTCTGGAGCCATAGTACATCCCCGGGTGGAAAAATAAACCTTTACATCTCACACCACGTACAAAAACTAATTCAAAATGGATCACATGTTTAAATATACAATATAAAGTTAGAAACCTTTTAGAGAAAAGACTTGGGAGAAAATCATTGGAATCTAGGTGTAAACCAAGCATTCTTATACCTAACACCAAAAAAAATCTATTATATGAAAAAAATGTTAAATTAGACTGTATGGAAAGTAAAATTTTGTTCCATAAAAGACTCTGTTAAGAGGATAAAAATGCAAGCCACACAATGGGAGAAAATATTTGCATACTGAGTGTGGGTGTCCATTCAAAAACTTACTATCTAGCATATATAAAAAATTTCAAAAGTCGACAGTAAAAATCTAAACAATGCAATTAGAAAATGAGCAAAAGACATAGATATTTCAAAATATCTATCTATCTAATGATGGCAAATCAGCACATGAAATCAATATTAACTATCAGATAAATGCAAATTAAAGTCACAATGAGAAATTATAATACACCTATAAGAATGGCTAAAATTACAATATATATATATATATTTTATGTTGCTACTATATGCAGGCAAGGATGTGGAGAAAGTGGATCACTCATTGCTCATAAAAATACAAAATGGTACAGCCACTCTAGAAAGCAATTTGGCTCTTAAAATCTAAATGTATATTTATCATATGATGATGATTTTCTGAAAGCTTTTATCTCAGATAAATAAAAACTTATCTTCACAGTAAGTCTAGACACAAATATTTATACCAGCACATTTATTTGTTTTTATTTTTGTTTTTCTACCATAAACAAAAAGTGGAAAAAAGTCCAATGTTCTCAACAGGTGAATTAACAAACTGCGGTACACCCGTACCACGGATTACTATTCAGTAATAAAAAGGAATACAGAAAAACTTTCATGAATCTCCAGGGATACACACTGAATGAAAAAAGCCAATCTAAAACAGTTAATACTATGTAATTCTATTTGTGTAACATTTTTAAAAGGCCAGTATTTTAGAAATGGAGAAAAAATCGGTGTTAGCCAGGAGTTAGTGACTGGGAAGGCTTGGAGAAGACTGATGTGATTATAAAGGGAATCCTTGCAATGAAACTGTTCTGTGCCTTCACTCTTTGGTGGATAAACAAATGTACACAGGTAATAAAATCATATAGAGCTAAATACACACACAAATGAATACAAGTAAAACTGGAGAAGTATGAATACAATAAACTGATTTTACCAACATAGATATCATAGTTTCTATATTGTACTATAGTTTTACAAGACATTACCTTTAGGAAAAAAATGAATAAAAAGTGAACTGAATTTCTTCATGTTACTTCTTATGACAGCATGTAAATCCAGTTTTACAAAATAACTTTGAAATTAAAATAAATTCTGCCAGAACTTCAAATGTCTGATGCTATTGATACAGTAACAATTATACATGTAAGAATTCTGACAACTATCTGGAGGCTGTTTGATACACTTGCTATTGCTCATATTCAAATGTTGGGGGCAATAAAAACATAGATATTCAGACCTTCAAAATCTCAGAACTAATCATGATTTCACCATGCTGGTCAGATCGCCGAGTAGTGAAACAAATTGAAATAAATATTTTCTGCAGACAGGAGGAAAAGTAAAGAAATATATAGTACTCAATCTGGGGAGGAGAACATGACAGGAGCATGACTTAGCTCTCTGCTCACAGGGACTCTACCCTTGCCAAAGTGAATGCAGAGGAGGGACAAAAAGTTGATTTATGTTCCCAGTCATGTCACTAAAACTGTTAGAGAAAAGCAACCAGATCACCTGTAAGCACCCATCAGCATAAAAAACCCTGCAAAGGAGTGTGCTACCTTAGGAAAGAAAAGTGGAGTCTTCACAGAGCTTTAGCAAGAGGCGTCAACCAAAGCTCTGCTAGTTTCAGGAACAGCTATCCGCATATGATCTAAATATCAAAGACACAGGAATTGTTCTTGTGGTTTAGCAGTGTCGGTTTGAAGAACTATGGTTTAGCAAGATGTGTAGTGAAGAATACTGGAGAATTGAGACCATGCGAAGGTCATAGAAAAAGGTTTTTTTCCTTAGAGCATTTTATAACATAGAGGAGTATTGAGGTCATTCCTATTTTCATAGTGGAAAAATGAGACAAAACACAACCAAGATATTTTCAGAGTAATTCTAGAACTTTAAGCTATTTTGAGGCTTTCTATGTTCTTATTTGTTAGACTATTATGAGAATCTGCCCTGGATTATCAATCTGCTCCACTCACATTGTCAAATAAACATAACTCAAGGCTTTGTTCTTCTCTGAAATACCTGAACTCTAATTTGTAGTGATTAATTTTTGCACAAGTAAACTTTCCTACAGCTGACTGGGATAATAATTGTTATCTAGTAGAGTGGTGGTATTTGTGCAAAATTTATTTAGAAAGCAAAATTAATTAAGACTTTTTAAAAGCAATAGTATTTTCTATGATGAAGGCACAAAATTATTTCTTTGCAATTCAAAGAATATTGTATATAAATTGTTTTGAAACTCTCTTAAATCCTATTCTGCAATGTGTGAACAATAATTTCTGTACTATGAAATTATTGATCATCCGGGTGTATGGGCTGTAGTCACTGAGTCAACTAAAAAACAAACAAACAAACAAACAGAACAGCGACAACAACAAAAAACACCCCGAAACAGAAATATCAAATAAAGCTACCAGAATACAAGTTCAGTAAAGTAAGCCTAAGTTACTATTACATTCTAATAAATAATTTTTCCCTCAAGAACATTGATTTAGAGGCATTGCAACAGATGTTGGCACTTATGTCAGATTTCCCTTATAAAGCCATTAAAAAGTTAAGGTGGGTCTAACTACTCACTGTATCTAAAATAAAATATTTTTTAAGCAATAAAAAAAAATAAGTAGTAAACCACAGTCCTCACCTTCGAAAATTTCGTATTTTAAAAAGACGGAGACGAAGTCATCCTTGAGGCAATAGAAATTCTAAGATGGCTGCATCATGACTACGTCTGTATTCAACTAGCGGTAACTTCGATTTCTGCCACTCCTAGGGCAAGCACAGGATACAGGAAGTAGCGGCTGTCAGCTGGGTGTCAGTGCGTCCGAGGCGGCTCTGCAGCTGCAGCTGTTTCAACAGGCATGCACACATGCTTCTGTGATTGGTCTCCCTGGCCCCTGAAATCTAGAGGAAGATGAACAGGCAACTGAGTATTCAAGGAGACCAGGGAGAATGGGCTCAGCTAGTATAATGGGGAATAAAATTTTTAGGTGCAAAATAATTTGCAGGGCCAGGCGCGGTGGCTTGCGCCTGTAATCCAAGCATTCTTGGAGCCGGAAGGGGGAGAATCGTTTGAGCCCAAGAGTTTGAGTCCAGCCTGGGCAACAGGTGAGACCCCGTGTCTACAAAAAGTACAAAAATGATCCGGGCGTGGTGGTGTGTGCCTGTAGTCCCAGCTATTTGGGAGACTGAGGTGGAGGGCTCATCTTAGCCCTGGAGGTCAAGACTCCAATGAGTGGTGATAGCACACTGCAGTCCACCCTGAGTGACAGAGTGGACCCTGTCCAAAAAAAATATGGAAGTAATGAAATTCACTTCTCAGAAATTATATTTTGGGACTCACAATTGACCAATGCCTGGAGCGCACACAGTATAAAATTCATCACCATGGTTTCCTGTAGAGCCCGGCTCCCATGGGCTGCTCCCAGCCAATGACTGGATATTGAGGTGGCAGAAATGCTAAAGCAGGCTGCTTCCTGGGAGACAGGGTCTTGTCTGATGGGAGATTTTGGGCTGAGCAATTTGCACCAGCCTTATCAAACATCCTTATACCTGTACCACAGTCTAGGAATCTTCCATCCAACCTCCCTTCCTTCCTAGTGTTCTTCAAGGGCGGATCTGCATCCTGCTGAGTCAGTGGGACTGCCTTCCTCTGCCCTCCTCTGACTCCTACACCGTCTTATCTCACAGGCACTTCCTTTGATACATCTCTCGAACATGTTGGGGATCCTATTGGCATCTGCTTCTCACAGCGGCCAGATTAACACAAGCCTCTTTATTTTCATTCACATTTAAGACTGCTGATTTGGTGCACCACTGATTTACTCCACTAACCAGGGGGCTTACAAAAATAATCTAACAACACATATATGGGAACCCAGAAACCAGGCAGAAGAAGAAGAAATAGAAGAGATGTCCAAAAAAGTAGAGATTCTTGATGAAATGTGACTCAAAAAATAAATGTGACTCTGAAAATTTAATAACATAATGAGAGTACTTGAGATACACAGTATTATTTTAAAAAGTTGCAAGCGAGTCTTCCAATTTAACATATAAAATCAGGAGATATAATCTACTCAAAGATGATTACTTAGGTGCAGATTAATGTCTTAGAAGATCAAGATGAAGAGTTATCCCTAAGCCCAGGGCAAAATTACAAGAAAAACTCACTACAACAGGTTCACAAAATCTTATATGTAAGTGAGAGATCTGAGTATAAAAGGGACTGATAGGGCAAAAAATGATTAAATCAATAATGTAATTTTCCTGAGCTGAAGAAAGAAACACTATTTCGGATTCAAAGAGTTCACCAAGTGTTTTGGGGAAGACCGATTAGAAGAGAAAATCACCATGGCATAGCATGCATGATTTCTACATCTTCTCAAGTTTATGAATTTCAAAAATAAAGATAACATTCTGCAGATAATCTTAGAAGGAACATACTATCTATTATGGGAAAAATTAGACAGGTGTCTGTGTTGTCATCTGAAATGTCAGGAGCCGAAAGATCGAAATATTATCTGCAGAATAGTGAGAATAGAGACCTGAAACTAATAAATGATATACACAGGCAAGATATCATCCCTGTTGTGACTGGAGAGATATTTGCAGATATGTAGGCATTCAGAGTGTATATGATCCATATCACATGTTAGACTATTTATTGAATTCTTCTATGTAATGAGGATTTTGCTAGCGTTTTATATACATCAACTTATTTGATCTTTGCAACTCTGTGAGATAGATGGATTTATTCTGTTTTCACTTGAAGAACTGTGGCTCTAAGAGGTTAACAAATTTAGAGAGGTGCAGTGGCTCATGCGTGTAATCCCACCATTTTGAGAGGCTGAGGCCGGCAGATCACCTAAGCTCAGGAGTTCAAGACCAACCTGAACAACATGGCAAAACACCATGTCTACCAAACACACACACACACACACACACACAGACACACAAAGGCCAGGCATGGTGGCATGTGCCTGTGGTTCCAGCTACTTGGGAGGCTGGGAGGATGGCTTGAGCCTAGTAGGCTGAGGATGCAGTGAGCTGAGATTGTGCCACTGCACTCCAGCCTGGGCGACAGAGCAAGACTCCTGTCTCAAAAAAAAAAAAAAGAGGTTAACAAATATGGGCAAAGCACAGAACAGGCATGCTATCTTTGGATAAAAATCAAGTGGTTCTAATCCTGTTTACTTCTTAAAAGTATCATTTTTTAGGTAGCTGTAGTGGTGATGGAAACTAAAATACCAGTTTTATATTTATTATACTATTTTTGATTGAAAAAAATGTAGGATTTTTTCTTTGTTCAGAAAAAGAGACTTTCTGATAACCTGCTAGTCTTCAGCAGATGGCAGTTTGAAAAAACTACTAAATTTTAACTTTAAAATAAGATGTGTATATTTGTGTGTATCTTTAATATCTATATTTAAGGTCAATATGTCAGATAAATGCTAAAGGGAACTCATGGCTTTGTGATTTTTTTGTTTATGTTCAAAAGTCCATCCTTGTCAAATAAGTGGGGTCTCTTGGACGAAAACAGAAGCATAGCAGTAATGTTAAAGATTTTGAAATGCCAAGGTAGACTTCTCAGCAAATCAGGGTAAATTAATAAGATAAATTATATATACAGTGATATGATAAATCTAGTTTATTACATCTTGTAATGGTATGCTAGCCTTTTAAAGAGACGTATTAAGCATGTAGTATACCACAGTATTAACAGCATAAAAAATAACATAGTAACTAGCTCCTAAGAAGCCTGAGAGAGTTAATAGACTTCTGATACTGGTACTGATTGACTTATTGTCAGGGAATACATCAGATGCCAGAGAGAACTGACAGAGACTATTATTTCCCCTAAGCACACGCATAATGAAAGAACAGGGCTTTGACCTTTGAATTTTCTATAGCACATATTCCAGTTCACCTTCCATACAATTCCTGCCTCTACATAACTGTTCACTGTAGGCTGTTCTGTGTACAATGAGTTCTGCATTATGAAGGCTTAGTTTATGTAATAGACCTCAAGAGAGCTGGTAATTAAAAATTTGTGCCTTTCTTTTGCCAAGTACAGAAAAAATCATGACTCATCTCAAGAATTCTAAGAAAGTATCATTTTTCGGTGAGCATTTAATAGAAAACTGAAAGATCCCTCACTTATTTTGGCAGTGAAATAAATCAACATATTTTTTTTTAAAAAGCATAGCCTCATAATATCAATGGACACTAAAGAGAAAGAAATCTATAAGGATAAAAATGAGAATCACATATCACAGTTTTAAAGTCAATTAAATGTATTCAGAGTTAAAGTTTGAATTTATGAGGGAATGAAAATTATTTCTAATGAGAGCACTGAAAGGCATATGTTAGGTGTTGAACATTTTTTACCATGCTAATTGTTAAATTAATGTGATAAAAATGTTCACATTATTGCTAGCTTCTTGTTTGGCTGCCTTAAATGGTTATTTTTATTAGCTTTGATTATGGGCTGCTGTAAATATGACACTAAAAGAGTGTTCCAGTCAGATCTATGCTGGACAATTTTATTATACTCTGGCTGGAGATGCTGGCAGTGTACCTTGTTTGAAAGACATAATTTTTAGTTGACTTTAATGCTTGGACCTTATGATGTGGCTAATAAATAAAGCATAAGATAAACAGTTTTATTAGATACTAAATATTATAATAGTGACTATGACCTTTCACTTGCGTAACAGAGACTAAGTCCTCAGTACGTCTTCATCTCATACCTACTACCTTGTTCTTACAGAGGATTATGTTACTGCCCCTTTAAGAGATTATTCAAAGAAAAAATTGAATTTAAGTAATTATAACGCCATTCTCAATCATTGGAATAATTTTATTGCCTATGATTTTTGAAAAGCAGCTGAATGTCCCAATGGCTAACTATGGCATTGCACAGTGAAGATCCAAGAGAAAATTGCAGCAGAAAATAAGACAATACATTTATTTCAGATGGAATAGAAATAGAACGGCTCATTCAGTATCAGTATTCATTGGTGTCCTGACACACAAACACACACACACACACAGACACACACAAATATGCATGCACACAGGCAGCCCCCACAGTGAGAAGTCCCACCACCTATCTGAAAGTCTTCCTTTTTCCCATGTGCAGAGCCCAGCTGCAGAGCACTCACTCCCACTGGCTGACACCTTTGTTGTGATCTTATCACGATTCATCTACCACAGTTGTCCACTCCTGCTTCCTCCGTTTTCTACCAGATGTTGATTTGAGGGGCCATCAGCTATAAGCTCCTGCCTGCAAAAATATTCCAGAGCCTATTTCACCAGTAATCTAACTTTAGGTACTTAATGAAGCCTTAAGTAATAACTAAACAATTTGTACCATAAAATGTTATTTTCAAGTGTCTCTTTCCTAAACCAAATAAGTGTATGCATAGATTACTGTATGTAAGATCTAAGATAACCAATGGACTTTATTACTATATATACTCTCTAAAGGTTTTCGTATGAGGGCCACCTTTTCCTATGGCAGTATAAAAATGATTTCATGAGGAACACTGATAATTACAGATATGTTAAATATAGAACTGCATAATTTCACATCGAGTCTTTAGATGCTTCATGTCATGGTTCATCTTTGAAGTGTTCGGTATTTTAGGAGTTTCTATATATGTGAATATTATGTGCTGACACTGTTTGAAAGAGCATGGAGAAAATCTTTTAAGGTACACTATTTAAAAAGGAAATTATGCATATTTTATGAAGTATGATCCTTAAATTAGAAAATTTAATTTTCAAATTATTTGATATATTAAAAAGACAGAATCAGCCATTTTCATTTATTTTAAATCATACAAATGAATCTTATTTTCTCATTTGAATAGATTATTGTATTTTATTCAACTTGATAACCCTGAAATTCAAGTACTTGAATCTCTTATGAAAACCCTATGAAGAAAAATATAAATTTTCTAATCTATTTGGTCAAAGAACTAAAAAGAGTAAAATAGTTAAATTTAATCATGGCTTTGGAAAACGTCCTGTGGCTATGTGTAAGATATTAATTCACTGTTTCCAATTTTTTATAATAGAGTCTGAGTTGAATTTAATTCTTCAACTTTTCCAAATATGTCGAATAAATATCATTTATTCTACGATATACAGTATACTATGCAATCATTAAACTTCAGTTAGTGATATATTAATGTAAATATTGTGCTCCCCTCAAAAAAGATAGTCTTTTTCAGAAAAATATATACATAAATTAAAAATTAAAAGTTGAATTACTCATATGTCAAATATTGAATGATTTAGTGTATATTCATTGAACTAATATGAATCATGTCATTTTAGGAAAATAGCCATGATGTTAAGATAATGGAAGGGGTGAGGAACTGACTTTGCCATGAATTGAAGGAAGACTTTTCAGAGGCAACAATATTTGAGATAAGCTTTTTTTGGTTAATAGAAATTTGGAAGGTACATAGGGAAGCAACGAGTATGTTCATTGTATAGATTAAAATGAGTTTATTGTAAATATTTCTAGAAGATAAGATTCTGTGAGCCTCAAATAGAAAAACATGAAGTTCAAGAAAGAAGGTAAGAGCCAGATTTAGAAAGCCCTTTTGTTCCTGGCCATATAATTTGGAAAATTAATATATACATAATTAAATAATTCAGTGAGAGTACTGAGTACTGTGGATGGTGGGAACCAGTTTTCTCACCATGGAATGAAAAGTCATAAACAAGTGGTGGAGACTGGGATGATTCATGGGTTAATGGGTTATAATTTGACGTGTCAAAATGAACTCATCTTCAGCTCAATATAGATGAAGATATTTACTTACAGAAAGATTTACAGATATGTGTAAAGACAGCAGTGTGTATACACACATATATTCCCTTTCTCTATTAGCTTAGAGGGCCTAGAACCAATGACATCCAAATAACAGTCAGCACATCTACTGCACAGATCTTTGTGTCTAATAGTATTCAACAACAACAACAAAACAAAACACCACAGTGTTTTCATGAAGAAATGGCTCATTCTAGGACTTGGCCAGAAAATTTGCAAGATAAACTTGAAGCACCCTATCATATCAGAAAGTAATAAAATACTGAGTAATAAACAAACACAATGACAGCAATACACCGAAGGGACACACAGGTTAACTGAAAGAGTTCCTAGTGGCCAAGATAAAAGTAATTTGGGAATCAAATACAGAAATCATAAAATAAATATTCACAAGTCCATACTCATATAAATTAATGATTGAATAAATATTAGAGAGGAATAAACATATCTCTCTTGCAGAAGGATTTCAAAGAGCTTCTGTAGATTCTCTGCCCTCAATGAGGCAGAGCGTAATTTCCCACTCTTTATGTGTAAAATAAGCATAGTAACTTTCTTACAAAATTAAAATATGAGAAAAAAAAGAGTAATTTCAATGTGGAGAAGGCTGATCAATGCTACCCTTCCCAGTTGATGAAGGTCAACATCAGCAGTTATAAATCATGTTGATATTATTTACCTTTGATAATGATGTGATGAAAATGACACTGCACCTCTCTGGCTTTTCTCCATAAAACCCATAAATCCAGTATTATTATGAGAAAATATCAGAAAAATACCAAAGGAGGAATACTCTTTAAACACCTACTCAGTACTTTTCAAAATTATGAAGGTAATAAAAAAATAAGAAAAGTTTGAAAAAAACTATTGTAACCCAAATGAGCCTGTTAAGCAATGACCACTAAACACAATGTGATATCCTGGATGGGACACTAGTATGAAAAAGAAAATTAAGTAAAACCTAAGGAAATTGGAATAAAGTGTGGATTTTTATTAATAAAGTATAAATACTGGTTTATTGTTATATATTATTATGTCTTAATAACAAGGAAAACTAGGTTTGGGTTTATAGAAATTTCCCTACTATATTCATAATTTTTGTAAATATAAAATTATTCTAAATTAATTTTTTAAGATGAATATCACAAAAATTTCATACGTTGCTACAGGTAGGTCACAAAATTAGCTGTATGTTTTCTAGTGGCAAACACAAACAGATAACCCTTTTGACCTCACAATGTCAATAAGGAACTCAAAGAAAAAGCTAACACAATTTCCTCAGAGCAATTACTTCAAGATCGTCAGGAATAGGATGTAGGTATTTTAAAAATAGTCCCGACTACTCCAAACGGTGCACAGGTTTAAATATTGGCCATGTACATTTCCTGGGTTTGTACAAATGTGTAATGACATGTATCCACCATTATAGTATCATTACAGTACAAAATACCTTCACTGGCCTAAGAATTCTCCTTAAGCATCACTTATTCATGTGTAAACTATATATATTTTTTAACGTTCCGGAATACATGTGCAGGATGTGCAGGTTTGATACATAGTAAACATGTGCCATAGTGGTTTGCTGTACCTGTCAACCCATCACCTAGGTATTAAGCCCAGCATGCATTAGCTCTTTTCCCTAATACTCTCCCCAGACCCCATCCTCCAATGTACCTTATAGTGGTATTATGAAAATTAAATTACAACAGGAGTGTAAAGCACTTAGCATATTACTTAGTTGAGAATCAATAAGTAAGCCATAATGATGATGATAATAATAATAATGTAACAATATTTCTGTTGGTTTTGTTATTCATTATTCATAGTATAATTGATGATTTAACAAAGTACGTTTCAAGAGAGTGGTAGTGACAGAAATAGAAATTGAATGGGACTGAGATGTGAATGAGAGGCGAAGGCAAGAAATCAACCTGGGGAGGAGCACCCAGGCGAGAGTTGATTCAAAATCAAGAGATGAGCTTATTTACTTATTTTAGGATAGAGATTCTTGGATTTAATTGCATTAGGTTACCAGTAAGGGTTGGCTTTGGGCTGGTGGTGTAGGTAGGATTTCATTTACTGAATGTTTTCCTTTAGAGTTACTTTTCATTTGCTTCTGTAAAATATGAAATGCTGTGCTTCTACCTAGAAATTCCATATGTTTATATAATTCAAGAGTAATGCTCCTCATAGCCAAGACATGTTTATAATAAATTCCAGAGATTTTATATTAAAAAAGCTGCTTGTGATTGACTTTAAAATGGATTAACATGGCATTTTAACTTAAAACATTATATATATGTGTACACACACACACACACACACACACACACACACACGTTAAATACTATGTCTGAACACTTGTAAATTTTAGTTAAATATTTGTACTTACTGGTATTACAATTGCCACAAATAGTATCTACCCAGGGAAGTAATAAATATTGTTGCTATGTGCTTGCATAAATATTGCACACATTCTGGGCCTCCTCTGAATTTTTCTTTGAACTTGCTATTCTCTTATTCCCTGCTAAATTACTGTTATCATTTCTAGTTTGGTTTCTATGAATCATACCCTCACACCCCAGACTCTTTCTTAATTGTGGGTAAGACAAGTGGTACAGCTTTCCACCGTAATCAAAACTGAAAGAGGCTGTGGCAAAAGCCAGCCTTTCCTTGTCCACAGCTGCCTATACATCCCCTTTGGTACAACCATCAATAAGCATCTCCGTAGTGGGGCATGCAGCAGCCCTCGCAGGAGACACATCACATTGGAGCTTCCAATAGTGCATCCTCCAGTGCTGGAAGGTTTATTTTGTCACTTCTGTACCTGATATGGTAGCAATGTTCTTTTTACTTTCTATTCTCCTGAAAGATTTCAAAAACAGGACTGCTTTATTATTTTCATTTGTGCCGCTTGCCTTTTAAACATTTTTAGGGGACAGCAGTGTCTTTCCATTTTCCATTCATGGATTTCCTGTATGACACTGCAGGTGTTCTTTTTGTTGTTGTTGTTGTTGTTTTTAGAGACGGAGTCTCACTCTGTTGCCCAGGCTGGAGTGCAGTGTTGCGATATCGGCTCATGGCAACCTCCGCCTCCTGGATTCAAACTATTCTCCTGCCTCAGCCTCTCAAGTAGCTGGGACTACAGGTGCCCGCCACCACGCCCGGCTAATTTTTTTGCATTTTTAGTAGAGACGGGGGTTTCACCATGTTAGCCAGGGTGGTCTCGATCTCTTCACCTCATAATCTGCCCGCCTTGGCCTCCCAAAGTGCTGGGATTACAGGCGTGAGCCACCTCGCCAGGCCTGCTGCAGGTGGTTTTAAAGAGAGTTAGCTAACCTGCTTGACCCAGCCACTGCAATGCCCATCTGAAAGATCACACACACACACACACACACACTCACACACAACACATATAGACAAACACACACACACACTAGATACAGAAAGAGAGAGAGCACTGGAGTTAGACAATAGGATTAAGGAAAATAATTCTGATATTAGTCTCTCTCCTACGTTTATTCCAACAAGTTGTTTTTGGTTTAGCTTTCAGAAATACAATTTTATTTCAATGAAGGTTTTGAATTTTTTATGAGAAGCTGTTTATTGCTTTTTGGTTTTGATTTTTTGGTCAGAAGTAATTGAGATGTCTTTACAAGTGAAAAATAAGGAAATCAAGGTTAAGTGCATGAAAATTTTTTCTGCTTTGAATTACTTTTGTATATAATTCAGTAAATCAAGCTATAAAGAGGTGATTATTTGTATCACCTAATAGAGTGTGGAAACGTCTTTTGCTATGTCACTGTTAAAATGACATGATGACCTTGGTGACATGGAAATGGGAGCATTTGCAGTTCTTTCGTCCATGTACTTCCCCTGTTTGGGGTCCTAAGAGAGAAGGCAGCCGGGTGGACCGTGGGCTCAGCAAGCAAGGAAAGTTTTAGAAAGAGACATTTCTTCATGGGACCTCGCCATCCAAGAAAATTGTCCTCACTGCAGTGCACTTCCACTAAAGAGAGTGTCTTCAAATCTCAGGCGATATTACTTTGTAAGCCAAATTCAGCATCAGAAGGGAGAAAACTAGCCATCCAGGAAAGCTCCTTCTCTCATCAATTAACTTAGAGCTTTTCTGTGAACCAGAAAATACCTGGCCTACTAATTCCACTAAGAGACATTTTTAACATATTTACAATTTTGTCATGTATTTTGAAATTAAATTTTGAAATGTATTTTGTAATTCCTGAGGAAAACCACTATTTGTATTCTGCTGTGCTCTAATCACTTTTTTCCTATTCCTAGAATTTGCTTTTTTAAATATACACCAAAGCAAGCTGTATTTTGCTTTTTCCATAAAATAAAAACAAACATGTTTCTGCCATGTTTCACAAAATCCTAATAACATATACCTGAATAAAGTTGTTTATTTAACCCTTCTCAATGTTTAGATATGCAAATGATTTGATTTTTTCACAATTATATTATTTTTTGCTTTTTTCAAATTAATATCTTCCTAGCATAAATTTTTCATATTAAAATTATTAGTTTTTAAGTTACACTATTTTAAATACATTTTCAAATTTTATTTCAATTTTGGAATAAAGAAAAATGATTTTCAAATTTTAACAATCTCACATATTTTAAACTAATATGTAGTAATTCCAAAGCCCTGAATTACTACACAACCACAGAAGTTAATAAAATAAGAAAGTTTAACATTGGCAAAATCCTGTAATGTAACTCACAATCTATATATGCAAATTTAGGCACACATCTCATGATGTACTGAAATCAGTCCATATCACAAGTACTGTATACCATGTGTCTATGTCATAGTTCATAAAGCAATTCTCTGCAAATGAGCGTTTTGCAAAATGTTGACATATTCTCAGAATAATAGTCCGAGTTACATATATTGAACATCATTAGAAATTTTCGTTCACCTGTGTTATTTTATTTTGTTTTTCACTTTATTATGGAACATACGTATCTTTGCAAAAACCTGTGCTAACCTGTGCACCAGTATTAGTAAATTTGCATTTCAATATACCATTGGACATCTGTGCCTTTAAAATGTTTTTATGTTCAAAATCGAATCTACTTATGACACAGACATATACTCAATAAAAAATATCTGATCATCTTTTAAACCAATATATTCAACAAAAAACATTAGCCTCCTGTGATTTTTTTTAACTTAATAATTAACACTGGCTAAGCAGAACTTTTGTGAACGTTTTGAATGTGGGCCCAGAATGAAGGTTATTCCAAGGTTAACAGCTTGTTTTGTTTAGCTTTTAAACAAGGGCAGTCTTCCAGGCTAGCTTTTCTCTGAATTGAATATAAGGAAATACATGTATTAGGATATATGCAGTTTCTTCCAATGCAATCACCCAGGATGCTCTGTAATTGTATCTCATAAAAGAATAAATGATGTTCTTCTTTTTCACTGCACATTATAGTACGTGTGTGAAGGATGAACAGCCAGAGTCTTGTGGTAGCTCTTCTATTCACTATCTGCTAAATTACAGGTGGTGTGGCTGTAGAGAATCATGGTGCCTGGGTAGCTGGTGTTGACAGTCCCCTCTTTCTAAAAATGCACTATTTCTATCTTACCAGGGGCTCCCATGAGCCAGTGTTCTCCTTCAAGGACACCTCTTCTTTTATAAGCAGATAAGTTATAAATAAAAGCTTGTTTAGAATTAACTCACTTTTTTGTCATTCCTTCTCTCTCATCATCCCAATTTCTTCTGCTTCACAAAAAATAACTTTGGCTTCCTACAAATCTGACCAAGCAATCACTTGCTTAGAGTTATAGTCTTCATGGCTGAGAGAAGTTAAATTGATTGCATTATTTTTTTTTGCAAATGGCCCTCAAAGGCCCTACAAAAAAGAGGCCTTAGTCATTTTGTCCCATGGTTGATAGACTATATTCTTGGCTGCGACCTTGTCCCACCTGTGATCACGCTGCTACAAATTAAATATCTTCATTTTATCTCTGAATATGAAGACTGAACAGCTGTTCACGTGGCGCCAACAGAAAGCTAGAATTTTAGCACTAAAAAAATTAAAATGAAAACTCTCAATTGCCTTTATGTGTCCTCTGGTGGCAAAATTCAGGGAGAAAATGAGTGACACAAAAAGTTTTTGTGAAGGCCTGCCAGGAAGTAGCCAGAGGTGGGTACAGGTGGGATTAGGAGGGGGAGCTGACATATTAGTCCATGGCACTTCATTCTATTTACTAAAAAGTAGTTCAGAGGCAGTTCTCAATATGAAGACACAAACCTGATGTACGGAAAGGCCAAAGAAAGCACTCCTGAGGGAACCTGGTAGAAAGTTTGCGGACTGTACTAATTTGCATTCCCACCAACAGTATATAAGTGTTCCATTTCCTTCGCATGGATGTTAACATCTGTTTTTTGCTTGTTTGTTTGTTTTTTTTCTTTAAGAGATAAAACTGGAACTACCATTCAATCCAGCAATTCCACTACTGGGTATCTACCCAAAAGAAAAGAAATCATTATATGAAAAGTACGCCTGCACTCACATGTTTTTGCAGTGCTATTCACAGTAGAAAACTCATGGAATCAACCTAGGTGCTTATCAAGGGATGATTGGATAAAGAAAACGTGGTACATATGATGGAATACAATGCAGCCATAAAAATGAACAAAATCATGTTTTTTGCAGCACTACAGGTGAAGCTGGAGGCCATAACCTAAGTGAAATAACTCAGAAGCAGAAAACTAAATACTGTGTGTTTTCACTTATAAGTGGGAGCTAAACTACAGGTACACATGGACATAAAGATGGAAATAATAAACACTGGGGACTTCAAATGGGGGGAAGGTGGGAGGAGAACGAGGGTTGCAAAATTATCTTTTGGTTAAAATGTTTACTATTTGGATAATGGGTACACTAGAATCCTAAACCTCATCATCATGCAACTTATGCATGTAACAAACCCACACATGTACTCTGGAATCGAAAATAAATGATAAATAAATAAACAAAGTGCAGGGAATTCAGAAGTGGCCTTTGCTTCCTCCTATGTCCAGTCACAGAGCAGGTAGTGAGTTTTAGAAGCCACTGTGTGAGTTTCCAGGAGCACAAAACTCTTCCCTTGCCATGCACTTCTGGCCTCCTGGGAGTGCTTTAAGGCATACCCCACAATCCCACTGTGGAAGAGCATTGGGTCTTACCACTCTCTCTAGGGGCTCAGCCAGCCTAAATGTCTGCAGAGGGTGTGCAATCAGCAGCAGCTTGGTGACACAGTGAGTGCTTTGGAGCTCAGCCAGTCAGCCTCACTCTCAGGCCACCGTTGGCTTAGGAAAAGATGAGTTATCCTTAGTGAGAGGAAAGTACAACACTTGGGTAATATGAGGTGATCTTGGACACATTCTCCACCTTGCTTTCTGTCAAACCTATTCTGCAGGCCCTATTGTCTTCTAAACCTGGAGAGGATAGCAGGGCCTGCAGTGGACGCTGGTTAGGAAAACTGCAGAATGCCTAGAACGGTGCCAGGGACTTACCGAGTTCTGCATCAGCGTTTGTAACATGAATGTTGTATGTCCTGGATGATGAGATAGAGGATGGGGCAAGACCTACAGACATGTGGCTGAGGGAAGAGTTGGAGTCTCTGAGTGCTCCTGGGCAGCATCTTGCACTCCTCACCCAAGCCCTGCCCTCCACTGGGACTTTAGCTTATTATAGGTGCTATCAGAAATGGGTATTTGGCTGCTTTGTTTTGTTTTGGCTAATTTATCACTAATTGCTTAGCAAACTACTATTTAATAACACAAGAAAATACAGCTTTTTAGGGGGCAGTTTACTTCCATTGTTTTAAAATATTGCATTAGGTTAATAAAAAATTAACATTTGCAACTCTGATTTCCTAGTATCTCAAGGTGATATCAACACAAAATTACTTTTAAAATTTCTTAAGAAAATCACTAGAAAGTTTTAAAGAGAAAAAGGAAATTCCAGCTCCCTCTGAAGCATTAGATGCCTGGACTCCGGGGTGATGTGAGCACAGTTGTGTAGATGCCATGCGAGGATGGAGGCCCCCCGGCCATCCCCCTGCTGAGTGGGTGGGAGGCAACATCAGCGCTTCCGTTTGTATCAGGAGCCATTGACTCATGGAGTACTCAGAATCGTTCACAACAAATGCTTAAGAGATTATGTGACTCATCTGAAGTTTCACAGGCCTGGAGATATAAAATAATGATTCAAAGATGCACAGGCCCGTGAAGGTGCTGCCATACCATGGAAGGCTATTGCATTGTGAATTCCCACAACCCAGATCAATGGCCCTCACCCAATTTTGTGGAGGGCGAATACCACCAGAACAAAAGAACTAATTAAGCATATGGGCTTCAAAGACAATCTTCTTTGAGTCTCTTGCCATAAAAGTATTTGACTAGATAAAATTCTTTCTTTATATAACAAATGCAATGTTTTGGCAAGTCAAGATCTTCTATAAGTCACAAACACACAGAAGTGAGAAGATGATGAGAGGAATCCACCTTGTTGGAGAAGAAGTGGAGACGTTTCCTAGAAAATGAAGGGAGAGATTCAGAGAGAGAGAGAGAGAACAGAGATTGAACTTATAGGTCCTGAATAACCCCTAATCCCCAACATCCATGGCCTCGTTGTAGGATGGAGCTGGGTATACACAAAATAGAAACCCAGAAAAGAGAGAAATGGAGCCCCAAACACAGTGAAGAGTAACTGAGCTCTCCAGTGTGCAGCCTGGAATATAACAAGCCAGTTAGAGAGGTGCTGGCATCCACACGGCTGCTAAGTTGTATTTTAGAAGAAGCTGTGATGAGTCTGGGATGCTGAAGGCCTGGAGGACTTGTAAGAAGTGTGAGGATGGATCTCTGTGGTTTTGGAATATGCATATTTCCAGACTGGGTCCCAGTAAAATGCTGGCAGCAGAGCTAGATGATGCTGGGAAGATCCAGATGATAAATGTCCTAGGCCCTGAAGGTGGAGACAGGGTCTGAGGACCTTTGTCCCATGCTGTCCAAGGGCCTGCCCAAGTAACTTGCCACTGACTGGGTACTATTAGGGAGACAAGAAAAAAAAGTCTGTTGAAAGACTAATTACCCCAAGGAATTTGAAGTTGAAACAGACAGCTTTAAACTGAAAAAAAAAAAAAAAAAGAACAAAAAACAAACAAAAAAACAGTTATGTATGTCTAAGGCAAAAGTTAAATTTTACATTCACATTTATCTCATTATTTCCTGCCTCTACCCAGCATAGTGATTATGGAAAGAATGATTAGATAGATCAGTAAGTTAATTGTTGGAGGCAAGGCTACATTTCCCTCCTGGAATATCAGAATATCCAGGGATACTGGCAGCACTGATATATGCAGTACCCCTGTCTTTTATCTCTATGGCAGTCCTTTGAAATAGAACTGCCTAAGCTCTAAGGACAGCCCATGCATGCATTTTGTTTGACTTTCATAGATGTAGCAGACACCAAGCTTACGAATAGAATTTGAAGTAACTGTTAGGATTTAAATATTAGGAATTTCATAAATACATCTGGATTACAGGTTTCTGCTCACATAGTAAGAATACCTGAATAACAAGTTCCTGTTTTAAACATAATGTTAACTCTCTAGTGAGTGTCTGAGATCCACACCCCTCAACTGCCACACTCCCCATGGTACCAGTGGGCTTTTTGGTTTATGATTTCTGCTCTATAGCTGCAAAGGTTTTAGTTTGTGTTACAGCTATGATCTTGGGGTAACTGCATGGCTGTGTTACAGCTATGAACTTGGGGTAACTGCATGGCTGTGTTACAGCTATGATCTTGGGGTAACTTTGGTGTGAGTTTTGCTTCTCGGCCCCCAAGTGCTCAGAAGATATTTGGAAATTCCTGGACACATTTTGGTTGCCACAACAGGGGATGACGCTATTGTCATCCAGTGGGCAGAGGCCATGGATGCAGCTAACCATCCTGCAAGGTACTGGCCAGACCCCTGTAAAAGAGACATCATCGCACAGTGTAAGTAGTACTGAGGTGAGAAACCCTAGGTTAGAGCAGACAGAAGTGGAAAAGGCTTGCCTGAAATTAAGGCATTTCTAGATACAGTATTAACAACATGCCCTGTTTCTATGACATGATCCTGATGGTTTTCTGTAGATCCACAAAACACTACATCTGTTATTCATTCAACAAACATTCATTTGTGCATCACACATGAGCAACACCCATTGAACAAAGATGAACTAAACCCATTTCATGTCCAGGTTGTTCTCAAGGAAAATGTAATTTAGAATAATAAATGACTTTTGGAGTTATCTTACACTTAATTTTGGAGAAGTGGGTAGGAAAAGTTATTTCTACTAATTTAAAAATTGGTTGTACTTTCTATTTATCGAATAGTTGAAACTGTTGAGGGATTTTTTGAAATGATTGGTAAGAGGTTGCTTCTATCTGGAAGGAATTTGAGAGCTGAAAACTCTGGAAGTAGCTGCAGACTCAAGGGAATGGGTCCTTCTCGCACATCTGCCCTCTTGAGTATGGGGCAGTGAAGAAGCTACTTAAGTTCATACCTCATCTATGAGCTCCCTCTTAAATTTCAACTTCTACCTCTGGGTTTCTCCAGTGACTCCTACTCAAGTACAAAACCTCAATTCCTTCTTCCTGAATTCTCTGTATGTTATGAGCTACTACTTCTCCTCAGCCATCTTTCATTCTCTCACCCCAACACTTCAACCAAATTGAGAGTACTTCCTTTTAAGATATCCTAACAGGGACAACAGTGCTTTAACTATTTCTACACAAAATAACATTCAGGCAGCGTGCCGTGGCTCATGCCCACAATCCCAGCACTTCGGGAGGCTGAGGCAGAGAACTGCTTGAGGTCAGGAGGTCGAGGCTTCAGTGAGCCATGATCACACTGCTGCACTCTGGCCTGGGTGACAGAGCAAGATCCTGTCTCTGAAAAAAAATAAATAATTAAAATAAAAATAAATAAATAAAAACAAAATCAAATTTATCTTTTTTTCTAAGTGAAGCTTTTCAAATTTTACAATTTCTATCAGAAACATTCTTCTATTAATGCAATCTCAAAATCTGAAATTAATGCAGTAACATTTATCAACTTCCTTTATTTCTGATTTCAAATGAGTTGTCACATTTTGTTAATTTTTTAAGATGTATACAAGAAATATGTGCATGTCTAACAAATTTTTAACCTCCATTATGGGCAGTTATTTTAAGATTTGTGTTAAAAAAGAAAAACATGGGAAATTTTATGATGGGTATATTTGGGTAATGGTTACACCAAAAGTCAAGGCTTCACCATCACACAATATATCCATGTAACAAAACTGTACTAGCACCCCTTCAATTGATACAAATAAAAAATGAATACATTAATTTAAACATAAATACAATAAGGTTTTAAAATTCCCATACTGCTGTCTAGTTTCCCAAGTGTATGTTTGAACTGAATAATAATGGATGAGTATTGGCAAGTATGGCCAAGTAAATATAAAAAATAATGTTTTAAGGTATTTTTGTTAACTATAACTTTTAAATATTATGATATTTCTTAATGTCTTTTCAGAAGATTGGAGGAGAGAATTAACATATATAGTGTATTTGCTATACAGTTTACATGATTTAATCTTCAGAAACCCCAGTAGATTTTACTACCAACATATTCAAGATAAGGAAACCAGACTTTGTGACATGAAGCAACATGCCAGAGGCCTGAAGAGTCCTGAAGAGTTGAGGCTCAAACAAGTTTCATTGACTTCAAAGTCCACGATCTTTCTACAGTGGAATGAAATACAAAACACAGAAATCTAATAAATGATTGATTCTTACAATAGAAATCACTGGAAATATATACATTTCCGTCCTTAAAAAAAAAACGAAACCAAAAACAGCAACAACAAAACAAAAGAACAAAAGTTCCCTGGAATCAGAAAGACCAGGTCTCTAAAATAAAGATATTATCAATGTAAGCATTTCCATAGAGTCTGCATTTGAATGTAAATTTCTGACAATTCAAAAGCTCCAAAGATCTTTATTTTTAAAATCAAATTTATTTTCTCATATATATTGTAAAAAAGACTAAAATAATCAAGTTGTATATTTAGAGGAATACCTAGACTTATCCAAATGCTTCATCCAAGCCACGGCCTCTACCTGTGTGTCAGGTGGGCAGGCTCTGGACCCCTAAGAGGGGCCCAGAATGCCACTGTCCCCTGAGGGAGAATATTTGGACTTGGTCAAACTCTCAGTGAGAGTGTGGTTGACTCTGGCTAATGGATATTTTGTTTGTATTTTGATATTAATGTCTACTAGAGAACCCGATCACTTTGGTGATGACGGCAAAGCTAATCTTTACATACCCAGTTAGGTTTTTTGACTTGCCCCATGAACACTTTAGTGGTCTTTATAGACTATCAATTACTATCCCAGGAGGGTGCCTTGCTTGCCCGCCTGTTGGTCTAGGTCTGCTCCCTTCTTGCCAAGTTGTCTTCCATTCCTAGGCCCAAAAACATTTGCTAATTAGTATTGATAAGGCCTTATTAAAATCAAATGTTAGAAGGAAAAATAACCACTTTCGGTCTTGGTAATATTTTTAAGATATTTTGTTTTGTAATCAGAAAGTTAATATATGTTCACTATTAAAAAAAAGATGCGTGAAGATGCATTGTTACACATTAGATATTGTAGATGATTTAAACCTTTCATGTCTCAGTGACTGAGGCTGAATTTTGTCTTGGAAATAAAATAATAGCACACCTCAGCTCATTTGAAAAGAATCCATCAAAATGTATAAAAGACTACATCAAAATTATTAAAAATTTCTGCTTCAGAGGTTAAAATGTTAATGTTTTCAGGCTTTACTCTGAATATCATATTCTTATTCTTTTTAAACTAAATTTGGATTGCATTTTTAAGTTGTGATATCATAAGACTATATGATAAGTCTTTGTAAATGTATATTTGTACATGTTTTTTTCTATGACCCACAAACTGAAAAAGTTTTTCCTTTTTTTTTTTTTTTTTTTTTTTTGAGACAGAGTCTCACTCTTGTCACCCAGGCTGGAGTGCAGTGGCACAATCTCGGCTCACTGCAACCTCCGCCTCCCAGATTCAAGTGATTCACCTGCCTCAGCCTTCCAAGTAGCTAGGATTACAGGTGCCCACCACCACGCCTGACAAATTTTTGTATTTTTAGTAGAGATGGGATTTCACCATGTTGGCCAGGCTGGTCTCAAACTCCTGACCTCAGGTGATCCTCCCGCCTTGGTCTTCCAAAGTGCTGGGATTACAGGAGTGAGCCACCGCACCCGGCCAGGTTTTTACATTTTTGAATGATTGAAAAAATCAAAAGAAGGTTATATTTCATGACACATGAAAATTATATGAAATTTGAATTTCAGTGTCCATAAAGTTTTATTAGAATACAATATGCTCATTAATTTATATATTGTCAATAGCTGCCTTTGCATTCTAGTAACAGAGTTGATACATGGGCCACAAAGCCTACAGCTTTTATTAACTGGTCCATTACAGAAAAAGCTTAGCAAAATTTGCTCTAACCTCTTAGATTTAAGAAAAATACTGGGCATTATGACTCATCTTCTTACACTCAACTGGCAATCGGACCAGGAAGAATCCTTACATAGTAGTCACTTTAGAACTTTTATTTTCAATAAAGAAAGCTCAAGCACCCAATTTTTCAAATAAGAAAAGGCATACATGACTACCATACTATTCGGTAGTGATTATAACTTTGACAGCTAGAAGATGAGATTTTCAGCTGATTTTGCAGTGTTGTGCAACCATTCATCTAGAATATCTCTGGAGAATAAAAATAATGCCTCCCCTCGGATACCAAAACCTAATTATATACAAGATAAATGACAGTCTTTAAAACATGATCTTTTTGGTGATAAATACCTCCCAAAGAATTTATAAAGCTTAGAACACAATATTTTCTCCCAGTCATGGTTTGTTATTTTCAAGGAGTGTATAGAATTAAAATGATGCTGGGAAAGGGTAGTTGAGGAGATGCAGAACATTATCCCATGTGTGGATGACAGAGACTCTGGTTGTCTTCTAAGTATAAAGCCTGGATCTTCAACCAGGGGAAAAAAAGGTGTTAGGGATGAGGTGACTTGTAAGAAACTGTCAATCCTTTGTTTATTTTTTAATATAGCAAAAGGTGTTTCAAAATCATGCAATTGTGAAAAAAGTTATGCAATGTATTTTTCATTTTATTTCCATATACCTTTTAATTTTTAGAAACTTTCCCCTGGGTTCTAATAATTTTTATGAAAATCTTGGTTTTTAATCTTGTGAGATCTTTCTTTTTTCAGAGATATTTTTGCAGAAATTGAGGGTCCCTGGATACATTAAAAGGAAGAAAATCATTGATTTTGAATATAAATTAATTTAATAGGGCCGGGCACGGTGGCTCACGCCTGTAATCCCAGCACTTTGGGAGGCCAAGGTGGGCAGATCACGAGGTCAGGAGATCGAGACCATCCTGGCTAACATGGTAGAACCCGTCTCTACTAAAAATACAAAAAATTAGCCGGGTGTGGTGGTGGGTGCCTGTAGTCCCAAGCTACTCGGCAGGCTGAGGCAGGAGAATGGCGTGAACCTGGGAGGAAGAGGTTGCAGTGAGCCGAGATTGTGCCACTGCACCCCAGCCTGGGCGACAGAGCGAGACTCCGTCTCAAAAAAAAGAAAAAAGTAATTAATTTAATATTAATTAAGTTTCTGGTATCCCACAGACCTTGAATGTCTTTAAGAAAAAATAAGATTAATGAATTAAAATGTAAGGAAGAGAAAGTCAAAAGGACAAACACATAGCATGGCTGACAGCTTGGCTGGAAAGGCTGAAATGGCTAGCACAGGAAATGTCTCTAGTGCACGTTGGCAGTGGACATGCCAACAGTGCAGGGAAATTATTAGAGAAGGGAGGAATGCAGAGAGGTGTGAGGAGAGAAGGGAGAGATGACAATGGCATTTAGCAGGTGAGCGAGTTGAGGAAACAAAGAAGAAATTTATTAACAAAATTACTCAAAAATATTTTGAAAATTCTGACCAAATTCATACACAAAACCATGAGATTACCAAATTACATGGAATCCTGTATTTAAATGTTTAGTTTTATTCCTGATGTGTTCAAATCTTGGACTTTACTTGCCAATGTGCTTCAGCCACACACTACTATGGACACACCTCTAGGTGAGCAACTTGGGCTTATTTGTCATTGCAGAAATGGCAAAATAGAAAGAAGAAACCAGAGTTGGATTGACATTTGTGCTTTCCAAACTATTTTAGGTAAACTTTGACTGGTCACATTTCAAATCTCGTTAGCCTGTTTCACCAATTTTGGTTTCGCAATTTTGTGTAAAGCAGGATTCAAGTGGTCCAGACCTCCAGTTCTTAGCACACATAAAATTTATAATGTAAAGCAAGTTGGTGGTGGTGGTGTAAGTAGAACACATGTCATTTGATGGTTGTTGTAGCACAGCAGATTGTTAACTTCCTTAACAACTTAAAGGTATATCTGCAATTACTAATAATATTAACTAAAGTTTGTAAAGTTGACCAAAGTTGTGAGTAGATTCAAAAAATTAATATGTAGTGAGCACAAATTTGGTGGCCTTTTTCTTCCTGTCAAATCTACCAAATCGTTTTTTCATAATCATCTCCAGATTCACTGGTTTGCTAGGAGGACCTACGGGACTTAGTATTGAGTCCTATGACTACGATTCATCACAGCAAGCTGATATGAAGCAAAAGCCAAAAAAGGAAAAGGTAAAAGACAGGGCAAAACAGGCACTAACTTCCAAGAGTCCTTTCCCAAGGAAGTCAAACAGAATGTGCTTGATTCCCCCAGCAATGAATTGTGAATATGTGCAATATTTTCTACCAGGTGAGCTTATTAAGAATCCAATAACCAGGGTTTTTAATGGAGGCTGGTCTCGAGGTACCCTTTGCTTAGCACCTTCCAAATTTAAGACTCTCATAAGAAAAATAGGAATTTGGCATAAACCACATTGTTAATGCAAACAAGCCAGGCAAGTGAACGTCCTCCTGAAATCTAAGTTCTCAGATGTCACCCAAGAGCCAATCTTGCGAACAGGACAGCTCCCAGGCCTGCCATGTTAACTCTTTTCTACACAACCATGTAATAGGACAACAGAAATATCTGTAAGGAGATAAGTCTAATCTCAAGTAATTCAAAATTTAGTGCATCTTAATTCCATTTGTCTTACTCATGTTCCTTCAGTGGTCATGATCTATCTTGTGAATGTTGTTGCTGGACCCCCGCCAGCAGATGAACTAAATGTTTTACTGGGGCTAGAGAAAAATATTTGATCTTCTAAGTTCTGTCTATTTTTATCTAAAAAGAAGAAAACAATTAAGCTTCCCTATTATTTAATGTATAGTTTGACACCGGTGACTTTACCTCTTTTTAATGACCAGCATATCATGTTTCATGTGTTATGTGAGGCACACCTGGGAAGAAGGGGTCTTGTGCAAAGTGGAGGTATTGGCAGGTGGTGAACTTTCACTTATTTACCTATTTTGGAATATCATAACACAGTGTATTTTATGTATGCTAGATGGACAAAATTATCTAAATGAAAATATCATAAAATATGAAGGAGAATAAAAATGCATTGTGTCAAGAAATCCTGAAATAAGTATATGAATAAAGTAAGTATAAAAGGACAACTAACACCTCATCTGTTCATAGTAAGAACTACTTGGTTTGACTATTTCATGAAACAATACTGATGATCTAATTATATCTGACAAAGTAAGGGCAAGAAAGAGTCTGAAATATAAATATATATTAATACTTTCTGTATAGCTAATGTTGAACTAATGGATAAGTGTCTAGAATTATCCTTTACTGGTGGTTTGAAATCAAACATGCACTGGGAGCATGTTTAAAATTATTTTACTGCTGGGATATGCAGTCAGACTATTTGACTGTAGTGAAGCATCATGTGCAGACATTATAATGTTTTGTTTAATATCTTCCCCTGTTTCTCTTTGGGAGGAAACACATTCAGGCCATATCTCCTTCGATACATAAGTAATCATTGATTTTGTTTCACCACCACCAAGGTATTTTCCTTGGCATTAATGATTCTAAAACCATCACATCAGTCTCTTGTAGAAATAATAAAAAGTCCACCTCTAGTGAAATCAGCCCTAAAGCAGGTAATCACTCTATAACCACTAACTGGATTATGGCTCTTGTCTTTAGTGAGCTCTTCCATTTTCATACTGTCAGACAAATTAATTAAATTTACAGACTGGTCTGCTGCATTAATCTGGGTTTTTAGATGATGAATTTTATATTACATCCTATTTCTCTGGGCACTGGACATAAAATAGTGAAAAGGACATGGTTCTTGCCTAGTAGTAGAGGAAGACAGACATATACACAGACAATTTTAATAGAGTGTGGTAGACTCTACACCAAAAAGTGCTAGTGGGTTCAGTAAAACCTCACAAGATGAGTAAGCTTTAATATGTATACTGAATCATTTTAAAACTGTCCAGAGATGTATTTAAAAAAAAAAACAAAACAAAAAACCTTGAGAATACCTGTTAAAAAAAAAAAAAGTACCCGCCAAATCTCAAATCTCAATAGAGTGTTTATGGAGTAACTCTTTATCACCCTGAGTATATCCATTTAGAAAAAGTAAATTTAAAAATGACTTCAAATCACTTCCAGCTTGGCAGGCGAAAAGAGTTATCAAGAGATAATTTTAGTCCTATAGTTAGTTGCCTTTTCCACCATATAAAGCTGTAATATTTTCAAGCATGTTTTTACTATCTTTTCTGCTTACGGACTCCTTGTTTTTCTTCATATAAAGTTCTCTAAGCTAACGAACTGCTTTACGTATTCTGTAGATCTGGTGAATGCTTCCACTCAGGCTAGGGAGTGAGTCTCCATTCACAAAATTCACACCTTAGAGCCATACCGAGTGTGCTAGCTTAATAGTGGTTGCATACATGAAAGAATATTGGGCAAAAACACATTTAAATTACAACAGCAACAGAAAATGATATAGAATGTATTTGCAATTATAGAAAAGGTAGAGGCACATGGAATTAAAGGCAATGGTTTAGAAAGTGATTAAAGATGAAGGCTATTCATGATTTAAAGTAGTCTTTCTCTTTCAAAAATAGAGAAATTTGCCTGGGCGTGGTGGCTCACACCTGTAATCTCAGCACTTTGGGAGGCCGAGGTGGGCAGATCAGGAGGTCAAGAGATCCAGACCATCTTGGCCAACATGGTGAAACCCCATCTCTACTAAAAATACAAAAATTAGCTGGGCGTGGTGGCGCATGCCTGTAGTCCCAGCTACTAGGGAGGCTGATACAGGAGAATCACTTGAACCCAGGAGGCAGAGATTGCAGTGAGCAGAGATCATGCCACTGCACTCTAGCCTGGCAACAGAGAGAGACTCATCTCAAAATAATAAATAAATAAATTAATTAAATTTAAAAAAGAGAGAAATTCTGGATAGATGCCAGCAGTATTGGTGGTATAGTTGTGTTTTTTTTTAATTTTTATTATTTTTTGAATTTTCTTGAATCTCTAGAATGTCAAAATGACTGGATAGTAAAAACAAAGCCACAGGACTTCATTTATAAAAAAAATGATAATCTAGGTGTCACGATATTGTCACAAACTTTAAAGCAGAAGTGGATAGAGAAATTCACCAACAACCTTAACACCTGCCTGCTATGAGTGTCTGTGCAGAAGAATCAAAAGGGAGAAATTATGTGGATTGTAAACCTTAGAACTAAATATAACTAAAATCCCACTCTTATTAAATAAAGAGTGGGGCAGATATAGTAGCTAAAACTGGGATGAATTTTCACAATCCGAAAGCCGTTGAGTTCAATGGGTCCAATGTAGAAAGGATTGAAGGGCCCAAGCTTTCTAACCTCTATGAGCTCTCAAAACTGATGAACCAGGGCTACCTTTCAAGGCTTCACACTGAGTAGAAAGTACTCAAATTGGAAACAAGATAAGTAGGACAGAGATGTTGAAACAAAAGAAAGTGAAAGCTCAGATAAACTTAATGAAAAGAAACAGGTCCTGGGAACCTCAAAAAACAAGAAAACAAGAGAAGAGAGGGCTCTGAGAAGTTGAATAGCTGTTCTGTGCATCACCTCATGTTGAATTCAGGAAAACAAATTTTACGTAAAGATTGAGTCACAGAAAAGTGTCAATGTCTAATTCTACACAGAGTCATTTAAGAAGAATGACTGAGGAGCATTCCTGAGAACGACACCAGGAAGACTTTCTTATAAAGCAGGTAAAAATGTCACCTACTGTTTCAAAAGGCGCTATAGCACACTTAGAAAATAATGAAAGACAGAAAAGAGAACAGCAAAATTAGAAAAATGTGAGAATAAAATATTTCAAAAAATTTGGAAATTGAGAAAAGAAAATCCAATATGAAGAAAAAGCCAAAAGGAACACAAGAAAAAATAAATATAATGGGTAATGTCTTAGGAGAAAAATAAAACAAACAGAAGAAAAATATGAATGTTAAAAAAAGAATTAAGGGACTTCCAGTTTTCAATAATATGGAATAATACATTAAACAATGAGAAATCTGACAAAATATATTAAATATTGCATTGCAGGCATTAGAAGAAAGACAATACAGGATTATATTCTCTGAAAATGGGGAGAAACAAGATGAACCTGACTAATTCCTGATTTATGACTGGAATCAGTTTTCAGTCTGCAGTGTAGGGAGGAGGAGCCTAACAGAGCCTGTCGATTGCACTGAGCCAAAAGATATAAATCAGAGTCAGGGAGGTCAAGCCAACCAGAATAGAGGACAGAGTTTCACAGGAAGAGAGAACTCCAGAGATCTGCCAAGGGTTCCTATGATTCTCTAGCTAAGTACTGATCTGTATATGCACAAGAAAGAAGCACTCGAGGCTATGGAAAGAATCTTCATAAGTGAACAGACAGATAATTACTAGTGTTCCAACAGAGGTGGGAATAGTCTGTGTCCCCACAAAGCAGAACAGATAAAACCTCTAAAGCTACTACCAAATCTTGGAAGCAGAACTCAGCGATCCAATTGCCTCAAGCTAACATAACTATTTGCCAAAATAAATAAAAACTTTATTGAAAGAAATACAATAAAATGCAACAATTAGCAACATCAAATTCTAATGTATGCTGTCAAGTAAAAAAATCAGCACTTAAAGAAGCATGAAAATAGGACTCATAAGCAGCAGAAAAAGCAATTAGTAGAAACATATGAAGATGAAGAAGATGATAGAACTACCAAAGACAACAAAGATAGATTATAAACATGCTCTATATGCTCTAGAAGACTGAAAACAGATAAATGGTGTGAGTGATTGATTGCAGAAAAGACTCAAATGGAACTTGTAGGGATGAAAAATATAGTAACTGAAATTAAAAAAAAAATCCTGAGTGATAATAGCATGTAAGCTGATACAGAGACAAAGAACAGCATACTTGAATTCTTAGCAATTGAAATTTTCCAAAATTTAGCTCAAAAATAAAAAGAACAGAAAATTAAATAGAACATCGGTGACCTATGAGACCATATTAAACAGTCTAATGTAGGCATAATTGAAATTCCCGAGAGAGAGAGAGAACATATCCAAGAAGCTCAATAAACAAATGTAGAATAAATCTAAATAAGTCTACCCAAAGGCATGATGAAATTGCTGAAAACCAATGACAGAGGCAGAAACTCATAAAGGAAACAAGGGGAAAAATGCTCATTACATATAGAGAAGAATAAGAATAGCAGCTGACTTCTAAGAAAAACTGCAGGTCAGAAAAAAATCATATATTTTTAAATGCTGGAAAACAAAATGTATGTAAACTAAAATTCCTTACCCATCAAAATATGGCGGGGTGGCTCACACCTGTCATTCCAGCACTTTGGGAGGCCCAGGAGGGTAGATCACGAGGTCAAGAGATGGAGACCATCCTGGCCAACATGGTGAAACCCCATCTCTACTAAAAATACAAAAAATTAGCTGGGTGCGGTGGTGCATGACTGTAGTCCCAGCTACTCAGGAGACTGAGGCAGGAGAATTGCTACACTTAAAGAAATATTAAGAAAGTCTTTAAGGCAGAATAAAAATTATGTAAGAAGGACATAAAAATCTCCACAATGGAATAAAATTGGTAAAACTGGAAGTAAATTTGTAGATTTTTCTTATGTATTAATCTCTCTCAAAGATTATTAACTTTTCAGATTAAAAGACACTCAATGTATTGTGGAACTTACAGAGTATGTAGAACTAAAGCGATAGCACAAAAATGGTAGAGTAGGGGAAAATGAAACTATATTGTGTGGGTTTCTTACGTAATATGTGAAGTGGAACCATATTAAAGTTAGATTGCATTAAGTTAAAAACTTAGAATCTAAGTGACAGAAAGAGAGGAAATAGTAAGACAATAGTAAAGATTAAATAGAAACATTAAACAATTTTAATTTATTCAAGAGATTAAGATAGAAGACAAAACTGAGAAAACTGTGTATTAGACAAATAGAAAAAAAGGTATTGTGATGATTGATTTAAGCCAAATTATATCAATAATCACCTTAAATGTAAAGTATCTAAGTAGCCAAATTAAAAAACAGAGATTGCTGGATTGGATAAAATAAAGACACTACTATGTGCCGTATAAGGAAACACGCTTTAAAAAGTGAAATATAGCTAAAAAAGTGCAATGTTAATGCGTGAAAAAGACATATGACACAAACATTGAGCCAAAATAATTTAAAGGTTAAATGACCATATTATTATAAAGTAGACTTCAGAGAAAGGAATATTATTATAGGTAAATAGGCTAATTTCATAATGATACAAGGATTAATTTCTCAAGAGAACATGATCATCCTAAAGCATAAGCACGTAAAATCCAGCTTAAAGTAGAGCAGGCTGAGATCGAGAAACGTAAAGAGAAATAGAAAAATCCCTTCCTTACACCTTATACAAAAATTAATTCAAGATGAATTAAAGACTTAAATGTTAGACCTAAAACCATAAAAACCCTAGAAGAAAACCTAGGCAATACCATTCAGGACATAGGCATGGGCAAGGACTTCACGTCTAAAACACCAAAAGCAATGGCAACAAAAGACAAAATTGACAAGTGGGATCTAATTAAACTAAAGAGCTTCCGCACAGCAAAAGAAACTACCATCAGAGTGAACAGGCAACCTACAAAATGGGAAAAAATTTTTGCAATCTACTCATCTGAAAAAGGGCTAATATCCAGAATCTACAATGAACTCAAACAAATTTACAAGAAAAAAACAAACAACCCCATCAAAAAGTGGGCGAAGGATATGAACAGACACTTCTCAAAAGAAGACATTTATGCAGCCAAAAGACACATGAAAAAATGCTCATCATCACTGGCCATCAGAGAAATGGTGCTGGAGAGGATGTGGAGAAATAGGAACACTTTTACATTGTTGGTGGGACTGTAAACTAGTTCAACCATTGTGGAAGTCAGTGTGGCAATTCCTCAGGGATCTAGAACTAGAAATACCATTTGACCCAGCCATCCCATTACTGGGTATATACCCAAAGGATTATAAATCATGCTGCTATAAAGACACATGCACATGTATGTTTATTGTGGCACTATTCACAATAGCAAGGACTTGGAACCAACCCAAATGTCCAACAATGATAGACTGGATTAAGAAAATGTGGCATATATACACCATAGAATACTATGCAGCCATAAAAAATGATGAGTTCATGTCCTTTTTAGGGACATGGATGAAGCTGGAAACCATCATTCTCAGCAAACGATCACAAGGACAAAAAACCAAACACAGCATATTCTCACTCATAGGTGGGAATTGAACAATGAGAACACATGGACACAGGAAGGGGAACATCATACACTGCAGCCTGTTGTGGGGTGGGGGGGATGGGGAAGGGATAGCATTATGAGATATACCTAATGTTAAATGATGAGCTAATGGGTGCAGCACACCAATATGGCACATATATACATATGTAACTAACCTGCACATTGTGCACATGTACCCTAAAACTTAAAGTATAATAAAATAAAAAATAAAAAAAAGAAAAATCCTAAAAGCTGGAAATTTCAACATCAAACTCTTAAGTAATTGGTAGAACAAGTGGACAGGAAGCTAGTAAAAATACACGAGACTTCTACATTACAACCAACTTGACCTAAGTGGCAATTATAAACATTCAATTAAAAACAGATGAATACATTCATCTAAATGTACATAAGCAACTCACCAAAAATAGACCATACACAAAGCCATAGACAAATTTCAATTGATTGAGATTTTTTATATTAAAACGTGTATGGTCTAATCTCAGCCCAAAAGCTTTTTAAGCTGATAAACAACTTCAGCAAAGTGTGAAGATACAAAATCAATGTGCAAAAATCACACACATTCCTATATACTAACAACAGGCAAGCAAAGAGCCAAATCATAAATGAACTCCCGTTCACAGTTACTATAAAGATAATAAAATACCTAAGAATACAGCTAACAAGGGAAGTGAAGGACCTCTTCAAGCAGAACTCCAAACCACTTCTCAAGCAAATCAGAGAGGACAAAAACAAATGGAAAAACATTTCATGCTCATGGATAGGAAGAATCAATATCGTGAAAATGGCCATACTTTATTTAGGTAGTATGGTCCAAAGCAATTTATAGATTCAGTGCTATTCCCATTAAACTACAATTGTCATTCTTCACAGAATTAGAAACAAAAAACTATTTTAAAATTCATATGGCACCAAAAAAGAGCCCATATAGCCAAGACAACCCTAAGCAAAAAGAACAAAGCTGGAGGCATCAAGCTACCTGACTTCAAACTATACTACAAGGCTACAGTAACCAAAACAGCATGATACTGGTACAAAAACAGATACACAGATCAATGGAACAGAATAGAGAATTCAGAAATAAGACCTCACATCTACAACCAGCTGATCTTTGACAAACCTGACCAAAAAAAGCAGTGGAGAAAGGATTCTGTATTTAATAAATGGTGCTGGGAGAACTGGCTAGCCATATGCAGAAAATTCCTCAAAGACCTGGTACCAGAAATACCATTTGACCCAGCAGTTCCATTACTGGGTATATACCCAAAGGAATATAAATCATTCTGTTATAAAGATAAATGCACGTGTACTTTCACTGTAGCACTATTCCCAATAGCAAAGACATGAAATTAACTCAAATACCCATCAATGATAAACTGGATAAAGAAAATGTGGTACCTACACCATTGAATACTAGGCAGCCATAAAAAGGAACGAGATCATGTCCCTTGCAGGGACATGGATGGAGCTGGAAGCCATTATCCTCAGCAAACTAATGCAGGAACAGAAAACCAAATACCACATGTTCTCACTTATAAGTGGGAGCTTAGCAATGAGAACACATGGACACAGAGAGGGGAACAACACACACTGGGGCCTGTTGAGGGAGGGTGGAGAGGGAGAGCATCAGGAAAAAGAGCTAATGCATGCTGGGCTTAATACCTAGGTGACAGGTTGATAGGTGCAACAAACCACCATGGCACATGTTTTCCTATGTACCAAACCTGCATGTCCAGCGCATGTACCCGGAACTTAAAATAAAATAAAATAAATAAATATAAAATTTTAATTAAAAATGTATATAGTCTGTTGTACTTTATACTTTATACATTGTACTCTATTCAATAAAACAAAGTATCTTCTCTGAACAAAATGCTACTAAATTGGCAATTACAAAAAGATAATTGGAAAACAACAAATGTACAACAATTGTCAACTACACTCTTAAATATCTTCTGGGTGATATAAGCAATAATAAAGTAAATTAGAAAATATCTTGAACTAAATGAGAGTTAAAACATACATACACCCATTTGTGGAATATAGCTAAAGCACCGATTAGATATAAAGTTATAAAGTAGATACTTACATTGGAAGAAAAGGTAGAATCAAAGAATTAAGCATTAACCTTAAGAAAACAGTAAAATAAAAGAAAATAAAAACCAAAGTAGCCAGACAAAAGAAAACAATAATGTAGAGAACATAGATTATTGACAAAGAAACAACAACATGTGAGAAAATTAATGCAACTCAAATGTGTTATTTAAAAAGATTAATATGTGAACTTCTACTCAGGCTGTTCAAGGAAAAAGTGAGAAATCACAAATTAGTAGTATCAAGAATGAAACAGAAATTATCACTACAGATTCTACAGAAAATAAAAGATAATGATTAACTATTATGAACAATTTTTATGTCATACATTTAGTAACTTAGGAGATATGGAGAAACTCCTATAAAGACAACTATCATAGACATTTAAAGAGCAAATGCATTGTCTGATAATCTCACATTTTTTAAAAAATATATTATATATAAAAATCTTTCCATGATGTAAATTCCAGGCCCAGATGGTTTCAGTATTGAATTATACCCAATTTGAAGAATGAAATATTAATTCAAACTCTTCCAGAAAAGAGGAGCAACAACTTCCAAACTCACTTATTAGACTTTATAAATCCAGCATTAGCTTCATATCAAAAGCAGAAGAATATATAGTACAAGACAAAATGAAATAAGCAATATTATTTTAAAATTATTAACAATTTTTAGTAAATTAAATCAAACTGTATGTACAAGGAATGATAAATCATGATCAATTTGCAATCATTCCCAGAATACAAGATGTGTTTATTATTTAGTAATCGCAATAAAGACCATATTACCTCACTAATCATATACACTTTCAATAAATGTACCAAAACACATTTGACAAAATCAATATTCATTCATAATAACATGCTCAGAAACTAAAAGTAGCAGAAACTTTATTAATTTGACAAAAAGCACATATGAAATGCTGATAGCTTACTATATTTAATGGTGAAATGCTGAATACTTTCTCCCTAAAATCAGGAATAAAGTAGTTAGCTTTATATTTACAAGTTTTATTTAGCATGATACTGGTGGAATAACCAGTGCTATAGAGTCAGAAAAAGAAATCAAAACCATCACATTGGAAAGCAAGAAATAAAACTGCCTTTACTGGTAGATGGTGTGATTATCTCTGCAGAAAGTTCTACTAAATCTACAAAAAAGGTATTCAACTAATAAGTGCGTTTAGCAGGACAGCAGTACATAAAATCCATATACGATAATCAGATGTATTTCTATGTATTAGCAATAAATGATAAGATGTTTATACTTAAATATCCAGTTTACAATGCATTTACAATCATATCAAAACATAAAAAATTTAGAAATAAGATTAAGCAAATAAGTGCAAATTTCATATAATAGAAACAACAATATCGGTTACAATTAGTTAAAAGTCTGAAATAAATTAAGAGATGTTCCATGTTCACAGATTGTAGAACTTAATATTTTCAAGATGTCAATCTTCCCTTAGAAGGTCTGTAAATTCAATATAATTCTAATCAAAATGCCAACAAGCTTTTAAAAAATAACATGATGTTGAATTTTTATGAAAAAGTAAAGGACCTAGAGTAACTGAATTGAAAAAACAAAAACAAGTTTAGACGGCATTTATTTATTTATTTATTTATATATTTATTTTATTAACAAACTGCAAGTCTTTATTAAACAAAGCAGTATGGTCCAGGCAAGGAGTCTAGAATGAGACCTTCCCAGATAGGGTCAAGATTGTGTTGTTTTGTTTGAGTTTTTTTTTTTTTTTTTTTTTTAACAAAAGTGTCAACACCATTCAATTTGGAACACAATAATATTTCAACAAATAGTGACGGAAACAAATTGGATGTCCATACGTATAATAATGAACCTCAACGCTTACATTACAACATACACTAAATGTAACTGGAAATACATCATTATCTTATGTTTAAGACATAAAACTATAAATGTTTAAAAGAAAACATGAGAGAAAATCTTTGGAGTAATGGATTAAGCAAAGGTTTCTTAAATAAGAAACCAAAATCCCAAAACACAAAAGTAAAAAAAAAAAAAAGACAAACTAGACTTCATTAAATTTAGATACTTTTTACTTTCAAAAGACTCAGCTTAGAAAATATGTTATGTTTGGCTATTTATTTTGGTTTCCTTTTTAATTATTTTAGAGACAGTATGGCTGTTCATATTTTTCAATCTCACAAATCTTCTCTTCTCTGCTAAATACACCCCACTCATTTTCACAACTTCAAGTTATCTGCTGTTTCTCTAGATCAAGGATTGGCAAATATTATTTTTTTCTGTAAGGGTCCAAATATAAATATTTTATACTTTATGAGTCATATAGTATTGTCACTACTACTCAACTCTACCACTGTAGCACAAAAATGTCCTTAGACTATAGGTAAATGAATAAGCATGACTGCATTTCAATACAAGTTTGTTTACAAAAACAGACGATTTGACCAAGAGCTGTAGTTTGACAATCCTGCTCAAAACCAGTACTATCCTGTAGAAATATAATGTGAGCCATAAATGCAAGTTACATAGTCATTTAAAGTTTCTAGTTGCCACTTAGAAAGTTTTAAAATGACATTAATTTTAATAATACATTTTATTTGACCCAAATACAAAAATGTTATTTTACATTTAATCAATGCAAAACTTTATTAAAGATATTTTACATTCTTGGTTCCATCCTGATGTTCAAGTTCCATTGTATATTTTTCATTATAGCACATCTCAATTCAGACTAGACAGATTTCAAATGCTTATTAGCCACATGCAGATAATGACTATTGGACAGCACAGCTGTCAGTATTTGAGCTTGTCACCAAACAGAAATGCTAAGCTTCCTGAAAGAGTCTGTAGACATTCCAAAGGAGAGTTCAGGTAAATGTATTATCTTATTACTGGTTCTTGTTTGTTTTCCCCCTAAGATTATTATATTGCAGCACAAATGAAGAATAAACCGTTAGATTTTATTGGTGTTTGTTTGACTGTGCTAACATTCTAGATTCAATGTTAATCTTTGTGTTAAATAACTTTTATGCCACTGATTTATTGTCTGATTTTCTGCTAACAGATAATTTTATCAGGGTAAATCCTCTTCTTTCACTTCTTTCTATATCTTGAAATTGGAGTTATATATAGTACATTATGATATAGTATTTTGGAAAAATGCACAGAGATCATGGTGCTCAAACTGAAAATAAGACAGTGATGGGGTACTGATTTTTAAAATGTAAGTTAGTTAATATATTTGGCTAGATCAGTTATATTTAGTTTTATGTAGAGTAGCAACACAAAATAGAAATAATTTGAAGTCATGTTTTTTCTAATTAGGAGTTGTGACAGCTTTATTACTTTCAGTTTGAGGCATTTCAAACTCAACTTTATAAGAGTGACGAGAAGACTTAAATAGCCTCTATGGAAAAAGGTTAATGAAACCATCTGTGTGGGGCAGGGGAAGTTGAAGGTAAATTAAATTGTATTCAAGAGTATTGTATTGGTAGGGTGGAGGGGGGCGTGGATCGCCCTCTATTTTCACTAAGGATAGAACTTAAGAAAATTAGCTTCATCTGTAATAGAAGGAATTTGGCCTAGATATTACAAAGAAACATTTTCAGCATGAGGGTTGCCGAAAAAAATGCTACCATGGAAATTCTTGGTATTTATTTTCTCAAAAATGTATGTTTTCAATGAAAGTGTAAACACATAATAATTCGGGAGAATTACTGAGATATAACTTTTCCCTAAAGTACAAGGGAATAATAGAGAAACAGTAGTGGTTCTTTTGTTCCTTTAATTTTCTGTTCACTTTGAGATATAAGCATTAGTTTCAAATGTAAAAAAAAAAAAAAAGGCAGTCAAAGAGATGCGCTAGAAGAGCTAAGGACACTGCACTGCGGTGTGTGGAGCATGCCCTCTTGGTCAAGTGCAGGGCCTGAGACTGTCTCCATGTTCTTAAGAGCTGCTTTTTCATGCCACAGATCATAAAGGAAGGCAAAATCATATTCAGAAAGTCAGACTGATTAAAAGAAAAACTTGTTTTATTATGATCTTTTAATATATGCACTTGTGATAGAAACTGTTAAAATCTACATTTTCTCTGCCTACAATTTTTAATTTTTTAAATAAATATTATAATTTTCAGGCTGTTTTATATATATATATATATATATATATATTAATAACAAATAGCAAGAATCACCCCAAAAATCTCAATTTTTCAGTTCTTTTTTTTTTACAATTAAAGAATGGATAGTTTGTTTTCAGCTTTCAAGAAAATTTTATTTTTAATCTGGGTATCAGTTTTTTTAATTCAACAAGTTATTCAGTAAGTTAACATTCAACAAGTTATTCAGTAAGTTAACATTATTTATCTTTTGTGGGAAGCTGTAGAAAATATAGGTGGTGAGAGCCATGTAGCTACCTTTGGTAACTGGGATTGGGTGTGAGGGTACATGGCTTATGAGACTGTGGAGGTGGGGTTAAGTCAGTATAACTCATCTGGATATATTCTTGGTTAGTCTGCTCTTCCTTCAACCTAATTATACTCCTCAACTTCAGAATTATTGCTTGAATGATATACTGTGATGTATTAATTAGATTATACTTCATACTAGTGTTATAAGTGGATTGCATGCCACAATTACAGTACTGGAATATTCTGGGTTGTCTTAGTATTTAATTTTACCAGTGGGTTTTAAACCTTCTGGTGTGTCATTTTTGTACATTTTTTTTTTATTCTTTCAGATTGAAGAACTCCCTTTAGCATTTCTTGTAAGTTGGATCTGGTGATGGTGAATTCCTTTTCCTTCATAGTTGAAAGATAGCTTTGGTGGATAAAGTATTTTCGAATGGCAATTTTTTTTTCTTTCAGCACTTTGAAAATGTCATTCCATTCCCTCTTGGCATCTGTTGAGAAGTGTGGTGCATGGTGTGCACTGAGAAGTCTGTTGCCAGATGAATTGGAGTTCCTTTATAGGTCATTCTCTTCTTTTCTCTTGCTGCTTCTAGGATCTGCTCTTTGTTCTTGCCCTTGAGAGTTTGATTATTATATGCCTTGGGGTGGTCTTATTTGGGTCATGTCTGTTTGGTGTTCTCTAACCTTCCTGTTCCTAGTATCTTTTTCAAGTTTTGGAAAGTTTTCTGTTATTATTTCTTTAAATAAGCTTTCTACCCTTGCTCCTCTTCAACTCTCTTGAACACCAATAATTCTTATGTTTGGTCTCTTCAGGTAATTATAAGTGATCTTTATGCTTCTTCATTTTTTTTCTCTATTGACTGTGTAATTTCAAGTAGACTATCTTTAAGATCATCGATATTTTCCTCTGCTTAATATATTGTGCTTTTGAGAGCCTCTAATGAACTTTTCAGTTCAACAAATATATTTCTTAGTTCTAAAATTTGTTTGTTTTATTATTTCAATCTCTGTTAAATTTCTCTAATGAATTTTTAAATTGCTTTTGCATGTTATCTTAGAGATCATTGTTTCCTTTAAACTGCTATTTTGAATTATTGGTCAAGGTGCTCACATATTGCTGACTCATTATGGTCAACCACTGGTTCCTCACTTTATCTGTTTGGGGATGTTATGGTTTCCTGTTTGCTCTTGTTTCTTGTGAATGTTGTCTGTCTTTGCACTGAATACTTACTTTTGTATTGCAGTTTTCTCTGTCTGGCTTTTTTAAAATGTTTATGTTTGCTGAGAGAGTCTTCATAATTTACCTTCTTAATTTCTTATATATTTTTTTCTCTAGGTCACTGCCTCCTTTTCAGTACAAGATGGCACCAAAAGCCCAGGTTTGTCCCTGCTTTAGCAAACAATCAAAGCAGAAGGGATGGGGGAGTTCCCAAAGAGGTTATCCCAGGAGGATGGAAGTGCTGGCTAGGGGTTTATGACTAGGAAATCTGTGTAATTTACCTCCTATAGCATGGTGATGCTGAACACCCACAATGATTTGATGTCTATTTTGGCTGAGTTACGGAACAGCGTTTTCAAGGCTGGGGATAATAGTTTCACTTCTCCCCTTTGTCTCTAACTGTTCTCAGGCATATGTCCTCATTCCTGTACTCGCAATGTCTCTCATGGGTGAGGCATGGACAGATCTGCCAAAAAAACCCAAGATGGTAGGGAAGCTGGTTGTCCACCTCGATCTCACTTTTTCCAGTGTAGAAACCATGAGTCAGGGTAATTTTTCCATGTGCTTGGTGCTGGGCCGGCTGCAGGGAGACATATTGTGAATACAAAAATACAATTCTCTTTAATATGCTCAAAGTATTTTTTTTGTTGTTGTCCTTCTCTGTAGTCCCAGGAACTGATTCATCCTCATATTTGAGCCCTGGTACATTGCTGCTGAAAATTTTTATGCTATATATTTGGTTTTGGTTTGCTGTAGATGGTGAGTGAAGTCAGCCTACACTTATGCTGCCATTTTGGAACCAGAAGTCAAGATTATACTTCATAATATCTACTTTCAGAAAGCATAAAAATAGCAAAAGCCACTGATCTAAATTATCTTACTCTCATTCCCTCAGCTTGAAATTGTAGCCAATTTGTCCCCATCACTAAAAATTTCCTTTGACAACGGGTTTTCCCTCTACCATTCTATAGACATTTAGAATTCCTTCATGATACCACCTAGGCTTAAAATATGCAAAATGTATATATGTATAATTCCTACTTAACTCATTGCATTTGAGTTTCTAACAATCCTCATCTTGATCATTTGTCAGCTTTTCATAGGATTCACCCCTTTCTGGGTCTCCATGGCATCATTTGCTCCTAAACTATATTCTTTCTCTCCAACTACATTATTTCATTCATTTTTACAGGATCCTTTAATCATTGCATGCTCGTCAAGTGCTTCCCCTTTTACTACTCTGAGCATAAAACAATTTTTTTCATGCTGAGTCCCCAATTACCACATGTGGTTGATGGCTTTCATATCTGTATCACCCACTCATCAATATTTATTATTTCCTAATAATAAATAAGCTATTGCTTATAGGCTTTTCAGATTTAATAGCCAATCTTTGCCTGAACTCAATACCTGGGAATTATATTCTAATCTCATATTCATTAGTCACATCCAAATAATACCAGTCATCAGCAGTATTCTAACTCCATGGTGTCTCTTAGACCACCAAAAAAAAATTCCTGTGTCATTGAAAAAGGATGGAATGTGGAAAATGCCTTATTAAGGAATAGACCTATGTCCACTTTAGGCTAATTTTGTTATCCACAGTGACTCATATGTTCTCACAAAGAACATTTAGGCTTCCACAAAGACAAAATAGTAATCAAAATCACAAAACTTTGTATTACAGAAATTACAAATTTTACTTACCTTTCCCTGTATCTAACATTGCCCAGGAGACACTTTATTATTCTGCAATGTTTCCCTGAAAATATCAAGTACTCTCGTGTCTCCAAGTTCTTGCAAACAATGTTTCTTTTGCCTAGAATGCTCATAATCATTTTTTATTCTCCTTGAAAAACTCCTACTCACCCTCCAAGTCCTGATTTTTTAAGATTTTTGAATAATTTCTCTAGCCTTTCTTGTCTGTCTCTTTATCTATGTACCCAATAAACTTGTAAACCACTGCAAATACCTGGCCTTAAGCCTGAGAGCAACAGTCATTTGGAGAGTTTGCAACAGGAAAATGAGAGATCAGATTTCACAGTATCCACACTGAATTATATGTGGAAAATATATTAGTAGAAATAAGGCTGAGCCTGGAAACATATTGTTTTGGAGGCTGTCACAATAAATTGAGAGATGATGGTGATTTAGATGAAAAAAGTGGCTATATTGGAGAGAAGTTTAAAAGCAGACTTTCCATTTCATGAGAGTTAAGTGAACATCACGGGTAGGTACTAAAAAGAATCAAAATAAATATAGACTTCCAACTTAATACTCCGCACAGCCCATGTTTTTAGAATAAACATATAAATTCACGGTGAAACCATTCATGTTGAAATTGGCTCATTCCGCATTCACTGAGGAGTCCACAGATGGGTAACTCAGTGTCTTTTTACAGAATGCTTCACCTACTATTCCTCAGAACTTTCAGTACCACAGTACTTCATCTTTGGAGAAATAGTGTTTCTGGCAGTCCTGACATGCAAAGACCCTGAAAGCTTATCACCATCTTAGAATATTTCCTACTGTCAACAACAAATTTGTATACTCTCCTATTGAGGTAATACCTCACTGCCCAGAAGAAGACATTTTTGCACAATTAAGGGATAATAGGTGTTAAGAATTGACAAACTACCTTTGGCTGTATTGTTGTTGTTATCAATAATGCCATTACTTTTAATATTACATGATATATAGCTTTTAAGACCCTCCATAAGAACTAGAATCTTTTCTGGAAAAGAAATAGACAAGTTTCTGATGTTTTTGGACAGCATTTTCTTTCTCCCCCACTCTCAGCATTGTTACTTTAATAATTAAAATTTCAAAAATCTAAATACAGGCTTACCTCATTTTATTGCTCTTTGCTTTATTACACTTTGCAGATATTGCATTTTTTGACAAATTGAGGGTTGTGGCAACCCTCAGTGTGTCCAGATGTGTCCAGCACATCTACTGGCACCACTTTTCCAATAGCATGTGCTCAGTCTAGTTATCAGTGTCACCTTTTGGTAATTCTCACAACATTTTAAGCTTTCTATTAGTATGTCTGTTATGGTGATCTGTGACCAGTGATCTTTGACATAACTACTGTAATTGTTTTGGGCACCACACACCACGCCCATATAAGATGGTGAATTTGATTGACAGATGCATGTGTTCTGACTGCTCCACCTACTGACTGTTTGTCCGTCTGTCTCCCTCTCCTCAGGCCTTCCTATTCCCTGACACACAACCATATTGAAATGAGGCCAGTTGATAACCTTGCATTTGTCTCTAAGTGTTCAAGTTAAAGGAAGAGTCCCACATCTGTCACTTTAAGTAAAAAGCTAGAAATGATTACGCTTAATGAGGAAGGCATGTTGAAAGCTGAGACAGGCTGAGAGCTAGGCCTCTTGGACCAAAGAGTTAACTAAGTCGTGAATGCAAAGGGGGAGGTCTTGCATGAAATTTAAAGTGCTATTCCAGTGAACACATGAATGATTAGAAAGCAAAAAGCCTTATTGCTGATATGGAGAACATTTTGGTGGTCTAGATAGAAGATAAACCAGACACAAAATTCCCTTAAGCCAAAGCCTATCTCAGAGCAAGGCTCTAACTCTCTTCAATTCTACAAGGCTAAGAAAGGTGAGAAAGCTGGAGAGTTAAAGTTTTAAATGAGCTGAAGTTGGTTCATAATGTATAAGGAAAGAAGTAATCTCCACAACACAAAGGTGCAAGGTGAAGCAGCAAGTGCTGGTATAGAACTGCAGCAAGTTATCCAGAAGATGCAGCTAAGATCACCGATGAAGGTGGCAACACTAAACAACAGATTTTCCATGTAGATGAAGCAGTCTTTTATTGGAAGAAGATGCCATCTAGGACTTTGATAGCTAAAGAGAAGGCAGTACCTGACTTCAAAGCTTCAAAGTACAGTCTGATTATCTTGTTAGGAGCTAATGCAGCTGGTGACTTGAGGTTGATGCCAATGCTCATTTATTCTGAAAATCCTAGGGCTTTTAAGCATTATTCTAAAGCTACTCTGCTTGTGTTCTATAAATAGATTGACAAACATCACACCTGTTTACAGCATTCTCAGAAAAAATATATTTATTTTAAAATATTACTGCTCACTGAAAATCCCCTTGGTTGTCCAAGAACTCTGATGGACATGTACAAGGAGATTAATGCTTTTTCATATTTGTTGACATAGCATCCATTTGCAGCCATGGATCAAGGAGTAATTTTGACTTTCAAGTCTTATTGGTTAAGAAATATATTTTGTATGATGACATCTGCCAGAGATACTGATGCCACTGATGGATATGGGTAAAGTTAATTGAATACCCTCTGGAAAAAAATTCGCCATCCTAGATGCAAATGGAGGATTCAAGACTCCAGTGGAGGTAATAACTGCAGATGCAGTGGAAATAGCAAGAGAACTGGAAATAGAAGTGAAGCCTCAAGATGCCACTGAATTGCTGCAATCTCAAGATAAAACTTTAATAAATGAGAAATCACTTTTTGTCAACAAGCAAAGAAAGTGTGTTATTAGATGGAATCTACTCCTGGTGAAGATGCTGTAAATGTTACTGAAATGACAACAAAGGATTTACAATATGACATGAACTTAGTCGATAAAGCAGTGGCAGGGTTTGAAAGAGTTGATTCCAATTTTGAAAGAAGTTATACTGTGGATAAAATGCTATCAAACAGCATCACATGCTTTAGAGAAATCTTTTATGAAAGCAAGAGTCAACTAGTACAGCAAACTTCATTGTTGTGTTATTTAAATAAATTGCCACAGCCACCTCAACCTTCAGCAACTGCCATTCTGATCAGTCAAAAGCCATCAACATTGAAGCAACACCCTCCTCCAGCAAAAAGTTTAGTCTCATTGGAAGCCCACATGATTATTAGCATTTTTTAACATTGAAGTCTTTTTAAACTAAGGCCTACATATTGTTTTAGACATAATGCTATTGCACTTAATAAGCTACAGTATAGTGTAAACATAACTTTCATATGCAGTGGCAAACCAAAGAAAATGCCCGTGAGTCACTTAATTTACTTCATTGCAATGATCTGGAACTCACCTAGCAGTTTTCTCCAAGGTATGCCCATACTTAAAGATTAATTTTAAAAACTACTATCTTTTCACCACCCAGTAGGAATAAATGCTCATTTTTCATCAAAATCTCTAATTCAAGCAACATATTATGAATAATAAAGTTGGTACACCAATTGCTTTCCTTCCATCCTATTTCTATTCTTTTCCTTCCTAAAGGAAAACACTCTTACAGATTTTTTTGAACATTCTTTCCTCTTACCATATGAGAATTTGCATTTAGATCTGCCAAGTGTCTGAGAGCTTCATACTCTTAGACTCCCTCTGATGAACTTCATGCAATGTGTTTCTCAGAATGACCAGGATAAGGAGTACCCAGCTTACCTATCCATGAAAGCATGGCACTTCACAGGCACAAAGGTCAACACTTCTCAGGCCAGGATGCCTTCCTTTACTGTTCATCCCCTAATCTGCTTGCTGCCCAATTTCCCGGTTTGGAGTAGGAGTAAAACAAATCGAAACTGGTTCACACTGACTCTGAAATGTAACCATTAGGATCTCAGCATAAAGTGTCAGTGTTTCCTCAATTACATTCCTCACTGAGCACTATCTCAGCCTTTATTTCTGTCCTGGGGCCTCCTGAGCCTGCTAAAAGTAAGCCCTTGGCCTATCTCCACCCCCTAAAAAAATGACCTTTAGTGCTCTGCTGACCTTCTGTGCTCTCTACCAGGAGTACACAAACATCATGGCCTTTCCCCTCCTTATTTTATCTGGCAGTTTTAGTTGTTCTCAGTGGCAATGTTGGTACAAAGTACCTATAATGCCATTACCAGAAGGAGTAAGTCTGTAATTTCCCTCATCTTCAAGGTGTCCTACACATTGCACAGGTAAGTAATTATAAAGTGTGGTGAAAGAAGAAAATCAGGGCTCTGTAATAATAATAATTGTGTTGATGGAAGTGACCTGGCTGATGTAATAGCAAAAGTGGTGGCAATTTATGTTTACCAGGGAATACTTTTTAAAAAATTCTTTCCAGTAAAAGTCTCCTCTGGCATGTCCAACATCACAGTTCAGAAAATTTTCCCTGGACAATCTTACATCATGTTTACACCTGTATTTGGGTTCTCTAGAGGGACAGAAATAATGGAATATATATACATATATATAATTATTATTTCATTGCATGTAATATATATATAATTCATATATATAAAATTCATATATATAATTCATATTTTATATAAAATTCAGGGAATTATATAATTATATAAAATTCAGGGAATTATATAAAATTCAGGGAAACAATTGTTAAGGGAATTTATCACTACCAGACTGGCTCCGTAAGAGATGCTTAAGGGAGTTCTTTTTTGTTTGTTCATCTGATTTGACATTGTTGCAGAATGTCTTCCAACTGCCAGATCTGGAGCAAGCTGGGAATGGAATGAATGCCTCTGCTTTCATGAAGGTTTGCTTTCCCTTCCTTCTGAAGGTGGCAGAATACTGGGCACTCGCCAGACACAATCCCAGGAGATTAAGAGTTCTAAACATGAAAATGAAAGAACAATACTTGCTACCATAAAAGCACATGCAAGCACATAGCCCAGAGACCCTGTAAAGCAACTACACCATCAAGACTACAAAACACATAGCTAACAACACCATGACAGAAACAAAACCTCACATGTTAATATTGATCTTGAATATAAAATGGCCCAAACACTCCACTTAACAGACACAGAGTGGAAATTGTATTTAGAAAACAAGACCCATTCTTCTGCTACCTTCAAGAGACCCATCTCACATGTAATAATACTCAAAGGCTCAAAGTAAAGAGATGGAAATGGAAAACCATTTACTTTTGTTTTCCATAGCAGACAAATGGAAAACAAAAAAGAGCAGGGGTCATTATTACTCTATCAGATAAAATAGGATTTAAACCAACAACAGTAAAAAAAGGACAAATAAGGGCATTACATGATGATACAGGGTTCAATTCAAGAAGACCTAACTCTCCTGAATATTTACACACCTAACATCAAAGCACACAGATTCATAAAACACTTATCTCTAGACAAAAGACTTTGATAGGCACGCAATAATAGTGGGATACTTTAACACCCCACTAACAGCATTAGACAGATTATCAAGGCAGAATACTAACAAATAAATTCTGGACTTTAATTTGAGACTTGACCATTTGGACCTAAGAGGCATCTATAGAATAATCCACCCAACAACCACAGAATATACCTTCTTCCTGTCTGCACATGGAACATTCTTTAAAATTGACCACATGATCTGTCATAAAGCAAGTCTCAACGAATTTGAAAAATTGAAATTATATCAAGCATCTTCTCAGACTCTACTGGAATGACAATAGAAATCAATAACAAGAGGAACTTTCAAAACCACAAATACGTAGAAACTAAACAATTTACTCCTGAGTGATTTTTGCATAAACAACAAAATTAAAGCAGAGACAGAAAAATTTATTTGAAACAAATGCAAATACAGAAACAACTTACAAAATTGTCTAGTATGCAGCAAAAGCAGTCTTAAGAGGAAAGTTATAGGTCTAGAGGACCACATCAAGAAGGTAGAAAGATCTCAAATTCACAACTTAACCTCACACCTAAAGCAACTAGAAAAACGAGAACGAACTAAACCCAAAACTATCAGAATAAAAGAAATAACTAAAATAAGAGCAGAACTAAATGAAATTGGTATCAAAAGAATACAAAGGATAAATAAAATGAAAACTCTGTTTTTTGAAAGAATAAATAAGATTTATAGACTGAAGCTAATTAGATTAACAAAGAATAAAGGAGAAGATCCAAATAAGCAGAATCAGACATGACAAAGGTGACATCACAGTCGATTTCACAGAAATACAGAATATCCTCAGAGACCTACTAGGTACCTCTATGTACACAAACTAGAAAATCTAAAGGAAATGGATCAATTCTTAGGTGCACACAACCCCTCCCAATATTAAACTAGGAAGAAACTGATATCTCAAACAGAATAATAATGATAATGAAATTGAATCAGTAATAAAAACCTACCAGCCAAAAAAAGCCTTGTGGATTAGCTGGATTCACAGCCAAATTCTATCAGATGTACAAAGAAGTGTTGGTACCTGTCCTACTAATATTATTCAACAAAATCGAGAAGGAAGGACTCTTCCCTAATTCATTCAACAACACCAGTATCATATGATATCAAGATCTGTCAAAGACACAACAAAAAGAAAACTACAGGCCAATATTTCAGATTAACACAGGAGAAATCTTTGAAAAATACTGACAAACTGAATCCAACAGCACATCAAAAAGTTAATTCACCATAATCAAGTGGGCTTTATTCTTGAAATGCAAGGATATTTCAACATATGCAAATTAATAAATGTGATTCACCACATAAACATATTTAAAAACAAAAATCATAGGAACATCCCAATAGACATGGAATAAACATTAAACAAAATCCAATATCCCTTCATGATTAAACCCACAACAAACCAGGCATTGAAGGAACATACCTAAAAATAATGAGGCATTTATGACTAACCCACAGCCAACATCATACTGAATGAACAAAAGCTGGAAGCATTCCTCTTAAGAACTGGAGCAAGACAAGAATGTCTATATCACCACTGCTATTCAACATATTACTGGTAGTCCCAGCCAGAGCAATCAGAAAACAGAAAAAAATAGAAGCATCAAAATAAGAAAAGAGAAAGTCAAATTATCTCCCTTTACTGATGATATGATTGTATACCTAGAAAATCCTAAAAGTTCTACCAAAAGACTCCTAAATCTAATAAATTATTTCAACAAAGTCTCAGGATACAAAATCAGCTCACAAAAATAAGTGGTATTTCTATACACTTGTTATAAGTGTATATCACTTGTAATTAGCTTATTATAAGCTTGAATGTTATATTCAAGCTGAGAACCCAATTAAGAATGCAATCCTATTCATAATAGCTAGAAAAAAGTACCTAGGAATACATCTAACCTAGGAGATGCGACATCTCTATGAGGAGAACTACAAAACAAACACTGCTGAAAGAAATCACAGTTGACACAAACAAATGAAAAATCATTTCATGCAAATGGATTGGAAGAATCAATATTGTTAAATGTTCATACTGCTGAAAGCAATATACAGAATCAACACTATTCTTATCAAACTAATAATGTCAGTTTTTACAGAATTAAAAAAAAACCTAACATTTATATGGAATCAAAACAGAGTCTGAGTAGCTGAGGCAATCTAATGCCAAAAGTGTAAAGCCAGAGGCATCAAATTATTTGACATTAAACTATACTACGCGACTGCAGTAATCAAAGCATCATGGTACTGATACAAAAGCGGACAGATAGAGAAATGGAACAGAATAGAGACCCCTGAAACAAAGCAGCAACTCTCCAACCAAACCATCTTTGGAAAAGTCAACAAAAATAAATAATGTGGAAAAGATACCCTATTTATTAAATGGTGCTGGGAAACTGGCTGACCAGATGCAGAAGTATAAAACCTGCTCCCTACCTCTCACTTTAGGCAAAAATTAACTCAAGATGGATTAAAGACTTAAATGTAAGACCTCAAACTATAAAATTTCTAATGAAACCTAGGGAATGCATATAACAAAGAACTAATATCCAGAATCTATAAAGGACGTAAACAAATCAACAAGAAAATAAAAACCTGATTAAAAGGTGGTCAAAAGACATGAATAGACACTACTCAAAAGAAAACATGCATGTGGTAAGCAAACATATAGAAAATGCTCAACATCACTAATCATTGGAGAGATGCAAATTAAAACCATCATGAGATACCACCTCACACGAGGCAGAATGGCTATTGTTAAAAAGTTGCCGTGGCTCACATCTGTAATCCCAGCATTTTGGGAGGCCGAGGTGGGCAGATCATGAGGTCAGGAGTTCGAGACCAGCCTGGCCAACATAGTGAAATCTCGTTTCTACTAAAAATACAGCAATTAGCTGGGTGTGGTGGCACACACTTGTAGTCCCAGCTACTTGGGAGGCTGAGGCAGGGGAATCGATTGAAGCTGGGAAGCAGGGGCTGCAGTGAGCAGACACTGCCCCATTGCACTCCAGCCTGGGTGACAGAGTGAGACTCCTTCTAAAAATAAACAATAAAAAATAAAAAAATTGAAAAATAAGAAATGTTGGTGAGGCTGTGGAGAAAAGGGGACACTCATATATTCTTGGTCGGAATGAAAATTTGTTCACCCCCTGTGGAATGCAGTTTGGAGATTTTTGATAGAACCATAAAGAGTAATTGGATTACTGGGTCCGTTACTACTTGACTCAGCAATACAATTACTGGGTATATACCCACAGGAAAATAAACTATTTTAGCAAAAAGATACCTGCACTCATATGTTTATTGCTCTATTCACAATAGCAAACACATGGAATCAACGTATATGCCCAACAACAGTGGAGTGAATAAAGAAAATATGGTACATACACACAACAGAAACCTACACAGCCATAAGAAAAGCAAAATCATGTCCTTTGCAGCAGCATAGATGCAGCTGGTTTTGTATTTTTGTGTTTAACCTAAGCAAACTAACACAGGAACAGAAAACCAAATACTACACATTCTCACTTGTAAGTGGGAGGTAAATATTGTATACACATGGACAGAAAGATGAGAATGATAGTCACTGGGAACTCCAAAAGGGGAGAGAGAGGGTGGTGAGGCAAGGTTTTAAAAACTACCTATTGGGTACTATGTTTATTACTTGGGCAGTGGAATCATTAGAGGCTCAAACTCCAGCATCACTCAATATATCCATCTAATAAACTTGCACACATACTCACTGAATCTAACAAAAAAAAAATTGAAAAAAACAAAAAGACAAAAAGCGTAGTTCATCTTCCTTAGGGAAAGTCAATTTTATTATTCTACATTATTTTATCTTGGTTAAGAAACATTACTTGTATGAGTGTTCAAAAAAATTCTGGCCAAGCGCTGCGGCTCACACCTGTAATCCCAGCACATTGGAAGGCTGAGGCGGGCGGATCACCTGAGGTCAGGAATTTGAGACCAGCCTGGCCAACATGGTGAAACCCTGTCTCTACTTAAAAAAAACATAAATAAATAAAAATAAGCCAGGTGTGGTGGTGGCATCTGTAATCCCAGCTACTTGAGAGGCTGACCCAGGAAGTGGAGATTGCAGTGAGCCAAGATTGTGCCATTGCACGCCAGCCTGGGTGACAAGAATGAGGCTTCATCTCAAAAAAAAAAAAAATTCTAATAATCTCGTGTGTTTTTACAGCATGTGTAGAAATCTGACCATAATCAAAGGTTGACAACATCAGTTTTTAAAAATATTTTATTCCTTGTTTGAGATACCTTTCGTCATCCAAAATTAAGGATAGTGGGCTCCTTTCTAGGGATACAATTACAGAAAGGTTGTTGTGATGACAACTTCACTGCCCACATCATCATTTTATAGGCAGAGCCATAGAAAGATTAAAGGGGATTTAAAAACATTGATTTAAATATTTTTTACCAATAATTACCTTCAGTTGACATGTATTAAAAGATACTTTTTATTTTTTTTTCAGTTTTTGATGCCTCCAGTTGATTTCTCTTACTTTATTGCATTAGTTAATACCTACAATACACAGTTAAATGATGCTAAAACAGTGGTCATTCTTTTTTCCTCCATAGGTTTGTGTGTGTGTGTTGTTTTTTAAATTTATACACTTTATTTTTTGTAGCATTTTTACATTTGCAGAAAACTTGAGCAGAGGGTGCAGGAAGTTCCCATATTGCCTCTCCTCGGCAACCTGCCTACCCACTGCACACAATCTCTTCTATTACCACCATCTTGTATTAGTGTGGTACATTTGTTACAACTAATAAACCAATACAAATATGTGATTTTAATTAAAGTGAATAGTTTAAGTTAGGTTTCACTCTTTGTGTTGTATAGTGCTATAGGTTTTGATGAATGCAAAATATTGTGTTTCCACCATTACAGTATCACACAAAATTAATCAAACTAAAAATTACCTGTGCTCCACCTATTCATTCTTCCTATCCCAAAGCTCTGGCCACTACTGATGTTTTTACTGTCTACAATTTAGCCTTTCCTAGATTGCCTTGTAGTTGAAATCATACAGTGTTAGCCTTTTCAGACTGTCTTCTTTCATTTAATTGGCTTCTTTCACTTAACAGTATTTTAGGTTCCTCCATGTCTTTCTATGACTTGGTAGCTCATTTCTGTTCATCACTGGATAATATTCTATTGCACAGGTATAGCACAGTTTATTTATCCATTCACATATTGAAGGACAGCTAGGTTGCTTTCGAGTATTGGCAATTGTGATTAAAGATAGTATAAACGTCCATGTGCAGGTTTTTGTGTGCACATAAGTTTTCTATTCATTTGAGTAAATTCCAAGGAGTACAAATACTGAATCTTAGGATAAGATTATATTTAGCTATGTAAGAGACTTACAAATGGTATTCCAAAGTGGCTTACCATTTTCCACTTCCACCTGCAATAAATGAGAGTTCCAGTTGCTCCAAATCCACACCAGCATTTAGTATTGTCAGTGTTTTGTATTATAGATATAAGAACAGGTGTCCATTGGTATTTCATTGTTTTAGTCCACAATTCTATGATGATATATAATTTTGAAGATCTTTTCATGTTTATTTGCTCTGTGTCTTCTTTAGTGAGGTGTCTCTCTAGACCTTTCACTCATTGCCTTTATTGAGTTGTTTGTCTTTGTGTTGTTGAGCAATGAGTTTCTTGTATATTCTAAGTATTAGAGCCATGTCAGATATTTGATTTGTAAATATTTTCTCACATTTGGTATGGTTTTTACTTTTCTGATACCATTTTATGAATAAACTATTTTAAAAAATTTTTATTCTGTCTTATTAATATATTTTTTCTTGTTTCTCATGCTTTTGATGTCACTGCCAAAATGAAACCTCTATGATTTCTTCTAAGAGTAGGATAGTTTTAGCTCTTACATTTACATCTTTGACCTTTTTGAGTTAATGTTTGTATACATTGAGAGAGAGGAGTGCAACTTCATTCTTTTGTATTTGGATATTTCATTTTCTTAGCACTGTTTATTGAAGAGGCTATTTTTCTTTCACAGTATGTGGTGTTGGCATTCTTGTCAAAGACAAGTTGGCCACAAAGGTATAAACTTATTTCTGGACACTCAATTCTACTCCCTTTTTTTATATGAATGTCCTTATGCCAGTACTACTCTGCTTCTCTTGTTTCATAGCTTTTCAATAATATTCTTGCAATTTGTGGTATTATTCCTGCCTTCAACTTTGTTCTTTTTTTTTTTTCAAGATTGTTTTAGCTAGTCAACGGCCCTAGCAATCCTATAGAAATATTAGTATTGGCTTTTTCATTTCTGAAAGGGAGACAGAGAGTGGCCATTAGGATATTGTTAGGAATTGAAATGCACCTGAACATTTCTTTGTAGAGTATTTCAATCAGGACCGTATAAAGTCTTCTAATCCATGCACACAAGATGGCTTTCCATTTACTTAGGAATTTTTAGATTTCTTTTAGTAATATTTTGCAGTTGTCACTGTGCAAATATTACACCCCTTTGGTTAAACTTATTTGTATTTTATTATTTTGAATGTGTAATTGTTTTCTTAATTTTATTTATAGATGGTTCATTGGCAGTATCTAGAAATGCAATGATATTTATTCATTGATGTGGTGTCCTGTAACTTTTCTAAGGTCATTTATTACATTTAATAGTTGTGTATATATATTATTCAGTATTTTCTTTATATAGAATAACATCATTTATAAAGAAAGACAATTTTAGTTTTCTTTTTCAATATTTATGCCTTTTATTTTTTCATTATGCTTAATTGCATTGGCAAAAACTTCTAGTACAATTTAATGTTTGAACAGAAGTGGTAAAATAAGTCAAGTATGACATGTTCCTGATCTTAGAAAAGTTTTGGTCTTTCATCATCAAGAATGATACTAGGTGTAGAGTTTCATAAGTACACTTTATCAGGTGAGGAAATTCTATTCTATTATTTCTACTTTGTATAGTGTCTTATCATAAAAGGATGATGGGGTTTGTCAGATGCTTTGCCTGCATCAATAGAGATGATAATGTATTTTTCCCCTTTGTTCTGTTAATGTGGTGTGTTACATGATTAATTTTCATGTTGAACTGCATTTGCATTCCTAAATCATTCTTGTTAATGGTATATAAATTTGTATATGCAGTTGTACTCAGTTTGCTAATATTTTATTGAGGATATTTTTCTATATGTTTAAGGGATATTTGCTTATAGTTTTCTTTTATTGTGATGTCTTTGGCTTTGGTGACTGGGAATGCTGGCCTCATAAGATGTATTAAAACTACTTCCTCTTCTACTTTTGTAACAGTTTGAGGATTGTTGTTAATTGTGTTTATAATGTTTGGTAGAATTCGATTTTCTTTTTTTTTTAATTACCAATTCAATCTCTTTACTTCTTATAGATCTGTTCAGATTTTTTATTTCTTCTTCAGTCAATCCTGATAATTTGTATATTTCTAGATTATTGTCCACTTTGTCTAGGTTATCTAATTTTTTAGGATGCAATTGTTTACAGTAGACTCCTACATACTGTTGTAATGTCTCCGCTTTTTTTTTTTTTACTAATTTGAAATTTTTCTCTTTTTCTGTTCATCAAGTACAAGTAAAGTTTTGTTAGCTTTGTTAATCTTTTGAAAGAATCAACTTTTGGTTTTGTTTATTTTTTCTATTGTTCTATTCTTTATCTCTTTTTTCCTACTCTAATATTTTATAATGTATTTTCTTATACTAGCTTCATGTTTGTGTTTTTTTGAGTTCCTTGAAGTTTATAAATTATTGATTTTAAATCTTTCTTCTTTATAAATATAACTGTATAAAGCTATAAATTTCCTTGTGAGTTTGCTTTCATTGCATTCTATAAGTTTGATATCTTATTCATTTTATTCTAAATGTATCTTTTATGAAAATGTAAATTTAATTTTATTCTAATTTTTTTGATTTATCATTTTATTCATTGTCATTTTTTTCAAGTGTATGTTGTTTAAATTTCCACATACTTGTGAATTTTCCAGTTTTTCTTTTAGTTTTTGATATTTAGTTTTATGCCATTGAAGTCAAAGAAGATATTGTGTATGATTTAGATTTTCTTTTTTAAATTAATTAAGATGTGGTCTCTCCTGAGAATTGCAGCATGTGCACTTGAGAAGACTGTATATTTTGCTGTTGTTGAGTGGAATATTCTGTATATGTCTGCTAGGTCTACAGACAGCTCTCCCTATCTGCGGTTTAGCATGGATGTATTCAACCAGTCAAGGCATAGAAAACACAGTACTGGGGGATGTAGAACCTGCATATGTGAAGGGCTGACTTTTCATATCCATAGGTCTTTTTTTTTTTTTTTTTTTTTTTTTGAGACAGAGTCTCACACTGTTGCCCAGGCTGGAGTGCAATGGCGTGATCTCAGCTCACTGGAACCTCTTCCTTCTGGATTCAAGCTATTATCCTGCCTCAGCCTCCTGAGTAGCTGGGACTACAGGCATGTGCCACCATGCCAGGACAACATTTTGTATTTTTAGTAGAGATGGGGTTTTGCTATGTTGGCCAGGCTGATCTTGAACTCCTGACCTCGTGATCCACCAGCCTTGGCCTCTCAAAGTGCTGGGATTACAAGCGTGAGCCACTGTGCCCAGACTGATAGGTTTTGCAGGGCTGACTGTGGGACTTGAACACCTGTGGGTTTGGCATCTATGGGGGCAGTCCTGAAACTAATCTGCCATGCATTCCAAGAAATGACTGTCATTGGTTTACAGTGTTGTCTTAGTCTTTTATTTGTTTATTAATCTCCTGCCTAATTATGGAATCCATTACTGAAAGCATGTTGATGGAGTTCCCACTAGTCTTATAAAATAGTTTCTCCTTTCAATCCTATTGGTTTTTGCTTAATGTGTTTTTGGGATCCATTTTGTGTGTATATATTTATACTTGTTATATTTTCTCAGTGAATTGACGATTTATCAATATATAATTGTGTTTGTGTCTTGTAACAGTATTTGATATAAATTCTATTTTACTAATTCATTTAGTTACTAATTTCATGGAATACAGTTTTTTCATCCTTTCACTTCCAACTTACTTGTGTTTTTGGATCTAAAGTGAGTTTCTTGCAGACAGCATACAGTTGGATTTTTAAAAATCTATTGCCAGTCTCTGCCTTTTAATTGGAGAGTTTAATCCATTTACATGTAAATACTGATAAGAATTCTGCCATTTTGCTATATGTTTTCTATATGTTGTATCCTATTTTTTTCCTCATATCCTCCATTATGAAATTCATTTGTGTTTAATTAGTTGTTCTTATTCTAGTATATCATTTGATAAATGTTTATTTTTCTTTGTATATTTTTAAGTTATATTCTTACTGGTTACCAAAGAGATGACAGTTGATATCTTTAATTTATAAAAATTTGTAGTTTAAATTAATTCAAAATGAGCTTTAATTGCACACAAAAACTGTGATCATATACAGCTCCATTACTACTCCTTAATGTTGTAAAAAGTTACAAATTTAAAAAGTATGTAAGCATTAGCATAGATTTATAATTTTTGGTCCATATTTTTCTTTCAAGTCAGGTAGGAAAAAAGAACTTAAAAATCAAAAATACAATAATACAAAATTTTATATTTATCTGTGTAGTTCCCTTAGGCAGAGGTCTTTCCTTCTTCATTTGGCTTTCAATTATTGTCTACTGTCTGTTTATTAAGCATGAAGGATTTCCCCTGACATTTACCTTAGAGCATGTCTACTAGCCACACATTATCTCAAATTTTGTGTAATGGAGATATCTTACTTTCTCCTTCATTTTGAAGGACAATTTTGCATGATATGAAATTCTTGATTGACAGTGTTCTCTCTATTTTAAATATATTATCTCACTGCCTTTGGCTTTTATGGTTACTGCTATCAAACTGGTAGTTAATTTTATTGAATTTTACTTTTTGGTTATGCACCACTTGTCTCTTGCTGCTTTCAAGAGTTTCTGTTTGTTTTTGTATTTCAACAGTTTGAATATGTTTCTCAGTCATAGATTTATGTATTGGGAAGTTTTGGCTATTATCTCTTCAAATATTCCTCCTGCCTCTTTATCTTTTTTATCTTCTTCTGGGATTCTCTTTATACATATGTTGGTATACTCAATGGTGTCCTACTTCTAAATTCTTCTCCATTCTCTTATAACTTCTGTCTCTTAAAACTTCTATATTCTTCTCCATTCGTTTCACTTTCTGCTCATCAAATTGAATAATTTTAATTGGTTTGTTATTAGGTCTGGTCAGTCTTTTTTCTGCTTGTTCAAATCTGATATTGATCACTCTTCTGTGAAATTATCATTTCAGTTATTGTACTTTTCAAGTACAGAATTTATATCTGGTTCTCTTTCTATAACTTTTATCTCTTTATTAATAGTTTTCATTTGCTGAGACATAGTTCTCTTGTTTTTTGAAAAAAATCCTTTGTCCATTACTTCCTATAGTTTTTGACCATATATAAGGCAATTGATTTAAAGTCTTTATCTGTTAAGTCCATGTTTGTGCCTCACAGGGACAATATTTACTAATTTCTTCTTATTCACCCCCCGCTTAGGTTTCTTCATTGTTCCTTTCCATGCACTGTAGTTGCTTGCTTCATGTCTTTCCTACGCTACCTTTTAAAGTTTGTGTTCTTTGTCATGTGTGGTTTCTGAGGTTGCTGTTCCTATAGATTCTGGTAAGCTGCTGGTTTAACCAAAATTTCCTTAAATTTCTGGAACCATAAAACAAAAGGAAAGAAAAGAAAAGAAAAAATAGTCTTTTTTAATTTCTGTGTTTGCCGATTAGCTCAGTATTATATCACTCCTATAAAACCTAGCCACTTTGTTAGTTCTCTTCCTTAAAGATCAGCTGGAAATGAAAAGTTAGGGCCTCCTCAGTAGTTTTCTGAGCATGTATTTTTCCTCAGTAGATGCATGATGACTTTGTTAATATTCCATTATATGTAGGAGCTTTTTGAAGCTATAGTCTCCAAATTTATATTCTTCAGCTTTTCCTCTAAGGCTTTTTTTCTTTTTGCATGTCTATTGTAGGTCTGAACTGTATTTTGTTATCCTAGGCAAAAGCAGCTTATTAATTTCCCTTATAATGGTATCCAACAATGCCATTCATTTAGACACTTTTATACCCCATCAGAGTTTGAATTAGGCTAAACAAAGGCAAATGCCTCATATCAATCAGAGAACCATAAGATAGGTCAAAACAGACAAACACAAGTCCTTGAGAGTAAAGTTTACTGTTCTTCCTTCATAACTAAATACCTACTGAGATTATCATCTTCAAGACCACTATCTTGCCAAGGAAATGGGATGAAATAAGGCTAACTTAATATGCTGCAAATATTTTCTATCATCTTTAAGTAACTGCTTTTGTTGATTAAGTAAATTATTGTTGCAAACCTCTGACTGTTTCTCAAAGTTAGAGTAAAGTTGATTCTGACAACTTTGCTATTTTTTTTTAGGGTTTCCAAAGAGGGACAAGCCCATGGAGCTCCCTACTTTTCCATTTTAACTAGATGACCTTTCTTGCCTAGATCCTGACTTTAGTGAAAGATTAAATAAGTACACAAATATAATGCCGACATTTAGACTGAGGATAGGTCTTCTGCATATTAAATAAAATGCATGAATCTTTATTTCATTTCACTTTTGATTGGTTCCTTGGTGTTGTATTCTTGTCAAATGTTTTCAGTGTAAATACACGGAATATCATAGTATTCTCTTAAGATTTATATGTATAGGTAAATATATTAATGCATTTATTTATTTATTTATTTATTTTTCTTTTATTATACTTTAAGTTTTAGGGTACATGTGCACATTGTGCAGGTTAGTTACATATGTATACATGTGCCACGCTGGTGCGCTGCACCCACTAACTCGTCATTTAGCATTAGGTATATCTCCAATGCTATCCCTCCCCCCTCCCCCCACCCCACAACAGTCCCCAGAGTGTGATGTTCCCCTTCCTGTGTCCATGTGATCTCATTGTTCAATTCCCACCTATGAGTGAGAATATGCGGTGTTTGGTTTTTTGTTCTTGCGATAGTTTACTGAGAATGATGATTTCCAATTTCATCCATGTCCCTACAAAGGACATGAACTCATCATTTTTTATGGCCACATAGTATTCCATGGTGTATATGTGCCACATTTTCTTAATCCAGTCTATCATTGTTGGACATTTGGGTTGGTTCCAAGTCTTTGCTATTGTGAATAGTGCCGCAATAAACATACGTGTGCATGTGTCTTTATAGCAGCATGATTTATAGTCCTTTGGGTATATACCCAGTAATGGGATGGCTGGGTCAAATGGTATTTCTAGTTCTAGATCCCTGAGGAATCGCCACACTGACTTCCCAAAAGAAGACATTTATGCAGCCAAAAAACACATGAAAAAATGCTCATCATCACTGGCCATCAGAGAAATGCAAATCAAAACCACAACGAGATACCATCTCACTCCAGTTAGAATGGCAATCATTAAAAAGTCAGGAAACAACAGGTGCTGGAGAGGATGTGGAGAAATAGGAACACTTTTACACTGTTGGTGGGACTGTAAACTAGTTCAATTAATGCATTTCTTAATTATGATCAACCTTTTATTCCTGGACTCAGTCCAATGTGGTTATGATATAGTATTATTTTAATGTGCAATTTGATTTTATTTGTTTCTATTCAGTTTGAAATTTGTGTATTGATGTTTAAAGTGAGATTGGTCTAGAGTAGTTTATTTTATAAAATTTTTATATGGTTTAGTTATTTATTATACCTTGTACCTTAGGACAAAGTTTTTTTTTTTCTTTTTATAATCTAAAGCATTTAAATAGCCCTGGGATTATGTGACATAAGCCATTGTTTTTAAACACTATTAAATTTAATATTGTAAGAAAAATATTCAATTTAGCTTGAAAGATTAAAAATATTTTATTTTGACATTTAATTCTTTACAGTCTACTGGAATAAAGTAAAACAAAACAAATCAAATATGTTATTCAGTATCTTAGTGTAAGAGAATTAATCCACCTACCAAAGTAAAATTAAAAATTACTTCCAACACTACTTCTACATGTCCACATCCTGTCTTGCATTGCTCCCTGACAGTTTTTAAATGGAAAGGTGGATAATGTAGATTAATCTTCTCTCTCCAGGAAAAATTTTGTATCAAATGCATCAGGTAAAAAGAACCTTCTTCCATTTAAAATGTGTAAACAGAAATGGTAACCTTCCATTTATCTTCAATAAAACTGTTAATTAAATAGTTCACACATCTTCAGCTGATTTTATAAAGGCTTCATAGGATAGAATGTCTGAGGCAGTCTGCCAGGAATTTAGCAAATATTTGGAAAAATATTGTGTTTGCATCTCAAATGTGAGAAGATAGTAGACTAAAAATACATATTTTGGTAGTGAGAAACCTGACCTTAAATGGTGAATTCCTTTGGTTTTTTTTTTTTTTTTTTTTTTTGAGATGAAGTCTTGCTCTGTAGCCAAGGCTGGAGTGCACTGGCATGATTCAGCTCACTGCAACCTCCACCTCCTGGGTTCATGACATTCTTCTGCCTCAGCCTCCTGAGTAGCTGGGACTACAGGCACCCGCCACCACGCCTGGCTAATTTTTTGTATTTTTAGTAGAGACAGGGTTTCACTTTGTTAGCCAGGATGGTCTCGATTTCCTGACCTCATGATCCACCCGCCTCAGCTTCCCAAAGTGCTGGGATTACAGGCGTGAGCCACCGCACCTGGCCTAAATGGTGAATTTTTAATGGTATTATTCAAATACAAACTGTGTGAGATATTCATTGAAATGACAGACACAATAATTGAAGATAAAAATGGCTTACTGACTTTTAAAAGAAACAATACCATATGAACTACAATTAAAAATATTTAACAAGACTAAATGTTTAAATTATATATTTTCTTCAGCAAAATTTGCCTCCAGGTAAAGATTGACAAATATTCTTTGAATGACTGGATTTTATGCACATCACATATAAAAAATTTTCCTTCTTAGGAAAAGCCAGAGCTGCTGATGCATTCACAGTCTTGTGAAATGATTTGTTTTTACTGTGAATGTTATAAGAGCTTTCAAAGAGCACTTAGAAAATTATTGATCTAAAATCCTAAATTAACAAGGCAAACCACCTTTTCAAAATATGGAGAGACAAGTGGGTATGGAGAGATAAAGGATTGTGTCACTGGAGCAGGAGTCACAGGAGACATAATCCAATGGAAATGCCTGAAAGGTAATTTTGATGAATAGCTGGAGCCTGAATGCTAACTAGCATGAGAGTGAGAAACCACTCGGTGACAGGCTTGATGGGGGATTTCAAGGGCTTTCTCTCTAGGCAACTTAGTAGGTTCTTCATGTGAGAATCTCCTGGCTCTGACAGAAGAGGGAAAAAGTAATGATTGTGAAAAACAAAAAGAGATCTTTTTTCCACTACAAAGACCTACACCTAGGAGAAAAGATGTCAGAAACCAATTCTAAAACTTTATCTCAGTTTGGAGAGAGGAATTAATCCCACCACACTCCTGGCTTCCCCAGGCTTCTAGTATTGCCTTGCAGGAGGAGAGCCCATAGGCAGCAAGAGCTAATAAATCAAACAAATGCATTGGGAAGGATGCAGAGAAGAAGGCAAGGAGAAGCCAGAGGAGGACACGTAAACTATTATACTGAAGAAACTAATAAAGATTAGAGCCCCCGAGATTGAGCCCAAGAAACAGTGATATTTAATTGAAACATTATGGAAAGCTCCTCTCTTGTAACCTTGTCACCACACCAACAGGGATCCAGTATAGTAACAGTGTGTGACAGCTGAAGGAGCTGTAAGACAGACTCTCTCTGAAGACCAGCATGCATAGGTTAATTTTATGTATCAATTTGGCTAAGCCACAGAGCCCAGATATTTTGTAGAACATTATCTTGGATGTTTTGTGAGGGCGTTTTTGGATGAGATTTACATCTAAATCAGTGGATTTTGAGTAAAGCAGATTGTCATCCATATTTGGGTAGGCATAATGTAATCAGCTGAAGACCTGAATAGAACAGAATGACTGACCTCCCTGAGGAAAAGGGAAAGGGAATGATGGGAGCAGACTGCCTTTGAACATGAACTACATTTCCTGGATTTTCAAACTTCTGGCCCACCCTGCAGATTCCTACACACACACGCACACACACACACCCTATCCTGTTGATTCTGTTTCTCTGGAAAAGCTTAATACAAGATGGAAGCCCATAGTCAAAAAGAAAGACAAAAACAATGACACTAGATAACTTTGAAGACTCTGATATTTATTTACTGTTGTTAAATTTTTAAAATTTACATATATAACTGCACATATTTATAGGGTACATAGTGATGCTGTAATACATGTAATGTATAGTGATTTGATCACAGCAATTAGCATTTACAATGTACATTTATGCTGGAAACATTCGATATCCCTCTAGCTATTTAAAACTATGTTACTATAGCCATCCTACAGTGCTGTAGAATGCTGAACTAATTCCTCCTATTTAGTTACCATTTTTTATCTTTTAACAAAACTCTCCCTATCACCCTTCTCCCTACTCATCCAAGCTTCTAGTATCTCTTGTAATACTTTTTACAGCTATGAGATCAATTTCTTTTTAGCCACATGTGAATGAGAACATGTGGTGGTTAACTCTCTGTTTCTGGCTTGTTTCACCTAGCATAATGTCCTCCAGTTTCATCCATATTGTTGTGAATAACAGGATTTTATTCCTTTTTATGCCTGTATAGTATTCCCATTGTGTATATGTACCACATTTTTATGCACTTATCTGTTGTTGGACACTTAGTTTGATTTAATATCTTAGCTATTGTGAATAGTGTTTATACTTATATTTAAAACAAACAATAAACACGACACAATTTTTAGCCAAATCAACATAATTACTGACAGTAAAGTTCTATTTACCTCAATTCCTGCTACCTGATATGTGGCCTATTTACTAATAAAAATTACAAGGCATTAATCTTAGTCTGTTTATCCTGTTATAACAAAATACCACAGACTGGGTAATTTGTAAACAATATACATTTATTTCTTACAGTTCTGGAGTATGGAAGTCCAAAATCAGGCTGCTGGCAGGTTTGGTGTCTGGCAAGGGCTTGGTGTCTTGCATGTAAGATGACACTTTTTGCTGTGTCCTCACATGGGTGGAGGAAGGTGGAAGGGCAAGAGAGGCAAACTCACTCTGAAGCCTCTTTTGCAATAGGTAACCCATTCATGAGCACATAGCCCTCAGGACTTCAACACTTCTCAAAAGAATCCACTTCTTAATATCACCACAATGACAGTTAAGTTTCAACATAAATTTTGGAAGAAACACATAATAAAACCATAGAGCATGAAAATGGCAAGGGAAAACACAGTCTGAAGAGACAGTTCAATCATGACAACCAGAGTGTAATAGGATACAGCTGTTGGAGATATCAGATAGAAACTATAAATAACTATCAAACTGTCATCAGTATGTTATAAGCTTAGTCTAATGAAAAAAAGTAGACAACATGAAATAAAAGATAGGATAATGTAAGCAAAGAGATGAAAATGCTAAGAAAGAATAAAATGGAAATGTAGGATAATAAAAAGTATGATATAAGTAAGGAGTGTCTTCAATGGGCTCATTGATAGTCTGGATAAAGCCAAGGGAAGAATCAATGTTCTCGAAGATAGATCAATAGAAGCTTTCCAAACCTAAATGCAAGGGAGTAGGGAAAGAATGTAAAATAGAAAGAAACATTAATGTGCTGTATAGGACTACAAAAATGTATAAAATTCATGCTTAAGGAATCCAAGAAGGAGAAAAAGTGAGAAGAGAGTAGAAGAAGTATTTGAAATAATGGCTGCAAAATGTCCAAAATGAATTAAGAGATATTACCGTTGGTAGATTAGAAGGCTCGGTATTTAAGAGGTCAACTTTTTTCCAGCTAAATTTATAAATTTTTTAAAAAATCACAATCAACATTCCAGCAAGGTATATTGTAGATAGTGACGAACTGATTCCAAAATTTTATAATATCTTAAGACAAAGGATCTATAAGCGCCAATATAATTCTGAAAATAAAAGAACAAGATTGGAGGATTAACATTTTCTGAATTCAAGACTTACAATAAAATTATTAAAACTCCTTGATATTGGTGAAATAATAGACAACTAAATTAATGACACAGAATAAAGAGTCCAGAAAAGAATCCACAGAAATATCTTTGACAAAGAAATGATCTTTGACAGAGGATCAAAGACAATACAGTGGAGAAAGTACAGTGTTTGCAATAAATGGTGCTGGAAAAAACTGGACATTCATATGAAAAAATAAATTTATACATAAATATTATACTTGTATAGCAATTAAGTGAAAATTAAACTTAATGTAAAATGAAAAACTATAATAATGGAATGGAAAAAATAGAAAAGAATTGATTTGTCTCTAAAATTGAAATTTAATATTAAAATACAATAGCAAAAGTATAATTCATTAAAAAATGTGAATTCTACCTTTACAAAAATTAACAGTTCAATTTCTAAATATAATGCGGTATCTGGGATGGAACACGGAATTTTAAAAAGAACATTAGGTAAAATTTAATGAAAAATGAATAAAGTATGAACTTTACTTGTTGTTAATGCATTAATATTATTTTACGAGCTGTGACAAATCTACCATACTAATGTAAGGTCTTAATAATAGAGGGAAATGTGGGTGAATATGAAAACTTCTGTACTGTTTTTGAAACTTGTGTGTAAATCAGAAGTTGAGAAACATTGATTCTTCCTTTGGCTTTATCCAGACTACCAGTGAGCCCATGAAGGCAGTCCTTATTTATGATATCATACTTTTTATTATCTTACATTTCAATTTTATTCTTTCTTAGTATTTTCATCTCTTTGCTTACGTTATCCTATGTTTTATTTTATATTGTCTGTTTTTTTCCCATTAGAATAAGTTCTTAACATGCTAATGATACTTATTTATATTATTTATCTGATATCTTCAACAGCTGTAGCCTATTGCGCTCTGGTTGTCATGATTGTATTGTCTCCCTAGACTGTGTTCCCCCTTGCCTTTTACATGCTGCTGTGGTTTCATTATGTGTTTCTTTCTAAAATTTATGTTGAAACTCAACTCTCATTTTGGTGATATTAAGCAATGGGTCTTTTTGAGAAGTGCTCTATTATTCTAAAATAATAAAAGTTCAGTGCAAATATTGTTTCAAAATAAGTTCAAACTGCTTCAAAGTAAAATTAATGTTGATGCTTACAGCTTTTAAAAATATTAAATTCAATGGTATATTTATAGAGTATTATATGTACTAAATATCTAAATACAGTATGTAATATTAAAAAATGTATGTATTTCTACAAAGTGCGCAAATTGGGAACACCTTGATTTTTCACATGAATACATATAAAACTGAAAGTATCTTCTTAGTCATTGGAAATAAAATCAACAACAAATAAATCTCTTGTGGTGTTTAAAACATTTTTTTTAAAATTATTTAGGTTACTGTGGAAATTTTTCAATATTTAATGATATGCAACTCTTTTCTACTCCTACAGTAATCTTAAAACCCAGACAACATTTAATTCAGGAGTATACTTGTAGAGAAGACAATTTCATTTTTTTTGTAGACAAAGTTAAAATCTTGAGTCAGAGAAAAAAATATATATTTATGATCAAAGGCCATTATATAGAAAAAATAAATTTGCCTGTAAAAACTATATTAATATTTTATTTTAATATAGTTTAGGAGGAACAAAAATGAGGAAATTTATATTGTAGTGATTTTAATACCCATTGTTTTAACTGTTAGCAAATAGTCAAAAGAAAAAACATACACAGTTGTGAGTGTGTATCAGGAAAATTTTAGCCTAGGCAGTTGCAAATGCCCATCTCTTCACAGTCACATCAAAAAACAAGTAGAAACTTTAAAAACCAAGTGTGTCAGATCTCTAGAAAACAGCCAAAGGTTTACAGAAACCAAGTAAATGCTGAATATGGTAAAGAGGAAATTTAAACCGGTAGGAAAGCTTTGTGGTATTTTTAATTGCTCTTGCCTCACCCCAACCCTGGCTCAATGGCAGTCTGGAAGAGAAAAGTTGACATTTCACATGGGATATTATGGTCCCTGGTCCCAAAAGGAATAGAATAGACTTTATTTTTAAATTATTACGTTTGTCTGTTCTAACCTAGGACTTAGGACTGATGTAATTAACTCATTGCTATTTGACTTAATTTAGAATTCACTCAGGGCAGAAAAGTGTTAAACCAAGGCAAAAGGTTACTGCTGAGACAAAATAGACCACTAAACTTGAATAGTGGTTAGAATAATTTGAGAAGCGTTTCTTTGAGAAATTAGCTATATCTCTTGGGGAATTTAGAAAGCCTCGTGATGGCCAATAGCAAGATTCATGCTCAGAAAATGAGGGTCATAACATTTCAGCCATGACTGAACTCTCAGCTCATTGCAAGCAAGAAAGGAAGTCTAAGACAGAGTAGTAAACGTCCTGGTTGAGTGTTGAGGAAGACCTCCAGTACACAGGCAGTGTGCAAAGGCAGGGATGAAAGGTTTATTATTTAAAAAAATTTCTTAGTTTCTGCAATTTAGGTAAATCTCCATCAAAATGATAGTTGAAAACTAGATAAAGTAAGAGAGACATAATGACTGCACATAAAGAGGAATAAAACCTTTGCAAAGACAATTTGGAAAACTCAGTAAAAAATGGACAACTATCATTTTCAATAATTAAAAACAGGAAGCCCAGGGGAGCAGAGAAAATAAGGTATCAGAGTTAATACATAACAACATTCAAATGTTCAGCGTTCAGCAGAAAATACCAAGGCACACAAAGTAAAGAGAAAGTATGACCCATTCATAGAACAAAAATTGATAGAAATCATTGATGAAGTAACCCAAACATTGGACTTACTAGACAAATACTTGAAATCTAATGTCTTATATATACTCAAAGAATTAAAGGAACCAGCCACAGTGGCTCATGCCTGTAATCCCTGCACTTTGGGAGGCCGAGGCAGGTAGATCACCTGAGGTCAGGAGTTTGAGACCAGCCTGGTCAACATGGTGAAACCCCATCTCTACTAAAAATACAAAAATTAGTCAGGTGTGGTGGTGTTCACCTGTAGTCCCAGCTACTCGAGAGGCTGAGTCATGAGAATCACTCGAACCTGGGAGGTGGAGGTTGCAGTGAGCCAAGATTGCACCACTGCACTCCAGCCTGGGCAACAGAGTGAGACTCTATCTCAAAAAATAAAAATTAAAAGAATTAAAGAGAACAATGGATATAGAATTAAAGGAAATCAGAGAATAATGTACAAATAAAATGGAACTATTAATAAAGATATATAAATGGCAAAAACCACCAAATAGAAATTCCGGAGCTGAAAAAGTACAATTTTGAAATAAAAAAAAAATTGCTAGAGGAGTTAAACAGCAGATTTGAGCAAAGAAAACAGGCTGTCATAAAAGTGAAGATAGGACAATGGAAATTATCCAGTCTGAAAAGGAGAAAGAAAAAGAATGAAGAATAATGGATAGATTCTAAGAGACATGCAAGATACCATCAAACAGATCAATATATGCAGTGTGAGAGTCTCAGAAGGAGGAGAGAGAAATAAAGAGGAAGTGAGAATATTTGAGGACATAATGGCCACAAACTTCATAAATTTGAGGAAAGACATGATCAAAAAATTCAAGAAGCTCAACAAATTCCAACTAGAATAACCTCAAAGAGGTCCACAATAAGAGACAGTATAATCAAAACACTGAATGACAAAGAGAAAGAAATAATCTTGAAGCAGGAGGGATAGATAATTAACTCATTATATATAAGGAATCTTCAAGAATATTAACAACTGATTTTTTTATCATAAACCATGGAAGCCAAAGGACAGTGAGATGAAGTAATTGTAAAAATTCTGTCAACTAAGAATTCTATACCTAGTAAAACTATCCTTCAAAAGAAGAAGAAATTAAGACATTATCAGATAAGCAAGAGCTGAGGGCCTTTATTACCAGTAGCTCTACCATACAAGAAATACTAAGGGAGTCATACACATTGAAATAAAAGGACACTATACACTAACATGAAGTTCTATGAAAAACTAAAGATCTCCAGTAAAAGTAACTACATAGATAAATATAAAACCAATGTTATTGACTTTTTGTTTCTAAAATGCAATGTTTAATTTCCTACAAGATTTCAAATACAAATGCATAAAAAGAATTATAAATTTGTGCTATTTTCCACATAATGCATAAAGATGTAATATGTAACAAAAAACCTTAAATATGCAGGTTGGAGCAGAGGTGCAATCGAACAGTTTCTGTATGATATTGAAATCAAGTTGATATATATTCAAACTAGATAGTATAAATTTATGAGGTTAATTATAACTCCCATGGTAAGAAAATAACTAATATATATTTACAAAATAAAATGAGAGGGAATCAAAGTGACTTTAGCACAAAAATATTATCTAAACACTAATTAAGGTTTAATAATGGAAATGAGAAACTTATCCCCCCCAAATTTTAGGTTGTTGAGAACGAACACCAAAATGACCAATGTAAGTCCTTCTTTATCAGTAATTACTTTAAAATGAATGTATTAAGCTCTCCAAGAATACAAAATTCAGATTAGATTCAGAAACAGAAATATATATGCACCAAACTATAGAGTGCAAAATATATGATTCTCACTTCCTGACTTAAAAATTATAATAGGGTGAGTTCCAAGATAGCTGAATAGGAACAGCTCCAGTCTACAGCTCCCAGCGTGAGCGATGCAGAAGATGGGTGATTTCTGCATTTCCAACTAAGGTACAAAGTTCATCTCACTGGGGCTTGTTGGACAGAGGGTGCAGCCCAGGTGTGTGAGCCGAAGCAGGGTGGGGCATAGCATCACCCGGGAAGTGCAAGGGATTGGGGAATTCCCTTTCCTAGCCAAGGGAAGCCGTGACTGACAGTACCTGGAATATAGGGACACTCCCAACCTAATACTGTGCTTTTCCAACAGTCTTAGCAAATGGCACACCAGGAGATTATATCCTGCGCATGGCTTGGAGTGTCTCATGCCCACAGAGCCTCACTCACTACTAGCACAGCAGTCTGAGATCGAACTGCAAGGAGGCAGTGAGGCTGGGGGAGGGGCTTCTGCCATTGCTGAGGCTTGAATAGATAAACAAAGTGGCTGGGAAGCTCGAACTGGGTGGAGCCCATCACAGCTCAAGGAGGCCTGCCTGCCTCTGTAGACTCCACTTCTGGGGGCAGGGCATAGCTGAACAAAAGGCAGCAGAAACTTCTGCAGACTTAAATGTCCCTGTCTGACAGCTTTGAAGAGGATAGTCATTCTCCTAGCATGGAGTTTGAGATCTGAGAGTGGACAGACTGCCTCCTCAAGTGGGTCCCTGACCCCCAAGGAGCCTAACTGGGAGACATCACCCAGTAGGGGCTGACTGACACCTCATACACCTGGGTGTGCCTCTGAGACGAAGATTCCAGAGGAAGGATCAGGCAGCAACATTTGCCATTCTGCAATATTTGCTGTTCTGCAGCCTCCACTAGTGATATCCAGGCAAACAGGGTCTGGAGTGGACCTCCGGCAAACTCCAACAGACCTGCAGCTGATGGTCCTCCCATTAGAAGGAAAACTAACAAACAGAAAGGACATCGACACCAAAACCCCATCTGGTATGTCACCATCATCAAAGACCAAAGGTAGATACAACCACAAAGATGGGGAAAAAACAGAGCAGAAAAGCTGAAAATTCTAAAACTCAGAGTGCCTCTACCCCTCCAAAGGAACGCAGCTCCTCACCAGCAATGGAGCAAAGCAGGATGGAGAATGACTTTGACGAGTTGAAAGAAGAAGGCTTCAGACGATGAAACTACTCCGAGCTAAAGGAGGAAGTTTGAACCAATGGCAAAAAGGTAAAAACCTTGAAAAAAAATTAGACTAATGGCTAAGTAGAATAACCAATGCAGAGAAGTCCTTAAAGGACCTGATGGAGCTGAAAACCAAGGCACGAGAACTACGTGATGAATGTGCAAGCTTCAGTAGCCGATTCAATCAAGTGGAAGAAAGGGTATCAGAGATTGAAGATCAAATGAATGAAATGAAGCGCTAAGAGAAGTTTAGAGAAACAAGAATAAAAAGAAATGAACAAAGCCTCCAATAAATATGGGACTATGTGAAAAGACCAAATCTACATCTGATTGGTGTACCTGAAAGTGACAGGGAGAATGGAACCAAGTTGGAAAACACTCTTCAGGATATTATCCAGGAGAACTTCACCAACCTAGCAAGGCAGGCCAACATTCAAATTCAGGAAATACAGAGAATTCCACGATGATACTCCTCGAGAAGAGCAACTCGAAGACACATAATTCTCAGATTCACCAAAGTTGAAATGAAGGAAAAAATGTTAAGGGCAGCCAGAGAGAAAGGTCGGGTTACCCAAAAAGGGAAGCCAATCAGACTAACAGCAGATCTCTTAGCAGAAACTCTACAAGCCAGAAGAGAGTGGGGGCCAATATTCAACATTCTTAAAGAAAAGAATTTTCAACCCAGAATTTCATATACAGCCAAATTAAGCTTCATAAGTGACGGAGAAATAAAATCCTTTACAGACAAGCAAATGCTAAGGGATTTTGTCAACACCAGGCCTGCCCTAAAAGAGTTCCTGAAGGAAGCATGAAACATGGAAAGGAACAACTGGTACCAGCCACTGCAAAAACATGCCAAATTGTAAAGACCATCAATGCTAGGAGAAAACTGCATCAACTAATGAGCAAAATAACCAGCTAACATCAGAATGACAGGATCAAATTCACACATAACAATACCAACCTTAAATGGACTAAATGATCCAATTAAAAGACACAGACTGGCAAATTGGATAAAGAGTCAAGACCCATCAATGTGCTGTATTCAGGAGACCCACCTTATGTGCAGAGACACACATAGGCACCAAATAAAGGGATGAAGGAAGCTCAACGAAGGAAACGGAAAACAAAACAAAATAAAAAAACAGAGTTTGCAATCCTAGTCTCTGATAAAACAGACTTTAAACCAACAAAGATCAAAAGAGACAAAGAAGGCCATTACATAATGGTGAAGGGATCAATTCAACAAGAAGAGCTAACTATCCTAAATATATATGCACCCAATGCAGGAGCACCCAGATTCATAAAGCAAGTCCTTAGAGACCTACAAAGAGACTTAGACTCCCACACAATAATAATGGGAAACTTTAACACCCCACTGTCAACATTAGACAGATCAACAAGACAGAAAGTTAACAAGGATATGCAGGACTTGAACTCAGCTCTGCACCAAGTGGACCTAATAGACATCTACAGAACTCTCCACCCCAAATCAACAGAATATACATTCTTCTCAGCACCACATTGCACTTATTCCAAAATTGACCACATAGTTGGAAGTAAAGCACTCCTCAGCAAATGTAAGAGAACAGAAATTATAACAAACTGTCTCTCAGATCACACCACAATCAAATTAGGACTCAGGATTAAGAAACTCACTCAAAACCACTCAACTACATGGAAACTGAACAACATGCTCCTGAATGACTGCTGGGTACATAATAAAATGAAGGCAGAAATAAAGGTGTTCTTTGAAACCAATGAGAACAAAGACACAACAAACCAGAATCTCTGGGACACATTTAAAGCAGTGTGTAGAGGGAAATTTATAGCACTAAATGCCCACAAGAGAAGGCAGGAAAGATCTAAAATTGATACCCTAACATCACAATTAAAAGAACTAGAGAAGCAAGAGCAAATATATTCAAAACAAGCAGAAGGCAAGAAATAACTAAGATCAAAGAAGAACTGAAGGAGATAGAGACACAGAATCCCTTCCAAAATCAATGAAAACAGGATCTAGTTTTTGAAAAGATAAACAAAATTGATAGACCACTAGCAAGACTAATAAAGGAGAAAACAGAGAAGAAGAAATAGACACAATTAGAAATGATAAAGGGGATATCACCACCGATCCCACAGAAATACAAACTACCATCAGAGAATACTATAAACACCTCTATGCAAACAAACTAGAAAATCTAGAAGAAATGGATAAATTCCTGGACACATACACCTTCCCAAGACTAAACCAAGAGGAAGTTGAATCCGTGCATAGACCAAAAACACACTCGGAAATTGAGGTAATAATTAACAGCCTACCAACCAAAAAAAGTCCAGGACCAGATGGATTCACAGCCAAGTTGTACCAGAGGTACAAGGAGGAGCTGGTACCATTCCTTCTGAAACTATTCCAATCAATAGAAAAAGAGGGAATCCTCCCTAACTCATTTTATGAGGCCACCATCATCCTGGTACCAAATCCTGGCAGAGACGCAACAAAAAAAAGATAATTTTAGGCCAATATCCCTGATGAACATTGATGCAAAAATCCTCAATAAAATACGGCAAACTGAATCCAGCAGCACATCAAAAAGCATATCCACCACGATCAAGCTGGCTTCATCCCTGGGATGCAAGGCTGGTTCAACATACACAAATCAATTAACATAATTCATCATATAAACAGAACCAAAGACAAAAACCACATGATTATCTCAATAGAGGCAGAAAAGACCTTTGACAAAATTCAACAGCCCTTCATGCTAAAAACTCTCAATAAACTAGGTATTGATGGGACGTAGCTCAAAATAATAAGAGCTATTTATGACAAACCCACAGCCAATATCATACTGAATGGGCAAAAACTGGAAGCAATCCTTTTGAAAACCGGCACAAGACAGGGATGCCCTCTCTCACCACTCCTATTCAACATAGTGTTGGAAGTTCTGGCCAAGGCAATCAGGCAGGAGAAAGAAATCAAGGGTATTCAATTACGAAAAGAGGAAGTCAAATTATCCCTGTTTGCAGATGACATGATTGTATATTTAGAAAACTCCATTGTCTCAGCCCAAAATCTCCTTAAGCTGATAAGCAACTTCAGCAAAGTCTCAGGATACAAAATCAAAGTGCAAAAATCACAAGCATTCCTATACACCAATAACAGACAAACAGAGAGCCAAATCATGAGTGAACTCCCATTCACAATTGCTTCAAAGAGAATACAATACCTAGGAATCCAACTTACAAGGGATATGAAGGACATCTTCGAGGAGAACTACAAAACACTGCTCAATGAAATAAAAGAGGATACAAACAAATGGAAGAACATTCCATGCTCATGGATAGGAAGAATCAATATTATGTAAATGGCCATACTGCCCAAGGTAATTTATAGATTCAATGACATCCCCATCAAGCTACCAATGACTTTCTTCACAGAATTGGAAAAAAATATTTTAAAGTTCATATGGAACCAAAAAAGAGCCCACATTGCCAAGACAATCCTAAGCCAAAAGAACAAAGCTGGAGGCATCATGCTACCTGACTTCAAACTATACTACAAGGCTACAGTGACCAAAGCAGCATAGTATTGGTACCAAAACAGAGATATAGACCAATGGAACAGAACAGAGCCCTCAGAAATAATACCACACATCTACAACCATCTGATCTTTGACAAACCTGACAAAAACAAGAAATGGAGAAAGGATTCCCTATTTAATAAATGGTACTGGGAAAACCAGCTAGCCATATGTGGAAAGCTGAAACTGGATCCCTTCCTTACACCTTATACAAAAATTAATTCAAGATGGATTAAAGACTTAAATGTTAGACCTAAAACCATAAAAACCCTAGAAGAAAACCTAGACTATACCATTCAGGACATAGGCATGGGCAAGGTCTTCATGACTAAAACACCAAAAGCAATGGCAACAAAAGCCAAAATAGACAAATGGCATCTAATTAAGTTAAAGAGCTTCTGCACAGCAAAACAAACCACCATCAGAGTGAACAGGCAACCTACAGAATGGGAGAAAATTTTAACAATCTACCCATCTGACAAAGGGCTAATATCCAGAATCTACAATGAACTCAAACAAATTTATGAGAAAAGAATCAAACAACCCCCTCAAAAAGTGGGCAAAGGATATGAACTGACACTTCTCAAAAGAAGACATTTATGCAGCCAAAAGACACATGAAAAAAATGCTCATCATCATTGGCCATCAGAGAAATGCAAATCAAAACCACAATGAGATACCACCTCAAACCAGTTAGAATGGCGATCATTAAAAAGTCAGGAAACAACAGGTGCTGGAGAGGATGTGGAGAAATAGGAACACTTTTACACTGTCAGTGGGACTGTAATCTAGTTCAACCATTGTGGAAGTCAGTGTGGCGATTCCTCAAGGATCTAGAACTAGAAATACCATTTGACCCAGCCATCCCATTACTGGGTATATACCCAAAGGATTATAAATCATGCTGCTATAAAGACACATGCACACATACGTTTATTGCGGCACTATTCACAATAGCAAAGACCTGGAACCAACCCAAATGTCCAACAATGATAGACTGGATTAAGAAAATGTGGCATGTATACACATGGAATACTATGCAGCCATAAAAAAGGATGAGTTCATGTCCTTTTTAGGGACATGGATGAAGCTGGAAACCATCATTCTCAGCAAACTATCGCAAGGACAAAAAACCAAACACCGCATATTCTCACTCATAGGTGGGAATTGAACAATGAGTACACTTGGACACAGGAAGGGGAACATCACACACCGGGGCCTGTCGTGGGGTGGGGGAAGGGGGTAGGGATAGCATTAGGAGATATACCCAATGTAAATGATGAGTTAATGGGTGCAGCACACCAACATGGCACATGTATACATATTTAACAAACTTGCACGTTGTGAACCTGTACCCTAGTACTTAAAGTATAATTTAAAAAATTATAATAAAGCTATAATAATAAAAACATTATGCTATTGGCATAAGAATACACACATATACCAACAGAATGGAATCACAATTTCATACATAAACCCATATATTTATAGTCAATCAGTTTATGATAAAAGTGGCACTTTCATTTATTGTAGAAAAAATAGCCTTACCAATGAATGTTGCAGTGGCAATTGGATATTTACATGCAAAAGAATGACATCAGGCACCTAATTCACACTTACTAAACACTTATTTAAAATGGATCAAAATCTTAAATATAAGAGCTAAAACACGGTTTACCTAAAATCATTTCAAAGGTTTATTTAAAATGGATAACAAAACTTAAAAACAAGAGCTAAAATCATAGCACTCTCAGAAAAAAACATAGGGGTAAATCTTTATGACTTTAGATGTGCCAATGAATTCTTAGATATGACTCCAAAAACATCTGCAACAAAATAAAAAGTAGGCAAACTGATCTTTATCAAAGTTAAAAAATGTTGTGTCAGAGGATATTACCAAAAATGAAAAGTGACAGAATGAGAGAAAATATTTGTAACTCATATACATGAAAGAACTAGCATTAAGAATATATAATTTTTAAAACTAATTATAAAGCAAAACCCTAAATTAGGAAAATGTACAAAAGATATGAGTAGACACTTCTTTAAGATTTTTACAAATGGCCAGTATATACATGAAACATAAACAAAATCATTATACTTTAGAGAAATGAAAACCACAGAGATACCACATCATACCCACTATGATGGCTTTATCTATCTATCTAAACAGGAAATTAAGGCAAGACTAGAATCCTCACAAATGGTTGGAGGAAATGTAAGATGTTTCACCCTACATGGAGAATAGTTTGGTTATTTTTTAAAAGTTTAAACATAGAATTACATGATTCTGTAATTTCACTCTTACGAATACAGTTGACATGAGGTTAAGGGTGCTGACCCCTTGCATAGTCAAGAACGCTCATATAATTTCTGACTTACTCAAAACTTAACTAATAGCTTACTGTTGGCTGGAAGTGTTCCTGATAACATAAATGTTCAATTAAACCATATTTTACATGTTGTATGTATTATATACTGTATTCTTACAATAAAGTAAGCTAGAACAAAGAAAATGTTACTAAGAAAATCATAAGGAAGATAAAATATATTTACTATTCATTACATGGAAGAGGTTCATCCTACAGGTCTTCTTCATCGTCTTCCTGTTGAGAAGGTTATCTCAACATCATGCTAGAGATAATAAATATTATAGACAGGATAAATTTATAATTTTTTTATTTTTAAAACTATAGTTAAATCATCTAAGAAGACATAATACTTTAAGGTGCTTAAAATTAGGTGCTTAAACAATAACTCAAATTGAGTCTACAGTTGAACATTGTTGTTGAATTTTTTTCACAAAAGTAGGTATAATAGAATACTCCAAATTCTATTTCACTGGTCTGGGTGGTATGCTCTTAATTCTTTATCATGTTTTTCATCATTATAAGAAAAGAAAAAGTAGAGGTACTATTGTTTTATAACATAAAACGATTCCCCTGTTTTAAAATTAAAGTGTTATTAGATACGGTAGAATGCAAATAGGAGAGAGATTATACCTGTACATAGGGATGTGGGGATTATGTGCATAGGCATTGTAATCAGTGCATCTAAAGTGAAGAATATACAAAAAGTGGCAATTCAAAAACAAATGAACATACCACACCTACAAGTAAAGAGGAACAAGAAAAATAGACAATGTCTAAATAGCTAGAAAAAACTCATGATATTGAAATGATACGATAGCTAAAGTGCCCATATTTCTGCACTGATGATGAAAATGTCTCCTCTCCTCATCTCCATTTGTCTTCGATTTTGCAATTCCTTCATCACTAATAAAATTCTACTACTACTCAAGTATTCCTTTTCTTTGCTTACCAGGTAAGCAAATTTGGTTCATCTTTTCTTAATTGTTACCTTTTCTTCCAAATTGTATTCCAAAAGTTATTTGCTTTGATTCCCTGCCCTTCAGTATGATTTAGATTCTGTCTTTTGTGTCAATCACTACTCCTTTTATTTATTGTTTCAGTGTTGATAACCTGTGAACAGGGAGAAAACTGTTAAATCCTAATGAGAGAAGCATACTGAATGGGAGAGATAATGAAGGGAAGAAGCTTTCATTAAGAAATAATACTGACAAGTTAATATTGGCTGGGAAACCTATGATAAAACTCACTTTGCTCCCTGAAACACAAAGATGGCCAAAGATGAAATCCAAGGCTGTTCACAGCTCCTATTGAGTATCAGACATTGGGTCCGAGACAGCTGAGTCCAAGAAACGGGTGATGAGGATGGCAGTGAGATTCAATGCCTGGAGGGCTTAAAGTGTCAACTGGGGCAAACCTCAAGAGTTATATTTCAGGGAGCTGAGTATTAAATTTTTTTATTATTATACTTTACGTTCTGGGTTACATATGCAGAACGTGCAGTTTTGTTGCATACATATACACGTGCCATAGTGGAATGTGGCACATACACACCATGGAATACTATGCAGCCATAAAAATTAATGAGTTCATGCCCTTTGCAGGGACATGGATGAAGCTGGAAACCATCATTCTCGGCAAACTATCACAATAGTTTTATAAATTTCAAAACGCAATCATGTATCCAGGGAAAAGAAAAAGTGATTGCCACATATGATAAGTGCTGAGATGAAGTGTTTTATCAATATACAGAGAGACTGTGCAAGTCATATAAAGAATCAAGTAGAATTATAAGTGATTCAGCTGGATGGGTATAAAGGTCCGTCATGCAGGGCAAAGGAGGTAAATCTAATAAGAAAGTCTAAGCCCTAGGTTTCTAGAGATAATGTATTCTGCTCTCTGGGCCATTATTCTCCCAGTCCATCATGTCTACCTGCCCAGGTGCCAGCTGGAGTTTATCACAGCACCGAACATTATGTTCTGGCTTGCAGTAGATGATTACTTCCTAGTGCAAAGGGTTCTAATAGGCCAGGAAGAAAGGCTGCAATGATACACAACGTAAACCATTATGGTGGTAGAATCTGGCCACGGAAAGCCACGAGGTTGATGCATTATTTGCATTTTCATTCCTGTAACCCTATCACCCAGCCCCACCACACAAGAAGGCATTCCACTGACATCTGATACTGTGTTTCAACTTCGAAGATATTGGACATCCAGAAGGGCTCACTACATCTAGAGGCCTTTAGTGGTTGCTTTTGATGGCTGAGATGCGCTTTTGAATTTTGAGTGAATTTGAGAAGTTTTAGAGGTTAGTGATCTCTACCTTGTACCAGGGCAATGCATATAACTCAAGCAAAGGAAGTACCAGGAAGAAAAACTATGAACAAGAGTGTTCTAGTTTTGTTACTGTTTGTTCTGGTTTGATTTGTGTTAGAATTCTGCTCTGATGACCAAGGTAAGTTACAGTGACTATTCCAATTGTTGCCATGATGAATGTGGGGAGGGTGAGGTTGGTGAGTGGGGACAAATAGAAGGAAAAATCCATATACAAGGTAACCACAGGACAGTAGGCATGACAGCTCAGTGAGTTGCTGTAACAATCAGCAATCTTAGTTTCTGCTACCAACCACAAAGCTACTGCAGTGGTCCCCCACTTATCTATCTGGGACTTCCATTCAGCTTGCTTCTTGTTCAGCTCTGCTCCACTATGTTTGCAGAATAATTTTTGCAACTTTATAGTTGTGTTGTTGTTTTTTCTATGTAATAGTTTACTTAAGTTTACTTGTCTTTATCACTCACTTGTCAATGAACTACCGTCTATACCGTGTCTATGTTGGTCACCATGGTATTCCTAGACTTTAGCAAGAAACCTGGCTAAGGGGAGGTTCTCCTTAAGCAGGAGGCAGCTTCCATTTCTTTTTCTTTTCTTTTTTTTTTTTTTTGAGACGGAATCTCGCTCTGTTGCTCAGGCTGGAGTGCAGTGGCGCGATCTTGGCTCACTGCAAGGGCAGCTTCCATTTCTAAGGGTGGTGCTAAGGAAGGCTCCCAGCAACGCTGGGTCTCATGGCTTTTTATAACAGAATCTAAGAATCTTGCTTTTGCCTCACCATTGGTTTCACAATTTTCTCCACAGGTGTTTGACAGGGAAAAGAGGCATTTATTTTTGGAGGCAAAAAATAGTTTATCAACTATCCTTCAGAAGGATTATGAAACTATTGGACACAATAAAAATTTTAATCTTCATTTTATAATTCAAATCTAGATGAAGTGCATTGACCAAGCCATTTCTACTGACATTGTATGAGCAAGGGATAACATTAATTTTGATGGTGTTTTTATAGTAAAAGAATAGCTTGTTTTATTAGTTCTTTTACATAAACTTTTAAACAAAGCATGATGTACATACAGAAAAAAATGCAAATCCTAAATATACAGCTTGATGAATTTTTACAAAGTATACATACCAGTGAAACCAGCACTTTGATTAAAAAACAGAACTTAATGATCATCCCAGAAGTTCTAGCTCCTAACAAGGAAAAATAGTCACTGTTGGGACTTCTAAATCCATATATGATTTTGTCTGTTTTTGAGCTTTACATAAATGGAATTTTATAGTATGTTCTACTTTTATGTGCTTAACTTATTTTGTCAACATTGTATTTGTGATATCTATACATTTCATTGTAAACAGCAATAGTTAATTCTTTTCCTTGCCTTACAATATTCCATTTTCTGAAGATACAACATTTTATTTTTGAACTAATTTATTTATTCTACCTCTGATTTACTATGTACTATTGTTTTACTTTTTCACTAATATGAAGAGTACAATTACGAACTTGTTATTCATTTATTTTTTATGAACTTACACATTTATTTCTGTTAGTGTGCATACTTACCTATCAGTTTATCTGATTGCTATCTATCTGGAATACAGTGTCATACAGTAGAAATATGCTCAAAAAAATGTTTACCAAAATGATTACACTAATTGACACCCTCACCATCAGTGCATAACAAATCCCTTTGTTCCATCTCCTCTTCAATATTTAGTGTTTTCTGTTTTCCTAATTTTAGCAATTGTTTTGTTTGAAGTGTTAACCGTTGCAATTTCAACTACACTTCTCTAATGACTAAGAAGGGTTAGCACAGTTTCTTTTTGAAAGAGAAATTTGTAATACATGACTACATTGTGGGATGACTAAATCAAGCCAGTTATATGTATGTATTATATGTTTTTATATACATACATATAATACATACATATAATCTTTAAAACGTGATTTTTGGTGAGAACACTTAAAAACCATTCTCCTCGCAGTAATCAGAAATACAGAACATTTTTGTTAACTGCAAACACCATGTTGTACCTAACATCTCTTGAACTTATTCCTTCTATGCAACTGAAACTTTTCATATAATTATTTGCAGATTTGGAGTCCATCTTTTCTATGTGTTAGTTAACATCTTTTGCCTATTTTTATATGAATTGTCTGTTTATTTTTTTATTTATTGCTTTCAGTTCTTTAAGGAATATATAAAATATTCATTAATAACCAACTAATAATAACTTATTGATTATATATATTCAGCTATTTAAAATTTCATCAATTTGCTTTTTAGCCAAGTTTACTGTGTAGTATGAGATGCTCTGCTAGCTACAAAGACTGAAGAAAGAAATGTTTTCTAGGGATAGTTGATTCCGTTATTGATATGAATTTTATTTTAAGAGATTTGGTGATAGACATTTTCTAATTATTATAAGAAGAAATGTTTGATATTTTTTGAACAGTATATTCCTTCTAAAAATATTGTTTCCAAATAACATCTGCCATTTACAATTAATTAAGAAAAATTAAGAGAATGCAGCTAAATTCAAATATATGTTTCTATAATCTTACATACACAAAGATAAATGAGATATTTTGGGTTTAAAGATTAAGGATTTATCCAGAATCTACATTTCTAGCCCACATTAGAAGATTATATTTCTTTGCAACAGAAATTTTCCAAGAGATCCTTTTAAGCATTTCTGTACTGCTGCGTTACTGAATGTTTATCCACGTGCACTTACAGTCCAGTCCCTTTAACTTGGCCTACATGATTTGCCTCTCTCCCTCTTCTGCCTTCATCTACCTTTCTCACTAACCTCTAGCTGTAACACTTTTTTTCTTTTTTAAGAGAGGGTCTTGCTCTATCACCCAGGCTGCAGTACAGTGGGGAGATCATAGCTCACCACAGCCTCTACCTCCTGGTCTCAAGCAGTCATCCTACCTCAGCCTTCCAAGTAGCTGACACTAAAGATGTGCACCAACCCACCTGGGAATTTAAAAAATTTTTGTAGAGATGGGGTTTCACTATGTTGCTCAGAATGGACTTGAATTCCGGGCCTCAAGCAATCTTTCTACCTGGGCCTCCTAAAGTGCCGAGATTACAGGCAAGAGCAACTGCACCTATCCTGTAACACATTTTGTTTATTAAACATGTTTCTAATTTACAGCACTTGCATGTGCTATTCTCTCTGTCTGAGGATTTTCTCTCCATGTTTTCACTTGCCCAAAACTTTCCCATCTTTCAAGCCTCAAAAGTCAGACAACCAACTCATATATAGTCATATCCATGTCCCTCCCCAAGTCCTCACTATTCTGCTACCACGGGTTATTTTCAAGTCATTGTCAGTAGCCGACATTACCTCTTCTTGTCTGTCACATCTCCCCACCCCTAAATTAAAATATGGACTCTGTGAGAGCTGAAAATGTGTTTGCATTTATCAGAGTGTCTATCACTCTGAAGTGCACCTATTACAGGGTGGGGTTGGAATTTGGAGAAGTCATAAACACTCACATGGCTTCTTTACCATATACCTGCTTAAAGTCCTTAATGTGTTAATGATCATAATGAAACATTAAGTGGGACATTATTTTGTAGCATTGCTGAAGCATCCATGATTATAGAAACTTCCCATGTCTACCTCTCCCACTTTTATCAATAATGATATCTTTTAGTATATTGTAGTGATATTAATTCTTTGTGACACTGTTGAAGAAACATTAAGCTAGATTATTTTTTAATTAAAACAATACTATGTGCCATATATCTCTTATTTTTTAAGTATATCAAATAAAAATGAATTTCATGTTTGATAGTTATTTATTGTGTTTATAATAATAGTGTGGTAAGTATAACATTTATATTTTTAATTTATAAATGCCTGATTATCAGTTTTAAGTATTTATAGAAAATAGTATCTCATAAACATTGTTATGCAACTTTATACATCTATTGGGTTTTTATATAAATAAAATTGTGATAATTAGCATCTGAACTAGTCACTAAAAATAAAAAAACCTAAAAATCTAAAAAGCATGCCCACTCACATGTCTTTTCTGTCATGATTTTTCATGTGAATGTCCTGCTAGGAAAGGGACTCGGTTAAATTTGAAGCTTACATAAAAATTAATGCCATCTTTTATTGAATACTTAAATGTGTCATGCACTATGATGTTTACTGCATATATTTTATGTTTTAGTAATAAAATGTTTTCGAATCACCTCCTTAAAAAGATAAGTAAAAAAAAATGAGAGGGAGTTTAAGGAATTGGCCTTAGTTTGCCTCATTTTGTAAATGTTTGAGTTTGGATAAAGAATCTCATCAATCTGCTGCAGAAATTGTGTCTCAACATTGTCTCAACTTGAAGATGAAATGCATATGAATCACTGATTCAATCCATCTGAGCTTCTGCATTGCTAAAGAGCTCCCGAGTGATGCCAATGCTGCTAGTTCAAGTATCAGACTTTGAATAACAAGATTGGTATTTGCCAGAAGCTGGAAAGGGTCTGGGGAGGAGATGAAGATCGGCTGGCTAATGAATACAAACACATAGATAGACGGAATAAGTTACATTGTTAAATAGCTCAGTAGGGCAACTATATTTACCAATAATCTATTGTACATTTAAAAATAGCTAGAAGGGAATATTTGAGATATTCCCAACACAAAGAAGTGATAAATAAATGTTTAATGTAATAGATAGATAAATATCTGAGGTGATGGATGTCCTAAATACCTTGATTTGATCATTACACATTATATGCTTATGTCAAAGTATTTCATGTAGCCCATGAATATGTACCATTAATATGTATCAATAAAAAATTTTAAATAGTTGCTTTATTATCAATAATAGTAATGACTTCTTAGATTGTTTTGAAGATTAAAAGAAATAATGCTTGCAGAAAATGAGCATTCAATAGACATTACATCTTGTTGTAAAACAATGTGATGCAAATTAAAGCAAAAAGGAAGAATCTATTTAGTATTATCTGGGGGGAAATATACACAGGAAGATAAAGATAAAGGCAAACACTGCATCTATATCCCTCTCTTACCTTGCTCTAATTTTTCTTTTCTTCAAAAGCATTTGCTACTTTCTTTTCTTTTCTTTTCTTTTTTTATTATACTTTAAGTTTTAGGGTACATGTGCACAATGTGCAGGTTAGTTACATATGTATACATGTGCCATGTTGGTGTACTGCACCCATTAACTCATCATTTAATATTAGGTATATCTCCTAATGCTATCCCTCCCCCCTCCCCACACCCCCACAACAGGACCCGGTGTGTGATGTTCCCCTTCCTGTGTCCAAGTGTTCTCATTGTTCAATTCCCACCTATGAGTGAGAATACGTGGTGTTTGGTTTTTTGTCCTTGTGATAGTTTGCTGAAAATGATGGTTTCCAGCTTCATCCATGTCCCTAAAAAGGACATGAACTCATCCTTTTTTATGGATGCATAGTATTCCATGGTGTATATGTGCCACATTTTCTTAATCCAGTCTATCACTGTTGGACAGTTGGCTTGATTCGAAGTCTTTGCTATTGTGAATAATGCCGCAATAAACATACATGTGCATGTGTCTTTATAGCAGCATGATTTATAATCCTTTGGGTATATACCCAGTAATGGGATTGCTGGGTCAAATGGTATTTCTAGTTCTAGTTCCCTAAGGAATTGCCACACTGACTTCCACAATGGTTGAACTAGTTTACAGTCCCACCGACAGTGTAAAACTGTTCCTATTTCTCCACATCCTCTCCAGCACCTGTTGTTTCCTGACTTTTTAATGATCACCACTCTAACTGGTGTGTGATGGTATCTCATTGTGGTTTTGATTTTCATTTCTCTGATGGCCAGTGATGACAAGCATTTTTTCATGTGTCTTTTGGATGCATAAATGTCTTCTTTGGAGAAATGTCTGTTCATATCCTTTGCCCACTTTTTGATGGGGCTGTTTGTTTTTTTCTTGTAAATTTGTTTGAGTTCATTGTAGATCCTGGATATTAGCCCTTTGTCAGATGAGTAGATTGCAAAAATTTTCTCCCATTCTGTAGGTTGCCTGTTCACTCTGGTGGTAGTTTCTTTTGCTGTGCAGAAGCTCTTTAGTTTAACTAGATCCCATTTGTCAATTTTGGCTTCTGTTGCCATTGCTTTTGGTGTTTTAGACATGAAGTCCTTGCCCATGCCTATGTCCTGAATGATATTGCCTAGGTTTTCTTCTAGGGTTTTTATGGTTTTGGGTCTAACATTTAAGTCTTTAATCCATCTTGATTTAATTTTTGTATAAGGTGTAAGGAAGGGATCCAGTTTCAGCTTTCTACATATGGCTAGCCAGTTTTCCCAGCACCATTTATTAAATAGGGAATCCTTTCCTCATTTCTTGTTTTTGTCAGGTTTGTCAAATATCAGATGGTTGTAGATACGCAGCATTATTTCTGAGGGCTCTGTTCTGTTCCATTGGTCTCTATCTCTGTTTTGGTACCAGTACCATGCTGTTTTGGTTACTGTAACCTTGCAGTATGGTTTGAAGTCAGGTAGCGTGATGCCTCTACTTTCTATCATACTATGTATTTTAGTTATTTATTTATTACTTTATTTTCTGTCTCTCATATAGAGTGTAAACTTTCACAGAGACAGGACAGGCTCTCTGTTTTGTGTACCTACAATAGTATTTGATAGGTTCTAAGAGACTGAGAATAGATGCTCAATAAGTATTTGTTGGATAAATCCATAAATTTAAAAATATTTGCTTTGTAGCAAGGTGATTGTAAGGGAACTTTCATAATTCTCACTTGGTCCTGATAGAAAGAATAGAAAAATATTCCCCTGAGAATATGCAATCAAAATGCACGTGTCACATGAGTTTGGAGCCTGAATTCAAACTATCTGCATTTCAGACAACCTCAGCGGAATTTATGTTAAAGTAGACCCTAGTCTGTGTTGTTACTAGGTGTCTGGCAGAAACAAAAGCTCATTTTCTCCCAAAGAATAGACCTTCAGTCCAGGGCTCAATAATTTCAAATATTCAAAAAAATATATAGGAGTTCTAAGTAAGGAGAAATAAATGAAAAGAAATAAAATACTATGAAAGTCAGAAGGAAGAATAAACCTCAGAATCATAGCTGCAAAGCCTTTGAGTAACTGAAACTTTAGATTGGGACATAAGTTTTTTTTTAAAATGTCAGAGACAGAGAGAGAGAGAAGAGAGAGAGAGAGAGAGAGAAGCCTAGATAAAAGTTCCCTAAATAAGAAGGTAAAATAAATTCAAATATATTTCTAACTATTGTGAAAGCAGTAATGAACTATCCAGTGAAAACTATACATCATAAAATTAGCTTTTTATAAATCTGTCATAGCCTAGTGCAAAACATAAAAACACAGAGAAATTAGTAATAAAATATAGAATACAATAAATCAGGCCGGTAGTAACTAAATAAGTTTCTATAGCCACATAAATATCAGAAAAAATAAAACAAATTTTAAAAAACATAAACAAAGATAGAGGTGGCCACTACATAATGAGCAAAGAATCAGTTAATCGAGAAGATGCAATAATACACAACTTGTAGCCAATGAATGCTACCACCTTAAAATACATAATTTGCTCACTAACAGAACTCTAAGGAGGTACTGACAAATTCACAATAATAGAGAGTGATTTTATCACATATTCCCCAATTATTGATGATATATAAACAACAGTAAAGTTTATGAGATGGTTTACTATAAAAATTATTTCACATGTTCATAAAAAATATCTGCAGTAGTAAAAAAAATGTAAGTAACACAAATACCTGTCACCCAAGGAAGAAATAATTTACTGTGAAGTATCCGTACATTGAATATTTGGGTACTTATCCAGGATAAATGAAAACCTATACACGAATATTCATAGAAGCTTTATTTTAATAATCAGAAACAGGAAGCAATCCTGATATCCCTCAGCAAGTGAATGATTAAAAAAATGTGATATAGCAATACGATGAGATATTATGCAGCAAAAAAAAAGAAAGAAAAACAAAAATTACTGTTACATATAACCACCTGCATGTGTCTCAAGTGGATATTACTGATACAAAAGGTCAATTTCAAAAGTTTACATAATGTAAAATTTCATTCTCATAACTTCGTTTTGATGACAAAATTATAGAGATGAAAAACAGGTTAGTAATTTCCATGAGTAGGAAATTGGGGAGGAAGGGAAGTGGCTCTGGCTATCAATGGGTAGCACAAGGAATCGGTACCTTTGCAAAGGCTCAGTACCTTTGCATGGTGGTCTCAGTACAAATATGATAAAATTTCCTACCTCTAAATATACACACTCACATACACACATGGGTGCTGCAAAACTGGTGAAATGTAAGCCATATTGGTAGATTGCATCAATGTCAATTTCCTGGTTGTGGTCATATGCTATTATAGTTATGCAAGATGTTAACATTGGGGGAAACCTGGGGAAGAATGTTTGGGATCTCTCTATTATTGCTTATCACCACGTGTGAATCTACAGTTTTCTCAAAATTAAAAAAATAAAGTCAATTACATAATATATTTCTTTAAACTTAAATTTCTGTGATAATGTATGTATATCTGTGTCTTTGCCTTTGGGTAAATACTATTCCAACATTGACCATTCATAACAACCTTTCAAGTATGTTAAATTAATTTTAGTAGTTAATGAGGATTTCAATAAGAATGTAAGATCTATGAAAGACATTCAGAAATTATTTCTGAGGCTGCAACTCTATCATCCTAATAGAATTTAATCTTTTCCACCACTTAACTCTTTATTACAAAATAGGCCCATTTTTACTCAGTACGAATTAGGAAATATGTAAAAGGCATATGCAGGAAAATGTGAGAAAAATGAAAAAAAATTTTTGAGTCAACAATAACTAATAAACATTAATAGATTATCTAAGTAAACTAAAACACCTAACCAATTTTTGGAATGCTGGCAGTTCCACACTTTTTTACTCAACAATATAGTCTAGATAATATCTTGAAGATTTTTTGTGTTAACCATTGAAAGAAACTCATATTTAGAAATAACCTGAGAAAAATAATACTATTAATATTTGTTATGGTAGTATTATACCTGATGTTAAGGTTATTTGAATGACTTTTTGCATGCTGATTCCACAGCAATAGAAATGTATTTTTCCTGCTTCACAGTGTTTTTAATTTACAACATGATGCCAAAACCTTATCAATGCTCCGTCAATCCAGAAGTAATAATCTAAAAAAAATCAATGTGCACTGTTTTCTATAGTTTCTAATATGCTTTATTGTTTTATATAACAAATTATGTAATGACTTAGAATTTAGAATGTTACAGTGCCTAATTAAAGCCATATTGTATTATTTTGTAGAACTATTTGCAAAACCCTTGGTTATAATAATGTTAAGTTTATCAACCTTAAGAAATTCCCCCAGAGCTTTATTTTATTTTATTTTATTTTATTTTATTTTATTTTATTTTATTTTATTTTATTCTTTTGAGACAGAGTCTCTGTCGCCCAGGCTGGAGTACAGTAGCGTGATCTTGGCTCACTGCAATCTCCGCCTCCCAGGTTCAAGCGATTCTCCTGTCTCTGAGTAGCTGGGATTACAGGAGTGTACCACCACACCCAGCTAGGTTTTATATTTTTAGTAGAGACAGGGCTTCACCATATTGGTCAAGCTGGTCTCGAACGCCTGACCTCAGGTGATGTGTCTGCCTCTGCCTCCCAAAGTGCTGGAATTACAGGCACGAGCCACCTCTCCCAGCTCCGAAGAGCTTTAAAGTTACACTTCCATCCTGTTTACATTTTCTGCTAATGTTTCCTTCTATTTAGTCAGTGCAATGGCCTGAATTGCATTCTCCCTCAATTTCGTGTGTTGAAGTCCTATTCCCTGTGAACTCAGAATGTGACTGTATTTGAAGATAGGGGTCTTTAAAGAGATAATTAAATTAAAATGAGGGCATTCAGGTGGGTAGTAACCCAGTATGACTGGTGTTTGTATAAAATATATTGGGATACAGATGTCTACAGAGAGAAAGCCCTGTAAACACACAGGGAGAAAATGGCCAACCAGGGAGGAAAAGGCCATGGAGAGGGGCCTCCAAAAGAAACCAGCCTTGCCAGCACCTTAATCTCACACTTCCAGCCTCCAAAATTGTGAGAAAATAAATTTCTGCGTTTAAGCCACCCAGTCTGTGATAGTTTGTAATGGTAGCCCTTGCAAACTAGTACAGTTAGTGTCATAGAAAACGTGTGTTAGGGAAGCTTGTGAGCTATGCCAGGTGTGCACGCAATTTCACCTCCTAGCGGGAAGGGGCCACAATTGTACATTGAATGAATGACTCTCCGTTGATTAGCTCCTGAAAGATGGACCAATTGGTTTAATCTAGCAGAGTGGGCTTTGTGAGAGATAAAACAAAGGCCTGTGACTGGATTATAAACAAGTAATGAAGAAGGACAATGAAACTTTTCATTGAGTGGGCGTGGGAGAGAGGGAAGGTCGTCTGCACTGTGTAGTTCAGTGACTGCCACGCTGGATGATTGACGTGCTCAGGGTAAAGCTTCTGTTCTGAAATATCAGGATTCAAATCCCAGCTTTCCTCTTTTCCTAAATCATAGAACCTAATTTATTCATTCTTAGCTTTAATTTCCTTGCTCTAAAATTCGAATGCAAATAGCACCGAGCCCTGTGGTTGGTGTAAGGATTAAGAGAGTTAATACAACTGGAACATTTAAAGCACTGGCTTGTAAATGGTTCACACTTGGCCAATATTGACTGTTAACTTTTCTTTAATCCACTAACTACCCAGAAACTTCCAAATATTTTGTTTTATTACTACATTCTATAATCTCTAGGTAAAATTTCCAGATAAAATTTGAGGCATATATTGTCATATTTTAAAATATTGCTTTATCATTTAGAAAGTGATTTCTGTAGAGTACAAGTTTTTCTCTGTAGATTAATTTGTTAAATGTAAAAGATACATTTTGGAAATGAGTGTATCTTTGACAATTGGCCAATCATTCTTTATAAAACTTTTGGTCCCATCAAAGCTGAGTGTGGAAAGGATTATTGGTGGAAGCTATGTGGTAAAAATGAAGTGAATTTTCAGAATGTGTGGTCTCAGATCTGAAAAATAAAGTTGGGATTATCTCTCTTTTCCCAAAATAAAGCAAAAAAATTTGTTGTATATTACTATTATACAAATAATTGGTTGTATATTACTAAGATGTGCAATCTCAAGTCAGATCTCGGTGAGTCTCACCTGCTGGCATTCACATCCTTTGTGTTCCCTCAGCCTGCGAAGTGGGCTAGACCCCAGGACTTATTTTTAATAAATAGAATGTGATAGAATGATGAGATGTTACATCCAGGATTAGGTCTGCAAAATGACCATGACTTCAGTGTTGCTCCCTCCATTTTGCCCTCTTGTGTGCTCTCCCTGATGGAAACTAGCTTCTTTCATGTTGGAAACCATTCTATAAACAGGCCAGCAAGTCCAGGGAATGAGGGAAGCCTCCAGACAACTAACCATGTGGAAGAGAATCCAGTCATCCACTGCATAATGAGCATAGACCTGAATCTCCCTCAGTGAAATCTTGCGAGGACACAGCATCTCTTGGAGGGATACACATTAGCAATGGTACAAGATGTGTACCTTTTGTACAAAAGTAGCACAAAGGGTGGTCATTTCATAACATGGGCCTTTGAGCAAGTACGGAAATGTCTGAGTAATCTTTCCCATTTGAGTTTTGAGAGCTTCCTCTAGTGTGGATGCTTCTGCTGGGTGATTACATGAAATGTAAATAGCCTCATGCTCTGTGCTAGTCCAAGAAGGTCCATCCAGATAGCTATCTCTTAGTTCTTCTTGTCAACAATATTCCAATTTTGTCCTTCCCAAGTGCCTAGCTAGCAGAGCCACCTGTTATGCACTACCGAGAATCAATATGTATCAAAATCTAGAGCCATCTCTCTTTCCTAATAAAGCAGGCAAATCCTGTTCCTGTCCATGGTGTATTTCCTTTCTCCATGGGTTTCGGGGACACCAGTGAGTAGGGATAGGATTCAGTGTTCTTCATTTGCAGCCAGTGCCAGAACATGCTATGAATTCACACCTCAATCAGGCCCCTGAATTTTCCTCCCATGTTGAGCAGAACTCCCCTTCACTAGCTCCAAGTGAGGGAACGTAGGTAAGGAATTAGAAGGAGTTACTGTGAGGCATCTGAGTCATCTGCTCCTGTAGTTTATTTGTACTTTTTAGATTTCTTAGGACAAGTCTCACACCTTAGACCTGAAGAGACAAGGAAACTGTTTGGTTATGGGAAATGAGAGCATATTGTAAATCACATATATGAGGGAGCTACCTGAGAGGAATCACAGCCTCCCATTGAAAAAGACACAGTCAAAATGCAGCAATTGAGCAGTGAGGGACCCTGGATAATAGATATTTGACATCACCTTTGTCCACTCTCTACTGCCTGTCTCCTAAAATGTCCCAGTGGACAAGCCCAACAGAAAGCCTGAGAGAAGTAGAACCTGGTAATGAAGTCCACAGAGGTCAGAAGGTCAGCCTTTAGGGCACAGAAGAGAATGGAAAGTGGAGAGAACAGATCTAAAAGAATGAGTTGAAAGTGCCTAGAAGACTTAGTATGAATGATTTTTCACACATTTACCTTCAATACTTTTTATCCTTAAATTTTAGATGTCTTTTTTTTAAAACCAATGTTAAAATGGTTTTTTGTTACTGTTGTTGTGTTGGTTGGCTTGGTTTTAATGTAATTCCATTATTTCTGATTTTTTAAAAAAGTCTATGTAATACGTTTCATCAATATATGGGAATGATGTTATCAGTTTGGGTTGTATTGGGCAGCATACAGCAAAAAACGGTTTAGTGTGGCTTCATCAAATGAGGAATGAGGAATGTTTTTTTCCTATATCATGGGAATATCAGAGCTGGTATGGCTGCTTGAGCAAGTCATGAAGGAAGGACCCTTGGAGCTTCCCCCTTCCCCCTTCTCATTCTGTGGCTCTCAACCTCACAAATGCAAAACAGCAGCTTTATCCACAGGTACCACTCCTGCATTAGGTTACCTGAAAGTTGTGGTGGGTGTGGGAGTGGTGGGGAGGGGTGGGCAGATAAAATTACACACCAGTGAAGGCTATACTCTTTTATGTAAAACATGAACTTATTCAGAGCTCTATTTCTCACATAACTTTTCAGCACCGAACCTATCACCACCAGTAGACAAAAGAATATTCCCCCCGGGAAAGAATTACAGATTCTTTTGTTGAGGATATTGGGTAGACACATAGCAGTAACCACTTACAGGCTATACTTGGATATCGTCCCTCTTTATATTTTATGTTTTCTATATACCATAACCCTCCCTTGTTGCTGTTATTTTCTGCTCTTCTGACTTCTATTAGATTGACTGCCTTTCCTTCATTGCCCTTTTTCTCTGCAAATGTGGGGTTCAAGGCCCTGTTTCTGTTCTTCTGGTTACTCTTCAATGTCTACCATGCATACTTAGAAAGGTTTCAAACTGATTGATATCTCTATCCACTTTAAGAATGATGATGTACTTTAAATGCTTTCACTCGGGTAACCTCAAATCTGAATTGCATTTAAAAAATTTTGTTTTGCCAGCATCTTTCACACAAGGGGCTTCCAGAGAGAGCTGGGCACGCACTAGCTACTCCAGACTTGTTTGGGCAAAGCAAAGGGAGGAGGTTCGGCCTCTGCTGTGGCTCAAGGGGAGGCTGGGGGAAATGTTCCTGTGCAGGAGGTTTAATTTTCCTGCTGATGCCAAAGGAGGAGGTGCATGTGCATGGGTTCTCTTACCAGGCTGCACAGATGTGGGGCCAAAGACGAAAGAGAGGCCAAGTCTGCAGATGCATTCAGTAGTTGAACACCAAAAATGGAGCCACACTCTTTATTACAAATATTTATCCTTCACTGCTCTATTGCTTTCTTTCCTGAATAATAATTAACTGGTTATGGCTTACTAAAGAAACAGTTATGGTTTCCAGAAACACTTTAGAGATAAAATTCTAATATATATTTTTAGCTTCTATTATTGCCGTTGATAATTCTTCTGCTTTTAAGGTAAATGGTCTTTTTATTCCTAGTTGCTCTTAATATTCTGGTTTTCTTTTGTTGTTGTTGTTCTGAATGTAATTTGACAATACTATGTCAATGAAATGACTAATTTTTATTTGTGTGGCTCAGAATGCATGTTCTACCAAATCTGGAAATTTCTAAGCATCCATCATATTGACTATTTATCTGCTACATTGCCTTAATTCAATACTTAAGGATCAAATCATATATGTCATACATTCTTATTGCCTTCTCTAGTTTCTTACACTTTTGTTCATATTTTTCAAATGTTCACTAGTCTGTGTTGAATTATGGCTTATTTTCACAACAGTATTTCTTTGTTGAATTATACCTAGATTGCTGTTTAGGCATCATTAAGTTTATAATATCAAAGTCCATTTTCATTTCTCTTTTTTATCATCCATTGGTGGCCAACAAATATAGATATGTAATTTGATGCCATCAAAAAATTTGCCATCCCAGGAAGGGTGAAATTCTGTGAAATATTTTACATATATTCCCTCATGTAACAAAATACATTATTTTATAAATTATATTTAACAAATTACTTTAAATAAATTATTTTCTGGAACCAAAGAAAGTCACAGAAGTTAAAAATTAAAATTTTGAGACAAAATTGTAGAATAATTCCAGATCACAGATAAAAGAATGAATTTGAAATATCAGTAACCCAGGGAAAAATGCATCATTATTGCATCTCTGCATGAATTCATAGCAGAGAGCAGACATTAAAAGTCTAATATGCTCCCCAGCCAGGGGGCTCTAACCCTTTTGCATCTTAGATTCAAATAACATGAATCTCTTTATAATAGATATAAATGGATTTATTTTTATTAAAGACATTTAAGTGTCACCAAGCATTCTGTAAAGGCCATTAACATTGAAGTAGTTCTGTTGGATATAACTTTAATTTGTGAACTCGAAGGATAATTTATAAAAATCTTGTGCCTTCCAAAGTTATTCATTAGGCTCACTGAATTTAATGAGAATGTGGTTAACTGAAAACAGGGATTTACAACCCATCAGTCCAGTGATTTACATTCCATTAGGCGTGGGGAATATATCCCACTCCTATTGTTATTAATGACTCAACAGCTCTGGATTGTGAATTAGAGACATGGGACAGAAGGTAAAGGGAGAAGATAAAATGGAAGAAGTTTAGCTTGCCACGAGGGGAGAGTGGAGAAAGTAAAGATGATGTTCCCACCTTTTACTTGCATTCACCTAGCTGTGTGAACATCACTGGTTGGAAGAGGAAAATCATTTCAAATTGTATGCTGTAAGAACTTTCTGTTTGGATTTGTCTTCTAACAAATTTATTGAAAGAATATTCTTCTTTTGGTAATCACATTAAAAATGTAGGGCAAATGAACTATGTCACATGAAAATCTCACAAATAAACCTAGTAACTAGGTGCTAACCTTTATTGTACTTGGGAAAATAGGCATTATTATTTATCGTGTGGGTCCAACGGATCTGTTTAATTTTTATACTTTAAATTATTTCATTAATTTCTAGAAGTAAGAATAAAGAAATTATGAAAGCAGTTTACTAAAAATTATAATAAGAATTTAACCATAATGAACACAAAATATATTCTTTATTCCACTGGTGTTCAATTTATATGTATGAAAAATGGACAGTGCAATTGTCTTCTGCATGCAAGTAGCTGTTCATTAATTGTCATACATGGATCTGCAATTTATCATTCTTGTAAATACTAATAATGCTAGATTCCAAATGTGTTTCCAACAAGTTCTAGTGTATCATTTTGAGTGATTTTTCTTACACTTGCATCATCAAAATACAATATTTGAATAATTTTTGAAACCTTTGCTGGCTCATAAGTATCTTAAAGAGAAGACCAACTTCTTTTCTATATAATTTTGTCTTCTACTTTTTAATTTATAGACAGCATTTAGAATAACCTACCCAGTGATTTAAAATATCTTTATCATTTATTTTCTTCTAGTTACCTTTTTTTATACATCTGCTTTCATTATACTTTTGCTTCTGAAGAGTATCAAGTAAATTTTGGCACATAAACCTAACAAGAATAAAATTACTTAGATGTGTCTTTTTAACAAAATGGGATTGGCCAAGATTTTGTCACAAAATATTGCATTATGAAATTCTGCCTGTTGAATGACTACATTGATAAGAACATCATTATTTTCCATTTTTACTTATGTATACATTCTCCAATCACAAATTCTTAAGTTTGAGAAAATTCATTAAAGATACTATCACCTAAAAGTTTACCTAATATTTCACTTATAAGGTCACATTCACCATCATCTTTATAGTCTCAAATGTTGCTGTTTGTTGCTTTTATCCTATCATTTTTCTAATAATTTCGGTATGTCTTTCTCTGCCAATTATCTTTTTCTTTGCCATTATTTAGTAGAGAATAAAAATTTTATTTTCAACTGTGTTCAATAAAAATTAAAAGCAGCCTACAAAGATGGTGTCTCTAGTCTTGTTTTATATACTTTTGAAAAGGTAAAACTCTTGCAAATGCAATAAAAAGAAAATGGGAATGCAATAGTGACAGTTTATTGTACTTTTTCATCATAATTTTAAGCCAGAGATAGTCAAACTTTGCTGTAAAGGGCCAGATAGTAACTGGCTTTGTCAACTATACAGTCCCGTCACTTACCATTCTAGCATGAAAAGAGTTACAGGTGACATATTATGGATAGACAGGGATGGGATCTCATATGTCTTTATTTATAAAAACAGGATCTGGTTGGATTCAGTCCACAGCCACAGTTTGTCAATCCCTATTTAGGGAATTTTATAATTCTTTTGTTTCCTTATTATTTTGGTATAGTTCACCCTAAGTGGGAATAGTTTATATGTAGTAATGAATACCAAATATGATTAAAATGCAAAATAGAAAATGTAGTAAAGCAGCATATAAGATATAGAAAAGTGAGGTAACTAAAATCTCACGATGTACCTGAAATTTATAAAAGGGATCAGTAATACCACAGAGTAATTGCAAAATAGAATGCATATTTTCTACTGGAAATTAGTTGTGTTATTTTTGAATAATGTCTAAGTAAGAATAAAATAATGATAAATCAATCTTACAAATCCCTGTAACTGCTTAGAAAAAACCCTCACAAACTAAAATCTGTTCAGTGGAAGCTGAGGCTGTAATGAGGGTTTTTTAATACCACCATAAAAGGAAGGTATTGAATTTGGGTAAACGAAAACTGGACATCCTATCACCTTCTCGAAGTGTTGTTAATTGACATCCCCAGCAGGATAGCAAGGCTTGTGTGGAGGTAAGTACCAACAGGAGCACTGCGATCCCACCTGAGAAAAATGGATCTTTTATTAATTTAAGATCCATAATGAGAAATGTAAATGAATCCGAGAATATTAAGCCTAAGAACATTGAGGGATACAAAATTTGATCAAATTTTGTTAATGACCTCTTCTTCTCCAAAGAGGAAAATACATTCTCTTTGGAAGAAAACATGGTCAATTTAGGCCCTCAGAACATGCACAAACTAGGATTGAACAAATGGAAACACATAAACAAAGATCAAGCACACAAAAAAAAACCTCACAATGGATTAGAGACAGCAGAAATGAAAAATATATGTAAATATCATCCCAATAACTTTAGATCCTCAAGTACTTTAGACATTATATTTATCACATAAAAATATAAAATGCTGATAAAATGAAAGGTAGCATAACAAAATCACAGAAAAAATCAAATGACAGACCATCAAAATGACCAGAAAGATGTGATAAAGATAAATCTCTCTTCATATATCTCTTTCTATCTACTGTCTATATCTATTCTCTCTCTCTCTCTACATATATGTATATATATAAATACCTTGTCCATCTGGCCATCCTTAGTAGTCCTTCAGTTTTCAGCCCCTCACACAGCGACAACTGCACTGCATTTATTATTTTTGGTTCACATGAGCACCATCCTGCCTCAAGTTCCTGACTTCATGGCTGCATTTTTGGCTGTTCCCTTTCTCTCTCCATATTCCTTTTCCTCTTAACCTTATATATATATATATATATATCTCCTTATATATATATACACACACACATATGGTTATATATATATATAATTATTATCTATATTATTATTATCTATATATAATATATATAGATAATAATATATAATTATTATCTATATATAATACCTATATTATATATGATATATATATAATAATAATAACAATATATAAAAAAATAATAACTTTGCTGTAAAGGGCCAGATAGTAACTGGCTTTGTCAACTACACAGTCCCATCACTTGTCATTCTAGCTTGAAAACAGTTACAGATGACACACTATGGATAGACTGGGATGGGATCTCATATGTATATGTGTATATATCAGTAATTTTGCAATTACTCTGTGGTATTACTGATCCTATATTTTATATATAATATATATTATATATAAATATAATATGATATATTATATTATATTTATATATAAATATATAATATATTATATTATATTTATATATAATATATATTATATTATTACTCATCCTTCCTATGTGAACTCATTGCTATGTCCTCACAGATGAACCCTGTACAATTTTCGCATGGATTTTCCCAGTATAATATAAATATGTGCCACTTTGCATTCCTCCTTGCTGGTACTTCTTAAGAGTGTAACTATATTTTTTTATCTGAGTGACAATTTTATTGCTATCTGTCTCTTCTACCAACTGCAGGCCCCACGAGGGAAGGAGACAGAACACCCTTGGTTCACTGTGAGAACCAAACATAATGCCTGCCATATTGTAGGAGATAAAAATATATTTACCATGGAAAATGATTGAATAATTAGCATTTATGTGATGAAACATAATTGTCCTAAGAAAATGCTACTATGGTGACAGTCATGTGAATATTAGTTTGTTAAATGAAGGGAATCAGTGTGGTATGTCACAGACATAAATTAGACAAAATTGAACAGAGTAAATGAATTCCAAATTCATTACTTTTTATTATATATAACACCAGGAGCATCATTTGTCATTGAGAAGTAAATGAGTGTTAAATAGATGGATATTTAGATGAAATTTGCATTTTAAAATGAGTACATTGAATTATCATACATATAGTTGGGAGAGAAAAAAAGAATGCTCATTATTTTTGGAAATAACTCAGTTGTAAAATAAATTATCCTAAGGGAATTATCTCAACTTTTCTTAAGATGACTTTGACCTTGTCCGTCTGTCCATCCTTAGCTGTCTTTCAGTTTTCAGCCCCTCACACAGCTACAGCTCCACTGCACCTATTTTTGGTTCATATGAGCACCATCCTGCCTCAAGTTCCTGACTTCATAGCTGATTTATTTTTAGCTCTTCCTTTTCTCTCTCCATATTGCTTTTCCTTTTAATCTAACTAACACTTTTTCATTCTGCAACACTTCTAATACCATTTTATTGTTATTTCCTTCTATACATAAGCTAAATTCCATGAAGGGACTAATAGCATCTGTCCTTTTGCCATATAACCCTTGTACTTATTACAGACTTGGTACACAGTACAAATGGGGAAGATGGGCAAAACGAAGGACTCAAATGCAGGTCACTTCCTTTTTTTAATGATTACAAAATATTAAAATGTGTCCCATTCATAATTGGTGATATGTATACTCAGTAGAACACTATGACACATGAAAAATGCTAACTGTATAACGGGCCTCAAAAGAGAATGAAACGGCATAGTCATGTGTAAGCAGGAGGAAAACGACTATGTGTCAAAAGCGTTCATAAGTTGTATAAAAGTAACACATTTAAACTTACAATATGCATTACAAGAGGACTGAAAAAACTTGGGTGATGAAAACATTTTTCTTTATATAATTTTATTAAATATTTATACTACATATTTAATATTAACAAATAAGCTAAAATCAACTGGAGTTAAAGAGGCATCCAATGAAATGTTGTTTTTTTAAAGTAAAGAAAAATTGTCTTCATTATATTACATGGTAACAAGACAGTTGCTAATTTAATCAAAATATTATTCAGAAGGCAAATAAATCGATTTGGTTTTTGGTTTCAGAGACAAGGATTTAATTAAGTAACTTTTTCTCTTTTAAGAATCATGCAGGCCACAGTAGAAATATGACCTAAGTAGATTTTTTTCACGTATGTGTGCCTGTATAATATTTACCTGTGTAACAGTATGCTATAGAGAGAGTCTATCTTTTAGATAGTTACAGATATGGTTTATATGATGTTACATATAAATATATTTAGACGTTTGTACCTACATGTAGATACTAATACACACATAAACATAGAAATATTAGGTTGGGCGTGGTGGCTCACGCTTGTAATCCCGGCACTTTGGGAGGCCGAGACGGGCGGATCACCAGATCAGGAGATCGAGACCATCCTGGCTAACACGGTGAAACCCCATCTCTACTAAAAATACAAAAAATTAGCCCGGCCTGGTTGCGGGCGCCTGTAGTCCCAGCTACTCGGGAGGCTGAGGCAGGAGAATGACGTGAACCCGGGAAGCGGAGCTTGCAGTGAGCCGAGCTCACGCCCCCCAAAAAACAAACAAACATAGAAATATTAGTAATGAGTTTTTAATATATATCAATGCATTCTCAGATATAGTTAACAGACATGGCATGTATATACATCTTCTCTTCTCCCTCAAATCCTTAAAAAATTATGTGTGTGTGTTTTTGAAAGAAATGAATTTATAATAGTAATAGTATTGATTAAAAAAGAAAGTGCTACCAAGAGGAAAATATATTTTAAAAATATTTATTTAATAAAAAGTATTGCACTAAGAAAATCATATGCAAAGATCATATAGTCAAAGATGTACTACAGAGCTCAAAGCAGTTCTAGGAGTTATGGGAGGTGCCAACTTCAGAATAAGTAGATATGAGTTAAATGACGAGGGCCTGTGTAGTTTCAGGATGTTGAACTGGGTAAATACATCTTTTTTTTTTTTTGCTGCCTTTCTTTCCTTTACTATATGGCTACTATACAGGTTACAATAGACGGTCAGGTGCAGTGGCTCATGCCTGTAATCCCAGCACTTTGAGAGGCTGAGGCAGGCGGATTGCCTGAGATCAGAAGTTCGAGACCAGCCTGGCCAACATGGTGAAACCCTGTCTCCACTAGAAATACAAAAATTGGCCAGGCATGGTGGTGGGCACCTGTAATCCCAGCTACTTGGGAAGCTGAGACTGGCAAATTGCTTGAACCTGGGAGGCAGAGGTTGCCGTGAGCTGAGATTGTGCCATTTCATTCCAGCCTGGGCAACAAAAGTGAAACTCTGTCTCCCAAAAAAAAAAAAAAAAAAAAAAAAGTGTGTTTATTCAGAATATAAAGTATTGAAAGAGAGAGTCTTGGTTTCAGATAGCTTGCAAGCACCCACAAGGAAAAGAGAGCCTAACAGCCATAAAAATCACAACATGTACTGATGATTCCTTGTTATGTATTTTGAATAATTGTTTTCATAAAACATATGAGCAGGAACTTTCAAACTTAAAGATGATTTGACAAATATGAATTGCTAAATATTCACAAAATAACAAAAAAATTACAAAATACTGGCAAACTATTTTAACACCTAAATAATCAAGACTAAATAGATGACATGCTTAAATTAAATAGAAAAACATTAAGCTTCAACAAACTAGTGCATTCATTAACATGAAATAGCAAGACTTGGAATTCTGCTTCTGATTAGAATGCAGAAGGCCACAGCCCAAATATACCCCAAAATGACAACTAGAAAAATCAAGTAAATTTTAAAAATTATGTGCATATGTGTTTTTGAAGAGTTCAGAAATCTGGAGACTCACATGAGTGTAAAGAAACTAAATTTCAGAGAGTGAAGTGCTCTTTTCAGCTGAGTAGAAATTAGAAGCTATTTCCCTTGATGAGGCATCTGCTGAGTACAAGAACAGGGAGAAAAAACATTGGGCTTGTGAAAGACAGAGAGACTATACAGACAGAAAAACATGCAAGTGATTATGACATATTGGGATTTTGATAAGTGCCACACATTCAGCTGGTTGTTACCAACCAAATTATTCTAAAAGACTTGGACTAAGTAATGGGACCTGCAAGAAATGGGTGTCTTAAGTGAAAAGATAGGGAGAGAAAGCCCACCTTCCTTCAGTGCTGAAGTCCAAACTTCTAGCACAGAGGAGAACCCTGTGATTGACATAGGATAGGTCTTTCAGGTCTAAAAGCAACCTAGCTCCATTCCAAATCAATTTGATTGAAGTGGTTATCCCTCCCCCTAGCTGATTTTGATATGTAACATTATTATAATACCTGATAACTAGCATACAGTTAAAAATAATTAAGTCTGAGAAGAAATTAAGAAGCTAATAGAGGCCAGGTGTGGTGGCTCATGCCTGTAATCTCAGCACTTTGGTAGGCCGATGTGGGCAGATCACGAGGTCAGGAGATCGAGACCATCCCGGCTAGCACGGTGAAACCCTGTCTCTACTAAAAGTACAAAAAATTAGCCAGGTGTGGTGGCATGTTCCTGTAGTCCCAGCTGCTGGGGAGGCTGAGGCAGGAGAATGGCATGAACCCGGGAGGTGGAGCTTGCAGTGAGCCGAGATTGTGCCACTGCACTCCAGCCTGGGAGACAGAGCAACACTCTGTCTCAAAAAAAAAAAAAAGAAGCTAATAGAAGCAAACCCCCAAAATGACATAAATACCTAAGAGCAGGTAGAGAATAAAGGCATGCTACATTTAACAGGAAGAATAACAGCTGAGCGTTCATGTGAAACCATGAAAGCCAGAAGATACTGGAATACACAAAGACTGGATTTACTCTCACGCCTTAAAACAACTTTAAAAAAGAATAAATACATAAAACACTCTTTCAAGGCACTGAGCATCATTGAGCTCTTAGTGCTACTGTGGTGGAAGCATACTCCCTTGGGTAAGTTTCCCCACCGTGACTCAGGGAAAGGGGATGCACGTAGAGCTGAGGAAACTTCCTGAGTTGAGGAAATGGAGCTAAGATTCCAAGTAAACCAAAGGAATGCTAGTTAGTTTAGGGGACATAGTAATAGGTTTCTTGGGGCATTGATCAGAGTACTCAGAAGAATGTTGTCTTAGTAGTAGGAAAAACTTAGTCCTAAGCTAAGCACAGTTCTAGTCTCACCTAATCTTAAAATCGGTATATGAAAAGATCATACTAATTTCAAGTGATTTAATCGTATCCTAGAATAAAACTCAAAAATATTGATAGGAATAATAAAATATCTAGCATCCCAAAAGCTAAAAGTCACAATATCTGGAATTCCATTAATAATTACCAGGGAGGGCTGAGCGTGGTGGCTCATGCCTGTAATCCCAGCACTTTGGGAGGCCGAGATGGGTGGATCACCTGAGGGTAGGTGTGGAGACCAGCCTGGCCAACGTGGCGAAACCCCGTCTCTACTAAAAATACAAAAATTAGCCGGATGTGGTGGTGCGTGCCTATAGTCCCAGCTACCTGGGTGGCTAAGGCAGGAGAATCTCTTGAACCCCAGAGGCGGAGGTTGCAGTGAGCCAAGATCACACCACTGCACTCCACCCTGGGTGACAGAGTGTGACTCCGTTTCAAACTAATAATAATAATAATTATTATTATTATTAAGGAGGCAAATAAGCAAAATATGTTCAATAAGGAAAATTTAAAAAAATCACAAACTACCCAGAATTGACAGGATGTTAAAATTAGCAAAGACATTAAGCTTGTTATTATAACTTTATTGCTTACTTTCAAAAATTTAAATAGTAACATGGAAGTTATTTTAAAGATACAAGTCAAACTTAAAATGTTGAAACTATATTCTGTGAAACAAAATGCCCGGGATTGAATAATAGCAGATTATATATGTAAAATGTGGAATTAGTGAATTTAAAGACAAAGTGATAAAAAAATTACATTGAAACGTACAGTGATGTAAAAAGAATAGAAATAATTAACAGAGCATCATTAACCTGAGGCACAGTTTTCAAGAACCTAATAGTTGTATAATTGGAGACTCTGAAAGAGAGAAAGAAAAATATATTTTAAAGCATAATGTCCTAAAATTTTCTAATTCTATGAAAATTATTAACACTGCAGAAGTAAGAAGCTCAGTGCAGCCAAAGCACAATAAATATGAACAAACTACATTAAGTCATACTATAATCAAATTGCTCAGAACCAGTGGTATTTAGAAATTTTTATAAACAGCCAAGGAATAAAGACAAATTACATACAGTAGATTAATGATAAGAATGGCAACAAATTTATCATCTAAAACATTGTACATTAAAAGACTGGAGTAACACCTCAATATTACTGAGAGAGATAAACTTTCAATTTAGAATTATTTTTGCAAGGAAAATATATTTCAAGAATAACAGTGAAATGAAGACTTTTCAAATATACAAAAACTGAAAGAATTCATCACCAAGAGTGTTTCAATGGAAAGATATGTGAAAAGAAGTCCTTCGCGCAGAAGGAAGATGATAACAGATGGAAATACGGAACTACTCAAAAGCAGAAGCACCAGAAATTATAAATATATGGGTAAATATAAGTTATTCTGTATCACTATTTTATTATTTAAATATCATTAACATTTAAGTGTTTATACAAATATTGGTTTTTAAAACATATTTAAAATAAATGTTATGATAGCAATAACCAAAGGTTAAAAAGGGTGAAATAAATTATACTATTTTGTTTTAAATTTGTATATCACTTAAAGATAGACAGTGATAAATTAAAGATACAAACTTTTAAACCTTAAAGCACATTACCACAAGTTATAGTCCAGAGAGAAAATGAAATAGAATCATAAAATGTAATTAGTCTTAAGACAAAAAGAGAAGAAAAATGGAACAAAGAAGATGGGACAAATTGAAAACAGGCAAAACTTTATTTTTTTAAAGATACACACAAAACCTTTATCTATGTAAAACATATTATGAACCATGAAACAAGTCTCAATAAATTTAAGAATAAATTACCTCATACAAAGTATATTATCCGGTCAAAATAGAATTAAATTAGAATTCAATAATAAAATAACATCTTAAAATATTCTAAGTATACACAAACTGAATAACACAGTTTTATAAATCCCATGGGCCATAACAAGAAGTCAAGAAAAGAAATAATTGATTTTCAATTTAATGAAATAAAAAAAAACAACATATCAAAATCTGTGAGATTCTGAAAATAGTATTTAGGGGGACTTTCATAGCATTAAACTTCTATAGTAAAAAGGAGAAAGCTCTAAAATCAGCAATTTAATAGACATTTTAAGTCACTACAAAAAGAAAAGCAGATAAAATCCAAGCTAAGCTCCAGAAAGGAAATAATAAAAATCAAACTACTCATCAATGACATAGAAAATAGACAAGCATTACAAAAATTGTAAAACCAAAAGCTGATTCTTTGAGACTTTTTTTGAGGCCTCTTGAAAAAACTGGATCAGGTAAAAGGAAAGATAACACAAATTACTAATATCAGAAATAAGAGAGATGACATTGCTATGTATTCTACAGATGCTAAAAATGGGAATATTATGAAAATCTTCATGCATTAAGTTTGACAACTTCAATGGAATTAAAAATTTCTTTGAAGTCACAAACTACCAATATGTTCAAGAAGAAATATGGAACTTGTGCAGTCCTAACGCTATTATAGAAACCATAGCTGTAGTTCAGTTATTTCCTTTATGCTCCATATCCGCATGGCTTAGCCTGGAAAGGTTGTCATAGAGTCCCTGTCTCCCAGGGAGCATGTACCTTAGTGTGCCTCCTGGGAAAGCATGACTGCACTGGAATTCAAACTTAGCCACTGGAGCCTTGGCTATTACTGTCCCTGGAGTCAATGGCATTCTCAATGCCGCCACAGTCCACTCACATGCTGTACAAACTCCTTTCTCTCCCCATGTTGGAGACAATGTCTTCACATTCTCCACAACAGACCTTGCTCCTGTCAATTGATCTTGGAGCACCTTTACTCATCCTCTCCCTCCTCCATGGCTGCTATGAATTTCCTTTGCCGTAGCTCAGCCAGCCTTGGTAGCTTCATTGGTGTTGTGACTCAAATCTTCACTCCCAGGGATGACACCTTTCTCAGTATGGGGTTGCTGCATGTATCTGCCCATAGTTATAATGGACAACAGAAGAGTATACGTGACCTCCCATGTTATCCAGAACACGGACCAGAGCAGAATTTCCAGGTGTGGGATCTGTTGCCCCCAGAACCCAAAAAGGCTTGAGGTGCCATGCTTCCTACTTTGTGAGAAGAGGTTTTAAATGCCCCAGTTTGTGCTGGATGCAGTGGCTGCAAGCTGTAACTCCAGCTTTGGGGTCCACGGCAGAGGGAGGATCACTTGAACCAGGAAGTGGGGGCTGCAGCAAGCTATGATCACCCCACTGCACTCCAGCTCAGGTGACAGAGTGAGACCCTTTCTCTAAAGAAAAAATAAAAAATGCAGAAGTGTGTTTTTTACTTGTGTTAAACTAAATTTTGCCTACGGATGACTGCATACGTTGAGTCACTAAGTGACCAACTCCAACTAACTTAGTATGTAAACCAACTGAAAGACTAACTTATTCTGTTGATTTGGGGTGGAGAATTCTGTAGATGTTTCTAAGGTCTGCTTGGTCCAGAGTTGAGTTCATGTCTTGAATATACTTGCTAATTTTCTCTCTCATTGATCTCTCTAATATTGACAGTGGGGTGTTAAAGTCTCCCACTACTATTGTGTGGGAGTCTAAGTCTCTTTGTAGGTCTCTAAGGACTTGATTTATGAATCTGGGTGCTCCTGTATTGGGTGCATATATATTTACCATAGTTAGCTATTCTTGTTTCATTGATCCCTTTACCATTATGTGATGCCCTTCTTTGTTCTTTTTGATCTTTGTTGGTTTATAGTCTGTTTTATCAGACTGTAAAAAAAGCAAACCCTGCTTTTTTTTTTTTGCTTTCCATTTGCTTGGTAAATACTCCTCCATCCCTTTATTTTGAGCCTATGTGTGTCTTTGCACGTGAATTGGGTCTCCTGGATATAGCACACCGATGGGTCTTGACTATACAATTTGTCAATCTGTGTCTTTTAATTGGGGCATTTAGCCCACTTACATTTAAGGTTAACATTGTTATGTGTGAATTTGTTCCTGTCATCATGATGCTAGCTGGTTGTTTTGTACATTAGTTGATGCAGTTTCTTCATAGTATCATTGGTCTTTATATTTTGGTATGTTTTTGCAGTGACTGGTACCAGTTTTTCCTTTCCATATTTAAGTGTTTCCTTCAGGAGCTCTTTTAGTGCAGGCCTGGTGGTCACAAAATCTCTCAGCATTTGCTTGTCTGCAAAGGATTTTATTTCTCCTTCAGTTATGAACCTTAGTTTGGCCGGATATGAAATTCTGGGTTGAAAATTATTTTCATTTAGAATGTTGAATATTGGCCCCACTCTCTTCTGGCTTGAGGGGTTTTTGCAGAGAGATCCCCTGTTAGTCTTATGGGCTTCCCTTTGTAGGTAACCTGACCTTTCTCTCTGGCTGCCCTTAACATTTTTTCCTTCATTTCAACCTTGGAGAATCTGATGATTATGTGTCTTGGGGTTGCTCTTCTCGAGGTATATCTTAGTAGTGTTCTCTGTATTTCCTGAATTTGAATGTTGGCCTGTCTTGCTAGGTTGGGGAAGTTCTCCTGGATAATATCCTGAAGTGTGTTTTTCAACTTGGTTCCATTCTCCCTATCACTTTCAGGTACACCAATCAATTGTAGTTTGGTCTTTTCACATAGTCCCATATTTTTTGGAGGCTTTGTTTGTTCCTTTTCATTCTTTTTTCTCTAATCTTCTCTTCATGCTTTATTTCATTAAGTTGATATTTAATCTCTGATATCCTTTCTTTCGCTTGATCAATTCAGCTCTTGATACTTTTGTATGCTTCACGAAATTCTCGTGCTGTGTTTTTCAGCTCCATCAGGTCAGTTATGTTCTTCTCTAAATTGGCTATTCTAGTTAGCAGTTCCTGTAACCTTTATCAAGTTTCTTAGCATCCTTACATTGGGTTAGAACATGCTCTTTAGCTCAGAGAAGTTTGTTATTACCCACCTTCTGAAGCCTACTTTTGTCTATTCGTCCAACTCATTCTCCATCCAGTTTTGTACCCTTGCGGGAGAAAAGTTGCAGTCATTTGGAGGAGAAGAGGCATTCTGGTTTTTGGAAATTACAGTATTTTTGTGCCGGTTTTTCCTCATTTTCATGGGTTTATCAATCTTTGATTTTGATGCTGATGGCCTTTGGATGGGGTTTTTCTGTGAGCATACATTTGCTGATGTTAATGTTATTACTTTCTTTTTTGTTTTCCTTCTAACAATAAGGCCCAGTACCACACAGCACTTATTCTAAAATCTACCACATAATTAGAAGTAAAACACTCCTCAACAAATTCAAAAGAATGAAAATCTTAACAAACAGTGTCTCAGACCACAGTGCAATCAAATTAGAACTTAGGATTAAGAAACTCACTCAAAACCACAAAACTACATGGAAGCTGAACAACCTGCTCCTGAATGACTACTGGGTAAATAATGAAATTGAGGCAGAAATAAATAAGTTCTTTGAAAACAAGGAGAACAAAGACACAATGTACCAGAATCTCTGGGACACAGCTAAAACAGTGTTTAGAGGAAAATTTATAGCACTAAATGCCCACATCAGAAAGCAGGAAAGATCTAAAATTGACACCTGAACATCACAATTAAAAGAACTAGAGAAGCAAGAGCAAACAAATTCAAAAGCTAGCAGAAGACAGGAAATAACTAAGATCAGAGCAGAAATGAAGGAGAGACATGAAAAACCCTTCAAAAATTCAATAATCCGGAAGTGTTTTTTGGAAAAGAGTAATAAAATAGATAGACGGCTATCCAGACTAATATAGAAGAAAAGAGAGAAGAATCAAATAGACACAATAAAAATGATAAAGAGGACATCACCACTGATCCTGCAGAAATACAAACTATCATCAAAGAACATTATAAACACCTCTACACAAATAAAGTAGAAAATCTAGAAGAAATGCATAAATTCGTGGACACACATACTCTCCGAGGACTAAACCAGGAAGAAGTTGAATCTCTGAATAGACCAATAACAAGTTCTGAAATTGAGGCAGTAATTAATAGCCTACCAACCAAAAAAGCTCAGGACCAGATGGATTCATAGCCAAATTTTACCAGATGTACAAACAGGAGCTGGTACCCTTCTTTCTGAAACTATTCCAAACAATAGAAAAAGAGGGAATCCTCCCTAACTCATTTTATGAGGCCAGCATCATCCTGATACCAAAACCTGTCAGAGACACGACAAAAAAAGAAAATTCAGGCCAATATCCCTGAGAAAATTGATATGAAAATCCTGAATAAAAAACAGGCAAACTGAATCCAGCAGCACATCAAAAAGCTTATCCAGCACAATCAAGTTGGCTTCATCCCTGGGATACAAGGCTGGTTCAACATACTCAAATCAATAAATGTAATCCATCACATAAACAGAACCAATGACAAAAACCACATGAGTATCTCAATAGATGCCGAAAAGGCTTTTGATAAAATTCAACACCCCTTCAGGCTAAAAACACTCAATAAACTAGGTATTGATGGAATGTATCTTAAAATAGTAAGAGCTATTTATGACAAACCCATAGCCAATATCATACTGAATGGGCAAAAGCTGGAAGCATTCCTTTGAAAACCGGCACAAGACAAGGATGCCCTTTCTCACCACTCCAATTCAACATAGTATTGGAAGTTCTGGCCAGGGCAATCAGGCAAGAGAAAGAAGTAAAGGGTATTCAAATAGGAAGAGAAGAAGTCTACTTGTCTCTGTTTGCAGAAGACATGATTTTATATTTAGAAAACCTGTCGTCTCAGACCCAAAACTCCTTAAGCTGATAAGCAACTTCAGCAGTCTCAGGATACAGAATCAATGTGCAAAAATCACATGCATTACTATACACCAGTAATAGGCAAACAGAGAGCCAAATCATGAGTGAACTCTCATTCACATTTGCTACAAAGAGAATAAAATACCTAGGAATACAACTTACAAGGGACGTGAAGGGCCTCTTCAAGGAAAACTACAAACCACTGCTCAAGGAAATAAGATAGGACACAAATAAATGGAAAAACTTTTCATGCTCATGAATAGGAAGATTCAATATCCTGGAAAATGGCCATACTGCCCAAAGTAATTTATAGATTCAATGCTGTTACCATCAAGCTACAATTGACTTTCTCCACAGAACTAGAAAAAAACTACTTTAAATTTCATGTGGAACAAAAAAGAGCCCGTATAGTCAGGACAATCTTAAGCAAAAAGAACAAAGCTAGAGGCATCATGCTACCTGTCTTCAAACTATACTACAAGGCTACAGTAACCAAAACAGTACAGTAATAGTACCAAAACAGATACATAGACCAACGGTACTGTACAGAGGCCGCAGAAACAACACCACACATCTACGGCCATCTGATCTTCAACAAACCTGACAAAAACAAGCAATGGTTAAAGGATTTCCTATTTAATAAATGGTGCTGGGAAAACTGGCTAGCCATATGCAGAAAACTGAAACTGGACTTCTTCCTTACACCTTATACAAAAATTAACTCAAGATGGATTAAAGACTAAAATGTAAAACCAAAAACCATGAAAACTCTAGAAGAAAACCTAGGCAATACCATTCAGGACAGGCATAGGCAAAGACTTCATGACTGAAACACCAAAGCAATGGCAACAAAGCCAAAATTGACAAATGGGATCTCATTAAACTAAAGAGCTTCTGCACAGCAAAAGAAACTGTCATCAGAGTGAACAGGCAACCTACAGAATGGGAGAAAATTTTGGCAATCTATCCATCTGACAAAGGTCTAATATCCGGAATCTACAAGAAACTTAAACAAATTTACCAGAAAAACACAACCCCACCAAAAAGTGGGCAAAGGATATGAACAGACACTTCTTGAAAGAAGACATTTATGCAGCCAACAGACACATGAATAAAAGCCCATCATCACAGATCATTAGATAAATGCAAATCAAAACCACAATGAGATACCATCTCACACCAGTTAGAATGGCGATCATTAAAAGGTCAGGAAACAACAGATGCTGGAGAGGATGTGGAGAAATAAGAATGCTTTTACACTGTTGGTGGGAGTGTAAATTAATCCAATCATTGTGGAAGACTGTGGCGATTCCTCAAAGATCTAGAACCAGAAATACCATTTGGCCCAGCAATCCCATTACTGCATATATACCCAAAGGATTATAAATCATTCTACCATAAAGACACATGCACAGGTATGTTTACTGCAGTGCTATTCACAACAGCAAAGACTTGGAACCAACCCAAATGTCCATCAATGATAGACTGGATTAAGAAAATGTGGCACATATACACCATGGAATACTATGCAGCCATAAAAAAGAATGAATTTGTGTCCTTTGCAGGGACATGAATGAAGCTGGAAACTATCATTCTCAGCAAACTAACACAGGAACAGAAAACCAAACACTGCATGTTCTCACTCATAAGTAGGAGTTGAACAATGAGAACACAGACACAAGGAAGAGAACATCACACACTGAGGCCTGTTGGGGGTTGGCGGGCAAAGGGAGGGAGAGCATTAGGAAAAATACCTAAGGCACGTGGGGCTTAAAACCTAGATGATGGGTGGATGGGTGCAGAAAACCACCATGGAACACATTTATCTATGTAACAAACCAGCTCTTTCTGCACATGTATCCCAGAACTTAAAGTTTAATTAAAAAAAAAAAAAGACTAACTTAGGAGTACATTTTTTTGTAACAAATAGGTGATTCTCAGCCCATTACAGCAGTCGAGCTTCAGCCAATCAGAGGCTGCCAGTAAATCAGACTGTGTCCAAGTAAGGCAAGTGCAGAGCTGTGACAAATGGAGCTGTTTCCCTGCCTCCTTCTGTTTTCTGTCTGTAAGTACACGGCGCCCAGGTTACAGAGGGAAGCTCTCACAACTGCTTCTGGCTTTGAGGGCCAATCCATTTGCTAATTGTTTTTTGTCTAGTAAATGCTATTAAATTGATCTGAAGTTTTTTTTTTCTTTTAACACTTGAGAGTAAATTACTGTAGAATTTTCCTCATAATTAGACCCCTAAAAACTTTACCTAAAGTTGACCTCCCACCCTGTGGGGCACGCATGTCCTCTCAGGTCCTTCAGCACACTAGCCATCTCCCGCCCCTCCTCTCCAACCATACAGTGCTGGAATGTCCTAGACCAGGGCGATGCACCACACCCTGGCATGTCCAGGCAGTCTTAGTGCTTTTGGACTAATAATGACAGAAGGAAAGAGAGGTAACAGAGTCCTGTAGCAAAACCATAAATGAAATTGTAATCCTCCCATACAAATGTGGGCTGTTTCTGATGCCCTTCTCTAATTAGAATTTTTTTTTACAAAAGTCACCAAATTAATGGCTGCACACCCCACATCTGAGGCCTCGCAGTGTGTGCTGACTACAGTACCACTTCTGGGACAGCAGCTGTGATCACGGCTGTCTCCTGGTTGAATCTGCAGGATCAGGTGAGGCTGGTGAGTAAATGGATTTGTGATGGAAAGCGCCACCCTGCAGCCTTTAGGTTTTTAAGGGTGGCACTAGTATCAGCCATTGTCTGGGGTATGACACTCTTTTTTATTTACTATATTAATGAGGCAGGAGGCAATTTTAGAGGTTTCCTTCCATGTGGCCCTCCTCATTATCCCTTACATCATCTGGCAAGACCCAATGTGTAGGGCCAAGTATACTGGTTGCCATTATACTCTCCAGGGCCTTGAAAATACCAGCGGGTTGCTCCAGAGTACTTCTGGCTGTTCTGTACTCATACTTCATTGATTATCTGAATATACCACGGCCCACTCTAACCATTCTGGCCCCTTGGGTTTTTGGGGATAACATCTACTGAGATTCTATGCCTAATAAATGCAAAAGGCCTGGTTGTTTCCCTTTCCCCAGGGTACAGCCATTTGAGTGAATGGCCTTAGAACCCTCTGGGGAAAGATTGGGGGAATCATCCTGCTATGTACCTGCTTTGCTGTTGCAAGATCTTTTCTTCAAGGGACCTGCCACATCTGAGAAGGACAGACAAGGGATTTTTAGTGGGGCAATCACCCTTACCCTCCTCCAACACAGTTTTTTATTTTATTTTATTTTATATTTTGTTGTAGTAGATATTAAGCAGCACCCATGTGGGCTTCCTAGTTTGCCCCCAGGGTCCCTGTGCTCTGTTAACCATTTCCTCCACTCACTGAAGTCAACCCTTTAGCTTCCCTGTGAACTTGCTATGTTAGTCATGGTGACCTTGTGGCTGCTGGTGGTGGTTCAGAGCTGCCCACTGGCCTCAATGTCCTCGGCTATAAAAAAAGGACGTCTCTGTGCATGCCTTTCCCACCATCACTGTAACCTGCAGAGGAGAGTCACTAGCCAACTTCCTCTCACCAGGACATCACAGACATCCTCTGGGCTCCTTATGCAACATAGGTATCTGGTGGGCTCTGGCTATCCCTAAGTGTCTTCTTTCCGATAATCTATTCTTCTCCTATCTGCTGGAGTCACGTAGAATTTCTACTTCACCAAAAGCTGATCACTTTTCCAGGCTTCTAAAATCCACTCTGGCAGTGAGTCCTTGCCAGGGTGTTAAATCTCATGTCCCAAATAAGTTCCCTAAGTCAATGAATTCTTGTTTATCCAGTCTTTAAGCCCACGTGACCAAAGCACCCTTGAAACCTAACCCCAAGCGTGGTCCCTGCTTTCTGCAATAAATGTTTTTCCCACATCAGACCCTGAACATCCCACAGAGCCTAAGCTGGGATTTACACTCAGTTATAAGGCTTTGTCACTTGCTCTGGGCGCATGATTTAAGCAAATACTGAAGACTCAGTAATCAAGGAAAATAGTATGTTACTGCATTTGTAAATAAAATTTTTACACAAAAACTCCATGTTGAACAAATTATCATTTTAAATACATAAAAAACTAACTTTCACCTTAGTCCCAAATCAGCATTGTCTTCGTCTCTGTTCTTGATCATGGAACTGTTAACTGTCCTCATCCTTTGTCCCCTTATGGCTATTCCAGGACTGTTACCAACAGGCTAGGTTGAGCACACCTCACCCAGGCTGTCTACAACTCTGGGCACAGCCATGTAGCTGGCTTCTTCTTTCAGTCATCTGATCTAACAAAGGTGATAGAAACATTTTCCTAAAACCAAACTGGGCTTCTCTCAGTCTTCTCTTCTGCTACCATATGTAAACACAAGTTTTTGTTTTATGTTTTAACAAATGCTACCACTACAGTTTTCCTCCTAAAGCAATATCATAAATTATAGTTCTGACAGCTTAAAACATAGGGAATTTCAGGTTAGCTAGAATTTCTCTCAGTCAAAATTGCTAAAATATTGACATGGTTTACACAGGAACTTTCATTACAGGGGCTTATATGTATTTTGAGGGTAAATAAACTTAGTGCAAAGAAATATCAATATTACACGGTTTACAAATATTTTATTTTTCTGAGCCCCAAATAAAGATTTCTTCTTTATGATTTTTTTCTCCTAAGATAAGTGCAATTCTCATTATACATTTTCATTTTCATTTAATAGAGCATATTTTTGTGAGAAACTTAATTACCTTTCTAGTAATAAAAGTGAGACTACTATAAACTTGGTAATGGATCTGCAACCATCAATTAGAATAAGAACAAACTCAGTTTGTAGCATCAGCCTGGCATTTCCTTCTGTTTCTGAGTTTCTGCTGGTCTAGGATGGTTAATAGTGCTCTTTGTTTACATTTACTTCAAGGGCTTTATGTGGAATCCACACAGTGGGGTGACATTGTAAAACGCAAAACCATATGAATGTATGATAAAGGTGAGTAATATTTATAGTTTATTCTATTATTATTTATAGTTTATTTTACTGTACTACTTGTGTGCCTATTATTACAACACTGAAAACTGTTTTTCTTCTTATTCCTTAACATTAACAAAAGATTTAGGAAGTAATCTAGTTTTTAGTCCTCATATAACACTATACCCATAATCAAATAAAATTATGTTATAGTTTTTAAGGGAATTTGAAAGGGAAATCCTATAATTATATTCTAATATTTATGGCCATTTAATTAGTTTTGAATTCCGATTTTTGTGTTCCATCTGGTCTAAACTTTACAGAAATAATTTTTTACTCATGCAGTTTTTATTTAGTCCTTAAATAACTATGATATTCTTCATGATGATACTTTTTCTGACTAGAGGCAAAATCTTGGTCTTGCTCTTTAAATATGCCTATTTTATTGAGATAGGAATGGGCCTTGGCAATTGATTAAGGCATCCCAATTATCACACTTTGAGAGTCATGTTACTAAGAAATATGAGGAAGTCAAAGCTGATCCATTTGGTAGAGACAATAGTGCAATAGGAATCATTGTTGACATCACATAATAAATGAATTGATGAACAACGAATGAAATTTTATTGGCCACCTAACAAATCTTTAAAGGATCTTTAAACAATATGTGCAGTCTTTGAGTTAAGCAACATATCAATCTAGGTATCACTCTTCCCAAGTGAATGTTTGAGAAACTGAAGCTTACATATTTGAAATTACTCACCTATGGTGACCTAGTATATCAGCTGGTGCAGGCTTTTTATACCACATGTGTAACTCTACCCTACCTCAGGTACCTTTTCATTTAGTAGATTGGTGTTTAGAAATCATGAAGTCTACTGCCCAATTAAGCATAGGCATACACTGAATCCTAGAAAAACTGACTTGACTAAAGTCTCAAAGCAAGTTTTTCTCAGGGTGTAAAATAAAGCTCATGCCTTTCTATTTCATGCTCAAACAGCCTGTACTATATATACAGACAGCTCTCCAGTCAACACAACACCATGAATGTTCACTAACCGTGTGTCATACATGGTTAAGATTTTAGTGTGTTAGAAAATTCTATTTCAATGCCCATTCTTTATCAATTTTTGGAATTTTCTTTGGTTCTGTTTTGTTGTAATTGCTCAAATCTTATTAATAAGCTGATATTCTTGTGTTTGGTGATGATCTAAAAATAATGTGTTAAGTGTATACTGTTTCACATGTGACTTTAATGGTTTTGCAAAGAAAATCATTGCGTCTATATTTGTGTGGTAGATAGATATCCATCTGTCTGTATTTCTGAATCAAGAGGAACACGCATATGCAGTCTATCACAGCATCCTCTCTCAATCTCAAGAACAATCTTGGGCAATCTAGTATTTTACAATATTTACTGAAAACTATCTACTGTGGCAACCCTCGGGTATGGGCTATGGTCTCATTTGCAATACACCAGAGATCACAATAATTCCTTGCAGACAAGAAGGAAAATGGTCATGTAGAGTTTTCATATTAGAACAGATATCCAAATCCAAATTGCACTACAATCGTTTGTGAGCAATAGAAGTTCTGTTTTCAAGTTGTCACTAATAGTAAAACACAATATAAATCAACAAAATCCCAGGAAAATATATTCTGTACTCTAGAATCAGCTTTGGAGGTCCTGTTTAGCTGAATAAACATATCCATGCATTCAAATATTTTAAAATGTAAATAATCAGCCACAATTTAAGATTCAGTAAAATTAATCCCTCTTCAGTGCTCTCACGTTACTTTGCATATAGGTTTAGGCATGTCACCACACTGACTTACATGTCTGTTTTTTCACCCACTAGACAGAAAGCTCATTAAGATGAAAGACTACATTTATCATTCCTTTAATTATAGGACAATAAATGTTCATGAAATAATTATGCGTGTATTTACTTGGTGTTTAATAGGGAACTGATTATCAGAGTCAAGTGTTTTTCACACAATTATTCTACTATATCATCAAAACGATGGCAGTAAAGACCGACGGTGAGGTGCTGAGGAACTCATAGCCTACTTTTCACATAGCATCAGGTGTCAGAGACGAGGAAGAGAACAGGAGCCAGGGTTCCTGGAAGCTGCTGCAGCTCTGAGTGACCAGCTTACTGGCTGGTAAGAGCAGATTTTCTGTGTTTCCATGTACTTTTCTACAAAATGAGGACAGTACTTAATAGCTCTGCATACTGAGTTGCTTTTAGGAACTTGATGCCATTCATTTATTTCAACATTGTCTTATTCTAAAGAAGAGGTTTTGTTGCTCATGATATCATGCATGCAAAATTTCTTCAAAATAATTAATCCATATACATGTAATTAAAATTAATGGGATGATTTTATTATCCAGTTTCTTCAAGTGTTTCAGTAATGGGACCAAGTTGAACACCTTTTTTATGTACAGGCAAGATGAAGTCACATTAGAAACTTGGGCCTAAGGATGAGAGAAAAGCCTAATAGGAATGTTCAGAAGATGATCTGATAAAGGGAAAGTGTGCCAAATCCTTCCCCCTAGCACCACTGACAGGGTTGGAAGACATTTGCAGATTCCTTGAGATAGATAATGAGCAGATAACCTAAGGGTGAAATATTGATTCTGCTACTTAAGAAAGATCCTTAGGACAGCAAGAGAGGATGGCAATATAAGAATCAAGGTTTTTTGGACCAGTCACGGTGGCTCACGCCAGTAATCCCAGCACTTTTGGGAGGTTGAGGTGGGCAGATCACCTGAAGTCAGGAGTTTGAGGTCAGCCTGGCCAACATGATGAAACCCCATCTCTACTAAAAATACAAAAATTAGCCTGGCGCGGTGGCGGGCACCTGTCGTCCCAGCTACTCGGGAGGCTGAAGAAGAAGAATCGCTTGAACCAGGGAGGCAGATGTTGCAGTGAGCCGAGATTGCAACATTGCACTCCAGCCTGGACAACAAAGTGAGACCTTGTCTCAAAAAAAAAAAAAAAAAGAAAAAAAAATTAAGTTTTTGCCTTTAACCACATTCATCTTCCTGTATTTCTCTTCCTTATTCATTTGTTCTTTTGCTAACACTGGTAATCTGTATATCTTTTGTATATTTGTGTAGGTTTTAGCTAGTTGTGAGTTATTTTACTGGGTAGTAAATGTTTTCTCTCTTGTACTGTTTATGTTTTATTATAAAGTAAAGTGAATTTAATAAAGTTTTCAATCCATCTGCTGTGCACTCAGGTTGTTGCCATATATGGAAATCAAGAGTGCTGGTTAAAAGTGCAAGCTCCTGATTCATATAGACTTGGGTATGAATTTCAGTTCTGCATGTGCTAGATATTTGTGCTTAGGTTCATCTTTCAGTTATCTGTATCTGTGTAATTGAGAGACTGGACTAGCTGGATTTCCTAGGCCGACTAAGAATCCCTAAGCCTAGCTGGGAAGGTGACCGCATCCACCTTTAAACACGGGGCTTGCAACTTAGCTCACACCCGACCAATCAGGTAGTAAAGAGAGCTCACTAAAATGCTAATTAGGCAAAAACAGGAGGTAAAGAATTAGCCATTCAACTATCGCCTGAGAGCACAGTGGGAGGGACAATAATCAGGATATAAACCCAGGCATTCAAGCTGGCAATGGCTACCCTCTTTGGGTCCCCTCCCTTTGTATGGGAGCTCTGTTTTCACTCTATTAAATCTTGCAAGTGCACACTCTTCTGGTCCGTGTTTGTTATGGCTTGAGCTGAGCTTTCGCTCGCCGTCCACCACTGCTTTTGGGCGCTGTCACAGACCCGCTGCTGACTTCCACCCCTCCGGATCCAGCAGGGTGTCTGCTGTGCTCCTGATCCAGGGAGGCACCCATTGCCGCTCTCCATCAGTCTAAAGGCTTGCCATTGTTCCTGCACGGCTAAGTGCCCGGGTTCGTCCTAATTGAGCTGAACACTAGTCGCTGGGTTCCACGGTTCTCTTCCATGACCCATGACTTCTAATAGATCTATAACACTCACCGCATGGCTCAAGATTCCATTCCTTGGAATCCGTGAAGCCAAGAACTCCAGGTCAGAGAACAAGAGGCTTGCCCCCATCTTGGAAGCGGCTCGCCACCATCTCGGAAGCGGCCCGCCACCCTCTTGGGAGCTCTGGGAGTAAGGACTCCCTGGTAACATAATGACCCATTTGACATTAATGGCATAAAAAGACCATTTATTTTTCTTAAAATTTTGTAGGTCAGGAATTCAGGCAGGTCTCAGATGGGCAGTTCTTGTGCCCGTGAGTCACTGGATGTGGTCTTTTAGGTGGCTGCATTCTGGTGGTGATTGTGCAGGCCTGGAAAGTCGAGTCTGCTTACATGGCAGATGCCTCAGTGGTCATCTGCAACACTCTCTCTCTCTCTCCACAGGGTGTCTCACCATTCACTTCTCCAGCCTGAGCTTGTTTGGAGAATGGCAGATGTCTTCCCCAAAAAGCACAAAGGTAAACAGTGTCAGAACCCTTAAAATCTAAGACCAAACCTGGCACAGCATCACTTCTGCCCCAGTCTCTGAGTCAAAGCAAGTATCAAGGCCAGACTAGAATCAGAGAGATTAGACTCAATTCTTGAGACGTCTGTAAATAGGGAAGAGGTGAAGAATTGATGGCGGCCATCTCTGGAGACTCTAACACAATTAAACTAACCATTTCTAAGTGAAGTGGGTGCCTTCATCTGTAAATGGAGGTGATAACTTCACAGGGTGGTTACGAGTCTAAGGAAGATGGATTTTGCAAATTACCTAGCAAAGGACCTGCCATTGGAAGAATTCAGTACACAGTAGTTATTTGTATGCTTATGGTAAATATTACTTTTGCATTACTATTACTGTGTTATTTTACTTAAATCCAAATAAAAGGCAGGTAGTAGGTAACCAAAACCTCATCTAAAAATTTTGGTAAGGGAATAACAAAGTTGTAATTCCATATCCACAGAAGGAAGCTGCAGGATTAAAGAAAATTCAGAGAATAAATTTCAGGCAAATGAAAATCAAAAACAAAAACATGTATTTTCTACTGAAGTAATGTGGAGGGGAACTGTACCATTGCAGGGGGACAGTCAGTTTTCCAGTGCAGAATTCTAGACAGGTGTGAGATCTGAAGACAGGTTTGATAAGGTCAGAGAGGAGAAATGAGATGGAAAATAGAGGAATTTATTAAAACTCTATCCTCAGAATACCCAATTATCCAAGACACCCCTCAAACCCATATTCAATGTGAAACAACCAGTGGTGTACTATTGAGTAAGAAAAAAAAAAGAAAAGTTCTCAAAAAACAACTAATTGGATTATCCGTAAGAACTAGAAAAGCTAGCAAGAAAATTGTCATACTAGAGAAAACTGGGACACTTTTAGGGCCGAGCAGCAACTCTTCACTCCTTTACTCTAAGTAAAGTTTGCTCATGGACAAGCCCCACCCACATTTACAGAGCATTTCTGTTATGTCATCTTCCAGATTAATAAATAACAAAATGTCACCATGAATTAGAGTAAATTTGGTATTTTGAGAGCACAAAACCCAGATAAGAATAGAAAGACATCAGAATAAAAAAGAGAAAAAATAGTTTATATCCTCCAAAAATAATTTTTGAGATGATATTGTGTTAAAAAAAAAAAGAAACACTATCACCTGAAAAACAAATAATCAGTAATTAGCAAAAGCACTCTTGAAAATGAAAGGTAAAAAACACTAAAAGGGAAGAATTAAGGAAAAAGATGAAAATTTCTTAAGTAAAACCCAAGGAAAAGATAAATATGTTGGATATATCAACCAAGGAGTCTGGTTTGTTGTTAACAACCTTGCGGAAAGAGAGAGAAAGATGAGAAAAAAAGAGGCTCACTGAATTACCCTGCTGTGATGGGGGTTATACAAACTGGGGGTACATCTGAGCCCTAAGCAGTTACCTGATCCAAATTACATAGGTTAGAAATAATGGAGGGGCATTTGTGCAAAGAAAATGAGGGAAATTTGAAAATGGAAGAGAGAGATGTCTGGTTTCCAGTCTGACAGGTAAGAAGCTTGAAAGTCCTCAATCCCATCCTCTCAACAAGAAAAAAGCTGAACAAACTGAATATAAACAACTCATTTCAGATACATATGAAAGCTGAGGTAACAGAGCAAACCACTGGCCTAACATTGAACAGAAAAACAGATGGACACAGAAAATTAAAAGTTACCTAACCAGAAACCTCTGTGAGAACTGACTAAAGCAGAAAAACCTAAGTGTAATTGAGGAATTGCAGGAGGCTCAGCATGGGCAAGTTTGAGAGTGAAAAACTCCAAGGTGGCAGTCATAAAAAGGGGCCACAATTTTGTGAGCTTTATATCCAGAAGTCCCACCAAGTTCTCACAGTGAAGATTGGTAGAAAATCCCTTCGTGCTTCTGGCAGGGAAATAAATCAAAATTTATTTTGGTGTAAGGCCAGAAATCCTGTTTTTAACAAGATCTGCTCTCAAGAGAAGTTGTTATACCTGAGCCTGACCAATCCAGGAGAAGGAAAGAAGTACCCAATTCCAGCTCCCTAAACTGCCAGTTGGAGTAAGAAAAATACAAAACGTTAGCTCCAGCTAAGCTTTCTGCTTCACTTAAGGAGAAATAAACCTGCGAAGGTCACAGCGTAGGAGCACAGGCACCCTAAAAGACTGAGACCTCCTCACAGGACTGTAGAATGCCTCCCCTTCCCCACACCTTGTCACTACACCAATGGAACGAACTATTGCATAATAAGAAGGAAAGAAGAAAGAACTACACATCTCAGACCTCATTTAAGAAGTCTCCAGGGAAAAACCAAAACAACAGCCTTACCTTGTGTCTGCTATAAACATAGGCATGGCTGGCATGGCTATATTTTGTTGTCTTAATTCTTTAGAACAAAGAAAGTTTACTTTTTAGAGAACAAAGATAGTTTACTTTTTAGAAAACAAAGCCAGGGCATTCTGCACAATTGGAAGCTGATAAGGTTTTTTTTTAACCATACTTTGATTGTAATCCTAAAATGTAAACATAAAGTTATGCCAACAAGATCAGATTTTTTGTTACCTGCATATGGAAACAAAAGAAACAGGCTACAAACCAAAAATTTTAAAAATATATATATTCTATTTTAAAGTCTTAAACTGTAGGGTAAATTGATTTCTAATTTTTGTTTAAGTAAAGGCTAAATCACTAAAAGTTTTGTTGAAAAACTATGACAATAAATTTTTTTATTAACAGGGACAGTATAGAGATTACTTGAAACTAGTGTTTCAAGGTGGTATCTCTCTACTCACCTCAATGGGCTATTTTAGTTCTTCCAAATATGAGTGTGCTGTACAAATAATTGGTGGCTTAAGTTGCAAAGTCATTTAAAATGAATCAACAGTTTTAGTTAAATCCAGCTTTAAAATTAATGAAAGCCTCCAGGTATTAAAATTTGTTAACATTCCCATGTTTCTTTATTTAAATTATTTTAAGTTCAGCCACTACACCTAGTTTACTAACTCATTTTTTATCTTAGGCACTGGGCTCATCTTACCATGAGATACCATGCTTACTTTACAAATATGTGTTAAACATAATGCAACCTCAAAGAATAAAAGTAAATCAGAAAAATAGGCTAAGATTATGAATATAATGATGCATGGTTCAAAGATACATTTAACTTGTTTTATTATACTCTTTAAATAAAAATTATCACTTGAAATAGACAACACATTCCATTAGCTAAATGAACTAAATGTTCAAAACATTTTATATAAAATTGTTTTTCTTTACAAATTGTGCCTTAAGTGTCACTAGTTTGTTTGAATAGCCTCTTCCTTTCCAAAATATGAGAAGTTCTTTTCAAAGAAGATAAAACGTGGAAAACTAACAGCAAATATTAGCCTTTGGCTTACCCTAACATTGCTTCCTTTGGCTCCTCAAATTTTAATGTATATCTTTTTACTGATAGAAGGTCTAGACAATGTGCAGTCAGTTTTTTTAACCTACTCTTATAGACTCTGTCTTTTAATTGGTGTATTTAGCATATTAAAATTTAAAATAATTAAGTTGTTACATTAATATTTACCATATTTGAAATTATTTTCTATTTGTGTGGCCATTTTCTCTGCTGTTTTTTTTTGTCTTCCACTTTTTTTCTTATCTTCTCTGGTATAAGTGAGTACTTTATAGGATTCTATTTTTGTCTATTATTTTAGCACATTAATTAGGCTATTTTTAGTGTTTTAGTGGTTTCCCTTGAGTTTACAGATATCTCTATTCTACTTTATGAGTACTGTAACTTATAACAGATTATTCTCAATTTCTCCTTCTCATTACTTATAACATTGCTGTCACTTATTTTCTTTATCCACTTATATTTATATTTATTCACTTATTCTCCTCAATCTCTATATAACCATGTATATGGCTTTGTTTCTATATTTTGCTATTATTATATTGAAGAATATTTTATATCAACTAAGAACAAAAATTACAATTTTATTATACCTTCATTTGTTTCCTTTCTACGGCTCTATCTTTTTAATGTAGACCCGAGTGTCAGACTATATCATTTTCTTCCTTTCTGAAGAATTTCTTTTGATATTTCTTGAAACACACATACCAGTAAAAGAAAATTCTTCAAGCTTTATTTGTTTAAAAAAGTTGTTTATCTTTCAATTAATAGGTTACTAGTTTTTTTTTTCCTTCTGTCAACACTTTAAATATTTCATTCCACTCTCTTCTTTCTTGCATGGTTTCTGAAGGGAAGTCTGATGCACTTTTTATACTTTCCCTCTATAGATAATGTTTTTATTTTCTATGACTTTTTTCTAATCTTTTTCTCTTCTTTGAATTTTATGGGATTTGAATATGATATGCCTAGATGTAGATTTAAAAAACTACTGGCTGGGTGCGGTGGCTCACGCCTGTAATCCCAGCACTTTGGGAGGCCGAGGCAGGTGGATCACGAGGTCAGGAGATCAAGACCATCCTGGCTAAGACGGTGAAACCCCATCTCTACTAAAAATACAAAAAATTAGCCAGGCGTGGTGGCGGGTGCCTGTAGTCCCAGCTACTCGGGAGGCTGAGGCAGGAGAATGGCGTGAAACCAGGAGGTGGAGCTTGCACAAGCGAGCTGAGATAGAGCCACTGCACTCTAGCCTGGGTGACAGAGCGAGACTCAGTCTCAAAAACAAAACAAAACAAAACAAATTACTTAGCATACTTGGTATTCTCTGAGATGCAGAATCTATTATTGTTTGGTGTCTGTATTAGTCTGTTTTCATGTTGCTGATAAAGACGTACTTGAGACTGGGCAATTTACAAAAGAAAGAGGTTTATTGAACTTACCGTTTCCACGGCTGGGGAGGCCTCACAATCATGGCGGAAGGTGAAAGTCACATCTCACATGGCAGAAGGCAAGAGAAGAGAGCTTGTGGAGGGAAACTCCCATTTTCAAAACCATCAGTTCTCATTATACTTATTCACTATCATGAGAACAGCATGGGAAAGACCTGCTGCCATGATTCAATTATCTCCCACAGGGTCCCTCCCACAATACATGGGGATTATGGGAACAGCAAGATAAGATTTGGGTGGGGACACAGAGCCAAACCATATCAGTGTCTCATTAATTTAGTTAAATTCTCAGTTATTATTGCCTCAAATATTTCATAACTTTCTTTTCCTATGGTAGTCCCATTATGCATTTGTTGTACATTAATTAATTTTCCCATAGTTATTAGATTTACTATTCTGTTTTTTTATTTTTTTCTCCATTTTATGGAGAATGAGAATTCTCTCATTCTTAGGAAACGCTATTCATTCTTGGGGATTGCTATCAAAGTTTCATTCATCCTTGGGGATTGCTATCAAAGTTTCATTCATTCTTGGGGATTGCTATTTCATTCTTGGGAATTTCTATTAAAGTTTATTTTTTCAGCAATAATGGAGCATCTTTTAATGAATGCAATAAACTTTCTAATTTATTGGCTCACTATATCAATTAAGGATGAGAATAAGATTTTAAAATATGGTCAACACAAAGTTTTTAAAAAATAATTCCAACTATTATTATAGATTAAATTGTACACATGCAGGTTTGTTACCTGGGTATATTGTGTGATGATCAGGCTTGGGGTTCCCATGATCCCATCATCCAGGCAGTAAACACGGTACCCAATAGTTGGATTTTCAGTTCGTGCTCCCTTCCTATCTTCCCTGTGTAGTGGTCCCCACTGTCTATTGTAAACAACTTTATGTGTGTTCAGTGTTTAACTCCCACTTATAAGTGAGAATGTGTAGCATCTGGTTTTCTGTTCTTGCATTAGCTTGCAGAGAACAATGGCCATTAATTCAACTCCATTCATATTGCCGCTAAGGACATGATTTTGTTCTTTTTATGGCTGTGTAGTATTTCATGGTGTATATGTACCACATTTTCCTTCAGTCCACCTAAGTTGATTCCATGTCTTTCGTATTGTGAATAGTACCATAATGAACATATGGGTGCATGTGTCTTTTTGATTGAATGAATTATTTTCCTTTGGGTATATATCCAGTAGTGAGATTGCTGGGGTAAATGGTTCTTCTATTTTAAGTTATTTGAGAAATCTTCAAACTGCTTTCCACAGTGGCTGAACTAATTTGCATTCCCACCAACAGTATATAAGCATTCCCTTTTCTACGCAGCCTTACCAGAATCTGTTGTTTTTCAAGTTTTTAATAATTGTCATTCTGACTGGTGTGAGACGGTATCTCCTTGTGGTTTTGATTTGCATTTCTCTGATGAATAGTGATAATGAGCATTTTTTCATATTTTTGTTGGCTGCTTGTGTATCTTCCATTGAGAATTGTCAGTTCATGTCCATTGCCCATTTTTTTTTTAAATTGGACATTTGTATTTTGTTCATTGATTTGTTTAAGTTCTTTGTGTATTTTGGATATTAGACCTTTGTCAGATGCATAGTTTATAAATATTTTCCCATTCTGTAGTCCTTCTGTTTATGCAGTTAGTAGTTTATTTTGCAGAAGCTGTTTAGTTTATAAGGTGCCATTTGTCAACTTTTGTAAAAAATGAGATGGTTGTAAGTGTGCAGGTTTATTTCTGGGTTCTCCATTTTGTTCCACTGGCCTATGTGTCTCTTTTTGTACCAGTGCTATGCTGTTTTGGTTACTGTAGCCTTATAGTTTGAAGTTACACAATGTGATGCTCCAGCATCCCAGAAATAAAGCCTACTTGATTGTGGTGAATTAAATTTTATGTGCTATAGGATTCAATTTGGTAGCATTTTCTTGAGAATTTTTGCATCTATGTTCATTGGAATAGTGTCTAAGGTTCTCAATTTTTATTGTGTCTCTGCCAGATTTTGGTATCAGAATGATACTGCCTTTGTAGAATGAATAGGGAGAAGCCTCTCCTCCTGGAGTTTTTGGAAAAGTCTCAGTAGAATTGCTATCAGTTCTTCTTTTACATCTGATAGAATTAGACTGTGAATGCATTTGCTCCATGGATTTATTTGATTGGTAAGTTTTTCATTACTGATTCAATTTCCAAACTTGTTATTGATTTGCTCAGGTTTTCACTTTCTTACTTATTCAATCTTGAGAGGTTGTGTGTTTCCAGGAATTTATCCATTTACTCTAGATTTTCTAATTTGTGTGCATAGAGGTGTTCATAATAGTCTCTGAGGATTTTTTGTATTTCTGTGGGAGCAGTTGTAAAGTCGCTTTTGTCATTTCTGATTGTTCTTACTTGGATCTTCTCATTTTTTTGTCATTAATCTAGCTTATGTCCTATATCTTGTTTATTCATTCAAAGAACCATCTCTCAGTTTCATTATCTTTTGTATGGACTTTGAGTCTCAATTTCATTCAGTTCTTCTCTGATTTCAGTTATTTCCTTTTTTCTACTAGTTTTTCGGTTAGATTATTCTTTTGTTCTATTTTCTCTAGTTGCGATGTTAGCTTGTTAATTGGAGATCTTTCTAACCTCTTGATGAATGTGTTTAGCACTATAAGTTTTCCTCTTAAAACTTCTTGGCTGTATCCCATAGGTTTTGGTAAGTTGTGTCTCTATTTTTTAATAATTTCAAAGAATTTTTTGATTTTTGCCATAATTTCCTTGTTCACTCAAGAGTTATTTAGAAACAAGTTGGTTGATTTTCATGTTTTTGTGCAGTTTTGAGAGATCTTTCTATGGATTACTATTTTTATTGCACTGTGGTCTGAGAGTGGGCTTGGTATGATTTTCTTTTTCTTTTAAGTTTATTGAGACTTGCTTTTTGGCCAACTCTGTGGTCTATATTAGAATATGTTCCATGTGCAGATGAGAAGAATATATATTATGTGGTTGTTCAGTAAAGTACTCTGTAGATGTCTGTTAGGTACAATTGGCCAATTGTTGAGTTTAAGTCCAAGATTTATTTGTTAGTTTTCTGCTTCAATCTCAATCTCACCAATTCCTTTTTTCAGCTATGTTTAGTGTATTGATGAACATCAAAGGAATTCTTCGTTTCATAAAGACAGGTTTTCTTTATTTCTAGCATCTTTAATTCATATTGAAATTGCTATCTTGCTGCTTACATTACCCATCTGTACTTGCAAGTTATCTACTTTTTTTTCATTAGGCCCTAATCATTGAGATCATAGTAGTTTTAAATCTGCACTTTTATAATTCCAGCTTCTCTGCCATATTTGATTCTGGTTCTGAGGCTTGCTCTGTCTCTTCAACTTGTAGGGTTTCTTTGCTCTTTAGTATCTCTTGAAAGATAATGTTCTGAGGAATTGGGACTAACAGGTCTTTAATATAAAATTTTATGTCTATATGGCTAAAAATTAAGCTGTGTTTAATATTTTCTGCAGCTGTAGGTATCAGAGGTTAAAATTCATTCTGGTTTTCTTGTTTTGCTCTCTTCTGTCGTCCTTGGGTTTTCTTAGAGCCTTCTTCTTAAATAACGTCTGAAGTGTATTGTTCTTTCAGTTGTATTTCCTTGTTATTATACCAAAATCCTATTGATATAGTGATAAGAAATGTCAGGGGTGGTAGGTGGAATACTGTTCTATAGATCTACAATAGTTCTCAGAATTTTAGTGAGCCTGTGCCCTTAGGATGTGACTTTCCCAATTGCCTTTTTGGTTAAACAGGAAGATTAGATGGAATGAAATTGGGTATTTTCCTTCTCGCCACCTGGAAAACTAAAATCAACTAGGGTGGGGCATTTCTTTTCTCTATGTCACTGAGGCTCTTGAAAGGTAACTTCCCTTGAGAGAGGACCTTACTCGTTGAAAAGAACAAAAGGTATTAGCCTTATTTCCAGTTGGCTGCTTTTCCCCTCTTGCTGCCAGAAGCAGGAGGAGATTTTTCTCTGAGCTTCAATTGAGAAACTGCTGGGGCTCGCTGAGGTAAAACTCATAACAAACTAGGCCTCTTAGAGCTTTTATCTTTCAAACTTGACTACAGTGAACCTCTAGCAATTTGTCTAATATAGTTTAAGATTTTCTACTTTAACATGCTTACAGAGAGGTTTCTGCACTTGGACTTCTGTTCTAATATGCTGTAATCTTCTTTGTTTGCCTGTGCTTTATAATGGAGATAAAACAAAGATGTTAATTGTAAACTAATACTATTTGGCAGTTTGAGGAAGAGGCATCTGAACAGATGCCTGAAGAACATGAACAAACCGGTCATATGAAGATGTAGGATCAGAATGTTCAGGAAAAAGAAAAAGCAAGTGAAAACTTTTACAGTCAGAATGAGCTTGGCTTATTTGGAGAATAGGCGATGAAATAAACAGAGACTTGCAACAAATAGGAGAGCAGCAATTGAAGAACCGTGGTTACACTGCAAAGGATATCAATGCTCACAGCATCTCAGGTAAAGACTAAGATAACAACAAAAGAAATATTACAAAAATGCACTTACTTGTCAATCACTGAAGAATTAGAAATATTCACTTAAAATGTGGTCTATAGCTTTTCTTTTTAAAAAACTGGTAAGTTTGGCAACACTAAATAACATATCTTCATGTACTTTTCTGTTTTTCAGAGCGCTAGTCTACCCTGCCACCCTTATGGATAATATATTTCTGGACTTTGTAAGTACATTACTTAAACATTTTATAATCTCATAATTTCATAGTACTTTCTCTCAAGATATTGGTATATGTCCTAAATAAAAAAATTAATCATAAAAATATTTAAGATTTAAAATTCATATTCACTTAAGTTTGGAAAATGATGTTTAAAAATTTAGACTAAAAAGGTTTATTTGATTCTGTTTTTGTTTTAAAAATCAACTTTTTTGAATTATACTTTAAGTATACTTTAAGATACAGTACCTCCAGTTTTAGTGTATAGGTCAGTAAGTTTAATAAATATATAGACCTAAGCATTCCACCATAAATATTAAACCATTTCTATCCCATATACAGTTTAATTATGCTTCTTTTGACTATATTCTCCCTTCATGTGAAAAGTTCCTGGAAGTCACTGATCACCTATCTGCAATTACAAACTTGTCTTTACTAAAGTTTTGTATAAACACAATAGTAAAGTGTATTATTTTTATGTTGGTTATTTTTTCTTATATAATGTTTTTGAGATTTAATCAATGTACTGTGGTTATCATAGTTTATTTCTTTTTATTTCTGAGTAGTGTTACAGTCTGCAGATTTATTACATTTGGTCATTTATTATCCCCTTGATAGATATGTGAGTTGTTTTTAACATTTTGCTTTATAAAAATAGACAAAATAAAATACATGTACGAATTTTGTATGGACATACTTTTTGTAATTATTATTTCTCAGTAAGCACCAAAGAATAAAATTTGTCTAATATATAAAATGATACACATTTATATAATATATAAAATGATATATAAATATGTATGTGTTTGTGTGAAGTATCTGTTCTTTTAATATTTTAAGTATTATTCATGCTATCCAAAAAATGCTTGCCTTATACAAGTTTTCAAGCATTTTTCTCTGTACCTTTTCTTTCTAAAAATTCTATAACTTTTATTTAAAGTTAAGTATAGTATATTTTTAAAGCTTGGCTTTTGGATATGGTGCCAGGTAAATGTTACAGATCTTTTTCTTACTAAATAGATATTCAGTTGTTCCAGGACAATCTGTGAAAACAAATTCTTTTCATAATTCCCCTGGCACTTTTATCAAAAAGGTGTTTAACCACATCCGCAATTATTATTGCTGGATTTTCTGTTTGGTCCCATTGAACAGTGTACTTACTCCCACACCAAACTGTCTTGACAGTTGTAGCTTTATAGTAAGTCTTGAAATAAAATAGTGTATGTCCTCCAAAATTTCTGTGCTCTTTCAAAATTATTCAAATTCTCTATGTCTTGCATATTTATATAAATTTACACTCAGAATGTTAATTTCTACAAAAAGTACTTTCTGGAATTCTTACTGGAATTACATGGAATCTATAGACCAATTTAGGGAAAACTTATACGTTGACAATAGTGAATTTCCAATCTCAATATGTAATATCTACCCATTTATATAGGTAATTTTAAGTTTCTTTCAGAAGTGCTTTTTAAGATTTAAATTGAACATTTTTCTACTTACTTCATTAAATTCAAGTTTTCATATTTTAGACTTCTATTACAAATGATACTTTTAAAATTTCAGTTTCTAATTTTTGTTGCTATTTTATAGAAATATAATTATTTTCTGCATAATAACCTCATATGTTAGGACTTTTCTCATTTATTAGTTCTAGAACCATTTTTTGTGTAATTTCTAGTATATCCTAGATACATAATACTATCTATAAATAAAGATCTATTTAGGTTTTTTTGGGGGGGGAATGACTTTTATTTCTTTTAATGTCTCATTGCATTGGCTATGCCATCCAGCACAATTGCTAAATAAAAAGAATAATGTCCTTTGTCTTGATACCCATTGTATTAGTCCATTCTCACATTCCTATGAGCAAAAAAAACTGAGACTGGGTAATTTATAAACACAAGAGGTTTAATTGGCTCACAGCTCTGCAGGCTTTACAGGAAGCAAGAAGCATGATGCTGGCATCTGCTAGCTTCTGGGGAGGCCTCAGGAAACTTATAAGCATGGTGGAAGGCTAAGGAAGAACAGACACTTCACATGGCTGGAGCAGGAGCAAGAAAATGGGTGGCAGGTGCTGCACACTTAAACAACCAGGTAGCCCAAGAACTCACTCATAATCATGAGAAAAGTACAAAGGGGATGTTGCTAAACCCTTCATGAGAAATATACCTTATGATCAATCGCCTCCATGATCAATCACCTCCCACCAGGCCCCACCTCCAACCATGGGGATTAGAATTCCACATGAGATTTGGTTCAGGACACAGATCCAAATCATATCACCCAATTTAGCACTGTTTTACCATTAAGTATCATGTTTATTGTAGATTTTCCTTAGATGTTCTCTATCAGATTGAGAAAGTTCTCTTCTATTTTTTGTTGGCAGAGTTTGACCATGAATTGGTGTTGAAGTTTTGCCAAATGACTTGCATGCATTTCCTGTAATTATTATTCACTTAAAAAAATTTGTTAACATAGTAAATTACATTCAGAAATCTTGAACATTAAACCCGACTTCCATTTGCAAAGTGAACCCCAAAGGGTCATAGTGTTTTACCCTTTTAATATATCACTGGATTCAAGTCGTTAAAATTCGGTTAAGGATTTTTATTTTATATTCATACGGAATATTTTGAATTGGAGGAATAATCTGTTGTTTTTATTATTTAAAATTATATTCTTTTCTTAATCTTTAAGTTTTTATAGGATCTCTTTATTTTTTGCTTAATTCCTTATATTAGTAATTATTTGTGCAGTCTACCTAGAAGCACATACATTTTATTTCTTAAAAATACACACATGCAAATACATACAGCGTTTGGTATAATTGTGGGATTCTTTTATATTTTTGTAATTTTTTTACCGATTTTTGCTGTTTTTTTAATACTTGCTTTAATTATATTTCTTTAAAAAATATAGACTTTGAGGTGGAAACTTAGGATCGTTGGTTTTTGACCTTTACTCTTTTTGGATATAAACATTTAAATTTCCCTATAGTCATTGTTTTACTACATCATATAATTTGATATCTTGTAATTTTTATTTCTGTTTAGTTCAAAATATTTTCAAATTTTGTTTGTGATTTCTTCTTTTATCCATGTATTATATAACAACAAAAACATATTATTAAATTTTTAAATATTTGGTGGTTTTCCAAATATCTGTTGGTTAATGCTTTGTAATTTATTACCTTTGTTTTAAGAGAATGTACCAAGTACAATTTCAGTTATTTGTTTCTATTTAAAAATGTTTTATGGCTCAGTGTATAGTCTATCTTGGTAAATGCACTGTGTGGATAGACATGTGTATATTGTTGCTTGATTGAGTGTTAAATAGAAAACTTAATTAGGACAAGTTTCTTATGATTTTCCTGTGTAGTTGTTCTACCAATTAATGAGAAAGGAATGTTAAAATCTCCAACTATGTTTGTGAATGCGTCTGACTCATTCAATTTTTTTTTCTTCATGCATTTTGAAGATGCAAGCAAATGCATTTAGATTTTTATAAATTCTTGATTATAGCTTTTTGAAATGATTTTCTTTTTCTAGCTACCTTTAAGGTTTTTTATCTCTATAGCTATTTTGAACAATTTGATTATACTGTGGCTTTCTGTGGTTTTATTTGTTTAAGTTTGTACAGGTTGGTTAATAATTCTGGCTCTCTGAGCCTCTGGTTTTCATAGATTTGGAATATTTTCAGCCATTCTCTTTTCAAACATTTGTTATGGATGTTTCCTCACCTGAACTCTATTATACTTCCTGAAAATCCAGTTACACATATGTTAGCCTTTGTACATTTCCACAATCCACTGGGGCTCTGTTCATTCTTTTTTTTTTTCAGTGATTTTTTTTCTTCACTGTGATTTAGGTCAACTTGTTTTTATTGTTACCTCTTGTCATTCACTGAATTTTTATTTTTGCCCCGTCTATTGCATTGCTAAGACTCACCTAATTAACTTAAACTCAGATACTATTTTTAATCTCTAGAAGTACCTCTTTGCTTTATTATATCATCCATTTTCTCTTCTTGATATTTCTATTTTTTTTTTCTGAATCTTTGAGCACTGGGCACATTAGTAACAGATTCGTGAAAGTCCTCTGCTAAGTCGACCCTTTTCGTAATTTATTTGTTCCTATGACCATTTTTTTTGGTCAGAGTTTTGAGTCACATTTTCTCCTTTTGAATGTCTAGCAGTTTTGATTAAATGCTAGAAATCATCCTTGTTACATAATTGTGCAAATTTTGGTTTCATCCTTTAAAAAGTGTTGGGTTTTTAGTACTGAGGTGTCAAATTACTTTCAAGTCAACTTGATCCATTCAAGGCTGTTTTAAGCTTTGTTAGAGTTGGTATGAGTTAGTGTATATTGTAGTGATAGTTGGCCCTGCCATTTATATATGACACATTTGGGTTTTCCACTGAATACCTTGGGTGATTAATCAGCACTCTCCATCCTAGCTTTTTATAGCTTGAACCTCTTCCCACCTTGTGAGAACTCTGAGAATTTTTAAATTTTTGTCTCTTTTGTCATTCTTAATCATCCTCATATTATTTTGTTCTATACATCTCAGGCATTTCAGAGGAAATAACATCCAAACATATTTAATCATCTTCATCACTACTAATGCAGTACAAATCACAAACATTCCTGGTTGTATTATTGGAAAAGCCTCTAGTCTACCTCTCATAGACTGTTTTCTCTACTCAGCAGCCAGAATATTCCTTTTAAGTCAGAAATTATATTCATAACACTTCTGCATTATCATGCTGGGGATGCTATAACAGAATGTTATAAACTGGGAAGCTCAAAAAATAAACATTTTAAAAAATAATTCTAGAGGGTGAGAAGTCCATGATCAAGGTGGCAGCAGATTTTGTTCCCAATGAGGGCTCTCAGCTTGCAGACAGCCACTTTCATGCTGTGTCCCCACATGGCAGAGAAGGAGTGATATGTTTCTCTCTTTCTTTTCTCATGAAGATACTAATTCTACTGTAAGAACCCCAGCCTTGGCCAGGCGCGGTGGCTCACACCTGTAATCCCTGCACTTTGGGAGGCTGAGGCAGGTGGATCATGAGATCAAGAGATCGAGCCCATCCTGACCAACATGGTGAAACCCCGTCTCTATGAAAAACACAAAAATTAGCTGGGCATGGTGGTGTGCGCCTGTAGTCCCAGCTACTCGGGAGGCTGAAGCAGAAGAATTGCTTGAACCCGGGAGGCGGAGGTGGCAGTGAGCCGAGATCGTGCCACCTCACTTCAGCCTGGGGACAGAGTGAGACTCCATCTTAAAAAAAAAAAAAGAAAGAAAGAAAGAAAAGAAAAAAGAAAAACTCACTCTTGTGATCTCATCTAATTCTGATTACCTCCCAAAGGCCCCATCTCCTAATTGCATCATATTGGGAGTTAGAGATTTGACATAAGAGCTAGGGGGTTGTTGGGGGCTTGGGGGGAACAATTCAGTCCATAGCAATTTTTTACACATAACTTCTCCAACTCCAAAGGCTCCCATTTAGTTTTAAGTAATAAATACACTTCTAATTGTATCTCATTATCTTTCCTTTTTCATTGTTCTCCCTACTTCAGACACTCAATTTACTGCTGCTCTTTAAATAAATCAAACACATTCTTGTCTCATTTCCTTCTATCTACTGTTACCTAAAAGTCTGTTTTCCCAAGATATTCTCATGTATAACACCATCACTTTTTTCAAGTCTTTCTCACTTTATCATAGCCATAACTAACCTGTTTATTTATCATTTATAACAGCCCAGACTACCTAATGGACACTGCCTGTTTTGCTTATCTTATTTTTTTAAGCATTTCTCACCTTCTAATATACATTTTAACCTGTTTACTGTCATTCCTATCAACTACGACATAGGTTCCTTGAGGGTGGGTCCCCTTTCCTCTTTTAATCACTGTTGCCTCCCCAGCTTCTAGAATAGCTCCTGGGATATAGAAATGATTCAGAAACATTTAATTTATAGATGAATAAAGAATTTTATAGAGGATATTCTAGGCAAAGGAATCATAATGTCAAAGATTTAAAAACAGAAATAAACTTGATGTGGTGGAAGTTCTAGGAAACGAGGTATTCTACAGTGTCGTGGGACAGGGGAGAGTGGTATGAATGACACTCATGAATTGGTAATTTAAGAATTTTGAAATCAAGATAAGAACTTTGGGTTACATTAATATATATTTCAGAAAAAGTTTTAGACTGGTGTCAAATATTTGAATCATTGTTTTCATGATTTTTGTATTTTGTGTTGTGATTTTGTAATTAGTTCCTTCCTTTAAAAAGTTTTGGGTTTTTATTACCAAGGAGTTAAACTTTTTTGAGGTTAGCTTGATCTTTTCAAGGCTAGCTTGTAAGCTTTATTAGAGTTGGAGGTGATCAAGATTATTGGCCATAGAGATATTACAAATATAATGATTAAGTATGAAGAGGAGATTAAAATTGCAACAGTCAATAACTCTCAAATTTAAGTTTCTGTTTTTTCACATATTTTTTTCTTGAATGTTCTTCTGTATTTCTACTCAGATTTCTGTAAGTGAAGCACATATATTTCTTAATAAGATTTTCCCCATATTAATTATATTTATAAATATCCAAAAGCTTGGAAAGATTGCTTTGGCCTATTTGAGAAATATTTACTGTACATAGAAACTACTGGCAAGTTTAAAGAGGCAACCATCATTTTCTCAGAATCATCTTTATTCCTTCTGTATTTCGCCTT